>NC_000001.11:165684587-168184587 GCF_000001405.40 Homo sapiens
TATAATCAACCATAAGTAGCTTAAATTTTGTTTCTTGAATTCAAGAGGAAACTAGGCCCTAGAGAGGCTAGTGCATTAATCGGTTGAATAAAGTGATGAATCAGTACAGAACATTTCAAATACAGGGAAGAGATATTACACTGGCAATAGTGAAACACGGTTCTGCTTACACTTTAGTGTAAGAGTGAACAAATAGGAAGTAATCTGTGATTCTATCGCTGCTAAGCCCTGGAACATTTACTAAGAGAATAGAAACTTTTACTCTGGAGATTTTTTTCTCTTTTAAAATAATGGATAGGCAAGTGGTTTTGGGGGCTGTTTTGGGGTTTCAACTCTCAGAGAAAATTCAGTTAATTAGATGGCCTTGGGAAATTTTTTCTGTGTTATTCTATTATTCTCCATCCTTACAAAAAAAAAGTTATCTACTAAGAGCATTAGGAGATCTTCTGATATAGTACGTAAGGATCATCAAAGATGTCTCTGACAAAAATTTCTGCCTGCTACTATTGCAAGAGTAACCATAAGATAAAATTGTTCACCATAACAACATACTGCTACAAGTATTTCTTAGGAAATACATGTGTTGTTCCCAACCCTGTTCCTCCTCTATATCACCCTGCTTTACAATATGACTTGACCAGGTGTTCACTGGGATGAAAGATTAGAAGCCAAGAGTAGGTCCCTCACTTCTCCCTTTCACTTCGAACCCCTCAGCAGGGCTTAATGTCTAGCTTTGAAGCCCAACAGACTAGCTCTTATACTTACTAGTTATATGATCTAAGACAAGCTATTTAACCTTTTTGAGCATTTTCTCATTTCTCAAATAGGTAAAATAGCTATATACATCTCAAGATGCTTTTGCTAATACAATTATGTACAACAATCACCTTGTCCAGAAGGAAAAAATGGAGGGAGGGAGGGATAAATTACAGTACAGACCACTAAATGCTAAACATGTAAGCACAAGAGGCAAGAAAAACAAAAGAACAGCACCAAACTCAGCGTCATGGCATTGTAAAAGCATGAGGTGTGACAGTATACACATGGTAAACGAGGAAGGACCAGTAGTGCAGGAGAGCTGGGTCTTATGGTGTGTGAAGAGAAAAGACGAGGCTGGAGAAACAGGGCCTGAGGGCCATGTTAAGGAGGGGGACCATGGCCAGTTTTACCCAAGGATGTACCATGATCAAATGTGCTTCTGTAGGAGGACCACTCTGGTGGCACTGTACAAGACAAACCAACCTGGGCCAGGGCTGGAGGCAAGAAGATAACCTACATACACAATCTCTTCTTTATTTAGATAGTTTTGTCATTGTTTTAAGTAACATTCTCCCTCCCCTTTTAATCCAAATGATAGCTACTTCACAAGGGGTCTCCAACTGAAAAATGACTGGGTCTCACAGACAAGATCTATACAATCTGGTATAAGTACCAAAGGATTCAAAGTAAAAATGAGAAAATATGGAAAAAAATGTTCATTTCCACTAGGAATCAATGAGCTTCTAGCCAAGATGGATTAACAGGGACCAGATTCATTCTCCCACCTTAAACAACTAAAAACACCAGATAAAATACATGAACCATTTTCAGACATCAGACATTAAGCAACTCAAGGCAGTGGTCCCTGGAGGAGGGAACCAATGAGGTGAGCCCTACAATTGCTGGAGTCTACTGCCTAGAGAAAGTTTTCAGGCCACAGAGCAGGGAGGAGGAAGCTAGGTGGCGCCCAGCAGACACATGAGTTGAGAAGATAGGGTGGGAGTTTAGGGAACTTTGAGTGGCTACAGTTCTTCAAGACTGAGTGTGGAAGGGAAAAGAGCTGCACAGATAGAGAACCCCAGAAATCTGCAGATTCCCCTTTGAGTACCAGTGTGAGAAAACTACCCAAGACTGGGAAAAGGACTACCCAAGAAGAAAATGTTTTTTTTTTTAAAAAAAAAAGCCCCAGAACTCACACAGGGCCAGGTATAGTTCATGTTCCCACCAGCCATGGTGAGAAAACCTCATTAACACCCGGATCACAGGGTTAAGCAGTCAGAAGGGTATTGAATAACATGGCGAAATTTGCTGATCTAAAAGCAAATCTTCCAAGGATCAAACTGATTCCAAGTAACTTCACTGTGTCCCAGAACAAAGCTTAAGAATATTTTTTAAAGTACAAGACTATCCAGCACCCAGCAATATAATGTGCCCTAGTGATTCACTAGAGATCATATGTCTAGTGATCAAAAACTACCAGGCATGCAAAAAGTAGAAAACCGTAACATTTAACCAGGAAGCGAAACTAACCAATAAAAACACATTCAGAAATAACACAACAGAACTAGTAGACAAGAACATTAAGTTATGATAGCTATACTCCGTATGTTCAAGAAGGCACAGAAAAACATAAGCATGTTAAGGAGAGCCACAGAACACATATATAAAAGACCCAAATTAATCTAGAGATGAAAATACACTAGATGAGATTAACAGCAGATAAAACACTATAGAAGACCGATGAACTTGAGTCATAACAATAGAAATTACCTGAAAACAAAACACACACACACAGGGGGTGGGAGGGAAGGCTCAGAAGGAGAAAAAAACCCATAAACACACCCAAAAACTGGAAAATGAACTGAGCATCAGTGACGTGGGATAGCTTCAGGCAGCCCAATATATGTGTAATTGGAGGCCCTGAAGGAGAAGTGATGGAAGAGGGGGCAAAAAAAAAAACTAAAGAAATCATGGCCAAATTTTTTTTCCAAATGAAACAAATTTACAGATCCAAGAAGATCAATAAACCTCAGGAAAAATACATATGAAGAAAACTGCACCAAAAGACATCATAATCAAATTGCTTAAAACCAGTGATAAGGAGAAAAATATTAAAACAGCCAGGGGTGGGGGGTAGAGGGAGTACATTACATACAAAGATACAAAAATAAAAATGACAGTAAATTTCTCTTCTGAAACAATACAAATCAGAAGACAGTGGAGCAACATCTTTAAAGTACTGAAAGAAAAAACTATTTACCTACAATTCATTCAAAAATTAATGCAAAAGAAAGACTTTTTTAGACATACAGAATCTGAAAGAGTACCAACAGACCTGCACTATAAGAAATGCTAGCCTGGCGGGGTGCAGTGGCTCACACCTGTAATCCCAGCACTTTGGGAAGCCGAGGTGGGCGGATCACTGGAGGTCAGCAGTTTGAGACCAGCCTGGCCAACATGGTGAAACCCCATCTCTACTAAAAATACAAAAATTAGCCAGGCATGGTGGCACACATTTGTAATCCCAGCTACTCGGGAGGCTGAGGCAGGAGAATCACTTGAACCCGGGAGGCGGAGGTTGCAGTGAGCCGAGATCATGCCACTGTACTCCAGCCTGGGTGAGAGAGAGAGACTCCTCTCAAAAAAAAAAGAGAAAGAAAAGAAAAGAAAAGAAATTAATTAATTCTAGGCTGGGTACAGTGGCACACACGTACAGTCCCAGCACTTTGGGAAGCTGAGGCAGGAGGATGACTTGAGCCCAGGAGATCAAGACCATCCTGGGCAACATGAATAAACCCGCTCTCTACAAAAAATACAAAAATTAGCCAAGTGTGGTGACATGAGTCTGTAGTCCCAGCTACTCAGGACGCTGAGGTGGGAGGATCGTTTGAGCCCAGAAGGTCAAGGCCATAGTGAGCTATGATTCCACTACTGTGCTTCAGCTGGGGAGACAGAGCGAGACCTTGTCTCAAAAAACAAAACAAAACAGAAAAGAAATGCTGAAGAAATTCCTTCTAGCAGAAGAGAAAATGACAGCAGACAGATATCTGGGTCTACACAAATGACTTATGAGCACCAGAAATGGTAAATATGTGGACAAATGTGAAATATTTTACCTTATTCTTAAAATATTTTAAAAAATAATTGTTTACAGCAATACTTTTTTTTAAATTCCAGCCTGGGAAACATGGCGTAACCCCATCTCTACAAAAAATACAAACAAAAATTAGCCAGGTATGGTGGTGCACATATACGGGAAGCTGAGGCAAGAGGATCCCTTGAGCCCAGGAGGTTGAGGCTGTAGTGAGCCATGATTGTGCCACTGCACTCCAGCCTGGGTGACAGAGCAAGACCCTGTCAAAAAAGAACAAAGAACTGCAGATCTTGATTAACTAGAAAAATCACTTAAAAGAAAACTGAGGGCTAATATGATTGTAGGTGTGGTCACAGAGTGGGATCTATTCAGTTATGGAATAAATTGGGGTGAAGGCAGGTTCAGAGCACGATCATCAGACAAGTGTTTTTGATTAATAAACACTTAATAATAAGCAGTGGGTTTTTGATTAATAAAACACCACACAGGTATCAAAGGAAAAGTAAAGGGGAGGGTAAAGTAAAAAGAAATGAAATTTAGTATCAGACAACAGATTTCAGAGCAAAAAATATTATTAGATATTACCCAGGATCAATAAAAGTCATTTCCTAACAATAAAGGAGCCAATTCTTAACAGCCCTACAATGCTGCTCATTCACAGGAAAAAAAATGGGCAAATGAAAATAATAAATTATCTGCTTTGAGTTATCTTTGGTTTATCGAATTAAAAATAAATTTTTAATAACGGGGAAAATACTTCGTTGGGAGAAAATTCTATATGAATATTTTGATATTTCTGCATGGTCAGGGCTTTCCAAGCAAAGGACACTGACGAGTTGATTGAATAGCAAAGGCCTTGAAAGGCAGAGACAGTATCTCCCTAAAGATAAAGAAATCTGGAGAAATTTAGAAATGTAAACCTCTTTACTTCCTGTTCCTGAAACATGTGCTTATACTCCAGGATAATAAACTTAGTGATACCTTCCCTCTCAACCCTGGAGATTTGCTTAATAAGTAATCTCAATCTCTCTCACTCTCTCCCCAGAGAAGAGGATGGGCAGATGTGCCAGTAATTTCTATTTAAATGAATCTCAGAAGTTTAGGGTTCTTCTCCTTTGGTGCAACTTCCTGCATGCACAGGGATCTCACCTGGTTCTCATCCCATCCCCTCACTCACCGTGGTGACCGGTGCTTTGAAAACAAAAAAACTAGGCCGGATGCAGTGGCTCATGCCTGTAATCCCAGCACTTTGGAAGGCCAAGGCAGGCGGATCACCTAAGGTCAGGAGTTTGAGACGAGCCTGGCCAACATGGGGAAACTCTGTCTCTACTAAAAATACAAAAAATAGCCAGGCGTGGTGTCATGTGCCTGTAATCCCAGCTATTCAGGAGTCTGAGGCAGGAGAATCGCTTGAACCCAGGAGGCGGAGGTTGCAGTGAGCCAAGATTGTGCCATTGCACTCCAGCCTGGGTGACAGAGTGAGACTCCATCACAAAAAAAAAATAATAATAAATAAACAGAAATTAGTGCTAAGGTATTGCTATGGCTGCTGCATTTTGCTGTAATAAACCATCCTTCTCTGTGATCCAAAAAGCCTCATGTCTCTTGCTAGAATATATATATGTATAAAATATACATATATTACACATAATTGTGTAATTTACAACTATAATATAGAATATATGTATATTATATAGATTATATATTATTCTATGTGTATAACATAGCTTATATGTGTATAATTATGTATATGTATATTATATGTGTTTTATATGTATATGTATGTAATATATACACATATACACACACACTCTTGAAAGCAGGGAAACTCTCAGACCCGTCACAGTTTCTGACGTAACATACTTATGACAAAAAGTCACCACAGACCTACCACTCAGCTATCCATGATTCTTATTTTGATGTATTCTCTTCTGAATTTTCTTTCTATAATGAACATCTGGTACTTCTGATCTTTAAGACTATAAAAAGTTTAACTATCAGAGTCCAGAATCAAGATGGCCGAATAGGAGCAGCTCCGATCTGCATCTCCCAGCGTGATCAATGCAGAAGACGGTGATTTCTGCATTTCCAACAGAGGTACTGGGTTCATCTCATTAGGACTGGTTCACCTGGGAAGCACAAGGGGTCAGGGAATTCCCTTTCCTAGCCAAGGGAAGCCGTGACAGATGGTACCTGGGAAATCGGGACACTCCCACCCTAATACTGCGCTTTTCCAACAGTCTTAGCAAACGGCACACCAGGAGATTATATCCTGCAGCTGGCTCGGCGGGTCCCCCACCCATGGAGCTTTGCTCACTGCTATAACAGCAGTCCAAGATGGAACTGCGAAGGTGGCAGTGAAGCTGGGGGAGGGGCGTCTGCCATTCCTGAGGCTTGACTAGGTAAACAAAGCAGCCAGGAAGCTCGAACCGAGTGGAGCCCACCACAGCTCAAGGAGGCCTGCCTGCCTCTGTAAACTGCACCTCTGGCGGCAGGGCATAGCTGAACAAAAGGCAGCGGAAACTTCTGCAGACTTAAACGTCCCTGTCTGACAGCTTTGAAAAGAGTAGTGGTTCTTCCAGCATGGAGTTTGAGATCTGAGAATGGACAGACTGCCTCCTCAAGTGGGTCCCTGACCCCCAAGTAGCCTAACTGGGAGACACCTCCCAGTCGAGGCCGACTGACACCTCATACAGGTGGGTGCCCTTCTGGGACAAAGCTTCTAGAGGAAGGATCAGGCAGCAACATTTGCTGTTCTGCAATATTTGCTGTTCTACAGCCTCCGCTGGTGATACCCAGGCAAACAGGGTCTGGAGTGGACCTCCAGCAAACTCCAACAGACCTGCAGCTGAGGGTCCTGACTATTAGAAGGAAAACTAACAGAAAGGAATAGCATCAACATCAACAAAAAGGACATCCACACCAAAACCCCATATGTAGGTCAGCATCATCAAAAACCAAAGGTAGATAAAACCACAAAGATGGGGAGAAACCAGAACAGAAAAGCTGAAAATTCTCAAAACCAGAGTGCCTCTTCTCCTCCAAAGGATCGCAGCTCCTCACCAGCAATGGAACAAAGCTGCACGGAGAATGACTTAGACAAGTGACAGAAGTAAGCTTCAGAAGATCGGTAATAACAAACTTCTCTGAGGTAAAGGATGATGTTTGAACCCATCACAAAGAAGCTAAAAACCCTGAATTCTACCAGAGATACAAAGATGAGCTGGTACTATTCCTTCTGAAACTATTCCAATCATTAGAAAAAGAGGGAACCTCCCTAACTCATTTTATGAGGCCAGCATCAGCCTGATACCAAGACATAACAAAAAAAGAGAATTTTAGACCAATATCCCTGATGAACATCGATGCAAAAATCCTCAATAAAATACTGGCAAACAGAATCCAGTAGCACATCAAAAAGCTTATCCACCATGATCAAGTTGGCTTCATCCCTGGGATGCAAGGCTGGTTCAACATACACAAATCAATAAACGTAATCCATCATATAAACAGAACCAAAGACAAAAACCACGACTATCTCAACAGACGCAGAAAAGGCCTTCGACAAATTTCAACAGCCCTTCATGCTAAAAACTCTCAATATACTAGGTATTGATGGGACATATCTCAAAATAATAAGAGCTATTTATGACAAACCCACAGCCAATATCATACTGAATGGGCAAAAACTGGAAGCATTCCCTTTGAAAACTGGCACAAGACATGAATGCCCTCTCTCACCACTCCTATTCAACATAGTGTTGGAAGTTCTGGCCAAGGCAATCAGGCAGGAGAAAAAAATAAAGTGTATTCAATTAGGAGGAAGTCAAATTGTCCCTGTTTGCAGATGACATGATTGTATATTTAGAAAACCCCATTGTCTCAGCCCAAAATCTCCTTAAGGTGATAAGCTACTTCAGCAAAGTCTCAAGATACAAAATCAATGTGCAAAAATCACAAGCATTCCTATACACCAATAACAGACAAACACAGAGCCAAATCATGAGTGAACTCCCATTCACAATTGCTTCAAAGAGAATAAAATACCCAGGAATCCAACTTACAAGGGATGTGAAGGACCTCTTCAAGGAGAACTACAAACCACTGCTCAATGAAATAAAAGAGGACACAAACAAATGAAAGAACATTCCATGCTCATGGATAGGAAGAATCAATATCGCAAAAATGGCCATACTGCCCAAGGTAATTTATAGATTTAATGCCATCCCCATCAAGCTACCAATGACTTTCTTCACAGAATTGGAAAAAACTATTTTAAAGTTCATATGGAACCAAAAAAGAGCCTGCATTGCCAAGACAATCCTAAGCCAAAAGAACACAGCTGGAGGCATCATGCTACCTGACTTCAAACTATACTACAAGGCTACAGTAACCAAAACAGCATGGTACTGGTACCAAAACAGAGATATAGAACAATGGAACAGAACGGAGCCCTCAGAAATAATACCACACATCTACAACCATCTGATCTTTGACAAACCTGAGAAAAACAAGAAATGAGGAAAGGATTCCCTATTTAATAAATGGTGCTGGGAAAACTGGCTAGCCATATGTAGAAAGCTGAAACTGGATCCCTTCCTTACACCTTATACAAAAATTAATTCAAGATGGATTAAAGACTTAAATGTTAGACCTAAAACCATAAAAACCCTAGAAGAAAACCTAGGCAATACCATTCAGGACACAGGCATGGGCAAGGACTTCATGACTAAAACACCAAAAGCAATGGCAACAAAAGCCAAAATAGACAAATGGGATCTAAGTAAACTAAAGAGCTTCTGCACAGCAAAAGAAACTACCATCAGAGTGAACAGGCAACCTACAGAATGGGAGAAAATTTTTGTAATCTACCCATCTGACAGAGGGTTAATATCCAGAATCTACAATGAACTTAAACAAATTTACAAGAAAAAACAAACAACCCCATCAACAAGTGGGCAAAGGATATGAACAGACACTTCTCAAAAAAAGACATTTATGCAGCCAAAAGACACATGAAAAAATGCTCATCATCACTGGCCATCAGAGAAATGCAAATCAAACCCACAATGAGATACCATCTCACACCAGTTAGAATGGCAATCATTAAAAAGTCAGGAAACAACAGGTGCTGGAGATGATGTGGAGAAATAGGAACACTTTTACACTGTTGGTGGGACTGTAAACTAGTTCAACCATTGTGGAAGACAGTGTGGCGATTCCTCAAATATCTAGAACTAGAAATACCATTTGACCCAGCCATCCCATTACTGGGTATATACTCAAAGGATTATAAATCATGCTACTATAAAGACACATGCACACGTATGTTTATTGCAGCACTATTCACAAGAGCAAAGACTTGGAACCAACCCAAATGCCCATCAATGATAGACTGGATTAAGAAAATGTGGCACATATATACCATGGAATACTATGCAGCCATTAAAAAGGATGAGTTCATGTCCTTTGCAGGGACATGGATGAAGCTGGAAACCATCATTCTGAGCAAACTATCACAAGGACAGAAAACCAAACACTGCATGTTCTCATTCATAGGTGGGAATTGAACAATGAGATCACTTGGACACAGGGTGGGGAACATCACACACCGGGGCCGTAGGGGGTGGGGGGCTGGGGGAGGGATAGCATTAGGAGAAATACCTAATGTAAATGGTGAGTTGATGGGTGCAGCAAACCAACATGGCACTTGTATACCTATGTATCAAACCTGCACATTGTGTACATGTACCCTAGAACTTAAGTATAAAAAAAAAAAAAAAAGGAGGCAGGATTATCACTTGTTCCTCGCAGCTCTGGACTCCCAGGAAGAGGCAGCCTGGTCAGATTCTGGGAAACAAAAGAAACCTTTTGTTTCCGTCAAGTTTCAAACAGAGGACCTTCCGTGTGTTAGGCCAGCGTGGTAACTACTACACCACAGAAACCCTTTGCATTGCAGGCTTTTTATGTTTTGCGATGAGTATTAAATACTTGTTTTTACAATTTTTTTTAGTTGACAAATAAAAATTGTATATATTTATGATGTAAAAAAAAAGTTTAACTCTCTTTTTTTTAAAGGGAACATCTACAAATCTATGAAATCTTCCCAATTAAAGTAACGATACTTAAAACCCTATCTGAAAACAAATCTGAAAAAGAAAGGTAGACTTGAGAATCATCAAAATAAAGAATAAAAAGGAAACAAGTAAACCACATGGTTTAAAAAGAAAGAAAGGCTGGGCACAGTGGCTCACGCCTGTAATCCCAGCATTTTGTGAGGCCGATGTGGGTGGATCACTTGAGGTCAGGAGTTCAAGACCAGCCTGGCCAACATGGTGAAATCCATCTCTACGAAAAATACAAAAATTAGCCAGGCATGGTGGCACACACCTGTAGTCCCAGCTACTTGGGAAGCTGAGGCAGGAGAATTGCTTGAGCCCGGGAGGCGAAGGTTGCAGTGAGCCGAGATCACTCCACTGCACTCCAGCCTGGGCGACAGAGCAAGATTCCGTCTCAAAAAAAAAAAAAAATAAAAATAAAAAAAGGACGATGAGCTATAAAGAGTGCATTATAATTCAAAACAAAGCTTTACAAACATGAAAACCTGCCAAAGGAGATGTCCAAGAGCCAACATCCAGATGGGAAGTATTGAACAAAAACTTGTTTTATATACTAAGGTGAGCATGTGGAAATGTTTTTCCATTTTATAAAAACGTTACGGCCTAATGTTGCAACAAAGTCGAACTGCAAACATCACAAAGAAACCTCAGAGCAATGTCTGAGTTCTGGAAGGAAATAAATTGGAACATACCCTTATTATCCTGGCAGCCTCCAAAAGGATTCGGCAACGCTCCATGCCAGATTTTTGACTCCATATTTTAAAAGCAGCCTTTGCATTTTGAACAGCCAAATTTACTTCCTTTTCTCCTGAACATGTGAAAGTAGCTATCACTCGGCCTATAAAGAGCGGAAACATCAGTTTTAACTCAAATTGTTGCCACATATTTAAATAAAATATTATCTATCAATATTCTCTTAGTAGTAGTCTTTTTTTTTTTTTTTTTTTTTTTCTTGAGATGGAGTCTTGCTCTGTCACCCAGGCTGGAGTGCAGTGGCGCGATCTCGGCTCACTGCAACCTCTGCCTCCTGAGTTCAAGCGATTCCCCTGCCTCAGCCTCCTGAGTAGCTGGGACTACCAGTGCACGCCACTACGCCCAGCTAATTTTTTGTATTTTTTAGTAGAGACCGGGTTTCACCATGTTGACCAGGATGGTCTTGATCTCCTGACCTTGTGACCCACCCGCCTCAGCCTCCCGAAGTGCCGGAATTACAGGCGTGGGCTACCGTAACTTCTTGTTTTTATGTATGGTTTGATTTAGTGACCATCTCTATACTAGCAGGTTTTTTTGTTTTGTTTTTTTGTTTTTTAAGACGGAGTCTCGCTCTTGTTACCCAGGCTGGAGTGCAATGGCACGATCTTGACTCACTGCAACTTTTGCCTCCTGGGTTCCAGCAATTCTCCTGCCTCAGCCTCCCGAGTAGCTGGGATTACAGGCGCCTGCCACCACACACAGCTAATTTTTGTATTTTTAGTAGAGACGGGATTTCATCATGTTGGCCAGGCTGGTCTTACATTCCTGACCTCAAGTGATTCACCCACCTCTGCCTCCCCAAGTGCTGGGATTACAGCCATGAGCCACCACACCCGGCCTAGCAGTTCTTAACTGTATTTTGCGGTCATTGACATTAGGAGTCTGATAAAAGTTGCAGACCTCTCTCCAGAAAAATCTACTTAAACATATAACAGAATTACAGGAATGTCATGTCCCCTGCCCTAAACTCATCAAGGATTTAGAGTTAAGAACCCCTGCCCTCTACTATTTTACAGTTGAGTTTACTAACATTAACTTCTGATTAAGTTTTGCAACACTCCTAAACATTATCTCAGAATCTCAGGGGTCTTGTAAAATGAAAGTCAAAAGTAATCAGTCTATTGGGTTATAAACTCTGACTGTAAATCCCTTGTCTATATTCTATGTAGGTTATATCATACTACTTGATACTTGATAAATATAGTTAATAAGCAGTAATATCAGGATAAGGCAACCCTAAAGGAACATTTTTTTTTTCTCAAAAATTCCCAGATTTCCTTTTCTTATTCCACCTTTATTCC
Organism: Homo sapiens; assembly: GCF_000001405.40. Classification (NCBI taxonomy): domain Eukaryota; kingdom Metazoa; phylum Chordata; class Mammalia; order Primates; family Hominidae; genus Homo; species Homo sapiens. Next base: position 165,696,614 of record NC_000001.11, read on the forward strand.
CTCTCCCTATTCTGGTGCAAATTATGAAACAATCAGTTTTTCTAGGCCCATAGCCCAAGGACTGTACTGCCTCTACCAACAAGAATTCTTTAAGTTTGCCAACTCAGCAAATCCTCTTCACAAGAACTCCTGGGACTCTTTCCAGGGAGATTTCACAAATCTGCAATTTCTGTTACAAACTTGAATAGCCAGCTGGTAAAGGCGGTGGCTGAGGATCACACACACTGTAGGCAATTAAAGCAAAGAGCAATTTTTCTTTCTTTTGTATCAGGATTAAGTCGGGGTAGAGAAGCTGTTTCCTCCTATATAAAGAAGAGATGTGATAATGCCTTCTGGCTCTGCCAAGTCACTGCTCTGTGGTTTAGTGTGGATGGTCAAATACTAAATTCTCCAGTCCCCTGCAAATCAGTTTTATTGCTCTGGCTACATTTTACACAAAATATTTACATTTTTCTCCCCACATATATTCCATAAAACCCAGCAAAATAAACACAACACAAAACCAAAACAAAAAGCCCCTTCTTCCTTATCTCTGTGACCTTCAGAGTTCCCAGAGTAAATCCAGTGCCTAGCACAGTGCTTAGCACACATTAAGCACTGGATTAAAAAGTTTTATTTCAGCAAGATGAATAAATTGTGGAGAGCTCACGTAGACCATGGTGACTATGGTTACCAATACTGCATCATATACTTGAAATTTGCTAAAAGAATAGATCTTAAATATTTCACTATCCAAAAAAAGCCATTAACTATGCAGAAGCAATGGATAATTAGATTGACCGTGGTAACCATTTTGCAAGGTATACATACATTACAACACGTTTTACACCTTAAGTATATACAATTTTTATTTGTTAATTATACTTCAATAAAGCTGGGGAAGAAAGTACTGAATAAAGGTGGGGTTTTTTCCTTTCCCAATTCTGATTAATGTGCAGAAATATTTTAATATTAGAATGTGGAGACAAAGTCCTCATTCGTAGTCATTAGAAACTATCTGTGAGCGTTCCTTCATTCCCAGCACAAATGATTATCTTCCCCACAACCCCGCCCCGTTCTTTTAGAATTCCTCTCCTATGCACACATTTGAAGACAATAATACATCAGTCCTGGTTTTAAAAGGGGGAACAGTTGGCTGGGCTTGGTGGCTCACGGCTGTAATCCCAGCACTTTGGGAGGCTGAGGCGGGAGGATCACCTAAGCTCAGGAGTTCGAGACCAGCCTGAGTAACATGCTGAAAACCCGTCTCTACTAAAAATACAAAAATTAGCCGGACATGGTGGTGGGAGCCTGTAATCCCAGCTACCAGGGAGGCTGAGGCGGGAGAAGCACTTGAGCCCGTAAGGTAGAGGGCGCAGTGAGCTCTGAGATGGTGCCCCTGCACTCCAGCCTGGGCGACAGAGTGAGACCCTGTCTCAAAACAAACAAAAAACAAACAAACAAACAAAACAAACAAAAAAGGAAGTTAACAGAGGCACGACTTCCCCCACCAGTACTTTGCGAACTCTGTTCTGGCCCGGGTAAAACAACTCACGATCCTACCACGCAACTCATCAGCTTTGCTTTTCCTCCCTACCCATCCCTGCCCGGAGGCACTCGCGTTGCCCCAGAATCGCTAGTTGCCTACACACACAACCTTAGACTCTCCACTGTCACTGTCTTGTGCTCAAGTCAACGCTGCAGAACACAGGAAACGGGGGCTGGCCGGGAAATCCGCGCATCCGGCCCCAGGGCGCCCCAGCCTCCCCGGCTCGTTGCAGTTACCGGTTGCTGGCTCGAAAGCTTTCTCGGTACCGGAGGCGTCCGCCGGCTCCACGCGGGCCCCGCCGCGGTAATTGAGCGGCTGCGACACGACGAAGGTGCCAGTGCTCATGGCGGCGACAGGAGAGGGCCGAAGACTGCGAAGAAGCGGGGAGAGCGCGGCCAGGCCTGCTCGGAGAAACATGAGTGGCGGACGCAGCTCCGCGGCAGAGGCTGACGGGCCGCGGGAGGGGCGGGGCCGCGGGAGGGGCGGGGCCGCGGGATCGGTTCTAGGAGATTTTAGGGGCAGTCACTCGATTCCTCTGCGGTCCAGGCCAGGCCCTCCCCTCGCCAGGAGGGTGGAGCAAGACACCACATTCTCCCCACCACCCCGCCATACCCCACACAGTCTCCAGGCGGGAAGAGGACTTCCTTCTTCGTGATCAATATTTGCGTAGCACTTTGCAAGTGTTTTCGGGTTCATCATTGCATGTAAGCATCCTAGGATCCCATTCTTAATCCTATCGCCTGAAGAAGGCAGAGGATTGGAGTGCCAAGAGTCTTTGGTGGTTACTTCACTGCTAAACCACCGTTTCTGTAATTGTATAATGCTTTTTAAAGGGTGACAGTAAAAAGCAAGGGGACTGTGAACGAGATAGATGATATTGTGATCTGAAACTGCTTTTTAAATTCTTAAAGAGAGACTGGGCGCTGTGGCTCTCACCAAGGCTGGAGGATCGCTTGAGCCCAGGAGTTTGCGGGCAACAGAGAGAGATCCCGTGTCTATAAAAAAATAAAATAAAAATAATAAAAATTGGGCCGGGCGCGGTGGCTCACGCCTGTAATCCTAGCACTTTGGGAGGCCAAGGCGGGCAGATCACCTGAGGTCAGGAGTTCGAGACCAGCCTGACCAAAATGGTAAAACCCCGTCTCTACTAAAAATACAAAAATTAGCTGGGTGTGGTGGCGGGCGCCTGTAATCCCAGCTACTTGGGAGGCTGAGGTGGGAAAATCGCTTGAACCCGGGAGACGGGTTGCAGTGAGCCGAGACTATGCCATTGCACTCCAGTCTGGGTGACAAGAGTGAAACTCAGAAAAAAAAAAAATTATCCAGGTGTGGTGGCACACGCCTGTGGCCCCAGGTACTTGGGCGGCTAAGGTGGGAGGATCCCCTGAGCCCCGGGGGTCCAAGCTTGCAGTGAGCTATAATCGTGCCACTGCACTCAGGCCTGGGCAACAGAGCGAGACCCTGTCTCAAAATAAATAAATTCTGAAGGAGCAATGTAAATGCTATTAATGACAAATATTGATAGAAACAGAAGCCTAACATACAGAATACGAAGAGCAAAGGCCACAGGAAAAAGTGTCAGGAAACAAAATGCCTTCTGTAAGACAAAGCAGCCACCCAGAGGCACTCACAGGTCTGTCAGCTGAGGGATCTTGCACAAAGGTTCATTCTTCTCACCAAACTTCCATGCACCTCCAGTAGAGACTTTGACAAACAGAAAGTAATTGGCAATTTGGACATTTCTTTTAGGATTGTTTCTCTTCTGGGGGCTGCTGTCTTTCTCAATGTTTTTTCCTTTACCTGCCAGCTCACCAGCGCAATATTAGGGAGTGTGGTTTTCAGGTTTAGAGTATATATAATGTATTCTGATCAAGTTTTCTGGCACTCTATACCAGTTTGTTCACTTTTTCAGTGCTACTGAGATGTGTAGGTCTTGGTCCTCAGATGGAAACAGCAGTGCCCAAACTCAGAATACCTGAGGCCACACTCACATATTATTTTATTATTGTCCATTGCAAACAGAATTGAAACATATCAGGAGTTGGTGACGAGCAGCACTATAGATTTCCAAGATCACTGAATGGTCATTTAGGTACAGAAACTATACGTCTCAAATTTTATGGGACAATTTCTATTTAAAAGATTCTGTCCCCAACCAATGCATTTTGACTTGTCACATCATAATTCCTGATGTTTGTTTTGGAAATGTGGTCGTGATGTCTATTGAATTAATTCATAGATGATAAGACTGACAAACCTCTGGCCAGGCACAGGACTCACACCTGTAATCTCAACACTTTGGGAGACCGTGGCAGGAGGATCGCTTGAGGCCAGGAGTTCAAGACCAGCCTGGGCAACATAGTGAGACTCTGTCTCTACAAAATATTTTTAAAAATTAGCCGAGCATGGTGGCACAAGCGTGTAGTCCTGACTACTCAAGAGACTGAGGTGGAGGATTGCTTGAGGCCAGGAGTTCAAGACTGGAGTGAGCGATCATGGCACCACTGCTCCAGCCTGGGCAACAGAGTAAGACCCTTCCCCAAAGAAAACAGATCTCCTCCAAAATATCTACCTTTTAAATATCTAGCTGTTCCTCTTACCTATCTGTGCTTTTATTATTAAATTATTATTTTTAACTTTTAGGTTCAGGGGTACATGTAAAGATTTGTTACATAGGTAAACTTGTGTCATGGGGGTGTGTTGTATAGATTATTTCATTACCCAGGTATTAAGCCTAGTACCCATGAGTTATTTTTCCTGATCCTCTCCCTCCTTCCACCCTTATTATTAGATTATTAATGTATTATTTTTCATTAGCAAAATCCAACATGTAGAAAGAGCTTTATAGGTTACAGAGCCCTTTCACATTTACTTTCTCACATGAAGCTCATAATAACCCTACAAAAGAAAAGGAAACTAACAGAGATTGAGCTAGGAGGTAGTATGTGGCACTTTGTCAAATATCTCAGTGACAATCATGCAAGATAGGTTTTATCATCCCCATTGTACAGATGAGGAAACTAATAGAAAGGTCGTAGAGCTTCCCCATAAAGGAGCTAAGGCTGGAGTCCAGCTCTGTGCAAGTCCAAAGTAAATTTCTTCTTACTACACCAGGTCGAGATGTTGACCCCATGAAGGTTGCTATCAAAATTCACTCTTATGTTGGTGGATATTTATCAGAAACCCAGAAATCTGGTTCTAGGGAGATTTAAAGGACATGTAAACTTCTTAGGATATTTGTCAGCACTACCCAGTAAGCAGCCCAGAAGTCACAGAGGATGCTGGCCAGTTTACAAGTTCAGGGTGAAATTCAAAGGGACAAAGATGCCACAAGGAGCAGAAGGAATGCCAAAAGAGAAACACCTCTTAGATGGGTGTGTGTTGGAGGGCAGATTTGGGGGTAAAAAGAGATAGAAAAGGAGTGGAATCATTGCTAAAGGGGTAGAAGATCCAAGGAGAAACTGCCTGCCTCACAACTTGCTTAAAGCCAAACTTGGGTGCCACTAAAGCCCCCTCCTTTTCCACATTTCCTTCCCCAGACAACCAGAGGAGGAAAAGAAAAGCAACTGGATCCCCTTCTGCCACCTCCAGGTCTCCTAAAGGAAGAAGTCCTTGGGAACCCATACTGTGTGATCCAGGGTCCTTCACTGGCCTCTCCCTCAGGTCATCCAGTTGTCAATTTGTTGCTTTGGCTTAGTTTCACCATTAGCAGTACTCTTCTTGGACACAACCTCCAGAGTAAAAGCAAATGCCGGATGCGGTGGCTCACACCTGTAATCCCAGCACTTTGGGAGGCGGAGGTGGGTGGATTGCCTGAGCTCAGGAGTTCCAGACCAGCCTGGACAACATGGTGAGACCCCTGTCTCTACTAAAAATACAAAAAAAAAAAAAAAAAAAAGCCAAGTGTGGTGGCGCACACCTCTAGTCCCAGCTGCTGGGGGGTTGAAGCGCGAGGATCGCTTGAACCTGGAGGCAGAGGCTGCAGTGAGCCAAGATTGCAACATTGCACTCCAGCCTGGGCGACAGAGCAAGACTCGCTCTCCAAAAACAAAAAAAAAAAAAAAAAAAGAAAGAAAAGATCTTTAGGGAGTACTAGCTCTTAGTCTGTCCTCTAGAACTATTAATACATCAAACACACACACACCACATTTATTTTTATTTCCTGAACAATAGTATGTTTACTACTGTTGCAACTCCTTCAGTGGGGAGCCAGAAAACCATCCACACAAAAAGAAAGGAAAAAATTACTCAGAATCCTGTTCCTGCCCATTTTAACAGGGCCTTTCACTTAACAATAATTTACAGATTGAATTTTATTTTAAGCCTGAGTGTCCTCACATTCTTCATATACAGAATGTAATTTTCTCACTGAAGACCTAACAGGTTTCCTAATCTAGGCAGCCTGACACTAGGATTAGGTCCTTAATGAATATTTGTTGAATGAACACATCAGTCAGGTGTTACAAACCAGGACTTTGAAATCACTGCGCTGATGAGGATGTCCCCTAATGCTACTTAGGCATCTCTGCTTGGATAATCTAGTCTTTTTCATTTTTAACAGCTTTTTAGGCTATAATACTCATATTTTCAAAAATAGGTTTAATTTATAAACCTGAGGTAATATGAAACAGTATGTGAAAGTGGTCTAAAAATTAGAAAGCACTATACAATTGCTATTATAATAACAATGTTCATAGTTTGCAGTGCCTTCGTGTTTTTCTCAAATGAAATTCAGGGTCATTGACTTTGGAATTTGTTCTTGGAGTTGATAATCAGCTAGAGGCTAAAGGCTACTGAGCTTACAGAAAAATTTAGAATCTGTCTGTTATCTAAGACAGTAGCATTATATAGAAATTATTCCAACTCTTCCAAATGTATAAGATATAAAAATGAGAGATTCAGAAGGTTTTTTTAAAAAAAGGATATGATTTTTGTTTTCTGGGAAAGGATCTCACTCTGTCATCCAGGCTGGAGTGCAGTGGTGTGATAACTTCTCACTGCAGCCTCAATATCCTGGGATCAATCAATCCTCCCGCTTCAGCCTCCTGAGTACCTGGGAAGACAGGTATGTACCAGGATGCCTAATTTTTCTTATTTTATTTTATTTTTTTAGAGACAGGGTCTCATCATCTTGCCCAGGTTGGTCTCGAACTTCTGAGCTTAAGCAATCCTCCTGCTTCAGCCTCCCAAAGTGTTGAGATTACAGGTGTGAGCCATCACCTGTATATACTGATATGTATATCAGTGGTTTTTTCTGGGCACACACCTGTCAGTGTTTTTTCTGGGCACACACCTGTAGTCCCAGCTACTCAGGAGGCTGAGGTGAGAGGATCTGAGGGGGAAGGATTGCTTGAGCTTAGGAATTTGAGACCAGCCTGGGCAACACAATGAGACCCCAATTCTAAAAAAAAACCCAAAACTTTAAAAACTCAAACAAAGAGGCCAGGTGCAGTGGCTTACACCCGTAATCCCAGCACTTTGGGAGGCCAAGGCGGGAGGCTCACTTGAGGCCAGGAGTTTGAAATCAGCCTGGGCAAAATAACAAAACTCTGTCTCTACACAAAGTAAACAATAAAAAATTACCCAGGTGTGGTGGTACATAACTGGGGTTCCAGCTACTCAGGAGGCTGAGATGGAAGGATGGTTTGAGCCTGGGAGGTCAAGGCTGCAGTGAGTCATGATCACACCACTGTACTCCAGCTTGGATGACAGAGCAAGACACTGGCTCAAAAACAAACAAACGAAAAACCAAGCCATTCTGGCATACCATTTAAGTTAAAGGCATTTGAAAAATAGCAGGGATGCTGAGGTGAGAGTATCACTTGAGCTCAGGAGGTTGAGGCTACAGTGAGCCATGATCGTGCCACTGCACTCCAGCCTGAGCAATAGAGTGAGGCCCTGACTCAAAAAAAAAAGAAAAAAAAGAAAAACAGCAGGTGCAAAAAGATCACTGTAACCTTTGTGCTGTTTCTTCTTCTTTTTTTTTTTTTTTTTTTTTTTTTTGAGACAGGATCTTACTCTTTTGCCCAGGCTGGAGTGCAGTGGCACTGTCATGGCTCACTGCAGCCTCAACCTTCTGGACTCAAGCGATCCTCCCACCTCAGCCTCCCAAGTAGCTGGGACTACAGGCATGTGCCATCACACCCAGCTAATTTTTGTATTTTTTGTAGAGACAGGATCTTGCCATGTTGCCTAGGCTGGTCTTGAACACCTGGGCTCAAATCATCTGCCCACATCGGCCTCCCAAAGTGCTGGGATTACAGGCATGAGCCATTGTGCCCGGCCTTGTGCTGTTCCTTTAAAGCTAAAGATGAAATTCCCATGTGAAAGAAGCAATATCCTTATCTTTAAGGACAAGAAATCAAGACCAAGAGAATTCTGTACAGACCTTGTTAAAATAACTCTTACCTTTTAAGTCCTTCCACATAATTTAGTTGCTTCATCATAACTTACCACTCTTTGTCCAATTCAGTATATAAGGAACTGACTCAAACTGCTTCTTTTCTTGTGTGCCACCTAAAACCTGCATTAAATATATTCGTGCTGGGCACGGTGGCTCATGCCTGTAATCCCAGAACTTTGGGAGGCCCAGGCTGGTGGATCACCTGAGGTCAGGTGTTCAAGACCAGCCTGGTCAACATGGTGAAATCCCGTCTCTACTAAAAATACAAAAATTAGCCAGGCGTGGTGGTGTGCACCTGTAATTGCAGCTACTTGGGAGGCTGAGGCAGGAGAATCGCTTGAACCCAGGAGGCAGAGGTTGCAGTGAGCCGAGATCGAGCCACTGCACTCCAGCCTGGGTGACAGAGTAAGACTCTGTACCAAAAAAAAAAAAAAGAAAAAAGAAAAGAAAAGAAACAGCACACACAGACACACACAAAATTTGGATGCTTTCTCCTGTTAATCTGTTTTATGTCATTTTAATTCTCCAGCCCAATCAGGAGTCTAAGAGAACAGAGGTGGAGTTTTGCCGCCCCTACAAGCTGCATTTGCCCATATGGCTTGTTTTCTTAGGACAGAATCCTAGAAGTGGAATTGCTAGGTCTAAAGACATAATTGTTTTTAAACTTTTTGATACCAATTTGCAAGTAGCCTTAAAAAAAAAAAAAAGACCGGGTGCGGTGGCTCATGCCTGTAATCCCAGCACACTGGGAAGCCGAAGCGGGTGGATCACCTGAGATTGGGAGTTGGAGACAAGCCTGGCCAATATGGTAAAACCCCGTCTCTACTAAAAATACAATAAATTAGCCGAGCGTGGTGGTGGGCGCCTGTAATCCCAGCTTCTTGGGAGGCTGAGGCAGGAGAATTGCTTGAACCCGGGAGGTGGAGTTTGCAGTGAGCTGAAGTCGCGCCACTGCATTCCAGCCTGGGCACGACAGAGTGAGAGACTCTATCTCTAAAAAAAAAAAAAAAAAAAAAAAAGTCTTGTCCAACAGAGCAGGCAGCCTTTTTTTGGCTAGAGGTCTTGAGGTATAGTTTACAATTAATAAAATGCACTCATATCAAGGGGACAGTACAACAAATTTTGACAGAGGTATGTAATTACTTCATTCATGATATGCAGGGAGTTTTTTTATTATATGACTGTAAATATTAATCACCATTAAGCCAAGTAGTCTATTTTAATTATATTTTCTTTTTTGCATAATTTTTTATTTTTCCAGTTCACAATTGCTTCTAATTTTCTTATGAATACTTGACTAAGTCTTTCCACACCCTCTGACAGCTCTGTAAAACAAAGTCAATATATAATTTCTATATGGTCAAACCTATGAGATAATTTGTGTGGCTTTTTGTTTTGTTTTCCTTGGAGATACCTGTACGGGAGTTTTCCAACCTCCTCATCTACTCTGGATTGCTTGTTCTCTCCACCTGCTCCCCCACTCTTGCCCTGGGACTTGTCTTTGCTGTCATCCCAAGCATTCCCTTTGCCCCTGCCTGCCAATATCCTCTGTTTCCATGTCTTCCTCTTTCTTCGTATACTCCCTTATTTTAACAGAGACATCTTCTAGTAGTAGCTTCTTGAGAAAGGGCACAAGGAAGGTAAATCATTTGAGACTGCCCAAATGAAAAATATTCATTCTCTCACATATGATTGATGATCTAGCTGTGCATAGATAAGTATAGTATTCAAGTTGAAAACAACATTCTTTTAGAATTTTAAATGTAAATTCCATTATCTTCTAGTTTAGAATTGCTATTGAGAAATCTAATTTGTAGGCAGTTTTTCATCTGCCTTTCCAATGTTTTTTGAGAACCCATTCTGCACCAGGCACTGAATTAGATGTTAGGAGTATACAAACCTGAATACACAGGCACATGGTAAGAACTTAATAAGTAGCTGTTGTATTATGTAGCCAGTTTCCTTAGGTTCCTTATTTTTTCTTTACCTTGAGTCATAGAAAAACACAATAGAGAAATCAGAAGTTTAATGAAAGTGCTTTGGACAATTTCTAACATAAATTACAATTCAGAACGTTTAAAAAATCCCAACCTATCCAATCTCTAAATGCCACATATCCAATCCATTATCAAGTGTTAACATTTTTGCCTTTAAAATATATCTTGATTCAGCTAAGCTATGAGGATGCAAAGACATACAGAGTGATATAATGGACTTTGAGGACCCAGAGGGAAGGTTGGGAGAGGGATGAGGGATAAAAGACTACATATTGGGTACAGTGTACACTGCTTGGGTAATGGGTACACTAAAATCTCAGAATTCACTGCTACAGACCTCATCCATGTAACCAAAAACCACTTGTACCTCAAAAGATATTGAAATTTAAAAAGAGAAAAAAAGAAGAAAGACCTTATCTTTTTACCTTAAATAGGAAGACATCACAACAGAGAAATCCATGCTTTTTAATAAAGAACAGAACAGAGACTATTCACCATGATTAGTCAGAACGTACGTTCTCTTTTTATCTCTGAATTAATTAGTTTTCAGATCAGCTGCATTATCGAAGGCAAAAATAGCAATGGCAAATACAGGAAATAAATTTATTTCTCTATTATATAACGGTCCATGCTAAGCAGTCCAGGGATAATATGGTGGCCCCCAAAGTATTAGGGACCAAGGGACCCTCTGTGTTCTTGTTCTGACATCCTCACGTTAACTTCTCCATGTTCCTTGAAAGGCTATTCTCTTTCAGCTTCTGGTAGAAGAGCTTCTGACATAACAAGACGTGGCGATGATTTTTTGTATCAATAATCAGCATCCACAGTGATTCTGATGCAAGCGTCCTTGGACCACATTCAAAACAATTAAGCATTGTTTCCCATGTTATGACTCTCAGAACACTAATTTTGCAAGATGCTCCATATAAAAAGGATTCTGTTGATAAATAAGTTTGGAAAACTGTACTTAACACATTCCCATTTTGGAAATCACAATGATTATTACCATATTTTGAACTTAAATAAGTGCTGCAGTAAAGAAATCTGCTCAATGTTATACAATCTGATGTTTCTCAATCTTATTTGAGCTCAGCATTGTTTTTTCAGGTGACTTACTAAACTCTGTAGGAAATGCTGTTTAAGAATCAGATTGGGTAAAATGGGGAAGAGATCATTAAAGTTAGCAAGTAAGGGATCTTTAGTATCTTTAAATAGAGCAATTTCAGTTGAAGGGCGAGAAGAAGCCAGGCTATAATAAGTTATGGAATGAACCAGAGGTGCAATGTGTACATTGAACATACAACTACATTTTCCAAAAGGATAGTGAAAGAAAGAAAGGTGCAATACAGTTTCAGGAAGAAAAAAGGAGTCAGGAAGAGGGAGAACTTGCAAATCCAAGAGGAATAAGAAATAACTGGGTCATCAAGTGGAATGGAGACTGCCGAGGAGGTGAAGAGAGAGGGCTGAGAGAAGCAGCAAGAGATTTGTTCTGGGGACCCAGAAACCCACGGTACCCTACTGAAAATCAAATCCCTTGGAAACCCACAGAGACAGCAGCAAAAAAAGGGATAAAGACACTCAACACCAGGAACTCACCTCTCTCTCTGCCTCTCTCCCCGTCTCTCTCTCTCTGCCTCTCTCCCCGTCTCTCTCTCTCTGCCTCTCTCCCCGTCTCTCTCTCTGCCTGCCCTAGTCATCTAGTCTCCAAACTCCCAGTCCCCTGTGCCCCTTCCTGGGATACCATGTTGTTCTTCATCCTCCTGCTAGAGGTGATTTGGATCCTGGCTGCAGACGAGGGTCAACACTGGACATATGAGTGCCCACATAGTCAGGACCACTGTGGCCAGCCTTTTACCCTGAGTGTGGAAACAATACACAGTCCCCCTTCGATATCCGGACAGACAGTGTGACAATTGACCCTTAGATGACTGCTCTACAGCCCCATGGATATGACCGGCCTGGCACTGAGCCTTTAGACCTGCACAAGAATAGCTACACAGTACAACTGTCTCTGCCCTCTACCCTGTATCTAGGTGGACTTTCCAGAAAATATGTAGCTACCCAGCTACACCTGCACTGGGGTCAGGATGATCCCCAGGGGGCTCAGAACACCAGATCAACAGTGAAGCCACAGTTGCCGAGCTCCACATCATACGTTATGGCTGTGATTCCTGTGATAGCTTGAGTGAGGCCGCTCAGAGGCCTCAGGGCCTGACTGTCCTGGGCATCCTAATTGAGGTGAGTGAGACTAAGAATATAGCTTATGCCAGCCTGGCCAACATGGTGAAACCCCGTCTCTATTAAAAATACAAAAATTAGCTGGGTGTGGTAGTGGGCACCTGTAATCCCAGCTTACCCGGGAGACTGAGGTAGGAGAAGAATCACTTGAACCTGGGAGGTGGAGGTTGCAGTGAGCTGAGATTGCACCACTGTACTCCAGCCTGGGCAACAGAGCGAGACTTAAAAAAAAAAAAAAAAAAAAAAAAAGAATGTAGCTTATGAACACATTCTGGGTCACTTGCATGAAATCAAGCATAAAGATCAGAAGACCTCAGTGAGAGAGCTGCTCCCCCGACAGCTAGGGCAGTTCTTCCTTTACAATAGCTCGCTCACAACTTCCCCTTGTTAGTAGAGGGTGCCCTGGACAGTTTTCAGTCCAAGGGCCCAGATTTCAATGGAACGGCTGGAAAAGCTTCAGGAGACATTGTTCTCCACAGAAGAGGGGCCCTCCAAGTCCTGATACAGAACTACTGATCCCCTCAGCCTCTCAACCAGCAATGACCTTTGCTTTTTTCATCCAGATGGGATCCTTGTATCCTACAGGTGAAATGCTGAGCCTTGGTGTAGGAATCTTGGTTGGCTCTCTCTGACTTCTGCTGGCCATTTTCTTCATGGCTAGAAGGCTTCAGAACAAGAGGCTGGAAAATCAGAAGAGCGTGGTCATCACCTCAGCATGAGCCACCACTGAGGCATAAACTCCCTCTTAGATACCTTGGATATGGATGCCTTCCCCTCGTGCCTCCAGAGGTGCTTTCCCCTCATGTCTCACCACCCCTCAGGGAACCTCTAAAATGGGGTGCAGGGACTGGCCGGAATTACTGTAGGAGTAGTAGGCGCTTCTCCTCTGGACATCCCCTGCAGAGAGGTATGGACCCAGGCTCTCATTCAAGGAAGAACAGCAGAGCCTTCAGCCCCTCAAAACATGTAGGAGGAGATCAGGGCATCCCTGTGTTGTTAGTGCAGAGGACAAACTGTGTTTAGTTTTAGGGGAAGTTTGGGATGTACCCCAAAGTCCTCCACCATCTCACCTTTATGTCCCTTTCCCTAGATATATTGCAGGATCTCCCCTTAGGAGAAAGAGTTGCTGTTGGGGTTATATATTTTTGCTCAACATATTTGGAAACTAAAGTTTCTGGAGGAAAAAAAAGGAAATAAGAAATAATTGATGCAAAGTCCCAAAGGCAGCAAGAAAGAGTGGAGCCAAGAGGACAAGTAAAAATGTAAAGAGAAGAAATACTGTTTTTCTTTCCTCAAAAAAGAGAAAAGGTGAAAAGATGAGTACAGATATATGTTTGGAAGTGAAGGAGCATGGCTGGAAGAGAGCTGGTTTTCTCTGTGAAGTAGGAAGAAAAATCACCTGCTGAAAATAAGGAGAAAAGAAAAAGGAAGATAAAGTTTTGGAACAGCACTTCTGGGAGATAACAAACTTCGCTAACTAAGAATTAGTAAAACGGTTGTTGAGCAGTACTCAGTGCTGAGTTGAATATTGAATAGATTTTTTTTCCATCCTCACTCAGTGGTCCAGGAGGAGAACAAGCAGGTGCTCGGATTCATCTAGGGTTGAGGATTAATGGGGTAATGCGGCAGAAAAAGAGGAACAAAGGACCTGAAGGCCCTTGTGACAATGAATGATAACTTCTTTTTCAATAAAAGAAAAAAAGGCCGGGGGCGGTGCCTCATGCATGTAATCCCAGCACTTTGGGAGGCCCAGGTGGGTGGATCACCTGAGGTCAGGAGTTCGAGACCAGTGTGACCAACGTGGTGAAATCCTGTCTCTACTAAATACAAAAAATTAGCCAGATGTGGTGGCACATGCCTGTAATCCCAGCTACTTGGGAGGCTGAGGCAGGAGAATCATTTGAACCCGGGAGGTGGAGGTTGCAGTGAGCCGAGATTGTGCCACTGCACGCCAGCCTGGGCAACAAGAGCAAAACTCCATCTCAAAAAGAAAGAAAAAGAGAAGAATGGGGAAAAGTTAAGGTTGTGGAAGCATCTAAGATATGTGTGTTCAAAGAGATTTCTCTGTTCAGTATTTCAGAGCTTTAGGTGGTGATTACATTAATTCATGGGAATGAATTGTTGGAGTGAAGTGGAGGGGAAGTCTGCTGCAGTAAAGGATGTCTAGGAATTGCAAAGCTAGTTAACAAGGTATATGATGAGCAATGGCTACTTTTAAATCTTGGCTCTGTCCCTTAACAACAAATGAATTTGAACAAGTTGCTTAACCTTCTCAGTGTCTGTTTTCTTATTTTTTTTTTTAAAAGGAGAAAATTATAACTAACGGTAGGAGCAATGTAAGAAGACAACATATGTAGGCCGGGCATGGTGGCTCATGCTTGTTATCCAAGCACTTTGGGAGGCTGAGGCAGATGGATCACTTGAGGTCAGGAGTTTGAGACCAGCCTGGCCAACATGGTGAAACCCTGGCTCTACTAAAAATACAAAAATTAGCTGGGGGTGGTGGCGGGTGCCTGTAATCCCAGCTACCCCAGAGGCCGAGGCAGGAGAATTGATTGAACCTGGAAGGTGGTGGTTGCAGTGAGCCAAGATTGCCTCACTGTACTCCAGCCCAGGTGACAGAGCAAGACTCCATCTCAAAAAAAAAAAAAAAAAAAAAAAAGACAACATAAGTAAAATATCTGCCACAGTGGGCTCAATAAGTAGAAGCTGCTACTACTGGATTGGTCAACTATAAGGATGTCATAGACACCTGGAATTATGGCAGAAAAGAGAATAGAAAGGAGCTGGGCATGGTTACATGCACCAGTAATCCCAGCTGCTCAGGGGGCTAAGGCAGGAGGATCACCAGAGCCCAGGAGTTTGATGCCAGCCTTGGCAACATAGTGAGGCCCTGTCTCAAAAAAAAATAAATAATTTTTTTAAAAGAAAAAAGGATATAAAGGAAAAGATTAAGCTGTGTGTTTAAGTCCTCAACAAATCTGAGGGTGTGACTTGTAAGTTGCTAAAGGAGAGTATCGAGATTTGAGAAAACCCAGATGATGTTAAGTCCCTGGCAGTGCCTTCTGGGAGGTATTCTCTTCTCTGTCCTCCATATGCTCATCTTAAGTGGATATTGAAACTTCTGCTTCCAACCATGATGAAATAACTGGAACCAGACTTTCCTTCCTGCCTTAAACAACTAGAAAACTGGACAAAATATAGGAAACAATGATTTATAAACATTGGACAACAGGTAGCATAGGCGGTCATCTCTGAGAGAAGGGAAACAAAGTCAGCTCTTCCAAGTTTCCCAGCTCTCCACCTAAAAACAGGAAAAACAAATAGAACACAGGTGTTTCCCTAAACTGAGAATTCAGAGTTTAGGAAGATAAAAGCAGCTAGAATTTGTGGGGCAGTGCCAGAAAGAAGGGAACTATTAAAAAGAGAATTATGGATATTTGAAGAGATTCCTCCCTCTATTTCCCCCCAGCTTTATTGAAGT
Source organism: Homo sapiens (assembly GCF_000001405.40). Classification (NCBI taxonomy): domain Eukaryota; kingdom Metazoa; phylum Chordata; class Mammalia; order Primates; family Hominidae; genus Homo; species Homo sapiens. The sequence goes on from NC_000001.11 coordinate 165,712,264, forward strand.
ATAACTGACAAGTAAAAACTGTATGTATGTAAGGTGTACATTGTGATGTTTTGATATACATATATATAATGTAAAATGATTACCATGATCAAGCTAATTAACATATCGATTACCTCACATGGTTACCATTTTCTTGTGTGTGTGGTAAGAACATTTAAGATCTACTCTCCTAGCAAATGTCAAGTATACAATACTGTATTATTAACTATGGGAACCATACTATACAATTAGATCTCCAGAATTTATTCATCCTGCATAACTGGAACTTTGTTCTTTATGACCAACATCTCCCCATTTCTCTCCCTCTCAGCTCCTGGAAACATCATTCTACTTGCAGAGTCCCCTTGATTTGAAGGCTGAGTACTGATCTGCAGTATTCAGCAATGAGGAAACTACCCAGGGCCAGGGGAAAAACCACCAGAAAGGAGGAGGCAGGAAAAATCCCTTGACCTCATATAGGACTGGGAATAGTTTGGGTTCCCAGCAGCCAGCGTGGAAAGATCTTATAGGGCATTGTGTAGGGTCCTCAGAAGGCTATTGCCTCAATAATGGGCTCAAATTAGCCCTAGGCTAGTGGCTGTTCTGGGCCTGCCATAACAAAGCTTAAAAGGAAGCCTCTCACGCCTCTGCGCTCCAGCCTGGGCGACAGAGGGGAACTCCGTCTCAAAATAAATAAATAAATAAATAAATAAATAAATAAATAAATAAATAAATAAATAAAAGCCTCGGAAGAATCAAACCAATTCCAAATAACTTATCTTGTCCCAGAATAAAACTCTTGAAATATTCAAAGTAATACAAGAAAGTCTATCACCTAATAAAGTAAAATCCACAATGTCCAGGAGCCAATAAAAAATTATCAGGCATGCAAAGAAGCAGGAAGAGATAACTCATGATCAGGAGGAAAACCAGTCAAAAGAAACAGACCCAGAAAACACACAGATGATGGAATTATTAGACAAAGATGTTAAAACAGTTATTACACATATACTTCCTATGCTTAAAAAGTAAAGTATAAACATGATGAATAGGAAAATGGAAGATATATAAAAGACCCATATCGAGATGGGTCTAGAGATGAAAAATTCAGTACTGGAAATTAAAAATAAACTGAATGACATGAACAGGTAGATACTACAGAAGAAAATATCAGTGGATTTGAAGGCACAGCAATCATTTTTTAGAAACTACGAATGAAACACAGAGAAAAAGAGACTGAGAAAAAGTGAATTAGTGAGCTGTGGGGTAATATCTAGTGACTGAACATGTATGTAATTAGAGTCTCAAAAGATACAGCAATTGGGAGGTAGAAAGAAAAAATGCTGGAAGAAATAATGATCAAAAATTTTTCCACATTCGGCCAGGCATTGTGGCTGATGACTATAATTCCAGCACTTTGTGAGGCCGAGGCAAGAAGATCGCTTGAACCCAGGAGTTTGTTACCAGCCTGGGTAACATAGTGAGAACTCCTGTCTCTAAAAATAAAAACAAATTAAAAAATTTAAAATAAATTTTCCAAATTTGATTGAAACTACAAGCTTACTGGCCCAAGAAGTTCAATGAACTTCAAGCAAAAGAAATGTTAAGGAAATGACACTGGGCCGGGCACAGTGGCTCACGCCTGTAATCCCAGCACTTTGAGAAGCCAAGGCAGGCTGATCACCAGAGGTCAGGGGTTCGAGACCAGCCTGGCCAACATGTTGAAACCCCATCTCTACCAAAAAGACAAAAATTAGTCAAGTGTGGTGGCACGTGCTTGTAATCCCAGATACTACTCGGGAGCCTGAGACAGGAGAATCGCTTGAACCTGGGAGGCGGAGGTTGCAGTGAGCCAAAACTGTGCCACTGCACTCCAGCTTGGGTGACAGAGTGAGACTACATCTAAAAAAAAAAAAAAAAAAAAAAGAACACATCCTAATCAAAAGACCCAAAAGCTGTGCAAATAAAAAATTCTAAAGGAGGTGGTGAGGAATATGCCTTCTTCAAGGATTATTCAACTTTTGCAGCCTGATTTCTGCAAGTTTGGGAGCACAAGACTTGCTTTATTTTAACAAAAACTTTTTAGGCCAGGCTTCCTGAGGTTTCTCCAGCAATAGTTATGCTTCAAAGGCTTACAAGATGGCTGGGCGCCATGGCTCACGCCTGTAATCCCAGCACTTTGGAAGGCCGAGGTGGGTGGATCACAAGGTCAGGAGTTTGAGACCAGCCTGGCCAATATAGTGAAACCCCGTCTCCACTAAAAATACAAAAAGTAGCCGAGCCTGATGGCAGGCGCCTGTAATTCCAGCTACTTGGGAGGCTGAGACAGGAGAATTGCTTGAACCCAGGAGGCGGAGATTGCAGTGAGCTGAGACTGTGCCACTGCACTCCAGCCTGGGCAACAGAGTGAAATTCTGTCTCAAAAAAAAAAAGCTTACAAGACAGGCTGGGTGCGGTGGCTCACGCCTATAATCCCAGCACTTTGGGAGGCTGAGGTGGGTGGATCACCTGAGGTCAGGAGTTTGAGACCAGCCTGGCCAAAATGGCAAAACCCTGTCTCTACTAAAAATACGAAAAAATAGCCGGGTGTGGTGGCGGGCACCCGTAGTCCCAGTCACTTGGGAGGCTGAGGCTGGAGAATGGCTTGAACCTGGGAGGCGGACGTTGCAGTGAGCTGAGATAGCCCCACTGCACTCCAGCTTGGGTGACAGAGCAAGAATACATCTTAAAAAAACAAAAGCTTACAAGACATTTAATCTGTTTGCTTCTTCTATTCAGTACCATGTGCCAATAGCCACAGCCAGGATTCTTTTCTAGACAGAGTCCTTAAGCCTATTTTATCTCTTTTCTTCCCTACCCCAAACCCTCTTTTCTCAATTTAGTGTCAGTTGTCTTGAAACTATCTGAAACAATTGGGCAAGATTGAAAGAAGATCTTTGTCTGACTGAAATGTCTCAATGACAGTCCTCTGAGCTACAAGTCTTGTCTCGGCTATTACGGTATTGAAGCAGTTGGCTTTTAGAAATCTTTAAGTCCTCAAGCTTCTGGACTCTATTCCCTTCTTTCACTTGCAAACCAGTAGATTCTAGTCTGAGCTCATCTCTTTTTTGAACATACCTAGCCAAAAACAGCCAGCAGCAGCCAACTCACAGTTACATTCTGGCTCATTCCATCTACCTTCCCTAGAAGTACCAGTACCATAAGAGTTGTGTCTGCCTGTCAAGTTATCACAGCAACAGTTTTACCAAATATTTTGCCATGGCATAGGAAGAGGCTCCGTCTTTCAGTCAGTGATATCAGTTCCTAACCTCCTGCTGTGCATCTACTAAGCCAATCCCTCTGTTTTAGGTGTTGGATTTCTAAATTAGGGTATGTTAAGCTAGTTTATTAAACAGATCCAAAATGTAATAGTTTACACCCAATATAAATTTTTTTGCAATTTACCTAACAGTCCAGAGGCATCTAAGTAAAATGTTCAAAATCTGTAGGAGCAGGGTTGGAGAAGAGGTGACTCAGCTCCACATGGTAACTGAAGGACTCAGGATGCCATCTTCAACACATGGTTTCCAAGGACACTCTCAGCATGAACCTCCCAGTCATCCAGAGAAGAAAACAGCAAGAAGTCTTCACTGGTAAGGCATGAAGTGGTTCACATCACTTCTTTTCCCATGCAAGTGGAGAGAACTTAGTTGAATGACCACAATGAACTGCAAGGGAAACTAACTATGAGAGTGAAGAATGGATTTGGCGAGACAGAGGTCCATCTCCATCATTAATACAAGCACTGTATCAGTCAGAGTTCTCCAGAGAAAAAGAAATAATAGGATAAAAAGACAGGGAGAGAGATTTTAAGGATCTGGCTCATGTGACTGTGGGGGCTGGCAAGTCTGAAATTAGTAGGGCAGGCTAGCAGGCTGGAGATTCAGGATAAGAGTTAAGTTGCAGTCTTGAGTTGAATTCCACAGGGCAGCAATTTGGAAACTAAGTTACGGTTTCTACATTGCAACCTTGAGAATTTCTTCTTCTTTAGGAGACCTCAGTCTTTGCTTGTGAGGCCTTCAGTTGATTGGATGAGGCCTATACATGTTATGGAATGTAATATGTGTTACTCAAAGTCTACTGATTGTTAAGTGTTTATCACATCTAAAAAATAACAGCACAGCAACATCTGGGCTGGTGTTTGACCAAATAACTAGGTCCCATAGCCTAGCCAAGTTGACACAAAGTTGACCATCACAGATAACCAAATATTGACAATGGTTACCTTTTGGAATCTGAAGTAAGGGAAGGTGCATGAGGACGGCATAGGGAAGAGAGGCACAGATTTTTGCTTTTCATTTTATACCTTCACAGATATTTGTATTTGTACCAAATGTGTATATTGCTTTTTTACAATTGTTATTTTTAATAAGAAAGACAGAACTTTGTGGATTGAACATGTGAGCCTGAAAAGAAAAAAGGCCCTTTTTTTTCTTTTTTCTTTTTTTTGTGACAGAGTCTCACTCTGTTGCTCAGGCTGGAGTGCAGTGGTGCAATCTCAGCTCACTGCAACCTCCGCCTCCTGGGTTCAAGCGATTCTCCTGTCTCAGCCTCCCAAGTAGCTGGGATTACAGGCGCACGCCACCACACCCAGCTGATTTTTATATTTTTAGTAGAGATAGGGTTTCGCCATGTTGGCCAGGCTAGTCTCAAACTCCTGACCTCAGGTGATCTACCCGCCTTGGCTTCTCAAAGTGCTGAGATTATAGGCATGAGCCACCGCACCCAGCCAAAAAAAGGCTTTTTGAAAAAGAGGATGAGGCAGTGGGTAGCTAGGAGCACATCGACCCTGCCTCTTGGTCCTCAGACAAGAGAAGAGAAACAGCAGCGTCTGCTCAAAAGGGTTGTGAATTATCATGGATTATCAGATATATTTGTGTAATTACATTGACATTTCCCTCATAAGAAAGTTAGGTTTTTAGTTCAAGTGGTAGGAGTATTCTATGATAAAATTGAGAATCTAGCAAAGTCTCAGCAAAGAACAGGGGCTGCAGAGGACACATTGAAAATTAAATACAGAGCAAAGGTGAGCCAGGATGGAGGAAGGCCTCGGCAGACTGGAGACATGCGATAAGAAAGACAATGGTCCCAGGAGAAGAGGGACAAGGGGGTCAAAAGGCATGCCAGAGAGACCCTCCCAGATCTACCTGCTCTCTTTCTCTCCTATTTTTAAGATTTCTCACCTTGTCGAGGGGGAAACAAAGCCTTTTATTGTTTTTTGTTGTTTTGTTTTTACATGGAAGTTTATTGAGAAGCTTGAGGAGTGGCAGGAGAGTCCAGGAATAAAAAAATGTAATAATACTTGCTGTGCATTTACCAGGTCTATGTCTTCATGTTCAACCACAGGGAGCCTCTCGTTGGCCCCATTAGAGGACCCATTCTTATTTATTTATTTTTGAGACAGGTTCTCATTCTGTCTACCAGGCTGGAGTGTAGTGGCGTGGTCTTGGCTCACTGCAGCCTCGACCTCCCTGGGCTCAGGTGATCCTCCCACCTCAGCCTCCTGAGTAGGTGGAACTATAGGCACCTACCACCATACCCGGCTAATTGTTGTATTTTTTTATAGAGACGGGGTTTCACCATATTGCCCAGGCTGGTCTCAAACTCCTGGGCTCAAGCAATCTGCCCACCTCAGCCTCCCAAAGTTCTAGGATTATAGGTGTGAGCTACCGCACTTAGCCCAGGGGACCCATTCTAAAGTTTCCTCAGTGTGTAATCTACTCTACCTGTCTCCCTTCCCCTAAACAGTGGATACAAAACACTTCATCTCCCTAAAAAGCAGGCAGGGCCAATTTTTGTCACTAGGTGGCATGCACATATAAGCAGTGAGTTGAGTTGCAGAAAAGATGAAGGAAAACTAGAAAAAGCAAACCCATTCAACAACAAAGAAGGAACTTCAAGAATGAGGTAAACATATTTAAATTGCCTTTTTGAAATCGTTATCACCAACTTGCTTTTTTTCGTGCCCCACAACTTCAGGCTGAGTACTTGGTAGTGATAGAAAGAACTATCCCTGAACCAGGTGGCAGCAAAAAGCAAAACATGGACTAAGAGAAGCCAACAAGCCAAAGGAACTAAGGGCTTAATCACCCTTTTGGGCAGCCCACTTCTATCTCGAATGGCCTCTCTAAATCATTGTGCATATTATTTAGTATTTTTATATTATCCAAAAGTCATTCCCCCCCACCCCACAGTTTTTTTTTTTCTTTTTGAGACAGAGTTTTGCTCTGTCACCCAGGCTGAAGTGCCAGGATCACCTTAAATTATCCAGTGGGATCACCTTAAATTATCCAGTGAACATGAAGCACAGCCAAGACTAGAGGAAAATGAAATGTGTTCATCCACAAGTCTAGTGCTTAATCAGCAAGATTTTACTTGATAAAGTTAAAGCTTTCAGACAAATGAAAATAATCTTAAGAAAAATAATCTAACTCCAATCTAGAGTCATTATAAATTAATGATTACAGGGGAAAAGAGAAAAACAAATTGTCAAATGATTTCTTAGTGTATATAGAAACAATATGAATCTAAATTTTTTGAACACTTCACTATTCAACTGCTTTTAGTAATGTTCCCTTATAATTTACAAAGGAACTTTACATATATTATTCTCATTTCATTTTTGTAACAATTTTATGAGTATGCAGGCCATTGCAGGAATTATTGTCCTCTTTTTTTAGACAAGGAAACTGACGCTTACAGTAGCTACCAGTTGTAAGATTTCTGAGCAGATTTCTACTCAACTCACCTTTGTGTCCACAATGCCCGTAGCACAGGGTCTTGCACAGAGGTCGTGCTTTAAATGTGCTTGGTAAATGGGTGAACGAATGTATGCAATTATAGCATGATACAAATGTCAGGTTCTTGCCCTTTCTGATCCTCCAGAAAGTATATCTGAGAAAAGAAGTCACACTCTTGGCTAATGTCTTTCTGGAAAATTGGTTGTTCTTGATTATTTTCACCGAGTTATTCATTGCTATAATATAGTCAAAATCTTAGATAAGTCCACCACATCTAATTTAAAGTGGTCTTTAGTGTTCCAAACTTGACTTCACTCAAATTTCCTTATTCTTCAAGTTCCAGAGAGAACTTTATTTATTTTTTTCCAATGGCTTGCTGCCTGATGCAACCCATTAGTCAGTGGTAAAATTAATGGATTATGACCACATTTTTCGAAGAATGAAATAAAATACCAAAGTGCATAAAAGAGGTATTGTTTCATGGGACTTCTATAACTGGGATGCAATAATAAAAATGTGTTTCTTACTGTGGGGTTGTGGTCAAAAAAGTTTGAAGACCACTGCACTAAAGTATTGCCCCAGTTTGATTAAAAATGTAAAATGTTCTCTAGAATGGAAAAATCTGTCACCAGATCAAGCTTTCAGACTTTTTCTACTTTCTTGATATGTATGACCTCTGTTTAAGATCCAATTGACTGTTCAGCAAATGGCTGAAATAGCTATAAACCCCAAAATCACTTTTGTATTAACAAAAATTATATTGGCTGGGCGCGGTGGCTAACGCCTGTAATCTCAGCACATTGGGAGGCCAAAGCAGGCGGATCACGAGGTCAGGAGATCAAGACCATCCTGGCTAACACGGTGAAACCCTGTCTCTACTAAAAATACAAAAAATTAGCCGGGTTTTGTGGCAGGCGCCTGTAGTCCCAGCTACTCAGGAGGCTGAGGCAGGAGAATGGCATGAACCTAGGAGGCGGAGCTTGCAGTGAGCCGAGATCGCGCCACTGCACTCCAGCCTGGGTGACAGAGCAAGACTCCGTCTCAAAAAAAAAAAAAAAAAAAGGAAAGAAAAAAAATTATATTGAAGGATTCCTGAGCAGCCAGATGAATTCTGGAGCCAAATATAAGTTTCTGGGTTTTAAAATGTGCTTAGCCTCCAACTGCAGAAGGCCATTTGAAACTTGAAATATCATCTCTTAGTAGGCTTAAGTAGACTTAGGTTTATCCTCTTCCTCACTCATCTGGTGATGGTGGAATAATTTTTAAATTTCTTCTAATATTCAAAAAGTCTTGTTAAAATATACTATTTAGACAATGAGAGTAATGTGGGAAAGCTTTGTAAAAAAATGGAATAGAGACAGTGATAATCATCTAAATGATACTCTGAAGACCCCAACTTGTCTTATGTAAAGACATTTTGAAGATCTTTTGCATGTAGGGTAACAGGTCCAGATGGGATTCAAGTTAAGCAGTTTTATATTGTAGCCCCAATGGAGACAGCCCTACTGGGTGCTGCAGTAGAAAGAGCGTGGACCCTGAAAACTAAGGATCTGGGTTCTTCCTGGTTCTGTTACTTACTCGTGTAGGATCTTGGATAAATCATGATTTGTCACCTGTAAAATGGAAATAATAAAAAGATACCCTATCTCCCTCATAGGATTCCTGTGTTTGAAAAACAAATGCCTTTAATATGCCAGGCATAGTATCAATTGCTTTACAGAATCCATCAAGAACACTATGAGGTAAAAACCTATTTATCTGATATGACTAGAACCAGTAATTTATAGGTTAATCTAAAAATTTAATTACAGTTATGAAAAAATACATATATACATACTTTAGACATGTTTAACTTAAAACATACAAATATATACTTGTTCACTTTTTATGTAGGGCCAAGGCCTTTTCCTTGAGTATGAGTCTACTGATTGCAATACCGTTTTTTTTTCTGCATAAACCAAACCCATCACCTCTGATTTCCAGTTTTGGTTTCTTTAAAGTGGAGCATGAATTAAAACACTAAGAAATAATGCTGAATCTTTCTAAATTTTTTGTTACTTTTTTAGTCTTTGTTATTTCACCAACAGCAATTATTTTTAGCAACTTTTTTTATTGTTATTCCAAGTCATTCAGTTTAATTTTCACAGAAGTAATCCTTCTTTTGTATTCATATTTCATAATTTAACATATTTAGTCCATGCATTTAATTACAATAACAAGTAAGATAAATTATGTTACACAATTGACTGGCAAGAGTTGTGCACAAGCATGGTTGAGAGCATTCAGCGTGATGTGGATGCTGGTCATCAAGCTTTTCACAGGGAACTGGGAGGATCCATCTGAAGACTCAGGTAAGTGGAAATCAGATAAGGGAGCTTTGACTGAGTTATTAACTCCATTTTCCAGACGAGGCTATTGAAGCTTAGAAAGTTAATTGTCCATTTTTAAATGAATGACTCATATAAGAAAGGCTCTAACAGAAATACAGGAAAGAGAAATCTAACTCAACCATGTAAAAGGTGATGCTAAGTAGGAAAAGTAAGAGAAGAAAAATCAGGCAAATAAGACAAAGAACATTCTAGGCCGAGAAAACAAAGGTAGTAAAGTCCAAAAAGAACATGAAAGGCTGAGCACTGTAGCTCATGCCTGTAATCCTAGCACTTTGGGAGGCTGAGGTGGGAGGATCACTTCAGCCCAGGAGTTCAAGACCAACCTGGGCAACATAGTGAGACCTCATCTCTAGCTTAATAAAAATAAAAAAGAACATGAAAAATGCAGAATTTGTTTAAGAAATCTGCTTAGCTAGAGGACAAGATATAGTGGGGTAGGTGGGCGTGGTGGCTTACACCTGTAATCCCAGAACTTTGGGAGGCTGAGGCAGGCAGATCATGAGGTCAGGAGATCGAGACCATCCTGGCCATCATGATGAAACCCCGTCTCTACTAAAAATACAAAAATTAGCTGCGCGTGGTGGTGGGCACCTGTAGTCTCAGCTACTCGGGAGGCTGAGGCAGGAGAATCACTTGAACCAAGGAGGCGGAGGTTGCAGTGAGCCGAAATCACGCCACTGTACTCCAGCCTGAGCGACAGAGCAAGACTCTGTCTCAAAAAAAAAAAAAAAAAAAAAAGATATGGTGGGATATAGAGATAAGAAAAGGCTGGAGATCCAGGTTGGGATGGTTTTGTGTGCTAACTAGTTTAAATTTACTTAAAAGCTACTGGGAGCCATTGAACAACTTTCCTTTGAGGAGCAACACAATCAGATTTATTATTATTTTTTTTTTATTTTTGAGATGGAGTTTCGCTCTTGTTGCCCAGGCTGGAGTGCAATGGCATGATTTCGGCTCACTGCAACCTCTGCTGCCCGGGTTCAGGTGATTCTCCTGCCTCAGCCTCTCTAGTAGCTGGGATCACAGGCATGTGCCACCACGCCGAGCTTATTTTTTGTATTTTTGGTAGAGATGGGGTTTCACTATGTTGGCCAGGCTTGTCTTGAACCCCTGACCTCCAGTGATCCACCTGCCTCAGCCTCCCAAAGTGCTGGGATTACAGGCGTGAGCCACTGTGCCCGGCTTCAGATTTATATTATATTTTACGAAGATCATTGCCAGGCCGGGCGCAGTGGCTCACGCCTGTAATCCCAGCAATTTGGAAGGCCGAGGCAGGTGGATCACCTGTGGTCAGGAGTTTGAGACCAGCCTGGCCAACATGGTGAAACCCTGTATGTACTAAAATACAAAAATTAGCCAGGCGTGGTGGTGCATGCCTGTAATCCCAGCTACTCGGGAGGCTGAGGCAGGAGAATCACTTGAACCTGGGAGGCGGAGGTTGCAGTGAGTCGAGATAATGCCACACTGCACTCCAGCCTGGGCGACAGGGTAAGACTCCATCTCAAAAAAAAAAAAAAAAAAAAAATCATCCCACAGCAAGATGGAGGGTGAACTGGAGTCAGGGAAACTAGAATAAAGGAAACTACCTGGTAGGCTATTGCAGAAAAATTAAGGGGACAGTGATAAGGATCTGAGTCAGTGTTGGTGACATCCCCACATGGTATTCTCTTCACAATAGGTCTCCTCCCTTTAGTCAACAAGTGTGAAGTGTTAAGGGGGCAATGTCACTGCAGAGAGTGTCCCTGCCAGCCCCACTATTAGGTAAAAATTAAATTGTTTCTGGTAAGAATTTTACCTGCCCATCTTTTCACACATTATGGGGCTTATGAGTGGGCTTAAACCCATAAGAGAAGTGTGATAATGGGTACCCATCTCTATGTAGCTTAAATATGCTTTTTTGTGCAAACCCCTCAAAACACTATATAAAGTAAAATTAAAGAGAAATCTCTAAAGTTGGAAACAAAATCAAACAAATGTAAATTGTATTCTGTTGGCAATAACCTTAAAGAAATAATTCCAGATAACTTGAAATCTCAGTATTTGGACTGTGAACTCATAGTGTGATATACCTTACACAATCCTCCCTGTCCTTTACTCCACAAAAAACAAAACTTGAACTATTTTCATTAACTATATTGTTGGTAATGTTTATGTTAATATCTGAGACTTCTGAGTGTATATTCTTAGCTTGTACTAATGAATAATTATGTAATATTCTAATTATATCAGCCGGCTGCTGCAAATTGGAATTCTTAGTATGGTTTGATAAACGAGACACAGACCAAAGAAATTAAGTAAAAATTCTGTAGCCCTGAGTATCAGTATAACTTCATGTTGTATTTTGTATTAAAACAACAACAAATAATACCAATGTTAGTCCACAGAAAGGCCTAGAAACCTAAAAACCCAGTCTCACCATTCCTAGTGCTCTGATCACAATCTCCAAATGCCATTTTCCAGTAAAGATGAAACAAGCCTCTTTGGAGAAATTGTTGTTTTCAAGTCATGCAGGAAATACACAAGATGAGCCTTAGAACATCTTGTTATATCACTTAGCAAGGATGCTACCAATGACAACGAGGGTCATGCAAATAGACTCAGGAGCCAAATGAAAGAGGCTCTCGCTGGCCAAAAATGGGACAATTTGAGCATTCATAAGAGAAATAGCTTCAGTGGACTGAAGTACATCAAATATGTTTAAATGCATGAATTGCTAATGACATACACATTAATTATTCACTATTGGAGGATGTTAATAAACAGCTCATTATTTTGAAGACCAAGGAGTTAGGCATTTATTCTTAACTTCCCCCAAAAAGTAGATGAGAGGAAGTTCCTATTTAGAGGTATTTTAGATCATAAATGAAGGAATACTACAATTAGAATACCATCACTTTTAATATCTCATTAATTAATAGATCAAAAGCTGCTCGCATTACAGAGACAACCAATAGTATGAAAAAACCAGCATGCTATCACCAAAATCCAAACTAAGAAAAACTCTACAAGGTAAACAACACAACTTCTTCAACAAATATATTGTAAGAGGGCAGAGAGATGCTGATGAACCAATAGGTGAGTGAACCCCAAACCTGCAGCTTCAGCATCACCTGGGAATTTGTTAGAGATGCAAATTCCCAGACTCCACAGCAGACTTACAGATCACCAGCTCTGGGGTGGGGCCCAGCAGTTTGTGTTCTAACAAGGCTCTAGTGATTCTGATACACTCTAGTTTGAGGACCACAACAATTGAAGAAATTTAGGATGTGTATCAGCTAACTGCAATATTCAGTACCTTACTTGGTTCCTGATTCCAAAAAACTGCAAAAATTTTTGACATCTATAGACAACACATTATATTAAGGAATTGTCCATTTTCTTAGGTGTAAAAATGGTATTCAGATTACACATATTTTTTAAAGTCCTGAAATATTTACAGATAAATGATAAGATTTGCTTCAAAATAATACAGAAAGGGCAGAAGCAGGTGGGGTTACAGATGACACAAATTAGCTAGGAGCTGATAATTGTCGAAGGTGGAGGATGGGTTACCTAGGTGTTCTTTATTCTCTCTTTCTCTCTCTCTCTCTCTCTCTCTCTCTCTCTCTCTCTCTATATATATATATATATATATATAAAATAGTGTATATACATAATAGTATATTTTTGAGATTTTTCATTCTAAAATTTTTTAAAAACTCAAACTAGAATAAATTAAAAGACTGACTTAAGCAGAATTAATCTAAAAAAAGAGAAAGTATATAGTACTTTTACTTAAAGGGCAGTATTGAAATACATAAAATAAGTATAAATAGTCTGAAAAAAACCTACTCCATCCTAGTTTGTGGCAAAATGCTTTTGTTTTAGAAGGGGGATCTAGAAGCTCTATCAATTGTCTGATGTAATTTTAAGTAACTGGCCCCATTGGAGAGAATGACTTACCTGGGAAGAGAAAGGCCCAGTCTGGTCAAGGACATATGAATATCTACACACATTTGCTTTCCAATTTCCAAACTAGCTTAGCTTTTAGAATGTAACCTGTTAATAAACTCAGGTTTACTGTCATTTTTAAAAGTTTACTACTTTAGCATATTATGATTGCAACCTGAGTAGACTAATGCAGATATTAGTAATGGCTGTTTTTCTTCCCTAGACAGGAGACAATCCATCTTACATAGGGAAAATAACCAAATTATGTGTTATGAGAGATGTTCAGAGGCCTGTCTTGAAATGTCATCTCCAATGATCTGGTGATGCTGTGGACCTAGAGTGTCATCCAAATAACTAGTCTTGAAATTTCTTCAGGACAAGAAATTTTAAAAAACTAATTGTGAGGCTGCAGTAGCCCTTAATAACTCCTTGAATTTAATTCTTGTGATAGTTTTATTTCCTCTGTAATATATCTTTGTTATTGTGCTTTTAAGAATAGAGTGAATATACATAAGCAGAACATATTTGGAAAAAAATTTAAAAAAATTTTAATGAATAGGGTGAATAGATGTAATCTCTCCTTTTTAACTTCTCCCTCTTATTTATTCCTTACCATGGAAACATAATTTGTATATGAAAACCTGGTCCATAAGAAGTCTGATTAGAAAGCACCAACTTCAAAGCCTCAGGGTATGAGTGATAGAGTGTGCTATATATTCTCACTTTAAAAAGGTGATGGCAGAATTTTGAGGATGGTTTCATGTTTTATTTTAGCCATTTCATATTTGTCATTATTGTTATCATGGGCATCATTTTCTTCATTATCATTCGAATTATTATTTTGCTTAGAGTGGTCAATGATATGGAGAAAAGACCATTAAAAGTCATTACCATCCATTATCAGACATCCTTCTGATAAAACTAGTCTCAGAATAGGGACTTCTGTTCCCTTTCATCTGCTTTTATTGAGCTCCTGCTGTGTTTCCACCCACGTTGACTACTTTGTAATAAGGAGAACAAAAAAAAAGACAAAGTCCAACTTTAGAGAGCTCACACACTCTAGTTGAGGAGATGGGATGAGAAGAGAATCACCACATACCCATGAGGAGGCTGTAATATAGAGCTTGACAGCCTGGACTATTAGGCTTTACACTGGTTGAATTCAAATCCTGACTGCCACTCAATAGCTCTGTGATGCAGAGCAAGTTACTAACCTCCCCTGCCCCAGTTTCCTCATCTGTTAAATGAAGGTAAGAACAGTAATTACCTTGTAGGGCTGTCTTGGGATAATCCTTAAATTAGATAATCCATAAAACACTCAAATTTATCCATATATTCATCCATATATTTTATTTCTCTGTTGACCATTGTTTCTTGTATGCCATACCTTCACCTTGGGCAGATCCTCTTTTTTGTCCTTGGAATATAACCTTTAATAATTCAACTCTCTTAGTTTTGTATGTCTAAACATGTCTTTATTTTGCCTCCAATATTGTACATAAAATTCTAAGTTGATACTTATTTTCCTCAGCACTTTGAAGATACTTTTCTACTGTCTTCTGGACTTTATGGTGCTGATAAGAAAGAAGTTTGCTGTTGGTTTAACAATGATTACCTTGAAAATTATGTGTTTTTTCTCACTGGTAGAATACTCACATTTAAGTAGACATTTGATGAATGTGCATATTTATTGATAAGACTCCACACAGGACTCCTAATTCCATAGATTATGCGGGGAGGATCATGGTACAAACATCCTTCTCCCTTATGAAGGGGCATGGCAGAAAATGAAGGCTATTGTGACTAAAAGGAAGCTCTGCGAGATTAACAACATATAACTATAACCTTGTCTCCAAGGGAGATCTAAGAGTGCCCCCACAAGAATCTGAGAGACTGTAATAGGATATGAAGAGAACAGCTGAGGACCCTCATTTTTATTTATTTATTTATATTTAATTTTTTTTCAGACATCAGTGTTACTTGCCAAGACCCTCATTTTTAAACTCCAACGAGTTATTACGTTCCTTTCCACTCTTGCTTTCCAATTCCTACACCAAGACAACTCTGTATTTTGAGTATATGAGTCAAGTATGGCAAAAAGTACAGTACCTTAAAAACTTTTATTTTAGTCCTTCCTGGCCCATGCTAAAACTTATATCTAGAAATACGGCAAAACAAAATGAAACAGATCTCTCCTTGTACATAAAACAGCTAAAAATTTGGCCTCTTTATTGATCTTATGTCATGTATTTGGCTTGAAAAAAAAACAACAACAAAACAAACAGTTACAAGGGTTAAACAAACTAAATTTTTCTTCTAAATCTCTAAATGCTCATAGACAGCCAACTTGCAGGGCATACACAGTGCCTTGAGAGTCGGTCCCACAGAAAATACTTATGTAAATGAAACAAGAAGGATGCTATTTGTTTTTCATTACATAAACATTACCTGAACTTAACTAATCAATCCACTTATTTGATAAAAATCATCTAGGACCAAAAGCACTATCAAGTTTGCTGGCTGCCATTTTCACTCTAATCATACCCAAAAGGCTTAGAAATAATTCAAAACTAGAAAGAGGCCCAAGTAGTAAGGCTACCTATGGCTCTTGCTACAAAACAGTTGCCAGTCTGATGTGTGTGTGTCTAGAAAGAATGATAGAAAATAAAGAGTTCTTGAGTTCAAGAGAACTTCCCAGAAGGAGGTGGTGGGCCAAGAAATCCACCTGCCTGCTTGGTGGCGGCTCGTGAAGGGGCAAGGCCGAGAATCTTCTGAATGTTCTGTGAAGAAAGCACAGTAAGGATTGGGTTTTAATATCAAATATACAGAAGATGTGTTTTATGTAGCTCTCAGGCAAAGGGAACTCATACTCATATAGATTAAAGGAACCATTATGACCTGCAATAGGATGATTATCACTTTTTTTTTTTTTTGAGATGGAGTCTCGCTCTGTCACCCAGGCTGGAGTGCAGTGGAGCAATCTTGGCTCACTGCAAGCTCTGCCTCCCAGGTTCACGTCATTCTCCTGCCTCAGCCTCCCGAGTAGCTGGGACTACAGGTGCCCGCCACCACACCCGGCTAATTTTCTGTATATTTAGTAGAGACAGGGTTTCATCATGTTAGCCAGGATGGTCTCGATCTCCTGACCTCATGATCTGCCCACCTCGGCCTCCCAAAGTGCTGGGATTACAGGAGGGAGTCACCGCACCTGGCAATCACTATGTTATTTTTTAAAAAGGCCTACAATGTAATGAAAATCATAGAACAGTAAAAGCCTTCCTTACCTGATGAGACCTTGGTCTACTAATGAAAGTGGTTGATTTTTTTCGAGTAGAGAATCATAAAAGGAGATAATTTTTTTAACAAGAAGCATATGAAGAATATTCATTAGCTATTTCTTATGGGCATTTTCTTTGAGTACGGGTCTGCTGGCTGGATTTGTCATTACTGCACTGTCTATAATTTTCAGTTTCGGCCGGGTGTGGTGGCTCACGCCTGTAATCCCAGCACTTTGGGAGGCTGAGGTGGGTAGATCACTTGAGGCTAGGAGTTCAAGACGAGCTTGGACAACATGGTAAAACCCCATCTCTACTTTTTAGTAGAAAAATACAAAAATTAGCTGGGCATTGTGGCATACACCTGTAGTCCTAGCTACTCGGGAGGGTGAGGCATGAGAGTCCCTTGAACCTAGGAGGCAGAGGCTGCGTGAGCCAAGACTGCACCACTGCATTCCAGCCTGGGCAACAGAGTGAGATTCTGTCTAAAAAAAAAAAAAAAAAAAAAAAACCAGTTTCAATTTCTTTACAGTGTTGAAAGTACTCAGAAACCTGCAAAGCACTCTGAGTTCAGAATTCTCCTAAATTTTCAGGACCCTGTCATCTTTTTCCATTGTTTCACCTACATCTAATGCAATTTTTTAAGAAACTCACTTTTATACTTTTATTCAGTTTTTAAAAACATACTTTGTTCTCATAATTCTTTTTTTTTTTTTTTGAGATGGAGTCTCACTCTGTCATCCAAGCTAGAGTACAGTGGCACGATGTCGGCTCACAGTAACCTCTGCCTCCTGGGTCAAGCGATTCTGCCTGCCTCAGCCTCCTAAGTAGCTGAGATTACAGGTGCCTGCTATCACACCCAGCTAATTTTTGTATTTTTTTTAGTAGAGAAGGGGTTTCACCATGTTGGCCAGGCTGGTCTTGAACTCCTGACCTCAGGTGATCCGCCTGCCTCAGCCTCCCAAAGTGCTGGGATTACAGGCATGAGCCACTGCGCCCAGCCAATGTAGCATTTTATAAGAGGAAAAAAACCTTAGAGATCCTGATTATTCTTGCCCAGTTCCTTCATTTTATATTTGAAGAAACTAAAACTCAGAAAGGTATGATGGATGGCTTATCCAGAATTACAAAGCTAAATTAAGAGCACAGTTAGAATTTAAACCTGTTGTGTTTCGACCCTTAATCTAATGGATTCTCTTACACAGTAGTTTCTGTGTTAAAGTTCTGCTCTTCAGAACAAACTCCATTCTGTGGTAGGCAGGTTTGCATGCATTAAACTATTCATCCAGTAGTTACTGAGTACCTACTAGATATAAGATACTGTGAGAATATCCATAACCAGGCTTCTCTACAAGCATACACACCCTCAATCCTTCATCATGAAGAATGATGACTACTATGGATAAGAATGTGTATTGAGGACGGCCGGGCGCGGTGGCTCACGCCTGTAATCCCAGCACTTTGGGAGGCCGAGGCGGGCGGATCACGAGGTCAGGAGATCGAGATCATCCTGGCTAACACGGTGAAACCCCGTCTGTACTAAAAATACACACACACAAAAAAAAAAAAATTAGCCGGGAGAGGTGGCGGGCGCCTGTAGTCCCAGCTACTCAGGAGGCTGAGGCAGGAGAATGGCACGAACCCCAGGGGGCGGAGCCTGCAGTGAGCCGAGATCGCGCCACTGCACTCCAGCCTGGGCGACGGCGAGACTCCGTCTCAAAACAAAAACAAAACAAAACAAAAAAAAAAAAAGAATGTGTATTGAGGTAACACTGTTAGAATACAACAGAATGTTTAAATATGGAGGACATAACTTTAAGGACTCATCTAAATTATATTTACCATAAAATATTTCAGTACATACATTCAACAATACTATAGCTCATTCTTTAAGAAGACATCTGAAATGAGTGAAGAAAAAAATCAATCGTTAGTACATTAGGATACCTCTCCTTAGTAAAGATGGAGAATGATCAGACTTTGTATTTCTTTTTCTGAGACGTGGTCTTGCTCTGTCACTGAGGCTGGAGTGCAGTGGTGTGATCACAGCTCACTGCAACCTCCACTTCCCGGGCTCAAGCATTCTTCCCACCTCAGCCTCCCGAGGAGCTGGGACTAACAGGCATGCCACCATGCCCAGCTAATTTTTGCATTTTTAATAGAGTTGGGGTTTTGCCATGTTGGCCACGCTGGTCTCAAACTCTTGGGCTCCAGTGATCTGCTCACCTCAGCCTCCCAGGTGCTGGCATTATAGGGGTGAGCCACTATGCCCGGCCTACTTTGCAATACTTTTTTTTTTTTTGAGACAGAGTCTCGCTCTGTCGCCAGGCTGGAGTGCAGTGGTGCGATCTTGGCTCACTGCAACCTCCGCCTCCCAGGTTCAAGCGATCCTCCTGCCTCAACCTCCCGAGTAGCAGGGAATACAGGGGCACATCATCATGCCCAGCTAATTTTTTGTATTTTTAGTAGAGACGGGGTATCACCATGTTGGCCAGGATGGTCTCGATCTCTTGACTTCGTGATCCGCCTGTCTCAGCCTCCCAAAGTGCTGGAATTACAGGCATGAGCCACCGTACCTGGCCTGCATTACTTTTATAATAAAAATAGCTCCTTAAAGCTCACCTCTAAAAAACCCATTACACAAAGCAGTAAAAAGACCAAATGATGTCACTAGTTTGCAATTTCTTTATTTAATTAATATTTCCTGAGCACCTACAATGTATTTAGCACTAAGCTAGGCATTAAGGGAAATTGCTTTAAAGATAAAATTTGAAACAGTAAGACATACAGAATTAGCTGCTGATAAACATATTTGTCTAGTTAACAAATACAGTAATATAGCCTAGACAAAATACACAAGGGATTCTT
This sequence comes from Homo sapiens, assembly GCF_000001405.40. Taxonomy (NCBI): domain Eukaryota; kingdom Metazoa; phylum Chordata; class Mammalia; order Primates; family Hominidae; genus Homo; species Homo sapiens. The sequence goes on from NC_000001.11 coordinate 165,731,485, forward strand.
GCTCAGTTATTCTGAAGGGTCAAATAGATGAGTCCTTATCATTTTAGAGATTAAAAACCAATGTAAAAATGTTGGATGCCCTTTATAGGTTTACCGTGATTTAAAGAAGATGATTGAAAAAATAAAAAATAATATTTTGAAGAAACAAGAAACTGAACTGGTAGTCTGTTGAATTTCATTTACTAACTCAAAATATTTAAATGACTACTGAGGGTAAGCCACTGCTCTAGACGGGAATATCTCAAATAGCAATAGCAGCAACAAAAAAGTGTTAAAAATGAGACACTTCAGTAGCCACAGCCAAAGTACATGGAAATCCAGGCAACTCTATACTTTCCTTTACTCTATACTTTCCTTTCCTTGTGGCTCTTGCCACAGACCCGTTTTGGGAACACTAAATTAAATGTATCGGTGTTACATTACACAGGTATTTGTATTTTAACACAAACATTCTGCATTTACTGCATGCAATTTTATCCTTTCGTGAAATTCTAAACTAATCTGTTTAAATTCCTATAGTCTCACAGGTGAAACCTAGGTCTTCCATTTTTCTCAGACAGATTTCCCCTGCTTTTCCATCAGTGAAATCTTTTCCCCTAAAACCCATGTAGGAACTAAGTGATGGTCTCAAGATGCAAGAGCCACAGGTAAAAGGACCAGACGTCACTAATATCTCTACAGTAGTAACATCCTACATTTCTACACACTTTAAAGTTTGCAAACAGTTCTAAGGACTAGATAGTAGTCCTTAGTTATCCCTGCTGTTGAGATGAGAAAGTTGATGTAGGGAGAGGTTACAAGTCAGAAAGTGAACTGATATAACTCAAAGTGCAGTTTTCCTTTATTAAGCCACCTCTCTGTAACAGACTGTTATCTTAGGAATAAAAAAATCACATAAAGAAGCAAAAAAAAAAAAAAAAAGGAATAAAAAATCGTGTAACAGGCCTATTTTTTTAAAAAATCACAATTATGCTGTTAAATGAGCAAATGGTTTCTCTCTCTCTCTCTCTCTCTCTCTCTCTATATATATATATATAAACATACACATATAAAATATAGTTGCTATGCAAAAAACCCATAGAATGTACAATGCAAAGAATGGACCCTAACATAAACTATGGATTTGGGGGTAATAATTATATGTCAGTGTAGATTAATCAATTGTAACAAATGTACCACTCTGGTGGAGAAAGTTGATAGAGGGGTGTGCTATGCATATGTGGGGGCAAGGCATATATATGAAATCTCTGTACCTTCCACTCAATTTTGCTGTGAACCTAAAACTGTTCTAAAAAATAAGGTCTATAAAAGGGAATATAAAGTATTTAAGAATATATAGTAAGATAACAGTTGTATTAATAATAGTTGTATACTTTTTCTCATATCTTGCCTTCCCCAACTTTTTGAAATACTGCTAAATGGAATACTTTTAAAATAAAGAAAAATATTCCTGTGGGTGCTATTTTAAAGTGAAGGTCATAGTATGAAGCTAAAAAAAAGAATAACAACAATAATAATGGTTAACAGTTACTGAGTACTTACACTCTGCAAGGCATTGTTCTAAGACCTTTATATGTATGTCCTCATTTAAATCCTCACAACTTAATGAGGTGGACATCATTATCCTTGCATGTAGATAAGAAAAATAAGATACCAATGGTCAGGCTGTAATTCAATAAATACTCACTGAATACCACACTGTACAGCAGGCACTTTTGTATATATTATCTCATTACATCTTTCAACAATCTCATCCATTAAACTTAACCTGACTGCTTTCCTATAATCTCTCAATTTTTCTTTCTTCTTGAGGTCAAGTTTTCAGGCCTTGTTAATTAGCAAGATTTAGTTTAGAAATATGCATTTAGGCCAGGAGTGGTGGCTCACACCTGTAATCCCAGCACCTTGGGAGGCCGAGGTGGGTGGATCATCTGAGATCAGGAGTTTGAGACCAGCCTGGCCAACATGGTGAAACCCGTCTCCACATGCGCCTGTAATCCTAGCTACTTGGGAGGCTGAGGCAGGAGAATCATTTGAAACCCGGGAGGCAGAGGTTGTAGGAGATCGTGCAGCTGCACTCCAACCTGGGTGACAGAGCAAGACTCCATCTCAAAAAAAACAAAAAAAAAGAAAGAAATATGCATTTAGCTAAAAGATAGGAGTTTTAATATATAATAAAGATGCTATGAAAGAAAATAGAAATGCAAAATATAGTAAGATGCAATCAAGTTTTGGAAAAATGTAAAACAATTATTTTGAATTCCTGTCCAGTCCTGTATAACAGGGTAACAAATGAAGAATGTATACCCAGAAGAGAAAAACAAAGGAAAAACATTTTCCCATAATTGTGTCTTCTACTGGCAGGAAAACCTGAAAAATACAAACACAGGATTTGTGTTCTTTCCTCTTTACCATGATTAAGAACCAGTGATCAAGAAACGGAAGTTGTTGGTTGCTAACTGGATATTTTGGGAAGACCCAGGTCAATGGCAATAAACACATTCTGCTGAATTTTATTCCTTAGTCATTTAGCTAAAATAACACACCTATGGCAATCCTCAGTTCACTCTGTTAGTTTCTCTGACATCTGGCAACCAGTCTTCACTTCCAATTAATCGCAATATCTCATTAATTCCCACAATGTAATCTTTACTCTATCAACAAAGCTGTATATAAAATCTAATCACTTCAAAACGACCCTTTCCAATATTACCAGGGCTCTCACATTATATCTGACTAGACTATTTGGGAAAAATAATGTAGAGATTAAATATTTACTAAAAAAACCTTATCGTACAAGCTTGATATCGCTGAAATATTATTGGGTTAGCAATCAGAAAACTTGGGTTACAGTGCTGACAAACTAGACAATAAAACAATAGGAGTATCTTTTCATTTTACCAAATCTCAATGTCCTTACTGTTAGAAAAAAGAGGGTTGACTAGATCAATCATTTTCAGACCCTTAAAGCCTTTAATAACTCTTTTATTTTTTAATTTTTAAAATAAATTTCTATTCTTTTTTATTTTTATTTTTTGAGACGGAGTCTTACTCTGTCGTCCAGGCTGGAGTGCAGTGGTGTGATCTCAGCTCACTGCAACCTCCACCACCTCCTGAGTTCAAGCAATTCTCTTCCTTAGCCTCCCAAGTAGCTGGGATTACAGGCGCCTGCCACCATGCCCGGCTAATTTTGTATTTTTAGTAGAGACAGGGTTTCACCATCTTGGCCAGGCTGGTCTTGAACTTCTGACCTCGTGATCCACCTGCCTTGGCCTCCCAAAGTGCTAGGATTACAGGTGTGAGCCACCGCGCTCGGCCCATCGTTTTTTGTTTTGTTTTGTTTTGTTTTGTTTTTTTGCACACAATTCACAGAGATTAACAGAAGCCTTTTGAAAAATAAAATGTGATGTATAAAAGCCCAATACAGAAAACAAATAAAATAGGGTAGAAAACGGAAGCTCCCTTCTGGGACCTTCTTAACACATATCTTATAAAGTGGAAATAAAAATTCTGAAAGATAAGCACATCAAATCTGCACTAGAGTAATGTCACTTCCTTTGTAATGATGAATGAATATTTTCTGTCTTAGGTTGATCAAAGGCCCTCTTTGTAATAAAGGTCTTTTCTGCTGCGGTCAGGAGATTAAGTGACAATCTCTTTCTCTCCCTCTCACTTCCTCCTTCCTTTCCTCTTTCTCCCGTATCTTTCCAATGAAAATGTCCCTAGATCTCTTTTAGCTCCTTCTTTGAGGATCAGTCAAGGAGAATATTCTGAATTTTAGCTTAGTGCAGAAAGACAAAATGTTTTATTTTTTGAAAATCTCATAATGGAGGGCATAACCCCAGTTGGCACTGTGAAGAGTGTCTAAAACTCAGAATAAACTATAATCTTACTGGTTTGAAGAATCAAAAAGCTACTGGAAAACCACAGCTACTGGAAATAGAGAAAGAATCCTGGAAAACAGAGAGACAACAAAAAAGGAGCCTCAAATTTTGCATATAAACTCTGCCCCCAAATCTCTGCTTAATTTTTTTTTTTTTTTTTTTTGGAGACAGAATCTTGCCCTGTCACCCAGGCTGGAATGCGGTGGCGCAGTCTCAGCTCACTGCAACCTCTGCCTCCCAGGTTCAAGCGATTCTCATGCCTCAGCCTCCTGAGTATCTGGGATTACAGACATGCACCACCATGCCTGGCTAATTTTTGTATTTTTAGTAGAGACGGGGTTTCAACATGTTGGCAAGGTTGGTCTGGAACTCCTGACCTCAAGTGATCTACCCGCCCTGGCCTCCCAAAATGCTGGGATTACAGGCATGAGCCACCACGCCTGGGTCTGCTTAATTCTTAAACTATGTACAAGGCAGCCAATAAGCAGCCCAGTTAAGACTAAAATAACTGACCTGAGACTTCAGCTGCCATCTACCACAAAGGAGAGTTTGGAGTTTGAGTGCTGCTATGGTCTGAATGTTTGTTTCCCTTACAAATTCATATGTTGAATCCAAACTACCAAGGTGTTAGAAGGTGGGAACTTTTGGAGGTGATTAGGTTATGAGGGCTCTGCCCTCTTTAATGGGATTGTCCTTTCAAAAAAAAGGTCCCGAAGAGCTGCCCTGTGCCTTCCACCATGTGAGGATGCAGACAGAAGGCACTCTCTATGAACCAGGCAGGAAACAGGACCTCACCAGACACCGAATTTGCCTTGATTTTGGACTTCTCAGCCTCTAGAAGAGTAAGAAATAAATTTCTATTGTATATGGTATTTTGTTATAGTAGCCCTAATGGACTAAGACAAATGCCAGGTTAACTGCCTGCCTATACAAAAATATCAACACTTCTTCCAAAGAATAAAAGAATCCAGAATATCTTCAACCTATCGTTTACATTATCCAGGATATGATCCAAAATTACTAGATATATCAAGAAACTGGAAAATATACTGTTACTTAAGAGAACAGGCCGGGCGCGGGGGCTCACGCCTGTAATCCCAACACTTTGGGAGGCCGAGGCAGGTGGATCACCCGAGGTCAGGTGTTTGAGACTAGCCAGCCTGACCAACATGGTGAAACCCGCTCTCTCCTAAAAATACAAAATTAGCCGGGCATGGTAGCGGGTGCCTGTAATCTCAGCTACTCAGGAGGCTGAGACAGGAGAATCACTTGAACTGGGAGATGGAGGTTGCAGTGAACCGAGATCATGCCACTGCACTACAGCTTGGGCAATAAGAGCAAGACTCCATCTCAAAAAAAAAAAAAACAAAAAACAAAAAAAAGAGAACAGGGAATGGAGTCCAAATTCCAAATGTTGGAATTAGCACACAAGGTTTTTTTGTTTTGTTTTTGAGACAGAGTCTTGCTCTGCCGCCCAGGCATGAATGCAAAGGCGCGATCACAGCTTACCACAAACCCGATCTCCAGGGCTAAAGCAATCCTCCCACTTAAGTCCCCATAACCCAGCAGCTGGGATTACAGGTACATGCCACTGTGCCCAGCTAATTTTTGTATTTTTTGTAGAGATGAGATTTTGCTCTGTTATCCAGGCTGGTCTTGAACTCTTGGGCTCTTGGTCTTGAACTCCTGCCTCAGCTTCCTAAATGCTGAACAGGCATGAGCCACCACACCAGCCCAGCAGACAAGGTTTTTAAAGCAGCTAAATAATTATGGACATAAAATATGGCTCATAATATATTAACAAACAAGAAATCTCAGGAAGGATGCCAAATAAAGCAAAAATTCTGAAACTGAAAAATATTACCTAAAATTCAAAAATCATTGGGTAGGCTTAGGGTTAACACAGATTAGAGGAGTCTGTGAACTTGAAGACAGATCAACAGAAATTATCCCATCTGAAGAACAGAAAAAAAAAAAGATTTAAAAAAATTCAACATAGCTTCAGTGTCCTGTTGGACAATACCCAAAATGACTAATATATAAGCAACTGGTGTTCCAGAAGAAGAAGAGAGAGAGAATGAGGCAGAAAACAGTTAAAGAAATAATGATTGAAATTTCCCTACATTTAATGAAAACCATAAGTCCTAGCAGGAAAAACTTTAAATAAAAATACTCTAGGCACATCACAGTCAAATTTCTGAGAACCAATCTCAAAGAGAAAATCTGAAAGTAGCTAGAGAAAAGTGACATTACTTACGAGGACACAAAGACATGAAGAACTTTTCAGAAACAATGGAGGCCAGAAAACAGTGGAAAGGCATTTAAAATGCTTAAAGGTTAAAACGAACAAAAAAGCCAAACCAGAATTCTATGTCCAATGAAAATATCCTTCAAGAATGAAGATAAAATAAAGATATTTTCAGATAAATGAAGATTAAGAGAATTTGTCACCAGCAGACTTGCACTATAAGAAGCACAAGAAAGAAAAATGAAATTCCTTAATGCTATACCATGAGGTGAAGATTCAGGCAATCCTTCTCAGTGACAAGCTTCACTTCCTGTTACAGCCCACCAACAGCTCTAGATTCAGTAGTCCCTATATCCATTACAAACGTTCATGCCTCCATGTTTCCTATGCCAAGAACACTTAAGATTGGAAAGCTGCCAGGCGTTCAGCACTTTGGGAGGCCACAGCAGGCAGATCACTTAAGGCCAGGAGTTTGAGACAAGCCTGGCCGACATGGTGAAACCCTGTCTCTACTAAAAATACAAAAATTAGCTGGGTGTGGTGGCATGCACCTGTAATCCCAGCTACTCAGGAAACTGAGATGGGAGAATTGCTTGAACCTGGGAGGTGAAGGTTGCAGTGAGCTGTGATTGCGTCACTGCACTCTAGCCGGAGCAACAGAACGAGACTCTGTCTCCAAAACAAACAAACAACAACAAAACAACCGAAAAACCAGGCCTATTTCTTTGCCAATGGCATTCATGGGAAAATCACGGTACAGTCTACAATTTGAGTTTCTGAAATCCTCATATTCTGACTATTCATTTCGCAGGCAACCATAGAGTCAATTCTTATGTAACCTAAGATCTTAAAAAGCAAATAAAACAACAACATGTAACCTAAGATCTTAAAAAGCAAATAAAACATGTGGAAATAGCAGGCTAATAAGGATTTTAGTTCAAAGGAAGAAGCATATATTCCATGATAACACTTCAAATGCTGTTAAGGCATTTCAGACTGGATATATTAATATGTTCATAATTCTCTTGTGCATAAGCTAACAGTGAGTAATAGGTAGAGAAACAATTTATAATTAATAAAACAAAAAGTATAAAGGTAGGTGACTTCTGTGATTTTTCCAAGCTTTAAGTATTTCAGACTATTTTTGTTTTTAGAATTTAAGTAATAAAATTATCTGCAAGATGACTATCACTGAGGATGCTGCAATAAGTAGTTAGAATTCAGCTGGGATCTTGGGGAAGACAACTATATACCAAAAGAACAGATCCTTCAAATACAACAGTTTTACATTAGCTATGCAATACTATAGTCCTTATAGACTTTTTTTCTCATGCGTGTCATGCAGAGAGAAGGCACTCTCTATGAACCAGGCAGGAAACAGGCCCTCACTAGACACTGAATTTGCATACACCTGGACAAGTGGAAATAAAAAGTGTTAGTATATATCCTCCTTAACTGAAAACAAACATATGAAAATTTTTTGTGTTTTTTGCTGCCCACCTCCCCCTCTTTTTTGTATTCAGCAAGCATGTTTCAGTAGGCTGTACCAGTCTAGGATCTGCAGATTTTCTTATTTTAACTTAATAGCATATACCGTACACTTCAGTTCTCCACAAAGCCTAAAATATTTGCTATCTAGACCTTTACAGAAACAGTTTGCCGATCCGCACTGAAAATGAGCTTTGCATTCCTGATAAAATAACTGACACACAACTCATCACATTTTTAGAAATAATTAAAAGGAGTGTAAAGACCAGCTTGAGTTGAACTTCCTAAATAATTTTTTTTTGAGACAGGGTCTGGCTCTGTTGCCCAGGCTGGAGTGCAGTGATGCAATCTCGGCTCACTGCAACCTCCACCTCCCGGGCTCAAGCAATCTTCCCACCTCAGACTCCCAAGTAGCTGGGAGTAGAGGCATGCACCACTATACCCAGTTAAATTTTTGCATTTTTTGTAGAGATGGGGTCTCACCATGTTTCCCAGGCTGGTCTTGAACTCCTGGGCTCAAGCTACCTGCTCGCCTTGGCCTCCCAAAGTGCTGGGATTACAGGTGTGAGCCACTGTGCCTGGCTCTAAATGATAATTCTTAACAACATTTATTTCATTTTGAAAACTCTACAGTTTTAGATGGTGACTTTTTGGTGCATCTAAGATTACTATTGATCCATCACAAGTAAAGTAACAAAATCTGCCTGAAATTAAAACAGAATGGGGCCGGGCACAGTGGCTCACGCCTGTAATCCCAGAAATTTGGGAGGCCCAGGTGGGTGGATCACCTGAGGTCAGGAATTCGAGACCAGCCTGGCCAACATGGCGAAACCCTGTCTCTACTAAAAATATAAAGGGTTAGCCAGGCATGGTGGTGGGTGCCTATAATCCCAGCTTCTTGGGAGGCTGAGGCAGGAGAATCACTTGAACCAGGGAGGCGGAGGTTGCAGTGAGCCGAGATCGAGCTATTGCACTCCAGCCTGGGTGATGGAGTGAGATTCTGTCTCAAAATAATAACAACAACAACAACAACAAACTCAGAATTGCTCTTTGTTGCTTAAAGTGAAATATATACATCGTGTGTTTTTATGTTTTACTTATTTATTTATTTTTTTGAGACAGAGTCTTGCTCTGTTGCCCAGGCTGGAGTGCAGTGGCGTGATCTTGGCTCCCTGCAATCTCCGCCTCCAGGTTCACACCATTCTCCTGCCTCAGTCGCCCGAGTAGCTGGGACTACGGGTGACCACCACCACGCCCAGCTAATTTTCTTTGTATTTTTTTTAGTAGAGATGGAGTTTCACTGTGTTAGCCAGGATGGTCTCGATCTCCTGACCTCATGATCCGCCCGCCTCGACCTCCCAAAGTGCTGGGATTACAGGCGTGAGCCACCGCGCCTGGCCCATCATATTGTGTTTTATTAAGATGTCAACCCAAGCCACAATTTTAAAATTTCAGACTTAACAAATTAAAGACCAATATTCCACAGAGATCAAAGGATCTGTGCTAAACCAAAAGAGATCTGTGTTGTCATTACCTTAGCTTTCACAATAAACTCCTGCTATGGTTTGAATGTGTCCCCGAAAAGTTCATGTGGTGGAAATGTAATCCCTCTGCCCTCATGAATAGATTAATGTCATTATCACTGGAGTGGGTTCCTTATCACGAGTGGCTTTGCTATAAAAGTGAGTTCTCTCTGGTTCTCGCTCTTGCCTTCTCACCATGTGATGTCCTCCACCATCTTATGATGTAGCAGGAAGGCCCTCAGTAGATGCCAGCACCATGCTCTTGGCCTTCCTGCAGAACTGTGAGCTAAATTGTCTTTATAAATTAGCCAGGCTGTGGTATACTGTTACAGCAACAGAAAATGGGCTAGGGCAGCTCTATTACAGAGACCATTTCAAAAATTTAAGTATATACCTCAGCTAAGCAAGAGTACAACTTATTGGTGGACATAATCATTTAGCTATTCAACAAACACCTCAAACTCAGCGTGTCTTCTAACCAACATACTCTTCTTTCTTCTATTCCCAGTCTCTTAGTGAAACTAGTCCCCATTTGGTCACCAAAATAAAAAACCTGAAAGTCCTCTTAGTTTTTCCTTTCTCCTTCACATTAAATCAATAACTAAGTTCAGCTGGTTTCCCCTTCTATTTATTTCTCAATCTTTTCCCATTCTTTTCATCCCTCTTTTCACTGTTATAGTTTATAACATAATGATTTTTTGCTACACTATTATAATAGTCTTTTGATATTTCTGTATTTTAGTCATGCTCCTCTTATAGCTAACCTTCACAATGCAGTAAGTGCCAGAAAATATGTGCCAGAAAAGGAAGCCTTAAAACTTGATTGTGTTTAAAAGGAAGAAGAGGGAGGCATTCAGAAATAAGGAAAAACAGAAGCAAAAAGTACATCTGAGTGAGTGTAACATGAAAACTATTAAGCAAGCCAGAATGGGCAAAGTGCTGTATTTGTGGGGATGTGATGGGATATGAATTGGGAAAAAATATTAAGCAATACAATGACAAAGATCTTGGTGAGCCATGAACTATAATTTGATTTCCCATTGATTCTCACATTCCAGGGTGATAATGGTTTGAATCTGTGTCCCCATCCAAATCTCATGTCAAATTGTGTGGTTTAGCACCATCCCCCTTGGTACTGTTCTTGTGATAGTGAGTGAGTTCTCACGAGATCTGGTTGTTTAAAAGTGTGTAATACCTCCCACCTCTCTCTCTTGTTCCTACTCTTGCCATGTGACATGCCTGCTTCCCTTCTGCATTCCGCCATGATTCTAAGTTTCCTGAGGACTTCCCAGAAGTTGAGCAGATGCTAGCATCATGCTTCCTGTACAATCTACAGAGCCATAAGCCAATTAAACCTCTTTTCTTTATAAATTACCCAGTCTCAGGTATTTCTTTATAGCAATGCAAGAACAAACTAATACACAGGGCAACCAAAAATCTTCTGCCACAGACAGTATTCAGAAGGAGGGGAGAAAAAGAGAATCACTTGTGTAAGTGTAAGGAAAATTTTATGTTCCTATTTACTGCATGTGCAAACCTTTCCACTACAAAGCCTGCCGAACGGCAATATGTTCAGAAACTGAATAATGCCCTAAAATAAAGAATTGTTCAGCCAGAGACCTTAATTATCGGCTCCCCCCCTTTTCTTTTTTTGAGACAGGGTCCCGCTCTGCTGCCCAGGCTAAAGTCCAGTGATGTAATCAAGTCTCACTTCAAGCTCAAATTCCCAGGCTTTTGTGACCTTCCGACCTCGGCCTCTAGGGTAGCTGGGACTACAGGCACATGCCACCATACCCAGCTAATTTTTAAATTTTTTGTAGAGATGGAATCTCACAATGTTGCCTAGGCTGGTCTCAAATTCCCGAGCTCAGGTGATTCTCACGCCTCAGCCTACCAAATTGCTGGAATTACAGGCATGAGCCACGGCACCTGGCCACCTTTTCACTTCCATAGGCCCATCTCGAAAGCCACTTCATTCTCTAAACCTTTCTGCCTGAACCTTTCCCCACTAATCGAATGTTATAGCTCTCTTCCGGGCCTTCATAACCCTTTTACTCCTTAGTTCTCACTCTTTTTCACTACGAATGTCAAATCACCAAGTTGGCCAAATGTAAATTCTATAACCTAAACTTTATCTCAACTGTGAATAACCTAAAATTACCACATTGTTAAACTTACTTGTGCTCCTGAGCCGCTAAATGGTGCTGGTATATAATGAAGAAATGGTACTGGGAAGACCAAACCCACTCTCTACTTTTGCAGCTTTAGGCAGTTGTAATAAAGAAGGAGCCTGAGAGCTCTAAGAATGGGATGTGGAATCCATGTTTGGTTTTATCACTACTTCTCATCCCTAAGGATCAGTCATCTAGACCTACAGCCATTTAAAATGGCTTTTGGAAGATACACTGAAATTCTAAAATGAGCAACTGAAAGAACTCAGGAACAATGGGTAAACATTTCTAGTATTATAAAAGTAAAAGCTAATTGGTATGACAGCAAGGAAAAATATACATATTAAATGGTAGATGTGATCACTCACCTGTCGAATCGACATAGTACAGAGAATATACAGGAAAATGAAGGAACAGTCTGTGGTGTCATCTCCCAGCAGATTTCGATGAGACAGTCCTTGGATGTAAGAAAGAGGGGTAAAAGGAAGCTTTGCCACCACTCTACCATCAAATCTAAAAGAAAAAAAAAAAAAAAGAATTGTTATCTTTGGAAGACTGACAACTTTCTTACTTCCAAAGAAGAATCTGGGACAGAAATAGAGCTTTAAGTCTCTGATCTCTGAAAAACAAAGAGAGGGTGACATGCTAAAAATACACATGAACCTGATGTACGGTGATGTAAAGAAGAGCCTAGATTATTCTCATCAATCTTTTCCTAAATTAGTCATTCTCAATTCTTTTGGTATCAAGACCCCTTTATATACTGACAAATTATTTAGGACCCTAAAAACTTTGTGTTTCTGTAGCTTATAGTTATTAATATTTACTGTATTAGAAATTAAAAATGAGAAATGTTTAATATTTATTTTTTTTGAGACGGAGTCTTGCCGTGTCGGTCAGGCTGGAGTGCAGTGGCACAATCTCGGCTCATTGCAACCTTCGCCTCCCGGGTTCAAGCGATATAAAATCTTTTATATCTTTATATATAAGTTATTTAATTATATGAAGTTGAACATGCATGAGACTTTAAACCAGCAACAAATCTGAAAAATCTTCTGATAATTCCTTTTTTTTTTTTTTGAGATGGAGTCTCGCTCTGTCACTCAGGCCAGAGTGCAGTGTCGCCGTCTCAGCTCACTGCAACCTCCACCTCCTGCTTCAAGCGATTCTCCTGCCTCAGCCTCCCGAGTAGCTGGGATTACAGATGTGCACCACCACACCCAGCTAATTTTTGTATTTTTAGTAGAGACAGGGTTTCACGATGTTGGCCTTGATGGTCTCGATCTCTTGACCTCATGATCCGCCTGCCTCAGCCTCTCAAAGTCCTACAGGAATAGAAGCTTGTTATAAGGAACAGAAATTGGTGTCTAGCACAATAAAGAAAAAAACTGGGAAGAGAAGAAGGAAGGTGCAAAGAGAGAGATGATTTACAATAGGTGGATTATTTCTTTAAGTGCACTTACTCTATGACTCCAGAGGGCAGGATCACTGCTCACAAGTACAGATATAGGGAGGCATATTTTGGCCCAGTAAAACGAATTATTTTCAAACTCTAAAAACTACTCAATAAAAGTACTAGTTATCTCAGAAACCACTAAGCTCCTCATTGTTGGAAATAAAGGATGACAAATTATCTGTTAGAGACATTAGTGATGAGCTTTCTGTATTAGGAGAGAAGTTATGTGTTAAATGACTTTTAAGATCTCTTTCAGGCTGGGCACGGTGGCTCACACCTGTAATTCCAGCACTTTGGGAGGCCAAGGCAGGCGGATCACCTGAGGTTGGGAGTTCGAGACCAGCTGACCAACATGGAGAAACCCCGTGTCTACTAAAAATACAAAATTAGCCGGGCATGGTGGCGCATGCCTGTAATCCCAGCTACTCAGGAGGCTGAGGCAGGAGAATCACTTGAACCCGCGAGGCAGAGGTTGTGGTGAGCCGAGATCATGCCATTGCATTCTATCCTGGGCAACAAGAGCAAAACTCCATCTCAAAAAAAAAAAAAAAAAAAAAATTTCAATTCTAAAATCCTGTTATTTCAACTTTATGTAAATGATTCAGGAAGAGATGCCAAAAAGTAGATACAGCTACTAAATAAGTAGCTATATCTAGTCCTTTTTCTGGCAGTCTGGGAGTTCAAGTCCTTCCCTTCTTAGTCTAACCATAGATTTTTTTCCTTAAAGCATCTGCCAGCTGTTAACAAATTTTAAGAGTGTAAGGGATATTATTTTTGTTTGCTTCACACAGGGTCTCGCTCTGTCATTCAGGCTGGAATGCAGTGGTGCAATCATGGCTCACTGCAGCCTTGACCTCCTGGGCTCAAAGAATCCTCCTGCCTCAGCCTCCCAGGAAGGTGAGATTACAGAGGTATAGCACCATGTCTGGCTAATTTTTTTTTTTTTTTTGTAGAGCTGTGGTCTTCCTATGTTGCTCAGGCTGGTCTCAAACTCCTGGCTTCAAGTGATCCTCCTGCCTCAGCCTCCCAAATTGCTGGGATTATAGGAATGAGCCACCACTCTTGGCTTACATAATCTTTTAGTATCCCTTATAGTCTTGGCCAGGCGTGGTGGCTCATGTCTCATAATCCCAGCACTTTGAGAGGCCGAGGCAGGAGGATCACTTGAAGCCATGAGTTCGAGACCAGCCCGGGCAACATGGCGAAACCCTATCTCTACCAAAAAAAAAAAAAAAAAAAAAAATTAGCCACGTGTCATGGTGCATGTCTGTAGTCCCAGCTACTCAGGAGGCTAAGGTAGGGGGATCACTTGAGCCCAGCAGGTTGAGGCTGCAGTGAATAGTGATCACACCACTGCACTCCAGCCTGGGTGACAGAGCAAGATCTGGTCTCAAAAACAGATGATCAAAGTTAAACTTGGAGAAATTATGTTAAAGACTGAATAACTTTTGTCCAATATAATCAAAACATGTATTAGACTTTTAATTTCATATGCCAGTTTATAAAAATAGATGTACAGCCTTTAACTTCTAGGTGCTGACAATCTAAGACACAATATTTTTTTTAAATGTACAGGGTACAAAGACCAGAACAAAAACATGAATACAGCACTAATATTGGTAAAATATATTATGCGAACCTCCACTAGTTTGGGAAAACAAAACAAGCAAATAAAAAGCTATTGTTTGCCAGTGTTCTGAATAAGAAAGTTGCTGAAAATAATATACATAAAAACAAAAAAAGAAGGCCAGGAGCGGTGGCTCACGCCTGTAATCCCAGCACTTTGGGAGGCTGAGGCGGGTGGATCACGAGGTCAGGAGTTTGAGACCAGCCTGGCCAATATGGTGGAACCCCCTCTGTACTAACAATACAAAACAGAGTAGGTAGTAGGCAATGATAAGAAAATTAGCCAGGCATGGTGGTGCATGCCTGTAGTCCCAGCTACTTGGGAGGCTGAGGCAGAAGAATTGCTTGAATGCAGGAGGCGGAGGTCGTAGTGAGCCGAGATTGTGCCACTGCACTCCAGCCTGGGCGACAGAGCTAGACTCCATCTCAAAAAAAAAAAAAAAAAATAGCCTTCTTTCCTGCCAACATATCCTTTTATAAGAAACCTGATTATAATGAAGCTTTCATATAATTTTCCTCCTTGAAGATACTCTACTTGACTTCTTTGACTTCTATAGCTTGGAAGACCTATATCACACACACACACACACACACACACACACACACACAGCATCTAGTATTTTATATTGATGAACTGCAAAAATAATCTGGCATTTCAATACTGGTCCAAGGTCTAATAACTTAATCACCAAATATTTGATAAGTGCTTATTATATTATTAACTCTATTAAGGATAACATATCACATATGCTTGCATATAGCTTTGAAAACCTCCATTCTTTAAAAATTTCATAAATATCATAGCAGTGATATGGGCATTCTCTTCATCTTGTTCCCATCTTTACTGCAGTATCGTTGGTATTTTACCTTTGAGTATTTAACCCTCTTCTGGTTGTTCTAATTCATTGCACAATAGAACTAGAGAACAGTGATGGAGAGAAAGGAAGGGATGGAGGGAAAAGAGAATTTGGAAAAGATGACAATATTATTTGTCTGATCATATGATTATCTATCTAGAAAACTAGAGAATCAAATTAAAAGCTAGGAGAGTTCAGGAAGATGTCCAATTAGAAAATAAAATCACAAAAATTGATAACCTGCTGGGCATGGTGGCTCACGCCTGTAATCCCAGCATTTTGGGAGGCTGAGGCAGGTGGATCACTTGAGGTCAGGAGCTCAAGACTAGCCTGGCCAACATGGTGAAACCCCATCTCTACTAAAAATACAAAAATAAGCCAGGCGTAGTGATGCCTGCCTGTAATCCCACCTACTCGGGAGGATGAGGCAGGAGAATCACTTGAACCCGGGAGGTAGAGGCTGCAATGAGCCAAGATCGTGCCACTGCACTCTAGCCTGGGCAACAGAGAACAGTGTGAGGCTCTGTCTCAAAAAAAAAAAAAAAAAAAAAAAAAATTGATAAGCTACTTATAGACAGTAGTAGCAAACTAGAAAATATGAAATATTACTTATACTTATTTGGAAAGAAACTACAGAAAGTATATAAAATAGACTTGGCAGAAATACCATGTTTCTGGATGGGAATACTAAAAATTATAAAGGTATTTAATACCTCAAAATTAATGTACAAATTTAATAAAATTTCAGACAAAACTCAGAAGGGATTATTTTAGAGGAAGCTGACACTTGATTGATTCTAAAATTCATTTGAAAGAATAAGTGCCCCAGGAACAGTGAACAATACAGTTAAAACAGAGTACGTAGTAGGCAATGATAAGAAAATAGTTTGAAAAACAGGCTGGGGCCAAAGCATGGAATGTCATGAGAGCCAGGGTAAGGAGTCTGACTAAAATCAATAGTCAGGGTTGCATGGTGATAAGTGTGGACTTTAGAGTCTGAGAGACAGGGTTAAACCCCAGCTCAACATTTACTAGCTTGGAGACCTTGAGCAAGTTAAGTGACTTAGAGTCTCACGTCCTCATCTGTAAAATAAAGATTAGAATTCTTATCTTAGAAGACTGTTAAAAGTAAAAGGGAAGGCAGGGCGTGGTGGCTCACACCTGTAATACCAGCACTCTGGGAGGCCGAGGCAGGCAGATCACCTGAGGTCAGGAATTCAAGACCAGCCTTGCCAACATGGTGAAACCCCATGTCTACTAAAAATACAAAAATTAGCTTGGTGTGGGGGCGAGTCCCTGTAATCTCAGCTACTCAGGAAGCTGAGGCAGGAGAATCGCTTGAACCCGGGAGGTGGAGGTTACGGTGAGCCCAGATCACGCCACTGCACTTCAGCCTGGGTGACACAGCAAGACTCCATTTCAAAAAAAAAAAAACCAGTAAAAGGGTAACATATATAAAAAGTTCACTACAGTCCCCAACATGGGTTACTATTTAATCAGTAGCAGATAATGTTATTAGGCAATGAGTAACAGGCTTCTGAGGATGGCTAACTTAACAATGTTGGATAGAGAGGAGACACCTGAGGGAGCGAAAGCAGGCTATTGTGATACCAAGCAAAAAGTAATAGCAAAGGAGAAAAAAGGAAATAATCATTGAAACTAGGATGGGAGCTGGTGCTAGGATGAATGAGAAGAGAGGGAGGGATGAATGAATGACTACACAGACAGAAAACAGGGGCTGTTAACTGAGAGGAAGAGAAAGTTGAAAGGGTCAGATTTAATCCAGTACATATCATTAAATTTGGGACAGGACAGATATGGAGTAATGTCTAATGAAAAGAAGAGGGAGAGGAAGGGAAACAAAAAAGGTTTGAATTCCTGGTGATGAGAATTGAGTACCACTAAAACATATGGATGAGAATGCTGCTTTCACAGGGAACACAATTGGTTCCAAGTGAGTTTCAAAGTCCATGGTTGACATTAGGGTTCATTCTTGGTGTTGTACATTCTATGGGTTTGGACAAATATATAATAACATGTTATCTACCATTATAGTATCATAAAGAATAATCTCATTGCCCTAAAGAATCCTCTGTGCTCTGCCTAGTCATCCTTCCCTTCCTCCTAACTCCTGGCAACCATTGATCTTTTTACTGTCTCCATAGTTTTGCCTTTTTCATACAGCAGGAATCGTACAGTATACAGCCTTTTTGGAAGAGCTTATTCACTTAAAATTATGCATTTAAGATTTCTCCATGTCTTTTCATGGCTTACCAGCTCACTTCTTTTTAGCACTGAATAATATTTCATTGTCTAGTTGTACCACAGTTTGTTTATCCTTTCACCTACCGAAAGACATCTTGATTCCTTCCAACTTCTGGCAATTATGAATAAACCTGCTATAAACATCTGTGTACAGGTTTTTGTGTGGATCTAAGTTTTCAATCTATTTGGGTTCACTTTCACTTTTTATTCTATATAAGTGTTTGAATTTTTTAGAAATAAGTTTTATATATTACTCATATAAGAAAATTATTTTATAAAACTCCATATATGATTTTTTCCCCCGTATATGATTCTGATGCACATTCCTGGTTAAGATCCACTGCCTAAGTTTTGGGAAGCTACTGATACGTAATAAACAAGTCATTTCAAATCATCAGGGAAAAGATGATTTATTCAACTACGTGATATTGACAATGGTTAAAAACTTAGTAAAGTTGGAAACCAAATACCAAAATAAATTGTAGACGAAACAAATATTTAAATATAACAAGTAGGCTAGGTGCAGTGGCTCATGCCTGTAACCCCAACACTCTGGGAGGCCAGAGGTAGGGATCACTGGGGCCCAGGAGTTCAAGGATGCAGTGGGCAATGACTGCACCACTGCACTCCGGCCTGGGTAATGGAGTGAAAACCTGTCTTTAAATAAATAAATAAGAAAATAGAAAAAAACAGGAAAAAAATTTTTCTATAATCTGATATGACGAATGGCATTACTTACCTAATGGAAAAGAGTAACAGCTTTAACAACAAAAAATATTTTCCAAAAAAAGAGTTTAATAGCCTCTATATGTAAAAAACTCTTGTAAATAAAAACATAAAAAATAAACGTCAAAAAAAAGAAGGCAGGGAGCAAGTGGAGGGAATGAACTAGGAACTTAAAACTGGAAAAACATAGTAAGTATATGAAAAGATGTTAAATCTCACACAAATTATCAAAAAAATGAAAAAATTTGAAAGAAATATTATTTTTCAACTATTCAATTGGCAAATTTTAAGCAGATACATCATAATTTCCAGTGATGATAAGTATAAGGAGAAAGATCCATTCACAAGTACTGATGGCAATAATCTAAAGATATAAATTAATAAAATCTAAGGAACAATATATACCAAAGTTTAACTCACGAAATACTAGGATATACCCTAAGGGAATAATAAGTATACATTGGTATACATACTATCTAAAAATTCTTTATGATGATTAATAAAAAATTAGTTAAACAGAGTACATCCTGGCCAGGCGCAATGGCTCACACCTGTAATCCCAGCACTTTGGGAGGCCAAGGTGAGCAAATCACCTGAGGTCATGAGTTCGAGACCAGCCTGGCCAACATGGTGAAAACCCATCTCTACTAAAAATACAAAAAATTAGCTGGGTGTGGTGGTTCGCACCTGTAATCCCAGCTACTCGGGAGGCTGAGGCAGGAGAATGGCTTCAACCCAAGAGGCGGAGATAGCAGTGTGTTGAGACCAGGCCATTGCACTCCAGCCTGGGCATAAAGAGCAAAACTCCGTCTCAAAAAAAAAAAGAAAAAAAAAAAAAAGTACATCCATTCAATGGAACATTATAAAGACATTTCAAAAAAGAGTAAGTTACAGAAATTAATACATATATCATGTTTTAAAAATTGCCCACAGACTTTTGTGTGGACAAAAATTATAGCAGGTTACAAAACAACCATTCTTCTGTATTAAAGTTTATATTCAGCCTGGGCAACACAGTGACACCTTGTCTGTACAAAAAACTTTTTAAAAATTAGCCTGGGCCAGGCGTGGTGGCTCACGCCTGTAATCCCAGCACTTTGGGAGGCCTGGGTGGGAGGATCACTTGAGGTCAGGAATTTGAGACCAGCCTGGCCAACATGGTGAAACCCCGTCTCTACCAAAAATACAAAAAGTAGCCAGGCATGGTGGCACACACCTGTAGTCCCAGCTACTCGGGAGGCTGAGGCAGGAGAATCACTTGAACCCAGGAGGCAGAAGTTGCAGTGAGCTGAGATCGCGCCACTGCACTCCCGCCTGGTGACAGAGAGAGACTCTGTCCCGAACAACAACAACAAAAAGATAATAAATTACTATCATCGTTGGATATTTTCTGTCAAACTCAGTTCCATAATTACTCTGGTCTGCTATATGCTGGTTTAGACAACAGTAATTTACCTTATCATTAAACAAGATTATAGTTATTAAGACTCTATTTTAAGAAGCAAAAGATCTTTTTATGACTACCTTCATTTTGAAGCAGCATGTTAGTAAGCAACTGAAAAAGAGGGAACATATTAAATTCTCTATAGAGAACCCATAATGCCTACGCCTTATGTCTTATACATAAAACACCCTCAATATTAAAAGGGTAAAAAAGTTATTGTGTAATTGTATTTTATAAAAATTAAATTCTGGCTGGGCGTGGTGGCTCACGCCTGTAATCCCAGCACTTTGGGAGGCCGAGGCAGGTGAATCACCTGAGGTTAGGAGTTTGAGACCAGCCTGACCAACATGGCAAAACCCCGTCTCTACTAAAAATACAAAAATTAGCTGGGCATGGTGGTGCATGCCTGTAGTACCAGCTACTCGGGAGGCTGAGATAGGAGAATCGCTTGAACGCAGGAAGACAGAGGTTGCAGTGAGCCAAGATTGCGCCACTGCACTCCAGCCTGGGTGACAGAGCAAGACTCCGTCTCAAAAAAAAAAAAGACCCAAAAAACAAAAATTCCCTTGATTTTGATAATTGTTTTGAAGTTATATAAGAAAATGTCCTTAGGAAATATACAGAGAAGTAGTTATGGGAAACGGGGCATACAGCCTACAACATACTCTCAAATGATTAAGAAAAATACATAAATAATGTATGGATGAGCACACATATAATAGAGAAAGAAAAGAGAGAAAAAGAAAAAAAAGAAGTGAAGCAAAACATTAACAACTGTGAATGTAGGTAATGGATATACTATTCTTGCAACTTTTCTTTAAGTTTGAAATTACATCAAAATAAAATATTTTACCCAAAAAGTTCATGCTAACATACATACAAATATAGAGTAATAGTTATTAGTCAAAAGCATATAAAAGGACACTCACATGGAATTGAACATTCCCATTAGGGCAGTAAAACAAAAGCCAATAGCAAACATGGATTTCATTCGAACCTGTAATGAGACGAACAAATTGTCATTTTACACTAAAAAAAAACACATCTAAAGCATATCTCAAAAGTTTTGGTTTCATGTCATTTTTTTTTTTTTTTTTTTTGAGGCAGAGTCTTGCTCTGTCTCCCAGGCTGGAGTACAGTGGCGCAATCTCGGCTCACTGCAAGCTCCGTCCCCCCGGGTTCACGCCATTCCCTTGCCTCAGCCTCCCGAGTAGCTGGGACTACAGGGGCCCGCCACCACGCTTGGCTGATTTTTTGTATTTTTAGTAGACATGGAGTTTCACCGTGTTAGCCAGGATGGTCTCAATCCCCTGACCTTGTGACCCCCCCGCCTCGGCCTCCCAAAGTGCTGGGATTACAGGCGTGAGCCATTGCGCCCAGCCTCACGTCATTTTTTTTTTAAATCTCCGTAGCAGTTCAAGACCAGCCTGGCCAACATGGTGAAACCCCATCTCTACTAAAAATACAAAAAATTAGCCAGGCGTACTGGCGGGTGCCTGTAATCCCAGCTACTCGGGAGGCTGAGGCAGGAGAATCACTTGAACCTGAGAGGCGGAGGTTGCAGTGAGCCGAGATTGTGCCATTGCACTCCTGCCCCAGGCGACAGAGTGAGACTCCGTCTCAAAAAAAAAAAATAGTACTCCTTAGCAAAAAGCTATAGCTGTATGTTGGGTAACCCACCCTTCACCTCCAATTCCTCTTCTTGCCACCCGGTGAGGAAGAATATTGGGGTGACTTTGTGGCCCAATTCTGGCCAATGAGTTAATAAGTACTGGCAAAAGGTCTCTCAGTAAGTAAAAGAGAACTATTGCACAGTTCAGGTGTCCTGTGTTAAATATATAGAAGTTAAGTGAAAAATTAATCAAGCTATATAATTAGCCTATCTATGCTTTAGGAAGATATGCTCAAATAAAGCCTACTCTTAATAAATAATGAGGAAATTGGTAGTGAAATCAGTTTTCCTTATACTTCATGGTATGCCAGATACTGAGAACAAAAGGTCTCTTAAAGAACAAAAGAGCCAGGCACGGTAGCTCACACCTGTAATCCCAGCACTTTGGGAGGCCGAGGCAGGTGGATGGCTTGAGCTCAGGAGTTCAAGACCAGCCTGGGCAACATAGCAAGACCCTGTCTGTACAAAAAATACAAAAATAAGCCAGGCATGGTGGCACACGCCTGTAATCCCAGCTACTTGCAAGGCTGAGGTAGGAGGAGCGCACAAGCCCAGGTGGCAGAGTTTGCAGTCAGTCGAGGTAGAGCCACTGCACTCCAACCTTGGTAATAGAGCAAGACTCTGTCTCAAAAAAAAAAAAAAAAAAAAAAAAAGACTTGGCAGGGTGCAGTGGCTCACGCCTATAATCCCAACACTCTGGGTGGCTGGGGCTGGAGGATCCATCACTTGAGCCCAGGAATTCAAGATCAGTGTGCCCAGGAATTCAAGATCAGTGTAGCCAAGATAGCAAGACCTCATCTCTACAAAAAAAAATTAAAAATTAGCCGGGCGTGGTGTACTCCTGTAGTCCCAGCTACTTGGGAGGCTGAGACAAGAGGGTCCCTAGAGCCCAAGAATTCACAGTGGCAGTGAGCTCTGATCGTGCTACTGCATTCCAGCATGGTTGACAAAGCAAGATCCTGTCTCTAAAAAAGAAAAAAGAAAAAAGAACACAAGACAGTAATAAAAGCCATTTATAATGTTCCAACTTCTATACTGGAATTACACACATCACCATAAAACCAAAGATTCAGCATTAACGTAAAGAAGAAAAAGAAAATAAACTACTTCATTTGAAAACATAAGAGGGAACTAAGAACTGTGTGAAGAGGACAAATTATGACCTCTGAGACAGTCTAAAAAAGCTATTTATAGTATTAAAATGAAGTTTAAGAGCAGGAGCATATTTTCACTTCCATTTGGTCCAGGAACACCCATGATATTATTTATAGCCTTCACAGGTGATAAATTTCTGAAAAGGTGAGTGCAATGCACTTGATGTAAATCAGTCTTTTGCTAAAAATATTATGTGGTTAACCATGAAGTTATAGTTAGGTCTCTTACCATTGATAGATCTCTGTTGTTATTCTTCAGTTTCTCTTCTTGTCTCTCTGCAAAGAATTAATGAGATGGTTAATACATACAATGCTGAGCACAAAGCAGCTGTTAAATAAACTGTCACTGATTGGTGATTACAAAAGCACTCTATCTCAATATCATTTAATAAGATGATGAAAACACCTGGGATAGTATACGTTTTGTACTCAGAAGATTCAAATGCAGCAGAGCACCAAAATATTTCAATTTAAATAAATAAATCTTTAGTGTTTTTTTGAAATTACCTCTGGTATTAAATGTCTTAACTCTGTACATTAATATATATGCTTATGTTACACCAAAGGGAATTGCCAATCAGTTAATTTGTAAGTATAACATAATGATTGTACTTAGATGTCTCAAATTAGTTATCCTTCTCTTAAATTTTCTATTTTTTCAATTTCTCTAAAATGGCATATAGTCTAAAATTATAAGCCAGTTGATAGGATGAACTTAAAATTCAGGTTCTAGCTGGGCAATCCCAGCTCTTTGGGAGGCTGAGGTGAGAAGATCACTTGAGGCCAGGAGTTCAAGACCATCCTGGGCAACATAGCAAGACCCTGTCTCTGCAAAAAATTTACAAATTAGCCAACCGTGATGGTGTGCCCCTGTAGTCCCAGCTACTTGGGAGGCTACAGTGGGAGGATTACTTGAGCCCAGGAGTTTGAGGCTGCAGTGGGCCATGAACGCGTCACTGTGCTCCAGCCTGGGCGATAGGGTGAGACTCTGTCTGAAAACAAAAACAAAAACAAAAACAAAAAACTACGCATTCTCTAAGTAGTGAACCTTTAGAATACAACATCTATGAAATTTGACAAAATTTCATGGAGAGAATAATCTGGAAATATGCAAAAGATACATTTATATTTAGAATGATTTCTTTTCCAAGGTGACTAGCAAAAGGGAAAATTAAAATTCAGAAAAGGAATACTCCAAAAATGGAGGCTACATTTCTTGTGGCTATTGGAATAAACTAGTAGCAATGATGACATCCATTCTGACCACAGAGTCAGTAGACCTTCAGCCAATCCAAATAACATAGAAAAAGGCCTAGAATGAGTGTATAAATTCAGGGCCCCAAATATATTAAATTTCAAAAATTTCCTCTCATATTTAAATCCAAGTCATGAAGAAAAGAGGCCATGTGTGGTAGCCCACACCTGTAATCCCAGCTCTTTGGGAGGCTGAGGTAGGAGGATTGCTTGAGTCCAGGAGTTCAAGGGCAACACAGAGAGACCCCATCTCTACAAAAAACTTAAAATTAGCCAGGCATGGTGGTATATGCCTGTAGTCTGAGCTATTCAAGGAGGCTGAGGCAAGAGGAGTTGGGGTTGTGGTGAGCCATGAACATGCCACTATACTTCAGCCTGGGCTGACAGAGGGTAACCTTGCTTCAAAAACAAAAACAAAAGCAAAACAAAACAAAAAAAGAAAAGAGATACTTATCCCACTCAGACAAGCTTCAGAATGTCTGCTCTCCCTTTCCCATCCACCTTCTGGGGACATCTGCCTGGCACCATACCTTGTTGAAGGGTTAGCCTCATGAAGATTTATAACACCCTCTGTCCTACTACTGCTGACCCAAGAGGCAGCCAAACCATAGGCTCTCCCATGACCTATGACATAAAAAGATCAGCTGGGCCAATTAGATTCCTCTCTCAGGAATTTATGCTAGAAAATTTTGGGAAAATAAATCAATTAACTATGGGAACAGAAATAGAAAAGTTATAATATGGTACTGGCTCTGAAACTTTAATTTGCCTAAGAATTATATGGGCAGCTTGTTTAAAAAAAAAAAAAAAGAAAAAAGTAGACTCCTGGGTCCCACATCCAGAGATCCTGATTCAGTAAAGTCTGGGAGTAATACTTAGAACCCTTCATTTTTCACAAGTATCTCAAGCAATATTGATGTAGGTAATCTATGGATCACATTATGAAAATACTGAGATAGAACCCAAGGACACAAGCATCTGGAGCAGATATTCCTAAGGGGTTGGGAGTGGGGAAGGACACAGGGAAGGTTAGGTGAAGACAAAAGCTGAATGCCAAAAAAATTAGTGAAGTCTTACAGTGAAGATCCCTGTCCAGCTTTTTCTCAAGACTTGCTCTGCTTGCAGGACTTGCTTTACCACGGTTCCTGCCTTCCTGTAACCACTTAGTTCAGCTTTGCCTGAGTTTCTCATCACGTATATCCTTCAAATAAACCCCTTATGACTTCTTTATTTGGAATACAACAAAACAAACTATATAAAATTCATATACCAAAAGTAAATTCATTTTTCTTCTTATAAGAGGGAAATGCAAAATAGTCAAAACATTTGCTCCTGAAATTAAGAATTGGGAACATCAAATCTTCAGTTAAAAAGCAAAGGACGCTTCCACTGCAGATTAATGGTTCTCTCAAGGATTGTTATCAAAGAGCTTCACCTAGTGAAATCAATGACATTTTGCTTCTCCGGAACACTGAATATTGCTGGCTGCTTCCCTCTTACTGAAAACTCCCTTCTTTCAGTGCAGTGGCTTTACTCTTTATACTCCCTTTTCCCCAGATACTATATATATATTTACAAATATATACTATATATACAAATATAGTATATATTTGTAAATAAGCTCAAGTGAGGAATCTGGGCTAAGAAAAAGTAAGGGTTAGATAATAATGAAACTATATAGGATCAGTACATAAAAATACATTTAATTGGTCCTATAAAGTTGCTGGAGATGAACACCAAATGAGCAAATCTCATGATTTTCTTGCATGAGAATGAGCAAGTCTCATTCCAGGCTTATCAGCAGCCGATTCAAAGGAAAACAAAAATCAGTTCGAGCACAGTGTCCGTAAGATAAAATAAATCAATTACTTATGAGAACTGCTACTTTTCCTGATATTGAAAACTAATAGAAACAGTTTCCACAATTTCTTATCAAAAGACAATTGTGTAATGTTGTGGATGTTTTTGAATATATTCCATAGTAGTACTATAACAAATTGTATTATACCTGGCTGAATTTTTCATAATAAGCCTAACAATGCAAATGCCAAGGCGAAATACAGTAAAAGCGTTTTATGAAGTCCAAAATAATCCAGTTTAGGTTTACAGATTTCTGATAGTCTGGCTTAATCTAAGATTAAAATGTACAAATCTAGAGAATGGATAGATCATCTTTCAAGCAATTCTTCATAAATATTACATCTCATAATTTCTAATAAGATTTTGATAAGCAACTCTTCATAAATACTACTTCCTTTTTTGCGACAAAGTTTTGCTCTTGTTGCCCAGTCTGGAGTACAATGGCGCGATCTCGGCGCACTACAACCTCCACCTCCCAGATTCAAGTGGATTCTCCTGCCTCAGCCTCCCAAGTAGCTGGGATTATAGGCATGCACCACCACGCCTGGTTAATTTTTGTATTTTTAGTAGAGACGGGGTTTCGCCATGTTGGTCAGGCTAGTCTTGAACTCCTGACCTCAGGTGACCCACCCGTCTTGGTTTCCCAAAGTGCTGGGATTACAAGCGTGAGCCACCATGCCTGGCAATAAATATTATTTCTTATAACTTCTGATGAGTTTTTCTGGGGTGAGCAAACAATTCAAGGTTACACTCCATGTTAAGATCATTTGAATTCAGATACACCGTGTTGCCAATTTAAGGACAGAGGATAATCTGCCTTCCATTTTTATATCCTTCCTATTCTTTATAGCAAAGGTACTTGAAAGAGTTGTCCATGTTGAATGTCTTCATTTTCTCACTGTCTGCATTCTCAATGTCTGCATTCTCTTCTTCATCTATATGATCTGGCTTCTGTCCCCCATCATGCCACTGAAACCATTTTTGCTAGAAGCACTAATAACCTCCATTTCTTAGACATTTACCATCATCATCAGGCCCTTCCTCCTCCCTGACACTCTCCTCTCAACTTCTGTGACACTACTACTTTCCAACTTATCTGGCAATACTTTTTCAGAACTTTACTTCTTCTGTTGTTCCTTAAATTTCTGTTCCTCAAGACTCTTGGCCGGCATAGTGGCTCATGTCTACAAGCCCAGCACTTGGAGAGGTTGAGGCGGCGGATCACCTGAGGTCAGGAGTTCGAGACCAGCCTGGCTAACATGGCAAAATCCCGTCTCTACTAAAAATACAAAAATTAGCCAGGTGTGGTGGTGCATGCCTATAGTCCCACCTACTCGTGAGGCTGAGGCAGGAAAATCGCTTGAACCCGGGAGGCAGAGGTTGCAGTGAGCCGAGATCACACCACTGCACTACAGCCTAGGAAACAAGAGTGAAACTCTGTCTCAAAAAAAAACAAAAACAAAAACAGAAAAAAACAAGCAAACAAACAAAAAAGTACTTATCATCCTGCATAGTAATCATTTATTTTCTGGTCTATTTTCCCTCTCTAAATAGAGCTCATAAAAATAGAATCTTTTTCTACTTTGTTTCTCCAATGCTGTTAGGAGTAACTGACACATACAGCGTAAATGTTCAATAGCATTTTCTCATAGAATTAAGTGAACAGACCACTTAAAAAACATCCAGGATCGCTATACTAACTGAAAAACTTTAATCAGAACAGGAATTGACATAGTCTAATCGCATGGAATTCTCCCCTGGGTTGTAACAGCAGTGACCTAGGGATACAGACACAGTTTCTAAAACAAATACACAATCTCATAATAATTTTTTTCCTAATTTCAGAATCAAGAAATGTCATAATGTATAAAAACAAATCATATACAATCCTTTACGAATTGTCTTTTGGAAACAGAATTACTTAAATTCTAAGTTATACTAAAAAACTAAAAACACATGATATGGTCATTATTTCTCCAAGTATATCAAAATTACTCAGAAAATTTCCTACCCCTTGGTGGATTTCCATCACTAGTCAATACTCAGTAAGGAAGCCATGGAAACAATGAATACAAGTAAGACTTAAGTGGAAATAATCATCTCAGATATAAAAAACAACATGCTTTTACAAACTATGCCAAAAACCCTCAGCCAAGTTCAAAAGCCACAACTGTCATTTTACAAAACTCAAATTCCAAAGCTAAGAGCAAAAATAGAGGAACTGCTTAAATTTGTCCTGTACACCTCACAAAATGGGTAAGAATCAAGTGAGATAAAGTATGCATGTGCTTTATAAACCATAAAATCATAGAAATGTGAGTTATCACTATTAATAATTTTATATTTTCATTATCTAAGAATTAATTTTTTTAAGAAAACCCAAATTTCATTTTGACTAATATCTCATCTTACCTATTTTCTTTTTCTGTTGTCGACCAGCTGACTCTGTTATTGTTTCCTTCTTCTTTTCCACT
This sequence comes from Homo sapiens, assembly GCF_000001405.40. Classification (NCBI taxonomy): domain Eukaryota; kingdom Metazoa; phylum Chordata; class Mammalia; order Primates; family Hominidae; genus Homo; species Homo sapiens. The sequence goes on from NC_000001.11 coordinate 165,759,587, forward strand.
GTAAACAACATAGTAACACAGTAAAAATTAACTGGATTATACTAAAGAAACAAAGGATGCTTTATCACAGCTGAACCAATGAAAGAAGCTTGCAAGAAAGTTACACACTGACTGATTATGGTCATGATTAAGTTAACTGGTCCACTCTCATAGCTACTGATGGTAAAAGGTAGATACAATATTCTAAGAATGAAACAACAATTATAAGCATCATTAATCAAATACCCATAAAGAATTGTATTGATATAATCATAATGAAAACAGACCATCAGCTGAGGATGATTACCTTAGCTAGTTTCAAAGCACAATTTTCAAATTTCTATTCTCTCAGATAACTAGGGTTAATTGTAATTCCATTCTCTTATGACAGAAGGTAGAAATTTATTCACTCAGTTATTGGCTGCCTAAATAACTCTAAGCAGATGAAAAAAAAATGATCCCTACCTTCTAAAGAATAATCTAGTCAGGGGAAATAATCAAATGACAATTACAGTAATGTGACAAGATAGTTATACGCACACTGCAGGAAAATCAGGAGAGCCAAAAAAGCTAAGACCAGACAGACGCAGTGGCTCACACCTATAACCCCAGCACTTTGGGAGGCCTAGGCGGGCAGATCACCTGAGGTCAGGAGTTTGAGACCAGCCTGGCCAACATATAGTGAAACCCCGTCTCTACTAAAAAACATACAAAAATTAGCTGGGCGTAGTGGCATATGCCTATAATTCCAGCTACTTGGGAAGCTGAGGCAGGAGAATCACTTGAATCCAGGCGGTGGAGGTTGCAGTGAGTTTAGATCACACCACTCTACTCCAGTCTGGGCAATAGAGCGAGACTCTGTTTCTCAAAAAAAAAAAAAAAAATACCAATTTTTCTGATGCATTTCAATTACTATCATGATTACATAACAATAAGCTTTTGAAAAAGAAATAGTGGGCCGGGTGCAGCGGCTCACACCTGTAATTCCAGCACTTTGGAAGGCCGAGGTGGGCAGATCATGAGGTCAAGAGATTGAGATCATCCTGGCCAACATGGTGAAAACCCATCTCTACTAAAAATACAAAATTTAGCTGGGCATGTGGCGCGTGCCTGTAGTCCCAGCTACTTGGGAGGCAGAGGCAAGAGAATCGCTTGAACCCGGAAGGCAGAAGTTGCAGTGAGCCAAGATCTCGCCACTGAACTCCAGCCTGGCGACAGAGCGAGACCCCATCTCAAAAAATAAAAAAAAGAAAGAAAAAGAAATAGTGTAATGTATTTATATTATATTTACCATCTTTAATCACCTGTAAATGGACTAGGGATATGTCAAAAATTACCTTTACTTAGTTTATTTATATTATCTGTTACCCATATTATCTTAGTATACTAATAGCAAACAGTACGGTATAGGTACCATTTCTAAAACCTACATTAAAGAGAATTAGCGGGTAGAACTCTTTCCCTTAGTACATGAAGTTTGTCCCTGAATTCTAAAAGCAAAATTGGTATCACTGCTTTATCCAAGAATTGTAAAATTCAACTTGACTCCAATATTGCAAATGAAATTTAAAAGGCTGGCCAAAATAAAATATGTGTTTTGTGTATTTGTGTGTGTGTGTGTGTGTGTGTTTGTTCTGGAAGACTAAGTAACAGATACTGTTCTAGGTAAATAGAAAGGTAAGATACAGGCCAGGCATGGTGGCTCAAACCTGTAATCCCAGCACTCTGGTAGGTTGAAGTGGGAAGACTGCTTGAGCCCAGGAGTTTGGGATCAGCCTGGGCAACATGGCAAGACTCTGTCTCTATAAAAAATTGAAAAATTAGCCGAGTGTGGTGGCACATGCCTATAGTCCCAGCTACTCAGGAGGCTGAGGCAGGAGGAGCTCCTGAGCCCAGGAGCTTGAGGCTGCAGTGAGCTGTGTTCACTTCACTGCACTCCAGCCTATGCGAGAGCGAGACCCTGTCGCCAAAATAAAATAAAACAAAACATCATGTACATGGAAAGAGAGAGAGAAAGATTTTGAATGAACATACTAGTGAGAGATCATAAAAGAAAAATGTCAAATTTCACATTTTAAAATGTTATAAAAATAACATTTTATGTCGGGTGCAGTGGCTCAGTTCTGTAAGCCCAGCACTCTGAGAGGCCAAGATGGGAAGATCATTTCAGTTCAGGAGTTCGAGATCAGCATGGGCAACACGGTGAAACCTCGTCTCTACCAAAACTACAAAAATCAGCCGGCCATGGTGGTGCACTCCTGTGGTCCCAGCTACTCAGGAGGCTGAGATGAGAGGATCATGGAAGCCCAGGAAGTCAAGACTGCAGTGAGCCATGATTGGGCCACTGCACTCCAACCTGGGTGACAGAGTGAAACCCTGTCTCAAAAAAATAAATAAATAAATAATAAACATTTTTATTAAAATGTTATAAGGATAACATTTTTATTAAAATGTTATAAGGATAACATTTTTATTAAAATGTTATAAGGATAACATTTTTATTAAAATGTTATAAGGATAACATTTTTATTAAAATGTTATAAGGATAACATTTTTATTAAAATGTTATAAGGATAACATTTTTATTAAAATGTTATAAGGATAACATTTTTATTAAAATGTTATAAGGATAACATTTTTATTAAAATGTTATAAGGATAACATTTTTATTAAAATGTTATAAGGATAACATTTTTATTAAAATGTTATAAGGATAACATTTTAAAAGACAAAATGGACAGAAAACACTTAATGTTTTGTTCTTTATCATTGTTATTAAACAAAGAAACAAAAATATTTCTTTCCCACCCCAGAAGGACTATAACACAACTACTTGGCATTTAACCATGACTGCATAGAAAACAGGGCAATAAAAAGACAGAAGGCTAGAGAATAGAAACATAAGACAATTCCATAAACATTAGTCTGGTCTTCTAGAAGACCAGATTGAGACTAGATAAATTGTTTTTAGGGATAAATTAATCTAATGTTTTTCAAACTTCATGAGGTTGTGATGAAACCTTGGTGTGTGGATATTTATTCATCAGAATCTCACCTGACAACAAGAAGTAGAAATGTCAGAGTTGACAAAAATAAAAGATGTCTACTATGAAACACATTTCTGTCCATGATCTGTATTCCTGCATTCTAAATTCCAGAGTTCTGCCAAACAGTTTATAAATTATTCTAAAAGATTTATCCTATTTTACCGTAAACAACAGAAATACCTCATACTTCACAGCAATTTATACTTAGTAAGTGCTCTCAAATAAACAACTGTGTTACAAGAATCAAGTTATATATACTGTATTTTAATCTTTTTCATTTATTGAAGTATCCTTTCATTAGTATATATTATAATAGTAACACAATAAAAGAAGACCTACTGATATTTAGAATACATCTATAAGCCCAGTGACCACCTGAGTCAACCAACTCACTACCTTTAAGAAAGCATTTCCTTTTGTTAAAAGCAGCTCAGTAGGACTGCTTTTTGGACAACAGTATTCTTCTAAAAATGCCAAGGACCAGATCAGCACAAGCAAAGTAACCTGTATCAAATTCTGATTCAAACCTCTTTATATTTTTGATATTCTTCAAAAACCCTACAAACTTCCCTTGCTTAAATTCATACTACGTTCTGAATACAAAGTATCAGAAGGAATTCTGTATTTGCAATTAAGACATTTGTTCAAAGAGGAAATTTACCTTATATTTTTCCTTTTTAATATTCCTCATGCTAAATATAATAGTTGTGCATTTGATTATACATTCCAGAAGACAGAATTTGTGGCCGCTCATTTCATATTGTACTTACTACAGTAAACTAAACACATAGCAAGCAATCAAATAAGTCGACTGATCACATAAATAAAAATAATACACGTTTACTGAGTTTTGGTAGATTATCCAGAGTAGAGGACCTAAGACCACAAGAAATGCCATGAGTCATTCCAATCATCAACCTACCTCATACTTACCTTCAAAGGAAGCATATGAAGAAATTATAGTAAAATTGCAACTACAGATGTGTAAACTGGCAAATGTATTACTTTGTTTCATTTTTGTTAGAGATTGGGTCTCAACTCTGTCACCTAGGCTGGAATGCAGTGGCCCAATCTCCCCTCTCTGCTCACTGCAAACCCCGCCTCCTGAGCTCAAGCAATCCTCCCACCTCAGCCTCCCAAGTAGTTGGGACCACACACACATGCCACCATGTCAGGCTAATTTTTTGTACATTTTGTAGAGATGGGGTTTTGCCATGTTGCCCAGGCTGGTCTTGAACTCCTGAGCTCAAACAATCTACCTGCCTCAGCCTCCCAAAGTGTTGGGATTACAGGCGTAAGCCACTGCACCTGGCCTCAACTGTATTACTTTGAATTGCAGTGTACAGTAAAGGAGACTTTTCATTTATTTCTATAAAGTAAATAATTAAAGACAAGGCAATATTGTAGATACCAGTGAAGCTCAAAATCTATAAGGCAAATCCATATTATATAAATATTTAAGGTATAAGAATATTCAAACCAATTTGAAGCTAAATTTGTTTTGTATTTCATAAAACTACTCAATGATATAAATGACATGAAGAAATGTATACAGGGATGCCATTGCATGCTGCCAACTAGCATAGGATCATAGCAGAACAATTTTTCACAAAGAATATATGTGATGTTATGCTACACAGATAATTTATTAAATACACATTTATCAAGTATCTAATATGTGCCAGGCACTGCATTAGGTACTGTGGATACAATGGCCTTTGTCCTCATAGCAATTACAGTTTTGTTGAGGAGAGAGACATTACCCTGATGACCATAATCATATATAGGTAAAACTGCAGTTGTGACAACCACTCTAAGGAGAGGTATGTGGATAAATCATAAACTATGATAGGAAGATTTGGCCCTGTCTGGGAGACTGGATAAGGCTTTGAGATCTGAAGAATGAGTAGGAGTTTACTAAACAAAATGAGAAGGGAAACTTATCGCAGGTAGGAGGAACAACAGATACAAAGTGCCTGTAGTAGGAAACCATAAGACTAGCCCAGAGGACAGAAAAAAGGCATGAATGAATAGAGAATAGGGAGCAAGAGAGAATATGATACAAGATGTAGCCAGGAGAAGGGAGGGTGGTACTGTGCTGTGCTGGACCTTACAGGCCACATGTTTATCCTAAAGCAATGTGAAGAAATTGAAAGGTTTTAAGAAAGACAAGTAACATAATCAGATTTGTGTTTTAAAAAATTACCCTAGATGCATTATAGGGGGCAAATTTGAGTGGCTGCAGATGGACCAGAGAGGAGGTTACTGCAGCAGATTAAATGAAATATAATAGAAGTTTAGACTAGGTGGTGATGGGAGAAATGAAGAGATGTGAAATGATCTGAAAACTATTCAGGAAAACAACAATAGGGCTTGGTAATGGACTGCATATATGGGGCAAAAGAAGAAAGCATTCAAGTCAACAAATGTTTGTTAAACATTTACTATGTGCCAGTCAGTGTTCTAGGTAAACAGGATACATAGGTAAACAACAACAAAGAACCGTGCCCTAGTGGAGTTTTCATTCTAGCAGGTAGAAATACACAATAAGCAATAACATGATAAATAAGTAAATCATACAGTATATTAGAAAGTAATAAAAGCAACAGAAAAAATAGAACAGGGTAAGGAATATTAGGAGTAGGGGAGATGGGCAGGTTGCAGTTTTATTTTATTTTTATTTTTTTTGAGACAAGAGTCTTGCACTGTTGGCCAAGCTGGAGTGCAGTGATGCAATCTCGGCTCACTGCAACTTCCGCCTCCCAGGTTGAAGCAATTCTCCTGCCTCAGCCTCCCAGGTAGCTGGGATTACAGGCATGTGCCACCACGCCCAGCTAATTTTTGTATTTTTAGTGGAGACGGGGTTTCACTATGTTGGTCAGGCTGGTCTCGAAGGCCTGACCTCGTGATCCACCCACCTCAGCCTCCCAAAGTGCTGGGATTACAGGCCTGAGCCACCGCGCCCTGCCTTGCAGTTTTAAATAGAGTGGTCAACTTAAGAGTCAGAGGTGATGTTGGAACAAAGATTTGAAGAAGGTAATAGGATTAGCCCAGCACATATTGTAGGGAAGAACATTTCTAAGCAGAAGGAATCACCACTAGAAAGGTCCCAGCACAAGAGTATGGCTAGTATGTGTAAAGAACAGCAAGCTGGACAGTGTGGGTGAAGCAGGGTAAGTGAGAAGAAAGAATATCAGAATGGTAAAAAGGAAGCATCTGTAGGATGCTGGCTTTTCTGCTGAGTGAAAGGGACATGATCAAATAGGCTTTTAAAAAGATTATTCTGGCTGTCATCTTGAGAACAGACTTCAGGGAGACAGGAACACTTGTTGGAAACTACTGCAATAATCCATGCAAAAGATCATGGTGCTTAGACCACAGTGGTTAACACTGGAGCTAATGAAAAGTGGTCAGATTCTGGATATCGGAAGCTTTCTGAACCTTTACTGGTTTGGGGTGTTTCTTCAAAAAGGAAACCCAACAGTATCTGCAGACAGACTAGATGTGGGTTGTAAGAAGAGTAAAAGATAACTACACAAGAATTATGGCCTGAGCAAGTGGAAGGACAGAAATGCCATTGACCAAGATAAAGAAGGCTACAAATGACACAGGCTTAGACATGAGGAACAAGTATTCAATTTGGGACGTGTTGGGACTGAGCTGTCCACCAAACATTCTAGCTGACATAACAAATTGATGCGTGGATATATGAATCTTGTATTAAGAAGAGAGGGCCACAGACATAAATTTGGGAGTCACTGGCCAATACAGCCAAAAGATAAGTTCACCAAGGAAGTGAATGTAGAGAAAAAAACTAAATTTTGTGTCACTCCCAACAACGGGAGGTCAAGAAATGAAACCATCAAGTAAATTGCAGAAGAATGATCAGTAAGGGCTGGGCACTGTGGTTCATGCCTGTAATCCCAGCACTTTGGGAGGCCTAGCCGGGAGGATCGCTTGAGCCCAGGAGTTTGAGATCAGCCCTGGCAACAGAACAAGACCTCATCTCTCCAAAATATCAGCCAGTCATGGTGGTGTGCATCTGTAGTCCCAGCTACTCAGAAGTCTGAGGCAGGAGGATCGCTTAAGCCTGGGAGGTCCAGGCTGCAATGAGCTCTGAGGGGTGACAGAGTGAGACCCTGTCTCAAAAAATAAATAAATAAATAAAAAATAAAAAAAGGATGACTAGTAAGATGGAGAGCAGCAAAACCGAAAGTATGGTGTCCTGGAGCCAAATTAATAAAGCATATCAAGGTTTCTGGCTTACACTACTGGAAGCATGGAGGTACCCATCACCAAGATAGGGAAATCCTGGAAGAATATCACGTTTGTGAAGGTAAAGATAACGAGTTTGGCCCAGATATGCTGAGGTACATAATCAACACTGAGTAAATTAAGGAACAGTAAGCTGTAATTTTAAAAGCCTGAGTCTGGTCTCTAATTCTTTGTTTGCTCTGTGACGTAAGTTGTCATTATCATCCTGAGGCTCAATTTTCTTTCCTATGACATGGAGGTAATATTTATACGAGTAACCACAAATGGTTGCTGTGTAGATCAAATATGGTAATTTAAGAAAAAAAACTTCAAACCCCTATGAAGATATAAGAAAAAGTCACAGAATACAGAAAGTTGTAGGAATTCTAAGAAACAAAAGTTATATTTAATCCTTATAAGGAAAAAAAGAAGAGAGAAAACTAAATCAGGCCTATAAGGAACCATTCACCCTGTACCTTTAGCTGAGTCCTGTGGAATTCCTGCTTTATTTCAAAGGTAACAAACCCTTCTTGTTTTTAATCTTTTCCTTAAACACCTCTTCAACTTTCTAACCCAACTGAAACTCGGCTTATCTCTGAAGACACCACTTACCTTGACACCAGTCATAATGACATATCATCCTCCAAACATGCCTTAAATGTTAAGATTTCCATATTTTTGCTCATATGTTATTTCTTTACCTGGAATTTCCTTTCCCCATTTCATTCTCTATCCAAATTCTAACTATCCACAAGGAACTGCAAGGCCATCAGCATCATGAAGGCTACCATGGTTCCTCACAACTGAATGAAGCCTCTTCTTCTTTTTTTTTTAAAGACAAGTCTCACTATTGCCCAGGAGGCAGTGTAGTGACACCATCGTGGCCCACTGTAGCCTCAATCTCCTGGGCTCAAGGGATCCTCATGCCTCAGTCTCCCAAATAGCTGGGACTATAGGTGTGTACCACCATACCCAGCTAATTTTTTCTGTAGGGACGAGGTCTCCCTATGTTGCCCAGGCTGGTGTCAAACCCCTAAGTTCAGTCCTGCCTCAGCCTTCCAAAGTGCTGGGATTAACAGGAGTAAGCCACTGCGCCAGATTGAACCTCTTCTTTAGAACCACCACAGCACATAACATGTATCTGCTACGCCCCTCACTTCCCTCTAGTTGGTATTACACATTTTGCATAAAAGTCTTCTATTTCTAAATAGGCTTCAAGTCAGGTTCATCTTTGTATCAGCTGGTGCTCTTAAAATATTTATTGTGAACATGGACTTAATGAGCTTGACGTGTTGAAATTATTTCTAATGTGTTGCCATACTCACATTTTTTACTCTGTTTTTCCACTTCTGCCTTCAGTCTCTTGTACTTGTCTGTCCTGTAAACCAGGACCCAGGTTATGCCTAAAACATTAAAAGCAACATGTTAATAGAGAAATGACTGGAATGATCACAACAAACAAAGTGGTTACTGTTGGAGAAGGAGGAATTCCAACTTTTCGCTTTGTATTTACCCATAGTTAACTTTTTTCAAAGGCTAATACAACTGACTCTTCAGCCAAAACAACAGTAACATGATGTGAAGGTGTCTCCACAAATACCCAAGTGAAATCTACCTGAGACCAAAGAAAACTCGGCAATCGACTCCATACTCCCCTCCTGCTCCTGTTCACGAGTTGCCCAGAGATTCCCTGAAGTGGAGTAGATGAGCCTCTCAAGCAAGTAAGGCTCGCGATCTTTCCCCTGGTGGCACAGGGGACCCCGGGGCCCTTCCTCCCGGGGACTGATCAAACGTCTGAGAAATACCCGCTCTCACCCTCTGCGAGCAGAGCCGTGCACACAGAGATAAAAACGATGAGGAGAGTGTCCGCGAACATAGTGCTCATCTCGCACCTTCGTCTCTGCACTCTCACCCGCCAGGGGGAAAGCGCTCTACAGCCAGGAAAAGTGAAGCGAAAACGGCTTCCGTAGACTCCGCCACCACCGAGTAACAGACCAACTCTGACAGCCCGAAGATCGCACTTCCGCTTCCGGGGCATAGCACCGGAAAGGCTCGTATCGGAGAACGGTGTGGCCACGAGAGTCTAGAGGAAACCAACCCGCAACTCACTGGAGCTGAAGGGCTGGTAGTCAGGCCGAATCTCGCGAGAATTGGAACTATTTCAGAGCCAGAGGAGGATAGTGGCGGCGGCGAACTTTGCCCGGTAGATTTTACTGACTGGGGTGCTGGCGCGCGCCTTTTTCTCGGCCAGAATCCAGTTATTGGGATAGTCTTGACTTCTACCTCAGCCCAACTTCTGTGGTCGTAATATTAGTTTAGCTTGGGTTTGCCGTGAAGTAAGAAGACTGACTTCCGCAAAGGTACTGAACGACTGGGTGTAGGTGCCAGGGCATGGACGTGAAGCTGGAACCGCGAAATGAGTTAGTTGTGGGCCGCTGGCCTCAAGGAGCGAACGTCAGCGCGAAGAGGAGAAGCTTGTGCATACGCTCTGATAAGGGTTTTAATAGAGGTATTACCACAGTGCTGCGTGACACGGTTGAGAGAGTGGTCAGAAGAAGCTAATGAAAGGAATTGAAGCAGTGCCTTAGGGGAGTAGGAGTACTTTTGGAGATAGCAAAGGACTTTCTAGGCAAAGTGGAAGTCAAAGCACGGATGCCTGAAAATTCATAGTGTGATAGTGCAGTGAGTAATGTATCTAGAGAAGGGGTCTTAAACCCAGATGCCTAGACTGGCGAGAGAAAATAAATTATCTTATGCAAGCTGAGCCTAAACAAATGGTGGAAGTTACTACGATGGATAAGTGAGCATTAAGTTCATCTGAAAGGAGAATTTGATACCCAAATCCAACCCATTTCTCTAGGAGAATGAGCACCCAGTTTCTGAGATGTCTTCGTTTCTCAGGAAAATCCAGAAATCCTGGGTTTTATGTGAAACTTAATTTATAAGTGTTGCTAACTAATTAAAATTCAAAAATGTCTCAGCAGCGTGGTTTCAGCCATTGTAGACGGTTTCAGCTTTTTCACACTGGGGTGTGTGTGTGTATGGGTGAAAACCTGGAAGCTGGCTGAGCTGTATCCTCTTGTACTTCCTCCTATCATTGGTGTTTTTTTGTTTGTTTGAGATGGAGTTTCACTCTTGTTGCCCAGGTGGAGTGCAATGGCACAATCTCGGCTCACTGCAACCTCTGCCTCCGGGTTCAAGCCATTCTCCTGCCTCAGCCTCCCAAGTAGCTGGGACTACAGGTGCCCGTCCCCACGCCCAGCTAATTTTTTGTATTTTTAGTAGAGACGGGGTTTTGCCATGTTGGCCAGGCTGGTCTTGAACTCCTGACCTCAGATCCACCCACTTCGGCCTCCCAAAGTGCTGGGAATACAGGCGTGAGCCACCGTGGCCGGCCCTCATTGGTTCTTTTAAACTGTACTGCACTTAAATATATAATTCTCCTAAACACTACTTTTGACTTTTTTTTAGCTTTATGTGCATTTCTTGTCTCCCAGACTTAGCAACAGAGACCCTGTCTCCTTTTTAAGAAACATTATTGAGCTTCTACTATATGTCAAGAACTGTGGTAGGCACTGTAGGGTCAAAAGGATGGTTAAGAGAATATTCCTGACTTCTAAGGGCCCAGGGAGATTATATAATATAATAAGATTATAGGTATTATAGAGGTATTCTTAAAATGTTGAGGGGGTACAGATGAAAACAAGATGTATTCTTCCTGGGGAGTTGGAAAGGTTTCAGAAAGATCATATTTGAGCTAGACCTTTATTTGAGCAGTTCAGACAAGGATAGGTTTTTATTCACCTTTGTATCACCCAAGGTAAGTGCTGAGATAACAATAAGAGCATGATCTTGGAAATCAGACCTGATTTTAAATTCTTGCTCTGCCACTTACTTGACAGCAGTCCTAGAACCTATTGTTTAGCATCTTTGAGCCTTCAAAATGGTGGTAACATCAGCTATGAAGACTGGATGAGGAAAAGTATATTATAAAGCATTTCAAGCAGTGCTTGGCACACACAATTCATCAAATTCAACATGCTATTCATTGTAAGACGCATCATTATTTTATCTACTACTAAAGAGGAAAAAATAACTAATTAAACCATGACACACCATTGATTGTAAGAAGAATCCCATTCAGAGATGTTAAAATATGAAAAAATGAGAAAATATGAAATATATTAATAAGCAGTTAAGTTATTCCTGTGTAAATGTTTACAACCATGGACTGCTAGGATACACTTCCTTTTCTAGGGTAATGATGTCATGACACTATGCCCCTTGTTTAAGAACAGTGCTAGAAGTCAGGCGCGGTGGCTCACGCCTGCAATCCCAGCACTTTGGGAGGCTGAGGCGGGCGGATCACGAGGTCAGGAGATTGAGACCATCCTGGTTAACACGGTGAAACCCCGTCTCTACTAAAAATACAAAAAAATTAGCTGGTCGTGGTGGTGGGCGCCTGTAGTCCCAGCTACTCGGGAGGCTGAGGCAGGAGAATGGCGCGAACCTGGGAGGCGGAGTTTGCAGTGAGCCGAGATGGCGCCACTGCACTCCAGCCTGGGCGACAGAGCAAGACTCGGTCTCAAAAAAAAAAAAAAAAAAAAAAAAGGAACAGTGCTAGAGACAAGTTCAGATAACATCTTTTCTAGATTCTACTAGTTTTCTTTGTTATATTCCCAAATTCTCTAAGCTCTTAGTTGTACTATCTAATTTTTAGATTTCAAAGCTTTCCCCATGAGGACTGCTCTCCCAAAGCTCACTGACCTCCTCCAATCTCTAGTACAATAGGAAGACTTTTGTCCTGGGACTTAATTTTACTATTCTCTTGAAACCACATTTTTGTTTCTAGTTTATACTTGATGTTGTGGTACATCTTCAAGTAACTTTCTGTGAAAGGTGAATGGGAGCTAAGCCTGTTCTTACATTATTAGTAGAATTAGTAATAATAATACTGTTGTTGCTTTGGGGTTGTGTTTTGTTTTCTAGAGACAGGGTCTCACTTTGTTGCCCAGGCTCGGTCTCGAACTCCAGGGCTCAAAGCAGTCCTCCTGCTTCAGCCTCCCAAAGTGTTGGGATTACAGGCATGAGCCACCATGCCCAGCCAATACTGTGCTTCATTTTTATTTATTTATTTAATTTATTTTTGAGATGGAATCTCACTCTGTCGCCCACGCTGGAGTGCAGTGGCACAATTTTAGTTCACTGCAACCTCTGCCTCCCGGGTTCAAGCGATTCTCCTGCCTTAGCCTCCGGAGTACCTGGGTTTACAGGCATGCACCACCATGCCCAGCTAATTTTTGTATTTTTAGTAGAGACAGCGTTTCACCTTTTTGGCCAGGCTGGTCTTGATCTCCTGACCTCAAGTGATCCACCCACCTCGGTCTCCCAAAGTGCTGGGATTACAGGCATGAGCCACCGCGCCCAGCCCAATACTGTTCTTTAAATACACATTTAATACTAAGCTAGGCATTGTAAAAGATTATAAGAGAATTATAAATACCTGCTTACACTCTGACATTTGAAACAATATGAACTTTACGTTTCAATTTTAGCCCCACTGCATGTAAGCTACCTTATTTTAGCAAGTTACTTAATTTATCTGAGCCTCATTGTTTTAAATCTGTAAAGTATAAGTAAAAATATCTACCTTCAGGAATTACCGTGAGGTTTGTATAGGGTTGGGAACAAAGTTCTGGAGTCAGACTACTTGTATTCAAATCCTGGCTTCTCCATTTAACTAGATGTGCAGTTTTAGGCAAATTACTTCACCATACCATGCCTTGGTTTTTCTGGAATGTAAAATGTCATAATAGTATGTAAATTTAAAGGATTTTATTTTTAAAAAAATATGTAAGGAAAGTGTTTAGAAGGTACATGGTCTGTCTGTGGATATACCAGAATCAATCTATTGTGTTCTTTTCCCCAAACTCCAATATTCCCTTGTTCTCTTAATGAGTAGCACCACCATCTAACTGGTTTTCAAGCCAAAAATAAGGGAACTATCTTCAGTAACTCCCTCTTTATCTCGCGTTTACTTTGCAAGTTCCATGGATTTCCCCCTTTTCATATCTTTTTACACATCTTTCAGTCCCCTCTACTACACTTCAATTCAGTTCATCATTATCTCCACTCGTATTACAGCTTTCTAACTGGTCTCCAATTGTATACCCAATTTTGTCCCCTTCAGGCCATTCTTCTCATTTAGGCAGTAGTGATCTTTGTCAAATACAAAGATGACTGGGTGTGGAAGATTGGGAAGAAGAAGGAATTGGGGGGCAGCTCGCAGATTTTTTTCTTAGATACCTGAATGAATTCATATCAGAGAAAACAGGAGAGGAATCCGGTTTTTAGGAGAAGATTTTTTTTTTTTCCTACTGGGCTAGCAGGACTAGATGAAGACCTTCAGAAACCCTGGGCACTGAGAAGATCATAAGGTCTCTTCCCAAATATAATTAAAAATAAAATACTAAGGTGAAATATATTTTAATTATTATTTTTGAACTTATTTTTTCCAAATGTTTTCCCTCGAGTCTGTGCATGTGTGCCCTAAATACATGTTTCATCGGCTAGTTGGATAATCCTGTACTGTTGTGTTTTCTTTTAGAGATGGAATCTCGCTGTGTCACCCAGGCTGGAATGCAGTGACTCGATCATAACTCACTATGACCTCGAACTCCCAGGCTAAAGCAGTCCTCAAGCAATCCTTCCACCTCAGCCTTCTGAGTAGCTGGGAGTAGCTGATTAACTAATGCGTGTCACCACGCCCAGCTAATTTGTGTATGTGTGTGCACAGGTGTAGAGCTAGGGGTCTTGCTATGTTGCTCAGGCTAGTCTTGAACTCCTGGCCTCAAGCAGTCTTGTCTTGACCTCTCAAACCAGTGGGACTGTAGGTGTGAGCCATTGCTCCTGGCTGAGCACTGTTTTTTTTAGGACAGACTGTATTCATTGTTGCAATCTTCAGCTTTTGGAACATCGTCTAGGACAGAGAAGCTGCACAATATGTATTTATCGAATGAGTGAATGATACTTTTGGGAGAGAAGACAGTGGGTTGGAGAAATATCTTGGAAGAATTGGAAATTTTAGGTGGACCTTGAAGAAAGGGTAAAATTCAATTAGGACACAAGCAGTGATCAAAAGCATTGAGTTGGGAACAAAGTGGTAGGATGTGGGAGTTAGTATATAGTAAAAACAACTAAAATATAGAAAGAGATTATGTGTTTAATAGAAATAGGATTGACTAAAGTGAATCCACGTTGTATCTGTAAGAGGTCCATCGTTGAACTTTATTTTTTTTTGTTTTGTTTTTGAGACAGGGTCTCACTCTGTTATCTAGGCTGGAGTGCGGTGGCACAATCTCAGCTCACTGCAGCCTCAGCCTCCCAGGTTCAAGTGATTCTCCTGCTTCAGCCTCCCATATAGGGATTACAGGCCTGCACCACCACACCTGGCTAATTTTTGTATTTTTAGTACAGACGGGATTTCACCATGTTGGCCAGGCTGGTCTCGAACTCCTGACTTCAAGTGATCCACCCGCCTCGGCCTTCCAGAGTGCTGGGATTACAGGCCTGAGCCACTGCACCCAGCCACCTGTATTTATTTTTGAGACAGGGTCTTGTTCTGTCGCCTTGGCTGGAGTGCAGTGGTGCAATCATGGCTCACTGCAGCCTTGACTTCCCAGGCTCAATGAATAGCTGGGACTACAGGTGTGCACCACCATACCCGGCTAATTTTTGTATTTTTTGTAGAGATGGTGTTTCGCCATCTTGCCCAAGCTGGTCTCAAACTCCTGGCCTCAAGTGATCCACCCGTCTAGGCCTCCTACAGTGCTGGGATTACAGGGTTGAGCCACCACACCCAGCCTCATGGTTGAATTTTAGGAGAGCCGTACATCTCCTCCTGATAATACATGCAAAACTTCATGTGTCCATTTTTTTCTGAGTTGAAGTTTCATAGTTTTCATCCAATTCTCAAAGGTGTTTATAAACCAATAAAGGTTAAGAATCATGTTGTGCATTTGAAAGACTAATAGAAAGGCTTAAGCTTAATGCTGTAGCAAATTAGTCTTCAAAAGTTTTCTACCATAGCATTCATTAGGAACAGAAGAGGGGGAATGAGACCCTAAGATTTAGAGATGAAGTCTGAAACTTAGGACTTTATATTTATCTGAACATCATATGTAAATTTTACTATTATGGGACTGGTATTAATGCTTCCTTATAAAAATATATTTAGCCTCATCAGTGATCAGGGAACCATATTTGGGACCAGTCTGTTCAGTTGGCAAAAATTAAAAAGGCCATCATATCAGAAAGGAGAAGGTAAAATGATTTGTTCACAGACAGCATGATCTTTTATGTACAAAACCCTAAAGATTCCACCCAAAAAACCCTGTTAGAACTAAAAAACAAAGTTGCAGGATGCAAAACCACACAAAATTTAGTTGCATTTCGATGTAAAATTTAAAAAGGAAATCTTAAAAATTCCATTTGCAACAGCATCAGAACTAAAATACTTGTGAATAAATTTAACCAAAGAGGCAAGACTTGTACACTGACAACTACAAACATTGCTGAAGCAAATTAAAGAATATAGAAATAAGTGGAATGACGCACTGTGTTCATAGATTGAAACAGTTAATATTAAGATGTTGATACTACTCAAAGTGATCTACAGATTCATTAGGTAATCCCTGTCAAAATCCCAGTGACTTTTTTTCAGAAATAGAAAAATTCATCCTAAAATGTATATGAAAACTCAGAGTACCCCAAATAGCCAAACAATTTTGCAAGAGAACAAAGTTGAAGGTCTCATGCTTCCTGATTTCAAAATTTAACTATAAAGCTACAGTAATCAAAACACTGTAGTCCTAGCATAAAGACAGACATATAGAATAAAGAACCCAGAACTAAACCCTCACATATATGGTCAATTGATTTTTGACAAGGTTGTCAAGACCAGTCAATCAATGGAGAAAGGATATCCAGTTTTCTCCATTTTTACATGTGGATATCCAGTTTTCCCAACACCATGTATTTAAAAGATAAATAACCTAAATGATAAATCTAAATGTCTAAAAAATAAATAATCTAAAAATATCCAGTTTTTTTGGGGTCAGGTGCAGTGGCTTACGCCTGTAATCCCAACACTTCGGGAGGCCGAGGTGGGCAGATCACTTGAGGTCAGGAGTTCGAGACTAGCCTGGCCAACATGGTGAAACCCCATCTCTACTATAAATGCAAAAATTATCTGGGTGTGGTAGCGGGCACCTGTAATCCCAGCTACTTGAGAGCCAGAGGCTCGAGAATCGCTTGAACCCGAGAGGCTGAGGTTGCAGTGAGCCAAGATCGTGCCACTGCATTCCAGTTGGGGTGACAGAGCGAGACTGAGTCAAAAAAAAAAAAAATCCAGTTTTCCCAACAGCATTTATCTTTTCAATAAATGGTGTATTTTGCATGTGGATAATCCAGTTTTCCCAACACGATTTATCTTTAAGATAGCCACATGCAAAATTAACTCAAAATGGATCAAAGACTTAAATGAAAGTGCTAAAACTCTTAGATGAAAACAGGAAAACCTTCATGACATTGGATTTGGCAATGATTTATTGAATATAACACCAGAAGCAAAGGCAACAAAAAATAAATTGGACTTTATCAAAATTAAAAATGTTTATTCATCAAAGGACACAACAGAGTGAAAAGGAAACTCATGGAATGGGAGAAATATTTACAAAGCATATATCTGGTAAGGGATTAAAATCCATTATAAATACATTTTAAAATCCTTCAACTCACCAAATAAAATCCCAATTCAAAAATGGGCAAAGGACTTAAACAAAGGTTTCTCCAAAGAAGATAAGCAAATGGCTGATAAGCCCATGAAAAGATGGTCAACATAACTAACTAGGGAATTGCAAAACAAACCACTTCACACTCATTAGGATGGCAGTTATTTAAAAAAAAACAAAACAGGGCCAGGTGCAGTGGCTCATGCCTGTAATCCCAGCACTTTGGGAGGCCGAGGCGGGTGTATCACGAGGTTGGGAGTTCAAGACCAGCATGAACAACATGGTGAAACCCTGTCTGTACTAAAAATACAAAAATTAGGTGTGGTGGCGTATGCCTGTAATCCCAGCTTCTCAGGAAGCTGAAGCAGGAGAATCACTTGAACACAGGAGGTGGAGGTTGCAGTGAGCCGAGATCATGCCACTGCACTCTAGCCTGGGCGACAGACCGAGACTCCATCTCAAAAAAAAAAAAAAAAGTATTAGTGAGGAAGTGAAGAAAGTCAACCCCTTATGCATTGCTGGGATGAATATAAAATGATACAGTCGGGATGGGAAATCAGTATGGTTGTTCCTCAAAAAATTAAACCTAAGGTTGGGCACAGTGGCTCACGCTTGTAATCCCTGCACTTCGGGAGGCTGAGGCAGGTGGATCTTGTGAGCCCAAAAGTTTGAGATCATCCTGGGCAACATGGCAAAACCCTGTCTCTAGAAAAAGTACAAAAATTAGCCAGGTGTAATAGTACATGCCTGTAGTTCCAGCTACTCAGGAGGCTGAGGTGGGAGGATCACCTGTGCCCAGGAGGTTGAGGCTGCAGTGAGCCATGAGCATGCCACTGCACTAAATAAAGAATTACCATAGGATCCAGCAATTCCACTTCTAGTATCTACCAAAAGAATTGAAAGCAGGGACTTCAAAAGATATTTATATATCCATGTTCATGGCAGCATTATTCACAGTAGCCAAAAGGTGGAAGTATCCCAAGGGTCCATCAATGGATGAATGGATAAAATAATATGGTATATACATACAATGGGATATCATTCTGCCTTGAGAAATTCTGACATGTGTTATAACATGGATGAACTTTGAAGATACACTAAGTGAGATAAGCTAGCCACAAAAGAACAAATAGTGTATGATTTCTCTAATACCAGAAGTAAACCAAAAGTATCCAAGACAGGTCTCAATCCATTTAGGAAGTTTATTTTGACAGGGTTAAGGATGTACCTGTAATACAGCCTCAAGTGGTCCCAAGGTGGTCGGGGTACAGCTTGCTTTTATACGTTTTAGAGAGTCATGAGACATCAATCAATACATGTAAGATGTACATTGGTTTAATCTGGAAAGGCAGGAACACTTGAAACTGGGGCTTCCAGGTCATAGGTAGATTAAAAAAATTTTTTTATTATACTTTTAGGGTACATGTGCACAACATGCAGGTTTGTTACATATGTATACATGTGCCATGTTGGTGTGCTGCACCCATTAACTCGTCATTTAACATTAGGTATATCTCCCAATGCTATCCCTCCCCCTCCCCCCACCCCACAACAGGCCCCAGTGTGTGATGTTCCCCTTCCCCTGTCCATGTGTTCTCATTGTTCAATTCCCACCTATGAGTGAGAACATGTGGTGTTTGGTTTTTTATCCTTGCGATAGTTTGCTGAGAATGATGGTTTCCAGCTTCATCCATGTCCCTACAAAGGACATGAACTCATCATTTTTTATGGCTGCATAGTATTCCATGGTGTATATGTGCCACATTTTCTTAATCCAGTCTATCATTGTTGGACATTTGGATTGGTTCCAAGTCTTTGCTATTGTGAATAGTGCCACAATAAACATACGTGTGCACGTGTCTTTATAGCAGCATGTTTTATAATCCTTTGGGTATATACCCAGTAATAGGATGGCTGGGTCAAATGGTATTTCTAGTTCTAGATCCCTGAAGAATCACCACACTGACTTCCACAATGGTTGAACTAGAGTCCCACCAACGTGTAAAAGTGTTCCTATTTCTCCACATCCTCTCCAGCACCAGTTGTTTCCTGACTTTTTAATGATCGCCATTCTAACTGGTGTGAGATGGTATTTCATTGTGGGTTTGATTTGCATTTCTCTGATGGCCAGTGATGATGAGCATTTTTTCATGTGTCTATTGGTTGCATAAATGTCTTCTTTTGAGAAGTGTCTGTTCATATCCTTCTCCCACTTTTTGATGGGGTTGTTTGTTTTTTTCTTGTAAACTTGTTGGAGTTCATTGTAGATTCTGGATATTAGCCCTTTGTCAGATAAGTAGATTGCAAAAATCTTCTCCCATTCTGTAGGTTGCCTGTTCACTCTGATGGTAGTTTCTTTTGCTGTGCAGAAGCTCTTTAGTTTAATTAGATCCCATTTATCTAGTTTGGCTTTTGTTGCCATTGCTTTTGGTGTTTTAGACATGAAGTCCTTGCCCATGCCTATGTCCTGAATGGTATTGCCTAGGTTTTCTTCTAGGGTTTTTATGGTTTCAGGTCTAACATTTAAGTCTTTAGTCCATCTTGAATTAATTTTTGTGTAAGGTGTAAGGAAGGGATCCAGTTTCAGCTTTCTACATATGGCTAGCCAGTTTTCCCAGCACCATTTATAAAATAGGGAATCCTTTCCCCATTTCTTATTTTTGTCAGGTTTGTCAAAGATCAGATGGTTGTAGATATGTGGCATTATTTCTGAGGGCTCTGTTCTGTTCCATTGGTCTACATCTCTGTTTTGGTACCAGTACCATGCTGTTTTCGTTACTGTAGCCTTGTAGTATAGTTTGAAGTCAGGTAGCGTGATGCCTCCAGCTTTGTTCTTTTGGCTTAGGATTGTCTTGGCAATGCAGGCTCTTTTTTGGTTGCATATGAACTTTAAAGTAGTTTTTTCCAATTCTGTGAAGAAAGTCATTGGTAGCTTGATGGGGATGGCATTGAATCTATAAATTACCTTGGGCAGTATGGCCATTTTCACGATATTGATTCTTCCTACCCATGAGCATGGAATGTTCTTCATTTGTTTGTATCCTCTTTTATTTCATCGAGCAGTGATTTGTAGTTCTCCTTGAAGAGGTCCTTCACATCACTTGTAAGTTGGATTCCTGGGTATTTTATTCTCTTTGAAGCAATTGTGAATGGGAGTTCACTCATGATTTGGCTCTGTGTTTGTCTGTTATTGGTGTATAAGAATGCTTGTGATTTTTGCACATTGATTTTGTATCCTGAGACTTTGCTGAAGTCGCCTATCAGCTTAAGGAGATTTTGGGCTGAGACAATGGGGTTTTCTAGATATACAATCATGTCATCTGCAAACAGGGACAATTTGACTTCCTCTTTTCCTAATTGAATACCCTTTATTTCCTTCTCCTGCCTGATTGCCCTGGCCAGAACTTCCAACACTATGTTGAATAGGAGTGGTGAGAGAGGACATCCCTGTCTTGTGCCAGTTTTCAAAGGGAATGCTTCCAGTTTTTGCCCATTCAGTATGATATTGGCTGTGGGTTTATCATAGATAGCTCTTATTATTTTGAGATATGTCCCATCAATACCTAATTTATTGAGAGTTTTTAGCATGAAGAGTTGTTGAATTTTGTCAAAGGCCTTTTCTGCATCTATTGAGATAATCATGTGGTTTTTGTCATTGGTTCTCTTTATATTATGGATTACGTTTATTGATTTGTGTACATTGAACCAGTCTTGCATCCCAGGGATGAAGCCCACTTGATCATGGTGGATAAGCTTTTTGATGTGCTGCTGGATTCGGTTTGCCAGTATTTTATCGAGGACATTTGCATCGATGTTCATCAGGGATATTGGTCTAAAATTCTCTTTTTTCATTGTGTCTCTGCCAGGCTTTGGTATCAGGATGATGCTGGCATCATACAATGAGTTAGGGAGGTTTCCCTCTTTTTCTATTGATTGGAATAGTTTCGGAAGGAATGGTACCAACTCCTCCTTGTACCTCTGGTAGAATTCGGCTGTGAATCCATCTGGTCCTGGACTTTTTTTGGTTGGTAAGCTATTAATTATTGCATCAATTTCAGAGCCTGTTATTGGTGTATTCAGAGATTCAACTTCTTCCTGGTTTAGTCTTGGGAGGGTGTATATGTCGAGGAATTTATCCATTTCTTCTAGATTTTCTAGTTGATTTGTGTAGAGGTGTTTATAATATTCTCTGATGGTAGTTTCTATTTCTGTGGGATCGGTGGTGATATCCCCTTTATCATTTTTTTATTGCGTCTATTTGATTCTTCTCTCTTTTCTTCTTTATTAGTCTTGCTGGTAGTCTATCAATTTTGTTGATCTTTTCAAAAAACCAGCTCCTGGATTGATTGATTTTTTGAAGGGTTTTTTGTGTCTCTATTTCCTTCAGTTCTGCTCTGATCTTAGTTATTTCTTGCCTTCTGGTAGCTTTTGAATGTGTTTGCTCTTGCTTCTCTAGTTCTTTTAATTGTGATGTTAGGGTGTCAATTTTAGCTCTTTCCTGCTTTCTCTTGTGGGCATTTAGTGCTATAAATTTCCCTCTACACACTGCTTTGAATGTGTCCCAGAGATTCTAGTATGTTGTGTCTTTGTTCTTGTTGGTTTCAAAGAATATCTTTATTTCTGCCTTCATTTTGTTATGTACCCAGTAGTCATTCAGGAGCAGGTTGTTCAGTTTCCATGTAGTTGAGTGGTTTTGAGTGAGTTTCTTAATCCTGAGTTCTAGTTTGATTGCACTGTGGTCTGAGAGACAGTTTTTTATAATTTCTGTTCTTTTACATTTGCTGAGGAATAAGTATGGTGTGATGCTGAAAAGAATGTATATTCTGTTGATTTGGGGTGGAGAGTTCTGTAGATGTCTATTAGGTCTGCTTGGTGCAGAGCTGAGTTCAATTGCTGGATATCCTTGTTAACTTTCTGTCTCGTTGATCTGTCTAATGTTGACAGTGGGGTGTTAAAGTCTCCCATTATTATTGTGTAGGAGTCTAAGTCTCTTTGTAGGTCTCTAAGGACTTGCTTTATGAATCTGGGTGATCCTGTATTGGTTGCATATATATTTAGGATAGTTAGCTCTTCTCGTTGAATTGATCCCTTTACCATTATGTAATGGCCTTCTTTGTCTCTTTTGATCTTTGTTGGTTTAAAGTCTGTTTTATCAGAGACTAGGATTGCAACCACTGCCTTTTTTTGTTTTCCATTTGCTTGGTAGATCTTCCTCCATCCCTTTATTTTGAGCCTATATGTGTCTCTGCAGATGAGATGGGTTTCCTGAATACAGCACACTGATGGGTCTTGACTCTTTATCCAATTTGCCAGTCTGTGTTTTTTAATTGGAGCATTTAGCCCATTTACATTTAAGGTTAATATTGTTATGTGTGAATTTGATCCTGTCATGATGATGTTAGCTGGTTATTTTGCTCGTTAGTTGATGCAGTTTCTTCCTAGCCTCGATGGTCTTTACAATTTGACATGATTTTGCAGTGGCTGGTACTGGTTGTTCCTTTCCATGTTTAGTGCTTCCTTCAGGAGCTCTTTTAGAGCAGGCCTTGTGGTGACAAAATCTCTCAGCATTTGCTTGTCTGTAAAGGATTTTATTTCTCCTTCACTTATGAAGCTGAGTTTGGCTGGATATGAAATTCTGGGTTGAAAATTCTTTTCTTTAAGAATGTTGAATATTGGCCCCCACTCCCTTCTGGCTTGTAGAGTTTCTGCCAAGAGATCAGTTATTAGTCTGATGGGCTTCCCTTTGTGGGTAACCTGACCTTTCTCTCTGGCTGCCCTTAACATTTTTTCCTTTATTTCAACTTTGGTGAATCTGACAATTATGTGTCTGGGAGTTGCTCTTCTCAAGGAGTATCTCTGTGGCGTTCTCCGTATTTCCTGAATCTGAATGTTGGCCTGCCTTGCTAGATTGGGGAAGTTCTCCTGGATAATATCCTGCAGTGTTTTCCAACTTGGTTCCATTCTCCCCGTCACTTTCAGGTACACCAATCAGACGTAGATTTGGTCTTTTCACATAGTCCCATATTTCTTGGAGGCTTTGTTCGTTTCTTTTTATTCTTTTTTCTCTAAACTTCCCTTCTTGCTTCATTTCATTCATTTCATCTTCCATCACTGATACCCTTTCTTCCAGTTGATCGAATCGGCTACTGAGGCTTGTACATTCATCACGTAGTTTTCTTGCCTTGGTTTTCAGCTCCATCAGGGCCTTTAAGGACTTCTCTGCATTGGTTATTCTAGTTAGCCATTCGTCTAATTTTTTTTTTCAAGGTTTTTAACTTCTTTGCCGTGGGTTCGAACTTCCTCCTTTAGCTCAGAGTAGTTCAATTGTCCGAAGCCTTCTTCTCTCAACTCGTCAAAGTCATTCTCCGTCCAGCTTAGTTCCGTTGCTGGTGAGGAGCTGCATTCCTTTGGAGGAGGAGAGGTGCTCTGATTTTTAGAGTTTCCAGTTTTTCTGCTGTTTTTTCCCCATCTTTGTGGTTTTATCGAGCTTTGGTCTTTGATGATGGTGACGTACAGATGGGGTTTTGGTGTGGATGTCCTTTCTGTTTGTTAGTTTTCCTTCTAAAAGTCAGGACCCTCAGCTGCAGGTATGTTGCAGTTTGCTGGAGGTCCATTCCAGACCCTGTTTGCCTGGGTATCAGTAGCAGGGGCTGCAGAACAGCAGATATTGGTGAACAGCAAATGTTGCTGCCTGATCGTTCCTCTGGAAGTTTTGTCTCAGAGGAGTACCCGGCCATGTGAGGTGTCAGTCTGCCTCTACTGGGGGATGCCTCCCAGTTAGGCTACTCGGCGGTCAGGGACTCACTTGAGGAGTCAGTCTGTCCATTCTCAGATCTTCAGCTGCATGCTGGGAGAACCACTACTCTCTTCAAAGCTGTCAGACAGGGACATTTAAGTCTGCAGAGGATTCTGCTGCCTTTTGTTTGGCTATGCCCTGCCCCCAGAGGTGGAGTCTACAGATGCAGGCAAGCCTCTTTGAGCTGCGGTGGGCTCCACCCAGTTCGAGCTTCCTGGCCGCTTTATTTACCTACTCAAGCCTCGGCAATGGCGGGCACCCCTCCCCCAGCCTCGCTGCTGCCTTGCAGTTTGATCTTAGACTGCTGTGCTAGCAATGAGCAAGGCTCCACGGGCGTAGGACCCTCCGAGCCATGCACGGGATATAATCTCCTGGTGTGCCGTTTGCTAAGACCATTGGAAAAGTGCAGTATTAGGGTGGGAGTGACCTGATTTTCCAGGTGCTGTCTATCATCCCTTTCTTTGACTAGGAAAGGGAATTCCCTGACCCCTTGCGCTTCCTGGGTGAGGCGATGCCTTGCCCTGCTTTGGCTCACGCTTGGTGCGCTGCACCCACTGTCCTGCACCCACTGTCTGACACTCCTCAGTGAGATGAACCCGGCACCTCAGTTGGAAATGCAGAAATCACCCATCTTCTGCGTTGCTCACGCTGGGAGCTGTAGACTGGAGCTGTTCCTATTTGGCCATCTTGGCTCCTCCTCATTTTAAAATGTTCTGATCAGCAGTTGGTTGAAAGAGTTATCAATGAGTGTCTGGGTTACAGTAAGAAGTTGTAGAGACCAAGGTTTTATCATGCAGATGAAGCCTCCAGGTGGCAGGCTTCACAGAGAATAGACTGTAAATATTTCTTATCAGACTTTAAGAGTCTGTTCTGTCAGTAATTCCAAAAGAGAGGAGGGTATAATTAGGCATATCCAGCTCCCTGCTTCCATAATGACCTGAGCTAGTTTTTCAAGTTCACTTTGGAATGCCCTTGGCCGAGAGAAGGCTTCCATTCTGATAGTGTGGGTTGGGGGGAAGAGGGGATGGTGCTTATAATTTTATTTTTGGTTTAAACAGGTATCTAGAGTAGTCATATCCATCAGGACAAAAAATAGAATGATGGTTTCCTAGGCTGGAGGAGGGGAGAATTGAGAGATATTTTTAGATACAGATTTATTTTATTTTATTTTATTTTATTTTTTTGAGATGGTATCTCACTCTGTTGCCCAGGTTGGAGTGCAGTGGTGTAATCTCAGCTCACTGCAACCTCCACTTCCTAGGTTCAAACTATTGTCCCACCTCAGCTTCCCGAGTAGCTGGGATTACAGGCATGCGCCACCATATCCAGCTAGTTTTTGTATTTTTAGTGGAGATGGGGTTTCACCATGTTGGCCAGGCTGGTCATGAACTGCCGACCTCTGATGATCTGCCCACCTCGGCCTCCCAAAATGTTGGGATTACAGGTGTGAGCCACTGCGCCCAGCCTAGATACAGAATTTCAGTTGAAGAAGATAAGTTCTAGAGATGGATGGTGGTAATGGTTGTACAGCAGTGTGCATGTACTGAATGTCTCTGAACTATATACTTAAAAATGTTTAAAATGGTAAACCTGATATATATATGTTAAAGAAATGTTTAAAGTTGGCCCATATCTGGAGGATACAGATCATCAGAATATCTTAATCATTGCTGGTGGGAGTGTAAATTGGTATAGCGCTTTTGGAACAATTTGGCGTTATCCTGTAAAGATAAACATTTCCATGCCCTTTGACCTGCCATTTTGCTCCTAGGCATATACATAAAAGAAACTTTGTTTTTTTTTTTGAGACAGAGTTTGCTCTGTTGTCCAGGCTCAAGTAAAGTGGCACAATCACAGCTCACTGCATCCTTGATCTTCTGGCCTCCAGCTATCCTCCCACTTCACCCTGCTAGTAGCTGGGACTACAGGTGCATGCCACCATGCCCAGCAAATTTTTTTTTGTTTTTTTTTGGTAGAGGCAGGGTTTCACTATTGTATTAGTTCATTTTTACGCTGCTGATAAAAACATAACCGAAACTAAAACCAAAAAGAGGTTTAATTGGACTTACAGTTCCACGTGGCTGGGGAGGCCTCAGAATCTTGGTGGGAGGCAAAAAGCACTTCTTTTTTTTTTTTTTTTTTTTTTTTTTGAGACGGAGTCTCACTCTGTCACCAGGCTGGAGTGCAGTGGCGTGATCTCGGCTCACTGCAACCTCTGCCTCCTGGGTTCAAGTGATTCTTCTGCCTCAACCTTCCAAGTAGCTGGGACAACAGGCGCACGCCATCATGCCCAACTAATTTTTGTATTTTTAGTAGAGATGGGGTTTCATCATGATGGCCAGGCTGGTCTCCATCTCCTGACCTTGTGATCTGCCCACCTTGGCCTCCCAAAGTGCTGGGATTACAGGCCTGAGCCACCAGGCCTGGTCAAAGGCATTTCTTAATGGCAGTGGCAAGAGATAAATGAGGAAGAAGTAAAAGCGGAAACACCTGATAAAACCATCAGATCTCGTGAGATTTACTATCACGAGAATAGCACAGAAAAGACCAGCCCCCATGATTCAGTTACCTCCCCTTGGGTCCCTCCCACGACACGGGGGAATTCTGGGAGATACAATTCAAGTTGAGATTTGGGTGGGGACACAGCCAAACCATATCAACTATCTTGTCCAAGCTGGTCTTGAACTCCTGGGCTCAAGCGATCATCCTGCCTCAGCCTCCCAAAGTGCTGGGATTATAGGAATAAGCCACTGCCCCCAGTTCAAAAAAACTTTTTAACGAGTATCAGGTCATGCATACAAGAGTGTTCATGTGAGCACTCTTTTTAATACCAAAACCTGAAAACAACCCAAATGCCCATTAACAGGCAAGGGAATAGACAAATTAATTAGAAGCTCCTGGAGGACAGGGACCACCTCTACAAAAAATAAAAAATCAGTACCTTCCCCATCTCACACAGTGTCCCAGGACCCTGCAGGGCAGTGGAGGTGCACCCATAAATAAATAAGGATATATTTATATCCACTCCAAGTGAATGTACCATAATTATATGCCATAATGTGGATTAATCCTAGCAATATAGTATTAAGTGAAAAGCATATGTCCTTAAAGATTACATATAAAGTTAATAACATCTAAACACTCCCTCCCCCCAAAAAAACCCCACTCTTTTTGAATATATTTACATGTGACATTAAAAGGGAAAACAGAATGATTTCAGTAGTGTTACCTTGGAATGGGGAAGAGGCTGGGTGATACAACTGAAGATCAAACAGGTGAATATGAATGGAAATTCATTTCCTAGTTTTCATGTTGGTGATAATGTCAAGTGTATTTGTTGTATTATTTTAAATGAATGAATGAATGAATGAAGGATTGAGGGTCTTGAATGCACCAACAATGAGAATGTGTCATGAGTCGAGAATAATGATGTATCTAATTCTATGCATCTGTGCATCTGAAGGGGCCTTAGAAAATGCATTCTGTATCTGTTTGATATAAATAAGGGGAAGATGGTGGGGGGGGGAGTGATGTTTTAAATTACTCAGCATCAAATAAAATGGATACTCTGGAAAAATGTGTCACATTTCTCCTGTGGTTTCTAGTACCCTCTGACCAATTGCCACTTTTGCCTGGGCATTTAAGCATCCCAATTTTAGGAGACTGGTGATAGTGGAAAGTCAGTGAAACATCTTAAGCTTGCATAAGAATTTTGCAAAACAAGCAGTGTTTCTTTTTTAAAAAAAAAATTAGTCTGGAAGCCTTATATCAGATAGATTCATTTGGGAGAGAGATCACATTCAGGGAAACCAACTATTAGGCTGTCACTATAACACAATTTTTAGTGAGGAATCCCTTGACCAAGTAAGTAGTATCAGCAGAAATTAAGAAGAAAGAGCAAATCCAAGAGCATTGGTGGTTCATAGAATTAAAGATATTGTGGTTCTTAGAATTAAACAAGATGTGCCAGTTATAAACAAACAAAATAATTAAAAGATGAGGTGAATAAGAGAATACATCAACAATTCTAAGGTTTCTATTCGGGCATTTCAAGATCTTATATGGCCTTATACAATTCTCTTTAGAAAAAGAATACATAATTATGACTCAAAATTAGGTACAAAAGTGAATATTTATTTAGAAGGGGCCAATGCAAATGAGCAGCCCACTCATTTGTTTAATTTTAACAAATGTCTGAAGTTTAATGTTATTAACTTCATGGTAAATTTGTCTCTGGATTTTAACCTGATATTGTGACAAGCCTGCCATAGAGTGGTTGGGAAGACCTCCTTCATTGGGAAAGGAAAATATAAAAACTTCAGTTTGACTAAACTTTTATGATCTTAGAGTCAGAAGGGGGCCTTAGAAAATGCATAAATACCTAAACAAATCCACATTCCTTTTCTCATGCATGAGTTGAGGCAGTCTTAATAGAAGCCTAAAATCTGAGGTGACCTTGCGCATTACAAATACACACTGTCATGCTTACTCAATATTCCCATGATACATTGTTGGCCAATAATCCATTTTTGCTCACTGTTTAAACTCTTACCCTTCACCTTAGTGATTTACTCTGCTACCAAAAAAGACACTGATTTTATTCACACAGAAACATAAATATCATAAGCAATACTGTTGAATGTTCAGAGCTTCAGGTCCCTGACTCTAGGCCTTTTCAGGAGCTCCATCTCAAATTGACTTACACTTCTATCACAGGGCCTGTTCTATAATGGATACTCAAAAATAACTGTGAAAGAGATGAAATGCATACTCTGTTTACAAAAGCACAGGAGATCAAGAGCGGTGGCTCACGCCTGCAATCCCAACACTTCGGGAGGCTGAGGCAGGTGGATTACTTGAGGCCAGGAGTTTGAAACCAGCTTGAACAACAAGGTGAATCCTCGCCTCTACTAAAAATACAAAAATTAGTGGGCGTGGTGGTGGGCAACTGTAATCCCAGCTGCTTGGGAGGCTGAGAAACAAGAATCGCTTGAACCCGGGAGGCAGAGGCTGCAGCGAACCAAGATCACACCACTGCACTCCAGCCTGGGCAACAGAGCAAGACTGTCTTGTAAAAAAGAAGAAGAAAAAAAAAAGCAAAAGGAATTTTTTACTTTCTCTTAGTGTGGTACAGATAACATGCTTTCCCAGTTAGAGGGAAATGACTCTAAAAGGCTAGCCAGACTTCTTTCATTCACTTCAACATGATTCTCTCATTTTTGTGTGGTCTGTTCTCAGTGTTCTCTCTTGAACCCTGTGGGAATCATTTCTTTCATGTGTTCTGAACATGGGAAAGGTCAATTGGCTAATTCAGATAAAACCTCCTGAAGTGACTATACCGTGATGATCTTACCTCTATGTGAGGCCTGATCTTCAACTTTGAAAGTTTAGAAAATTGATTATATGGGTTCATACAATAGTGATCAGCCTCCAAGAAATTTAATTGAAAGAAAGTGACTTTATCAATGGCATTTAGACTAATGCTTACCACATAGTAGGTGCTCAGTAACTGTTGGTTAAGTTAATGACTGAAAGAAGAGACAACTAAATGAAAGTTGGTTGGAGATAACAGATACTTTAGTATACATAGAGGACTTTTGAAAAGCTGGAAAAATAGGTCAAACTTTGAATTGCAGATAAACACAAATCCAAACTTGATTCAGAAGACAGTAGGAATGGGGCCTTTGAAGATTTTAGAGCCAAAAGAAGTGACACGATCAAAGTGGTGCCTTAGGAAAATTAATTTGGCAGTACAATTCAGGATGGATGGCAGGTTAGCAGACTATTATTGAAGTATAGGCATACAGAAAACAAGAGCCAGAACTGGGGTGTTATTGAAAAAAAAAAAGACGAATACAAGGAACTAGAAAAGTAATTCACAGGACTAATTTGACATGGTTTGGAGGATAGGAAAAGAAGAGAAATGATGAAAATTATTCGGTATTTCTAGAGTAGCAGATGGAAGAATGGATCTGTAACAACAACAAAAATATAAGCTCAGCTTGGTCTTGTATGCTCTTTGTCAATCTTTTTATTTATCCCCTTCGTTAAATCCCTGTCCAATTCCCTTTTTGGAATCTTTCCTACCTCTCTCACATCACTTACCACATTGGAGGTCATCTCATTTTTATTCAATAACCACACTTCTTTCTTCTCAGAAATGTAATTTGTGGTAAATTCTCTCTTGCGCCTGTGTTTCATTTTGGACCTTTTCTGGTGTTTTCACTAATATATTGTTACTTTTATCCAGTGTATTTTTCACCTAAGAAATTGTAGTTTTCATTTCTAGGAGTTCAGTTTGGGCCTTTTTAATATCTTTCCTGTCTTTACTTAACCATATTTAGTCTTTCCTCTAGCTTTTTCACAATATGGAATGCAGTTATAATACTGTTTTATACTGTTTTTAACTACCTTCCTTTATCCAAAAATCTCAACTAACTCCAAGTAGGATATATATAATAAGAAAGCCATGTAAAGGCACATTATAATCAGATTGCTGACCACTGCTAATGAAAAGAAAACTGAACAACAGTTAGAAGTAAAGATTAGCCAATCATGGTGGCTCATACTGTAATCCCAGCACTTTGGGAGGCTGAGGCAGGAGAATGGCTTGACCCCAGGAGTTCAAAACCAGCCTGGCAACATAGTGAGACCCTGTCTCTACAAAAAATTTAAAATTTTAATAATTAGCCAGGTGTGGTAGTCTCGGCTATTCAGGAGGCTGTGGCAGGAGGCTTGCTTGAGCCCAAGATTTTGAGGCCGCAGTGAGCTATGATCACACCACTGCACTCCAGCCTAGGTGACAGCAAGATACAGACTCTAAAAAAATTAAAATTATAAATAAGACAAAAACATGTATATGCATTTGATTCAGAGCTTCAAAATATATTAAGGAAAAACTGACAGATCTGAAGGAAAAAATAGATAAATCCATATTTATACCTAGATTACAAGTAGACAGAAAATCAGTAAGGATATAAAAGACTTGAAAAATGTTATTAGCAAAATAGATTTTAGATCTAAATGTAAAAAAATGAAACCATATAAGCCCTAGGAAAAAACAGGATGAATTCCTTTAGAACTGGGAGAAGGGAAAATCTTTTCTTAATTATTACTCAAAATCAGAAGAAATCATAATAAAGGCTGACAATTTTAAAAACATAAGGATTAAAGTAAAAAACATTTGCATGGGTATAGAAAGACCATAAGCATAGCAAAAGACAAATGAAAAACAGAAGATAATTGCAGCTTGTACCACAGACAAAAGGCTGATTTGCCTTAAAAACTGAGAAGATTACTCTAAAAGTATGATAGGACAATGGATAAAATTCACAAATAGTTCACAAAAAAAGATAGCAAATGCTCCTTAAATATATGAAAAGATAATTGAGCTCACTCGTAGTAAGAGAAAGTTCATTGAAAGCAACACTAATACATTATTCCTTAGCTATCATTTTATCTCAACTATCAAATTGTCAGAAATCCAGAAATGTGACAGCACATTCTGTTAGCATGGCTGTGAATTATCAGACACTCTCATACATTACCAATGGCAATGCAAAATTATACAACCCCATAAAAGAGAATTAGCATTATCTAATTACATATGCC
The DNA here is from genome assembly GCF_000001405.40 of Homo sapiens. NCBI lineage: Eukaryota > Metazoa > Chordata > Mammalia > Primates > Hominidae > Homo > Homo sapiens. The sequence goes on from NC_000001.11 coordinate 165,791,065, forward strand.
AATCAACTTTCAGGAAACTACCTTGAAGAGACATTTCCATATATAAAAGTATATTTCAAAGATGTTTCATTGTAACGTAATTTGTAATAGCAATGGATTAGAAACAACCTAAATGTCCATCAGTATGGGATTATTGAATAAGCTCTAGTATTCACTATTTAACTCAGAGCTTGAATTTAGCATCACTAAACCTGACATTATGTGCCTTCTGGTAAGATGTATTATGAAATATATAGCATTACCTATAAATAATTCTTGTCAAGCTCATTTTCATCTGAATTTAATCAAGATTTTAGGCTTAACTCCTAGTTTTCAGGAAATACAGAGGGTACAGGGATTAGATAGTAACACCATGAAGAAATAATTAGACAAATCCAGAATGTGGTGCATGCCACAAGAAAATAGGTCTACTCTCTCCAAAAAAAAAAAAAAAAAAAAAAAAAAATCAATGTTATGGAGAAAAAAATGTGAGGATATGCTCTAGATTTTACAAGTCTGAGAAGACAAAAAAGTGCTATGAGAGAAACTTCATTAGTTCTTGTTCATATTAAGCAGGTATAAGAGATATTTTGGGGACAGTTGGGGAAACTGGAATACAGATTGAAAGATTATTTTAGGGAATTCATATTGTGGTTACATAGGGGTATGTCCTTATCCTTACAACAGGCATATTATAGCATTTAGGGTGAAGTTTGATGTCTGCTGTTTATTTTAAAATGATTCCAAAAAAGTAAGAAAAAGCAGATATTGCAAAAAATGCTAGTAATTGTTGGATCTACATGATATACACTTGTTCATTGTATTGCTCTCTCAACATTTCTGTTTGAATGTTTTTATTAAAATATTGAAATTTTTCACTATAATTAGTCTAAGTGGAGGTTTTTTCTTCTCTATATTGCAGGCACTTTGTGAAGCCTTTCAATCTGAGGACTTTCACCTTTCTTTAGTTCTAGGATATTCTTGTCATTTCTCCAGATATTCTCTCCCCTCCATTTTTTTCTGTCTTGGATTCATGTTGCATATATTGGTTTCAACATTACCATTTCCTGACTCCATATGGTTTTTCTTTCATATTTTACCTTAAAAATTTTTTTTTAAAGATTCTTCTTAGCGTTTCCGACCTTATTTCCTAGCTCACAAGTTTGTTCTTTGGATTTACTCATTTTTCACATTACTCCTTTCATTGAGTGCTTTTCTTTCAGTCATTATATGTTTGAGTCCCAGCATAATTTTCTTGTTCTTTTTTCCTTTTCCCAATATCCTCTCTTAACTCTTTAAGGATATTTAATATGTTTGTTTTAAATTCTTGTTCTGTTTGGTCTATTAATTCTCTGTTAGAATGTTTCATTTTGTTTTTCCTGTACAATGCCTGTTCTCCTCAGATATTTGGACTGGACAATCTCCTATCATCTGCCCATCACCCCCACTTAACTTCTGTCGGGGAACTCTGTCCCTCATGGAGCTTGCTTCTCTGCTCTGCTCTCTCCTAAGAGCTGCCTTCTTGCATTCACTTGAGGTGAGGGGAGGTGGGGAAGGATCCAGAGGAAAAAAATGGAGCCAACTAGTCTGCCTGCACCTATAATTACCTCCTCCAGTTTTTTCTTCTTCTTCTTCTTCTTCTTTTTTTTTTTTTGAGATGGAGTTTTGCTCTTGTTGCCCAGGGTGGAGTGCAATGGCACAATCTCGGCTGACTGCAACCTTTGCCTCCCGGGTTCAAGTGATTCTCCTGCCTCAGCCTCCTGAGTAGCTGGGATTACAGGCATGCATCACCATGCCTGGCTAATTTTGTATTTTTAGTAGAGATGATATTTCTCCATGTTGGTCAGGCTGGTCTCGAACGCCTGACCTCAGGTGATCTGCCCATTTCGGCCTCCCAAAGTGCTGGGATCACAGGCGTGAGCCACCGTGCCCAGCCCTCCTCCTCCAGGTTCTAACACTGCCCCAATATTGCCTTGACACTAGCCTGATGGTGGTATTAGTGATATTTTTCTTCCACACAGTAGAGAAAGAGTAAGCAATGATGTGCCCAGTTCAATGTAGGGGAGAAAGAAAAAGAAAAACCCAAGTAAATTCTCATCTGGAATATCTATTTTCATGACACTGGTGCTCTTAGTTGTTCAGACTGCTATTTCCTTCCATTCAGAAACTGACAGACTCTTTTTACTCCCAACGGTTTCTTACAGTAAGCATCCTCACAGTTGGGTTGAAGGAGGAAGACATGGTAATTTTCCGTCTTGTTCCCAAAGGGTCATTTTTGAAAGACATTTTACTTTTTTTTTTTCCTCTCAGAGACAGAGCCTCACTCTGTTGCCCAGGCTGAAGTGTAGTGGTGCAATCATGGCTTACTGCAGCCTTGAATTCCTGAGCTCAAGCTATCCTCCCACCTCAGCCTCCTCAGTAGCTGGGAATACAGGCACACACCACCACCCCTGGCTAATTTTTAAATTTTTCTGTAGACACGAGGTCTCGCTATGTTGCCCTGGCTGGTCTCAAACTCCTGGGCTCAAGCAATCCTTCTGCCTTTGCCTCCCAAAGTGCTGGGATTACAGGCATGAGCCAGAGTGCCCAGCCTGGGAATCATAACAAACTGTACAGCCACTGCACTTGGCCTGATATTTTACTTTTGAATCCTTTTCCTTTCAAATCATTTTCTTGTGAAGTGTCAGTTTATGCCACCACTGTTGTTGATTTTCTCTTCTACAATTATTGTCTAGTTCCACAACATCCTTATTTTTGTCAGCAGCTTTGCTTATGATTTGAGCAGCTCTCAATTACTGTTTTCTCTGACTTTCTGAAAAATCCTACATCTTTTGCAAGAGATTTTCAATTTGACTTTTCAAAGAGTTTGGAATAAATTTGCAAATAGATGAATGGGGACAGAAAGATATATAAGGAGGGATGCTTAAGAACTAATTTTACAAATGATTGGGTCGTTGGCAAATATATATTAGTTAACTTTTGCTTCTTAGTGCAATCTCTTAACTGTGGGGACTTTTCTAATGAGACCTTGACTATAAAGTACCCCCTACAGGCATTTAATAGGGCGATGGTGAGTCTTATATGAGCTAATGTCCATGAATCACTTAGCATTTGTTCCTGGCACAAGTAGAGTTGGTTACTTAATGCTTTGTGTTGCTGCTGTGTACTGTAATACCACATCACACAGTATTATAATTGCTTAATTATTTATACACCTATATTTCCTAAGAATCTGTAATTCCTAAAAGGTAAAAATGATTTCTAATCAATCTTTGTACTCCTAATACCCAATAAAGTGCACTTCATATATGGTAGACATTCAAAACATATTGAGTCAGTAAATGAAGGAAGGAATGAATAGCTATTTCCCTCATCTACTTACCCTCCCCCACTCAAAAGCTATTTCTTCTAGGCCCTGAAACAATTTTATTTTTTGCTTTTAATTTAAAAGGTTTTTGTTTGTTTGCTTGTTTGATTTGAGGCAGATTTGATTTTTTTGAGACAGGGTCTCACTCTGTCACCCAGGCTGGAGTGCAGTGGCCCAAGCATGGCTTACTACAGTCTTAACCTTCCAGGCTCAAGTGATCCTCTCATCTCAGCCTCCTGAGTAGCTGGGACCCCAGGTGTGTGCCATCACTCCTAGCTAATTTTTATTTATTATTTGTAGAGACGCAATCTCCCTGTGTTGCTCAGGCTGATCTCGAACTCCTGGACTCAAATGGTTCTCTCGCCTCAACCTCCCAAAATGCTGAGAGAGTATAGGCAGGAGCCGCCATGCCCAGCTTTTTTTTTTTTTAATGAGGCAAATATCTGTATACTAATATGAAATATCCTCCAAGATATAGTAATTGTTTTTATTATTTATTTATTTATTTATTTTTTGAGACTGAGTGTCGCTCTATCACCCAGGCTGGAGTGCAGTGGCAGGATCTGCATTCACTGCAACCTCTGCCTCCCTGGGTCAAGTGATTCTCATGCCTCAGCTGCCTGAGTAACTGGGATTACAGGCACCCGCCACCATGCCCAGATAATTTTGGTATTTTTAGTAGAGACGGTTTCGCCATGTTGGCCAGGCTGGTCTTGAACTCCTGACTCAAGTGATCCACCCGCCTTGACCTCCCAAAGTGCTGTGATTACAGGCATGAGCCACTGCGCCTAGCAGTAATTGTTTTTAAATGCAGAATAGTCTGTGGCATATGCTACTATTGTGTGTGTGTGTGTGTGATATGCATAGACTATCTTAAGAAAACATGAGAAACCAGTAAGAGTGACTGCCTTTGGGGAGGAACAATGGAAGCCACATGGGAAAGATTTACTTTTTTCCTGTATACTCTTTAGTATTTTTTTTTTACCTTGTGCACATATTACCTATTCTGTCTATATGTATTTTTTAATTTTACTTTACAATTTTTCTTTACCATTTCTGAGACCTAAAATAACTGGTAAATGGGAGGAGTGGGAAGATGTTGGAAGATGATAAATTTAGGTTAGAGAAGTATTTAAATATGGGTTTGTTACTTGCATATATAGAAACATATAAGAGTTTAAAAATGTTTGTTCTAGTCTTCATTTACCTAAAGGCTTACATGTTGCATATTTAAAATTGGCCTAACGATTACAGAGAACTAAAAATTAGATTGGACCTAACAGTTACGCTTTTTGTGTTTCTAAATGATTTCATACTTTTCATCACATAATCTGCCTTTTCTATGAACTTTGCACCTCTGGCCACACCAGGTTTTGTTTCTGTGACTTTTCATTCCAACCATAGGTGTTGCTGTTACTCTTGCATATATAACCTATAAACATGCTGAAATATCCCAAATTTTAAAAACTATATATAATTTAAGATTTCTTCCTGAAACATGGTAGACCTTGTCAGTCCCCTGCCCGCCTTTGGGTCTATTGTATTTATGCTAGCAACTTCCAGGTGCTGAAGATCTTCTGGCAACAGAAGCCTCTGCCCCTTTAGGGAGGCCAATCAGCAACTGAAGAGAATTAAGGTCTCTTGGGAACAGCCCTGAACCAATGACTGGCAGAGTTGGTTTATAAACACCCCAGCACCCTTCCCAGGTGGGATAACTCAGAAATACTTATCTTCACTGACTCCCAGAGTTCCATTTAACCACAGTGACAACCGGCTTCATAACTTGGTGGCCATCCCTTCCCTTTTTCAGTTTCCCACATTCTTCTACTGGTATTTTCTGGAATCTCCTCCAAAATAAACTATTTACATTCAAATCCTTATCTCAAGGTCTGTTTGTGGGGAATCTGAATTAACACATAAGGGCTGAAATCAGGTGAGATATACTATCCTAGATGCTTTTAGAGCTATCAAATACCAGAAGTGAAGGAGGCCTTAAGGATTATTTATTCTTTTTTCTTCTGTTTGTAAATGATTTCATTACTTTAAACCCTGAGAAGCTAAGGAAGGGATTGTCTATTCTAATCAAACCACATTGCTCAATATGGGATGTCTGTAGGCCTGGCATGGTGGCTCATGCCAGTAATCCCAACACTTTGGGAAGCTGAAGCTTGAGGATCCCTTGAGGCTAAGAGTTTTGAGACCAGCCTGGGCAACATAGGGAGCCCTCTCTTTACAAAAATTAATTAATTAATTAATTAAAATAAATAATGGGAGGTTTGTAAAGTGATTTTCTATAAACAGATGCTTATTTTTAGTGCACTTGCATTGTAGTAGGAGAACTAACGTTTTGCCTATTAATTCAACAAGTATGTATGGGTATGGGACTACTATACGTAGGGTGTCCTGTTAGGCTCTAGAATGGATACAAAGATTAAGAAAGTGACCTTGCCAGGCACGGTGGCTCACGCTTGTAATTCCAACACTGGGAGGCCAAGATGGGCAGATTGCTTGAGCCCAGGAGTTCAAGACCAGCCTAGGCAACATGGCAAAACCCTGTCTCTATGAAATATACAAAAAGTAGTTGGGCATCATGGCGTGTGCTTGTGGTCCCAGCTACTTGGGAGGCTGAGGCAGGAGGATGATTTGAGCCCCAGAGTCAGATGTTGTAGTGAGCCAAGATCATGCCACTACACTTTAGCCTGGGCAACAGAGCCAGACCCTGTTCCCCCCATCCCCCTCACCCAAAAAAATGACCTCTTATCCTAAAGGCATTCATAGGCTAGTACTAGGGAAAAAATTCTGCAAGGCAGAATATTCAGAGGTGCATGCAAAATGCTGTAGGTGTTTTAAGGAAGAAAAAAATTCTACGCAGCTAGAGAGAATCACGAATAAGGTGGCATATACATTTTAATTTCAATAGGTGTGATGAGAAGAAGGCCCTTTTGATGAGGGAAAACATTGGGTGTATTTAGGAAATGGTAAGCGTAGCCTCATTACTGGAGTGTTGGTATGTATAAGGAAAAAGGGAAAAATAAAACTGGAAAGGCTTGAATACCAGACTAAGGAATTTGGTCTTAATTTGCTAGGTTTTGAAGGCCATCAGAGTTTACCTTTAAAACAGGCATTAGAGGCCGGGTGTGGCAGCTCACACCTGTAATCCCAGCACTTTGGGAGGCCAAAGCGGGTGGATCAGTTGAGGCCAGGAGCTTGAGACCAGCCTGGCCAACATGGTGAAAACCCATCTCTACTAAAAATACAAAAATTAGCCAGGCGTGGTGGTGCATACCTGTAATCCCAGCTACTCAGGAGGCTGAGGCACAAGAATCGCTTGAAACCGGGAGGTGGAGGTTGTAGTGAGCCAAGATTGCGCCACTGCATTCCAGCCTGGTGACAAAGCAAGACTCTGTTTCAAAAAAAAAAAATAAATAAATAAAAAAGAAGAAGAAGAAGAAGAAGGAGAAGGAGAAGAGAAGCATTAGAGGGCCTGGCAGAATAGAAGAGAAAGGAAACTTGTAGAAACCAGTTAGAAGTTTCAAAAATAATAGAAGAAAAAGTGAGTATCAATGGAAAGCTTGAAATTCTCTATTCTTTCCTAATTGAAAGAACTCAGTCAACCCTCCTTAATTTGAATAGATATCTTCTGATATATTCTTCAGTGTCAATATGGATTTTGGGATCTGTAACGAAGTTTGCTTAAAGTAGAGCACTGAACAATAATCAAGGCAATGATTTAAGAAATAAACTGGGCACAGTGTGTATGCCTATAGTCCTAGCTACTCAGGAAGCTGCCGCAGGAGGATCACTTAAGCCCAGGAACTCGAGTCCTGCCTGGGCAACATAGCAAGACCCTGTCTCTAAAAATAAATAATAATACATTTTAAAAATAAACAAATAAGTAAGATTTAAAAAACAGTTTAACATTACAAGGAAAGAAAAAGGACCTTAAACACTTACACACTTCTGGTGAGAGCTGAAATTGGGTTAAACATTTAAAAGCAATTTAGCAGGATGTAGCAGAGGCTTTAAAAACATGTATACCCTTTGGGATGGGTGCAGTGGCTCACACCTGTAATCTCAGCACTTTGGGTGGCTGACGTGGGAGGATCACTTCAGTGCAGAACTTAGAGACCAGCTTGAGTAACATAGGGAGACCCTGTCTGCACAAATAATCAAAAATTAGCCAGGCGTGTTGGTGCACACCTGTAGTCCCAGCTACTTGGGAGGCTGAGGCAGGAGAACTGCTTGAGCCCAGGAAGTTGAGGCTTCAGTGTGCTGTGATCACGCCACAGCACTCAGCTTGAGCAACAGAGACCCTGTCTGAAATAAACATGCATACCCTTTGATTCAATAAAAGAAAACAATCATGCAGATGGTCCAAGAAGCATGTTTAAGGGTGTTTTCACATCCTTACCTAATTAAAAAGGAAGAATATCTAAATTTTTTTTAAAAAAGCACTGGCCAGCCGGGCGCGGTGGCTCATGCCTGTAATCCCAGCACTTTGGGAGGCCAAGGCAGGCAGATCATGAGGTCAGGAATTCAAGACCAGCCTGACCAACATGGTGAACTCTCATCTCTACTAAAAATACAAAAATTAGCTGGGCATGGTTGCACACGCCTGTAATCCCAGTTACTCAGGAGGCTGAGGCAGGAGACTTGCTTGAACCCGGGATGTGGAGGTTGCAGTGAGCCGAGATCACGCTGCTGCACTTCAGCCTGGGTGACAGAGTAAGGCTCCATCTCAAAAAAAAAAAAAGCACTGGCTAAATATAGTAAATTTACACAAGGGAATACTTTTCAGTATTAGTAATGATATACATGCATATTAATTGCATTGAAAGTTCACCATACATTGTATAATCTTTGTTCATTGGTAAATATCTGTTAGGACAGATTTTGCTTCTTAGTGCAATCTTGTAATTATGGGGACTAGGTTAATGAAACTTTGGCTTGAAAAGACCTTTTAACTCAAAACGATCTACATATGAAACAATCCCTATCAAAATTCCAATGGCATTTATTTTGCAGAAATAAAATAATTCATACAAAATCTCAAGGAATCTCAAATAGCCAAAACAATTTAAAAAAAAAGAAGAGCAAGTTTAAAAGATTCAAACTTCAAAATCTTCAAAAGATTTCAAAGCATGTTTCAAAGCTACAGTAATTAAAACAGTGTGGTACTGACATAAGCATGTCAAGTAGACCAATGGAATAAGACAACCAAGAAATAAACCCTCCCATAGGTGGCCAAATAATCTTAAACAAGGGTGCCAAGAACACTCAATGGGGCAAAGACTCTCTTCAAATAGTGTTGGGAAAACTGAATCTTCACATGTCAAGGAATTATGTTGGGGTCAGGTGCTGTGTTTCATGCCTGTAATCCTAGCTCTTCATATGGCCAAGGTAGGAGGATTGCTTGAAGCCAGGAATTCAAGACCAGCTTGAGCAACATAGGGAAACCCCATCTCTCCCAAAATAAAAAAAAATTAGCTGGGCATGGTGGCACACACCTGTAGTCTCAGCTACTCGAAAGGCTGAAGTGGGAGGATTGCTTGAGACTGGGAGGTCAAAGCGTCAGTAAGTGGTGATCATGCTACTGCATTCCAGCCTATTGGATAGAGTGAGACCCTGAAAAAAAAGACAGACAAAGAGAGAGAAGAGAATAGAGGAGAAAAAGGACCTTATATTTAGGTCCTTACATTTAAGGACCTTACATTAAGGATCTAAATATAAGACCTAAAATTAATAAACTCCTAGAAGAAAATGTGGGGGGAAAGCTTCATAACATTGGACTTGGCAATGATTTCTAGGATATAACACCAAAAGCACAGACAACAAAAGCAAAAATAGACAAATGGGACTACATCAAACTTAAAAACTTTTGTGTATCAAAGGACACAATTAACAGAGTGAAAAAGGCAACCTACAGAATGGGAGAAAAAAATTTGCAAATCATATATTTGATAAGGTGTGTTAAAGCAAACTAAATATGGCCTGAGAAGGACTCCGTATTTCTATATTTGGGTCCTGGTAACCTAACTTAATAGGTGGACAAGATTGAAAACCTAACTTAGGAGTATGCACCTGTAACAATAGCTGAGTCTTGGCCAATCCCAGAAGCCATACTTCCACCACTCATACACTGCTGAATGTTCAAACTGTATTCAAATAAGGCAAATGCTGAGGTGTAACCAATCCAGTTGTTTCTGTACCTCACTTCTGATTTCTGTATGTCACTTCCCTTTCTTTGTCTATAAATTTGTTCTGACCACAAGGTATCCCTGAAGTCTTTCTGAATCTGCTGTGATTCTGGGGACTTCCCGATTTGCAAATTATTAATTGCTCAATTAAACTCCTTTAAATTTAATTTGGCTGAAGTTTTTATTTTAATAGGTGTTAATTTCCAAAATATATAAAGTACTCCTATAATTCAACAACAAAAAGTAATATAACCCCATTAGAGAATGGGCAAAGCAGTTTGGAGATTTCCCAAAGAACTGAGAACTACCATCTGACTCAGCAATCTCATTACTGGGTATATACCCAAAGGAATATAAATCATTCTACCATAAAGACACATGCACGTGTGTGTTCATTGTAGCACTATTCACAATAGCAAAGACATGGAATCAACCTAAGTGTCCATCAGTGGTGGACTGGATAAAGAAATGTGGTACACATATACCGTGGAATACTATGGAGCCATAAAAAAGAATGAGATTGGTGTGGCTGGCAAGATGGCCGAATAAGAACAGCTCTGGTCTGCAGCTCCCAGTGAGATCAACGCAGAAGGCGGGTGATTTCTGCATTTCCAACTGAGGTACCCGGCTCATCTCATAGGGATTGGTTAGATGTGGGCACAGCCCACGGATGGCTAGCCAAAGCAGGGTGGGGAATCACCTTACCCAGGAAGCGCAAGGGGTCAGGGAACTCCCTCCCTTAGCCAAGGGAAGTTGTGAGGGACTGTGCCTTAAGGAATGGTGCATTCTGGCCCAGATACTACACTTCCCCATGGTCTTCACACCCCGCAGACCAGGAGATTCCCTCGGGTGCCTAAACCACCAGGGCCCTGGTCTCAAGCAAAAAACTGGGCGGCCATTTGGGCAGACACCGAGCTAGCTACAGGAGTTTTTTTTTTTTTTTTTTCATACCCCAGTGGCGCCTGCAAAGCCAGTGAGACAGAACCATTCGCTCCCCTGGAAAGGGGGCTGAAGCCTAGCAAGCTAAGATCTGCTGGCTTGAAATTCTGGCTGCCAGCCTAGCAATCTGAAGTTGACCTGGGATGCTTAAGCTTGGTAGGGGAAGGGGCGTCCGCCATTACTGAGGCTTGAGTAGGCCGTTTTCCCTTCACAGTGTAAACAAAGCCACTGGGAAGTTTGAAATGTTCATCGCAGCTAGCCCGACTAATAAAGAACTAATAAAGACTAATAAAGAAGAAAAGAGAGAAGAATCAAATAGACACAATGAAAAATGATAAAGAGGACTTCATCACTGATCCCACAGAAATACAAACTACCATCAGAGAATACTATAAACACCTCTATGCAAATAAACTAGAAAATCTAGAAGAAATGGCTAAATTCCTGGACACATACATCCTCCCAAGGTTAAACCAGGAAGAAGTTGAATCCCTGAAGAGACCAATAACAAGTTCTGAAATTGAGGCAGTAATTAATAGCCTATCAACCAAAAAAAGCCCAGGACCAGATGGATTCATAGCCAAATTCTACCACAGGTACAAAGAGGAGCTGGTACCATTCCTTCTGAAACTATTCCAAACAATAGAAAAAGAGGGACTCCTTCCTAACTCATTTTATGAGGCCAGCATCATCCTCATACCAAAACCTGGCAAAGACACAACAAAAAAAGAAAATTTCAGGCCAATATCCCTGATGAACATTGACACGAAAATCCTCAATAAAATACAGGCAAACCGAATCCAGCAGCACATCAAAAAGCTTATCCACCATGATCAAGTTGGCTTCATCACTGAGATGCAAGGCTGGTTCAACATATGCAAATCAATAAACATACTCCATCACATAAACAAAACCAAAGATAAAAACCATACAATTATCTCAATAGATGCAGAAAAGGCCTTCAATAAAATTCAACACCCCTTCATACTAAAAACTCTCAATAAACAAGGTATTGATGGAACATATCTCAAAATAATAAGAGTTATTTATGACAAACCCACAGCCAATATCATACTGAATGGGCAAAAGCTGGAAGCATTTCCTTTGAAAATTGGCACCAGACAAGGATGCTGTCTCTCAACACTGCCATTCAACATAGTATTGGAAGTTCTGGCCAGGGTAATCAGGCAAGAGAAAGAAATAAAGGGTATTCAAATAGGAAAAGAGGAACTCAAATTGTCTCTCTTTGCAGATGACATGATTGTATATTTAGAAAACCCTGTCTCAGCCCCAAATCTCCTTAAGCTGATAAGCAACTTCAGCAAAGTCTCGGGATACAAAATCAATGTGCAAGCATTCCTATACACCAATAATAGACAAACAGAGAGCCAAATCATGAGTGAACTCTCATTCACAATTGCTACAAAGAGAATAAGATACCTAGGAATCCAACTTACAAGGGACATGAAGGACCTCTTCAAGGAGAACTACAAACCACTGCTTAAGGAAATAAGAGAGGACACAAACAAATGGAAAAACATCCCATGCTCATGGATAGGAAGAATCAATATCGTGAAAATGGCCATACTGCCCAAAGTAATTTATAGATTCAATGCTATCCCCATCAAGCTACCATTGACTTTCTTCACAGAATTAGAAAAAACTACCTTAAAGTTCATATGGAACCAAAAAAGAGCCCGCATTGCCAAGACAATCCTAAGCCAAAAGAACAAAGCTGGAGGCATCACACTACCTGACTTCAAACTACACTACAAGGCTACAGTAACCAAAACAGCATGGTACTGGTACCAAAACAGAGAGAGAGACCAATGGAACAGAACAGAAGCCTCAGAAATAACACCACACATCTACAACCATCTGATCTTTGACAAACCTGACAAAAATAAGCAATGGGGAAAGTATTCCCTGTTTAATAAATGGTGTTGGGAAAACTGGCTAGCCATATGCAGAAAACTGAAATTGGACCCCTTCCTTACACCTTATACAAAAATTAATTCAAGATGGATTAAAGACTTAAACAAAAGACCTGAAACCATAAAAGCCCTAGAAGAAAACCTAGGCAATACCATTCAGGACATAAGCATTGGCAAAGACTTCATGACTAAAACACCAAAAGCAATGACAACAAAAGCCAAAATTGACAAATGGGATCTAATTAAAGAGCTTCTGCACAGCAAAAGAAACTATCATCAGACTGAACAGACAACCTACAGAATGGGAGAAAATTTTTGTAATCTATCCATCTGACAAAGGGCTAATATCCAAAATCTACAAGGAACTTAAACAAATTTACAAGAAAAAACAAACAAACAAAAAAACCCCATCAAAAAGTGGGTGAAGCATACAGACACTTCTCAAAAGAAGACATTTATGTGGCCAACAAACATATGGAAAAAAGCTCATTGTCATTGGTCATTAGAGAAATGCAAATCAAAACCACAATGAAATACCATCTCACAGCAGTTAGAATGGTGATCATTAAAAAGTCAGGAAACAGGCCCGGCACGGTGGCTCATGCCTGTAATCCCAGCACTTTGGGAGGCTGAGGCGGGTGGATTACGAGGTGAAGAGTTTGAGACCAGCCTGATCAACATGGTGAAACCCCGTCTCTACTAAAAATACAAAAATTAGCCAGGCGTGGTGATGCACACCTGTAATTCCAGCTACTCAAGAGGCTGAGGCAGGAGAATTGCTTGAACCAGGGAGGTGGAGGTTGCAGTGAGCCAAGATCACACCACTGCACTCCAGTCTGGGCGACAGAGCGAGACTCTGTCTCAAAAAAAAAAAAAAAAAAAAAAGAAACAAAAAGTCAGGAAACAACAGGTGCTGGGAAGGATGTGGAGAAATAGGAATGCTTTTACACTGTTGGTGGGAGTGTAAATTAGTTCAACAATTGTGGAAGACAGTGTGGTGATTCCTTGAGGATCTAGAACTAGAAATACCATTTGACCCTGCAATCCATTACTGGGTATATACCCAAAGGATTATAAATCATTCTACTACAAAGACACATGCACATGTATGTTTACTGCAGCATTATTCACAATAGCAAAGACTTGGAACCAACCCAAATGCCCATCAGTGATAGACTGGATAAAGAAAATGTGGCACACATAAAACCATGGAATACTATGCAGCCATAAAAAAGAATGAGTTCATGTCCTTTGCAGGGACATGGTTGAAGCTGGAAACCATCATTCCCAGAAGACTAACACTGGAACAGAAAACCAAACACTGCATGTTCTCACTCTTAAGTGGGAGTTGAACAATGAGAACACATGGATATAGGCAGGGGAACATCACACACTGGGGCCTGTCTGGCGGTGGGGGACTGGGCAGGGGGATAGAATTAGGAGAAATACCTAATATAGATGATGGGTTGATGGGTGCAGCAAACCACCATGGCATGTGTATATCTATGTAACAAACCTGCACATTCTGCACATGTATCCCAGAACTTAAAGTATAATAATAATAATAAAAAAAGAATGAGATCATTTCTTTTGCTAGAACATGGATGGAGCTGAAGGCCATTATCCTAGTCAAACTAGCATAGAAAACCAAATACCACATGTTATCACTTATAAGTGGGAGCTAAACATTGAGTACACATGGACACAAAGAAAGGAACAATAAATACGAGGGCCTACTTGAGGGTGAAAGGTGGCAAGAAGGTGAGGGTCTAAAAAACTACCTACTGAGTACTATGCTTATTACCTGGGTGAGGAAATAATCTATACACCAAACCCCTGCAACATGCAATTTATCCATGTAACAAACCTGCACATGTATGCCCGAACCTAAAATAAAAGTTGGAAAGAAAAAATAATAAATAAATAAAATCAGTGATAGGGAAACAGAAAAAAAAAGAATAGGCAGAAGACTTGAATAGACATTTCTCTGACGATGCTATACAAATGGCCAATAAGTATATGAAAAAATGCACAACATCACTAAATCAACAGAGAAATGCAAAACAACAACAACAACAAAACAAAACAAAATAAACCACAATGAAGGCTGGGCACAGTGGCTCACGCCTGTAACCCCAGCACTTTGGAGGGCTGAGGTGGGCGGATCACAAGGTCAGGAGATCGACCATCCTGGCTAACACGGTGAAACCCCATCTCTACTAAAAATACAAAAAATTAGTCGGGCGTGGTGGCGGGCACCTGTAGTCCCAGCTACTCGGGAGGCTGAGGCAGGAGAATGGCGTGAACCCGGGAGGCAGAGCTTGCAGTGAGTGGAGATCATGCCACTGCACTCCAGCCTGGGCGACAGAGTGAGACTCTGTCTCAAAAAACAAACAAGCAAACAAACAAAAAAAACCCACAATGAGATATCACCTTACATCCATTAGTATGGCTATCAAGAAACAAAAAATAACAAGTGTTAGTGAGGATGTGGAGAAATTTGAACCCTCCTTCACTGTTAGTGGTTTTGTAAAATGGTGCATCTGCTATGGGAAACAGATGGAAGTTCCTTAAAAAATTAAAAATAGAATGATCCAGCAATTGCACTACTGGGTATATATTCAAAAAGATTGAGGGAGAGGTCTTGAAGAGATATTTACACACCCATGTTTATAGCAGCACTCTACACTATTCCAGGAAGTGGAAGCAACCCAAATGTTCATTGATGTTGAGCAGAGGAACAAAATGTGGTACACACACACACACACACACACACACAGAAATATTATTCAGCTTTAAAAAGGAAGACAATCTTACCACATGCTACAACATGGATGAACCTTGAGGACATCATACTAAGTGAAATAAGCCAGTAACAAAAACACAAATACTGTATGATTCCACTTATATATCTAAAGTAGTCAAATTTATAGAAACAGTAGAATGGTGGCTACCAGGGGCCGGGAAAAGGGTGAAAAAGTGAGTTGTTGTTTAATGGGCACAGAGTTTCCGAATTGCAAGATGAAAAAGTTTTGCAGATCTGTTTTTCTGTTTTACAACAATGTAAAAAAACCAACAGAACAGTACTGAATTGTAAAGTTAAAAAATGGTTACACTGGTAGATTTAATGTTTTATATATATAATATATAATAATATATATAAACATGGTGAAATCCTATCTCTACTAAAAAAATACAAATATATATATATATAATATATATAAATTTTACCACAATAAAAAAGAAAAAAATCAATTGACCATATATGTGAGGGTCTAATTCTCATCTCTCAAAAAGAAGACTTTGTTAAAAACAGTGTATACATGGCCGGGAGTGGTGGCTCACGCCTGTAATCCCAGCACTTTGGGAGGCTGAGGCGGGCAGATCACCTGAAGTCAGGAGTTGGAGACCAGCCAGGCCAACATGGTGAAACCCCGTCTCTACTAAAAAAATACAAAAATTAGCCAGGCATGGTGGCAGGCGCCTGTAGTCCCAGCTACTCGGGAGGCTGACGCAGGAGAATTGCTTGAAGCTGGGAGGTAGAGGTTGCAGTAAGCGGAGAGGAGAGAGCACCATTGCACTCCAGCCTGGGGGACAAGAGCGAGACTCTGTCTCAAAACAAAAACAAAAACAAAACAGTGTATACATTAAACGTAGAAAGACATCTAGAATACTGACAGTAACTTGTAATTTATTGCCAATATTCTGGATCTTACATAGGATGGCAGATGTTTATTAATTAAATAAATAATAAGAGGGTCAATGATGACAATGAGTTACAAAATAAGGGTTACGTTTAGTTCAAAATCTGTGTGATTGAAGTCCATTAAAAGACTTTTAAAAAGAGGACTGGGCACAGTGGCTCACACCTGTAATTCCAGCACTTTGGGAGGGTGAGGTGGGAGAATCACTTGAGGTCAGGAGTTGAAGACCAGCCTGGGCAACATAGAAAGACCCTGTCAAGAAAAGAATAGAAAAGAAGCATAGAAAGAAAAGAAAAGAAAGCAAGGAAATGGAAAAACATATAGGTGGTTATACACTGAAGTGTTAACTGTAGTTATCTCTAACTGGAGCCTTAAGATGATTGTATCTCTTTATTATATTTTAAATCAGATTTTCTAATTTGTCTTCAATTGTATATTATATAATGAGGAAAAAATGAAAGTCAATATCATAAAATTTAAGATTAAAAAATACTCAACAATAACAACAGGAAAGCCTTACTCTCTTAAATAAACAAAAGACTTGCTGGCCAATTATGGTCCTTTGTAGTGCATTACACTGAGTCCATGTAGAATACAGCCAAAACATTTCTATGAACAATGGATAAATTATATTAGGTTTGACTCATTTCACCTATGCCAGGCCACTTTTGCACAATACTTAGAGAAAATGCCAAGTTGTTTCTCAAATATTTTCAAAAGGAAGGAAGCAGTTCCCCCAACTACTAGGAAATAAGTATTAAGCCATTTGGCAAATCTTTTTCTTGGTTGTAAGGTGTTATTTATATATAGAGGTATTTGAATGTACCTACTTTTTTAGGGAAAGAAGAATTTCTAACTGTTATTACCTTATTTTAAATAAAGGAGAGCTGTGGACATAACCATAATAATTTAAAATTTCCAAATTTTTTTTTTTTTTTTTTTTTTTTTTTTTTTTTGAGACGGAGTCTCGCTCTGTCGCCCAGGCTGGAGTGCAGTGGCGGGATCTCGGCTCACTGCAAGCTCCGCCTCCCGGGTTCACGCCATTCTCCTGCCTCAGCCTCCCAAGTAGCTGGGACTACAGGCGCCCGCCACTACGCCCGGCTAATTTTTTGTATTTTTAGTAGAGACGGGGTTTCACCGTTTTAGCCGGGATGTTCTCGATCTCCTGACCTCGTGATCCGCCCGCCTCGGCCTCCCAAAGTGCTGGGATTACAGGCGTGAGCCACCGCGCCCGGCCAAAATTTCCAAATTTTGAATAACCAAGCTGAAAGCTTATTTTAAAACACTGAAATTGCTCTGACACTTGTCTGTATTATCTCGAATTCCCTAGTATTTTCCCGAGCATTATATTTCCATGTCATTGCTTGCATCAATGGCTGTCCTTCTTTCCAGATTGTAAGCTCAGTAAGAGTACAGATGATATT
Source organism: Homo sapiens (assembly GCF_000001405.40). NCBI lineage: Eukaryota > Metazoa > Chordata > Mammalia > Primates > Hominidae > Homo > Homo sapiens. The sequence goes on from NC_000001.11 coordinate 165,808,609, forward strand.
CTTCTTACTGGCAAATAATAGGAAATTAATATTTAATGTCATAATGTATAAATAGAGCATAGCGAGACTCTGTCTGTACAAACAAATAAAAAAAATAGATGGAGGCTAGACGTGGTGGCTCATGCCTGTAATCCCAGCACTTTGGGAGGCCAAGGCAGGTGGATCACTTGAGTCCAGGAGTTTGAGATCAGCCTGGGCAACATGGCAAAACACCATCTCAACAAAAAATACAAAAATTAACCAACCATGGTGGCACAGGCCTGTAGTCCCAGCTACTTCCAGAGCTGAGGTGGGAGGATCACTTGAGCCCAGGAGGCAGAGGTTGCAGTGAACCAAGATCACACCACTGCATTCCAGTCTGGGCAATAGAGCGAGAGCACATCTCTTAAAAAAAAAAAGTGTATAAATGAATTAATGGATAGAGATCTCATTAAAGCTAGGAAATAAAGGGTAGGAGTCTTACATTTAAGACTGGAGGTTTAGAGTGAAATGTTTAAGTTTGCATTTGACACTAATCAGTTCCAGTAAATGAAATGCCAATCTAAGGATATACTACTAAAAGTTCCTATCAGATGCAAGAATGTCAAGAAAAGTGGCAGATAAGCTACAATGTTATAATCATAAAAATTCAGAGCTGGGAAGGATCTTAAAACATTGAAAAGTCAAATCCTTCATTTTGTAGATGAATAAATTGAAGGCAATATAATTTAAATAACTTATGAGATCACACAGTTGTTGGCAGAACTAGACCCTGAGCCAGGTCTCCCAACTTGCTGGTCAAGTTCTCTTTCCTCTAGACTAAAAAAAAAAGATTGGCTATTACTTACATCCATACAAAGAGGATCAGCATATTCTTTGAACATGTTGGTCCAGATTGCTTCCTCAGCCACAAAGACCAACAAAAATTTAGGATTATGAAGGGCATTTTAACACAAAAGGAAATAAGAGCCACATCTGGAACACTGTATATAGTTCTGTGTCCTTACCTGAGGAAAGATGCACTATAGCTAGAGGAGGGCTACAGGAGGAAAAGAAACTGATCTGAGAGTTGGAAGGATCCAGAATAGAATGAAAGCATTCTGCTGTTTCAGTCAGAGATGTTCAAAGAAAATGCAGTTGTTGGGTCTGCACCCAAACCTTTTGAAGTTGTCACCTAGAAGAACATCAGACCCTTCCACAAAATAGCCCTGGATGCCATTGTCAGATGTCCTACCATGAACCCATGACTCTTATAACTCACATGGCCTTATTTACAAATATCTTTGTCTTAACATTACAAACTACTGTGTCCGCAGAAGTACCACTAAAAGAGAGGGGGAAATGAAGTTGTTTTCACTGGTGACCATTAATGGTGCTGCAGGTGTCAACAGGATGACAATCGTCTGGAGACACTCTGTGTTGATCATTTCATTCCAAATCTTGGATTGGTAAGATGAGACACATCTCCCCCTCAATCATAACTATCAACTAATGATGCCTTTTATTCATTTTCTCCTTTTGGCATACATGACAGTTTTATGCCTATGAATATTTTCCTGTTTAAGTATATCTTGATTTATAATAGCAATAGGGGAAACTTTTTCTTATAGTAGTGTTAGAGTATTCAAAGGATGTTTTGTGCATGCCAAAATAAAAAAATGAATTATGCCCTTGTTTCACATCTTTATTACATCCTAGCTCTTATTTGAAGTTATCAGATTTCAATCTTCAGCTTTCTTTTCCCTAGGTTTATTTCTTCTTTAATCTTCTCTTTTGTGTTTAGCTTTTTATATTCTTTTTCCAAAATTTTTTACATGCTAATATTTATTTTCACATTTATCTGCAAGCTTAAATGTTTTTACATGATTAATATGTACACTTTTTGTTAGATAGTGAAAACTGACTCAACTCTTCTAGTAGTGAGCAGTTATTCTAAAACAACTCTGCAAATATGAAATGTTAAAAGCTAAGCTAACACTAACCTGCTCATAATGATGATCTCTAAGGGAGGGTATTAAAGGGAACTTTCTCATTCAATACAAAATGTTCTGGCCAGGCAGTAGCTCATGCCTGTAATCCCAGCACTTTGGGAGGCCCAGGTGGGAGGATAGCTTGAAGCCAGGAGTTCGAGACCAGGCTGTTCAACATAGTGAGACCCCCATACCCCACAAAAAAAGTTTAGCTGGGCACGACAGTGGGTACCTGTAGTCCCAACTACTTGGGAGGCTGAGGCAGGAGAATTGCCTGAGCCCAGGAGTTTGAAGTTGCAGTGAGGTATGATTATGCCGCTGCACTCCAACCTGGATAATAAAGTGAGACCCTGTCTCAAAACAAGCTATGCATTATTTAGTTTTTTTTTTTTTAATACAGAACATCTATAACTTTTTATGCTAAAAAATTATGATAAATTATTAGGGGTCTGTGTTTAACTTGGACTAGTGTAACTCCTTCATGCAATAAACTGAAAAAAAATTATTAACTTAACATTAAACATGAGATGTTTATCAATAGAAAGCTAACATCAATAAATATGCTTCTCAATGTAAACAGGTCTCTTAGGATCTCTCCCAAGACAGCAGAATACCGTTTGTTTCCTTGTAAGAGATAATTTGCTAGACGAACACTAAGTTACTATAGGGAAGCATTTCTTAGGGTGATATCCACAGAACATTAATTTTGCTGCTTGGCACTGGACATACCAGAAAAAAAGATTTTGTGGTTTGGTAAATTTGGTAAAACATGGTCTAAACAAAGATAAATATGCTTATTATTACTAACATTTGTAGTCTATTTAATGCACTAATACACATTGTGACTCTGAGAAGTTAAAGTGGGAATGGAGTGCAGTATGTAGGTTTTTCCAAACTCATTTGTTCCTAGTATCCTAGTATCCCTTTTCCTCCCAGGACCACTGTTCCAAGGAGCACATTTTGGGAAGCATTGCTTTAGGGAGTTCAGGAGAGAGTTCTTTGCATATTGAGGGGTATGCTTACTTATTACAGGATACTGCATACTGAGGGGTATTCTTTATTTAAGACTTTTTTTTTTTTTTTTTTTTTCGGAGACAGGGTCTCACTCTGTCGCCCAGGCTGGAGTACAGTGGGCAATCTCGAAATCTCGGCCCACTGCAACCTCCACTTCCTGGGCTCAAGTGATTCTCCTGCCTCAGCCTCCTGAGTAGCTGGGATTACAGGCACACGTTACCAAGCCCGGCTAATTTTTGTATTTTTAGTAGAGATGGGGTTTCACCATGTTGGCCAGGCTGGTCTGGAACTTCTGACCTCAGGTGATCCACCCGCCTCGGCCTCCCAAAGTGCTGGGATTACAGGTGTGAGCCACCGTGCCTGGCTGGGTATTCTTACTTATTACAGGATTTATCCATATCTGGTCATTGCACATAGTTTTTGAGCCAGATCTAAATTAATTACAGTATGGATTTTTCAAATATTAAACCTTACATTTTTTGAATAAACAAAATTTGATAGTGATGATTTATCCTTTTTATGTATTGTGAGATTTGGTTTGTTAAAATTGTGTTCAGAATTTTTACATTTTGGCTGGGTGCAGTGGCTCACACCGGTAACCTTAGCACTTTGGGAGGCTAAGGTGGGAGGAATGCTTGAGTCCAGGAGTTTGAGATCAGCCTGGGCAACATAATGAGACCCTTGTCTCTGAAAACTAAAATGAAATAAAACAAAAAGGGACCGGGCCATGGTGGCTCATGCCTGTAATCCCACCATTTTGGAAGGCCAAGGCAGGCGGATCACCTGAAGTCAGGAGTTCAAGACCAGCAGGGCCAACATGGTGAAACCCCGTCTCTACTAAAAATACAAAAATTAGCTGGGCATGGTGGCAGGTGCCTGCAATCTCAGCTACTCAGGAGGCTGAGGCAGAAGAACTGTTTGAACCCAGGAGGTGGAGGTTGCAGTGAGCCGAGATGGCATCACTGCACTCCAGCCTGGGTGACAGAGCAAGACTCTGTCTCAAAAAAATAAAAATAAAAATAAATAAATAAAACAAGAATTTTTACATTTTATACTCATAGGAGAGATTGGCCTTTAATTTTCTATTCTTGTAATATGTTGTCAGGTTTTGGCATTAAAGTTATACTGGTCTCATAACTTGAGTTGTGAAATGTTTCATCTTCTCTCTGGTAGAGTCTGTATAATCTTGGCATTAACTCTCCTTTGAATGTTTGGTCGAATTCACTGGCAAAAGTATTAGGGCCTGGAATTTTATTTTGTTGTATTTTATTTCATTGGAAACTTTTCCATTTTGGAGTTCATTTCTGTGAAAGGAGTAAGACTCCATTCAGTATGAGGGGCAAAACCTCATAGTCTTGCCAGCAATAAATGGTGCACTTAGTTGGGTACAAATAGGAAAAATGCATAGCTCTGCCAGCTTGAGAATGAGGTTTCGTTCAAAGCAAGTGGTGGAGCATACCACTGTAGGGACACCAGCGGGTGCACACCAGAGATACAGATTCTGCCATTTAAATCTGGTTACGTTATTAGCGGGGGAAAAACCCACCAACCATTAAAAATAGAAAACAGAATTCAGAGTTGCTGCAATATATCAGCTAAAATGTTGTTTTTTACCAGAAATTACTAGACACGCAAAAAGCAGGAAAGTATCATCCATATACAGGGGGGAAAAAGCACTTAGTAAAACTGACTCTGAGTGGGCCCAGATTTTAGTTTTTACAGGCAAACACTTCAAAGGAGCTATTATAAATATGTTCAAAAAATTTTTTTTTTTTTGAGACAGAGTCTCGCTCTGTCACCCAGGCTGGAGTTCAGTGGCGTGATCTCGGCTCACTGCAACATCTGCCTCCTGGGTTCTGGCAATTCTCTTGCCTCAGCCTCCCAAGTAGCTGGATTACAGGCACGTGCCACCATGCCTGGCTAATGTTTGTATTTTTAGTAGAGACGGGGTTTTGCCATGTTAGCCAGGCTGGTCTCGAACTCCTGACCTCAAGTGATTCACCCACCTCGGCCTCCCAAAGAGCTGGGATTATAGGCATGAGCCACGGTACCTGGCTGTTCAAATAATTTTAAAAATGCTAACAATAAATCAACAAAAAGGAAATCCAAATAGTGACATAGTATTAAAAAAAAAAACACCAAAAAACGGAGGCCAGGCGTGGTGGCTCACGCCTGTAATCCCAGCACTTTGGGAGGCCGAGGCAGGCAGATCACAAGGTCAGGAGTTCAAGACCAGCCTGACCAACATGGTGAAACCCCATCTCTACCAAAAATACAAAAATTAGCTGGGCATGCTGGTGAGCAACTGTAATCCCAGCTACTCAGGAAACTGAGGCAGGAGAATCACTTGAGCCTGGGAGGTGGAGGTTGCAGTGAGCCAAGATCATGCCACTGCACTCCAGCCTGGGTGACAGAGCGACTCTGTCTCAAAAAACAAAAAAACAAAAAAAAACAAAAAAAACCCACAAACCAAATGGAAATTCTATAGTTGAAAAGTACAATAACTCACATGACAAATTCATACAATGAGGTCAACAGCAAATTTGAGTTGACAGAAGAAATAATTACTGAATTTGAAGATAGACTAATAGAAATTATCCAATCCAAGGAGAGACCAAAAAAAATTGAAGGAAAAATACAGCCTGGAAGACCATGGAGTCAAGCATTTCAGCTTATGTAAAATAATAATCTCAGAAGAAGAGACAGAAAGGAGTAGAAAAAATATTTGAAGAAACAATGGCTGAAAACTTCTCAATTTAATGAAAAACCTTAATTTACATATACAAAAAGCTTGATGAAACTTGAGTAGAATAAACAAAAAAGAACCACACCTAGACATATCATAGTCAAATTTCTGAAAGCCAGAGACAAAGAGAAAAATCTCTCTCTCTCTCTCTCTTTTTTTTTTTCCTCAAGACAGAGTCTTGCTCTGTTGCCCAGGCTGGAATGCAGTGGTGCAGTCTTGGCTCACTGCAACCTCCACCTCCCAGGTTCAAGTGATTTTCCTGCCTCAGCCTCCTGAGTAGCTGGGACTACAGGTGCATGCCACCATGCTGGGCTAATTTTTGTATTTTTAGTAGAGACAGGGTTTTGGCATGTTGGCCAGACTGGTCTTAAACTCCTGGCCTCAGGTGATCCACCTGCCTCAGCCTCCCAAAGTGCTGGGATTACAGGTGTGAGCCACCGCACCCAGCCAAAGAGAAAAATCTCTTAAAAGCAGCAAGAGAAAAATGACTCATCACATTTAGGGAAATGATACAGTTAACAGCCAACTTCTCATTAGAAGCAATGGAGGCCCGAAAGACATAGTCAAAGTGCTGGAAAAACAAAACAAAACAAAACAGTCTTTCAACCAAGAATTATATATCCAACAAAACCATTTTTTTAAAAAAGGAAGTTAAAATAAAGACATTACCAGATAAGCAAAAACTGAGAGAATATGTTGCTAGCAGACAAATATACTGCTAACCGATCAATCACAGATTGTGAAACTATATCAAAAAGCAAGATGGCTGGGCACTGTTCTAAACCATAGCATCAGTAAGATTTTAAGAACCTTCTTTTCAGTCTGGGAAAGGTGGCTCGCGCCTGTAATCCCAGCACTTTGGGAGGCCAAGGCGGGTGGATCACCTGAGGTCAGGAGTGCGAGACCAGCCTGGCCAACATGGTGAAACCCTGTCTTTACTAAAAATACAAAATTAGCCGGGTGTGGTGGCACATTCCTATATCCCAGCTACTTGGGAGGCTAAGGCGGGAGAATCACTTGAACTTGGGAGGCGGAGGTTACAGTGAGCTGAGATCACGCCACTGCACTCCAGCCTGGGCAACAAGAGCGAAACTCTGTCTTAAAAAAAAAAGCAAGATTCAATTATATACTGTCCACCAAAAGACATACTTTAGAGTTGTAGGCATAAATAGGTTAAAATTAAAAGACAGAAAATAATATACTATGCACACAGTAATCATAAGAGACCTGCAGTGGCTATTTTAATATCAGACAAAACAGGCTTTAGGTCATATTAGAGACAAATAAGGACATTTCATTGTTAGAGACAAATAGAGACATTTCATAATGAAAAAGGATCAACATATAAAAATAACAATTATAAATATATATGTACCTAACAAGCCCCAAAATACATGAAGCAAAAAACCTGACATAATTCAAAAGAAAAACAGACAATCCACTTCACCCTCAGTATCTGGTGGCCAGGAGACGTGCCTCAAAGACCTTCACTTACAAGGAACAACATAACTGACCAAGACCCCAACTTGTGTACTCTGAGATCAACTGCTTCATTTGCTTCCTGGCCATGCTTCCCCTAGGCTACTATCAGCCAATGACTGCATGTAGCTGGAATGCTAAGGCAGCCTCATTCCCGGGAGATATGGGGCTCTTCAGATTATCAAGAACTTTGACTCGAGGACAACAGCTTTGCTGAAACTTTCTTATTCTGCATAGTAGTCTAGGGTGCTTCTACCCAACCTTGCTTCTCTCTCTCCTTCATTCAGATTTAGGCTTGTATTGTAGTCTGATGACTTCTCCAGTTCCTTCTCCAATTTTTCTCATGGTCATCTCCCCTAATAAAATCTTTGTATACTTAATGCCGTCTTGGTGTCTGCTTCTTAAAAGGTCCAGACTAACACAAATGGTTCCAGGAGTGATCTAAGAAAATAGGCAGTAAGATGGGGACGTGGCTCACTTAGGACTAGCTCACCTACTGCCCAGCAAATGAAAAGGATGCTGTTGTGGTTGTGAAGTGGGGCATGGCACAAGGTGGAGGCTCGGAGGCTGAAGATGTCACTAGTGGTAATGTGGGAAAATGCATCCCTAGAGGGGAATGCTGATGGAAGAGAATGCTGTAGCAGGTGCAATATCTCAAGCCTTTCAAAAATATGGAGAAACAATGCTTTCAAGGACAGTAGAGCTGGAGTTGGCTGGTTGCTGCTAAGTCATAGTGATACAACTACATAAGGATAATGAGAGACTGAGGACACTTAATAATCAGCCAACATAGTGGCTCACCCCTGTAATCCCAGCACTTTGGGAGGCTGAAGCAGGCAGATCACTTGAGATCAGGAGTTTGAGACCAGCCTGGCCAACATGGTGAAACCCTGTCTCTACTGAAAGCACACACACAAAAAATTAGCCAGGCATCATGGCACGTGCCTATAATCCCAGCTACTCAGAAGGCTGAGGCAGGAGAATGTCTTGAACCCAGGATGTGGAGAATGCAGTAAGCTGAGATCATGCTATTGCACTCCAGCCTGGGAGACACAGGGAGACTCCATCTCAAACAAACAAACAAACAAACAACCAATCAGTTAATGGTTAAGTGTGAGATTCAGAACCCGTGTGGTAGCTTACAAAGAGGCCCTTATCTCTTCTAGTAGAAGAACAGGCACATTTGAGCAGCAGGCTGAAGACTTAATATGTAGAGTCTTAGAGCTCCATAGTTTTTGCATTGCTCAGTCAAAGCAGTAGTGAAGATCAGGGCTCGGTGATAAAAACCTGAGATCCTAAGATGTGGCTGAGAAGGCTTTGAAGAGTCTGGCCTCTGCAACCACTGTGCCCCTGGACCCTCTGGGTTTACAGAGGTACCTTATCTTTCTTAATAAGAGCTAGCGCTTTGGCTGTGCTGGAAATAGGTGCCCTCCTCTGATGCTGCCCTTACCCCCACCTCCTCTCCTGGCTACTAGGCTGATAACTGGGGCTGTGCTGGGCCTGATAAAGGAGAAAAGAGACTATGTACTTAAAAAAATGGCAAGGGCTGGGTGTGGTGGCTCAAGCCTGTAATCCTAGCACTTTAGGAGATCGAGGCGGGCGGATAACAAGGTCAGGAGATCGAGACGATCCTGGCTAACACAGTGAAACCCCGTCTGTACTAAAAATACAAAAAATTAGCCAGGCGGCCGGGCGCGGTGGCTCACGCCTGTAATCCCAGCACTTTGGGAGGCCGAGGCGGGTGGATCATGAGGTCAGGAGATCGAGACCATCCTGGCTAACAAGGTGAAACCCCGTCTCTACTAAAAATACAAAAAATTAGCTGGGCGCGGTGGCGGGCGCCTGTAGTCCCAGCTACTCGGGAGGCTGAGGCAGGAGAATGGCGTGAACCCGGGAAGCGGAGCTTGCAGTGAGCCGAGATTGCGCCACTGCAGTTCGCAGTCCGGCCTGGGCGACAGAGCGAGACTCCGTCTCAAAAAAAAAAAAAAAAAAAAAATTAGCCAGGCGTGGTGGCATGCGCCTGTAGTCCCAGCTACTCGGGAGGCTGAGGCAGGAGAATAGCTTGAACCCAGGAGGTGGAGGTTGCAGTGAGCCAAGATTGCACCACTGCACTCCAGCCTGGGAGACAGAGGGTGACTCCATCTAAAAAAAAAAAAAAAAAAAAAAAAGGCAAGACTTAGCAGGAGTCAGGGGATTATTTCTGGGATTAGCATTTGAGGATGTTTAATCAAGGATGTCAGAATGGAAGACTGGATAAGCAAGAATTCACTGATGTGGGGGTACTTTCTCAGGACAAAAGATTTAATATTCTACTAGGAACTCCAGGAGATGGGACAAAGTTGCTGCAAGGATTTAAGAAGCCTGGAAAAAATAATGGCCAAATCTCAGAGAAGTGGAAATACCTGCCTTGCCCTGACAAACTGCAGAGGAAGGTGGGCATGCCGAAACTGATATGTAAGGCAAGAAGACCAGCTAGATAATTATGTTCCATTGGAAGGCCTAGAGGACACACTGCTAAAGCCATCAGGAATGAGCTGAAAGAGAGGTACCACTGATCCTAAGAAATTTGGTGGTGGCTCTCCTCTGCAGGCCAGGGCTAATCTAAGAGAAGAGGTCACAGTGTTGGGTTTATTAACACCCATTGAAATGATGGTGCCCCAAAGTAGTAGAAGTATGTGTCTTAAGGAATGGAATGGCAAAATAAGACTTTTTGTTGTTGTTGATTATGATAATTTCATTAAGTCAGGTAATTTGTTACACATTCCAAAAGTTGAATTAAAAATGAAATCTGGAGAGAAAAATAGGAATAATCTCTACAGGAGGTGTTTAACTTTTGACTAGAGCTGATTAACTTTTTATTATTTATTTAAAAATAAGGGGTTCTTTCATCCTATTGTATTCTTATTATAATTTAATGTCATATTGAATTTATATTTTCTTGTATTCGACTTTATAAACTTCCAGCCTGGGACTAGGAAAAATGCTGCTGAATGATGTCCTAGAGCTTTTATTTAGAAGTTAATCAAGATGATTATGTTCTCTTGGCTAACATTGGTTAATAGCTTAACATTTAAAATGCTATATCCCTTTAAAAATTTTTTATCCCTTTAACCTCTTTTCTATCTTAAGATACAAAATATATATGTGTATATTTACAGATATAGATACACACCTATATACACATTTACATGTATACAAAATATGTATGTATGCGTGTGTGTGTATATATATAGCACATTTGGGAGGATACACACACACACACACACACACACATATACACACACAGTACATAGGCCAGGCATGGTGGCTCACACCTGTGATCCCAGAGCTTTGGGAGGATCACTTGAGGCCAGGAGTTCAAAACCAGCCTGGGCAACATAGTGAAACCCTGTCTGTACAAAAAAAAAAAAAAAATTACCAAGCATGGTGGTGCATGCCTGTAGTCCTAGCTACTCAGGAGTCTGAGGCAGGAGGATTGCTTGGGGCCAGGAGTTTGAGGTTACCGTGAGCTATGATCACACCACTACACTTCAGTCTGGGTGACAGAGCGGCCAAAATGAAGTTCAATCCCTTTGTGACTTCCAACCAAATCAAAAATAGCAAAAGGCATTTCAATGCACCTTCCCACATTCACAGGAAGATTATGTCTTCCCCTGTTTCCAAAGAGCTGAGACAGAAGTACAATGTGCAATCCATGCCCATCCGAAAGGATGATGAAGTTCAGGTTGTACGAGGGCACTATAAAGGTCAGCAAATTGGTAAAGTAGTCCAGGTTTACAGGAAGAAATATGTCATCTACATTGAATGGGTGCAGCGGGAAAAGACTAATGGCACAACTGTCCACACAGGCATTCACCCCAGAAAGGTGGCTATCACTAGGCTAAAACTGGACAAAGACAGCAAAAAGATCCTTGAATGGAAAGCCAAATCTCGCCAAGTAGGAAAGGAAAAGGGCAAATACTAGGAAGAAACAATTGAGAAGATGCAAAAATAAAGTAATCTTATGTACAAGCTTTGATTAAAACTTGAAACAAACAACAAAAAAGAAAAGATACAGGCTGGGTACAGTGGCTAACATCTGTAATCTCTGCACTCTGGGAGGCTGAGGTGGACAGATTGCTAGAGTCTAGGGGTTCGAAGTCAGCTGGGCAACATGGCAAAACGCTGTCTCTATAAAAAATACAAAAATCAGCCCCGTGTGACGGCACTCAAATGTAGTCCCAGCCACTTGCGACACTGAGACGGGAGGATCGCTTGAGCCCAGGAGGCAGAGGTTGCAGTGAGCTGACATTGCACTACTGCACTACTGCACCCCTGCCTGAGTGACATAGCAAGACCCTGTCTCAAAAATAAAAGTATATATATATAAAATATATATATAATACATATAAAATATATATAATATATATGCTATATATTATATATAGTATATATAGTGTATATATCTCTACATTATATACATATCTACATTATATATAATATACATAGTATATATAGTATACTATATAGTATACATATAGTATATATAGTATATATAGTATACTATATATACTAAATATACTATATATATACTATAGTATAGTATATATATAGTATACTATATATACTATACTATAGTATATACTATACATACTATACATACTATACATACTATATATACTATACATACTATACATACTATACATACTATATACTATATATACTATAGTATATATAGTATGTATACATATATAGTCTGAGGCAGGAGGATTGCTTGGGGCCAGGAGTTTGAGGTTACCGTAAGCTATGATCACACCACTACACTTCAGTCTGGGTGACAGAGCAGCCAAAAAAAGTATATATTATATATACTATATATATATATATACACTCTATATATAGTATGTATATTATATATATACTATATATAGTATGTATATTATATATAATGTGTATATATATAATGTAGATATATACATAGATGTAGATACAGATACACACATAATTTTTAAATCTTATTTTTCTAGTTCTGATGACCTAACCAGCTGAAGATCTTGCAAACTCTCTCAGGAGAGGTACCCAAGGATCAAACCAGTCTCCTCCACCACCCTGAAAGGAGAACTTGCTTAACTGACTTTCTCTCTTCAGTTCAAGGCCTTTCCAGTTACACCAGGGTTTCTTAATCAAGGATCTTTGGAGTTCTTCATGAATGGGTTTCTTGAGCTGTCTGAACCCTTTTGAGTTATCCTCAACATTCTATTTGTGTGTGTGCATACACAGTGTTTTCCTGGGGAGTCTGTTGCTTTTGTTTGTTTCTCAGCGTCTCTGACTAAAAATATTTCTGAAACACTAGCATTCATCACTTGAAGCCTTAGGCCTCCTTGCCTAAGAACAGCTATAATTTCATTCTGAAGGAAAACCAAACTAATCTTCTCTCCTAATGACCTGGGGAGAGTTCACTTCAAGACACCAAAGTAACTTTTAGTAACATACCATGAATACTGAGCAAAAACTAATCTATCTAACCTCATTTGGCTTCCAACATCACTTGGCACCTCAGCCCATCATCTTGAGGAAAGTCAAACCTGCCATCCTTGGCCACCAGTTCAAATACAAGCCACTAGACTAAATGTAACTACTTCTCTGACATTGATGCCATCAGCAGTACCATCCTCTGCTTCTCCTCTTGACAATCACCAGAGCTCTGAGACGAGGGTGAGGCAAAGTGGGTGCCTAGGGTATGAAGGAGCTGCTCCTTTCCCACCCTGCACTTGCGTTTGCTCAACCCAAGAGTCAGTGCCTCCTCACTTTTTGCACTCAAGGCACATCCCTTGTCTCACCCTAATCCCAGCTCTATATCACCAACTATAATGCATCCATTATGACCTGATGGAAAGAGCGTCAGCCACAGGAGGAGGGAAGGGGTAGTAGTAGATTATCTGCAGAGACAGTAACCTAAGAACTAATTAGGGAAAATGAAAGAAGTCATTGCATAAAAGTGGGATAGCAACGATTAAGACTGGTGACAGGAAAAGAAGTAAAGGATCAGATATGGGTCTAGGTAAACAGGATGAAGCCAAACAGCTTAGAACATGGTGAATAAAACACGGATTCTGGGGCCTGCTCTTAACAGGTGCTGGTAGCTGGCTGGGCAAGACAATAGAACTCTTGACTTTATCTCAGCCTATTTTCAAAGAATCACATTAGAAAGTGTCCTGGTATGGGGAAGGGAGAGAAAAATCAGAAAATCTCTATAACATACAGAAATCTGTATATTAATTTTTTCAATTCTGTGAAGGCTTCTTCTTACGAGATTTCTGAAGTTGGGCCAACTAAAATTTAAGGACCCTTGAATGACTATTATCTTTGCTGAGAGAGGGTGTATGTCAAATTCAACAAAATTAATAACCTACATTTGTGTAATGTCTTACAGGTTATGACGTTCTCTGATGCCGTCTTTTTAAATCTCAGTCATTTCTCTTTGCTTTTGCCCATTTCTGTTCCCATTTCCTAAAACTCTTTCTTCTAGCCTTCTGGTTGACACCAATTTTTTTAAAACAGCTGTATTAAGATATAATTCACATACCATGAAATTCACCAATTTAAATTGTACAATTCAATGGCTTTTAGTATATTCAAAGTTGTGCAACCATCACGACAATTTTAAAACATTTCCTTCACCCCGAAAGAAATCCTGGACCCATTAGCAGTCTCTCTCCATTTCCCACACTAACCTCCCTAGCCATAGGCAACCACAAATCTACATCGGACGGGGCCCATTCTGGACATTAATTTTTAATTTTTATTTGAAAGTGCCCCTGTAATCCCAGCACTCTTGGAGGCCAAGGCGGGAAGATCACTTGAGCCCAGGAGTTAGGGACCAGCCTGGGCAACATGGCAAAACCCCGTCTCTACAAAAAATACAAAAATTAGCCGGGCGTGGTGGTGTGCACCTGTAGTCCCAGCTCCTTGGGAGGCTGAGGTGGGAGGATCACTTGGGCCTGGGGAGGTCAAGGTTGCAAGTGAGCTATGATCATGCCACTGCATTCCAGTCTGGGTAACAGAGTGAGACCCTATTTCAAAATGAAAAAAAAAAAATACAGAAAGAAAGAAAGTGCCCTTGGGGATTAGGAATTCTTACTTTTGGAACTCCTGACCCCTAAATGGTGGATATCTGTGATAAATCAGAGAGCTGTGACAGAAATGGGGGGGGAAGGGGAAACAGTATTTATTTAACAACTACTGTGTACTAATGTGTATCATTACTTTCATAACCATCCTGTGAGTGAGTTATCATTTAGCAGTTGAATAAACTGAGGTTTATAGAAATTATGTAAGCTGGCTTGGTGTGATGGCTCTTGCCTATAATCCCAGCACTTTGGGAAGCTGAGGTGGGCAGACAGCTTGAGCTCAGGAGTTTGAGACCAGCCCGGGCAACATGGTGAAACCCCACCTCTACCAAAAGTACAAAAATTAGCCGGGCGTGGTGGCTGGCGCCTGTAGTCCCAGCTACTTTGGGAGCTGAGGCAGGAGGACTGCTTGAGCCCAGGAGGCAGAGGTTGCAGTGAGCCAAAATAGCACCATTGCACTATAGCCTGGGCAACAGAGTAAGACACTGTCTCAAAAAAAAAAAAAAAAAAGAAAAAAAAAAGAAAAGAAAAATTATGTAACCTGTCAAAGGTTATAAAGTTAGTAACAAAGTAAGATTATAAATCTTTGTTTTCTGACTAGAGCTTATTCATCTTCTTTGCACGAGAACAGTGGTTCTCGAACTTTGGTGGGCATGAGAATCACCTGGAAGCCTTATAAAACACAGACTGTGGAGCTCCACACACAGAGTTTCTGATTTACTAGTTCTGGGGTGGTGCTTAAGCATTTGCATTCCCAGATGCTGCTGCTGCCAGTCTGAGACTGCACTATGTTGTGCTGCCTAACAGTACCTGAGAATGTAATTGATTAAGGTCACAGAGCTGGATGTGACTGATTAAGGTCAGAGAGCTTTAACGTCATCCAGCCATCTTTTCAGAACAGTACTTATGATCTGACAAAGCAACTGCTGATTGATAAAAGGTGGAAAGTAATTAGAAAGGTAATACAGAGAACGATAATACTTTGGATACATGATGAAGTGTGATAACATCTATTTTTCTGGCTGGGGAATGAGATAAACAAATAGAGAACTGATCATGGTGCATGAAGCACCTAGAGAAAGAACATTTCAGTTGGGTGCAAAATGTAACGTTCCTTGTCTAGTTCAGAACTATGGCTACTCAAGGGGAGAAGGCAGGCAGACAAAGGACTGTCAACAGCAATGTCTCTTATTGTTCTTTGGCTACAGCTGCACTTGCATACTCATGCTGACTTCGTGCCCAAATGTTAACTAGGCCAGAACTTGATCAGACTGAAATCTGTAAAAGAAAAAAAAATCATCACAGATACCAAGAAAATGTATTTCCTTGAATCTGTTCTAACTCTGAATTTTGTTAAAAAATTAGATTTTTTTTTTTTTTTAGTGGGAGGAAAAGGAGGACAGCTCAAAACCACTTAATTCAGAATCTGCAGTGTAATTGTTATGGTAGGCTCAAATGTGATTTGAACATCCCTAGCTATGGGATTTGGTGACCAAGCTCCCAAGAGAGGATGACACAGCACAGGGAATAGCACAGGCAGCTTGCCTTGCTTTGTAGGGGGCAGAGATGTGAAAGTCCTTGTTGAGGTCAGTGGAGCTGAGAGTACTCTTCATAATTTAAATGGACACGGGTAATTTCCTTACATGTAGGCAAGCCAGCCCTAGGGATAGGAAGGAGAAAGAAAAACAGGGAGTACAGAATGCAGATGGCTGCCCTCTGCTAATTAGGCCTTACCTTTATATAGAATGCTTTTGATTTTTTCAGACACTTTCAGGTATATTAACTCATGCACAGAGGTCAAATATTATTATTATTAAACAAAGTGCAGAGAAGTATTGAGAATTAGCTCAGTTAATGAATTAGCTCAACTAGGTAATAGATGCATTAAGATTAGATGGGGACAGTCACTCTGGAATGCCAGGAAAACAAAACATTCAGAAATAAGTATAGTAACCACATTAATACAATCAAGGGAACAAGCCTTTCCTTCCAAAGTGACGGAAATTAAGTTTACTTGTTGGTGTCCTTACTTCCATATTCATTCATTTGTTCATTCATTTATCATGTATTAAATGCTTCCTACTTGCTTATCATTCTGCTCAGTGGGCCTGGGGGATGTAGAAATGAGACATTATCTCTTTTCATTTGTTGAGGCCCTACAAGGTGCCAGAACCGTTCCAGGCGTTGGGGATATAGTAATTAAAAACAAAACAAAACAAACCAAACAAGAAATGTATAAGCCAGTGTGGAGTAAGTCAATTAAAATTAACAAAGCAAAAGGAAGTAAGTCCTATAATAAAAATGCCTTGATGGATAGAGGGATGGGTAGATGACCAGTTATGTTTTAAAGCAAGTATATATATAGTACGATGTTAGTGATAGAGTCTAGGTGGTGGGTATACTGGTGTTTGCTGTAAAATCTTTCAACTGTGCTCGAAAATTTTTATGATAAAATATTATGGAATAAACACTATAGGAATGACAAGGAAGATGCAGATTTGAGAAAAGTTTATGAAAGACATGGCATTCTTTTTTTTTTTTTAAGAGACAAGTCGATAGAGGAGTGCAATGGCATGATCACAGCTGCAACCTCGAACTCCTGGGCTCAAGTGATCCTCCTGCCTCAGCCTCTGGTGTAGCTGGGACTACAGGTGTGCACTACCATGCCCAGTTAATTTTTGTACTTTTTGTGGAGATGGGGGTCTCATTATGTTGCCCAGGCTGGTCTCAAACTCCTAGCCTCAAGTGATCCTCACTCTTCTGCCTCCCAAAATGTTGGGATTACAGGCATGAGCCACCCCACTGGCCTTTGGCATTCCTTTATCCTCCTCCTCTTCTCCTTAACTACCTAATATCCCCATGCTAACCCTTAGCTGTAGGTTCAACTTCCAAATTCCAATGGGCTATAAAGAGTTCTACAAAAGTCCATGATGACTAATAAATCTATCTAGTAGAGAAAAGACCTTTTGGAGAAGAGGCTAACTCTAGGACCACCTAAAACTCACCCACTCCATAGCTATTTGGTAAGGCACCCCTTTAGGAAACTTCACCCAAATGCCTGCTTCTGGGTACCAGGTAGTGGCCACTCTCCCCATCTTTGTCTCCTGTCTGAGCTGCTACCGAGTTTGATGTTAGATGGTGACATAAAATACAGTAATTCCTAGATATATGCGGAGGGACTGGTCCCAGGACAGCCTACATGTAACCAAATCCACACATGAAGTCCCACAGTCAGTCCTGAGGAAACTGCACAAATATTGTGTTTTCCATCTGCCCTTGGTTTAAAAAAAAAGCTGCATAAAAGTGAACCTCACAGTTTGAACCAGTGTTGTTCAAGTGTCAACTTTAATTTAAAAGTGAAAAAAGTTTGTTTTCTCTGGTATCCTTTTTTTTGTTTTGTTTTGTTTTTGTTTTTGTTTTTTGACACAGGCTCTGGCTCTGCTGACCAGGCTGGAGTGCAGTGGGGAGATCATGGCTCACTGCAGCCTCGATTTCCCTGGCTTGAGAGAAAATTATTTTTTTCAAAATAATCTTCAATTTAAGGTAATTTACTAAGTTTCAAAAGATAATGCTATTGACGTAAATTCTGTTTTAGATTGTAGGCCCCATCAGCTCATTGATACTAGTCCCAAGTTCACAGGAGAAGAGACTGGAAGTTACTAGGCTAGTCCTGCCTCTCTCAGGTGTGTCCCAGCAAAACTTTTCTTTCCAGTTTCAGCGCTTTAGAAACCTTTTCTCTTCAAACACTAATACAGGGCCTAGACTGTACCAGCACTGTTCTGAGAACTTTACATACACTAATTCATTTAATTCTCACAAAAATCCTGGGATGTAATTGCCATTATTATTCCCATTTAACAGATAAGAACACTGAAGCACAGAGAGATTAAGTAACTTGCTCAGGGACCTGGATGTGAATGCAGAAATCTGGCTCCAGAGGTGGAGTCTGAAACTGCCTTTCTAAGTGACTGATTGCCAATCTCTGGAAAACCGTTCAATTGAAGATATTAATGGATCAAAATGTCAGTATGTTTTCAGATACCCTAACTCCATAGGAAGCTCAGTGTATGGGATGAGATACTGTGGTTTAGAAGGGAATTGCTTTTCCAACGGAGGGCACCCTTCAGATAAGCCCCTCAAATTGCCCTTCACTAGAGAGTCGCACGAGGACAGGCCTGCTAAAAAGGATGGCGCTGGGGGGTTTCCAAGACAGGAAATATCTAAAGCCAGCGGCTGACATATTATCTTGGCGAACGGGAGAAGGGAAAAAGAACCCTCATTTTTTGGAAACACAAGTTTTTAGCCTGGATAATGGGTAAATGACATTAACTCTTCGTTCCACACTAATCTTTCAAGCTTGTTCAAATTTTGCTTCTCAAACCTGGGCCATTCCTTCTTATCTAATCTGCCTATTATTTCCTTCAAGCTTTTTATCCCTTCTGAAAATAGGTGGTAGCATACCAAATTAAAATACAGAACAGCCTGTTTCTTTCCCCCAGGGTCCACTAGGGCGCGTCGGAGAAAGGGTTAACCGGGCGGGTGGGAGGGAAGGTCGGGCTCACACCTTTCGCAGAGACCTCGGGCGGCGGCGGGGCCCGGGAGGGGCGGAGGCTGGGGCCAGACGCCTCGCCGCCTCCGCCTCGGCGAATAGCAGCGCGCTGCCCGCCCGGATTGGAGCAGCAGCATCACGCTGACCTCTGCCTGGGATGTAAACCGGACCAGCCGCTGCGGGCAAAGGAAGGCTCTTGGCTCCTTCGGGAAACCCAGCCCCGTCACCGGGCTCCGAGCGGCTCGCAGGCGAGCGACAGCGGCCTCAGCCCCGGCAGCGCCCAGCGGCGGCTGCGGAAAGCGGAGGGAGTCCGACGCGGGCGCGGGCGGGGAGCGTGCGTCCGTTCGCACAGGCAGCGGGAGGAGGGGCGGCGCGAACCATGGCCGGGGACAGCGAGCAGACCCTGCAGAACCACCAGCAGCCCAACGGCGGCGAGCCCTTCCTTATAGGCGTCAGCGGGGGAACAGCTAGCGGCAAGGTACGGCGGGGCCCGGAGCCGCGCTCCCTTCCCGGCTTCTGTCCCTGGGCGGCGCATGTGGCCGGCGGCCGCGGGCCGTGTCAGTTGCGGCAGCCACCGCGTGGCCCGCGCGCCTCCGCTCCCGGCCGCGCTCCAGCGCCGAGTGCGCCCCGCGCGGCCTGGGGGCGCTGCGGCGGGGGCAGGCGAAGACTCGGGCCTTGGGGGTTCCGGGGGTACGCGGCCACGATCGCAGGGCGGGAGTGCTCCTCCGGCTTTTCTCCCCCCGCGTTAATAACTCGTGGCCGGGGTCCTATGGGGGAAGGGCAGGGAAGCGGATGCTTATTGTTTTGCAACTCCAGTGTCGGGGGAGAGGGCTTTCCGCAGGATCCCCCACTAACCCCCGATGGACTCCCTCAAGCCCCGGTCTGGCACAGACGTGCTCGCCCCGCGGCGCAGCCTGGTGCCGAGGGCGGAGCGAGCCGGGAAGCGCGGCCGAGAGGGCGAGGGTGGCGGGAACGCGCGAGGCGGCATCCCGGGGAAGGGGAGCCCAGTGTGGGGCTGCACGCAAGGGCTGGGGATTACAGGGGTTTCCGGGTAAAAGTCTGAGAGCCAAATAGGTGCCGTGACATCAATGAAACGATAATAGTAGGGGCTTCTGTTTTTTAAGGTTATAAGAGGAAACGTGGTCGGCTTCAATGAGAAAGTTGTACTGGCTCCAAGCTCTTCGGTGTCCAGGACGTACGCGTCTTGGATCCACGGAAGGGGGTCATCGTATGGGTGTCTGACCCTCTTAGGAGCCTGTTTCCTTTGTTTTATCCGCAAGGCAAGGAGAGACAAGGGAAATGACTTCCTAGCTTTACCCGGGGTTTTTTCTGCAGGTGGAGAAGGGTGGAGTCCTCCCAGATGGTTCTTTCTTTGCTCCCCTAACAGCCTTTAAGATGTGGCTACTTGTTTTTCCCACCGTTTAACACCCTCCAACTTCATTTGGAGCACGGGTTCCTCAAGGGATCCTGAGAGCTGGGTGCTGGGTGCTGGTTTGGAGAGGCAGGATGATGCTTCTCCCGGCTGGGGAGAGCAGAGCAGGAAGGCTGGTTGGCGCCATGAGGAAAGAGCCACGAGGTTTTAGCTCCCGAACCGACTCGTCAGTAGCCCCTCCTCCATGTTGGTTTTACATTTTTCCCTCCTGGTCTGGACTACTTTAGCGCAAGGAGCCCAGCCAGACACGGCGGCTGGCGCTGCTGGACTTCTTTATTGATGAAGTTGATCTCGTCCGTAGCTCCCGGGGTTAGGAATCGGCCTGCTTTAGGTCCTGAAGTTTCTGTTCTGTGTGCTCCCTGGTTGAAGGCTTTTAAAAAAATTTGTAATTTTTGAGTATGTTCTTTACTATGACTTATACTAGTAATTCAAAGCAAAACCAGAATGCTAGCCCTTCAGGAAGCTTTACCTGTTCTTTTAGAATTATTCTTGCTCTTCTGGCATATTCCTGTTGGATTGGGAGCATTTTTTGTTGTTGTTGTTCATGGCTGTTTTCCCAGCCCTCCTAGCACAATGCCTGCCTGGCATGTAGTGGGGTCCAAATTTTAAGCTGAAGTCCAGTCCTCCTAAAGTGGGGAGGAGGCTTAAACTTGCATATGAGCTTTTAGAAACAAAATGATCTTGGTAATCATCTGAATAATTTAGTTACCACGAGGGTGAAAACTGCGACCCTAAAAGGTGAATAACTCTGTTATTGTTCTTCTTGTGTGTTTCTCAGTCGTCACCTGTTCTAACTTGATAATCAAGCTTTTGGTGTTACTTGGGTAAAGTGAGGGATGGGATAGTGGTGAGCCAATGTGGGAGTAGCTAATTCTCTGCTATTTTTATCCAGGAGGAAGAGTGTAGAAACTCTCAAGAAAGGAAGGGTCCGTTTTTCTGCAGTTTTCAAAGCATGTTGTACATTTTTATTTATTAATTTAATTTTTGAGACAAGGTCTCGCATTTCCACCTAGCCCAGAGTAAGTGGCACTGTCACAGCTCACTGCAGCCTCAGCCTCAACCTGGAGTAACTGGGAGTACAGGCTGGCACTATCATGACTGGCTAATTTTTTTGTTTGTTTGATTTGTTTTGTTTTTGAGACAGGGTCTCACTCTTTTGCCCAGGCTGGAGTGCCGTGGTGAGATCTTGGCTTACTGTACCCTCCACCTGTTGGGCTCAAGTGATCCTCCCACTTCAGCCTCCAGAGTAGCTGAGACTACAGGCTTGCACCATCATGCCCGACTAATTTTTTTTTTTTTGTAGAGAAGGGGTTTTGCCATGTTGCCAGGCTGATCTCAAATGCCTAGACTTAAGTGATCCGCCCGCCTCTGCCTCCCAAAGTGCTGGGATTACAGGTGTGAGCCACTACCTGGGCTGGCTTTTTAATCTTTATTTTTTTTATTATTTTTTTTTTTTGAGACAGAGTCTTGCTCTGTTGCCCAGGCTGGAGTGCAGTGGCATGATCTCGGCTCACTGCAAGCTCCGCCTCCCGGGTTCATGCCATTCTTCTGCCTCAGCCTCCCAAGTAGCTGGGACTACAGGTGCCCGCCACCACGCCTGGCCAATGTTTTTGTATTTTCAGTAAACACGGAGTTTCACTGTGTTAGCCAGGATGGTCTCAATCTCCTGACCTTGTGATCCGCCCGCCTCGGCCTCCCAAAGTGCTGGGATTACAGGTGTGCGCCACCACGCCGGCAATCTTTATTTTTTGTAGAGACTAGGTCACCATGTTGCCCAAGCTTGTTTGTACATTTTTGACATACGAATGATTGATAGTTTGTCATCCTTTAAGATTATTGATATTTTTGTTATTAAAAAAGTCCAAGACTGGGCCTGGTGGCTCACACCTGTAATCCTAGCATTTTGGGAGGCAGAGACAGGAGGATTGCTTGAGCCCGGGAGTTTGAGGCCAGCCTGGGCAACATAGTGAGACCCCATCTGTATAAAATGAAAATTGTGGTGGGTCGAGAAAGTTATTTTGACCTATGTTTAAAACCAGATTCTCAGCTTGGGCAACATGGTGAGACTTGTTCTCTACAAATAATAAAATTATCCAGGTGCAGTGCTGCAGGTCTAGAGGCTGAGGTGGGAGGAATGCTTGAGTATGGGAGGTCGAGGCTGCAGTGAGCTGTGATTGTGCCACTACACTCCAGCCTGGGTGACAGAGCAAGACCTGTCTCGAACAAAAACCAAAAAAGGTTATGGCTGAGTACGGTGGCTCACACCTCTAGTCCCAGCACTTTGGGAGGCCAAGGAAGGAGGATGCCTTCAAAACCAGCCTGGGCAACAGAGAGAGACCCCGTCTCTACGAAAAATTAAAAATTAGCCATGTATGTGCCACCAGCTTCTCAGGAGGCTGAGGCAGGAGGATGGCTTGAGCCTAGGACTTGGAGGCTGCAGTGAGCTTTGATGGTGCCACTGTACTCCAGACTGGGCAACGTAGCAAGACCCCATCTCAAAAGCAAACCAAACCAGATTTTCATATTTCCCCCTAAAGGACAGGTGTAATAACACTAAAAGGTGGAAAAAAACCCAGGCTAAACTTCTTTGCCTGCATACATATCTGTGACTTTTAGGTGTCATTCTGTTTCCTTTTCATCTTTGCCTGTTCCTTGTTCTGTAACCTCTTCATTGGACAACTAAAATAGCCTCTGAAACGAGAAAAATCTGCTCCATTACACTGCCATCAGAGTGGTCTTCCTTAGGAATAGCTCTGGATGTGCCATTTTCCTTTTTGGAAACCTTGGGTAACTCCCCACTGCTCAGTACAGGTCAAACACTTCAGTACAGTACAAATCCCCTTGGCCCCTAATATGGTCCCAGGCTATTATTTTTATTTTTTATTTTATTTTTTATTGAGATGGAATCTCACTCTGTCACTCAGGCTGGAATGCAGTGGTGCCATCTTGGTTTACTGCAACCTCCACCTCCTGGGTTCAAGCAATTCTCCTGCCTCAGCCTCCTGAGTAGCTGGGATTATAGGCATGTGCCACCAGGCCTGGCTAGTTTTTTTGTATTTTTAATAGAGGTGGGGGTTTCACCATGTTGGCCGGGCTGGTCTCGAACTCCTGACCTCAGGTGATCTGCCTGCCTTGGCCTCCCGAAGCGTTGGGATTACATGCATGAGCCACCGTGCCCGGCCTTATTTTTCTACACAGCCAAATGCACACAGACCATCTTACTGAACTGTCTTCACTTACATTTTTGCTCAGTGGTCTTCTTTTTGTAATGGCCTTTAGTCTTTTTAAGGCTCAGCTCTGTTAATACTTTCTTGAGGGAGCTTTGTTACCCATTTCCTTAATGAGAATTATTTTTTCTGTCTTCTGCTTCCATAGACTTACCATATCTTTCTTGTCTTATGCTTATTTGTTGACTGCTTCTTCCCGTAGAGTATGTGTTCTGTGAGAGAATACTTTTTCTTACTTAACCTGTTTAAGTGCTTGGGATTGAGGGGAAATAAGGATTTAAGAAACCATGAAAGAAGGTCTCTGTCCTTAGCAGTTTACTGTTTATAAATTTCTTCCACTGTGTTTATTACCAAGTCACTTTATCATTAAAGCATTTGATTATCTATTCCCTTTGAAGTCAGGCATGTGTCTTCCCTACTGGTAGATGACAATGGAAGATGAGGTTAGGGGAACTTTTGACTTAGTGGTAGGACTGGGATTAGGATCTAGGGTTTTATTTTTTATTTATTTTTGGGACAGAGCCTTGCTCTGTCACCCAGGCTGGAGTGCAGGGGTGCGAACTCGGCTCACTACAACTCCTGCGATTCTCCTGCCTCAGCCTCCCAAGTAGCTGGGATTACAGGTGCCCACCACAATGTCCGGCTAATTTTTGTATTTTTAGTGGAGACGGGGTTTCACTGTGTTGGCCAGGCTGGTCTCATCTTCTGACCTCATGATCCGCCTCAGCCTCCCAAAGTGCTGAGATTACAGGCATGAGCCTCTGTGCCCGGCCGGTTTTTTTTCTTAAAATCTGTACCTGTTTTGAACTTTCTCCACAAGCAGTGGCCTCTTCGTGTAAATATTTTTAGGGAGGTTGGCCTGTGTGTGACCATTATAGGATAAGAGAGGAGATGCTGTCCCCTCTGAGGTGTGGACTGCCACCTCAGTGCAGCTTGGCCGTGAGTCAGCATCTGCTTTTGGAATGCTTCAGAATGTGCTCTGGACCCGTGTCGGCGCCCACTGCTCTGTTCTGGAACCTTGGTCGCCATCCCCATCCAGCCAGATCACGTATTCCACACCTTCCTGTCAGGTGTTCCCAGGACTGTGGGGCTGGTTTGGTCCTTTTGCTGCTTTTCTCAGAGATGGCATTGTGTGTTTTCCGTCACCTCAAACTGCTGCCATGATCTGGCCCTTCGGACCTTCTTCCCTTTCCCCCTTACTCTAGCTAGTCCAGCCAGACCCACTCTTGGCATGGCAGGCTTTCCCCCAGCCAAGGATGTCCGCATTTGCTGTCTGCTCTGCCTGAATCTCTCCTGCTTGTTCACTGAGCCATGCCTAGCACGATGTCTGGTAGAATGAAGAAGAAACCCTGGGTCCTGCTGCCTCCAGTAGTTCCTATCCTGCTGCCTTTCCTCAGGCTGTATTTCTTCTTTGTTCCTTGAGTGTCTTTGAAGTATGGTTTCTGATGCTCACTCTGTTTGTGGTCACCTACCAGTTCACTACATAGCATTTGCTTTCATGTCATTTCTTTGTCAAATCTTGCTTTTATGAGGTTCTGTGATGGAGACAGATTGTCTTTGGGAATTTCACTGCTGAAGACCTGA
Organism: Homo sapiens; assembly: GCF_000001405.40. Lineage (NCBI taxonomy): Eukaryota > Metazoa > Chordata > Mammalia > Primates > Hominidae > Homo > Homo sapiens. The sequence continues at coordinate 165,833,698 of NC_000001.11, forward strand.
CCTTTTTTGCTAGTGGGCTCTGTGATGGTGCTGTTGGAACTACTTAAGGTCTCTAAATCTTAGACTTGTATTTCAGTATTTTAAAATCAATAAAAAGGGGTTGAGAGTATACTTTTATATGTGAGTGTGTATGCATGTCTGTATGCTTTCGTGTCCATTAAACCATTTCAGTCATTAAGCTGATTTGTCATGAAAGCATTCGATCTTTTCATCATATATATAAAATATATAAGTATAACCCATATATAATTATGACATACAAAATAGGAATAAAAAATGAGAAAAAGGAAACATTTAGAAACATAATTTCTTTAATGGTATAAAATCTTTTGATACTAAAATATTTTTTATTTGTGACTGAAGATTGAAAGACGTTTTATTTTTAAAAATCTTGTTTAATACTTGGTGAGTCTTGGATGACCTTGGTGGTGTTAGTTTTGGTGGTCATTCAAGACTGAAGGTTTTGTTCTAAGTTTAGTCTTCTGAATTTTTATTTAATGATTATCATATTTGAAAAAGTTACCTCTAAAAAGATCCAAGTAGAGGAAAGTCATCATTTTGTAGTACTTACTAAATCATGATATTCCCATCCTCCAGTTATGCTATGGCTTTTCCTTAAAACGAGCTAGAAAATTTTCATCCTGTAGTCCCAGCTACTTGGGAGACTCAAGTGGGAGGATTGCCTGAGCCTTGGGAGGTTGAGGCTGGAGTGAGCCTTAGTCCCACCATTGCAATCCAACCTGGGCAACAGAGCAAGACCCTATATCAGAAAAAACAAAAAAAGTGCAATTAGTAGACAATTTAATAGAATAACCTGAAAAATATAAAGAACCATATAAAGCCCTCCAGCATTAGGCTTTCAGGCCTCATAAGCCATAATTTGATTGGATGAGGGGGCAGTGGTTCTAAATGTATGCCTGAGAATTTTGAACAATGACAGAAGGTGACAACTCTGAAAAATTCAGTTTGCTTTGCCAACTCGCTATTGGCAATACTCTTTCCATAACATGGGTTTCTTTCTTTCTTTTTTTGTTTTTTTTAAAGCAGTTGTTTTTACTTGGTTTCTCCCTGTGAAACTACAGGAAAAGTGTCAGTATTTCTGTGAATGCCTACACTTAACCTTCAGTACCCTATGGGACAGGTGACCAGCAGGCAGTACTTTTTCTTCCTGTCCCATGTAGTGTTTGGTAAGAATTTTGCCTGGTACGTACATGGCAGAAACATAACAATTTTGTGTGGGTTGTAGAGTTGTGCTTCTTTATTTCTTTATTCAGCCCATAAGTATGCTATTTGGTCTGACATTTTTACCTTTTTTTTGGCTGACTAGCAGGGAGCAAGGGCTGTTTTGTCATCTCAGCTAGCATGCTCTGCTTTCCCTTGCCTGTCCTCTAGAAGTCCAAAGTTCTGTGTTTCTGGGATTGCTTTTCCCTGGGAGTGGAGATGAGCACTGTCTTTGCCCTTCGCAGGCTTCTAGTCTCCTAGGCTGTCTAGAGAAAGCTTGTGATAGAATGGGCTGATAACAGTGCTGATTTTGGACTATGGTCTAAAAGACATTTTTGTATTCATAACCGCTAAGAGAATTCTGGAGAATTCTTCATCCCATTTTGCACATATAATATATATATTTTTATATGTTGTAAAAATATGTATTTTTAAAATTAGTTATTATTATTATTATTATTATTTCAGAGACTGTGTCTCACTATGTTGCCCAGGCTGGCATGAACTCCTGGCCTCAAGCGGTCGTCCTGTCTTGGGCTCCCAAGGTGCTGGGACTACAGGCAAGAGCCACTGTACTGGGCCCCATCACATATTTTTGACATCAGTTTTTTTCATTATAAATAAAGAGTTGAAAAGGAAGTGATTTCTGATATATTGTAAATATACACTTAAAAACAACAATTGTTTCATTATTCTTTTAAATGTATCTGATGGGCTCTAAATCTATAATAATTTGACCTATTGTCATACATTTTAAAACATGTAGATGAACAAGCTCTTATTTGAGTCAGAAATGTTTATTTTTCTTTTTTCCTCAATCATATTTCAGTTCCACTTCCCCTGCAAAATATTAATTTAATTTCATTTATTTTTATGCTTGAAAATATTTTATTGGTCGTTCTATCACACGTGACAGAAGTATACATTAAAATTTTATTTCCTGTTCTCATGAATCTAAGTATTTATTTCTTTTCGATTGCATTACTACTGTACTTATTAGTATAAAATTCATCAAAACAAATGGATACTGCCGGGCGCGGTGGCTCATGCCTGTAATCCTAGCACTTTGAGAGGCCTAGGCAGGCAGATTACCTAAGGTCAGGAGTTCAAGACCAGCCTGGCCAACATGGGGAAACCCCGTCTCTACTAAAATACAAAAATTAGCTGGGCATGGTGGCTGGTGCCTGTAATCCCAGCTACTCCGGAGGCTGAGGCAGGAGAATCACTTGAACCCAGGAAGCAGAGGTTGCAGTGAGCTGAGATTGCACCACTACACTCCAGCCTGGGCGACAAGAGCAAGACTCCGTCTCAAAACAAAAAACAAAACAAAAAAAACAACCAAATGGATATGTTATACATTTTTTTGAAGAAAACATCTTGATGAGATAGAGCCTTCCACCCCCAATTATTTGATGATTCTGTGGATAATTACTATTTAATACTAGAATAAGATTTTTCATTTGTATAGATCTAAGCTTTAAGGAACCCTGTTGACATAAATAAGTAGATGGAAATGGACAGAATATTGTTATATGAAGGTCACTTAGACTCAGTTTTTACCTTTAAAATTATATGTCAAAATACAGTGGATTTTTTGAATCAACTAGCTTGCCATTCATCTCCTCTAATTTTGTAGAAAGCAGGAAAACTGGAAACCTCCAGACTTGTAAAAGGAATTGTTATTCAGTCATTAAGTCATTCATCTTCCAGTATCAGCTCGAGTATTTTAGATCACCTTTTTGCATGGATTCAGAGTGGAGGGGTGATGGGCCTTTATTTTGTAAAGTGGGAGAAGCCTGATTGTGAAAAAGTATGCTTGCTTTCATGTGGCTCAGGAAGTTTTCATGTACCCTAGTTTGAAGACAACTGATTTAGGTAGCTTGGTGTCTTAGTCTGTTTTGTACTGCTATAGCAGAATACCTGATAATGAACAGAAATTTATTTCTTACAGTTCTGGAGGCTAAGAAGTCCAAGATTGAGTGCCTGACACCTGGCCTTTTTGCTGTGTCATGGTCATCCCGTCCTGGAAGGCAGAAGGGCAGGAGGAGAGGAGGGGGAGGGAAGTGCCTGTCCTCGTGCACAAAAGTTTCAAACAAGAGGTTCCTTTTATAAGGAACCCACCCCTGTCATAACGAATCTGCTCCCACGATAATGGCATTAATCCAGTTCATGATGGTGGTGCCTCCAAGATGCAAACACCTCCCATCAGGCCCCACTTCCCAACACTGCCACATTGGGCATCAAGTTTTCAACACGTGAACTTTGGAGGACACTTTCAAACCACAGCCCTTGTGTTCCAGCCCACTGTTGCCACTTACTTATTAAGTATCTGTATATTCATCTACAGAAGAGGGTCCTTACAAGCCCTTACATTTTGACAGTTCTGTAACTAGCCTTGAGTATCCTGTAATTGTTACCACTGGTCACACAAAGTACTTCTTGAATCTGAACCTGTGTAAGTGGTAGTCATTTGTAAGCTTTCTTTGGTGGGGTTCTGAAAGACTGACATCCCCTGCCGTTTGCTAACATTCATCTCAACTGGATACCAGTTAGATTTCCTGAAGGTCCTGGGACCCTTCAGTATGCTTACTGTCACTTTTAAGCCTTTGCAGGTGTTGCTCTTTTGCTCTTTTTGGGGCCTCCTCTTCTATGTTGCCAAAGCATCCTAAACAGACCTCAGTTACAGAATTTTTTTCCCTTGCCCTGTGTGGTCCTTGCTTGTTTAGTCTATCTTCTCTAGACTGAGCTCTCAGGATCAGGGACTTTGTTTTACCTCACTATTGCCTGAAGCTAACAAGTGTCCAAAAACGGGAAGGATGAGGAGGTTCTCAAATGTTTGTAGAATAACCAAATATTAAGTAATTTTTTTTCAAACTCTGTGTATCATAGGAATCTCAACATTTCCAATATTGAACTCCTCATCTCACCCCTTGAACGTGCTCAATCTTTAACCTCACCATCTCAGTTGATGACAGCTTCATCTTTCTAGTTGCTCAGGCCTAAAACCTCGGGGTTATCCTTGACTACTCTTTATTTCTTCTGTAGCCTCTCAGGCTGTCTAGAGAGAGCTTATGAAGAATGGGCTGGTAAGAGTGTTGACGTTGGACTGTAGTCTTCAAACATGTTTGCATTCATAATCGCTAAGTGACTTGGATCCATTCCCTTAGGAAATCCTGTTGGCCCTGCCTTCACAACATATCTGCAGCCTGAGCACTTTTCCACTCCTTTGCTTCTACCCTGGTCCAGGTCATCATCATCTGTCAGTTGCATCATTGCAGTTGTCTCCTGACCCATCTCCCTCTTCTTTCTTTGTGTACACATTCTATTCTCATAACAGCCAGAGTGATCCCGTGAAAATGAAAGTTGGATAATTCCCTGCTCTGATACAACCCTGCAGTGGCTTCCCATTTTACTCCTAGTAAATTAAGTCTACAACAAGATCGGGAGGGCCCTAGAAATGCATCCTTTGCACTGGCTGTTCATTCTGCCAGGGCATCTCTTGATATCAGTATCGTTAACCACCTTCCCTCCTTCAAGTGTTGCTCACGTGTCTCCTTCTCATGATCACTCTATTTAAAATTGTAAACATTAGACACTCAAATATCTGTTGAATGGTTGAAGAATGAGTTACTTTGCTCAGTTACTGCTTCTAATACTAGTTTTAACATTAAACCTGTTGCTGGGGGATGTGGATAGTTGTCCCTTTGCTGTTCACATTTGTATTTCCTCTTGGGGTACCATCACCTGGATAAGATTGCTGGCACATTGTCAGTCACTGAGCTTGGTCTTGTAAGTGTGCATGCTAGATGGCTTAGGTGCCTGTTTAGTGGTGCATTAAAAAAAATCAGGCTGGGTGCAGTGGCTCATGCATGTCATCGCAGCACTTTGGGAGGCCGGGATGGGCAGGTCATCTGAGGTCAGGAGGTCGAGACCAGCCTGACCAATATGGTGAAATCCCATCTCTACTAAAAATACAAAAATTAGCTGGGCATGGTGGCGGGTGCCTGTAATCTCAGCTACTCGGGAGGCTGAGGCAGGAGAATCACTTGAACCAGGGAGGCGGAGATTTCAGTGAGCCGAGATCGTGCCACTGCACTCCAGCCTGGATGACAGAGCAAGACTTCGTCTCAAAAAAAAAAGAAAGAAAAAATCAGAGAGTGACTTTAACTTAAACTTTTAACTTTAAATTCGTATTGTCAAGCTCTTAAAGAACTGTCACCTATTTTGTTTAACTCAATGCTTTTTTTTTGATTGAGGTAAGATATGCTTTTTTTATTAGTCAATGGCTACATTTTTCTCTACCTCCTTTTGTAGAGAAAGTAAACATTTGAGAGCAGAAGGAATAGAATATTGAGTGATACATAGTGTTTGAACAAGAGAGGTAGTGAATACTCTTCAGGAAGGAAATGCAAGCTGAGCGAGCCCTCCTTGTCTGACTACAGAGGGATGACAGAAGCTGAAGTGGGCATCAGATTGGCCATTTGATTTCTGGAGGAAGGGGTCAGGAGACATCCATTGTTAAGGTGGAAAAGCTTGTGTTTTAGACCTGTCTTCTGGGAAGAACTCAGTCCTAGCCTGCCATGAGGCTCTTCTTGCTGGGTCTTGGTGGAGTTTAAGGTGTTTTTTTGGTGTGATAGAATTGAAGCTTTATAATGTGTCCACTTCAAGTTAAGATAGAGAATCCCTGGTTTGTTCAGAAGATGCTTCCTTGTTGAGGTAAGCCCAGGAAGCTTGATGGAGTGGAGAACGTGCGTGGGTTTTGGAGTCAGCCAGGCTTGTGTTAACATCCCTATTTGGCCACTTTTAATCTGTTTCTTCTGAACCTATTCCTACATCTGTGAAAAGGAGATGATGTCTGGTTTGGAGAGGTGTTAGGGTTAAACGATAAAATGTATGCAGAGGTATATACATAGCAATGCTTCTGCAGTGGGCCGGTCACTTGCCGGTACCGTGATTCATGTTCTGTGCAGATGTGCTGTCAGAACAGGCTGGTTGGCCAGCCTTCCCCCACCCCGGCCCCCGCCCCAGACAGAGTCCTGCTGTGCTGCCCAGGCTGGAGTGTGGCGCGATCTCGGCCCACTGCAGCCTCTGCCGGGTTCAAGCAATTCTCCTGCCTCAGCCTCCCAAGTAGCTGGGACTACAGGCGTGTGCCACCATGCCCGGCTACTTGTTGTATTTTTAGTAGAGGCGGGGTTTCACCATGTTGGCCAGGCTGGTCTTGAATTCCCGACCTCAAGTTATCCCCCGGCATTGGCCTCCCAAAGTGCTGGGAGTACAGGCGTGAGCCACTGTGCCCGGCCTGGTCAGCCTTTAAAAATGTTTTTAAATAGTTATTCATTGATTTTAATTGACAAATGAAAATATATTTATGGTGTGCCCATTAATGTTTTAATGTATGTATACATTGTGGAATGGTTAAATCAGGCTAATTAGCATATCTGTTACCTCACTTAGTCATTTTTTTGTGGTGAGAACAATTGAAATCTACTCTCTTGGCAATTTTCAAGTATACAATACATTGCCATTGACCATAGTCAGCATGTGGTGCAATCGATCCCTTGAACTTGTCCCTCCAGTGTATCTTTGGTCAGTCTTGCCGTCCAGTTCTAGCCAGCACTGCTCCCTGGCATCTGTGCCTGACAGGGTCCAGGAATGGAGGCATTGATAGTGATAAGGAGCCTTTATAGTTTAAGTCCCACTGACTAATGTGAGTTATTACTTCTTTGCTGATAAGACCCATAGCTAGTCAGATATTGGGCACCCTCTTCCTGGGTCGACCTTTGAAGTTTCTTATTCTTGTCTTACCAGCTTTCTGTAGGCCTTAGCGATCCTTTCCTGTAGTTAAGTTGTGCCTTTTTCCTAAAGGAGTTAAGGTCTCTTGTTTTGTAGTAGGTAGTTAGGGGGAGAAAAAACAGTTTATTAGCATCTTTTTAAAAAAACCTTTTAATTACTAATAGAACACCTAGCAAAATGTATAAATTCTAAAAGCACGGTTCAATGAATTATCATATGGTGAACATAGATTATTCCCAGCACCACAGAAAGCCCTCCCATTGCTACCTCTCCTATCAACTGTTTCTTGATAACCTGCTAGAGGCAAGGTAGTGTTTGACCAATATCTGTGTGACTCTAGTAACTTAGCCTTGTACAGGAGATATATATTTGTGTGTGCACACGTATGTGTGTGTGTGTGTATATATATATATATATATATAAAATGAATATAAAAATCTCCATGATCCTAGCAAAATCCTACTGCTGCTGCTGCTGCTTTTTTTTTTTGAGATGGAGTTTTGCTCTTGTCACCCAGGCTGGAGTGCAATGGCACGATCTCGGCTCACTGCATCCTCCGCCTCCTAGGTTCAAGCAGTTCTTGTGCCTAAGCCTCCCGAGTAGCTGGGATTACAGGCGCCCACCACCACACCCAGCTAATTTTTGTATTTTTAGTAGAGATGGGGTTTCACCATGTTGGCTAGGCTGTTCTCAAACTCCTGACCTCAGGTGATCCACCCCCAATCAGCCTCCCAAAGTGCTGGGGATTACAGGCGTGAGCCACCGCGCCTGGCCTGTACTACTTCTTTAATCCAGGTCACAAATTGCAGTTTTTGAAGCTTCCACCCCTTCCTGCTCCTGAAAGAAAAGGTCCATGTCTTCGTTCATTCAGCCATTCATTCAGTAAATATGTGTTGATTACTTATAGTGTGTCAGACACTTGTGAGGTGCTGGGAACACAGCAGTGCATTAGAGAAAGGCCCTGACCTCAGGGAGCTTGTATGTTTAGGTCTGACTCATCTGTGCTAACCCAGTGCCCAGTGTCATGGTTGGTGTTTTTAAGCGTCTGCCAAACTGAATTAAGTAGTACTCCCTTTACTGGTTTCCTGTAGCAGTCATTCTCTTGTGTCATGGTTAGCTGTTTACACCTCTAGATTCCAGGATCCTGCAGTGTCAGTTATCCCTCTTGTGTCCCCAGTCTCGTGCACAGGGAGGGCTTCAGTCTGATTGTTGAAAGTATGCTAAATACCAAGTAAATGCTACAGTCATAAAGTGTTGTCGCAGGTGGAGAGGAGTCAGAAAGTGTTAATGACTATGCTAAAGCTTTTCTTGCTAAAGTCACCAGTAATCACCTAGTCTCTAAATCCCGTTGGAGCTGTAGATTCTTTACCTTGACTTTTCTGTAACACTTGACAGTGCCCTTGTCCTCTGGGAAACTTTTCTTGGTTTCACTGCTCTTGGCTGGTTGGCTTTCTTCACTCTCACCATTCTTCTCAGTCATCTCTGGGCCCTTTTCTGCCTATGGCTGTGTCATGCCTCAGAATCCCCTTCTTGATTCCCTGTTTTTTCCCCCTCCATGTTCTGTATTCTCCATTTGTCAGTGCTTCGCAGATTGGGTATTTCCTGCCTTGAGTCCTTTCCTGGGCTTCTTTCTCATTTATTCAGCTGTCACTGGGCATTTCCACATCATGTTCTTCACCAATGATTATCCAGAATGAGACCCCTAACAATACCTGCCTCCTGTTCCTAGCCACAGACCTGCTGCTCTACCTGTATTTTCTCTCCACACAGATGTACAAGACAGAAACCTTACAGTCATCTCTGTCACTCCTGCACTTCCACATTCTCCCACATCCATCCTGTCTCCTGGTGCAGTCAATCTTGCTTTCTGAATTTCTCTTGAAATAATTTCTCCTCCCAATCCACATCCATATTTCTTGCCTGGGTAACTCTCCACTGACTGATTTCCCAGCTGCCAATCTGGACCACCTCCAAAACATTTTCCACATTGCTGCTGGAGTGATCTTTTAAAAATGCAACTCCGATGTTGCCTGTCCGTCGGGTACATTCTTCAATAGCTCTTCTTTGCCTTCAGTCTTGCTGTCATCCTGTTCTCCCAGCTAAGCCACAGGAGGCTTAGTCCCTCCAGCCTTGCTTCCTGTCACTCCCTCTTTGCCTTATCGGTCCTCCCCAACCCTGAGTTGTCAGCACTTCCAGTTCCCAGCTCTTGAGAGCTCACCTCCACACTAGTGCACGTGTGTTGATGCTGCTGCTTCTGATGTGCCTCTTTTGTGTGGTCACTTTTACTCATCCTTCAAAGACCTCTTGAGCTGTCACTTCCCCTAGGAAGTGTTCTGTCAGTTGACTGCAATCTGAATTGAGGTTTGCATCCTGTGTTTTTCTTTCTCTGACACCACCCCATACTGTTCTCTTCTCAGTAGACTGAGTTTCAGGTCACTGTCTTTATCTCTGTCCATTGTGCCTAGAATATTGTAGCTGCTCAAACATACTTGAGTGAATGTATTCAAGTCCTTTTTTTTTTTAAACCATGATTGTGAGATTGGATTACCTGGGAGTTCATCTGGGTCTTTTTTGTTTCTCATTCTCATGTCAGAATTTAAGATTTGAAAACTGAATTTCACATGTATAGTTTTGGGAAAAGTCATCTTTAAATGAACCCTACATTTATGGCAAAAATTAGGGACAGGACTGAGTTTCAAGAAGTCGTTAGGCCACAGGTTTTTTGAGGGATGGCACAGGCTTTTAACTTACTAAAAAGGACAACTTTTGGCTGGGATTGATGACTCAATGCCTGATGACTCAATGCCTGTAATCCCAGCACTTTGGGAGGTCAAGGCAGGAGGATCACTTGAGGCCAGGAGTTTGATACCAGCCTGTCAACATAGTAGAACCCCCCATCTCTACAAAAAATAAGTAATGAGCCAGGTGCAGTGGCATGCACCTGTAGTAGGAGCTACTCAAGAGGCTGAGGTAGGAGGATCTGTGGAGGCCAGGAGTTTGAGGGTGACAGATGGAGAGACCCTGTCTCTAAAAAACAGGAGAACAACCTTTATCATACTTTGCCACTTTTTATTCTTAATCAGAAGTAACACATGTTCTTGTAAAATGTTGATTTAATACTAATGGAGTGCCTACTGCAACTCTCTTGATTCCACTGCCTTATTTTTTTCTTATATCACTAATACCATTTGAAATAATTTTGCACGTGTTTATTGTTTATCTCTTTTCAATGTATTTCTTTTGGTAATAGCTAATACTTCCCGAGCACTAACTATATACTGAGTGCTATTCTAAGTGTTTTATTTGTATTAATGCCTTTATTTCCTCTCACAGCCCTTTCAGGTAAGGTACTATAATTATCCCCAATTTCAACATGGGAAGACTGTAGCACCAAGGAGTTAAGTACCCACTGTGTATAGAGTGCCAGGTGGGGCTGGCATTTAAACTCTTGGCTTCAGAGTCCAAAAAACCTACTCTGCTCTATTGAGTCTCAGTGCAAGCCTGAAAGGGCACGTATGCCTTCTCCTGCAGTGCCTGCACCTAGAACGGCTCCCTCCTCGTAGTTGACATTCAGTGTGGATGAACACGAGGTATTCCAAGTAAGAAGTAAAAATAAAATCCTTCAGCACCTGTGGTACTGTGATATAATAAGAAATATGTGTTTGGTCTCTGCCCCCTCATTCCTGGCACAGAGCTCCTAAAACCCTGTGGATAGGGGCACTAGGAGAACCTCTTGTTCTAATATGTTCCTGACACAGAGCACCCTCAAACCTTTGTAATTTCCTGGGTGATAACAGAGCTCCTAAATCCCTTAGAATTTCCCAGGTGATAGGAGCATCTTTTGTTCTAACAAGATAACTGTGGTGGGCTCCTGGATAGCCAGGATGGTGGCTGGTTGCTAAGGGAACGAACCGCGTGATTACGGTGTTAGAACTTTCAGCCCCATGCCCCTGACCTCTGGGGAGGTGAGAGGGAGAGGGGGGCTGAAGGTCGAGCTGATCACTAATGACAGCATTGTGATCAATGATGCGTATGTAACGAAGTTTTCATAAAAACCCAAAAGGACAGTGTTTGAATGAGCATCCAGATAGCAGAACAGGTGGGGGTTCCTGGAGGGTGACTGCCTCGAGAGGGTGTGGAAGCTTTGCACCCTTCCCACATGCCTCACCCTTTGCGTCTTTTTAATCTGGCTGTTCCTGTGTTTCCTTTATAATCTTTATAATAAATTGTTCCCTTTATAATAAATGGGTAAACATAAGTAAGTGTTTCTTTGAGCTCAGTGAGCCAAGCTAGCAAATTAATCGAACCTGAGGAGGGGTCATGAGAACCCTGATTTAAAAACCTCTGTCAGAAGCACAGGTCACAACCTGGGACCTGCCATTGGCATCTGAAGTATGGGGCAGTCTTGGGGACTGAGCCCTCAGCCTGTGGGATCTGGCGCTCTCTCCAGGTAGATCGTGTCAGAATTGAATTACAGGACATCCAGCTGGTGTCTGCTGATGAATTGATTGGTTGCTGGTGGGGAGAAATCGCCATACGTTTTGGTGACCAGAGGTGAAATATTCTGTGCACGGTAGAGGGTAGGAAAGGCACTTTGGTTTTTTTCCTACATCTTCTTGGCGCACTCTTCCTCAGAGGTTAGTTGCTGTAATTTGTTTTCCTCATAAAGCTTTTCCTTTTCAATTACAAATATATATTTATGCACAGATGTAGTACTTATAAAATGAATGTTACCTCTCTTGGGAAACAGACTTTTTTTCTTCGCAACTCTTTGGAGAGCATGTCCCTTGAGGTGTGACATTATTTTAGCTGTGTAACAATTAACTGGATCTGAGTTGTTTTACATCAGCTAAATATCAGTCTCCTTGAGATTTGGGAAATATTTAAGTCTCATCAGCAGTATTTTGGGGAAGGGGGTGCTCCTGCAGACAGCAGCTGCTGTTTTCTGTTTGTTTGTTCATTGATTGATTGATTGAGACACAGTCTCGCTCTGTTGCCCAGACTGGAGTGCAGTGGCATGATCACTGCTCACTGCAGCCTCAACTTGCTGGACCCAAACAATCCTCCTGCCTCAGCCTCCTGAGTAGCTGGTACTATAGGAGTGTGCCACCATGCCCAGCTAATTTTAAAATTCTTTTTAGAGATGGAGTCTCACTTTTTTGCCCAGGCTGATATCTAACTCTGTACTCCAGTGATCCTCCTGCCTCGGCCTCCGAAAGTGTTGGGGTTACAGGTATGAGCCACTGTGCCCAGCATTCTGTGCGTTCTCACTGGCTGTCATGCCCTGCAAAGAAAGTTGACCAGGTGCAGTGGCTCATGCTTGTAATTCCAGTGCTTTGGGAGGCCGAGGTGGGATGATCACTTGAGCCCAGGAGTTCCAGACCAGCCTGAGCAACACAGTGAGATCTTGTCTCTACAGAAAATTAAAAAAGAAAGTAAAAAAAATTAGCTGAGTGTGGCACCTGTGGCCTAGCTAGCTACTCTAGAGACTGAGGTGGGAGGATCACTTGAGCCCAGTAGTTTGAGGTTACAGTGAGCTATGATTGTGCCACTGTGCTCCAACATTGGCAGTAGAGTGAGACTTTGTCTCTAAAAAACCACAACATTTTAAAATTTATTTAATGTCCCTGGATTCCTACAGGTATTGAATTCCTATGGGTATGGGATTTTGACTGTGGTCTTTTCCTAGTTTCTATAACTGTGCTGATAAGAAAAAAGAGACTGCCCTTTTTTTTAAACAAAACAAAACAAAACAAAACATCTGGAAGTTGGTCAAGTCTTATCTTTCCTTCTGTTTCTCTCTGGTGGTAGCAGACAGTTTACCTGTAGGTCAAGAGTTTTTAGATTAGCCTGGGATCCATGGATAGGAGTCAGAAGGGCTATCTATCTTCTGAAACCACATGTAGAATTTAGTTAAGTGTGCATTTCACATTTCACTGGGGAGAGTGTTTCATGTCAGATCCCAGGATGAGGATAAGCACGAACACTTTTTGATATAGGTGTATTCTTTGTCAAGTTGGCAACAAGGATCCTGGAAGCTGACTTGATTTAGGGATTAGAACATGTTTTTCCTTTTTATTCCTAGTCCCAGAAAATGATATCAGTGGGAATAAAATGAGAGAGGGCAGTTTGGACTGTTCCTCAGTGAAGAACAGGGGTTTGCACTCATCAGGTGGATGTATGGGCTTAGCCTGTATGCGGGGGCACCTGTTCATATTAAATCTCATGTTGTGGTGTGACAGCAATGTCATGACTGCCTTTGTCCCCTTGTGAGCTTTGTATCATGTAGAGTGGAGATAGCTCACACCCTCATTTAACTGGCCAGTTAATGAGGCTGCTGCTGCTGTGAAGTGTGTGTGTGCTTGTATATTGTTAAAAACTTAACATATAGGTTATTACTTTGGTAAAAGTAAAAAAAAAAAGTATATGGTATAAAAAGACAAATCACACTGTCTCAGTGGTACCACTTCCTAGTGAAATGATCTTGGGCAAAGTTACTCGCTGTGTGTCAATTTTCCTCATCAATAAAATGGGTACCAAAGTAGTGCCTGCCTGTATTGTGAGGATTGTAAAGATTACATAAAACAATAAATAATTCAGAAAAGGCAATTGAAATGTTTTCTGGTATATGGAAAACTGACAATAATTATCTCTTATGATGGTGGTGGTATTGATAACAATAATGACACCTAGAAAGGCCTGTAACCAAAAGTCAGTAGTCCTTCTTTCTTCACCCCAGCCCATTTTTAAGAAACAACCACTTTTAAATCCTCTAGCTATTTCTTTTATCTCCATATTTCAAAAAATTACATTTTCCTAATTTGCATCACTCCCTCAGCCTCGACTATGTTAAGCTTCTTTATTGACTTTCTCTTTTAGAAGATCAGATCAGGTTTTTATTTTTTTCTAGAGATAGGATCTCACTATGTTTCCCAGGCTGGAGTGCAGTGGCTATTCACAGATACCATCATAGCACATTGCATCCTTGAACTCCTGACCTCAAGCGATCCTCCTGCCTCATCCTTCAGAGTAGCTAGGGCTACAGGCATATGCCACCATTCCCAGCTTGAAGATTAGGGTTTTTTCTTTGTTTGTTTTTTGAGACTGAGTCTTGCTCTGTCACCCAGGCTGGAGTGCAGTGGCGTACTCTTGGCTCACTACCTCTGCCTCCTGGGTTCGGGGTTTCACCATGTTGGCCAGGCTGGTCTCGAACTCCTAACCTCAAGTGATCTGCCCACTTTGGCCTCCCAAAGTGCTAGGATTTACAGCCATGAGCCACTGCACCCAGCCGAAGATTAGGTTTTAAGTGACACCTCCTGTTTCCCTACACTTTTCTTCATCTTCTGATGCAATTATATGAAGTTTTGGTTAAATTGGCATTTAGTGTTAACATAATGATCATATGAACATTTTAACTGCTAACCTGAGTTGAAAAAGTTGGGTGAAATATTGTTTATTGACTTTAGTTATGAGTGAAGTTAAAGGTTGTTGTGTGGTTGCAGTTTATTTAGGTTTATTTTATGACTTGCTCATTTTTCTCCTCAGATGCTCAGTTTTACCTTACTGGTTTGTACAAGCAGTCTGGACTCTTAGAAAATATTGGTGGAGGTTGAACTTCTTGAAGAAACGTTGAGCTTTTGTCAGGTGTGGTGGCTTACGCCTGTAATCCCAGCACTTTGGGAGGCCAGTGCAGGAGGACTGCTTGAGGCCAGGAGTTCGACACCAGCCTGGCCAACATGGTGAAAACCCATCTCTACAAAAAATACAAAAATTAGCCGGGTATATTGGCGTGTGTCTGTAATCCCAGCTACTCAGGAGGCTGAGGCAGGAGAATCGCTTGAACCCACCGAGGCGGAGGTTGTAGTGAGCTGAGATCATGCTGCTGCACTCCAGCCTGGATGACAGAGCAAGACTCTTGTCTCCAAACAAAACACACACACACACACACCCACACACACACACACACCCCCAAAAACCCCCTGAGCTTTACATCCATAGATGAGGAGTTTGGAATACAAATAGATGACCTGTTATCTGTGTCAGCTTTTGATACTATCTGCCCTTCACGTCTTTATTCTTAGATTGTCATCTGTGGGTGGAAAACCTTAAGTTTCTACCCATAGAAATAAGCCCACCATATTTCAGAAAACATGGTGGGTCATAGGAAAGCACTCAGATGGGACAACCTAGTTGGATTTGGTACAAAATGAGCCAGATGTGGGAAAAGGCAAATTAATATGATTATGAAAAGTAAGAATGATGGAGCTGGGTGCGGTGGCTCAGGCCTGTAATCCCAGTTTGGGAGGCTGAGGTGGGAGGGTTGCTTGAGGTCTGGAGTTTGAGATCAGCTTGGCCAACAAAGTGAAACGCCATTTCTTAAAAAATATAGTAGGGAAGAGCAGAGGTTTCTTAAGAGTGCACTCAACAAAAGGATTAGGCTGATCTAATAATTGGAATGTCAGTATTGATTTAGTTTTCCTTGGTACAGTCTACCCAGAGTGGGGGAAGGGGCAGAGCATAAGGATAAAGGGGGAGTTGTGGTTTTGTGGATCTCAGGTGTTTACCAATGAACTAGGTGGAGGTGGTCAGGTGGTGGAGAGCTTCTGTTCTGAGAACCTGACCGAGAGGCAAAACATTGTCTCTATGTAGTGCTTGGCACAACCGTGGGCTCCGATCTGGGAAAGAGTGGACTCGGGACCACAGCAGATTTCTCTATGGGGCTGCAGTCAATGAAATTGTCCTGAAGCAAGCCTGGTCTAGGGCGTTCTGGCCTCTAAGATTGAGAGGGATGGTGGACAGGGCAGTGGGCCAGAGGTGAAGTGAGATGAGGAAGGCCAAGCCTTTTTCTCCTGAGGAAGCCAGTGCTAGGGCACTAATTATAGTTTTACACAATGCCAGCTTCCAGCCTGCATAGAGAAACATGAAATTTCTGCTTAAAACAGAGTTCCTTTTTCCATTTTTGGCTCTAAACTTTTTGTGTTGGAAGTTAGGAACCAATTTTGGAGAGTGATTGTAGTGAGGGAATCTGGAAAACCTGCGAAAATGGAGAAGCTCATTTTAGGCAGGAAAAATCTGTCTCTTGGAATGAGTAGCAGAGGGTTTTCTTGCTCAAGGTAGTTTTCTTTTCTGTTCTTGGTGTGGTGCCTGACTCCACATTTTTCACCCAGCTCTTAAACAGGTTTTGCTGAGTAGCTACAGGCAAGTCATCTTCTCTGTAAATTAGGTGTAGTTAATAACACCTGTTACTCAGAGAGTGACTGGATTAACAGGTAAGAGTTTGGACTGGAGTGACCCAGAAATGGTATGAAATAGTGAGAAGAACTTGAGATCGCTACGTGTCCCAGAGAAGACACCTTCCTTAGATCTAAGTTGAGGAGACTGAATTAAACAGCCTTTGTTCATTTAAAAAACTGTTTTTATTTTTATTTATTTATTTTGAGACAGAGTTTTGCTCTTGTTACCCAGGCTGGAGTGCATGTTGTGATCTTGGCTCACCACAGCCTCCACCTCCTGGGTTCAAGCGATTCTCCTGCCTCAGCCTCCCGAGAAGCTGGGATTACAGGCATGCCCAACCACGCCCGGCTAATTTTGTATTTTTAGTAGAGATGGGGTTTCTCCATGTTGGTCAGGCTGGTCTCAAACTCTCGACCTCAAGTGTTCCATCTGCCTTGGCCTCCCAAAGTGCTGGGATTTTAGGCATGAGCCACCGTGCCCGGCCTTATTTTTTAATTTTTAAATTTTTCTTAGAGACAAGGTCTTGCTCTGTTGCCCAGGCTGGAGTGCAGTGGCATGATCACAGCTGTCTGCAGCCTTGAACTCCTGGGCTGAAACCATCTTCCTGCTTCAACCTCCCAAGTAGCTGGGACTACAGGTGCACATGCCACAACATGCGACTAATTTTTAAATTTTTTTTTTTTTTTTTTTTGAGGTGGAGTCTGGTTCTGTTGCCCAGGCTGGAGTGCAGTGGCGAGATCTTGGCCCACTGCAAGCTCCGCCTCCCGTGTTCACGCCATTCTCCTGCCTCAGCCTCCCGAGTAGCTGAGACTACAGGCGCCCGCCACCACACCCAGCTAATTTTTTTTTTGTATTTTTAGTAGAGACGGGGTTTCACCGTGTTAGCCAGGATGGTCTTGATCTCCTGACCTCGTGATCCACCCGCCTCGGCCTCCCAAAGTGCTGGGATTACAGGCGTGAGCCACCACGCCTGGCCTTTAAATTTTTTTTTTTTTTTTTTTTTTTTTTTAATAGAGAATGGGTCTCGCTATGTTGCTTGGACTCCTGGGCTCAAGCAATCCTCCCCCTTTGCCCTCCCAGAGTGCTGGGATTACAGGTGTGAGCCAGTGCACCCAGCTTAATCAGCCTGTGAAGTCCCCTCCAGGTCACACAGGGTGAATCTTGGGAAGGCAGACTGGAGATTCTGCTCCCCCTGTTATCTCTGTCTTGTCTTTAGAGTTGGTCCAGTGCACCTGGGTGTGTCTGAGATCATGTGCCCCCAGGGGCAGCAGTAGTGAGAAAGACGGTTGTGAAAGGCACATTGTCATGATGGTTTTTCTTTCTGTGGTTTATCCTTATTTCCTGGCTTCGCCCACAAGCACAGATTCTCAGCCTCTTGCCTTTGTCTACTTTCTTTTGAACATTTATTTGGAAGCCCTCATTTTGTGCCCATGTTTTTTTTTCCTGGATCTGGATGTGGTTAATAGGAGTGCCCTCAGCCCAACCTGAGTACCTTGTGTAGATAGTCTGGCTAATTTAACATTCTGAAAGACCTCCTTATAGCCTGATGAGAATCAAAGTCAAGCTGGTAAAGCTACTGTTGCTACTCTGTGCATGCCACTCCCCGACCCCTGCAATATTTATTAAAATGTAACCGTTTCAGGGCTCAAGGCTTGAAGCTGCTTATGGATTTTTTTTTTCTTTCTAACACAAAGGAAAAAAATGGGATACATGTGCAGAACGTGCGGGTTTGTTATATAGATATACGTGTGCCATGGTGGTTTGCTGCACCTATTGACTCGTCCTCTAAGTTCCCTCCCCTCATCCCTACCCCCAGCAGGCCCTGGTGTGTGTTTCCCTCTCTGTGTCCATGGGTTCTCGTTGTTCAACTTGCACTTACGAGTGAGAATATGAGGCATTTGGTTTTCTGTTCCTGTGTTAGTTTGCTGAGGATGATGGCTTCCAGCTTCACCCATGTCCCTGCAAAGGACATGATCTTTATGGCTGCATAGTGTTGCATGGAGTATATGTACTACATTTTCTTTATCCATTCTATCATTGATGGGCATCTGGGTTGGTTCTAAGTCTTTGCTATTGTAAATAGTGCTGCAGTAAACATATGTGTACATGTGTCTTTATAGTAGAATGATTTATATTCCTTTGGGTGCATACACGGTAATGGGATTGCTGGGTCAAATGGCATTTCTGGTTCAGCATCCTTGAGGAATCACCATGCTGTCTTCCACAATGGTTGAACTAATTACAACAAAAGCCAAAATTGATAAATTGATAAAGTTGATCTAATTAAACTAAAGAACTTCTGCACAGCAAAAGAAACTATCATCAGAATGAACAGGCAACCTATAGAATGGGAGAAAATTTTTGCAATCTACCCATCTGACAAAGGTCTAATATCCAGAATTTACAAGGAACTTAAACAAATTTACAAGAAGAAAGCAACCCCATCAAAAAGTGGAGAAAGGATATGAACAGACACTTCTCGAAAGAAGACATTTACGTGGCCAACAAACATGAGAAAAAGCTCAACAACACTGATCATCAGAGAAACGCAAATCAAAACCACAATGAGATACCACCACACGCCAGTCAGAATGGCGATTATTAAAAAGTCAGGAGACAGTGGATGCTGACGAGACTGTGGAGAAATGGGAATGCTTATACACTGTTGGTAGGAATGTAAATTAGTGCTTATGGTTTTTAAAAGGCTTCCAGAGCAGGGGACCCATATATTTAGTCCCATAGAACACATCCCTTAACCTGCCTCTTAGCATTTCATCTATCCTTCCTTATATAAGTTCTTTCTTCTGGAGTTGGGACAGGAGGTGTCTTGTTATTTGGGTAGAAAGGAGAAAGAATGGGTGGGTATGTGGACAAACGGTGCAGGGAAATAGATAGCATGGGAAGTGTTGCCACAGCTCTATGGAAACTACTTGGATATTATGATTAATGGATAGTCAAACATCTCTCAAATAAATATCAAAGAGTGATCTTCCCTTAAAGGTTATTGTTCCCAAGTTTATCCCTCTCTTGGTGCCCTGGCTCTGGTTTCTTTTCTTCTAAGTTGCCCCTTTGATTACTTGTCATGTGAATATCAAGGCCTGATCCTTCCTCTGTGTGAGCTCCAAGGGGCCGCCTTCCAGTGGAGCTTTGTAGAATCATATGTGTCATAGAGAACAGGTTTTAATGCTGGGCTGCTGTTAGGCTTTAGCGCTAGTGCTGAGAGGCCCCACAAAGAGCTGAACCTACTGATGAGGCCTCTCCCAAATCTAATCAGAGATGGGGGAAAATTTGGGTGCTGGGAAGAGCAGATCATCTCAGTGATTTTAATGCCCACCTTTATTTGCAAAGTGAAAGGAGAAATATATTTCCCTATTGCATTTCCTACCCTTCACTTGTCAGGCATATTTGATATTTTTTTTTTTGTTTTCATTTAAAAAAAATTCCAAAAACACCATGTCAAATATGTCAAATATTTATTTTTTAAAAAGTAGGCCAAGTATTAATGTCTTTCTGCTAAATCTAGTGGGTTCTCTCTCACCCACCCCCGCTCCAACCAGGTGTTTGCAGAAAGGATCTTTTTTTTTTTTTCCGGAAAGGATCTTTATCCAGAAAGGAATTTTAAACCTCAGAGTTAAGTTCTTCTTCACCTCAGTGCTTCCCTCACTAAACATCATCCTTACCCAGAATGTATTTCATAGAGTGTTCCTCTTTCCATCCTTTGATGCTTTATGACCCATGAAAATAATGAAAAGTATTTGTTTCGGGCCCCTAGTATTACCAGGTTTAGGTACTATTGCTATCCTGCATCTTTTTCATTCTTATCTCTGTGCTGTAATTCTATCTCCCTTCTTGAGTATTTCACAACTGGAGACAAGTGAGTTATCTTCCCTAGAACTCTTAACTTACCCTAAGTGTAAGGCTCTGGATAGACACTCAAGGGCTTTTGGAATGTCCACTCATGGGAGCAGCTGTATTTTGTTGCTAGAATATAAAGACCTCATCTTTCAAAATTTCTTTCTTAACAGTTAACAGTTTTAGATTCTTGGATGCTGAATGTTCACCAGTTCTTTCAACTAGATCTGTGTAGTCAGAAGTCCATGCTCTTTGGGAAGTCTGAGAAACTTTAGGTGCCATTCCTATCTCCTCTCATTTTGGGGTTCAGATTGTGAGGCAGAATGCCTGTTGAGACTTTCTGAGCGCATAGGAAGCATTGGAGCAGTGGGATCTGGAGTGGCTTCACCAGGCACCTCAGAGCACAGTGGCAGGCTGAGAACGTCTGTGTGATCTCACACAAAAAGACTGTCTGGGAGTTGGAAACCACTCCTGCCTGTGTGTTACTTCCTGCTGCTGGACGTATGTGTGGTATTTGGTGTTGCCACACTAGGTGGGGGATGGAGAACAAATTATGTCTGCTCCTTGGATATTAGTTAACCTCATTCAGATGATTCTTGGGTGTCCCATGGGGAAGTAAACCGATTTCCCTGGTTTTGCTGTAGGACCTGATTAGTCACATACTGCAGAGAACCAACATGTAGCATAAGGCGCCATTGCCAGCCTGACCAGTGTAGTAGGGAACTGGGTCCCACTTCCGCAGCCCCCAGCCCTGTCTTCTAGAGTTAGACTGTACATTGCTAACTAGGCTTCCTTTTTTAAAAATAAATAAATAAATAAATAAATAAATAAATAAATAAATAAATAAAGTGAGTGTGTCTTTTGGATCTCTTCAGATTAGAAAAAAATCTGTATTTGACTTTTCCTATGTTTGTTCTGATTTTGTTCAGTCCTTTACGCTGAAGCAGCTCCCCCACTCTTCCCACTTAACTCCTATCTTACTTCACCATATCTTTTCTAGTCCATGAATACTACCTTCCATGCTTTATTCTGGTCCTCTAAATCTTTCCTTTATACTTCTGTTTTTCCTGCCAATCCCCAACTCGTACAGAACCCTACTGTAGGAGAACATAACTGAGAAGAATTTAACTGGGTTTGAATAATTAAATAAATTCCCATACGAAGGTATAATAAATAATTTTCTAGATACTTTGTACACATGACACTGAAAAGAGAGGGACATATTCTGTAAAGTAGCTCACTGGGGGAAAATTACCATTGCTACATTTTCAGCCTTAAATTGTAAGGAGTGCAGATGGTTAGCCAGCCTATGTTTCTCCCACCCACCTTCGTTTTAAACTATCCTACCCTGGAAAGATGGATGCTTATAAAATAAATGAAAAAGACTTTACCTTTAGAATGACATAGATTGTGATTGACAGGTCCAGGTAGCTCTTGTGTATGTGAAGGGGAGTTATATAATGTATTAGGCTTTCTTAATTCATTCCACAAACACCTATTCCTAGTTCTTGTCTGAATCTCCATTTATTTTGCAGCAAAGATGTCCCCAAATAAGGTGCTTATATATAGCAACAGATTCTACTTCCTTACATTTTGTTTCAGGACAGCTCACACAGTTTTTTTAACACATTTCAATGGGCCCAGAATCCATCGTGGTAGGAAGTAAAACTGTTTTTACATATATATTCGGTCACTTCCCAGTTTTTTCTTTTCTTTTTTTTTTTTTTTTTTCTTGCAAGCTCCTTCTGTCTGGGCTGACTGAGACCCACATAACATCTCAGCCAGCTGAGTTGGACATTCCCGGGTTTCTGTTGGTGTCTGAATATGTGCAGAGCAGTAGAATATGTGCTACTTGAATCTTGCTGTGCGTGAGCTGCTGGAAGTCGCTGTGTCTGACTAGTGTGTAGAAGCTGGGGCTACCTGTGATGGGGAACATGAATATTCGAGGAGCACAGGTGGATGTGGGGTGGGGACGTGGGGTGTGCATCGTCACAGAGCCAGCCTGGCCCTCTGGAGAGTTGGAACCCTGTTTCCTTGTCCTGGCCAATGTGAAACCTTGGGAATAGTTGCAGAGTAGAGAAATCAAAATACACAATCTATTCTCTGCTTGGCCTTTTTACGCCCTGGTGCAGATTGACTAACCTGTGGTTTTTGATCATCTCTGGTCCAGCGGTTGGGAATCTGTGCTGTCTATAGCATCTGAGTGTTGTGAGAATAAAATGTGAAAATAGGTATGAAAATATATATAAACCATAAAGAATTTCCCCATGTTAAAATGATGTGTGTCTTCCAGTGTAGAAGGTTTTATCTTTTCTATATCTGTATATATAAAAAACATTTATTACATATTATAAGATACATATGTCTGCATTCAGATGATAAAACTAAGGCCCGGAAATGAAAGTATCTTCCCAAGCTCACACAGCTAATCAGTGGCCTAGCCAGTGCTTGAATCTTCTCTTTGAATTCTGATATCTAGTAAGCTGAGTGGGGCCCATTGAAGCAGTAGCCAAATTATGGTACTAAGTACCGTCTGATACATTAATTTATTCAGCAAACATTACGTGCCTGTTGTATCCCCAGCTCCTGGTATTTTGGGTATTAGGTGATTTTTTTTTTTTTTGTCATTAAAATTTCCTCCCCCCACCCCCACCCCACAAGTAACTTGTAATGAGCTTCAGAGGCATTTAGCTTTAAAACAAAAATCTTCCTCCCTCTTTTTAACCACACTACCCTTGGTTCTTAGTTTAAAAATTTAGTTGACATTCCTGTGTGTTTTTATCTTGCAATTGGCCGGAGGGTTATTTATTAGGAAAAGAGATTTTGAATGATTTCAGTAAGTGAACTAGGAGTTGTGATACACGATTATATTAAATTGCTTATGGTTAGTTTTCCAGGAGGTGATTTAATTGTTCACCTTCCTAAGTCTTCAGTCTTAGGCTTATCCAGTGGGAGCTGGAAAGCTTTAATAGGCAAGTTTATTGGAACACACTTCCAGAGTCAAATGTCACTCTTGGCAGCTGCAGATGTCAACTGGGACAAGTATTCAGAGCCTGAGAATTAAGGATATGTGTTAAATATGGCCCTCATAGGCGGCCCCAGGGTTTTTTTTTTTTTTTTTTTACTTTTGCGAACATGTTGACAGAGATGAGGCTCAGAAGGCAGGTATACATGTGCCTTGTCTTCATTCTCTGCAGAGAGAATGTTTTTAGGGGCTTGGGAAAGTATTTCAACTCGAAGAAAGGACTTATAGTTACTAGAATCTTCACATCTGCTTTCTCGAGTGACCTTGAGTCAACCACAGTCTTGTGGGGTAGATGGTATTATTCACCCCTCTTTTGTTACATATTAACATGACAAAACTAAGACTCAGAGAGGAAGTGCCTTCCCCAAGCACATGCAGCTAGCCAGTGGCACATCCAGTACTTGAACCCTTTTCTCTTTGAATCATGCTTTGTACTAAGCTGATCACGGTCCACTGTAGCAGTAGGTGACTTATGGTACTAAGTACCATCTGATACATTAATTTATTCAGCAAACATTGAGTGTCTGTTGTATCTCTAGTACCTGGCATTGCAAAGATGAGTAAGGCAGTAGACAGATAACTGACATAACCCATGACAGTGCAGTTGCGTAAGTGGCATGATCTGGAGTGCAGAGTACTGTGGGGACACCCATGAGGGAGCCACAATTGCCTGGGGTAGGGAGTTGGAGGAGGCAGATGACAGGAGGTAATGACTGAGCTGGAGCTGGAGGGATGAGCAGGAGTTAGGCAGATTGCAAAGGGGGTGCGGGCATGTGCTGGGTGGCATTTCCAGACAAAATCGGAGGGCTTGGAACAGCAGTGTGTGCTCACACCTGGTACGTAGCAGGAGTGAGAGGCAGGAACAGCAGTTTGAGGCTTGACAGCCCTGTGTGCGAAGCGAAGCATTTGAATGATGTCTCATTACCACTGTATACCACATGTCCTTCCCCTGCAGCTTTGGCTGACATCTGTCATTCTACCCTACTCCTGTTGGCCTTACTTTCTCCCTTTTACCCCTCTCAACGTTTGCTTTAGGCTGTCAGTGTTTACTGCACCCCATAAAAGGTTAGATCCTCCCACCAGGCCTGATCTGACTACTAGGAGAGACTGTCTGTATCTGCTGGAGGGATTGAGAGAATTGGTACAGAAGGAGTTTTGTGGATCATGACATCTAGAATTAGCACTCTGAGAAAGAGGGAGTAAGCATGGTATTAGGATTGGAAAAAGGTTTTTTTCCTTTCAGACCATTACAAAAACTCATGAGTTCAGGATGTATCAGTTGTGTGAATAAGGTGGATGTTTGAAGACCCCACTAGCATGTGTTGAGTTTACAGCCACTGTGCAAGATGCATCTTAAAGATTGATAGTCTGTGCACTTTTATCCCGAGGTGTGAGGTACTGGACCTCTGTCATAGGGGAGAGAGTAGAGGCTCAGAGAGGTTAAGTAACCTGCCTGAAGTTGCTCCACCAGTAAGATATGGAACCAAGGATTCACATGTGGGCTGGCCAACCTCTTCATGCCCTGTGCCTCCTATGTGTGTAGGTGGGTCTGTCACTACTGCCCTGGGTGTCCTGCAGAATGGCTGTGGTTCCCAGTCCACCCCCTTGGGAGCCTTGCCTACATTAGCTCGATTTGCTGACAGGTGAACAAACAAGCAACCAGCTGCTCTGATAGGCCTGGGAACTTGTCCCCGGAGAGAATGCCCAAGTCCAGGAAGGTTATGCCAGGTCATGAAGCAGAAGTGTCTGGACATGTCACACAGTCTGCTGAGCCAGCAGTGCCCACTTCATAGCCCTTTCTGTAGGGCCCCTGTGTTGACTCCCTGCATGGTACTCGTCCCTTAGCCCAGGAGAGGCCCCATGGGAGGAGGGAGAGTTGCAGCAACTTCTGGACCCTGAGCCATAGGAACTTCCCCTTCCCAATCTCTGAGAAGATGTTCACAGTGACCTGGCCAGGGTCACTGCAAGAAAGAAAATGGAATGCTGATGGGGCAAGGGTGACAGGGAAGCCAGGCATTCCAGCTGTGTTCAAAGCAGTGACAATGACTGTGGGAGCGGGTCCTGTTTTATATATTCATCATTCTGAGGCCTTCAGGGACTATTTTGTTAGCTACATAAGTGTTGAAAGGGCTGCGTAAACCAGAAATCAAATTCTGTAGATTGGCATCTGCTGGATAAATCTTCTGCTGGGATTGCTACAACATGTTGAATAACCGTGTGTTTTGAAGAATGAAAAAGATAAGACAGTTCACTGAGTTGCAACGTTTATGACACAGGGAATGGAGGACTGTAATTAAATCTACATAAAAAGGCCATGTTTTCCAAGTGTACTTTGAACTTGGGGCAGGTGTTCTGAGTGGGTGGGTGCATCATCTCATTTCCCCCTGCGGAGGAGGCTGCTGGCAACCTGGGAATGGAGGTTAACACCATTTGTTACCCCTGAAGTTTCTGGATGTCTAGAGGAGGACCCCCTTCCTGCGCCCCGCCCCTCCATGCACCAGTCCAGAGCTGTGGTCTCCTTCCTGTGTTGGAGACTCGCTGCTGGTCCTCCGCTGGTGTCTGAGTTGGTTAACCTTAACTGAACCCCTTAACTGAACTTTTCTTGTTACATGTATTCCAGCTCTCAGTGAAGTGACATTCTGCCCTCTGGGCCCAGATCCCTGAACCCTTCCCTGCATTTCAGACCTAAATAGCACCCTGTCAGAAAGATCAGTGGGGCCGGGAGCTGTGGCTCACGTCTGTAATCCTAGCACTTTGGGAGGCCAGGGTGGGTGGATCACTTTGAGCCCGGGAGTTTGAGAACATCCTAGGCAACATGGTAAAATTCTTGTCTCTACAAAAAAACCCACAAAAAATTAGCAGGGTGTGGTGGTGCATGCCTGTGGTCCTAGCTACTGGGTGGGGAGGAGTAGGGGGAAGCTGAGGTAGGAGAGAATCACTTGAGCCCAGGAGTTCAAGGCTGAACTAAGTCATGAGTGAGACCCTGTCTCAATAAGATCAATGGGTTGGAAGTGAAAGTCCCTTCCCAAACTCAACTCTGGGGAAGAAGCTCTTGCCTTCTCTGGCCCTCCCCTGCCCACCTTGTCCACCCTGCTTTGCCCATCACAGCAGGCCTCCCGTTCCACTGCAATAACCCTCCCCACTAGTCTCCTTGTGCGGGACCAGTCTTTACTCTTCTTTGGGTTGCTGTTTGCGTCAGGGCTCACAGCTTTGAAGGAGGTTCAAGCCACCATCATATTTTGCTATAGTCCAGACTGCTGGACATTGATCAGTCCTCTGTCCCCACCTTAACCCTGTGCACGCAGTTGCACTGCGGGGCAGATTCAAGATGCTCACCCTGTGTCCCACTGCTTGTTTTCAGGCTGTGTTGATCACACCTGCCTGCTGCCTTTCAGGATCACCTTCTTAGTTCTTTGTATCCACCTTTGTCCCCACCCTCCACAGCCTTGTCTTGAAGGCCACATACCACACCTTTGAAGCTGCCCTCTTCCTGTTGAAGCCTTCCTTGCTTTTCCAATTGCTTTTCTACTGTTGACAAAAGTAGAGGGGACTGTGACCTAGGGTTATAATTCATCTCCCTGCAGTTGTGCATGATGTTTGTGCAGAGTGAATTCTTTTTTTTTTGAGACAGGGTCTCACTTTTTGAGACGGGCCTCACTCCAGTTGCCCAGGCGGGAGTGCAGTGGTGCAATTGCAGCTCACTGCAGCTTCGACCTCCCAGGCTCAGGTGATTCTCCCACCTCAGCCTCCCAAGTAGCTGGGACTACAGGTGCACACCACCACACCTGGCTAATGTTTTGTATTTTTAGTAGAGACAGAGTTTCAACATGTTGGTCAGGCTGGTCTGGAACTCCTGAGCTCAAGTGATTCATACGCCTCAGCCTCCCAAAATTCTGGGATTACAGGTGTGAGCCACAGCGCCCCGCCCCAGAGTGAATTCTTAACCTTATCTCATATCTATTCGCTATTCTTGACTCCCTTGTTTCTATTATAATCCTTAGAGCCGTGGTGGTCAACTCCAAGAGAGTAGGAACCAAGTCTGCATGATTTGCCTAAAATACTTGATACTTTACTGGGAGTAAGTATAATACTTGAAACTGCTTTGTTGAGAAAAATAAAAGAAAGCATCTGTCCAGTCTACTATAATAAAATAGCTTAGACTGGGTAATTTATAAACAACAGGAATTTATAGCTCACAATTCTGGAGTCTATGAGGCCCAAGTTCAAGGCACCAGTAGATTCAGTGTCTGGTGGGGGGCCCATTCTCTGCTTCATAGTTAGTGCCTTTTATGGTCTTCACTTGATGGAAAGGGCAAAAGGTATCCCCCAAGTCTCTTTTAAAAGGGCGCTAATTCCATTCATGAGGGCTGAGCCTTCATGACCTAATCACCTCCCAGAGGTCCCACCTCTTAACGCTATTGATACGTGGATTAAGTTTCAACACAGGCATTTTAGGGGGACACAGGCATGCCAACCTTAGCAGCAACTTTTCATATAATTTGTATCCTAAAAACAGTAAAACTCGGCCGGGCGCGGTGGCTCACGCCTGTAATCCCAGCACTTTGGGAGGCCGAGGCGGGCGGATCACGAGGTCCGGACATCGAGACCATCCCGGCTAAAACGGTGAAACCCCGTCTCTACTAAAAATACAAAAAATTAGCCGGGCGTAGTGGCGGGCGCCTGTAGTCCCAGCTACTTGGGAAGCTGAGGCAGGAGAATGGCGTGAACCCAGGAGGCGGAGCTTGCAGTGAGCCGAGATCCCGCCACCGCACTCCAGCCTGGGCGACAGAGCGAGACTCCGTCTCAAAAAAAAAAAAAAAAAAAAAACAAAAAAAAACAACAGTAAAACTCAATAGCTCTGGTTTATTGACTGTTTATTACATGCCTGCTAAGATAGGCATTCCCTACCTGGCCATTTTACAGATGAAGGAACTCAGGTTAAAGGAGGTTAACAACCTTGTCCAAGGTCAGACAGCACATCTGGATTCAGACATCAGCTTGTGTGACTTAAGCTTATTTTTCTCTTCACCATGCCAGTCCTGCCTCTAGCAAAATACACGCAGATTTCATGATACCACTTTTAATTTCAGCAAATTATGTTATCATTTTCAATTAACTGATAATTAGCTGGCAGTCCTTGGAAGGTAGAAGGAGTTCTGATGGAAGCCCTCATCGTTTTTTATTCTTTCATGACTTCCACTTGAAGGTCCTTGCTTACTGAAATGGAAGCCATAAGTCCTCTCGTCACCCTTGGTAGAAGGGTGCTAAATCATCCTTGCTAAATACTTGACGGAAACCATCAGTCATCTCGTTTGGCTCTCATCAATCTCTTTGTTCATATGCACAGGCTCTTAATCTCTGTTTTCCCTTTCTTTAGAGTACCGTAGTCTCAGATGATAAACTTCTCTGAAGCTAATTTCTTCACTGCTGCCCTGGAGTGTCTCTTCATGCTGCATTCTAAACAAGTGAAGAGCAAAGTTGCTCTTGGTAGGGCAGCCAGGTTCAGGACAGTGCTGCTTCCAGATCAGAAAACATCCATAGGGTGTAGTCTGGCCCACGCTTGATGTAGGCACAAGGCAGAGGCGAATGAAGATCATGGGAGGTCCTTTGGTGTAAAAACCCCATCTGCCTGGAGCTTCAGGATTAGCAGTGTTTCACAGCCCGTCTGAAGTGCCAGCACTTGGGAAAACTTACAAGAGAGATGTTTGGGAAGTATTTCAAGCACTGCTTTGTGTCCTTAAGGAACAGTGAGTGAATGGCCCGTTGCAGGCTGAGTCTGATGTCAGTTTTTGACTTCCGTATAGTAGTACATCAGGTGGCAGCTGGCTGCAACCCAGCCTCCACTGACTTTAGAGCCAGCCAAGTGAGTTCTAGTTTCAGCCCACAGGTCTTATGTTGTTGCCGAGGGACCTTTACAAGACACTTAAACCCTTAGTTTCCTCTTGTAAATGAGAATTTTAAAAAGTTCCCGACACAGAGAGAGAGGCCATCAATAAATGTTGGATACCTTCCCTTTCACTTCCCTGTTTATGGTTTTTGAAATTTGGAAAAGAAGCTTGTCAGATCTGTGTGTAGAAATAATAAATAATAGGACTTCCCTGTGTAGAAAAGAAAAACTTTATTTTTTAGGGATTTTGTTAGGCATTTGCCTACTTAGAGATCGTTCTGATGGTCTTGTTCTCAACTGTCCCCAGCCAGATGGGGAACATAGGAAACCTATTATGTGCGAGCCAATGGGTCCAGAGAAAAGAGATAGACAGCTATTGTGATGTCTATCAGAGGACACTGTCTTCTCCCGTGCCAGGTGCCAGGTGTGCTGAAGATCTACTTTGCAGATTGACCCCATAAGGATTTATGCACTTGAGGGCTCATCTCTGGAGACACATGGAAAATTAGCAAGGCAAAAGTTTGGAGTAAAGATGTCTGCACAGAGTGGGCAGCTTGTGTGTTGGAGAACAAGCCATGTTGGCCATTTGTTGTGAATGGCGTGAGGAAAAATGCTTCAGAAACATAGACTTTTCTGGATCTGCAAGCACCAGCATTTTTGGTGTTCTTTTTTACTTCAGTTTTAGATTTGCAGCAGTATTATTGTTTCCTGATTTTGTTAAGCAGATCTTCAGTATTTCATCAGCAGTATGGGTTAAGTTGGCATTAGAAGCTATGCTGGGAACCTAATCCTCACCCGTTTGTCTGGGAAAATGTGTTTCCGTGTTGCACAGTGAGTGAACTTTTTGATGGCAGTGTGTTTGTAAGTTGGGGACTGCCTGTAGGGCATTTTGTAAAGAAGAGAACATTCTTTTCAAACCAAGGGCTTCTGAGAGATAAAGGGAGTTGTCATTGGAACCACATGCTAAAAAAGCATGCTTGAAATTAGTTTTGATTTTACCTTAGTACAGTTGAGCTGAAATAACCTCTAGCAGGGTGCTCTAGCAATACAGAATATTAGTAGTAGACTCATGGAGGTCATCTAGTGGTTTCTGATGGAGAGTTTACAGACTGATTTGGTTTGTGATGAAAATTACATTCTCTGAAATTTATATAGAAAGCATGTATTATATATCACTTATATAACGTATTTGTTAAATATGGCAGTCACCTTATGTGTTTTATAAAAAGTCATGTAGTTTTTTAGTAGTTCCTGCCTTATTTTTTTTCCTTCTTTTCTTTTAAGACGGAGTTTTGCTCTGCCATCTTGGCTCACTGTAACCTCCACCTCCCGTGTTCAAGTGATTCTTCTGCCTCAGCTTTCCAAGTAGCTGGGATTACAGGCACCTACCACCATGCCTGGCTAATTTTTGTATTTTTAGTAGAGACAGGCTTTCACCATGTTGGTCAGGCTGGTCTCGAACTCTTGACCTCAGGTGATCCACCCGCCTTGGCCTCCCAAATTGCTGGGATTACAGGCATGAGCCACCGCGCCCAGCCGGGTCCTGCCTTATTTTTCAATATCCAGGTACATGACTCCACCAGGTCCTAGGTCTGCCACCTCTTTGTGCCTTCTTTGGCTTTTGTGATGGTCACACCCAGGGTGCCAAGTGAGAACAGTTTTTTTTTAAATGATATTTCAGAAACAAATGTTTTATTAATTATTTTTATAGGTATCAGTATATTGTGTATGGGGTTTAGGATTTCACCTCATTATGCTTCAGCCTGATTATTGGGTATACAAAAAGTAATTAGAATAGAATAGTATAAAGAAGAAAAAACTTTCATGACCCAAACCTAACCATTAACTAATAGTTAACACTGTTACATTTCTTTCTAAACTTCTTAAAATGTATGTATGGAACTTACATATATAAGTAAGGTTTTAGACAAAAAGGTTTTGGATAAAATTGAGATTTTAGTTTTATTTATTTTAATTTTTATTTTTTAGAGACACAGTCTTACTCTTTCACTCAGGCTGGAGTTCATTGGCATGATCATAGCTCACTGCAGCCCCGACCTCCTGGACTTAAGTGATCCTCCCACCTTAGCCTCCTGAGTGTCCAGGACTACAGGGGTGAGCCACCATGCCTGGCTAATTTTTATTTTTTCTACTTTTTGTAGAGATGAGGTTCTCAATGTGTTGCCCAGGTTGGTCTTGAACTCCTGGCCTCAATTGAGCCTCCCATCCCAGCTCCCAAAGTATTGGGATTACAGGTGTTAGCCACTGTGTCTGGCCAAAATTGAGATTTTACACACACACACATGCACACACACACTTTTGGTAACTTAATGTATACTGAACATCTCCCATATTACCAAATATTCTTTTCAAATGTCCTTTGGTAGCTGTACACATCACATCATATGTGTAGTGTACTAAAACTTAACAACCCCCATTATTGGTGACCATGTAGTTTGTTAATCCACTTTTGTGCAATGACGGGCATCTTCCTAAGTTAATTTTTTGTTGTTCTTTAATTATTTCCTTAGGATAAATTCCTAGAAGTGGAATTCATTGGTTAAAAGGCTAGACATTTGTTATACTCCTGCCAAACTGGTGTGCAGAATTCTTGGTGCTTGCTGTTGGTAGCACTGTGAGTAGTTTCCCAGATGTAGTGTGTTGCAGGGGTGACAGTACTGAAAGGCCCTCCACCCCCTGCAAAGCATGGCAAGTGCAGCAGCAAGATCTGCGGTGGCAAAAACCAGGAAGACAGTCATTCCCATCATCTTTTGACATTGCTTTTTTCCCCATTTTTTAGGGGGGACAATTGATGTTCTTTGTCAATTCAATCATATTTCTTTCTTTTTTTAATGTACGAAGATAGACTTCCTATATTATATTGCCTTTTTAAACATCTTTCCCACACAAAAAAGAGAGCTACCGACAGACTGTCCATTCCGTTGCACTAGGACGCTCTTCAAACAAAGCCGGTACCTTGAGGAGACAGTAAAGGAGGTCTGAAATGAACATGCCCCGATCACCAGCCAAGCACTCTGATGACAGAGCTTGGAAGCCAGGGTCTGGGGTAAGCTAACTAGGATAACCACAGTCGTAACGACCAATTACAGAAGAACACTCGCACAATGAGACTTTGCTTTCATCAACAGTGACAGAACTCAGGCCAGTTCTTTTGATTCTAAAAAGGTAGGAGATCAAACCCAATGCTTACCACCTGCTAAGCAGAAAGATCTGATCCGCTTTCCCAAACCAGTTATTTGTTGTGTGGCTGGAAACAGAAGAAGGGCTGCCTAAAACTGAGTGGTGGGCTAGGTAGTACGGGGAATAGGGAGAGGAAGAAGGGGAGGAGCAGGGAGCAAAGGTACTTTCAGGGAGCAGTATTTTAAGTCTTCCTGGAAGAGGAAGTTAACTGGGAGACTGGAGTATAGGCTGTGCTCTTAGCATATATACCGGGAAGTAAACACCTCTTAGGAGGCTGGCTTGAAGTTGACAGTTAGTAATGCAAGCTATTGATTTTTTTTGAAAGTATTTGTTAAGAGTGAATTGGTTTCTATAACTGTGAAAATGGCTGTAGGACAACGTTTCCCCTGCCCAATTGTGGTTTCAGATGCTACTTTTCACCACTTTGAACCTGGAGGACATCTTGGTTTTAGAGACTCTACCTGAAAAATGTAACTTAGGTTCATTGTACTTTTATTGAGGGCTTGGCACTGGAATAAGTGTTCACAGATTGATAACATAAGATCCCTGCCCTTGATATATTCAGTTTAGTGGCAGTGAGAGGAATAATAATATAAATAGATAATTTTATTATTCTGGCAAAATATACATAACGTAAAATTTATTTTCAAGTTTACAGTTCTGTGACATGCTCATGTTGTTATACAACCGTCACCACCATTTATTTCCCAAGCTGTTTCATCTTCTCTAACTTAAACTCTGTATCTGTTAAATAATAATTCTTCCTCATCCCCAGGCCCTGGCAACCACCATTCTACTTTCTGACTCAGAATTGGACTATTCTAGGTACTTTAGTTAAGTGGAATCACACAGCATTTGCCTTTTTGTGATTGGCTGATTTTACTTAATATAATTCCTCAAGACTCATCGTACTGTATTGTATGTCAGAATTGTCTTTTTAAGGCTACGTATCATTGTATGTATATATCAATTTATTCATCAATAGGCACTGGGTTACTTTCACCTTTTGACTGTTGTGAATAATGCTGTTATGAACATGAGTGTACAAATATACACATACCTCGGAGATATTGTGGTTTCAGTTGCAGACCACGGCAATAAAGTGAATATCATAGTAAAGTGTCACACAATTTTTTGTTTCTTTTCCAGTGCACGTAAAAGTTATGTTTACACTATACTATAGTCAATTGAATATGCAGTAGCATTATGTCTAAAAAAATTGCAGAGACCTTAATTTTAAAATGCTTTATTACTAAAAATCGTAGATACCTTAAGTTTAAAATGCTTTATTGCTAATGGTCATCTGAGCCTTCAGCAAGTTGTAATCTTTTTGCTGGTGGAGTGTCTTGCCTCGATAGTGATGCCGGAAGGCTAGGGTGGCTATTGCAATTTCTTAAAGTCAACAATGAAGTTTGCCACGTTGATTGACTCTTTCCTTCATGAAAGATTTCTCTGTTTTATGTGATGCTGTTTGATGGCATTTTGCCCATAGTCAAACTTCTTTCAAAGTGGGAGTCAATTTTACCTTTCGACCCAGCAATCAAAAAATAAAAAATTTAAAAAAAATTAAAGTCAGTCCTCTTAAACCTTGCCACTGCTTTATCAACTAAGCTTATGGAATATTCTAAATCCTTTGTTAGCATTTCAACAATGCCCACAGCATTTTCAGCATTAGATTCCATCTCAAGAAACTACTTTCGTAAGAAGAAACTTGTTCATCATAAGAAACTCCTTATTTGTTCACATTTTATTATGAGATTGCAACAATTCAGTCACATCTTCAGGTTCCACTTCTAATTCTAGTTCTCTTGCTGTTTCCACTACATCTGCAGTGACTTACTCCACTGAAGTCTTGAACCCCTCAACATCATGCATGAGGCTTGGAATCTACTTCTTCCAAACTCTTGTTAATGTTGATATTTTCACCTCCTCCAATGAATCACAAATGTTGTTAATGGCATCTAGAATGGTGAATCCTTTCTAGAAGGTTTTCAGTTTACTTTGCCCGGATCCACCAGAAGCATCACTATGGCAGCTGTAGCCTTACGAAATGTATTTCTTAAATAATAACTTGAAAGTCAAAATCACTCTGATCCATGGGCTGCAGAAGGGATGTTGTGTAGGCAGGCATGAGAATAACATTAATCTCCTTGTACATCTCCATCAGAGCTCTTGGGTGACTAGGTGCATTGCTGATGAGCAGTAATATTTTGAAAGGAATCTTTTTTTATGAGCAATAGGTCTCAACAGTGGGATTCAAATATTCAGTAAATCATGCTGTAATGAGATATGCTGCCATACTGGCTTTGTTGTTCCATTTACAGAGCACAGGCAGAGTAGATGGAGCATACAAGGGCCTTAGGATTTTTGGAATGGTAAATGAGCATTGACTTCAATTTAAAGTCACCAGTTGCATTAGCCTCTAACAAGAGAGTCATCCTGTCCTTTGAAGCTTTGAAGTCAGGCATTGACTTCTCTAGCTGCGAAAGTCTTAGATGGCATACTATTTTAATAGAAGGCTGTTTTTTCTACATTGAAAAAATCTTTAGTGTAGCTACCTTCATCAGTTATTTTAGCTAGATCTTCTGGATAACTTGCTACAGCTTCTACATCAGCACTTGCCGCTTCATCTAGCACAATATGTTAGGGATATGGTTTCTTAACTTAAGCCTCATGATCCAGCCTCTGTTAGCTTCAAACTTTTCTTGTGTGGCTTCCTCATCTTTCTCAGCCTTCATAGGATTGAAGAGAGTTAGGGCCTTGCTCTGGATTAGGCTTTGGTTCAAGGGAATGTTATGGCTGGTTTGATATTCTATCCAGACCAAACTTTCTTCGTATCAGTAATAAGGCTGTTTTGCTTTCTTATCATTCATGTGTTCACTGGAGTGGTACTTTTAATTGCCGTCATGAACTTTTCCTTTGCATTCACATCTTGGCTGACTCCTTGGCATAAGAGGCCTAGCTTTTGACCTGTCTTGGCTTTCGACATGCCTTCCTCACTAAGCTTAATTATTTCTATCCATTGATCTACAGTTAGAGACATGTGACTCTTTTACTTGAACACTTAGAGGCCATTGTAGGGTATTAATTGGCCTA
This sequence comes from Homo sapiens, assembly GCF_000001405.40. Taxonomy (NCBI): domain Eukaryota; kingdom Metazoa; phylum Chordata; class Mammalia; order Primates; family Hominidae; genus Homo; species Homo sapiens. The sequence goes on from NC_000001.11 coordinate 165,869,007, forward strand.
ACTTCAATATTGTTCTGTCGCAGGAAATCATAGGGAGGCCCAAGAAGAGGGAGAGAGACAGTGGAATGCCCCAGTCAGTGGAACAGTCAGAACATGTACATTAATGGATTCAATTTGCCATTTTATATGGGCGTGGTTGGTGGCACCCCGAAATAATTACAATAGTAATGTCAAAGATCACTGATCACAGATCACCATAACATATAATAAAATAATGAAAATGTTTGAGATATTGTGAGAATTACCAACATGTGACACAGAGATACAAAGTGAACACATGCTATTGGAAAAATGGTATTAACAAGACTTGCTTCACACAGTGTTGCCACAAACCTTCAATTTGTAAAAAAAACGTAGTATCTGTGAAGCACAATAAAATGAAGTATGCCTGTATCTACTTGAGTTTCAACTTTAAGTTCTTTTGGGTACATCCCCACAAATGGTATTGCTGGGTCATACGGTAATTCTATATTTAGTTTTTTGAGGAGTTCCTATACTGTTTTCTACAGTGGCTATACAAGTTCACATTCCTGCCAGCAGTGCACAAGAATTCCTTTTCCTCGCATGCTTGCTAACATTTGTTCTTTCTAGTTTCTTTCTTAAAAAAAAAATTGCCATCCTAATGGGTATGAAAGAGAATCTCATCATGGGCCTTTTTTTTTTTTTTTTTTTTTTTAAAGAGATGGGGGTCTTGCTCTGTCACTCACGCTGGAGTGCAGTGTGTCGTGATCATAGCTCACTGCAGGCTCAAGCGATCCTCTGCTTCAGCCTTCCAAAGTGCTGGGATTATAGGCGTGAGCCACCACCAGCTAATTTTTAAAAACTTTTTTGTGGACGTCTTGCAGTGTTGCCCAGGCTATTCTTGAGCTCTCAGCCTCAAGCAATCTTCCCAAAGCACAGGAATTATATTAATTATATTAATAGGTTGAGCCACTGTGCCTGGCAAAAGTTTTAAATTTTGATGAAGTCCATCTTACTTATTTTTTTCTTTTGTTGCCTGTGCTTTCAGTATTACATGTAAGAAATCATTGCCAAATCCAATGTCAAAGTGCTTTATTTTTATATTTTCTCCTAAGACTTACAGTTTTAGCCCTTAAGTTTAGGTATTTGATCTGTTTTGAGGTGGTGGTTTCTTTTGTTGTTGTTGTTTGTTTCTTTTTTTGTATGGTGTAAAGTAAGGAAAGGTCTAACTTCATTTTTTTTTTTTTTTTTTTGCATATGAATGTCCAGTTTTCCCAATACCATTAGCTGGACGATAATTTTAATATGTGAATGAAGATACTTTTGCTCACAGGAGTTTTTGAGCCTCAGTGTCTGGCTACAGGGTTCTCATTTGAATGTCCAGTTTTCCCAGTACCATTTGCTGGATGACAATTTTAATATGTGAATGAAGATACTTCTGCTCACAGGAGTTTTTGAGCCTCAGTGTCTGGCTACAGGGTTCTCATTTGAATGTCCAGTTTTCCCAGTACCATTTGCTGGATGACAATTTTAATATGTGAATGAAGATACTTCTGCTCACAGGAGTTTTTGAGCCTCAGTGTCTGGCTACAGGGTTCTGCTTTAATATGTAGGAGGAAGAGATTCAAGCCTCTTGCTCCATTATGGGTAGACAGCACACTACAGGGAGCTTCCCTGAGGGAACTTTCTGTGTACTGTTTCCTAGAAATCTGTAGGAACCATTTCAAGTGACGTGGAAGGAGGTTATCAAGGTAGGATTAGAAACATGTATTTATTATGCTGCTTACTATCCAGTCTTCAGTTATATATGTGTTATTATTTTACAGAAGGCTTCATTGGACAAAAATTCCTTGTTAGTCTTTTTTTTCGAGAAGGAGTTTTGCTCTGTTGCCCCGGCTGGGGTGCAGTGGCACGATCTTGGCTCATTGCAACCTCCGCCGTCCAGGTTCAAGCCATTCTCCTGCCTCAGCCTCCCAAGTAGCTGGGATTACAGGCATGTGCCACCATGCTTGGCTAATTTTTGTATTTTTAGTAGAGGAGTTTCACCATGTTGGCCAGGCTGGTCTTGACCTCCTGACCTCAAGTGATCTGCCAGCGTTGCCCCTCCCAAAGTGCTGGGATTACAGGGGTGAGCCACCTCGCCTGGCCCCTGTTAGTGTTTAGTATGGTTTCTTTTTGTGTAGGGGGAGTGAATTTTTTGTGTGTGCGTGTGCGTTTGCTTATTGTACCCATTTCTCATGGTATGGAAAAAAACAGGATTTCATACTCTTAACAGGATACCCTGCACAAGGTGGGAAAATATACCTCGTGTTTTAAAGAAAAATAGTTTAACAAATGGCTTTCATCTGGGTTGTACTCCAGACTTGCTGCTGCTTCATGCTTTTCCAATTGTGCCACAGGCCTGATCCCTTAGCATGTGTGCAGCTGTGGGCTAGAGGGTTGAAAGCAGGTCCTGTGTCTCTTTCCTGGTGAACTCCACAGGGACACAGCTGCAGGTCTTTTGTAACGCTCTGTATATGCACAGGAAGTCCCTTACAACCCACTCTGTTAGATCTCATTTCCTCTTCGGTTATTTGCCCTCTGTGGTCTCTGGGTGTCAGCCTGGCCTGCCTTTTCAGGGTTCAAGGAGCTGCTGGATTGGTGCCCTCTTGTGGTCTGCCTTTGATGTGGTTGGGATCTTGGGAGCTGAAGGCAAAGAAAGGACAAGTGAGCTACCGAGGAGTAAGGAAGACATGAAGTTGAGAAGATAACAGAGGGAAGTTAAAAAAAAAAATCTTTGGTTGAGGAAATTGTTTCTGAATATAACATGATAAAATCAGTTTAGGTTAATCAGTTTAACTGCATCAATAAAGAATTTCTTTGCAAAACACTACTTAAAAAGACAGTTAACTAGAAAGAATTTGTGAGGCAAATGAGAAATGGCCAGTTTCCTTAATATATAAAGAGCTTTTATAAATCAATAAGAAATAAAAGACCAATAAATCAACAGAGAAGTGAGGACAGGATATCAACAAACCAGTTCCAGAAGAACAGAAGCCTTTTAGGCATATACATAGTCTTTTTTTTTTTTCTCTTTTTGCCGGCTGCTCTAGCCAGTTTACTTATTTTTTATTTTTATTTCTTTGAGACAGGGTCTTGCTCTTGTCACACAGGCTGGAGTACAGTGGTGCAATCTCAGCTCACTGCAAACACCACCTTCCAGGTTCAAGCGATTCTCCTGCCTCAGCCTCCGAAGTAGCTGGGATCATAGGTGTGTGCCACTATGCCCAGCTAATTTTTGTATTTTTAGTAGAGACGGGGTTTTGCCATGTTGGCCAGGCTGGTCTTGAACTCCTGATGTCAAGTGATCTGCCCGCCTTGGCCTCTCAAAGTGCTGGGATTACAGGTGTGAGCCACCATGCCTGGCCGTCTTTTAGGCATATAAAAGATGTTTACCCTCACTTAAAATAGGACAGCAAATTAAACAGACCAAAGGTTAAATATCATTAAGAGTGAGGGGGAAATAGTACATTATATATAAATTGTTGATGGTGGGGGCTAGCTGGGCATATATATGGAAATTTTAAAAAATGCAGATTCTTTGCCCTAGCAAATCCACTACTGGAAATCTATTCTACAAATATATATGTATATCCATACATTAAGTTCATTTTAGAAAAAGTTGAGACATAATTTATGTCTGTCAATGGAGGACTAGCTGCAGTTCCTTCATATAGTGGAATACCTTGAAGCCCTTAAAAAGGAGGCAGTCTTAAAAGTATTGACAGTATAATCTTTGAGATATATAAGTGAACGAAGGTGCAGACAGCGTGTATTAGTGTCTGTGTTTGAAAAAAATCATTCACACATGGTTTTATATGTAGGGACTGCCTCTGAAGGGATGTACACGAAACTGAAAACAGTAGCTGCCAGAGAAGTGATCAGCAATCCGGCTGGGAGATAGAGTAGGAAGGAGACAGGCTTTGTGCCTTATACTATTTTGTACCCTGTGAATTTTGCATCACGTTGGAGATGCAAAAAGCAACTACCTTGAAAAGGGCAGTCGAGATCAAGTGGAGTAAGATATTTATTCAGCGCAATGTTAATTATAAAAAGTAAAGTAAGTAGAAAGACCAGGGTAGGAACTACCGAAAAACAAACCAACGAACAGAAAAGAAAACCAAAAAAACCCCCAGAATTTCATGTCTGGTTTTAGGTTGCCACAATTTAATAATGAAGAAGGGACAGATTATAGAATTCTGAGATAGAGAATAGCGAGATACAATAAAATGTAGTTATCTTAAAAGAAGTCAGTATGCAATTGATTGAATAGACTTCACCCCTCACTGGAGGAATATCTTGCCCACATAGGGAGGGAAGAAACTGATGGCCACCGTCTTGGACACAAGCTACCATGCATGCATATAAACACGGAAAAATGCTTGCCAAAATGGTAGCTACATTTATTTCTAGCAGTAGGACTTAGCCAATCATTTCTGTCTTTGTTTTACCTACTTGTACTTTTTAGAAAAAGATTATTACGTTCATTTTTTAATAATGAGAAAAAGTGAAGCTTCCCATTTCTGTGTGATTCTTTATATCTTCCTGACCTTCTCTTTTTTCACTTCTTGCAGTGTGAAAACCCTTTCTCCCGTTGGGCTGTCGTAGTTCATCATCAGTAAAACCTCCATATTCTCAACCCTTTCTTTTGAGTGTCCTTTACCTTTTCTGTCAAAAACTTGCTCTTTCCTGATTTCCCTGTTTTTCCTGCCAAGCCTCAGGAGAAGCTTTTCCCACATGCTGCTTATCTTTGGGCCTTAGTGCCGAGACGTGGGGGGTGGTGCTTCCTTCTTACTTCCTATTTCTTTCAAACCATTCTCCCTCCCTCCCTCCTGCCTAAAACACCAGCTTTGGATCTCACATCACCAGAGCCACTCACTACTCCTGAGCTATTTCTCTGTGATTTTATCTCCTACCTTATTGTCTCTTTCTTTCCAGTATCACTGCTTCCTTTAGTTCTTGGCAATTTCAGTGTAAACATAGGTAATGACTTTAGCCATTGTCTCCCTCTACCTTAGACCTTATCATTACCAGTAATTGCAGTCCTCCATAACCTTAATTTCATGCATCCCATCCTCTGAGGACAACCTTCTATTTTATGAATTTACTTCTCTACTACTTTTATTTTAAAAACAAAAGAGACAGGGGTAGATGGGAACTTGATGCTGCCCTCATAAGCACTGATTCTCTGGGCTCCACAATCACCTGGGCCATTTCCTGGGCCACCCAGCCTGCTTCTTGAGGGAATGCTTTGTGATTTGATTGTTTATAGATGTTATGCTAGACCCCTGTTGACTCCAATAGGGATGACACCATGTTTGAGAGACTGAAGAAAAGACCCGGAGGTATCAAATGAGACATAGGGTTTATTTGGGGGACTCACGTACAGAGCCGTCCAGTGGCAGCGGGCTTGGCAGGAAGCATGCTGCTACCTTTTGTAAAAAACATGTAGCTCATATAGCATTTTCATTTAGCATCCTCCCCCTGGCAGCCTCCCAAAACAAAGGTCTCCATCCCCTGCGTTAAAAGGGATAGGGCAGGGATTTGGATGTCTTTAATAGACAAAGACTGAATCTCCAGGTTGGCCACTCTCAGATTTCTTAGCCTGGAACTCCAAACCAACACTCTTCTCATTCTTAGGATATGCTTCAGTTATGGCTATCAGGTGCCTCTGCCATAAAACAGGAAGATTTTTTTTTTAACGTAAGAATTCCTTTTCTTCCATCTATAGGTTGTTAAAATGGAAGATTTGTTTTACCGAGGACATGAAAGGCATTGCAGTTGCTTGGGCATTCTAGAAGAGGGTGCTGTCCTTTGCCCTGGTGTTTTCTTAGGTGGCTGTGGCAGGAACACTAACTCTTAAGGAAATGGATGCTTTTTCTTTCCTGGTACATAATGTATGAACACTAGTGTGTTGTTTTCATTGTGTAGTGTGGTTTAATAGTATGATAATGTAGTTTTGTGCCGTTTTATAGACGTGAAGAAAATAAAACTAATGGGCATGAATTGATGAAGTTTTCAACTGAGTTACCAAAAAAAAAAAAAAAAAGCTTCCTAATGGACTTTCCTGGAAAGATTTGTCTAAATGAAAATTTGGTGGATCTTAAAGAAGAGAATAATTTTTATTGAACATATAGTTTGTGCTAGCCACTATCTTAGGCATGTAGCTTATTAACACTTATGGCCCATTTGTGGAACAGGTATGGTTACCTGCAGTTTAAAACAAGGATGCCAGTGTTCTAAGAGGTTGAGTTGCCCGAGATATCACTGGTATGTTAGAGTCAGGAATCAAGCCAGGTCCTGTGTGCCCTGCCCAGCCTGACTTTAAAGGACTATGTAGGGAAACTCTCTGAAACCACATTTTTCCTTTACTCTCACACCACAACAGTTAACACGGAAGACTTCTGTGACCGATTGTGGTGAGAGAGGGGGGATTTCCTCACACAGCAAGGCACAGACACCAGTTGAGTGTCCTCCAATTTACTTGCTACACTATTTACCTGGAGATAGTGTCAAATCCCACAGGTTGGAAACTCAAGTCTCTAAAACTGCCCCTGCCCCCTGCAGACATGCAAACCTGAGCCTCTGGAACTTCTGATTGATTGACTTCAAGTCGAGGTTCCCATAACCCCCTCTTAGGGTTTGATTAATTTGCTGGAGTGGCTCACAGAACTCAGGGAAACACTTATGTTTACTGGTTTATTATAAAGGATATTTTGCAAAGGACACAGATGAAGAGACGCACAGGGCAAGGCATGGGGAAAGAGGTGCGGAGTTTCCAACCCCTCCCTTGTGTGCCACCCTCCAGGAACCTCCAGGTGTTCAGCTATCCGGAAACTCCCTGTACCCAGCTTTCTTGGGTTTTTTGGAAACGTTCCTTCCTACAGTGCTTAGCCCTCTCAGGGGAGGGTTTGAGACCCACAATCTGAAAGGTGGGGAAAGATTAGATTCCTGCCTCGGGCCAGGTGAAAGGAAGGCAGGAAAGAGATTCTGTTTCCTGACCCAACATTATCACAAAAGACTGTAACAAGGGCTGTGGGAGTTATGGACCAGGAACCTGGTTGAAAACCATTATAAATCATAACACCACAAGGACCTATATTTTGCTTTTTAGGACATTGTAGTAGGTGGGTAGTTTTCATCCTCTTGCTTTTTAAAATCTATCTTGCCCAGAAGTTTATTGGGCATTTCTATGGAAACACAACACCTCTCTTAAATGGCAGTTTCACACATCTGCAGCCTAGTAATTGCTACTCATTTTGAAGACCCTGAAGCACACCACTGGATCTGGAAGTGACATCTTCGTCACCAAGGAAACAGTAGATTAAGTCCTGTGCTCAGTATAGTTTTACTTCTGAGTATTTAGTAAGTATGATAAATTATTAACCAGGATATTTGATTAGGTAGACATGCCTATATTCCAGATAGCAACAGTTTACCATTAGAGCAAACAGAAAACACCAGGAAAAATTCTGCAGGACAAGTTTGTAAAATGCAATGATACATCTTTATGACATATATCCTCTGTAAGGAGATAAAAACAATGTATGTACAGGAGTGTACATAAATAAAAGTTGAAGAAAGTACATCCTCTGTGATTTAAAAAAAGAAATTCAATATACCCATTAAAAAAGTGACAGGTGTATTAGTTTTCTATGGCTATAGTAACAAATTACTACAATCTTGATGACTTAAAATGACAGATTCATTCTCTTATAGTGCTGGAGGCTGTAAGACTGAAATTTAGGTGTGGGCAGTGTTGGCCTCTTCTGGAAGATCTGAAGGAGACCCATGCCTCCGTCCTGTCTCCCAGCTTCTGCTGCCATTTCTTGTATCACCCCAGTCTCTACTTTCACCTTTATATGGCTTTCCCTCATGTCTCCGTGTCTTCACCTTTTCTGTTTCTTAGAAGGACACATGTCATGGGGTTTAGGGCCCACCCTAATTCAGGATGATCTCATCTCAAGATATTTAACTTAATTACATGTGCAAAGACCTTTTTTCCAAATAAGGTCATATTTTGAGGTTGGGGGAGTTAGAATATGATCGTAGATTTTGGGGGGCAACAATGTAACTCACTTATAAATGGTCCACTGACCCCCCCAAAATTTGTCCTGTGTGCAGAATGCATTCATCTCATCCCAATTAATTATTAACACTGCTTTGTGAGGAAAAATTAAGAATTTTGAAAAGTGAGAAGCTATACCTCTGGGATAAATAAAAAGACAAATGGCAGAAGATGGATAGTCGCTAATCTTTTTTTTAGATAAACATTTTGTTTTGAGATAGTTGTAGGTTCACAAACACATAAGAAATAATACAGAGAGATCCCATATTACAAAAGACACCGGGATGTTGACGTTGATACAGTGAAGATACAGAACACTTCCATCGCTACTGCTGTTTTGCTGTTTATTACCTGCCCCGGATTTCCCGCCCCTCCACTGCTCCCTGTCCCTAACCGTGGTCCACCACTAATCGTTCCACAATTTTATACAAATATAACCATACTGTATGTAACCTTTTGGAATTGCCCTTTTTTACTCAGCACAATTCTCTGGAGATTCGTGCAGGTTGTTGTATCAGCAGTCATTCGTTTTTATTGCTGAGTAATAGTCCATTGTATGGATATACCGTAGTTTAACCATCGGCGTAATGAAGGCCATCTGGGTGGCTTCTAATTTTTGGCTCTAACAAAGCTTCTATGAACATTTGTGTATGTATTTTTGTGTGACTATGTTTTCATTTCTGTGGGATCAGTACAATTGCCTGATCATATGGTAGTTTAGTTGCATGTTTATTATCTTCTTTAATATGCTTTTTTTAAAGAGCAGTTTTAGGTTCCTAGCAAAATTGAGGAAAAGATAGAGATTTCTCTGATTCCCCTTGGCCCAACACATGCACAACCTCCCCTATTATCAACACCCCCCATCAGAGAGGTACGTTGGTCACAGTCATGAACCTACATTGTCACATCCTTATCAACAAGTTAATAGTTGACATTAGGGTTCACTTTTGCTGTTGTACATTGAGTGGGTTTGGACAAATGTATGATAACATGTTATCCACCATTATAGCATCATACAGAATAGTTTCACTTCCCTAAAAAATCCCCTGTGCTCTGCCCATTCATCCCTGCCTTTCCCCTAACCCCTGGCAACCACTGATCTTTTTGTTGTCCTCATAGTTTTGCCTTTTTAAGAATGTCATATACTGTAGTTGAAATCATACATTATGTGACCTTTTCAGATTAGCTTCTTTCACTTAGCAATATGCATTTAAGGTTTCTCAGTGTCTTTTCATGGCTTGCCAGCTCATTTCTTTCTTTCTTTTTTTTTTTTTGAGACAGAGTCTTGCTCTGTCACCCGGGCTGGAGTGCAATGGCGCAATCTCGGCTCACTGTAGTCTCCACCTTCTGGGTTCAAGCGATTCTCCTGCCTTAGCCTCCTGAGTAACTGGGACTACAGGTGCGTGCCACCATGCCCAGCTAATTTTTGTATTTTTAGTGGAGACGGGGTTTGGTGAAACCCCCTCTGGCCATGTTGGCCAGAGTGGTCTTGATCTCCTAAACTCGTCATCTGCCCACCTTGGCCTCCCAAAGTGCTGGGATTACAGGCGTAAGCCACCGTGCCCGGCTGCCAGCTTATTTCTTTTTAGCACTGAATCACATTCCATTGTCTAGCTGTACCACAGTTTATTCATTCACCTACTTTAGTACATCTTGGTTGCTTGCTTCCAAGTTTTGGCAATTATGAATAAAGCTTCTATAAATACCATGCGCAAGTTTTTGTGTGAACATACATTTTAAACTCCTTTGGGTAAATACCAAGGAACATGGGTGCTGGATTGTATGGTAAGACTGTTTAGTTTCACAGGAAACTGCCAAATTGTCTTCCAAAGTGGCTATACCATTTTGCAGCCCTACCAGCAATGAGTGAGAGTTCCTGTTGCTCCACATCCTTGTTAGCACTTGGTGTTGTCAGTGTTCTACATTTTGGCCATTTTAATAGGTATGTAGTGGTACCTTGTTTTAATTTGCATTTCCCTGATGACAATAGATGTGGAACATCTTTCCATATGCTTATATGTCATCTATATGTCTTCTTTGGTGAAGTGTCTGTTAAGGTCTTTAGACCATTTTTTGTTAGGTTTGTTTCTTATTGTCGAATTTTAAGAGTTTTGTGTTTTTATTTTTTGTTATATTTTGGATAACAACCTCTTATCAGGCATGCCTTTTGCAAATGTATTCTCCCAGCCTGTATCTTGTTGTCATTCTCTTGTCAGGATCTTTTGCAGAGCAGACCACCATGCTTGGCTTGAGGTTCATTTTTTTGGTCGATGGATATCCATTCAGTTGCTTCAGCACCACTTCTTGAAAAGGCTGTCCTTCCTCCACTGAATTGCATTTGCATCTTTGTCATATCAGTTATTCATATTTGCGTGGGTCTGAAATAAGAGTTTGGCCCATATCTACTGATAGTTCTGCCAGTTTCACAAATTAATAAAAGAAAATCATTATATTCAAAGGATGTTTGCTTTTTATTATTATTATTATTATTATTATTTTGTCAGTAGTAGATTAGCCCTGAAAATTTATGATGACTTCCAGTGTGATGAACTTACTCCTCCTTATACAGTAACGTGGTCTATGTGGCTTTGGGAGTTCTTTTCTCTTTTCTCTTTTTTGATTCTTGGAGTTTTGGGGCCCTGGAGATGGTAGTGATGAATGACGAATTCAGCAAAACTTAGAAGGGAACAGTCGAGGGAATTGAGACAGCCAATAGAGGACTTGAACCCCTTTCTTCAAATGCTATGAAGAATAAATAATAAGATTAGTTTTCAAAGATGTGAAAGAGACTCTGAAAAAGGAACGGAAGTGGGTGCTTGGCATTGCTTTCTCTTTCCTTCCCCTGTTGCTCTGTATTTGGGCATTAGATGTGGGTGCTGGAGGAGAAATTAAGAAGAAAATGTTAAAAATCTTGATAACTAGACAGTCTGATTTCTGATTTTCCAGTTTAGATAAGGATTACTGGATGGAGGAGTTAACTAAAATATACTTTGTACAACAAAGCACTGTTGTGCTGTTACATCCACATTAAATGTTTACTCATGTGCGGCCTGCAATTTGGAAAGATTCGGCAGAGGATCCAACTGGCACATTGTGCTCTCTTGATCTATTCAGTTTTTTAAGAACGGAGGAAAGTCAGCTTTCGTTTTGTGTCTCATACCCAGAAGGACTTCAGTTCTTTCTTTCAGTCCATAATTTCTGTAATAAGCATATTATCTTTGCTCAGTAAACAGGTCCCTAGCAAGTGGGTGGGTTTTGGTGTGTCACCCAGGACAAGGGGCCCAGTTTGTTGTTTTTCACTATCCCAACTTGCCTCTTAACGCTCAAGTAAAAGGGGAAAGAAATAGACCCAGCCTCACTTGCACCCACAAGTCAGTAATAATTAGTCTTCCAGCAGGTCTCCTCTTTGTTTCTGCTTCTTGGAGAGGGCATCATAAGCAGCAGTTCACCAAAGTTAGCAACAAGCCTAGATCCATTCAGTTTTTTTTGGGGGTGTGTGTGTGTGTGTGTGTGTGTGTGTGTGTGTGTGTGTGTGTGTGTGATGTCTTTTGTGTTTGTCCTGTGGGGACAAATACAAAGTAGGATCCATAGACTCCATATTCAGGCTTAGAATAAAGACTGAAATTAATCACTATTCTATATGGAATAATCTTAATTCAGTTGCGAGGGATACATTGCCCCTTGAATCTCAAGCATAGCCCTGTTTTGTCTTTGCTTGGTGGTAGCTGTTAACCAGGCTCTGGGTGAGCCTAGAACTTGGTCTCACATGAGCAGTGTAGATACCTCTCTGCCTTTTTGTTTAAGATGATGTAGCAGGCTGGGCGTGGTGGCTCATGCCTGTAATCCCAGCACCATGGGAGGCCGAGGCGTGTGGATCACTTTGGGTCAGGAGTTCGAGACCAGCCTGGCCAACATGTTGAAACCCCGTCTCTACTAAAAATACAAAAAATTTGCTGGGTGTGGTGGTGCACACCTATAGTCCCAGCTACTCGTTAAGCTGAGGCAGACGAATTGTTTGAACCTGGGAGGCAGAGGTTGCAGTGAGCTGAGATCACGCCACTGTACTCCAGCCTGGGCGACAGAGTAAGACTCTGTCTCAATAAAACTTAAAAAAAAAAAAAAAAAAAAAAAAGAGATGATGTAGAAGAACCATAGTTCTCATTTTTGGCCAGTTTGCCTTCCAGATTTTCTCTGTCATGTTTACCTATATCTTTTACATGGTTATAGTCAGAGTATTTGTACTATATTCTCCCCTGTCCTCATATGTACTTACTCAGGGTTTTTTTTTGTTTGTTTGTTTGTTTTCTATCTTGATCAATTTCACTGTAAGTTTGTTACTTGGCATGAGGGTAGAAATGTTGATTCTTACTCTACTGCTTACTCTACTGTGTGGTGGCGAAGAGCATGCATCTTGAAGCCAGCCCATCTGACTTTGAAGACAGGCTCAACTGTTTTTCAGACGTTTGACTTTGGTCCGAGTCACTTAATCTGCTTCTCTGACTCAGTTTCTTCTTATGTAAAGTAAAATAGGGGTAATAAGAATACCCACTTCATAGAGTTGATTTGAGGATTAAATATAACCAAGTATATGTAAAGCTTTTAGAATAGTTCCTGACATATAGCATGTTCTGTGTGTTAGCTATTATTATCATCACTCAGTTAATTTTGAACCACTTAATTTCCAAGTGCTGGTGAGTCTAAAGAGCAGAGCCAAACATGTAATTACATAAACCCAGAAGTGAATTTTTCAAATGTCTTTTCTAGTAATAGAGCTTAATGAGATTGGCACTTCAGGGAAAAGTCCTAGGAACTTGTTTATGTTGGTGACTGTTGATCAGCCAGAAGATCTCTCAGACGCAGTCTAACATCTGCATCTTTCTAGGCTGGACTACCTTTGCGGCACCAACAGATGGATCAGGAATTAAAACTGGGAGCTTCTGTTGTGGGGAATCTTTCATCTTCTACTGTTAATAGCCTTGTGGGTTTCCCTCTCCTGGGTACTACTTTCTCTACGGAGAGCTTGGTCTGTGGCACAAACAGGTGCCGAAAGGGGGAAGAAACACCTCTGGGTAAATATCTGGAGGTCGGCAGGTGACAGAGCAGTGGTCTGGGGACACTGGTTCAGGTGTATGTTCATCACCCTACCCTTTAAAACTCACATGGAAATGACTTGGCTGATAAGTTACTTGTGGTTCCTGTGATAATTAAGGCAGCCTGTTGGACCAGGACAAAGGATTTCCTCAGCTTTCAAGAGAACGTTTCTACCAAGAGCCATATACTAAGGTGTGCTGGTTATGTGAGTGTTGACCTCAGTATTAGTATCACTTCTGTTGAAAGTGACAGAAAACCTCTAAAACAGGGTTTAAAGATAGTGTACCTCATTATTTCAGAATGTTTGTGCTGCTGTAACAAAATACCTGACACTGTGTGATTCATGAAGAACAGAAATTTATTTCTCACAATTCCAGAGGCTGGGAAGTTCAACATCAAGGTACTGGCAGGGTTGGTGTCTGGTGAGGGCCGCTGTCTGCTTCCAAGGATGCAACTGGTTGCTGAATCCTCTAGAGGGGACTAATGCAGTGTCCTCTCATGGCAGAAGAGCAGAAGAGAATGAATCCACTCCCTCAAGCCCTTTCATAAGGGCCCTCATCACCTCCTATAGGCCTACCTTCTAGTACAATCACATCAGCAGTTAAGTTTCAGCATTTCAGCGTGTGAATTTTGGGGGGACACATTCAGACCTTAACACTCACTCTTTTGTTTTTTTTTGAGACACAGTCTCGCTCTGTCACGAGGCTGGAGTGCAGTGGCATGATCTCAGCTCACTGTAACCTCTGCCTCCCGGGTTCAAGCGATCCTCCTGCCTCGGCCTCCCAAGTAGCTGGGACTACAGGCGCGTGCCACCACACCCAGCTAATTTTTTGTATTTTTAGTAGAGACCGGGTTTCACCATGTTGGCCAGGATGGTCTTGATCTCTTGACCTCGTGATCTGCCTGACTCGGCCTCTCAAAGTGCTGGGATTACGGGTGTGAAGCACTCACTCTTAATGGCTCTCAGCTCTAATTATTTGAATCTTGGGCTTTTATTTAGCTGCTCTCCCATCCTTAGTTAGAATGATAGCAGTGCTGCAAGGTGGCTGCTTGAGCTTCAGCTATCAGGTCTTCATTTGAGTCAACAGGAAGGAATGTCAAAAGAGGGAACAGTTGCATAGTCATGAGGAACTGCAAAGGTGGCTGAAAAATGCAGTCTGTGTGCCCAGCTAAAATTCAAGGACTGATGGCTTGAGTCCAGGAGTTCGAGGCTGCAGTGAGCTAAGATGTTACGACTTCAAAAAAGACTTCTGATAAATTTTGACATTTCTATTTAACAGACATTTGGGAGACACACCCCCACCCCCCAGTCCAGGTGCCTGAGAATAAAAACTTAGTCACACTATTGGTCCTTGTGCTCCAAAAGCTCTTCAGTTATTTGATTGACCCATGGCTGCTTTTTGGTACTGAAGAACCTTATTAGTAATTTAGTGAGTTTTTAATTTAGATCCTGTATGTGGTGGCATGGGTGGGTGGTGGTGATTGTATTGTAGCTAGGAGCTCCTAGTCAGCAATGCATGGGCTCTGGGGCCATGCATGACTTCAAGAATAGATGGCCTAGGGCAACCCACTTGGGTCCCCTTCCATGCTGTGGAAGCTTTGTTCTTTCGTTCTTCACAATAAATCTTGCTGCTGAAAAAAGAAAAGAATAGATGGCTTTGCAGATATTCCAGGGAAGCATTTGAGTGACACCTCTCTATTGTGCCACTTAATCAGTTGGATTGGAAGTTGAGCCAGCAGGTTTGAACCTTGTTCTTAGTTTTAAACCAGGGCAAATTACTGGTGCTTTGGTTTTCTAATGCCTGTAAATTAGAGCTTCTGAGCCATGTGGGGAGCAACCCCTACCCGCAAAGGAGTGATGTAATGTCTGGGGGCTGCAATGGTTTTTTCCTTTGAGATGGATACCATATAAGCTAGTGGTGATACTTACTTTATGATAGTGACAGGGAAAGCTACTGCCAAGAGTAATTGATGTGACCCACACATAGTCCCAGAGCCAAGGAGCTAGATGGGATCTTCCTGCCTGAGGAGGCCAAGCGTCTGGCCTTCAAGCATTCTTCTCTGCTGTGATGTTGTTTCCCGTCCTGAAAAGCAGGGAGGAAATGATCAATCAGTGTGCCTCAACCTGGAGCCGATTGGCTGTGGTTGCTAAGTTTTCTTCCCTCTGAGCAGCCCTCCCTGTGATTCTGAAGCAGCTCATTCGGAGTGTTACAACAGACATCTTGATGGGATTCAAAAATGTTGGGCAGCATGGTTATCTGGTCTTCTTCTGTAAGGATGACTGTGAGGTGTGCCAGCCCATTCCCGTAGGGACACACCTAACCCGACGCCCTCCCAAGGGCTGAATTGTTCTGAGCTGTCCAGGCTTGGGCTATGTCAGGTTCTGAGCACTGAAGTGTAGTGGAGGGTATATGACAAAGAGGCGACAGAGCTGATTACCCTGCTTGTTTTCTTTTATTTATTCAGTGGTCTTGGAACTGGGCAAGAGGATTTTATGGATTAGCTCCTGGAAGACACACACTAGAACTAACATAGTAAGATTGTGTTTAGGCTGTCAGAGCCACCTCCAGGGTGAGAACGATTTTAGAGAAATATCCTTTGTGTAGCAATACAGGAACCTATGCTGGCTCAACAGCTGCCCTTTTGGAAACTGCCAGCCGAAGGGGCCTGTTGATGAGCTGTTTACTGCCACTGGGGCTTCCCAAATGGGAAGTCTCTGCTAAAGGAGTTCATTGTTCAGCATGTCTAGTGGACCCTGGCTCCTAACAGCTGGATTCTTTTGAACATAATAAACATTTCTAGAACAGGTTTTCTTGGTGAGCTTTTAGCTTCCTTTTAATAGGCACATCACTTGCCTGCCTTTAGTTCTATGAAGTTCAACATAAATGTTGACTTTAGTGATGCAGTGGGACAAAACAGTATTATATTTCTCATCAGTTCCCTCCCTGTCTCCCTTCCCCTGTCATTGTTTTCCAGAGGTAAAGTACATTTATGGAGAACATCGGGGTGAATGCCAAAGCGGCTTATGTTCTAAAATAGTGAAAAGAATTGTGCAGTTGGAGTTAGACCTATGGTTTGAGACTCAGCTTTGGGACTGAGCAAATCATTTCACGTGATCAATTTTCTAAGCTCCAGTTTCCTCATTAGGAAAAAAGAAGACAAAGTAATACTTGTTGTAATGGAATTAAATGAGATAATGTCTTCAGAATGCCATGTAAGTAAAGAAATTGTGAATCACCTTCACTGATTTGTTCCATAGATTTTGTTTTTTCCTTTCTTAAAATACCTTGTATTGACCTTCACCTAACTTTGTATTTGGACAACACCCAACAGTCCTAGCAGACCTTTAACCCTCCCGACTCCAATTTCAGTAATGTGTTAGAAGTGGCAGGGACAGAATATATTCTGGATTCATTCACTAAATATAGAGATATTATACAAAATGAAGCTGAACTCACGCTCCAGTGGGCAGTGTCAGTTTGCCTGTGAGACAGCGCTATGCAGCTGCAGCCACTAAGTGTCTAGGCACTGGAGATGGACGGCTAGAGTGGGAATCCTGGCTCCATTCAACCTCTCTTTGCCTCTATGTTTGCCATCAGTGGTGTGGATATGATAATAATTCCCATCACATAAGCTTGTGGTATGCAAATGAGATCATTTTAAAGTGCTGAGCCCAGTACCTAGCATATAGAAAGAAATGGGGCTTTTATTATAGTGATAATAATTTTTAATTGTGGTAAAATACACATAACATAAAATTTACCATCGTAACCGTCTTTAAGTGTACATCTCAGTGGTGTTGAGTATATTCACATTATTGGATGACCAAATTCCAGAACCCTTTCATTATATAAAATCCATTCAACAACTCTTCATTTTCCCCTCCCCTCAGCCCCTGGCAACCACCATTTAACTTTCCGTTTCTATGAATTTGACTTTGCATAGTGCATTTCACTTTGCATAGTGAAATCCTATGGTATTTGTCTTTTTGTGACTATTAATATAATTGTTAAGTCTTAGCCCACTGTAACAGTTGTACCCTTTCCCATTTTAGATTTCTATAGGCTCAGGATTGCCTGCCTTCTCAAACCCTGGTTATTGGTGGATTATTTCTCTTTCTTTTCTTTTTTTCTCTCTTATTTTTTTAGAGATAGAGTCTTGCTCTGTTGCCCAGGCTGGAGTGCAGTGGCATGATCATGGCTCACTGCAGCCTTGATCTCCTGGGCTCAAGCAGTCCTCCTGCCTTAGCCTGCCACACGTAGCTGGGACTACAGGCACAAACACCATGCCTAGATAATTTCTGAATTTGTGTAGAGGTGGGGTCTCACAGTGTTGCCCACCCTGGGCTTGAACTCCTGGGCTCAAGTGATCCTCCTGCCCTAGCTTCTCAAGTCACTGGGATTATAGGTGCACGCCACTGTGCCCAGCTGAATTATTCTTAAGGAACAAGATGACACCTCAGAGCTCCATTTCATCCTTTTGAAGAGAGGGGCAGGATTAGGCAAAAGGAGAACACAGAGATGATAGTGAAAGAGATACAGAGGTGAGTGTTAAGTAAGCGAAAGAGCATTTATTCAGGGCAGAGTAGAGTCTCTTTGTGGGACTCCTCCTTCCCTCCCTGCCTTCTTCCCTACCAGGTAAAAATTCAAACCTACACAACAATAGAGAGGATGATATAACCAAACCCTATGTACATGTCAGCCAGATTCAACAGTTATCCGGATTTTTTAGGGCCCATTTGTAATATGGCCCAGGAGGAAGAAAATGCCTGAACAATCTAGATTAACCTAGAGGCAGGTGTTTCTTTGCTTATTTGTGCAATTTTATTTATCTCCTTCCTGATAAAGGGCTTCTTCTGCCTTGGGACTTCTTACTATCTAAGGTTGAGGTAAAGAGCCAGGACTCTATGAAACCACATTACTTAACTTGGTTTCCTCATCCATGTAGGAGAGCACATGTGGCTTCTAAAGGTGGTCATAATGGAGTGTTTGGCACAGGGACTGCTGCCTAATAAGTAATCATTTACACTGTTAGCAGTGGTAGTGTGTTTGTGGAAGGGAAGGGTCACCAGCCAGGTCCTTGAAAACACAGGACTGAAACATGCAGCGGGGGATCAACACAATTAGTCATACTGTATCATTGATCAAGGGTTGGGATGAGCGCTGATTTTCTAGAATTGCACCTACTGTATGTTCATTATCCCATTTTACTGGCCATTGTACAGGTTCTGTCCTAGATTGTGCTGGGTTAAGGGAAACAGTAGTTTATCTGCAAAATTAGGTAGTGTAACTTTTTAATATGCTTTTTTGATGGTGATGGGATTGCTATTTACATTAAAAACATTTTATGGGTTTTAAATATAAATAAAAATATCACAATTTGAATAACTAGATAATATACATTTGGCTTCGTGAATCACTTTTTTGTTTTTGTTCTTTGGAATTCTAGGAGGAATTCTATCTACTAATAAAGGCTGCAGACTTTATCTTCCTACAACCTTAGGACGTAAGAAACGTCCTAAGATAGATGCCTGGGAGGAAAAGGAAATTGAGGGCCTACAGGTGTTTAAAAACCTATAGTTTATAATTGCTTAGAGCCTTTGATTTCCCCCCCCACCCATCCATCTGTAGCACCCAGAGAGCCTTGGTTTTGTAACATTTTCACTTTTGAATCTAGTTTATCATATGAAAGTTTTACTGTTCTGTGATATTTTGGGGCATGGGAGGATCTGTGGTCCCAAAGTCCAGAGTAGTTTTAAATGTTTTTCTGTGTTAATATGCAAAAGTATCATGAAGGCGAAATAAATTGTTTGCAAATAATTGAGTCAAAATATTATTGTTCCTCCAAAGATCCTTACTTAGTCGTGTGTCACAGCTTGTATAACAGGACGTATTTTGCAGAGCTGTTTAGTTTGCACTGACTTGTGCAACAGGAATGGCCAGTTTTCCTTACGCTCAGGGCAATCAAACACAACTTTATAAGAATTGTAACTTTAAAAGATTTCATATTTTTGTTGTTGTTGTTGTTAAAATCGTTGATGAAATAAATTCAATAGTAAAACTTCTAAGATTTGAGTCATCAAACCTCTAAATATGCTGTTTTTCTGTTCTGTTCTGTTCTGTTCTTTTCTCTTTTTTCTTTTTTTTTGATGCAGTCTCACTCTGTTGCCCAGGTTGGAGTACATGGCACGATCTCAGCTGACTGCAACCTTTGTGTCTTGGGTTCAGGCGATTTTCCTGGCTCAGCCTCCCGAGTAGCTGGGACTACAGGCATGTGCCACCATGCCTGGCTAATTTTTGTATTTTTAGTAGAGGCAGGGTTTCACCATGTTGGCCAGGCTAGTCTCAAACTGACTTCAGGTGATCCACCCACCTTGGCCTCTTAAACTGTGGGATTATAGGTGTGAGCTACCCTGCCTGGCCTAAATATGCTGTTTTTCCTTTCTATTTATTCGGTTGACCAGTTTCTTTCTTCTTCTTTTTTTTTTTTTTTTTTTTTTTTGAGATGGGGTCTCACTGTGTTGCCCAGGCTGGTCTCGAATTCCTGACCTCAAGCAATCCACCCCCTTCAGCCTCCCAAAGTTATGGGATTACAGGCATGGGCCACCGTGCCCGGCAGGTCAATCAGTTTCATTAGAAGACTTGGGTTATGTCTCCTACAGCTTGTGTAATACAGACATTTTTATTTTTACATTAGTCTTTGTATGAAATGAAAAAAGAAATCAGTTATTTGATAAATACAATCCTTCACTATCTCATTCTATTGAATGCACTTGTTTCATAATGTTCCTTTTACGAAGAGTATATTGAAGGGAAAAAGGGGCAGACACATGTATTACTATCTGTTTTTCTTTTTTTTAAATTTTAGGATACATGTATTACTAACAACAACACACAAAGCATGTAGGTTTGAGTTCATTTGGAGTTGGCTTCTCCACTCTTGTTTGGGATACTCCTAAGTTGTTTTAGATGTTGGTGGTGTTTGTGTTCCTTGTCACCCTGTCTGTGGTGACACACGTTTGTGAAAAGGCCACCTGGTTTACTGTAGATGTGAAGTCATGGCTGTGGACTGGAGCAAAAGTAACCAACAGAAGTAGGATTAACGCTGTGAGCATAGCCTTCTTGCTAACTAGCTGAGCTCTCTGGCCATGGTTTTTGGTTCCGTTGATATAAAGAGATGTGCAGGGGCTGAGTGGCATTCCATGGATGTGCAGTCACCTTGTGATTCCAAGGCCCTGTAGCCCCTCAGCACATCATCACCATGCCTTCATTCTACTTTCTGCTGCCTTTTTTGTCTGTCTATACCAGGGCACAAGCAGACAGGATCAGGTAGCCCTACCTTTATCAGTGGCTCTGGGAAAGGCTCTTCTGGAGGAGGAGGTGGTGTGTGCTGCCCTCCTTCCCCCACCATCACTGCAAGTACCTGACAGTAGTAAGCTGTGTTAAGGGAAGGGAGGAAGGAACTTTGGGGATCCTAAGACTTCTCTGTCACAGGCGTGTAAGGCGGACTCTTCTCCGTTAGCCTTTTTTTTTTTTTTTTTTTAATTTAACTTTTAAGTTCAGGGGTTTGTTACATAGGTAAACTTGTGTCACAGAGGTTTGTTATACAGATTATTTCATCACCCAGGTATTAAGCCTAGTACCCATTAGTTATTTTTCCTTATCCTCTGCTTCCTCCCACCCGCCACCTCCAGCAGGCCCCAGTGTGTGTTGTTCCCCTCCCTGTGTCCATGCATTCTCATCATTTAGCTCCCACTTACAAGTGGGAACATGCAGTATTTGGTTTTCTGTTCCTGTGTTAGTTTGCTAAGGATAGTGTCCTCTAGCTCCATCCATGTTCCCACATGAGACGTGATCTTATTCTTTTTATGGCTGCATCCCTTAGCCCTTTAACTCATCATGCACGATAGCTGCCTTTGGATTCTTCCTTCCAGAGCCCCTTCTTGGAAGGTGTGCATCAGCTTGGTTACTCTCGGGACTTCCTCTGTACCACACGTGCCCTTTCTCTTATTCCTGGGTGCTCTCTTCTCTCCTCACAGTCTTCCGTGTGTGCTAAGATCGTGCAGCTCCTGGGGCAGAATGAGGTGGACTATCGCCAGAAGCAGGTGGTCATCCTGAGCCAGGATAGCTTCTACCGTGTCCTTACCTCGGAGCAGAAGGCCAAAGCCCTGAAGGGCCAGTTCAACTTTGACCACCCGGGTGAGTCGGGCATTGAAGGGGGTATGTATCTGTATTGGTGTGTTGGGGGGAATAGTTTTATTTTGCTCATGAGGAAGTTGCTTAACCTCTCGGAATCTTGTTTCTATCTAGAACGTAGGGACTTGATAACTACCTTGCAGTGTTATTGTGGGGCTTATGTGAAAGAAGGAATTTTCAAATGCTTCAAGTAGTGCTTGGCTCATTAAATACTGATTGAATCTGTATCTGAACAAAGGTGATTTTGTATGAGCCTGGGACTCAAGATGGGCCAGACATGAGGTCGAACATACAGAGCTAGTCCTGCTGCCTCTGATCTGAGGCAGCCCTCGTCAGACCCTCCTCCTCAGGTGTACATGTGTGTTCAACCCACTGTCTGGCAGAGAGGGAGATGGAGGGGCAGGGTGGCTGCCAGAGTGGTTTTTGCCCTACAGCCCTAGATCAGCACACTGCTCCTTTAGCTGGCTTGGGTTTCTTATAATTGTTAGAAGCAAACCTGGGCATGGTGCCTATTGTGTGTACTCCCCCAGTCATGGGTTTGCTTTCCAGGTCAGTTTAGCATGTGCCAATCCTAGGATGATAACAGCTAAACTTGGAGAGGGGAAAGAACTGACTGAAGTCAGGGATGGAATGTCAAAGGAGAGAAAAAAGAAATCTATTTGTCAGAACTCATTTATACACCCTATTTTGAGATACAGGGAGCATCCATTCTGCTTTGGGTAAAAATCCAGCTTTTTAGGGAGCAGTATGATTACCTTTAAAGTGTGATGTGCCCATATACATGTTTATGAGGATGCCTTGTGTATGATTATAGGAGATCCTATTTTAAAATTAAGAAACATTTTAACAATTTGGTATTTTTCAGATGCCTTTGACAATGAACTCATTCTC
The DNA here is from genome assembly GCF_000001405.40 of Homo sapiens. Lineage (NCBI taxonomy): Eukaryota > Metazoa > Chordata > Mammalia > Primates > Hominidae > Homo > Homo sapiens. The sequence goes on from NC_000001.11 coordinate 165,891,252, forward strand.
AAAACACTCAAAGAAATCACTGAAGGGAAAACAGTCCAGATCCCCGTGTATGACTTTGTCTCCCATTCCCGGTAAGTGAGCTGTTCTGGGCCAGGGATGGCACCCACTGCTCCGCAGAGCATCCCTGGTCTGCACTGAGACCTCCTTCCTTACCTCTCGCACTTCAGACCTCTGTCCTACCCCTGCCTAATGCCATTCCAGCTGGTCAGTGGAGTGGGTGGTGGCAGCAGTGTGTGCTGTGGGATTGTAGAGGTTGGGGAGTTCATCTGAGCGCTCCCTGGAACAGTCCTGTTGTCACGATTCCTTAACTCTGAAGGATGGGATAGTGATTTCAGCTTGAGGGACTGCATGTGCATTCTGATCCACATTCCAGTGCTGCTGTTCCTGGAACAAGATGTAAGGGGAGGGGTAGAGGAAGGGCAGGAAGAAGAGCAAAGAAAACTGTTTTTTCTGCTGTCCTGGTTTACTTGGGATTGGACAATGTGGAGAGGCATGAGGTCACCAGATCGTGATCTCAGAATTAACCAAGCCCTCCAGAAAGCTTCTCAGTGGAATCAAACCAGTCCTTTCCAGTGAAGCCTCAATTTTAGTGCTCCTGATTAGGAATAGAGGAGTGGCCACACTTCCACCTCATCCTCCTTCCCTTTGAGTGATGGGAATGGGCTCCTAGAAGATTGCACTCCTGCTGGCCAGACCCCAGGCTCCTTCAGAGCGTCTCAGACCTGAATGTAGAACACACACATCTTCCCATGAGTCTGAACTAGAGAGCATGGTGACGATTTGGTTGCAGGAGGAAGATGAGAGAGAGAGAGAGAGAGAATGAGCATGCATGTGTGTGCGTTGAGGTGTAGAGGGGGCTGTTTTGGTGCTTACCTCCATGCCTCACCAGAATCTTCTGAAACACTTCCTTCTATGGGCCAGGTTCTTCTGTGTAGGAGAGAGGAGAGTGAAAGATCAGGATACCATCCTCACGCCTCCCGTGTCACTCTGTTTTCCTAACCCAACCACTGCAGATCATGGAGGAATGAATGAAGGCATTTCGTATAGGATTTGGAGCTTACACGAACATCAAGGCTGGGAGAGTGAAGGCCTGGAAGTTTATAGTCAGAGAATCAGACAAAATAGTCCCCACTGACTCTAGCCTGAGGCACTGGAGCAGAAGCTGGGGTTCATGGAAAAGTCCAAGAAACCACCATGTCTGGGTTTGCAGCCTCAATCTGGGAGCTTATGGACTGTTTGCAAAGTTTCCCTGTCTCAGTATTATGATCTCCTGAATATTGTGGATTTTGCTTCACTCTCACCTTCGAAGTCTCTTGTTGGCGTAGTAACCTGGAAGCATGTGGGGCAAGGGATTCTGAGAATTGTAGTTCTCCCTTAGGGGGAAGTGGTGGTGGTGTCACGTTGACAAGAGACATTCCAGCCCACCACTTCCCAAGTAAAGAATTAAAATGCAGCATGATGGCTAAGGCAAGGGCCTGCAGAAGAATGTAAAGGAGGGAGGAAGAGCAGGGGATTCAGAGCAGGTTGTATGGAGGAGGTGATATTTAAGCTTTAGATAGGAAAGGATAAGAAGTTGTTTGGGAAAGGGATTTCCAAGGTGCTGGGTAGGGAAGCATTTCAGAGCTAGGCATGGATCAGCTTGGTTGGGGCATGGCAGTGGAGAGGTGTGGAGGAATGGGAGTGGGTGTGTGGGAAGGCAGGCAGACCTCAGGTCATGAAGGGCCATAGGCGGCAGGGCCAGGAGCACAGACATTTTGGCAATAGGGAGCTACAGACGGGTCTATTGTTGTAGTGGAAAGGTCATTGTGGTGGCAGGAGGAGAGAGGATCTGCAATGCCATTTGTGAAGAAGCCTTTGGAACAGCCCCAGTGAGAGTCTGATAAGGGCCTGAAAGAAAGCAGTGGAACTGAGCATGGTTGACAGGAGCCAGGGCCTGACCAGTGCAGTCTAGGAGTGGAGGAGGGAAGTTGAAGACCTCGTGCATCATGAGTTCCATCAAGTTGATATGCCAACAAAAGAAAATCCTGGTAGAATTCCCAGTGCAGACATGTTTCACGTTTCCTCCTGATTTATCTCATACCTTATATTTTAAAACCTTATCCTTTAGTGGCTCAAAGCTCATGTCTTAGAAACTTTCACTGATCACCCTAGACCCATATCCACCCCTTTCCTACCTCCTTGCAAATCTTAAGGGCCACTTAATTGGACATCGAGCCATTCAGGGTTAACTGATTCCATCCCACCCATGGGCGTTTGGTACAAACAAAAATTTGTTGGGCTAAAATGAAGAAGACATTTACTTGTTGCAATTACATTTCTCTGAGCATCCTTTTCCCCATAAGCCAAATGAGATGGTTAGACTGGGTTATCTCAGATGATCTAATTGGCTAGTTTCTTTCTGGGGCTTCCCAGCCAGACTCTAAATTCCTAAGTGGTATATTATGCCAGGTATGACTCCTTGCACATTCTGGGCTAGTAGTTGCTCAATAAATTTGTTGTTGTTTTTTAAAAACTCTGAGCTGTTATGACAGTTTTTAGACCTGCGTTTGGACTTGGGAAATGATTAATTCTAACTTCTTAAGGCACCACCAACAAATTAGGCAGTTAATTTTCTCCTTCCGAAGGAAAACCACTTTTCCTTTTTAGTATTTATCAGTTAGGCATCCTAAAATGCTCTTAATATCTAGTGTCAGTACAGATTGAACATCCCTAATCTAAAAACCCAAAATGTGAAATGCTCCAAAATCTGAAACTTTTTGAGTGCCAGTGTGACGTTCAAAGGAAATGCTCATTGGAGCATTTCAGATTTTGGATTTTCATGTTAGGGAGGCTCATTGTAGATCCTCTCTCCCCCTGCCATATTAGGGATGCCCTAAATATAATGCAGATATTCCAAAATCTGAAAAAAATCCAAAATTCAAAAATTCTAAACACCTAAGCATTTCATATAAGGGATACTTAACCTGGATATGTAAACTTAGTGCAGCCATTGTGTTCTCTGTTAGTGTGTTCAAGTGGACTCTTGCACATACATTCACTTTATTTTTGGACAAAGCCTTCCCACACTCTCCTTGGTGTAGGGGAGTTGCCTAGAGAGTGGCTCACTATTTCACTTACCCATTGGTTCTGTTTTCTGAACTTCTCTAGGTTGCCTTCTTATGCACAATGACAATGGGCACACCATTTTCTGGCAGCTGACATTCCTCTAGACTGGTGCTTCTCTACCCTGGCTGCATGTTAGAAATATCTTGGGAGCTTCTAAATAGTGTTGAAGTTCTAGCTCCACTTCAGACTCATTAAATCAGAGCTCCTTGGGGGTAGGATCCAGGTAGGGATATTTTTATAAGCTTCCCAGATGGTTCTGATATGCATCTCAGATACACCACAATTCTAGGGCATTTCCTAATCCTAGTCCTTTTTTCCCGTCTTCCCTGCCCCGTTCTGCCACTTGCTAGCTACCCTAGCAGTGCCTGCCTTAAAACTCAGACACAAGCCTGTTGGTCCAAGCTGAGAAGGCATCAGGAAGTGTTTATGGGAAGGAGTTCCAACGGCACCCTCTTGAGCTGGCCGTTGATACTGACCTCCTTATGTTTGCACAGATGGAACTACTGTTTTAAGAGACTTTGTTTTATTTGGTTTGCCAGTGTGCTAGTCAGGGTGAGTGGAAACCTTGCAATGATGATTATTTCTCTATTTTCAGTGAATTTTGAGCAAGAGGCAGTTGGTGACATATAAGGTGGGCATAGGACAGAATCAAAAGACAAAACACAGTGAAAGCTGCAGCAAGGCAAAGCTGAGCACAAGCAAGGCCATCTGTGACAGCCCGTCGCCTAACCGTTTAGCAATGTTTCACCCTTCTTGCTTTTTGAAAAGTCATGTTGGTTGAGCTTGGTAGCTCATGCCTGTAATCCTAGCACTTTGGGAGGCTGAGGTGGGTGGGTTGCATGAGTCCAGGAGTTATAGACCAGCCTGGGCAATATGGTAAAACCCCGTTTCTACCAAAAATACAAAAATTAGCCTGGGGTGGTGGTGTGCATCTGTAGTCCTAGACACTTAGGGGGCTGAGGCGGGAGGATCGCCTGAGCCTGGGAAGTTGAGGCTGCAGTGAGTCCAAGATTGCGCCGCTGCACTCCAGCCTCCTGGGTGACAAAGTGAGACCCTGTCTCCAAAAACAAGAAAAAGAAAGAAAAGTCATGTTTACAATTAGTGCCTGCCCTAGGCTACCCAACCATGTGGGTTGGGTGGATGAGGTCATGCATATTTCTGCTTTATTGATAAGGAAGAGCAGCTCTAGGGAGCTCAGGATTGACCTGTGGCCACTTTGTTGGTTTGGGGTAGAGCCAGACCAGACAGACGTCGGGATTCTGTACTTCCTCACAAATGCTTTCTCGTCTGTATCCTCTTTCCCAAAACTTTTCTTTATTTTCCCTCCTTCCCTTCCCCTTCTGTCCTTTCCTCCCTCCTTTCAATTGCCTCAGGACTGGCGGGGAGGGGATGGAGTTGTTGAGAGAAAACTGTGAGTTTCTGTTTTTAAAGTTCAGAGTGTTAGGTTCCATAAATGCCAGGCCATGAGAGCATTCCTGGAGACGCCTTCAGAGAAAAAAAGAAATCACATCTGTTTTTGTCTGCCTTTATTCTTCATTCAACAGCAGGTTTTTTTAATTCCAAGGAGAAGGATGTCTGCCGTGTATTTCTGTTTCATGGTGAAAGCTCAGAAGTGGTCAAAGGAGACCTTTGTCCCGGCCGTGATCACCCTTGGCTCTTTGGTGGTGGTCCGAGGGCTCTGTAAGACCATATTAGCCAAGTCTTTAGCCCCCGCTTGAAGTCTGTGGGGGCAAGGAACCCAGAACCCAGCCCAGCCAGATGTTCTGGCCCTTGTTCTCTGTCCCTTGCTAGCCCCTGCCTGGCTTGGCCCATTATCTGCTCTGTGCTTTGCAGGAAGGAGGAGACAGTTACTGTCTATCCCGCAGACGTGGTGCTCTTTGAAGGGATCCTGGCCTTCTACTCCCAGGAGGTACGAGACCTGTTCCAGATGAAGCTTTTTGTGGATACAGATGCGGACACCCGGCTCTCACGCAGAGGTGCGTTCTAAAAGCCTCAGGTGGCCCTGTTGGTGGCCACCTTGAGGGCGGGGGAGCTGGGAGCCTGTGACAGGACCCCACCCGCCTGAGTCTGAAGCCCATGCCTTCCCTGAGGCAGCTGTGTGTCGCATGGTCCAGCCCGGCTGCGTCAGTCCAGCCCCAGGATATCCTGCTGCCCAGACACTTGGTAACATTTGAGAAGGGATTAGTCACTTACTGTTTGGGATAACGAAAGGCTTGTGAGGTCACAGAGACTAAATAAGACACTGACATCTGGTTTTGCCTGGAAAAGTTTGATTAAATGCTTAGTTCCTTGCAATTTGTTTATAAGACATCAAAATGAAGATGCTCTGATTTGGGGAACTAACTGTAGGACCCCCGAGGATAGGATCCCCTGTGCCTGAAGTACTGGGCAGCTCATCCTGTTAGCCTGCTTCTCTAGCCCTTTATTTTCCAGCAGGCTTTATGGAGGCATTATCACTCTTTCCAGTCAGCTCAGGAGGGAAGTCAGCTGTGCCCTCCGCAGGCCCTACTAAGTGTGGGCCTGCCTGTGCTAAGTCCCTGTGCTTGTGTGCTGAAGGCACAGCAGTGCCCCTTGGTAGAGGAGCCCAGCCTGTGAACTGAGCTCTACAGGGTATTCAGCAGAGAGTTCGCTTCCACCAGGAGAGATTGGGAGGCTTCATGGAGGAAGAAGGGTTGGGACTTGGATGTGGTGGGGTAGGGTGACGCTATAGGCAACCCATGAAGGTGCACGGCAGAGATGTACAGACAGTGGCTTGTTCCGAGAGTGGCAGGAACCTGGAGTGTACAGAGGGTTGTACGAAGAGACACTACAAAGTAGGTTGGGGTCTGGTTTTAGAGACTGAGATCTCTAGTCTGGTTCTCGGTGGGCAAGGGAGAGCCACTGTGAGGTTCTGAGCGAGGCAAGTGAAGTGGCCACTGTTCTGTGTTGGACACTGGTTCTGACAAAGGAAATGTAAGTGAAGCCTGTAGCTGGAGCAGCTCTTTGGAGACTGCTCTGCTGATCTAGACGAGAGGCAGGGCTGTGGTCCTTAGATGGGTGGGAGAGGGAGCAGAGTTGAGATGAGAAGAGTATTAGCAGAGTTAGAATCGACCAGGACCCAGCAAGGGCAGTGGGTGGAGGCGACTGAATAGAGGAATGAAAGGTGAGAAGGTTTGAGTCTCCGTTGTGTGACAGAGGCAGGGAGACACAGGAAATGACGAGGTTAGCTCCTAGTCACAGGACACATTATTGACAGTTTCAGATATTATAAGCTGTATCCCAGGGCCCTCTGACTTCAAAGTCTGGGTAATTTTCTCTTTTCGGTTCATGAAACAGATCTGTAGTTTATCCCATTTAGCACCGTAATTGTAAGAACTATTCATGAGACCAGTAGAACCTACAGAAACAAGTCCTGAGCTTTGCCCTTCTAAGTAGTAATAGATACATATGCTATTAAGTCAGTGGGAGCTACATCTTGCTCCCAGGTGGGGTGAGGGACAGTTAGTTTTGTGTGATGGAAAAAAGAATGGAATGGGAGGAGACTTTTAGTTCTAGCAGAGCCCTTCCCAGCTAGCTTTGTGACTAGGCTCTTGCGACACCCCGGCTTGGGTTTCTTTATGGATAATACAGGGGAGACAGGCCTGCTTTTAGTGTCACGACTCTGGCTGGGTAAGAGTTGCATGGTCATTTTGGATAGATAATTGAACCCTGAGCCTGACAACCCCTCATGCTTCTGCCCCAGGGCCTGGCTTGTCACCTTAATCCACAAACTCCGGCCCTGCTTTGGTTGATCTGCTCAGTGTCCATGTCAGCTTGTCAAATTAGAGAGGCAGTGTGATACACAGGGACAGATAAATTTTAGAGTCCAGCGAATTGGGCTGAGATCCTGGTTTTACCACTTACTAGATGTGTGGCAAATTGTGCAAATTGGCAAATTGTGTTTTAACTTTTTTGTATCTCATTTTCCTATTAGAATGTGGTCTTATGATTGGTACTTCTGGGATAGTTGTGAAGATGAGAGGTAGTGCAGGTAAAATGCCTGGTGGTGCATTAGTCAATAAATATCTATGTGGCAGATCAGAAATCTGCTTCTGCTGAAGGGGTCGGTGCTGTTCGTTTTCTGAATTTTCTGACAAGACTGGTTAGATCCTCCAAGGGGATCTGCTCCGGTCATGTCCTCAGGAGCTAGTGATGCCCGGACTGATGCCATCACTAGTCCAGCAGTGGTACTCAGTCTCAGGGATGCAGTGCTGCCGAGGGAGGCCTCGCAGCAGGGAGTGCAGGAACCAGCACAGGAGATTAGAACCAAGTTTTGAGCAGCAGCAAGACGCTGGAAATAAAGTGCATCCTAGTGTCTAATTCAAACAGATCATCACGGTGTGGTTTCAACAGAACATTTTCCCTTCCTTTCTTGCATGGGATTCTTATGTGAAATAGGAGCAATTCCTACAATGGTGCTGGCCCTCTGGGGGTTTCTTAGGGCCAGCTCTGCCTCTCCGCCTTCTCTGAACAGGCTGCCTGGGCAGGGCTCTGCTTTCTCATTTCAGATCTGCTAACTTCACATGTCACCTACTGCCGAGTCACTTTCCTGATGGATTCATGGGACTTTTCTGCATGCTATTTCTACAAATTCATTCTCTCTCCACGTAGGACAAAAAACATGCTTGGCATGTGCTTTGTGGAGTGCGGGGGTGCTGGGGTAGGGAGGCTGGTTAGTCAGAAGCAGCTGTTGAGTGAGCTTGAACATTCCTGGAGACTTGAGTTAGCTCCATGATTTTACCCATCTGTCACACCCTCCTGGGCATGTGACCTCCAGATTCTGAGTTGACCCTCATGTGGGAGAGAGATCTGTGTTTGAGTGAAGCAGCCCTGGAAACTACCTCCTTCCTGATGGAAACCCTTGATCTTCTCGGGATTGGTTTCTAGCCTCATTTGCCTTCATATTCCCTCTGTGCTCTTTACCACCACCCAGCTCTGAATACGGGGACAGGGAGGAGGTGGGGCAGGGAGATTCAGGATGGCTGACCCCTCATCTTCCTCATCCATCATTCTCTGGTTCTCATAGAATTAGGGCTGCACTGGGCCTTGGGGGATTCAGCCCATTCTTTTACTATAGAGTAGCACATTTCCTCATCAGATTTTTAAAGTGATTGACTTCACCATTGAGGAATTATCTTTATTTTGGGTCCCTCTAAGTTTCTTTCTTGGCTTTTGGCTAACCAGAAAGAGCAAGTCTGGGTTTGGAAGGGCTGACGTGGAAGCCCAGCAGGGAATGTGGGCAGACTTGTAGCTTCCTGCCCTGTACCCTGTCCTCTGAAAAGGCCTGTCCTGGCCCAGCAAATGTGCTGGGGTCAGAGCAGTGATGGAGGGGCTGGTTTTGAGCCCCTGGGGTTTCCAGGTTGTGCCAAGACCTTGTTTGGACTCAGTCCTTGGCGCGGCCCTGTTTCCTGACTCTGCCTGAGGAGAAGGGCCTTTCAGTGCAGGGAACTGGCTGGCCCTCTGTTGTCCTTGGCTCAGGGAGGCACAGTCTGCCTGAGGTGATAGTTCTATCGGAGGTTCTTGGGGAGCAGAGGTGGGCAAGGCCTTATGATGTTGCATGTTCCCAGTGTCTGGGCAACATTCTGACCCATTCCCCATTTGCTTTTCCAGCGTGGAAGCTGTAGTGGGACTATTCCCTATCTTCCTTGCTTTTTTTCCTTCCTCACGTATGTTGTCCTATGTGCTTGTGTCCTGCTCTCCCTTCCCGCGTGGCAACCTGCCTTTCCAGCTGCCCTGCGGGACTCCTTTTTCCCTTTGCTGCCCCCGCTCAGCTGGGTCTGACCTGCTTACCTGAATTCGAGGTTCCCGCGCTCCCACGGTGTTGAGCTGCTCTGTCAGGGAGGCACTGCCCTCCCAACGCGTCCTCAGGTTCTGTTGTGGTCGTAATCATCATAGAACACATGCTTATTGAACATGTGCTAAGGTGCCAGCTATGGTGCTGAAGAGTTTTATGCACATCTCTGTATTCCTGAATAGTAACTGTATGAGGAAGGTACCATTATTGTCCCTGTTTTATAGTTAAGGAACTTAAGATTCAAAGAGGTTAAAGTCACTTGTCGAAGTTCACAGAGGTAGGAGTTATTGGGGTTAGGATTCAGGTCCAGGGCAGTTTTCCCCCCAGAGCCCATAGAGGTAGAACAAGAAGCAGCTTTTGGGCTACAGAGCAGCTTCACTGTGATTTACCTCCTCCTCCTACTTTCTGCACGACCAGTTTCCTCTCTCCAGTGACAAAACAGCTGAAGCCACCAGATCTACAGAAGGAAGGGGGCTGAAGGCCCAGGCTGAGGGCAGTTAGGAGGACTACGTGACAGGGTGTGGACGTGCACTGTGTGTGCGTGCGTGCGTTTGTGTGCATGTGTGTTTGTGTGTGTGCACGTGTGTGTGTGTGTGTGCTGGGAGAAGGACAAAGCTTCCTCCAGTGCTAAAGCCTTCAGCAATTGTATGAAAAGCATGTGTTGCAAAACAATCCAGCATCAGGCGTTTGCAGGGCTTTAAGTAAAAGCTGCCCAAGCACGGGTGTGTTTGTTTTTTCCCTAGCTCTGATACCCTTTTGATCTGGTTTCCTTTTTTCTTTGGGCTTTATCTGGAGACGTGTGAAGAATTGGAGGCCGCGCTGGCTGTGTGTTTTGGCGGTGCTACTCTGGTTAGCCATGTGTGCCGGAGCTCTGGGGACTTCTGGGGGGTGAGCCACGTGGCAGCTCCTTAGGGCTCCTTCTTAGCGAGTCTCCCAGCAGATCTGCCAGAGCAGCAGGTCGGCAGCAGGAGCCCAGGTCCAGCGTTGCAGGGGTGGGGAAAACCATTTCCTGGCTGGAGAAGGCTGCTGCTGGGCTGGGTGGGCAAGTCCTGACACATTAGCGATCAGCCAACTGTTTTATTACCAGGTCTCCCATGGAGAAAACACTTCGTAAATCGAGGAGCTGTTACAAAAGTCGAATGGCAGCATCATTAGTGCCCAGCTTTCTGGAAATGTGGATTTCCTGACAGTTTTCTCACCTTCTCATCTTATAGATTTCCTGTCAGCCTGGATCATAGCCATGACAGCCTCCCCGTTCCCTGGCCTCTCTGTGCATGCACCTGTGCATGTGTGTATAAAGACAGAATTATTTAGACAAATGGCTTTCAGAAGTTCCGTCACAGATATACCCCATGTTCGTTTACAGTGAGTTTCACCCAACATTTGAGTCTATTTACTGAGAAATGGTTGGGAAGGAGCTGAAGAGCCACTGCAAATGATTGTAGATGGATGTGGTAACTTTTTGGGGTGAAAGATTTAGCAGCTCAGATGATAAGGTTAGATTAAGATAGCATTTAAAATGACATCTGCAAAGAGAGGCAGTTTTAATTAAGAGAATCTACTTCCAAACTCCCTACTCATGGGGAAACTAAGGCTCATGTACAGCGGCAGAATGAGGGTGATCAGTCTTCTTTCTATTTATTGACAGAAGACTCTATTTAATAAAGAGTGTATGGGCTGCCTATAATTCCAGCACTTTGGGAGGCCGAGGCAGAAGGATCACTTGAGCCCAAGAATTCAAGACTAGCCTGGGCAACAAAGCAAGACCCCGTGTCTACCAAAAAAAAAAAAAAAAAAGGCTCACACCTGTAATTCCCAGCACTTTGGGAGGCTGAGGCGGGTGGATCAGGAAGTCAGGAGATCGAGACCATCCTGGCTAACACGGTGAAACCCCCATCTCTACTAAAAATACAAAAAATTAGCCAGGCGTGGTGGCAGGTGCCTGTAGTCTCAGCTACTCGGGAGGCTGAGGCAGGAGAATCGCTTGAACCCCAGAGGCAGAGGTTGTAGTGAGCTGAGATCGCGCCACTGCACTCCAGCCTGGGTGACAGAGTGATGAGACTCTGTCTCAAAAACAAACAAACAAAAAATTAGTCCATTGAGGTGGTGTGTGCCTGTAGTCCCAGCTACTTGGGAAGTTGAGGTGGGAGGATCACTTGCTCAAGCCCAGGAGGTTGAGGCTGTAGTGAGCTATGACTGTGCTACTGCACTACAACCTGTGTGACAGAGCAAGACACCTTGTATTAAAAGAAAAAAAAATTTTTTAAAGAAAAAAAAAAAAGAATGGTAAAAGCCCCTGGATAAAACTGACCGGGGGAAGAAGGTAGAAGACAGAAGATGGTGAGTTTGTTGTCAATTTGGGCTTCATCTCAGCCCCAGCCCACCATTCTCTAGGCCATGGTTTTCTTATCTTTCACTGAGTGATTTTTTTTTTTTTTTTTTTTTTTTTTTGGCAAACCTCTGTGCATGAGGTAGGTGGAAATGGTTAACCATGGCTGGGTCCTCAGCCTGGCCTGGGCTCCATGCTGCAGAGGGGGCATGGGTGGGAGCTGGGAGCAGTGAGCTGATGCCTGATCAGTGGGTCGCTGGACTTCTGAACGCAGGTAAGTGCATGCAAGGAGGCAGCGTGCAGCCCAGCCCTCTCGGGGCCCAGATTGCTTCTTGTTAACAGTGAGCTCTCCAGGAGTGCCCTGCTTTTTTAAAAAATTCACACTGAAATTTTGTTTGGAGCAAATGTTGCTTGAAACAAGAAGGCTGTTGGCCTCCATGGACAGCCTTTTGTTTCAAAGAGCATTGTGTCATTGCCAAGTTTGACCATTGTAAGATGTCAGAATGTAACTTGTCTTTTCCGAAGCCGCTGCTGATCTGCTCTTGGTCAAGCCTCTCAGGATTCCAGCTTGAGAATCATCTAGAGTAATTGTGGAGCCTGTGGGAGCTAGGTCCACCCCATGAAGGGCGGGTGTGTGCTGGCTCCTACACCGTTTTTTGATTCTTGTTTTCCCTTCTCTTACAGTATTAAGGGACATCAGCGAGAGAGGCAGGGATCTTGAGCAGATTTTATCTCAGTACATTACGTTCGTCAAGCCTGCCTTTGAGGAATTCTGCTTGCCAGTGAGTTGTGTTCTTGGTTTGTTTTTGTTGAATGTAGAATTTAAAATTTGATGATATAAACGAAGGTGTGCAAGTTTGTGGAGCTCCCCTGCCTGAATCTCACTCCTCTCTCTGAGTGATCCTCTGTCCTGAAGTCCTAAGAGAGGGCAGCCCTTGGTCCTTGTGTCCTCTGTGTTCTCCAGGAGCCCTGTCCTGCTGTTCTTTCTTTGGGTAGCCCTGTAGGGTCCTGCCAGTCCTTAGGCAGGTCATTTAATTCCCAGCTAGTTCTAGGTTTCTTGCTTGGTGGGGTCATGGTGTGAGACCGTTTACTGAGGGTGTATCATATCCAAGGAGAGTCCTCAGCCATTTGGATCTCTGAAGGGTCTGCAATGGGTGACGTATGGATGCACTGGGTGCTGTGCCCCGAGATGTTCCCCTCTGAGCCTCTCCTGCCATCACCACTGAGCCCTGCTTTGAGCTTGTCTTTAGCTCCCATTTGGAGACTGTCATGCCTTACTGGAATAAGCTTCCTTCCCTTCACCCTTGCAGACTCACCAGTCCTTCCTGTGGCAGCTAGGAATTCTCTAGTGAGGTGGCTTTCAGAGAAGGAAGAACACAGAGAGTTGGCCCTCAGCCCAGGAAAGACAGGAAGGGGCATGTTGAGGGAAGGCTACCAGAGACAAGAGGTGTGGTGTGCTGGGGCTGCAGAAGGAGAAGTATTTAACTCAGGAGAATCCTACTGAGTCAATGAGTCTTCTCCAGCTTGGCCAAACCATGGTCTGGCTCCTGAATTATTTATAGTTAAGCTCTGAGACCGGGAGGAAGGGAAGGAAGAGCTTGGGACTTAACCTGGTCTTGGTTGAGATACACTGGGAAGGCTGGAATCTCTGAAGACATTGAAGATTTAGAGTAAGGCTGGGTATTGGAATTTCCCTATTTATTCTAACAATAAACTTCATTCTTTTTCTTCTGGGAAAATATCTCAAACTGTCTTTGTTTCTTTAAGGATGTTACTAGCTTTTACAGCAACCCATACTTGACTTTGGTTTAAATGCGGGACAGGTGGACTTTTTGAGCCAACTGAGTAACATTGATGCCCTATCCATTGCCCTGGAGACTATTGAGTTACAAGAGTAGGTTACTGGAAAGAGACCAGAGGGGGCTGAGGAGCTGTGAACTTCTTTCCACCCAGTTATCTATCTGAGGACCTCTCCTGTTATTTTTGACTTAATAAGAACACAAAATGAATTTATTATTGGATATCAGTCATATTTAACTGTCAGTTTTCTACGTTTAACTTAGTTGTAACAAAGCTAAAAATTCTGCAGACGTTTTCTGGGTTATTTCTGCTTGCTTCCACTGTCCAGCCACTCTTTGCTCAGGGAAGATCAGCTCATTCCCCTGTAAGCCAGGAACTTGGACCTGATAAATGTCTGCTCAGTTCAAGTTGGGTTTGGGGCTGACACCGTTGCCTTTCAGCAATCCTAGGGCAGAGGCTGCACAGAGTAAGATGCCCACATGCTTGAGGTGTGGTTTATGTGTTCTTATGCTAGACTTAGTTTGTATGCCAGGATGCAGTTACTTGTAGAATGGTCTACAAAATCTCAGTAAATTTGGACCAACAAAAAAGAAAAAGAAAAAAGAAATATGCCTCTTTGTGGCCTGACTTTCTTTCTTTAAAAATTGGGTAATAATAGAACCTATGAACTGGTCATCAGTGAAGAATACTTTTTCTGGTTTTACCCTGTGCTAGGAGTGAACAGTGTCATGTTTCAGACTATGTGTAAAAGTCCAAGGTGAACCAGTCCCCTGGAAAGTTTGGGTTTTTCTAGTTCATATTTGTCCTAGTGGAATAGAGGCAATTAAGTGTTTGGCTTCAAAGACCATGTTCTCTGCATAGGTCATAAGCTGAAACAGTGTTCAGCGTTAGAAATGAGAACTTGGTTGGGTGCAGTGGCTCACGCCTGTAATCCTGGGACTTTGGGAGGCCCAGGTGGGTGGATCGCTTGAGCCCAGGAGTTTGAGACCAGCCTGGGCAACATGGCGATACCCCCTCTCTATAAAAAATAACAAAAATTAGCTGGGTGTGGTGGCGGGTGCCTGTAGTCCCAGCTACTCAGGAGGCTGAGGTGGGATGATCTCCCCAACTCAGGAAGTCAAGGCTGCAGTGAGCTGTGATGATGCCGCTGCACTCCAGCCTGGGTGACAGAGTGAGACGCTGTCTTAAAAAAAAAAGAGAGAGTGAGAGAGAATTTGAATAAAAGCTAAATTCTTGTAATGTAGATAAAGTGGATAAAAATCCATGGTAGATAGTTATCAATCGAATTATGAACTGGTTTTGGATTAACCACTCAGTCTGGACCATTTTCCCTCACTGATGCATGAAAGTCTTCAATCCTTCTTTCTCATTTTCCTCATTCCCTGCTTATCTTCTTTCATTCACATTTCAGCTAAACAAGGCACTTCCTTAGGTTTCCCCAAATTTCTATTAATAGATGCATTCACTGTGAAGTTGTAAACAATATTATATTTGAAGCCTTAAAAGGTGCTCTTCTGGGCTCGCTAGTATGAATGCTGCCCTTTCCCCATATTCCCTTGGAGAGGGTCTCGGGCCAGTTGTCTCTTAACTGTATTAATGCATATTAACTGTCTTTCTCCACAGACAAAGAAGTATGCTGATGTGATCATCCCTAGAGGTGCAGATAATCTGGGTGAGTCCCTGCAGAGTGTCATCCTGGAGTATAATGTCTGCCCTTTGTCAGTCATAATTTGGGGCAGGATGTGGTGACCCTACAGGGCTCTGCAGACATGGCTGCCCTGCTTGTCTGTGATTGTGAGCCAGCAGAACCTTTCCACCTACACGTCTGGCCTCAGGAACAGGTCCCTGGGTGTAGGCACCCATGTGTTACGGGGACAGACATGCACTTGTGCTTCTCTGGCAGAATAGAGGGCTGTAGATTACCTTTTACTATCACTTCCCAATGATGACACTTGGGTACTTTGCTTCTGAGGCCACCTTTTAGCAAAAGCAGATTCCCTCCTTGATCTAATTTAGAATGACCTGCCATCACGGTAGCCCTTTCTAAAGGGAGCTGGTTGCTACCATTATTGTACTTATTTTTCATTTTATTTTATTTTACTTTAGAGACGAGGTCTTGCTCTGTCACCAAGATGGAAGTGCAGTAGCACAGTCACAGCTCATTTGCAGCCTCCAATTCCTGGGCCCAGCCTCCCGGTAGCTGGGACTACAGGCTTGCACCACCACGGTCCACTAATTTTAAAAAAGTGTTTTTGTAGAGATGGTTTCATTATGTTGCCTAAGCTGGTCTAAAACTCCTACCTCAAGCGACCCTTCCATCTCAGCCTCCCAAAGTGTTAGGATTACAGGCGTGAGCCATAGCACCTGGCCCCATTGTTTTATTTATTTTTTTGGCCTGTCTAGGAAGTATGAATGTCTCTGGACTAGGCGTAGTGTGGCAGAGTTGATCTGTAAAATAGGACCTGGTTTCTTCATTCTCTTTAGAATTTATTTAATTTTCCCTCCATTTAAAAAGATTATTTCTTGAGCTGTTTGGGAGTAAGTTATAGCAATAAATATTTAACCCTGTATTTTTTAAGAACAAAGGCATTCTTATTCATCAGCAGAATGCAGTCATTAAATTCAAGACATTTACCATTGATATGACCTCTTTTAACCTGGAGATGTTCCCTATCTTTTGTTTTTTAAGACATTTTTGAGGCGTACAGGCCCATTGTTTGGTAGAATGGTCCTCAATTTGGGTTTGTCTTTTATTTTCTTATGATTGGTTTCATGAGCTTATACAGTCTGAAGGAATTATCCCAGGAGAGATGTGGCGTGGTCCTCTTTGTGTATCACATCAGAAAGCATTTGATGTGTATTCCATTTTTGGTGATGTTAAATTGACCTCTTGGTTGAGGTATATAATTTATTTCTAATGCTAATAAAAGATAGCTCTCTGCATTATATTTTTTGGAGGGAAAGAGGGCCTTCCATAGGGATGCTCTGTCTTAGGATGGAAAACTGGAAGGTTCCCTGGTGGAAAGGTCTCATAGCTAATTGACGTGTCAGAACCATGGCTGGTTACCACGTCTGCAGACTTTGGCCCGAGTGCTTCATCCAGTGGTGACTGATCATCTCCTGATAAGAAGCCCATTCATTAAGGGCTTACTCTGTGGTAGGCATTGTCTATCTTACTCCTTAGAGCCCTCCTGTGAAGGAGGAGGATCATATTAGCTCAGGCAGAGCCACTGGGAAGTTGGATGACTTGCCTGCAAGTGGCAGAGCCACTTCCCTGGAAGTCTTTCTACTGTGGTTCCTGCATGCCCTTCCCCCAGACAGACTCCCACACTCACCCCTGCACCCATGCCTGCACCCGTAACGCTCTGCTGGTCTCTGCCCCACAGTGGCCATCAACCTCATCGTGCAGCACATCCAGGACATCCTGAATGGAGGGCCCTCCAAACGGCAGACCAATGGCTGTCTCAACGGCTACACCCCTTCACGCAAGAGGCAGGCATCGGAGTCCAGCAGCAGGCCGCATTGACCCGTCTCCATCGGACCCCAGCCCCTATCTCCAAGAGACAGAGGAGGGGTCAGGAGGCACTGCTCATCTGTACATACTGTTTCCTATGACATTACTGTATTTAAGAAAACACCATGGAGATGAAATGCCTTTGATTTTTTTTTTCTTTTTGTACTTTGGAACGACAAAATGAAACAGAACTTGACCCTGAGCTTAAATAACAAAACTGTGCCAACTACTACTGGTGATGCCTAATTATGAATCCAACGTGTAACCAGTTATAAATACATATATATATAAAAAAGGATCTATTTTTGTGTAAATGTACAAATACTGTAAAGCTGTTTGCCATAAGTATTTTGCAGGAGGGTCTGTACTTGAGTGTTTTAGGACTGGAGCTGGAATTTCACCAAGGGGAAATTGCCTGTTGTGTCCCAGGGTGGGGAGGCTCGGGCATCTGTGAGAGACAGGGAGGGTGGCTAAGGTCCAGTTGCTTTTGAGTGCCCCGTGGAACTTGATGGGAATGGGGTTGGAAAACCTTGATTGCCTCCTCTGTCACATGCCACTCTTGGAGCTGGAGCTTAGTGATATGTCAATGAGAGATACTCTTGTCTTTTTTTTTTTTCTTTTCTTTTTTTTTTTTGAGTTGAAATTAGGTAAAATCTCAACTCAAAAATCAAACTCAGGGAAGAGGCCCACTGAGGAGAACAAGTCTTCTGCATTTTCTTCCTGCCCTGCTCCCACCTTCTCGCCTCTGGCTGCTTGGATAGCTTGGTGACTCCTTCCTCACCCTCCTGCTTCTCTGTCTCTCCAAGAAGCCAGAGCTGCCTCTTTCCTTCCCTGGAAGAGATTTTATGGGATCGCTTCCTGATAGAAGATGGGAAGGAGAGGGCAGAACTTTGCCTGCTGTCATATCTGAAGAATCACTGGTTCTTTCTGCATCCCAGGGGCGTAACTGATCTGACTCCTTGGGCTTTTTCCTGTATTGTGGAATATAGAGTGGACCATTGCAGGCTGGGTGTGGGTGAGGGCTTCGGTAACTGATGCCGGCAGCAGCGCCTCATGGAGTGGCAGGGGAGCTCTGTCTGTGGAGGGGTAGTAGTTTCCGCTTCCTGGAGGTTTGCAGTGAGGTGAGGAGAGTAACTTTGGTCAGGGATTCTCACTAGCAGCGTCATGGCCAGGATGCTTTACTTATTTGCAATACCACCTAGTGGATATGGCAACTGCAGAGCATAAAAGGGGCTCGGAAAAGCAGTTTTTACAAAGTATTTAAAAGGAGAGTATTTAAATCATAGGTACCTAAGTTGGAGCCTGAGGTTGAAATATTTGGGGTGGAGATTTCTAGCTTTCCTGAGAGCTGCTGCTTGGTGGTAGTGTTTTCTCTGGAAGTACAGATTCCTGACATTCTGGGTGGAGGGGAGCCCAAGTGAGCCTGAAGGAGTTCTGATTATAGAGTCCCGAGCCTCAGTTTCTGACTGCAGAAGAGCCAGAGATGTTCATTTCATTGTTGACCACCCTAGTGCTTGGTGGACTGTGCCCTTAGCTATCCCACTGTGGCTGCCATTGCCAGAAACATTTTGGAGAACCTTTTCTTCCCATTGCTCTCAGAGCCTGTTCGAGCCATTCAGGTAAATTGGTCTCCATTATTACCTGGTCACACCAGATTTTCCCCCAGACTCAGCACCATCCAGTCTGATTCCCCGTTTCTGGGCTCAGTTTGACTCTAAATCTGTTTTGCTATTTTAAAAAGTCAAACCTGGTCCCCAGCAGAGCTTGCCACCCGGAGACTTTCAGGAGACCGTGCAGGCTCTGAAGGGAGCTCCCAGTCACAGCAGCCGCCTACTTGGAGCAAGGGAAGGCTCCCAAGATGCCTCCTTTGAAAGCCGGTGCTCACCAAGATCAGTTCAGGATCAATCATTATCCTTGTAGTCATGCCTTGATCAGTTCTGAGATGAAGCAGGGAATGCAGGCCTGGGTTAGTATCCTGAGGACACAGGGCCCCTGGCCTTGATGGCACTGGGCTGTGCTCAGGTGAAGCCCACCCGTGTCTGGGAGAGCCTTGGCTTTTCAGTGGGCAGCATGCTCAACTTTACTTGAAGCTCCCAGGTGCCAAACCATTTAGTGCCTTGGCTGTTTATCCCACTGCCTTGGAAGATGGACTCCTCTCATCTCTGAGCCTTTACCTAGCTGCTTCCTCATCTACCTGTGGTGTTGGGACCAAGCCTCCAATATCTCTGAATAGCCCACTCCTAGCTTGGAAACAGCTATAAGGGCTGCCCTGCCCCTTGTCAAATGATCACCAATTCTTGGTGGCTTGGCTGGGGACAATGAACAGTGTCTGCTGGGGTCTGTGACACACTGTTTCTGGAACAAGGAAGGGATGGAAGGCTCTACCCCTCCGTGGCAGCCCAGCATTTGGCCAACTCTGTATCTGAACTTGAGCTTTCTATGGAACAAACAATGGTCTTAGTTTTTTAAGAGCCTCTGGGTCTCTGATTCCATGGAGAGTCAGGAGTAGAATTAGTGGACCAGAAACCATGACATTTGCCATCTAGGTACTCTGCTGTTCAGGGTGGAGGCACAGATGAGCAGAGTGGGGTGATGTTGGTTGTATGTGCATAGAAGTCCCCTGGCTCCAGAGCCATCCAGTGGTGCTTGGTTCTCTCTTCCTGCCCAGGTATTGTGTGTGGACCAAGTGTTTAGGAAACAAGCATAGAAGCATTATGTCACAGGAAGGCCTGGCCTCTCACTCCTTCACACTAATGAGCCTTCTACTGACCCAAGTTTCTTTTTCTCGGGCAGCCTGGGACCACTATGAGCAGAGAGATGGGAGTCTGTGTAAGAAGGATGCAAGTATCCTTTGATTTGGAGTGGACAGAGCAGGTCCTTGCAAAGGCAGTGGGTTAAACAACGGGATGTCTGTGGGACAGGCCAGGGAAGGAGGGCAGAGACAGGGTCTCCAGTTCACCTTGCCGCAGAACTAGCCTAATCATCCCTGCTTCTGGTCTTGGCCACTTGGCAATCATGGGGAAGTTGACTCCCCGCCTCACTTGGGCTTGGAGCTGGATACTTGTGGCCACGCCCAGGATAGGTTGCCAGAGTTTCATTAGGCCGCTGGGTCGGGCTGGAGGCTTGTGTACACCTCGGAGCAGTCGGGCAGCAGGAGGGCCGGAAGCCTGGTTGGTTTGTATATGACCTCTCTTGCCCTTGTGCACTTTCCTTGATTTAGCAACCTTGACCTGCACTGGCCCTCACAGCTGTTGGAGGGAAGTAGCCTCTTGCAGGGAAATATTTTCCCCTGCCCTGGAATCTCCTATGTGCCTGTTAAAGATTCCAGGGCCAAGAACTCGGCAGGCTGAGGAGCAGCTAGGTAGGTGGGTTATGCGGTTCAGGACTGCTTCTGGAAGGGACTGCCTGTACTTCTGTACCACCGTTGCCCTTTACACTTTGCTCAGGGCGGGGTGGGGGAAGCATTCAAACAAAACAAGGAAGGGAACTGTCTGGCAAAGCATAAGTGGATGCATCCAGAGCTCAGTCCCCTTTAATCTTTTGTCTCTGGGCGTTCTGCTGCCTTCCTCATACCGGGGACTGGCATTCCAGGTCAGCTTGGCTGTGGTCTTAGAGGCAGGGAGTGCCTACCCAGTCCTGCCTCAGGAGCAGGGTGAGTAGCTAAATACAGACTTAGGCTTTTTTTTCCCCCCTTTTAAGATGCTTGCTCCTCTCCCTTTTCTTTTTACCACCCTACCTTTATTGTTAGTGGTTACAAAGTGACCACATATTATGTACTTTGCTGTAAATAAAGACAGACAAAAAGGCTCTCGCCTTCTGTGTGATGCTTGGCCCAGAGCAGCGACCGAATCCTGGCTGTGTGGCCCAAGTGGCTCAGGAAGGGCCATGCTGTGCATGTGTGGTGTAGATGTCACTGGGCCTGCTGTCACGAAGCCTCATGATCCTGGGGTGTATGTGGGGCAGACCCCAGGCCTCACCTGGGCTCAGATACTGGTTCAGGTTAGTGGACTTGCAGTTCTTGTCAAGTGGGAAGCCCGGGCCAGGGTTTCTGGGAGCCTTTGGTTCTTAGGACAACCTGGCGCTATGTTCCCCTGATTCCATCCAGTTTACCTGGCCTCTGCCCCATTGCCTTCCTTAGGCTGGTGACCCAGCCCCTTCCTTGCTCAAACAAACCCTTTTAAAGTAAACTTTTTTGAGGGAGATGGGTGGAAGATGAGGAAAGTTTACATTATAACAACACAAACAGTTCCATGTTGTCCACACGCAGTGAATGGATGTATGTGTGTGTCTATCCCTGTTTTTCAAAGACCTAGGCTACCCACCAAAGATAGATGATTGGCTTTTGTCAGGGTGTGGTGGCTCATGCCTATAATCCCAGCACTTTGAGAGGCCAGGGCAGGAGGACTGCTTGAGGCCAGGAGTTTGAGACCAGCCTGGGCAAGAGGGTGAAACCCCATCTCTACTAAACAAAAATTAGCTAGGTGTGGTGGCACATGCCTGTAATCCTAGCTACTCGGGAAGCTGAAGCACGAGAATCACTTGAACGCAGGAGGCAGAAATTGCAGTGAGCTGAGATCACACCGCTGCACACCACTGCAACAGAGCAAGACTGTCTCAAAAAAAAAAAGGAAAAAAATACGGCTTCTCTGTTGTTTGTGGTGCCCTATCCCCTATCAGCTTGCCACCTTTCTTAGCTTCTCATTCAACTCTTCTACCACTGCCTACCAGGCACCCAATGACTGTCATTGATGAGCAGAGCCATTTTCTTTCTAGCCACTCACTCCACTCTGACAGGTGCAACCCCATCTGTGAATTTAGCAGGTTTTTAACAGGATCTGCCCTCAAAAGGTGGCTATTTTAAACAACACGCAGGTGCCCCTGCAAGAGCTAATGTAAGCATTGTCAACTTCTGGCAGGTGAAGACATTGTGTGTCACAGTGAGTGGCTTGCCTGGTGTCACACAGGCAGTGGTCGTGCAAGCCGGTGCTTAGCTGTGGTTCAGTTTCCCTCTGCACTGCTCGCAGTCTCACCTGTCCCAAGCCGACCACCTCTGGACTTTGATGCTTTGCTTGGGATGCCAGTTGGTTCTCACAGTGTGTTTCTGCACCTTTGTTGTAGTTAGAGGGGACCGTGGTACAGGCCAGTAATGCCCCAGAGTTGATTTTTTATTTTTGTCTCCCCACCCTTGTGTCACAACATCCTCTGAGCCATCCTCCAGCTCCACAGCTAGGAGGAGACGCCTGTTTGACTAGTGCTGCTTTAATCAAACCCTAATTGGGGCAGATTAAAAGAAACTTGTTAGGACCTGCTGAAAGGTTTTAAATAAGGGGTGGAGAAGGAGACTTGGGATGTGGGAAAGTGCTTTGAGAGGATGGAACCAGAGATGGATTTCTGTTATTTGGTGCTGGGGGGATGTTTAGATTTCTTTCTTTTTTTTTTTTTTTTTGAGACAGAGTCTTGCTTTGTTGCCCAGGCTGGAGTGCAGTGGCGCGATCTCGGCTCACTGCAAACTCTGTCTCCCAGGCTCACGCCATTCTCCTGCCTCAGCCTCCCAAGTAGCTGGGACTACAAGCGCCCACCACGACTCCTGGCTAATTTTTTTTTTTTGTATTTTTAGTAGAGACGGGGTTTCACCATGTTAGCCAGGATGGTCTCAATCTCCTGACCTCGTGATCCACCTGCCTCGGCCTCCCAAAGTGCTGGGATTACAGGCGTGAGCCACTGCGCCCAGCCTTTAGATTTCTATTTTAAAGCAGACTGTAATCAGATCACTTCCTAAACCCAGAATGAAGTAAAGCTACTTGCTAGATTTTGGATTGTGTGTGTGTGTGTGTGTGTGTGTGCGCGTGTGTATACACACACACACACACACACACACATATGCTTATAATTTTTTCATGAACTAAAATAACAAAATACCAAGTAAAAAAATGTGAGTTAGGACTAAACCAAGATATATGTTCTCAATTAAATGAATGGAGGTGAGGGGCAGGAGAATATGAAGTTGTGCCTTATACACACTCCCTTTTCATACAGTCAAATCCACGCTTAGCATTGCCTTTTCATATTAGGGTGTGTTTGGTCTAGATCCAATGGTGCCTATGGACTAGATCCAATGGTGCCTATGACATGGTGCCCAGAATGAAAACAGTGCAGGGTTTAATGCAGTGTTCACTGAATTCTGACTGTTCTGGTCCAGGGAAAGCCACCATGGCCTCTGCCTAAATAGCTCACATGTGATGGTGGAATTCTATGCTGAAAAGCCCAGGAGTTTTTCACCCAAGATAATTGTAGTTGTGGATGTTCTCAAGATTTCTCTTTATAATGGCATGTGCTTTCTCTTCTGTTTCTGAAATTTCCAGTTTGCATTGTAATGTTCATATTCACCTTTTCCAGCTCTCGTTACACTTTTCATTTTATCCTTAAAACAGTCCTGCGAAATATATAAGGAATGTGGTCATGCTCCAGTTTTACTGAGAAGGAAACTTGATTTAAACCCAAAGCAACTGCTGCGAAGTAGGACAGGCTGTATAGTCAGGTTGTCTGATGTGTGCCTGCCATCTAATGGTGGGATTCAGATTGCAACAGGAAGGTTGTTTTGGTTGCTGAACTTGGCATATGCTTGGCTACCATGGTTTATGAGAGTTGTTGGAATGTCCCTAGAAGTCTCTTTTTTTTCTGGAAAAAAAATTTTTTTAAGCGATGGGGCAGGTCTTGCTGTTCCCCAGGTGGGTCTTGAACTCCTGGGCTGAAGGGATGGATCCTCCTGCCTCAGCCTTCTGAGTAGCTGGGACTATAGGCATGCACCACAGCACCTGGCTTTTGGAAAATCTTTTATTAAAGTCTTCACTAGGGGAGATGGAAGCTGACCCTCTTAATTTCTCTATTGCTACCATCTGTTGTAGTGGTTCCACAAGATGGCCATCATAATCAGTGGGTGGGCTTGTTTAAAAACTTTAGTGGGATCCATTCCTGAGAATTCCAGGGAGGGAATTTTTTTTTTTTTTTTTTTTTTGATAGGGTCTTGCTGTTGCCCAGGCTGGAGTGCAGTGGCATGGTCATGGCTCATTGCAACCTCAGATTCCTGGCCTCAAGCGATCCTCCCACCTCAACCTTCTGAGTAGCTGTGACTACAGGTGTGCACCACCATGCCCAACTATTTTTTTATTTTTCTAGAGATGGGGTTTTACCATGTTGGGGAGGGAATCTTTTATAACAAACTGTACAGATGAATCAGATGAACAGGCGGGGTTGGAAATGAGGGGCCTTGTGTATTTAACCATATAGACCATTAAAATCTATAGTGTTCATTGTGTTGGGGATCCCATTTCTCCCAGAAATGTCCTATGTGTTGCTTAAGGAGCTCCCCTGCCTGCATGGAGACTGGAAAGAGGGTTTCGAGGCTGCCCCCAAGCCCATTCAAAGCCAGCACTGTTCTCTAAGGTTGTCAGACCCCAGGAGGTTCTAGGCTGGAATTTTCCTGGGAATGTTCCTTAGGATGTCTGCTAGAACTGGGGTGCTTTTAGAAGTTAGCGAGCCCAGTGGCCTTCAAACATGTTTTGGCTATGGATCCCTTCAGGAAATCTTACCTGAAGTTTCAACATGCAAATCAGAGGAAAGCAAAGCTGTGTGGTTGAAACTGGCAAGGGGTGTCTGGAGCCTCCCCTTAGCCTCTCCCTTGAGCTTGGAAACCATTTAAACCCAGGCTTCTCACTTCACAGATGACGAAATAGACCCAGAAGCAAAGTGACCAGGTCAAGAGCCCATTGTTGGGCTGTAGGTCTGCAGTGGATTGGATTAGGGCTTTACAGAGAACTGAACACTGTTTACAAGTTATGTTTGGTTAGTTGATATCCGCTGAGTTCTGTAAAAGGGACTCCACCTTCTCCTCAAGGACCTCAGTGTTGGCTGGCCTCAACCAAGTGGGGAGGTGGCTTGTTTGGGGAAATATCTCTGGAGTTAAACAGACCTGGATTAAAAACTTGGCTCCCTCACTTAATAGCTGGTCTTGGGGAAGCTGTTTGGCTTCAGTGTCTACATCCATAACCCAGGGCTAACCTCCTTGTTTTGCCTAGAGTATTGAATGAGACTTTACAGGTAGAGTGGCAGGACAGTGTTGGCACAAGAGCTGCCCAGTGAGTGGTGGCTGATTTTGTGCTTCTAGTCTATCCCTGGTGCTTGGGTTGTGGGTGAGGCTGTGTTGTCCAGAGATCTGGGAGTGGCTGGCTGGCTTGGGAAAGAATACCTAAACTAGACTTCTCAGCAGCCACTGCTAGAGCCCTGCCCCTAGGCTAAACTCAGCTGTTGCAGAGAAGGGTTTAGTAAAACCAAAGCAGGATATTTTGATCAGACATCAAATGGGTTTTAGAGCTTGGCCTACCCCTGGAGCTCTGTGCCTCGCAGGCTGAGACACACCCATTTCTGGGCCCTTTGCCAATCCCGATGCCCACTTTGGGGTGAGGTTGTGATATGGAAGTTTGGTTCGGGGATGGCGTAAGGAAGGATATCTGTTGCACATATTATTTAGTAATTTTAAAGGGATCCTACAATTTAATGGTGTGTGTTTCACCATTTCTTCAAAATAGTGAAAATCAAAAAGTCCTGGCATCAAAACGAAAGGGTCTAATATTGTGTCCTCTGATTCTTCAGCTAAAGGGGCTGCCTAGGGGGTCAGACAAGCTGAGGGACACTTGGCATCTTTAGTGAGACAGTCTACCTCGTGCCTGGAACCCCTTTAGGCCTAGTGTCCGCCTCTATTCAGGGTGTTCCAGTACCCTGGCTGATGAAAATACCCCATCTTTGTCAGTTGGGGTTTATATACATATATTTTGTGGGGGAGTGCCATGAACCCCTCTAGCAGGCTACAGAAGGACCCCTTCTCAGAATGTTTTTACATACATGAAATAACACCCCACAAATATCAAAGGAAATAAATTGCAGTACAGTTACCAAAACATAAAGACAAATCTGGGATATGGTAAGGTATGTGTTGCTTTAGTAACACGTCAAATAACAAGATCCAGCAGCAGGTCTAATATCTACCAAAATTGTGTGGTAGTGATGCACCTGAGTGATATTTTGCAATTCTGTAACAACAATAATGTGTTATGAAAATAACTGATTTCTGTTGCTGACAAACAAATACAGCCAATATTTCTATGATGCCTACAAATTGCCTTCATAATGGAAGCAATTGCTAACTTTCAGTTAGAGGATAGTGAAAAGATAGATGTCATTTTTCAAGTTCATGGATTACCTGAATTCTGCTCAGTGCTTTATCCTCAGGTTATGAACCCCTGTCCAGATCCAAATCATCCTAGTCACCTGGAGACTAAGTTAGACCGAAGATTTTCCTCTTTACCCTGTGTGTGGAATGAGCTGAGCCTCAGTCAGTGGTGCTAGGCTTCTTGTGAGATAATTGTACTGGCTCTGGCCAGTAGAAACAATTTTAAAACATTCTTGGAACCACTTTTAAAAGAGTAAAAGGCAGGACTGGGTGCAGTGGCTCGTGCCTGTAATCAGTGCTTTGGGAGGTCAAGGTGGGAGGATGGTTTGAGGCCAGGAGTTTGAGACCAGCTTGGGCAACATAGTAAGACTCCTGGCATCGTGGTGCGTACCTAGAGTCCTACTTGGGTGGCTGATGTGGGACGATCACTTGAGCTTGAGAGTTTGAGACTGCAGGAGCTGTGATCACACCACTGCATTCCTGCCTTGGTGACAGAGTGAGACCCTGTCACACACACACAAAAACAAAACAAAAAACTCAAAACAGGTGAAATTTATTTTTGCATTATATTTTATTCATATAAACTATCCAAAATATTATTTTAATATGTAATTAATATAAAATTATTCATGAGATTTTTGCATGCTTTTTTTGTACAGAGTCTTTGGTGTGTCTATTTTGCATTCATGGCACATCTCAATTTGGACTAACCACATGTCAAGGGGCTCAATGGCCACATGCCTAGTGGCCATGTCACTGGGCAGCACCGGTCAATATAGTTAGAATTATATCATGTCAGGGCTGGGCAAGGCTGCAGTTGAATCCTATTGTTTTACCTAAGGGGAAATTGGGGTTCAGAGAAAGAAGGTGATTTGTCCAAGGTCATGGTTAGCTAGTTAGAGAGCAAGGCTTTGGTTAGGCCCTGGTCTAGTGGATGTTCTACCATCACACTGCCTTTTGGTAAAGGTTATGTTTTCCTAGCCCTAAGTCTGATGGAAGGCAGGAGAAACTCAGGCTTTGGGGGTTCTGCCTCTGAAAGCCCAGTGATGAGTGATGCCAGGAGGACAGCTAACCAGAGCCAAGGAGAGGAAGGCCTGGAACATGAAGGCTTCAGAGGATATACTGATGGGAGATGGGGTCACCTCATAGCAGGAAGAGTAAATGTTTTAAGGAATGGATGAAGAGAAAGTGAATCTCTCTCAAAGAAATCCAGGGTGGAGAGAAGTAAACAGTAAGTTGCCAAAAAGAAATATGATAAACTGGCAAAATATTTGCAATGATATTGAATAGATGGGAACACATTAAAGTCCATTTATTCCACAGAGGTTAAGAGGAGATGACTGGAATGAATGGAAGGTGGAAATGACTGGTAATCAAAGGAAAAGAGGAGGAAATAGTAGAATGCTCTAGTTCTTACCTAAAAACAGATAAGGGAAGACACCAGGGAATTGTCCTTTTCCTTGCACCTCCATCATCTACCCCGAGACGCCACCCTGACAGCTTGCTTGTCCATGGCACTGTGGGTGTGTATGGTGAGTGGCCTCTTCTGCACTGGTGGCTCCTTGAGAGCCCGGAGCATGTCTGGCTCCTCTTAGTGTCCCCAACACGTGGGATGGCAGGTTCCTGCTGCAGAGCAGGTGCTTGGCAAGCATTTGAAAAACAAATGGGAATAAAGGAGTGAGTGACTGAGGGAGAGCTGTTCTGCAGCACAGGACAGGCACAGAGTCGGGGCCCTCGCTGTACTCTCAACGCCCCACTCTTTCCTGGGGACATTTGTAGATTGCTCGCTTCTGTCAGTCCTCTTCATCTGAGAGATGAGAGTGTCATCTCTGCCCTCCTCAATTTAGTGGTTTAGAAGACCATGTGAAATAATCGATATAACATGAATTGGAAGCAAAAAAAAAAACTATAACACAAACATATACTGTGTTACTTATTTTCAGTACAAAGTGCAACTGGGCCAAAGTGGTATTAAGAATTGATCGAGTTCAGCCCTGACCAATGTATTTGTAAGGAAAATAAGATGTCCACACAAAGCCAGAAAGCAGATTAGAGCAGATGAAAACAGCAAAGTGGATTCAGGGAATCAAAGCCTGTGTCAGCCAGGCTTGGGGCAATGTCTGTGAGCTAGCAGGAAGCATGAAGACAATGTTCACTCAAGGTGTCAACTTGTCATAAGACCTAAGTACCCCACTACCAGAGAGTTAGCCCCACCATACTGAACATCACTGAGGGAGGCTCTTTCAGTGAGGACTAGGTTCAATGGCACATAATAGAAAAACAAAGAACCAAAACAACTGGCTTAGGCAAGGTAGAAGTTGACTTTTCTCACAGAAGTCTAGGGTGTGGAAGTCTGGAGCTAATATGGTGGTTTCATCATATCGTAAGGGACTCAGGCTCCCGTTCCTATCATCAGCACTTGGTTGATGCTTTCAAAGTCACTTTATGGTCTGAAAAGGCTGCTGGAATCACAGTCAGCA
This sequence comes from Homo sapiens, assembly GCF_000001405.40. Taxonomy (NCBI): domain Eukaryota; kingdom Metazoa; phylum Chordata; class Mammalia; order Primates; family Hominidae; genus Homo; species Homo sapiens. Next base: position 165,919,518 of record NC_000001.11, read on the forward strand.
GATCTTCATTCTATACAGAAGGAAGAAGAGATGAAGGGCATGCCTTATTCCTGTTAAGGAAGACTTTCCAGAAACACCACATGACACTTCTGCTTACATCTCTTTGGCCAGAACTTAGTCTAGGTCTACATCTACCTGCTAAGGAGGTTGAGATATGTGATCCTTTTAGTTGACTGCATGCCTACCCTGAATAAAATAAGAAATGTGCAATGATAATATAACCAAAAAGAAACAATCAAGCATGACAAGCACTCAGTCAATGACATCTGTTAATATAATTTTATTTTTAAAAAACAGCTTTATTGAGGTATAAAGGGCATAAAATAAACTACACACATTTAAAGTGTTTAATTTGATAAATTTGAGATATGTATCCACCTCTGAAACCATCACCAAAATCAAGATGGTGAACATTCATCGCCTCCTAAAGTTTCCTCATGCTCCCTTGTAATCCTCCCTCCTACTCCAGGGAACCACTGACCTGCCTTCTTCTCACTAGAGATTACTTTGTGTTTTATAGAATTTTATATAAGTGGAATCATATTGTATGTACTCCTTTTCTTTTTGTTTGGCTTTTTTTCACTCAGCACAATTTTGTGATTCATCCATGTTTTGTATATCAAAGTTTCGCTCATTGTTTTGGAGGAGGGTTGTTTGTTTTCTTATTGAGTTTTTTTTTTTTTTTCGTTAAGAGAGATGGGGTCTTGCCATATTGCCCAGGCTGGTTTTGAACTCCTGGCCTCAAGTGATCCTCCTGCCTCAGCCTCCCAAAGTGCTGGGATTACAGATATGAACTACCATACCTGGCCTTCTTTACTGAGTTTTGAGAGTTCTTTACGTATTCTGGGTACAAGTCACTTTCAGATTTATACTCTGCAAGTATTTTCTCTTATTCCATGGCTTGTCTTTCTTTTCTTAAACGACACTGTTTTTAGAAAGCTCTTGTTTTAAATTTTGATGAAGTCTGACTTATCAATTTTGCTTTGGTGCCATAGCTAATAAATCTTCGCATAATCTAATGTCACTTTTTTTTTTTTTTTTTTTGAGATGGATTCTCGCTCTGTTGCCCAGGCTGGAGTGCAGTGGTGCAATCACGGCTCACTGCAGCCTCCACCTCCCAGGTTCAAGCGATTGTTCTGCCTCAGACTCCTGAGTAGCTGGGATTACAGGTGCATGCCACCACAGCCTGCTAATTTTTGTATTTTTAGTAGAGACAGGGTTTCACCATGTTGGTTAGGCGGGTCTCGAACTCCTGACCTCGTGATCTGTTCACCTGGGTCTCCCAAAGTGCTGGGATTACAGGTGTGAGCCACCACGCCCAGCCAGTGTTTTATTTTTTTTATTTTTTTTGTTTTTTTTTTGTGTGTGTATGTGTGTGTGTTTTTGACGGAATCTCGCTCTGTTGCCCCAGCTAGAGTGCGGTGGCATGATCTCGGGTCACTGAAACCTCCACCTCCTAGGTTCAAGCAATTCTGCTGCCTCAGCCTCCTGAGTAGCTGGGACTACAGGTGCATGCCACCACAGCCGGCTAATTTTTGTATTTTTAGTAGAGACAGGGTTTCACCATGTTGGTTAGGCGGGTCTCGAACTCCTGACCTCATGATCTGTTCACCTAGGTCTCCCAAAGTGCTGGGATTACAGGCGTGAGCCACCATGCCCAGCCAGTGTTTTTTTTTTTTTTTTTTTTTTTGTGTGTGTGTGTGTGTGTGTGTGTGTGTGTGTGTGTATGTGTGTGTGTTTTTGACGGAATCTCGCTCTGTTGCCCCAGCTAGAGTGCGGTGGCATGATCTCGGGTCACTGAAACCTCCACCTCCTAGGTTCAAGCAATTCTGCTGCCTCAGCCTCCTGAGTAGCTGGGATTACAGGCACCCACCACCACTACTAATTTTTGTATGTTTAGTAGAAACGGGTTTCACTATGTTGGCCAGGCTGGTCTTGAACTCCTGACCTCAAGTGATCTGCTTCCCTTTGCCTCCCAAAGTGCTGGGATTACAGGTGTGAGCCACCACTCCCAGCCACAAAAGTTTTTCTCTTGTGTTGTCTTCTAAAAGTTTTATAGTTTTAGGTGGGTTTTTTTTTTATTTTTTTTCATTCTGTCACCCAAGCTGGAGTACAGTGGCGCAATTATGGCTCACTGCAGCCTTGACCTCCTGGGCTCAAGTGATTCTCCTGCCTCAGCCTCCTGAGTACCTGGGATTGCAGCTGTGCAACACAATGACTGGCTAAGTTTTTGAGTTTTTGAGACAAGGTCTTGCTATGTTGTCTAGGCTGGTCTCAAACTCCTGAGCTAAAGCAATCCTTCTGCCTCAGCCTCCCAAAGCGCTGGCATTACTGGCCTGAAACACTGCACCTGGTAAGTTAATTTTTTAAGATGGTGTGAGGTAATATCATTATTTTACATGTGCTATCCATGTGTTTTAGCACCATAATTGAAGACTGTCCTTTCTCTTTTGAATTGCCTTTGCTCCTTTGTGAAAAAGTCATTTGTCCATATATGTGGGTCTGTTTCTAGACTCTGTTCCATTGATTTGTCTATCTTGACATCTATACCACACTGTCTTAATTACTGTAGCTTTATAATAAATCTTGAAATCTAGTAGTGTCAGCTCTCCAACTTTATTTTTTGTCAAAATCGTTTTGGCAGTTCTGAGTTCTTTGCATTTCTATATAAATTTTAAAGAATCAGCTTGTCAATTTCTACAAAAAATGCTGGGACTTTAATTGGGATGGTGTTGAATCCATAGATCAATTTGGGGACAGCTGACATTTTAACAGTGTTATGTCTTTTGATTTATGAACAAGATATATCTATCCATTTATTTTGGTCTTTAAAAGTGTCTCAGCAATGTTTTATTGTTTTAAATGTATAAGTCTTAAATATCTTTTATCAGATGTATCCCTACATATTTTATATTTTATGATGCTATTGTGAATAGTATTTTTTTAGAAGTCCAACTTAACGATTGTTTATTGCAAGCATATAAGAATACAATTGATTTTTATATATTGGTCTTTTATTCTGCAATCTTGCTAAATTCACTATTTTTAGAGTGGTGTTAGAAGACAGCAGAGAGAAAACAGTGGTTCAACCTATCCTGTTTAACCAAAAGTTGAGATTTTTTATGTTCACTTTTATCCTCTTTTTAGGGTTGAAAATTACACACATTATATTTTTCTTACTTTAGTGGCCATCTTTTAAAATTGACATGGATAGTTGACAAAATCTGAATTTAATCAGTATTTCTCTCCTCTTCCTAAACAATATGAAAGCTTTGAAAGCTTAAACTCTGACCACTCTGTCTATCTTACATGTTATTGATGTTAAGTATTATAGTTCCACCTTGCTTTTATATTCTTGACATTAGTTACGATTACTGTTTTATCCTGTCAGTGCTCATTTAGATTTTCCCAGATTATTACTAATGACTTTGTTCACTATTTTATTTTGCATTGTCAATCTTGGTTATGGATTCAGTTTTCTTCATAACACACATTTTTTTCATAATTATTTGTCAGAATTATTAGTGGGACACTCTTTGTTGGAAAATGCCTTTTTTTACCCTCATTCTTGAGTTATAATTTAGCTGTTTCTCTCAACATTTTGGATAGATTGGTCTTCTGTTTTCTGTCTTTTAAAAAGATTTCTCTTTGATGTTTTGCAATTTCTTATGATGTGTTGAAATGTGGATTTATTTTTATTTACCCTACTTAGGGCATGTGCTTCCTGAAGGCGAGTTCTATGTGTTTCATCTATTCTAGAAAATTTATAGCTATTATCTTTTCTAATGTTGCCTTCTCACTTTTCTCTCTGTTTTCTATCTTTTGATCTGTGGTTCCATGTACATAGGACCTTTTGCTCTTTCTTCTAAGTCTCTTACTCTCTTATTTTATTTTTAATCTGTTTTTTGTTTGTTTGTTTGTTTGAGACAGGGTCTCACTCTATAGCCCAGGCTGAAATGCAGTAGAGTGATCATGGCTTGCTGCAGCCTCAACCTCCTGGGCTCAAGTGATCCTCCCACCTCAGCCTCCTAAGTAGCTGGGACCACAGGCGTGAGCCGCCATGACCGGTTAATTTTTGTATTTTTTGTAGAGATGGGGTTTCACTATGTTGCCCAGGCTGGTCTCGAACTCCTGGACTCAAGCGATTTACCCATCTTGTCCTCCCAAAGTGATGGGATTATTGATATGTACCACTGTGCCCTGCCTTATTTTTAATCTTTTTATCTCTCAAGCTACATTGTAGCTAAGCTCCTTAGATCATTTCCAATTTAGTTACTCGCTCTTCACCCATGTTTAGTTTGCTGTTTAAAACTTACCAAGTTTTTAATTTCAGTGACCATATTTTTGGCTTTTAGAAAAACCATTTCATTATAGTCCAAATCTGCTTGTTGATTTTTGATTGTGTTTTATACTAATGTTTTAAATTGCTATTCTTGGCCCTTGTCTAATGTCATTTTCTTATATGCTCAGCTATGCATTAAGCAGGACTTCATTATTATTATCTTTTTTGTATTTTATGTGGAACTTGTAGGTATTTTGTAGCAGGAAGGTTTTCTGGTTATCTGAACCATGATAATGAAAAAAAAAAAAGTGTCTCATTGGTTTTTTCAAACTTTCTCCTCCAGAGAAATTCTGCTTTGTTCACAGCATCAAATGTTGCTTGGAGTTCTAAAACTTCCATTGTTCTTTGTATGTGAAGCATGCTGGGATGCCTGGGCGGTGGAGTGTTACTTCACATTAAATTGTGGGCTCCTTTACGGTCAGCAACTGTGTTTCCTGTATCTCATGTGTCCTGGCAGGGTACTTGCCACGTAGTCAGTGCCTGATAAACAGTTGGCTGATTTCCTTATTTGACTTTTGCTTTAGAGCCAGACGCCTCGCTAGCAGAGATGCACACGTTTTTTTGTTTTGTTTTTTTTTTTTTTTGAGATGCAGTCTCGCTCTGCCGCCAGGCTGGAGTGCAGTGGTGCAATCTCGGCTCGCTGCAAGCTCCGCCTCCCGGGTTCAAGCGATTCTCGTGCCTCAGCCTCCCGAGTAGCTGGGATTACAGGCGCGCACCACCACGCCCAGCTAATTTTTGTATTTTTAGTTGAGACGGGGTTTCACCATGTTCGCCAGGATGGTCTCGATCTCTTGACCTCGTGATCCACTCGCCTCGGCCTCCCAAAGTGCTGGGATTACAGGCGTGAGCCGCCGCGCCCGGCCCGAGATGCACATGTATTTTTAAAGAGTTCCATTGATAACTGAGTTTCTCCTGACCAGAAGGTGGACTGTGGCCTAGGCATGGCAGTGCCTCCTGATTGGCTTTGGAAGCTCAGCTCCATCTGTGGTCCGTTATTCTTAAAAGTGGCCACTAGAGGGTGAGAATGAGCCACAGCACAGCAAAGTCCTGTTTTAACCTTCAGAACAGCTGGAGGACGGTCAATTCAAACACACTAGAGAGCACCTATCATGTGCCAGGTACTGTGCCAAGCCCTCCCTGCCTTCCAGGACCTCATAAATGGCCAGTGGCCCCTCACATATAGACACAACTCTTGTACAAGGCAGAATGGAATGTGCACAAAGAGGTACAATCCCAACTCCTAGATCTAGGGGGTCTCAACAAGGAGGAACTGTGGGTGGCTTTCCTGTAGAACTCAGATTGGTCAGTCTGTGAGAAGGAAACTTACAGGACCTGCACCATCCACCCTCTCAGTCTCAGTCTCACCCACCTCTTCATACACCTGTTTCATGTGCATATGGCTTTACTGTTGCCTGCCAGAGACCACCCAGGCTTTGCAGTAGACTATTTGCATAACCCTGGACTAACCACTCTCTAATCTTTAATCTCTTTATTTAGGGATGATAATATCAAGTCCTTTCTACCTCATAGGATTGTGTCAGATTTAAGCAAAGTAATGAAGATCAAAGTACTTTTGAAAATTCATAAGTGCCATATATTTATGAAGCTTTAAAATAATTGTTAATATAAATTTCCCTAAAATGCCCTCAGAGTCTAGGAAGTTTGGGTGCACCATGGGCATTTACTGAATTAACTAGAATGTACACTCTTCCAGAAGAGGAGACCCACAGTAAGCCGAGGTATACCAGGCAGTTTCGGACAAATCTGAGAGCCAGGAAACAGCAGTGTCATTAAAGTGTTGGGCTGAACATTGTGCTCTGACACTCTCTGGGGAGGTGTCAGCCTGGCATCCAAGAAGGGTGGCCCTGTGGGAGGGTTATGCTCCAGACTGTGGAGAGGGGCACTTTCCTTTTCCGGGCAGGGACCCTGAGGAAGAGGAGATTAAGAATGGGTGTGGTATGATGCTGCTCTAACCCCTGAGATAAGCTTCCGAGAAGAAAAGCCACTGTCACTCACTTTTCAGGACCAATAAAGGAACTGAATGGTAGAGAGAGCTTTGCCATCTTCTCTCATGCTTGAGGAAAGGAGACTGACCCCTTCTCAAGGTGATGGGAGACTTAAAGTGCCTGTTCATGATTGGTGGCATGAGAGGGGAGGAGGAAAGACTGGAAATGTCAGTCACCATGCTTATCGCCTGCTGCGCCAAAGAACACCCCAGCGAGATCCTTAGGGCCATTTTCTTTCAGAGTCTATTTTAAAAATGTCTTTATTGATTTGATCAAACTGGTGTTTTTAAAACTTCAGTTAAGGTGAGCTTTCCATGCACACACATTGGTGTGTGTGTGTATGTGCATGTGTCAGGGGGCTGCTGGGGTGGGAATGGGGACCAAAGAGAGACTATTTTTAGAATAGCATTTCCTCTGAGGGGGTTTTAACCTGTTCTCTGCTGTTTTATGTTAGAGATTTATTTGATCATGCAGTCAACAACAGCACCAACAGCACCATCTGGTTTGCTAATAGATATTTTTTTTTTTCTGTTTCAGCCTTTATTTTAGAATTGGGGGTACCTGTGCAGGTTTGTTACAAAGGTATATTGTGTGATGCTGAGGTTTGGGGTATGACTGAATCCATCACCCAGGTAGAGACCATAGTACCCAATGTGTAGTTTTTCAGCCCCTGCGCCCCTCCCTCAGTCCCTCCTCTAATATTCCCCAGTGTCTGTTGTTGGCATTTTTATGTCCATGTATATGCAATGTTTAGCTCCCACTTATAAGTGAGAACATGTGGTATTTGGTTTTCTGTTTCTGTGTTACTTCACTTAGGATAATGGCCTCTAGCTGCATCTATGTTGATGCAAAGGACATGATTTTTTTTTTTTTTTTTTTGAGACGGAGTGTCGCTCTGTCCCCCAGGCTGGAGTGCAGTGGTGCAATCTCGGCTCACTGCAAGCTCCGCCTCCCAGGTTCACACCATTCTCCTGCCTCAGCCTCCCGAGTAGCTGGGACTACAGGCGCCCGCCACCACACCTGGCTAATTTTTTGTATTTTTAGTAGAGATGGGGTTTCACCGTGTTAGCCAGGATGGTCTCGATCTCCTGACCTCGTGATCCGCCTGCCTCGGCCTCCCAAAGTGCGGGATTACAGGCAGGAGCCACCGCGCCCAGCTGATTTTGTTCTTTTTTATGGCTGTGTAGTATTCCATGGCGAATATATACCACATTTTCTTTATCCAGTCCACTGTTGTTGGGCACCTGGGTTGATTCCATGTTTTTGCTATTGTGAATAGTGCTGCAGTGAACATATGGGTGCATGTATCCTTTTGGTAGAATGATTTATTTTCCTTTGGGCATATATCTGGTAATGGGATTGCTGGGACAAATAGTAGTTCAGCCTAACTTCTTTGAGAAATCTACAAACTGCTCTCTACAGTGGCTAGACTAATTTGCATTCTTGCCAACAGCATATGTGTTCCCTTTTCTCCATAGCCTTGCTAGCACCTGTTATTTTTTGACTTTTTAACAAAAGTCACTCTGACAGGCGAGAGATGGTATCTCATTGTGGTTTTGATTTGCATTTCTCTGATGATTAGTGTTGTTGAGCATTTTGTCATATGTTTGTTGGCTGGTTGTATGTCTTCGTTTTAGAAGTGTTTGTCCATGTCTTTTGTCAACTTTTAATGAGGTTATTTGCTTTTTGCTTATTGATTTAAGTTTTTATATCGATTTTGGGTCTTAGACATTTGTTAGATGCATAGTTTGTGAATATTTTCTTCCATTCTGTAGGTTGTCTCTTTACTTCCTCGATGGTTTCTCTTGCTGTGCAGAAGCTCTTTAGTTTAATTAGGTCCCACTTGTCAATTTTTGTTTTTGTTGCAGTTGCATTTGAGGACTTAGTCATAAATTCTTTGCCAAGGCCAATATTGAGAAGGGTATTTCCTAAGCTTTCTTTTAGGATTCTTATAGCTTGAGGTCTTACATTTAAGTCGTTAATCCGTCTTGAGTTATTGTTTGTATGTGGTGATAGGTAGGAGTCCAGTTTTATTCTTTTACCTATGTATAGCCAGTCATCCCGGCACCATTTATTGAATAGGGAATCTTTTCTCCATCGTTTATTTTTGTTGAGTTTGCTAATAGATATTTGATAATACAGAACTTGGATATGACTTTTGGACACACTTAGATGTGGAGATTTTTCTCTTGGTTGCATTTGTGTATGTGTGAGAATAAGGAGAAAGGACTAATACATGGTCATTTCTATTTGCTGCTGTAGCAGCAAGGAGAATCTGGCAGAGGTAGACTGTGTGTGTGTGTGTGTGTGTGTGTGTGTGTAAGTATTGGCCATGACACATTGACACATCCTGTAATGACACTATCTCCCATGTGCTTGTCATTCTCCAATGTGCTAGGCTTCAAAACCTCACCAGGGGGCGCAATTGTAATTTCTCGCATTCATTTCGTTCATCAACCATTTATCTAGTTAGCCTCTACTGTATGCCTGTCACTGAAATGCATTGTTTTGTTTTAAACCTCATTTGAATCCTGTGAGGTAGATTGAATTACCCCTCTTTCCATAAAGGGAATTGAGCTTTAGGAGATGTTAAGTAAATTATGTCGTCAGCAATACATGGAGAAGCCGGAATTTGAACCCGTGTTTTTCTGCCTGCAGAATGTAAACCCAATACCCTTACACCCTGCTGCCTCCCCCATGTCATGCTATCTCAAAGACTGAGTTCTGTTCTCCAACCCTCTCCCTCCTGGATATCTTTACAGTGCTCGGCTCTCCACGGAGCTACTCCGTGGAAGTCCCTGTTCACCTGACCAGCAGGTGAGCACCTCGGCCCTTAGCCTGGGTTTGTGTTTCCTTATAATATCCCTATTTGGGACCTTGTCATTCATATCTGCATTTTATTTATTGTTATTATTTTTGAGACAGAGTTTCACTCTGTTGCCCATGCTAGAGTGCAGCGGTGCGATCTTGGCTCACTGCAACCTCTGCCCTCCAGGTTCAAGCAATTCTCCTGCCTCAGCCTCCTGAGTAGCTGGGATTACAGGCACTCACCACCATGCCCAGCTAATTTTTGTATTTTTAGTACAGATGGGGTTTCACCATGTTGGCCAGGTTGGTCTCAAACTCCTGGCCTCAGGTGATCCGCCTGCCTTGGCTTCCCAAAGTGCTGGGATTACAGGTGTGAGGCATCACGCCCAGCTGATATCTGCATTTTAAAGGCACATTTCCAACTTAGATGCTATGGAAGCATCCACATTTCATTTTACCTGTCTCTGTGGCTTGGCCTAAGTCTCCCTTAAGGTGGCTGTTCCCTAAACTCAGAGTAGCTTTTGAGAGGAAGGATGCTGCCTCCGAGAGGGACAACCCTTTAAGCTATTTCCAGTTAGCAATACAGCACCCCAGTCAGGACTGTCTGGTAAGGAGAGCAGAATCTTGCTGGAGGCCACTTGAGAAAGTTAGAGGTCCATCTTGATCTGAATGATGGGACAGAGGAAACAGAAGACTTCCTGAGAGGGGAGTGGTCAGCAAAGCCTGGGACCATGGAATTCCGTGTGAAGATTTGGCTAAAATATGGGGTGAAGGCAAGCGGCAGATGGGCTGATGCTTGTGACTTAGGGCTTCAAAGGAGCCCAAGCTAATCATTTTCTCAGCACAATTTGTGCTTATTTTTTGCTTTTGTTTCAGAACACGAGCCAGGGGGTGGGATAGAGGGGTGGGAGTGAGTCTTGAGTCTTATTATCCAGTTGACTAACTGAAGTCTATTTTTTTTTTTTTTGGTAATGACTATAGAGTTTTCTTCACATTTCACAGATTGAAACCCTTTACTTTGAGAATATGGCTAAACCTGTCCAAAGATACTGCCCAGAGCTATTGATTTGCTCTCTCCAAAAGGACATTCTTGTCATTAAATCATATTTTCCTAAAGATGGGATGTAGCAAACCTCATTGACTGCAGCCTAGTGCATAGCCAGCTCCTTGAGCACAGGAAGGGACTCTCTTCCACACTGGACACAGGTGGCTCCCTCACTTGTTTCCAGAGGTCCTCTTTAGAGCTAGCACCTGTCTCCCACAAGCCCCCGCCCCCACCCCCCCAAGGAAATTGAAGGAGAACAGCACAGAATGGGATGCAGCTGGGGAAAACAATCTTGGCAATCCTGCACAGACCCTATCAGACTGCAGACAGCCATCCACCTATTACTGTGCCTACTACAGATCCTGGCCACAGACCTGGATGCAAACCTCAACTCCAAAAACTAGTCTATGGAGTTAAAAGTCAGGATAGTTCTTACTGTGGGGAGGAGGGAAGGGAAGGGGTTGGGGAGGGGCATGAGAGGGGCTTCAGAATGGTAAGATTCTGTTTCTTGATCTGGGTGGTAGTTACTGGGTGTGTTCTCTTTGTGATACTCTCTCGAGATGTACACTTAGGATTTGCAATCTTTTCTGTAAAATATTTCAATAAAAGACATTTATTTTTTAAAAATCCAAGTTTCACTTCTTATTAATTGTATAATCTTGGACAAGTCACTTAAGCTCTCCAAGCCTCAGTTTCTTCATCCCACATGATGGGGCCATGATAATGCCTGCCTCACAGTGTGGTGAGGAACACATGAGCGAATGCCTACAGGCTCTCAGTACAGGGCTTAGCATATTGCTCAGTAAACACTAGTGTCTGCTGTAGCTTCTGTTGCTCAGGATGCACTAGACTACTCCCTGCATGGGTCTACTCTGCTTCCATGACTTTTTGCATCTCCAGGTCTCTGCTCACACACTGCCCTACCTGATCTTCTCCTCCTGGACCCCCATCACCAAATCTCATTCAGGGCACACACTGAAGACTCTTTTCCTTACCCTGGGTTTATCCTTCGCTTTAGCCTTTGTTTATCTTGTGTCCCTGCAGCCCCTGGTGAACAGTCTACTGGACCCTTAGTTTATCCCTCTCTTTCTCTCTACCATCAGGCTAGGAGCACAGCCCTCTGTAATGTGTGCCTTGGTATTGCAGCAAGCACCTGGCAAGCCCGTGCTCAGGGATATTGATTGAAATGCAGCGTCACCGGCTTCTCTGTGGGATATATGGTGTGGTTCCTTGAATTTGAGGATTTGAGATGCCTCCCCCCAGAGTTGTTCCTTTGTTCCACCATCTTGCATTAAAGTGCCATGTTGTGTTTTCACTACTGGGAAAATGTCATTTGAAAAATACACAGCAAGTGTTAGATGGTGCATCTGGTTTGCCATCTTGACAGGAGAAGGGTGAGGAACCAGGGGTGGATCCATGGCTGGGGCTGGGCCTTGGCTTGGACATTCGGTGTTGTTTGGTGCATCCAATGTAGAGATCCCAGGCCAGGCTCAGGGAGCTGCTTCCAGAGTGGGCTCAGGTTTTGATAACTGGATACCCTACACCTGGTGCATTCATCCTCCCTTCCTACTTCTGGGCTCTGTGATTCCCTTTTTTTTTTTTTCCTGGGGACAATACCTACCCTGCTGCCTTCACAATACATCCAGAATCCAACCACTTCTCAACATTTCCACTGCTTACCCTTTGGTACAAGCCACCATTATGTGCCAGATGAAATTCTGTAATAGCTTCATAACTGGACTAGGCTCCCTGTTTCCATTATTGCCCTTTGTAGCCTGTTCTCCCCATAACAGCCATAGCTATATTTTAAAAATGTAAATTCGATCAAGTCACTCACTGGTTCTATAATCCCCCAGTTTCTGACACACTGAAGAATAAAACCCAGTCCTTTTTGTGATCAACTAGACTACATATCACCCCTATCCATGCCCCATAACTCCCTACTAACTCTAAGACATCACCTCCTACCCTTCTCCTCCTTGCTGTTTTTTAGCCGCAATGCCTTACTTGACAGGACTTGGCTGGTACTTGATGACTGCATTGCTTCCTTCTTGGGAATTTTGCCCTGGCCGTTCCCTCTGCCTGGAATGTTCTTCCCCTGATAGTCACACTTGCTTACTGTACTGGGTCTCTGCTGGATGTGACACTCACAGCAGCCATCCTTGACTGGCCCATCCCTTAACCCTGATTTAGTTTTTCATTGAATTTATCTGTTTTAGTCTCTATCTGTGTACTTGCCTTTCCTCTGCGGATAGTTCTTCTGGGTCTGTCTCCTCGCCAGAATGTAAGCAGGGACTTATGTTGTTTTCTACTGCGTCCTGAGGATCTAGAAGATGGTCTAGCACAGGACAGTGCTCGATAGAAGTTTACTGAATGGATAAGTGAATGCAGTGAGATGGTGAAGTGAAGAGTATAAGCATGATCCCTTGGTTGAGATAGTTGCTGTCCCATGCCTCCGCCTCCAACTGCAGCAAAGTCACTTGCCTTTTAGCCAGGCCCTGGCATTCCCCAGACTAGTGGTGAGAGCCTGGAATCAACTAATTGGCTTCAGATCCCAGCTCTGCAGCTTATTAGGTGTGTGGGCTTAGGTAAGTTGCTTCATCTCTTTGGGCCTTAGTGCCCTCTTCTGTAACAAGTAATAGCCACAGGTCTTGGATGTGTATATTGGAGATAAAAATGGTATACTCCATTATACCAGGCAGGGCTTGGAGAAGTGATGCCCAGAGACCCAGCTGTCCTGCATCAGGGTTCGACCTTCTGACTCGCAGGTAGAGTTGCTACCTGGGTCTGGACTGTGATTTTTGTCAGGGCACCCCTGAACTATTTTCATTCCTGCATGGACACAGACTGTGCCTTACTGCTTGACCTCTTTCTCCAATTGCCACAGCTACACTCCACAGGCTTGGGCTTTGCAGGGCCAGAAGGCCTGTGATGCCTTCTGCTTTCACATGTGCATTCAGGAGAGACATACCAGGAAGCCCCCTTGGCCCCAAATCTAATCCATGTTCTTCAATTTAGCTCTATTAATAAGACTGATTTTTTTTTTTTTTTTTTTTTTTTTAGACGAAGTCTCGCTCTGTCACCCAGGCCGGAGTGCAGTGGCGTGATCTCTGCTCACTGCAAGCTCCGCCTCCCGGGGTCACGCCATTCTCCTGCCTCAGCCTCCTGAGTAGCTGGGAATACAGTCGCCTGCCACCATGCCTGGCTAATTTTTTTTTTGTATTTTTAGTAGAGATGGGGTTTCACTGTGTTAGCCAGGATGGTCTCTCGATCTCCTGACCTCGTGATCCACCCGCCTCGGCCTCCCAAAGTGCTGGGATTACAGGGACCCACCGTGCCCAGCCAAGACTGATTGATTTTAAAAAACGTACTCTGCCTCAATTTAGTCTTTTTTTTTTTTTTTTTTTTTTTTAAATCATGTTTCTCCTCTCAGAATTCAGGAGGAGAAGACAGGAGTATTATTTATTGGGCTCCTAAATGCATAATCTTATTTGACCTTCATAACAACTCTATGAAGTAGGCAGGTATTGGTTGCCTTGCCATTTTTCAGGTGAGTCAACTGAGACTTAGAGATGACATGTCCTGAATAAGGTCACTCGTACAAGTGGCAGAGCTGGGAGTCACACCTGAATCACCAAGCACCAAACCCAGAGCCTCTCCAATTTTACTATGGGTGTGTAAGGGTGTGGGGGGCGTGATTTGGTCATCACTTAATTCAGGGGAGGGGTCAGTGGAGGCCATGATCAGCAATCAGTCCTGGAGCTGGCAGGGGTGTAGTAGTCAAAGGCACTGATCTGAGATACGGGAATCCAAGGCTGGTTTGGGGAGGTGTGTGGTAGGGCTAGGGTAGAGGAGAGTGGCACAGTGTCAGGGATGCAGCAGAAAGGGCGGAAGGGAGCCCTCCCAGACTGCCCTGAGGGAGAGCTGAGGGAGCCCATTAGCCCGAGCCCTTGCTTAATTGGGAGCCCCAGCTGAGGCTAAGCTGCCTTGCCAGAGAGAAGACAGGCAGGGGGCCCTGAAAGCTGTGAGCCCTTCCTGCTGCAGTAGAAAGAAAGCGAGGAGCAGCCTAGGGGGGAAAAGGCTTGAGTAGGAAATAGAAAAATAGCTCTTGGGAAATCAAAAACGTTTCCAGGTCTAGGAAAGGCCGCCCTTTTCTCTCAAGCACATCTTCCCCACCCTGCCCCCTGCCCTGCAACTGTTGCCCCCCAGTGGGGCAACATGAAGGTGGCTGTTAAAATGCAAATGTGACCCAGGAGGGCAGACACATGAAGGCACTACACCAGCTGTTAGGCGGAAACTGGCTTTAGTTGGCCAGCTTAGCTTCAGTGAGCCCCGCTTCCCCAGGCAGGGCTTGGAGAAGTGATGCCAAGGGCCAGCTGTCCTGCATCAGGGTCTGGCCTTCAGACTCGCAGGTAGAGTTGACCTGGGTCTGGACTGTGATTCCTGTCAGGGGACACCTGAACAGTTTTCATTCCTGCATGGGCACAGGCTGCACCTTGCTGCTGGACCTCTTTCTCCAATTGCTATAGCTACAACCACATGCTGGGGCTTTGGGGGGCTAGGAGGGAAAGTGAGGGAGTAGGTTCAGCACGTGTATTAGAGAGGTCTCACTTCTCTGGGCTTCCTAATCCCAAACTTTATCAGGAGGCCATGCACATGGGGCTAAAGAGCTGGCTTCTCATGGATGATGGGGCATGTGATTTTAGGAAAATCCTGGCTGGGTCTTTTCCTAGCTGCGTGACACTTATGAAAGTCCCTTAAAGCTCTCTTATCCACAGATTCCTCATTTGCAAAAATCTGCCTAAATAATATCTACCTCTTACGGTTATTGTGACCTTAGCAGCCTATCGTGGCAGGAAACAAATGCTTTCCTCCCCGTATCTGACCTTTTGTCCCCTCACGTTGTTCGCTGGTGCTGCAACTTTCTGCATCCATCATTCCCTGGGGTTAAAAAATAGCCTCCAGAAGACCTATACGAAAAATGTGAATATATGTTTACCGAATCAGTGTTTCAGAGGAATAACACTAGCAAGTCAGCATCCTCTGATCCCAGCCCTGGGGAAGAGTTTGTCACATTTAGTTAGACATAGGGAGTGGGTCCAGGGAGAAAGTGACAAAGGCAGGGTAATCACTGAAAAGACCACGAACACTGGGGGTTCCCTTGGAAGAAGGGGCAACAGGGAGAGAAAGGCCAGGGGACTGGGGTGCTGGAAGAAAGGAGGTGGACTAGGGCAGGCTGGCTCATGGCTGCTGGCCCCCTGACAGAATCCATGATCTGGGGCCTGTAGAGGCTCAGACTGACCTGCTGTGTTGACCAGCCAGAGCTCACAGCCATTGTCTAAATGGAGCCTTCACCAGAAAGTCCTCTTTGGCCCTTGGGAGTCCTGGGCCTGGGTCTGGCAGGCGTCTGCAGAGCCAACCACTTGACACCTGTGCCCAGAGAGCTGCTGTGTCCCCTCTGCCCTGCGCAGTCCCTGGCACAAATGGGGCCTGCTCCATATATCCACTGATGAACGAGATACATCCTGTCCTCCCCACTGCCAGCTGGGAGTTCTCAGCTGACTGTGGTTCACCAGCTCCCAGTTCCCTGTCCACCCAACAGCACTGGGCATCTGACACCAGCCAGCCTCACCTCCTGCTTTGGTCACACTGAGTAACTTTGTCTCCTGCAATGTACTGCTCAGAGTAATGAAATAGTCATAATAAAACCCTTAATATTTAAAGCTCAGGGAACTGCGGCCCATGCCATATTGAGCAAAAAATAATTAATCATGAAAAAGGCCTCACTGACTCCATTTCCTCTGCTTCGGGCTACCTGGCTTGTTGGAGCTTTTCTTTCTGAGTGGATTGGAGGCTGCAAGTTGACTGATCTCTTAGGGAGAGGAAGCCCTCATTAATTTGTCTAAGGTAAATTTAACAAAAAATGTTGAGGTCGGGCCAGGCGCAGTGGCTCACACCTATAATCCCAGCACTTTGGGAGGCTGAGGCGGGCAGATCACCGGAGGTCAGGAGTTCGAGACCAGCCTGACCAACATGGTGAAACCCTGTCTCTGCTAAAAATATAAAATTAGCCAGGCGTGGTGGCACATGCCTGTAATCTCAGCTACTTGGGAGGCTGAAGCAAGCGAATCGCTTGAACCCAGGAGGTAGAGGTTGCAGTGACCCAAGATCGTGCCATTGCACTCCAGCCTGGACAACAAGAGTGAAACTCCATCTTGAAAAAGAAGTGTCGAGGACCTACCATGAACCAGCATGGCAGGGATTTTAGTCTGTTCTGTTCACTGTGATAGCCCCGGTGCTTAACATGGTGCTGGCCCATAGTTGGGGTCAATAACATAGGCTGCCTCATGCATCAAGCCTCACAGTAACCCATGAAGTACTTGTATCATTCTCGTTTACAGATTGTAAACCAAGGTTTTGAGAGGTGAAGTGACTTCTCCAGGGTCACTCAGAGAAGTGGGCAAGCTGGGAGGTGAGGGCATGTGTATTCACTCCTAGGTCACCTGGATTAATAGGGACAGTTTTTCTGTGCTGTTTCATGTGAGAATGGAAGGGTTGGGTGGGGAGTCTCACTGTGTGCCATCTCATGGGCCTGCCAACATGTCATCCTAGACAGACAGCTATTTTTATTTGCTTGTTAGCTGTTTCCTTGTACATCGTTCTGACATTTAATGAGTCATCTGTGGAGAACAAAAATGGAGGGCAGGGGGCAACAAAATTGGGTGTAAACTGTCCTTCCATTGCTTTGTTTTTAGCCTCAGGAGGAGAAGGGCTGTTAGTTTCATTTAAAAGTGGATCCACCTACACACAGGGCCAGGTGTACCAGGAATGTTCTTTAAGATGGAGTTGGTTTCCCCCTTGATTTTGCCTCATCTCGGGATCTAAAGCTGTCACAGGGGAAAGATGCCAGTTCCTACCTTGGAGCCAACAAGTTCTGGCTGTGTTAGGTGTTTTAGAATGAGGAGTCATGGCCTCTGGTGTGTGGGCAGTGGGAGATGCAAAGCGTGCTGGAGCTGCAAGGATCTGAGTCATGAAGACCAGCGGTTCTCCAACTGCGTCCTGGGAACATGCTAGCAATGCAAAGGCGCAGGCCCCTTCCAGACTCACTGATTCAGAAACTCTGGGGAGGGGCCTTGCAATCAGTGCTTTAGCAGATCCTCCAGGTGATTCTGATGACAACTGATCTAGACTAAGGTTTCTCAGCAGCAGTGTTATTGATATTTTGGACCAGGTAATTCTTTGTTGTGGTGACTGGCCTGTGCATTGTAGGATGTTAGCAGCTTCCCTGGCCTCTACCCACTAGATGCCAGTAGGTCTGCCTTCCAGTTGTAGCAACCAAAACTGTCTACAGACATTGCCTAATGTCTGCCTGTGGGTCAAAATCGTCCCAGTTTTGAGAACCAAGGATCCAGACCCTTGCTTCTTGAAATACAGTCCGTGGTCCAGTAAGCGTCTGTCTCATCTAGAAATTTGTTAGAAGTGAAGACTCTTGAGGCCCACTCCAAATCTACTGAGTCAGAATCCGCATTTTAACAAGGTCCTCAGGTGATTCGTATGCAGTTAGAATTGACAAGTGCTGACCTAAACCAATTTCTTCAGTTTACAAGTGAGGAGATGGCTTTCCAGAGGGCAGATGACCTGCTCAAGATCATGTCTCCTGAATCCTGCACAGGTAAGTCTTTGTGTTTGTTTACGGTGGTTATTTCTGAAATTAGGAGAGCTGCCCACATGGACCCTGAGGCTAAGATTTGCAGAGGGCTTTGTGGTAGGGACCAGTGGAGGCAGGAGCCAGAGCTTTTACACACTATGGAAATGGCAATCTCTGTACTTGCCAATCCATACAGTAGTTTTGAGGAGAACTGGTCAGTTATTTTGTAGGATGCCCTTAATTGGGATTTATCTGATTTTTTTCCTCATGATTAGACTAGGGTATGGGTTTTTGGGAGGAAGACCAGAGGGGGCAAAGTGTTATTTTCATCATATCATAGGTAAATCTTTGTATTTTCCCCAAGTAATTGATTACATTTTCTTGAAAACAAAATGGTCAGGTACCTCAGCACCTAACCATCAGCACAGTAACTTTACTTTGCCTTGTTGAATGCAAAGTAAATCTTATATAATACGGTGCTTTTGAACTGTCCCAGAATTTCCTGCTTACATTCTCTTATGGACGATAAAAATGAGCCAGGCAATATTAGAGCTGAGATTTCATGCAAAGTCCCACCTTTCTTTTATTAATGGGGAGTGATAGGCATAGCTCTTCTCTAATGGGCAGCCAACTGCTCAGCAATTTTCCTTTTGTGGTTCCCATTCCTGATCATTGCACCTACCTAATTAGTCAGATTGACAGCAGGCTCCTGGAGAACAAAAACTGCAGCCACTGATTCTAGGACAAAGGCAGTGAGAGGGATGTAAAACCATAGTAGGAGGGAGGTCTCTGAGTGGTGCATTCTGACCAGGTTACTTTTTTAATTTGAGATGGAGTTTTGCTCTTGTCACACAGGCTGGAGTGCAATGGCACGATCTCGGCTCACTGCAACCTCTGCCTCCCATGTTCAAGCAATTCTGCCTCAGTCTCCTGAGTAGCTGGGATTACAGGCACCTGCCACCATGCTCAGCTAATTTTTGTATTTTTAGCAGAGACAGGGTTTGCCATGTTGGCCAGGCTGGTCTCAAACTCCTGACCTCAGGTGATCCACCTACCTCGGCCTCCCAAAGTGCTAGGATTACAGGTGTGAGCCACTGCACCCAGCCCTGACCAGGTTTCTTTAGGTACTTTGGTTAGAATCTCATTCCAGGTGTGGCATTGACTGCTTGGGGAATTCTCTCCATTAGAACAGATTGTTTGACATTATGATGAATTTTCAAACACTCTTACAGCTACTTCTTACAACACCGTCTCACGCATACTCTGCAAGACAGACAGACACACACACAGAGATGTCTCCCCTACTGGCCTGCCATATTTTGCAAAATTTCCTTTGTTTGAAGAAACTGTACTGAGTTAAGGTAGTAAAAGTCTCTGCTAAAGCGCAAGTGTTGTGTAAACCCAGGGTATTATTTTTATACTGCTGTTGTAATAAATTACCACAAACTTAGGAACTTAAAATTACACAAATTTATTATCCTACAGTCTAGAGGTCAAAAGTCTGAAATGGGTCTTACAGGCTATAATCAAGATGTTTGGCAGAGATGTGTTCCTTCTGGAAGCTCTGGGAAGGATTGAATTCCTTGCCTTTCCTAGCTTCTGGAGGCTGCCTGCATTCCTTGGCTTCCACCTTCCTCCATCTTCAGGTGCATGACTTAATTGTGTGATTCTGCTTCCATCATCAATTTTCCCTTTGACTTTGATGCTTCTACTTCTCATCTTATAAGGACCCTTGTGATTACATCGACCCACACAGTGAATCTGGGATCATCTCCCATCTCAAGATTCTTAACTTAATCACATCTACGAAGTGCCATTGTAACTTTTTTTTTTTGAGATGGAGTCTTGTTCTGTTGCCCAGGCTGGAGTGCAGTGGCGCAATCTCAGCTCACTGCAAGCTCTGCCTCCCGGGTTCAGGCTATTCTCCTGCCTCAGCCTCCCGAGTAGCTGGGACTACAGGTGCCCGCTACCACACCTGGCTAATTTTTTTTTTTGTATTTTTTCAGTAGAGATGGGGTTTCACCATGTTAGCCAGTATGGTCTCGATCTCCTGACCTCGTGATCTGCCCGCCTTGGCCTCCCAAAGTGCTGGGATTATAGGTATGAGCCACCGTGCCAGCCAACATATTTTAACATGTAAGATAACATATTCATAGGTTCTAAGCATTAGGATGTGGATTTTTTTGGGGGAGGCAGGAGTATTATTTGGCCTACCATACCTGATTCACTATTCTGTTAAATGCAGATAATAATAACTATTATTAAGTGCTAAACTGTGAGTACCAAAATAGATGTTACATGTCATTTGTTTGGCACAAGCTCTGGCACACAGTAAGGCCTGAGCACTGGTTAACTAATTAGTGGGGAGAGGGACTGAGCAGGTTGAGAATATGGGAGTTGTCTAGGGCAGGAGGGATCCAAGTGGGGTGTTGCTCTGAACAGGTGCTGGGTGATATTGGCGGGAAAGTAAGTGTGCAGAGTTGTGTAAGTTGCACCAAGAGGAGGGAAGAGGGATAGACCACTGAAAAGCATTGTTTTCTTAGCGTTTTGACTGTAACATTTTTTCTCCAGACTTCCTCATCTCTTGATTGAGGATAGCTGGTCTCTAATGTCCCTAAAAATCACCCCTCCGCCCAACTGCCTTTGCTCCGCACCCCTCTGTGGCCCCATTTAAGTCCTGCTCTTCTTCAAGGTTTGGCTCAAACACTACCTCCTCCAAGAAGCTTTTACTAGTCATTTAGTAATCATGGTCATTTTCGCTCCTCCATTGCCAATAGTGCTTAATTCTAAGACCTGGCCTGCAGTGCCCTAGTCTAGTTTTTCCAATTAGATCATAAAACACTTTGTTGTACTACTATGTTACTTGCAGTACCATTTCAAAAACTGAACTCCTCTCCACTCCCCTCTGCAATTCCACCATCAACCTACAAATTCTCTTTTTCTTCTTAAAGGCCCCTCCTTTACCATCTCCTAAGCATGAAACTTTGTTGTTGTTGTTGGCAAAAAACATTATTTTCCTTTAAAATAAAATGTACAACCAAAAAAGCTCAGGGCCTGGAGCAGTAGGGAAGACAGGGGTATACCAGGGAGCCCATTTCAGGGTAGGGACCTGTGGGTCTGATCCCTCCACCCCATACCTTTGTAAAGGAGGGGAGGTCTATAAGCCAGAAATTTCAGAAGGGAAGGGAAATATATGCTGTGCTGGTGCTTTTTCTGGAATGGGTCATCCTTTAGGTACAGAACACCACCTTCATCGATGACATCAGAACCACAGACTGGCAGAGCCTTGGAAATCACATAACACACCCATCCCCCATCACACACATGGACACATTGAGGCTCAGATAGGGAAGGATATGCACCCTAAGGCACACCCCAAATCAAAAAGGCAAGGTCAGGACTACACCACCTGAGCAGCTTTAGCAGGGGACTGTGGCCCCAGGCCTGGATATGCACAGTATATCATGAGATACATCAGACATGTGAATGACCTTGTGGAGAGAAATGGCTGTGATTGTCAGGGAGCAGCCACTGCCCAGGGGCGCCTGACCTCAGCAAAAGGTGGCTATGTAAAGGCCAAAAACTGGATGGTGGTCATGAGCCTCTGGACTCTTTTCAGCACCAAATGGTGGAGGTCTCTGCTAGCTCAACTTCTTGGGGCTTCTCAGGTAGGGTTGCTGTTGCTTGAGGGCCGGGGAGAGGCCAGCAGCACTGGAGTCAGCTTTGGCCTCTGCCCTTCTGTCTCACCCCACCTCTGTCTTCAGTAGGGACAAGAGAGGACGCGGGGTGGGGAAGACCAGAGTAGAGCAGCACCTTGTTTCTGGCTTCCGGGCAGTGGGCTGCCTCCTCCCAAGCAGGATTGAAGGGTTCAGAATAGCTTTTCCTCAGGTCAAGAGGGTATGCTCTTCGCTCCGGAAGTCCCACCATGCTGAACCCTATGTTGGTTAGGAGGACAGCATACTCCAGGCGGGCAAAGACGGTGCACACCCCAGCCTAGCAATACACATGCCCAAAGTAGACAGCCAGTGCTGAGAAGGCGATGTGCCGACCATGCAGAGCCGCTGTTCCAGCCTGGGACTTGCCTTCGTGTGCTTCTCGGTCAGCCGGAGAATGCGGCGAGGCGCATGCGACCAAGTAGCACAATGAAAGCATTTTCGGGACCATGAGGTCCTTGGAGGAGATTTGAGCGAGCAAG
The DNA here is from genome assembly GCF_000001405.40 of Homo sapiens. NCBI lineage: Eukaryota > Metazoa > Chordata > Mammalia > Primates > Hominidae > Homo > Homo sapiens. The sequence continues at coordinate 165,941,562 of NC_000001.11, forward strand.
GGCCAGCACGAGCTCTCCACGCCGCCGAGGCCGAAGTTGAGGGGGCAGAGCGGGAGATGCCAGGAACACTGGGAGGTGCAGCTGGGTCAGTGGCTGCAGGAGGCTCAGGCCACCGAGCAGACATGTGGAAACGTCACGCGCAGCGCTGGGGCGCCTCCCTGCCCACGGCCCAGCTCCTCGAGGGCAGCAGATGGGCACCCAGGCAGTGGCAGCCAGGATGTAGGGGGAACCCGGGCCAGGCTGAGGGGCGGGAACGTCTAAGCATGAAACTTGCCACTTATTTAGCCTGTATTCCTTGACTCCGATAATCCCGCAGAACAAAGTCTTCATGATTCTTTCTTCTTAACAAAAACACCAGCTGATTTGCGTGCTGAGGTGGATTAGGGAAAATACCTGTGTAATTAATGGTAGCGCGGTCTTGGGAATCAGGCCTCCAGAGTTCCAGTTCTAGTTCTACCTTTAAGGAACCACATAACCTTGGGGAAGTGGCCCCCTTCCTCCGTCTGCATTTTCCTAGTGTGTATTACAGCAATTACTTTTGCAGCAACCTAATAAAATGAGAGTATTGGGCTAGATAGTCGTGAAGGGTCCTTTGAGCTCTTGAGCCTTCCTGTCTGTATGTTAAACCCACTTAGTGTTAAGGCCCCATTCTCAGGCCTGCTTACCGCCCTCTTATCCCTGTTGGAGGTGGGAGAGGACAAAGCTGTTTTTCAGACATCTTAAGTTAAGCCCAGGCTCTGTGCAGAGGATGAAGTTACTGATTACAGAGCAATTTGTTCAGGAGACACTGAAGATAATTAGTAAGAGAAGAGTCAGTGTGTCTTGAATGGAGTTCTTCTAATCCCTTAGGCATTGATCAGTCAATTCCATGAGCACTACACTAGCTGGTCAGGACTTCGACCTGGGGAACTAAATGCAAGAGCTTCACAGGCACTAAATAAGCACTTGCAAGAAGGCAAATTTAGTTTCACTTGGGGGATGCTTGATGCCCAAGAGAAATGACTGCCATGCCATTTAATTCTCTTCTCATTTAACATTCATTCAGGTGAACATTTTTGAATCCCTGGTACGTAGGAGATACTGTCAGTAGCAAAAGTGACTATGCCACCTTCCCTCCCCTCAGGAAACTTTTAACACAGTGGAAGAGACAGACTCGTCAAAACTGCAATACAAAGCAGAATGTAAAATGGAGTAAGCGAGGCACCCCCAAGGTGCTATGGGGGTTGAGAAGAAGGTGAGCCCTGAGTTGGTTGGGGTCGTCCTGACTCCAGAAGGATGGCTGGGTACATGGTCACCACAACAGGATGAGAGGACACTTGAGGTGGAGGGGATGGCATGAGCAAAATCGTAAAAGAGGGACAGTCTGGGGCAAAAGAGAAAGCGGATGGTGGTCGATTTGCCTAGATTACAGCACTCTACACACTACAAAATAGAATTAGAAAAATATACCAGGTTTAGCTTGTTTGAAACTTGAAAAGATGTTGGGCTTAATTTACTGGCAGTGAGGAGACACTCGGGGTTTCTTTTTGGCATAGGAATAGCATGATGTGCATTATGTATGTAGAGTTGCACATTAATAAAATATTAACAAATGAAAGGAATGCATTCCCATCTTGTTCTTCTGAGATGAAACCAAGAAGCTATACAAAAGGAAAAGAAGGATTGCAGCATTTCACACTCCCCATAGTTCTGTGAAAAGTAAGAGTTGGCAATGCCTAGCTCCATGCCACTGTTTCTGGATTCTCCAGTGATTCCCTGGGCTGGTGGAATCAGAGAGGTGTGACAAGAAGCTGTTTTCCCCAAATGACTCAGCTGCCAGGTGTTACATGCATCTGGCTCAGGAAAAACAACCACATGGAGATCTGTTTGTTACTCAGAGTTCCCTCTAGGTGGCCAGAAACATCCCCTAAAGTAGTTAAATGAAAGAAAAAGAGAAGGTCAGAAAAAGCATTCACAAATACTGAGTTGCTTAGCTGTGTATGTGGCTGTTTGAAAAGTTTCCTGGAAGTGTGTTCAGGGGGAGAAAAGCCTAATCCTTCAGGTCCCTATCTGCTGAGGGTCGGGTGAAGATTCTGGGAAGTTGGAGTAAGTAACATTCACACTGATTAAGATAAAAATAAGACAATGACAAAACCAAACATGTTTACTAATAAGTAGTCCTTGGTATTGTGGATGTGCTTATTGCAATTCCCTCTGTGTACTGCTTGTCATAAGATAAAAATGATGCAAGGACACAGAAAGACGGAAGAGGGGTATGCTTAGAATTAGGCAGGAGAGGCCGGTCGCAGTGGCTCACACCTGTAATCCCAGCACTTTGGGAGGCAGAGGAGGGTGGATCACGAGGTCAGGAGATCGAGACCATCCTGGCTAACACAGTGAAATCCCGTCTCTACTGAAAAAACAAAAACAAAAACAAAAAATTAGCCGGGCGTGATGGCAGGTGCCTGTAGTCCCAGCTACTCGGGAGGCTGAGGCAGGAGAATGGCATGAACTCAGGAGGTGGAGCTTGCAGTGAGCCGAGATCGCACCACTGCACTCCAGCCTGGGTGACAGGGCGAGACTCCGTCTCAAAAAAAAAAAAAAAAAAAAAGAATTGGGCAGGAGAAATACCAGCACCCATCCACTGAGTCTTGGTGGGGTCTGTGAAATGCCTCATCATTTCTGGATGCTCCAGAACTGGCTGACACAGGCTGCCCTGATGGACACAGGGATATGAGGTGCCTGGAGGCTTCAGGGACACTTATGAAATGTCATTTTAGGGCTGGTTAAGTCTAAAGATGACAGGGAGTGTAAATTAAAATTGCTCAAATCAATAGCCAGGCACAGCAAAACATTCCTGTAGTCCTAGCTACTCAGGAGAAGGCTTAAGTCCAGGAGTTCAAGACCAGTCTGGGCAACATAGCAAGACTGGTCTCTTAAAAAAGGTTACTCAAATCACAAGGAGAGCCAGAGTTCATTTAAACTAGTGATCTTAACAAACCTTGATAAGGGCAAATGATTGTTACCAGAATTACCTGAGGCATTTATAAAACTTTTTACTATAGAAGAATCAAAACACATACAGAATAAACAAGAGTGATGTCACTGAAAATGACTAGGGAACTTAAAAATCTGTTTCCATTAAAGCAGTGATTTAACTGGCAAAAACTGTCAGAATCAAAATTTTCAGAGCTCTGGAATCCAATTAAAAAAAGTTACAACAAATAGGTGAATGCTGGTTGAATGAATGAAGAAAGAAGCTGCTGAATTTGGGGAAGAGAGCACTGGGTTGTTTTAACTTATTCACCAAGCCCCACTCAGTTCGGCAGCAGCTGTGAAGACAGTGATCTATATTCCTGGAAAAGGTTGCTGGTACTAGCAGGAGCAATGATCTTATTCTTATTTTCAAAGAATTTTGGTTGTATGTTTTAAGCTGCCCGGTGGCTCCCTGAAAGATAGGCTCAGGGCTTGCCTTTGTTTTTCTTGACTTGGATCTTTCTCAGGGCCGAAGCGGCTGGTCGAAAGCATTTAAAAGCTGCAGCCACCTGTGGCAAGGGATAAAAGTGAGGGCGAGCAGTAGATGGGTAATCCTAGGAAGGAAGAGGTGGCTAGGGAAGGAGATACATGGGGGAGTAAGGGCTTTGAAAAGCTCCTGTGCATACTGGGGAATCTAGAAGGCCACCACGTACTCAGGGCTGGACACATGCCCATGGAAGACCTGAGGAGACCCCAAGCTTTCACTTCTGGCTGACCTGTAGGTTCCCTGAAAGCAGGAAGTGAAGGCTAAGGCAGAATCGTAAATGGCTTGTGTTTGAAGAAGTGCCCCATCACAGAACCAATATACAAAGACTGGGAGGATAGTTTTTCATTTTTCTTTGGCTCCAGGTGTTTAAGGACACCTCTGTCATCTCAGTAGCTGACCACTTAACATAACAGAACAGAGACTTCAGTGGCCATGCATGACAAAGAATACAGTCTTTACACACACACTAAACAATAAACACAATGGTATATGAATCCATCATCCTGCTCCCACAATTATCAACATTTGGCCATTCTTGTTTCATCCATCCTGTGACCCACTACCCACACTCCACTTGGTTTTATTGTTATCTTTTTACAGTTTCTTAAAAGGTAATCTTTATATACATTGAAGATAAATATTACCTTTTAATAAATGTATACAAAATGTATTTACATATATTTTAACTAGTCAGTTTTGACAAATGAATATGTATGCTTCTGTAACCTGCATTTCTACCAGGATATAGAACTTTTCCATCTTCTTGGAAAGTTTCCTCATGACCTTTCCAGTAACTCCCCTAGGATTTATTGTTTTCATACTGCCTATGTTCCAATCCCTTGCCTTATTGGCCCTCCCCCCTGAGACTGTCAATCACTGCCTTAGGGAGCCACTGTTATTGGTGGGAGCATGTGAGGCCTCTTATGTATCTGCCTGGCCAATCCAGTATTCCATGTAACAAGTAGAGTAAATACTCATGGACGCTTTGGGAGAAAAGGCCAGAGGTGAGTAGTACCCCCAACAGACGTGGAGGTTCCTAGATTATGTCACTGTAGAGTGTGGCTGCTGGTGGTGGTGGTGGTGGTGGGAACGGCAGCAGTAGCAGCAGCAAGGGGCTTCTGAATGAGGAACCCTCCATGGAATGTTAGGCAGGAGCTTTCAGAATGGTTTAATTCCTCAAGCCTCTGCATATGCCAGTCCCTTGTCCTGTATCACCGGATATTATCAGGTTGCTTCTTATACATTCTTTTAGAAAGCTCACCTAGATTCCTGATTAGACCTGATACCCTCCTTTTTGCTCCCACTTTGCATTTCTATTATGATGCCACGTCATATTAAAACTGTGAGCGTGTTGGTGCCCTGAAATAGTTGTAAACTTTTTGAAGTCAGAATTGGGGGCTTATACATCTGTGGATTTTCAGCCTCTAGGCTGATTATATATAGTAAGCACAGAATACATGTTTTGAAAGTAGATTCCTCTTGCAAATGTGGCCTTTCACCTTATACCTCAGAGCATGGGCCATTTTGTGGACTAACACTTTTCCCTGTCTATCGGAGAGTTGTGTTGTAAGAGCATGTCATTTACCACAATGGGAGCTTGACCTGACTATGGGTCTGAATCAGTTTTGATGAGGTTTGGGATGTGTGTGGGCCAAAAATAGCTATTTTTTTAAAAAAAGAATAACCACTTATTAGAGTAGATACAGAACCCTTGTTTGGCCAAATTTTAATACTGCTTTACATGTTTTCTGTTTGTGAAACAATTCTTATTACATTTATAACCAAAAATTTCAACTGATAACAGATTTAATTTTCACTGTCAAACACACAGTTGATAATCTTGAGGGGAAAATACATCAAAGGCGTATATATATAATTATAGAAGTTCTTATTGTACATGTAGTATGGAAGATACATTTTATTACTTTTTACATATTCTGGAAGACATTCAAATGAAGGTAAATAAATTCAAAATGGTTGGTAAACTGTTCTGGTGCTTTCAGGTCCTTCATTTTCTTTTTTTGTTATAAGAAAATCCAAAATTATTGTTGAATTTCTCATCGTACATTCATCTAAAAACAGTAAAAAAAACTTGTAAAGGAAGACTGAAGATTGGTTAATTTAGGCGTTTTATAGTGGCTCATCATTAATTGACTGCTGGGGATACCTGCTAGAGAAGGAAAAAAAGTTGGAGAAAATTCCTCTAGTTATTTAAATCTGGTAAAGAAATAAAACAAAACAGACAAAGATAATTGCAAAGCCACACGATGCTAAAAATAGCTAATTTTGAAGCGTGACGCTTATTCACTTTTGTACCTTCTGCAAAGTGCCAAGCATGTCAGAAGCACCACCAAGGCTGGCACTGCCCCATCCCAGGTCAGCTGGGCTCATGGTGCTCCACCCTGAAGGAGACCTCATGGTTTTCCCGTCTTCTCCCCAACATAAACCATCATCCCTGGGAAACGTGTCTGTGTAAGCCCCAGCTTGGGGCATGCTTCTGCCCATCAGTGTGGAGCCTGGTCCTTCAGGCTGATAAAGGATCTCATTCCATTTATTGAAGAGTGACCTTTCTTCACCTTCCATTGTGATTCCTTTTGAAAAGTTCCTGGCTTCCTCTTCCACCCTGTAGCAGGGAGCTGGCTGCCAGGCAAAGTCTGAGCAGGCTTGAGGAGAGTGGCTGAGCAGGGTAAATAGAAGGTTGTGAGGAAGGAAGTTATTTTTGGTCATTTATTGTTGAGAGGTGTCTTAGCCTGAATTTCTTAGGAAACAGAACCTGAAGCAAAGTTTATGAGCTCATGCTCTGTAGGGGTGTGGGAGTACAATTCCAGGGAGGTGAGAGTGAGGGAAGAGGGGAAATGAGATGGGAATGAGAAAAAGCAAATACAAAGAGTTGTTTTACCAAACTGGCTACAGTTTAACCAAGAAGCCCAGCTATTGCGCCATCAAATGGTAGGTCTCAGGAGAGGTTGAACAGAAACACTGTTTGGGAACAGTCTGTTGGGAGGAGGGGAGAACTGATCCACTCTCTCCTCCCTATCTTCCTACTCTGATCAGCCAAGGTTCTTCCCCATGGGGCCTTCGCCCTTTCATATTTCTAAGTTGTGTTACCTGGACCCTCTGGGCAGCTGCTGGGGAAGGAAGAACTCATAAGGTAGACCATGGTGAGCTAGCGGCACACCCTCCCTTCCTGCCTGTAGCAGAAGCCTCAGGGGCCCTCCAGTGTGTGTGCCTAGGAGGTTGGGGTGGGTGGCTCCGTGGGTCCCGCAGTGTGGGAGATGGGATGCACAAAGTCTGACATGTGAGGCATGAGGTGTCCTGCCACGTTGTGTCTTGAGTGACATGGGAGACTGGAAGCATCTGCAGGAGCAAGCCCAGCAGGCTGTGCAGGTGAAGAACTACAATGATGTGGCCTCTGCTATGAAGATAATATAGAAGCTCCATGAATCTTTCTACAACCAACCAAATCCTCCTCTCTGTGGCCTATAAGAATGTGGTAGTGCCAGGTGAGCCTTCTGGAAGATCGCCAGTAACACCGACCAGGAATAAGTGGCTAAGCTCATCTCAGGACACATACAAACTAGATCCTCTTTAAGAAGTATGACCATAGGGGGCGTGGTGGTTAGTAGAAGACAGAAAGACAGAAAGAAGGGGGACCTGCGCACAGTGACTTATGCCTGTAATTCCAGCACTTTGGGAGGACTAGGTGGGAGGATCATTTGAGACCAGGAGTTTGAAGCTACAGTGAGCTGTGATTCACCACTGCTCTCCAGCCTGGGTGACAGAGCCAGACACTGTCTCTAAAAATGAATGAATGAATGAATAAAGAAGCAAATAAATAAATAAATGGAGCCCCCCCCCCCCAAACACACACAAAGAGGGGCCTGGCTTCTTCAGAGAGCAAAGGATGCTGTTGTGTTTGTGCTCTGCCACTTGCATATATCTTGTGAGCTCCCATAAGTCTAGGGCCATTTTCAGGTTGTGGCACTGAGTGCAGCGTCTGGCATATATTAGGAACTGTGTAAATGAAATGGGCAAGAGACAAAGTGAGTCTACCTAGGAAAAAGCCCTTCACAGCATCTAAGCAGGGTAAATGACCCTGGTGCAGATGGAGATCGGCCTTGCTTTCCAGAGCCATGAAGGGAAGGCTCATCCCAGTGCTGGTGGCTGCCTGTGCGAAGTTGTGATTTAGAGAATTTTATAGCCCTGTTTTCAGATGTTCACTCACCATTTACTGCTGTGCTGCTAATAAACATCTTGTCATAATGATAAATGGGGCAACTCGAGGGGGACGTGGGAGCCATGTTTAAAGAGCCTTGTGTTCTTCAGAATACCAACCCTGCCTGTGGATCAGAGAGCCCCAAATTTATTTTTAAAAATCTGTCTTTATTGTTGATGTGACTGAAATCCAAGAGAGGCAAACTGTAACTTTGTTGGAAACCTCCAAAGGGAGGGGCCCCAGGGGCTGCAGGGAGCTGTCCAGGGTCCTGTGGCTGGGGAGAGGATGGCACAGTGGCCTCTGGACACTGTGGGGCATTCTTCCAGAGTTTGTGGTGAGCTTTGGTCAGGAGGAAAGAGGAAGCCTCCTTGGGGACAGATTTCCCAAGGTTCCCAAACTGAGATGCCACACTCCTCAGTGCCCAGGTATGTGGTCAGAATATGAGTTGAGACAACTGGGGAAAGCCTGGCCCTCATGGTGCAGTGAAAGATGCTTCAGGCAACAATAAAGATTTCCCCTAGTGCCGATGCTTTTGCGTTGCAGAGATGGTGCCACATGCCACCACCCTGTGGGTTCAGTCTTCTGCTGACACCCTCTTAGCCCTTCTTCAGGTGCCCCTCCTTCCCCTTCCTCCTCTCTTTTCCTCCCCTCATCCTGTCCTTCCCATCCCTCTCCTTTCCTTTCTACCACACCCACGCTTCACACCCGCTGCACAGTGGAAGGCTGAGATGGGACAAGGGCCAGGATACAGAGGCCACTTGCAGGTGGGCATTGTGTTGTTTATGATGGGAGGAGAGAAAGCATCCACAGAAAAGTGAAAAGCTTCAAAGTGACTGGCAGCTGGGAAGAGGCCAGTTTGGGCTTGCCAATTTTGAATTCAGGCAGCTGGTGAACTGCCTGTTGCCCATGACATTGGCATTTCAAGAGTAATGAGGAAAATGTAGAGAGATGTCAGTCCACTTTATCTTAGAGAGGCAATAGGCCTCAATTCTTTGAATTGAGGGTTTCATTTGAAAATGAGAAGAGATACGTTTTATTCTGATGCTCACATCCAAGATGAAAAGAGAAAGCTCCATGTTCTCAGCAGGAACTCAGTGCCTCAGGTGGCAGAATTCTTTGGTTCAGGAAACCTCTCAGCATCCCTGTGTGTAGGGTTAAGTCTTGTCTGAGTCCAGAGAGACAGTCAGGTTGTACAGTCATAACTCAGGGGCCTGGGTTCTTTCTTCAAGTCTCATGCAGCAACAGTAGCTTCTGGGCAGGGTCAGCACACTTCCAGAGGCAGAGGCCAATCTTCTAGCTATCTTCTAGCACTACAATGATGCGGCTGTGCTGTGCAGATGAAGCACTACAATGATGTGGCGAAAACTTGGAGGCAAGAGTAACTATCTTCTAGCACTACAAACACAATTCAACTAATAGTAGACTCAGCTGGGTTAAAAAACATCTCTTTTTGATACTTAAATATTCTTAGGAAGGACTAAGACACACTGAAATGCGGAGTTCCTTGACATTTTTTATGCAGAGAAGCTGAGGCTCTGGGGCCTCCTTCCAGCTGGAATGGCACAGGGGACGCAGGGAAGGAGGCAGCTGCTTTCCTCTGGCACCAAGAATTTTGAGATGCTGGCAAACTCTAGGTCCTACCTTGATCCCAGAGGCAGGCTGAAATTTCCATAGCTCTGGAGCCATAGGAAAGAAGAATTTCTGGCAGCCTCTGGCTTTACCTTTTAATGTTTTGGCAACATGGTGTAAGAACACAGGCTTTTAAATCACAAACTTATGTTCAAATCTCAGCTTCCCTGCTTCATAGGTAGGAAAGTTACTCATCTTTGTCTATCAAATAAGGAGAAAGACGTGACCCCCTAATGTGTCATGGGATTCAGTGAAGTAGCATATTGTAAACAGCAGGCACACAGTAGCCCCATGTCAAGGTTAGATTCTCAGCAGAGACATAAATCAAACCCTCTATCAATAATGATAATTTTCTTCTCTCCAAACTGATACTTCTTATTTATGTCTTACATCTTATTGAATTGTCTAGAATTTTATAAACAAAATAATAAACCATGATAGAAATAATGGGAATCTTTGTTTGAGGCCTCTAGTATTTTACAGCTAAAAATAAAGTCAGTTGGAAAGAGAATCTCTTTATCATATTGAGAAATGACTCATCTCTTCTCGCATTTTAAAATGTTTATTTAGAATGCATTTGAATTTTATTAAATGCCCTATTGAAATAATCATATGCCTTTTTTTTTTTTTTTTAAACAGAATCTTGCTCTGTTGCCCAGCTGGAGTGCAGTGGTGCAATCTTGGCTCACTGCAACCTCTGCCCCTTGGGTTCAAGCAATTCTGATGCCTCAGCCTCCTGAGTAGTTGGGATTATAGGCATGCACCACCATGCCCAGCTAATTTTTCTATTTTTCTTAGAGACAGGGTTTCACCATGTTGGCCAGGCTGGTCTCAAATGCCTGACCTCAAATGACCTGCCCACCTCAGCCTCCCAAAGTGCTGGGATTACAGGCGTGAGCCACCGTGCCCGGCCAGTCATATACTTTTGTCATAGACAGTTATGTGCTGCAAAATGATGTTTCAGTCAAGGGTAGACCACATATACTATAGTTGTGTCATAAGATTATAATATTTTAGCAGTCCTTTTTCTGTGTTTAGATATGTTTAAGATACACAAGTGCCTACCATTGTGTTACAGTTGCCTACAGTATTCAGTATAGTAATATGCTGTACAAGTTTGTAGCCTAGGAGCATCAGGCTATACCATATACCCAAGGTGTGTAGTAGGCTCTATCATCTATGTTTGTGTAAGTACACTCTATGATGTTCGCATAATGACAAAATCGCCTAATGATACATTTCTTTTTTGTTTGTTTGTTTGTTTGAGCTGGAGTCTCACTCTGTTGCCTAGGCTGGAGAGTAATGGCATGATCTTGGCTCACTGCAACATCCGCCTCCTGGGTTCAAGTGATTCTCCCACCTCAGCCTCCCAAGTAGCTGGGACTAAAGGTGCACATCACCACACCTAGCTAATTTTTGTATTTTTAGTAGAGACGGGGTTTTGCCATGTTGGCCAGGCTGGTCTTGATTTCCTAACCTCAAGTGATCTGCCCCCCTCAGCCTCCCAAAGTGCATTACAGGCATGAGCCACCACGCTTGCCCCCTAATGATACATTTCTCAGAACGTATTCCTGTCATTAAGTGATATGTGACTGATAAGTGGTGATAAGGTATATTCATAGATTTCTTAGTGTTGGACTGGCCTTATATTTATGGGATACACTTTGCTGTATCACTGGAGATTTTTTTTTTTGAGATGGAGTTTCGCTATTGTTGCCCAGGCTGGAGTGCAATGGCACGATCTCGGCTCACAGCAACCTCTGCCTCCCGGGTTCAAGCCATTCTCCTGCCTCAGCCTCCGGAGTAGCTGGGATTACAGGCATGCGCCACCACGCACGGCTAATTTTGTATTTTTAGTAGAGACAGGGTTTCTCCATGTTGGTCAGGCTGGTCTCGAACTCTGGACCTCAGGTGATCCACCCGCCTCGGCCTCCCAAAGTGCTGGGATTACAGGCGTGAGCCACCGCCACCGCGCCCGGCCTGATTATTTTTTAATGTATGGAACCCATTCATAATATTTCAACTTGTTCTCCTGTCTCTACTCTTTTAGTCCAAACTCTACACAGTGGCCAGACTTATCTTTCTAAAGTGTAAATCAGATCAAGTCACTCCCCTGCTTAAACACCTTCACTGATTTACCATTAATAACATAGAACTTCCTATCACAACCTGTAAGACCTTTTATTCTTTGACTCCCACCCAGCTCTCTTTCCATACTCCCCCTGGTTCCATCCAATAGCACTGGCTTTGAGCATGCCAGCCTTACTCTGTCACAGAACAATGTTCTTCTCCCAGATTTTTTCTGGACTATTACTTTCTCATTATTCATAACCCAACTCAAACATCACCTTCTTAGAGAGGCTCTTCCTGAGCTTTCTAGTTAGGCAGCTTTATAATACCTCTTGATTACATTATCCTATCTTATTTTCTTAGAATTTTCCTATACCTGAACTTAAATTACTTTGTTTATGCCCTGATTGTCTGTCTCCTCCCACTAGGACGTATGTGCCTTGAGAGCATGGATTTCTGGTCTGTCCGGCTCACTGCTCCTCAGAACTGCTGCCTAGTGAATGATGGGTGCTTAATAAATATATTCACAAATAAGAATGACCTATTATATTCCCTTTTTATTTTTGGTCATTTGTCTGGTTTTCCAATAACTTCAAAGCCTTAATTGGATGCCTTCTCATCCTTTTCTGTGCCTGGGATCAGCTTACATGGCACAGGACCCTCAGAGTGGAACGGGACCTTATGGATTAGTTTCCTGACTTATTCAGTGCAGGAAGCCTCCTGTCCCATCCTGGCAGATGACTGTCCAGTCTCTGAAGATTTTTCTTGTTTTTTGAGATGGAGTTTAGCTTTTGTTGCCCAGGCTGGAGTGCAATGGCACGATCTTGGCTCACTGCAGCCTCTGACTCCCATATTCAAGCGATTCTTCTGCCTCAGCCTCCTGACTAGCTGGAATTACAGGCGCCCACCACCATGCCTGGCTAATTTTTTGTATGTTTTCAGTAGGGATGGGATTTTACCATGTTGGCCAAGCTAGTCTCGAGCTCCTGACCTCAGGTGATCCACCTGCCTCGGCCTCCCAAACTGCTGGGATCACCCAGCATCTGAAGATTTTTCTAGGAGCTGGTATGTGTATGGAATTTCTCTACTTCCAGTTTTAGCCCTAAGATCTTCTCTTTACTTTTCCGGGGGAAAATTATTGCAATGGGAGGCCTGATGACTTTTTGAGACCAAGGGTATGAAGACATAAAGAGAGCCATAGGGAGATGTCTAACTGGAGTGATCTCTTATCCACCATAAACGTCTTTGGGCCATGGAAGCAAGCCATGGTCATTGGTAGCCAACCTCCCCAAGACAGAATGAAGTCCCTATAGTATGCCCTTTGTTTAGTTTGGAGATTCTTGTTCTAAAAATGTAGATATATACTGTACTTCCCTTTTCTTTTCTGCATTTATTAAGTCTTTCTTTCTTTCTCTAAAAAACATTTTGCTATTTTTCCATGGCCTTTGGGGTCCTGGGGACAATAGAAAGGAAGTAAACAACAACAACAAAAATGATCTTGGTGACTACCCACCTCTGCAAAGGAATTTCCCATTTGGTGGCGTAATTCTCATTGATGTCTCTGTTTTGTTTTTCCTCTTGATTATGAACCCCTGGGTGAGGGCTGATGGCTTATTGTCTTTGAATGTCAGTGTCTGTCAGAGAGTAGGGACTGGGTTCACACTGGTTAAAGGACCCCTGTTTTGGATCACCAGTGACATCAAGGGTATGTGTGTGCCACACCAGGAAAAATCACAGGCTCCTGAGTCATTTGAACTAAGGTTTGAACCTTGAAGCTGTTACCTACTGCTTGAGTGATCTTGGGTGTGTTGCTTTAATATTTTCTAAGCTTTAGGGTTTTTTTTTTTCATGCAAAATGGAGATCATAAAACCTATACCTTACAGGCTTGTAGGGAGGATTAACCAAAAAATGGTTTGTAAAGTGCCTGCACTTAGTAGGTGTCCTATGACCCATAGTCACTAATATTAATCTTTCATCTACTCCCAAGACCTCCAAGCAGGGCTCAGTTTATTTATCCTGGCTAATTATCATCAGCAAGGAGGCCTCCCAACCTTCTCATTGGGCCTAATTACCCAAGTGAAGTCATCCACAGGGAGTGGAGCTGCCATCTGCTCTGAAGCCTCCCAAGCTGGGCCTCCCCTCCCACTTCTGGAGCCCAGGAACAGATGTGGGAGGCTGAGCAGGCAAGACTTCTGTTGCTGTGGTTAGCAGCTGAATTTCTGGAATTTCCGCTAACAGCTCAAATCAGAAAGCTAGAACAGCTGTATATTTCCCTGGGGCCTGCCAGGGCTTTATACATGTGTGTAGGAAGCCCCTTTTCTTCTTCCTCCCCTCCTCACCAACGTTTTTTTTTTTAATTACTGAAATTTTCTGTCAATGGTGATGATATAGGAAAGGGCAAGTGGGGAGAGGGTGACAGTGAGGGTGCAGCAGGTTGGGACCCAGCAAAATGATCTTTGGGGCCTAACATCCTTTGTCTCCAGGAGATCCCTAGTGTAGAAAGAGCAGCAGTAAACAGGGAATCAGGAGGTCTGGAGTTGGGAACCAGCATTTTTATTAATGCATCTGGGGCTGTGGCAAGTCACTTCACATATCTTGGGCTCAGCATCCTCATACATGTGATAAGGGGTGGACCTAGATGAGTTCCAAGATCTTTTCTGTAAAGATCCAAGTTCTCTTTCTGTATTTCTGGGTCTCTTTCTGTAAAAGTCCATGTTCTCTTTCTGTATTTGTGGGTCTCTTCCCACATTATCCCAACAATGGGACAGTGTCCCTGAGCCTGTGCTCCATTCCCTGGATTGGCCTCTGGTTACTGAATCTTCTATGATGTGTTAGATGATAGAAGTTGTCACATAAACTTATCATTGTCCTAGGGGACTTTCTTGGACAGATATAGTATTTTAAAACATACAAGATAGGTTTTCTAACACTGGAAATTCAAACAGTGGACAGAGCGTTGGGGGAGACTACGTGTGTGTGACAGATTGAGCCAGGGCTGGAGGGGCATGGTGAGAAGAGCAAAGCCCTGCCAGCCATCCCTTAGATCTTCCACGGCCACTATGTTCAGACATACATATGCCCTTGTGTGGTCTGATGCTTTGTTCTAACACAATGGCTGTCACTCATTGAATACCTGTTGTGTACCAGGCATTGCTCTGGCTAGTCTCTAATCCTCATAGGAACCCTGCAAGGAGGGAGTTACAGTATTTATCACTTACAGTTTCAGATATTCCCAAGTACCCCAGAGGTCCATGTGGTGCAGCAACCTGCAATGTTGGGTTTGCTCCATTTGCTAAGAGGCTGGGTGCAGAGGGAAGCTGCCTGCCTGGTGAGGGAGGCTTGCTCACTGCTAAATGCCTGCAGCTCGATCCCTCAGAAGTCATGACTCTTGAAATAATAGTTTAGTTCTTTGGTGGAAAATGGCCTCTGAAAAAAAGCCAGTTACTAGTGTTGAGGATGTAGGTGAAAAGAAAATAATGAGGGCCAAGAAGGTGGACCAGAAAATAGAAATTTGAGATAAAAACTGGGAGGTTGGATTTAGCAGTGGCTCAGGTTCATAATGCAACTGAGAGAGCTCACCACATTTTCTTTATAGAAATGAGACAAAGTGATTCAAAGGCACTGTAAGGAATGTTCCAGCCTGTGCAAATGATAACATTTGACTACCATGTGGAAGGCACTCAAAATGCAGGTTACATGGAGTGTGGGTCATGAAGGCCAATGAGCCCCAAAGCCCCATTCTCAAGGAGTTTACGTCTAGCAGAGACACAGACAAATAAATGGCCAAATATTCTAGAAAATTCTATAAGATAAATACCCATGACTGGGATGCTTAAAGGGCTATCATAATTCACAGGATTCATTTCTAACTTAGGTCATTCAGGAAGGCCTCTTGGAGGAGGGATTTATTAAGCTAGATTTTATAAGGTTAGTAGGATTTAGATGGGAGGAGGGCATTTTGGGCAAAGGGACTAGCATGAGACAAGGTCTGCTTGTTAGATGGTCTGGATATGGCTGGCACATGGTAGATAGACCAGTTTGGCTTCAGTGTAGAATTCATGGAAGTATTATTAAAGAAAGGCCTAGAGGAATAGGTGCTTTGCTTTATGGGAAGTCCTCGAGTGCCAGCCTAGGGAGTTTGGGTAAGCTATATTATGCTGTAAAAACAAATAAGTCTAAAACCTCAGAAGCTTAAATCAACAAAGCTCAATTTTTGCTCATGCTACAAGTCCATCACAGGTCAGCAGGAAGCCTGCTTCCTGTCCTTCTCACTCCAGGATCATGCTGATGGAGCTCCCACCTTCTGAAATGTACTTTGAGACAGTTGGAGGGAGAAGACATAGAAATTTGCACATCAGTACTTAAAGGCTTCCACTTAAAAGTAGCGTGTCAGCTGGGTGCAGTGGCTCATGTCTGTAATCCCAGCACTTTGGGAGGCCAAGGCAGGTGGACCTCTTGAGGTCAAGAGTTCCAGACCAGTCTGGCCAACATGGTGAAACCCCATCTCTACTAAAAATACAAAAATTAGCCAGGCATGGTGGCACGTGCCTATAATCTCAGCTACTCAGGAGGCTGAGGCGTGAGAATCACTTGAACCTGGGGGATGGAGGTTGCAGTGAGCAGAAATCATGCCACTGCACTCCAGCCTGGGACACAGAGTGAGACTCCGTCTCAGAAAAAAAAAAAAAAAGTCGTGTGTCATTTCCACTCACATTTTGTTGGTCAAGGTTAGTCATATGGTCGTGGGAAGAGGAGGGAAAGACATTCCCACCATGGGCCTGGAATGAAGAGGACTGGGATATCGGTGAAAATCATTGATTGCCACAAGTAGAGAGGGTGTGGGTGGGCTTCTAAGCTTTTGTATCTGACAGTGACATGACCCCTTGAGCTTCCTGCTTCATAGGTACGTTATTGTCCATACTGAATGCACTGAAATGGCCTGCTCCGTGTTGGTCTCCCGGGGATCAGTTCTTATTCTTATTTGTTCTTCAGGGGTCCACGGATTGGGTGCTTAAGCGGGATTTGTAATATAGATAAATGAATTTATTTTTTGAAGGATGGATTTGGAGAGAGGATAGATCGGAGCCTGAGGAAGTCAATTATTATATTTCTCCCAGTTAAGTTTGAAGAAAGAAAGATACTCTCCGCAGAGCTGTTTTGGCCTTTTTATTGGGAAACATTTTGTCACTCAAATGCTAATAATTAGAAATAAAGCAAAATACTTATTTTGCTAATAATTAGAAATAAAGCAATCAGTGCTAATAATTACAAATAAAGCAAAATACTTACTTCCTGGAAACCTGAAAACTGCTTGTGCCTCTTGCCATGCTCTTCCCTAAGGGGCCTATGCCCAATTTCCCCATAGAATGAAACATTTGGGAATTGTTCCAATCTAGTTTGGTGTGTCTGGAGTGCTGGCCTTTTTCCTGTCCCTGGTCTAATGGGTACATGAGTCTGGTAGCTTCTGGCTCCAGAAGGATTGATGTGGTCAGCCTTGGCAGTGACAACTCATAAGATCAAAGTGTCTTTTGAAAACAGCATTGCTACTGACAGCCCCAAGCTTGATTAAATTGTGACTGGATTAGAGGGCCCCAGTGCAATTAGCTGCTTCTCTAGCTTCCCCTCCTCCCACTGTGGGCAGAGGCTGCCATGCAGGGCAAGATGCAGGCAGGGGTATAAATCCCCTCTGTCTTGCATGGGGGGTAACTTGATTTCTATCTAGTCAAAGGCACGCTTGGGCCGCCTGTGTCGCAGTCTGTGTTACTCTCTGCTTTTTGGCAGCCCCAGCAGCATTCTAATGGTTTCACCTGCCATAGAGAAGCTTTGGTTAAGAGCGAGGGCAGGGGCAGTGCAACCTGGGGTTGGGGTCCAGGCTGGGGGAGAAGATGGATGAGAGGGAAGATGGCAGGGAAGGGATGAAAGGGAAAGTAAGGCTGAAGAGAGCCTAGCTCATTCCAGAGGGGCTGTTAATAACCGCTGCACCTGAGATTCCTGCATCAGGTCTACTAGATGTAAAACTCAAAGATGTTGAACTTGTGTTGGGGAGGAGAAAAGACAATATATGTATTTTTTGGTAGAATTGTGAGCGGTAGAAGTCACACACCTCAGGAGTAAGGGACTCATAGCTCTAGCCTTACCTCTGCTTCTTACTGGCTGTCTAGTCCTAGGAGGGTCATTTCACATTCCTGACATCTGTTTTCATCATCTGTAAGACCAGACAGTTGGACTAGATGAGCTCTAAAGTCCTTTTGGGGCTAGTATCCCATGAGTCTGTTTGGTAAGTATTAGTAGGGCCTGTAATGCCCTATTTAAAATTTTATAAGTCCAGGCATGGTGGCTCACACCTGTAATCCCAGCACTTTGGGAGGCCAAGGCGGGTGGATCACTTGAGGTCAGGAGTTCGAGACCAGCCTGGCCAACATGGTGAAGCTCTGTTTCTACTAAAAATACAAAACAAAAACAAAAACAAGCCAGTCATGGTGGCGCACGCCTATAGTCCAGCTAATCAGGAGGCTGAGGTGGGAGGATCACTTGAACCTGGGAGGTCAAGGCTGCAGTGAGCCAAGATTGCTCCACTGCACTCCAGCACAGGTGACAGAGTGAGACTCCATCCCCCCTACCAAAAAAAAAAAAATTAAAAATAAGTAAATAACATTTTGTAAGTTATAAATACACACACGCACATTTGGAATCAGTTTATTGGTTAAAAGTTAACCAATAAATTTGAGTTAAGGCTAAATTTCCCCACCTATAAAGTAGGAATAAATACAGTACTTATTTCATAGAGTTATTGAGAAATTTAAATTAGGTAATACATAGAAAATACTTACATAGGACTTGTTCTGTAGTAAATGCTTAAATATAATAGCTATTGTTGTTGTTATTATGGGACTGTCCACATAGATGCCCATTTGACCAAATGACTAGTAGAAAAATATACATTGAATTATTACTGAATATGTGCAGCGTGCCCGCACTCCGATGGCTCTAGGGGAATGCAATATGTAAGAGCTTCCCTGTTCTTGCTGGGAAGATAAGATAAAAAAAAAATCCGGAACTCTCAAACAGCACTGAGAGGCTGTGTATACTCAATGACTAGGATCAGTAATGTAGAAGTTCAGAGAAGTGTTGGAGAATTTGGAGAGGGCTTCACAGAAGGAGTGAGACTTGAAGGATAAGCAGATTTTAGGGGAGAGTATGGAGTGGACATTTTGGGCAGGAGGAAGGCAATGACATGAATGGAGTGAACGTGGTGGGTGAGATGCAGTCCTTTCCACCCTATATGTGTGGGAAGAGTCTTCTTTCATTCTTGATGTATTAGTCAAGCCTGCTAACTACTAGCTTGCTCATAACCTTGCTGGAGCTGGGGCTTGCGTGTGTGTGAACATATTTGTGTTCTTGTGTGTTGCTGTTTTAGAATCTGTCAAAAATATGGATGACTCCCTTCCTAGGGCCAAGTCTTATTTAATTCTTTGACTTTCAACAAGACAGACATTTCAGGAAGCCAAGAGATTGTTAGAAGGTTCACACTGTTCTTTTATTCCTTTTCCAACCCAGCATCGAGCAATAGTCAGATACTATTTGCACTTCTTCCAGGCTTCCGTTAAAGGTGGAATTTTCTCAAGTGTCTGAACAGTCTGGGGCTCTTGAAGGCAGATCCAGGCAGATCTGCTCACAGTTCACAGTCAAGCTTTGTGGGCACAATTAGCACTGGTGGAGGTGGTGGTGGTGATGGTGACAGTGGGAAGGGGTCATGACACCACTTATTGCCTTCCCTGGGGCAGAAATCATGGGCTTGTCACACATTGAATTATAACTCTCTTACCTCAGTTGGGATGCTAATATAAGCATAAAGATCAAGCCAGCCTGGTTTCTAAATAAAGAGGCTTAGAAGACATTCTGTCACTGTTACATTTTCTTCTTTTTCAGACAGCCTCTCTTCAGGGATATGGGCACCTGATGCTGGTTAATTTACTTAAGAACAATAGACAGGATCTTCTTCAATTCTATCTGTTTCCTAAGAGAAAGGAAAAATATCACTTTTTGGCAATGTCAGAAATTCTGAGGATCTTCCTTAATGTTCTGTCACTTTTTGGATGCCAGCCAGTCAGAGTAGGAGGCGAGGGTGGTTCAGTGCCAGGTGTTATGCTGTGTGTGGGGCTCTGTGCTAGGTGCTGAGGATGGGTGAATCTTAAGAGGAACTTGAGTATCCCCGAAGCCCTAGTGGAGTAGGTGTTGAGACTGGGAATGGACTGAGAATGGAGGTGTCTCTGGTAGGTGACTCAACAATGACTTCAAGTAGTGTGACCTCCACTTAGGAGTTTTAAAATTCTCTAATAATTATTGATCACTGAATACACTTGTGTTTATTCATCCAGTTTTCAGCTAATATGTTTTCAGGATGTAATGTGTGCTGGGCACTCTGTTAGGCATTGACTCTAACTGTGAACAAGGCAGGCCTGGTTCCTGCCCCTCATGGAGCCTACATTTTAATAGGGCAGGCAGATAATAAATGAGTAAATGGAAAATAAACAAAATACTTAAAGATTGTAATAACTGCCACAAAGGAACCAAGTGGAGTGTTGTAATGTAGAAGAAAGGGAATACTACTTCATGCCTTCCCTCCACCCCCAGCTACTTATAGCTCCTTTTTCCCTAACCCTTAGGTTTTCATCAAATTTCTGACTATAATGAGAAATTAGAAGCTTTCAGATGTGAACTCCTTCATCTTCCTGCCACTAAATCTGAAAACATTAATACATTTTCTTCCCCCTGTTAACAATAGAGTATGTATTCCTTTTCTACTAAATGCCAATCTTTCCATTATCTTCTGGATCTCATCCCTTCTTATCCTCTCAAGGATTGCACTTATTTGATGATTTGCATCCTCTCCAGCATTATCAACCTCCCTTTCTCTGCTGGGTCATCCCTATACTATACAAGAACACCCTGACATCTCCAAATATCAAAAACCCCTTTATTGACCTCACTTCTCTATCCAGGTACTGTTACATTTCTCTGTCCCATTTCATACCCAACTGGCATGAACTCATCTCACACACCTTCTCTACTACCTTCTCTCCCATTTAATTAAACACTCACTTGCAGCCATAAAAAAGAATGAGATCATGTCCTTTGCAGGGACATGGATGGAGCTGGAGGCTGTTATCCTTAGCAAACTTACACAGGTACAGAAAACTAAATACCACATGTCCTCACTTACAAGTGGGAGCTAAATCATGAGAACACATGGACACATAGAGAGGAACAACCCATATTGGGGCCTTTTGGAGGACGGAGGTTGGGAGGAAGAAGAGGATCAGGAAAAAAAACTAAAGGGGACTAGGCTTAATACCTGTGTAATGAAATAATCTGTATAACAAACCCCCATGACACAAGTTTACCTATGTAACAAACCTGCACCTATACCCATGGACTTAAAAAAAAGTTAAAACAAAACAAACAAAAAAATAAATGATATCTCATTTGGAGTTTGATTTTTATTTCACTAATGATTATTTCTGTTGAGCTGCTTTTCATGTGCTTATTGGCCATTTTACATCTTCTTTAGGGAAATGTCTATTCAAGTTTTTTGCCCATTTTTAAATCAAGTGTTTGTTTTTTTGTTGAATTGTTCTTTGTATATTCTGGATATTAATCCCTTAACAAAGATGTGATTTGCAAGTATTTTATCCCATTCTGTGGGTTGCCTTTTGACTTGGTTGATAGTATCCTTTACTGTGCAAAACTTAAAAAATTTTTTTGCATAAAGTCCAAAAAAACCCTAAACACTCACCATACTTCTTCCAATAAACCTCTGTCAAGGTTGTACTTGTTTTTGACCCCATCACACCTGACCTCTTAGTGCACTAAAATCATTTTTGAAAACTCTCCCCTCTTGGACCTGGTGACCCTGATCCTCTTTCCTCTCTTTCTCTAACCTTCCTTGTTCTCTGCTTTATTTGATGGTTCTTCCTGCTCTACCTGATCTCTAAAAGCCAGTGTGTTTTAGTACTTGCCTTAAGCCTCCTCCTAATCTTTCTCTAAATTCTTTTCTTAAGTAATTTTATCCAATTCCATGAATTTAAAAGACATCTCTATGCTGATACTGCCCAAATTGTCCTCTTCAGCTTGGAACTTTATTTAAAACTACAGAATTGCCCGTTGCTTACCTTCTTGATGGACTCACACGCTTCTCAAATTTAGCATATCAAAATGGGACACTTGACTTTTTTCTCATCCACCCTACTGATCTAAGCTTTTCCATCTCATTTAGCACCACCCTCCACTCAGTTACTCAGTCCAAAACCTGGAAGTTATTCTTGGTTCTTCCCATTCTTTCTCTCTCGAAAATGCATCTTGAAACTATCTCCTTTCTATTTGTACTGCCACCTGTTAGTCCAGGGGACCATCATTTCTCCTCTGGACTCACGCAACAGCCTCTTAATGGAACTCCAAATTTCCTGCCTTTCTACAATTCAATCATTAAAAAAATTAAACAGTATCTTGACACTCATTTCCAGATATTCTAAGAATTACTGTATTTTCAATCTATGTTCTATTTATCTACTACTGTTCATTTTTACAGTTCTAACTTTTTAATCCCAGAAATAAGACATAATATTATTATATTATTTAGACAGTGTCAGTTTGAATTTTTTTTACCTGCTTTCCATTTTCTTTGCTCTCTATACTTTTTTTGTATTTCAGATCATCCTTCTGTTTCTTCCCCATTTTTCCAAAGTATATCTTAAAAATATTTTTTATTAATTACAGGAACTGCATTTCATTTCAGAAGTATGTCTTTTAGAGCAGTTTCTTGGCAGTAAACTCAGTTTCTGTTTAATCTGTAAATGTTATTATTTTACCCTCTTAAAAAGATCATTTTGCTGGGTATGTAATTTTGTATTATTTTCTCTCAATGCATTTAAGTTGTAACTCTGCTGTTTTCTAGTCTCTGTTGTTGCTAGGGAGAAGATAGCTGTCATTCTAATGGCCATTCCTTTGTAAGTAATTTCTCCTCTTATCAAGCTCCTTTCAAAATCTTCTCTTCATCTTTTGTGTCATCCAGCTTTCTACTGTACTAGGTGTGGATTTCTTTTTATTTATCATATCTGGAATGTTTTACTTCCTGCAGTTTGGGATCTATATTTCTTACTAGCACTATAAAACTTGTGAAATCACCATTAAATTAAATATTGTCTCTCCTCCATTCTCTGTTTTTTTCCTCCTGGGATTCTAATCATACATGTATATCAGGCTATCTCATTCTATTTTCAATGCCTCTTAACTTCTCTTTTATATTTTCTTCTTCATTTCCCTTGGCTACCTTCTGCCAAGTCTTTGGATATATCTTCTAGCTAATGAATTATCTCCTAAATTGAGTCTAAAACTATTGTTTAGCCAGTCCATCAAGTTTTTTTATTTTCATATTTTTCACTACTAATAGTTCCATTTCCTCTAAAACTTGTTTCTTTTCTAATGGTTTCTTGTTGAATGTTTATCTTTGTAATTGAATCATTTATTTCTTTTTTTTCAATTCATATACATTTTTTATTTTTGTAAAGATGGGGTCTTGCTATGTTGCCCAGGCTGGTCTTGAACTCCTGGGCTCAAGTGATGCTTCTGCCCTGGCCTACCAAAGTGTCATATAAATTTTATTTTATTTTATTTTATTTTATTTTTATTATTATACTTTAAGTTCTAGGGTACATGTGCACAATGTGCAGGTTTGTTACATATGTATACATGTGCCATGTTTGTGTGCTGCACCCATTAACTTGTCATTTACATTAGGTATATCTCCTAATGCTATCCCTCCCCCCTCCCCTCACCCAACAACAGGCCCCGGTGTGTGATGTCCCCCTTCCTGTGTCCAAGCGTTCTCTTTGTTCAATTCCCACCTATGAGTGAGATCATGCTGTGTTTGGTTTTTTGTCCTTGCGATAGTTTGCTGAGAATGATGGTTTCTGGCTTTATCCATGTCCCTACAAAGGACATGAACTCATCATTTTTTATGGCTGCACAGTATTCCATGGTGTATATGTGCCACATTTTCTTAATCCAGTCTATCATTGTTGGACATTTGGGTTGGTTCCAGGTCTTTGCTATTGTGAATAGTGCCACAATAAACATACGTGTGTGTGTATCTTTATAGCAGCATGATTTATAATCCTTTGGGTATATACCCAGTAATGAGATGGCTGGGTCAAATGGTAAAATACCATTTGAATCATTTATTTCTTTAAACACATTATACATAGATTTAAAAAAATATTCTGCATGTAACTGTCTCACATCCTTGGGATCCTTAGGGTTCAAAATCTATTGCTTCATGTTTCAGCTGATTTTCACTCACAGTGGTTTCTCTTGTATTTACTTTTCTATTGTGGTTTTATATATATAAATTAACATTTTAACAGTTTTAAGTGTACAATTTAGTACATTAAGTATATTCACTGTTGTGCAATTATTACTGCTATCAACCTCCAGAACATTTGCATCATCCTGTGCTGAAACTCTGTACCTATTAAATAATAACTCCCAATTTTTCCCTCTCAAAGTAGTATCTGGTAACCACCATCCTACTCTCTGTCTTTAAATTTGACCATTATAGGTACTTTCATATGAGTGTAGTCATAGTCATATAATATTTGTCCTTTTGTTCCTGGTTTCCTTCAGTGGAACATAATGGTTTCAGAGTTCATCTATTTTGTAGCATGTGTCAGAATTTCACTTCTTTTTAAGGCGGAATAATTTGAAATTGTATGTATATACTGCATTTTTTTCATCCATTCATTCATCGATGGACATTTGGGTTGCTTCCACATTTTGGCTATTGTGAAAAACACTGCTATGGAGATTGGTATACAAATATCTGTTTGAGTCCCTGCTTTCAATTATTTTGTATTTAATTATATAGCTAGAAGTGGAATTGCTAGTCATATGGTAATCTTGTGTTTAGTTTTTTGAGGAACATACGTGTAAAAAGGTGAACTCACTTCTTGATCTCAGTTTGTGAGAGTCTTCAGACCTAATGTGGGGAAGCTCCCTTCAGAGATTATTTGCTTTGGTTTTGCTTCAGCCAATGGGGAAGAGTTGTCCTGAGACAAAACCACATAAGCCACCTAAAGAGTTCTGGCTCAGAGCAAGAGTCCCAGGCTCAGCCTTTTCACCTACCTATTCTTTCAAATTTAAAAATCTCCTCAGTAGCCTGGAAATAAGCTAGGAAAACCTTACTTTTCTCACTGTCTGACAGTCCTTACTGCCCAACATTGCCTGTCCCCACTGTAAGTCCTCAGTACTTCAGGCCCCCAAAAGTCCTTTCAGCTATTTGTTTGTTTTTCAGTGGTGGGGAGGTAGTATCATTCTTGGAGAACTCTTCTTTCTTCTTTGAGATCATTGATGACTTAAACAATGTGTTCTCCTATTTCTGGTCTAGCTGTTGCAAGAAGGAATTCAGAGCTCCTTGTCCATCATTTTTCTTCAGTCATTATTTGCATGATGCTACAAGAGATTGGCTTGTGATTCTCCTTATCCACAGACCTTCAGTAGCTTCCCACACACTTGTTACCATTGCTTACAGGTCCCTGTGGGATTTTCTTGCCTGTCTCTCCAACTATATTGCCCATCACTATTCTTCTTTATTTCTACCTCCAGGCACACTGGTCTTTTTTGTTTGTATAACCTCCAAGCTCTTCCCTCCCTGGGTCTTTGCAGATTATATTCCTTTTGTTAGAAGAGCCTCTCCCATGTTCTTCACATGGTCCTTTCCTTCTCAGTTTACACGATACTGCTACAGAAAGGCCTTCTCGCATTGTCGTATCTAACTTACGATTTCATTCGATACTCTCCATCCCAGCCTCTTGCTACTGGGTAACTTTTGTTACATATACATTTTAAACTACTCCAGTTAAATTCACAGGGTTTTTTTCTTTTATGACCCATGCTTTTGTGTATTATTTAAGAAATCTTTTCTTATCCCAATATCATAAAGATTTATACATGTTTCCTTCCAAAATTTTAAAAGTTTTGCCTTAAAACTTTAATCTTTCTGTACTTTTATATGTGTATGATATAAGGTATAATTCTGACTTGATATTTTTTTCCCATGGAAAGGTATTTGTTCCATCAATATTTGTGAATTGCCCATCCTTTTACACTGGTTTGTAATATCTTCTCTGTCATATTCTATGTTTCCACAAATGCATGCATCTATTATGGCCCTCAGTTTTGTCTCATTGATCTATTTTTAAATTTGTATGTTAACACCATTCTGTCTTTATCAATTCGGATTGTACTCAGTTACATAGAAGCTTATTGAAACATCTTAATAAAATAAGAGCTTATTTTCCTTTTGTGACAAGAAATACAGAAGTAGGTAGCCTATGACTAGTGCAGCAGCTTGAGGAAATCTTAAGAATCCAAGATCAGATTCCATTCCAAGATGGCCGAATGAAACAGCTCCTGTCTGCAGCTCCCAGCATGATCGACACAGAAGACGGGTGATTTCTGCATTTCCAACTGAGGTACCTGGTTCTTCTCATTGGGAGTGATTGGACAGTGGGTACAGCCCACGGAGGGCAAGCCAAAGCAGGGCCTACCAGCCAAAAAAAGTCCAGGACCAGACAGATTCACAGCCAAATTCTACCAGAGGTACAAAGAGGAGCTGGTACCATTCCTTCTGAAACTATTCCAATCAATAGAAAAAGAGGGAATCTCCCCTAACTCATTTTATAAGGCCAACATCATCCTGATACCAAAGCCTGGAAGAGACACAACAAAAAAAAAGAATTTTAGACCAATATCCCTGATGAAAATCGATGCAAAAATCCTCAATAAAATACTGGCAAACCGAATCCAGCAGCACATCAAAAAGCTTATCCACCACAATCAAGTTGGCTTCATTCCTGGGATGTAAGGCTGGTTCACCGTACACAAATCAATAAACATAATCCATCACATAAACAGAACCAATGACAAAAACCACATGATTATCTCAATAGAGGCAGAAAAGGCCTTTGACAAAATTAAACAGCCCTTCATGCTAAAAACTCAATAAACTGAGTATTGATGGAATGTATCTCAAAATAATAAGAGCTATTTATGACAAACCCACAGCCAATATCATACTGAATGGGCAAAAACTGGAAGCATTCCCTTTGAAAACTGGCACAAGACAGGGATGCCCTCTCTCACCACTCCTATTCAACATAGTGTTGGAAGTTCTGGCCAGGGCAATCAGGCAAGAGAAAGAAATAAAGGGTATTCAATTAGGAAAAGAGGAAATCAAATTGTCCCTGTTTGCAGATGACATGATTGTATATTTAGAAAACCCCATCATCTCAGCCAAAAATCTCCTTAAGCTGATAAGCAACTTCAGCAAAGTCTCAGGATACAAAATCAATGTGCAAAAATCACAAGCATTCTTATACAACAATAACAGACAGAGAGCCAAAACATGAGTGAACTCCCATTCACAATTGCTTCAAAGAGAATAAAATACCTAGGAATCCAACTTACATGGGATGTGAAGGACTTCTTCAAGGAGAACTACAAACCACTGCTCAACGAAATAAAAGACGATACAAACAAATGGAAGAAAATTCCATGCTCATGGATAGGAAGAATCAATATCATGAAAATGGCCATACTGCCTAAGGTAATTTATAGATTCAATGCCATCCCCATCAAGCTACCATTGACTTTCTTCACAGAACTGGAAAAAACTACCTTAAAGTTCATATGGAACCAAAAAAGAGCCCACATTGCCAAGACAGTCCTAAGCCAAAAGAACAAAGCTGGAGGCATCATGCTACCTGACTTCAAACTACACTACTAGGCTAGAGTAACCAAAACAGCATGGTACTGGTAACAAAGCAGAGATATAGACCAATGGAACAGAACAGAGGCCTCAGAAATAATACCACACATGTACAACCATCAGGTCTTTGACAAACCTGACAAAAACAAGAAATGGGGAAGGATTCCCTATTTAATAAATGGTGCTGGGAAAACTTTCTAGCCATACGTAGAAAGCTGAAACTGGATCCCTTCCTTACACCTTATACAAAAATTAATTCAAGATGGATTAAAGACTTAAATGTTAGACCTAAAATCATAAAAACCCTAGAAGAAAATCTAGGCAATACCATTCAAGACATAGGCATGTGCAAGGACTTTATGACTAAACACCAAAAGCAATGGCAACAAAAGCCAACATAGACAAATGGGATCTAATTAAACTAAAGAGCTTCTGCACAGCAAAAGAAACTACCATCAGAGTGAACAAGCAGCCTACAGAATGGGAGAAAAGTTTTGCAATCTACCCATATGACAAAAGGCTAACAACCAGAATCTACAAAGAACTTAAACAAATTTACAAGAAAAAAACAAACAACCCCATCAAAAAGTGGGCCAAGGATATGAACAGACCCTTCTCGAAAGAAGACATTTATGTGGCCAACAGACACATGAAAAAATGCTCATCATCACTGGTCCTCAGAGAAAGGCAAATCAAAACCACAATGAGATACCATCTCACACCAGATACAATGGCGATCATTTAAAAAAGTCAGGAAGCAACAGGTGCTGGAGAGGATGTGGAGAAATAGGAACACTTTTACACTGTTGGTGGGAGTGTAAACTAGTTCAACCATTGTGGAAGACAGTGTGGCGATTCCTCAGGGATCTAGAACTAGAAATACCATTTGACCCAGCGATCCCATTACTGGGTATATACCCAAAGGATTATAAATCATGCTGCTATAAAGACACATGCACATGTATGTTTATTGCGGCACTATTCACAATAGCAAGACTTGGAACCAACCCAAATGTCCAACAATGGTAGACTGGATTAAGAAAATGTGGCACATATACACCACGGAATACTATGCAGCCATAAAAAGGGATGAGTTCATGTCCTTTGCAGGTGCATGGATGAAACTGAAAACCATCATTCTGAGCAAAGTATCGCAAGGACAGAAAACCAAATACAGCATGTTCTCACTCATAGGTGGGAATTGAACAATGAGAACACTTGGACACAGGGCGGGGAACATCACACACTGGGGCCTGTCGGGGGCAGGGGGAGGGATAGCATTAGGAGAAATACCTAATATAAATGAAGAGTTACTGGGTGCAGCACACGAACATGGCACATGTATACCTATGCAACAAAACTGCACGTTGTGCACATGTACCCTAGAACTTCAAGTATAATTAAAACAAAAAAAGAATCCAAGATCATTCCTTCCGCTCTATCAGTCTTACGTATTTTTCTTTCTCATGGTCACTAGATGGCTGTTGCACTTTTATGTTCAGCATTTTCATTCTATTGAGGAAAAAAGGATATAGGCAAAGAAAAAACGGCAAATGTCCTCAAGTCTGTCCTTTGCTTTTCAGAGAAATAACAGCTTTTTTTTTTCTTTTTAAAAACTCAGTTAACGTATCTCTCTGGTTAGACCTGAGTCATATGGACCCCCATCTGCAAGAGAGTCTGAAAAGTGAGTCATTTTAACTGTTTACATTGCTAAAATAAAATTAGTTTTATTGGAGATTCATAGGGGAGAATGGATTTTGGGTAGGCAACCTTCATGCCTGCCTCATTATCTTTCATTTTTATTGTGGAATAATAAGTCAACTGATATAGTACATTCCTTTCTTATTTTTCTTCTTCAAAAGTGTTCTGGTTATTCTTGGCGTTTTACTCCTCTGTATACATATTTGCATCAACTTATAAAGTTTTGCCAAAAACTTTGTTAGGATTTTGATTGTGACTGCACTGACTGCATAGATTAATTTTGGAAACAGTTTTTTTTTTTTTTTTTTTTTTGATGCTTTGATATTTGTTCAGGTAACCATTTATTTTTGTTTTGTTTTGTTTTGTTTTTTTTTATTATACTCTAAGTTTTAGGGTACATGTGCACATTGTGCAGGTTAGTTACATATGTATACATGTGCCATGCTGGTGCGCTGCACCCACTAATGTGTCATCTAGCATTAGGTATATCTCCCAATGCTATCCCTCCCCCCTCCCCCGACCCCACCACAGTCCCCAGAGTGTGATATTCCCCTTCCTGTGTCCATGTGATCTCATTGTTCAATTCCCACCTATGAGTGAGAATATGCGGTGTTTGGTTTTTTGTTCTTGCGATAGTTTACTGAGAATGATGGTTTCCAATTTCATCCATGTCCCTACAAAGGACATGAACTCATCATTTTTTATGGCTGCATAGTATTCCATGGTGTATATGTGCCACATTTTCTTAATCCAGTCTATCATTGTTGGACATTTGGGTTGGTTCCAAGTCTTTGCTATTGTGAATAGTGCCGCAATAAACATACGTGTGCATGTGTCTTTATAGCAGCATGATTTATAGTCCTTTGGGTATATACCCAGTAATGGGATGGCTGGGTCAAATGGTATTTCTAGTTCTAGATCCCTGAGGAATCGCCACACTGACTTCCACAATGGTTGAACTAGTTTACAGTCCCACCAACAGTGTAAAAGTGTTCCTATTTCTCCACATCCTCTCCAGCACCTGTTGTTTCCTGACTTTTTAATGATTGCCATTCTAACTGGTGTGAGATGATATCTCATAGTGGTTTTGATTTGCATTTCTCTGATGGCCAGTGATGATGAGCATTTCTTCATCTGTTTTTTGGCTGCATAAATGTCTTCTTTTGAGAAGTGTCTGTTCATGTCCTTCGCCCACTTTTTGATGGGGTTGTTTGTTTTTTTCTTGTAAATTTGTTTGAGTTCATTGTAGATTCTGGATATTAGCCCTTTGTCAGATGAGTAGGTTGCGAAAATTTTCTCCCATGTTGTAGGTTGCCTGTTCACTCCGATGGTAGTTTCTTTTGCTGTGCAGAAGCTCTTTAGTTTAATTAGATCCCATTTGTCAATTTTGGCTTTTGTTGCCATTGCTTTTGGTGTTTTGGACATGAAGTCCTTGCCCACGCCTATGTCCTGAATGGTAATGCCTAGGTTTTCTTCTAGGGTTTTTATGGTTTTAGGTCTAACGTTTAAATCTTTAATCCATCTTGAATTGATTTTTGTATAAGGTGTAAGGAAGGGATCCAGTTTCAGCTTTCTACATATGGCTAGCCAGTTTTCCCAGCACCATTTATTAAATAGGGAATCCTTTCCCCATTGCTTGTTTTTCTCAGGTTTGTCAAAGATCAGATAGTTGTAGGTATGCGGCGTTATTTCTGAGGGCTCTGTTCTGTTCCATTGATCTATATCTCTGTTTTGGTACCAGTACCATGCTGTTTTGGTTACTGTAGCCTTGTAGTATAGTTTGAAGTCAGGTAGTGTGATGCCTCCAGCTTTGTTCTTTTGGCTTAGGATTGACTTGGCGATGCGGGCTCTTTTTTGGTTCCATATGAACTTTAAAGTAGTTTTTTCCAACTCTGTGAAGAAAGTCATTGGTAGCTTGATGGGGATGGCATTGAATCTGTAAATTACCTTGGGCAGTATGGCCATTTTCACGATATTGATTCTTCCTACCCATGAGCATGGAATGTTCTTCCATTTGTTTGTGTCCTCTTTTATTTCCTTGAGCAGTGGTTTGTAGTTCTCCTTGAAGAGGTCCTTCACATCCCTTGTAAGTTGGATTCCTAGGTATTTTATTCTCTTTGAAGCAATTGTGAATGGGAGTTCACTCATGATTTGGCTCTCTGTTTGTCTGTTGTTGGTGTATAAGAATGCTTGTGATTTTTGTACATTGATTTTGTATCCTGAGACTTTGCTGAAGTTGCTTATCAGCTTAAGGAGATTTTGGGCTGAGACGATGGGGTTTTCTAGATAAACAATCATGTCGTCTGCAAACAGGGACAATTTGACTTCCTCTTTTCCTAATTGAATACCCTTTATTTCCTTCTCCTGCCTGATTGCCCTGGCCAGAACTTCCAACACTATGTTGAATAGGAGTGGTGAGAGAGGGCATCCCTGTCTTGTGCCAGTTTTCAAAGGGAATGCTTCCAGTTTTTGTCCATTCAGTATGATATTGGCTGTGGGTTTGTCATAGATAGCTCTTATTATTTTGAAATACGTCCCATCAATACCTAATTTATTGAGCGTTTTTAGCATGAAGGGTTGTTGAATTTTGTCAAAGGCTTTTTCTGCATCTATTGAGATAATCATGTGGTTTTTGTCTTTGGCTCTGTTTATATGCTGGATTACATTTATTGATTTGCGTATATTGAACCAGCCTTGCATCCCAGGGATGAAGCCCACTTGATCATGGTGGATAAGCTTTTTGATGTGCTGCTGGATTCGGTTTGCCAGTATTTTATTGAGGATTTTTGCATCAATGTTCATCAAGGATATTGGTCTAAAATTCTCTTTTTTGGTTGTGTCTCTGCCCGGCTTTGGTATCAGAATGATGCTGGCCTCATAAAATGAGTTAGGGAGGATTCCCTCTTTTTCTATTGATTGGAATAGTTTCAGAAGGAATGGTACCAGTTCCTCCTTGTACCTCTGGTAGAATTCGGCTGTGAATCCATCTGGTCCTGGACTCTTTTTGGTTGGTAAACTATTGATTATTGCCACAATTTCAGAGCCTGTTATTGGTCTATTCAGAGATTCAACTTCTTCCTGGTTTAGTCTTGGGAGAGTGTATGTGTCGAGGAATGTATCCATTTCTTCTAGATTTTCTAGTTTATTTGCGTAGAGGTGTTTGTAGTATTCTCTGATGGTAGTTTGTATTTCTGTGGGATCGGTGGTGATATCCCCTTTATCATTTTTTATTGTGTCTATTTGATTCTTCTCTCTTTTTTTCTTTATTAGTCTTGCTAGTGGTCTATCAATTTTGTTGATCCTTTCAAAAAACCAGCTCCTGGATTCATTGATTTTTTGAAGGGTTTTTTGTGTCTCTCTTTCCTTCAGTTCTGCTCTGATTTTAGTTATTTCTTGCCTTCTGCTAGCTTTTGAATGTGTTTGCTCTTGCTTTTCTAGTTCTTTTAATTGTGATGTTAGGGTGTCAATTTTGGATCTTTCCTGCTTTCTCTTGTAGGCATTTAGTGCTATAAATTTCCCTCTACACACTGCTTTGAATGCGTCCCAGAGATTCTGGTATGTGGTGTCTTTTTTCTCGTTGGTTTCAAAGAACATCTTTATTTCTGCCTTCATTTCGTTATGTACCCAGTAGTCATTCAGGAGCAGGTTGTTCAGTTTCCATGTAGTTGAGCGGCTTTGAGTGAGATTCTTAATCCTGAGTTCTAGTTTGATTGCACTGTGGTCTGAGAGATAGTTTGTTATAATTTCTGTTCTTTTACATTTGCTGAGGAGAGCTTTACTTCCAACTATGTGGTCAATT
Organism: Homo sapiens; assembly: GCF_000001405.40. NCBI lineage: Eukaryota > Metazoa > Chordata > Mammalia > Primates > Hominidae > Homo > Homo sapiens. Next base: position 165,974,303 of record NC_000001.11, read on the forward strand.
TTGGAGTAGGTGTGGTGTGGTGCTGAAAAAAATGTATATTCTGTTGATTTGGGGTGGAGAGTTCTTGGAAACAGTTTTTGATCTTTAAGATATTGAATCTTCATACCCATTATGGTATATTGCTCAATTTATTGAAGTCTGTCTTCTTTATGTCATCAAGTTAGGCTTTATAATTACATACAAAATACCTTGCTCAGGCTTTACTCCTAAGTGTCATATAATTTAAAAATTAATTTTCTCTAATAAATTATTGCTAATATAGGGCTGCTTTTTGTTTTGTTTTTTAAAAATATAGAAGTCTTGCTAAACTCTTTTCATTATTCTCTGTTGTTGTTTGGGCTTTATATGTAGATAAGCATATGAGAATCATATCATCCATAAGTAATGAAAATTTCATTTCTTACTTTCCGAATCCTTCTCTTTCTTTCTCTTTCCCTTCCTTCCTTCTTTCCTTCCTCCCTTCTCTCTCTCCTTCCTTTCCTTTCTTCATTTCCTTCCTTCCTTTCTTTCCTTCCTTTCCTTCCTTCCTTCCTTCCTTCCTTCCTTCCTTCCTTCTTCCTTTCTTTTCCTTTCCTTTCCCTTCCCTTCCCTTCCCTTTCCTTCCTCTTCCCTTCCCTTTCCCTTCCCCTTTCATTCCCCTTCCCTCCTTCCTTCCATCCTTCTTTCCTTTCTCTCTCTTTCTTCCTTTCTCTCTTTCTTTCCCTCCCTCCCTCCATTCCTTCCTTCCTTCGCCTCTCCCTTTCTTTTCTTTTACTCTCTTCTTTCTTTCTTCCTTTTTCTCTTTCTCTCTCTCTCTTTCCGTCCCTCCCTCCCTCCCTCCTTCCTTCCTTCCTCTCTCTTTCTTTCTTTCTCTCTTTCCTTTCTTTCTTTCTTTCTTTTCTTTTTCTCTCTCTCTCCCTTTCTTTCTTTCTTTCTTTCTTTCTTTCTTTCTTTCTTTCTTTCTTTCTTTCTTTCTTTCTTTCTTTCTTGCCCTCTTTCCCTCTTTCTTTTTCTTTCTTTTCTTGTTGCATTGCACTGTTAAAAACCTTGAGTACTGAGGCCAGGTGCAGTGGCTCACGCCTGTAATCCCAGCACTTTGGGAGGCCGAGGTAGGTGGAGCACGAGGTCAGGAGATTGAGATCATTCTGGCTAACATGGTGAAACCCATCTCTACTAAAAGTACAAAAAATTATCCAGGTGTGGTGGCAAGTGCCTGTAGTCCTAGCTACTTGAGAGGCTGAGTCAGGAGAATCACTTGAACCTAGGAGGCAGATGTTGCAGTGAGCCGAGATTGTTCCACTGCACTTCAGCCTTGGCAAGAGAGTGAGACTCCGTCTCAAAAACAAAAAACAAAAAACAAAAACAAAAAACCAAAAAACAAAAACCTTGAGTACATATTGAAAATCTGTGGCAAAATCAGAGATTTTTATCATGTTCTTGACTTTAATGGAAGTGCTTTAAATATTTCACAACTTAGTGTCATATTTGCTATGTTATAAATTTTGGTATATATCCTCTATCCTGCTAAAACATACAGTGTGGCCAGTGCAGTGGCTCATGCCTGTAATCCTAGCACTTTGTGAGGCTGAGGCAGGTGGATCACATGGGGCCAGGAGTTCAAGACCAGCCTGGCCAAGATGGTGAAACCCCATCTCTACTAAAAATACAAAAATTAGCTGGGCATGGTGGCATGCACCTGTAGTCTCAGCTACTTGGGAGGCTGAGGTAGAAGAATCCCCTGAACCCAGGAAGCAGAGGTTGCAGTGATCCAAGATCGTGCCACTGCACTCTAGGCAGCAGAGAGAGAGAGAGACTCCATCTCAAAACAAAACAAAACAAAACAAAACAAAACAAAACAAAACCATATACCATGCCTTTTTATTTTTAATTACTAATTTGCTGTTTTTTTAAATTGAGAAATATATGAATTTTGTCAAATGTTTTTCTGTTTCAACTGAAAGTATTATATGGATATTGTCTTACTCAATTTTATTTTCTATCTTACTCCATTTTATGTTGCTATAACAGAATATCACAGACTGGGCAATTTATAGTGAACAGAAATTTATTTGGCTCACAGTTCTGGGGGCTGAGAAGTCCAAGAGCATAGCACCAGCATCTGCTGCTGCATCATCCCATGGTGGAGGAACAGTCAAGAGGGCATGAGAGCAAGAGAGCACGAGGTGGCCAAACTTGCTTTTATAACAAGCCCACACCCCTGATAACCAACCCACTCATGTAATACTAACACTAATCCATTCATGAGGGCACTCATGACCTAACTGCCTCTTTTTAAAATTAATTTTATTTATTTTTATTTCTTATTTCCATAGGTTTTTGAGGAACAGGTAGTGTTTGGTTACATGAATAAGCTTTTTAGTGGTGATTTCTGAGATTTTGGTGCATGCAACCAGTATACACTACCCAATTTGTAGTCTTTTATCTCTCAACCCCTCCCATCCTTTCCCTCAAGGCCCCAAAGTCTATTTTATCATTCTTATGCCTTTGCATCCTTATAGCTCATCTCCCACTTATGAGTGAGAACATATGATATTTGGTTTTCCATTCCTGAGTTACTTCACTTAGAATAATGGTCTCCAATTCCATCCAGGTTGCTGTGGATGCCATTATTTTGTTCCTTTTTATGGCTGAGTAGTATTTGATGGGAGATATTTATATATATATAAAATATATATATATATATATATATCTCACAATTGTTGACTGAAGGGCATTTGGGCTGGTTCCATAGCTTTGTTATTGTGAATTGTGCTACTATAAACATATGTGTGCAAGACTTTTTTGTATAATAACTTCTTCTGGGTAGATACCCAGTTGTGGGATTGCTAGATCAAATAGTAGTTCTACTTTTAATTCTTCAAGGACTCTTCACACTGTTTTCTATAGCGATCGTACTACATTCCCACCAGCAGTGTAAAAGTGTTTCATTTTCACCACTTCACTGCAAACATCTATTATCTTTTGATTTTTTGATTATGGCCATTCTTGCAGAAGTAAGGTGGTATTGCATTGTTGTTTTGATTTGCATTTCCCTGATCATTAGTGACATTGAGCACTTTTTCATATATTTGTTGGCCATTTGTATGTCTTCTTTTGAGAATTGTCTGTTCATGTCCTTAGCCCACTTTTTGAAGGGATTTTTTTTTCTTGATAATTTGTTTGAGTTCTTTGTAGATTCTGGATATTTGTCCTTTGTCAGATGTATAGATTGCAAAGATTTTCTCCCACTCTGTGGGTTGTCTGTTTACTCTGCTGATTGTTTCTTTTGCTGTGCAGCAGCTTTTTAGTTTAATTAAGTCCCATCTATTTATCTTTGTTTTTGTTGCATTTGCTTTGGGTTCTTGGTCATGAAGTCTTTGCCTAAGCCAATGTCTGGAATGGTTTTTCTGATGCTGTCTTCTAGTTTTCATGGTTTTTGGTCTTAGATTTAAGTTCTTGATCCATCTTGAGTTGATTTTTGAATAAGGTGAGAGATGAGGATCCAGCTTCATTCTTCTACACGTGGCTTGCCAATTATCCCAGTAACATTTCTTGAATAGAGTGTCCTTTCCCCACTTTATGTTTTTGTTTGCTTTGTTGAAGATCAGTTGGCTGTAAGTATTTGGCTTTAATTCTGGGTTCTCTATTCTGTTCCTATGTGCCCATTTTTATACCAGTACTGTGCTGTTTTGGTGACTATAGCCTTATAATATAGTTTGAAGTTGGGTAATGTGATGCCTCCAGATCTGCTCTTTTTGCTTAGTTTTCCTTTGGCTATGTGGGATCTTTTTTGGTTTCATATGAATCTTATGATTGTTTTCTTCTAGTTCTGTGAAGGATGATGATGGCATTTTGATGGAAATTGCATTAAACTTGTAGATTGCTTTTGGCAGTATGGTCTTTTTCACAATATTGATTCTTCCCATCCATGAGCATGGGATGTGTTTCCATTTATTTGTGTCATCTATGATTTCTTTTGGCAGTGTTTGGTAGTTTTCCTTGTAGAGGTCTTTCACATCCTTGGTTAGGTATATTTCTAAATCTTTTATTTTTTATTTTGCAGCTATTGTAAAAGGAGTTGAGTTCTTGATTTGATTCTCAGCTTGGTCGCTGTTGGTGTATAGCAGAGCTACTGATTTGCGTACGTTAATTTTGTATCCTGAAACTTTGCTGAATTCATTTATCAGTTCTAGGAACTTTTTGGAGGAGTCTTTAGGGTTTTCTAGGTATATGATCATATCAGCAAGCAGCAACAGTTTGACTTCCTTTTTACTGATTTGGATGCCCTTTATTTCTTTCATTTGTCTCATTGCTCTGGCTATAACTTCCAGTACTATGTTGAATAGAAGTGGTGAGAGTGGGCATCCTTGTCTGTTCCAGTTCCTAGGGGGAATGCTTTCAACTTTTCCCCATTCAGTATCATATTGTCTGTGGGTTTGTCATAGATGGCTTTATCACATTAAGGTATGTCCCTTCTATGCTGATTTTGCTAAGGGGTTTAATCATAAAGGGATGCTGGATTTTTGTCAAATGCTTTTTCTGCATCTATTGAGATGATCGTGTGATTTTTGTTTTTAACTCTAATGTATTTAACATTTAACAATAAATGTATCACATTTATTGGCTTGTGTATGTGAAACCACCCCTGAATCCCTGGTATGAAACCCACTGGATCATGGTGGATTATCTTTTTGATATGCTGTTGGATTCAGTTAGCTAATATTTTGTTAAGGGTTTTTGCATCTATTTTCATCAGGGCTATTGATCTGTAGTTTTCTTTTTTTGTTATGTTCTTTCCTGGTTTTGGTAATAGGGTGATACTGCCATCATAGAATGATTTAGGGAGGATTCCCTCCTTCTCTATCTTGTGGAATAATGTCAATAAGATTGGTACCAGTTCTTCTTTGAATATTTGATAGAATTTAGCTGTGAATCCATCTGGTCCTGGACTTTTTTTATTGGAAATTTTTAAATTACCATTTCAATCTTGTGTGTTATTGGCCTGTTCAGAGTTTCTATTTCTTCCTGGTTTAAACTAGGAGGGTTGTATATTTCCAGAAATTTATCCATCTCCTTTAGGTTTTCTAGTTTATGCACATAAAGATGTTCATAGTAGTTTTGAATGATCTTTTATATTTCTGTGGTATCAGTTGTAACATTTCCTGTTTCATTTTTAATTGATCTAATTTGGATCTTCTCTCTTCTTTTCTTGGTTAATCTTGCTAATGGTCTATCAATTTTATTTATCTTTTTGAAGAACCAGCTTTTTGTTTATCTTTTGTATTTTTTTTGTTTCAATTTCATTTAGTTCTGCTGGGATCTTTGTTATTTCTTTTCTTCTGCTGGGTTTGGGTTTGGTTTGTTCTTGTTCTCTAGTTCCTTGAGGTGGAATCTAAGGAATCTAGTTCCTTAGATTATCTGTTTATGCTGGTTCAGACTTTTTGATGAAGACATTTAAGGCTATGAACTTTCCTCTTAGCACTGCCTTTGTTGTATTCCAGAGGTTTTGATAGGTTGTGTCACTATTATCATTCAATTCAAAGAATTTTAAAATTTCCATTTTGATTTCATTGTTGACCCAATGATTATTCAGGAGCAATGTTATTTAATTTCCATGTATTTGCATGGTTTTGAGGGTTCCTTTTGGAGTTGATTTCCAATTTTATTCCACTGTGGTCTGAGAGAGAACTTGATATAATTTCAAGTTTATTAAATTTATTGAGACTTCTTTAGTGGCCTGTCATTTGGTCTTTCTTGGAGAATGTTCCTTGTACTGATGAATATAATGTATATTCTGCAGTTGTTGGGTAGAATGTTCTGTATATATCTGTTAAGTCCATTTGTTCTAGGGTATAGTTTAAGTACATTGTTTCTTTGTTGACATTCTGTCTTGATGACTTGTCTAGTGCTGTCAGTGGAGTATTGAAGTCCTCCACTATTATTGTGTTGCTGTCTCTCATCTCTTAAGTCTAGCAGTAATCGTTTTATAAATTTGGTAGCTCCAGTGTTAGGTGCATATATATTTAGGATTGTGACATTTTCCTGTTGGACAAGTCTTTTTATCATTATATAATGTCCCTCTTTGTCTTTTTAAAAAACTGCTGTTGCTTTAAAGTTTGTTTTGTCTGATATAAGAATAGCTACTCCTGCTCACTTTTGGACTCCATTTCCATGGAATATCTTTTTCCACACCTTTACCTTATGTTCATGTGAGTCCTAATGTGTTAGGCAAGTCTCCTGACAGCAGATTCTTGGTTGGTGAATTCTTATCCATTCTGCCATTCTATCTCTTTTAAGTGGACCATTTAGGTGCACTTAATTAGGCACAGAGTTCTGTGATGAGAGCTGTTTTCAGGTCTCTCAGCTGAGGATAGCAGCACCTGCACTGGTGGAGGTGGTAGGGGAGTGAAATGAACTCTGTGAGAGTCCTTAGTTATAGTTTTGTTTATTTCCATTCAATGTTAGTATTGAGATGTGAGGTACTATTCTATTCATCATGCTATTTGTTGCCTGAATATCTTGTTGTTGTTGTTGTTTTATTGTGTTTTTGTTTTATAGGTTCTGTGAGATTTATGCTTTAAGGAAGTTCTATTTTGGTGTATTCTGATAATTTCTTTCAACATTAAGAGTTCCTTTCAGCAGTTCTTGTAGTGCTGGCTTGGTAGTGGCAAATTCTCTCAGCATTTTTCTGAAAAAGACTGTCTTTGCTTCATTTATGAAGCTTAGTTTTGCTGGATACAAATTCCTGGCTAATAATTGTTTTGTTTAAGGAGGCTGAAGATAGGGCCCCTATCCCTTCTAGCTTGTAGGGTTTTTGCTGAAAAATCTGCTGTTAATCTGATAGGTTTTCCCTTGCAGGTTACCTGGTACTTTTGCCTCATAGCTCTTAAGATTCTTTCATTTGTCTTGACTTTAGATAACCTGATGACTCTATGCCCAGGCAATGATCTTATTGCAATAAATTTCCCAGGTGCTGTTTGAGGTTCTTGTATTTGGAAATCTAGATCTCTAGCAAGGCTGGGTGGGGAAGTTTTCCTTGGTTATTCCCTCAAATATGTTTTCAAACTTTTAGATTTCTATTCTTCCTCAGGAACACTAATTATTCTTAAGTTTGGTTGTTCAACATAATCCCAAACTTCTTGGAGGCTTTGTTTAGTTTTTGAAATTCTTTTTTCTTTGTCTTTGTTTGATTGGGTTAATTTGAAAACCCCTCTCTCTACTAAAAATACAAATATTAGCCGGGTGTGGTAGTGGGTGCCTGTAGTCCCAGCTACTTGGGAGGCTGAGGCAGGAGAATGGCGTGAACCCAGGAGGCGGAGGTTGCAGTGAGCTGAGATTGCACCACTGCACTCCAGCCTGGGAGACAGAGTAAGACTCTGTCTCAAAAAAAAAAAAAAAAAAAAAAAAAAAAAAAAAAAAAAAAAAAAAAGGAAAACCTTGTCTTTGAGCTCTGCAGTTGTTTCTTCTGCTTGTTTGATTCTATTGCTGAGACTTTCCAGTGCATTTTGCATTTCTCTAAGTGTGTCCTTCATTTCCAGAAGTTGTGGTTGTTTCTTATTTATGCTTTCTATTTTACTGAAGATTTTCCCCTTCACATCTTGTATCTTTTTTTTTCATTAAATTACATTTTAATTTCTCTGATGCCTCCTTGATTAGCTTAATAATCAACCTTCTGAGTTCTTTTTCTGGCAATTCAGGGATTTCTTCTTGGTTTGGATCCATTGCTCATGAGCTACTGTTATCTTTTGGGAGTGTTAAAGAACCTTGTTTTGTCAGGTTAGCAGAATTGTTTTTCTGGTTCCTTCTCATTTGGATAGACTATGTCAGAGGGAAGATCTGGGGCTCAAGGGCTGCTGTTCACATTCTTCTGTCCCACAGGGTGCTCCCTTGATGTAGTACTCTCCCCCTTTTCCTAGGGATGTGGCTTCCTGAGAGCCAAATGGTAGTGATTGTTATTTCTTTTGTATCTAGCCACCCAGAGGAGCTACCAGGTTCCACGTTGGTACCCGGGGGTGTCTGCACAGAGTTCTGTGATGTGAGCTGTTTTCAGGTCTCTCAGCTGAGGATAGCAGCACCTGCACTGGTGGAGGTGGTAGGGGAGTGAAATGAACTCTGTGAGGGTCCTTAGTTATAGTTTTGTTTATTGTACTAGTTTTATGCTGGTTGGCCTCCTGCCAGGAGGTGGCACTTTCAAGAGAGCATCAGCTGTGGTAGTATATGGGAGGATCACATGGTGAGCAGGGGCCCTAGAGCTCCCAAGAGAATGTGTGCTTCAGCTACTAGGGCTAGTAGAGAAAGACTGTCAGGTGAGGGCAGGGTTAGGTGTGCCTGAGCTTAGACTCTCCTTGGGCAGGGCTCACTGTGGCTGCTGTGGGGTGTGGCTCTCAGGCCAATGGAGTTATGTTCCTGGGGGGATTATGGCTACCTCTGCTGTGTCATGCAGGTCGCCAGGGAAGTGGGAGAAAGCTGGCAGTGACCGGCCTCACCCAGCTACTATACAGGCCAGTCTCACTCCCACCATGCCCCAATTTGTTTCCAGGCAGTGGGTGAGCAGAGCTGAGAACTCGCCCCAGCCTACCAGCCTCCCGGCTGTGAAGCAAGCAGGGCTTTCAGGTTGTGTACCTCTCCACCTGCCATGGCTTCTCTGCTGTGTCTGCTCTCCTGATTCACCCCCTCTGCCAAGTTCTGTCCAGGAAACTTTGTGTTCAGTTAAATTGTTATAATGTTCAGCTGGAAGTTCCCTTTTCCTTGTGGTCTTTTCCCAGTTCCCCTGGTAGCCCTCCCCAAGGACCTTTGTGAGACAAAGTCAGAAATGGCTTCCCTGGGGACCGAGAGAGCCCACAGGGCTCTTCCTGATGCTACTTCTGACCCTCTATTTTGCTCTGCTCTCTAGATTTGTCTCTGCTCCAGGTAAGGTCAAATCCTTCTCCTGTGATCTGGACCTTCAGGTTCCCCAGTGAGGGTGTGTCTTCATGGGCGATGATCTCCCTTTCACACTTTGTGCACTCACAGCTTTTGGGCTGTCTCCCAGGGCCTGCAGGAGCAATCTGCTTCCTTCAAAGGGTCTGTGGATTCTCTTGAATTTCCTGATATGTACCTGCAATAGGTCTTGGAGCAAAAGTTCATGATGTGAGTCTCCGCACACTGCTCTGTCTGTCTGAGTGGGAGCTGCAATTTAGTCCTGCCTCCTATTCACCATTTTCCTCCAAGACTCTTATCACTTCTTATTAGGCTCCATCTCTCAACACTGTTGCATTGGAAATTAAGTTTCTAATGCATAAACCTTGGAAGACACATTTGAATAACATTCTGCCCCTGCTTCTTCCACCACATTTATGTCCTTCTCACAATGCAAAATACATCAGTTCCATCCCAATAGCCACGAAAGTCTTAACTTGTTTTCATATCAACTCAAAAGTTTAAAGTCCAGAGTTTCATCTAAATTGGATACAGGTGAGACTCAAGGCACATTTCATCCTGAGGCAGATTCATGTGAGCCTATGAAATTAACTGTGAGCTGTGAGCCTATGAAATTAACAAGTGATAGGCTTCCAAAATAAGTTATGTGCTTCCAAAACAATGCTGGGGCAGGCATAAAATATATGTTTGCATCCCAAAAGGGAGGAATTCCCAACTAAGTCTAAAACCCAACAGGGAAAACAATGTTAAGTCTTAAAGCACCAGAGTAATCTCCTTTGGCTCCATGTCCTGCATCCTGGACACACTGGGGTGGGGATTGGGCCCCCAAGGTCTCTGGTAACCAGCCTCTGGAAATTTCCTAGGCTCGGTCCACCCCGAAGCTCTCACAGGTTGAAGTCTCATGCCTGTAGCTCTTCCAGGCTGATGTTGCAACATGGCAGTTCTACGGTTCTGGGGTCTCAGGAATGGCCCTACTCCCACAGCTCTACTAAGAATTGCCCTCCTGGGGACTTTTTGTGATGACTCTGACCCCATATTTCTGCTTAGCATTGCCCTAACAGGGACTTTCTGAGGTGGTTCTGCCCCTGTAACAAATCTCTGCCTGGCCTCCAGGCTGTCCATAACATCCTTTGTAACCTAGGTGAAGAAAGCCATGCCCCTACTGCTCTTGTATTCTGTACATTTGTAGAATTAGCTCCATGTGGATGCTGTAAAGATTTACAGCTTGTACCTTCCAGAGCAGTGAACTCTGGGGGACACATTCAAACCATAACAATTATCAACCTTGAATTAGTTAATATGATTTATGCAGTTAGATTTTCTAAATGTTAAATAATCCTCATGTCCTCAGATAAATTATATTATTTTATATAAATATACACATACATACATACTTAATTTTATTGTGCATCACTTTATTGTGCTTCATACATGTTGCACTATTTACAGATTAAGGATTTGTGGCAACCCTGTGTCAAGCAACTCTTTTGGCACCATTTTCCCAACTGTATGTGCTCACTTCATGTCTCTGTGTCACATTTTGGTAATTCTCATACTATTTCAAACTTTTTCATTTTTATTATATCTGTTATAGTGATTTATGATCAGAGATCTTTCATGTTACTATTATAATTGTTTTGGGGCATCACAAACCACACCCACAGAAGACAGCAAACTTAATAAATGTGTGTATTCTGACTGTTCCATTGACTGGCTGTTTCTGTTTTCTACCCTCTTTTTGAGCCTTCATATTGCCTGAGACACAATATTGAAATTAGGCCAATTAACAACCTTAACAATGGCCTCTAAGTGTTCAAGTGAAAGGAAGAGTCACATGTTTCTCACTTTAAATCAAAAGGTAGAAATGATTAAGTTTAGTGAGGAAGGCATATCAAAAGCCAAGATAGGCCAAAAGTGAGGCTTCTTGTGCCAAATAGTTAGCAAATTGCAAATGCAAAGGAGAAGTTTATGAAGGAAATTAAAAGTGCTATTCCAGTGAACAAACACACAAATGATAAGAAAGCAAAACAGTCTTATTGCTGATATGGAGATAGTTTGAATGGTCTGGATAGAAGATCAAACCAGCCACAACATTCCTTTAGGCCAAAGCCTAATCTAGAGCAAGGCCCTAACTCTCTCCAATGCTATAAATGCTGAGAGAGGCGATATAGCTGCAGAAGAAAAGTTGGAATTCAACAGAGACTGGTTCATGAGGTTTAAAGAAAAAAGTCATCTCTATAACATAAAATGCAAAGTGAAGCAGCAAGTGCTGATGTAGAAACTGTGGCAAGTTATCTAGAAGATTTAGCTAAAATAATCAATGAAGGTGGATACACTAAACAACAGATTTTCAATGTAGATGAAACAGCCTTCTATTGAAAGAAGATGCCATCTAGGACCTTCATAGCTAAAGAGGAGAAGTCAATGACTAGCTTCGAAACTTCCAAGGGCAGGCAGATCCTTTTGTTAGGGGTTAATACAGCTGATGGCTTTAAGTTGAAGTCAATGCTTATTTACCATTCCAAAAATTCTAGGGCCCTTATGAATTATGCTACATCTATCTACTCTGCCTGTGCCCTATAAATATAAAAACAAAGTGTGTATGATAGTACCTTTATTTACATAATGGTTTACTGAACATTTTAAACTCACTGTTTAGAAATATTGCTCAGAAAAAAAGATTCCTGCTCATTAATAATGTACCTCATCATCCAAGAGCTCTGATGGAGATGTACAAGGAGATAAATGTTGTTTTCATGCTTGCTAATATGACATTCATTCTGTAGCCCATGCATCAAGCAGTAATTTTGATTTTCAATCTTATTATTTGAGAAATACATTTCATAAGGTTATAGCTGCCATAGATAATGATGCCCTGATGGATTTGAGCAAAGTAAATTGAAAAACTTCTGGAAAGGCTTCACCATTCTAGAAGCCATTAAGAACATTTGTGATTCACTTGAAGAGGTCTAAATACCAACATTAATAGGAGTTTGGAAGAAGTGAATTCCAATCCTCATGGATGACTCTCAGGGGTTCAAGATTTCAATGGAGGAAGTCACTGCAGATATGGTAGAAATAACAAGAGAACTAGAATTAGAAACGGAGCCTGAAGTTGTGACCGAATTGCCGCAATCTGATGACAAAACTTGTATGGATGAGGAGTTTCTTCTTATGGATGAGCAGAGAAAGTGGTTTCTTGAAATGGAATCTATTCCTGTTGAAGATGCTGTGAACATTGTTAAAATGACAACAAAGAATTTAGGATATTCCGTAACTATAGTTGACAAAGCAGCATTAGGGTTTGAGAGGACTGTAAATTCGAAAGAAGTTCTACTGTGGATAAAATGCTATCAAATAGCACTGCATGGTATAGGGAAGTCTTTTGTGAAAGGAAGAGTCCATCAATGGGGCAAACTTCATCGTTGTCTTATTTAAATAAATGCCCACAGCCACTCCTACCTTCATCACCCATCAACATGGCTGCCATCAACATGGAGGCAAAAAACCGTATCAGCCAAAAGATTATGACTTGGTGAAGGCTCAGATGATTATTAGCCTGTTTAAAGCAACTAAATATTTTTAAAATTAAATATGTACATGGTTTGTTAAAACATAATGCTATTGCACACTTAACACACTATACTCTGGTGTAAACATAACTTTTATATGCACTGGGAAACTAAAAAATTTGTGTGACTCTCTTTATTGTGAATTTGCTTTATTGTGGTGGTCTGGTACTAAAGCTGAATTATCTCCAATATGTGCCTGTATTTTCCTTACACATTTCTTGACTCAATTTGCTATATTGTATTTAGATTTTTTTTTTTGTGGATATATATCTGCAATTTTTAAAAACATATTTTCTATGTTGAGTGTAGGTAGCCTAATACTAATCTCATAACATAAATTGTGGAGCTTTCATTCTTAAATAAATATAAGAAAAAAATTGATCAAAATAGAAAAAAGCAAAATTAAATCAAAATAGGACAAAAATCCTGTGGCACATAAAAAATGTAATATACAACTGTAAAAGCAGGCTACATATAGCAATAATTACACTAATATAAAAGAATTAAACTCATTTGTTGAAAGAGATATAACTTCTTTACAAAATGAACACCTTCAATATAGTGACACAAAAAGTTTAAAAGCAAAAAGATAGAAAAAGATATACTAGGAAAACCATAACCAAATTAAAGCTGGTATAGCAATTAATATTGATTAAACAAAATGGACATTAAAACAGGTGCTACTGGGGGACCATGAGCATTATTACAGAATAATAAAAGTAATAACAATTTATAAGAAAATATAACAATCCAGAACCTGTATGTGTATAACAATATAGTATCAAACTAGATAAAGTGAAAATTAGGATAATTATAAAAATAAATGAACAAGCACACACACAATGGTAAGCAAACAAAGCAACTTGATACTACTGAGCTGTTGAGCACAACTGTCTGGAAGCTACACTTTCTCTAGAGCTCTAATTAATAGAGATAATACATTTCCTAATTTCAAAGCCCATTTGAATTAAAGTTTTGATACCTGCAGTCAAGTATCTTAACTGATGCACAGTGCTGTGGGTCCTACAAACTCAAGTAGTTCAGGTTTTAATATCTAGATGACTCTTTGTCCTTGCCATCCAGAGTTTGAGATAAAGACTAAACTTTCTTTTTTTGCATTTTTATCATTTTATTTGATTTTCTAGAGTTGTAATCTTATCCCTAAATCACAGATGAAAAAAATGAGGTTAAAAAGTTATGAAGGACCAAGGCTTATATATTGGAATGTGATTCTTTGTTGCTATGCAATTGTGAGTTATAGCATGAATTATTTAGCCTTTTCTCTGACCATTTTATTTAATAATTTTTTTTGTTAAAAAAATGGCATTGCAGTGTAGACCTTGGAATAAATACCATTGAGAGGAGGAAATAACCAAAAATATCCATAGGGAAAATGACTGTTCTTCAGAATACAAAGTCTAAGCTCAACCCTATAAATGATTTTTATTCTCAAGTTGTATATTCTTAGTACTTGTACAGCAGATGTCTGACTCACTTTGCTATACCGTTAGCAGTTGTACTAGTTATCTACTGTCATGTAACAAATTACCTCAACATTTAGCAGTTTAAAACAGCAAACCTTATTTCACAATTTCTTTGGGTGAGGAATCCAGATGCATCTTAGTTGGGTCTGCTGGGTCAGGTTCTCTTGTTGGGCTACAAGGAATGTGTCTGGTGGGACTGCAGTCATCCCAAGACTCCACAAGGGGGAAAGTTGACATGTAGGCTCCCTCACATGGCTATAGACAGAGCTCAGATTGATAAAGACCAAACTTTCTAACTACTTCTCTAGACTAGAGGTATGGGAGTGAAATGGGATCTTTCTGGTTCTCTCTACATGGACATAGAAACCCTTAAAGCTTCTTACATTTACAGGTCTTGGCTTCATTTCCCTATTTTGGCTGACCCCGTCCCGGAGATGGCCTTAGGTTTCCATGTCCCAGCCCCTTGAGCTCACATCTAGGTACAGTGCCCTCGTAGTCCTTCTCTGTGGGCCTATTTGGAGTGTACTGCTTTGGCTCTGAATTTCTTCTTTGCTTTCAGTACTTAAAGACTTCACTTTCTTTCCAGCCTGGCTATGTGTGTAAATGTTTTTCTTGGTTATATATTTATATGGCATTTTTATGTAGAGGCCTCAGGGAGGCAGGCTTAAGCCCGTCTGCCTTGTTGCCAGATCTGTCTCATGGTTTCCATTTTTATAGACTGGGGAACTGAGGTGTTGAGACCTCAGTCTTGCAGTCTTGCTCTAGGGAGCCAGAAGTCACCCAAGCATTTACTAGTAAGTGAGTCTAGAATACAGTTTTCACTTTCGTACTCAGTGCATATTCCACTGAGTACAGACTGAGGAGGTAGTATTATTAATAACATTAGTAATAATTAATATTATTACTATAATATCACTTATTAATAAGTGATATTATTAATAAGTTAAACACAGGCATGTACCAGAAACAATGCTGTGAACAAAATGGTGCCCAACTCCAGGCATGATGAACAATAGCTTGTACATGATGAACATAATAAGTGTATGGGAGAGTAGCTTACATTCATTTGCCTTAGAGCCTCAAGGGCAGCTATCATTCTTTATCAAAAGAAACAAAGTGTTGTGCATGACCAAATTGTCTTAGGTCAGTTACCAATAGTCATATGAGGCTTGAGGTGTTAATTGGACATTCAAGGGGAGATGTCTAGTAGTCAGCTGGTTGGTGCATGTAGATAAGAAAGATAAAAGGGCTAAGGACAGATCCCTGGGGCTGTGCAACATGCACAAATTGAGGAGACAAAGAGGAACTAGCAAATGAGACTGAGAAGAAGTGACTAGTGAGGTAGAAGGAAAACAGAGAATGGTATCCAAAAAGCAAAGTGAGGAAAGAGGGAGGGAGTAATCAACAATATTAAATGCTGCTGATAGATCGAGTAAGATAAGACTGAGAAGTAGCATTGGTTTTGGACAACATGGAGGTCATTAGTAATTCCGATTAGCACAGTTTTGGTGGAATGTTGGGGATATTGGCCTAATTAGGATGGGTTCAAAAGGAAAGGATGAGAGAAAGTGCAGAAAATGAGTGTGCGAAACTCTTCCAAAGTTTTGCTTTGTGATAACCATATAGCTGGAAGGAGACATGGAGTCCAGGGAACATACTTTTTTGTTAAATATGAAAGATATTACAGTGCTTCAGTATAATGATGGAAATGATCCTTTAAAGAGAAAAATATAACGATGCAGGGGAGAATAAGATAAATTGCTAGAATGATGTCCTTCTATAAGTGAGAGGGAATGAGATACTGTGGATAAATGGAGAGGTTGGCCTTAGATTAGGAGCGCAAATGGAATTATTGTTGTCAACCATTGGTTCACGAGCCAACCAGAATCAAGGAAGGGCTATGAGTTTCATTCTGCTTAGGACTATTCAAACACCACTGACCCATGACAACAGCACTCCTGTTCCTCACCACACATATCATAATTGTCCTTTAACTCTCTGAATGCTTCGAAGACTAGCAAGATATTAAGCTGGTTACTTTTTTTTTTTTTTTTGAGATAGAGTCTTGCTCTGTTGCCCAGGTGGGAGTGCAGTGGCACAGTCTTGGCTCACTGCAACCTCCACCTCCTGGGTTCAAGCAGTTCTTCTGCCTCAGCCTCCCGAGTAACTGGGATTACAGGCGTGCACCACCACTCCTAGCTAATTTTGTATTTTAAGTAGAGACGGGGTTTTATTATGTTGGCCAGGCTGGTTGAGAACTTCTGATCTCAATTGATCCACCCGCCTTGGCCTCCCAAAGTGCTGGGATTACAGGTGTGAGCCACTGTGCCAGGCCAGTTACTTCTGTTTTAAAAAATCCCAAAAAGAAGTTAATCCACATGGGCTGGGGAGAGGATATCAGTCAAATACTGGGACTTGGCTTTAAATTCCAGCAGCTGGACACATAGAGAGTGTTTGCATACTTACCTAAAGAGAAAGGCTGGTGAGGGGTCCCTGCGCTTCTGGACAGCGGGACCCCATTCAATTATGTGAGTAGAACAAGAAGTTTAAATGTAATTCTTAAGATTGGTCCTTGCAAATTTCACTCCAGGATGTGACATTATTTATTGGAAATTAATTGGGTACTGGTTCTATGCCAGCGCTTGGGGAAAAATGATGAGTGGGCATTGTCTTTACATCTTCAGAACTCAGAGCCCCGTGGGAAGTCAGACACCTACTTCATGGGGCAGAGTGAGAAAAGCTTCCAGTATAGATGTGAGAAAAGGGCTAAGAAGCTCAGGGGAAGCAACTGTAGGACTTGGAGTTAATGGTGGAGGGGTGACAACCTCTACTGATTAATGAGGAGGAGAATGAAGAAGGCATGGCTTGTGCTGGCTTGGCAGTAAGAATGCCCAAGCCAGCAGCTTCAAGGCTAATTAAGTGAAAAATGATGCAATAGATTTGTTTGCTTCCAGCCAAGTGGAACTTGGTCAATGTGAAAAACCAACGAGTTTTAAATTTCTCCACTTTGAGCCTAGTAGATGATTTCTGTGCTTTGAGCCTACTAGATGATTTCAGCCTCTTCCTCCAAACATGCACTCTGATGTTGAAATGTTATATTATTTAAATATTTAAAATGCATAGCTGCAACTAGGCAAATGAGACTGCACCACCCACAATAAAGTATGATGGTCACCCTTGGGTGTGTGGAAGTAGAGGGGGAGGTGGGGGCGTTGAAAGGGTGACAGAAAATAGCACGGTTGAATCTGTTTAGGTAGGTCATTCTAGTTGTGCCAAAGGGGATAAATTGCAATGAGTAAAACAAGAAGCCAGGGGCCTAAGAGGAGGCCACAGTGCTTGTTCAGGCAAGAACTGGGGATGGAGGTGGTAAAGTAGAGGAAGAAACATTTCCAGGAAGTAGACAGGACCTGGGATCCTATTTCACTCATGACAAATCTGCAGCACAAAAATTGATGACAGTTGTTTCATAATGAGGTTCAGACCTCAAACTCAAGCAGTTTACTGAGTTTGCTGAATTCAAACAGTTTCCTACCAAATCCTGCATTTTAATTTAATTTTAACAAAAACCTTAAAAATGGCAATAATCTGCTAAGCCCCATGTATGTTTGGTTTTGGGGTTACAAAGAGGAAGAAGGCATAGATCTACCTCTGAGGATCCTCAGTCTCATCTGGTCTAGTGGGGACAGATACATGAACCATGATCACAGTAGTGTAGGAGAAACGTGGCTATGTTATGCATAATATGTTGTGGGTGCAAAGAGGACAGCCCAGGCCTAAACTTCCCAGTGGAGTCAAGGAAGGATTTCATAATTTCAAAGGATGAGTAGTAGCTTTCTAAATGATGGATCGGGGCAAGAAGGGGATCTTAGACAAAGGGAAAAGTATGGGCAAAGGCACGGAGATGTGGCAGTGTGTATCATGACCAGAGGCATGTGGCATAATGGTAGACAGTGGGGACTGGAGTTAGATTGTGTTTAAATTCTGGATCTTTCAATTCTATGACCTTGTGCAAGTTATTTAACTTCCTGTGGCTCAGTTTCCTCATCTGTTGAATGTTGTTATTAATACATAGGGCTATTATGAGGGTTAATAATACTACCTGTAAATTACTTAGAACAGTTCCTGGTATGTTGTAAATTCTCAATGAATGCTAGCAGTTATTATTTGAAAACATATTTGGGAGTTAAAGAAAGAGGGATGCGGAAGACTGGAGGGTGTAGCTATTTGCTGTTACTGCTTTTTCTTTAGAATATTAATGGGTGTCAAATACCACAGAAGAGAGGGCTCCTAGGACCAGACAATGCTTTAGTAAAAAAGAGACATTAAATTTTTTAGGACTTGGAGGAAGAAATTTGAACTCCAAAACAAATGGTGAAACCTGGTCTTTAGTCCGGGGCGTTTCAGTCCATCCTCTGGAGCAAATCGACTAATTACACATTGCCACAGTTCAACAGCTGGATTCAAACAACATATTCCTCTGTGAAGCCATTCCTCACTCTCACTGATTTTAAGGACAAGGCTTGTCTAATAAATTGGAAGAAATAATAAAACATGAGCCCCCAGTGTGGCCTCTTCCTGGGTACAGAACAGTGCATTGGGTTTCATTGAGCCTCCCTTTCAATCTGTGCAAACTAATGGTTCCCCTTTATTCCCCAAGTTATACTTAACAACAATTGTGTTGGGGAAATGCTGGTCTAGTTGAGACCCCCAGGCCTCCAGTAAAGGAAAGAACTGAAAAGTGCTGAGATTATTTACTCATTTGACTTGTACAACAGTTTCTCTTTGGGGCATTTTGTTAGTCAAGTTTCTGAATCAATAATTTCTGCTTTTGGGGGGATAAGAGGATGACCATTGTGGAACTTCTCTTTGTATTTATATTAAGAGGCATCAATGACTAATGAAAGTGCATTTTTTTTCCTCCCATCACCTCTACTTTCCCATTCTAGACCCATCAATGTTGGCCAAATCTCACTAGAGTTTCTTAGTTGGTGAGAAGCATTCACCACACTCTGTCTCTACTGGGTCTCTGGGGACTGGAAACAAAACAATGAATTGAAGAAGCATAAAATAAATGTGTTAAACACCTTCTCTGTGCTGTGTTCCCAGCTAGGCACTGTGAGAAATAATAGTAGCTACCAATGTATTGAGTGTTTGCATATGTGTGCATGTGTGTACATGCCAGCCTCTAAGCACTTTACATTCATATTCTCATTTAATCTTCACAAGTCTGTGAGGTAGGAATTGTTATGTCCAATTTACTGATGAGGAGGCTGAAAGTAAGAATTTAAATAATGTATTCAAGGTCATTATTTAGGCAGACGCAGTATTAGGACTTGAACACAAGTCTTGCATATTCCAAAGGCCTCTTCCTTAACCACTGTGATACCCTGCCACCCTGATGCTAAAGAAGCACAGGCTTGGTCCTTGTCTACCTGGGAGACATTGTGTTAGTTTTTATTGACTCTTATAGGAAAAACCTCCAGGGGTTAACATTGGCCAGAACCTTGATCTTGGACTTTTAGCCTTCAGACTGTGAGAAAGTCAATTTCTGTTGTTTAAATCACCCAGTTTATGGCATTTTGTTATGGCAGCCTGAGCAGACTAACACAGATTTTGGTACTGGGAGTGGGGTTAAATGAGACTGTCCAGAGCCTTGGGGCAGGACCTCCCTGCAGAGCCATGGGTAGGACCACTGTCTAGGAATATAGGGGTGATGCTGCTACCCCACTGGGCCTGAAGCACAGAGCATTCAGCCAAAGAGGATTTTCTCAAGCCTCAAGATTAAATGGTATTTGCCCTGCTAGGTTTTGGACTTGTTTGGGACCAGCCACTCCTTCTTTCTTTCCTACTTCTCCCTTTTGGAATGGAAATGTCTATCTTAAGCCTGTCCCATCATTGTATTTTGGAAGCCCATAACTTGTCTAGTTTTACACGTTCACAGCTAGAGAGGAATTTTGCCTCAGGATGAATTGCCTTCAGTCTCACCCATACCTGACTTAGATTCTGGCTGTATAGATAGTGTCAGGGACTGGGGTGTGGTTTAGAAACATATGCAGTAGAATAAAACAAGAACTGACAGGCCTGCTGCTCAGGGCAGATGACGGAGAAAGACAGATGGACTCGTGGGAGCATTTGCATAGACTGATGTAGATTTCTCCTGATTTAATTGTCACAAAACAATAAAAGGCAGGAAGTAGTAGTTACCCATGTTACGGACAGTGAAGCTGATGTCTTTGGAGAGGTGAAGGGACTTTGCAAGGGTTGGGAAGGGACATGGACACCCGATCCAGTGCTTATCCCCTGAGTATCCTGGCTGCTCAACACTTACGTAGCAAGTGAGAATGCTTAGGAGATGGGGAAGAATGTGTGTAGCAAGAGAATTGTTCACCTGATTGAGGTGGCTTTAATCTGGAATTCAGGGATAAGGAGAAAAATATCAGACTACCAACTATTAACTGCAGAGGACAAGGAGTGTGACATTGAAATAAGAATAGTGGAAGTGTCATTATTCTAAGGAGGAGGAAACAAAGTGTGATAAAAACAGTACCTATAGCTTCAGACTTGGGTCTAGTATTGTGCAAGATATGGAGGATAAATAAAGAAATGTCAACATTTTAATACAAAGTAATATGACAGAATGATTTCTGAGAATACATCAGCACAAAGAACTTGGATGAGGAAGCAAAATTGTGGGGTGGAGGCAGGAGGATACCTAGGGGATCAAAGTAACCATACGCAGGGGTCCAGATGAGCTCAGATATTTAAAGACCATGTATGAGAGATGGAAAGATGGCCAAATAACCAGGGAAACAAGAGAGGTACAGATGTACAAAAATAGTATCAGAATGGGTAAAGCCTAGGATGAGCTGCAGCTTGCAAAATTGTTATGAATGGAAAGAAAAATTTTTTTGAAGTTACTTTTGAAATCAGAAGTGGAAATAAGGGTTGAATGATAGGCCCACTGCTTGGGGCAGATGGGATCATGTTAACAGGTGACAGAGTGGGCAGTGTTATTTTGCCTCTGTATTCTCTATCAAGATGATAGAGAATCTATCCTTAAAACCAAAAAGAGCAGAACAAACATGATTAAGAGTGAATTGAAAACTAAAACAGGTGAGGCGACAGTACAGCATGGTTCTGAATGAGCTCAAACCCAGATGAATTACTTCCAAGGGAGCTGGAACTCAGAAACACTGTCCTGAACTCAAGAATGATGGAGAATGCAGAGGCCACACTACTGTGTGCCTCCCATCCTCCTGAAAGGGAAAAGGATTAGGTCTCAAGACCTGATATCGACACTTGACAAGACTCCAGAGCCTATTGTTAAGTAGAAGTTGGCTTAGCAGAGGGAATGGTGTTCCCTTGGAACTGGCATGAGTTCATTAAAAACAGGTGAGGGAGGTCAGGAGATCGAGACCATCCTGGCTAACATGATGAAACTCCATCTCTACTAAAAATACAAAAAATGAGCCAGGCATGGTGGTACGCGCCTGTAGTCTCAGCTACTCGGGAGGCTGAGGCAGGAGAATCACTTGACCTGGAAGGCAGAGGTTACAGTGAGCTGAGATCATGCCACTGCACTCCAGCCTGGGTGACAGAACAAGACTCTGTCTCAAAACAAACAAACAAACAACAACAACAACAACAACAAAAACCAGGTGAGGCAAGTGGAGGAACCCACACTCTTTTTGTGAGGAGGAACTAGGTTAGCAAATGAGACAAATGACGTAGCCAAGATGTTGATGTGGTTCCTCAGAATGTACCTGTGGAGGTGAAGAAATGTGGCCTGCAAGATATCTCTAGAAGGAAGGGAGTTGAGTGCCCATTTCTGATGTGTCTTGGTAAACAACCTGAGAGCTGTGGTCTCTGAGGAGGCTCCATCTTCTCAATCGGCTTTCTGAGCAAGTGGAGATAGAAGATAAAAGAGTAAGCATGTGAGAGCCAAAATATCACCTTTATTACTGATAAAGGCTAAGCTGGAGGACTTAGCATAGTGTGAGAGCCAATTAAACCCCTCAACTAGACAGACGTATCTGTTCAGCCACAGGCAGCATGGACGAAGGCAGGCTTCCCAGGGAGAAGAGCAGAGCTCATATTCTCCATAGCTGACCCTTCCAACAGAAATAAAAGAAGTAGCTAAGATGAGAATGACCAGATTATTCCTCTCAAATTCACGAATCAGATTAAGCCATACTTTTCTCCCAGGGAAGAGCAATGGGTGGTGGGAGATGCCAGGAGTGACACAACTGCACATGAAAGGAAAGAACAGGAGCCAACAGAAGCGTCCCCCAGTAGATGTCATCCTTCCACGCTGTCCCAGTTGCACCTCAGTGTTACTCTGTTTACTTGTCGCCTCCTTTGCCAACTACCTCCCTCAGTCACTTCCTGGCACATTGAGGTCCTCCATAAATATGGAATGGATAATATTATTTGAAATATTTATTTTTAAACTGGCTTATTTTTATTTTTGATAGGTCCTGGTTGCTCCTAGTTCCTAATTGCCTCAAGGGCCCCTGCTGATGAAATCAATAGTATTCGTTGCTTCTGGAAGAAGACAGCTTAGCAAAGGGTTCACTACTCAGTTTTGTTTCAAAGTAGAATTTTGTTTTAAAATACAGTCTAACCCACAGCAGAGACAGTAGTCTGACAACTATTTTGCAAGAACTAGACTGATAAGCTGTGTTGACATCCAGAGAAACACACTTGGCCTCTTTTTATTCTTGTTGTAAGTGGGATAACTTGGACTAGAATTGTTTTCATAATTCTGAGTGTCAGGGATCCTAGACTGGCCAGGTTAGCTTGGTTGAGGGGTGCATTTGCTAAGACCAAGGTAAAGGATTATGTTCTCATGTACTGGAGCTGATGGGAAGAAAAGCTAACAGAACAAGCCCTCTGCTCCAATGTCATGTCCAGTTAATGGTAGAAACTTAATGTACCAGATCCAGATTGGAACTCAGGCTCTGTTTGTATGATCTCAGGCAATCTACTTAACCTTTATGAGTCTTTGTGATAAAATGGTGATAAAAGCCTTACTTTTGTGAATGCTCTCCCATGGCTCCCTTAACTGCTGCCAGCCTGCCCACACCAGCAGCTGCGGGTACCATATAAGTCCAACCCTAAACCTTGGCTTAGGGAGCCTCCAACTGTTGACTTCTTTCCATCCCCTTCAACTGTTCTCATATGGAGAGTTCCCTGGGCAAGTCACCCTCTCGGCTGGACATCTCTCTTGTCTTGGCAGGCCCAGTGGGATTTGGTGACCCTACCTCAGCCTAGCACTTTGGTTCTGGCCACATACCCTCATAAGATAGCACATCAACAGGCCCAACCAGCCTCCTGGGTCACTGTGAACCAGGCTTACTGAATGTCCTGGCTTCTGCCTTTCTAGGAGGGAGGTCAGATGATTCACAGGATTGCCACAAAGGGTAAATGAGATTTTATAAAGCACTGTGCTTGATAAACAGTGGATACTTAAAAATGTTGGTTCCCATTCTTTCACAGTTATTGTGAGCAAGATGATGTCTCTTCTTATTTAAAATTCAACATTTCAAGAGGAATGGAGAGAGGGGAGACCTCTTGGGTGAAAAGAGCCAGAGAAGCAAAATGCTTTTCTTTTTATCTTAGCTGAAATTTATCACATAATAGCTACTTGGCCTACTGACTGCTTAGTCACTTAATCTACTGTCACCTCCATTAGTCACTGCTCCTGGCTAATTCTTATCACATTTATTATTTCTTTTGTTTATTTTTAAATCTATTCTTATTGCCATTAGAAAAACCAAGTTGGATGCCAGCAAAGCAAAGTGAGAAGAACCTGCAGGAGAGATGACATCTTAGGATCAGGTGAACCATCAGTAGAAGATTTCAAAATTAGAAATAGTGCTCTGTTGCACAGGGGATGAATCAGAGGCCAAAGGAAGATGGACAAGGTTTGGTCCTGAAGAATCCATGAGGACAAATGCTTTAGTTTGACGCAGGCAAGGATGGGATCTGATGGGAGGGCCCCAGGCCAAGCTATTTGTGTCAGTGTAGTTCTTCAGGACAGGCTCACATAGTAGCTTTGCAAAACTGATGCGGAAGAATGTCATAGGGTTTCTGGCCAACCTGAAGAAGAGTGTTAATTCTGATGCCTCTCAGGCAGGGCTGGTTTTATGGCAGTTGAACAGGGTCCTACTCTCAGGAGGAGCCAGACACTTGGCTTAATGCTCAGCTGTCATCATCTTGAAATTCTAAATAATTTTGTCTTTGAACTTGTGTTTTGTAAGAAAACCTGATGGTACAATGGAACATGCATATGAGCAGAGGAGAGATGCCAGCAGCACACGTGCAGGGTAGGCCCAGGCTCCTCAACACAGTAGGCTGGCCCAGCCATCCCACACACATGGCTGGAGCTGTCTAGGTGCTGCAGAGCCCAGAGGGGTTGGCCAGGCCAGGACCTAGGCCCAGATGATGATGGTGGTGGCAGCAATAACATAAGCAGCAGCAGTAGTGATGTGGCTATAAGAGAGAGGAGAACACTATAGGGAGGTAGTGATGGGGTCTCCAGTGGGAGGTTGGCTTGTCTGTTCATCCCTAGTCTGTCCCTGTGGCATCTGTACAGATATTAACTCTCCAGCCTGAGCACCAGAATAGGAACTGCAGGTGCACATGCAGTAAACTTTGTCAGCAAATTATACAAATTATACAAAATAAAAGTATACACATGGACATTGCAATAAGGCATACAAGAGAGTTACTACAATTCTTCAAAAAGTTGAGAACTTTTGGGCTTGAAAACTGCTTCAGATTGCAAAGGAAGCTCCACAGGTTTAGAAATAGAAATTGAATTTAAAGATCATATATTCAAGGGAAAAGAACACTATTTTCACATGATACTCAGGCTGAATCAATTATTAGTGAGGGAGACAATTTAAAAATTAATTTTTCCTTGTATTTGAAGACACAGCTGTTTTGAATGATACACAAATCATATTGCCACCTTCAGTTTCTTGTACATCTTCTACAAGTTACAAAAAAATTTCAAAAAAAATTAAAAAAATAAAAATAAAAATAAATTTCAGAGGAAACATTAAAATGCCATGATAAAAATTTCCATTGAAAATTAAATTCAGATGTACACAAAAACTTAATTGAATGAAGAGTTAAATCTTTTCAGAAACATTGTTTTGCAAAAATCATCAGCTCTAGATGTACTAAAACTTATATTTTGAAATAATTTCGCAGAAATGTATTCTAATGTTGTCATAAACTATAAAACACTCTTAATAGTTCCAGTAACAGTTACATCAGCATAAATCCTTCTCAGAATTAAAAATTATCAAAAATTATGTGTGATCTTGCACTTGCCAAGAAAGAATGTTGCTCTCAATTATATCAATTGAAAATGAAGTTTCTATAAATTTCAGTATGTGAAGTTGCTACAAACCTAATATATGAATTTCCAGAAAAATGAGCCAGAAAAATCTCATGGCCAATCAAAATATCATGCTAGTTGTTATTATTTATTGTGTTATGTAAAATTATTATGCCAACATATTTTATTTGTGCTATTTG
Organism: Homo sapiens; assembly: GCF_000001405.40. Lineage (NCBI taxonomy): Eukaryota > Metazoa > Chordata > Mammalia > Primates > Hominidae > Homo > Homo sapiens. Next base: position 165,999,807 of record NC_000001.11, read on the forward strand.
TAAATTTATATTGTTATACAGGTATCACTATTACCCCATTGTGTTTTATAATTAATACAACATTTTTTCCTAAAACAATATTTTTAAAGGAAAAAGCTTGATATCTTAGTATGTTTAGCTGCACACTTGCCACCCCCTGCTTTTCGAATAAGGAGCCTGACATTTTTATTTTGCACTGGCCCCACAAGATATATGGCTAGTCCTGCTCTCAGGGCTATTTCTCAGCTGGCCTTAGGTTTCATTGTAGAAAAAGGATCATTTTTCTTGCCTGCTTTGATAAAAGACTTGAGTGAATTCTTATAGAAGATAGAGCTATGGGGATGGCATAGTGATAAGCAGGTGGCCTCTTCTCAGAGGCGAGCACCAGGAGACATGGAGTCAAGAGCCGACTCTTCAACATTGAAAGCGCAGACCTAGCACAGGGTCTGGCACAGGCTCAACGAACATTAGTTGAATGAAAGGGTTATGGATGCCATCATCAGAACAGGGGAGGCTCAGTATGTGAAAAAATATTCAAAGACAGAGAACCAATCAAAGGCAGAGGGGACAGGATGAAAACCGGTATGCTGACTTAGTTTCATATAGAGTTTTCTCAGAACACTCATTCTGAGATACTAATAGGGCTCTTATAAAATCAGGGTGCAATGGCAGAGGAGGTTTGGGAATCTATGTTAAACCAACGTAGACAGGTTTTGTTTGTTTTTAACTGCAGTGTTATCAGCATCGCTAACATTCTGATGTGCACTGTGATTCTCCAAGAGAGGGATATACTATGTTGTCTTTTCTCTGGTTGATGACTATGGAATCTTTATTGGGCAGATGCTGCTCCTCAGACGCAGTCTGAGAAATGCTATTTGGCTACCTTCCTTTCTGATTTCTTCTGGGTAGGATCTCTAACAAATGACCAAGAAGTGGTGCCCAAATCATTCAGGACCAAAGTCTTAGATCCAAGCTGGAGTGCAGGGCCAGCTTTTGATTATGGAACCAGGCAACATGGTGCAGGGCAATGAGCGTGGATCTGGGGCCTGGGAACTGGATTCCTCTTGTCTTCTTAGCTGTGTGATATTAGATAAGTCACCGAGCCTCACTGAGTCAGTTTGCCCAGCTACAAAATGGCAATAATAAAACCTGTATTATAATTATTGAAGGAATTATTAGAGACCTAAATAAGAAAATGTATGTGACACAGCTGAGTACAAGGCCTGATATGTAATAGCTGTTCAGTAAATTTTTGATCTCAAATTTCTGCTGTTAACCTATTTTAACTTGTAGGTGGTTTGCAAATATCTTTGAGGTAGCAGAATCCAGAGTCATTAATTCAGATGGCTCTTTCAAGAAAACCAACTTTGAAACTGGGTATTAGCCATGCTATTCTCATTGGAGCTCAGAGGCTGAGCACAAGGAGCTTATTTTCCATAAGCTCTACTTTTAAACTTTTTTTTGTTAATTTTTAAATATTTTATTGTATTAAGAACACTTAACATGAGAGTTACCCTCCTGACATATTTTTAAGTGTACAATAGGGTATTGCTAACTATAGGTACAATGTTATATAGCACATCTCTAGAACTTATTCATCTTGCATAACTGAAGCTTCTATGAGCTCAACTTTTATTTTTAAATTTTGTGTATTTTTGACTTTTATGTTAGGTTCGGTGTACATGTGAAGGTTTGTTACACAGGTAAAGTTGTGTCATGGGCCTTTGTTGTACAGATTATCACCCAGATATTAATCCTAGTTCCTGATAGTTATTTTTTTCTGATCCTTTCCCTCCTCCCAGCCTCCACCCTCAAGTAGACCCCAGTGTCTGTTGTTCTCTTGTGTTCATGAGTTCTCATCACTTAGCTCCCACTTATAAGTGAGAACATGTGGTATTTGGTTTTCTGTTCCCGTGTTAGTTTGCTGAGGACGATAGCCTCCAGCTTCATTCATGTTCCTGCAAAAGACATGATCTCATTCTTTTTTATGGCTGCATAATATTTCATGGTGTATATGTACCACATTTTCCTTACCCAATCTGTCAATGAAGGGCATTTAGGTTGATTCCATGTCTTTGTTATCAAGAATAGCATTGCAGTGAACATTCACATGCATGTGTCTTTGTGGTAGGATGATTTATATTCCTCTGGGTATATACCCAGTCATAGGATTGCTGGATTAGATGGTAGTTCTGTTTTTAGCTCTTTGAGGAATTGCATACTGCTTTCCACAATGGTTGAACTAATTTACACTCCCACCAACAGTGTATAAGTGTTCCCTTTTCTCTGTGTAAGGGAACACTTATACACTGTTGGTGGGAGTGTAAATTAGTTCAAACTTTTTTGACTTTTTAATAATGTTTTGACTTTTTAATATTTTTTGACTTCTTAATAATAGCCATTCTGACTGGTGTGAGATGATATCTCATTGTGGTTTTGATTTGCATTTCTCTAATGATATTGAGCTTTTTTTCATATGCTTGTTGGCTGCATGTATGTCTTCTTTTGAAAAGTGTCCATTCATGTCCTTTGCCTACTTTTTAATGAGGGTTGTTTGCTTTTCTTTTATAAATTTGTTTAAGCTTCTTATAGATGATGGATATTAGACCTCTGTCAGATGCATAGTCTGCAAATATTTCCTCTCATTCTGTAGGTCATCTGTTTACTCTGTTGATAGTTTCTTGTGCTGTGCAGAAGCTCTTAAGTTTAATTAGATCTCATTGTCAATTTTTCCTTTGGTTGCAATTGCTTTTGGTGTCTTTGTCATGAAATCTTTGCCCATGCCTATGTCCAGGATCATATTGCCTGGGATGTCTTCCAGGTTTTTATAGTTTTGGATTTTACATCAGAGTCTTTAATCCATCTTGAGTTGATTTTTGTATATGGTGTAAAGAAGGGGTCCAGTTTCAATTTTCTGCATATGGCTAGCCAGTTATCCCAGCACCATTTATTGAATAGGGAGTCTTTTCCCCATTGCTTGTTTTTGTCAGCTTCATAGAAGATCAGATGTTGTAGGTGTGTGGCCTTATTTCCAGGCTTTCTGTTCTGTTCCACTGGTCTATGTGCCTGTTTTTGTTCCAGTGCCACACTGTTTTGGTTACTGTAGCCCTGCAGTATAGTATAGTTTGAAGGTGGGTAACGTGATGCCTCCAGCTTTGATCTTTTTGCTTAGGATTGTCTTGGCTATTCAGGCTCTTCTTTGGTTCCATATGAATTTTAAAATAGTTTTTTTCTAGTTCTGTGAAGAATGTCATTGGTAGTTTGATAGGAATAGCATTGAATCTGTAAATTGCTTTGGGCAGTATGGTCATTTAAATGACACTGATTCTTCTTATCCATGAGCATGGCATGTTTGTGGCTTCTGATTCCTTTGAGCAGTGTTTTGTAACTCGCATTGTAGAGATCATTCACCTCCCTGGTTAGCCATATTCCTAGGTATTTTATTCTTTTTGCGGCAATTGTGAATGGGATTGCCTTCCTGATTTGGCTCTCAGCTTGGCTGTTGTCGGTGTAGTGATATTTGTACATTGATTTTGTGTCCTGAACCTTTGCTGAAGTTGTTTATCAGCTGAAGGAGCATTTGGGCTGAAACTATGGGGTTTTCTAGACATAGAATCATGTTGTCTGCAAACAGGAATAATTTGACTTCCTCTCTTTCTATCTGGATGCCCTTTATTTTTTTCTCTTGCCTGATTCCTTTGGGTATGACTTCCAATATTATGTTGAATAGGAGTGGTAAGAGAGGGCATCCTTGTCTTGTGCCGATTTTCAAGAGGAGTGCTTCCAGCTTTTGCCCATTTGGTATGATGTTGGCTGTGGGTTGGTCATAGATGGCTCTTATTATTTTGAGATATATTCCTTCAATTTCTAGTTTATTGAGCATTTTTAACACAAAAAGATGATGAATTTTATCAAAAGCCTTTTCTGCATCCATTGAGATAATCATGTGGTTTTTGTCTTTGGTTCTGTTTATGTGATGAATCACACTTATTGATTTACATAGGCTGAACCAACCTTGCATCCCAGGGATGAAGCCTTATTGATCATGGTAGATTAGCTTTTTGATGTGCTACTGGATCCAGTTTACAAGTATTTTGATGAGGATTTTTGCATTGATGTTCACCAAGGATATTTGCCTGAAGTTTCCTTTTTTTGTTGTGTCTCTGCCAGGTTTTGATATCAGAATGATGCTGGCCTCGGGCTGGGTGTGGTGGCTCACGCCTGTAATCCCAGCACTTTGGGAGGCTGAGGCGGGTGAATCACGAGGTCAGGAGATCGAGACCATCCTGGCTAACATGGTGAAACCCCTTCTCTACTAAAAACACAAAAAATTAGCCAAGTGTGGTGGTGGGTGCCTGTAGTCCCAGCTACTCTGGAGGCTGAGGCAGGAGAAGGTGTGAAACCAGGAGGCAGAGCTTGCAGTGAGCCAAGATCGCACCACTGCACCACTGCTCTCCAGCCTGAGTGACAGACTCCGTCTCAAAAAAAAAAAAAAAAAAAAGAATGATGCTGGTCTCACAGAATGAGTTGGAGAGAAGTTCCTCCTCCTCAATTTTTTGGTAATAGTTTCAGTAGGAATGGTACTAGCTCTTCTTTGTAGAACTGGTAGAATTTGGCTGTCATTGCATCTGGTCCTGGGCTTTTTTTGGTTGGTAGGCTATTTATTACTGATTCAATTTTGGAGCTCATTATTGGTCTGTTCAGGGAATCAATTTCTTTTTAGTTCAGTGTTGGGAGGATGTATGTATCCAGGAATGTATCCATGTCTTCTAGGTTTTCTAGTTTGTGTGCATAGGGGTGTTCATAGTAGTTTTGGATGATTATTTTTATTTCTGTGGGGTCAGTGGTAACATCCCCTTCAACATTTCCTATGGTGTTTATTTGGATATTTTCTCTTTTTTAGTAGCCTACCTAGTGGCCTATCTTATTAATTTTTTCCAAAAAAAAAAACAACTCCTGGATTCATTGTTCTTTTGAATGGTTATCATGTCTTGATTCTTTCAGTTCAGTTCTGATTTTGGTTATTTCTTGTCTTCTGGTAGGGTTGATTTCTTCTTGCTTTTCTAATTCTTTCAGTTGTGATATTAGGTTGTTGATTTGAGGTCTTTCTAACTTTTTGATGTGGGGATTTAGTGCTATAGATTTCCCTGTCAGCACTACCTGAGCTATGTCCCAAAGATCCTGGTATGTTGTATTTTTGTTCTCATTAGTTTCAAAGAACTTGATTTCTGTCTTAATTCCATTATTTATGCCAAAGTCATTCAGGAGCATGTTGTTTAGTTTCCATGTAACTACATGGTTTTGAGTGATTTTCTTAGTCTTAACTTATATTTTTATCGTGCTGTTGTCCGAGAGTGTGTTTGGTATAATTTCAGATCTTTTGAATTTGCTAAGGATTGTTTTATGTCCAATTATGTGGTCAATTTTAGAGTATGTGCCATATGGCAATGAGAAGAATGTATATTCTGTTGTTTTTAGGTGGAGAGTTATGCAGAGGTCTATCAATCTATTTGGTCCAATGTTGAGTTCAAGTCCTGAATATCTTTGTTAATTTTCTGACTTGATGATCTGTTTTTTTGGTTTTTTGTTTGTTTGTTTGTTTGTTTTAGATGGATTCTTGCTCTGTTACCAGGCTGGAGTGCAGTGGTGCAATCTTGGCTCACTATAACCTCTGCCTCCCAGGTTCAAGTGATTCCCCTCCCTCAGCCTCCTGAGTAGCTGGGACTACATGGGTGCACCACCACACCCAGCTAATTTTTTGTATTTTAGCAAAGATGGGGTTTTACCATGTTGGCTTGGAGTGTCTCGATCTCCTGACTTTGTGATCTGCCCACCTCGGCCTTCCAAAGTGTTGGGATTACAGGCATGAGCCACCACGCCCAGCCGATGATCTGTTTAATACTGCCAGTGGAGTGCTGAAGTCTCCCAGTATTATTGTGTGGGAGTCTACATCTTTTTGTAGGTCTCTAAGGACTTGCTTTATGGATCTGGGTGTTCCTGTGTTGGGTGCATATATATTTAAGATAGTTAGGTCTCCCTGTTGAATTGCACCCTTTACCATTATGTAATGGCCTTCTTTGTCTTTTTGATCTTTGTTGGTTTAAAGTCTGTTTTTATCTGAAATTAGGATCACACCCCTTTCTGTTTCCCATTTGCTTGGTAGACTTTCCTCCATCCCTTTATTTTGAGCCTATGGTGTTGTTATTGTGAGATGGGTCTCTTGAAGACAGCATACCATTGGGTCATGCTTTTTTTTTTTATCCAGCTTGCCACTCTGTGCCTTTTAAGTGGGGGCATTTAGCCCTCAGAATTAAATGTGTGGATTTGATCTGTCATTGTGTTGTTAGTTGGTTATTATGCTGGCTTGTGTGGCTGTTTTATAGTGTCACTGGTCTCTATATTTAAGTGTCTTTTTGTATTAGCTGATAGTGGACTTTCCTTTCTATATCTAGTGCTCCTTTCAAGATCTCTTGTAAGGCAGGTCTGGTGGTAACAAACTCCCTCAGCATTTGCTTACCTGAAAAAGATCTTATTTCTCCTTGCTTAGGAAGCTTAGTTTGACTGGATAGGAAATTCTGGGTTGAAGATTTTTTTTTTTCTTTAAGAATGTTGAATATAGGCCCCCAATCTCTTCTGGCTTTAGGGTTTCAACTGAGAGGTCTGCTGTTAGCTTAATGGGGTTCCCTTTGTAGGTGACCTGCCCTTTCTTTCTAGTTGCCTTTAACATTCTTTCTTTCATTTCAACCTTGGAAAATCTGATGATTGTGTGTCTTGAGGATGATCTTCTTCTGTAGTCTTAAAGGGGTTCTCTGTATTTCCTGAATTTGACTGTTGGCCTCTCTAGAAAGGTTGGAGAAGTTTTCATGGACAATATCTTGAAATATGTTTTCCAAGTTGTTTGCTTTCTCCCCCTCCCTTTCAGAGATGCAATGATTCATAGATTTGGCCTCTTTATATAATCCTTTACTTTGCAAAGGTTTTGTTCATTTATTTTCATTCCTTTTTTCTTTTTTTTTGAGACAGAGTTTCACTCTTTCGCTCAGGCTGGAGTGCAATGGCATGATCTTGGCTCACTGCAACCTCTGCCTCCTGGATTCAAGCGATTCTCCTGCCTCAGCCTCCGGAGTAGCTGGGATCACGGTGCCTGCCATCATGTCGGGCTAATTTTTGTATTTTTGGTAGAGATGGAGTTTCTCCGTGTTGGCGAGGCTGGTCTTGAGCTCCTGACCTCAGGTGATCCATCCGCCTTGGCCTCTCAAAGTGCTAGCATTACAGGTGTGAGTCACTGCATCCGGCCTATTCCTTTTCTTTATTTTTGTCTGACTGTCTTATTTCAGAGAGCCAATCTTCAAGTTCTGAGATTCTTTCCTCAGCTTTGTCTATTCTGCTGTTAATACCTAGATTGCATTGTGAAATTCTTGTGTTGTGTTTTTCAGCTCTGTCAGATCCATTAGGGTCTGTTTTATTGGGCTACTTTGTCATTCATCTCCTGTATCATTTTATTGTGATTCTTAGTTTCCTTGGATTGGGTTTTGCAGTTCTCCTGAATCTCAAGGATCTCATTCCTATTCATATTCTAAATTCTATTTCTGTCATTTCAGCCAGGTTAGCTTGGTTAAGAACTCTTGTTGGAGAACTGGTGCAGTCATTTGGAGGACATACAACACTCTGGCCATTTGAGTTACCGGAATTCTTGCATTGGTTCTTTCTCATCTCTGTGTGTGAGTATTCCTTTAACTACAGTGCAGATTGAGTACAGCCAATAAACTTCTTTTCTGGATGTTTTCACAGGGCCAAGGCTTTGTGCAGGTTCTTTATTTGAAGCTGACTTCTTGGCTCTGGTTTCAGAGGGGTTATGTTAGTGAGGTATTTTTGGTGTTGAAGCTGAGGGGTGTGATCCAGTAGGTGGTGCTTAGGCATATTGGTCAGTTGATAGTCTCTTGCTTGGTTGTATGGCTCCCCTATATTTTCTCACAGTTGCAGTTGTGTTCCCTCTTGATGTTCTAAAAGTATGGGCTCCTCTCTCTCTTGAGTGCTGGCTGTAGATCGTGGCTTGCCACTCCTGAGCTCCCCCTTGCATCTCTGGGGCAATCTCAAGGTTTATGTTCCTTCCTTAATTTGGAGGAAGCAGAGGAAGGAACTTTAGTAGTGGTTGTGCCAAGGATCTTTTGTTTGTCTCCTGGGGACTCCACCCCAGAAAGATGCAGGTCAGCAATTGCTCAGTGCAATCAGTTCAGGATGAAGGGTCTGTGCTGTGGGCCCAAGCTGGGGGGCGTTCCTTGTGTGGTGATGAGCAGGGGTGGTTGGGTGGGACCCATGGGAGACGGACTGGCCTCCTCTCCTTGGGTCGACTACAGCTTGTTGGAGGTGTGCATAAGGCACGTAGGGTCTTTGCTCCTTTATTAGTCTGAGGGTAGCATGGGTAGTTCCACTGCAGGGGCAGTGGCAGAGAGGCTTTCAGTTGCCCTTGGCAGCTCTGTCCAGAGAGTTGCTGACCTGCTACTGGCTTGATAGCCCCAGTGGGTGGTGGGTGGAGGCCCAGGCCTGGAGGATCTGCCTGTGAGGAGATATGGGAATGGGCACCCGTGTAACAGTCTGGCCACTTTTATATAGGGCTGCTGCAGCATGCTGGGGGGTCCATCAAGTCCCTAGTCACCTCAGATTTTCTAGTACGTGGAAGAATCAAAAATGAAGGATGCAAAACAGCAAAGATGGTGGCCTGCCCCTCCCTATAGGAGCTCTGCCCCAGGGAAGTACAGAGCTGTTGCCAGCCTGAAAGCATCAGTAGAAGGCAGCTAGAGACCATAGTTAGTAGGTCCCACCCAGTGAGGAGAAATGGGATCAGGGACCCACTTAAAAAAAAACAGCCTGGCCATGTTTTTGTAGAGCAGCTGTGCTGTGCTGGGGGCCTGCTCCAGCCCCAAGTTGCCTTGGATTCTCCAAAGCCCAAAGGGTAGAATGACTAATTCCCCCAAACAGCAAAGATAGTGGCATTCCCTTCACTCTGGGAGCTCCATCCCATGGAAGTTTGAGTTCTATCAGAGGTAGCTGGAGACCCTAGTTGGGAGGTCCCACCTGCTGAGGAGGAATGGGATTGGAGACCTGCTTAAAAAAGCAGTCTGGCCACGTTTTCATGAAATAGCTTTGCTATGCTGGGGTCTGCTTCAGCTCCCGGTCACCTTGGACTCCCCAAAGCCTGAAGGCTAGATCAGCTAAGTAGCCCAAACAGCAAAGATGGCAGCTCACCCCTCCCCCTGGGATCTCTGTCTCAGGGGGTATAATGCTGTTACTGGTGGCTGGCTGGAGTTCCAAGCCAGTGGGTCTTACCCTGTAATGTGTTGTGGAAGTGGGGCTTGTTGTCTGTCACTGCTCAGCCCCCTTGATTCAGCCTCTTTTCTGGGGGTACCTTGTTGGGGGGATAGTCTAACCTCCCAATTCACTGGAGTTGCAATTGTTTTTGCCAGGAAGCCCAGGTATCTAAGCCTACCAGGTCTCTGCATGTGCCTCAGTGGCTGCTCTGCCAAGACTCCACGTAGCTCTGTATGTCAGACTGAAGGCCCTGGTGGAGTGAGTTCACGAGGGGATCTCCTGACCCAAGGGTTGCAAAGATCCTTCTCCGTGGGAGATACATGGGTTCCCTGGGTCACTCATTCACTCACTGCTTCCCTGGGCGAGGGAGGTGCCCCTCATTCCATGTTGCTCCTGGGTGAGCCATTGTCCTGTCTTGCTTTTCTCCATTCTCTGTGGGTCAAGTTGTTTCCTTGATTAGTCCTAATTCATGTACCTGAATATTTCAGTTGAAGGTGCAATATTTACTTGCCCCTTCTGTTCCTCTCCATGAGAGTGGCACACACTAGCTGCTTCTAGACGGCCATCTTTGAGCTCAACTTTTAAATCCAATCATTTACTTGACTGTTCCATTTTGATGTGTTATATGCATCTCAAAGCAAATCTTTTGATTCCTTCCCCCTAAAGCTGATTCTTCCTGTAATCTTTCCCATTTCATAAAATGGTCCCACCATTATCCCATAGTTCAAGCCCCAGTCTAGGATTTGTCTTTGATTCCTCTTTATATCCCTTTGCATCTAGCAATTCTTGTCAGTTCATCCTCAAATCTAACCACTTCCCATCATCTCCACTGCTATCTCCCATTTCAAGCCATCATTACTTGTGGGCGATGTCAGTGCACACTCATGTCCCTCAGACCTTTCCAAGTTGTTCCAGTCAACTTCCCACTGCCAGTACTTACATGTTGGTGCTTGAGGGCTGCTCTCCTCCAATCTTGAAAGGTCACTCTGCCTACCTGCTATTGGCTGGAAGTGCTGGGGAATTAGTACCCTCAGCCCCCTCTAACAGCAACCTCAATCAAAGACTTTTGGAGTTGGTGTATAAATACCCCAGCTGCCTTGCCTTTCAGGTGGAACTAGTCTGAGTTGTATTTGGAACCCTTTTTCCAAATTTCCCTGCAGGACTAAGCTCTGGTCACTCACTATAGTAGACGGGTTAATAATACACTCTTCATTGCTTGCCTTCCCTTTCCTATAACACTTCCTCCCACTTCTGTCAAGGTGTTTCCTGCAATTCTTAAATACAGTTTGTCTCAGGGTTTGCTTCTGGGAGAACCCAAACTAAGATGCTAGTTTACTGAAATAGCCTATTATCCCCCTATAAATCTTTTTCTGCACATTAGCCAGACTGAAATTCTAAAAATGTAAAGTGGATCATATCGCCTCTGCTTGGTTCCCACTCAGCTTAAATTAATATCCCAAATCCCTAATATAGCTCAACATAGTACAGACTCTGGCCTCATTTCATATCATTCATTCCCTCTTTCATTTCACTGCAGTCACACTCAGTTATTTCCTATATCTTGAACTTACCAACTCGCTCCTGTCTAAGGTCATTTGTACTTGTTCCTTCTGCCTGGCACATTCGAACTCCAGAACCTCAGGGGTTGAGCTCCCTTTTAAAATTTCAATCCTAGATCAAATATCACCTCCTCTGATAAGTCACTCTGTAGCTGAAACCTCCCTCTATTACAACTGTTTGGATTTATCTTGATATCTATGTATTTATTTATTGTTTGCCTTACCCTTCTATAGGACCCCTGCTATATTATAACAGCAACCTTGTGTGTCTTGTCCTCATTTTGTCCTCAGCACCCAGAACAGCAACAGGTCTTAGCACTTAGCAGTAGATTTATATATATATGTTTACTTATTTATTGAATGAATTAATATAAGGTATAATTATCTTTAATTATGTCAAAGGATTGTCTGTATATTAACACTTGTCATTTGCATTATTATAATTATTTTATTTGCAACTTATTTAATTGATAACAAAAATAAAATTAAATGATCACTATTAATGAAGAGATTTATCTACAAAATAATTATTGTGTCAGAGATGTGCCAGGTACTGTACCAGACGTTAAAGATACAAGATGAAAAAGATATTCTCTGCTCTTTCATGGAGTAACTGGTGATTTAACTGAAAATAGAAAACTGAAAGAGTAGGTTGTCTTATGTGTTATGACAACAACAACAATGACCGCCCTCTGAGGGTGGTTTTCAGTTTTCCCAAGCACATCCACATCACTACGGTAGTTGACCCTTATAACGGTGCTGTAGGTGGGCCCATTCTTTTTTTTTATTATTATACTTTAAGTTTTAGGGTACATGTGCACAATGTGCAGGTTAGTTACATATGTATACATGTGCCATGTTGGCGTGCTGCACCCATTAACTCGTCATTTAACATTAGGTCTATCTCCTAATGCTATCCCTCCCCCCTCCCCCCACCCCACAACAGTCCCCGGTGTGTGATGTTCCCCTTCCTGTGTCCATGTGTTCTCATTGTTCATTTCCCACCTATGAGTGAGAACATGCGGTGTTTGGTTTTTTGTCCTTGTGCTAGTTTGCTGAGAATGATAGTTTCCAGCTTCATCCATGTCCCTACAAAGGACATGAACTCATCATTTTTTATGGCTGCATAGTATTCCATGGTGTATATGTGCCACATTTTCTTAATCCAGTCTATCATTGATGGGCATTTGGCTTGGTTCCAAGTCTTTGCTATCGTGAATAGTGCCGCAATAAACATACATGTGCATGTGTCTTTATAGCAGCATGATTTATAATCCTTTGGGTATATACCCAGTAATGGGATGGCTGGGTCAAATGGTATTTCTAGTTCTAGATCCCTGAGGAATCACCACACTGACTTCAACAATGGTTGAACTAGTTTACAGTCCCACCAACAGTGTCAAAGTGTTCCTATTTCTCCACATCCTCTCCAGCACCTGTTGTTTCCTGACTTTTTAATGATCGCCATTCTAACTGGTGTGAGATGGTATCTCATTGTGGTTTTGATTCTTCAAGTGAGGAAACAAAAGCTTAAAGAGGTGAAGGGTTTTGCCAAAGCTCATGCAGCTTGCAAGAGACAGCAGAGGGACTGTAATGAGATTTGGGGATTTCAGAAGCTTGTGTTCTTTCCACTGCCTCCTACAGTGTCTCCTACTCCCCAACAGCCTGGAGACAGAGCAGATGCCCATCAGATGCTTGCTGATGGGAGGAAGGATGGTGGGTAACACCATAGAGAACATCCTCTATGTGGGAGATCCCTGGTTGGCTTGACCAACAGACACTGCCAGCCACTGCTGCTGCTGCTGACAGTCCAGAATTAGTTACTCTGGGAGGCAATGGGATTTTTGTAAAGCAAATTTACTATTGGGAATAAATATTTGATGCAGGTGAACACCTGCTAAATAGATATTATGTTTTAATATATTGTTAGCTGAATCCGCCAAAGAAATACACTGGTTAAATAAATAATATGTATAATCTGCTAATGTGCGTTGGTGCCTAGTGCAGTAAGCCAATCTTAAACTAACATCTATTAAAAGAATCAACCTGTTGAAGGCAGAGATATACTCTATGGCAAATTGAGGACAGGGAATTAATAGTTTTCTTCTTAGTTATAAATAATAGATTAATCATTGTTTTACAAAGTTAAATCCATAATTCTGTATTAGTCTCTCTACCCCCTGCATAGACAAAGTCTTGCCACATGTTTTCCTGGGTTAAGAATGCAGTATTTTTGTGAATCAAGCAATGTGTACTGCAAGGCAGGGATAAAATGAGGGGAGTGTGGAGGAAAAGCACCAGGGAAGAAGTCAGAGTGAGAGCAGAAAGGGAATCTTGCTTGCTAATGTGAGAGTTGGAGGTAAGAATGGGCAAGTGGGTTTCATTCTCTTTTTGAGGGATGTGATGCCACAGTGGAAAGCCAGTGTTCCATCCAGAAAGGAGCCTGGACTGGCAGGTTCCATGCTGCTCTCATGCTTCACCATCACAAACCTCACCTGAAAGAAAAGAAGACCCGGGACTGATCTGGGCGGTATCTTGCTTTCATTTAATGTTATAAAATATTTACTAAGTAATATAGAATCCAAGTGCCATTGAACTCAGAGGACTGAATCTAGTTCTACCCTCTGGAGTCCAGAGAGGTATAGGAATTTTCCTTAAGTCCCACAGAGCCAGGCCTTGAATTGATTTCATCTTCCTGTCACGCTCCTTCTTTCACATCACCTTCTCCCTTGCTTTGCAGCCCTTGTCTGTTCTCAGCTGTCTTTGTGTAGCATGTGGTCCCAGGGGGGCCAGGGAAAGTCCCCTCCTCAGGTCTGGCTGTAATTGTACGCACTAAGGCAGAGAAAGAATTGCAGCCTCTCCCACAGAAAACAGCATAAGATGGACAGAGTTTGTTACCCGGCACGATGTTGGAGCATTCCATTCCTATACTGCCAAGTGTTGAGCTCTTCTGTTTTTTTTGTCCATAAGCCTTAATTTCTCAAAAGGGACTCTCTTATCAATACTTGGGGATGTAGTAACTCACTGTCACCAAAACTTAGAAATGAGAGAAATAAGAATGCCCTCCAAAAGGCTAACTGGTGGAATCAGCACGCCATGCCACCAGGCACACCATGTTTCCCATGGGAGTACAAAGCCAAGGATCCCTCTGCCGCTCCCTTTCCATCCTCACCTCTCCTTGCTCCAGCCTCACCGAAAATCTTTGATTTTGCCCTCCCTGTCTGGGACATGGTCCTTCCTCTGCTGAGATACTCCCACACTCCTTCTTGCACCTGCTCCCATTTTGACTTCCTGACCCCTTTTCTTGATTGTGTCCCATGTGGCTCTGCAATGGAAACTGTGGTTCTCTGCCTAGATGTCCTCCTTAGGGTCAGCACACTCATTCCCTGCTGCTGGTAATGTCAACACCTGCTGAAGCTGTCACTGAGATTTGTGCTAGGTTGCTGGGAACTGCCTCCCTAACGTCCTGTCCCTCCACAGAGGGTGGCCCACAACCCATGACTGGTTGACTTGGGGGTCCAAAGGCTCAGTGGCCTTGCCTCAGCAGGGTCTCTGCAGAGCCATCAGCTCCAGAGCTCTCTATAGGCTTTGCAGGAGCCTTGGTTTTAGCCTCATTGTGGACCAGCTTCTCCCTGCCTTGTCCCACCTTCTTCAATTTCTTACTGGTGTATCTCCTGGAAAAATCTCCATTCAATTTTCTGTACACATTTCTCCATCTTAGTGTGTTTCCTAGAAAGCCAAGTTAAGGTGATTGTACCAGGAGTGGCCCTGGGAGAAAGACTCTAAAATAGAATCTTGGTGATCCACTTATCAGACTTATCAGTCCTCTGTCAATGAGGTCCTCAACACTGGTGGTAGGTGGAGTAAGGAGAGCTCCTGGTGTGTGTAGCAGTGCAATTGTTAAGACTGAGATAGGATGCTAGTAAAAGTAGATGCACTGGCTTATGCAATACCTTGGGCACTGTAGAAGTTTGAGGCAAATGGTGACTGTGGAATTGGGTGACAGCCACTGAATGCCACTGATCCATTGAAGAGAGATTATGTCAGGGTCAGAATGGGATTAATCACCAATTCTAGGCAAAATCTGAAAGCCAGAGGACCTCCTTGGCAGCATTTAAGGAAACTCTAATTCCTTGCAGTAGGGTCACAAAGAATGGAAAATCAGTCCTGGCACTAAATTGTAGGGATAGCTGCTTCAGAGAAAGGTGAATTCTGGCCCTGGTAGGAGTCTTATACCAAAGTCAGGGTCTTAATAGAGTACGAGTGGGAACTTCAGACTTGGGATGGGGATGTCTGAATAGACGCAGTTGAGACCCCTGAATGTAGACTTCTCTGAAGTCACTGGGCCTACAGATGTGGCCCACTCCCCCTTGTTACCAGATTCGGATCATATGGAGGCTTCCATTAAGGAGAGTGTCTTATGAAATGATGTTTGCTCCCTCAGAATCTACCTCTGTATACTCTGCTAGCAATCAGACCAATAAGGGCCACATCCCAGCACAGCTTGATGGAATGAGCAGGGCCTGCTGAGAAGGAGAGGGACTGTATGCTGCAGGAGTTGGCTATAATGCACCCAGGAATGTGATGGATCAGAAAATAAGTTGGTTAAAGATGTGTTTATTTAGATGTGGGAGCCCTCTGAGGGCTGTCTCAATTTTAGTGTGCCCTGTTGGATTGACTGAGGCCTCAGCTGCAAGTGCATTGCTGGCCAGCTTCTTTGTTTGCCCAATCTGCCTTTCTGACTTCTTCATAGGCCCTTCAACCCTCTGTAGGCTACTTTCAAAACAACTTTCTAATGTTCCTCTTCCCTGCAGTCTGTTTCCAGATACTCTCCTGTGTGCTTGTTATGAACTGAATTGTGTCCCCTCAAAATTAATGTGTTGAAACCCTAGTCTCCAGTGTGACTATGTTTGGAGATAGGGTGTTTTTTATGGAGGTAAATATGGTTAAGTGAGGTCATAAAGATGAGGCTCTAATTCTATAGGGATTTGTGTTCTTGGAAGAAGAAGAAGAAGTAACACAGAGCTCTTTTTCCATGAACGCAGAGAAAAGGTTATATGAGGACACAGAGAGAAAGTATCATATGCAAGCCAGAAAGACCAGCCTCACCAGAAACCAACCCTGTTGGTACCTTGATCTTAGATTCCTAGCCTCCAAAATTGTGAGAAATAAATTTCTGTTGTTAAAGCCACCTACTCTGTGGCATTTTGTTATGGCAGCCCCAGCAGACTAATACAGTGCTCCTAGTTCCATTCTGTACTTCATGTGTTGTAGCACTTGCCATCATACTTCTTTACTCTTCTGATTTGAACTTTGGAACATAGTAGCTGCTCAGTTAGTAATTGTTGAGTGAATGGTGAATGAATGTGACTTAAAGACACAGAATGGTTCTCAGGTCAGAGTAAAATATGATGGAAATAATGACTATATCTAAATACAGAAGGGGGCTGGTCAGCCCCAGAATAACAATAAAAAGCCTATCTTAGGCTGGGTGCAGTGGTTCATACCTGTAATCCCGGCACTTTGGGAGGCTGAGGCAGGTGGATCACTTGAAATCAGGAGTTTGAGACCAGCCTGGCCATGATGGCAAAACCCTGTCTCTACCAAAAATACAAAAATTCGCTGGGTGTGGTGGTACATGCCTGTAGTCCCAGCTACTTAGGAGGCTGAGGCACGAAAATTGCTTGAACGTAGGAGGCAGAGGTTGCAGTGAGACAAGGTTACACAACTGCACTTCGGCCTAGGTGACAGAGTGAGACTCTATCTCAAAAAAAAAAAAAAAAGTAAATTTTAGAACAGTGCCCATCCAAGTAGCATTCAGAAGAGAGGTGTTTTAGCCATGAAAGTTTGGTTATTTTGGTCCCATGATCATGGCCATGTTTAAAGTGAAAATGTGAGGAAGAGTTGTAGCCAGTAGATTTTCAGCATTTTCTTTTTTTTTTTTTTTTGAGACAGAGTCTCGCTCTGCTGCCCAGGCTAGAGTGCAGTGGCATGATCTCCGCTCACTGCAAGCTCTGCCCCCCGAGTTCATGCCATTCTCCTGCCTCAGCCTCCCGAGTAGCTGGGGCTACAGGCGCCCGCCACCACGCCTGGCTATTTTTTTTGCATTTTTAGTAGAGACGGGGTTTCACAGTGTTTGCCAGGATGGTCTCGATCTCCTGACCTCGTGATCCACCTGCCTCGGCCTCCCAAAGTGCTGGGATTACAGGCATAAGCCACTGTGCCTGGCCGATTTTCAGCATTTTCAGTCATATGGGTAAGACCGTGCTGTGGAGGCAAGTGCCCCAGAGGCTGCCTTAGCCTGCTGCCATTGTACATTTGATCTACCTGCCATCCTCCCCTTATCCTGCTTGAAGACTCTCCAGATAACACCAGCTGGGGTTTGGTTTCTCACATAGGCTTGTTGACAGGTGATGAGAACTGGAGTATTCAAGTCCATGGAACAGGTATAATTTCCTCTTGTAAGTGAATTAATTTTAATTCTGATTTTGTACATCAGTCCTGCTTTATGTGAGCCTGACCCTGAGAGATGCAACTGCTGTCACTGTGCTGACAAGTCACGTTTCTGACCCTACAAGACCCAGGGCCAGAGAGTGGATTGTAGGTGAATTCACTAAAGTAATGATGCATCCTCCCTCTCCTCCCCATGTTGACTACAGGGATCCTGTCAGCTTTTTTTCCAGGGCACGTCCTGACCTCATCATGTGCTGAGAATCTATTCTCTACTTTGGGATTTTTGTGAACAGTAGGGCTAGTACTGGGCGGTCAACTTCTTTTTTACTTCTAATATTAACTATTACCTGATGCTGGGCACATAGTCATTATTCAATGAAGAGGAGATGAATTAAATGTCCCTGTGGCATAGGGGGACCCTTGGGACAAGACAGTTCTTCCGTCAGGGTGATGAGTGAGGAGGTCTCTGGGGCCTGTGGACTGCAGTGCGCCCCCTGCAGGATTTCACAGAGGGTCTGGAATGCTTACTGCACTCTCAGGGACCCTTGGAGGGCTCTTCAGGTCTACAGGTGGGATGTGAGCCACAATTTGAGAAATAGTGGTCAGAACCAAATTTGTTTATGACCTGGAATAAAGCTATTTGTATCTTTTAAAAAATCTATAACCTGGAATAAAGCTATTTGTATCCTTTAAAAAATCCTTTTTATCTGTAATGTATATAGGATTTCTCCCATTTTACTCCAGGAGAAACTGGATGGTTCAGCGTACCATCACCATGAACATTCTCAAAACATCCTTGATAGCAAGTAACTGTTTTCTACTCTGAGCGTATGGAGAATTCCACATTGTAATCCCCATCCTAGCAGATGGATGGTATTGTGTCACACAGTTGCAGCAGACTAGTCATATTGATCCAATCAACGTACAGATGTTATAGTTCATGGATTTTAAAATATACATTTTTTCACATTTATCATCTTTGAAACTGGGATACAACTTATCATTGATATTTCATAGTTTAAATCAGAAATACGTTTTTTCTTAATATTACACATAATTATGTTTCATATAATTGATGGCATCTTAGATTAGATAAATAGAATAAAATATTCTATAGCATTCTTGGTTGAGGAGAAGCAACTAGAATGCCTTTTTCTAATTTTTCTCCATTATATATGAATTTTTTTGCACTATTGGGAGGAAGATAATTGTCTGAAAGGAAGAAACACCTCCCAAAATAAAGTTAAGAGGAAGACCAGCACTACTGAAGGATATGGGGTGCTGGCCTTGTTGCTGCCCCTCCACTGGCCAAGGAATGCCAACACTGTGCTTACCTGGCTGTTCTTCTCTGGGTATCACCTTGGATCTTTTCCTCCCTTCTCTCAATTATAAAATGTTACCTCTCTTGTCTCCCAGTCCCTCAGAATCAGTCAATCTGAGTGATAATTCTATGAGGATCTTCCATAGCACTGAATCAAAATGACTTCATGCTTTATCCTTTTCTCTTCCTTTGCCTGTATCTTGTGCATTTTAACAGTGAGTAATTGGAGTCATAATGCCTCAGTCCACAAGAGAAACTTTCACGGTAGAAATTATGGTATCTGTGACAAGCTGGTTGAAGTCATGTTTTCAGTTTATAGTTCCCTAAAACTCACACTACTTAGTAGGGCAGCTACAATTTTTATACTACTTTGCAGTTTACAAAACAGACATTGAAAACATTTTCTTATGAGAGCCTCACTAAAAGTCTCTGAAGAAGGTGAGGCAGACTTTATCACCATTGTTTAGATGAAGAAGCAGATGTCTGGAGAAATGAAGCACATTAGTCAGGAAACTCAGTTGATTCATGGAGAAAGCAGGACCACATTCTAGGTATGATTCTGGAGGCATTGTTCCTCTTTTTTGGAAAGAGACCCCTGTTTACAACCTCTTCCCTTGCCTAGAAGTAGATGAGCTTCAAAGAAGGTGAAATTATTCAAGACCTGGTAGATTATGTCAGAGGTGTTAGTCTTTTCTCTGGGAGTTCTGAGAAGTCATTGAAAGATTTTTAAGCAGGAGAAAAAGATGAACAGATTATTGTTTGTTTACTTGTTAAAGATCTATCTGGGTGCAGAGGGGAGAATGAATTGTAGGAAGGTAGGAATGGAAACATTTAGGAGGCTATTGCAGTAGTTTAGGGAAGAAATGGTGGTGCGTGGTCCAGGAAGATGACAGTGGATGGGAGAGAGATGGAGGAAATTCTGGGATGATGGCAGCTGAAGCATGTATCCTACAGCCTTTTTACCCTAGCTCAAATCCAACTACCAGCTGAAGGTCTGTGCTCCATAGGAGTCTGGGAGTAGTGCTCAGCCTTCTGGCCAAGATAGGAGCCTTGAGATAAGGGAAAGCCCTGGAGCAAAACTTAGTTATTGCAGGGAGCTTGAGCCATGGAGATCCATGGCCGACGTGGTCCTAGGAATACCTGTTGGCTACCCTGTTCCTGAAGACCTGAGGTAAGACTGCAGCATGGTTGGGGTTCTCCTACCCCTGAGAGCTGTGGTCTTTATTCTTGAGGAGATAGAGAGCAGAGAGACTTCCTCCAGAGGTTTCATCTGGGGAGAGGTAATCTGCCACCTGGGTTGGTCCCTAGGGTCAGAGGCTGTTGTGCTTTTCAATGTTCCCAAATTCATTGCCACTCTTGATCGCTTAACCTTGGTCCCAAGAAAGAGCAGAATCAAGAGTTCACAAAGGAAAATTCAGTGCACCGAGGGGTTCTCAATAGCCAGAGAGAGCAATGACAGCACTCAGACAGGTAACTCCTTTGATATGAGACTTGCTGGGGAAAGGGAGGGCAAGAAGAAAAGAAAAGAGGAGAAAAAAAAACATAAGGAAGAATAGTGAGGGTATATCCTAAAATGGGGATGCTGTGGTAAATCTGCCCTCTGATCACCAAGGCAGAGGTGTGATCCATGAGAAGGCAGTCTCTCATAGGAGTGTTCTCACAGTGAGGCACCGTAGTTAACTTTCCTGAGACATAAAAGGAAAAGTAGAACTAGCATCTACTGAGCAACTACTATGCTGGACATGCTCTTTAACACTCATTCTCTCATTTAATTTTCTTCAATAATCTCATTATATAAGGAAAGCAAAACTCAGAAAGGTTGAGAAAGCTCCCCCAAGATCACACAGTTGGAAAGCAACAGGGTTAAACGAATCTGTGCAAATCTGAAGCCCTTGCTTTTCCTGCTGTACCACAGAGCATCTGTACTAGAGGCGGCTGGCAGCAGATTTAGACACCGATCCACATGACTTTATTTGTATTTTCACTGGGCTTTTGTTATCTCAGGACATTCAAAGATTTACACTCTCTCTTCTATCAGAGTTAAGTACACACTGCCAGCTTGACCTTTCAATCTGGGCTGCTCTTTGCTTCTCCCAAGTTACCAGCCAGCTCAGATAAAGGGAGAAAAATGAACTATTATTCTTTCTGGAAGTTGAATGGCTGCTTCCCTCTAAATATCTAGAAAGCCAATCTCCTGTGAATTAAACTCTTTCATCAGCTATTAGCTGGATCCTAAATCATTGATAAGAGGGAAAACCCCTCAATTCATTGATTGACATCTTGAGAGTTTATCAACTCTAAATAATAAAAGCAGCAACATCTGAGAAAATGGTCAGCATTTATTCAATCTAAGAGAAGAAGCAGTTCTTGTTTTCAACTTAGAAAAATACCTCATATTCTCAGAATTAAGTGACATTTCTTCTAACTTTATTTCATATATATATATATACATACATATATACATAAAAGCAACACCAACAGCATCTCTTGCATATAAAGCACACTGTATTACGTGCTGAAGACTCAGTAAAGTAGTAGGTTAAATTCTAGATTTCTCAGGATCCTCTACATTTTAAATGTTCACTTTGTGGTCCTCCTCAATGCAATTGTTGAAATTTTATCAATTTTTTTTTACATTTTGGAGACTGGTTATTATAGGGATATCCTTATAGGTCTCCTTAAGGACTTGGTGATTATCGTAGAGTGACTGAGCATGCCTAATGTGCACTAGGCAATTCATTTTTTTTCTTTTTTTTTCTTCTTCTTCTTTTTTTTTTTTTTGAGAGAGTCTTGCCCTATTGCTCAGGCTGGAGTGCAAACATGATCTCGGCTCACTGCAACCTCTGCCTCCTGAGTTCAAGCAATTCCAAGTGATTCTCCAGCCTAAGCCTCTTGAGTAGCTGGGACTACAGGCGTGCACCACCATACTTGGATAAGTTTTGTATTTTTATGAGAAATGGGGTTTCACCATGTTGGTCAGGCTGGTCTCAAACTCCTGATCTCTAGTGATCCACCCGCCTTGGCCTCCCAAAGTGGAGATTGCTGGGATAACAGGGATGAGCCACTGCACCCGACCTGCACTAGGCAAATCAATGAAATTCAGCAAACATTTAGGGAATGATGGTTAGCCATCTGTGTGTTATGCCCCAAAGTTAAAGAGGAAAATGCTACGTTGCTGCTCTTTGCTTACAGCTCTACAGTGGGCAAACAGATAAAGAAACAAAAGCTGAGCTTGTAAGCAAAGATGGAAGACTGGGCATATAGATTATATGTAGATGTATCTCCTCTTTCTGCAAGATCCTTTAAAATAATAATAAAAAGTTATCTCTCTATATTGAAGAGAATGAGAAATTTCAGCAAATTTCTTGAAGAAAGAAAATAGGTGAAATGGTGATACCTGGTGAAGTAGAGGAAAGGAGGGGCTACTACTAAGGAGAAAACTTGTGTTATGTCAACTTAAATTCAGAGCTAAAAGGAGGCATAGGAACTGAAGACATCAGGCATAATGGAGGGTGAAGTGGTATGTGGGGTTATAAACAGAGGCAATAATTGGAACTATAAATGGGACAGTCAACATCTCCCTCACTCCCCACACTGGAGAGTAACATCGCGGCATTTCACCCCCTCAACTTATGCAAACAAACAAGCAAAACCACAAAAAATGTGAGGATTATCTTTAAGGAAATGAAATGAACTGTATGGCAGACCAATAAAGGAAGTTCAACATCTGACTAACAGGAATCCTACAAAAAGAAAGTAGAGCCATTTTGGCTTTCTGAGCAGCACCATGGTGGTTGGTAAGAACCAGCATCTTACTAAAGATGGCAAAAAGGGAGCCAAGAAGAAGGTGGTTGATCCATTTTCTAAGAAAGATTGCTATGATGTGAAAGCACCTGCTATGTTTAATATAAGAAATATTGGAAGGACACTAGTCACCAGGACCCAAGGAACCAAAATTGTATCTGATGGCCTCAAGGGTCATATGAAGTGAGTCATGCTGATTTTCAGAATGATGAAGTTGTATTTAGAAAATTCAAGATGATTACTGAAGATGTTCAGGGCAAAAACTGCCTGACTAACTTCCATGGCATGGATCTTACCCATGACACAATGTGTTCCATGGTCAAAAAATGGCAGACAATGATTGAAGCTCATGTCGATGTCAAGACTAATGATGGCTACTTCTTTAATCTGTTCTGTGTTGGTTTTACTGAAAAAATGCAACAATCAGATATGGAAAACCACTTATGTTCAACACCAACAGGTCCGATAAATCCAGAAGAAGATTTGGAAATCATGACCGGAGAGGTGCAGACAAATAACATGAAAGAAGTGGTCAATAAATTGATTCAATAATTGAAGCAATAAATTGCCTCATCCAGACAGCATTGGAAGAGACATAGAAAAGTCTTGCCAATCTACTTATCCTCCCCATGATGTCTTTGTTAGGGGAGTAAAATTGCTCAAGAAGCCTGAGTTTGAATTGAGAAGACTCATGGAGTTTCATGGGGAAGGTAGTAGTTTGGGAAAAGCTACTGGGGATGAGACAGTTGATAAAGTTAAACGAGCTGATTGATATGAACCACCAGTCCAAAATGTGTTTAAAGTTCAGACTTACAGTAGTAGCAAATAAAAAGTCCTATTAGTGTAAAAAAAGAAAGTAGAGAAAATAGAGGAGAGAAAATTGTCAAAGAAATAATAGAAGCAAATTCCTAGAGCCCAAGAGGGAAGTTTCCATATTGAAAGAGCCCACCACATTCCCAATGTAACAAATACAAAATGACTCAAACCTTGATGGCTCATCATGAAATGTAACACTCAAGGATGAAATTCCTAAAGGCTTCCAAGAAGAAAACAAACAAAAATAGAGTGTCCACAAAGAAACAATACACAGGCTGGCATTGGACTTAGCAGTAGCTAAGATGTTGGTAGATCATGTTGGTAGACCATGTAGAAATGTCAACAAGTTTTTGAGGGAAAAAAAAGTTAACCTAAAGTTCTACACCTAGACTAATAGTCAAATATGAGGGTAGAATTATTTTTGGATTGAGACTAGAAAATTTTATCTCCCATGCACCTTTGTTAGGAAGTTGCTTGAGAATGTACTACATCTAAATGAAGAAGTAAACTAAGAGAATGAAATGAGATCCAGGATATGGAGGATCCAACCCAGGAAAGTGACAAAATCCAACAAGTAGTCCTGGAGTCTGGCTCAGGAGATTGGACTGGGACAGGTCTGTTAGGGGAAGAGTTGCAACTGTATAGTATGATTGAGAATTTTTTTATTTTTAGCGTCTTTTCCAGTGCATTAGCGGTTTAGCTGGAACCCAGAAGTCAGTATTGACACGTAGAGTTATTTTATTATTTAAATTGCATTCTAATTCATATTGTGATTTCTTTGTTATTTAGATGGTGTATTTCTTATTTTCTAAACTTATGGGGCTTCTAGTAATCTTTTTCTTATTGATTTCTGGCTTAATTGCATTGTGGTTAAAGACACTTGGTTTGATTTCTATCCTTTGGAATTTGTTGAGATTTGCTTTATGGTGCAGCATATAGTAAATTTTTTAAAAGTGTTCTGAGTGTGCTTGAAAAGAATGTGTAATTTGCAGTTTCTGGGTGCAGTGTTCTAAATATGTCAATTAGGATAGGTTTGTTACACGTTATTCAAATTTTCTGTATCCTTACTGATTTTTGCCTGCTTGTTTTATCAATTTCTGAGGGACGTGTATTTAAATCTCCCACTGTTTTTATAGATTTGTTTACTTTCTTAGTAGTTCAGTCAGATTTTGCTTCATTTGTTTTGAAACTACATTATTAAGTACATAAAAATTTTAAAGTGTTATGTCTTCCTGGTAAATTAAGCCTTTTATCATAATGAAGTATTCTCTTAATCTCTAGTAAAAGGCTTTTTGCCTTTAGCTCTATGATAGAACTTATCAGCCTTCTTCAAGGTAGCTTTTGTATGGCATATTTTTTGTTTTGTTTTCTTTCTTTTTTTTTTTTTTTTTACTGTCAGTCTCTCTGTTTCCAGTTCTACATGTATCTCTTGTGAAGAGCACATGGTTGTGTTTTGTTTTTATGTCCAGGTGGATAATCTTCGCTTTTAATTGGAGCACTGGGTCTACATACATTTAATATAGCCATTGATTCATGTGGGTTTAAATCTCTCATCTTACTCTGTTTCTTTTAGATTGATTTTTCAAAAAGCATTTCCCTCTTCTATTAGTTTTGAAGTTATATACTTTTATTATTCTTTCATTGATTACCTAAGAGATGACAACTTTGACTTATCACGGTTCACCATCAGTTGGCACTTTTACCCTCTCCCCAGAAAATGCAAAGATCTAAGGTACTTAAACTCCATTTACCTCCTTCTGACTTATATGCCATTGTTGTCATGTATTTTAGCTTATGCATATTTTAAACTCCAATGACATATTTAATGTTGGTTTATATAGCCAACTCTGCACACATATTTTCCTTTTTCATTTCTTTCCACATCTGTGTCATTTCATCTGGAATAATTTTTCTCCCACTTGAAACACTCATGTTAATGTTTTCTTTAAGGCAGATCTGGATGTGACAAACTCTTTTGGTTTTGTTTGTCTGAAAATGCTTTTATTCTAAATTCACTTTTGTTTGCTGCCTCCAGTGAGAATTTTCATTTGCTTCTTTGAGGCACCTGGGGGCCTGAGCAATCAGGGTCACCTTAATCCTATTTCAGTGGTTGAGTAGATTGGAAGTTGAACTGGTCACTGCAAAGGCTGGTACACCCCTGGTTCACCCTCACAGCATTTCAAGGTTCCAAACAAAAACAGGAGGAGTTTATTAGGTTTTCCTCATAAATTTTGTTCCCTTTACTACCTGGAGGCTTTCAAAACTTCTGAAATTAGAAAATATACCTAAGGGAAAGATGTTGGTCTCACTTCTCTATATTTCCAATCTTCTACGTATTGGCTTGGTGATTTTTCACTATCCTCTTAGCTCTCCAATATTTTCAGCTGACTTCTTCCCATCTTTTTCCCTCAGCTCCTTTGTCCCTCTCTCTTTCTCCCCTCCCTCTTTTCCTTCTTTTCTTCTTTCCCTCCTTTCTTTATTCTCCCTTCCTTCCTTCCCTCTCTTTCCTCTTCTCCCTTATTCCCTCCTTTCTCCTTTCCTCCCTTCTTTGCTTTTTCATTCTTTCCCTCCCTCTTTTCATCCTTTCTCTCTTCTTTTTTTGGTGAGAAAAGTTTTGGTGCATAAAGGAGTGTTTTTCAAGTTAACTGAAAAATTTTCTCACATGTACAAAACCTAATTTTCCAGGAATGTTCTATAATTGAAGAACCTAAAACACACTGATGTTTTTGTAGAGATCATTTCAATGTAATGAAGACTGCTTGAGCTCCAAATGTTTGTCAGCACTGTGCTAGGCACAATTGCTGCCTTGAGGAACTTATGGTCTTGTAAGTGTGACAAACCCATAGGAGATAAGTACATATAACAGAATGATTGTTGACAAGACATCTATTTTGTGGTATTGAATGATTCTCTATAGAGAAATATTCATCCCTGAAACAGAGAAGTCCAGGCACTGAAAACCATTTATAACAGGAAGCAGAGTTTTATTATGCAGAATACAGCAAAGTCCTGATGCTCACATGATGCACATGACGAGACTTTCTAAATTTTCTTTCAGAACATTCTCATTTATCTTTCCAGGATCCTCATCTTTCTTATGAGAAAAAAGAGAATAAATCTCTTATTTTAAAACTGATTTCATCTAAATAGTTTAAGATGGATCTTTTCAAATTACAGAATCAGAGCCATAGGATGACAGATGTGTACCTATCTGTGGGATCAAACACTCGATATCTTTCCTGTAGTCAGAGGGCCTGATCCTGCTGGCCCAGCTTCAAGACCAAAGTCCAACCCAGATTAAGAGGTGGAAGAGCAAGTTTCAAGTCCCAGCCCTGACATTTACTGGATCTATGACCTTGGGCCAGTCATCTGTGTGACACCCCTTCCCCCACTTGACAGGTAGGAGATATTCAATAAATGTTGAACCAAGCATCTTTGTCTCATTTTCTATACCTGAAAAACGTGAGTAGATGCTGTTGTGAGAATATAGTAAATGAGATAACGCAGGTGACAAGCCTTTGTTAATGGTAAAGGACAATACAGATTGGGGAGGATTGACTGGCACACATATGTGGTCATGTCAATGCTGAGTTGATTTTCTTATCCCCAAACTGGATATAAGATTCATGGTTAAAGTACGGCTGTTTTTTTTTTTTTTTTCTTTGTGGGAGGTGGTTAACCTCAACAAGGTTCATGCTGTTTTTTGATGACAGGATATTGGAGGAAATAGGATACTCTTTAGAGTCAAATGAGAGGAGTGGAAAACAAATCATCTCCACTGGCAATGCTAGTGAGGTCTAATGAAAAACAAGGGCTGTCTTTTATCCAATGATCATATTTTCTTCCAGAGCATAACCTAATTGTATTATTGAATGTTCTGGAGCCCTCCTCACTTATTAAACTATTATAATCCTTTACTTATGGGTTTCAAGATATCATTATGGTCTCCTCCCCCTAATGAAATGAAAGGTTTTAACTGAGTTAGCCCATCAACAGTCCCTGATGAAGCCTGACAGATCTCTTTTTGGACTAAATAGGCTTGATAAAAATAATGCCAGGGCCACATTCTTTCTCTAAACTCACTTTCCTGAGCTAAGCGAGTGATCAGAAAGCATTTATGATATCTTCAGAGTCAGAATGGAATTAGTACACCTATGGGTCCACCTCCTAGAGACCTGTACGGAATCTAACACTCTTGAAAACTTCCTTGTGTGGACTGAACTGCAAGACTCGGCCTTCTGAGTGGGTGGGTGTTGAGGGTCTGATCTGAAGACAGGCAGGAGGGAGAAGACAGAGCAGCCCCTTCTTGGAGTTCCCCTGGGAGACGTACACAGATGGTTGCTACACTATGCAGTTGGTGGGAATGAAAGTCCCTTTTGTGAAGGGAAGGTCCTGATTTTGGTCACTTATTGGAGTCCCTGGCAGAAGTGGCCATTAATCAGAGTCAGCTTCTTAATCTGGCTGGTAAAGCTGATAGATTTCCAAATCTTGGGTCAGGAGAGAGCAAACTGGGGTGGGTGGCACTTAAATGCACAAAGTGATGAGGTCACAGATGGATTTTGAGGGTGGACGTGGCAAAAGTGGGGGCTGGAGCAAGAAAGCCCAGCAGGCAGGTGCTGTTAAGGTGCTAGAGGGTGGCAGGAGCGATTGTTGAGTCTACCATCTGGGCTTCTCCTTCCAAAATTCACTCCCCTTCCGCAGATGCCAATGCTTCTCAGAGGTTTATAGAACCAAAAAGAACCTGCACTCCAACTGTTGATGATACCGATGAAGTGTCCTTCATTTTCTGTTGAATGAATATGGTCATTTTTCTTTAACAGAATATAAAGACTTGTTTTATTAAGCACGTTCTATCTTTCAGACATCCTGCTAAAGTTTTGTATGCATTATTGTCTTTTATATTTATTACAGTCCCTTTGAGTTAATTTACTATTTGTAGATAAGGAAACGGAGGCTCAGAATGGTTGAGTAACTTGCCCTCTGTCACACATCTCATTTCTACTCAACACAATAAAAAGGCCCATTATTCATGTATTCAGTCCATGAATTCTCCTTGAGATGCTTACTATATGGAAGCCAGAAATACTAGAAGCTCACCACCCTGTTTCTTTTGGACTTGGCTTCATTTCTTTGTAATTTGCTCAGCTAACCTAAAAGCTCCTGGACAAACCCTGAATAATATTATTTTGAAAAGCCTCCAGGGAAGAAAGTTTTTTCAGTTTTCTTGGTAACTTAAGATTCCCATAACTTCTAGGGATTTCTTAAGGGCTAACCTATGACCATTTTGCTACAGTTGAAACCAATTCCTCATGATAAGTGGAGAACAGCCAGAGCTGGAGGGAAGTCTTTGAGAACAACCTGTCCTTGGAGGAAGGTAGATGTTGTTAGCAATGAGCTGGAGCCACAGGGTCAAAGGATACTAGAGCTAACTGGAACCTCAACAGACAACACGACTCTAACTCCCCCACTTTCCAGGAAAGAAAATGAGCTGGGGGAGAATGAACCTTTCCCCCAAATCACTGAGCTATGTCATGGCAGAGCTAGAACCAGTGTTTTGGGCTGCTTATTTCCAGGGAGGCAGAATACGTGGGAGAAATAGCCAGAGCTTTGAAGGCAGGCAGGTCAGGATTCAAATCCTTGTTCTGCATTTCCTAGCTGTAGAACTGGGCAGGCTTTTCAATTGTATATATTTTGTGCCTTGGTTTATTCATCTGTGAAGCGGGCCTGGTAAATGCGATAATGTACGTGAGTCCCTGTGGCACAGCAGGGACTCAATTAATATTTCTTTCCCTACTCAGGACCCAATCTTTTTATTGACTGTATTCGTTAATGTACAAATCACACCAAAACGTAGTGACTTGAAACAACAATGATCATTTACTTTCTCTAACAATTGCTGTCGGTCAGGAATTTGGGAGGGGCTTGGTTGGGTGGTTCTGGCTTGAGAGTCTCTCATGAGGTTGCAGTCAGATGTCAGCTGTGACTTGACTGAAGAGGGAACATTCAACATTAAGAAGTCTCACTCCTTAATGGCAAATTGGTGCTGGCTGTTGGCAGTGGGGCAGCGGGGTGGAGGGAGGTGTCTCAGCTCTTGTCACATGGGCCTCTCTATAGGACTGCCTGAGTAACCTCACAACATGGTGTCTGAATTCCCCTGGAGTGAGTGATCCAAGAGACCAAGGTGAAATCTGCAATGCCATTTGTGATTTATCCTTGAAATTCACATACTTCTGCTATATTCTATTGGCCACACAGGGCCAATCCTGATTCACAGGGTGAAGGGACCATACAGGGCACAAATATCAGGAGAAGAGGATCACTGGTGGCCAGCTGACATACTACCCCACAAATGAGGGCCTATTCCTCAACTCACAATCATGCAAGGGTGTTATGTCCCCACTTGACTTCCTGTGTCTTGAGTGTTGTTAGTATTTTCAAAAGTCACCCATAGATCCTCAAGGAAGACAAGGACTGTACCCTCCTGAGCATGTTCTGAAGTTCTGGGAACACTGCTTATAATTAGCCAAGCAATAATTCCCACCACTGAGCTGACTCCAAGGCTCATCTGCTTGCTTTTCTGGAGGTTTTTAAATAGACAGGGATGTGTTAGTGACACAGTACATTATCTGTCTGTTACCATTTTGGCAGGCAACGTAGAAACGTGACTTTTTAAAGGAAGAGTTAATCAGTGTTAAGGCAGCTCCTACGGCACAGGCATGCAGCAGTGCTACAGACTGCCTGGGAAGGCTGGGGCTGCAGAACACCAGGGCCCTAACGTCATGCCCTTTGAGTGTCCCCTGGGCATGACCTGGAAGCAGAGCTGGATGAGACACTGCTGGAGCTCCTGGTGCCCTGGCTCAGCTGGGCTCATTACTACTGACATCTTCCCACTTCCTCTTCACTTGGAAAGCATTGAATCTGCTCCCAAATTCAGCATCATTCCCAAGGAGGAAGCCTGTGAAGTGCGATTCTTGCTTATTTGCTGATGACTTTCAAATCTGTATGTCTACTCTGCCCCCCCACCAAATCTATCTCTTGAGCTCTAAACTACTCACTGCTCATTTTCATTTGGATGTCCTACAAGCATGTTGAAAGCTGAACTCATAATTTTCTTCTCACCCAAATTTCCAAATCCTCCTGTGTTTTCTACCTCAGTAAATGACACCACCATTCTTTCCATTGCCTAAGCCAGAAACCTAAATTGTATGACATGATGATTAAGAGGGAAGGATAAGAGGATTGGAGCTTTTGTGCCTGTCCTGAATCTCAGCTCTGCCATTTATAAACTGGTGGTCTTTGAAAATTTGCTTTGCTTAATGTCTCAGTTTCTTCTTTTGTGGAAATGGAGATAATAATAGAAATAAAGAAAATGGTTAGGAGAATTAAAAAAGGAAGGTGCTTGGCATATAGCAGGAACTCAAAAAGTGCTCTAGAAATCGTTAGACTCTTTGGATTCTATCTCCTAAATATTTCCTGAATTCACTCACTTCCTTATATTTGCCATCCCCAGCCTCAGGCACCATCATTGCTCAGCTGTACAATTGCTTCTTGATAAGAAGAATCTGCAGCCAGAGAGATAGTTCAAAAGTACAGATATGGGGGATGTTACATCCCAGCTCAGCTCCCACATCCTCTTGTTCTTAGGATTTGAAACAAATTCTTTACATGGCCCAAAGGGCTCTGTGGGCTTTGACCCTACTTCCTCTCCAGCCTCACACCCTTTCCTTTTACTGACCTTCTTTTATTTCCTCTGATGGAGAATGCTAGCTCTTACCTTCAGGCCTCACACTAGCTCTTTCCTCTTCAAAGAAAAATTCCCCCTGTTAAGCCCTTTCTCAGCATTCACTGTAGATCTTATTGTTGAGAAAGAAAGGGAGAGGCAGGTAGAGGTGAATCAGATAAAGATGTTTGTCGCTTCCTTTCACACTACTCCTAGGCCTTCTTGGTTGATTTTTGACTCTTAGGTTTCTCAGTTGTCTGAACGGCTGTGGATGGAGGATTCCTTAGGTCTGATCTTGGGTTTTCCTGGATGTACCCTGTGACACCTCTGACCCTGCCCCCTCTGCCCGGCTCTCATTCCTTTTCATCCTTTAATCTCGGCTAAAGATCACCTTTTGGGAAACAGGTTCAGATCTGCTGGTCTTGGCCAGGCTCCTCTCATCTCCTACCTCAGTCTTGCTGGTTATTCTTTCCTCACCTCCTCCCTCAGTCTTGATGGTTATCCTCTCCTTACCTCTTCCCTCAGTCTTGCTGGCTATCCTCTCCTCGCCTCCTCCCTCAGTCTTGCTGTTTATTCTCTTCTCAACTCCTCCCTTAGTCTTGTGACTAATCTTCACTCACCTCCTCCCTCAGTTTTGCTGTTTATTCTCCACTCATCTTCTCCTTCAATCAATAAGGCTTTGCTGAAATGACTTGGTCATCCACAGCTCAGGCTTACCTCTATGTCCTCTGTGGCTCTGTAGTGACTGGTGCTTAATAAACATGTGTTGAATTAATACATGAATGGGTTGCTACAACTTTTCAAGTCTATATGCTATGAATATCCAAAGGGCTACCAACGCTGCCTCTTTCTAATATTTTACTCTTATTTAAGAAGTGGGTACACAAATCAAATTCTTAGCTTGAGTGTGTTTGACAATTCCCTGAAAAAAAAAATGACATCCAGAATTCCTGTTTTTCACCCAGCAGATATTTTTTGAGCATTTCATATGTACCAGGAGATACTGAAGATGTAAAGTATGACATAGTCTCAGGCTTCCTATTGTCACAGAGTTTTCAGTCAATAATTAAATGAGGTATTGGGCAAACATTTGTTGAATGAATGAATAAATGATGAATAAAAGTATTTAATCTTAAAAACAAAACATTTTAACTTTATAATTGTTTAAAGACAACTGAATGTGTGTTGCTATTGTGCAGTTGGAAACCTATATTCAAATTCATTCATTCATTTATTCATTCATTCAAATTATAGTTATTGAGCATCTGTTACATTTTGAGTACATGAATATCTACTGGTTTCTGGATTTGAGCCATTAACCCCACCCAAACTGGAAAAATATTATGGGCCCTTCAAGACCAAATGAAATGTCAACAAAAAAGAGCTATTTGCAATGCAAATGTGAAGTCACCAGTCTTTGTAATAAACAGGCTGAGGAAAAAAAAACCATGCAAGCTTTTTGGGAGATCAGGCTTAGTAGTTTTGATGAATTACAAAAGCAGTGAAAATCTGGGAACTTCTAATTTGTTTGTCTTCATATCTAAGGTCAACAGCATCAATCTGTACTTGGGCAGGCCTGCCAGATCATTAGGCCTATCTGTAAACCAACCAGTTTCTGCCTGTAGGTCAGTGATTCTTAGCCTTTTATAGGACACACACCCTTTGGAGGATCTGCTGAAAGCAACAAATCCTCTCCCAGGAAAATGTAGGCTCTTATTGTTTCAAGAGCTGGAAATCTCCATTTGCGTCACTTTTAATCACAGCCCTTCTCTCTGCAGGAACCTGGTACAGTTTCCTCAAGGGGCTGAGCTAGAAGTTAATTTGAGGGATTCTCCATTCGCATTGACTCCATCTTACCATAGGTTCTTTCCTCAGTGGTGTTAAGAGAACTTGCAGTATGCATTTCTTCCAGTTCTTTGGTGGGGGAGGACTGTCTTAGAATGACGTGGTTAGATGTCGGCCCACCCTATATGGTCATTGTCTTAATCAAATCAACCAAACCCTAGCTGTCCCACCCTTCATCCTAGACAGATACTGTGGATGTGCCAGGAATGGGTCAGAGGCACACAGGCATGTCATTGTTTATTAAAAACCCTGATTGCTCTGTGCCTGATTTGTATCTGAGCTCTCCTGATGTCTTCTGTCCCTGAAATCCCTAGGAATTTTCCGGCCTGACTCAAAATGCATGGTAGCTTCGGTGACATGCTGTTCCTGGCAGACACTCTGACACCTCACTCCAGGTGGGAGGACCTCAGGCCAGGGCTGGCAAAGAGCCACTACCAGCTGGAGCTGCCAAGGTCAAGGCCTGTGAACATGCCCACCCGGACTCTGCCAGCCCTAGGCTTTCACAATTCACCATTTTAGCTTCCCAGGGTTTGACAAAAACCCAGCTTTTACACTGCAAGCGTTGCATGAAACTGCCTGTTTGAAATATATTAGCAGCTGCTGTCATATCCAGCTGGCAGGGCGCCAGAGAAGGAAATTAAACTGCACTTCCCCAGCCTTCCCTACCTCCTGTTAACCAATCGATTCTGTTCAGTGTGCGCCTGAGAGTGCTAAGTCTTGCCACTTGCCAGGACCATGGTGCTTGGAGTTCTCGGTGAATTCAGATGCCCATTGAGCCTCTGCCAACTCACTGATGGGCCCAGAGAATCTAACATTATCCCATGGAGAAGGATCCTAGCCTGCCCAGTGTTGGACCCTGAAGTGAGAGGGGCCTATGGACAGACAAAGAAGGGATGTGGTTGCCCACATGCCAATTGGACTTTTCAATGACAGGGAGGAAATAATTTATAAAAGTCAGAGAAGTGATATGTAATATATGCCAACAGCTTAAGAAATCAGCATGTGAGTAAAAAATTATGGTTCTATCTATTCTATAACAATAAAACTAAAATCTTTCATTGAGAGAAAAATAACAAGTATATTAAGTGTCTTCTTATGGAGACTCCTACTACTACCATGCCCAAGGAATCTGTCCCTCTTTTCCCAACCATTTTACCCAGGTCTGCTGGAGGCCACAGTGGCATGGAAGGCCCCTCCTGGCCACTAGTTTACCATCCACTAGGGCAGACAGCAGCCATACACATTATGCCTGCAACACAGAATGTGATAAACACTTGCTTAAGAGAAGAAGTATTTACACTGAACACAGGGGCACAGCTCACACCCATCCATTTGTCCAGCAGACTTTTACTGAGCTCTTACCATATTCCCAGAACGATTATTGCATTTGGGATTCAAAGATGAAAACAAACACGTAGTCTCTACCCTCAAGGAGTTTATAGTTAGTATGGAGATAAGAGTACAACTTTTGTAGAGAAAGACTTGGGTTCAAGTCCAAGCTATGCTTTTTAGCAGCTGAATAACCTTGGGCAAGTCACTTTTTTATTCTCAGCCTCCATTTCCTCATTAACAAAATGGAGG
The DNA here is from genome assembly GCF_000001405.40 of Homo sapiens. NCBI lineage: Eukaryota > Metazoa > Chordata > Mammalia > Primates > Hominidae > Homo > Homo sapiens. The sequence continues at coordinate 166,034,194 of NC_000001.11, forward strand.
AGTATGAGAAAACCTCAAAGGGGTGGTGAGGATGAAATGAGATTAGGCATGTGTGAGGTTTTGTAAGAAAGTGGTAAAGCACTGGATAAATGGGAGTTATCTTGGCCCTCGGGTGGGTTGAGAGCTTGGCAGGCTGATGGAGGTCTCCTGGCTTGGAGACCTCTCTGTAAGACCTGACTACTTCCTCTGCTGGGATCTGGGGATCCTGCAATCTCAGGGCTGCAGGGAGGAAGCCTGGGCACACCACCCATTTCTCTGCCTGCTGGACATGCCTTCTGGGGAATAGGACCTCCTGTCTATACAGCCAACCTAATTCTCCTTGTTAAAACATCTAGAACCCTGGGAGGGTCCTACCAAGATGTGGTGTAAAACCTGCTGAGAATCTGGCCTCTTATTTATTTATTATTTTTAACTTTTATTCTGGAAAATTTCAAACATATACAAAGGTAGAGAAAATAGTGTAATGAACTCCTATGTACCCATCCTGTAATGCCAACAATTATCTATACATATGAAAAATTGTTTCACCCATAACCCCACTACTCGTCCTGTACCTTGGATTATTTTAAAAGAAAGCATTTTAGAAAACATAATTACATAAGAGTGTTATTGCACCTAAAATTAAAAAAATTATTTATACTATCAAATATTTTGTCAGAGTTTACTTTTCCCTGATTGTCTTATAAATGGTTTTATGAGGTATATTTTAAAAAATCAGAACATGAATAAGGTCCACACAATGTATTTTGTTGCTGTTTTGGCATGTGTGTACGCTGATGGAATGACCTGATAGGGAGGAGAAAGCTGTAGATGCAGGAAAGTGAGAGGATAATTCAGGATTAAAGTGCTCTTGAATATGCCGGGTCCAGAGCACAAGTGGAGAAGCTGACTTTAGAGAGGAGTGGAGATACTTTTCCAACTAAACAAAGGAGGAGACAGGGTATGCAGCTTTAGAGGCAGGCAGATGGGAAGGTGGGGCAATTCTTATCTGATGGCTTTTATTTTCTCAATAAAGTGTGATGAGAATAAGAGAATTGATTTGACCTGACAAGAGTGAGAGGACTACTCAGAACCATCTTCATTTGATAAATAAAGAAAGCAAGGACCAGAGAAAAGATCTGCCCAAGGTTCCAGAGCTCGTTAAGGACAGGCAGAACCTAGGTCTCCTGTTCCCATGGCTGCGTTCTTTTTACTAACCCTTTTTGTTTTGTTTTGTTTTGTTTTGTTTTTGTTTTTGTGTTTTTTTTAAGATGGAGTCTCACTCTGTTACCCAGGCTGGAGTGCAATGGTGCCATCTCGGCTCACTGCAACCTCCACCTCCTGGCTTCAAGTGATTCTCCTGCCTCAGACTCCCGAGTATCTGAATTACAGGTGTGTGCTTCCGTGCCCAGCTAATTTTTGTATTTTTAGTAGAGACAGGGTTTCATCATGATGGCCAGGCTGGTCTTGAACTCCTGACCTTAGATGATTCACCCTAACTGCTAATAAATAGGAAAGCACATGGTTCTCTGGCCTTCCTCTAGTGATGGGTGGCTAGGCTGTGGTGGACCAACAGGGGTGGCATGTCCCTGAAGATTGTCATTTATATTCCCAGGATTGGCTTGGGTGAGTCTAGACATTGAGTAGCATAAATGCAAGAGCTTGGTCAAGGATGGGGCTTGGAATTACAGAATTTCAGACTTAAAGAGAAATCTGAGATCCATGCTTGCTGCTAGAATGTCCCCTTCAATCCTCTTAAAGGAAAATAGCATCCTTCGATCCTCTGTAAAGGAAAATAAAAAAATCTCAGGACCCCCCAAACTCTTTATGCAAAAGGGAAGGCTAAGCCTGGAGACTGAGTCATGCAACACCCTCCTCCAAATGAATAGCTATTACTAGCATTATGCATCAGCAGGCGACTCCCAAGACCCATGCTCCTGGCCAGAATGTTCCTTACAACATGCTCCAATCCTCCAATGAGTGGCCGTCCAACTACTGTTTGAGCATGCACAGTGCCCGGGCACTCACCACCTCTCAAATGGTGTACCCTACTGTGAGACATCTCTAATGGCGAAAAAACATCAGGCTAATGTTGTATTGAAATCAGCTTCCCTATAATTTCTACCCACAGAGCCTAATTCTGCCTCTGAAGCTACACAGCGAGACTCATTTCTCTTCCTCCTGACAGCCCTCCAGTGACTCGAAGCTGCCTCTCAGGTCCTCCTGCTGAGATGTGACACAGCTTCTGAGCCTTGAGAGAGAGGCTGTCCCCAGGACAGAGACTTCTCAGTTTTTGCTACTTGCTCTGTGGATTCCAGGCAATACCCTCTGCTGTCTGTTCCATTTTCTATTTCTTAAAAGTGCTTTCTCATTTCATTTCAGTACCTTGGGACCCAATCAAAGTTCCCTACTACATCCTGCTTCTCTTCCAAGTATCTTGCCTGTTTTCCCTTATGTGCCCCAGGCACACCCCAGGGCCTGCTAGAAAGAGACGTGCTTCTTCCTTCTACGTTAGAGCCCCACAAAGAGCTCCAGAGTGCCAGTCAGGAGGCTCCTACTCCCCTGACTCATGACAATCAGGAGTACCTTGGCTTAGGAAATGCCCCTCAACGCAGCAGACACAGAAGTGCAATCTTGACTGGAATCCTTACACTTACCCCTCGCAATTCAAATCCTCCCCACACATCAAGGTTTAACCTCTGGTCCTCTGCATCTGAGAAGCCTTACCAACTACGCTAATCTATGCTAACTTCCTCTTCTTTGGCAATCTTAATCTTAACGTGAGAGGTATATGAGGAGAGAGAGGGTGCCGCAGGGCTTCTGTTCCTGTGAGGAGGAATATTTTATCACAGATAATAAGAGTTGTAAAAATGGTGATAAGAAAAAGCAGACCTCCACTGAGTCACCCTATTGTTTCTAAATCCTCAGTGCACACTGTACCCCCTTATTGTGTGCACTGGGAGGGATGGGTGCTCCAGTGCACCCACCTGCTTGGCACACCATGGCTTCACAGTGACTCACAGCTTGCCATGTGGTTTCTGCAACTGTTTCATGTGCCTTAGTTTTCTTCCCCTAGTGAGGGAGAAGTCACTGATGGCTGGAATGAGTCTTACAGTTTTTACCCGCTCCTTCTGAGCCTGGCCCAATCCTGGGTTCGCAATCGCCACTTAACAGAGAATTGCCTGATTTCATGAGTTAATAATTAGAGTGATCCTCCTTTCCCAGCAATTCCACAGCAGTGCTCTTCCCTTGAAGTCATCCCTCCTGATCTGCTTTGAGGAGAGGGATTGGAGTGTGTGTGTGTGTGTGTGTGTGTGTGTGTGTGTATGTGGATAGTGAAGGAAGAGGGGTCATGTGCGTGAGTCGCACCTGCACACCCACTGCTCCTGACTGTAGGAGGAGACAGAAATGGGCTGTTATCTGGCAGGCTGGGTCTGCGCCTACCCAGAATTCCACAATCTAATAAGGACAGGAATTTGATTTTGTTCCTCTTCTCTCATCCTTTCCCCTTCTTACCCCAACCTTCCTTTCCTAATTACTTTGATGGGATTTCAAAGACCAGAGCATCCCTTGCCTGACCTCAGCAGTCCCTTTGATTTCATTTTGATTTTGCTCTGATGGGGCTTTTAACCTGTTGTAATTATTTTCCCAAAATGCCTGCAGTCCCCAGTGCTCACAAGCTAATTATCTGCAGAGCATGTATGGAGTGATCTGTCAGCTGCTGATGGATCTGGGACTCTGCAGGCCCTTGTCTATTGGTTAGGTACTAGGGGCTCTGGCTGAACAGCTTTGCATCACTCTTTCAGGGTTTTGGCCTATGGGAGGTTTGGTAAGGGCCTCATTCCTTACTAAGGCTGGTTGTCTATGAGCAACACCCAATAATCAAGAGTAAGCTCTTCTTGGATATTCATTCCAACCACATGGTGGTTAGTCTGCTTCCTGGGAATGAGGCCATGATGGGAAATAATTTAATTCATGTATTTACTCAATTCATTCCTTCATCTATTCAACATCTTTTGACCGCCTACTATGTGCTAGGCATTAGGCCAGATGCTATGTGTCTGACATAAAAATGAATGACAAACAGCCTCTGTCCTCAGGAAACTTGGTCTGGTTGAGGAAATGACAAGCACACAAGAAAATTATATATATTATAAGGGAGGCATAGATAAAATGCTACAGGAGTTCATAGATAAGAGGGGAAATTTACTTTTCAATAGGGGAGCAGGAAAGTCTTCTTGAGACAGGACATGTTTAAGCTGGGCCTGAAGAATGGGTTTAATCTGGACACAGGGAGGCAGGGGCAGAAGAAGCCCTTTGCATACACGAGTCTGAGGACTCTCCTGAAGGCCAATCAGTGGATCTGGCTTCTTCAAGCCCAGCTGCAGGGTCTCTCCAGAAAACTTTGCTAACTTCCTGTCTGCCACCCAAGTCCTCACTCCCTCCCTACTGGAGCAATGCTCTTCCAAAAGCTGATGCTCAAGGTGAAGGTCATGGCGTGTCATAGGCCCGTGGTTCCACACTCTTCTCTTTTCTAGCCCAGCTCACAAAAACTGAGGAAATGCCTTATTTCCAAATCCCACCCGCTTACTTCCCACCATGCCCTCCACAGGGACTGGATGGGTTGCTCTGACATTTCAGCGATGTTGCCACCACAGACTGAGGGCCTGCAGCACACCCACCCATGCCCCGCCCCTGCTCCTGGGCCCGGCCCTGACCAGTGCTACTTCTCAGCTTTGTTCCTTTGCTTAGCCTCTCACTCCTTTTGAGAGCTGACTCCTTACATCCTTCAACACTCAGCTCCAGTGCTGCTCTGCTTAGGGATTCTTCGCCCTCAACCCAGGCTGGCTTACGTGGCCCTCTTAGGGTTCCCATAGACGCCATCATTGCCCAGAGCTGCAACATGTTCAGATGATCGGCTTGTGCTGGTCCCTCTGTACTGTCAGGTCTCTGAGGCAAGGAACTCTGTATGTTTGCATTCCTGGTGGATACACAGTAAGTGCTTAATCGGTGTACGTTGGATGAAGAAATGCAGGTAGGACCCTCTAAAGCAGGTGCCTCTATAATATATGCACAACATTCTGGGATTAGGGATTGAAGAGAAGGACTTTGCAAATTTTTCTTCAAGTTTTCATGATATTCAACAGATGTCTCTGCTCCGGCCATATTCTGGCCGGTCAGAGGGCCCTGGGAACAAGCTCAAAAGTGAGAAAGGCTTCCTGGATGTGATGAGAGGCAATGGTGAATAGTGGCCTATAGGCCTGGGGGCTGGGAGACCTGCATTCTCATCGAACTCATCCTTTACCTGGGTCTCAAGAGACTTCAGGAGGGGATAAACTAGTTCAGCGGTTCTCAAAGTGCAGTCTCCATATCTCAAAGTGCTGTCTCCAGATCAGCAGCATCAGCACTGACTCAGAACTTGTTGGAAATGCAAATTCTCAGACCCCACCCTAGACCTTCTGGATCCGAAACTCTACAGGTGGGGCCTGGCAATCTGTGTTTTAACAAGTTGTCTAGGTAACGCTGATACACACACACATTAAAGTCTGAAAACCATGGGACTAGCCCAGTGCTCCTGAAACTGTAATGTGTATAAGAATTATTCAGGGAACCTATTTAAATGAAGATCCTTGGACCCTACCCCAGAAATTCTAGTTTGGAAAGTCAGACGAAAGCCCAGGAATCTGCACCTTGAACAGATTTGCCCTGGGAGATTCAGAAGCAGGTCTACAGATGGTATTTTCATCACTGATGTAGGAGATGACCTCTGGGTCACTATGACCCCTGTCACAGTGATGGTCTCTGGTACTGATTGGCCAGGAGCTGTGGGTACAATGAGCAGCAGAAAGGCAGGCCTGGGGGCGGATGCTCAACCTGCCTTCCAATTGCTTGGGAGAGGCCCTCGGTCATAACAATGGGGACTGCGTGCCATGAGACAGGACTACCTGAAATGAGGCAGTCTTTCCCAAAAATAGCAGAGTGGTACCAAAGGGAAGGGTGTAGGACTTCCGCCCCTTTAAACACCCTTGTAATTTACATTTAAAAATAGAAAAAGCTCATGAATAATTTGTGAGTCATGAGCAAGCCCCTTCAAAATACAGTCATGAATAAAATATCCCGCTTTACCTCCTCTAATGGCACTGGCCTTTGATGTTTTATTGATGGATTCCTTGCCCTGAGTGCTAGAAGGCTCCTGGATTTATTCAAGGCACTGGGGCCCTCCCACCTGGAAGGTCCGTGGGCTTGCCCTTTCTGGCTTTCTGGCTTGCTTACACATAAATACACCACCTTGTTTCAGGCAATTCAAAGGAGTGGCCTCAGATTCCTTTGGAACCGAAAGCATAATTACAGGGATGTGGGAACCCCCGACCTGGGCCCACTGAGAGGGTGGGAACCAAGTCACCAGAAGCCTTTGTTTAAAGCCAGGTGAGTTTTTAGAGCAGCTGCAAGTGTATCTCCCGTTTTATTGCTTCTTGAGAGGCTAGGAATGGAAAGCAGATATTAAAAAGCTGTAAATAACAATCTCCTATAGGCAGAGCAATGCCCCAGAGACACAGGCCCCATCTAAACAGAGGCTTCTGCCTGCCCTGAGAGGCTTTTGTGTGAAACAAAGGCAGAAACCCCGAGAAAGAGCTATTAAAGACAGTCCCTAATGAAGGAGGGTGTAGAGGGAGGTGTGGCTCTGTATCCACCTAGGGAGTCTGTAGAGCCAGGCTGCTGCCAGAGCCCGTTTATAGGCAAAGCCCGAAGGCTAGAGTAAATGTGGTCTGCACAGGTGTAGGAAAGAGTGTGGGAGAGGAGGAGGGGACAATCTCATGCCTTTCTTTATTAAAAACACATAAAATAAACCTTATAAAATGAAAAAGTTCCATGGATAAAAAAGGATAGTGAGAATGAAAGACTCAAAGGCACTGGATGTAGGTGTCTTGACTGAGATGTTACCCTACCTTTCCAGAAGATGACCTCGATGCACTGGGAATTCATCTGAGGCAACAGGGAGCTGAGGTGCCTTGGGTCTGTCCTGGGACTCTGAGTGATTATTGGAGGGTTGAATAGTTTTGGAGTGGGCATCCTACAAATGCCTGTAATGTAGGATCTTGGGTCATGTCTTGAGTTTGTTAAGAAAGGAAGCTATAAGAATCAAGGAAGTGGGGAGTGGGGAGAGAGAAAAGAGAGAGAGAGAAAAAGCAAGTGCACAAAGCCACCATTCTGGGAACCCTACAATGGGAGTTGTAACAGATGGAGACAGCCCTTCAGAAGCCTGGCCATGTCAGTGTTGATAACTCTGGTCATCACTGTGGTTCTGAAGGGGACAACACCAAATCTAGTGGTGATGAGAAGAGCCAAGGGATCCCAAGTGCATGGCAGAAGCCACTAAAGGCAATCAGGCTGGGGCATGAGATCGCCTGGACCTCCAGAGGACTGTGGTGGTCAAAAGGAGACTGTGTTGGTCAAAAGCTCCCTTGGACCTGCTGAGAAGAGAGGAGGTTTGGAGGTTTTGCATTACTGGGATTCACCTGGTGGGACCTAGAGCCAGTGCTTTTTCTGCTACCATTTATGTGGCAGGGGGAGGGTTAGCCACAGCCCTCGGTTGTTTATGGGAAGGCTTGTCTAGCCTGGTGAATTGAGGGTCAGGCAGGGTATACAGTCCCTGGACACATACAGGCATCTTCACTCTTTCAGGTTAAACTTTTTGCCCGCTGGGCATTCAGGGATAAGCAGGGGGCACTCTCCATTTAACACCTTAATCCCAATGCCCTGAGGCCACCATCAAGTCAAATGCCCCTGTAATCTGCAGGTTTGTAGGCACTGTTCCTGGGCCAGGCTTCCTTAATGGGTGTCAGTTCAAGGTAAGGAGAAGAGGCCCTTAGCACCAGAAGGCGTTGAATAGTCGTTGCACTGCTCCATAGTTTGATCCAGGGTCTTTCAAAGGTCCCTGGAAGGGAAAAGGGGTTCTGGAGAGAGAGGAGGACTGTTTTACACCTGTTTCTCACTTTAGCATCTGAATTCTGTCAACACACCTGGAATCTTTGCTCCTTCTAGGATTCTTTAAAAGTCATCAGGGCCCTCAGTCTACAGCCATACCTCCCTGAATGCTCCTGATCTCAGAAGCTAAGCAGTCAGGTGTGGTTAGTACACAGATGGGAGACCACCTGGGAATACCTGGTGTTTTAGGCTGAAAAAAAGAAGTCATTAGAATCTAGGTGGTCAAAGAAAGACAAACTGTGAGTATTAGAACAAGCCTAGCTTAAGGTAGAACTGTAAAGGTGTCCAAGATTTTTTTACTCCTCTGTTCTTCTTTTTTCTTTTTTTGAGACAAAGTCTCGCTTTGTCACCCAGGCTACAGTGTAGTGGCATGATTTTGGCTTACTGCAGCCTTGACCTCCTGGGCTCAAGCCATCCCCCCACCTCAGCCCCTCAAGTAGCTGAGACTATAGGCATGCACCACCATGCCTGGCTAATTTTTTTTTTTTTTTGTATTTTGTGTAGAGATGGTGTTTTGCCATGCTGCCCAGCCTTGTCTCAAACTCCTGAGCTCAAGTGATCCACCCACCTTGGCCTCCCAAAGTGCTAGGATTACAGGCATGAGCCACTGTGCCCAGACCCCTCCATTCTTCTTTAGAACTTGCTTTGCCCACTTTCCTGGCCATCAGAGCTTCTGGGTACCCCAGTTCCTGAAGCTGCCCACAGGTCTGCAAACCTCACATGCAGTGCCCAGACCTCTCATCAACCCTCCTTTTCCATCAAAACTGATATGTCCCTTTGCCTCCTGACCTTTATCTCTGTTAGAGAGAATCCAGTAAATAGTTCTAGTGAACAAGTTATAGATTGAGTCACACCTACAGCCCCTGCTTATTGCCTGTGCTTTGTGCTCTGAGACACCAGCTCCCTGACTTCTCTGGTGGTGAGGGGGTTTACCTGATCTAAGGGCAGCCACTATTGGCTAGCCTACCATCACCGACATGCATCAGCCAATCAGACAGGCTTCTCCCAGCAAATCAAAAGGGAAATACAGAGAGCAGGTGGCAATCAGGAGTGGGAGCTGAAGCAGAAAGGGCATGAGGGAACCAAAGGAGAGGGACCAGAGAGGCCACGTAGTCAATGGGCAGATTGAAACTAAAGGAGCAGACACACTCAGCAGGAGAGAGAACAGAGTACACCCTTGAAGAGAGAGGCCATGAAAGAGAAATATTAAGTAGCCCATGAAAGAGGTAAAGTAGGCAGTTCCCAGAGCTTCTGCAGAGCAAAAGAAATAATCAACCGGGTGAACAGACAACCTACAGAATGGGAGGAAATATTTGCAAATGATGCATTTGACATGGGACTAATACCCGTAATCTACAAGGAATTCCAACAACTCAACAAGAAAAAGCAAATAATCCCATTAAAAAGTGGGCAAAGGACACGAACGGTCATTTTTCAAATGAAAACATACAAATGGCTAGCAAGCATAAGAAAAAATGCTCAATATCAGTAATCATCAGAGAAATGCAAATTAAAACCATAATGTTACCATCTCACACCAGTCAGAATGGCCATCATGAAAAAGTAAAAAAAAAAAACAAAACAAAAACAGATAATGGCAAAGATGTGGAGAAAAAGAAACTCATACACTGTTGATGGGAATGTAAATTAATATAACCTCTATGGAAAACAGTATGGAGATTTCTCAAAGAACTAAAAATAGAACTAACATTTGATCCAGTAATCCCACTATGGAGTATTTATCCAAAGGAAAATAACTCATTATATCAAAAAGATACCTGCACTCATATGTTTATTGCAGCACTGTTCACAATAGTAAAGACATGGAATCAACCTAAGTGTCTGTCAATGAATGACTGAATAAAGAGAGTGTGATTATACATACCATGGAATACTACTTGGCCACAAAAAAGAATGAAATCACGTCTTTTGCAGCAACATGGATAGAATTGGAGGCTACTATCTTTTATCTTTTTTTGGGGGTGGGGATGGAGTCTCACTCTGTCACCCAGCCTGGTGCAGTGGTGCGATCTCAGTTCACTGCAACCTCTGCCTCCCAAGTTTAAGCAGTTCTCCTGCCTCAGCCTCCTGAGTAGCTGTGATTACAGGCGCGAACCACCATGCCTGGCTAATTTTTGTATTTTTAGTAGAGACAGGGTTTCACCATGTTAGTCAGGCTGGTCTTGAACTCCTGACCTTGTGATCTGCCTGCCTCGGCCTCCCAAAGTGCTGCAATTATAGGCGTGAGCCATGGCACCCAGCTTGGAGGCTATTATCTTAATTGAAATAACTCAGAAAGTCAAATACCATATGTTCTCACTTGTAAGTGGAAGCTAAATAATGCAGACACATGGAAATAGAGTGTAGAATAATAGACATCAAAATCTCAGAAAGGTAGTTGGGTGGGAGTGGGGTGAGGGATGAGAAATTACCTAATGAGAATAATGTATAATATTTGGGTAATTGCTACACTAAAAGTCCAGATGTCACCACTCTATAATATATCCATGTAACAAAACTGCACTTGTACCCCCTAAGTCTATAAAATAATTTAAAAAAATAAACGTAGGCAGCCCCCATGGCTAACTTGGTCCCTGAGATGTTTCTAGTTCTAATTTTGGTTCCCATTCATATGGCTCCTTATTGTAAACTCTTCCTTATTTGAGGCTACTTGAGCAAATCTCTGCTGTAACTGAGGGAGGGAGGTCTCAACAAAATAGTGGCATAGTGTGGATAAGAGCTCCAGTCTGTCCTTTGTCCTCTGCTCACAGCTGGAACACCCTGAGGAAATGCTTATCCTCTTTCTCATCCATTCAACTATCACTTTTTGAGTACCCACCTTCAGGCATTGCTCTAGGTGCTTGGAATACTGAGTGAAAAAAACAGAGAAAGACTTTCTTACAGAACTTCCCTGCTACTGGGATGGGGATGGAGATGGAGATACAGGACAATAACAATAAACAAATTATCTGTAAGTTAGAGATGATGGGGGCCATGGGGGAAAGTGGAGCAACGTGCTGAGGATGAAGAGTGGTGATGATACTTTTAGTGAGACTGGTCAGGGCCAGTCCCATTGAGAAGGTAACATTTGACCAAAGACTTGAAGGGGAGGAAGTGAGCCATGCTGGGATTTGGGCTGTCCAATCAGAAGGAACAGTAGGGGCAATAGGAGAAATGATTGTTATGTCTTCCTTTCTGTAGGAGGGGATAAAGATAGCATATGCCATGAAGACTGAATGAGGTCACCTATCAAAACCTTCTGCTTAGAGCTGGGTGAATGTTAACAACAATTAGATTAAAAGCCAGTTAACATTAGTGTACTTGTTTCCAACATAACATTTAGATTTGATGCCTTAACCCAAAGGCGTGAGCAGGGGGAGAATTCTGGGCCTTCTGGTGAGGCAGGAGTGAGATGCTTTGGTGCCTTGAAGCCTTTCAGGCCTGTGTCTACTCTGCCTCCACACAGGCCAGAGAGACGCTTTCCAATAGAAGTGGGGCTGAGGGCTATGGGGAGCTTTTCAAAATGCATGGGCCTGGTTCCTCTCCTCCTGTGTCGGTGGGAAATTTAAGTGAGGGGTCCCAGCTTTGAGTATTTTGAAATACTCCTCTTCCTCCTCCTCCGCCTCCATGATTCTGATACATTCCCATGTCCTTCTCCAATCCCTGCTCACTCTGAGTGAGAAGTCCTGGGCTAGAGTCCCCAGGCAAGGTCTCCTAGAGAGAGTTCAACCCTGGCTCCAGTTACAGTGCAGAAAGACGACATCACACCCAAAGCCATTACACCCAAAGTCATATTCCTGTGCTCGTAGACCTAATGACACACTCATGGTTTCATCTTAGGAGCCCCATGACTTATAGAGGAAATGCAGGCTCCATGAACCTTGTCTGCCCCATTCCCTTCAGAAACCCCTGAAGAAAGAAGAGAATGGGGCAGACAAGGTTCATGGAGCCTGCATTCCCTGTATAAGTCAAGGCAGCAAAGGGTCAGGATAAAGTGGATTCTGTCCTGTTGGGGGTGAGCAACACCAGTGCTAGACCTTTGCCATCTGCCATAAAATTGTCACAAAATATACAAATCAATAATAATTATAATGTAAATGGCACCCTTAGAGTTGTGTGGTATACGGACTGCAGAACCAGGCATGCAGCTTGAGTGGAGGTGGGAAAGGGGCTGTCTTTCTATGGCATCAGGCTGTCCTTCCAGGGGGAAGTACATTCTAACAGGATCAAAGCCTCAAGCAAAAGGAAATCCTGGCATTTCCCACTGAGAGTAGTTTCTTGGGGGATATTTGTGCTGGAAGTAGCATTTTCTGGGGCTCCTAAGATGAGACCATGAGTGTATCATTAGGTCCATGAACACAGGAATATGGCCTTGGGTATGCAGGGCTTCACTATGACTCCAACTCATTCATTCTGCCCCTACCTATCCTACCTATACTTGGGCAAATGGTTCATTCCAGTCTCTAGGCCTTAGTGCAGGGCCAATATTCTGGTGTAAGAGTGTTGGTTTGACAGTTTTGAAAGTTGATGCAGAACGTGTGTGTGTGTGTGTGTGTGTGTGTGAGAGAGAGAGAGAGAGAGAGAGAGAGAGAGAGAGAGAGAGAGAGAGAGAGAGGGGAAGGATCATGGATATAGGCTTGAATTATGAAACAGTTAACACTCACAGGTGAGAAGAGCTCATTGCTGTCTTGACCAGGGTCTGAGAGACAATGCAGCATTAGGTATTGCTGAGACTCGGGAGGAAACAAACACCAGAAGGGAAATGGCAGATGGGGAAAAGGGAAGTGTTATTTCCAAGACAGAGGAGGGAGGAGAGGGTTCGATTTCATCTTCATGCCTCTCAGTCAGTATAAACAGAGCATCCTTTCTCTGGAACCTTCCTCCTAATCGAATCCAGATCTCCTTGGTTCAGGGTATAAACAGAAGTCAAGAACAAGGTCCAATATGGGCTTTGCAGTGCGATGACCTGGATTTTAAGTACAATACTGCCACTTACCTAGTGCACTGGAGTGAGTTAATGTCAGTGAGCCTCAGTTTCTTCACCTATAAAACCTATGGTCATTCCATTCCCTTGCAGGGTTGTCATGAAGATGAACTGAGGAAGGTTGAAGCAGTTGGCACTTAGTAAGCTCAGTAAGTGTAGTGTTTGCTGCTTCTTGAACGGGAAATACACAGGAGCAGTATAAATACCCATATCAAATGTGGGAAAGGGTGTATATAGTCATAGGATGAGTTAAAACTTTTTGAAAAGTTATTACACATACACAGAAACAATTCAAATACGGAAAAAAGGCATCTATAAAAAAATGGATCTCCTTCTTACCCATCCTCCTAGTTCCCAAGCCCCCTCTCTCAAAAGATAATAAGGTTAGTCCCTCCTGTTTGAAGAGCTACATTGCAGAATCTCCTTTATTTCATTCTTGTGCTTTAATCATCTCAACCTCCAAAATATTTATGTTGCTTTCTCTTGCCTGAGAGCCAGTTTTACAGAAAACATGATTTGAAACAAATAAAGAAGCATTTCCCACATTTGTTCTACAAAGGATTTGTTTTCTCACACCCTGATGCCCCAGACAATTACATCTGCCTTGCTGGCACCTTGAGTGGCTGCTGCTGTGCTTCTGTGTGATACTGAGAGGCAGAAGCCGGAGCTGCGAGTTATGAGGTGTGAAAGGTGCCATGTTGAGGTGGGCTTCCGTGGGCATTTGAGGAGGCTGTCACTGCACCTGCCCCACTGCCTTTTCTCACTCAAGTGTGACTTACCCTGGTAATTGGCTCCTGCAAAACAGCCTTTAGTGACAGGGGCATTTGAGAGCAAGCCTCTGGACCCTTGGGGTAGCAAATGCCACAGCTGAAATCTCTGGCAAAAGATAAGCAGCCAAAGCCAAGGAACATTTCCTCTGGGTCCCTAAAAATGCCATTGATGTAGATTCCTGCTTGGGTTCATCTTACGGGGACTTAGTACCAGTGATGGGACCCTTTCCTCCTTCCCCAGGAGAGGCTCAGCCACATGACTCCTGCAAGGTCCTCATGAAGACAAGGAGCTTGGTTGTGTCCAGTTGATTCCAGCCCTGGGAAGGTGCTGCTCCACTGCAAGCGTTTCAAGTCCCAACCTATGGGGAATGGGACTGACTGACTGTTTCAAGGGCCCTATGCCAGGCTTGTCTGTCAACTCACAGAGCCAATGAGAAGGAAAAGTAACTCCAAAAAGGAACTGTTTTGCCTTGTGTAGATGCTTCCTCCACGTGACTGCAACAATTGCCCTGACAGCACAGGTTCTAGGCTCTTGATTCTAGAATCTCATTTCCATTTGCTCAATGGACATCTCTTCTGAAGTCCAGGGGATATAGTATTGCTCCTGGCCTCAGGAACTGTAACAAACTGCAGAACAGTTACATGAGTGCAGAGGTATGTGTGAGTAGACGGAATGGCTGAGCCCTGCAGCATGAGCTGGGGCAAGGGGAGGAAGGGGCATCCACAGAGGGCACAGCTTGGGCAAAGGCCTGACGAGAACAGCACAGCATGTGCACAGAACTTAGTTCTGTCTACACATCCACAGTCTTTCCAATATTCTGAGTGTCCTATAATTACTTTTCCTTATTTTTTCCCTTCCTTCCTTTCTTGAATAAGAGTTCTGAACTCATTACCTCCATTGAGGACCTAGGAACTACTAGTTTGAAGTATCTTCATGGGGAAATTGGCTATCCAGCCAGAACATCCCCGTTTCTGAAGAAAACCTGTGGGATGTGTCATTTCAAACTCAGAAGGGCACTCAAATGAGCCCCTGGCAAGCTGAACCTTAAGGATAAGGCCTATTCCACTCCAGCCACACTGAGCCTCTACAGCTCTTGATGAGATCAGGCTCGATCCAGCCTCAGGTCCTTTGCAGGGCTCATTTCCTCTTCCTGGTAAGTGCCTTCTCTAGGTATCTGCATGACTCTTCATCTAAGTCTGTGTTTCATCTGCTACCTTCTCTTACCACCCTATTTTAAGCTCCTCAACAAACTGCATTCTTATTTCCTGCCTTATTTTCCTTCACAGCACTTACACTAACACGACATATAGTTTATGTACTAATATTCTTCATCACTCCCTAACTCCCAATTAGAATGCTAGCTCCTGAAGGTTTTGTTTGCTTTGTTCACTCCTGTGTCCTCTGCACCTAGAGCAGTGCCTGTCACATAAGTGTTACGTAGGTGTGCCCTACATAGGTGTGCCCTACATAGGTGTGCCCTACATAGGTGTATGTGTATATGTAGGTGTGCCTTACATATTTGTTGAATAAATAATAAATGAATATTTATGAGGGCTGAATAATGGAAATGAAGAGAGGTAATTGGGCCCATTCTTCGCGTCTACTTGGTTGTGGACCACAAGAGAAATTACTGGGAAACTCCTCAGCTTGGTTTTCAAGCCCCTGCTCCGTCGACTCTAAGACCCACTCTCCTCTTTCCTAGAGGCCTCATGTCCCTCTACCAGACTTAGGTCATAGGCATCTTCACAGAGTCATTCGGGAGCCTTGGGGCTGGGAAGGCAATGCCGTGTTCCTCTTTGCATCCCCTGTATAGTAGATGATATAGTTTGAATGTGTCCCCATCCAACCTCCTGTTGAAATGTAATCTCCAGTGTTGGAGGTGGGGCCTGGTGGGAGGTGTTTGGATCCTGGGGGAGGATCCCTCATGTACTGGTGCTGTCCTTACCACAGTGACTGAGTTCTCACGAGATCTGGTTGTAGTAAAGAGTGGCACAAACCCCACTTCTTGCTCCTGCTCTGCCATGTAAGATGCCTGCTCCCGCTTCACTTTCTGTCATGAGTAAAAGCTCCTTGTGGCCTCCCCCTAAGCCGAGCAGATGCCAGTACCATGCTTCCTGTACAGTCTGCAGAACTATGAGCCAATTAAACCTCTTTTCTTTATAAATTACCTAGTCTCAGGGATTTCTTTATAGCAATGCAACAACAGCCTAACACAGTAGATGTTTGTTATACTGAACCTCTGAGGGGCTGCCTTCCTTTCCAAGTTCCTGCCTCCTAGTGCGATTTGGTAACAAAGGAGCTAAACAGAGATACAGGAATTTCCCTGTTCATAGCTTCTGGTTTCTGCCTAAGTGAGCTCACCAGCAGAAAAATCTTTCATTCAGGAGGGAAGGAGGCATTACTGAGCTGGAGCCCTCTGTCAGCTTTCATGCTATTTTTCCTGCGACTTTGGTAGGAGCCTCCCTGCCTCTAAGATCCCAGGATGAGTGGTCACTAAGTAACTCAGCACTCGGACTCACTGTGCATGCACACGCAATCACTTTGCAATGAGCTTCAGCCCATCCATCCTGAGACCTCCTGGTGTCTTTTCCATCTTTAGGGGAGATGGGACTGTGTGATAGAATAACACAGTAAGTAGCAAACTGTCAGGGGAAAGCCTGGGAAAGAAAAGAACACAGGGCCAGCTGGGATTAGGTTTGGGATTGGACCTCTTTTCCAAAATGTGTTTCTTCATAGAGCACGTGAATCAGCCTAGAATTCTCTTGAAATCAACCTTCCTAGAATTGGCCCAGGTGAGGGGGATTTCCTCAGGGCTGGGGATGGGATGTGCCCCTCAGTCTTTTCCAGACCTTAGCAGGGCTTCTGGACACTCTCAAGGATCCCTGACACAGCTACCTCAGCACCTACTTCCCAAGGCAGCAGGAGCCTTCAGCTAGAGAGGCGTGTGGTGAGGGGCCCAGTTTTTGACTGAGCTGGTAGGTGGATGAATTGGTGTATCAGTGGACTATCACTGATACTCCCTGGGGCTTCAATGGTATTTAGAAAGAGGGAAACATAGGGGTCTCACATCCTAAAGGGAAGTGGTTTTCTGGGGCACTCCCATTTCTGTGGTAGCTTTTGGCATGGAATTGAGGCCACACATGAAATAGGTGACTTACTGTTACTGCCCAGAAGCCCCTCAGCCCTTCCATGCCCCTGGAATGGGTTCACAGCTAGGATTGTAGCTAGGATTCAGGGCTAGGATTGTAGCTGTGTGGTAGGTTCTTATGTTGGAGGCTCACACTGCCTGGAGGGCTTATCTCTGCTGGAAGCAGAACAGATGGAGGCACAAAACCCAGTGGAATAAGTTGGAGCATTCCCTGCCTCTCTCCCACCTGAAAGGGGAGGGAGAAGCTTGGGCTGAAACTCACCCCACCCTCAGTCCTCTCTCAAGGGCCTTTCCTTGGGGTGGCAGCCTCTCCATCCCTGAGTCGGCAAGACCCCAGCTAGCTAACAGCAGGGGCAGAGGATGTCTCTCTTTGCTGAGCTCAGGATAAGCTATGTGGCTAAGCTAATGGACTTATTTGTTGGACCTTAGTGTTCTTCTCTGAAAAATGGCATGGCTGCATAATATGCAGGCTTCTTTCTCAGCTTTAAACTTCCACACCAGAGCCATGAAAAGCACACTGGATAGACAAGATTGGGAAACTTCAACTCAAGCCCCAGCTCTGACATTTATGAGACTGTTTTTTCATATGTAAATCAGGGCTAGTAACACCCACAGGGTTGTTGATAGGATGAAGTGAAGTACCACTATATGTGTCAAAACTTGGTAAGCCATGAGGCTTTATACAATTGAGAGGGCGTAGGAATCTCTGAATCTGAGAAAGAGAGATGCATGGAAGTCAGGGGACATATTGGATCTTAACTCTTGGGGAGCTAGGCCTGTTCACTTTTCTTTTAAACTAAATTGCTTAGCTCTGCAAGTGGATGGCAGCCTCATGGCTGCTATTTATTTGACATTGAGGAGATATTTGTGTATCATTAAATACTCAAGAGAATCAGACTGCAAGCCACCTCTTGATAACCTTGAAATGTAGCCTGGTCATGGGCGCCCTAAGTTCTCCTACTTCCCACTGAGGGGCACTGCTCCTCTAGGGGTTGGGATCTCTGGAAGAAGTATGATTTGGGGGATCATTTCTGCCATCAGTTTAATATTTTGGAATTCAGAAGTGGAGAGTCAACTCAGAATTGCCCAGGGATGAACTCTTCACCCTGCTGCATTTGCCACTGACTTAATGGACTCCTCTGTTCCGAGTGGGAAAGGGATGTGAGGAACAGAAAAAACTCAAAATTCTCCACCAGGTACCATTTTTTTTCATCCTCTCGGAATCTTAACAAAGGGTCCCTAGGGCTTCAGTTGGAGCCCATTTATCTTTCCTCAGTGATGGGAAATAACTGGTTCCCCTCATCTTCAATGTAGATAGTCTTACGAGGGTGAAAAATTACCACGGACTAGCTGTTGAGCTGAAACAAAGACACATTCTAGAATTTGGGGGATAGATTTGATTTAAACTATTTTATGCCTTGATCAGGCTAGGGACAGACATTTTTGGTTTGGAAACTATGATCATCATGATTTTAGCATCCTCATATCTTTTTTTTTTTTTCTTCAGAGATGGGGTCTTGCTCTGTTGTCCAGGCTGGAGTGCAGTGGCAAGATCATAGCTCACTGCAGCCTTAAACTCCTGGGCTTGAGCAATCCCCCCATTTCTGCCTCCCAAACAGCTAGAACTAGAGGCATGTGTCACCATTCCTGGTTTTTAATTTTTTTGGTAGAGATTTCCATATATTACCCAGGCTGGTCCCAAACTCCTGGGCTCAGGTTATCTTCCCACCTCAGCTGCCTACAGTGTTGAGATTATGGGTGTGAGCCACCATACCTGACTTTCATCTCCATTTTATTTACTCCTGAAGTTACTCCATTTCTATCTTGGTTCATTCTCTATCTTTCCTCCTGAAAATGAGACTTCCTCACTCCCTTCATTTTGAACCTAGGCTCATCAAGATATCTTTGTTTTGGGGGGTTTAATCCAATTTCTCTTGGAATCTTGGTGAGGAGCCTCAGAGGCAGGGATAGGATAGTTTTCCATATCCCCAGGCTGGGTGGGGATGGCTGAGGAGCTACCAGTCTTTACTTGTTCTAAAGTCTCCCACTCTGACCATGGGTTCAGAGCTATGATTGTAGCTAGGATTCAGAGCCAGGATTGTAGCTGTGTGGCAGGGGAGAAGACAGAAGGCGACATTTGCAGCTCTCTGAAGGTACACTTTTATTTTTGTAGTTATTTATTTATTTATTTTTTTGAGGGCAAGAACCTTCCCTTTGTAGAAGCACAGGGATTGGGCAGCTAAGCTTCAGAAGCTTTTCAGAAAGTAGAGTATGCCTCTCCTCTTATAGTTTGTACCTCCTAAGATCTCCCTTCTAAGATCTGCTAAGCAGAATTCAATTTTATTTACTGGCTTAGACTGATGGACTCGGTACCAGCTGCCTTGCAGGCCAATGCGACACTTTTTTCTGTTCACTGGTGGGCATTCTCCAATGACTAGGATAACAAAGAGGAAGAGGCCTGAAACAGGAATAAATCCAACTGGTTGTTCACAGCCACCTCTACACCCCAGGGAACCATCACATGCTTGGCCATTTCTCCACACTTGCACTGTGTACAGTGAGTGCTCAGAGGCTGGTCACAAAGGCCACGTGTTGGTGCTTCTTCAATACACTTACTGTAATTATGCACATGCTTTTAGAGAACACCTTAGAAGTGGGCTTGCTTTGAATCCATTTGAATCAGATAATTAGTTTACAGACAGAAAATATATACTGTTTTAATTTTTCCAACTTGAGTAAGGATTGCTTTGGGAGTTGTGTGCAGTGTGTTATAAAAATAACTTTTAATTATATTTATTTACTTAATGAATCACACAGATGATAGGTGAGTGGAGTTTTGAGACAGCCTGCAGAGTTGCCCCAAAGCCTCACATTTGTACTGTGCCTTATGATTTATAATGTAATTTCACATCCAGTCTTTTTTTTTTTTTTGAGATGAGTCTCACTCTGTCACCCAGGCTGGAGTGCAGTGGTGCTATCTTGGCTCTCTGTAGCCTCCGCCTCCTGGGTTCAAGAGATTCTCCTGCCTCAGCCTCCCGAGTAGCTGGGATTACAGGCATATGCCACTAGGCCCAGCTATTTTTTTTGTATTTTTAGTAGAGATGGGGTTTCACCATGTTGGCCAGGCTGGTATCGAACTCCTGACCTCAAGTGATCTGCCTGTCTTGACCTCCCAAAGTGCTGGGATTACAGGTGTGAGCCACCATACCCGGTCACATCCAGTCTTATGTTTGCAGGGAACATTTCAAGGTTTTGTATACCTAGTAAGAGGCAATGCTGGGTCTCTATTTTAGATGTTCCAGCTTCATGTTTTGTGCTTTTTACAAGTGCATTGAGAAAATCATATGATGAAGTCAAAAGAGCCATACTGGGATCCTCACTCTAATATTTAACAGCTGTGTGAACTTGAGAACGTCATTTTATTTTTCAAAGCTGCAGTAAATGGACTCTCCATGGATTATGGTAAAAACAGTAGATGATAAACCTGATTCTGCTCTGAAATGTATAAAGCATAGATGTGAAGCCTCTAATGGAATAGGATGCCTGTTAATGCATAAAGGAGGTGCCTGGAGAGGCCAAAAATTATCTTTATTAAGTGTAATAATTAGTAGTTGCTTCTTGGTATAGCCCAGACATAAAGGAAACAACTCTGTCCTCTTGGTTCCCCTCATCTGTTCTTGTTTTTTAATTCTCCCATAATATTTCTCACTGCCTAACATACAAATTTCTTTATTTATTATGTCTACAGTCTATCTTTCCTCTCACTAGAATGGAAGTTCTAGGAGGGATGGATTTTTGTCTGTCTGGTTTGCTGAGGAGTTCCTAGCATCTAAAAGTCTGGCACATGGCAGTCACATAATAAGTGCTTGCTGAAATAGTACATCCTTTTGCTCTGCAGATCACTCCAGTGATCTTTAGCTATGAAAATGTAGGGCTTCAGGGAGAAGAAGGCATGGAGGACGTGGAAAAGTTCATTAGAAGCTGGAACTTTCTGCAAGGCAAGGAACTGACAGCTCAGCTCCTCTTCGTCAAGGTTTGAAACAGGGATTCCCATGGGAGCTCCAAGGGGGCCCACACCTGGGCTGGGAGCCCAAGAAAATTGGCAGGTCACCAACTTGGGGAGGACAGTGGTTTAGGTTGTTGACTTGGGTGTAATGAACACACTTAAGAGATTTGTGAGGGAGTCTGTTTCAGCACAACTTAGGAATGATTCTGGACAGGCCTCCAGTACTGGCCCCTTGGCGTCATTCTGCTTTGAGAATAATGACTTGGTATGCCAGAAGCTATACCAAGGTGATAACTTGTGTCCTGGGCTTCCTGGCTGCAATGAACTGCCATCTTCCTTTATGCAGTGGGCAGGGAAGGCAGGAACAGGTTAGTATGCCCGGCTTCTGCTTGGGGTTTTGAATCTCTTGGGACTGAGTTCAGGACCCAGGGTTTTTGAGAAATTGGAATTAGATGGGCTGGGAAAACCTTAAAAAGGGATTACTTTGCTCTCTGTTAACAAAACATAAGATGGTTCAGGTAATTAATTTCAAAAATAAAAGAAATGTGACCATATATGTAACATGGCAGGCTATACCATTTCTTCACGTAGGTAACAATAAATATATAGTTTTGTTTGAATATTGTTTTTGCTCCCCCAAGTAACTTCATTAAATATATGACAATTTGGTTTTCAAAAAATCAGACACATCCCTGTTCCCTTTTCCAAGTTAACATGGAACTTACAGTTTTTTTTAAGTGAGAAAGAAATACCACTTGTATTTTCAGTTTGCCTCAACTGTCACTATATTCTACCAACCCTCACTCATACATTTGTGCTGTATATATACACACATACATACTGCAGTGTGTTCAGCAATTGCCAGTTCCTTATTTATTTCTTGAAATGAATGAACTAAGAAAAAAGTGCCAATTGTTCTTTCCAGAGATCATGCATTCTGATAGAGAAGATGCAGGAATCCCTTTTCTAAAATGTGTCTGCAAAGCTGCTTGCTCCAGAGTTGAGCATGTGCTGCTCAGGCCACCTGGTGAGGGTAGAGGCGTCTTAGTTAGACATATGTATATTTAAAAATACTCCCTCACCCCATGACATGCATGGCAGAGGCCCTTTTCTTAAATTTTTTTTCCAGGAGTGATAACCACTATTTACCACTTTTTATTTCAATATCTGGGTCTCCTTGCTCTCCCTCTTTTGACTGGTGTGTGTGTGTGCGTGTGTAGAGAGAGAGAGAGAATATGAATGAATGAATGAATGAATGTGAATTAGTGACTTTCAGCCCTCTTAAAACTGTGGACCCCACAGAAGGGTCATATATCTTGTGGAAAGATCAGAGTGCAGGTGGTGGGGACGGGCAGGAGGAGGGCTCTAATAGGCTAGGTCTTCAGTCCTGTCAACCTCCATAGTTTTCAGAATCCAAGTACACCTCAAGACCTCTCTTCCAACCCTGCAGTTCCCACTCTTGCCTGGATGAATCTGACCATTTACGTATACCAACACTCAGGGAGAGAAGGCAACATTCCAGAAACCTAACTGCCTCAGGAACTCAAACTTTAAGATGACCTGTTTTGATCAGATCCTAGGTGGCAAACATTAAGCTAAAGTAAAATAATTTAGCAAAAGCAAAGCAGAATCTGGTCAAGGGTGTTCCAGGAAGAAATGGTAGTACGAAAGAGATGGAAGGGCAAACTTTATCCTCTGATTCTAGAATGTTCTCTTTCTCCCAATTTCACAGCACCGAATCATAGATGAGGAGAGTGCTATGTTCCAATATTTGTATCCCCCACAAATTCATGTTGAAATCCTAACCCCCATGGTGATAGTATTAGGGGGTGGGGCTTTTGGGAGGTGATTAGGTCATGAAGACAGACCTCTTGTAAGAGAGGCCCAAGGAAGCTCATTTGTCCTTTGCACCACGTGAGGGCACAGCTGGAAGGTGCCAAGTACGAACTAGAAAACAGGGCCTCCCCAGTCATCGAATCTGCCAGAGCCTTGATCGTGGACTTCCCAGCTTCCAGAACAGTGAGAAATACATTTCTGTTGTTTATAGGCCACCCAACTTAGGATATTTGGTTATAGCAGCCCCAAAAGACTAAGCCCAAAGCGTGTCATTAGGGAGAAGGGTGAGGATCCCTTTCTTCCCCTTACAGTTGTCCATGCTTTTTCCCATCTTAGAATTGTCTTTTGGACCAAATTTGATGGCAACATTATGCCTTAGCCTGCCAGAGCTTTCCTAGCTGGGCAGGATTCCTGCATCTGCCCTCTGTATGTTCCAGAGCTTGCTTGTTCCTGGGGCCATCCCCAGGTTTTGTAGAAAACCAGGCACTGCATCTTTGAGGACAAAATTAAAGAGAAAACATATTTTGTTGTTGTTGTTGAATACACACTGTATTTAACTTTTTTTAATCCCAGAGAAGTGAAATGCAACATCTGTTTGAGTTTATGTAACATCTGAAGACTGACAACTCAGAATTTCCTAATTAAAGTCATTTTTAAGGCACTCTGCAGAGCCAGCTTTCATTTCTTCCTTCATTGGGTTTTTCTCCAAACTGTAGCAGAATACCTGGTTTCTCTTTCTTCAAAGTGATACACACATGCTCATGCCTTAACCTGCTCTTCTGTCCTCCAGGACAACGAAACACAGCACAATTCCAAGGAGGAAATGGTAAAGGAAGGAAATACATGGTGTAGGGGAGCAGGGTAAGGAGACAGCAGAGAGGACACGTACAAGTAAATTAACTGATATAGTCAGTCATAGCTGAAAAGATAAAGAGCAGAAGGGAAATTGAACAGGGTGGGGTGGGCCAGATGGCTGGCAGCCGGTGAAAAAATAGGCTACGTTTCCCAGCGAGATCTAAATTAATTTAGCTAGTTCCCTGTTTTGTTTTTGTTTTTTTTGGGTTTTTTTTTTTCATTTTTAAAGATAGGGCCAATGCAAGGGAGGTATCTCAAAATTATGGAGGGTATAATGTAGGCAAGTGTGCTTGCTTGTGCTCATGCACTTATGAAGGGCTGCGCTTACAGACAGGTATGACTCGGGGGCTCTAAAATGCCCTCCTGATATAAAAGAATCTCCCTTACTGGCCCACTTCTGGGCCTGAAATTCCCACCACTACAGCCACTCTTTCTGATTAAGGCATTATCTGTAGCCCCTATTAAAATGTAAATGTCACCTGGGAAGGGTAACACTCGACTCTTTAGCACCCACTGACTGAACTGTCACCTATCAGAGAGTAGGACCCTGAGAGATGGGACATAGGGCAGGGACATTTGGACTGATGGGGAAAGAAGGCTTGGTGGTATGGGACGCTGGAGAGGGAATGGCTGGGCAGCTGAGGGGAGTGTGTGAAACAATGCTTGCCCCGGGAAATTACTTAGATGGAGGAGATGGGATGGCAAAATGAACTTACCCACATCACAGGTTTCCCTAGGCTTTGTGTGTGTGTGTGTGTGTGTGTGTGTGTGTGTGTGTAGTGTGTCTAACAGTTTGTATATATTATACATTCTATGTATATACCTGATATGGAGTTCACTGGGGCCCATCATGAACATAATACAGTGAAACTCCATCAAGTGAAAGATAACAAAAGCCCTCAACTGTTTTCATGTAGAATGTAATCACATGTAAAGTGAAGCCTGGCATCTCTATAGATCTAGATGGTTTGTATGTAGACAGTGTGTGCACATGTACGTGTACACGCACTCACACACACATTTACTCATACCCAGCAGTGGAGATCTTGTAGATGTGAAGGGTGAGATGCCTCTTCTCAGCCATCTAGGATTTGAATGCACAGTAGCTGCTGCATTGTGGACCCAAATCCTAGATGGCTGAGGAGGTTGGTTGTTGGAAAAAGGACTTGCTGGGGGAGCACTGTGACCCCTTTCTCTGTTAACAGTAGATCCTCATTCAACTCAGGTGGCTCTGCAGAAATGGCCAAGGCTTGGGTTATAAGACTTACATGGGCCATACCATCAAGACTGGGGCTTGGAGACAGAAATGTCGCCAAAGTGCCCTTTAAACTTTTGGAGTTTGGGAACCTGGAGAAGGTGCAGGTGAACAGAGAATCCTGCAGAGAGTAGGTTTCTGCTCCTAGAAAAGCTGGAAATTGTTTGGGAGCAGCCCGCAGGCTGGATGCAGGAACCAGCCTCAGAGTACCACTCATGGGACCTGCCCCCTCTCCAGGGATCTGCTATGGTTGGCTGAGCTGATGGGGAAGGTGCAGAGAGGAGAAGGGGCTGGAGGAACGGGAAGAGGACTCCAGAGAAAGCTTGGGAAGTAGAGATGAAAGAATCTGGGTGGGGAGGGGCAAGGGAGAGGTGATACTAGAACTTTCCAACCCTATTTTCACATTAGAGTCATCTGGGTAACTTAAAAAACTCCGATGCCCAGGATCTACCCTTCGATGCTATAATTGGTTTGGGCAGGGGACCAGGCATGGATATTTTTTAAGCTCCTCAGATGATTCTAACGTGCATCTGATGTTAGAATACTACATCAGAGCAGAATGAGAAGTTTTGTTCTGCACTGTTAGGCTGAAGATGGCTGGTCAATCCCCACCTGAGTAAAGGAGAATGAGAAGACTGGTGCAAGGTGGTTGGGGTGGAGGCCGGATTCTGAGGGCTATCTAGACAGTCAAGCCTCTGCTGATTTGTGTGACTTTACAGCCTTGTTAGCTGGTGATTTCTAATCCCATGTCTGGTTGAAAATGTGGCTGAGGTGGAGGTGTTTGGGCGTAAGGAGAAAAATTTCCCTCTCTATTCTGAAGCTTCAAAGAGAAATAATTCGCTGTGCTCTATGGGCCCAGGAAGACAAATTCTGGGGCTGATGCTTAAAAAATGGAAATGGATTTTGTGTTGTATAATAAATACAAATAAATACATCAGTAAGCAAGCCAATAAATAAACCAATAAATAAACCAATGCACACCATTTTTTCCCTCTTAAGGTGGTTCTCCCCTCACCCCATTGAACCTGGTGACTTACACTCTGCCCCTGGTCACCTGAAGGCACCCAGCCTGGCCGTGGAAGGGGGAACAAGATGACTGCCTTGGCTCTGGCTCTCCAAGGATCAGAGAACACAGAGAAACCTAGAGAGGCCACCCACATGGAGAAGGAGGAGGAAGGGAGATACAAATCCCCCGTTTCCCACCCAAAAGCATAGGGAGGGAAGGCAGGGTTTGGGAACCAAGGCTGGGCCACATTAGGTATTTAAAGTCCAGGCTGACCAGCTCTTCATCCCTAGGAGGCTTCACTTTGAGGGTTGGGGAAAGGACTTGGGATCTGAATGAACCCCATCTTTCTACACACAAAAAGATACAGCAGGCACAACTCTCACTTTAACACAGCTCCCCATGGGCCAAGCAGGCAGCCCAATCAGCCCAGGGCAAGTGCCACATGGCTCGTGGAGGGTGGGTAGGAGGGACTGGTCACGGGACGGGAGGAAGGCGAGGAGGTAGGCAGGATGGCACACATTTTAATGGGAAATCAGCTGTCCAGGGATTCAGCTTCTGGAGCCGCCAGCCATTGCTCACTTCCTCCTTCTCAGTCTCTGCCATGTGGTTGTGCTTGCTGGGCTTTCCTTGTCCTACTAGGAGACCTGTATGTGGACATGGAAACATGTAAATAAAGCGGGCATTAAGACAGTGATCAAAGAAATGTCATTCCCTAAAAGCAGATGGTCATGATCTGGGCTCCATTAATAGATTTCAAGGGGAGATGACCCTGAAATTTTACAAAAAATTTTTGGTATTTATTTTCATATGCACTTCTCTATAAAGAATATATAACTTTCATATGGTTATTTTAAAAAGATTAAAAACTAAAATAATATTAAAGGTTTACAGGTCATTTATATGTGTAACCCATTAGCAAGTCACCAGGCAATCCTCAGAAATGGGGGGGAAGTTGAGACCCCCAATGGCATTGTTTTTTAGCATCCAAAGCACAAAGGGACTTGCAAGAATCACTGAGTGACCAGAGCTCTGTAGCTCACCCAACATTCCTGTGCAAGGGGGTCACACCACGACTGAGCTAAAACTTACTGTTTTATTCCAGAGTCCAAATCACATGAGATAAAACTTACTTCTTGAATATGCAACATTAGAGAAAACTGAAGTTATTCAGTTATTCAACTTGAAGTTCTCATGTAATAGTTGTGGCCATAACAAAGTGGGTGAACTAAAGTTTTAAAATTAGAAAAAAGCAGTCTTGAACATATGAAGATAGTTGCTCTAGGGTAAAGCCAAGCATCAGGCATCCTTCTCTTTTTTTTTCTTGATCATTCTTCTGTTTGGTATCTTTGAATTTTTGATATGCTCTGTCTGCTTACAGGGATGTACTGCTATAATGACACAAATTTTATGATTATAAATTAATTAATATGTTGCCTTTTCAGATTGTATGCATGGTTTCAATTTTAGGAGAAAACCAAATTTCAAATTCTTAGGCAGATGGTAAAAAAAACTTGTTCCAATTGTTTGAAGTCAGTAGACAACGCCATTACATATATAATTGGGGACTTAACAGCCTAGAAGACAATGCGCCATTACATATATAATTGGGGACGTAACAGCCTAGAAGCCATTCTAGAAAGTGTTCCTCTGCATTCCCTGTGCTGTGGAATAGCTGCCATGCTCTTTGGTGCCACTTCCCCTTCCTGCAATAATGAGATTGGTTAGAATTGGTCAGAGGCACTGACTGTGCTAGGCTTTGCCAGCCCTCAATACCTTGTGTGACACAGAATGACAGACACAGCAGGGATAGAGGGGAATGAGTGGGGCACAATGTGGTTGCACGTGTGCAGAGGCCTTGAGACACCCTGAGTCTGCCTGCTGCTCCTGGACCATACTGGAGAGATGCCTGTGTGCCAGTCACATCACCACAATGACTGCTTTATGTCATCATTATTTCACTATATTATTTCTGTTATATTTATTATACAATAAGGGTGTCTCTGGGTGAGGAAAATTTTTCTCCAGAAAATATTTTAAATGCACGTTTGGATTCTATCAGTTTTCTCTAAGGCAAGGCACAGAGGCTCAGAGCTCTCCATCAAATGTGCTCTCACAAGCCTAAAAACTTTGAGGGTGAATATGGCACTGAGATTGGCCTTCTTCCCATTTCACAGATGGAAAAGTGAAGATCCCAAAGATGGCCTGCATCAGACCACCATCAAGCCAAAATCAGGCCTCAGGGGTCTCAGGTCTTCTGGTCCATGAGACCACCCTGTGCCAATGAACACTGCATTTGATACAGAAAGCAGGCTTGGAAAGATCTAATTCTACTGAAGAGAAAAAGACAGGATCATGTCAAGCTGCAGAAGGTTTGGAATCCAACTGAGTTTAAAGCTGCTTATTCTTTCACAGCAAATGCCGTATTTCCCTTCTGATGAACGTGCCTGAAGAAGGCGTTTTCCTTTGTTTGATTTTGTGAGTGGCTCCTGGGAACAGATGCTTTCTTGCTATTTCAGAAGACTTAGGAAATTTTTCAGGTGAGACAGATGAGTCTTTAGTTCCCTGATGCATGTGCATGTGCGTGTACAAAGAAATGGGTGGCGTAGCCTCTCAGTCCCTGCTCATCTGATATGCATGTGCAGCGTCTTTCTTTCTTTCCTAATTAGAAGTAATAGCTTTCCATAGTTTCTGGTACGTGAGGGAGTGAAGTGGGAAATAATTTAATTGGCTGTCTTGCTTTCAAAGCCCAGTTTAATGAAATAGTTCTCAGCCTGAAGTGCATGTATTATCTTTCCTGTTATTTTTCCAATTAACATTTCATTGGATCACGTCTGTGTGGAATATTCTAATTGAAGGGCGGGGTGAAGGGACAAGAGCAGATGGAGAGATAACCAGCTGTTTCTTTCATCCCCAGTGTCTGTGCACATACTGACGTGGCTGTAGGTTTTTCCTAGCGCCTTTCCTTCAAAGGGCTCAAAGTGCTCGAGAGAAGTCCTTCCCTGTCAACCTCACCCATCCTCATGGAGCCCCTGGGCCAGGAAGGCAATATCTCCTTACAGGCACACTGGCTGATGCACTGGATAGAGAGAACTAAGCAGGCATTTCCCCAGGTTCTGGGCTCCCTTCTGATGGATGAGCCCAAGGGGGAAAATGCGCAGCTCCCAAAACTTCCTGTTGGCATTGTCTCCCTGATGGCAGGACTCTGTTTAGCCTGACACATAGAAGACACTCACTACAGACTTGTTGACAGAACAAGTATTCAGAGGGATACCACAACATCCTCCCTGCTTGATCTTCTTGTGAAGAGAGGAGTGAGTTGGAGGTGGGCATGAAGCAGGGCTGGGACTAGGGGAGGCAAGCCAGGTGCCTAGGATAAACACTGAAGGAGGCTCGCTTGCACAGGGGCAGGTGGGTACAGGATTCAGTATTTAAGAAGGGACTTACTCCCAGGCCTGTGCGTGGCCTGACAGTGAGTGCCTTCTTAAACACTGGATCTTATGAGACCAGCCTGGACAATATAGCAAGACTCCAGCTCTGTGAAAAAATAATAATAAAAATATTCTGGATCCTAGTGCCTGCTTGGCTCACCCAGTCCCAGGACTGGCATGAAGCAAACAATCTCTCCTCCTTTATATTTCCTCTCTGTTCCTAGTAATGCTGGCCCTAGGCTCAGCGATCTCACTATCCAAATGCTTCATGGCACTGGCTGTATTCCTCATAGTCCCCAGTAAGGTCCATGTGGCACTGGGTTGTGCTCTGTGTCTCTGGCCTCTCCCATCATTGCTGTAATTCTAATGTGTTTTCCCTTCTCCCGGGCATTTCTGACCCAGCACTCAGCTGTTTTGAGGATCAACCTGTTTTCTGGGTTAGCCAAGGACATATGTGGGCCTGGAGGCAGAGGATGGGCTCCTATGCTTGGCCACATGGCTTGCTGCCCAGAGGCCTGGCTTCACATTTGTCCTGGTGAGAAGAGCTGGTTAGGTTCTCTTAGGGGCCATTCCCAGGCCCAGCTGGGAGAGGCACAGTTTGGGGTATGGGGACAGGGAGCCCTTGGGAAGCAGCCCTGAGGTGAACTGTGTGGCTGGTCCATGTAGGGCCATGGGGAATGGGGCTGCCTCGGGCAGGTGCAGAGAGAAGCCATCATCATATATGCCTCCAGTGTGGTGAGACAGCCTGGGGACTGTAGGGTACAAAAGTTATTTCTTCATTTTACTTGCACCCACACGGCCAAATCTGAAATAACACCGTTAAACTGTGGGGTCCCAGCCAAGATCTGGGACATCAAAAACTGTGTAGAGACCCACATAAAACTTTGAATATATATATATTTTCCTCTGAATCTCTTGTCTGAGACCATAACAGGAAAAATGCAGCTGTTCCTGGCTGGCTTCTCTAGGTTTAAACTAGGCAAATTGGGCTGGGATT
The DNA here is from genome assembly GCF_000001405.40 of Homo sapiens. Classification (NCBI taxonomy): domain Eukaryota; kingdom Metazoa; phylum Chordata; class Mammalia; order Primates; family Hominidae; genus Homo; species Homo sapiens. Next base: position 166,064,445 of record NC_000001.11, read on the forward strand.
TCAAGTCTGGCCTAGACTTGACATTCCAGCCTCCTTTCCTTTCCAAAAGGCCGCTTGGAGTTCCAGCTACACATTCTTTCTAGAGCTGCTTCCTGGAGTGCTATGCAAAAATCTTTCTTTCCTTGACCACCAGGTTTCACGCCTCCCTGAACAAACAAGGTGGCTGGGGGAAATGGGACCCACTCTCCGCAGGGGCCAGGCCTCACTTGGCAGTAAGAGTGAGTTCTCCTGAGATGGTTTTGGGCTTCCAAGTAGATGAGGCCAGAGGGCCTGCCATCAGCTTCAGGCCCTGTGATTCTACTCAAGTCACAATATCTTACATGAGGCAGCACATTAGGCAATTTGGACTATTTTCAGACACTGTCCTACTTTGTCTTTCTGATCGTGATGTTGGCTGGGCTGTATTAATATCTCAGGTAACAGAGAAGGAAACCAAGTCTCAGAAAAGTTAAATGATTTGTTCAAGTCCAGCTACCAGCAGGACCTCCAAGATCTCAAGTAATGCTGATGTCCCAGGTTCTGGCCTTCTACCTCAGAGCACCCAACTGGGCCTCCCTTCTAATGTGGGATAGGAGAGAAACCACTTGAAGGCACAGCCTGGGCCACCTGAACCCTGACTCCTCAGTGGAGCTTATTCTGTCTGGTTAAAGTGCATCCAGAGATCAATTAGGGCACTCTTTCCTAGTCAGCCCTGCCTGATAAACAGTAGTGGCTGGACAAGTGGAGGAGGGTGCCTGCATTTAACCAGGGAGAGAATGTTCTGTGACAACGGAGTGAAGGTCTGGGGTAAAAATATCTGTGTGCAGAGGGCTCAAGTTCTTAGGGCACCACCAATTTAGTGTGACCTTGGACAAGTCACTTGAGCTTTCTGCTTCAAACTCCTCATAAAGTGGTGATATAATGCCAAAATATTACAGGATTGTTGAGGATAAAATGGCAAAATATTTGTGTCTGTACTATGTAAACTGTAACATACTAATCAGATGGGTGTTGTTACTATTAATAACAACAATGACAGATCAGGCCAATACTAAGACTTTCCATCTTGAACAGAGATGCCTCTTGTTCTACACAAAGGAAATGAAAAACTCTTTATAAACTGTAAAGCACTTATACATAAAGGGAATTTTAGGACCCTAAGGTTGGTGATGGGCTCTGTCATGGGCAGGTGCACCGCTGACCTGGGTGGGGATGACACTCCATCTCCCCAGATGCCTTCCTGTCATCTGGCAACTGGCAACTCTTCTGATGGCCTTCCATAGGCAGATGTCCTACCAGGGAAACTGGAACCAGATGTACTCAAGATCTCAAAAGAAATTAATGGCAATAAGACTCTGGGGTAAAAATATCTGTGTGCACAGAGCTTGCTCACTCAGCTCCCTTTCTATCTAAGGATCATTTAGGCTTAATTATAGAGTTCAGGCATTCATTGGGTTTTTGATTAATTTTCTTTTCAGTTTGAAGAGTATGTGAGTGTGGCAGGTCTCTGTATGTGTGTGTGTTTACATCTTTCTTTGCAACTCAGTTGGGAGCTGGCTCTTGCAATGTTTAATTGTGCCCTCAGTTCTAACAAGCACGTTCAATGTGCTAACCAGGGCTTGGAAAGCCATTGTTTCCACTGCTCACACCCCAAAGGCTGCTCCTGCCATGTTGAGGGACGGCGGGTGGCAGGGCCTTGTTCAGCTGGGACCTCAGTTGCAGGATGCATGCTTTCCTTCCCCTTTTTGGCCTTGTGGTGCTTAAAGGATTCTGATGCCAGGAGAGCAGATTTCCTACTCCAATTACTAAGTACTCTGCTAAGAGCTGCTGAGTGACAGCTAGCTCACCCACACTGCAGCCCCTGTCAGGCATTATATTCTGGGATAACCTCCCAAAGGGTTTCTTTGCATAAGAAAGCAGTGTTTGTTCTCCTATGTTTAGTATGTCCATTTAATAGATTGGGAGAGACTACATGACAGTGTAGATGAAAGGGACTAGCTTTCTCCTTTCCTTCCTTTTCTTTTGTGCCCTCTAGTCAGGGATGAACAGGAGAGGCAGAACAGGATAGTGGAAGGGCATGGAAGTTGGAGCCAAAAGGCCCCATTTCAATCCTGGCTCCTGACATTTTGTTTGTGTACTCATGGATATGCCACTTAACCTCTTTGGTCTCAATTTATTATCTGAAAATGGGAATAATACTACTCATCAGTATTACACTCGTAAGACTGGGGATGAGAAAATGCATGTGGAAGGCTTTTGTAAAAATACTCTATAAATCATAGTTCTTTTATTTTACTGATCAGAATTGCTGCTTAGTACATGCTTTTGACCTATGAGATTATCATTCCAGCACCAGGAAACAGGGAGTTGTAAAAAGGTCCACAGAATGGGAGGTGGGTAGGGGACTAGTCTCCAACTCTCTCATGTGCCCCCATCTCATGTGAGATGAGATTCGGGAGATGTGCTTGGCTCTTCAGTTGGCTAGGTATGTGAGCTACAGCAATGACCCAGGAATGTAAACTGCATGCAGCGAAGGGCCCATATTAAGGGTTCAACCTCAAAACAGCTGTCACAGATAAAGGGAATCTGGAACATTCAAATTTTCTTTTACATAATAGTAACAAGGATTTCCTCTTGTTCTTTAAAGGACGGATCCAATTGTCTCTAGTTTTAGACTCATTGGTTTGTGGGTGAATGGATTAGGGATGATGATAATGTTTTGGTTGGAGACAAGAGGCTGTGAGTTCTAGCTAAGTGTTACCATGTTGTGAGATGAAATTTGGGAGATGGGGCCTTCTCTTGGCTCTTCAGCTGGCTAGGTATACCATTCTGAATAGATGACCTAATTTAACGAGGCCTCAAATTCCTTCGGGATCATGGACTAAAAGATCTCAAAGGACCTGATTAAGAAAACTTAAGGCCTGATGAAATGCTTTTTCCTACGTAATTCAAAACTCTAGTGCCACCAAGAAGCCATGTGTTGTGTGTGTGTCTAAGTCCTGAGACCACCCAACTAAAACTTAATCAAGGCACTAAATGAGCCCCTTTAAACTGATGGCATCTGGCGTCAGGCCCAGGCATTTTGAGGGGAAGGAGGGCTGGATGGGAGGGCAGAGGTGACCTCAACAGAGATTTCAAGGTTAATTCTCTCTTGTACAAGAGACTTTCATTTGGCAATATCCTGACTAAGCTGAAAGATAATGATCCACAAATCACAGGAAGAAAAGGGGTCATTTCCTTGTAAAACAACAGTAACTTGAAAATAATTGGCTAAAGGGCAATAGAGCATTCTGCCAGGCTGACTTCAGAGCTGAGACACCCAACTGTAGAGTTCACAATGGTACCAATAACAATAATCACAATGTATACAGTGCTTTTAACTTTCATAAGCACTTTCCCATTTTTTTCATTTTGTCATTATACAACTTCCCAGAAAACTGCTGTGGGGGTAATTTCTTTTAAAACTCTGAAAAACTGTGATTTTTCATGGGAAACAAGCCTAGCTAAGTATGCTACACCTTGCTTTAGATATATAGATAAGCTTCTGAAAAAGTTATTTGTAAATATAGTTGTGTAAGTCATATCTTATTTTAATGCACTAGGGGAATTTGCAAACATAAATCTTGTATAGCATTTTGTAATGTAAATTCTAATTAATCTGTTGTTTGTTACAACTTTGGAGTTTAAAATACCAGGTTTTCTTAAAGTGGGGCCACATGGATTAGATTCTAGGGTCAGTATCCACTCCCCAGGATCCCATAGGGGTGGAGTCTAATTCAGTCTGGGGGAGAGAGTGCTGCCTGTGGTGTCAGCATGGAAAATAAGCTGCTTTGTACTTTAGCCATGGAGCTCTCTGGGACTGCCTTTCCCAAATAAAACAAGGAAACATGGGAAGGGACAGAGAATGCCAAACATAACAGCTGAATTATTTCTAAATGAATGTCTCCAGGTCCTCTGTGAGCCACTGATGTATTATTAATGTGTTGTTATAAATAACTTGCCATCAATAACTAATCTATAACAGAGTAGTTGATGGTTGGGGTGTGAAGTTAACACTACATAATTTGGAGCAGATCTCTTAGCACTCTTATGTAAGTAAGTACCATCCCCTGGGACTAGAATCTGAAATAAATTAGACTAAATTGAATTTTTAATAAAAGTAATAAACCCTGCTGCTTTTTATTCTCTATCCACAAACTCTAGTAGAAGACAGCTCTTTGGAGCCAACCATGAGATTGTAAAACTGCTCTGAACTTCAAATTTCTCCCTCTGAAATTAAGCTAGCAGTGTCTACTTCTTAAATCCACAATGACAATGTGAAAGTTTTATAATTAGTTTGCATGGAAGGGGGTGGTGAACAAGCAAATATATATACAACCATATATATGGTTGAATTATTGAGAATAAAGGGAAAAGCTCTTTTTTTGAGGTGGGGGAGGAAGGGTGATTCAAGCTAGAACTGCAAAAATCCTCACTTAAAGACTGGAAACCCTCAAAAAGAAGTTGTATATTGGCCTGACTAAAGGAAACCTGGCCTCTCATCTTTACTGGTTAAATCTTAGCAATACAGGCTTGCTTAACATGAGTAGCTTAGATTTTCTTTGAAGAGCTCTAAAGTTAAGTTAAGCCTTAGGAAGTAGTTTCTCACAAATGTTCAAGTTTGAGCTTCTGTGAAATAGAGCTAAAATAAATATATATAAAAATATACAGCGTATGTACATAGAAAGGCTACAGGTAGATATGTAGGCACTGGTGGCAAATATGCTAGTAATTATGCTATATGCATCATGTGTGCATGTGTGCATGTGTGTGTGTGTGTCTATGCATACACGTGTCCATTCCATATGTTCAGATCATTCAGAAACTCAAAAGAAACAGAATGAAAATGCTGTTCTTATTTGCTGAAATGTTCTTGAACCTTACATGGATTCATGGCTCATAACTTTTTAAATATAAATTTAGGGCTAATCATGGGAACAGAATAAGCAGCTGTAAACAAAATCAAGTTAGTTAGGATTTCACTAAAACATGGACAGGGCCCCAAATATCATAACTATTGCAGAATGTGGGAATTACAAAGCCAAATACTGTGATTAAAAATACTCTGAATAAGCAATCTTTTTGGAAAGAGGTGGGTAGACGGAACTAATGAAGTGTTTCCGTTAGTTCACATCAGCACCTTGGACAGTTCCAAGGAGGCTTTCTCCCTCAGAAAGGAGCAAATATCAGTATTTGTCTAGTTTTCTAAGCATTCATTCCATTGAGTGTGTTGATCTGATTATCAACTAATAAATGCAGAAGTATTAATGTGTCATAAAACCTTATTCTTTCCTCTCCCCATCACCCATTCTTTCACCACCCATTTCCCCAGCACCCTCCAGTCAGACAGCAGGAGTCTGTCTTACGACCACCTGGTGTGGATGTTTTCACTCCTACTTCTAATTGGCTGGGAAGCAGCATTTGCCACAGGCACTGTTTAATTTCGTTTCCATCCCCTGCATCTCACAGGAAAGAAATGGTCAATAGTTCAGATAAAAGAATCATCCTGGTCAGCTCCAAAATATGGCTACTTGCATGGTAATCACAGCAAGTCTGTCAAATCAGTGATTTCTTTATTCCTAAGAGGAAGGGATTTTTCCTAAGGATTATGGTTCTACCACCCAAGGAGCAGCCCTACTCTTCAAAAGTGGCTGCAAAGGCTGGCAAACCGAGAGGTCTGCTTTGGCTCAGAAACTCTGTTTGGCTCCTGCCACCCCTGGCACCCTCACTGCATGTCTCAGAGGCGTGTGATCCACACACAGTCAGGCCAGTCTGCTTCTACTTAGGAGGGATCACAACCAGAGGTGGCCCCCGCTTGGGCCTCCACATGAGGACCTGGGCATCATTGGCATTGGGTTTCACTAGTGCATTAGGGGGGATGGGTTCCATCCGGCTCAGGATCCGGGGCTGCTCCTGCTGAGTCCTGCCCACCAGCCGGGCCCGCTGCCCCAAGAGCTGAAGAGGGTCCACTTCAATGTCCACCCTCATCCTCCACTTGATGGTCTGCAGAATGATCTTCTCCTTTGTGGTGGTGTTCATGGCCACCAGCCAGGTCGTGAAACTTTGGTCTCTCTTGATTCTTGTGAGCAGTGGCACATTGCTGTCACTCACAGGCACTGCCCATGTCACACTGGGGTAGAAGTTGTCATTCATGCTGACGGAGAACCTGGAGATCTTGTTGGTGGGGCCAACCAGGGTCACAGTTTCTGTGGTGTTCCCGTACCAAGGGTAGCTCACCCCATCTGAGTCACTGATGGCTTTTACTCTCCCTTCCCTCAAGTCAGGCAGTTCCCAGCTTGACCTGGCAAAGCAGAAGACATGCACAAGAAAAGAAGAGGCTGAATGAATTTTTCAAAAGCTGGAGAGGTGCTCACTGCTTACTAACATAGTCAACTTGGGCAAAATGGGAAGTTCACAGGGGGAATTCAGGGCAAAAAGTTCTATGCTGTGCTGTTTCAGGATTAAATGAGAACAAACCAAAATAAAAATAACAAAGCCATGCCAAAACAAGTTAAATACAACCATGGCTGACCCAATTGAGAACAGGAAGCTCAAAAAGGCAGTTGTGAGACCACAAAGAGACATCAACTAGTTAGATGATGGTAATCAGCAGTTTAGAGGAATTCCATTACAAGAACCACTTTCTTGGAAATATGAATGTGAATAAGGTTTGCTTTTTGGGAAGAAATGATGGTTGAAATTCGATGTACTTGGAAGGCAGTATCTGGTGGAAAGAAGGGCAAAAGGAGGCAAAGTTAAAGGTTATATTAATTTCTTAGGAAATCATAGTAATAGAATTTCTACTTAACAAAGAGGGTTGTTTAAATTCTAGGCATCAGCCAATTCATCGCTTAGGCATAGAAAATCATAACATGAGAAAATCATGGTCATCTTCTGGAAACCATCTGAATGTGAAAGTTGTTCTACAGGCTGGCATACACTCTAATGCACCGCTCTCCCATTGCCTTCCAGTCCAGCCTGGAAGCCTCACAGCTTAGTTTGGCAAACTTGCCATTCTGGCACCTACCTACTCCTCCTGGCTGTCTCTGACCTTGTACAGGAGGAGGAGGAGGAGGAACCAATGTCTCTACCCCCTGCTGTAGACTGTTGCTAATAATAATTGCTGATACTTATTGAGTGTTACTCTATTACAACCATTGTGCTAAGTACATTATCTCAGTCAGTATTCAAAATACTCCACAAGATAAATACATTTTTATTTCCATTTTACACACAAGGGGATGAAGGCTTAAAGATGTTAAGGTACATGACAAAGGTCCTAAAGATTCCAAGAGGTGAAGCTGAGAGTTGTCTGACTTCAAAGTCCCTGGTTTTGGCCACTGTATCATACTGCCTCCCAAAGTACCCTTACACAGCGCTGGAGGGAGTTAGAATGGAGAGGACTCAGGCTGTCTAATGAGTTAGCAGCTCCAAGACCAGTCAGTCATGGAGAACTGGACTGGACCCCAGTAAGGGCAGAAGTCTAGTCAGCAGAGTGTTGATGCATGCTCCATATTTTCGCTCCGGGTACCAGGGATGATGCTTGGTAATAATGCACTAGAATTTAATAATTAAAGAGATGAGACTGCTTTATTCATCAGCTAAGAGGCAGTGGTCTTCTTTGACATAAAGTTCTTCCTCCTATGAGGTGACAGAAGATCCTGCAGGGTTTTATACAAGTTGTCTTAAAGGGAATTGCATTGTCAAGCTAGTGCTGATTAACATCTCAGCACCCTTACTATCACATGGGGACATGGAGACACTAACCACTGCCTCCTACTGACCCCCTACAGTACCTCCTAGGCCAGTCAGCCCCAGCCTGAAGTGAAGGGAGGGCTTGGCTGCCTGGGGAGGAGGTGACCCCACAGCTGCAAGAGCCTTTTTTCTTGTCATGCCCTTGGTAACTGCTGGGAATAGCTGCAGTGTATCATGGTTGGCAGACACTAAGTAAGGAATTGACCTGATGCAGAAAGTCAGAGAGAGCTCATTTTGCTACATATGCTTTTGCAGCTGGGGGGTAGTAGCTCCCAGGTAATTCTATGCCATTTCTTACTGTACAAAAGGGAGTACATGTTCTTTGAGTGGGTCAGAGGTTGTGCAGAGATCCAATCTGCTCATTGGGTTCATGAAATAACCATACTGGAGTCGGTTTCATGCCCCCAAGCAAAGGGCTAAGACAATTCTTCAGTCACAATACATCTATTTCCTGTGTTGCCTAAATCTTGTTTTACACTTTGGCTGTGACCAGTCCCTGCTGGCCTTTGAGTTCCTTCTTAGAATTGGAGGGCAGGTATTCCGAGCAGTGGCAGACTGTTCTTGCTCTCCCCCGCTACACACAGGGCTTACTGTGGCGTATTGCCTGGGGAATTTGGTTTTGAGTGGATGTACTTTTTATTCTGTTACAACACAGTCCTTTTCAGGCTATCTTGCTTTGTCTATAGAGTCTTTATAGTTCTCATATTTTTGCCTCCCATCTTCCTGCCCAGAGCTGTGTGAGCAGAGACTTGGGCCCAGGGTCTGCAAGTCAGCCTTGTAAGACAAATCATAAAACTTAGTTTGGTCCTAGGTTTTTTGAAAAACAACAACAACAAAACAACAAAAAACAGAGATAATACAATAAAGACACACTCTTGTGGCTATCTCAGGAGGGAAGGAAAATACCCTTTTCTTGGAGGAGTTTCTGGAACAGAGAAATACAACAGGCTTCTTAATCATCACATCAGAACAAACACATCTGGCCACATGTAGTCATTGGGAATAGTGACATTGGAGGTTACACTTTAGTTCCATCCACACTGTTGTTACTTCTGCAACTGTGCTTTTGGGAATTCCTCAGGTCAGAGGCATGTTCTCTTCCATAGCCCTAGGGAATTAGGACTACATCATTAAGGGATGGTTTGATTTTGGAAACAGCCAAAATTCATTACGATTTAAGTCTAGTGAATAGGGAGTTGCTATCTGAAAAATATCAAATTTTTCCTTTATGAAAAATAGATACTAATGTACACCCCAAGGCAGTGACCTTCCCTTCTTCCCTCTCTCTATCTCTCGCTCCCTTCCTTTCTCTTTCTCTCTTTTTTTTTTTTTTTCCAAAAGGAGAGTTGTGTCTATAAAATGCATGACTAGTTTATGTAGCTGATAAAATGTCTTTGGTAATGGTTTTTCGAGAAGTCTCTGAAAAGTTCCAAGAACAGTAGCACTATTTGAGTCACTCAATGACCATTTAAGGGGATTACTTTGAATGGAATGCCAGAGGCATTTCAAACTCCATATGGCTCAAACTGAACTCATCATTTCCACCATAAACCAAGCCGTCTTCCCCTGTCTCTCTGCAAGGGGTGGCCCACTGCTCACCCAATCTTCAAGGTCAGAAGTAAGGGCCATCTTTGGCTCTTTCCACACCCTCCCCTAGGCTGCCACAGTGACTGTATCACTGCATCCTGTGAATTTTGCCCCATAAGTGATACTTGAATTTATCTCCTTTTCCCCACCCAACTCTTACTGCCTTCACTTAATCCAAGCCCTCAGCATCTCTTACCTGGTCTACTGGAATGGCGCATAATTTGTCTCTCTGCATCCAACTCTGGTCTCTCTCAAATCCATCTTTTAGGTTGTCCAAGTGTTCAAACATGCAAATCTGATCATGCTCTTTCTATACATAAAATCCTTCCAAGGCTTTTCTATATGGACATCGTTGGCATCACCCACAGGGTAAAATTCAAGTACCTTAACAGGACATACATGGCTCTCCATCATCTGGCCTCCCCATCTCCACACACCATGCCTTTCTCACCTCCACTGCTGTGCCCTCTGCCTATGCTGTTCCTCCTCCTATTCAATTTCCACTGTATCGAACTACTACTCATCCTCTGAGAATCACCATATGTATCACCTCCTCCAGGAAGCCTTCTCTTCCATGCACTCATAGATATATCTACAACTACAGGTGTCAGATTATATTATAACGATCTGTATGTCTTTCTCATTAGATTACAGGTTTCTTGAGCCTTGGAATTATGACTTATTTTTGAATCATTAGTGTCTTGCACATGGCTGGCACATAAAACTTAATAACTATTTATTAAAAGAGTAAATACTTTATTTGAATTATTTTCATGACTATATTCCTGGAGCTTGGTAGAACTTGCATACGACAAAGTGTTTTATTACAGTCTTATACTTTATATATTTACTCACCTTTAAAAAAAATCTAACATCTATTCATTTAGAATCTATTATTAGAATAGTATCATGCCTTGCACGGAAAGTTGCTTATCCTTAAAAGGAGGAGGCACATTTAAATGAAAGTGAATGAAGTAGTGAATATGAATGTATTTTAGTGACTACTCGTGCCATCATATACCTACATACAAAAATGAGTGTCAGAGACTCCAAGTGATACAGCAATTTGGAGACACAGACAACCATGCAGGCTACAGCAGGGGAAAAGCTTTGTGAAGGAAATGGCATATGAACACTTTGGAATAGAGATAGGCATTCCAGGTGGGAGTCTGTGTCACAGGCTAAAGTGTGATACCAAGCATGGATGTGAGTGTCCAGGAAACAGAGAACACTGGGAAGAGTGAAGACACTGCTGGCGGGGCAGGGTAGTATCGGTTTGTGGAGCACCTTCAATAACGGGTTTAGGCACCTGGGCTGCATCCTAGAGGTGGTGAGACTTTTGCTCAGGAGAGTTAACTGCGAGGAAGAAGAGTAATGAAAAAAGTAGGATTAGAGGGTTAAAGGGAGGGAACGAGGATGTTTAGGAGCTTCTGCAACACTGCAGGTGATCTTTAATGAGGGCTTCATCTAGACTGGTGGCTGAGAAAATGGACAGGAGGTGTCACATATAAGAGATATTACAAAGGTAGATTCTTCAAGGTTTGGTAACCAATTGCCTGTTAGAGACAAAAGAATAAATAAACAAAAAGAATCACTCAGAAGAGGCAAGTATGGCTGATTGTGTGTGTGTGTGTAATCATTCACAGAAGTAACAAGGTTGTGGTCTCACTGTCCCTGACATTTTACACCCATCCCTGAACCAATCACAATGGTATTTCAAGGTGTAGTACCTGACTGCTGCATTAGAGCATGAGGATGATGAGGACGGGGTTGTGTTTGTCTTTGCATCCTTTGTCTGGAGCATGGTGTCTGGCACATGATGCATACTTACTAATCTTGTTTCTCTTTATATCTCATTATTTATTTCTCAGTGTCCTTTGCTAGTTCTGCCTCATCTTTCAACCTTTTAACATTGGAGGGCCCCAGGGCTTAGGCTTTGGTCTTCTTCTCTTTTCTATCTATTTGCATTTCCTTGGTGATCTCATCTGGTCTCATGATTTTAAGTACCATCTGCACTGTGACAACTTCCAAATTTGTATCTCTAGGCTGGATTGCTCCCTTGAGCTCCAAATCCATATATTCACCTGCCCACTTGCCAAAAACTTTGGAGTCACTCTTGGCCACTCTCTCACATTCCACATGCTACCTATCAGCAAATCCTGTGGATGCAATCAAAATATATCTAGAATTCAACTCCTTTCCACTATCCCCATCACCATGACACCGGTCCAAGCTAGAGTTGTCTCTCTTAGATTACTGCAGTGGCCTTCTAACTGGTCTCCTTGCTAATTACTCAACTTTGCGTCCCTGTTCTATTGTCAACATGGCAGCCACAGTGATCTTGTTAAATATTTGTAAAATCGTGTCACTTTCTTGCTCAAAGTGTTTCCATGCCTCCTAAAGCACTCAGGAAAAGCTCAGCTACTTAAAATGGCTCATGTGGCCCTACATGATCCGGTTCCCTATTTCCTCTCTGATTGTATCTCCTTTTCTCTCCCTCTTGCCCATTCTGGCCTCTGTGCTGTTCATTGAACATGCCAAATAAACTCCCACCTGAGGGCCTTTGCACTTACCGTTCATTTTGCCTGGAAAAATATTCCTTTGGATATCTGAAAGGCTTGCTCCCTTGCCTCCCTTATTCTTGGCCCAAATACCACGTTCTCACTGCAATCTTTCCTAACAACCATATTTAAAATTGCAACCTCCTGCCCCAGTGCTCCCCATCCCACATCTCTGCTTTATTTTTTCTCCACAGCACCTTCTAATACACTATAACTTACTTATTTTGCTAACGGTCTGTCTCCCCTCACCCTACTCTCCAAATATAATCCCTAAGGCAAGGATTTTTATATATTTTATTCACTGCTATATCTCCAGTACCTAGAACAGTGCTGGGAAAATAGGAGTTCAAAATCATTTGTTGAATACATATCAAATTGATCTGAAGTGAAAGATGAGTGGAGACCATGAATTTCAATTTAGACACTGCTGCATTTGCGGAACTGACTAAATAGGCGGACACTGTGTCTGAGTTAATTGCAAAGTTGGGTCCAGAGCTTAGAAGAAAGTCAGGGCTAGGGATGTAAATTTGGCAACCATCTGCATGGAGAGGATCAGGTGCTGGGTGAGCTCTTTGAGGATGACAGACCTGTCACATGGCCAGAGACAAAGAAGAGTATAAAAAGCAAAGGAATAGCCAGCAAAAAAGGAGAACTAATTTCCAAAGTTGAGAATTTCAGGGAGTCAGCAGTGTCAAAAGCCACAGAAATTGAAGAGAAAAAGCCATTCGACTTGTTAATTTTCAAGACAGCAGTAAAGATATGCTGGTGGAAGCCATTCTGCAAGGGAATTAACAAGCACAAGAAAAAAACGAGAAGAAGTTGGGCAACAAAGGGGAGAAGAGAGATGAAGTAGAGAGCTGGTCCAGCATCATGGCTGAAAGCAGCATTCTGGAGGCAGACTGCTTAGGCCTGTAAACCTAGTGCTACTACTTACTAGTTGTGTGAACTTTCTGTACCTGTTTCCTCATCTAAGAAATAAGGAATAAAGATAATAACAGTACTTACTTGATGTACTTGGTATGAGAATTAAATGAGATAATGAATGGGAAGTACTTAGCACAGCTAAATACTTTCATGTGTAAAACAGGAAGAAAAATAACTCCAGATCTCCCTACATCTCAGAACTATTACAGAAATCAAATGAAGTGATGATGTAGGAGCAAATGCTTTGTAAACTACAGCACACAATGTCTCTCTCTCTATATATAATTTATATATATAAAATACATATAATTATATATTTATATAAATTATATATAATACATATAATTATATATTTATATATAAATTATAATAAATACATATAATTATATATTTATATATAAATTATATATAATAAATACATATAATTACATATATTTATAAATTATAATAAATACATATAATTACATATATTTATATATGAATTATATATAATAAATACATATAATTATATATATTTATATGTAGATTATATATAAATATATATAATTTATATATATAATAATATATATAATTTATATATATAATTATATATATAATAAATATATATAATTTATATATATAATTATATATATAATAAATATATAATAATATATATAATTTATATATATAATTATATATATAATAAATATATATAATTTATATATATAATTATATATATAATAAATATATATACAAAATAAAATATATCTATATATATTTTTGAGATGGAGTCTCGCTCCGTTTCCAGGCTGGAGTGCAGCGGTATGATCTTGGCTCACTGCAACCTCCGCCTCTTGGGTTCAAGCAATTCTTCTGCCTCAGACTCCCGAGTAGCTGGGACTACAGGCATGTGCCACCACACCCAACTAATTTTTGTATTTTTAGTAGAGACAGGGTTTCACCATGTTAGCCAGGATGGTCTCATCTCCTGACCTGGTGATCCGCCTGCCTCGACCTCCCAAAGTGCTGGGATTACAGGCGTGAGCCACCGTGCCTGGCCGTCAATATTAGTTATTATCTAATTCCCTTCCTTCTCCTATAACCCTTCTCCTCACTGTGATAAACAGTGTTTTTGCTTTAGACAATCAGCTATTGACCCAAAGCTCACAGCTAATGGACTTGCCAATGGGCCTAATAATGAAAACATTGATTATGGCAACGTTCATGCTTTCTGCATCCCATTTTTAGAAGAAAGAGGTAAATTTCAATCAAACATCATGTTAAGCATTTCATTCAAATAAGCAGTCCATGGGTTAAGGTCAAGACTCCACTCAGACCCAACAAATTCTCCCACTGCCTTTGAGGGGCAGAGCAACTTCTCTGAAAAGAACCCCACTTTGCTCCCCCTGAAGCCCTGCAGTCACTGGGGAGTCTGGGGAGAGGCTGGCAGCAACATTCTTGGAGGCAGGGAGTGGGCAGTTATGCAGGGACTCTACTGATACTAATGTCCCCTGATGCGGTGTGGGTTGGGAGTCAGGGGGAACCACACATGGAGGACTGACGGTTTTAAGCCTGGAGAGCTTCTAGGGCAGATTTTGAAATCTGCGGCAGTACTACCCTTAGACCCAGGTGAGAGGAGCCCTGGCCTGGCCTTACATGTTTTTTTTTTTTTTTTTCTTTAGAGATGGGGTCTCACTCTGTCACCCAGGCTAGAGCACAGTGGCACAATCATAGCTCACTGCAGCCTTGAACTCCTGGGCTCAAGTGATCCTCCCGCCTCAGCCTCTGGAGTAGCTGGGACTACAGGCATGCACCACCATGCCCAGCTAATTTTAAAACATTTTAAAAGAGATGGAGTCTTGCTATGTTACCCAGGTTGGTCTTGACTTCCTGGCCTCCAGGGATCCTCCTGCCTCCGCCCGCCAAGTTGCTGGGATTACAGGCATGAACCACTGTGTCTGGCTGGCCTTACCCTTTTAAGAGACCCACTCTGGTATCTTCTGGCCATGCTCTTTCACACTGGGTAAGAAGTCTGTGGTGCTGAGAGGGTGGCCCCTCCTTCGAGAACACTCTCTGGGTACCTAGGATCTCAATATTTCCAGCCCAAATGTCCCTAAACATACCTCCAGAGTCTATTCAGGCCTTTTCACTGTCCTGTCTTTCCAAGGGCAGTCCACTCCACTGTGTATGCACTTTTGGGCCCACGGGGTGGCCAGAGGGTGGCTGTTTGTTGGGGGTGTGCATGGAGTTTGGGACCATGTGTTGGGTGCCCACATGCAAATGTGTGATGGAACATCTTTTTCAATGTGGTACAGAGCCAGGGGTGGGAGGGGAAGTAGGTGGAGCTAGGGGCTGAGGGTCACTTGTTCCTATGCTGCTAGGTTCTGGCACAAAACTTTGAGGAGTCCAAGAATCCTCAATGTAAACATAGCCTTCAGGTTTTTACAAAGGTATACTTGTCTAGGTAGGAGGATAGAACTTACTTGATTCAGCCCTCTGTTAGTCTGACCTATAACTTATAAATACTGAGAAATATGGCACCCTGGCCTTTGTATTCATACTCCGAAGCCTCAAATGTTTGTTAGGGATGGGCAGAGCTGGGAGATCTAGATGCACAGTTCTGGAACCCAGGACAGTTCCAACCTGGAATGTTTTCCTTTTGTTACGTGTGGTTTCACTGCTGCTTGTTTAGTCTTAACATGCACAAAGCACCCTTACAATCAGTGTCACGTCTACTTTGTACATCAATTGCATGAGGTGGGCATCTTTCTATTTTCCATTATGCAGTAGGGAACTTGCTCAAGATCTTTCCGCTAGTGAGGGGCAGAATCAAACTGTGAACCCAAGGTCTGATTCTAAACACATGCTTTCTCATGATGCCTCCCTAGTACAAAATTAAGAGTCCAAAAGCTCTGAAAAATAATAAAAGTCATGAATGAGATTAGCTGATACACACTGCTATGACCATGCCAGTTGTTAAAATATTCAAACATTTTTGGAACAATTGCTAAACGACCCCTCTCCCTCCCCGTAATGCCTTCTCTTTGGCCACCCAGGTTCCTCCTCAGCTACCCACCACCATGTCTCCAAAAATTAATCAACTAAAGTGTTTACACAGGCACAGCAGGGGATCTCCAAGACAGGCTCTGGTTCTAAAGCTGAGTATATTAATAGTTCTGATAACATCATCTTGATCATAGCTCACACTTAACCTGAATGCCAGGCACTGTCCTGAGAGTCTGTGGTCTAACCGCTATGTTCAGCCTACTCTTTAAAGGAATCCTGACTGCTGCGTTAACTTTACTGCACTTAGAGGGTGGGAAAAGAGGCTTCTGCCTTTTCTCTTCATCTTCATGGCTGGAACCTAAGGCTCTACTATTTGGGTATGTGGCAAGTTTAGTTAAAGAGAACACCACACCCTGAGCATTGAGGCTTTTCATCTAACGTGAAGGAGAGCAATGTGCTCCCAGTCACGTGAGTCTCATGTTCCGTGTCATTGCTGACTTTGCAGCAACTTTCTCCTCCCAACCCCTCCACAGGAGGAGCTGGAAATAACAGTGCATGGTGGGACAGTGAAGAGAGAGGAGGCACGGAGGTGGAGTCTGACACAAGGCTGGGGTCAGAGGGGAGCCAGGCCAGGCGCCTGTCACCTGGGCAGCCACCTGGCCCCTGAGACCAATTTCCAGCCCTGCCTCTGGCAGAGGTCCTGATTCTCAGATGCTTTGCAACCATGATTACAGAGTAAGTGTTAAAATTAGGATTTTCCTCATTCCGCACTGTTTATATCAGACTCCAAGCAGCCTGTAAATACTCCCCCCTCCCACTTTCCCCTCCGCCCACTTCCTTTCTGACCACATCCTTTTCTTTTTGGCGCACAAGGAGGCATTTTTCCTATTGCAGAAAAGATCATTTGCAGTGTTTTTCAAGAGTCATCAGTGCAGAGACAGGCTTCATGTTTGTTACCACTCTTGCGTCCTGTTTAGGGTGAGTTCTTCCAGCATTAGAGACATCTTCTCACTGTGTATTTAACCTTCACCACGTGGAGGTCAGGTTACCTTGTGCCCTCTAAGTAAGTTGCCCCAGCTGGGTTCTCAGAGTCCTCTGCTGACTTGTTTCAATTTGACAGCCCTGAGGTCTGGGGTCGTTGGCCAGTTTTCTAGGTCACATCTGAAAATGGTTGACTTCCGACTCCAATTCTGAGTTTCTTGGAGCAAAGCGCCTTACCCCACACAGAGAAGCAGTGTTCTCTAATGCCTGCAGAGCGCCGTGCAGGCCCAGGCTGTGTCCCTTACAAGGGTCGTGTCCCCTGACCACACAGCAAGCCCTTTTGGCTCCTTACCAGTCACTGGGACTTGTGCCAGGCCCAGTGGCATTTGTTCTCCATCCCGAAGGTCACAGCCCACCCAAGGTGGCAGGTCAGATGCCTTCCCACAGGAGTAAGGCCCTGCTTATGCCAGGCTCTGGGGGTGCCAAGAGGAAGCAGAGGAAACTGGGGCTGGAGGTAGAGGTCAGCAGGCCTCCTAAGGGGAAATGGGGCTGCAGTGGGACCCCAAAAGATGAGGGGGAATCGATGTGGGCAGCATTCCAGGTGGCGAGCACAGAGACCTGCCTGTCCCTCACCATGCCCCAATCCTCACCTGCTCTTAGACCAACATGTTTCTCCACTATGCCTCTACAATATGGCCAGAATTTGTCTCTTCTGTCTAACCCCATGGCCGCCACCCTTCTCCAAGCCATTTCTCCTCTATCCGGGACCATGCAGGTCCTCTCCTCACTGGGACACTGCTTCCAAGCTTGTGCTGCCCCTGCAAGCCACGAATATGGTTTTTATAAAATGTACATCAGGCCATGTCTCATCTCTGAAAAATCCTATGATGGTTTTCTACTGCACCCAGATGTCCATGTTTCCTTATTTGCCCCACCAGTTCTCCAGCCTCATTCATCCTCACCCCCTCCCTTCTGGCTCTCTAGACTTCAGCAACTTCAACTTTTTTCACTTTTCAACAAGATAAGCTTCCTCCCACTGGACTTGCTGGGCCTTTGGATTTGCTGTTCCCTTTGCCCAGGACCATTTTCTTTCAGTTCTTTACAACCTGGACTCCTTTTCTTTTTCTGAAAATAGAGATGGGGTCTCACTACCTTTCCCAGGCTGGTCTTGAACTCCTAGGCTCAAATGATCTTCCTGCCTCAACCCCCACAGAGTGTTGGGATTATGGGCATAAGCCACCACCCTTGGCTCCCTTTCATCCTCAACTTGCAGCTCCAGGCCACCTTCTGAGAGTGGCTTCCAATTGCATATGCATTTCAGTGTGCTGATTTGCTTGTGTCTATGACAGTTTTCCACTAGACTGCATGCGTCCTGAGGACAGGCTTTGCTGCATCTTCAGTACCTCCAGAAGAGCCCAGAACAGGTGCTTCCTTCAAGCAGCGCAATGAATGGGGCAAGTGTTTCTGGAAGAGCAGGTAGGGCTGGCTGTGAGGTGAGTTCAAGGGAGCTGCAGAGGGAGTAAGATGGGGAAGGCTCTTCTGGAGTCTAGGGGAGAGTCCCACGTGACAGCCGAAGGGATGGGAAGGGACTGAATGCAGACACATTGGAACGAGTGTCCCTGGGGCTCCTGGCAAGGTACTAAGTGCCTTTCCTCTGACAGCTTGCATTAAATAGGAGCCCAGCTAAGCTGGGAGAGGATGTAGGGGCTGGGTGGTGGCATTGAGGGGCATGGGGGTGCAACACACATTCAATCCAGCCCATGGCAGTAGACTGTATCCTCTACTTGCAGCCCTTGAAGCCAGACAAATGGCAGGTAGAGGAGATGGGGAGTGGATGTGTGTTTTTTTCCTTCTTATTTTGGAATTCTGCTATTATAGGCAAACCTTAGTTAACCTGAGAAAAGACATTATTGGGTGGATACACCAAAATGTGAAAAGTGCTTATCTATAGTTGTGGGACTATAGGAGTTTTCTCTTTATTTTGTGAATATTCTCATTAAAAAAATTAATTTGTCTTTATTCTGTAATAAAAAGGAATGAGTTACCTCACAGAATTACATAGAATGAATATGAAGCATTTCAGGGAAAGAGAGAGGAGGGGTAGGGGAAGAGTGCGGGGTGGGACTCCCAAGACCTGCATGCAAATCTGGATGTTACCACCTGCTACCACGTGGCCTTGGACAAATCACTAAGCCTCTTTGGGCTTTCATTTCTTATGTGAATGGGGATAATAACAAAACCCACGCTGTAGGTTTTTCCTTTTTTTTGAAATGCAGTTTT
Source organism: Homo sapiens (assembly GCF_000001405.40). Classification (NCBI taxonomy): domain Eukaryota; kingdom Metazoa; phylum Chordata; class Mammalia; order Primates; family Hominidae; genus Homo; species Homo sapiens. The sequence continues at coordinate 166,083,536 of NC_000001.11, forward strand.
GCTCGGTCACCCAGGCTGGAGTGCGGTGGCGCGATCTCAGCTCACTGCAACCTCTGCCTCTTGGGTTCAAGTGCTTCTCCTGCCTCAGCCTCCGGAGTAGCTAGGACTACACGTGCGTGCCACCACGCCCAGCTGATTTTTGTAGTTTTAGTAGAGACGGGTTTCACTATGTTGATCAGGATGGTCTCGATCTCTTGACCTCATGATCCGTCTGCCTCGGCCTCCCAAAGTGCTGGGATTACAGGCGTGAGCCACGCACCCAGCTTTTTTTTTTTTTTTTTTTTTTTTAATGAGAACCCTATGAAAACTAATCTATATCATGCCTGCGTGGCACATAACAGCTCACAAATGAGAACTATTATTATGGGTATTGCTCATTCAAAAAGGATGTTGGCTGGCTGGGACCTGAGCTTCTTCAAAGGGTAGGACTCATTTCCTCCCTTTACGCAAGTAAGAACTGAGTATTTCCCTTCCATCTTGACAAGGTAACAGGAGGGTAGATGGCCACACTTTATTTACATAATAAGGACACTGAAGTAGAGAAATGATTCATTCATGGCATGCACCAAGAAAGACGCACATCCACAGATAGTATTCTTTTCACAAAGAGCACCTACTTTGTTCTTAACATTGTGTTAGACTTTGTGGATAACACAGAGGATGTAGAAACCACACACACACACACACACACACACACACACACTCTCTCTCTCTCTCTCTCTCTCTCTCTTTCTCTCTCTCTCTTTGCATATAATTTCATCTGGTGAGGGTCTCAAGTCTAAAAATATCTGCTCTGGAAGCTACCAGCCTAGATGCCCTTTCTGGCATGACTTTTGGGCTCCAAAGTGAGCCCTTTCACCTTCAGTTTCCTCATCTATAAAACAGAGAGTAGAATAAACAACCTCATGGATAAGGATATGTCCAGCTCCTATAATCTCTGACCAAAGACCTCAGTCCTTGTGCTGATGGCGAGTGCAATTTTCAGGGCCACAAGGGAAGAGTTATGGTTTCAGAAAAGAGAAATATAGTGGTTATTCCCAAGGGATGAGTTGCTTCTCCCAGAATACAGGACACCACACTGTAAGGCTGTAAGGCTCCCAGGGATTCAGAGTGGCTTCCCTGCACCTGGGTCCACGTCTACTCTCCTATCAGGGTTCTAGCTCCTCCTGAATGAGTCTCCTGTGACACCTGCAGCTGGGAGGACTACAGCTCTTGAGCCCTGCTGGATGTCTCTGACTTGCTGCTTGTCAGGCTTGCCACCTGCGCATCAGGTGGTGGAAGTGGGGCACCACTCCTGCCTGCACATGGCCTGGATCCCAGCCCCAAAGCCTGGCTTACCTTGGTGCCTGTACCTGGAGTCTACAATCCTGCAGGTCCTGTGGCTATAAAAGGCCTTAACACCGTGAACACCTAATGCCTTTCTTCTTATTTTTTTCCCTTTGTGCCTGGGCATTGACAGAGAAGGTGTGGTGCACTTATTTCTTTTTACCTTATTTGTCAAGGAAGACTCCTAGTATGGAACCTTCTGGTGGATCCCTGGAAGAGAAGCTCTTGGGGCCCTCCGCCATTTACCCTGTCTTGGTTAACTGGCACAGTTTGGCAGTGCATCCTCATCTCATGGACTGTTTTAGCATCCCATGGACTGTTTTAGCACAGAACATCTGCAGTTTTAACTGTTACTTGTAAAGACACGACTAGTTTTTTTGTGGCTGAATCTAATGGCAGCATATGCATCTGATGGAGATAATGAACACTGAGCATAGTTGGCTGGGGACCCTGGGCAGCTCAGGGGAAGGGGGGCCACTGTACCATCCCTTCCCATCTGGACCTAAAGCTGATGTGCTAGCTTCGGAGGGTGGGGTCAGAACTCAAGATCTCTTCAGATCTTTTGGCCTAGACAGCACTTCCTGCAATTTATTCCCATCTGATTTGGGAATCATTAAGGAGAACAAATGTTCAAGGTCAAGGAGACACTGATAAAGACATGGTTGTCAAGTCTTCTCCAAGATCAATCAGGAGTTACTAGATACTTATCAGCTGAATGAATGAATGAACCAGGGCAGGTCTGCTGGGCACAGCGTGTGAGCAGGAGTGCAGGGCACTATCAGCCCTTCTATCAGACAGCATTCTTGCCTTTCTCCTGCCTCCCTGGTTAGAGGCCTCAGTGACCCCATGACAAGTGACTATGACCAGAAAGAACATAACCGACAGGGTCTGGGTACCTGGGAGTCAATGCCAAGTCTGGGCTGGGGGCTCCTTGGCCTCAGTGGTCTGGAAACCAGGAAATCCAAAGTCTGGAAACCAGGAAATAAAGAGATGTGTTTACTAGGGCAAGAACAAGGCCAGGAGAGTCACACAGCAAAACATCTGTGGTGACAAAGTTGAGAAGATCAAGACAGGCTAGAGGCAGGAATCTCAAATGTCAGGTATTATTAATACTGCTACTACAGGTAAGAGGAGCTAATATTTACTGAAGGCTTCCAGGCAGTCTACTAAATTCTTGCTATAGTAACCTTCAAAGTAGGTACTATGTTACTCTTTTTTTTTTTTTTTTTTGCATAAAGGAGCTGAGGCTCAGGCTAAATGACTCGCCATTGTCACAAAGCAAATAAGTGGCAGAGATGGGACAAACTTAACTCTGGCCTCTGGCTCTCCGGTACCTTTGACCCCTCTTCCTGGTCAAAACCAAAGGCTTTTGCAGCCAGTACTGACCCAGGTCCTCTAACCTGATTCTCCCTCCCCCACCATCCCCACAGCACAGGGTTTCCTCATAGGTGACACTAGAGCAGAGGAATGTCCCCAAAGAAAGCACAGTGGCAGAAGGGCAGGACTCTGCTGCTGGAGCAGTCATTTCTCTCATTTCTCTCACTGGCGCTGGGCAGGGTAAGGGTGGGAAGATGGAAGGGGCTTCCCAGTTTCCACCAAATAATGCTCAAGGTGTAGGGGGAAGGGTCAAGGTCATGAAAGCGGGGCAGAGGGAGGCAGACACAGGAAAACAGAAGGGGAGAGGCTGAGGATGGAGTGCTCTAGCAGCACAGACTTTAAAATCAGAGTTTATTGTTTTCATTAACTTTCCACTTTGTGTTCTTTGCATGCCACATTTCACTGCATGCTGAGTAGGGCAGCAGATGTGGGGAGTTTCCGGCAGCAGCTGAGCTGGGGCAGGAGATATAAAGATGCTGGCAGCTGAGTGTGTACCCTGGTGACAGGACCATAGACATGTCTTACCAGGCAGATGCCAGCTTAGCACACAAAAGGAGTGCCTGTCTGCAGTTGGCAGAGGTGGGGCCACACTGTCCACACGTGTGGACAGAGGAATTCACATGGGTATTATCAAACTAGAGGGGCAGAGAGACTGCAAAATTTCTAGGGATGCCTAAATGTTCCCCCAGTGTGGCTACATGCAGTGTGGCCACATGCAGTGTGGCCCAGGTGAGATGTCTGTCTCAGTGATTGTGGATGAAAGTGGTACACACACTGGCTTTCATTTAATCTGCAACAACACTACCGGGCGGCTATTATGATTACCATCTCCATTTTTTTTTTTTTAGATGGAGTTTCACTCTTTCACCCAGGCTGGAGTGCAATGGCACGATCTCGGCTCACTGCAGCCTCTGCCTTCCAGTTTCAAGCGATTCTCCTGCCTCAGCCTCCCAAGTAGCTGGGATTACAGGCGCCCGCCACCATGCCGGCTAATTTTTGTATTTTTGATAGAGACGGGGTTTCACCATGTTGTCCAGGCTGGTCTTGAACTCCTGACCTTGTGATCCACCTGCCTCAGCTCCCCAAAATGCTAGGATTACAAGCAAGAGCCACCGTGCCCAGCCCACCATCTCCATTTTGCAAAGGAGGAAACTGAGACACAGTGACACCAAGGATGACAACTGGAGTAAACCATGGAGGCAGGATTCTCACCCTAACAGATACCTCAACAGGCCAAATTTAAGTACTTGTGGAAGGAAAACTACCATGTCTTGAGCACCTAGCGTACTTCAGGCACCATGTTAGGTACTTTGTATGGGTTAACTAATTTGGTCATCGTAAGTCCTTGTGAAGGGGGCACTGTAAGTCCTGTGTTACAAATGCAACAACTTAGATGGAGAGAAGTTAAGTAATGTGTCTCTCTTTGCCCAGCTTGTAAGTGGCAGAGCTGGGACTTAAACCCAGAGGAGACATACACATGACTGTGTTGTGTTGTCAATTTTTAAAAGTTACATTACTTAATTGATTGGTTAATTCTTTTAACGTGTGATGTTTGAAATGTGTAGGCATCTAAGACAGTATGTGGGCAGGGGGTGGGCAGGGAGACACACAAAGATGACTCTGACCTGGCTACTAGCAGGCATAAGCCGTAAGTAAATGACTACAGTGCAAGGAGGAATGGGAGGAGTGCCGCTCAGGCTGGAGAGCATTCTGGGGTGCTGGGGATGGCAGAGGGTACTTGTGTCTGCTGCTTTTACCTTCTGCACCCTGGGGAGGGTGGTTCAGAAGTCAGCCTGCCCCAACGCAAAGCCCAGGCTGCAGATGCTTTGACCCAATTCTGCTCAAGCTGTTGGTCATCTCCTTCCAACACTCAAGAGACTGGCTTTTGTCCCTGGATGGATCATCTCTGCTCTGATGATTCTGGCATCCATGTGAGAACCAGCAGGGGAACAGCTATGCAACAGAGGCCTCTGGAACCTCACGCTCTTTAGATGTTAAATTGAAATCAGGTGCTTTATGACTCGTCTGTATTCAGGAGCCCATCAACGCTGCATGGGAACTGCTGTGGATTCAAAAGGAACACCAGTGTCATCCCTGCATGGCCCTTTACTCCACTGTGCTCCATGTTCTCCTCACTCCCTCCCAAGGGAGTTTTCTCCCATCTGCAGACCCTGCTGGGTGGGGCAGAAAGAGCACTGGGTTTGGACTCAGAAGATCCAGGCCCACTATCTGGTCTGTCACTCAGCAGCATGACTGTCACGAAGGCTCTCCTAGGCCTCAGTCTTCTGAGCAGTAAAATGGGATAATAATGCCTTCTTGCAGAGCTGCCATGTGGGTTACATGAGAAGTATGTGGAACGGTAGGTGTCACACTTACTGCAATTTCCAGGCCTCACGGACTGGCATACAGCTATGGCCAAGTCATTCCCACCCTTCAATCCTCTGTGAAGGGCTTCCTGACTGTTCCAGCCTGCCTGACTTCTGGAGGGATGTAGGACTGACCCGAAGTATTTGGCCAACCACGGGGAGGGGCAGAGGGGGCAGACACTGGGTGAATCTGGGCTTTGGGCTGTGTGGGGCTAGTGGGCTCCTCCAGTGTACAATTCTTGAGAGGCTTCCCAGTACTGGTAGAATACCACCCAAACCTCTAATGTGCTCCACACAGTCCTGCATCCTCTGGCCTCTGACTCCCCAGCTTCATCTCACACCACACTCCCCCATGCTCTCAGTGTTCCACTGCAAACAGCTTTCCACCCCCAATAGCTTTCCTTATGGTCCTCCAACATGCCAGGCTCTTCCCTGCCTCAGAGCCTCGGCAGACACTGTCTGGAAGGTACTTTTTCCCACTGCTCCCTTGGGCAACTGAGTAATCCTTAGGTCTAAACCCAAGTGTCACTTCCTCTGGGATACCTCCCCTGATCCATGCACCACCTCCTCCCACGCTGAACGAAACTAGGTCTCTGCTATAGAACTGCATCTTCTCCTGATTCATAGAACTTATCACCATTTGTAATTATATACATGTGAACCTATTTATGATTTAATGTGTCTCTCTTCGTGTGGATTGGAACACCTTAACTGATCACTGCTACTGACGAGGATCCACCACAGCCTCGGATATAGTGGTATTCCATCAGCGTGTATGAAGAGTGAATGTCTACATGAAACAGGTAGCGACAAGGGGCAAGAGGATGGAGGAGAGTGGGAAGGGAGTGGTGGCAGTGATGTGCCTGAGAGGTACCACGGTGGGCAGCAGGGAAAAAGCAGAGGGCTCTAGGAAGTGAAAGAATGGGTCAGGAGGAAGACCTGAGAGTGGGCTGTTTGCATTTAAGATTTCAGAGGGGCAGCCATGAAGCATGGCCTGTTTTGAGGCTCCTAGGAAGGGGAAGATGCAGCCTTGTGATGGAGTTTTGTACAGTTAGGGCATCCAGAGTGCCCTGGGACTGGGAACTGGCAAGGAAATAAGAGAGAGCTCTGGAATGGGGGGTGAGGGGGAGGGTACCGATGGTGCCTATGTCCCTGTGTTATGGGGTGGCCCTGCACTCCAGATGTCACCAGTATCCCTTGGACTCAGTAGGAGGGAGCTCTCTCCAGGGAAAAGGGAACTCTGTTAACATAACCGCGGTGGGGGTTAAAGAGCAGCTTTCCCTCAGTGGTACAGAGCCCTGTGGCTGGCAGCGCTGCACAGACTCCTCGAGACTCAGCTCCCACTGTCCCTGAGCCACACTGGGGCTCTTCGCCCTCCTGGCAGCAATTATAAAGTTGAACAGCAGAGGCAGGGGAGGATCGAAAGCCAAACAGGAAGCCAATAATTGCCTCTTGCAGAAATAGCTCTTTCAAAATAAAAGTGAGGTCCTGAGGTTCCTACCCAGGTCAGTTATACAATGCTGCTCCTGTCCTCCCAGAGCCCTGTAATCTTCTTCCCAGTGTCTACTTTCTGGCCCTGAACTCCAGTACAGGTCAAAAGATGTCCATGTGAAAACTAAGAAATGAAAAGTCCAATCCCCCATGCAACACTTTTTAGGGCTTCTGAGCACGTAAACACAAACAAACATACAACATTTTCTAAGCCTGGTCATCACAATCATCTGTCCACACACTGACACATGAACCTTCTCAGGTTCCGGACAGGCAGAGCAATGCCTCACTGAAACTGAACCCTTACTCAACAGGAAGACTAGGCTGAAAAAAACAAAACAGGGGAAGTAGGTGTCAGGAACCAAAGGAGGAGGCCACTCCAAGGACAATGGAATGAGAGCTCTCCAAGGTCACAGGCTATTAACTCGGTCCTTTCATGGGTAAAACTAACCCCTTTGAAGGGAATGCAGTCCCAATCAAAGTCAGTAATAAAAGCCACCTCAGAGATATGGCTCATGAGCCATCAGTTCGAATGATTTCTTCACCACCTGCCATGTGCTTGGTACTGTCCTGGGTGCAGGCGACAACAAGACTCATGAAATGGTGTCCCTGCTCTAATTCTGGGACAGAATTAGAGCAGATCACTTCAATACAATGTGGGATATTTGGGGACAGAGACATGTCATCAGGGGCAGCAGCAAAAGCCATCTGGCCATCTGGGAAGAGGTGGATGATGGTGACCATAATGATGGCTAGTGTTTATTGAGGGCTTACTCTGTGCAGGTATTGCTCATGGCACTTCACATGCACCAACTGATCAATCCTCACAACAACCCAGTGAAGCTGGTACTAACTTTATTTCCATTTTAAAGTTGGGGTGGGGGTGCGACTGAGGTTTGGGGAGGTGAAGAAACTGGCCTAGGGCAACACAGGATTTGAACGTAGGCTGACTGGCTCCTGAGCAGCATCCTGGGTGAAGGATGAGCAGCAGAGGAGGAAGCAGCATGAACAATGGCCTCAAGGTGTGGCACGGGCAGGAAGGGTAGAACTACTTGTTTCTGTATTTCTTAAACACAATGTTGGGCCAAGAGTGAGGGAAGTCAAGGCTGAAGGGGAGGTGGTGGCCTTGACAGCTCCCCCATGAAAGTCTGGTTGGGTTGGTGCAAGAAGGATGGTGATATGGTTTGGCTGTGTCCCCACCCAAATCTCATCTTGATTTCCTACATATTGGGGGAGGGACTCAGTGGGAGGTAACTGAATCATGGGGGCAGGTCTTTCTCTTGCTGTTCTCATGATGGTGAATAAGTCTCACGAGATCTGACGGTTTTAAAAAGGGGGAGTTCCCCTGCACAAGCTCTTTTTGCCTGCTGCCATCCAAGACGTGATTAGCTGCTCCTTGCCTTCCACCATGATTGTGAAGCCTGTCCAGCCATATGGAACTCTAAGTCCAATAAACCTCTCTCTTTTGTAAATTGTCCAGTCTCAGGTGTATCTATCTTTACCAGCAGCATGAGGACAGACTAATACAGATGGTATCTCAAGCCTAATTCTTTACTGGTCCTGCCACCTGACATTGCCACGGAGATCCTCCATAAGGATTTGGAGGCTGAATTCATGGGAAGGTAACCATAACCAGATATGGACTTAGTACCTTACATTTCACAAAACAATCCCCACATAAATGATCTCATTTAATCTTCACAATAATGCTATGAAATAGGTATTATGTCCTCTACCTTAAAAACAAGGAAACCAGAGCTCAGAAAGGTTACGTGATTTTCTCAAAGTCCAACAGTTCATAAGTGATGGAGACAGAGGTCTTAAACCTACATCCACATTCTGTTACGTTTTCTACCACACTACCCCTGCTTCTCAATGAAGCAAGACAGCAGGAGAACCTGGACAGACACTGTGTGGTTAACATGATTGAGCCATCATTTTTTTTTTTTTTTTTTGCAAAACAAAAAGTGGGGGAAGCTTATGTATCAAAAGTCTATCTTTCTGAGGAATTTTCCAGAACTTAGCTCTCAGCAGGATGATCTGCCCAAAATACCTGTAGTATACTTGGTAAACATGAGCCAGAAATAATTAGCTAATGAGCTACCATCAATGTTTGTTAATTATCTGTGCCAATGGAAGCGAGCACTGATGTGGAGAATAAAAAGTGTGGCAGTATCCCTTGGATGGCAGAGCCACAGCCCTCCTCCTTCCAGTGGGGGATGCTGAGTTGTCCTGCCCTATGTGCAGCCTGCACCCCCAACCCTCCCTGGCATTGCTAACCACACCTGCCCACCAGGGGCTTGTTCAAACGGGCCCCTCCAAGTGGTCAACACCTCCTCTACCTCCTTCCACCCCTAGTTAGTCCTACCCTGCCTCTTCTCTTCTGTAGGCCCCTTGCTGTGGATTCAGTTTTGGTTCTCTGCCTATTCTATGCCTACTGGTCTTTAAGCCTCAAGCTTCCTTAAGCCTGATCTTGTCATGAAGGTTGCAGACTCTGATTCCCCTTTATCCCATGCTCCTCAGCTGCAAGCTGGCTGTGCCCACCCAGAACTCCAGTCCTGACCCCTGTGACCCGAGGGCGTGGGCTCCCCAATATGAATTTTGTGTATACAGCACAGCTTTCATTTTAGGTCCAACCATCCCAAACATACTCTTTAAATTTGATGACATCTGTCTAGTTAGTTATTTTTGTGTGATACAGTGAGAGTAAAAGAGGCCTTCAGAAATGCCATTCTAATACACATTTTTGATAAATGAAGGAATAAGTCACTTGTTAAATCCTCCCAACAATGTTGGTTAGGTGGATATGATCATCATCAGACAAGCTTACTGGATCTCAGAGACATTCTAACTTGCCGTTAAGTGGCCGGGCTGAAATCAAACCTGGGTCTGAGCCCCAAACCTACACTCACACAAATCCACTTATAACAACAATATTAGTTAAGAATATATTTAAAAAAATAAAAAAATATACTTGGGTAGCTACTCCTCAAAGGAGCCCTGAGAGAAGTATTGTTTGGAATAGAAAACGCTTTATGTAATATGTAAATAAACACCTATTAAATTTTCCTGTTTTATGTTTTTTCAAATATATATCTCTCCAGCTTCTCAAAGTGGGGCATGCAGTTTGTGAGAAATGGTCCAGAACAGATATTCGGCAGAAAGGTGGGAAGAAGACATGGCCAAGTCATGTCTACATTCCAGGTGTGAACAATGGTTGTAATCAGCAGGAAAATGATAAAAATGATTTTAAATCCTCATCTCCAAGCAGAGGTTCCAAGTTCCTGCCCTTCCCATTGCTCCCACCAGGAAACAAGAGGCCGACAGGGCATTTGTCTCCTTTTATATCCTTTTCTCCTGGGTCAAAGACAGAAGAGAAGAAACAGAAACATTACTGCCCTGACATGTTTGGCCCTATAGGACCATGGATCCCCATTTTAAAGCCAGGGGCTTGCCTTCTTTTACATAAAATATCTTTCTATTCCTTCTCACATGTAAAGGCGCTAAGAGACTGAACCTTTGCCAAATTAATTGAGGACAAACTCATGAGAGAAAAGTATTTCAGGGCAATTCTTTGCAGAATAAAAGAATTCTGATCAGCCGAGGCTTCTCCAGGGCCTGTAAATAGCAGACAAGCAGGTCACATGGGAAACACTTTTTTTTTTTTTTAAAGAAAGCAATAAAATTCGCAGTTGTAGATTGGGCTCTGGTGGTAAGGCAAGCATTGATTTTCTTAGGAAAGATTTGAATTATACCTTGATGTGTCCTGATTGGCTAGGATGATACAGAATAGGGCTGCTGCAGAGGGACTTGCATAGGCCCAGGATCAATGACGGTGCACGGGGAGAGAGGAGCAGGGTGGGGGTATGGGGGACAGGGAAGAGGGGCACACAGGGCTTGCGAATGACTGTGTGTGTGTGTGTGTGTGTGTGTGTGTGTGTGTGTGTGTGTGGTGTTCTTGAATCTCTGCTTTATTGAGCCAGTGGTGCAGCAGGGGAAGGAAGCAGGACGTTGGGATGCAGGGCTGATCCCAAACAGGAAGCACCGAATGCAACCCCGGAGCAGAAGCCATCAGAACAGATAGCACTTAGGAACATGCCCATGCCTACAGCCAAGGGAAAAATGATGGCAAGCAAGGAGCAGGAACAGAGGTGGCAGGAATGACTGTAGGCAAGTGGGCCCTGATGGAGCAGGAGGCTGCAGTCTGGAGACAGAAGCAGAAGGCTACCACCCTGCTTTGGGACAGCTATAAAGAGAATCTGTGTCCCGTGCTCCATGTAGGGCTCAGTCTCATGCCATGGCGGGGCTCTCCACTGTGAAGTGTGCATGCAATGCTGACACCTGCTCTTTGACAGAGAGCTGCAGTGGGCATTTCCCAATCACTATGGACCCAGAACTGCCTGTGGCCAGGCTGCACTGTGTGGTGATGAGTCTGTAAATTTGTGCTGTTGTGATCTGTCAGGGCAGATGTTCCTTGACTTCCAACAGTCTGCAATTTTCTTAGAAGACTGATAATGCAGGAGTGCCCTATAGATGTGGAGACAGAATGTGCCTTAATGTTTCTGCAGTGAATATTCTGACCCTATATGGATGCTCCCATGAATCAAAATGGTCACATATTCTGGACGGAGCCCTGAAAAGATAAGGAGGACATCTGGATACCAAGTGAGGTTAAGACATGCCGGGAGGGACAAGACAGAACTTCCTTGGTCGTGACAGCAATAACAGTGCTAGTAACACTTACTGAGGTTTATACACCTATTGAATGCTGGAGGGTTTAGAGCATGCTACATAAATTTCTTTGTTTCACCTTCAGAATGACCCTTCTGCCTAGTAGATATTATTAGATTGGTTCTGTCTATAAGAAAATAAGTTTAGGGAGCTGAAGAGACTTGTCTAAGGTGACCAAATCAGCAGGTGGCTGAGCTGACAGGTCTGATGCTCAGGACACTTCTGCCTTCATCATTAGACCTGGTCTAATGATGACTCTGTCTGTCCATACCAGTCCTTGCAGAGTCATCACCATCCTTGCAGAAGCAAGTCTGCTGACAACCCTGCCCTCAGAGGCTTGGAAGGTCCGTCCTCAGGGTGGTTGCATTTCCCCGTTCCCAAAGGGCTTGCCCATGCCCTGTGTGCGGAGTGGGCTCCCTTCCCTTGAGCATGGCATACTCGATGCAGCAGCCCCGCAAGAGCAGCCGGAGTGCAGGTGGCAGCAGAAGAGTGCAAAGCTATCATGGGTGAGAAGAGAGGTGTGCTGAACAGTCTGGACAGGTTTAAAGATGGCAGAGGGGAGGGTAGAGTGGTCAGTACAGCCAGTGGGCCAGGAACCAGGACAGGCAGACAGGAATGCTGATGAGGCTCAAATAGGCCTGGTGCTGCCCAGAGGTTCAGGTGCCTTTGGGGGCATGTGTACTCTTCCTAGCCAATGCTGGGCATGGGCAGGGGAAGGGAGATTAGGAACTTCATACTGTTTTTAATAGGAGCGTTATGGCCAGCCCCTCCACCTCTGCCCCAGTCATTGTGAGCCCGCAGGAACCCCAGGCCTCCTCAGAGTCCCCTCTCCTCATCCTGCCAAAAAGGGGGCAGGAGGAAAAGGGCAGGGAATTGCTTACGTGATAGATAGTAAGTGCTACACAGACCACCCCCACCCCCAACCCAGGTAGGTCTCTGGGACCTGAGTAGATGAACAATTCAGGAACTGTTCTGTGTGTGTGTGTTGGGGTGGTGACGAGTAGGGGGGCAACACTCCAGTGGCACAGAGGAGTAAGGTGCTGGCTCCCAGGATCAGTGAAAGATTAAACACAGAGAAAATCAAATACTAAATGCAGGAAGCTGCAGACAGAAATGTAATTCCCCAGCTGGAAATGGCAGCACCTAAAAATACTGAGCTATGGTTCTCACAGGAATGCTCAATGCCCCACATTCAATCTAGAATGGCTTCTGGATTATGGGTTAGAGTAAATAAAAAAGATCATCTAAGCAACGTAACCATAGGTTTTTAGCTTAAGATGACATCTGGTATCAACATATTATCTGTCTCTAAGAAACTCAAATTGCCAGTCGTCCCACGAACCTCTGCTGTTCTCAGCAAATTTTCATCTTGACTTGCTTTGACTGCTGGGGAGAATATAAGTTTGGATTTCAGCTCTCCCTTGGGTCTTGGAGTTCTACTATTACCCAGGAGCCACTGTTGAGGGCAGGCTGGTCACTGGTCAGCACATGGCCTGGCCACTCTGGCATAACACAGTGAGCTTGGGCTGCTTACATCTGTGGATGGGTAGCTCACTTCACTGGCCAACCCAAACAGCCCCATGCATAGATCACTCTACATCCATCTCTTCTCCAAGAAAAACGACTTTATGTGCACAACCTCTCGATGGTTGGTCAGTGGTAGCATTTTGTTGTTGTTGTTAAGAAGGAAAACTTGCTCCATAATAGATCTCATTCCTGGTTCTGCGAAGTCCTAGCTATGTGACCTAGGGCGAGTCACTTGACTGCTTTGTGCCTCAGTTTCCTCATCTGTAAAGTAGAACGAGAGTATCTCCAACTGTCCTGATGTAGTGAGAGAGGCCTGCCTCAATGTTCTTGTCCTCCTCTCCTTACCCAGTTGGTCTTCCTCCCTGAATACCTACTATGGCAGCTATGCCTGCATCCCACCCTAGGCTGACCTTTGACTCCAGAAACCAGCCTGGAGTCCTACGATCCAGAGAAGATGAAGAGTTGTCTTCAAAAGAAAAAGAATGGGGCGAGGGGAGAGAGATCGTGGTGGATGGCAGGCAAGACTAGATTGCAGCTCTGGACAGAGCAGCGGGCGGCGGCTCACACTGTAAGCTGTAGGTCCAGATCGACTGCAAGAACAAACCAGCAATCCTGAGAGGACGCACAGACCCTCTGAAGGAAGCGGACTGCTCCTGCACGACCCAGGAGACCACCCCCCAAAACTGTGAGTGCCCCAACTGCAGAAGCAGGAAAGGGAGACGCTCCTCTCTTGAACACACACCCCTGCCGGAGAAGCTGAAGGTCTGTTTGTGGGAGAAGTTTCCGACTTTACCTGGAGCTGAGTCAGTCTGGAGAGCTGAGAGAAATACAGGAGTAGAGGAAGCAGCAGAAAGGCCCTGGGAGCTTGCTGGGTCCCCTAGCAGGCCATTCCTGCCTGGCACCATAGGGATCCAACGGGAGAGGAGCAGTGGGTAAAACTCCACAGGGGGAAGGAATTCTCTAGCTTAACTCTGCAACAACTTGAATAGGGCGAGAAGCCTCCTGGCCAGAACTCAGGGGAGGGTGCAAATCCAGCATACAGACTGCACAGGCAAGCGGAAGAACCAAGCCCCTTTTCTTCTGCAGCTGAGAGGCAGATAGCCAGGGGCAGGTTTTCAAGCCCATATGGCTCTCCAACTGGAAAGGGTCTGGGGACTGTTGCGGGGAGCATGGTGGGAGTGAGACCAGCCCTTTGGGGACTGAGACCAACCAGCCCTTTGGGTTGCGTGGGAGCTGGGTAAGGCCTGTGACTGCTGGCTTTCTCCAACTTCTGACAACCTATATGACTCTACAGAGGGAGCCATAATCCTCCTAGGTATACAACTCCAGTGACCTGGGAATCTTACCCCCATCCCCACAGCAGCTGCAGGAAGACCAGCTCAAGGAGAGTCTGAACTCAGACATGCCCAGCCCCGCCCCCACCTGATGGTCCTTCCCTACACACCCTGGTAACAGAAGACAAAGGGCATATAATCTTGGGAGTTACACGGTCCTGCCCACCACCAGTTCCTCCCCATAATACCACAGCTGATGCTCTCTGGAAAGCGCCATGTCCTGGCAGGAAGCCAACCAGCACAAAAATAGAGAATTAAACCACCAAAGCCAAGGACCCTCACGGAGTCCACTACACCCCTTTGCCACCTCCAACAGAACAGGTACTGGTATCCATGGCTGAGAGAACCATAGACCCACATCACAGGACTCTGTGTAGACAACTCCCAGTACCAACCTGGAGCCGGGTAGACTCGCTGGGTGGCTAGACCCAGAAGAGAGACAACAATCACTGCAGTTTGGGTAATAGGAAGCCACATCCATAGGAAAAGGGGGAGAGTACTACATCAAGGGAACACATGTGGGACAAAAGAATCTGAACAATGGCCTTCAACCCTAGACCTTCCCTTTGACAGAGACTACCCAAATGAGAAGGAATCAGAAAACCAACTCTGGTAATATGATAAAAAAAGGCTCTTCAACAGCCCTGCCCCGCCGCCTCCAAAATCACACTAGTTCATCAGCAATTGATCCAAACGAAGAAGAAACACCTGATTTACCTGAGAAAGAATTCAGAAGGTTAGTTATTAAGCTACTCAGGGAGGGACCAGAGAAAGGTGAAGCCCAGTGCAAGGAAATCCAAAATATGACACAAAAAGTGAAGGGAGAAATATTCAAGGAAATACACAGCTTAAAGAAAAAACAATAAAAAATTCAAGAAACTTTGGACACACTTTCAGAAATGTGAAATGCTCTGGAAAGTCTCAGCAACAGAACTGAACAAGCAGAAGAAAGAAATTCAGAGCTCAAAGACAAAGTCTTCGAATTAACCCAATCCAACAAAGACAAAGAAAAAAGAATAAAATATGAACAAAGCCTGCAAGAAGTCTGGGATTATGTTAAATGACCAAATCTTAGAATAATCGGTGTTCCTGAGGAAAAAGATAATTCTAAAAGCTTGGAAAACATATTTGGAGGAATAATCAAGGAAAACTTCCCTGGTTTTGCTAGAGTTAAGACCTAGACATCCAAATACAAGGAGCACAAAGAACACCTGGGAAATTCATCACGAAAAGATCTTTGCCTAGACACACTGTCATCAGGTTATCCAAAGTTAAGATGAAGGAAAGAATCTTAAGAGCTGTGAGACAGAAGCATCAGGTAACTTATAAAGGAAAACCTATTAGATTAACAGCAGATTTCTCAGCAGAAACCCTACAAGCTAGAAGGGATTGGGGCCCTATCTTTAGCCTCCTCTAACAAAACAATTATCAGCCAAGAATTTTGTATCCAGAGAAACCAAGCACCACATATGAAGGAAAGATACAGTTGTTTTCAGACAAACAAATGATAAGAGAATTCTCCACTAGCAAACCACCACTGTAAGAACTGCTAAAAGGAGCTCTAAATCTTGAAACAAATTCTAGAAAGACATCAAAACAGAACCTCTTTAAGGCATAAATCACACAGGACCTATAAAACAAAAATACAAGTTAAAAAGCAAAAACAAACAAACAAAAAAACGAAGTACACAGGCAACAAAGAGCATGATGAATGCAACTAGTACCTCACAAATCAATACTAACATTGAACGTAAATGGTCTAAATGCTGCACTTAAAAGATGCAGAACCCACAGAATGGATAAAAACTCACCAACTAACTATCTGCTGCCTTCAGGAGACTCACCTAGCACATAAAGACTCATATAAAGTTAAATTAAAGGGGTGGAAAAAGCCATTTCATGCAAATGGGGTAGCAGCGAGCAGGGGTAGGTAGCTATTCTTATATCAGACAAAACAAACTTTAAAGCAACAGCAGTTAAAACAGACAAAGAGGGACATTATATAATGGTAAAAGGCCTCGTCCAAAAGGAAAATATCACAATTCTAAACATATATGTACCTAACACTGAAGCTTGCAAATTTATAAAACAATTACTAATTGACCTAAGAAATGAGACAGACAACAACACAATAATGGTAGGGGACTTGAATATTCCATTGACAGCACTAGACAGGTCATTAAGACAGAAAGTCAACAAAGAAACAATGGATTTAAACTATACCTTGGAACAAACGGAATTAATAGATATACAACAGCCGCAGAATACAGATTCTATTCAACAGTGCATGGAACTTTCTCCAAGACAGACCATATGATAGGCCATAAAACGAGCCTCAATAAATTTAAGACAACTGAAATTATATCAAGCACTCTCTCAGATCACAGTGGAATAAAACTGGAAATCAACTCCAAAAGGAACCTTCAAAACCATCCAAATACATGGAAATTAAATAACCTGGTCCTGAATGAGCATTGAGTCAAAAACAAAATCAAGATGGAAATCTAAAAATTCTTTGAGGAGGCAGTTCCAAGATGGCCAAATAGGAACAGCTCCAGTATACAGCTCCCAGCAGGAGCGATGCAGAAGACGGATGATTTCTGCATTTCCAACTGAGGTACCGGGTTCATCTCATTGGGGATTGTCAGACAGTGGGTGCAGGACAGTAGGTGCAGTGCACCTAGCATGAGCCGAAGCAGGGCAAGGCATTGCCTCACCCAGGAAGTGCAAGGGGTCAGGGATTTCCCTTTCCTAGCCAAGGAAAGGGGTGACAGATGGCACCTGGAAAATCGGGTCCCTCCCACCCTAATACTGTGCTTTTCCGATGGTCTTAGCAGACAGCACACCAGGAGATTATATCCCATGCATGGCTCAGAGGGCCCTATGCCCACAGAGCCTTGCTGATTGCTAGCACAGCAGTCTGAGATCAAACTGCAAGGTGGCAGCAAGGCTGGGGGAGGGGCGCCTGCCATTGCTGAGGCTTGAGCAGGTAAACAAAGCAGCTGGAAAGCTCGAACTGGGTGAAGCCCACCGTAGCTCAAGGAGGCCTGCCTGCCTCTGTAGATTCCACCTCTGGGAGCAGGGCATAGCCAAACAAAAGGCAGCAGAAACCTCTGCAGACTTAAATGTCCCTGTCTGACAGATTGGAAGACAGTAGTGGTTCTCCCAGCATGCAGCTTGAGATCTGAGAATGGACAGACTGCCTCCTCAAGTGGGTCCCTAACCCCCTGAGTAGCCTAACTGGGAGGCACCCCCAGTAGGGGCAAACTGACACCTCACATGGCCAGGTACCACTCTGAGACAAAACTTCCAGAGGAATGATCAGGCAGCAACATTTGCTGTTCACCAATATCTGCTGTTCTGCAGCCTCCGCTGCTGATACCCAGGCAAACAGGGTCTGGAGTGGGCCTCTGGCAAACTCCAACAGACCTGCAACTGAGGGTCCCGACTGTTAGAAGGAAAACTAACAAACAGAAAGGACATCCACACCAAAACCCCATCTGTACATCACCATCATCAAAGACAAAAGGTAGATAAAACCACAAAGATGGGGAAAAAACAGAGCAGAAAAACTGAAAATTCTAAAAATCAGAGCGCCTCTTCTCGAAAGGAATGCAGCTCCTCACCAGCAATGGAACAAAGCTAGACAGAGAATAACTTTGAGGAGTTGAGAGAAGAAGGCTTCAGACAATCAAACTTCTCCGAGCTAAAGGAGGAAGTTTGAACCCATGGTGAGGAAGTTCAAACCCATGGCAAAGAAGTTAAAAACCTTGAAAAAAAATTAGATGAATGGCTAACTAGAATAACCAATGCAGAGAAGTCCTTAAAGGACCTGATGGAGCTGAAAACCATACCACAAGAACTATGTGACGAATGCGCAAGCTTCAGTAGCCGATTCGATCAACTGGAAGAAAGGGTATCAGTGATTGAAGATCAAACGAATGAAATGAAGTGAGAAGGAAGTTTAGAGAAAAAAGAATAAAAAGAAACGAACAAAGCCTCCAAGAAATATGGGACTATGTGAAAAGACCAAATCTACGTCTGATTGGTGTACCTGAAAGTGACGGGGAGAATGGAACCAAGTTGGAAAACACTCTGCAGGATATTATCCAGGAGAACTTCCCCAATCTAGTAAGGCAGGCCAACATTCAAATTCAGGAAATACAGAGAACACCACAAAGATACTCCTCGAGAAGAGCAACTCCAAGACACATAATTGTCAGATTCACCAAAGTTGAAATGAAGGAAAAAATGTTAAGGGCAGCCAGAGAGAAAGGTCAGGTTACCCACAGAGGGAAGCCCATCAGACTAACAGCTGAACTCTCGGCAGAAACTCTACAAGCCAGAAGAGAGTGGGGGCCAATATTCAACATTCTTAAGGAAAATAATTTTCAACCCAGAATTTCATATCCAGCCAAACTAAGCTTCATAACCAAAGGAGAAATAAAATACTTTACAGACAAGCAAATGCTGAGAGATTTTGTCACCACCAGGCCTGCCCTAAAAGAGCTCCTGAAGGAAGCACTAAACATGAAAGGAACAACCGGTAACAGCCACTGCAAAAACATGCCAAATTGTAAAGACCGTTGAGGCTAGGAAGAAACTGCATCAACTAACGAGCAAAATAACCAGCTAACATCATCATGACAGGATTAAATTCACACATAACAATATTAACGTAAATGTAAATGGGCTAAATGCTCCAATTAAAAGACACAGACTGGCAAATTGGATAAAGAGTCAAGACCCATCAGTGTGCTGTATTCAGGAAACCCGTCTCATCTGTAGAGACAAACATAGGCTCAAAATAAAGGGATGGAGGAAGATCTACCAAGCAAATGGAAAACAAAAAAAGGCAGGGGTTGCAATCCTAGTCTCTGATAAAACAGACTTTAAACCAACAAAGATCAAAAGAGACAAAGAAGGCCATTACATAATGGTAAAGGGATCAATTCAACAAGAAGAGCTAACTATCCTAAATATATATGCGCCCAATACAGGAGCACCCAGATTCATAAAGCAAGTCCTTAGAGACCTACAAAGAGACTTAGACTCCCACACAATAATAACGGGAGACATTAACATCCCACTGTCAACATTAGACAGATCAATGAGACAGAAAGTTAACAAGGATATCCAGGAATTGAACTCAGCTCTGCACCAAGCAGACCTAATAGACATCTACAGAACTCTCCACCCCAAATCAACAGAATATACATTCTTTTCAGCACGACACCACACCTATTCCAAAATTGACCACATAGTTGGAAGTAAAGCACTCCTCAGCAAATGTAAAAGAAAAGAAATTATAACAGTGTCTCAGACCACAGTGCAATCAAACTAGAACTCAGGATCAAGAAACTCACTCAAAACTGCTCAACTACATGGAAACTGAACAACCTGCTCCTGAATGACTATTGGGTACATAACGAAAGGAAGGCAGAAATAAAGATGTTCTTTGAAACCAATGGGAACAAAGATACAACATACCAGAATCTCTGGGACACATTTAAAGCAGTGTGTAGAGGGAAATTTATAGCACTAAAGCCCACAAGAGAAAGCAGGAAAGATCTAAAATTGACACCCTAACATCACAATTAAAAGAACTAGAGAAGCAAGGGCAAACACATTCAAAAGCTAGCAGAAGGCAAGAAATAACTAAGATCAGAGCAGAACTGAAGGAAATAGAGACACAAAAAACCCTTCAAAAAATCAATGAATCCAGGAGCTGGTTTTTTGAAAAGATCAACAAAATTAATAGACGTTAGCAAGACTAATAAAGAAGAAGAGAGAGGAGAATCAAATAGACACAATAAAAAATGATAAGGGGGATATCACCAACGATCCCACAGAAATACAAACTACTGTCAGAGAATACTATAAACACCTCTATGCAAATAAACTAGAAAATCTAGAAGAAATGGATAAATTCCTCGACACATACACCTTCCCAAGACTAAACCAGGACGAAGTTGAATCTCTGAATAGACCGATAATAGACTCTGAAATTGAGGCAATAATTAATAGCTTACAAACCAAAAAAAGTCCAGGTCCAGATAGATTCACAGCCGAATTCCACCAGAGCTTCAAGGAGGAACTGGTACCATTCCTTCTGAAACTATTCCAATCAATAGAAAAAGAGGGTATCCTCCTTAACTCATTTTATGAGGCCAGCATCATCCTGATACCAAAGCCTGGCAGAGACACAAAAATAAAAGAGAATTTTAGACCAATATCCCTGAGGAACATTGATGCAAAAATCCTCAATAAAATACTGGCAAACCGAATCCAGCAACACATCCAAAAGCTTATCCACCATGATCAAGTGGGCTTCATCCCTGGGATGCAAGGCTGGTTCAACATACGCAAATCAATAAACATAATCCAGCATATAAAGAGAACCAACAACAAAAACCACATGATTATCTCAATAGATGCAGAAAAGGCTTTTGACAAAATTCAACAGCCCTTCATGCTAAAAACTCTCAATAAATTAGGTATTGATGGGACGTATCTCAAAATAATAAGAGCTATTTATGACAAACCCACAGCCAATATCATATTGAATGGGCAAAAACTAGAAGCATTCCCTTTGAAAACTGGCACAAGACAGGGATGCCCTCTCTCACCAGTCCTATTCAACATAGTGTTGGAAGTTCTGGCCAGGGCAATCAGGCAGGAGAAGGAAATATAGGGTATTCAATTAGGAAAAGAGGAAGTCAAATTGTCCCTGTTTGCAGGTGACATGATTGTATATCTAGAAAACCCCATCACCTCAGCCCAAAATCTCCTTAAGCTGATAAGCAACTTTAGCAAAGTCTCAGGATACAAAATCAATGTGCAAAAATCACAAGCATTCTTATACACCAATAACAGACAAACAGAGAGCCAAATCATGAGTGAACTCCCATTCACAATTGCTTCAAAGAGAATCAAATAGCTAGGAATCCAACTTACAAGGGACGTGAAGGACCTCTTCAAGGAGCACTACAAACCACTGCTCAACAAAATAAAAGAGGATACAAACAAATGGAAGAACATTCCATGCTCATGGGTAGGAAGAATCAACATCGTGAAAATGGCCATACTGCCCAAGGTAATTTATAGATTTAATGCCATCCCTATCAAGCTACCAATGACTTTCTTCACAGAATTGGAAAAAACTACTTTAAAGTTCATATGGAACTAAAAAAGAGCCCGCATTGCCAAGTCAATCCTAAGCAAAAAGAACAAAGCTGGAGGCATCATGCTACCTGACTTCAAACTATACTACAAGGGTAGAGTAACCAAAACAGCATGGTACTGGTACCTAAACAGACATATAGACCAATGGAACAGAACAGGGCCCTCAGAAATAATGCCACATATCTACAACTATCTGATCTTTGACAAACCTGACAAAAACAAGCAATGGGGAAAGGATTCCCTATTTAATAAATGGTGCTGGGAAAACTGGCTAGCCATATGTAGAAAGCTGAAACTGGATCCCTTCCTTACACCTTATACAAAAATTAATTCAAGATGCATTAAAGACTTAAATGTTAGACCCAAAACCATAAAAACCCTAGAATAAAACCTAGGCAATACCAGTCAGCACATAGGCATGGGCAAGGACTTCATGTCTAAAACACCAAAAGCAATGGCAACAAAAGCCAAAATTGACAAATGGGATCTAATTAAACTAAAGAGCTTCTGCACAGCAAAAGAAACTACCATCAGAGTGAACAGGCAACCTACAGAATGGGAGAAAATTTTCGCAACCTACTCATCTGACAAAGGGCTAATATCCAGAATCTACAATGAACTCAAACAAACTTACAAGAAAAAAGCAAACAACCCCATCAACAAGTAGGCGAAGGATATGAACAGACACTTCTCAAAAGAAGACATGTATGCAGCCAACAGACACATGAAAAAATGCTCATCATCACTGGCCATCAGAGAAATGCAAATCAAAACCACAATGAGACACTATCTCACACCAGTTAGAATGGTGATCATTAAAAAGTCAGGAAACAACAGGTGCTGGAGAGGATGTGGAGAAATAGGAACACTTTTACACTGTTGGTGGGACTGTAAACTAGTTCAACCATTGTGGAAGTCAGTGTGGCGATTCCTCAGGGATCTAGAACTAGAAATACCATTTGACCCAGCCATCCCATTACTGGGTATATACCCAAAGGATTATAAATCATGCTGCTATAAAGACACATGCACACGTATGTTTATTGCGGCACTATTCACAATAGCAAAGACTTGGAACCAAGCCAAATGTCCAACAATGATAGACTGGATTAACAAAATGTGGCACATATACACCATGGAATACTATGCAGCCATAAAAAATGATGAGTTCATGTCCTTTGTAGGGACATGGGTGAAGATGGAAACCATCATTCTCAGCAAAGTATCACAAGGACGAAAAACCAAACACCGTATGTTCTCACTCACAGGTGGGAATTGAACAGTGAGAACACATGGACACAGGAAGGGGAACATCGCACACCGGGGCCTGTTGTGGGGTGGGGGGAGGGGGGAGGGATAGCATTAGGAGATATACCTAATGTAAATGATGAGTTAATGGGTGCAGCACGCCAACATGGCACATGTATACATATGTAACAAACCTGCACATTGTGCACATGTACCCTAAAACTTAAATAAAAAAAAAAGAAAATGTAGTACACATACACCATGGAATACTATACAGTATAAAAAAGAATGAAATCATGTGCACATGTACCCTAAAACTTAAATTAAAAAAAAAAGAAAATATAGTACACATACACCATGGAATACTATACAATATACAAAAGAATGAAATCATGTCCATTGCAGCAACACAGATGCAGCTGGAGGTCATTGTCATATAGTGAGCATTTAAGTGAATTTAAGAGCATTTAAGGGCATTTAAGTGAATTAACACAGGAACAGAAAACCAAATACTGCATGTTCTCACTGCTAAGTAGGAGCTAAACATTGGGTACTCATGGACAAAAAGATGGCAACATCAGACTGTGGGGACTACTTGGAGGGGGAGAGAGGGAGGGAAGGAAGCAAGAGTTGAAAAACTAACAATTGGGTATTATGCTCATTACCTGGGTGATGGGATCACTTATACCCGAAACCTCAGCATTACACAATATACCATGTAAGAAACTTGCACATGTACCCCCTGAATCTAAAATAAAAGTTGAAGTTATATCAAAAAACTTTCATCAATAAAAACATATACAAAAGTAAAAAAAAAAATCTTTGAACTGAAGAACAATAATGACACAACCTACCGAAATCTCTGGGATACAACAAAGACGGTGCTAAGAGGAAAGTTCCTAGACCTAAATGCCTACATCAAAAAGACTGAAAGAGCACAAACTGACCCTCTAAGGTCACACCTCAAGGAACTACAGAAACAAGAATAAACCAAACCAAAACCCAGTAGAAGAAAGAAAATAACCAAGATCAGAGCAGAACGAAATAAAATTGAAACAAACAAAAAATACAATAGATAAATGAAACGAAAAGCTGGTTCTTTGAAAAGATAAATAAAATTGATAGACCATTGGCAAGATTAACCAAGAAAAGAAGAGAGAAAATCCAAATAACCTCACTAAGAAACAAAACAGGAGATATTACAACTGACACCACTGAAATACAAAAGATTATTCAGGGCTCTTATGAATACCTTTGTGCACATAAACTAGAAAATCTGGAAGAGATAGAAAAATTCCTGGAAAAACACAACCCTCCTAGCTTAAATCAGGAAGAATTAGATACCCTGAACAGACCAATAACAAGCAGATTGAAATGGTAATTTAAAAATTACCAACAAAAAAAGTCCAGGACCAGACAGATTAATATAAGAATTCTATCAGACATTCAAAGAAGCATTGGTACCAGTCCTTTTGATACTATTCCACAAGATGGAGAAGGAACCTTCCCTAATTCATTCTATGAAGCCAGTATCACCCTAATACCAAAACCAGAAAAGGATATAACCAAAAAAGAAAACTACAGACTGAATATCCTCGGTGAACATAGACGCTAAAATCCTCAACAAAATACTTGCTTACTGAATCCAACAACATATCAAAGAGATAATCCGTGATGATCAAGTGGGTTTCATACCACGGATGCAGGGATGGTTTAACATACACAAGACAATAAATGTGATACACCACATAAACAGAATTAAAAACGAAAATCACATGATCATTTCAACAGCTGCAGAAAAAGCATTTGACAAAATCCAGCATCACTTTATGATTAAAACTCTCAGCAAAATAGGCATACAAGGGACATACCTTAATGTAATAAAAACCATCTACGACAAACCCACAGCCAACATAATACTGAATAGGGAAAGGTCGAAAGCATTCCCTCTGAGAACTGGAACAAGACAAGGATGCCCACCCTCACCACTTCTCTTCAACATAGTACTGGAAGTCCTAGTCAGAGCAATCAGACAAGAGAAAGAAATAAAGGGCATCGAAATCGGTAAAGAGGAAGTCAAACTGTCACTGTTTGCTGACAATATGATTGTTTACCTTGAAAACCCTAAGGACTCCTCCAGAAAGCTCCTAGAACTGATAAAAGAATTCAGCAAAGTTTCCAGGTACAAGATTAATGTACACCAATCAGTAGCTCTTCTATACACCAACAGTGACCAAGCAAAGAATCAAATCAAGAACTCAACCCCTTTTACAATAGCTACAAAAATAAGTAAATAAAAAATAAATATAATACTTAGGAATATACCTAATCAAGGAGTCAAAAGACCTCTACAAGGAAAACTACAAAACACTGCTGAAAGAGATCATAGATGACATGAACAAATGGAAACACATCCCACGCTTATGGATGGGTCGAATCAATATTGTGAAAATGACCATACTGCCAAAAGCAATCTACAAATTCAATGCAATTCCCATCAAAATACCACTATCATTCTTCACAGAACTAGAAAAAACAATCCTAAAATTCATACGGAAACAAAAAAGAGCATGCATAGCCAAAGCAAGACTAAGCAAAAAGAACAAATCTGGAGGCATCACACTACCTGATTTCAAACTGTACTATAAGGCCATATTCACCAAAACAGCATGGTACTGGTACAAAAATAGGCACATAGACCAATGGAACAAAATAGAGAACCCAGAAATAAATCCAAATACTTACAGCCAACTGATCTTTGACAAAGCAAATAAAAACATCCAGTGGGGGAAAGGACACCCTTGTCAACAAATGGTGCTGAGATAATTGACTAGCCACATGCAGAATGAAACTGGATCCTTATTTCTCACCTTACACAAAAATCAACTCAAGATGAATTAAGGACCTAAACCTAAGACCCAAAACTATAAAAATTCTAGAAGATAACACTGGAAAAACCCTTCTAGACATTGGCTTAGGCAAGGATTTCATGACCAAGAACCCAAAAGCAAATGTGACAAAAACAAAGATAAATAGTTGAGACCTAATTAAACTAAAGAGCTTTTGCACAGCAAAAAGAACAGTCAGCAGAGTAAACAGACAACCCACAGAGTGGAGAAAATCTTTACCACCTATACATCTGACAAAGGACTAATATCCAGAATCTATAATGAACTCAAACAAATCAGTAAGAAAAAAACAAACAATCCAATCAAAAAGTGGGCTAAGGACATGAATAGAAAATTCTCAAAAGAGGATATACAAATGGCCAACAAACATATCAAAAAATGCTCAACATCACTAATGATCAGGGAAATGCAAATCAAAACCACAATGTGGTATCACCTCACTCCTGCAAGAATGGCCATAAATGAAAAATCAAAAAACAGTAGATGGTGGTGTGGATGCGGTGAACAGAGAACACTTCTACACTGCTGTTGGGAATGTAAACTAGTACAGCCTGCTATGGAAAACAGTGTGGAGATTCCTTAAAGAACTAAAAGTAGAACTACCATTTGATCCACCAGTCACACTATTGAGTATCTACCCAGAGGAAAAGAGTCATTATTTGAAAAATATACTTGGACACGCATGTTTATAGCAGCACAATTCACAATTGCAAAATTGTGGAACCAACCCAAATGCCCATCAATCAACGAGTGGATAAAGAAACTGTGATATATATGTATATATGTATATATATATATATATGTATATATGTATATATATATATATATATATGTATGTGTATATATATATATGTATATATGTATATATATATATATATATATATATATATAATGGAATACTATGCAGACATAAAAGGGAATGAATTAACAGCATTTGCAGTGACCTGGATGAGACTGGAGACTGTTATTGTAAGTAAAGTAACTCAGGAATGGAAAACCAAACATCGTATGTTCTCACTGATATGTGGGAGCTAAGGTATGAGGACACAAAGGCATAAGAATGATGCAATGGACTTTGGGGACTTGGGGGGAAGTAGAGGAGAGAGGGATAGAAGACTATAAATATGGTGCAGTGAATACTGCTCGGGTGATGGGTGCACCAAAATCTCACAAATCACCACTTAAGAACTTACTCATGTAACCCAATACCACCTGTACCCCAATAACTTAAGAAAAAAATATTAAAAAAAAGAAAGAGAATGGGGATTTATCACTGGCCCTGATCCTGCTATTCCCTGGGTATCATGAAATCCCAACCTCAGATCCTCCCTCTGCAGAGCTGGGCATCTTTGAGGAGTCAGGCAGTAAGAGACAGCAAGTGAGCTTTCACTTCTGCTGTTTTGGACATTACTCATTATTATTATTATTGTTCTTTTTCCCTGTGGCTGAGGCCAACACAAGTGGTAAGCAATCAATGTCTTTTTCTCCCATGTGGTAGTACCCAAAGCCAGCTGAGAGTTAACTTCACCACTGCTTTCTTGCTTGCCTGTCACAGAAACAGTGACTATATCACCTGTGCACACTGGCTAGTGGCTTGGTGGGCAACAGTGACTTAAGATGGTATCCAGCTTTGAATGGAGCCACACAGGGAGACCTGAGGAGTCTCTGCTTTTAGAGAGTAGAGCCTATGCGCCCAACTATTAGAGACTCAGCTTGTGATACCTTCCCAGAGCATCTGGCAGAGCTCTGTGCAACTGAGCATATTTAGACTTGTGAGGAGTGAGGCAGAAGGTATAATGAGATAAAAAGGTATTAGGACAGGCTGTGAATTAAGAAGTTACAAGTGTGAGCATATATTGGCACTATATAATCAAGCTTTGGAAAGTCTGTGCCCCTATAAATGTATATAGAAATGACAGAAACCTGAAATGTCCCTGCTGGGCAAATATGAAGGAGGATACAGGAGTTGGGGTGAATAAAATGACCAATATGAACTACCATCTTGGATAACCCAGCTTGGAGCATGGAAAGTGTAAGGTCTCTGTGTGAAGATAAGCTGACGGGGCCACTGTAGATAGGTGTCTCCTGACCATCCCACAAACACTAGCATAGACTTGGCCCTTCTCTTTCATATCTCCTCTGGGTCAAGCAACCATGATGTCCAGGTGGCTAGGATCCATCCGGATTAGTGCTGCCTTCTGCATCAAGGACACTCCAAATGTACGAAGTTGTCAGAAATAGGAACTCTCTCCAGGACTGATAGGCAGGGATAGGAAGGGTAAGGTTATATTGAATTTCATATTTGCTCTCTGCACTCCCACCAATGGGCCTCTGCTTTCAGAGCTGGGTTATCAAGTTGAGAGGCCTAATACACAAGTGTAGAGAACAAGTTAGAAATCTCAGATAAGTACAGGGCTACCTGTTACAGAGGCTGGAGCAGCTGTCTACAGCAGTAACACATTGACTGTGATTCGCAGACAGTGTCCTTGCTGTGCTTATAGTCTATTTTGGAAATATAAAAAGTCTCTTGCTTTAGTTACAAGTTAACTGGGAATATCACTTCCTTTTGGTCACCTGAAGTGGGGGAAAAGTCAAACTCCCAAGGTCAAAGTCTACGTCTTTATAACAGAAAACTGTCAAGTGGTAAGTGGACTGGGATGCCCTCTGCATGGGGGTTTTTCAGGGGATCCAACGAATGCAGGTCATCAAAGTTCACAGCATAGTTCTTGGCACATAATAAGCACTCAGCAAATATGCATTATTATCTAATTTCCTCTAACATTTAAGAAACAACTAGCCATAGAGCAGCGTCCCTGGCTTCCCAGAGGCTATACTTCATTGCCTGTTCCATTCTTATTGCTCTCTGGCTAAATTTCCATCCAGGTCATAGAGATTTTGCCTAAGAGAATATAAGTTGAGTTCAGTTAAGTTGTGTGATCCAGGCTCTCGAAGTCACGTTTTCTTTATTTTAACATCAGAAGACATGACTCAGTGCTGTGTCCTTCCCTGGCTATAATTCTGCAGTTTCATCTCCAGAAGCAGCCTAGCCTCTCTGGCATCACTGCCCCTGCCTAAATTCTTGGGGTATATCTGTCCACTGCTCTGCAATTCTCTTCTGGCTTGGTCATTCCCATCTTCAAAACAGATTTACCAGGGATTAGCCTTCTTACTTATTTACCACATTTCTATTATAATTGTGCTCACAACCCTGGTCCTTGGATTGACAGACACAAAACAGATTAAGGATGAAGAAAATAAAGGTGTGAGCCCAAAGCAAAGCAGAATTCTATGAAGCCCAGCCGTTTTCATTTCTTGTGATCTTCACCTCAATTCACCCTGTTTATTAAAAAGTACTAATCAGGTTTTTTAGGTCAACAGTCTGAATTAGTCTAGGAGTGAAGTCTCTGGAGTTTGAAAGGGCACCTTCCCAAAGAATCTGCCTCCAAATGCTGCAAGACCAAGTGCTCTCATGGGTCGGCCTCAGGGAAGGCCTTGAAAAAAAGATACTAATTCTTGGATTCTAATGATGACAAAAGGAGTACACACTAACGTCCCACTCCAGCTGCTCCTTTCTGAGGAGCCTTATTATTCAAGGAGTGGCTAGAATATGCTGGTGCTCCATCACTCCATGAGGCAGGCATTATCCACACCCCTGCTCTCAAACCAATAACAGATGGAGATATGGCAGCAAGGCTATGGTCCACCTAGGATTCTGTGAGCACTTCCTACATGCCAGGCCCTGTGTAAATACTACACAGTCAACTTGTCTTCCCAACAATCCTATGAGGTACATACTAGCATTACTCCCATTTTACAGATGTGGAAACCCAGGTGCAGAGAGGTTATGTAATTTGCCATAGTCATATCACTAATAATTGCCAGAGTTGAGAAATACACTCATGTCTATATTATTGGGAAATCCACTTAAAGTGCATTGTTCAATTAGCTAAGTTAGAGAGATGAGAGATTTTAAAAAATCTGTTTTCTAATTAAAAAAATAAAAATACAGAAACTTATTGTAGGGAAAGAGGCTCAGCTATGCTGTCTGATGGTCACTCAGTCGAAAGATGCTCAATGGCCCCAGACCCTGCACATGCTGTCCTGGTCAAGGTGAGGAGGTGAGCAAACCGACTCTCAACACGGCCTCTGGACCAGGTTTGTTGGCCTTGGCCAAGACCCTCCTTTGGTGGGTCCTGTGGATCCCCTAGTCAGTGTTCTGCCTCCTTACAGACTTCCTGGGAGAAAAAGACTTACTTTCCAGGGGGATAATGTTGGGTTTGAAATCCCAACTCTGTTCCTTGCAGGTGCATGTTCAGATTACTTCACTGCTCCAGCTCTGGTTTCCTCATCTGTTAAACAGGGCTAACAGCTACTTCACAGAACTATGAAGATTAAATTAAATGTGTGATGAGACAGCACGTGTGAAAGCCTTACAAACATTAGCGACTAAGCATACAACTAAATTTATTTTCACTGGGGTGTGAATGCCCATTAGGATTTACCCTCCAAGGATATCTGCAAACAAATGATGCTCAAATTAGTGGGATGTGTATGTGGCATCAGAAGTTAAGGAATCCTGAAAATTCCTCCAGCTGGCTGGAAGGACTGGAGCCACACCTGCCACCCTTCTGCAAGGCATGTCCTGCCATAGTGTCCCAGCTGGCTTTCCCTGAACTCTCTTAAGTATTTTGCCTTAAGCAGCCCTGGGCAGCAATGAAAGGGTGTTTCCTGGGACAGAAGGGAGGCTGAACAGGCATAGGAGATGGGCCAGTGTGCAGATGGGTGTACCTCTGAGACCAACAGGCCTCTATTCAGCTCTCTCCTCAGTGGGGAATGGAGAACAGAAGAAGATGCCATCTTCGCAGGGGCAGTGTCAGGGTCCAAACTGGTGAAAACCAGTGAAGGTCAAACACAGGTCAAAAGAAAGCAGCCCATCAGAACCCTTAGCACTGCCCACCACATTAGGGCCCACTAACCTGAAGACACCTGTTAGACATGCAAATCCTTTACAAAACAAGACATGGGACAATAAATAAATCACATAGACACCAATTATCCTTCCACTGTTCAGCCAAAGGCCTCCTCTGTGCACACTCTATGCTGGGCACACCTTTGGGTGCATGATGATAAAAATACATTTCCATTGCACATTCGAATTTTTGAGGTGCTAACACATGCATGATCCAACTAAATTCTTGACACAAACCTGTGCAGAACATAGTCTAATGCCCATTTAGAGGTTGGAAAACTGAGGCTCAGGGAAGGAGGGTGCCCTGGGTCATAGTTATTAAATGACAAGAGCTTGTGCTGAAGCCGACTGGTTCATTCATTCATTCATAAAATGGTTCAAATTTTTCAGAATTAATTTTGATCCAGTTTGGAATAGATGTGCCACCTTTTGGAAAGACTGGCATTTAGAAAGTTCTGTGTGAATACTGAATACTACACTTCCCCCCAGGAAGGGGTTTATAATAGAGACAAATTCTCCAGAACCAATTTTCAAGGAGAAAAGAAGAAATGCACTGCAAGCAAGAAAACTGGGTGTCTGGGAAGGTTTCCAGCCAGGAGATTTCCAGCAGGACTTGAAAAGACTTGGTCCATCCTGCATTAGAACAGATAGTGGGAGTAGGGAGGAGGTGGCCTTTACTCATTCCTCCCTGTGCTAGTTACCTCAGAGGACACGGGAGGGGAAGATGAGGAGCCTTCCCAGAAGAGAATACCAATGTGGAATCTTTACTTTAAAAGAGACAACAATATAGCATATTTTTTTGTTGTTGTTCTCTTTTTCCTTCCCAAACTCAGAAACCATGGCCACCCTGGCAAACAGCTTAGAGTTAGACTACATCTGATGCATGTGTATCCTGGGGCCTCCTCACTCCCAGGGAGATAGTCTGGTCTTCTGGAACAAGTTCCCTTTAGCCTTCTCCATTGATAGCATAGAGGTGGTGATTCTCAAATTTTAGAGGGGAAAGGGTGAGAGAGTTTTGGGAGGAGCATGTGGTATGACTGTCCTCTCAAGATGTGACAGAAAACACCTTTGGCTGCCTGAACATGAAACAGCATGGTTTGTTCGTTCATCTGACAAAAGTCTACTGAGTGCCAGAGACCGCTCCAAGCTCTGGGCTCACAGCAGTAAACGAAACAAAGCTCCCACTTCTCAGGGAGCTTACATACTGGCCGGAGAAAGAGACGATACACAAACAAGATAAAGGTAATGAGAGATGGGGCTGCTTTTTAAGACAGAAGGCAGAGATGGCCTCTTTGAGAATGTTGTCACATTGTCATTTTAAGCAAACACCCAAATGGAGCGAGGGAGAGCATGCATGGTTATCTGGAGGCAGAGTGTTCCAGGCAGAGGGGACAAGCAAGGGCAAAGGCCCTGGGGTGACCAGAGAGTGCTTTGTGCATCTGAGCTCCACTTGGGAAGGTAGGTAGGGGTGAGGTCAAAGAGGTAGCAGCCCAGTGGTGGGACAGATCCTATGGGCCCTGGAAGCCATGCTGAGAGGACCCTGGGTACTTATTGTGCAGCATCTGTGTGCCGGGGATGTCCTAGGGCCTGAGGGCAGAGAAAAACATGTCATGATCCCTACCTTCGCCGGGGCAGCTTATGATCTATCAAAGGTTGACAAAGAAGGAGGTGAGTCCAGGACACCGTTGTAAGTGCTGAAAGGCATTTGGAGCGGCTGAGGGCTCAAGAAAGGGCTTCCAGAGGAGATGACACCAAAGCTGGAAGGAACAGTTGTGAAATAAGCCAGAAGTCAGCTATGTTCTGGAGCCACTTTTGCCCATTTCCCATCTCAGTCAAATCCTTGGATCTTTCTGAACTTCAACTTCCTTGTGTAAGAAATGGAAATAACAATACCTGTTCTCTAAACAGAAAACAAGGTCAAAGGTGTGAAGGTCTTTTCAAGACTGTAATGTTCTAGAGAGATGTAAAATACTCCTACTATCTCACCACAGTGCTTTCTCTTCCTACAGACCTGTGACTGTGTGTGAGTGCACACAGCTAAGTGCATAGGCCCCTAGCACCTCTCCTTGCACCCAGCAAAGCTGGTCAGTTTGTAAAGCCAGGCTTCTTGGCCCAAGGCCTGGTTGCATTCTGCAGCTTTCATGTGTCCTGTGGCTCTTGGTGGGGCTGCTGGAGACAACATCCCTGTGGCATTTTCTCCGCTGTTTAACTGGGATTGCTCAGACATGTGTGCAGACTCCTGTTGGCTTCTGGGCTCTTCATTCTCTCTGACCAGAACCAGAGATGGGATCCTGCCCCTGCTTTCCAGGCCCCAGAGAAGAGGTGGCCACTAGGCTGCAGGTGCTTGGTCACCCTGCATTGCTGTTTGTCTGTATTCAGGAGGGGGATGCTATTCCCACATAGGCCAGGTTTGGCTCTGTCCAGGGCAACATTTCTCCGTAGTGATAGGCGCTCAGCCAGGGAAAGAGAAGCGTCTGCCCTCTCTATCAAGAAGGTACTTTGGGGGAGTAAATTTCCATCAGCAGATTGGCAAGGTTATGGTTTAAAATCAAACAACCCCCAACAACGAAAGCCAGATTGCAGCATGATCCACCTGCCCTCTCTGGGGTTAAAAAGTTCTTTTTCTCTAGGACCCTTCAGAAAGAAGAGTCTATTTTCACCAACCCCGAGGCTTTAATGTATTTCATCTTCCAGTGTATTTTTTCCAATTGGAGTTGTCCTACAGTAATCTTACCCTCTTCAGCTGAAAAATCCCCTTTCGACTTATGGGAAAACACTGGCTGGGTTCAAGTGTTGGCTCTGCTCTGTGACCTTGAGCATCCCTTTGGCCTCAACAACTATCTGTAAAATGGGAGAATTAAGAACAGGTGAATCTTAAGGTTCCTTCCAGCTCCAGCCTTCTAGGATCCCATGACGCTTTGTCTCTAATGGCAGCGCCCTGCCATCTGTCTTGGCTAAGGGGTCACCACATCCCTTGATGTTGACCTTGACTTCTGCCTTTTAAAGTAATAAATGAAACCTATAAATGCTAAATAAAATATGTGGTATTCTCCTACTTTGACAACTATATCCTCATATCTGGAAGACCAAATTCAAATTTAGAATTTTCAGACCCCCCAGAACTCTGTGTTGCACTATGGTCTCTTTCTGCTGTTTTCCCCCTTAGTTTAAGGAGACATATGATCTCCCTGAGTAGAATTCTGGTTGAATTCCAGTAGAATTCAAGAATCCTACTCAACAATCCCTGAGTAGGATACTTATCTATTTTGCATTTTGTATCTTGTGGGACATGTAGTTTGCTGTTGCTGTAAATACAACAGCAGACTAACAGACTTCCAAATAGCACACTTTTTCTCTTTTTTTCTTTTATTATTATTTTTTTTTGTAAGGGGATGAGTATCAGTTGTGAGGCACATTTTCCTTTCTTAATTTAGACAACCAGCTTTTAGTCTTAGCACCCCATATCACATTTCCTCATCAGCAGAAGCTGCTATTTCTCCTATCCATTAATTCCCATGTGAAAAGTGCAGCTTCTAGGGGCCCCATTTCTTTGCAGTCTTAATGGCACTTATTTTTCTATGGATATGTGCTTTGTTAGCATAGGTTTCCATCAAGAAGGTAGTTAGTTGTTTTATTCAAGGCAGGAATGGCAGACCTATGGGTTTTATAGGTACATGGAAGGCACTGGAGGTCTCACTGGTCTGAAAGAATGCACTTAAAATATCTAAAGGGTTATGGTATATTCTAAACCTTTTTCCTAAATGAATTGGGACCTAGGGGCTGGACACAGCAGGGCTTCTGGGTGTCTGGGAAGAGCACAGAGGTTGAGTCAAGCGGGTTCTAAAAGACAGAGTCAGGAGCACAGCTGGAATGGAAAGCCAAGCAGACAGTCCCACAGAATTGCTCACCTTAAAAATCTGGGCAAGGGTGAGCAAACCCGACATGACGCAATTGGGAGGGGCGGGGGTGATGGGCCCAGAGTCAGGTTCAGACTGGAGGGAAGGAGGCAGAACTGAGGTGGTCCTTTGAAGCAAACCTCATGGACTCTGTAAGAGAACCACAGCTCCACTCCTGGAGACAAAGCTAGAAAGAAAATGTGGAATGAAGGAGCAGGCATAACTAGGACCACTGGGAGAAAGTTACACGGAAGCAGATTCTGCCTTCACTAAGAACCTGCTCACAGACAGGAGCTTGGATGGAGTGGGTTGCCTCCTTAGATGACAGGCTCTTTGCAGAATACAGATAACCAGGAGTTAGGAACTTGTCGAGGAGCTTTCAGCATGAAGGGTGCCGTGGGACTCTATGATTGCTAAAATCTCTTTGGGCTCTAAGGGTCTGAAATTCCATGAGATTTTAAAAAAGTCTATACCAAGATACCTATCTAATGTATAGTTTCAGTTAATCACATAGCAAATAAAAGAACCAATAATTTCACACACTAATAGGTTTTGTCTTCATAAGATAAAACATATAGCTTTATTGCTAGAAATAACCTTATGTGTCATTTAATCCAGCACTTGACAAACTATGGCCTACTGCTTGTTTTTATATTAATAAATGAAGTTTTATTCAAACACAGCCATGCTCATTCATTTATATATTCTCTTTGACTGTTTTCAGGCTATCACGGCAGAGCTGAGTGGTTGCAAAAGAGACCTTACAGCTCACTAAGCCTAAGATACTTATTCTCTGGCCCTTCAGAGAAAATGTTTGCAACCCTTTGATGCAATCTAACCCTCCATTATACAGATAAGAAAACTGAGGCCTTCAAAGTAAAGGGCTTACTTCGAGGGAGCTAGGTGGTGACTGAGTTGTGGCAAGAACCATGACACATGACACCCAGGCCTTTGTTTCTCCACTTCTGCTCCCAATGTCCCATCCCCAGCTCCTCTGCTGATGTGCACCTCTTCACGCCATTCCATTTTGTCATTTTGCAGACACCAGGACAGAGGGGCAGAGGTGAAGTGACTGGCCCAGGGTCACTACGCCTGTCTGCTGGCCACAGGACAGGCCTCACACTTCCAAGTTCTGATCCTACAGAACCGGCTTCAAACTGCTACTCCAAGTAGGAGTAGGAGAGAGAGAGAGAGGAGTGGAAGGCAGAGAGAGCTTCTAAGAGCTTTGAAGACAAGAACTCATTTGGCTCCCCAAGTCTCTCTCAGCATTAGCATTCACCTTCTGTTTTCCAACAAAAGGACACATTTACAACTGTCTCGAGTTCAACTTGAAAACCCTTTTCACAGGTTTC
Organism: Homo sapiens; assembly: GCF_000001405.40. Taxonomy (NCBI): domain Eukaryota; kingdom Metazoa; phylum Chordata; class Mammalia; order Primates; family Hominidae; genus Homo; species Homo sapiens. The sequence goes on from NC_000001.11 coordinate 166,119,247, forward strand.
CAGGGAAATTACTCCAAGCAGCCCTGTTGGACTAAAATGATTTTAACACACCCAGTTGTCTTCAATTCCTTCAGTGGCATCTGCTACAAACACCAAAACATATGAGTACCTGATATTTACCTTTCTTTGACATGAGTGATTCCAAAGGAGACGACGCACATGGTAAAAAACAAGCCCTATCTACCCACAATCACATTTAAAGAACAAACAGCCAATCTGAGGCCCACATCGGGCCTCCGCTTTCTGTGTGGGAGATTTCCCAGAGCGACAAGAATCAATCAGCCCATTAGCATGCTCTACATTTGTCCAGGAGAGTATCAGTTGAAAGCCGACCCCACTTTAACCCTTCTTCCAGCTGCCTCCCTAAGAGAGCTGTTTTCCTCCTCTTTGCCATTTACAAGCCTTTACAGTTTCTGCATTTCCACTTCTATTACACATCTCTCTTGGACAGACAGGAATGAATATTCATCCAAGAGATTAAAGCGCATCAGCAGTTCTAACATAAGTGGTCAAAAGAATAAAGGACGCGTGTCGTAAGTGGCCACACGAGACTCCCTGAAGCCTTGCCAAGGCAATACACTGAACATGTGCATGGTTCTCCAGGCCCACAGAGCTTCTGCCCAGCTCAGACACACGCCTGAATTTCAAGGGTGACATTTCCAGCCACAAGAGGGAAGCTAAGCATGAAAGAGAAGATGCGCCAAGAGAGGCAGCTCTGTTTGGGGCTCAGCCTGTGGATCTACTGTTCCTTGTGCCTCTGAATTCAGCCCACTCCCTCCCATAAAGTCAGCTCCTCACAGCTGAAAGGTGAAAACCAGCAAGGATTATGTGAGGCATTGGGTGGGCTGCCGAGAATCAAAGATAAATAAAGTCCTTGTCTTTACATTTATTGAGAATCTATCTGTGCCAGGTGCTGTGCTGGGGGCTTTACATATGCCATTTCTTTAAATCCTCACACAGCCATAAGGTCAGCATTATTTTCCTCATTTTATACACATAGTACCCTCAACTCAAGAGAAGTTAAGTAACTGGTCCAAAGGCACACAGCAAGTTAGTGGTGGAGCCAGGCATTCAAACTCACATGTGTGCCTGTGTGCTTTCCATCACACTGCACCATATCCAAAGCCTGGAGGCTTTCTTTCATCACAGTTGCGGGCTGACCGTGCCACGCCTACTTAGCAGGGTGCCCAGCAACTGCGGGAACATGGGTCGAGGCTCAGGTGCATTCAGTGTGCTGTATATCATGTTGAAACGAGAGCATGGTGAGCTGAAGATCATTTGGAGAGCAAAGGCAGAAGAGTGAAATGAGAGAAGAACAAACCCAATTTGTGTGGAAATAGAAGATGTACAGACAACAGTGCTCATTTGGATAACAGGGGTCCTAAAGAGGGGTCCCTGCGGACGACTGCAAGGGAGGCTGAATATAGCAAAAACACAAGCTTCCAGCAGAATCTGAAGTGAGGTGGGTGGATGAAAACAGGAGGAGCTAAGGGCTGTCCCCAAGAGCAGGAGCACGTGGTGAGCAGAGGACATCCACGGTGAACTCACAGTTAACCAGGGGCAATGGATAAATGCGCTAGGCAGGAGACTCCAGAACCCTGGCCATATCCGCCAACACCATTTGTCTTGTTCTTTACAGCTAAGTTTCCAACACTCTCCCCTTCATCCACTTGGCCAAAGTGGAGAAGTGTGAACATAAGTCAATACAGTAACACTATCACTTCTGGATGTTGTCACCAGAGCTTCAACTCAGAGTGACCTTTCTTGATCTCATTCTTTACTAGCAAGATTATTGTCACCAGGTGCACTCTTTAAATTTGTAGAGCCTCGGGCAATTTTTTTTAAAAGCCCGCTTATCATATGACTAAATATTTAAAAGTTACAAATCAAGCCTACAAATGCTAAATCAAAGACATGTTGCACTATGGTGGCAAGGGATGGAACACACATCGGTGTGGACACCATCAAGGTCCACAAGGGGCCACATGCATATGGTCCTGGGGACTTCAGCATCCCACCACAGGTGTGTAGCTGTGGTGGGATACTGAGGTCCTCAGGACCAGGCTCTGTCTACACCCTCACCTCGGTCACTCTTGGACCCCTGAGGGTTCACAGGGTAGTGGAGCCCACCCTGAGGAAGCAGACCCAGGGAAAGTGTCCACACAGGTTCTGGGAGCTCTATACTGTCTAAGCAGGGAATTCCAAGGTCCTGGCTGCCACTGAAGAATGGTCTAGAAGGAAGGGTATGGGTCTGTGTTCTTGGCCCTTCAGAGCTCCATACCCTGTGGAAAGGGACTTAAGAAAGGGCCAGAGCAGGGCCCTCTAAAGCATGGGTCCCAGGGCAAGGGGCTCTGAGTGGTAATGACCTTTGATAGCCCCATGTACCAATAATGCCTCTAATAATTAGCACCATGTGCCAAGGTTTAGCTGTCCCAAGCATTTTACATGTGCTAACTTGTTTAATCCTCCTAACAACTCTATGAGGTAGGTACTATTACTACCGTCATTCTATAGATGAGGAACCTGAGACAGAGAGCAGGTAAGCAACTTGCCCAAAGTCGTAAGTGATGGAGCCAGGTCATCTGGCTGCAGGTCCTCACTCCTACTGACTACATCATATCCCCTGTACACACAGCAGGGCCCACCTTTGAGGCACATACTGGCTTACAGGGCAGCCTCCCACAGCTCAGCCCTGAAGGCAACTCCCAACCAGGCACTACGGAGCACCCATTGTGTACTCATGGCCTATATTCATGAACATTTGGGACAACTCTTCATCACATCACCACACCTCTGACTGCTTTTCGGAATCACAGATTAATTCCCAGATCTGTCCAGTAGGTTTGCTGAAGCACCATTTTGGAAAGTTGGAAGTGAGTCAGGAGATGGCTTTTTTTCCTTGCCTTAGCCAGGATAAGGAATGAAATCATCCCTAGGGGAGGAGATAAGCATAGTCTGAGGGCATCGGTGGTTTGATGCCACAGCTGATAATCAGGAGAAGGCTGCTCTGCCCAGGGCACAGATCAGCCTGAAAGCAGGAGAGATGGAAAACACCCCAGATGAGTAGGGTTTCTAACAGCCAGTGATGATAGCTGCCCTTGAATTGGGAGAAAGTACAAGCCAAAGAAAAGAGATCTCAGTTCTCTTGAAAGCTTAAGCCACCTCTATCTAAATTGGGTAACTAATCAAATGCCAAGGAAACACCATCAGTTTGATATTTATACATGTTTATAAAGCTTATTATCCAACATTATATAAGCCAACTCATATCTCAGATATTAACAGGCCTCAGAATAGAGATTTGCTACAACCTACTCACAAATGCTTAAAGAAATCTTTCCAAATGTGGAAAGGGCATTGTGTGAATCACCCTGAATCTGGGTTCAAATCCTCATTCTCTCTCTTAGCATCTGTGTGTCGTTCTATATGTTATTTGATCTCTCTGAACCTTGGCTTCTTAGCTGCCAAATGGGGATGGAAAATATCTAACAGGATTATTGCGAGAATTCAATGAAATAACATGTAAATGTTCTGGTATATAAAATATGCTTTAAAAATGTTATTTTTCCCCCTTCTTTGGCCATTTCCACCTTCTCCTCCTCCCTCCTGGAAGCCTCTGTTTTCAGGTTATCTTTAGGATCCCATAGAGTGGATTATTCACAGCTATCTGAGGCCCCTCTTTTATATGAGGGAAACGTGGTCCGGCTGAGAGCTCCAGGACGAAGGTATAAACACAGCAGAGGGCAGAGCCTGATTTCAATCAGGGGCTACTCTAAGAAAGGCAGGAAACTAGATAAATACATTTAAAAGAAATTCCTCAGTGGCAGGGACAGCAGAGCAGCAGGGGGTAGATCCCAGCACGGACAGGTAACAGTGTGATGTGGCAGAAAGGCTTTGGTTGCAAGTGGAGAACAGATGTCTCTGGCTGCCTCTGGCAGCTGCCTCCTTCTGGGCCTTGACTTTTCAAAGCCAGGCCAGGCCTCCCCCACCCTGGACCACCTGTAGCTGGTTCAGAAGGCCCCAGGCTGGGCTTCATAGATGAAGACACAGCTGACTCAGTCTCTGGCTCTGTCGGCTCTTGGCCACCTTGCCGCTCCCATAACGGTGTTTCTCAGGTCAACCCCTCTTCTCCATTCCTACTTCAATGACCTCAGGTCAGGCCCTTGCCACTTCTCTCCTGGACAAAGATGACAGCCCTTCACTGGTATCCTCGTCTCCAACCTAATTTATCCTCCACAGTGCTGTCAGAGTGACATCTCTAAAACACACAACGACCCCAATTTAATATTCTTCAATGGCTTCTGAGGATGAAATCCAAGCTCCTTAGTCTACTAGTCAGGACTTTTTCATTTGCAAATATCAGAAACCAACTTGAAGAAGCTCAGATTAATAAACAATGAAAGGATTTATTGGTAGGATACTGGGAAAGTTCCTAGCAGAAAAGAACCATAAGAACTGGGCAGTTCCTGGGATCTCAGGGGTCAGGACAGGGGCCTTCTCCATGGGGTGAGGAAGAGGTGTTTAGAGACCCACAACCACACTCCTCCAGCAACACGCCATGAGGGGCAAGCTGAATTCTTCCACCCCAGCTCCAGCAAAAATCCTGGGCAAACATTATGATCGGCCAGCTTGGGTCGCATGCCCATCGCTTGATAATTATTGCGGCCAGTAGAATGGGGAATGTGATTGGTACCCAGGTCCCAGGCCCAGGCCTAGTCCAAAGTGGGAAGAGGAGTGGGATCTGGGCTGCAGAAGCCAGGAGAAGGTGCTGAACTGATGAGGACAAAAGCCCCTCATGATCTGACCCTGCTTTGGCCTCATCACTCACTATGCCCCACCCCGAGGCTGCCACCATAGCAAAACCAATCTCCTTGTAGTTTCCAGCACACACCAGTCTGCTTTATGCTTCTATGTCTGGCTCATGGGTTTCAACACCCTTTTCCTGGAACATCTTTTGCACCTTCTTTGGTTGGGTAATGCAGTCATCCTTCCACATTCAATTCACAGTTGCTTCTCCCCAGAATCCTTCCCAGAGCTCTTAGACTAGATTGCTTCTTTTTGGGCTCTCAGCACACCTGTGTGTCTTTATTGTAGTTACTATAGAATAACACTAAACAATGATGATAACAACAAAAACAAACACACGTAGCACTTACTATATGCCAGGCACTGTTCTAGGCATTTGGTATATTTTAATTCACTTGCTCCCATAACAACCCTATGAGGTGGGTACTACTAATAGCAAGTGGAGCTTGCTTTATTGAAGCAAGGAAACTGAGGCACAGATAATTTATATCACTTGCCTGAGATCACAGAGTTATAAGTAGCAGAGCCAAGTTCAAACCCAGGAAGTGTAGCTCTGAGTTCTGCTTTAGAAATAATTTAACAGGCTTCAGTCTACCTGGCTAGGCTGTGAGCCCTCCAGGGCAGATACTGTGACAGCCATCCTTGCACTGCTGGTATTGGCTGAGTCCTTCATGAAATACTGTCTGACAGAACTGAACGGAACCTCCTCTGTTGGGCAGCAGCAGGAGGAAGAGAGAAGTAGAAAAGGCCACTTGGGCCCTTGGAAGCGGGATCATAGAGGGCTGTGGAAGGAATGGAGTCACTGGAGTCAGTCCCAGGTTGGCTGCATCCTGGCAGACCTGGTGTGGGAGAAGGGACACAGACACCCAGCAAGCTGGTCAGTACCCTACACCCACCAGGTCACCTCTGAGAAATGTCTCTTCCCAACTCAGCTATACTTTCTCTCTCCAACTTGTTTCCTATTCTTTAAGCAAATTTGGCTTCTCCTATGGTCAACTGAGACCTGCCAGCACTGAGCTCTCACAATTGCAGTACTTTTCCATGCATAACTTGATAAGGCCTATGTTGGGGTATGCAGGTTCTGGAGTGGTTTTCATTCAGAGCTGATTTTCACCCATTAACTAAATTGAGCTAATCCCTCAGTTTAGCTTCTTTTTCCTATGGTTGTGGGACCAAGCGCCAGGCAGGTCTCTGACTCACTGTCTTTCCTTAAATAAGCCATTGGATGCCCCCTGACTCGGTTTCTCCAGTTGCATATTGAGGCTGAGTCTAATAACCTGCCTCAATGGGCCTCGGAGCTCAGTATGAGAGCCTATTTGTCTCCACTGGGAAAGCTAGTGGTAAGAGGGAGGGACTGCAATCATTATGGCCAGTCATTAAACACGGTCCATCTTCCCTGCCAGTGGGACCTGAAACTTAACTACAACCTGACAGCAAATTTATCAATGTCAAAGTCAGATATGATGAGAGAAGCCTTTTATTGAGTCCTTCCTATGGGTCAGGCATTGAGCTAAACTATTAACAAATACAATTGTTCCTCTCTGTCTGTGGTGGATTGGTTTTATGACCAATTCAAATACCAAATACCCAAATCTGCAGATGCACAAATCCCATATATAAAATGGCACAGTATCTGCATATAACCTACGCACATCCTCCTGTATACTCTCAATCATCTCTACATTACCTATAACACTGAATACGATGTAAACGCTATGTAAATAATTGCAACATTATATTGCATTTTGAATTTCTGTTATTATTGTATTGCTACTTTGAATTTTTTTTTTTTTTTTTTGAGACTGCGTCTTGCTCTGTCGCCAGGCTGGAGTGCAGTGGCGCGATCTCAGCTCACTGCAACCTCCACCTCCCAGGTTCAAGCGATTCTCCTGCCTCATCCTCCCAAGTAGCTGGGACTACAGGCATGTACTACCATGCCCAGCTAATTTTTGTATTTTTAGTAGAGACAGGGTTTCACCATGTTGGTTGGCCAGGATGGTTTCAATCTCTTGGCCTGGTGATCTGCCCACCTCAGCCTCCCAAAGTGCTGGGATTACAGGTGTGAGCCACTGTGCCCGGCCTATTACTTTCAATTTTTTTATTTTCTGAATATATTCAATCCATGGTTGGCTGACTCCTTGGATGCAGAACCAATGGATACAGAGGGCTGACTGTCCTAATTTAATCTTCACAAGTCTGTGTTAATCCTTTTGACAGTTATGATTAAGTACCTGTAGATGCCAGGATCTATATTGGACACTTGGGAAACAGCAGTGAATAAAACAAAGATCTCTGACTTGTATATGGACAAGCAATAAACACAATAAATGAGTAGTAAACTACAAGGTAAACCATGTAGTAGGTTAGGGAGAAATAGTATGGATGAAATAGTAGAGCAGGTAAAAGAGACTGGGAGTGCCAGGGAATGGTCCAGGTAGGCCTCACTGAGAAGACGATAACTGAGCAAAAATTTGATGGAGGTGAGGGAGTTGGCCATCTGGGGGAGGGGCATTCTGGGCAAAGGTCTAAAAGTGAGAGCATGCTGGGGTGCTCAGGGAGTGGTAAGAGGGCACGTGAGGCTGGGAAGGAGTGATGATGGAGAAGATGAGGATGACAGACAATGAGGGGCCACATCATATGGGGTGTAATATACACAATAATACATGATAATTATTGCATTATGTAGGCTACAATATTGAGTACCAATATTAGTCCCATTTTATAGATGAGGAAACTGAGGCAAAGGAATATTACATATCTTGTCCAAGGTGACATAACCAAGTATTGGAGCTGGGAATGCACCCAGGTGGTCTCAGTTCAGAGCTTATGTGTGCATCCTAACGCTAACACATGGAAACCAAGATGTTTCATGGTATCTTCCCCTGTCAACCAACTTAGGCACAGTAGGACCTAAGACTCAGATATTTGTGATCTGGAAGGAATCCAAGAGATCTCACCTGATTCTGTTATGGTAGAAGGAATAAAAGATTTTGAGGCTGAAGGCTGGGTCTTTCTCTCTCTTACTGGGTGACATATAATGTTAAACTTTCTGAATGTCAGTATCCTCACCTGAACAATGGAGAAAATCACTCCTGCTTTACAGGGTTGTGAAGATTGAAATGTATGCATGTCCAAGGGCTTTGAAAAGTGCTTGCAGTTCCTCTTTCATTTCCTACCACTTCCCCAGCTTTTGGCAGCTGCAATCACTGACAATCCATCTCCAAGTTCAATTCTGCCCTAGACAGAGACTGCATATATATTGGCTGCCTCCACCCCAATCACCACCAGTCCAGGAGGGAGCTTGGAATTAAGTCTTTCTCCAGACTTTGAGCAGAAGGGTTTACCTACGACTGTGGAAGACCACCTCCCTTTTTGTCTCTATTACATGGAGAGTCCAACTTCCTTCCAGGGGACTCAGGATCTGGTGCTTGAGGAGTCTCTAACCTTGAGACTCTGCAGTCCCTTTTCTACCAACTGGGGCCTACTGTATGTGCTCACAGCTCTGTTTAAAGTGTTAGGCACATATTAGGTGCTCAATAAATAGCTGTTATTGATAATAGTACTAGTAGAAATTGAATTTGTTGCTACCAAAAATGTATTGCCAGTTTGAACAGATGTTGGTAAAGGAAAAGTTGGTGATGAAAAGAGAAAGACAAATTTAGTTCAAAAATGTGTCTGACTGCTACTGTGTGTCTGTAGCAGGCGGAGGGGGTGGATGCAGTGAAACAAACACACCAAGGTCAAAGAGCACACAGACCACTGCTGAGGTTAACCCAAAGGCTAAGGATGGTACCAAGATCACACCTCACCTGCAATAGCCCTGGTCCATCGGGTGGCAAATGGATCCACACATAATTACTTGGCACACACTGACGATTATTTTAGAAGTAGCAGATATAAAACATAGAGCCACCATGTCAGACAAGATATTTTGCTAGTTGATAAAAACCACCTATGAAATTGGCCTCAGTAGTATAAGCTTTATTGTAGGAGCACTGGAAAACTTATAGTAAATAAAAGCCTAAAACATAGGAAGTGAAGGAAATGTGGAAACTGAGAAATAGGAGAGCTAAGCCAACAAAAGTAATTCTGACACCCTATTACCTATAGGAGCTAAACTTTTCTTCTTTGCAGTTCATCTCCTTTTATTCCTCTTTTATTTATTCATTCATTTTATACTTTCCTCATTAATTTTATACATTTATTTCATTCCTCCTTTATTTATTCCTCACTCCACAAAGGCCATAATGAGCACTCAATGGACTGGAGGAAGCCTGCAGCAAGAGAAAGAAGAGATGCAAAGGGCCATGGCAGAAGTCAGCAGGTGGACAGAGCCTGGGCTGGCAGTCAGACACCTGGGGTCTGGTCCTTGCACTGGCACTGAATCACATCCCTCCCTCTCTGCACTCTGTCCCTTATAAAGTAGGCAGTTAACACCTGAATTAGTTTTCACTGTGACAACTGAATGCGCTAATGTTGGTGAAAATGCCTAATTGTGAAAGGCTATCCCCATGTAAATCACTGTTCTTTGGTTGTAAGTCAGAAAATAGAGGAGAGAAGGTTTCACAGCTGGATACCACTGCTAACATTCACAAGCTGAAGCCAAGGGAGGTTTGGTCTTCGGGCATCTCTTTCCACTTTCCCACTGGGAGAGAACATGGCATTGAGTCTGTGAGAGACAGTGGGTGAGGCAGTATGACTTGGTTCCCTATGGCAGACCCACTGACACATGGAGCATCTCTTTGGCTGGTTAGTAGATAAATATTAATGACTAAATATGTATGCAGGGTAGAAGATAGATGAGTGTCCTGGGAGCCATTACTTTGATTGTCCCTTCTTAGATGCATTTAAGGATCTCAATATCTTAATTGTATAGAGTGCTGGAATGAAATAATAGAAAGCATGGGAGGAGGTGAAGCAAGGTTCATGGGAGGAAAAACAGACCAAAGTTGGGTCACCTGCTGGGGGGCCAAGATGCGAATGTGATTGAGTTGTCCCTGAGAACATAAATGTGGGGATCCTGCTCACATCCTCAAGAGTCCAGGCTATGCTTCTCTGTCTGGGTGTGTGAGCAGTGGCAGAAGGCCCAGCTGTGCCAATTCAGTGCCCAGAGCCCCTGCTGTGGGCGCACTCCTGTGTATATAGATTTAGAGCATCCCAGTGTATTGTTAGAATATTAGGAAAAAGCAGCATATGGCATGTGCTCCGCATGCAATTCTGCTCCTGCTGTTAACTTAGTTAAATCCAAAGTCTGATTCTTTCTGCTTATAAAAAGTGCTTTGCACAGGAACCAAAGCCCCAGGCTGAGTTGCTTTTCTTTTCTTTTTTTCTTACTGTTATTTGTTGAGGGCCATATAAATAGTCCTTAAACGATAAATGGATTCAAGAAGCCCATCTCTGCAATGAACAAAGCATCAAGCAAACACTCATGTGCCTTTTCTCCCAGGAAGTGTGTGAGACCTTTTCAGGCATGGATGTGGATGAATTTAGGAAACCCTCAATTTTAATGTTTTACCTTGGCCCTTCTCCAGTGCTCGAACTTCCTGATTCCTGGTTCCTCCTCTTGTCTTCTCCTGTTCTATTCTGGGAAACCCTTTTCTCTGAGCTCCAGAGTCAAAATTGTAGTCCTCTCGTCCTCTTCCCTTTCTTCACCTTCACAGACCCTGCTGCTTCTTCTCCTGCACTTTCTCTTCCATTAACCTCATCCTCCCTTCTCCTACCACAATCACTCTATTCAGGTCCCCAAGCCACCTTGTGCTGGCCTCTCCTTACTCTAATCCATTGCCACATGACCCTCTTCAACACAGCTATGGCCATGCCATGTCACTGCTAAATTAGGGACAATGAACACATTTGGCATTCCAAGCCTCCGTAGACTGATCACAAGGTCTTATCTCTTGCTACCTTCTCATCTAATCCTATGTGCTTTCTACCCTGGGTCACTGCTCCCTCTGATTCAAGCCCCTTCAGGCTATACCAGCCTATCTCTGTCTACTGAAACCCAAACATCACCTCCTCTGTGAAGTGCTTCCTCTCTGACACCTGAGCATGCCTTTCTGGTCTTAGTCATTTCTGTGCTTAAATATTCCTCCCATGAGAATGTGTCATCCATGAAAACAGGCACTGCTACTCACCTCTGTGGCTCTTCACACACAGTAAATATCAAGCCCATTAGAAAAGGACAAACTTACCTGAATCGCATGATGTGAAAGCATGGACGTAACAAGTCACTTGCTGGACCACATAGGGATGTGGATAGAATATGCTGTTTCTTCTTTCTGCTTCTACGTAAGTATAGACAATCAGAGAAGACTGGAATGCCAGAGAAGGAGGAAGACAACCATGATGTCTTATATTTTCACACAGTTATTTAATGTATCCTGCTAATCCTATGAGTTAATGCAGTGGTTCTCAACTGGGGACAATTCTGCCCTTCAGAGGACACCTGGCTATGTCTGGGAACACTTTTGGTTGTCACAGCTGGAAGGTACTACTGGCATTTAGTGGGTAGAGGCTAGGTATGCTGCTAACATCCTACAATACAGAGGACAGCCCTCTGCTGCCACTCCAACAAAGAACTAACCAGGCCAAAATGTCAATAGTACTGCTATTGAGAAACCCTGAATACTTATTAATTAAAATAAGTATTATTAATCAAGTTGAAAAAACTGACAAACAAGTGAGGTGGATTGCCCAAGATAGAACAACTATTTAAGTGGGAGATACAGGCCTAAGCCCCGGTTCCCTGACTCCCAGACCTGTGCTCTTTCTCCTGCATTGTGTGTACATCTGCACAGCCAGACACTGTGGCAGAACTCAGAAGAAACAGAACCAACAAAGAATGCTGTCATTACTAAGCTTGGCCGATGTCACAAGGCTGCGGGCCCAGGAGGTAGAATAACTTGGTGTATCTGCATCTCCCCAGGTGCTTTTTTTTTTTTTTTTTTTTTTTGATACAAGAGTCTTGTTCAACATGTTGCCCAGGCTAGAGTGCAGTGGTGCAATCTTGGCTCACTGCAACCTCCACTTCCCAGGTTTAAGCAATTCTCCTGCCTCAGCCTCCTGAGTAGCTGGGACTACAGATGCGTGCCACCACACCCGGCTAATTTTTGTATTTTTAGTAGAGATGGGGTTTCGCCATGTTGGCCAGGCTGGTCTGGAACTCCTGACCCCAAGTGATCTGCCCGCCTCAGCCTCCCAAAGCACTGGGATTACAGGAGTGAGCCACAAGAGTGAGCCACAGTGCCCAGCCCCCTAGGTGCTTTTTAATAGTGTCTCCAAATTATGTAAGACAGTGAGAGGCAATGTCAGAAGCCCAGCAGGCAGCTAAGGCCCATCCCAGTACACCAGGCAAAACTGCTCCAGAGTTAAAGCAACTCCACTGTTCCACGTTACAGAGGGGGTTAAAGGAGAGCAAACTACCTCACAGTAGTGGGCAGCTGAACCCTCCAACAGACAGTGACTTTACTGAGACCAAGCAACAGCAACGTTAGTTTTCCTGGTACGTGTGTCTGTGAGAAGACCTATCTTAGGGGGCTCTGCTGGGTAGAACTGGGCTGCATGAAGAATAAAATTTGACTGATTTGGGCTCAATATGAAGAAGACTGGGGAGAACTATCTAAAAGGGCACAAAGTTCCATGTCATTGGGGTTCAGGACACTGAGTGTCCCTTAGAAGAAAATAGTAAACATATTTTTACTATGTTTTATGAAAAAAAGTAAGGTTACGTGGCTATGCACTAGTTGGAGGTCCTGAACTGAAGACCCCAGCGGCAGGGCTGTCTAGGGGTGGGAGATGGAACCTGAAAAAATCCTGCCCTCACATGGCAGAAAATAGTCAGCTGGGGGCAGAAGACCCAGGTCTTAAATTGCAGTGACAGTGGTGTACATGCATTGCTCTCCCTCTGATGAAAGCTGTTGACTTCAGTTGAGAGAGACTTCTGCTGCAATCTGAGGCTGAATGTCAGGAAGGCCATATAAAAGGCAAGGCCTAAGCACAATTTTCTCCAATTTTAAAAACTTGTCAGCAGATACCTCTACAGTAAGAGCAACAGGCTATGAAGACTGGAAACATATTAGCTGTCATCATAAAATAAAGTAAATATGACATGTTTAGTGATGTCCTATCATTACTATTGTGTAACACCAGAATTAAGCAGTTCACATAATAGCTGAAAGGATATGTTTTGGTTTTTCTGTCCTCTCTTTGCTACCCAGAAGAGTGGTTCCAAATCTCCCCTCTCCCCTAACCCTCGCGGTGTGAAGAACATGACACACTGGACTTGACTAGCAAAATCTAGCTTGCGATTTAACGGTGTGATCCTGGGAAAGTCATGTAATTTTTATTTTGCAGTTTCCTTATCTGCAAAATGGGGATAATATTACTGCTTACCTTTATTGGGTAATTGTTGAGGATTAAGTGAGATGTTTGTGAAGTGCAAAAAAACCCAGGTGTGTGCAAAGTAAGTGGCTTGTGAATGTCAACCATTATGACAAAGGGCTTTACCATATGCCATCTCCCTTCTTGTACAGCAGTGGGAGATTCCCTCCATCCTCCCAATGAATGAATCTCCACCTAAGTATTGCTCTCTTTTGCCAAATCATTCCACCTAATTAGACAAAAATTTTCATGTTAGGATGAAGTCACCAAGTTCAAAAGCCACTTGCTTCTAGTTGTTTTCTGTGAGGAAACCACTACAAAGATAATACTACATCAGCTAAGTGTACCAGAAAGGCCAACTTTGTTATTTTATGCCCCATATTGTTAGATAAACAGTGACTTGAGTTACAGTACCAGCTTATGAGTGTGACAAAACTGCTTCATAGTATCTGCTGGTTTCTCAAGATGAACCATGATTAAAATGATAAGGGCAGTTTGTAGGGGTGTAACTGCCATATTTATGCCCTCTGGGATATGAGAACAATCTCTGGGGCTGATCTAAGGTTATCAGCAGCACTGAGACTTTGTTGAGGAATTGGAGCTTTCAACAACGAGGAAAGGTATGAGTTGTTCATTAAACTGGTAGGATCTTGGCAGGGCAAGGAGATTGCTGACTCTGAGAATAGCAGAGTGGCCCTGCTTTTCTCTTTGAGCACATTATTTCTGCTAGAGGTTAGACCCCAGTGTTTTTCTACTGGCTTCCTGGAGGAAGAATAAGGGCTGAGCTGTGCACAGCTGCATATCCTGACCTAGCAGCTTCATGGTAGTACCGGAAACTCCTCACAAGGTCCACTCTGGTCTTCCTCAAGAGCTGGTTATGGGAATTCTCAGGAGAAGAGAGGATACCTGTTATTGTGTAACTTTAGGTTTAGAGTTACATTTTCCTAAAGACAGATGTATGTTAGAGGTAGAATTTCTTAGACAAAACCAAACCTGCAATTTGCATATTCTGCCAGCAGGTGACAGCGATATGAAACAAAACACAAGATGTCTTTGCTTCATGTGGGGATCTTTCTGCAAATCCCACAAATGTGTAACTGTTAATTTCAATGATTTATTAAAATATTTGCAACTTTTAAATAATATTAATCTGTAAAGTTGAGCAATCTTAAAAAAAAAAAAGAACCGTAAATATAATGTGAAATAGTGAATCTGATTTTTGGTGGTTAGAAATGTATTCCAGTGCTAATCTTATGCCTAATTAATTAGAGCAGGTCTTTGCACACCTGTGGGCTTCAGGCTACGGCCTTTCTCAGGCCGTCTGCTTCAATTGCACTGGCTTCTCCTTCTCTGATGGCCACTCGCGAGGTGCTTACCATTATAATTGCCGTGTTTTGGAACTCCCATCTCCTTTCTCTAAACATTATTATTTATTGAGCCCTTACTTTATACGAGGAACTAAGTGAGATAACTTCATGCCACTTGTCTCATTTCATCCTCATCACCCCAAAGGTTACATGTACTTACCTCCATTTTACCAACGGGAGACTGAGAGTCAGTGAGTGACTGAGCCCAGACCTGCCTAACTCCCACCGTATGTTCTCCCCACTACCTCCCTCCTCAGGTTCAGAGAAAAGAAAGTTTGGGGGGTTTCCCCATGCTGTCAGGGGTTTTTCTGCACTGTCCCTACAACATTCAGTTTCTCCTGTCAGAAGGGAGAAATGCTCTACTTTATCCTTTTTGGAAAATAAGGCAAAGCAGTCCCCCATCCCACCCCCGACCCCACTATTCTTTTATTCTAGGGACTCCCTGAATGAGTGTGCATATAATATTTATTTACTGATCCACAGTATTTTGCTGCCAATGGGGCCTTGGAAGGCATTTAATCCAACTCCCTTTCTTTGCAGAAAAATGAAGCAGAAGTGCAGTGTTGCCCCTAGTCAAGCAACTAGCTAGTGGCAGAGGCAGGACTGCAGCTCAGGTTTCCCATCTTATGGTTGGGCTGAGTACCCCCTAGCTTTTCCAAATCATTTGAGAGAGTTCTGAAGAAGTGGCCATTTGAAAGACACCAGAACATTAAAGTAGTAATAATAATAATAATAATAATAATAAGTATAAGGTTAAACTGACCTAAAAAGACTGGAGCATAAATAGGTAAAAAGGTTAAACTGGCTTAAAAATTTTGACTGGAGCATATGAATTTAATAATACCTCAGTAGGTCAGACCAGCATTCATCCACCTAACATTCTGTTCCTGATTGTGGTGTCACAAGGCTCACCGGAGAATATGGGGGATCCATTCGTAACGATAACTTAAAACGATTAGAAAATGCTCTCTAATGTCCCTTTAATAACTCAATTTATATCTGTCATCCATGATGCTCTCTAAAGGTTCGTGTCTAGAATCTATTGATAATTTCAACACATACTGTTTCTAGGAGTAATGATTTTCACACATTTACTACCTACAGCGTAAAGTACTGCTTCCTTTTATTTGTCCTAAAACTATCAAGCTCTTTGGCTCTGCTCAGCAGGGCAGGATGAGAAGCCTTTAACATCTTTCACCTGAAGAATTATTTTTAAAGAAGCTAATTAAATGTACAATGAAAACAGGTATGTTACTATGCAAACACATTAATTAGGTCAATTGTGAGGTCCCTACACGTTCCCTGAAAAAGTTCAGTCCACCTACAGAGGTTAATTTTCCCCAGATGACTTCCAGCTAGAACTACTTCCATAGGAATTTTCTCTAAACAGCTGTATCAACACGGCTTATAACTGCCTCAGAAGAAAAAGTGAAAAAAAGCAAGACCAGTGGGCAGGAATGTATAAACTATAAAGTATAACAGCAATGACATCTTGAAAGCACATTCTTTTGTTTTCAAAGTCCAAAACTCTGAGAACAATTCCTCTTTGGACAAAGGGTACATTGGTAATGGTTAACCAACTCCAGCATCTAAAGCTAAAGCTGGGAGATGGCATAGCAGGAAGCATCATCCTGATGATGATTCACATCGCACTACCTGAATCCTTCCACATCAGGATTTACAATGAAAGCGTGTATCATGTATTGCTCCTTGTCTGTTTCACTAGCAATAAGTAACAAGATTCCATTGCTCTTCTACTCAGTCCAGTAGCATGAGACATGTTGGGTGAAGACATTCTCCTTAAAGATTCAAAGAAAGGACATAGATAGATAGCACTCTGAGTATTCTTTTGCAGGTGGGGAAAAGGAGAAAGAACCAAACTAGAGAGAATTCCAAATGGAGCTGTTTCCACCATGGTCTCAGGGTTCTGGACTACCTGCCCCAAACAACACAGGAGCAGCCATAGCACTTTTAACTCAACACCATGACTTTGTCAACTACGGAAGGGAGGTCTATGCCGAAAGAATTTTTCTTCCTCTGAATAGTCACATTCTGTGTGTGTTCTGCAAAGATGGTGCAAAAGTTAACAATCCAAGGTATTTTAGAATCAGTACAGACCAGACTTATTTTCCAGAAGTTGGTTTTTGACATATTAACAAGAGATCTAGTCTCCTAAGACCTAGAATATCCCCAGGGGTTCCTGCATTCTCAACATGAAGCAGAAGGAACATTGCAAGCCTCAATGCTAACTTTTTTCAAACAGTTCTTTTAAAGGGGACTTGTCACTCATGAGTATTCTAGGTGGGCTAAGTACAGTGTCTTAAACAAACCTGCCAGTAATTTGCTTGTCTGTGGGACCAGCTGGGAACTAGCAAAGGACACTGAGGATGTAACAGAACAAGACTGTATGAATTCTGATGCATGGAGGGTGTCAGAGATTTAATAAGAGTTCAATCTTTTAGCCATGCCTGAATTCACAGCATGGCTTTTTCCAAGAAGTGCCAAGTGCTTTAAAGATGACACACTAATCTTCACAGAGCCTGGGTGATGGAAAGCCTGAGCCTGCAGGGACAGGGTGTGAGGGTTGGGGAAGCTGACTTCTAGCTGTGTGCTGGCCCCCATGAGCGGATCAGTGACGTAGGTAACAGAGCAGCCATCTCCAGATGCCTTATCTCTCTGCCCTCACAGCTGCTGCTGTCTCTGCCAACTCTCATTCCAGTGTTATTATGAACCAGGACCCCTTCCTCTTCCCCTCTTTACAACAGCATAACTTTACCGATAAGTAATGGCAAAAAAATAAAGGCACCAAAGAGCAGATGAACAAGTAAATGGAAACAGGATGATCTACCAAAAAGAAAAAGCAATGAACTCCTGGAAGGCAACGTTATGAGATGAAAAAATCCACCTCTACCTGAGGCTCCAGGCTACCTTGCCCCTAACTGGGCCGGTGACTCTGATTTAGAGCAGTTGCAGCAACACAGCTTGCCTGGATGGTCAATAGTCTAGGCTCCTGCTCAGTTCCTGAGAGGGAAGAGGGTCTAGAAGATGCCTGATGGGGAGCTCAAGTTGCTGTGTGTTAGCATAATGCCTGGCACACAGTTGTCAAGCACTGACGTCTGCTAACTGAATGCACTCGTATGGCTCATAACTATCATGTGAGGTAGGTGTTATTACATTCTGTGAGGATACTAAGCTCCTAATGGAAAGAGAAGGGGCCTGAACCTAGATCTTATTTTAGTCCTTTACTTTTCCTACAGATCTATAGAAAAGGAGTGTTCCAGGATGACGTGATGTAGAGAGCATGAGGTTGGAAGGGAGGAGACCAGTTTTCTATGCCCAGAATGCTAGACTGGAAAAAAACTTGGAGAGCTAGTTGAGGAATGGCAAGCAATTTCCTTTTATGTGCTAACCCTGATTTTCAGCAGTGGTTGCTGGCTCCCAGGAGCCCTGTACTGAGGACTCTGGGCTGCATCTGGCTCAGCAGGACAGTGAGCTATGATCAATTAGCCATGTCTGCCACAGGCATGCAAAGGACTGAAAGGACTAAAGATGTCCACCATCCGCCATATTTTCTTTTTCTAGTCCAACCTATTTATTTTATAGATAATAAAATTAAGCATCAGAAAACAGATGTATTCTAAGTTACATAGCAGGACAGTAGCTGATATGTGAACCCAGGATTCTTGACTGTAAGTCCAGTACTTTTTTTTTTTTTAACTATGTTGGCTATCCTTGTCCTAATACTAGTTATACTATAGCTCCACAAGTATGGATAAATGTGCTCCCTGTGACTGAGTTTCCTCACCTGCAGATCAGAGGAAATAATTCCTATTTTATCTATCTCACAGAAATACTGACAATCAAATAAAATATTAGAATTCCAGAACTTTGAGTTCTGAGGCCATGTTCTTGCTGTTGTACTATGATGTTATTAGTAAATAGATGTGGAAACACTGAAAAGCATAAGCAGCACTACAAAATGCAGAATAGTACTATGGGAAGTAAGGAGTCTGGGCTCTATCTAGACTCTGCTTCAATTGCTCCATACCTGCAGGCTTCCTGTCTACATCCCCACATGCAGGAATGCAGGAGGGAACCAAGGTTAACAGCAGAAACAGACCCTGGTCCCCCTGTAGGCAGCTGGTCTCAGGCATGTCTCAGAACAGAGCAGGTGGCTGGAGGCAAAAAATACTGGCAGGGCAGGGCTTCTGCCCTCTTAGATCTCTCTAGCCCTCCTTCCTGCTCTCACAGTGGGCATCCCACTAGTCAATGAGTATGAACTTGTGTTTGGAACCTGGGACACTGCACCTAGACTCTCACCTTTACAGAAAGAGGATGACGGCAGTAGGACCTAGAGGGGACGGAGGCTGGGTTTCTGGGACTTCAGTTGGTGGTTTCCTCATGTCTGTCTCCTACTTCTGCCCCTCCTCACTCCCCTCATCAAAGGCTTCATCCCCAACTCTCCTGTTCTCTGTCTCCTCCTTCTCTTCCTCATGACTCACTCTCTCTGGTCCTTCAAGGAAGTTGCCCACCCCCTGTGTTTCTCTTTCTTCATCCTCAATATCACAGGGATCTCAAGAAAAAGCAACCCCTCCACCCAGACCCCCACCACAATGCATGTTTCTAAAGTACTATTTTTTAGGTGCCTTTTCATAAGAACAGCCCACTGCATCTACCTTATCTCTCTTTTTAGAGTGACAGTTACCATTGAGAGGAGGTCATGATTTGGCTTAGTGGTGTTAGAATAAAGAGATCACACATCTTCGCTAGCCTTAGATTCATGGGATTGCTGGGCTAAAAAAACCTAACAAGGTCATTTAGTCTAAGCAGCCACTGGAAGCAGATTTCTAAGTACTAAACGTATTCCTGAACACAAAGAGCTCAATAGTTCACAGGCAGCTCGTTTTGAGGGTCCAAGAAGCTCCTCTCCATTGTGTTTGTTTTTGAATTGTTTCTGTTCACTAGAATGTCAACTCCATAAAGGCAACAAGATTTTTGTCTGTTGTATTCATTACTGCATCATTATTGCTTAGAATAGTGCCTTGCACATGGCAGGTACTCAAATATTTGTTGAATGAATTAATAATTGGTCTTATTTATAACCTGTGGGGCCTTTCAAGATAATCTAATCCTTTTCATCTTCTACATGACAACCCCTCAAATAATTCCAGACAGTTGTCATGTTCCCTGAGTTGTCTCCCTCCCTGAATATTTTATGAAGAATTTCCAGATCCTTTGTCACATTGGGGTGTTCTCCGAACGTACTCCAGAATTACAAAGCAGCAAGGGGGACACCAGAAATTTTTCTAGCTAGCCCACACTCTCATTTTACAGACAGGAAAATGGAGGTCCATAAAGGTATAGCAGCTTTGTTAGAAGGGGAAGCCTAGACTCAGGGTTTTATCTAGTTGGAGATGAGCCAACATAAGAAACTTTGTAGGCAAAACAAATCCCAGACCAATACATTTCCCATCATCTTGATGCTGTCCCTATCAGTAGAAGAATTCCAAAACAAGTGTCTCCAAGACCAAACCACTGTAGTTTTACATGCAAGCAGACTCTTTATTCATTCAACAGGCATTGAGAGTACTGTATGTGCTATGAACTATGCTGAATTTTGGGGATACAGAGTTGAAACAAAAGTCTCTACACACTTGATACTTACAGTCTAGTGGAGACACCCGAGACAATAATTAAAATTCTATAAAATGGCCATAGTGATAGAGGGGCAGAGTCGAGAGGGAACAGAGAAGGAGCCCATAAGGCAGCCTTGGGGAGGTGGTGAAGTCTTCCTGGAGGAGGAGGTGGCATTTGAACATCAACAAGACCACACGCATCTGGGATGGGTTTGTGACTGGCTTCAGCACCAACTCTAACACATAGTTCTATAGCTGGCAGAGGAGGCTGCAGGGCTGGTCTTAACCAGACTAATGAATCCCAAAGGCTGTTCTTCCTGTGGACACGATCAACCAGGTCTGTGCTGCCCCAGAAACAGCACAGTATGGTCTTTTAACCAGAGAGCTGAACCAGAGAGCTCATAAGAGTTGCTTCCTCATGAAAAAATCCAAGTTTGGCTGTCCTGCTGTGAGGTTGGAGGGAAGAGGCTGGGCTTTCCCACATGCAAAGCCAGGTGGCAGCCTCCCTACTACCACCACCAGAGGAACCTTGGAGGAAGGATGTGACAAAGGCCACGCAGGATGAGGGAGAGGGTAAAGGCAGGTTTCTGCAGACCTTTTCAGAAGACTGCTTCAAATGAGCAGGAACGAGCTTAGAGCACACGTTTCTGAAGCCTGCAGCAGGGCTAGACTCTTCTAAGGAATAAGATGGCCTTTCTAACAGTGGCCTGGACATTCCAGGAGCAGTAGCGTTGCTCTCTACCCCAGCAAGGCTTCAAATGTGCAGGCTACACATTCACTCTTTCCCGTAGCACAATCCACCGCCAACATGCGGCTTCTAAGCGTCCTGGAGAATGAAGGCTGACTTGCCAGAAAAAGTGAGCCCACAAATGGATGAGGAATCAGCCCCAGCTTGATTGCTGCCTGGGAGGATTTGGATTGGATGGTGGAAGTGAATATGTAAACCGAACTCCAGATATTGTTGGGGGCCAGAAACCATGGTCATAAATCTGGGAAGCCAGACAACAGCATTACAGGGCTTCGGGCCTTCAGGAAACGATAGTTAGGATGACCAATAAATCAGACTTGACTTCTTAACTGAGCCAGAGCAGCGAGAAAGGCACCATCATCTCTGCTTAAGGGAAAGATGATAAAGCTAATCCAAAGGAGACTTCTGTCTTTTGTGAGGCTGCTGATGCTGAATAAGCCATCAAGGCGTGCCTCAGTTTTCCTTACTGCAAATGGTGGGATAAGTGGCTGATTACTAGAAAATAGTGTGGTTTGTTGAGGTTCTCTAAGAAAACACTTGAGGCAAAATACAACAAAGAAGCCTTTTTTGGGGGTATGATTTGTATCCTCCCTGATCACTGGTCTACCATTGATCTGTACTATGGAGAGGAAGTGACTTGAAGTTTACAAAATGGTTTTCCATAATTCTGGGGCATGGGGCAGCAGCAGAAGCTGCTCTCAAAACAACCCTGTGAGGCAGGTAATATTATCATTAGTGCTCAGAGGAACCTGGCAACTTACTTGGAGTTCATAGCCAGCAAACAGCAGAGCTTTGACTGCAATCCGGTCTTTAAACACCAAAGCCAGGCTGCTGCACTGCCTATGTAAACGAATGCAGCACAATTAGAGGGGCATTAATATATCAGAAATGCTCCCCTGACATTAAAGGCCAGGCCAGTGGGCAGGTGGAACCCTCACAAAGGGCTCACCTGCCGTAGTCCAGGAAATATATATGAAGTGCGTACTGGGGCAAGGTGCTGTGCTAGGTACTGGGGACAGCAATGTGCAACGTACATAGGTCTGATCTCTGCCCTCATGGTCTCTAGTGGAAGACATAGACAAGATGCATGTACAGTGAGACAAATGGTTGAGAGGGCAGGTGCCAACCCTGACCACACCAGAGGTTTGGGGACATAGAAATCTAAGTGGGTTTTACTCCAGTTATCACGCAAGATATTCCTCTCCCTGAACATCTTTATCATAGAGATCATTAAACAACTGAAAAAACAGTTTGGACTACTACTTCTTGTATATTCTTCACATAGTTTTGAAACTCCTTTGTCTAAGACAGATTTTCTTAAAGCTATTGTAACTGAGTGTTTACTATGTGCCGGTAGCTAGGCCCATAATAGGTACTGAACAGTTGTTAAACTAGTAAATGCAGAATCTTCAAAAAAGCTCTGCAAAGGAGGCATGTTCATACCCATTTTACAGATGAGTAAAGTGTATTCCAGCTTGGAGGTGATGGGAGGTACGTATCTATGTGAGGCCTGTCAAAGGCTGACTGATAGATAAGTGGCAGTTACCTCTGGTGGCTACCCAATGCACAGTCCATCACAGCTTGTGTTGGCTTTTGCATGGACACTGACAGATGCAAAGCTGTATGTGCCAAGAACAGACTAAGAGTGCCCTGGAACTGGAGTAGGGACAGTGCTCTGGGATGGATGACCATTCATCCATATCATCCAATGCTGGATGAGTACTCATCCATATCATATTGATATGGAGAAAGGGAGGAGGCAGGCTGAGAGATGCTGGTCCTGCAAAGTTGTGGTGTTCTCTCCTGGTCTTGGAAGGGCATGCCACCTGTGAGAGGTCCCAGGTGTCCTTGCCCTGAGCACAGCTCCTCAATGATCAGACTGGCTGTGAAGGTGAGTGGCATGGTGACCAGCCCTGCTCTGACTTGGGACAGTCTGCATGGAAGGGACAGCTGCCTTGTGGAGAGCTATACCCAGGCAGGTCACTAGGGGACATTATGCAATGGAAAACCATTATTGGGGAGTGGAGGGTTAGACTGCACTTAAAGGAGGTTCTAGTGTCTTGAACCACTAGGGTCTATTGCAGCTTGAGACTCTGCACCCAAAAATCTACTTCCAACCTAGACTCTCCCAGACTCTCCCTGTGCCCTAAGTCTTCTGGGTGACAGCTACCACCCAGGCCTGGGAAGACTGCACAGCTGAGGCTAGGACACGGGGCAGCAGCAGAAGCCTGAAGTCCACAGACAGAGTCAGTGGTGCATTAGCACCAGCACTTACTGAGCACTGGGCATTGACATATGTATGGTGCACAATGGGATTCCTCCCCTCAAGGATCTTGAGGTCTAAGTGGGAAAAGAGGAAGACTATTTTTATTTGAGGATTGACCACAAAACAAAGAAACTGGTTTCGTTTGTGATTTGAGGAATCATTTTCATTACTTCAGGTTTGGGTATAATCTTTATCTCTTCAACCAAATTATAAGTTCCTCAAGGGTGGAACCTTGTCTTCTAAGTCTCTTACCCTTACCACTGTAGCACATAAAAGGCCCTCTAGGCACTTTTTAAATGAAATGATGTACGGGTAATGGGTCGTAAAAAGTGGGCTAGTCTTAAATCTACTGAATACCACAGGCCTAGAAGGATGAATGGGTTGAAGGGTTAATTAAGAAGGAATTGTGCTCTTGCCCTGTGTCAGGGCACAGGGTGCAAACATGAGCAGCACATGGTTTCTTAGTTCAGGGAGCTCAGTCCAGAGAGGGCCATGGTTTGGTCAATGGTACAGTAGTGTAAGAGGCCATAGAGCCCAGTGGTTATGAGTGTAGACTCTGGAGCCAGATCATTTGGGTTCAAATCTCAGCTCTTAGGAGCTGTGAGATGTTGGGCAAATTAGGTAATTTCTCTATGTCTCAATTTCCTCATCTTTAAGTAGCCATAATAATGACAGTACCCAATATAGGGTTGTTGTGAGGATTAAATGAGTTAAAACATAAAATATTTGCAAATGTATTAACTATTAATATATAGTAGAGGCTGGGACAGTGGCAGGGAAGAGGCCTAATTCAGACTGGGGGAAGGGTGCCAGGGAGGGCTCTGGGGAGATGCACAGGTGTCTTCTAGGAGAGGAGAGGGTAAGCCTGGCTGGGGAACAGCATATTCAAAAGTCTAGAGGTATCACGGCTGGGAGCTACATGCCATGTGGTGTAGCTCTGCCCTAGTGCCAAGGAGAGACTGGCAGATGAAGACAGGCCAGAGATGTTTCAGAGATGTTTCTGGTTCCCTATCTAGGAAAGGTCAGGCCAACAGAGGCTTGGCATTACTTGCTAAGGCGTGTAAATTTCATCTTGAAGGGAATGGGGAACCTTAGGAGGCTTTTAAATAGGAGAGGGTGATATTATCAGCTTTCTATTCTGAGTTGCCTACTCGGGCTGTGGTGCAGAGGACAGGTGGTGGAGGGGAAGCATGTGGAACCAGGAGGAAGAGGGTCCTGATGGGAGGCCATGGCAGTAATGAAGGTGAGAGGCAGTGAGGGTTGCTCTAAGGAAGTGGGGTGGAGAGGGAAGCAGAGATCTGAGAAAGATCAAGAGGTTAAACAACAGAACTGCATATACTAAAACACCATAACTGACAATACATTGAGCCCTTAACCACGTGAGCCCCTGTGCCAAACACTTCGCATGGAGCAACTCTTTTAGTCTTTACCCAAACCCTATGAACCACAGTGTGTGTGAGGGTTGGGGGCAGGATGGGGAGGGAATGTCCCTCCTCCAGAATGTCCTTAGGAGCTGAAGGACAGATAGATGAGATACAAACTGCTAACACATCTGATGACAATAAAAAAGGAGGGTGGTTTTATTAAGGCGTAAGTAATGATGACGCATCCAAAATAGCTGACAAAAGGCACCAGAGAACTCCTGGGCCCAAATTAATGTGGTTCCAGTGACCAGGGTTCCCAGGGATGAAGGGCTTGGTGGGTGCCCACTTCAATTATTTAGGAGATGAACGCCAAACTCTAAATTTCCTGTCAGTCTGTTGTGTGTGTGTTAGCGTTTTCACAGATCCCTGCTCAGGCATTTGGACTGGGGAGAGCTGTGAGTAAGGCTGGGGAGTGGTGGTGGGGGGGTGGTCTAGAAATGGGCCCGATTTTCCTTATGAATGATCTTGATGTGGGTGTCACAGGAATGAAATCAACAGATGGCAATACATTTGTAGGAAATGAAAGAGACAGATTTAAATCCAGAATCACAGGAACCCTTAAACTGCTTCTATGCAAGGAAGGCATATGAACATTAAATATTTTTGAAAGGATTAGCTCAACTCTGATCTGTCTCTGTCCAAAGGTGGGAGACAGGGATGGGGAGAAAGAGGTTGGTTGTTGTCCTCATGATGGAGCAGGAAGGATCAGAGAGTAACAGGGTGGGCGGAAAGGGGGGCAGAGTGAGGTCCCCATTCATCTTAAACTGTACTAGCTCTTGACAGACAGGGAGTGGGTGGCTGTTTATCTCTCAAACCTCAGCTATTTTCTCCAGCAACAAGGTGTAAACTAACTTTCCTCAAGGCAAAAAATCTTCAGCTGCAAGAGGGGAAAAGCACATCAAAGGTATAGAGCCCACAAAAGAAGGAGAGACCTGCCACTTAAACCCCCTTTCTGTTCTTTACCATGGCACCTCACCCAGGGGTTTTGCTGTGAACCCATCAATCTTTCCATAAAAAGGCAACCCACTCCTCTGATTTCCTGTCCATGGAAGGGAGAAGTTTGGGGTTTCTTTGGAAAAGACAGAGATGGGGTGAGGGTTGGGAGGACTCACCACCACCTACCAGACTTGACTATCATTTTAAAGGATACATCAGTCCCCAGTTCCTTGAATCTCAAACCACACCAAAGAAGACAGGTGGGAGGATGGGGGAAATGCCCTCAACTTGGGTCAGGTCTATTCCAGTCATGGTAAAGATTGTACCAACTGGTTGGCCCTGGGACAAAAAAGCTGAACCCCTCTCAGCTTCTGATATCCACAAACTAAGGAGGCCAAGCACTGCAGGAATCACCATCCCTGCCTCAGACTTCCACCTCTTCCATCAAAGCTGCTTCCATCAAGTTTATCTTTGCAAGTCAAAGGTGCCTCCTAAACATGGTACCAAAGCAAGATTTTACATGTTGGGTGTGCTTCCACCTGTCTCACTTCCCTGCCTGAAGCCTACGTTCCCAGGGTGCATTAGGGCATCCTGTAGGTTGGCACCAGGTGCCATCATGTCAGCAGCACTTTGCCCATGCTTTCAAAGGGAAAGAGGGCGTTTTGATGGGCAAAGAGGAGGATGTAAGGGCCTGCAAGGTACAGGATATTTGCCTGCCTCTCAGTTGCATGGAGGAGGGGAAGGGATGAGTCAGATGTTTTCCAAAATTCTCTTCCAGCTGCTTTAGGACTCTAAGACAGGCCACAATGCATTATCTTAGCAAAAATCCAGCAAAACATCTAGTCTTGGATCTGTAACTTATCAAAGACAATCTCAAGTCAGACACATTTTTGGCATCAAATGAAGCCCATCCACGCAAGCTTTTCAAATGAAAGGTGACTAACACTTTTTCTTGGTTGGCTGCACATTAAACTGATGTTAAATTCACAACCTGAAGGCCAGTAGTGTGGTAAAGTAAACAAATACTGGATAATGAGTCAGAAGATACTGTTTTAGTCTTTTGTCTCCTCCTTCTGGCTTTGGACAATAAATATATTAAGGGGTAAGTTATTGGTCTAAAATTCTCTTTTTTTTATTGTGTCTCTGCCAGGCTTTGCCCCTTAAGTCTCAGTCTTAGTTCTTTTCATTTGCGAAGGAGAGATGATAGCTTCTCTGCTTCCTCTCACAGCTACTGTGAGGAGCAAAAGAAATGTGAATGAGAGCACTTTGTAAACTTCTACTACCTGTATGAAGGATGAAGGATGGTTATTATTAACATTGTTTGAAAGGTCCAGAATCTTCCCTGAGGACAATTCAGGGGGATGCTTTAAAACATTAGTTCAATGGACTCATGTCTCACAGTGCCACTGTCATTCTGTTGAAAAGACTTCTGACCCAATGACCAATTTCTATTTTCTTCACTCAGGGTTTTACGGCATCTGGGATCACAAGGCATTATGTTTATTTAGGATACTTTCTGAGACATTTCTTCTATGTTGAATCAAACTGATTGATTTTCATAGTCCTCTCATACCAAGTACAGTGCTTGCTATAAAGCTGGTACTTGATAAAATAATAAATAAGGGCTGCTGACCGGACAGGTAGGATGATGCAGTCCTACGGAAATGAAGATGGACAGAAACTTGCTCTTGTTTACCAGTTTTAGGAGGAGATTTCTATAACCTAACTGGGCTAAAAGCACTCCAAGGTCAGAGCTCTACTAGGCCAAGGGCAAGGGGGGTCTGAGGTTGCCTATGGTAGTCTCCCCACATTCAAAAAAAGGAGGTTGGGAAGTTGCGAATATACAATGGGTCAAGGGCGGCACATTAAGCTGATGCTCAAATTCAGAAGGCAGAGGGGAAGTGGGATGTTAAAAGTAGACAAATCATAGATAATGAGTCTTAGGGAACATCTCAGTCAACCTTTCAACAATAGTAGAAATGGCCTTCTGAGCATTGGCATTCATTTCATTTGTGCTGGCAGGAGTTATCCTGAGCTTCCTCTTTGCAAGCTTCAGATCATTCACTTCCCTCTGTATTGAATGTGCAGGCTTGGTTCACCACTTTGTGAGACTAACCTACGATCTCTCCTTGCAGGTCTGATCCTCACATCACCAAGCACACACACAAAGCTGTAAGGTTCCTAGACATTCTAAGCTCATAACCTCATCCCAGAGCTTTGAGTTCTGGGTCTGGTACTCACTTGACTGGAGTTCATGAGAGACCTGATCTAGGAGGAGATAATCCGAAAGAGCCTTACCCTAGGAGAGGTGGTCAGGAAAGAACAAAGTTCAGCTTAGTAAGTGCAGCAGTGGACACAGGGAGGGGAAACTTGCTCAACACCAGGATAGGAAAGGCTGGTTGTGTGTGTGGTGAGCACAGTCAGAAAAGTCCTAGGGGTTGTTGAAGGTAACAGTCAGCCTCTCTTACTGGCCTGCTGTGGTTTCAGAGACAAAAAGCAGGCAATGCCAGGATGATAACGCCTAAATGAGCATCAGTGGGCAGGAGGCCCAGGGATGTCCTCTCATGGCTGCAGCCAGCTCAGGCCAGACCTTCTTGGGGAACTGAGTCCAAAGGATGAATAAGTTAGAACCCATAAGGATGCTTTAGAGAACTGGCACAAGTCTGCCTGGAGAAGGCTGGATGGGAAATTACAGTATTGTCAAGGTGTTTTTATGGGTCTACTGCGTTCCCCGTGCTCAGACAGTTAATGTGCCTGAAATCACACAGCTAGTAAATGGTGCAAGCAAGCAGGATTTGAACTCACATACTAAGGTTCCAAACACCATGATTTTTTTTTTTTGAGACAGGATCTCACTCTGTCACCCATGCTGGAGTGGAGCAGTGCAATCATAGCTCACTGCAGCCTTGGCCTCCTGGGCTCAAGCAATCCTCCCACCTCAGCCTCCCGAGTGGCTGGGACTTCAGGTGCACACCACCATACCCCAGGCTAATTTTTGCATTTTTTGTAGAGATGGGGTCTTGCGCTTTGTTGCCTGGGCTGGTCTTGAACTCCTGGGCTCATGTGATCCTCCCACTTCAGCCTCCCAGAGTGCTGGGATTACAGGCATGAGCCACTTCCTTGACCCAAAGTCTGTGCTTTTTAATGTTGCCTGCAATCAAAGAGGGGTTAAAGGAAATTAATTCTTGGTGACGGGTGGCTTCTGAATCTCATGCTCCTCTCCATTGTGGTACACTCTTCCTGTTAATCTAACACTTCAACTTTAACAACAGTGAATCTCTCACTTTTTGTAGAAACCCATGTAGAAACAGATGAATGCAAAGTAAGATATGAGGGGTCTAGAGAGCTGGTAACGCAAATAATTCAACTCTAATCAGATGTTTTAAGGAGTGTCTTATGGCTAAAAGATAAATCTTGAAATACTTTTGGTACAGTAATTTGGCAAGAGCGATTGCAATAGTTTTGCCATGGTATGTTCAAATTATTTGCTGTGCCCAGCTTTCCCAAGCCCTGCTCAGAATCTGAGGTTCCTTTTTCTCTTTCAGGTGAAGCATCTATATAAGCATGATGGTAGGCAGAGGCCTAGCTTTGGAATTATTCTAACCTGGTGTTATATTCTGATTCTGGCACTGAAAGTTTGGGCAACTTACATGGTCTTTCATGAGCCATAGTTTCATTATATGTGAAACAGAGATAATGTGAATAAGTGTTAAATGAGATATCATTTGTGTAAACGCCTAGCACCTCATGTTCATCTGTGCTCATTAGGTGATGAATCAATGATGAAAATCTGTATTAGAAAAGGATCTGCCCAATGGCAGGCGGGCAGCTGGGATGCAGCTCAGACTTCTAATGGGAACTCAACGGAAATGAGAGAGGAGACAACCTGTGCTGTCACTTTGAGCCAGGAAGATCAGATGACAAAGGGAGCTCATATCCTTTTCTCCCAATGCAGTTGTCCATTCAGCTAGGTTATTCCTGTAGACTGTCATCCCACCACAGAGTGGGTTCCTCACATAAGTGATAAGCATTCATAAAAATTACATTCACTGTTCAATTCCCACCTATGAGTGAGAATATGCGGTGTTTGGTTTTTTGTTCTTGCCATAGTTTACTGAGAATGATGATTTCCAATTTCATCCTTGTCCCTACAAAGGACATGAACTCATCATTTTTTATGGCTGCATAGTATTCCATGGTGTATATGTGCCACATTTTCTTAATCCAGTCTATCATTGTTGGACATTTGGGTTGGTTCCAAGTCTTTGCTATTGTGAATAATGCCGCAATAAACATACGTGTGCATGTGTCTTTATAGCAGCATGATTTATAGTCCTTTGGGTATATACCCAGTAATGGGATGGCTGGGTCAAATGGTATTTCTAGTTCTAGATCCCTGAGGAATCGCACATGTACCCTAAAACTTAAAGTATAATTAAACAAACAAACAAACAAACAAACAAACAAAAAATTACATTCACTGAATTGAACTGTTATAGAAAACAGATATCTTAAACTCCATCCTTTGAGGATTTCTTAGCTTTTTGTATGAGCTTGGGCAATTCCTTTTTACCTCTTTTTACATGTCTTCTCACCTGTAAAGTCAAGGAAGAAGACTGGGATCTCCAAGGTCTTTTCAGCTTCAGAAGTTCTATCACTTTCCCCTTTTCCAGTATCAGCTACTTAAAGGGAGTAATCAATTTGGAATTGGATGGCAAGTGTGGCCACCTCCTAACCACGTAAACCTGCTGAATCAGTTCAGCATGCAGAGCCTTGGTTTTCTCTCATTACATGGAGAACAATAATACCATCTCTAAAAGTTGAGTGTGAGGCTCAATAGGAGTAACATACATGGAAGCATTTTTGTAAACATTAAAGTTCAAGCCTAGCCTTTTTCATTACATTCAAGGTTTATATGGCCCCAACCACCTTGAGCTCCATATCGTAGAATACCTCCACACAGGGAATCCCCATGCTCCATCCCCACCTCTGGAGAGTGTCAGCCTGCTGAGTGCAGGGTGATACTAGGCATGTGTGCCTTCTTGGGGGTTGCTGGCTGCACCTTCCAAATGACTGCTTTGCCTCTTGGTCTCCTCTCCCACCTCCCTTCCCTCTGCTGGTCCTTCCTAGAGCCACCTGGAAGAGAAGAAAGCAACAAGCTTCCTGCCTGCCAGAAGCCAAATGCTAGTGCAAAGTGAGCCTTGGGGGTAAGGTCAGGGAACAGGTGCAGAGAAACCTGGAGCTAGCTACTTCGGACTCTGATACTGCATAGGGACAATGAGGATGGCTGTGCCTCAGGGGGGGTTTGTGATGTCTGAGGAATGCATCTCAGAGAAACTGGGTCTGCTGAGGCAGCAGTATACCCCAGGTGGTTGTGCCTAGTGCACAGTGGGACAACGTGCTGGACTCTCTTGTCCTTGGCCTTAGACCCAAACCCTCCCAGTGCCTTGGCTCCCCCTTCACCCCTAACAGTGGAGTGCTAAGTAAAAAGAAACCTCAGTTCTTTTTATCAAAGAGCCTTGCCTAGATAGGCAGCTTGCTTTGAAAGACAGTCATTCAAACCAGAAAAAGGAGACATGAAAAGCTTACTTTTCTCTATAATTGAGGAACAGAAGAATATAGTAAGTAAATCATAATAGACTAAATCTCCTGAAAAACTCCTACATTGCAAGTTTCTTCTTGAATACACAGTTGAATTTGCAAAAATAAATTCCTAGGGGTCAAAAATGAAGAGGAAGCCCACAACTCAAGAGGTAAGCAGCCTCATCCTCAAAATGTACAAAGTAAAATGTGAAAAAACTGCAAAAAGAGTTACGACCACACTAGCATACACAAATTTCAACACAAATTTCATACACAAATTTCTATCATTCTTCTCAAATGATAGATCAAACATAAAAATTACCAAGAATATAGAACATTTGTACAATACAACTAGCAAATGGGATCTTATGGACAACAAGAAATACACATTCTTTTAAAGTATACATAGAAGCAGGCTGGGTGCAGGGGCTCATGCCTGTAATGCCAGCACTTTGGGAGGCTGAGGCAGGATTACCTGAGCCCAGGAGTTTGAGACTAGCCTGAGCAACACAGTGAGAACTTGTCTCTACCTATATTTAAAAAATAAAAAAAATTAAAATATATAATAGAGGTAAATCAGAAATGTTTAGAAGTTGGATGGTATGACCCAGAACTGGGGTTTTAATCTGGTATAGAAGTTGATTTTTGCCAAGGAGCTTGCAGAGAGATTCACCTCAGTTCTGTGCTGGGTTATAGAGGATGGCATCAGAGAAGAATTTGAACACTTGAGACTGGAAACAAATGCACGTAGACTTGTAATAGCTCAAGAGTTCAATGCTACCCTGTAAATTGGCCTGTGCTTTTGAAATGTCTCAATGAAGACAATCTGACTGTCTCGTCCACTTCTTTCTCTCTGGTTACTCTGCTTCAGTTTAACCAGGGGCATTTCTGATAGAACATTTCTTCAATGTTTTTGCTTTTTGAGGATGGCATGAAAACATTCCAAGATTTTCCTTTTAGTGGAAAGTCGTTAAGTACTAGGGTATAATTCTAGATTCTAATTCTGATGACCAGACGTTTCAGGAAGCACCAGATGTTGAAGGTAAATCTTGAAAAAACCCTCCCAGCATCCAAGGAAGACTCTCCCTCTTAGAATAAAGCCCTAAACATTCCTGGGTTCTGATCCAGAAGCATCCTGCTTTTCTTGGCTCAGCAGTGAGTTTGTCCAATTGTTGGCCTAGGATCCCTCAATCTGAAGTCATTGATACAGCCACAGAAACCATGGCCAGATGTAAGTGGACAAGAAACCATCTTAGCTTCCAGGTGTTCACAAATACTCCTCAGTAGGAGCTGTACCCAAATGTCTCTGCTTCAAGTGCCAGACCCACTCAACTGTTCAACCATTCGGCTAAAGAGAATTAGCTGCTTCATGAAAAAGTAACTATGTACAGATCCCAAGGTTCAAGTTCAACAGATAGGGTTTCCGCAAAAACTTTATCATGTAGACAAATGCTACCTCTCCCCTACTGTTCAACTTTGACGGCCCAGTAGAAGGAATGAGCCCATTAGCACTAAATCCATACCAGTACTTAACTTTACCCCGGGCCCAACTCTCAGCCTAATTATACAACAGTCCCATCTCTGAAAGACTTTTCAATTGTGATTACGCAACCCCACAGGTACCCAGATTATCTAGAGTCTCTGTCAGATACAGGTTCTGAAAAGACAAATTTTCTCAAAGACATTTTAGAATCCCAGCAGCCCAGGCACTGGCCAGAGAGGAGGATGTCCACCGAGGCTATAAAGGGCCCTTCAGTGTTCCTAGCTCCTCCCCTCTCTGGAATCTTCTAGCTAAAGCCATCTGCTCAGCCATCCAGCTGGAGATGTTACCCCAGGGAGCTTTGCAGCAGAGAAGCCCGTGGTGGTTGTTGTTCTCAGGTGTCAGGGATAGGGATGGGAGCAGCTGCTAACCTTGCCCGGGCCTTTCAGTTCCACGCTGGCGGGATGCGGCAGGACCAAAGGTCAAGAATTTGTCTGGTCTTGTCGTGAGAAACTAGG
Organism: Homo sapiens; assembly: GCF_000001405.40. Lineage (NCBI taxonomy): Eukaryota > Metazoa > Chordata > Mammalia > Primates > Hominidae > Homo > Homo sapiens. Next base: position 166,152,390 of record NC_000001.11, read on the forward strand.
CCCACCATAGCTTCCCTTGGCCCTGTCTGCACCCCATTAATTGTTCTCTTTTCCGTATTTTAGGATCTACTCTTGATATCCAGGCCTTTAAGATGCTTGCCCAGAGGACAACCATGTGCTTAAGCTTCTTTCATACTCCCTCTCTGCTGCAGACTTGCTGTGGATGAACTGGCCCCGGACACTTGTTGAATCAATCCCCCTTTAACCTGTGCCCTCTCCCTGGATTCCAAACCCCACATGCTCAGGGGAAGTTCTTGGTACTCTGGATTTATTTATTTATTTATTTATTTATTTATTTATTTATTTATTGATGGAATCTCGCTCTGTCACCAGGCTGGAGTGCAGTGGCGTGATCTCTGCTCACTGCAACCTCCACCTCCTGGGTTCAAGAGATTCTCCTGCCTCAGCCTCCCAAGTAGCTGGAACTACAGGTGCACGCCACCACACCCAGCTAATTTTTGTATTTTTAGTACAGACGAGGTTTCACCATGTTGGCCAGGATGGTCTCGATTTCTTGACCTCATGATCTGCCTGCCTTGGCCTCCCAAAGTGCTGGGATTACAGGCGTGAGTGCGCCCAGCTGGTACTCTGGTTTTAACTGTTCCCAGCTTCCTCACCAGACATCCAGAACTCTAGCTGAGTTGCCCCTTTAGATCACAAGTAATTTTCTTTATAAAGATCATCCATGGTTTTTGGAAACCCACTCATGAGATGAAAGTAGACGCCCAGCCAGGCTTGGAGGCAACGTGGAAGACAGAGTGACTCATGGGCTCCCAAGAGAAGGGTGAATGGTTCTGCTCCAAGGGTGGAGAACAGCTTTGCTCTTCCAGCTGTGGCTCCTTCCATATTTATCTCTCCAGAGAGAGAGGGGGAGCACAAGTCAGGGAGTCAATGAGAAGTGGGGGGATCCAGGGGTCTGGGGAAGGGCATCTGGCTAAAGCCCTGCAGCTTGAAAGAGTGACTATCCCAAGACAAGCAGAGGGTCAGAAACCAAGCCGGTAGAACTTGGGATGGACACAAAGATGAACAAGTAGTTCAAAGGCAGGCAGGAACCTGGCAACAAATACTGAGAATCAGGCAGCAGGGCCAATCGATCAGACAGGCAGGAGCCCTGTGAGTTATAGGACTTGGAACAGGACATGCCAGGCAGGCAGGACAACAGTGAAGGGTCCACATAGCCCAAGAAACATGAGGATGCCTCCTCCTCTACGCAGGTCTCCAGGGAGGGTAGAAGCCTGGTCCCAGTGCAAGCTTAGAGAAGGAGGGCCAGGCTGCAACAGGACTATGTAAGGGGGAGGTGGACCACATGACATCGCCCTGGATTCCCAGAGTCCTCATGACAGGAAGTGTGGAGTGGTACAGAAACTACAGCTTTAGAGTAAGCCAGGCAGGCAGTGATGGCAGGATGCTCGGAGGTATATACTCGTCTCCCTCTGCAGTCCTCCCTCTATACCCCCCTTAGATCCCAACAAGGGCAAAGCAAAATGGGGTGTTGCCTAGACCTGTTCCCTCCCATTCTTCCCCAACCCCACCTCCTTTAGGGTGAGCAGACACAGCACCATTTGATCATGCCCCTATGCTGAAATGCCTCAATAAAACAAAACAATGACAAAAGAATTGACTGAAACCAACTAAAAGCCACAACAGAGACAGGGTCTCCAGGCTGCTAGGATATCCCTCTCAGACTTCTCCCATCTGTTCTGCTCCACAGAGGCCTCCCAGCTGAGCCCTGCTGTCAGGGGAGGGCCCCTGGCCCCCTCACAATCTGTCATCTTTGACGCTACTTGGATCTTATTTCTTCTAGAGCTGCCAGGGGCTAGGAAGATACCTTGCCTGTGTGTGGGTAGGGGCCAGGAGGGCCATGCATGCCATCAGCACCAGGGCTAGGGTAAGGGGGGTATTGAGGGGTGGAAGAAAGGGATTCTGGGTTGTTGGGAATCCCGGCTAAATCTCAATTTCTCCATACTTTCCCCTTCCCTTGGGCTGCCAAGCCCTCCCATCTCCTGCCATCTGTGACAGGTGTCTCTGGGGAGACCCTCTTCTTTCTTGCTTGCTAATCACTGCATATAGACACTGAAAACAGGCTGGACTCTCTGCTCCTGGCAACTGTGTAGACATCCCTTGGGCTGATGTGAGTTCCTCTCTGTGCTGCCAAGGGATGGATTCTTCCTGCACCCTGTGCACTTTCCTTTCCTGGGCAGGTGGCCATCTCTGCCTGAAGACCTGGACCCTCAGCAAACCTGGCTGGGGGGCAGGGGCAGGCAGTGATGAAAAAACAGGGGGAGGTGACCACTGACTGCTGCTTTGAAGACTAGGTGTGCTGGGTGCCTCCAGCCCTGACCCACAGAATTAGCCAGTGATCCAGGCCCATGGACCTGAGTCTGAATCCTGGTTCTGTCCCTCACTAGTTGTGGCACTGCCCTTTTCTGGGCTTCAGCGTCCCCATCTGTAAAAGAAGCAAATGAGCTAGATGATTTCCCGCACCATCCTAACACCCTGTAAGTTAAAAATGATTCTGTTGATCTACCACTTGCATTCTTCTGGCCATTTCTCTACTCTTTAATCAAGACCCTGCTGTGACTGGTAGCTGGTAACAGTCACCTGTGAGGTAGCTGAAAGGACAGAGGACTGCCTCTGGTGCTGGGATGGTCCCCTGGGTCTGATCCCAAGACCCTGGTTTCATTACTATCACATCCTGAGCAGCTGAGTGAACCAGGCAGCTGGGAGGCAAGGAGACTAGTCATTTCCAATTTGATTTAAACCTTTTGTTTCCCAAGTCTCCTCAGCAAGGACGAAAGCAAACACTCAAGCAATATCCTGAATACTTCCTGATCATTCATTCATTTGGACATTCATTCATTCAACCCTTATGAGGCAGTACAACATCATAAGGAGTCACAGGAATTAGTTTGACCTGCTTTCTAAATCTGGCTCTGGCACTACTTAGCTGAGTAATGCTGGGCATGTTATCCGACCGCTGTAGGCCTCCGTTTCATCTCTAATATGAGGAAAATAATGGTGCTACCTACTTTACAGACAGTGCATCTAAAGCATCTGGCACACACTAGTTGTTATCATCATCAAGTTGAGTAAGTTGCTCATGGTTTCACGGGGAGACAGACGAGCACATAGCTGCCCATCACTCAGTGTGTGCAGGTTTCTTAGCAAAAGACAGGCTCCTTGGTTCTGAACGTCAAGAAAATAACTTCAACAGGAGGTTGGGGGTTAGTTTGTGGCACAAATCACTCATCCTTCCTAAAGAAAGTGAAGATGGTTCGTGGAAGCTTGAAACAGATTCTCAAATCATTAAGTGATAACAAAAAATCTATTCTTGAATTGATTTGCCCAGCTCAGGTGTGGGGACTGCCATTTTGGAATGGAGGCTCAGCGTGTGTGGTCTCGGGAGAGGGAATAGAAGGTAAGTAAGATCCTGCTCTCACAGAACGGGCATGTCTGATTCCCTTCACGCCTCTCTTCCCCTACATATCCCAGCCTGAGCCCCCATGCAGAGGGCAAAGCAACATCTAATTTGCCTGTTTCTGGCAGCTCTTGGACTTGCCAAAGCCTGTACCTGCCGCCACACATGCCCCAGAAGCCTCTGCCTGCTCCTTCGGGATGCTGCAGAAAGTGCTGACTGCGGATGCCGATTTACCGCTTCCCATTAGCCAGGCCTCTAACAGCCTCTGAGAGCCTGTGCCGGACACAGGCCCACCAGCCAGCTCTGAAAGGTCAGGCCCCAGGAGCAGGAGCCAGCCAGAGGCTTTGCGAGGCAGGCCTCGCACAGTGACCCTGTTGATGTGCCATCCTTTATTTTGTTTTAATAACAAAATGGCCTTATTTATCTTGTTTTAATCTGACAGCCTGAAAATTTCTCTTTGCGCTTGTTGAAGACATTTAGGTGGTCCTGTTTACCCTCTCTTGTCTTCAGACATCATAAATGATGCCCTTAAAAGTGTCCACATGCTGTCTGAGCCAGAGGTGCCCAATGCACATGGCTCTGAGGATGACCTCTCCCATCCCTGACTCCCATTCTTGGTTGGCTGATCATGGACTCAGTATGGAGGGCACTGGGAGAGGAGGTGGGATGCCTGAGCATCAGGCCTGAGTCTACCAGTGCTTGCCAGGATGACCTTGGGCACATAATTTAATCTCCTTAGGCCTCAGCTTGCTTATCTGAAATAGGAATAACTGTTGTCCTACATGTTTCATGATTATTGTGAGGTTAATTATGAGAGGTCCCCTTATAAAGAAAACAAAAATCATGAAAGGGACCTGCAAAGAATAAAGTACCTTAAAAATAGCTTTGGACACAAATGATTTCAGGTGTTGGTCTCACTGTCCCCCTAAGGTGGAAATTGCACAACCTTCCTGAGCATGAACAGCATGGCTCACATGCTCCAGCATCACCCCACCCTCAAGTCCTTGGCTTGGACAAACTGTAGCTCCTTCCCCCAGCCTGAGTGATACTGTTACCAAAGAAGGGCTCAGGGATAGGACAGGAAGTCCCCATAAGGATGTGGCTAGGCTGCAGGCATCATGCCTAGGGATTAGGAGCAGCCAGGGTCCTGGAGGCTTCCCAAAGTCTACAGCTTAGAGGAGAACAAGGAGGGTGACTTCTGAGTGACATGACGTCAAGGGGGCGGCGGAGGGGGGGGGGGGGCTCCAATGCCTTCCTCTGAGTTTGAACAGAAAACAGCCCTGGCTCCAGATGTACAGAGCAAGCCTTTCTCCTCCCCTCTATCTTTGAGTGGGTTTGTAGGGGAGGTTTGTATAGCTGACATGCCAGAGACCCCTCTCCAGAGTCTGAATGCTTCTCTGTCCAGGGAAGTTGCAGGGCCACAGCCACAACCTCCCTGTTCCTTAAGGCTGATCCACAGTCATCCTCTAGCAATAATAACGAGCATGCTCTGTAATAACAAAAATCACAAGTGTTGATTCCTAATCCGTATGGCATTAGGATGGGGAGATCTTATTACTGTCCATTTATGTACAGGCAAACTAGATGCTGGCTTATTAAGGGACCTGCCAAAGGTCATGCAGCTGGCACTGGGACCCAGATCTTCTGACTGGAACCCTGCGCTGGGGAACCAGCAGCTAAATCTTCCACTGGCACAGTGAACAGTTCCAACTGGCATGTACCCCAGAACCTAATGAGGGAGCAGGGTCCACATGGGCCTCGAGAAAAGGAACAGTGCAGGAATTCTTGGGAGCCAGAGGTATGTCCAATGAGCTGATGACAAAGCCAGGGGTCCCTTCCACCACCAGATGGGAATCCTTGTTCTCCTTCTCTTCCTAATCATCCACCCGAACAGCAACTGCCCGGAGAGTTTGAGGGATGAATAGCTATCCATATCCAGTACCTGGGTAGTCTGGGTGACTGTCTGCTGGGGCCCAGGGCTGCCCATTAGGGCCTGAAGGTGTAGGCACACGGCTAAAAGCTACAGCCCAGACCAACCAGCTTGCAGCCCGAGAACTGAGGATGTCGTCCCCCTGCTCCCAAGGAATGTGCTCCTCAGCATGAAAGGAGCTTATTCCCTGCTGTCTTTACTCCTGGCCCCTCACAAAGATATGGCTCTTACAGCTAACCACCAATGCCATTCTCAAGGGGAATGCAAGGAGGTTCACACACATGATCTCAGAGCAACTTACTCTGTTTCCAAAGGAGTGAGGAAATACAGAAATCAGAGAAAACCAATAAAGCTAGGTCCATTATCACTATTTTGCAAAGCAAGTTCAGAGAACCCCCTTCCTGGGAGATAAGGCCATCATCTATTAGAAACAGAATACTAGTCAGGTGTGGTGGTACATGACTGTGGTCCCAACTACTCGGGAGGCTGAGGTGGGAGAATCACTTGGGCCCAGGGGATCCAGGCTGCAATGAGCTGTGATTGTGCCACTGCACTCCAGCCTGGGTAACAGAGCAAGACTTATCTCAAATAGACGGATAGATAAATAAATAAATAATTTTTAAAAAGAACCAGAGTAGTCAGAGCACATGAGCTAGACTCCTGGCACGGCTCCTTGCTGGCCATGAGGCCTTGAGCTAGCTACTGAGCATCCCTGGACCTCACAATAGGATAACTTCCCTCACTGGGTAAGATTTCAATGAGGCCATGCATGGAAAGCACCCTGCACAGTGCCGGGCACATAGACCTTTCACGTGTGTTATTTCCCTTCTCTTTCTTTTCCTTCCCAAACAGCATCTCCAGACGTTCCTCGATCTGGACAACTCTCCTGGCACAGGCACACTCACACCTTCTTCACTAAAACCCAAAACAACAACAACAACTCTAGAACCATCCTTAAATACCACACTGATTTGGATTAGTGAGAATAAGAGGCAACTTGCCTGATGACTCTGCCTCTGTGGGGGAATATCCCACTCTGTGGGCAGTTCTGCTGCTGGTGTGCAGGCAGGCACCAATCCCTTCCACGGACCCTCAGCACCACGAGGACTCTGCTTCTTTGTAAGTATTCACCAGGATGCTCTGCTACTGCTAATTTCCTGTTATTTATCTTCTCAAAGGAGTCCATAATAACCAACTTATAAATGACAGCCACTTCTTGTGGCCTGCTTGGTGTTAACACAACAGAAGTTGTGGCCCCTCTGTTATCTGTGACAACTTTTTCTTATCAGTAGATCAAAGTGGTCCAGGGAAGGAAGCTGGGTAAGAAGAAAGCCATGCTATCAACTACTTGGAGCCTTTGGGCAACCCTAGGCTTCCTTGCAAGAAGCTTTGAGGAAAAGAGCTAGGTGCATGATGACAGTAACAGCGGCCATAACTACTAACTTTTCTTGTGCTGATATGAATGGAGGGCTGACCTGTCCCCCTCACAGGCCAAACTGTGGCAGTATATAGAAAGCCAGGACACAGGGTCAGAAGACATGGCTTGCAGTCTCAGCTCGGCCACTTACTTGATGTATGGCCTCAGGCAGGTTACCCAACCCCCTGAGACTCAGTTTCCTCATCAGTAAGATCAGCATGACAATAGTACCTAGTTCCCAAGAACCAGGGGGATCAGATGAGAGGGTCAGATGAGGGGGTCAGATGAGATCAGAATGCAGTACGAATTAGAAGGAAAGGGGATATTTGGGACTGCACACCCCACACCAGACTTTGCATTTCCCTTTCACTTGCCAGTCTGCATCCTTAACCTGGAACATGATGCCTCTGCAGACCTGCCCCTAAAACAGCATTTGTCCCTGCTGCCTGTGGAAGGTCACTGATACTTTGCAGTCTGATGCCCTCACAGTCCATCTCCTGTCCTTGCTTTCCCCAACCCATCCAGTGCCCTGGAATGCAGATTAATATCCCAGGCTACACAAGCCACAATTTGTTAACTTCCCATTTGTTTCTCCCCCTCTACATCTTTCCCTAATCATTTGTTTCCTCCCCTATCTCTCCAACTCCTCCTTTGACTCCAGAGTTGTGCTTTATCTCCAGTGAGCTTAATGCTTCCCTGATAAGACCAGTTAATCCTCTGCTGCTCCTCTTTTGCAGAGATGGAGGAGATTAAAGGCAAAGGGTCATCTCCCTTCCAAGGGCACTCAGGACTTTAATAAAGGAACTGGATCCTGCTTTCCCATCTGATGCTCTAGATTGGCATCCCCAGTGTTTCTGCTGAGAAGCAGTTCTGGTTATTTCCAGACCGTGAGCCTCCTGATTGGAATGAAATGGAAATGGCGGGGGGAGAATGGGTATTGGTCAAGTGGCCTGGAGACTCATCAGGCTCCCTGGACAGATGGGCTGATCTGGTCCTCGAGAGCAAAATGCCCAACTGTGTGACCATCTCTATGGTCACCAATGAAGGTCACACTTAAAGCCACACTGGGCATGTAGCAGCATGTAACTGGTAACAAAAAGGGGAGCTCTAGCTTGGGGGACATAACTGTACTAGCCAAGGCCTTTAGCCTTCTCCTCCACAAGTCCGGGATTAATGAGTTAGTGATGCAGGTGGAACAGTGCCACAACAAGGTCTCCTTGGGTACACACTGAATGCCACTTTACAGCATGTAGGTGATACGAGAGCAAGGCTTCGGTGTTTGCTGAACACCACTCCCAGTGTACAGAACACCTCAGGGAGACAGAGGAAGTGACAGAAGTAAGCCCTGTGCTGAGAAACAAACCATCTGGTGGGGTAACACAGGACAAATAACGCAAAAGCACAGCGGAGTTAAACTATATATTAGTGCTAAGTAACTGCTGGAGTGTCTTGGGTTCAAGATCTTTGTGGGTTCAGGCTTAGGTTTAACATGAAAAGCTAACTTTGAAGAGACATTATTTGTTGAAGAGGACAGACTATTTGAGGTCAGAAAAATAGTTTATTCGTTTATTTTGTATCAAATGTTTCTTGAACATCTGCTATGGGCCATGCACTGTTCATAAACAAGATGGACATGACATCTGCTTTCATGAAATTTACACTGTAATGGACAAGTCAGAAATTAAGTAAACAATTATATTCTCACTAATTATATTCTTAGTAATGGTAACCAGTATAAGAACAGCGCATCTTGAAGGAAAAGAACAGGAGGATCCCAATTTCAACTGTGAGATCAGGGATAGCCTCTCAGAGGAGATAGCGGCTGAGACCGGAATGAGGGGCAGGAAGTAGCTAGAGCAGTGCAGGGAGGAAGCACATTTCAGATGGAGAGCGGCATATGGAAACGTTCTGAGTTGGGATAAAGTTGGTTCTTTTGAAAGACTGGAAGAAGGCTGACAAGGCTTAAGAACAGAAAATCAGAGAACAGAAAGAGATTTTCTTTCTTTTTTTTTTTTTGAAACAGACTCTCGCTCTGTCAGCCAGGCTGGAGTGTGCAATCTTGGTTCACTGCAACCTCCACCTCCCAGGCTCAAGCAATTCTCGTGCCTCAGCCACCAGAGTAAATGGGTTTACAGGCGTGTGCCACCATGCCCAGCTACTTTTTGGAATTTTTAGTAGAGATGGGGTTTCACCATATTGGTCAGGCTGGTCTTGAACTCCTGGGCTCAAGTGATCCACCTGCCTCGGCCTCCCATGCAAGAGATTTTCCCATTTTATTCCAATTGCAATGGTAAGTTATTAAAAGGTTTAAGCAAGAAACTAATAACATCTACATTTTTAATACATCACTCTGGCTGCTATGTGGGAGGCAGACTGGAGGGGGACAAGAATGGTGGTGACAGGTTCAGTTAGAAAGTCTCTACAAGAACAGGTGACAGTTAATGGTGACATGTCCTGAGATGGTAGCAGTAGACAGAGAGAGTGGTGGCTGGATTACACACATATTCTGGAGATGGGATCAGTAGGATTTAATGATGGGCTGGATGTGTGGGGAAGTATCTAGGGTGACATACAGATGGTTTCGCTTGAGCAACTCAAAGAGTGGAGGTGTTGTTTACTAAGATGAAGAATGGCAAAGGTGCAGATTTAGAGTGGGAGCTATAGTGGGGATCGAGAGTTCGGGTCTGGATACCCTAAGCTTGAGATGTCTTTCATTGTGTCATGTCATCATTGTGCGAAGACACACACACATCTGGACTGGAGGTGACTGTGTATCATAGAGGTTATCTCTCACCATTAGGATGGATGAAATTACCCAAGGAAAGCATAGAACAAGAAGAAAAAAGTCCCATTAACTGTACTTTGAGGTAAGATGGAGTTACAGGAACAGCGGAAAAATAGCATAGAAGTTAAAAGATGGGAGCAGTTCCACACAGAGAAGCCCGTCTACAAGGAATGCTGCTGAAACGGTGAGTCTCTCAAAAGTGTCTGAGGGATTCGGCAACATGGAAATCACAGACGAACTTAGCAAGAGCAGTTTCAGAATGGATAGAGATCAGCTTGGACTAAACTGAACAGGCAACAGAGGTGAGCGGGTACAGCCAAATCCTCAATAATCTTGATTCTGAAGGAGGAGTAGAGGGACAGGCAGGACCTGTCTCTTGAAGCTATGACTGAGCTATGACTTCCTAAAGTTTCACACAGGCCAAACTTTTCCAAATTGGCAGTGGAGATGGTTTCCATACTATCAGCCCAGCCTGACCATTAAAAGTTCCCTTATAGCCCCAGAAGACTCAAAGAGAATGAGAAGGGGCTTTAGCTATTGCTGGTTTTCCCTGACCTTGTCTTCATCTCATTCAACCCTGGCACAAGAGCCCCATTCCTTGCTCAAATCTTACTCAGGAAACCTCTTCAGCGTTGTACTCCAGCATTCAAAACTGTTCCATTATAAACGTCTTCCACTTCTGTTGGAAAGCTTCTGCATACTCAAGAGGTATAAAGAAGATAGGAAGAGCTTCCTGACATCCTCTGTCTGGTCAAGATCTGACTTTAATCTTTTCCTTTTCCAGACTATGTTATTCTGGGCCCACCCAACAGACCCCAAGCTACCTTTCAAACCTCATCTCCTACTGTTCTCCTTCTTGAACACTCCACTCTGGCCCACTTATGCCCCCTTAAAACACCTTCTATTTTCCTACCTCCATATTTTTGCTGGTCTTCCCCTTTGGAATTAGTCCCTCCTCCTTGCCTACCTGAATATTACCCATACCTCAGAGTTCACCTTGAGTCCATTCACCTCTAGAACACCCTGCTTGGCCCGCCAGCGCTCTCAGGCATTTCTTCCACACCACCAAAGAGCGCTGCTTTTCTCTGCATTTGTCGTCTTATAATGAGAAGCAGTGAAAACTGCCTGCATATTCCTTTTTCTTTGGTGCTGCTGCCTGCACAGCAGAAGCATTTGGTAAATGTTTGTATATTGACAGGTTGATTGAGAGAGTCAGGAGCCCTTCCTCCCCGAGGGATGAAGACTTGCAGCAGTCTGTTCAAGGCTGCACTAGCAAGATTCACCAGGGCCAAATGAGAAATAAATAGGTGCCACAACTCTTCACCAGCCTGGTTTCTATAGAATCATTCGAGGAAGTGCCATGGAAATGAGTTCAAGTTCAAATTAAGCTCTGGCCATCATAGCCATCAACTATTTCAAATGTTCTTTTAGAAGCCTACCCCTTCTTGGAAAAGTTTACAATTTAAACCACAAAACCTCAGGCTTTCTTTCAATCCTGTAAACAGGAGTTTCTTGCCATTTTATGTTGTGGATTTCCTCTGGCACAATCCTTTTCAAAATATTGAAAAGGCAGTTTTCTAATCCAAACCCTTTCACCATATTGTGGTTCATGTGACAGAACACTGCACAGAGGTGAAAAATCACTCCATGCTATTTTTTACAATCCAGATATTGGCTAAAGTAGACATAATAACTAATAGACTGCAGCAACTTTCATGCAATATGAATTCCCATTAAAAAGTTTACACTAGCAAAATTTTCCAGGCATAAATATCTTGTGGAAATTGGTTCATTCAAATTTGGGCTCCAAAGTGGCCTTTAACACATAGCAATTATTGCAACCATGAAGAAACAGGTAGACTGTGGACACAAATCTATAATAATATGCTTTATGATTTATTGGGGGTCTATTTTTGCTCTCCTACATCTACATGAAAACCAAGAATCTTAAAATATCAAAAGTGGCAGTTTAAAAACAAAACCACTTTCCAAATCCCAAATGCAAGGATTCAGTGGGGAAGGGTCAGGAATCCTGTCACTGATTCATATCCATTAAAGTTGGTTCCAGTGAGGACATACCTTCCCTATAGATTCCAGGAAGTTCAACTACCATGTCTGTTTATATCTCAACTTGACTTCTCCTAAGGTAAAGTAAGTTTTACGGAAATAATTCTGTATTTATATATTTGCTTTTACTTATTCATAAGAGATTTGAGGCAACAGAGAGTTCCGCTGTGCAGTCTTGGGAAAAGTGAGGCTGCTTCTGCACAGTCACTCCTGGCTTCCTCTACCAGGGGCCCCAGGCTGCTGTGGGGAGCACTTGCTGTCCTCCAGCAACCCACTGCCATCAGGGTGAGGCCAGGGAAATGAGAGGAAGGGCTCTTGCCCTGCCTGTGGCTTTCTCTGACTTGGCTGGAAACAATGGATTTATTTTAAAAAGCAGTTTTAAGAGACACATGTGTTCACATATAATCATTCTTTTGAGGGTATGTCAGTTTTTAAATGGCATGATTCGCCCCAAATAAAATATCCCCCATTTCTCACATCTAGCTGTCTTCTCTGGAAGAATACAGTGTGCTGAGGCATATTGGAAACTGGGCCTCACATTTCTTCACTAGGAATTGAGTTTTCTCAAGGATTAAGCTTTTGTGCTTAAAGAGAAAAGTGCAAAATCTTTGGGAGGAAAAAAGGAAAACAACGACCTGTCAAATTTCTTTTAGCGCCTATGACTAGTGTTAACTGACATGCTCTCAGAGTGCAATAAAAAGCCTGCAAACTGCTGCTAAAAAGATGGTTTGACCTTTTAAAATGGGAACTCCCCCACCCCATATCCATATTAAATAGACGAACCTTGGGAGCTCTAGAGTTTTAGATTAATAAGTGAAATGAGGTTGAATTTCCAGAAAAAGGGTTTCCCTGTAGGCTGCAGACTGGCTAATTAGGGTGTTCTAGACCTACATTGTAACAGCAGGTAGAAGGCAGGCCCTAAACCTTTTAGCTATTGTCGTTGCCACCTGCTCAGAGTCTAGTTCTGAAAGGAGGCGGGTGCGGAGTTATGAAAATTTGGTAAATATAAAAGTCCCGGACGCGACCGCCCGTAGCCTGCGGCCCCTGGCGGTTGAGGAGCCGCGGCGATCCTTGGTCTTCACCGCAGCAGCCAAGCCCGGCGCGCACCAACCGGCGCTGCTGAAAGTTGGAGAGCTCCCAGCTCGCCGATAGAATTCGGCGGTGGGCGCCAGGGGAATCCCTTCCAGTGCCGCAATTAGGAAAGTTTTAAAAAGTAAGGACCCTAGACAGACAAGAGATCCATCCTTTCCTTTAGCATAAGAAACACCCCGCGCCGCGCCAGCCGAACGCTGCTCGCACAAGGCTATCCGCCCTTCTTGGCCGGGACGCACTCGGTGCCTTCCAGCTCCCCACCAGAACTGGTCCAGGGGGCGCGGAAACAGAGAGGCAACTGTGTCCGGCTTGTGGTTCCAGACGGAAACGCCTCCGGGCTCCCTGGCCCGGGGGACAAGGGTTCGAAACTTCAACAGTCGCGAGGGCAAGGACAGAACTACCAACTCCCGCTCGGATGCCCGGGACCTGCTCTTCCAAGCCCGCTCCGGTTTCTCCAAAGGACGCGCGGCACAGCCCATGCGCCCCCGGCACTCCACTCCACTCCTCTATGGTTTCCCCCAAACTCTTCCCGGGGAGCCCCACAAAGCACAGACGGCGCCCTGAAACTCGCCAGGCACTCGCCAGCCATCCCCACCTCCGCCTCTCGAACCCTCCTTGTCGCGTTCTTCCCGCCCCGCACCTTTCTCCTCGCGTTTCTGGGAAGTCAGAAGCAAACCACGAGAAAATGCCTTCGCAAGGAGCCTCCCTACACCCGCCCTGTCACTGAAACAAAAGCGTAGGGAGGAGGGAGGTGGGAGAGGAGGCGGGAGGAAGGTTTAGAAAGACGATGGGGACAGCAGTAGGAAGGAGCTGGGGAGGGGGGTCAAGGTGGCAAGCAGAGCTGGGGGCCCAGAGTCCGCTCCCGTGCCGCGCGGCGAGTCGCTTACATGCCCAGGTCGCTGTAGGTGTTGAAGAACTCCATCTGATTGCACGCCTGAATCCAGCCCACCACCCAGGTCTCGTGGCGGGGGATGGGGGGCATGACCACGCGGGCGGAGGCTTTGAAGTAGGGGGTCTTGTAGCGCAGGACGATGGGCGAGGTCTCCTCGATGCGCGTGGGGCACTGGTCGATGGTGGCGCACACATCGTACACCACGATGTTCTCGCGCCGGATCCGCGCCTTGCAGGTGATGCTTTGGATACAGCCCATCCTGCAGCCCGGTGCCGGCACGGCGCGGCGTGGGGCAGCGCGGGGGCCCGCGCGGGCAGCCGGGGGCGCCCGTCACGCCGGCATGGCGACGCGCCGCTCGCTCCCGGTCAGACTCAGCTCGCACCTAGGAGCGGGGAGCCGCCGGGCATCCTTGGGGAAGCCCCCTCCTCTTGCAGCCGCGCGGGGTCCCCGCTGCCCCGACGTCCGCCCACGCCCGCCCCCTCGCTCCGGCAGGGCGCGCGGAGGGTGCACTCCTAGGAGGCGGCGGGTGCCCTCGCCGGCTCCAGCGCCCGGGCGGAGGGCAGGGAGGGGAGCGGCGCTGCGAGGAATGGTGCCCACCCCGGGCCGGAGCCCCCCGCCCCTCGCCGGAGAGGAGGAGGCGGCAGCGGCGGCGGCATGGAGCCGGGGGAGGGCGGCGGTGGCAGCGCCCGGTCTGTCTGCCTCCGCGGCGGCAGCAGCAGCAGCCGCCGCCGCCGCCGCCGCTGCATGAACCTCTGCACCACGGCTGCCCCCCGCGTGCAGCGCACCCAGCGGCGGGCGAGCGGGCGGCCCAAGAGGCAGGCGGAGGCAGCAGCGGCGGCGGCGGCGACCGGAGCTCCCGCCGGCCCCGCCCCGTAGCCGGACCACACCGACACTCCTCGGCCCGGCTGCCTCGGCCCGGGGGGCGCCAGGAGGCTGTGGCCCGGGGTGGAGAGCCCCAACGGCTGGAGCAGCACAGGACGTGCTCCGCGGAGGAAACTGGCTGTACGCCATGAGTTTTGTCCCTATTCGGCTGCCGTCCGGGTGGGGGGGGGGTAATGTGTAAGGGTGGGGGTGTTTAAAGGGCCGCTAGCGCCGGGGTGGGGCCCCGCACGTGGGGCTGAGGCGGGGCGGGGCCCTGGTAGGTGGTGCCCTGGGGTGGGGGTGGGGGACTAGGGCGGGCCCAAGCGCCACCGGGTGGGTGAGGCCGAGCAGGGCGCGGCGCTGTCCAGAGTCCAGTGGGGAACCCGGTAGCCCAGTAGGGGCTGTAGAGTGAGTGTTTCGGGCAGCAGAAGGGTTAGGGGAACAGCTTTATCAGAGATTGGTCGTTATTCAGAATATAGCTTGTTGGATTAGATTTAGGCTTGAGCCCTTTTAGTATCCTACCTTCAGAAAGGGTGAAGGGCGGGCTCCAGCAGCGTTACTAAATGCAGTGTATTTGCCTCTTTGCCTGACTGGGTTTGTTCTGGAAGCTCTTCTTTCCACCACTGTGTGTAGTGGGGATACCGGAAGAATCCCTCCGTACTCCAGCACTAAGTCTCTCATATGCCAGAGTTTTGGCAGACATTGGGCATTGTGTACAGTATGACCACGGTCATGTGTCTGATACTGCAGTCTAATGTGCCAAACAGGAAGAATATTTAGCAGATGCTTTTACTAGGCATCTTCTTACATTTTTATTTTCAAAGCCAATAGCTTCTAAGTATTTCTTCTGCGATCATTGAACATTTGCTGGATCTGCTGCCCAAGTGTGAAATACTGACTAACAGGCCGCAGGAGGTGCTAGAGTTAGTCTTTAGCTAGGACAGGTGTGACGAGTAATTTAAAAATTGATTGAGATCTAAAAGCACTCTTCATCCTTGTTTTAACTGTTCTGACACCTTGGTTCACTTTATAGTTAACAAAAAAGCAGTTTTTCCCTTTGATGACTCGTCTCTCTCATTTTACCGTGTAGCCACAGACCTCAATCACTGGTCCTTTCATTCAGCAAAGGCTGACTGCCTGCCTGGCAGGAGCCAAACATAGTGCTAGGTACTAGGGATTCAAAGTTGAAAAAGAGCACATGGATCACTGGAGAAAATAAACCTGTTAACAAGTTATTATAGTAAACTGTGACACCTGCTTTAGTGGGGTTGTGTATCCAGTGCCGTGGAAGGCCAGACATGTAAATCTCTGGCCACATGTAAATCCCTCAGTGGTCAGAGAGCCACTCAGTGGCTCTCTGGCCACTGAGAGATTTACGTGTGACTTTGCTCAAGTAGTGACATTTAAATTGAATACTGACAGACTGTAGAGTCTCACTGAAAAGAGAAAGGTGAATGAGTAGTACAGGACCAGCATTTGGCAAATGCAAAATGCATAGAGATATGAAAGAACTCATCCTGTACTGAGGGGGAGAAACAACTCACAGTCAAGGCATTTCTCAAGGTGTTATGTGTCGACCATGGGCATCAGAATCACTGTCCAAGAATCAATTGGTTGTTGATAGACCATATCTTTTTTCTTTTTAAAATTAAGACTACAGACTTTATTTTGATTTTACTAGTTTTTCCACTAATGTCTTTTTTTCTCTAGAATCTAATCCAAGATATGATGTTGCATTTAGTCATTACATCTCCTTATTCTTCTCAATCTGTGACAGCTTCTCAGTCTTTCTCTGTTTTTCATGACCTTGACATTTTTAAAGAGGACTGGTCAGATATTCTGTAGAATTGTTCCTCATTTGCATTTATCTGATGTTTCCTCATGATTAGACCAGGGTTTTGGATTTGGGGGATGAATACCATGAAGATGAAGTGCCTTCTCATTGCATTATGTCAGGGGTACATGATAGCAATATGACTTTTTACTGGTGTTATTAACCTTGATCACTGGGTTTGGTGAATAATTTTTTTAACTTTTAGGTTCAGAGGTACAGGTGCAGGTTTGTTATATAGGTAAATTGCATGTCATAGGGGTTTGTTGGACAGATTATTTTATCACCCTGGTAATGAGGATAGTACCCAATAGGTATTTTTTTTTTATCCTCTGCCTCCTCCTACCCTTCACCCTCTAGTAGGGCCCAGTGTCTTCTCTTGATAGGACCTTATCTTAAACTTCAGTGGAAGCCAATGAAGGCAAGCCATGCATTTTGAGAAAAATTACTCTGCATCCATATAGAGAATAGAGGAGGCAGCGTTTCAGAATATTGTGATGACAGATACTTTGACCCTCGGCTAGCTTGGGGCAGTGCTGTGGGGCTGGAGAGGCCTGGCTGCATTTGCATTTAAGAATCACTTAGGAGGTAAATGTATTTACTTGGTAACTGAACAAGGTGATAGAAGGGGAAGCAGCTTGGGACTGTGGGTGATGTCATGTTAAGTTCGAGGTTCTTGGAGGTATTTGGGGGGCAGGGTGGGGTCAGAGTTTGAGTTTCAGTGGTTATTAGGTTCCAGGCAATAGACCAAAAGGAAAGCATTTCATTGGGGAATGTAGTTATGTTTCTTAATTTGAGTTGCTTGTCAGGCTGCAGTTTTGTGGATAAATAACTCCTTTGTCTTCTGGTGACACATGTTAAACCTTCATAAACGGGGAGGGGAATGGCAGCCTTTCCCAAAATATAGGGAAATCACATAAGGAAGAATATCTTATTTTTCAAACTTAAAATAAGATTTTGTTATATTTAGTAAAGCCAATAAAATGTAACATTATTCATGGACTTGGACCCTTGACATTCTCAGAGGGTTCATCCATGACCTTGGTGAGTCTCCAAAATCATGAATGTCATCATGGCATATAATTTCCACCATAAAGTACGGTAAAGTGTAGCTGAAAAATGTAAAGAATCTTTTTAGACTCTTAATGGTTCTATGAATATGGGGCCAAAGTAATTTCTAAAGCTACTTAAATAAATTTTGCCATTAAAATAAACTTCTTACTTCATTACCTTATATCTTTACCTTATTAACGCCCTATTTCCCTGACTCTGTGAAGAAAAAATTGATCACAGTATGAGAATTATTGTGCGGATGTCGATGAGAAAGTAAGGAGAGCTAAGTGGTACTGGGACACAAATGCCAGTGTTAGGAGTGGTCATTCACTAGCTGAGTGGCTGGCAAGTACACTCTGGCCTCCTGGCAGCCCCATTCAAATTTGTGTCTCAGCAAATTACCTCATGACAGGGACCTTTTGGATTACTCACTGGGGGTTTTTATCATTCATGCATATTCAGTCTGCAAATGCCAATGCAGGGCTATCTGTAGCTCAAATGAAATCCCCAGAATTTGCAACAGTTTCTCTGTGCTGCTCTTCTAAGTTTCTCTTTCTGTCTCCTCATGGTAAGTCCCTTGCTTCTATTAACACCTTTAAAGCTGTTTCACAGTTCCTTGCTCACACTTGTCTCTCCCAATAAGCTGTTCACTCCTCAAGAGAATGCACCATCGTGCCCTGTTGCCCAGCCTAGTGCGTGGCACCTAGGTGCTGCTCAATAAACATTTGAATGACTAAAAGTATTCTTAAAAATCCAATACAACATTTCCCATACATCATATTTAGTAGAATGCCAATAAAATGTAACATGATTCACAGACATGGACCCTTGACATTCCCTATAAGCTTCCCTATAAGCTCTGTCTCAATACCTGCAGCAAGCATATGTTTTTATTCTAATTCTTTCTGCACTGTACCTCTTTGTCCCCCCACTCTTTTCTTAATGTGGCTCCTTGATGTTAAGTGATGCCCTTTGTCTTCGAGCACTATACATGATCTCAAGGGTTATCAGTTCTAGACACCACGAAAATGGGAAAGCTCCAATGACAAGACCTTGACAACAATCATTCCTTGTGAATAACTTCATTGGAGTTCATTCTCAGGGCACAGAACAAATGATCCTTTGTACTTCAAGCTTCTGATGTTCTTGGGCATGACAGAGCTCCTCAGTTCCCTGAGTTAGAGCTGTGCTGTGCACTCTCCAGGATGTTGGCCTCTGTGTCCCCTTTACAATCCACTCCTTTAGCTGTAGATGACTCGGTCCTTCCAGAAGCAGGGTGATCTCTGACTTTATTTTTCCTCTTGATTGACTCATTACTCAATTTGTCAAGTGAGCTTTTTAGAAACTCTGGGTCACAAGGGCCTATTTTCTAGTTGACCTTGGCAAGGGTTTTCAGAGACTATAGAACAGACTACCAAGAGATGTTGAGGAATTGCCTCTGGAGCTGTTAAAAACAGACATGGATTTCCGTCTCACTTAGATGGCCCAAAGACAGGCAAGAGGTTAGCCTCAGGCCCAAGACTGCAGGATTGAGGAAACAGCTCCTTCTTGATTGTGAGCTCTCCCTACCACTACTTCAGAGCCAGGGTTACTAATTTCTCTTCTAGAACAGGCTAAGAAACTCAACATGGAGTGGAATATGGCAAGGGACTCAGGCACTTTGCAGAAGTCATTCAGCCCAAGATGTGGCAGCTATTGTGTGGTTCAAGTAGTCAATATTTATCAAGCTTTTTCCACTAGCCTTGCATTAGATTAGGCCACAGAAACTATGAAGAAGGATACCTTGGTTCCTCAGCTATTCTGTTGTAGGTCTGCTGTGCCTATCTCTGCTGCTTTCAAAGTCCTTTTCTCTGTCCTGATCTGTCAGATTTGGCACTCTTGAAAGAAAACTACTTTTAATCCCGTGATTCTGCAAATCCTGATTCTTCTCTTAGCTTCTCTGACTCCTCTTGCTTTCCTCATTTTCCAGGGTCATACTTCCTAAGGGTCTCCCCTCTTCTTCCTGAACTCCCTCAGGGTATTTATCCATGTTTTAACTGGTATTTTTCATGGATGTCTTCCAAGTTTGTCTTGCCAGCCCAGCATTTCTCCTGAACTCAAGGTCAGCAGACCCATCTGCCTGCTAGATGTTTTCATTTGGATGTACTGCTGTATCCTCCTCCATCACAATGAGTTTTGATACCTCTCTTTCTGTGAGCCATTGTTTCTTCCGGACTACCCTGTTCCTGGCTGAAGGCGCCAGTGTCTTCCTACTCTTAAAGTCCAGAACCATCTTGGGCTCCTCCCTCTTCATCTTTGCTACACTCAATCTAACACATCAAGTCAGAGCAAATTTTGATCATGTATTTCCCTACTGTGGAAACCTTCTGTGTTTTCTTATTACTATTAAATTCATCACAAATCCCTCAGGTTGGTATTGAAGTGCTGCACCATGATGGGACCCCAACCAACCTGCGTTTCTAGCCTTCTTTCCCTCTATTTCCTGCCCACCCTGGGCCTCAGGTCAAGCAGATGACTCACCAGTCCTTCAGCAGTTTCCTATTCTCTGTTTTGGTTAGGCCATGTCCTCTGACTGTATGTTTAAGCCCCACCCTGTTCCATGACAATTACAATAACCATGTGTATCTCATTTATTCCTGGCATAAGTCTATATCATTATCCTCTTTTACATATAAAGGTACAGTGGAAAAGAGAGTAAGGAACTTCCCCAAGGTCACAACTGGCAACTGGCCAGGCTAGGACTCAGACCTCCATCTGACCACACGTTAATGACCCTCTAGCTCCTGTGAGAACTTCTGGGAGCACTTCAGCTATATAAGATCTTTCCCACCCTAGAGTCCTGCTAAGAACATGTATAACTGATGCCTGTAGAACTGAGTAACTGATGCCTGAATGAATAAAATAACAAGGTTTTGTAATAGATTTATAGAAAGCTCAAAGGAGAAGGAAGAATCAAGGATAAATCCAAGAGGCTAATAGCTTAAAGGACAGTAATACCATTGTCAAGGTGAATCACGTGAGACGAAGAGAGTTTAGTGGGTTGAGAACTACAATGATCTTGATGTTAAAGTATCCAAGTGTTCAAGTGAAGATACCCTGTAGGGGAAGTCACTAATGAACACATCTTGTTTGAGTGGTCATTTTAGAAATTATAGCTTAGTACAACTCCTTCCTTCCTTCTCCTGTTTCTCCCTCCTTTCCTTTCTATCCCTTTCTTTCCCTTCTTTACTTTCTTCCAGAAATATCAATAAGCCTTTTCTTAGTGCCTGTTGTTATGATGGTGCTTAGAGATTCTGAGACATATAATATACTACATGTAGTTCTTACCTTATTAATAGCACTCACACTTTTAAAAATACAATTTATTTACATGTCTCTCTCGTGAATACATTATCATTGTCTTGGGTTTGTGCATTGTATTTAATTTGATTTTTTGTCCTCAGTTCTAAGCACAGTGCCTGGCACTTTGTGTGTGCTCAAATGATAATGAGTAAGAGGTGAGGAGTAGGGGAAAGGGTATTACAGGTTAAGACCAGTGCTTCTCAAATTATTATGCACATACACATCACCCGGGAATCTTGTTAAAATGCAGATTCTGATTCAGTAGGTCTCAGGTGGGGCCTGAGATTCTGCATTTCAAATGAGCTTCTAGATCTTTGTTACTCAAAATGTAGTTTGAGGACCAGCAGCATTGGCATTCAAGTTCAAGAAGCTCGATAGAAGGGGTAATGTTCTAGGGAGAAGCAGGAAGTTTAGTATGGCAAGCATAGCACATGGGGTGCAGGGATGGGGAGAGGTAAGGTCAAAAAGGGAGAGAAGGACCAGAGCCTACAGATCCAAATGTCTACATGAGGCAGTGGGAGGTATAGTGAAAAGCTAATGCAACTGGACTCAGACATACATGAGTTCTAATCTCACCTTGGACAAGTAATAGCTGTATGCTTTCCGTATCCCTAGGCCTCATGTTCCTTGTCTATCAAATGAGAATAAGGAGAACACAATGTCTTTTTTATGAGATTGTCATGTGCATGAGCTGAATGTAAATCTCCTACTACAATGCCTGGCCTGTGGTAGGTACTCAATAAATGGTAGTGAGCATTGTCACCATTGCATGTGAGGGACAATGTGATAGAGAAAACATAATCCCTGCCTATAGGAATTTCCAAAGTGGTCCGTTTCCAAAATGAGCCTCCTGGCTATGGCCCCTCCATTTTTCCTGTTTCAGTTTCATGACTGACGTGGGTAAATAGTCAATTGGTTGCACAGCTTGAGGCCCTGGGTGGGATTACCACTTGCAGAGAAACCCAGGTCCCTAAAACCATCAGCAGAAGGTCATTACCTTCTCTGGATTTGCTTTGGACTGATTCACATTTCTTTTAGTCACCTTTCCTCTTTTTTCTCTTCTTACTTCACCCATAGGTTTCCCTACCAAACACTGTCTGATCTTGGATAAGGTGTATTTTACCGTGATCCCTCTGCATGGGTCAGAGACTGGGATTTAGTCTGAGGATTTATCCAGCGTCATATTAGAGCAGCAGCTCAGTGCTGGTGCATGTCTGCAGGCGTTCCTCATCAGCAGGGTTGGCGGCTGTCCAGCTTGCTGCTGTGTGGAAGGCAGAGTCACCCCTTGTCCTCTCCAACTCCCTTGCCATTGCCACTATTCAATCCTCATTCACTAGGAGATCCACTGGTCTCCAAAGGGTCTACACTGCAGGAGAAGAAGGATATAAGAGAATTTCTATTTTCCATTATTTTAAACATTTTATGTTAAAATTTATATTTGATGTATGTTTTATTTATTTATCAGTGTTGTGCTACTGACATATATCATTTATAAATAAATAAACCTAAATGGCAACCACTGATCTAGACAATTGCAATTCCTTCTAACTGATCTCATCTCAATCCTTTTTTTTATATTACACTCTGAATTATCTTTCAAAAACACACTTCTTATTGTTCACTGGCTTATCTGAAGCCATTCATTCACTTATTCATGCATTCATTCATTCATTCACTTGCTGAGCAGCTGCCATCTGTCAGCCGTTGAATGAGGTGCTGGACAGATGAAGACAGACAAGATACTGCCCTTGTCCTTACAGAATTCAGGGCTCCTTGTGACCTCCTGCTCCCCCGGGTGGTGAAAAAGACTTTGTAATCTGGCCCCTTCCTACAGCCTAAACTCTCACCCCTCCACTCACATTTAGCCACATCAGGGTTCTTAGTGTTGCCCAAACAGTTTGCCATGTGCTTTTTATTTTTCATCCCACAAGCATGTACACTCTGTGAGGGCAGGGGTCCTTGCCTTTTTGTTCACTAATTAATCCCAAAAGCTTAGTACAGCACCCAACATAGAGTGGACACTTAAATATTTATTGAATGCATGAATGCCTTGCATATGTTGATTCCTCTTCTTTGAGGTCTTTCTATCTGATGAATGTCTGTCCACCCTTTAAAAGTCACTTCCTCTGTGAAGCCTTGAAGCCTCCCTGCTCCCTGGCCCCCACATACATACCCTCCCATGCACAGTGAGCTCTTTTTCCTGGCTGCTCTGGTGAATATTCCTCCACATTAGCAATTGCCAGGGTGTCCTGCAACTGCTTGTTTATGTGTCAGTGTCTTCTGCTAGTGTATATGCTCCTTCTGGGGTTGTCACTATATGTTTTTCATTTTTATATCCTGGTGCCTATTTCAGACTAAATATTTAATAATAGTTTCAGAAAGGAAAGGGGGATGGAAGAAGTGAAAGCTGATGTCCTTGTAGATCTTGCTGGGTAGAGAAACTGTGATGTATAAAGGGCTAGGTCAGGCCCTGGTGGTCTTCCCTTCAATCACCCTCTTGTAAAGTATTGAATTTTGCCCCCTGGAAGAGATCTTGAAGTTCAAACCCCCAGTAACTCAGAATGTGACCTTATTTGGCACAGTGTTGTTGCAGTTGTAATTAGTTAGGAGGTCATGCTGGAGAAAGTGTGCCTTTAATCTAATATGAGTCGTCAGTCCTTATAAGAAGACACCGGTGCACTGAGAGAATACCATGTGATGACAGAGGCGGAGACTGGAATCATGCAACCAAGGAAAGTCAAGGATGGATGGTCACCACCAAAAGGAAGAGGCAAGAAAAGATTCTACCTGGAGTCTCGGAGGGAGCATGCCCTGCTAACACCTTGATTTTGGACTTCTAGCCTCTAGAACTGGGAGAGAATAAAATCTCTGTTGTTTAAAGCCATGCAGTTTGTGGTGCTTTGTTGTTACAGCAGCGTAGGAAACTGGAACATCTCCCTGACTTCAGCTGAGGCCACCAGCTCCTCCCTGCAGGCTCAGCATCACCCCTGCCTGGACAATTAAGTTACACCTGACTAAGGTGTGCCAGAGGCCCAGCGACACCCTCTGAGCCTTAGCAGTGCCAGCGTATCCTGGTTGTGGGCTGAATCTGATCTAGAGCCTTGTTCCCAAGGCCCACTTTGGTCTCTGGTCCTTGTCACAGAGTTTCCACGTCTTTCCTAGGATCCACTCTTTACCCTATGCCCCACTTCTAAGAACTGGCATCCCTCTGTTTTCTTGAGTGTCCCAACGGGATTCTCCACATTTGCCCTTCTCCTTTGCCCCTAACCTACTTTTTTCACACAATAATCAACATGATCTTTTAAAAACTGGAATAAGATTGTGTCACTTATTCTCAAAAAACATTTCAATGGCTTCCTACTTCTCTTGGGACCCCATTTTCAGTCTTACCATGTGGTGTGACTGTGATAAGCTACTTCATGAGCTGGCTCCTGGCTGCCTCTCCTGCATTATCTTGTACCATGTTCTGTCTCATCTGTTCCATCTGCACATTTTCCTTCTTTCATGTCACTGAATGAGTCAAGCCTCACTTTCTACCTCAAGGCCTTTGTGCAAACTCTTTCTTCTGGTGAGATCAGTCTTCTTCCTGTACCCCTGTCCTGACCTCCAACCTCTAACCTCCACCCTCTAGCCTCTGCACATTCACATAGCCAACTCATCCTTTAGACTTCGACCTAAATGCTGTACCCTCAGCAATGCTTTCAACCCCGCACACCCAGCCAGGGCTCATTTTTGTGCATTCTTAAAGCCCTCTGGACCTCTTTCCCTCAGCACTTATATGAGTAATTAAATAATCATTTCTGTGATTATTTAATTAATTTTTTTTTTTTGAGGCAGAGTTTCATGCTTGTTGCCCAGGCTGGAGTGCAATGGCGTGATCTCAGCTCACTGCAATCTCCGCCTCTCAGGTTCAAGCAATTCTCCTGCCTCAGCCTCCCGAGTATCTGGGGCTATAGGTGTGCGCCACCATCCCTGGCTAATTTTTTAAATATTTTTAGTAGAGATGGGGTTTCACCATGTTGGCCAGGCTGGTCTTGAACTCCTGACCTCAGGTGATCCACCCACCTTGGCCTCCCAAAGTGCTGGTATTATAGGCATGAGCCACCACGCCTGGCCTGCAATTATTTAATCTGTCTTCCTTGATAGATTATAAGCTTCATGAGGGTAGAAACTATGTTTAGTTTTTTCATTGCTGTTTCCCCAGCCCTCAAAACAATGCCTGATACCTAGTGACTATTGAGAAAATATTTGTTGAATAAATGAATGAGGTTGAGACCTTGTCTTGGTAACCTGCTTAGTATCCCAGTCCTTCTAGAGACGTTGTCCTACTTCACTCTCAACACTCCCTCACTCCCTTGAGTGGGAGAAAGATCCCCTAACTCCACCTTAGTGCAGGGGCCATGCTAGTTACTCTCAGACTTCCTTCGCACTACCTGCTTCTGGCTGCTCCTGGATCTGTTTGTTATGTCCCCTGCCAGGGCATATTCATCGTTCCATCTTGGAAGCTCTAGTGCCAAGGCCAGGGCTCCTTGATGCCGTGTTATACCTGTGGGACTAGAAACATTTCTCTCTGCACTTGCTTTGGGATCTCCACATTAGTTCCAGGTCCCACCCCTCCTGGTCTGCCCCATCCAAATTGTGTCAGGGTCAAGTGTCTGCAGACACAACAAGAGGATTCGAGAAGCCAGTGATGGGATCTTCAGGGATCGACTGTTCAGGGAGTGCTGCTGTATGCTGTGTTTACTTAGAAAATGCAACGTGTGCCTCAGTTCAGGCTAAATAAACACAACATGAGGGCAGAAACCTTCATGGCATTTACCACTAAGATAAGTAATTATTTTTATTACTGCTAGAAACTATTGATTTACGAATAGAAAGGAAGTCCAAATCACATTAAAATAAATGGAATGAGCAGGAAGAAAGGAATAAATAGGAAGAAATAATACAAAAGGGAAGGAGAAAACCTGAGAATCCCTTTACGTTGGGTATTGTGTTTACTGGAAGAGAAACTAATTTTATCTATATCACTCAATAAGTATCACACACAGTGGAAGCAAAATAACGTTAGTGTTTACACTTCCTGAGGCGGCTGGGGACAATAGCCACAATCCTGCACTGACTTGAGATAAGCATCGAGCAGGTCACACAGCACAATTTCATTTCCCAAGCCCCTCGTGGTGCTAGATGGGGAAGGCTATGCTATTTCCCTAAAATGTTTGAAGCACAATTGATTATGTCTTACATAAGCCCTCAGGCTGGCACTGGGAGCTTTATAGGAAAGTGTGCATCTGAGACTTTTTGCCTTTCCATTAACAAAGGACTGGTAGTGGTAGTAACTCCTTTGGTGTTGGGCAAGTCACAGAAATTCTTTGAGCCTCAGCTTCTTTGTTTGCATTTGTAATTCAAAAATATCTTCATGGCTGTTTCCAGATTTCCTCCTGTTTTTGTCTTTGGAAACCCCTTGATAACTGCCTAGGACAAGAGATGAGTATCTGATAAGGAAATTGAGATCTCATAAAAAGATGCTAGTCAGTTCTTTCATAGAAATGAATATGAGTTTGGGGGATGGGAAGAGACTAGGATAAAGAGAAGACAAGGGAGAGAGGAGAGAGTGAATGGCCTACTAAGATGTGTATGGAGATCTACCCATTAGAATAGGGAGGTCCGATATTCAGTTTTAAGTGGTTTCTATTATACTTTCATGTGAGAGACCCACTTCTCCGTATCTCCAAGTCTTCAACACAGTATGCTTTACATACACAGTCCCTGCATGTATATGTGTGTGTCTGTACGTAGATTGAAGAATAAGAATGAGTTCTAAAGCTGGGTTAATTCTAGGGCAAATCTATAGAAACAACTATGAGACAAAGTGGAGACCAAGAGTTGAGAAGTTACATGAAGTCAGAGTCAAGGGAGACTATGAGGACATAAGCCCCCTGAAATTGACAGAAATCTTGAAAAGGAAATTGGATTTCCTAGTGACATGGGATGAGAATTTAAGTCAATCTAAATCTTTCTCAAGGAGAAGGAAAACCTGAGCACACCTGGGTCACATATAAAATGAGAAAAATAAGGATGACACAAGAGCAGAAATCTTTGTGGACACCACCTTCGGAATGAGTAATTATTTTTATTACTGCTAGAAACTGCCCTGCCTTGATTACCTTATATGGTTGTCATGAGTTGAGAAGAATAATGCATGTGAAAAGATTATTGATGTCAGATATTGTTGTTACTATTTTAGGGGACTTAAAGCCTTCTCTGCTTGTGTCCCAGACTTTATCACCCAATTTCCAATCTGGAAAGCATTACACAAAGGTTATTTTTTTTTATTCTTGTTTGTTGGAGATCAAGGGCCACCCCATGGGACAGCATCTTCCTGAGCATGCTATGGTAATAGCTAAAATAAATGCAAAGCTGAGCAATTTGGCAGCGGTCTAGAGAGACTGAGCAATTTCCTGCTTGAAAAAGAAATTAAAATACTACATTAAACTTATGAAAAAAATGAGTGACCAATCAGAGGCAATTCAGCTCCTTTTCTAGATGAGAGAGAGTGATGGGTCCTGAAAAGGGGATTCTAAAGAAGTTCTCAAGGTAAGGAGTAGAAGCAAAAGCCAAAGTGATCTTCTCTGTTTCTCATTTATTTATTTATTTTAGAGACAGGGTCTTACTCTACCACCCAGGCTGGAGTGCAGTGGTGCGATCATAGCTCACTGCAGCCTCAACCTCCTGGGCTCAAAGGATCCTCCCACCTGGGCCTTCTGAGTAGCTGGGACTACGGGCATGTGTTACCAGGCACAGCTAATTTTTAAACATTTTTTTTGTGGAGACAAGGTGTTGTGATATTGCCCAGGCTGGTCTTGAACTCTTGAGTTCAAGTGATTCTCCTGCTTTGGCCTTCCAAAGTGCTTGGGTTACAGGCTTAAGCCACAGCACCCGGGCTTCTGTATTTGATCTAAGGTTTACAGGGATGTAGAAACAATTGAGCAGAATGTGTAAAGGTGAAGACATCTGAGCAGAAATGGTAAAAACCAAAAAACAGACTGGGAAGTTAGTGTGATGAGATATGTGCCAAACAACAAGAAAACCACTCCCAGGCACATTAGACGAGGGCAGTGACCCCCAACACCACCCAGGTGGAAGCCACTGTCACCATGGAACTGGCAGGCTTTGTCCAGAAGATTAGATGATTTCTAAGATGTAAAATGGTAAACTTTCCAGGCATCAATCGGGAAATTGTAGGGCTCTCCTCGTTTGTTTCCTCTCTTTCAGGAAAGCCTATTCTTTACTTCCTGTTGTCCAATGTCTGAAATCTTGTTTCATAAAGTTTGTTCAGTTTTTAAATTATTTAAGGAGGGAAAGAAACTTAGGCTATTTTTATTCCATCTTGGTTGGAAGTGAAAGTAGACATAAAATAGCTTAAGGTGAAATTGCTTAAAGATCTGACTTTTATGGAGCCTCAGATTCAAAAAATAATGCCATGTTCATGAAATCCTAGAACATGAAAACCCTAGAGTATCTAGGGAGCAAGAGGACAATCTCAACATGCCTAAAATCTGCACAGTTTGTTCCTTTCTGCCTCAGATAGAAGCACATGCTGGGCCCTGCTGAAAGCTTTGCTAGAGTAAGACAGAGGAGCCCCCAGTCATCACTGGATTCTGAGGCTCTGAGCTTACCCTTCATTTCAGTGAATCCACCTGCCCCACCCAGGGCCCTGGTCGCAGTAGATTTGCCTGGTTTCCTTGAAGACTATTTCTACCCACATTTCAAGGGAAACAGGCCTGAGCCCCATGGGGCCTACTAACACCTCAACATTAAAATTCAAGACTGAGACATGAAGCCATCCTCCCAGGGCTTCAATTCTGGCTGGCCATAGGAGATGATGAGGAAGTAGGACAGAGTGAGTTTAAAACACAATTAACTCTGTAGCAGCAGACTTATGATAAATTACTTTCTTTCCTTACAGAAATTCAGATTTCCTGGGTTGGAGGGACCTGTTGAAATAAGGAGTAAGAGCTGGGCAGCTTCCTGTGCTGTAGGGGAACTGATGGCCTGGATGGTTGAGCATCCCTGATGACTGCCCTCTGGGAAAAAGATCTTGAAATAGAATTCTCAGGAGGCTAAGCCTCTCCCCGAGGCTTAGAATCCTTGTTTCAGAGAGTCTGGCCAAATGGCCTAGAAGATTCTTTTCTGGTACTCCTTGGAAGTCAATATCATTTCCCTTCCAGTTTCTTTTTATTGAATCAGAGAATAGAATTGAATAGAAACCAATATCAAGGAGGTGCAGTCAGGGTGGCCATGACAAGGGAAGATTCCGCCTCCTTGAGTGACCATGAAGCCTTTTTTGTTAGGGCAAACTGTGATGGTTCCTATAATGATGATACATTACTGTAGTGATGACAGACACCAGGTGTCATTTCTGTGCACAATACATAGCAGGCCCTGTTGATTACAGAGTATGAGCACAGGTGTGTTCAATGCTTCTGAATCAGCAGCAGTGCCCAACATAGGTCAGGACACACAATAGGTATATAGCAAATGCTCACTGAATGAACAAGCCAGAGAGTTCCATAATTGTCATGGACTTGGACAGGGCCATGTTTATTGAGCTCTTCCCGGGTGGATGGCACCAACAATGTGTCATACAAAACTCAAAACACCTCACCTGCCACAGGGAGTTTTCCATTCTGGGAGTAAAAACTGTAGTACAAAGTTGTCATCTCTACAAAAGCAGTGTCTCACAAGTCCCTGGAGAAAGAGATCACTTCATTCTATCTTTTTGCTTAAACAGTAGCCCTCTGCGGCACTATCTGTCTGTTTTCTAATCAGCATGTTCTGAAACCCTTCCTATGTTTAGGACATTTTCTGCATTGTAAATCTCACCTCCTTAAAAGGAAAGCCAGATATTTGCTTTCCCACTTCCTTGCAGCTAGAGCATATTTACCAGATCCAAGTTTTGCCAATCAGACCCATGGATGGAAGACTTCAATTAGGGAAAGAACAGAGTGAGGAAGCAAGGGCTGTAACCATTTTCTGATGAGGATAACTATGGGGCACTTGGTTGTTAGGGGTAACAGAGGCAGAGTTTTGGGCTTCCAGGGCCCAGTATCAGGGCTGTGGTCTCCGTTGGAGCCAACCACAGTGTGGTCCAAGTGTTTTCCCTGATCATGTTACCTCCAAGCCTGGCTTTCTGACCCTCCTGGAGGTTTTCTGAGCTACCCAATATCTTTTAATAAATTCTTTTTCTGCTTAAGGTAAATGGAGGCGGTTCTGCTATGTGTAACTGAGAACCTGATAGATAACTCCTCTTGGTTGTTGGTTGTTAAGGGCCAGTGCTTCCTGTTTATGTGAATGCAAATTAAACTCATTTGTTCTGTGATTCAAGGTACAACTTTCTAAGGGTTGCTAGGTCAGAATGAGCAAGCAGGTCCCAAATTACCCTTGAAGGAGTGAGTAGAAATCTCACTTCTGAAAGCTTCCTTACAGTTTCTGCATTCTAAATATACTCAGAATGAATCACATTAGTTTGCTTCTGTGCCTGGACCATCCAGTTTTGGTAAGTACACCTGGATACCCAAGCCAGGGACGTGCAGTCATCCCAGACTCTTCCTCTCTCTCACCTCCCAGTCACAAGCTTCTAGAATTTCATTTCATTACTATTGTTTAAGTTATTGCTCTTCTGCACATCCCGACAGCTCCTGCCCTGGCTTAGACCTCCATTCATAGTATGTGCCTCCCCGTTCAGCTCCCTGCCTCTAGCCTCTTCACATTTCAGGCCATCTTCCATGTCACTCAATTTAGTTAGGTCACTCTCCCTTCTAGGAGGAGACGAGTTTTTGAGCTTCTTTGTGATCTTGCCCCAGACAACTGTTTTAAACTCACTTCCTGCTACTTTCTCATCATCTCCTGTGTCCAGCCACCCACCAGTCTCCAAACACCAGGTTCTCATTGCAGCATCTTAAGAGTGCACTGCTCTTTCTTCTCGAAATGTCCTTTATCAAATCATGCATTTGGCATACTCCTACTCATCCTTCAAGATTTTGTGAGAATGCCACCAACTCTGGGAGACAGATTCTGCCATTTCCAGCAACGTGAAGTGCTTTTGTTCCCCCCCTTTGCTCCCAAGGCACCATTCCCCATTCTTCTAGTATATCACTTAACCACTTCAGTGTTGTTATTGACTGAAGCATGTATCTTTCCATTAGACGATGAGGATGTGAGAGGTAGAGCTGGAGTCTTCTTCATCTATGAATCTCCAGGGCTGAGGATGGTGCCTGACACTTAGTAGGTACTCAGCTCATTCTTAAGAAATTAATTAATTAATCAATCAATCATAAAAGCAATTTCAGGAAAGAACCTTGAAACTAATCTAAAACTTTGGGAACCTGCACTTCCAAATAGAGGCTGTTATTAAAGTAATACGATTCTATTCACTCCAACCATACATGTCTTCTCTTCACTGGGCCAAAGGCACCCTCACCCCCCAGGGGAATTTTTCTGCACAGGCAGCTTAAAGGCAGACCCAGAAAAAGAAATTACATGTACCTGCTAATTTACAAACACCTAGATATCTGGAATAGTAACTAACACAGAGCTCACTAATAGTTGAGTAATTAATAGTTAAACATTGGCATTTAACAAAATGATGTTTTCCCCCTTTTCTACCCAAGCAATGAGTTTAAGTTGAAAATGCCCAAAATGGCTTGAAATGGGAGGAAATCATTCCAGACACCACGTGTATTTAAAAGGCAGTGCCACTTGTGGGCGTTCTTCATTGCTATCATTAACCACAACGGTAACAGCAAGCATTTACTGAACCCCCACCAGCCAAGGCAGAGGTGCAGAATTGAAGGCAGGGCCACTTTCACAAAAGACTCTCATACAAAAACAAATTATGCCTGCAAATTAAATAAATTTGAAGGGAGACAGGTGATAATTCACAATCCAAAAAGACCCTTAGCTATACCAAAGGATCTCCCACAGGGCTCTTTTGAATAGGAAACTCTGTGAGAGCACTTAAAATATCATTGAGTTTATAAGGAATCGATTAAGAACTAATTCTTTTAGAAACCAATCTATTGCACAATGGGGGTGTAGCTCCCTTTAGAATTGCAGCTCCAATTTTTGCCTTGTCAGCAACCTTCACACAGCAACACTATGCAAAGGAAAGTATATGGACAGGGTCTGGAACCTGGGCTTGAGTCTGGCCTTTGGCCATGCTGACTGAGCATAGGCAAGCTAGCCTCAGTGTTTTCATCTGAAACTGGGACAAACAATCTTGGAGCAAGAGGTGAAAAAGAGACTGAATGTGAAGGGGCCCATGACATAGGTGGTTGTTCATTCATTAGCTTGCTAGGACTAGCATAATAATTTACCACAAATTGAATTACTTAAACAACAGAAATTTATTGCCTCACAGTACTGGAGGTTGGAGATACGGGATCAAGGCGTTGGTGGGAGTGGTGCCTTCTGAGGGCTGTTCCACATCTCTCCCCTAGCTTCTGGTGGCTTGCTGGCGATCTTTGGTTTTCTTGGCTTCTGTTGTGTCACCCCAATCTTTGCCTATATCATCATATAGAGTTCTCCCTGTGTCCACATCCAGTATGACCCCATCTCAACAGATCTGTAATGCCCCGATTTCCAAGTAAGTTCACATTCTGAAGTACTGGGGGTTGACACTTTAACATACTAATTTTGGTGGGGCACCCAAATCACACCATAACAACTCATTATTGTTC
Source organism: Homo sapiens (assembly GCF_000001405.40). Lineage (NCBI taxonomy): Eukaryota > Metazoa > Chordata > Mammalia > Primates > Hominidae > Homo > Homo sapiens. Next base: position 166,184,816 of record NC_000001.11, read on the forward strand.
TCAAGTCACTGAAATAACAGACAAACTGTGTTTTTCTCTGTTAGATATTTTGCTTTTCTTGGCTAGATGTTGCCAAGTGAAAGGTATTTTTATAGAAACAATAGCAAGCCACAAAGAGAAGTGCTTGGACACAGAAATTCAAGGCAAAAGGGACATTTTAGCAGAGAACAGATTGGGTTACAACTTGGGCAGCAAATCCAGTAGCACTTTCATTTATTCCTGCCATCCTTTTCGGGAAAGGGAGTGTATTCAGCGTATTCATCAGCGTTTTGGTCACATCCTCCTTACCACATTGAGGAGTACGAGGGAGGCCTGGCATTCTTCTTGTAATGACTCACTTTTTTGCAGGAAGATTTCTCACACACAGGAATAATCCTTCTGTCAGGTAGAGACAGCCCTCTGCCTCCAGAGTTCTGCCAAACCAGTTACAGAAACAACGAATCGGTCATTCCTTTCTAAGCATGGGTTTTATTATTCTCCCAAAAAAGTAAATTGATGCTACTGTCCTATAGATTCTATTACTGTTGAGTTGCTGGAGATTTGGAGATCAGAGGCTGGAAGAAATAACTCTGGAGGCTTTAAAGTCTGTGACATACTTGTTTTGTGTTCTGGCCCGCACAGGGATCCTGAGTTATTTGGGTATATAGTGGTAATGGCCCCATTTGTTCCCATCTTCCTGCATTCGTGCATTTGATAATGATCTCCCCCACTGCCTTTTGGTACAGCCAGGTGTCTTGCTTTTGTCAAAGGGAGTAGCTTGAAAAGAACTTGTGCTTTAGGGTTTATCCTTCTGCTGCTCTTGCAGCCTCTGCCTCTGCCACTGCTTGATCAAGCTCAAGCTAGCCTGCTGGAGGAAGAGACACCACATGGAACGGAGACAAGCTGTCCTAGCTGAACCATATTTGATTAACCAGCCAGCTCTGCAGCCGATCACAGACGTGTGTGGGAATCCAGCTTATATTGGCTGAGCCTGGCCCAGGCTGGCAGAATCGCCCCACTGAGCCAAGCCCAAATTGCAGATTCTCATATTTGTGAGCTAAAATAATGTTTGTTTGTTTGTTTGTTTTGGGTTGTAAGAGACTTGGTTTTGGGGTGGTTTGTTGTATAGTAAAACCTTACTAAACACAGATATTTCCCCAAAGGTTTTTCTAGAGTCTAGTACCACTGGTGAGATCATGTGTTTTGAGATTTTAGGAACAGTTTTCTATAAAGCTGGGTGAAATTAATAGATAATAGATCCTAGGCTAGGAGGTGGGACACCAATCATGCTCTCCATCCTTTGGGAGCACAGGCTTTGGAGTCAACTGACTTCAAATCATGCCACCGTGTCAAGGTGGGGTAACAGGTATAATAAGCAACATAAAAATCTCTGTGCTTAACACAATAAAGATGTATTCCTTTTCCATGTCAAGGTCCAGTTATATATATTTAGTGTCTTATACATGTACAATCAGCTGCGGAGTTGGCTGGGGGCTGGTTAATATAAGAAAGCTCAGCTGGGATGTCTTGTCTCTGCTCTATGTGGTATCTTATCCTCCAGAAGACTAGCTTGAGCTTGATAATACTTATATATGTATATCGCTATGCAGAGATTCAGGGACTGTGATAGTTAATTTTGTGTGTCAACTTGACTAGATCACAGGATGCCCAGATCTCTGATTAAACATTATTTCTGGCTGTTTCTTTCAGGCTGTTTCCTAAACAGATTAGCATTTGAATCTTTTTACTATGTAAGAAGATCACCCTGGCCAGGCGTAGTGGCTCATGCCTGTAATCCCAACACTTTGGGAGGCCAAGACCAGCCACTTAATTGAGCTCAGGAGTTCGGGACCAGTCTGAGCAGCATGGCAAAACCCTGACTCTACAAAAAATACAAAAATTAGCTGGCATGGTGGTATGCACCTGTAGTCCCAGCTACTTGGGAGGCTAGGTGGGAGGATCACTTGAGCCTGGGAGGTGGAGGTTGCAGTGAGCCATGATTGTGCCTCTGCACTCCAGCCTGGGTGGCAGAGTGAGACCCTGTCTCAAAAACAAACAAATGAAAAACCCCAGAAGATAGCCCTTCCCAATGTAGGTGGGCCTCATATAATCCTTTCAGGGCTAGAATAGAACAATAAGGTAGAGGAAGGGAGGATTTGATGGCTTTCTCCCTGAAGGCTTGAGCTGGGACATCAATATTCTTTTGCCCTCAACTCTGTGGCTCTTAGGCCTTCAAATCTACCCAGAGGAAAACAAGTCATTATATGAAAGAGATATTTGCACACCCATGTTTATAGCAGCACAATTCGCAATTGCAAAATCGTGGAACCAACCCAAATGCCCATCAATCAACAAGTGGAGATATATATATATATATATGAGATATATATATCTCATAGTTTATCCACTATCTATATTTATCTATATATATCTATATATGTATCTATATATCTATATATATCTATCTATATGTATATCTATATACATATCTATAGATATATATCTCTATATATATCTCTCTATATATCTATATATATATCTATAGATATATAGAGATATATATGATGGAACACTACTCAGCCATAAAGAGGAATGAATTAATGGCATTCTCAGTGACCTGGATGAGACTGGAGACTATTATTCTAAGTGAAGTAACTCAGGAATGGAAAACTAAACATCATATGTTCTCACTGACATGTGGGAGCTAAGCTGTGAGGACGCAAAGGCATAAGAATGATACAATGGACTTTGGGGACTTGGGGGGAAGGGTGGGAGGGGGGCGAGGGATAAAAGACTACAAATAGGGTGCAGTGTATACTGCTTGGGTGATGGGTGCACCCAAATCTCACAAATCACCACTAAAGAACTTACTCTTGTAACCAAACACCACCTGTACCCTAATAACTTACGGAAAAATAAAAAATAAAGTTTTTTAAAAAAGATGGTTCTGTTCAGTTGTCTTCTTGTCCAAATGCATAAGTCCAACTCTGGGTGGATCAATTATTCCCACACACAACTCCTTTTCCAAATGTCTCACATTCTTACATATTTATGTTAGTGGTACCGTTATTCTCCCAGTCTGAGTAATCTTCAGCCCTTTCTCTTTTATTTTCTGTAGTTATTCAAGTTCTTTTCTTTTCTATCTGCCCTGGTTTGGACTCAGGTCAGCTTGCATCACACTCCCTATAACCCATCTGTGCTCTGCTGCCAAATGAACCTTCCTGAACACCACCTTCATCATGTTATGTCTCCCCTGAGAATCTGCAACTGCTTCCTGCCGCTATTGCATCACGACAGCCTCTCTTAAGGCCAGAGGAGGCTAGAGCCAATGATATGGAAGCTCCCAGCTTCCAACTAAAGATTTTTTTCTCAGATCTATGTCTAAGCCTCATTGTTCAGGAGAAAACATGTAAATGGGGCAAAAGAAACACCATTTTTCCTCCAAACCCGAGAGGGCTGAGCTGACAAGTTTAGGGGCCCAACAGACATTTCTTGAATAGAGAAAATAACTTTTGGATAGTGTTTGAAAATATAACTTCCTTAAATGATATAATTTGCCCATATTCATTCATTGATGCCACTTTAGTTATCTGTAGCTACATTAGTAAACTATCCTAAAATTTAGTGGCTAAACACAACTATCTTATTTTATAGTTCTGTGAGTTGATTGGGCTCAGCTGGGCAGTTCTTTTGCCCTCTCTCTTGGGTTCTTTTAGGCAGGGATAGTCAGAAAGAAGCTTGGCTGGTTTGCTGGGACAGTGGGGCCTCTTTCTCTCTTCCTGTAGGCTTAGAACCTGTGTCTCCCCATGTGGCCTCTCCAGGTCATCTTTCAATGTGGTCTTCCCAGAAGGGCAGCCAGACTTCTTATGTGGAGGTGCAGGGTCTCCAAAAATGTAAACGTGGAAGCTTCCAGGCTTATAACACATAAGCCTCTAATTGGCACCATGTCAGTTCTGCTATTTTTGTTAATTAAATCAAATCTCAGGGAAGCCCAAATTTAATGAATTCACAATAAAAGTGTGAACATGGAGAGGTGTGGCTCATTGGGAGCCATCTTTGGAGACGAGCTACTGCCTGTGGCTGTTCATGATTCGTGAACTTCCTATATAAAAAATACACTCACCCTTGCAAATCTCATTCCAATATGGTATCAGCTTGAAGTCCAGGATATTGTGCACTAAATCATGTCCCAGAATGGGGCTTTTGGGATGAAGTTCCTTATGTGCATTTTCTCAGTTGCAAGGACCAAGGAAAGAAAAGGACAAGTATCTATATCTCACTCACTAACATTTAGTTAGTTGAAAATGAGACAAGAAAATGACAATTGACTTTCCTGTTCAAAAAGAGGGGAAAAAAGGAGAGATGATCAGTCACTGATTCATAGCAATTCTGAAATCCAGCCTGACACATGTCCCAATTTTTCTGACTTGAAGCAAGGGATATTCCTGATGAAGGCTCACTTTTGTTCTTTAGAAGTGGTTCTGCTCAGCTTTTGGTCTCACCCTCTGGGATTCGAGCTCTGCCTCTGAGTCATACTTCCTTTGTCACAGAAATGGCGCACATTTGTAGCTGCATATCTGTAATCCTGCTTTCTGCCCTGTGGGAAGTTGGGGCCCAAAGCAAGAGAAAATTGTGGTGGCTCACCTCAAACATGCCTCAGTGAACCATGCCTCCTGGTACTCATGCCCTCCTGTCCCTCCCTTACCCACTGAGTCTGGGCTGGCCCTGTGGCCTGCTTTAATCAATGGAAGATGGCAGAAGGAACACAGCCAGCTCTGGGCAGAATCAAGCTCTGAGTACAGTCTTGATTCTGTACTTTTGGGATTCCTAAGAATGTAAGAAGTCTATCTACCCTACAGGAAAGACCACACAGAGAGTCCACATAGAGGGGGAGAGGCCTGAGAATACACAAAGAGGGAGAGAGACCAAGTCATCCCAGCATGTCAGGTGAGCTTCCAGAAGCTCCATGCTATTTGAGTTTCCATTTCATGGAAAGTACATGTGAGAACCCAAGTAAGACTACAGAAGAACTTCCCATGGAGCCTAGCCAACCTATGGAACTGTGAGAGATAAGAACATGAATGTCTTTTTAAGTCATTAGAGTGGGGTGGTTTTCTTTGCAGCAATAGATAACCGAAACATATGTATTCACTTACTGAAAGTTATTTAACTATCCATTGGTGCCTGATATCCGTCTGTGCCTGATATTGTGTTAGGCCAAATAGATGCAAAGCTAAATAAAGCATGGATTCTAAACTCTATCTTGTTTATATATGTTTGTTGGTGAAAAATCTTTGTAAATAGAACCATTTTAATGGCAAAATATTTATGTTTAAAATATACTTGTAGTGAATCCTTTCATAAAAGAAATAACTACTCTGAGATGTGTCATATTTTTCATTTTCTTCAGGTTAGACTTTTTAAATAGTGAAGTATTCCTGAGGTTTTAAAAATGTAATATAATTCAACAAATATTTTCTGAGTACTTATTATGTATGTCTTTTATATAACTTTAAAATCTATGTACTCAAGTGAGATTGGGTTGAAATTCAGGTACTGTTTTCCGTCTGACTTCTATTAGCTCACATGGGGTTTGTTGTCCTAAGTTAGTTGGGGATCCTGTTTTTGTCTATTAGCGTATATTCTTGTAACTATTATGCATCCCCTGACTGTTTTCTTATTACTTCAGCAAGAATTACACTCAGTTGTTCAGTTTTTAAATGACGTAATTAGCAGCACTATTTTACATTCTCTTTAAAATTCTGTCTTCAGTTGGACTCCCTTCCCATCACCCTCTCTTCCTCTCTGAGTGTTACTCAACATCCTGCTAATGAGTTCACGTTCCACCCTTGGCCCTCCACGAATTACTGTCCAGGCATTTGCAGACCTTCCTGCCTTAATTATTGGAGGAAAAAAAAATCTCTTCTTGGTTTTTCCTTGCTAGACTCTAATGGCTTTGAGCTTCCAGTCAACTTATGGCTCATAGGTCTTTGTTTTCACAAAAACAGAGACCATAAAGCAGAGAGGAGCCCTGCATATCATATAATTTTATAGATGAGCACACTTTGGACCAGGGAGCCAAGGGACTTGCTCACAGAATCACTGTCGCTAAGGGCAGAGCCAGGGCCAGAACCCAGAAGTCCTGGCTTCACTAATGCAGTGAATGCACTGTGAAACCTCATCATGCTGATGTAAACACACTCATTGATGATTGATTAATCAGCTTTTATTTATAATTATTGATGGACTTTAATGAAGCCTCTGCTCTATTTTCAGTCTTAGGCTGAAACTGGGGGAAAATAAGAGAAAAAAAGAGAAGCATGGTGGATTCAGAAATTGTAAATTATGTAGCAGTAGATCATAGTGTTTTTAGGGTTCAGAATTTTGGTGAACACTCTTGCACCTCATATTAATTTATTCAGTAAATATTTATTGAGCACCCACTATATGCATACATATAAGCATGCATGCACACATAAACCCAACACACATTTTACCTAGAAATGTGTGAAATAGTGTACAATATCCTCATAAATATCTTTATAATACATACAATTACAAGTTTCATGCCTGTCGCAATTAGTTGCTTCTTTGGGAAAATGGACACTGTGATTCATGGATATTTTCTCTTTCTAATAATTTGCATGTTCCCAGTTCTTAGAATTATCTGATCATTATATTTCATAATAAGGGATCTCAAATTCAAATGTGTTCCCAGGCCATGCAATCAGTATGAATAAGTGAAGCAGGCTGGGTGTTACACAGGTAGAGGAGGGGAGACTATAGCAGCCTTGAGACCACAAATCCTGTTTAAAGGGGGCAGTTGCTATGTCAGATGGTTGTGGTCATGTGGAAATTCAAGGGCCAGTATTTCTAAAACTTCTGAATTTTCAAGAGATGCTGGAAATCTTTAATTTTGTGCAAAATCTCCTGATTTTTAAAATGTTGGTGATCAACTAAAAAATGTAAAACCACTGTGTGGGCCAAACTAAACATGTTTACTAGACTCAACTCCTGGGCAGTTTGCCCCGTCACCCTGGTGTGTGCCTTCTTCATGGTCAGGGATAATGGTATCCGCGCTCCTCAGCCACGGGATTTTCTCATTTTCTGACAATTCTGTAAGTAAGAGCCTTGAGTGCAGTGGCTCTTACTAACTGACCTCTATGATGTGGTCAAACAATCACCCAACTATTTTCTTGGTCAGCCTCCAGTTGACATCATGAGAAAATAAAAATCCCTTACTAGACTAAATGGGGAAACAGTAGTTGCTTTTAAGACGATCCAAAAAGGGATTGCCTTTGCCTACTTTTTATTAGTTAGAAATGTATTAATTATTCTAGAAATTAAAATATAGGCCTGCATGCAGTGGCTTACACCTGTAATCCCAGCACTTTGGGAGGCCGAGGTAGGCGGATCACTTGAGTTCAGGAGTTCAAGACCAGCCTGGGTAACATGGCAAAACTCCATCTCTACAAAAATATATACAGAAATTAGCTGGGTGTGTTGGTGCACACCTGTAGTCCCAGGTACTTGGGAGGCTGAGGTGGCAGGATCACTTGAACCTGGGAGGCAGAGGTTGCAATAGTGTTGATCTTGCCACTGCACTCCAGCCAGGGTGACAGAGTGAGAACCTGTCTCAAATATGTATATATATATAATATATGTATTATTATATATAATATATATTATATAATATATAATATATACACACACACATATATATACACATATGATACATAGTATTGGCAGTGCCATCTGATGAGTGTGTTAGATGCCCATTCTTATATGGGTCATGCTAACACATCTATATATGCGTTTCTTCAAACCCCAAAATATTTATTAACCCCCAAATAAGTGTCTGGTATCGGCTCAAACTATTCAGTTCAAGGTCCTCAAAAGTCTCTTCAACTTCAAATTAAATTTTCTGTTCTCATTGCTTGTTTATTTCATTTGCTTATTTGTCAAATACTTAATGAGCAGCTTCTGCGTATCAGATACAGTTTTAAACACTAACACTATCACAGTGAATCACAGAGACATAGCCTATTCTCTCATAAAGCTTACACCTACTGAGGCAGCTGGGAAGAAAATAGTCAAGTACAGAAATGAATAAAAAAGACGGTTTCAAATAGTGATCGCTGTTATGAAGAAAGTAAAATGGGGAAATGTGATAACGTGATGAAGGGAAGGCTATTCTGTGGAGTTATTGGGGTGGGAACCTGAATAGTGTAAAGTGGGCAGCAATGCAAAGGGTTCCAGTCAGGAAACAGACCTGGGGCCAAAGCCTCAAGGCAGAGATGGGTTTGAAGTGTTCAAAGATCAAAAAGAAAACTTGTGTGGCTGGACTTCGTAGCCTGACTTCTCTCCAGCATTTGGAACTGTTTACAACCCTGGTCTTGGCACAGCACTTGCCTGCTTTCTGCTCCTCAAAATCCGTTTCTTTGTCTGGTTCTCTCCAAGGTCCTGAATATAGCCGTGCTTCCTTATGAAACTTACAATTTCAGGTAAATTTTAGATGCATAAAAGGGGCAAGGCTTACTACCTTCTTCTTAAAACTTAAGGCTTCCTTCTCTCTGGAACCCAGACACATTTTGTAATAGTCCAGAAAGATGATGTCCTGAACTACAGTGATAGTGGGTGTAGAATCATTGGTACCTGATACACATATTAGGCATATGTGTGTGGGCGTGGATGTGTGTTGTGGGAGTGTGGGGAATATTCAGGGTGGATGTTTCCAGAGCATCAAACTTGAATAACTGGGTAGTTAGTGATGCCACTCATGGAGATTCGGAAAGCAAGAGAAGAAGCAGGTTTCATTTAGTTGCAGAGCAGGGTGGGTGGGGACACATAGTGGAAGGTCAGACAGAATGAAAAGAGTGTTAAAAAGAAGTTCCTGAATCTGAAGCTGTGACTCTAGGAAATGGGCTCTTACTGCCATCTCATATTGGAATTCCAAATTAGGGTTGACATAATGAGAATATGGTTCTATAATGCTACTGGACTCTATTATTATTCTGTGTTAGAATAAAAAAATTTTATAGATTGGTCTAGAAACTTACTCAGCAATAAGAGAATTGCTTCTTAAAATCAGAATGCTACGAATGTTAAATATTTAAAAAGTTAAAAGTTGAGGCAATTCCCTGAGAAATTCAGGCCAGAGTTGTTTGGTGTCATTTCAATTTTCTTTCTACCCAACTAAGTAGATTTTATTAGCATAATCATTGGTTTTGAGAATTAGAGCACAGGTGGTAGACATGGCCATCATTATATCCTGGATAGTGTTCATCAATCATTACACAAAATTTATTAGGCACTTACTACCTGCCAGACATCATGATAGGTGTTAGGGATACAAAAATGAGTAAGGTACAGCCCTTGCCACAAAATTATCAACAAATCATACCTGTGCTGAACTTTCAAACCAGTGGTTCCTTTTCTCAACTGATAGATACTGCTTTCTAAAATAGTTTGTTAATGTATTAAGAGTGGATGTGGCAGGAACAGAAACCCAAATACCGTATATTCTCACTCATAAGTGGGAGTTGAACCATAAGAACACATAGACACAGGGAGGGGAACATCACACACCAGGGCCTGTCAGCGGGTGGGGGGCAAGGGGAAGGAGAGCATTAGGACAAATACCTAATGCATGCGGGGCTTAAAACCTTGATGACTGGTTGACAGGTGCAGCAAACCACCATGGCACATGTATACCTATGTAACAAACCTGCACATTCTGCACATGTATCCCAGAACTTGAAATAAAAAAAAAAAAGATTATGTTTGGGCTAGATGCAGTACTTTACTCTGGGAGGCTGAAGCGGGTGAACCGCTTGAGTTCAGGAGTTTGAGACAAGCCTGGGCAATATGATGAAACCCCATCTCTACAAATAATACAAAAATTAGCTGGGCATGGTGGCACTCGCTTGTAGTCCCAGCTACTTGGGAGGCTAAGGTGGGAGCATTACTTGAGCCCGGAAGGTGGAGGGTGCATTGAGCCAAGATCATGCCACTGCACTCCATCCTGGGCAAGAGAGTGAGACCCTGTCTCAAACAAAACAAACCAGAAAGAGTATGTGGGACCTGCTTGTGTTTACTATTTTGCCAAACAGCCCTACAATTTCGAGAGACTGTAGGTCATTTTGAAAAGGGAAGAAGTCGGCCAGGCGCGGTGGCTTACGCCTGTAATCCCAGCACTTTGGGAGGCCGAGGCAGGCGGATCAGGAGGTCAGGAGATCAAGACCATCCTGGCGAACACGGTGAAACCCCGTCTCTACTAAAAACACAAAAAAATTAGCCAGGCGTGGTGGTGGGTGGCTGTAGTCCCAGCTACTCGGGAGGCTGACGCAGGAGAATGGCGTGAACCCGGGAGGTGGAGCTTGGCGAGATCGCGCCACCACACTCTAGCCTGGGCGACAGAGCAGGACTCTGTCTCAGAAAAAAAAAAAAAAAAAAAAAAAAAAAAAGAAGAGGGAAGAAGTCTAGTAGTGGTCAAAACCTGCTTCTGATTATTTTTTCTTTAAGAGTTAATTCCAGTTGGGAATAGTTTGCTTGGTTGTTACTTATGACTCCTCTCACTTGGAACTCTGATACAGTAGCTCAAGGGCCTATATTCTGGCATTTTGATGGAATGGGTTTATTTTCTCAACCCTGGACACCAGTTGCTACTTGGGAAAGACAGCAGAGGAGTGAATCTCTCCCCTTTAGGCTCTTGGTAGCTCTGTAGAAAATCTGGCCACTGAGCTGGCCCAGGCTCTGTCATTGCCCTCCCTAATGGTTGTGTGTATGTGTGTGAGAGCGGGGGAGGGGGGAGAGAGAGAGAGTGTGTGCTTTAATTTCCTTACTCTCAGATGGGGATAGTGTTCTCTACCTTACTTGTTTCACAGGGTTGCTCTGAAAGTAAAATTATACAAAAAAGGAAAGTAAATATGACTGTGCTTAGAAAAAATGACTTATGACAATTTAAGATATTATTAATTAGTGATACTAAATCAGTATTACTCTGCATTCCCCTGAGATAGTGTAATCTAGTGGTTAAGACTCTGTTTTGGCTCTTACTAACCATGTGATTGTGGGCAAGTCACTTAATTTATTTGAGCCTCAGTTTCTTTATCTGTGAAAGAAAGATAACTTTACCTACTTCATACAGTTGCTGTGAGGTTTGAATAACTTATTACCAGTAAAGTGATTACCCTAGTGTCTAGCATATGGAAAGTGTTTACTTCATCAAGTGTTTGCTTTCCTTATTCCTGCCCTGCCCAAGAGGACTTTACAGCTCTTTGCAAATGCTTTTGTATAGAAATGACCTCCTGATCCTCTTATGACCCACTGAAAACCAAGAATATTTGCAAAATGGAGAGACAACATGGGCCCAAGGGAACAAAGCGTTGAAAGACCTAAATTTTAATTCTGGTACTTTGGCCAATTGGCCAGGTGATCTTAGACAGACTCTTTGTTTATGGTGGTTAGCATGTCTGCAATATGCAGATGAGGGAGCTGAGGTCCTGATTCATCCCTCCAAGCTAAAATAAATGCTCAAGTGTCTCCTACCTTTAAAAACCAACCAACCAACCAACCAACCAACCAACCAACCAACCAACCAATGAACGAACCAGCCAACCAATACTCAATCAAACATTTCAATAAAATATTTTCTCTTTTTGGTCATAGTCAAGCTTCTTAAAAGTTGTCTACATTAATCTCATCACTTTTTCACCTGGGTTCACTTCCTAACAACAAATATAGCAGTCTAATTTGGCCTTTACTACTTTGTTACACCTACTCTGGTTAAAATCTTCTCTTCATTGACAAAACCAATGGACAACTTTCAAACTTCATCTTCCTTAACTTTTAGACAAGAAGGCAATGACCTTCATGGATGATAAGTAACATTTTCAAGTTTGACTCCAGACATAGCAATTCTTGATGCTGAAATCAAAATTGCCATTTAAAGGGACTTTATTCTGCTGAAAGCATCCTATATTCAGATACAAAATGTGAATTATTCAAGTAATCAAGGAAACCAGGTCTACTAAAATATCTTACTGTGACATCAGACACCAAGAGTGAAGTCTGATGACAAGAAAATGATTAGAGCACAAAGCAATCTGTTGCTTTGTTCTTATATGAAATAGTGATGGTGAAGTAGGCACCTGCTGCCATTTGTACCTGATGGATCCTAATACATCTAATCATTCTACCTCTGTCCAATCAAAATGCATTTGTCCTGTGTCACATACCATCAAACCCTTCTTTGTTAAGAAGCCTCTACAAAGATCGAAGCAAAATGTAAAAAGTAGTCATTTGCATTTCAACAACATTTTCAAGGTATAATTTTAGGCACATAGGTAGGTGAGTATGGGCAATATTTTTGGTTACGGGTATCTTTTCCAAGCTCCCTGAAATCCCCACCTGGAGTCATTTGCCTTTTAATGGGACATTTGGTGAAGCTGCTAGCCTGAGCTGAGTGAGATCATTGTAGAGAAGGTTTATCATTCTCAGAAGCTGTCAAGATGATTAAATAGGGCTGTTGTGCAATAGGTCCCAAGCAACAGCAGCAATAGAGTGGGATAAACACTGGACTGGGAATCAGGGAACAGGTTCCATGACTCTGGCAAGTCTCTTCCACTCTCTTAGCCTTGGTATAGTCACTAGTAAAATGAGGGGCTGAATTAGATTATTTCTAAGGTCATGTCTAGTCAATGCTGAAGTCATTTTAAAAAACTTCCTCTCTCTACTGACTCTGCAGCTCTCCTCCTAATTTCTTTGACCTATTTTTACCTTGCCTGATTTTACCCCTACTTTCCAAATTGATTATTTCTTATCTCTCTGCCTTATCACTTACTTTCTAGCTAGTTCACTCAAAGATAAGCCCAGGAAATATGTATCTCACAAACAAATTGTCTCTTTCTTTGGAGATAGTATATCTCTCTGCTAGGTTAACAGCAGGGCAATTACGTGGCAAATCTGGGATGTGTCCAGATTATTCACACTTACAAAGCAAGGCTCTTTAGCCTGAACTCTTGGCCCTTTTCTGAAGTTGTTCACTGATGCTTGTGTGAAATGCCAGTTGGGTGACCAGGTTTGAAACCAGATAATTCCACTAGACTACAGGGTCCTATAGGGAGTAGACTACAATCTCCCCATGGCTCTGCTCTGAAAGGAATTTTCTCTAAAGATTTTCAAACTCTGGAGTTGATGAAACTGTTTATATATATTTTTTCTTGCTCTGGTTCCTCAAACCCAAGCTGACAGAGGGCTGGAGCCTGTAGACTGTGGTGATCCACCCACTAAACATGTCAACAAGAACTATACCCTCTTTCATGGGGCACATTTGGCATTAATATAATGAGCTTTTAAAAAATAAAAAATTAAAACCCTCACAATTAAAAATACTGTGAAATTTCAGAACATCAAGGATAAAGAGAATATACTAAAAACTTTCCTTGTAGGGTTGACAGATAAAATATAGGACACCAGTTAAATTTGAAGTTCATATAAACAATGAATAATTTTTTTTTAGATTAAGCACGTCCCCAATATTTCATTGTTTATCTGAAAGGTAATTTTAATCAGATGTTCTGTATTTTTATTTGCTAAATGTGTCTATCCTATTTCCTAGAATAAAGCTAGATCGCCCAAATATAGCATCAGTAACAGTGGGTGGTAAAAGGCAATATGAGTGCTGCTTTCAAAATTCCAAGACACAATCATTTTTCAACCCAGAATCCCATATCTACCCAACTCATCAACGAAGTATAAGGGGGAAATTAAAACACTGAAAGACATTCAATGACTCAGAAACATTATTTCCATAATACATATCTTAGAAAATCATCCAGTGTGTGTTCTAGTAAAAGCAGGGAGTAAATCAAAGGAGAAAGACATGGGGTCCATGATAGTATGACTCAGGTTCAGAAAATCAGTTAAGGGCTACCTAAGATGACGTGTGCTCAGTGGAACTCAGGTAACAGGTAAGCTTCTTTGACTGAAAGTAACAGAAAATCCAACTCAAATTGGCATGAAAACGATAACAAAAAGGCAGGGAGGGCTCTCAGGTTGATTTAATGGTTCGAAGATCAATGAAGATCCAGGCTTTCACTGTCTCTCTGTTCTGCCATCCTTGGTATTGGCTTCTCCAAAGGCTGCTTTTCCTCTTGGTCAAGATGACTGCCAGAGCAACCTAAGCAATGCTTTTTGTTTGTACCTAGTGGGAGAGTACTGACTTCTCCTTCCCAGCAAGTCTCTCCTCACATCCCATTTGCCCAAAGTGGCCTACAGCTGCCCATTCCCAGAAGTGTCTAGCAAAGGAGATGGAGTAGCTTTGATTCTTCCATTCAGTGTCAACTGTGTATGAGGCGCTGTTCTAAGCACTGATGATAAGGCAGAAAGTAAAACAGACAAAACTTCCAACTTTTACAGAGCTCAGATTTAGGAAAACAGACAATAGACAAAGTAAGTATGTAAAATATCTGTATGCTATATGGTCGTACGTGCTGGTGAGACAAAGCAGAAGAGAGACTAGGTAGTATTTGGGAGGGTGATTAAATTTTAGGGAAGGTGTTCAGGAAAATCCTCACTAAGAATGTAATGGGGGAATCAACCACACTCTTTCTATGACACGTACAGAACAAAACATCCAGGTCAAAGCGGAGGGATGTAGAGCCTGGGGAAAGAGGTCTCCTGGGCAAAAGGGGGACTTCCTAGAAAACTTGATATAATGGAAAGTTTAAAAATAATGTTAGAATCAGGAGAAATAAAAACGTGTAGGAAAGAAATTATACTCATAGAATACTACTTGGCTCCTCCATGAATTAACGTTTACATAGTCACAATACTGTAAATGCTGTTATTAGTTTTAGTATTTTAGAATGAATTGTTGGAAAAAGTATTGATGATGGAATTATGATTACCAAGCCAAATGTAAATGTTATCAACTTGAATCCTCTAAGGTTGCAATCCTGAAGATGGGAGGTAGAAGAGCTTAGGGCAAGGCTAAGAGCACCAGGGTTCTTTTTGTACCCACTGCAGTGTTAAGAGAGACTATCTATGTTTGGCAAAATAAGAAGACATAGTGTATGTTTATTACTTAAACTTTCAAAAGGAAGGAAACAATACAGGAACCAGGAACTAAATATAGTGCTATAATTGTATTGGGAAATTGGGGAGGAAAGATGGGAGGTGATATAAATGAGTTAAATCTTTTAGAAACTCATATACACCATAGAACCACAAAAGAACTACAGTATTTCTATGTGACTATAGAATAAACATGTTGAGTTAGTGGGTTGACTTTGGGAAGGTAAGACTGAAGGTGAGAGCAAAAGGCAAACTATTGTTTTTGTTGCTAGTTCTTTGGCAAAATTTGACTTTTGAACTATGTGCATTCATTACTTTGACTTAAAAAAAAGTCTGCTCTCCATTCTAGAATTTTTTTCTATATTCTTAAAATTGACACATGCTTATTATGGAAAAGTTTGAAAATATGGAAAATTGTCCAGTATTTAAAGGCAATTCTTAAAACTATTGGTATATTTTCCTTCACTCTTTTAAAATTGATTACATTTATACACATTTGTGATTATGTTGAGTTAGGATACATTTTGGTGCATTCAAATTCATGAATCTAAATTGATTAGCTTAGATTCCATACATAATTTTTATCATTTTACATCCCCATCAGGATTGAAAAGAAGAACAAAACAAACATATTAAAGTCTTTGTATGAGAGATGTTTGACATTAAATAGTGGCAGTAAAATTAGCCAGTTCATCAAGGAAACTAGATCCCAGCAAGCTGAAGTCAAGTTCACACTGTTATTCAGTGAGAGCTGTTAACTACTAGCCGAAACTAAATGACAGATTTGTTTTATATCTGAAAATGATAACATAGGCATCTTATACAATGAAGACATGGATACATATCCTGCCTTCCTCACTGGTCTTGGCTCCCACTCCTCCCAACCTCGCTCAAAGCCCAAGCCACTCACATCTAGCTGTGTATCTCCAAACACACCAGGCTTCCTCCTGGTTTGTGCTTCAGCCATGCTGTTTCCTTTTCTTGAAATCCTTTTTCCAATCTAGTTGCCCTGGACAAAATGTTATCAATCCTTTAAGTCTCCTGTGATGCTTAGCTAACTCCTTCTAGCTAACTCAGCAAAATGGATATTTTGCTGCTTCTTTTCCTTGTGCAACCACTGAACTTGATCCATGCCATGACTAGCGTATTCATGGTGTGGAGTGAAGAGTATGAGTGTAGAGTCAGACTGTCTGAGCTTGGCTTCCAGCTCCACCTCTAACTGACCATGTGAACTTGGGCAAGCCACTTACCCACTTTGATCCTCAGTTTACTCATCTGTAAAATGACATTAATAATAATACTTACCTCAGTGGTTATGGTAAGAATTAAGATAATCAATACAGGAAAAGCACTTGGCAGGGTGACTGGCCTACAGTAAGTGCTCAGAAACATATGCTATTATTATTTGTTGTTGTAGCTGCTGCTGTAATGATTAGCTTGCATGTCCAGCCATTGAGGTTAGTGACTGTAACATTTCATCTTTATCTACTCTGTCTCACTTTAGAATCTGGCATTGTGTCCTTGAAAAATTGTGTAGACTGATTGAATAAGTGAACAATTTAGAGTGAATTCAGCTGCCTTTGCTTTTATAACTATTATTTTAAGGATGGTAGTTCTAACAGTAGACCTCAGAGTCATGCAAAAAGCTAACCAGCATTAATTCAGTGAAGCAATATTTTTTCTACTTAAAACAAAGAACCACTTCCTGAATACATTTACTGTATTTTCAGCTCTGAGATGGAGCTGAAAATACAGGAACGATAGGGGAGGTCTCCTAGCAATGCAAGACCTTGCCTCTGTCCTATAATATTTTTTGGAGTCATAGAGAAACAGGTATTGCCAGTCTATATAGATTCAGAACTAAATGGGATAATGCATTTCAAAGAGATATGAAGAAATCCAAACCACAGGAAGCATCATTAAAGTACTTTTAAATTATGTTATGAAATATAACTATTTGGGTTTTCCATGTTATTGCTTTACTTTCTTCTGTATAGGATTATTATTAATAAGCCAGGGAGATTTCCCTTGAAGCCCAATTATATTTAACACCTTTGCAGTGATGCATGACTGACTTATGACCTCAGGAGTAAGTTCTGATGGTGGTTCTGTTCTGATGATGTGGCCCCACCTGTCTGCACCTTATCCCAGAACCAAAGCTCCATTTGCTCCACTATTACAGTGAGAAGGCACTTCAATCCCCCTGCAAGAGAATCAGGTTCTGATGGCAATTATTTGAGTCTGACTCCACGCAAGACACTTCAGTAGATACTTGGGAGAATAATATTTGTCCTGCTTATCTCCAAAGGCTGCTGGAAGACTCCGGTGAGCCATTTTATAAAGTACAAAGTGATCTACAAATACAAGGTCTTATTATTATTAAAAACACATCTCATCTTCCACTGGAACGTTTAGATAAAGGAGTGTGGGGTGTAATAAAGAACTAAGCTAGAGCGAGAGAAACACTGAAAAACTAATTACGAAATGTCACACAAGTACCACAAAGAGAGTGATTACTTGATTAATTAATGATAGGAACCCTACATTTAAGTCTTTCAGTTATACTTGCATCAGTCCTCTTTGCCTATCAGAATGCGGTTTGTTTCTGCCAACGAATAACTATCAAACCACTGAGGCCTAACTGATGTGTGATTAATGTGGGCTCCATTAATTGTGTGGCTGAGTTTTATGCATGAAGCTGTATCCTTGATTTTTCACCTTTAATTTCCTCCTGTTTAACTGCTGGTCATAAAATTGTTTCAAATGTATCTGCTGAGTCTGAGAGCAAGTTTTGCAACTTGAAAAGTGCCTGAGTCAGTTTGGGCATCTTGTTTGGTAAAACCGACTTGGGGGAACTCTTAACGCTGTAAGATGAATTGCTACTTGGCTTCCACTCCCAGCCCTGCTGGCTCCCTTCCTGCCACTGCTCACTGGCACTGCATCTCATCTATTATCATTAAGCACATGCATAGCATTGATAATGGCAAAAGGCTTAATAACTTTCTTTCTGATAGCCCATCATATGTGGCTCTATTCAACCTTATTTTAGACAGCTAGAGATGATGACATCTGTCTTTCTGGTCTTTTTCACATTCATTTACCATCTCTGTTAATATCACCTGATTTTCTTTTGGGGCAGCACCCCTTCCCATCTCTGCTTTTATTTTCTGTGTTTCAAGTAGGGCTGGTCTCATTTCCCTGGCTCCGGAGCTAGGCCTGGACAATTAGAATTCCAGTGATTGGTTCGGGGATAGGCATGTGACCCAAGCTCGGTCAACTCTCGGTCAACTAGAGAGACAACCTAGGTCAACTAGACAGGCAACCCTAGGACTTTAGCAGGAACTATTAGGAGGAAATAAAAAAAAAAAAGCTCTTTGTCCTCTTGGGTTTTTAGATTGCTAAAATACTAAATCTAGATCTTCCGGTCTCTTTGTCACTGCTGAAGAAGAACCCAGCTGAGAATGAAGCCAACACAGAGAAAAAGAGAGCCAAGAGATGGAGAGAGACAAACTCCTGCTGACATTGTTTGAATACGTGGATTCAGTTGTGCCTAAAGACAAGCCTGGGCCTGTACTTTTCTATTGTGTGAGCCGTTTGAATAGGATTTTGTCACTTATAACCAAGAGTACTGATTCAAATGATGATGCTGGTCACCATACCTTTCTGCCTTAGTATGTCATATATGTACAGAGACTTAAGAAAATTAGAATTAGAAAAATAAGGTTTAGGATTTTAGAAATATATGCATATTTAAATATATAACTTTTTCCTCTAGAAGAAGTTTGCTTGGGTCAAATGGACATTTTTCCTTATGATGTTGGAGAGGTCAGATTGAAATAATTTGGTGACAGCTCACTGGTGAAATGCACTTTGTACTCAGAGGGGAGACACTGTGGTTCATTCATTCATGTAATGATTGGGTCCTGCTTATGCTGGGTGGTGAGGAAATGGCAGGTGCACAAGATAGCTCAGCTTGCTTTCCTAGTGGAAATTATAATTTAATAGATTTTAGTGAATCAAAAATCCAGGACCCATAGAGATAAAAGAAATCAGCAAATTTTGACAGTAAACCCCTTTATCAATGTGTAGTACCACTTCGGGATAGACTCTATCATTTTCAAGGTGTATTGATGATATGATTAGTTATAGAAGCATGCCTGATTCTATGCTCACTTTAGTCTATGGTGGCCCTAAGCTCTTTTAATTTTCAACGTTGAAAAGGAAAAGCTTTCCTGGAAAGGAAATTGAGGCAGCTCAACAGTAAAAAGGATTTAAGGACTGAAAAATACTACCCATTAATCTTGTTACTCTTTAATGATTGGTTTTCTTTTTGGGGCTGCTAAGATCGTTGTAGATTTAGGGCACTTTTACTCCAGCAAGTTGTAAACACTTTACGTGGTTGAATGCACTTTATTTTTCCCAGTCTCTGCTGATTGTATCAGAAGCCAGAGTAATATTCCCTCAGGTCACAGAGGAAAAAACCTAAGGCAGAGAAGGCTAGAGGACCTACCTGGGTTGTCACAGTTAGAGGCTGAGACAGATCCTGATCCATCCTGATCCTTATGAGAAGCTGTTGTGTCCCAGAGGCTCGACACCCACACCTGGCTGATGCACCTAACCATGTCCTCCCTCCCTTGCATCCCCACTGCCCCAACCCTGGCTGAGGTCTTAGTCAGTGTAACTGGCGAATTTTACAATTTCCCCTTAGTTGTTCTCCCCAGTGCCACTCCCACTAATCTATTCTACTCCGTGTTGCTTCCATTGTTTTTTTTTTTTTTTTTCCTGAAAGCAAAGTTCAAACTCTTTAGCCAGGCAGGCAAGGCCCTACATGAGTTGGTCTCCATCTAAAATCCTGTGCCTTATTTTCCATGACTCTCTTTTTCCACTCTTAGACCCATTGTTCCAGCCCAACTTACCATTCCCCTAACATATCCTCTATATTCCTGTCCCTTTACTCCCACTATTCTTCATCTGGAATGGTTGCACCCCTCTTCCCCCAACTCCCACTGCCAACGTTTTCACTTATTGAATTCCTACCCATCTTTGTAGGCCTCAAGAAGAAGCCTCCTCTTTTGTCAAGTTTTCTGAGATTTTCTCTAGCTGGAAGTAATTTCTTCACACTTTATATCCTTGTTATATTTTATTTGTTCCTACATTTTTTTGTTCAAATTTAGTCTGATGTTTATTTACATACTGGTCTGTCTCTCCTGATGGCATGTAAGCTCAACAAGACAGGGAACCATGCCTGGCTCTTCTTTGTGATGTCCATGGTATCTGCTGCTTGGATGATGATTGGCTTCTCTCCCAACTTAAAACTGAGGCTAAACACCTCATGATTTCTCTCACCCCCTGAGCCTTTGCAGAGGCTGTTCTCTTTTTGGGAAGTGTGTCCATCCTCCCTGCTTCCTCCACTGTCTAGTTCACAACCCGTAGTAAGAAATACATTTTATATTGTAATGCTCGACAAACATTTCACGAAGTAATGCTAACTTTTGCTAATTTTCAATACATTTTGATCTATTCCTTATTTTTTTCCATTCTGTTCTGTTCTCTTCTATTGTATTGCAGTCCAGTCTGTTACTTCATTTTAAAAGATGTAGTTGTGACACTCTAAATAATTTCCTTGACCTATTAAGAGGTTGCAAGAACCACTGGCCTAGTTGGTTCCTACTCATCTTTCAGATTTCTGCTCACATGTTGCATCTATAGGAAAGTCTTCTCTTGACCTCCCAGGCTAGACTGAGCCCCTGATAGAGGTTCTCATAACCCCTCTTCTTCCTAGCACTTTAATCATAGCTTTTTTTGTGTAATTGTTTTGTTGTCTTTTCTCCCCACTGGATTCCAAGCTTCATGAGGGCATAGCTTCTTTGCTTTTTTCATCATCAAATTCTCAGTGCACAGCACAGTGCCGGGGACACATCTATACACATTAAAGCTTTGCTGGATCCACTAACTGGGTGTTTTTAAGTTGGGGGTTGAGGGGCTGACATAATAGATTTGTGCTTTAGATAGATCACCTAGGGTACATACATTTTATTGTTCAAAGGGCAAAAGTCAAGACTAATATGAGCCAGGCATGGTAGCTCACAGCTGTAATCTCAGCACTTTGGGATACAGAAGTGGGCCAGATCTCTTGAGCTCAGGAGTTCGAGACCAGCCTGGGCAACATGGTGGAACCCTGTCTCTACAAAAAAATACAAAAATTATCAAGGTGTGGAGGCACAGGTCTGTAGTCCCAGCAACTTGCAGGGCTGAGGTAGGAAGACCACTTGAGGCCAGGAGGTTGACACTGCAGTGAGCTGAAATCATGCTACTGCACTCCAGCCTGGGTGACAGAGCAAGACCCTGTCTTAAAAACAAAACAAAAACAAAACACTAAAAGATGAATATGAGTGAAGTTGGGGGAGGTGCTGAAGGGTAGGGGATTTGGAGGCAAGAGGCAGGGAGGGAAGTTTGGAGGCCTATACAGTGGGGACTTGAACTAAGGGACATTCACTGCTATTGATGAGTTGGGGACAGATCCAAGAAATGTTTTTAAGGAAGAACTGAGAGAACATAATGACCTGTTTTGAAGGTAAATCCAATCCTTGAGGACCCTCTTCTGTCCTAGTCAGGAAGTGGGAAGTTATCCTTCTGATTATATGAGTCTCTCTCTGGGTATCCAAGATGCCCTCTGACTCTTGAGGTCTCTGAGCTCTGAGGGTGGTGATCTCCCTCCCCTGGAGTTCTGCCTCCCTGGGAGAATTTGGTAAAGGTACAACCAGGGTAGCCCCCACTCAGGTCTTAGCCTCTGCTGGATCTACTTCTTTCCTGGTCCCTAGAGCCCCATCTTTTATGAGCTAATTATGCTTTGGCATTCTTTCTTTTCTTTCTTTCTTTTTTTTTTTGCTGTTAATACTAGTTTAAGCCAATTAAGATGGGAGGCATTTCAAGTAGGATTGTCTCTTTCTTGATTATTCTGTACTAAAGCCTTAGTTCTTAATTACAAGGAGTCTGTCGCTCCTATCTACAAACACAAAGCTTCCTGAGGTGACCTGACCCACCAGGAGAGGAGAGGCAGTCTCCAGCTGCAATCAGTTCAGAGATGCAGCCACAGCACTGTGTTCCTCAGCTCCCAGCACCATCCCGGCATGGAGCATGGTTTTGGAAAGTAGCTTTAGAGGCCAAGGCTATGTCTATACACTGTGACTTAGACCTGCCTCTTTAGTATCTTTTTTTTTCTTTTAAGACAGGGTCTTGCTCTATCACCCAGACTGGAGTGCAGCGGCGTGATCACAGCTCACTACAGCCTTGAACTCCTGGGCTCAAGCAATCCTCCTTCCTCAGCTTACTGAGTAGCTGAGACTACAGGTGCATGCTGCTACACCTGGTTAATGCTGCTACACCTGGTTAATGTTTTATTTTTTGTAGAGACAAGGTCTCACAATGTTGCCCAGGTTTTGCCTCTTTAGTAGATTGAGTATATATGTGCTTGTCATGAGGGCACAGTTCCCAGAAGTGGTTCCGATTGTCTCTTCTTGGTCCAGCTTGGTGGTTAAAACTGCCAAAATAATGACTAACACAGCTGAGAAAAATATTTTTGGTGCACAATTACATCAATCACTTGACCGCTGGTCTCTATTAGATTTGGGAAATATAAATCAAGCAAAAATGGACAGCTCACAAGATGAGAAGATATTAATCAGTGAGCACCTCATGAGGAGTTATCTTCTTACCCTGGGGCCATGCTGTATACAGCAGGGACAATCTGGCCATATTCCTGCCAGTGTCCTTCACTCTCCTTGTTCCTTATCTCTGCCTCCCTTAGATGCACTCTTCTTTGCTTCCAGGTTGACTATATATTGAACTATTTCTTCCTAGATAAACTAGTTTGCATTTCCTCCCAAGATAAATCTCATTTCATTATGTGCTGTTCATATTTCTAATCTGCTAAGTCCGTTTATATTATCATTTGGCCTTGCCTGGCACTAGGTCTACTTCTCAGTTCAGTGTTGCCATGACTTCTGAGTGGCCACAGAACCAGCCACAGAGTACATTTTCTTCCATTATGGGAACATGATGGAGAGAAGAGGAAGAAAAAGTTAACGCGATAAAAAAATATCCATCTCTCTACTTAGTAAACAGATATAGGCTGTGGTTTTGCACAATATTTGCAGCAAAGAACTAGCCATAAAAAGAGTAATAATAAATAGCAAATAGCACAATTCTGAGTGTTTATGCTTGTTAACTTTTTCAATTCTTGCAATCACTTTGTGAGGTAGATACTATTATTATTTCTACTTCCTTATTTTCAGATAAGGAAACTGGAAGCACAGAGAGGTTAAGTAGTGCTCCCAAGCTAACGCAACTAGCAAATGGCAGAGACTGGATCCCATGGAGCTTACATAGTAATTATACAGATTTTAAATTTTAGTAGCTTTAAAAATTCCCATTTTAAGCGCAAGTATCAAACACGTAGCTCACTTCAGTATATGGTTGGCAATTATTTTCTTTCCAATATTATTTTATTTCACAACTCCAATGACCCACTTATTCCTGGGGCATCATTCCACATCACTCTTTATGCTCAGTTGATTATGTGTACTATTTGTGTATATATACAAATATACACATAGGAAGAA
This sequence comes from Homo sapiens, assembly GCF_000001405.40. NCBI lineage: Eukaryota > Metazoa > Chordata > Mammalia > Primates > Hominidae > Homo > Homo sapiens. Next base: position 166,208,494 of record NC_000001.11, read on the forward strand.
AGTTTTTGTCATTGTTTATTTTACAAAAAGTGAATCACACTATATACATGATTATGTAGTTGATGTTTCTACTCATAACAACACATGGAAATCCCATCAAGGCACTTGTTCGGGCATGAATTCATGCTTTTTAGTGGCTGTATCATGTTTCATGGTATGAATGTATTATATTAATCCAGATATCCCCACAGGTGGACAGTCACTATGTTTCTATGACTTTAATTCTAATTATTATCATGTTAGTGTAAACAATGATGTAATAAGCATCCTTGAATTCATATTCTTATATACTGAGAATTGTATTTCTAAGGAAATCAATTCAGTGGTTTTAAAGATATTTACATATTTGTACAACCAACATCACAATTAATTTTAGAATATTTGTATAACCCCACAAAGAAACTCCATACATACTAAGTCACTTCTCGTTTCTCCCCAACTGTCCAGCTCCAGAAGACCACCCACTAATCTCCTTTCTATTTCTATGGATTTGCCTATTGTGGACATTTCATATAAATGGAATCATACAATATGTGGTCTTTTGTATCTGACTTCTTTTACTTAGCATAATGTTTTCAAGATTCATCCATGTTACAGCATGTATCAGTACTTCATTCATTTTTATGGCTGAATAATACTCAGTTGTATGAATGTGCCATATTTTGTTTATCCATTCATTCATTAGTGGATTTTTGGCTATTTTCACCTTTTGCCCATTTTGCTTATTAGCTTCTATGAACATAACATACATGTATTTGTTTAAAGTACCTGTTTTCAATTCTCTTGGTTATATATCTAAGAGTAGAATTGCTGGGTCATACGGTAACTCTATGTTTAATTGTTTTAGAAAATACCAGACTGTTTTCCAAAGTGGCTGCACCATTTTGCATTCCCACTAGCAGTGTATGAGGGTTCTGACTTCTCCACATAATCTCCAGCATGTGTTATTATCTTTTAATTTTAATTGCATTTTATTTTTTTGAGACAGAGTCTTGCTTTGTCACCAGGCTAGAGTGCAGTGGCACGATCTTGGCTCACTGCAACCTCCAACCTTTGCCTTCTGGGTTCAAGCAATTCTCTTGCTTCAGCCTCCTGAGTAGCTGGGATTATAGGCATGTGCCACCACAACCGGCTAATTTTTGTATTTTTAGTAGAGACGGGGTTTCACCATGTTGGCCAGTCTGGTCTTGAACTCCTGACCTCAGGTGATCTGCCCACCTTGGCCTCCCAAAGTGCTGGGATTACAGGTGTGAGCTACCATGCCCAGCCTTGTCTTTTTATTTATAGCCACCCTAGTGGGTATGAGGTGGTATCTCATTGTGGTTTTGATTTGCATTTTCCTGATGACCAACTTTTTTGAATCATAAAATATGTTAGATTTTTAAAAATTTTTTTTTAACTCTAGATGATCATATGGCTTTTGTTCTTTATTCTGTTGATATGGTGTATTACATTAACTAATTTTTGATTGTTAGCTAACCTAACAGTCCTGGGATAAATCCCACTTGGTCATGGTGTATAATCCTTTTTATATGTTCCTGAATTAAATTGTGTAGTATTTCGTTGAGGAGCTCTGCATCTATATTCCTAAATTATGTTAGTTTATTGTTTTCTTGTGATGTCTTTCTTTGCTTTTGGTATGAGGGAAACACTGCCTCATAAAAAGTTGGAAATATTCCCTTTTTATTATTTGGAAGAATTTATAAACAATTGGTGTTAAGTTTTTTAAATGATTGATAAAATTCACTAGTGAAACCACCTGGGCTTTTCTTTGTGGGAAGTGTGATTGTTAGTACTGAGTGTCAACTTGATCCGATTGGGGGATACAAAGTATTAATCCTGGGTGTGTCTGTTTGGGTGTTGCTAAAAGAGATTAACATTTGAGTCAGTGGGCTGGGGAAGGCAGATCCAACCTTAATCTGGTGGGCACAATCTAATTAGCTTCCAGCGAATATAAAGCAGGCAGAAAAATGTGAAAAGGAGAGACGGGCCTAGCCTCCCAGTTTACGTCTTTCTCCTGTGCTGGATGCTTACTACTCCTGAATATTGGACTCCAAGTTCTTTTTTTTTTTTTTTTTTTTATAGTTCAGTATTTCATTAAAGTGACTCAAATGAAACTGTTTTCTTCTATTGCCTGAAAGGCTATATATGAAGAAACTAGATTATAACTTCATGCTTTATTTTTCTAACTAAAAAAATACTCTTCTTTCCTCTTCTCACAAAGGTTCAAGAGGGACCACTCTAACAGTGTGTTTTCATAAGAAGCCCCTCCAATTCCTACCATTCCCATGGTATTATAGGTTAGCTGTAACCTGAGGCCTATCATATAAAGAGGGAAAAAAGTCTAGTCCATGATAGTTTACCCAAATGAACAATCAAGAGACCTGTGCCATTTCTCATTTCAATCCAAATGTTTGGCACCATAAAAACACAGACATAATCTTAGAATAGGTGACATAACTATCCCCCAAAAAACCCTTTCCAATCTCTGTTAATGAAGAGTAAATGAAAAAAATGCTTGGGCAATTTTTACTGTTTCTCTGTGTCTGACTTTTTCTGACAAATATTTATAATGTGCTCAGTTTTAAGACAATAACCAAAATATTGCTAATTTTGACTCAACACTATAGATATGTTTCTATGATGTAGAAATTGTTTCATTTCCTTCTTCTTGTTTAAACTTTTTATATAAACCTATTTTTAATGAATTTTTCTCTAGTTGATACTTTTTTAAAAAAACATTTTATTATTATACTTTAAGTTTTAGGGTACATGTGCACAATATGCAGGTTAGTTACATATGTATACATGTGCCATGCTGGTGTGCTGCACCCATTAACTCGTCATTTAGCATTAGGTATATCTCCTAATGCTATCTCTCCCCCCTACCCCCACCCCACAACAGTCCCCAGAGTGTGATGTCCCCCTTCCTGTGTCCATGTGTTCTCATTGTTCAATTCCCATCTATGAGTGAGAACATGAGGTGTTTGGTTTTTGTCCTTGTGATAGTTAACTGAGAATGATGATTTCCAGTTTCATCCATGTCCCTACAAAGGACATGAACTCATCATTTGTTATGGCTGCATAGTATTCCATGGTGTATATGTGCCACATTTTCTTAATCCAGTCTATCATTGTTGGACATTTGGCTTGGTTCCAAGTCTTTGCTGTTGTGAACAGTGCTACAATAAACATACGTGTGCATGTGTCTTTATAGCAGCATGATTTATAGTCCTTTGGGTATATACCTAGTAATGGGATGGCTGGGTCAAATGGTATTTCTAGTTCTAGATCCCTGAGGAATCACCACACTGACTTCCACAATGGTTGAACTAGTTTACAGTCCCACCAACAGTGTAAAAATGTTCCTATTTCTCCACATCCTCTCCAACACCTGTTGTTTGGCTTTTTAATGATTGCCATTCTAACTGGTGTGAGATGGTATCTCATTGTGGTTTTGATTTGTATTTCTCTGATGGCCAGTGATGGTTAGCATTTTTTCATGTGTTTTTTGGCTGCATAAATGTCTTCTTTTGAGAAGTGTCTGTTCATGTCATTTGCCCACTTTTTGATGGGGTTGTTTGTTTTTTTCTTGTAAATTTGTTTGAGTTCATTGTAGATTCTGGATATTATCCCTTTGTCAGATGAGTAGGTTGTGAAAATTTTCTCCCATTTTGTAGGTTGCCTGTTCACTCTGATGGTAGTTTCTTTTGCTGTGCAGAAGCTCTTTAGTTTAACTAGATCCCATTTGTCAATTTTGGCTTTTGTTGCCATTGCTTTTGGTGTTTTAGACATGAAGTCCTCGCCCATGCCTATGTCCTGAATGGTAATGCCTAGGTTTTCTTCTAGGGTTTTTATGGTTTTAGGACTAACGTTTAAATCTTTAATCCATCTTGAATTAATTTTTGTATAAGGTGTAAGGAAGAGATCCAGTTTCAGCTTTCTACCTATGGCTAGCCAGTTTTCCCAGCACCATTTATTAAATAGGGAATCCTTTCCCCGTTGCTTGTTTTTCTCAGGTTTCTCAAAGATCAGATAGTTGTAGATAAGTGGCATTATTTCTGAGGGCTCTGTTCTGTTCCATTGACCTATATCTCTGCTTTGGTACCAGTACCATGCTGTTTTGGTTACTGTAGCCTTGTAGTATAGTTTGAAGTCAGGTAGCGTGATGCCCATGGCTTTGTTCTTTTTGCTTAGAATTGACTTGGCAATGCAGGCTCTTTTTTGGTTCCATATGAACTTTAAAATAGTTTTTTCCAATTCTGTGAAGAAAGTCATTGGTAGCTTGATGGGGATGGCATTGAATCTATAAATTACCTTGGGCAGTATGGCCATTTTCATGATATTGATTCTTCCTACACATAAGCATGGAATGTTCATCCATTTGTTTGTATCCTCTTTTATTTCATTGAGCAGTGGTCTGTAGTTCTCCTTGAAGAAGTCCTTCATGTCCCTTGTAAGTTGGATTCCTAGGTATTTTATTCTCTTTGAAGCAATTTTGAATGGGAGTTCACTCATGATTTGGCTGTTTGTCTGTGATTGGTGTATAAGAATGCTTGTGATTTTTGCACATTGGTTTTGTATCCTGAGACTTTGCTGAAGTTGTTTATCAGCTTAAGGAGATTTGGGGCTGAGATGATGGGGTTTTCTAGATATACAATCATGTCATCTGCAAACAGTGACAATTTGACTTCCTCTTTTCCTAACCGAATACCATTTATTTCCTTCTCCTGCCTGATTGCCCTGGCCAGAACTTCCAACACTATGTTGAATAGGAGTGGTGAGAGAGGGCATCCCTGTCTTGTGCCAGTTTTCGAAGGGAATGCTTCCAGTTTTTGTCCATTCAGTATGATATTGGCTGTGGGTTTGTCATAGATAGCTGTTATTATTTTGAGATACATCACATCAATACCTAATTTATTGAGAGTTTTTAGCATGAAAGGCTGTTGAATTTTGTCAAAGGCCTTTTCTGCATCTATTCAGATAATCATATGGTTTCTGTCATTGGTTCTCTTTATATGCTGGATTACGTTTATTGATTTATGTATGTTGAACCAGCCTTGCATCCCGGGGATGAAGCCCACTTGATCATGGTGGATAAGCTTTTTGATGTGCTGCTGGATTCGGTTTGCCAGTATTTTATTGAGGATTTTGCATCGATGTTCATCAGGGATATTGGTCTAAAATTCTCTTTTATTTTTGTGTCTCTGCCAGGTTTTGGTATCAAGATGATGCTGGCCTCATAAAATGAGTTAGGGAGGATTCCCTCTTTTTCTATTGATTGGAATAGTTTCAGAAGGAATGGTACCAGCTCCTCTTTGTACCTCTGGTAGAATTTGGTTGTGAATCCATCTGGTCCTGGACTTTTTTTGGTTGGTAAGCTATTAATTATTGCCTGAATTTCAGATCCTGTTATTGGTCTATTCAGAGATTCAACTTCTTCCTGGTTTAGTCTTGGGAGGGTGTATGTGTCCAGGAATTTATCCATTTCTTCTAGATTTTCTAGTTTATTTGCATAGAGGTGTTTATAGTATTCTCTGATGGTAGTTTGTATTTCTGTGGGATCGGTGGTGACATCCCCTTTATCATTTTTTTATTGAGTCTATTTGATTCTTCTCTCTTTTCTTCTTTATTAGTCTTGCTAGCATTCTATCAATTTTGTTGATCCTTTCAAAAGACCAGCTCCTGGATTCATTGATTTTTTGAAGGGTTTTTTGTGTCTCCATTTCCTTCAGTTCTGCTCTGATCTTGGTTATTTCTTGCCTTCTGCTAGCTTTTGAATGTGTTTGCTCTTGCTTCTCTAGTTCTTTTAATTGTGATGTTAGGGTGTTAATTTTAGATATTTCCTGCTTTCTCTTGTGGGCATTTAGTGCTATAAATTTCCACCTACACGCTGCTTTGAATGTGTCCCAGAGATTCTGGTATGTTGTGTCTTTGTTCTCATTGGTTTCAAAGAACATCTTTATTTCTGCCTTCATTTCTTTATGTACCCAGTAGTCATTTAGGAGCAGGTTGTTCAGGTTTCATGTAGTTGAGCGGTTTTGAGTGAGTTTCTTAATCCTGAGTTCTAGTTTGATTGCACTGTGGTCTGAGAGACAGTTTGTTATAATTTCTGTTCTTTTACATTTGCTGAGGAGTGCTTTACTTCCAACTATGTGGTCAATTTTGGAATAAGTGCAGCGTGGTGGTGAGAAGAATGTATATTCTGTTGATTTGGGGTGGAGAGTTCTGTAGATGTCTATTAGGTCTGCTTTGTGCAGAGCTGAGGTCAATTCCTGGATATCCTTGTTAACTTTCTGTCTCATTGATCCGTCTAATGTTGACAGTGGGGTGTTAACGTCTCCCATTTTAATTTCAACCTACTTGCAACTTTGAATCCAAAGAGTGTGTTTTGTAGAAAGTATATAGCTGGATTGTTTTGACAATCTCTGCCTTTTGATAGGATTGTTTAATTCATCATCTCTAGTCAATTAATTATTGATATACTTAGATTTATATCTGCCATTTTACTTTTTGTTTTCTATATCTCATGGTTTGGGTCTCGGTTCCTCTTTTACTGCTTTTTCTTTTTACAATAAGTGAATATTTTCTAGTGCAACATTTAAATTATTTTCATAATTATTTCACTATAGTCTTTGAGGGTTTTTTCAGTGGTTGCTCTAGGGCTTACAGTATACATGTTAATTTATGAGAATCTACTTCTGATTCATATTATTTAATTTCAGTGAGATATAGTAACATTGTTGCATAGAGTTCTGTTCTCTCTTTTCCCTTTTGATGCTATTAAATATAAATATGTTACAAACCCTTAAACATATTTTTATAATTATATACATTATATAATTTAATGTTTTTAAAGAAGTCAAGAGCAGAAAGGGGAGGAAATATATACTTATAGAGTTTGTTATTTTAACTTTCCTTTTTGCCATTTCAGACTCTTTATTTGTTCTTGTGAATTTGAATTGTCATCACATGTCATCTCCTTACTCCAGGATGGCTTTGCTACCACAATTTGTTCTATTGTTTTAAAATATATTTCTATATGTTTTAGGTCAAATAATGTAATTACATACATATTCTTTTATGCAATTATTTTTTGAATCTGTTAAGAGAAAAGGGATAACAAATACACATTCATACTATCTTTTATGATTACATAATTACCTTTAGTAGTAGTCATTGTTTTCTTGTATAGATTCAAATTACTGTCTGGGGTCACCCGCTATCAGCCTGAAGAACTTCTTTCAGTACTTCTTGTAAAATGGGCCCGCTAGTAACACATTCTCTCAGTTTTTGTTATCTGGAAAGTCTTTATTTCACCTTCATTTTTTTTTTGCTTTAAACTTCATTTAAGTTTTATGTATTTGGGGGTTACAAGTTCAGAATTTTTACATGCATTTACTGAGTAGTGAGTGGTGAAGTCTGGACTTTTAGTGTAACCATCACGTGAATGTTGAACATTTACCCAATAGGAAATTTTCAACCCTCAACCCCCTCCTACCTTCCCTCCTTTTGTGGTTTTTAATTCTATTATCCCATTCTGTGTGTCTATGTGTATCAATTGTTTAGCTTCCACTTATATGAGAACATATGGCATTTGACTTTCTGTTTCTGAGTTATTTCAGTTAAGATAATGGCCTCCAGTTCCATTCATATTGCTGCAAAAGACATGATTTCATTGTTTTTATGGCTGAGTGGTGTTCCATGGTATATATGTAGACACACAATATTTTCTTTATCCAATCCTCCATTGATAGGCCTAATATAATTGATTCTGTATCTTTGCTATTGTGAATTGTGCTGTGATAAACATACAAGTACAGATATCTTTTTGATGTAACAATTTCTTTCCCTTTGGGTATGTAATCAGTAGTAGGATTACTGGATCAAATGGTAGTTCTATTTTTAGTTCTTTGAGAAATCTCCATACTATTTTTTCCACAAAGGTTGTACTAATTTACATTCCCACCAACAGTGTATAAGCATTCCCTTTTCTCTGAATCCTTGCCAACATCTGTTGTTTTTAGAGTTTTTAGTAACAGCCATTCTAACTGGCGTTAAGATGTTATTTATTTTATTGTGGTTTTAATTTGGATTTCTTTGATGACTAGTGATGTTGGGCATTTTTTATATGTTTGTTGACCACTTATATGTCTTCTTTTGAAAAATGTCTGTTCAAGTCTTTTGCCCACTTTTTAATGAGATTGTTTTTTTTCATCTTGAGCTGTTTGAGTTCCTTATAGATTCTGGATACTAGACCTTTCTTGGATGAAAAGTTTGGAAATATTTTTTCCCGTTCTGTAGGTTGTCTGTTTACTTAATTGATTGTTTCTTTTGCCGTGTAGAAAATTTTTCATTTAATTAAGTCCTGTTTGTCTATTTTTATTATTGTTGTGTTTGTTTTGAGGACTTGATCATAAATTATTTTCCTAGGCCAATATCCAGAAGAGTTTTTCATGAGTTTTATCCTAAGATTTTTATAGTTTCAGGTGTTATGGTTAGATCTTTAATCTATCTTGAGTTAATTTTTGTATATGGTGAGAGGTACGGGTCCAATTCCATTCTGCATATGGCTATCCAATTTTCTCAGCACCGTTTATTGAATAGAGTGTCCTTTCCTTAGTGTCTGTTTTTGTTGATTTTATTGAATATCAGTTGGTTTTAGATATACAGCTTTATTTTTGGGTTCTCTATTTTTTTACACTGATCTGTGTATCCATTTTTATACTGGTGCCACGTGTTTTGGTTAGTATAGCCTTGTACTGTAATTTGAAGTCAGGTAATGTGATATCTCCAGCTTTGCTCTTTTTGCTTAGGATTGCTTTGGCTATTTGGGCTCTATTTTGGTTGTATACAAATTTTAGAATTGTTTTTTCTAATTCTGTGGAAAATGATATTGGTAATTTGATAGGGATTGTGTTGAATCTGTAGATTGCTTTGGGCAGCATGATAATTTTATTGATTCTTCCAACTCATGATCATGGAATTAAAAAAATTGTGTCATCTATGATTTCTTTCATCACTGTATTGCAGTTTTCCTTATGGAGATCTTTCACCTCCTTGGTTAAATATATTCCTAGGTATTGAGGTTTTTTTTGTTCTTTTTTTTTTTTTTTTGGAGTTGTTGTAAATGGCATTGCCTTCTTGGTTTGGTTCTTGGCTAAATTGTTATTGGTATATAGAAATGCTACTGATTTGTGTACGTTAGTTTTGTATCCTGGAACTTTACTGAATGCATTTATCTTATTTTATTGTTATTATTTTTTAGATGGAGTCTTGCTCTGTCACCTAGGTTGGAGTGCAGTGGCACGATCTCGGCTCACTGCAACCTCCACCTCCCAGGTTCAAGAGATTCTCCTGCCTCAGACTCCCTAGTAGCTGGGACTACAGGTGCCCGGCACCACGCCAGGCTAATTTTTGTATTTTCAGTAAAGACGAGGTTTTACCATGTTGGCCAGGCTGGTCTCAAACTCCTGACCTCAAGAGATGTGCCTGCCTTGGCCTCCGAAAGTGCTGGGATTACAGGTGTGAGCAACGGCGCCTGGCCCTGGATAAATTTACTAAATCTAAGAAAATTTTGATGGAGTCTTTAGGATATAAGCTCATATCATCAGTGAACAGGGATCGTTTGACTTGCTCTTTTCCAATTTGGATGTCTTTTTTTTTGTTTGTTTAAATCTTCCCTGATTGCTCTGGTAAGGACTTTCAGTACTATGCTGAATAACAGTGGTGAAAGTGGGCATCCTTGTCTTGTTCCAGTTCTAAGAGGGAACGCTTTCAATTTTTCCCCATTAAGTATAATATTGGCTTTGGGATCACCATATATGGACTTTATTACATTCAAGTATGTTCTTTCTATGCCTAGTTGGTTGAGGATTTTTATCGTGAAAGGATGCTGAATTCTATCAAGTGCTTTTTCTGCCATCTATTGAGATGATCACATGGTTTTTGTCCTTAGTTCTGTTTGTGTGATGTATCACATTTGTTGATTTGCATATGATGAACCATACTTGCATCCCAGAGATAAATCCCATCTGATCCTGGTGAATTATCTTTTTTACGTGTTATTGGATTTGATTTGTAGTATTTTGTTGAGGATTTTTGCATATATGTTCATCAGTCATATTGGTCTGTAGTATGCTTTTTCTTGTGTCTCTGTCTAGTTTTGATAACAGTGTGATACTGGCCTCATAGAATGAGTTAGGGAGAATTCCCTCCTCAATTTTTTGGAATAGTTTCAGTATAATTGTCATTATTTCTTCTTTGAATGTTTGGTGGAATTCTGCAGAGAATCTCTCTGGTCCTGGACTTTTCTTTGTTGGGAGATTTTTTAAAATTACATATTCAATCTCTGCACTCATTATTGGTCTATTCAAGAGTTCTATTTCTTCCTGGATTATTCTCAGGAGGTTGTGTGTTTCTAGGAATTTGTCCATTTCCTCTAGGTTTTCTAGTTTGTGAGGGTATGGTTGTTTATAATCATCTCTGATGATCTTTTCTTTTCTGTGGTATTAGTTATAATGTCTCCTTTTTCTTGCAATTATGTTTATTTGAATCTTTTTCTGTTTAGAATAGCTAGTGGTTTATCAGTTGTGGTTATCTTTTCAAGAACAAACCTTTCATTTTGTTGATCATTTTTATTACTTTTTTGTCTTTATTTCATTTAGTTCTGCTCTGATCTTTGTTATTTCTTTTCTTCTGCTAACTTTGGGCTTGGTTTTCTAGATCCTTGAAGTGTAACATTAGGTTGTTAGTTTGTGATCTTACTAATTTTTTGATGTAAGTATTTAATGCTATAAAATTCCCTCTTAGCACTACTTTTGCCATATCCCACAGGTTTTGGTATGCTGTACTTTCATTTTCATTAGTTTCAATTTTTTTTTAATTTCCATCTTAATAACGTAATTGCACATTTAAAAATAACTAGAAGAATGTAATTGGATTGTTTGTAATACAAAGGATAAATGCTTGAGGGGAAGAATGCCCCATTATTCATGATGTGATTATTAGGCATTGTGTGCCTATATCAAAATATCTCATGTGCCCCATAAATATATACACCTACTCTGTACCACAAAAATAAAAAATAAAAATAAATACTAAATAAAATAGACATTAAAGACATTTAAAAAATGGATCATTTAATACACTTACATTTAAGGTTAATATTGATATGTGAAGATTTGCTTCTGTTATATTGATGTAGTTTTTACAAGTTTTTGTTTCTTTTTTCTCTTCCTCTTTGTCTTTGTGGTTTGATGAAATTTTTTTGTGTTGCCATTTGATTCCTTTCTCTTTCTCCTTTGTGTGATTGTTTTATACAAATGTGATTTTATATTTCTGTGTTTTTGTGATGGTGAATATCAACTTTTTTTCTTCATGTTTAAGACTCCTTTCAGCATTTCCTATAGGTCTAATCTAGTGGTGACAAATTCCTTCAGCATTTGCTTGTCTGTGAATGACTTATTTCTCCTTCATTTATAAAACTTATTCTGGCAGGATACAAAATTCTTGGCTGACAGTTATTTTTTTCCCCAGCACTTTAAAAATGCCATTCCATTCTCTTCTGGCCTGTAATGTTTCTGCTGAAAACTATACTGTTAATCTGATGAAGTTTCCTTTATAGATGACAAGACGCTCCTCTCTTGATAATTTTAAAATTCTTTCTTGACTTTAGACATTCTGAATATAATATGCTGTGATGAAGTCCTTTTTACAATGTATTTTCCTGGGGGTCATTGGGCCTCCTATATCTAGATGTTTATCTTGATAGACTTGGAAAATTTTTATCAATTATTTTATCAAATATTTTTTTCTAAACTTTTTGCTTTCTCTTCCCCCTTGGAAATATTGATCATTTGTAAGTTTAGTTGCTTTGCGTAGTCCCAGATGTCTCAGAAGTTTTGTTCATTCTTTTTTATTCTTATTTTTGTACAAGAGTATATTGAAAGACCAGTCTTTAAGTTCTGAGATTCTTTATTCTGCTTGGTCTAGTCTATTATGGAAGCTTTCAAATGTATTTTGTATTTCCTTCAATTAATTTTTTAATTTTAGAATTTGTTTCTTTTATTTTTGAAGATATCTCCTTGATAAATATCTCATTCATATTCTGAATTGGTTTTTAGATTTCTTTGCATTGTTTTTCAGATTTCTCTTGCATCTCATTGGTCTTCTTTAAAATCAATATTTTGAATTCTCTTTCTGGCATTTCAAGGAATACTTTTGTGATTGGCATCTGTTGCTGGACAATTGTTTTAGTCCTATGGTGATGTCACATTTCTCTGCTTTTCCATGTTTCCTGTGTCCTTCCATTGATATCTGTGCATCTGGTGTAGCAGTCACTTGTTCCAATTTTGGGGGGTTTTGGGTGGTCCTTTTGTTTTAACGTTATTTTAGGTTCACACATGTGCAGGTTTGTTATATAGGTAAATTGTGTGTCATGGGGGTTTGGCATACAGATTGTTTTATCACCCAAGTAATAAGCATAGTACCTGATAGGTAATTTTTCAGTCCTCATCTCCTCCCACCTTCTGCCTTCAAGTAGGCCCTGGTGTCTGTTGTTTTCTTCTTTGTGTCCATTTGTACTCAATGTTTAGCTTCCACTTATAAGTGAGAACATGTGGTATCTTGTTTTTTGTTCCTGTTTTCTTTTGGTTAGGATAATGGCCTCCAGCTCCATCTATGATGCTGCAAAGGATCATGATCTCATTCTTTTTTGTGGCTGCATTTGTGGCTGCATAATATTCCATAGTGTGTATGTACTGCATTTTCTTTATCCAGTGTACTGTTGATGGGCATCCAGGTTGAATCCATGTTTTTGCTATTGTGAATAGTGCTGTGATGTACATACACATGCATGTGTCTTTATAGTAGAATGATTCGTATTCCTTTGGGTATATACCCATTGATGTAATTGCTGGGTTGAATGGTAATTCTGCTTTGAGTTCTTTGAGAAATTATGAAACTGCTTTTCACAGTGGCTGAACTAATTTACATACCCACCAGCAGTGTATAAGTGTTCCCTTTGCTTTACAGCCTGTCTAGTATTTGCTATTTTTTGACTTTTTAGTAATAGCCATTCTGAAATGGCATCTCATAATGGTTTTCATTTGCATTTCTCTGATGATTAGTGATGTTGAGCATTTTTTCATATACTTGGTGGCCATATGCATGTCTTCTTTTGAAAAGTGTCTGTTCACATACTTTGTCTACTTTTTAAAAGGGTTGTTTGTTTTCTTGTAAATTTGTTTAAGTTCCTTATAGATTCTGGATATTAGACCTTTGTTAGGGCATAGTTTGCAAATATTTTCTCCCATTCTGTAGGATGTCTGTTTACTCTATTAATTGTTTATTTTGCTGTGCAGAAGATATTTAGTTTAATTAGGTCCCATTTGCCAATTTTTGTTTTTGTTTCCATTGTTTTTGGAGTCTTTCTCATAAAATCTTTGCCAGGGCCTATGTCCAGGATGGTATTTCCTAGGTTGTTTCCAGGATTTTTATCATTTTAGGCTTTACATTTAAGTTTTAATACACATTGAGTTGGCTTTTGTACATGGTGTAAGGAAGAAGTCCAGTTTCAATCTTCTATATATCACTAACCAATTACCCCAGGACCATTTATTGAATAGGAAGTCCTTTCCCCATTGCTTGTTTTTGTCAACATTGCTGAAGATCAGATGGTTGTAGATGTAGGGCCTTATTTCTGGGCTGTCTATTCTGTTCCATTGGTCTCTATGTCTGTTTTTGTACCAGTACCATGCTGTTTTGGTTACTCTAGCCCTGTCGTATAGTTTGAACTTGGATAATGTGATGCCTCCAGCTTTGTTCTTTTTGCTTAGGATTGTCGTGGCTATTCAGGCTCTTTTTTCATTCCATATGAATTTTAAAATAGTGTTTTCTAATTCTGTGAAGAATGTCATTGGTAGTTTGATAGGAATAGAATCATTGGATGAGGAGATGGGTATCCCATTCTTCATGCTGTGATTATTTTACCTTGCATGTTTGTATCAAAATATCTCATGTACCTAATAAGTATATATACCTGCTATGTATGCACAAAAATTAAAAAAATTAAAAAGATAGGAATAGCATTAAATCTACGAGTTGTTTTGAGCAGTATGGCCATTTTAATGATATTGACTCTTTCTATTCGTGAGCAGGGAATGTTTTTCTATTTGTTTGTGTCACCTCTGATTTCTTTGAGCAGTGTTTTGTAATTCTCCTTGTAGAGGTCTTTCACTTCTCTGGTTAGCTGTATTTTTAGGTATTTTATTCTCTTTCTGGCTATTGTGAATGGGATTGCATTCTGGATTTAGTTCTCAGCTTGAATGTTGTTGGTGTATGGGAATGCCAGTGATTTTTGTACATTGACTTTGTATCCTGAGACTTTGCTGAAGTGGTTTATCAGAACAAAGGTCTTTTGGGCAGACACTATGGAGTTTTCAAGTATAGAATCTCATCGTCTGCAATCAGATACTTTGATTTCCTATTTGGCTGCCTTTTATTTCTCACTCTTTCCCGGTTGTTTTGGTTAGGACTTCCAGTACTATGTTGACTAGGAGTGCTGAGAGAGGGCATGCTTGTTTTGGTCTGATTTTCAATGAGAATGCCTCCAGCATTTGTCCATTCAGTATAATGTTGGGTGTGTGTGTGTGCGTGTGTGCATGTATGTGTGTGTGTGTTTCAGATGGCTGTTATTATTTTGAAGTCCATTCCTTCAATGCCTAGTTAGTTGAGGTTTTTTTTTTTTTTTATGAAAGGGTGTTGAATTTTATTTAAAGCCTTTCTACATCTATTGAGATGTGGCTTTTTCTTTGGTTCTGTTTATCTGGTGAATCACATTTATTGATTTGTGTATGTTGAACCAACCTTGCATACCAGAGATAAAGCCTACTTAATCATGGTGGATTAGCTTTTTCATGTGCTGCTGGATTTTGTTTGCTAGTATTTTATTGTGCATTTTTGCATTTATGTTCATCAAAGATATTGGCCTGAAGTTTTCTTTTCTTGTTGTGTCTGTGCCAGGTTTTGGTATCAGGATAATGCTGACCTCATAGAGTGGGTCAGAGAGAAGTCCCTCCTCCTCAATCTTTTGGAATAGTTTCAGTAGGAATAATATCAGTTCTTTATAAATCAGATGGAATTCAGCTATAAATCTATCTTGTTCTGGGCTTTTTCTGGTTGGTAGGATTTTTGTTGCTGACTAAATTTTAGAAAACATTATTGGTCTGTTCAGGGATTCAATTTCTTCTTGGTTCAATCTTGGGATGTTGTGTGCATCCAGGAATTTATCCATTTATTCTAGATTTTCTAGCTTGTGTGCATAGAAGTGTTCATAGAAGTCTCTGAGGGTTTTTTGGTATATATGTGGTGTCAGTGGTAATGTCCTTTTTGTCATTTCTGATTGTCCTTACTTGCATCTTCTTTTTTTCTTTATTATTCTAGCTAGTGGTCTGTCTGCCTTATTCATTCTTTCACAGAAAAAAACTCATGGATTTGTTGATCTTTTTATAGTTTTTTAACATCTCAATTTCATTCAGTTCAGCTCTGATTCTGTTTTTTTGTTTGTTTGTTTTGTTTTCTGCTAGCTTTGGTATAGGTTTGCTCTTGTTTCTCTAGTTCCTCTAGTTGTGATGTTAGATTGTTAGTTTGAGATCTTTCTAACTTTTTGAAGTAGGTGTTTAGTGCTATAAACTTCACTCTTAACACTGCATTAGCTATGTCCCAGAGATTCTGCTATGTTGTATCTTTGTTCTCATTAGTTTCAAAGAATTTCTTGATTTCTGCCTTAATTTCATTATTTGTCCCCAAATCATTCAGAATCACATTGTTTAATTTCCACGCAATTGTATGGTTCTGAGCAATTTTCTTAGTATTAATTTCTGTTTTTATTGCGCTGTGGTCTGAGAATATGGATGGTATGATTTTGGTTTTTCTGAATTTGCTGAGAATTGTTTTATGGACGATTGTGTGGTTGATTTTAGAGTATGTGCCACATGCAGATGAGAAGAATGTATATTCTATTGTTTTGGGGTGGAAAGTTCTGTAGGTGTCTATTAGGTCCATTTGGTCAGGTGTTGAGTTCAGGTCCTGAATATCTTCATTAGTTTTCTACCTTAATGATCTTTCTAATATTGTCAGTGGGGTGTTGAAGTCTCCCACTATTACTATGTGGTTATCTAAGTCTCTTTGCTGGTCTCTAAGAACTTGCTTTATGAATTTGGGTGCTCCTGTGTTGCGTATGTATATATTTACAATAGTTAGGTCTTCTTGTTGAATTGAACCCTTTACTATTATGTAATGCCCTTCTTTATCTTTTTTGATCTTTGTTGGTTTAAAATCTGTTTTGTCTGAAATTAGAATAGCAACTCCTGCTTTTTTTCTGTTTTCAATTTGCTTGGTAGATTTTCCTCCATCCCTTTAATTTCAGTCTATGTGTGTCATTGCATGTAAGGTGGGTCTCTTGAAGACAGCATACAAAAGGAGGTAGGTGACCTGCCTCTATCTCTCTAGCTGCCTTTAACATTTTTGTTTTCATTTCTACCTTGGATAATCTGATGACTATGTGTCTTGGAGATGGTCTTCTTGTGTATAGTATTTTACAGGTGTTCTCGGCATTTCCTGAGTTTGAATGTTAACCTCTCTAGCAAAGCTAGGAAAATTTTCATAGATGATATTCTAAAATATATTTTCCAAGTTGCTTGCTTTCTCTCCCTCTCTTTCAGGGATGCCAATGAGTCATAGATTTGGTCTCTTTACATAATCCCATATTCTTGGAGGTTTTGTTCATTCTGCTTTATTGTTTTTTTCTTTTTGTTTTCTGGCTGAATTATTTCAGAGAACTGGTGTTTGAGCTCCGAGATTCTTTCCTCAGCTTGGTCTATTCAGCTGTTAATACTTTCTTTTTTTTAAATTTATTTATTTATTATCATTATACTTTAAGTTTTAGGGTACATGTGCACAGTGTGCAGGTTAGTTACATATGTATACATGTGCCATGCTGGTGCACTGCACCCACTAACTTGTCATCTAGCATTAGGTATATCTCCCACTGCTACCCCTCCCCCCTCCCCCCACCCCATAACAGTCCCCAGAGTGTGATGTTCCCCTTACTGTGTCCATGTGTTCTCACTGTTCAATTCCCACCTATGAGTGAGAATATGCGGTGTTTGGTTTTTTGTTCTTGTGCTAGTTTACTGAGAATGATGATTTCCAATTTCATCCATGTCCCTACAAAGGACATGAACTCATACTCATCATTTTTTATGGCTGCATAGTATTCCATGGTGTATATGTGCCACATTTTCTTTATCCAGTCTATCATTGTTGGACATTTGGCTTGGTTCCAAGTCTTTTCTATTGTGAATAATGCCGCAGTAAACATACGTGTGCATGTGTCTTTATAACAGCATGATTTATAGTCCTTTGGGTATATACCCAGTAACAGGATGGCTGGGTCAAATGGTATTTCTAGTTCTAGATCCCTGAGGAATCGCCACACTGACTTCCACGATGGTTGAACTAGTTTACAGTCCTACCAATAGTGTAAAAGTGTTCCTATTTCTCCACATCCTCTCCAGCACCTGTTGTTTCCTGACTTTTTAATGATAGCCATTCTAACTGGTGTGAGATGGTATCTCATTGTGGTTTTGATTTGCATTTCTCTGATGGCCAGTGATGGTGAGCATTTTTTCATCTGTTTTTTGGCTGCATAAATGTCTTCTTTTGAGAAGTGTCTGTTCATGTCCTTCACCCACTTTTTGATGGGGTTGTTTGTTTTTTTCTTGTAAATTTGTTTGGGTTCATTGTAGATTCTGGATATTAGCCCTTTGTCAGATGAGTAGTTTGTGAAAATTTTCTCCCATTTTGTAGGTTGCCTGTTCACTCTGATGGTAGTTTCTTTTGCTGTGCAGAAGCTCTTTAGTTTAATTAGATCCCATTTGTCAATTTTGGCTTTTGTTGCCATTGCTTTAGATGCTATAAAAAATGATAAAGGGGATATCACCACCGATCCCACAGAAATACAAACTACCATCAGAGAATACTACAAATACCTCTATGCAAATAAACTAGAAAATCTAGAAGAAATGGATATATTTCTAGACATGTACACTCTCCCAAGACTAAACCAGGAAGAAGTTGAATCTCTGAATAGACCAATAACAGGATCTGAAATTGTGGCAATAATCAATAGCTTACCAACCAAAAAGAGTCCAGGACCAGATGGATTCACAGCCGAATTCTACCAGAGGTACAAGGAGGAGCTGGTACCATTCCTTCTGAAACTATTCCAATCAATAGAAAAAGAGGGAATCCTCCCTAACTCATTTTATGAGGCCAGCATCATCCTGATACCAAAGCCGGGCAGAGACACAACCAAAAAAGAGAATTTTAGACCAATATCTTTGATGAACATTGATGCAAAAATCCTCAATAAAATACTGGCAAACCAAATCCAGCAGCACATCAAAAAGCTTATCCACCATGATCAAGTGGGCTTCATCCCTGCGATGCAAGGCTGGTTCAATATATGCAAATCAGTAAATGTAATCCAGCATGTAAACAGAACCGAAGACAAAAACCACATGATTATCTCAATACATGCAGAAAAGGCCTTTGACCAAATTCAACAACCCTTCATGCTAAAAACTCTCAATAAATTAGGTACTGATGGGATGTATTTCAAAATAATAAGAGCTATCTATGACAAACCCACAGCCAATATCATACTGAATGGGCAAAAACTGGAAGCATTCCCTTTGAAAACTGGCACAAGACAGGGATGCCCTCTCTCACCACTCCTATTCAACATAGTGTTGGAAGTTCTGGCCAGGGCAATCAGGCAGGAGAAGGAAATAAAGGGTATTCAATTAGGAAAAGAGGAAGTCAAATTGTCCCTGTTTGCAGACGACATGATTGTATATCTAGGAAACCCCATTGTCTCAGCCCAAAATCTCCTTAAGCTGATAAGCAACTTCAGCAAAGTCTCAGGAGACAAAATCAATGTACAAAAATCACAAGCATTCTTACACACCAACAACAGAGAAACAGAGAGTCTGCTGTTAATACTTTCAATTGCATTCTGTAATTCTTGAAGTTAGTTTTTCTTTCTTTTTCTTTTTTAATTTTTAACTTTTATTTTAAGTTCAGGGGTACACGTTCAGGGTAGGCAGGTGTTACATAGGTAAATGTGTGCCATAGTGGTTTGCTGCACAGATTATGCCATCACTCAGGTATTAAGCCCAACATCTATTAGCTATTTTTCCTGGTCCTCTCCTTCCTCCCACCCCCCAACCCCGGCAATCCTGCGACAGGCCACAGTGTGCATTATCTCCCTTCATGTGCATTATCCCCCTTCATGTGTTTTCATCATTTAGCTCCCACTTATAAGTGAGAACATGTGGTATTTGTTTTTTTTTTGTTCTTGCATTAGTTTGCTAAGGATAATGGTCTCCAGCTCCATCCATGTCCCTGCAAAGGACATTATCTCATTACTTTTTATGGCTGTACAGTATTCCATGGTGTATATGTAACATATTTTCCTTATCCAGTCTACCACTGATGGGCATTTAGGTTGACTCCATGTCTTTAATATTGTGAATAGTGCTGCAATGAACATACACGTGCATGTGTCTTTATAATGGAATGATTTATATTCCTTTGTGTATATGCCCAGTAATGGAATTGCTGGGTTGAATGGTATTTCTGCCTCTAGGTCACCACACTGGAATCACCACATTGTCTTCCACAGTGGATGAACTAAGTTACACTCTCACCAACAGTGTAAAAGTGTTTATTTTTCTCCACAACCTCATCAGCATCTGTTGTTTTTTGGCTTTTTAATAATAGTCATTCTGACTGGTGTGAGATGCTACCTCATTGTGGTTTTGATTTGCATTTCTCTAATGATCAGTGACGTTGAGCTTTTTTTTTGTTAATATTTTGGCCTCACGCATTTCTTCTTTTGAAGAGTCTGTTCGTGTCCTTTGGCCACTTTTTAATGGGGTTGTTTGTTTGTTTTCTTGTAAATTTGTTTAAGTTCCTTATAGATGCTGGATATTAGAACTTTGTCAGAAGGATAGATTGTAAAAAATTTTTCCCATTCTGTAGGGTTCTGTTTACTCTGTTGACAGTTTCTTTTGCTATATAGAAGCTCTTAAGTTTAATTAGATCTAACTTGTCCATATTTGCTTTTGTTGCAAATGCTTTGGGCTTCTTCCTCATGAAATCTTCGCCTGTGCCTATGTCCTGAATTGTATTGCCTAGGTTTTCTTCTAAGATTTTTATAGTTTTGGGATTTACATTTAAGTCTTTAATCCATCTTGATTTGATTTTTGTATATGGTATAAGGAAGGGATCTGGTTTCAATTTTCTGCGTATGGCTAGCCAGTTCTCCCAGCATCATTTATTAAATAGGGAATCCTTTTCCAATTGCTTGTTTTTGTAAGGTTTGTCACAGATCAGATAATTGTAGGTGTGTGGTCCTATTTCTAGGTTCTCTATTCTGTTCTATTGGTGTATGTTGCTATTCTTATACCAGTATCATGCTATTCTGATTACTGTATTGCTATAGTATAGTTTGAAGTCAGGTAGTGTGATGCCTCAAGCTTTATTCTTCTTGCTTAGGATTGCTTTGGCTATTTGGGCTCTTTTTTGGTTCCATATGAACTTTAAAATGGTTTCTTCTAATACTGTGAAGAATGTCAATGGTAGTTTCATAGGAATAGCATTGAATCTGTAAATTGCTTCAGGCAGTATGGCCATTTTCATGACACTGATTCTTCCTATTCATGAGCATGGAATGTTTTTCCATTTGTTTGTATCATCTCTGATTTCTTTGAGCAGTGGTTTGCAGTTTTCCTTGAAGAGGTCCTTCACTTCCCTTGTTAGCTGTATTTGTAGGTATTTTTATTCTTTTTGTGGCAATTGTGAATGGGATTGCCTTTCTGATTTGGCTGTCGGCTTGCCTGTTGTTGGTATATAGGAATGTGTGATTTTCACACATTGATTTTTTATGCTGAGACTTTGTTGAAGTTTCTTATCAGCTTAAGAAGCTTTTGGGCTGAGATGATGGGGTTTTCTAGATATATAATCATGTCATCTGCAAAGAAAGATAGTTTGACTTTCTCTTTTCCTATTTGAATATGCTTTATTTCTTTCTCTTGCCTTATTCCCCTGGCCAGAACTTCAAATAGTATATTGAATAGGAGTGGTGAGAGAGGGCAACCTTGTCTTGTGCCAGTTTTTAAGGGGAATGCTTCCAGCTCTTGCCCATTCAGTATGATATTGGTTGTGGGTTTGTCATATATGTATCTTACATTTTGAGGTAAGTCCCATCAATACCTAGTTTATTGAGAGTTTTTAACATAAAGGGATGTTGAATGTTATCAAAAGCCTTTTATGCATCTATCAAGATAATCATGTAGTTTTTGTTTTTAGTTCTGTTTATGTGATGAATTACATTTATTCATTCATGCATGTTGGACCAGTCTTGCATCCTGGGGATGAAGCCTACTTGGTCATGGTGGATAAGCTTTTGATGTGCTGCTTTATTTGGCTTGCCAGTATTTTGTTGAAGGTTTTTGTATTGATGTTTATCAAGGATATTGGCCTGAAGTTTTTGTTGTTTTTGTATACCTGCCAGTTTTGGTATCAGAATGATGCTGGTCTCACAGAATAAATACATATGTATTTAGGGAAGATTCCCTCCTTTTTAATTTTTTGAAATAGTT
This sequence comes from Homo sapiens, assembly GCF_000001405.40. Lineage (NCBI taxonomy): Eukaryota > Metazoa > Chordata > Mammalia > Primates > Hominidae > Homo > Homo sapiens. The sequence goes on from NC_000001.11 coordinate 166,230,225, forward strand.
TCAGTAGGAATGGTACCAGCTCTTCTTTGTACCTCTGATAGAATTCATCTGTGAATCTATCTGGTCCTGGGCTCTTTTTGGTTGATAGGCTATTTATTACTGACTCAATTTCAGAACTCATTATTGGTCTATTCAGGGATTCATTGTCTTCCTGGTTCAGTCTTGGGAGGGTGGATGTGTCCAGGAATTTATCCATTTCTTCTAGATTTCCTAGTTTATGTACATACAGGTGTTTATAGTATTCTCTGATGATTGTTTGTATTTCTGTGGGGTCAGTGGTAATATTCCCCTTATTTCTGATTCTATTTATTCGACTCTTCTCTCTTTTCTTTTTTATTGGTCTAGCTAGCAGTCTATCTATTTTATTAATTTTTTATTCAGAAAACAGCTCCTACATTCATTGATTTTTGAAGGGGTTTATGTGTCCCCATCTCTTTCAGTTCAGCTCTAATCTTGGTTATTTCTTGTCTTCTGCTAGCTTTGGAGTTTGTTTGCTCTTGGTTCTCTAGTTCTTTTTGTTGCAACGTTAGGTTGTTAACTTCAGATCTTTCTAGCTTTTTGATGTGGGCATTTAGTGGTATAAATTTCCCTCTTAACACTGCTTTAGCTGCATCCTGGAGATTCTGGCACATTGTATCTTTGCTCTCATTAGTTTCAAAGAACTTCTTGATTTGTGCCTTAATTTCATTATTTACCTAAAAGTCATTCAGGAGCAGGTTGTTCAATTTTTATGTAATTTTGTGATTTTGAGTGAATCTTGAGTTCTAATTTGATTGTGCTATGGCCCAAGAGACTGTCTGTTATGATTTCAATTCTTTTGCATTTTCTGAGGAGTGTTTTACTTTCAATTATGTGATCAGTTTTAGAGTAAGTGCCATGTGGTGATGAGAAGAATGTATATTCTGTTATTTTTGGGTGGAGAGTTCTGTGGATATCAGGTCCACTTGATCCAGAGTACAGGTTCTAGATATCTTTGTTTTTCTGTCTTGATGATCTGTCTAATATTGTCAGAAGGGTGTTGAAGTCTCCTACTATTATTGTGTGGGAGTCTACGTCTCTCTGAAGGTCTCTAAGAACTTGTCTTATGAATCTGGGTGCTCCTGTATTGGGTACATATGTATTTAGGATAGCTAGCTCTTCTTGTTGAATTGAACCTTTACCATTATATAATGCCCTTCTTTGTCTATTTTTTATCTTTGTTGTTTTAAAATCTGTTTTGTTAGAAACTAGGATTGCAACCCCTGCTTTTTTCTGTTTTCCACTTGCTTTGTAAAATTTCCTCCATCCCTTTATTTTAAACTTATGTGTATCTTGCATGTGAGGTGGATCTCTTGAAGACAGCATACTGATGGGTCTTGGTTCTTTATCCAGCTTGCCGTCCTCTGTATTTTAATTGGGGCATTTAGCCCATTTACATTTAAGGCTAGTATTGTTGTGTGTGGATTTGATCCTGTCATCATGATGCTAGCTAGTTCTTTTGCAGACTTGTTTATGTGGTTGCTTCAGAGTGTCACTGGTCTGTGTACTTCAGTGTGCTTTTGTAGTGGCTGGTAACAATTTTTCCTTTCCATATTAGAGCTTCCTTCAGGGGCTCTTGTAAGGCAGGTACGGTGGTAACTAATTCCCTCAGCATTTGCCTGTCTGAAAAGGATCTTATTTCTCTGTTGCTTATAAAGTTTAATTTGGCCAGATATGAAATTCTGGGTTGGAAATTCTTTTCTTTAAGAAGTTGAATATTGGTACCTAATCTCTTCTAGCTTGTAGGGTTTCTGCTGAGATAGCCACTGTTAGCTGGTGGGCTTCCCTTTGTAGGTGACCTGGCTTTTCTCTCTGGCTGCCCTTAATTTTTTTTTTTTTTGACCTTGGAGAATCTGATGATTATGTCTTGGGGATGATCTTCTCATGGAGTATCTTACTGGGGTTCTCTGCTTTTCCTGAATTTGAATGTTGGCCTGTTGAATGTTGGAGAAGTTCTCCTGGTTGATGTCCTGAAATATGTTTTCCATTTTGGTTTCATTCTTTCCATCTGTTTCAAGTACCCTAATCATTTTTAGATTCAGTCTCTTTACATAATCCCATATTTCTCAGAGGCTTTGTTCATTTCTTTTTATTCTTTTTTCCTCTATTCTTGTCTGCCTGTCTTATTTCAAAAAGACAGTCTTCAAGCTCTGAGGTTTTCTCCTTTTGGTCTATTCTGCTATTAATACTTGTGATTCCACTGTGAAGTTCTTGTAGTGTGTTTTTCAGCTCTATCAGGTTGGTTATGTTCCTCTCTATACTGGCTATTCTGGCGGTCATCTCTTGCATTGTTTTATCATGATTCTTAGCTTCTTTGCATTGGGTTACAATGTGCTCTTCTAGCTCAGCTAAGTTTGCTTTATCCACATTCTGAATCCTACATCTGTCATTTCAGCCATCTTAGCCTCAGCCCAGTTATGAAGCCTTGCAGGAGAGGTGTTGCAGTCATTTGGAGGAAAGGGGGCACTCTGTATTTTTGAGTTTTCAGCATTTTTTGTGCTTATTCTTTCTCATCTTTGTGAGCTTATCTACCTCGGATATTTGAGGTTGCTGACCTGTGGATGGGGTTTTTTATTTGTTGTTGTTTGTTTATTTTTATTTTAACAGTCTGGCCACTTTTCTGTAGGGTTGCTGCAGTTTGCTAGGAGTCCACTCCATACTCTAGTCACCTCGGTTTTTCTAATACCTGGAAGTATCACCAGTGAAGGCTGTGAAACAGCAAAGATGGAAGCCTGTCTCTTGCTCTGGAAGCTCTGTCCCATGGGGGTACTGACTTGTTGCCAGCCCAAACACACTTGTAGGAGGTAGCTGGAGACCCCTACCAGTTGGGAGGTCTCACTCAGGCAGGAGAAATGGGATCAGGAAGCTGCTAAAAGGAGCAGTCTTGCTATGTTTTGGTACAGCAGCTGCACTGTGTTGTGTATCCCTTTGGTCCCCAATCAGTTTGGGCTCTCCAAGGCCCACAGGCTGAGCCAGCTGAGATGCCCCAAACAGTAAAGGTGGTGGCCTCCCCCCAGGCACTCCATCCCAAGGAGAAATTAGAATGCTGTTAGCTGTGGAATATGGGTGAGGGTGGCTGGAGGCTCTTCAAAGAGATGTAGACTCCCACACAATAATAGTGGGAGACTTCAACACCCTTCTGACAATATTAGACAGATCATTGAGACAGAAAATTAACAAAGTTATCTAGGACCTGAATTCAGCTCTGGATCAAGTGGACCTGATAGATATCTACAGAACTCTTCACCCAAAACCAATAGAATATACATTCTTCTCATCACCACATGGAACTTAATCTAAAACTGATGACATAATTGGAAGTAAAACACTCCTCAGCAAATGCAAAAGAACTGAAATAATAACAAACAGTGTCTCAGATCATAGCATCATCAAATTAGAATGCAAGATCCAGGTCCCATTTAAAGAATCAGTCAGGCCACATCTCGACAAAACAGCCATGCCTTGCTGCGGAACCAGCTCTGCCCTTGTTGGCTTGGACTCTCCAAAGCCCATAGGCTGGAATTGCTGAGTTGTCCCAATAACCAAGGTGGTGGCCCAGCCCTCCCACCACACACTCTCCCCTAGGGAGAGATCAGAGCTCTGTCTATAGAATATGGGAGAGTGGGGGTGCTTGAGGCTGCCCCGGCTGGGAGGTCCCACCCAGTGAGGAGGAATGGATGGGGTCTCGTTTAAAGAAGCAATCTGGACACATTCTGGCAAAGCAGCTGTGCTGAGCTTGGGGGACCCTTCCTCATCTGGACTGCTTGGACTCTCCAAAGCCTGCAGGCTGGAATGGCTGAGTCAACCAAACAACAAAAATCACAGCCCACTTCTCCCCCCGGGGGCTCCATCCTGTCTCAGGCAGGCTCCATCCACCCTGTTGCCGGTGGCTGCTTGGAATTCCAAGCTAGTAAGTCTCATCTTGTGAGGTGCAGTGGAAGTGGGGCCTGCAAACGGATGCTGCTTGGCCCCCTGGATTCAGCCCCCTTTTTAGAGGTATGTACATACAGACCTCCCACCTTGCTGGGGATATCGGGGCCAGGGTATGTAAAGCTCCTGGGTCTCTGCATGCCTGAGCAGCTGCTCTGCTGAGATTCCACACAGCTCTGTCTCAGGCTCAAGGCCCTGGTGGTGTGGGCTCATGAGGGGATCTCTTGATCTGAGGGTTGCAAAGATCTGTGGGAGAAGCATGGTTTCCTGGGTTCACACATTAACTCACCAATTCCCCTGGCTGTGGGTGGGGGTTCCCTTGGCTCCACGTTACTCCCGAGTGGGCTGTTGCCCTTCCCTGCTTTTCTCCATTTTCTGTGGGTCCAGTTGTTTTCCTGATCAGTCCCACTGTGAGTACCTGGATATTTCAGTTGAAGGTTCTGTATTCACTCATCCCTTTTGCTCCTCTCTGTGAGTACCACACCACAGCTGTTTCTATGTGGCCGTCTTGGCCCTTAGCATTTGAAGTGAGTTTTTCAGTTCTATTAGTTCAGTTTGGTTCTTTCTTAAAACAGACATTTCATCTTTCATCTCCTGTTTTATTTTATTGTATATCTTACAATCCTTGGGTTGGATTTCAACTTTCTCCTGAATGTTGATCTTCCTTCTGATGCATATTGTGAATTCTGTTTTTTCACTTCAGCAAGCTTGAGAATCATTGCTGGAGAATTAGTGTAATTGTTTGGAGGTCAGAAGACACTCTGGCTTTTTGAGTTTCCAGAGTCCTTGCACTGGTTATTTCCTGTCTGTGTGGGCTGATGGTCCTTCAATCATTGAAGTCCCAGTCCTTTTGATTTTTTTTTGTTTTTATCTAATTTGATGCCCTTTGGGGTTTGATTATGGTATAGGTGGGTTTGATTGACCGGCTTCAATTCTAGTCCACTTCTGCATTTTGGAGGAGCCTCCTCTGATTACTATCTCCATGTCCACGCTTTTGTTGGGTGTTCTGGTCCATGGGGCTCCCTCTGTATCCTTGCTGAATTGGTCCTAATATGCTGTCTGTGTGCTTCCTCAGGAAACATGGGGTTGAACCTGCCTGCAGAGTTCAGGCACAAGCAGGACTGCTAGGCTGAAAGCTCTAGCAGGTGTAGCCTATCTGGCTATGAGAGGCAGAGTTGGGCAGGGTTGCCCACCCTGCTGTCCAGGTGTTTCCAAGTTTCCAGGGACAACAGGAAGATGCACTCTGCAGGTGAGTTCACACAGAAGCAATACCACTGTGCCTGCAGCTCTAGCAGGTACTGCCTGCCTGGGCTACCTGTGGTATGGGTGGGTGGAGTGGCCAGACTGCTGGGTGAGAAGCTGCCAGCCCCATCTTGCAAGGGGAGGGGGGTGGTGGAACAATCTTACTGCTCCCAGGCACCACAACTGCAGCCTCTATTGGGGCTATGGCACTGGTACTGGTCTGCTCCAGGGCCCAAGGCTTTTAATGATCCCGTTGGACTTCAGAGTTGCCCCCGCAAAACATCTGGGTAACTCTCTGCCTCAGTCTTAAAGCACAATGTGGGGAGGTGCAGAGTGGCCAGGGGGATTCTCCTATTCCTAGTCTTACACAAATCCCTGTGTAGGGTGTGAATCCCCCTGGGGGCTGTCACTTACTAACCCTTTCCCATGTTGGAGAGGTTCTCCTGGCTCCATGCTGAGCCCAGACAGGCTGGTGCCCAGCTTCACCCCTCACTGTCCTCTATGTGCCCCTGCTGCCTTGACAGGTCCTGACATGATTTCTCAGATGATCGGCCTGCAGGGACAGTGTTCCCTAGCCCTTATGCTTTCTCCCTACGAAAGCAGCACACATGAGCTGTTTCTAGTCCACAATTTGGGCCCAACCCCCTCAAGTTATTGAAATTGCTTTTGTAGGGGAGAATTTTTTCTTGAGGATGTATGTTGTTGATTAGGATACTTTGGCTTTGATTTTGGGTGCCTGTTGTAGTGTGATCTTTGTGTATGACATCTCTGGAAGTATGCAGGGTTAGTGGTCTCTGTCATTTCCTTGGTGTCTTAAGGTACAATTATTAGTTGAGTTTTTGTGAAGTTTAGCTGGGGACTTGAATGCCAATTGAGCCAGTCTTTGTTTGGGCCCCCGTGGTGGCAGCAGTAAGGTGAGCGTGCCTGTTTTTAGGCCCCAGAGCAGCTTACACTGCTTCTAGTGTTAATGAGTCTTGGAGGGCTGATTCTTGGGCCTTCAGGTGTTTTGCTTAGAAGCTAGTGGTGGGAGAGGTGGGCCAGGTGTGTGAGTTTGCTCTCAGGCCCCTGAGCAGCTGATGTTGTGTGGGTGATGGCAGTAGCAGTGGTGGAGCAACCCACTGGGACCCAAGTGGTTTTTGTTGGTGTTCCTGGAAGCTGGGATGAGTTCAGTGGGTTAGTCTACAGTCCCATAGACACCTCTAGCAGGGGAGTCTGTATTGTCCTAAGTGTGCTTAGGAGAGCTTGGTCTCCCCTGTCTCTTCCCCAGCTGGGTGGCTACTGTAGCCACATCACCTCAAACTCAGCCTAAGTGCTGGGCACAGCGCCTTGTCAAACTCTCAAAATGGTGCCAGCAATGGGCTTGTGACCAGAGAGGGAGAGACCTTGCTCAGGTGAGCAGCATGGGCAAGAAGCTGTGTGGTCTACTTGAGTTTCAGTTTCACAGCAGTTCATAGCAAGATGTTGAGTATTGTCCTAGGTACGCATAGGAGAGCCTGGCTTTCCCATCCCTCCTTGATGGGGTGGCAGGTGCAGCCACATTAACTGAAATTTGGCCCAAGAATGGGGTGCAGCCCAGTGTTAAACTCTCAAAATGGCACCTTGGGCCTACCATCAGGGAAGGCGGGACCCCTCCCAGGCAGACAGCACAGGCAAGGTGCTGAGCAGAGTGTGACCCACTCACAGCCCAGTCTCACAGCAGCCCATTGCAGGGCAGTGGGTATTGTTCTAGATATATGTAGGATAGCCTGGTATCCCTGTCCCTCCTTGGCTGGGCATCAGTTGCAGCCACATCATCCTGACCCAGGCCAAAGGGAAAGGTGCAGCTTAGCATTAAAGTCTCAAAATGGTGCCTTGAGCCTGGTACCCTGAGAGGACAGGGTCCCTCCCAGGCAAGCAGCAGCATGGGCAAGAAGCTGTGAGGTTGTGCAGTCTTCTCACATCTCAGTCTCAATAGCAGACCACAGCAGGGTGGCAGAGACCCTCTCAAAGGTGTGTGGGAGCAGCTGGACTCCCCTGCCCTTTTCGCCTTAAAGCAGTGCAGTGGCAGCAGCCATGCCTGCAGATCCCTCATGTCTAGGCTCTCAGAATGGCTCCCAACTGAAGTGGCTCGAGGATCAAATGCCTGTGGAATTCTGTGTGGGGTTCCCTTTCTGGAGAAGTATCTCTGCAATCTTTAGGTGGCTCTTTGTGTCAGGCCTGAGGTCCTAGTAGGTTGAGGGTTTCTTCCATAGCCAAAATCATAAAAACCCATTTAGCAGCCCTGGGGGTTTCTCTCTGTTTCCCCACATTCAGGAGCCTCTTCTGGCTATCAGTCAGTTCCCAGATGGGCAAGGTGCCTCAAACCCTCTCTTTACTTACTTTTAGTGCTTCCTGTCTCTCCTCTGGAAAATCTGAACATTCTCTCCTGGATGCCTTGTTTGAACTGTGAGTATCTACTTACTATTTTGGCTCCTCTCCATGGTGGAGGCATGTACTACTGTGTCTAGTCAGTCATCTCGACTCTACTCCTCACTTTCATTTTTGAAAGGTAAGTTTGCTGGATGTAGAATTCTTGTTTGACAGTTCTTTTTTCTTTTAGTACTTTGAATATATCTCCTCACTGCCTTCTGGCCTCCATTGTTTCTGATGATATGTCTGTTGTTATTTTCCTGGGATTCCCTTTTATGTGATGAGTCATTTTTCTCATGCAGCTTTCAAGATTTATTTTCTTTCAATAGTTTAACTATGATGTGTCTGAGTGTGGGTCTCCTTGTGTAATTCTACTTGAAGTTCATTGAACTTAGATGTGTAGATTAATGTTTTACATTAAATTTGGGGAATTTTCAGCTATTACATTTTTGAATATTTTTTCCGTTCCTTTCTTTCCTCTTCTTTTGGTACTTACAGTACAGGTATGCTGGTGTTCTCATTGATGTCCCACCTTTCTCTGAAGTTCTGTTCCTTTTTTTAAAGTACTTCGCCCCCAACCTTCTATTCTGTAATATTCTTAATCTCTATTGGCTTATCTTCAGGTTTACTGATTTTTTTAGTCAGCTGAAATCTACTTTTGAGAACCATTAGTGAATTTTAAATTTTAGTTATTATACTTTATAACTCTAATTTCCATTTTTTAAAAATAAACTTTATTTTTTTAGAGCAGTTTTAGGTTCACAGAAAAATTCAGTGGAAAGTACAGAGAGTTGTCATATATCTCCCACCTCCACTTATATGCAGCCTCCCCACTATCAGCATCCTGCAATGAGTGGTGCATATACTACAATTAATAAAGCTGCATTGACACATTATTATCACCCAACATCCATAGTTTACATTAGGTTTCACTCTTGATATTGTGCTTTCTATGGGTTTTGACAGGTATGATAATGTATCCAACCATTTTTGTCATCATACAGAATAATTGCCCTAAAAGTCCCCTATTCATCCCTCCTTCCCCCTAGACCCCTGACAACTACTGATCCTTTTACTGTCTTTGTGGTTTTGCATTTTTCAGACAGTTACATGGTTGGAATCATACAGTATATAGCCTTTTAAAATTGGCTCCTTTCACTTAGTGATATACATTTAAGTTTCCTTCATGTCTTTTCAGACTTGATAGCTAGTTTCTTTTAAGGACTCAAATAATTATCACTTGGATATACCACAGTTTGTTTATCCATTCACCTACTGAAGGACATCCTAGATACTTCCAAGTTTTGTTCATTATAAATAAAGCTGACATAAATATTTGCACAGGTTTTTGCATGGACATAAGTTTTCCACTTAACTTGGGTAAATTCTAAGAAGCATGGTTGCTGGATTGTGTGATAAATGTATGTTTAGCCTTGTAAGAAACTAATTGTCTCCAATGTAACTGTGCCATATTTCATTCCCACCAAGCAATAAAAGTTCCTGATGTTCCATATCCTCACCAGTATTTGGTGTTGTCAGTGTTTTAGATTTTGTGATTCTAATAGGTGATACCTCATTGTTGTTTTAATTTGCAATTCCCTAATGACGTGTAATGTTGGGCATCTTTTTATATGCTTATTTTCCATCCATATATCTTTGATGAGTGTTTATTTGTCTTCTGCCCATTTTTAATTGGGCAGTTTTTTTTTATTGTTGAGATTCAAGAGTTCTTTATATACATTTGCTTCTTTTTTTGTTTTTGCTTTTTTTAAAATTTTATTATTATTATACTTTAAGTTTTAGGGTACATGTGCACAGCGTGCAGGTTTGTTACATATGTATACATGTGCCATGTTGGTGTGCTGCACCCATTAACTCGTCATTTAGCATTAGGTATATCTCCTAATGCTATCCCTCCCCCCTCCCCCCACCCCACAACTGTCCCTGGTGTGTGATGTTCCCCTTCCTGTGTCCATGTGTTCTCATTGTTCAATTCCCACCTATGAGTGAGAACATGTGGTGTTTGGTTTTTTGTCCTTGTGATAGTTTGCTGAGAATGATGGTTTCCAGTTTCATCCATGTCCCTACAAAGGACATGAACTCATCATTTTTTATGGCTGCACAGTATTCCATGGTGTATATGAGCCACATTTTCTTTTTTTTTTTTTTAACTTTTTTTTATTATTATACTTTAAGATTTAGGATACATGTGCACAATGTGCAGGTTAGTTACATATGTATACATGTGCCATGCTGGTGTGCTGCATCCATTAACTCGTCATTTAGCATTAGGTATATCTCCTAATGCTATCCCTCCCCCCTCCTCCCACCCCACAACAGTCCCCAGAGTGTGATGTTCCCCTTCCTGTGTCCATGTGTTCTCATTGTTGAATTCCCATCTATGAGTGAGAACATGCGGTGTTTGGTTTTTTGTCCTTGCGATAGTTTACTGAGAATGATGATTTCCAATTTCATCCATGTCCCTACAAAGGACATGAACTCATCATTTTTTATGGCTGCATAGTATTCCATGGTGTATATGTGCCACATTTATTTATCCAGTCTATCATTGTTGGACATTTGGGTTGGTTCCAAGTCTTTGCTATTGTGAATAGTGCCGCAATAAACATACGTGTGCATGTGTCTTTATAGCAGCATGATTTATAGTCCTTTGGGTATATACTCAGCAATGGGATGGCTGGGTCAAATGGTATTTCTAGTTCTAGATCCTTGAGGAATCGCCACACTGACTTCCACAATGGTTGAACTAGTTTACAGTCACACCAACAGTGTAAAAATGTTCCCATTTCTCCACATCCTCTCCAGCACCTGTGGTTTCCTGACTTTTTAATGATTGCCATTCTAACTGGTGTGAGATGGTATCTCATTGTGGGTTTGATTTGCATTTCTCTGATTGCCATTGATGATGAGCATTTTTTCACGTGTCCTTTGGCTGCATAAATGTCTTCTTTAGAGAAGTGTCTGTTCATGTCCTTCGCCCACTTTTTGATGGGGTTCTTTGTTTTTTTCTTGTAAATTTGTTTGAGTTCATTGTAGATTCTGGATATTAGCCCTTTGTCAGATGAGTAGGTTGCAAAAATTTTCTCCCATTCTGTAGGTTGCCTGTTCACTCTGATGGTAGTTTCTTTTGCTGTGCAGAAGCTCTTTAGTTTAATTAGATCCCATTTGTCAATTTTGGCTTTTGTTGCCATTGCTTTTGGTGTTTTAAACATGAAGTCCTTGCCCATGCCTATGTCCTCAATGGTATTGCCTAGGTTTTCTTCTAGGGTTTTTATGGTTTTAGATGTAACATTTAAGTCTTTAATCCACCTTGAATTAATTTTTGTATAAGGTGTAAAGAAGGGATCCAGTTTCAGCTTTCTACATGTAGCTAGCCAGTTTTCCCAGCACCATTTATTAAATAGGGAATCCTTTCCCCATTTCTTGTTTTTGTCAGGTTTGTCAAAGATCAGATAGTTACAGATATGTGGCATTATTTCTGAGGGCTCTGTTCTGTTCCATTGGTTTATATCTCTGTTTTGGTACCAGTACCATGCTGTTTTGGTTACTGTAGTCTTGTAGTATAGTTTGAAGTCAGGTACCATGATGCCTCCAGCTTTGTTCTTTTTGCTTAGGATTGACTTGGCTATGCGGGCTCTTTTTTGTTTCCATATGAACTTTAAAATAGTTTTTTCCAATTCTGTGAAGAAAGTCAATGGTAGCTTGATGGGGATGTCATTGAATCTATAAATTACCTTGGGCAGTATGGCCATTTTCATGATATTGATTCTTCCTATCCATGAGCATGGAATGTTATTCCATTTGTTTGTATCCTCTTTTATTTCATTGAGCAGTGGTTTGTAGTTCTCCTTGAAGAGGTCCTTCACATCCCTTGTAAGTTGGATTCCTAGGTATTGTATTCTCTTTGAAGCAATTGTGAATGGGAGTTCACTCATGATTTGGTTCTCTGTTTCTCTGTTATTGGTGTATAAGAATGCTTGTGATTTTTGTACATTGATTTTGTATCCTGAGACTTTGCTGAAGTTGCTTATCAGCTTAAGGAGATTTTGGGCTGAGACAATGGGGTTTTCTAGATATGTAATCATGTCATCTGCAAACAGGGACAATTTGACTTCCTCTTTTCCTAATTGAACACCCTTTATTTCCTTCTCCTGCCTGATTGCCCTGGCCAGAACTTCCAACACTATGTTGAATAGGAGTGGTGAGAGAGGGCATCCCTGTCTTGTGCCAGTTTTCAAAGAGAATGCTTCCAGTATTTGCCCATTCAGTATGATATTGGCTGTGGGTTTGTCATAGATAGCTCTTATTATTTTGAGATACATCCCATCAATACCTAATTTATTGAGAGTTTTTAGCATGAGTTGTTGAATTTTGTCAAAGGTCTTTTCTGCATCTATTGAGATAATCATGTGGTTTTTGTCTTCGGTTCTGTTTATGTATTGGATTACATTTATTGATTGTGTATGTTGAACCAGCCTTGCATCTCAGGGATGAAGCCCACTTGATCTTGGTGGATAAGCTTTTTGATGTGCTGCTGGATTTGGTTTGCCAGTATTTTATTGAGGATTTTTGCATTGATGTTCATTAAGGATATTGGTCTAAAATTCTCTTTTTTGGTTGTGTCTCTGCCAGGATTTGGTATCAGGATGATGCTGGCCTCATAAAATGAGTTAGGGAGGATTCCCTCTTTTTCTATTGATTGGAATAGTTTCAGAAGGAATGGTACCAGCTCCTCTTTGTACCTCTGGTAGAATTTGGTTGTGAATCCATCTGGTGCTGGACTTTTTTTGGTTGGTAAGCTATTGATTATTGCCACAATTTCAGAGCCTGTTATTGGTCTATTCAGAGATTCAACTTCTTCCTGGTTTAGTCTTGGGAGGGTGTATGTGTCGAGGAATTTATCCATTTCTTCTAGATTTTCTAGTTTATTTGCATAGAGTTGCTTATAGTATTCTCTGATGGTAGTTTGCATTTCTGTGGGATCAGTGGTGATATCCTCTTTATCATTTTTTATTGCATCTATTTGATTCTTCTCTCTTTTCTTCTTTATTAGTCTTGCTAGCAGTCTATCAATTTTGTTGATCTTTTTAAAAAACCAGTTTTGCTAGCAGTCTATCAATTTTGTTGATCTTTTAAAAAAAACCAGCTCCTGGATTCATTAATTTTTTTGAAGGGTTTTTTGTGTCTCTATTTCCTTCAGGTCTGCTCTGATCTTAGTTATTTCTTTTTTTTTTTTTTTTTTTATTATACTCTAAGTTTTAGGGTACATGTGCACATTGTGCAGGTTAGTTACATATGTATACATGTGCCATGCTGGTGCGCTGCACCCACTAATGTGTCATCTAGCATTAGGTATATCTCCCAATGCTATCCCTCCCCCCTCCCCCGACCCCACCACAGTCCCCAGAGTGTGATATTCCCCTTTCTGTGTCCATGTGATCTCATTGTTCAGTTCCCACCTATGAGTGAGAATATGCGGTGTTTGGTTTTTTGTTCTTGCGATAGTTTACTGAGAATGATGGTTTCCAATTTCATCCATGTCCCTACAAAGGATATGAACTCATCATTTTTTATGGCTGCATAGTATTCCATGGTGTATATGTGCCACATTTTCTTAATCCAGTCTATCATTGTTGGACATTTGGGTTGGTTCCAAGTCTTTGCTATTGTGAATAGTGCCGCAATAAACATACGTGTGCATGTGTCTTTATAGCAGCATGATTTATAGCCCTTTGGGTATATACCCAGTAATGGGATGGCTGGGTCAAATGGTATTTCTAGTTCTAGATCCCTGAGGAATCACCACACTGACTTCCACAATGGTTGAACTAGTTTACAGTCCCACCAACAGTGTAAAAGTGTTCCTATTTCTCCACATCCTCTCCAGCACCTGCTGTTTCCTGACTTTTTAATGATTGCCATTCTAACTGGTGTGAGATGATATCTCATAGTGGTTTTGATTTGCATTTCTCTGATGGCCAGTGATGATGAGCATTTCTTCATGTGTTTTTTGGCTGCATAAATGTCTTCTTTAGAGAAGTGTCTGTTCATGTCCTTCGCCCACTTTTTGATGGGGTTGTTTGTTTTTTTCTTGTAAATTTGTTTGAGTTCATTGTAGATTCTGGATATTAGCCCTTTGTCAGATGAGTAGGTTGCGAAAATTTTCTCCCATGTTGTAGGTTGCCTGTTCACTCTGATGGTAGTTTCTTTTGCTGTGCAGAAGCTCTTTAGTTTAATTAGATCCCATTTGTCAATTTTGGCTTTTGTTGCCATTGCTTTTGGTGTTTTGGACATGAAGTCCTTGCCCACGCCTATGCCCTGAATGGTAATGCCTAGGTTTTCTTCTAGGGTTTTTATGGTTTTAGGTCTAACGTTTAAATCTTTAATCCATCTTGAATTGATTTTTGTATAAGGTGTAAGGAAGGGATCCAGTTTCAGCTTTCTACATATGGCTAGCCAGTTTTCCCAGCACCATTTATTAAATAGGGAATCCTTTCCCCATTGCTTGTTTTTCTCAGGTTTGTCAAAGATCAGATAGTTGTAGATATGCGGCATTATTTCTGAGGGCTCTGTTCTGTTCCATTGATCTATATCTCTGTTTTGGTACCAGTACCATGCTGTTTTGGTTACTGTAGCCTTGTAGTATAGTTTGAAGTCAGGTAGTGTGATGCCTCCAGCTTTGTTCTTTTGGCTTAGGATTGACTTGGCAATGCGGGCTCTTTTTTGGTTCCATATGAACTTTAAAGTAGTTTTTTCCAATTCTTTGAAGAAAGTCATTGGTAGCTTGATGGGGATGGCATTGAATCTGTAAATTACCTTGGGCAGTATGGCCATTTTCACGATATTGATTCTTCCTACCCATGAGCATGGAATGTTCTTCCATTTGTTTGTGTCCTCTTTTATTTCCTTGAGCAGTGGTTTGTAGTTCTCCTTGAAGAGGTCCTTCACATCCCTTGTAAGTTGGATTCCTAGGTATTTTATTCTCTTTGAAGCAATTGTGAATGGGAGTTCACCCATGATTTGGCTCTCTGTTTGTCTGTTGTTGGTGTATAAGAATGCTTGTGATTTTTGTACATTGATTTTTTATCCTGAGACTTTGCTGAAGTTGCTTATCAGCTTAAGGAGATTTTGGGCTGAGACGATGGGGTTTTCTAGATAAACAATCATGTCGTTTGCAAACAGGGACAATTTGACTTCCTCTTTTCCTAATTGAATACCCTTTATTTCCTTCTCCTGCCTGATTGCCCTGGCCAGAACTTCCAACACTATGTTGAATACGAGTGGTGAGAGAGGGCATCCCTGTCTTGTGCCAGTTTTCAAAGGGAATGCTTCCAGTTTTTGCCCATTCAGTATGATATTGGCTGTGGGTTTGTCATAGATAGCTCTTATTATTTTGAAATACGTCCCATCAATACCTAATTTATTGAGCGTTTTTAGCATGAAGGGTTGTTGAATTTTGTCAAAGGCTTTTTCTGCATCTATTGAGATAATCATGTGGTTTTTGTCTTTGGCTCTGTTTATATGCTGGATTACATTTATTGATTTGCGTATATTGAACCAGCCTTGCATCCCAGGGATGAAGCCCACTTGATCATGGTGGATAAGCTTTTTGATGTGCTGCTGGATTCGGTTTGCCAGTATTTTATTGAGGATTTTTGCATCAATGTTCATCAAGGATATTGGTCTAAAATTCTCTTTTTTGGTTGTGTCTCTGCCCGGCTTTGGTATCAGAATGATGCTGGCCTCATAAAATGAGTTAGGGAGGATTCCCTCTCTTTCTATTGATTGGAATAGTTTCAGAAGGAATGGTACCAGTTCCTCCTTGTACCTCTGGTAGAATTCGGCTGTGAATCCATGTGGTCCTGGACTCTTTTTGGTTGGTAAACTATTGATTATTGCCACAATTTCAGATCCTGTTATTGGTCTATTCAGAGATTCAACTTCTTCCTGGTTTAGTCTTGGGAGAGTGTATGTGTCGAGGAATGTATCCATTTCTTCTAGATTTTCTAGTTTATTTGCGTAGAGGTATTTGTAGTATTTGCTGAAGGTAGTTTGTATTTCTGTGGGATTGGTGGTGATATCCCCTTTATCATTTTTTATTGTGTCTATTTGATTCTTCTCTCTTTTTTTCTTTATTAGTCTTGCTAGCGGTCTATCAATTTTGTTGATCCTTTCAAAAAACCAGCTCCTGGATTCGTTGATTTTTTGAAGGGTTTTTTGTGTCTCTATTTCCTTCAGTTCTGCTCTGATTTTAGTTATTTCTTGCCTTCTGCTAGCTTTTGAATGTGTTTGCTCTTGCTTTTCTAGTTCTTTTAATTGTGATGTTAGGGTGTCAATTTTGGATCTTTCCTGCTTTCTCTTGTAGGCATTTAGTGCTATAAATTTCCCTCTACACACTGCTTTGAATGCGTCCCAGAGATTCTGGTATGTGGTGTCTTTTTTCTCGTTGGTTTCAAAGAACATCTTTATTTCTGCCTTCATTTCGTTATGTACCCAGTAGTCATTCAGGAGCAGGTTGTTCAGTTTCCATGTAGTTGAGCGGCTTTGAGTGAGATTCTTAATCCTGAGTTCTAGTTTGATTGCACTGTGGTCTGAGAGATAGTTTGTTATAATTTCTGTTCTTTTACATTTGCTGAGGAGAGCTTTACTTCCAACTATGTGGTCAATTTTGGAATAGGTGTGGTGTGGTGCTGAAAAAAATGTATATTCTGTTGATTTGGGGTGGAGAGTTCTGTAGATGTCTATTAGGTCTGCTTGGTGCAGAGCTGAGTTGAATTCCTGGTTATCCTTGTTGACTTTCTGTCTCGTTGATCTGTCTAATGTTGACAGTGGGGTGTTAACGTCTCCCATTATTAATGTGTGGGAGTCTAAGTCTCTTTGTAGGTCACTGAGGACTTGCTTTATGAATCTGGGTGCTCCTGTATTGGTTGCATAAATATTTAGGATAGTTAGCTCTTCTTGTTGAATTGATCCCTTTACCATTATGTAATGGCCTTCTTTGTCTCTTTTGATCTTTGTTGGTTTAAAGTCTGTTTTATCAGAGACTAGGATTGCAACCCCTGCCTTTTTTTGTTTTCCATTTGCTTGGTAGATCTTCCTCCATCCTTTTATTTTGAGCCTATGTGTGTCTCTGCACGTGAGATGGGTTTCCTGAATACAGCACACTGATGGGTCTTGACTCTTTATCCAACTTGCCAGTCTGTGTCTTTTAATTGCAGAATTTAGTCCATTTATATTTAAAGTTAATATTGTTATGTGTGAATTTGATCCTGTCATTATGATGTTAGCTGGTGATTTTGCTCATTAGTTGATGCAGTTTCTTCCTAGTCTTGATGGTCTTTACATTTTGGCATGATTTTGCAGCGGCTGGTACCGGTTGTTCCTTTCCATGTTTAGCGCTTCCTTCAGGAGCTCTTTTAGGGCAGGCCTGGTGGTGACAAAATCTCTCAGCATTTGCTTGTCTATAAAGTATTTTATTTCTCCTTCACTTATGAAGCTTAGTTTGGCTGGATATGAAATTCTGGGTTGAAAATTCTTTTCTTTAAGAATGTTGAATATTGGCCCCCATTCTCTTCTGGCTTGTAGGGTTTCCGCCGAGAGATCCGCTGTTAGTCTGATGGGCTTTCCTTTGAGGGTAACCCGACCTTTCTCTCTGGCTGCCCTTAACATTTTTTCCTTCATTTCAACTTTGGTGAATCTGACAATTATGTGTCTTGGAGTTGCTCTTCTCGAGGAGTATCTTTGTGGCGTTCTCTGTATTTCCTGAATCTGAATGTTGGCCTGCCTTGCTAGATCGGGGAAGTTCTCCTGGATAATATCCTGCAGAGTGTTTTCCAACTTAGTTCCATTCTCCACATCACTTTCAGGTACACCAATCAGATGTAGATTTGGTCTTTTCACATAGTCCCATATTTCTTGGAGGCTTTGCTCATTTCTTTTTATTCTTTTTTCTCTAAACTTCCCTTCTCGCTTCATTTCATTCATTTCATCTTCCATTGCTGATACCCTTTCTTCCAGTTGATCGCATCGGCTCCTGAGGCTTCTGCATTCTTCACGTAGTTCTCGAGCCTTGGTTTTCAGCTCCATCAGCTCCTTTAAGCACTTCTCTGTATTGGTTATTCTAGTTATACATTCTTCTAAATTTTTTTCAAAGTTTTCAACTTCTTTGCCTTTGGTTTGAATGTCCTCCCGTAGCTCAGATTAATTTGATCGTCTGAAGCCTTCTTCTCTCAGCTCGTCAAAATCATTCTCCATCCAGCTTTGTTCTGTTGCTGGTGAGGAACTGCGTTCCTTTGGAGGAGGAGAGGCGCTCTACATTTTAGAGTTTCCAGTTTTTCTGTTCTGTTTTTTCCCCATCTTTGTGGTTTTATCTACTTTTGGTCTTTGATGATGGTGATGTACAGATGGGTTTTCGGTGTAGATGTCCTTTCTGGTTGTTAGTTTTCCTTCTAACAGACAGGACCCTCAGCTGCAGGTCTGTTGGAATACCCTGCCTTGTGAGGTGTCAGTGTGCCCCTGCTGGGGGGTGCCTCCCAGTTAGGCTGCTCGGGGGTCAGGGGTCAGGGACCCACTTGAGGAGGCAGTCTGCCCGTTCTCAGATCTCCAGCTGCATGCTGGGAGAACCACTGCTCTCTTCAAAGCTGTCAGACAGGGACGTTTAAGTCTGCAGAGGTTACTGCTGTCTTTTTGTTTGTCTGTGCCCTGCCCCCAAAGGTGGAGCCTACAGAGGCAGGCAGGCCTCCTTGAGCTGTGGTGGGCTCCACCCAGTTCGAGCTTCCCAGCTGCTTTGTTTACCTAAGCAAGCCTGGGCAATGGCGGGCGCCCCTCCCCCAGCCTCGTTGCCGCCTTGCAGTTTGATCTCAGACTGCTGTGCTAGCAATCAGCTCGATTCCGTGGGCGTAGGACCCTCTGAGCCAGGTGTGGGATATAGTCTCGTGGTGCGCCGTTTCTTAAGCCGGTCTGAAAAGTGCAATATTCGGGTGGGAGTGACCCGATTTTCCAGGTGCGTCTGTCACCCCTTTCTTTGACTCGGAAAGGGAACTCCCTGACCCCTTGCGCTTCCCAGGTGAGGCAATGCCTCGCCCTGCTTCGGCTCGCGCACGGTGCGCACACACACTGGCCTGCGCCCACTGTCTGGCACTCCCTAGTGAGATGAACCCGGTACCTCAGATGGAAATGCAGAAATCACCCGTCTTCTGCGTCGCTCACGCTGGGAGCTGTAGACCGGAGCTGTTCCTATTCGACCATCTTGGCTCCTCCCCTGATCTTAGTTATTTCTTGCCTTCTGCTAGCTTTTGAATGTGTTTGCTCTTGCTTTTCTAGTTCTTCTAATTGTGATGTTAGGGTGTCGATTTTAGATCTTTCCTGCTTTCTCTTGTGGGCATTTAGTGCTATAAATTTCCCTCTACACACTGCTTTGAATGTGTCCCAGAGATTCTGGTATGTTGTATCTTTGTTCTCATTGGTTTCAAAGAACATCTTTATTTCTACCTTCATTTCATTATTTACCCAGTAGTCATTCAGCAGCAGGTTTTTCAGTTTCCATGTAGTTGAGCAGTTTTGAGTGAGTTTCTTAATCCTGAGTTCTAGTTTGATTGCACTGTGGTCTGAGAGACAGTTTGTTATAATTTCTGTTCTTTTACATTTGCTGAGGAGTGCTTTACTTCCAACTATGTGGTCAATTTTGGAGTAGGTGTTGTGTGGTGCTGAAAAGAATGTATATTCTTTTGATTTGGGGTGGAGAGTTCTGTAGATGTCTATTAGGTCCATTTGGTGCAGAGCTGAGTTCAATTCCTGGGTATCCTTGTTAACTTTCTGTCTCGTTGATCTGTCTAATGTTGACAGTGAGGTGTTAAAGTCTCCCATTATTATTATGTGGGCCTCTAAGTCTCTTTGTATTTCAGTAAGGACTTGCTTTATGAATCTGGGAGCTCCTGTATTGGGTGCATATATATTTAGGATAGTTAGCTCTTCTTGTTGAATTGATCCCTTTACCATTATGTAATGGCCTTCTTTGTCTCTTTTGATCTTTGTTGGTTTAAAGTCTGTTTTATCAGAGACTAGGATTGCAACCCTTGCCTTTTTTTGTTTTCCATTTGCCTGGTAGATCTTCCTCCATCCCTTTATTTTGAGCCTATGTGTGTCTCTGCACATGAGATGGGTTTCCTGAATGCAGCACACTGATGGGTCTTGACTCTTTATCCAATTTGCCAGTCTGTGTCTTTTAATTGGAGCATTTAGCCCATTTACATTTAAGGTTAATATTGTTATGTGTGAATTTAATCCTGTCATGAAGATGTTAGCTGGTGATTTTGCTCATTAGTTGATGCAGTTTCTTCCTAGCCTTGATGGTCTTTACAATTTGGCATGTTTTTGCAGTGGCTGGTACTGGTTGTTCCTTTCCATGTTTAGGGCTTCCTTGAGGAGCTCTTTTAGGGCAGGCCTGGTGGACACAAAATCTCTCAGCATTGGCTTGTCTGTAAAGTATTTTATTTCTTCTTCACTTATGAAGCTTAGTTTGGCTGGATATGAAATTCTGGGTTGAAAATTCTTTTCTTTAAGAATGTTGAATATTGGTCCCTTCTCTCTTCTGGCTTGTAGACTTTCTGCCAAGAGAGCTGCTGTTAGTCTGATAGGCTTCCCTTTTTGGGTAACCTGACCTTTCTCTCTGGCTGCCCTTAACATTTTTTCCTTCATTTCAACTTTGGTGAATCTGACAATTATGTGTCTTAGAGTTGCTCTTCTCGAGGAGTATCTTTGTGGCATTCTCTGTATTTCCTGAATTTGAATGTTGACCTGCCTTACTAGATTGGGGAAGTTCTCCTGGATAATATCCTGCAGAGTGTTTTCCGACTTGGTTCCATTCTCCCCTTCACTTTCAGGTACACCAATCAGACGTAGATTTGGTCGTTTCACATAGTCCCATATTTCTTGGAGGCTCTGTTCATTTCTTTTTATTCTTTTTTCTCTAATCTTCTCTTCATGCTTCATTTCATTCATTTCATCTTCCATCACTGATACCCTTTCTTCCAGTTAATTGCATTGGCTACTGAGGCTTCTGCATTCGTCACATAGTTCTTGTGGTATGGTTTTCAGCTCCATCAGGTCCTTTAAGGACTTCTCTGCATTGGTTATTCTAGTTAGCCATTCATCTAATTTTTTTTCAAAGCTTTTAACTTCTTTGCCATTGGTTCGAATTTCCTCCTTTAGCTCGGAGTTGTTTGATCGTCTGAAGCCTTCTTCTCTCAACTCGTCAAAGTCATTCTCCATCCAGCTTTGTTCTGTTGCTGGTGAGGAACTGCATTCCTTTGGAGGAGGAGAGGCGCTCTGATTTTTAGAGTTTCCAGTTTTTCTGCTCTGTTTTTTCCCCATCTTTGTGGTTTTATCTACCTTTGGTCTTTGATGACGGTTACGTACAGATGGGTTTTTGGTGTGGATATCCTTTCTGTTTGTTAGTTTTCCTTCTAACAGACAGGACCCTCAGCTGCAGGTCTGTCAGAGTTTGCTAGACGTCCACTCCAGACCCTGTTTGCCTGGGTATCAGCAGCGGTGGCTGCAGAACAGTGGATATTGGTGAACCGCAGATGCTGCTGCCTGATTGT
This sequence comes from Homo sapiens, assembly GCF_000001405.40. Lineage (NCBI taxonomy): Eukaryota > Metazoa > Chordata > Mammalia > Primates > Hominidae > Homo > Homo sapiens. The sequence goes on from NC_000001.11 coordinate 166,251,425, forward strand.
TCCTCTGGAAGTTTTGTCTCAGAGGAGTACCTGGCCGTGTGAGGTGTCAGTCCGCCCCTACTGGGGTGTGCCTCCCAGTTAGGCTACTCGGGGGTCAGGGACCCACTTAAGGAGGCAGTCTGTCCATTCTCAGATCTCAAGCTGCGTGCTGGGAGAACCATTACTCTCTTCAAAGCTGTCAGAGAGGGACATCTAAGTCTACAGAGGATACTGCTGTCTTTTTATTTGTCTGTGTCCTGCCCCCAGAGGTGGAGCCTATAGAGGCAAGCAGGCCTCCTTCAGCTGTGGTGGGCTCCACCCCGTTCGAGCTTCTGGTCACTTTGTTTACCTAATCAAACAGCTAACTCGGCAATGGCGGGCGCCCCTCCCCCAGCCTCGCTGCCACCTTGCAGTTTGATCTCAGACTGCTGTGCTAGCAATGAGCGAGACTCCGTGGGCGTAGGACCCTCTGAACCAGATGCGGGATATAATCTCCTGGTGTGCCCTTTTTTAAGCCCGTTGGAAAAGCGCAGTATTAGGGTGGGAGTGACCTGATTTTCCAGGTGCCCTCTGTCACCGCTTTCTTTGACTAGGAAAGGGAATTCCCTGACCTCTTGTGCTTCCCGGGTGAGGTGATTCCTCGCCCTGCTTTGGCTTGCACATGGTGCGCTGCACCCACTGTCCTGCACCTACTATCTGGCACTCCCCAGTGAGATGAACCCGGTACCTCAGTTGGAAATGCAGAAATCACCCATCTGCTGCGTTGCTCATGCTGGGAGCTGTAGACTGGAGGTGTTCCTATTTGGCCATCTTGGCTCCTCCCCCTGTTTTTTTATTTTTATTTTTTTGAGACAGAATCTTGCCTTCTTGCCCAGGCTAGAGTGCAGTGGCACTCCCTTGGCTCACTGCAACCTCCACTTCCCAGATTCAAGCCATTATCCTGCCTCAGCCTCCTGAGTAGCTAGGATTACAGCCACACCACCACACCCGGCAAATTTTTGTATTTTCAGTAGAGACAGGGTTTCACTATGTGGGTCAGGCTGGTCTCGAATTCCTGACCTCGTGATCCGCCCGTCTCAGCCTCCCAAAGTGCTGGGATTACAGGCGTGAGCCATGGCACCCAGCTACATTTGCTTTTTTTTTTTTTTAAACTTACGTCTTTTTTTGATATTCTTTAGTGATAAGATATGGTCATCATATCTTCTCTTCTTTAAGCATGGATTATTTGAGATATATACATAAATATATACACATCCATACACACAGATGGCCCCCAACTTATAATGCCTTGACTTAGGATTTTTTGTCTTTACAATGGTGCCAAAATAATATGCATTCAGCAGAAACCATATTTTGAGTACCCACATAACCATTTTGTTTTCATTTTCGATAGAGTATTCAATTAATTACATGAGATATTCAACACTTTATTATAACATAGGGTTTGTGTTAGATGGTTTTGACCAAGTGTAGGCTAATGCAAGTGTTCTGAGCATGTTTAAGGTACGCTAAGCTAAGTTACGATGTTAGGTAGGTTAGGTGTATTCAATGCATTTTCAGCATATGATATTTTCAATTTACAATGGGTTTATTTGGACATAGTCATGTCATAAATCAAGGAGCATATATATATATGAAGTCTTTTTTGTTAAGTTAAATATTTGTGTCATCTTGTGGGTGTTTATTTTGTATCTTGATTTTTCTCATCACTTTGGTGATACTTTCCTCATTTTAGATAATGTAGCAACTCTGGATACCAACTGCCACCTTTTTCTGTGGCATGATGTTATTGTTTGCTTGTTTATTTTAGTGACTTGGCTGGCATATTTTAGTATGTCTATTTCTTCTGCAATGTGAAACCTCTCATCTGGCTTCCAGAGGGCAGAGCCTTGGGCATGTGCAGTCACCCTGGGATTATAGTTGTTTTAACAAGTCTCTTTTTGACTTTCTCTTTCCCTGATCTTTCTGTTAAACTATCTGCCTCTCTAGGTATTATGCCTAAATATTGGGCTCCATTAATTGCTGGTTGATTACTTTATTATTTACAACATTGCTCCACAGTCTGATCAAATTAAATTCAGGCCTATTAGCAGGAGCTGTTTTTGAGCTAGGTTTTGAGGTTTGTTCTAATCCTATGAGGATTCTTTTGGCTGTATTCCTCCCTAGTTCTCTCTGGCAAAATATCTGGCCTGTGGTTTAGTTAGGTCATCTCATGGAACTAGCAGCATTAAAAAAACTGCTTACTACTAAAATCCTCATTGTTTTTGAAAGTCCCCTTAGGCTTGACCTTCCCAACACTATCAGTGACTTCTGATTGAAGTGACTTCCCTTTTGGGGAGCCTTGGGGCTCTTTTCTTTATGACCTGCTTCTTTCCCTGGGAAAAGTCTCTCTGCCACTGTTTTGGAGCTGTGGACAGGGATAGTAGCCCACTTCTCTTGGAGAGAGTCCTGCTATACACACAGGCTACTGGGCAGAGTTTGTGGTAGCTTCTGGTCTTCTCAGCTTCCTTCTGCTAGTGTGGAACATATATCTTACAATGTACTGGGCTAAAGGTGAATGGGATCTCATTATTCTCAGCCTACTCTGTCTAGGGTAGAGTCTCCACCAAATGAATGTGGGCTGGGTGGAAGACAGAAGCCCCTGACCAACAGGGGTTATACTTGTATGGAATTTAGCCTCTGTAACATAGTACTGGTGTGTGCGTGTGTGTGTGTGTATGCGTGTGTGCCTGTGTGTGTGCACATGTGTGCACAGTAATGAGAGATGCTGGTGGCCTGCTCCTCTTGGGAAGATACTGTGGCCCTTGACTGGGAGCTTAGGGGAAAGGGAATCTCATCTTTTTGGCCATACTTTTTTAGTGATGAATTTTCTTTTTGTTTTTAAATTTTTCTTATATGATCTGGCCTTACTGAATCATGGAGTGGGATATTCATCACAATGAGCTGGAAACAAGGAGAGAGAAGGTGCAGGTTGTGGATAAAGTGTCACATATTCTTGCTGTTATTATGGTATTTAGTAGTTCACTTAGGCTAGGCTGGACTCCAAGCCTCAGGTTTGGTTTAGATCTGCTACATTTTTATTCAACATTTCTAGGGTCTGTGATTACCCATTCATATTTCTTTCATGGTAGAATGCAGAAGCATAAGAAGCCCAGACAAACCACTCAAGCACATTTAAAGCCTCTCCTTAAATTCTGTCTCTAATTATCCTTTTGTCAAGGCAGTTACATTGCCAAGCCCAAAGTCAATGGGGAAGGGATGTGTACTCTATTTTATTGGTAAATACAGCAAGGTCACATAGCAGAGAGAGAAAATGAAGACTTTGGGAAAATAATTTGATTTATCTCAGAGGTCAGTTGTGATTCTGCCTTAAAGCCTTTATACTTGTTGTTTTCTCTGTCTGGATGTTTCTTTCACCTGATATCCTCTTGGCTTCACTTCTTTCATGAATCTGTTCAAGTATTTGTTACCTTGAAAAAAAGTTTTTCTCTGATCATCTGTGTCAGCTTGGGTCTCCCTGGAAGCAGAGGCTAAGATAGAATTAGAGGTTTAAGAGATTTTTGGGAGGAGTGCCTATGAAGGAAACATGGAATGGGGAGGAGAAGTAGACAGAAATAGGCTTCAGGATGCAATGCAGGTATGATACCTCTGATAGAAGAGGGGGATAAAAGAAGTATTGTATAAAAAGAGTTTCAGAGTATAATGCAGCTCTGAAAAATTTCAGCCAGGTCTATGAGGAGTCACATAGTAAGCATCGCCTACTAAAGAAAAGAATTTATGGGATAATTCTGGCTTACATAAAGCATCTTATAGTTATAATCTACAATTTTAAGCTGAAAACAACTTAATTTCTATTGCATACAAAAACTCTAGCCTTTTCTGTCTTCCTCCACAATTTGTTTTTAATGTCACAATTTACATATTTTAGAGTGTGCATTCCTTAAAAGCTTATTGTACCTTTTGTTATTTTTGACTGTTTTGACTTTTAGTCTTTTTGAAATATATATATATATATCTATATATATATATATATAGATATATATAGATATATATGATTTACATACCACCATTACAGTATTGGAATATTCTGGATTTGACTATGTATTTACCTCTATAGTGAGTTTTACACTTTCATATGTATTCCTGATAGTAATTATCATCCTTTTGTTTCCACTTAAAGAACTTCCTTAGGCATTTTTTGTAAGAGAGGTCTAGTGATAATGAATTCCCTCAGCTTTTGCTTGTCTATGAAATACTATATTTTTCCTTCTTTTATGAAGGACAGCTTTTCTGAGTATAATATTCTTGACTGACAGTATTTTTTTCTTTCAGCATTTTGAATATATTATTCTACTTGCTCTTGGCCTGCAAAGTTTCTGCTGAGAAACCTCCTAACAGTCTAATGAGGATTCCTTATGTGACTTGACATTATTCTCTTGCTGCTTTATAATTCTCTGTCTTTGACTTTAGTCAGTTTTATTATAATATTCTTTAAGAGGACCCCTTTAGGTGGAATCTATTTAGGGACTTTTGAGCTTTGTGGATTTGGACATCCATATCTCTTCCAATACTTAGGAACTTTTTAGGAACTATTTCATTAAACAGGATTTCTGTCCATTTCTCTTCTCTTTTTTGAAATCCCATAATGTGAATATTTGTTGCTTAATGTCATCTTATAGGTTCCATTAGGCTGTCTTCACTCTTTTTCATTCTTTTTTCTTTCTTTCCTCTGACTGAGTCATTTCAGAAGACCTATGTTTAAGTTCCCAGATTCTTTCTTCTGCTTGATCTAGCCTGCTGTTGAATTTCTTGGTTGTATTTTTATTTCATTGATTGAATTCTTCAGCTCCAAGCTTTCTGTTTGGCTCTTTTAAAAAATATATTATCTATTTCTTTGTTAAATTTCTCATTGAAAGCATGAATCATTTTTCTGATTTTATTAATTATCTATTTGTATTCTCTTGTATCTCACTGAGTTTTCTTAAAATTATAATTTTGAATTTCTTTTCAGGAAACTCATAAATGTCTGCTTCTTTGGCATCAGTTACTGGATAATTACTGTGTTCCTTTGGTGGAGTCATGTTTCCTTGTATTTTGGTATGCATTTTGGTGCTATGGTATTTTCATGCATCTTGTGTTCCTGCACTGATGTCTGCATATCTGGTGGTGTGGTCTCCTCTTCCAGGCTTTACAGAGTGGCTTTTGTAGAGAAAGACTTTCACCTGTAGATGGGCCTGAGGGTTTCAGTTGGGCAGGATGCAGTGGCTCTGGTTTCATATGGATACAGTTGTGTAGTTTTTGTGCAGCTTCTTCGGTTATGATAAATGTTAGCAATGACTGGGGGTTTCAGTAGTCTAGGTTACAGGAATTTGTGGCAGTGATGGTGGCTGCATGGGTTATTTGGGTAAGGGATTTAGGAATCCTCCTGTTTTTGTCTTCCTCACAGTGGGGACTTATCTGAGAAGATCTCTCTTGGTATTGGTCTGACATGGCTCACAGGTAGTGACAGCAGCACTAGAATCCAGGGCACAGGTGCTCATGGGTGCTATGGAGCTGGGTTTCTGAACTCAGGGTCTTGTGAAACTACTACAGCACTTGAGACTTGAGGTACAGGTTCACTCTCCAAGGTATGAGTGAATGCAGTTCTCCCACTAAGCCAGAGTCGGTCATTCTGCAGCATATCTCAGCAGCTTGAGCCCAGGAGGCACGATATAGCTGTGATTCTGACCCTGGGAGGTGGGACAAAGTAATGGCATTGATCCAGGGAAAAAAGAGTGCTCTGGAGGCTCAAGCTCTGGGGAGCAGAGCACAACTGCAATTCAGGTCCCAGAACCAACAGGGCACAGTGACAGCTTAGACTCCAGGGGATGAAGTACCACACAATGTTGACTCTGGGTTCAGAGATAATGGGACATAGCAGTAGTCCAGGCTCTGTTAGGCCAAGTGAAACAGCACCAATGACCCAGGAATGGCAAGATGCTGCTGTGGCTTGGGCCTTGGCTGATGGGGAGCAGTGCAGTGATAACTCCATTCCCTGGAGAGGCGCAGTGCCATAGCAGCTTGAACTGTGAGGAGCTCATGAAATTCTAGGTAGGAGAGGTACTGTGGCTGTTCAGCCTGGAAGGCAGGGTGACACCTCAACAAAAGCTCTGATTCCCTGAAACATGAGGCACCACATCTATTTGGCCCGAAAAGTCACAGCTACATGGGTCAGTGGAGCCTCTAGATCCCTAGAGGCGGGGCATCATGTCAACTATGGTGCTGTGGAGTGCAACTGCTCCACTGTGCCAGAAGCTTGAAGTCCCTTGTGGGGCAGAGTGCTCCCTTACCTGTGGCATAGGGGTCCGTGTGACTGCTCTGGTGTGCAGGAAACCTGAAGACCTGGGGTGGGAGGAATGGAGTGCTGCCTCAGTTGTGGCACCAGGGACACAAGTGCTCTGGTGTGCAGAAAACCTGAGGTCCCTGGGGGATAAAGTTCTATATCTAAGGTCCCTGAGGGATGAAGTGCTATGTCTGCTTTTGTGAGTGCTTCAGTGTTCTGGAGTCCTGAAGTCCTCAGGGGTTGAAGTAGGCCTTGGCTGTGGTACCAGGGGAACAACTGCTCTAGTAGTTTGAGGCTCTGGGTCCCTAATAGTGGGGCACGGCTTCAGGTTGGCCCTAAGGGGAGTGTGCAGCAGTGGTTGGGATGGGGAGAATGGAGTATCTCCATGGCTAATTGGCTCTAGGAAGTAGAGCATAGCAGCAATTCTGCTTGGGTCTGGTGTGCTACTGCGTGGGTGTAATGCAGTGGTGGCTGAGCCTCAGGGGTGGAGGAATGCAATGGCTACTTGTCCCCAGTGTAGGACACACTCTAGCGGTGGCTCTGGTTGCAGGATGACACAGGGCAGTAGCAGCATGGGCTTCTTTGGGGGTAGCTCAACATGTGGACTCCAGAGAGTTCCCTCAGCTGGGTTCAGAGCCTGTGAGAACTGTAGGAGCCTCTAGTAATAGAAGTAGTAGAAGTAGGAGTCAACAGTGGTTTGAGGGTTACTGGGGTCCTCTTGCTTACCTTTTCCTTGCAGAAAGAAGTCCTTCCTGGTTCTGAGCTGATCCCAATTGAGGGGATAGAGTGGCTGGGGAAAGGTGTTTTCTCCCCTTCGCTATGTGGCCATCCTGAATTTCTGTGCTCTACAGGATTTCTTTTGGGTTTTTATTGTTCTCTGGTATACTCCATCAGTTATTTTGGTTAAAATGTTATGGTTTTTTTTTTTTAGTTGTGGAGGTAGAGCTCTAGTAGCTTCTAGTCAGCTATCTTACTGACATCCAATTTTGGGAACACTGATATTTTTTGATGTTAAATTTTAAGATAGAAATAAGTTATACCTATATATTTGTTCCATATTGTTTTATATTTTTCAATAACTTTTCTCCTTTAAAATTTTATATTTTTCTACATCAGTCTTGTGCTTTTGTTGTGACCTTTATTCTTAAGCATTTTCCAATTTTTTTACTATTGTAAATAAAACATTTTTACACATTAAATTTTCTAAGTGCTTATTGCCAGAATAGCTAACAGTTTATTACTTTTATGTTTATTTTTTTGTTTAGCTATAATTATATATCTATAACATAATTTCTGTTGATATGATTGTATTTGTTTTTTCTTTGTCTACTTTATTTGCCTAAATATAAAAGAAGTAAAGTCTCTCACCATCTTTAAATTTTTATTACATTCTCCTTGCATTTCTAATTTTTCTCTTTACATCCGTTTCTTGCAATCTATTGGGTTTGTGTATTTATCTTGTGTCCAGCCCTTTGCCAAAATCTCTTCTGTTAATTTTACTAGCTTTTCTTTGGTTTTCTAGATATATAATCATATCATTGGCAAAAAGACATAGTATTAACTCTTCTTTTCCAATGCCTATGACAATTATTATTATTTTATTGTTATTTTGCTTTGGCTAAAACTTCCAAGATGGTGTTGAATAATATTAACATTGAGAGTAAGCATTTCTGATTTTTTTTTTTAATTTTGTTTTAACATTTAGAATAATGTTTGCTGTTGACTTTGGTAAATAGTATTTATTTTGCCTAATGGGTCTATAATATACCTATTGTACTTAGATTTTTCTAAAAAAAGAAATACATGCTAAATGATTTCAAATGCCCTTTTAGCATTTACTGATGTAATTACATGATCTTTTTCTTTTTAATTTGTTAATAAAATTTATTGTGTTGATAGATTCTAATGTTGAATGCTCTTGTATTCATAGAACAAGCCTTGCTTGTTTGTTGAACAGAAAACCTTTCATCTTTTGGTATAGTATTTGCTTCTATTTGTTAATTTTTATTTTAAAATTTGCACCTATATTTGTAAGTGAGATTGGTTTACAGCTTCGTTTTTTGTAATACTATTTTAAAAGCAAGTTTTACTGTTAAGGTTGTATTGCCTTCTTGCTATACTTACCTAAGCCTTAGCATAGCTTTCAAAATACTGATAACTATTTAAAATTTAGATAAAGCTTAGCCATAAATCTATCTAATCCTGATGACTAAAAATGTTAGGTCATTATTTTTTTTCAATCCTTTTTTGTGGCAAATTGTCGATTAAAAATTTTCATTGATTTTTGGATAAATTTTGTTAATTTATATTTGCCTAGGGTATTATCTATTACCTTTGGGTTTTCATAAAAAAGAATGTAGTATTCTCTTATATATATTTTCCAAAGTTGCTATTATTATATCTTTTTCCTTATTCCTATCTATTTTTGCTTTCCAGCTTTTTTCCTTAATCTGGGCCACAAGAGGTTCCTATTTTATTTTTATCTTTAGAGAACCAGCTTTTCTATTTATTTATACATTATCCTAATTTTATAATTTTTTGCTTTCTACTTTATTAACTTCAGTATTTATACTTATTTGTTCCTCCTGCTTAATATATTTGTTGTTCACATTAAAATTCCTTAAGTGCTAATGGCTTTTAATTTTCATCTTTAGAACACAAGTAGGTCTATACATTTTTTTCCTCACAGTACAGCTTTTTCTGTGTCTGTAGGTTTTGATATAAAGTATTATGTTATTTAATATTTATTGCTTTCTTTGTAGCTTACATATATTTTTAGATTTTCTGTTTTACCCAAAGATTAGTCATGAAAGCTTTTTAATTCCAAAATTTAAGATTTTCTTTTTATTACCTTTGCATTAGTCATTTCTACTTTTATTGAGTTTTGACTGAAAAATGAAGACCACTAAATATTGTTAAATCTACCTAAATATTTGCATAGAAGATATTCTTTGTGGCCAAGTACATGATTGATTTTTATAATTATTCAAAGAACATAAGAAAAAATAAGTACTTTTTGTTTGGTGGATTTGGGTTCTAAATGTATCTGTATTATAATTTTTACTGATTTGATTATTTAATTTTTTAAAGTCCTTTTTAAAATCTTTGTCTATTCAATTTGTGTAACTATGAAAGAGGTATAATGATGTCTCTCACTATCTAAAATATTAAGTTAATATTAAAATATTAAGTTCTCTTTGCATTTCTAATAGTTTTTGTCTTAAATATTTTGCTGCTGTAAGTACTTCAAGCACACAGGTTTACAATTCATACTGTCTTCATAAAGTATGCCTATGCCTTGTCTCAGTACCTAATGTTTTCCCTTCTTCCTGTTTAATACTTTTAAATGGAAATTTTACTTTGTCTGATATTAGCTCCTGCCTTTACAAATTGTTTTTTACTGCCTATTCCTCTAATTAATTAATATCCTCACTATTTTAGATATTTTTACAGTAAACAGCATATAGCCAGTTTCTCGCCATTTGATTCGTTTTTTGAGATAGAGTCTTGCTTTGTTATCCAGGCTGGAGTGCAGTGGCATGCAGCTCACTGCAACCTCTGCCTCCTGGGTTCAAGTGATTCTCCTTCCTCAGTCTCCTGAGTAGCTGGGATTACAGGTGCATGCCATCACGCCTGGCTAATTTTTGTATTTTAAGTAGAGATGGAGTTTCACCATGTTGGCCAGGCTGGTCTCAAACTCCTGACCTTAGATGATTCACCCACCTTGGCCTCCCAAAGTGCTGGGAGTACAGGCATAAGCCACAGCGCCTGGCCTTGTCTCTGATTCTTAATGGGAATTCAGTCATTTCACATCTATTAGAATGATTGATATACATGACTTTATTCCTCTTATGTTTATGTTTTAAAAAATTTTATTTCATATGGGGGAGAAGAGACAAATTTTGATTGCAGAATTTCAAATAATATATGTAGGTACTCCCCACTCCAGAAGGTGCAGTTTAATTCCTGCCTCACTCCCACGCCCCTGCCTTCTTGAGGGCTGGCTAAATTTAGTGAGTGGCTTCCAAAGAATAGAGTAAGGAAAGAGAATAATGGTAATTTTGTAACGGGGAGACCTGGCAAGCACGAAGTGATGAAGACTAACATCATTGTTGATATTTTGTGGATATCATGTACCCCTGATGTAATGTGAGAAGAGGGGCATTTCACTTTTGTAGTATTCTTTCCAAAATCCCAGAGCCCCATCTAACCATGGAGAAGGCATTAGAGAAACTCAAATTAGAGATATAAAAGTTATTTTATAGTGTTATTTTCTTATATTTGTTGGTTTGCTCAAGCTGCTCTTTATCCTATTCCCCATACACACCCCCGATGCCTTGTTAATTTGAAAGTTCTACTTTGCTTTTTTTTTTTTTTTTGAGATGGAGTTTCACTCTGTCACCCAGGCTGGAGTGCAGTGGCATGATCTTTGCCTCCTGGGTTCAAGCGATTCTCCTGCCTCAGCCTCCTGAGTAGCTGGGATTACAGGCACAACATCACCACGACTGGCTAATTTTTGTACTTTTAGTAGAGACAGGGTTTCACTATGTTGGTCAGGCTGGTCTCGAACTCCTGACCTTGTGATCTGCCCATCTCAGCCTCCCAAAGTGCTGGGATTACAGACGTGAGCCACTGCACCGGGCTGCTTTCCCTTTTATTAGCACTTGGTTCACTTTCTATACATCGATAATCAGACATACATTTTTTGCAGTATTGGAAAACAATGTCTCTACTGTTTCCTCCACCAAGATGTATATTTGCCCCTCCAAGACAGTCTATTCTCAGCTTTACTCTACCCTAATAAGATGAGAACTCAAAAGTTTTTACTTTACCTTATTTATCTCAACTGCTGGGTTTTTCTACTTCTAACCTTTAAAGTACTATTTTAAAAGTACACATGGCTGGGCATGGTAGCTCACGCCTGTAATCCCAGCACTTTGGGAGGCCGAGGCAGGCAGATCACCTGAGGTCAGGAGACAGAGACCATCCTAGGTAACACAATGAAACCCCGTCTCTACTGAAAATACAAAAAAATAGCTGGGCATGGTGGCATGCACCTGTAATCCCAGCTTCTCAGGAGGCTGAGGCAGGAGAATCACTTGAACCAGGAGATGGAGGTTGCAGTGAGCCGAGATCACGCCACTGCATGCCAGCCTGGGCAACAGAGACAGACTCCACCTCAAAAAAAAAAAAGTACATACAATTATTTCCTTGTAGTATATACCTTCTATTTCAAAAATCCTTTAAAAACATATATATTTCATATTCTTAGTAAGTTATTATCCACTTAGGTTTATTCACATATTAGTTCACAGCTCTTTGCTTACACTGTTTTTTCTCCTCTTATTTTTTTCTCCCTCTTGAAGTACCTGTTATAGTTCATTGGTTGTTTGCTAGACTCCCCCCTGATTTTCTTTTTTTCTTTCTTTCTTTATCTTTTTTTTTTTTTTCTGAGACGAAGTTTCACTTTTGTTGCCCAGACTGGAGCATAATGGCGTGATCTCAGCTCACTGCAACCTCCGCCTCCCGGGTTCAAGTGATTCTCCTGCCTCAGCCTCCTGAGTAGCTGCGATTACAGGCATGCGCCACCATGACTGGCTGATTTTTATATTTTTAGTAGAGATGGGGTTTCACCATGTTGGCCAGGCTGGTCTTGAACTCTTGACCTCAGGTGATCTGCCCACCTCGGCCTCCCAAAGTGCTGGAATTACAGGTGTGAGCCACCGCGCTTGGCTGAGTTCCCCTTAGATTTTCTGAAAGTGTGGGTAGTATAATTGAAAAAATTAATTTTTGGCTGAGTTTAGTGGCTCACACTGTAATCCCAGCACTTTGGGAGGCCAAGGTGGGAGGATTGCCTGAGCCCAGGAATTGGAGACCAGCCTGGGCAATATAGCATGACTCTGTCTCTACAAAAAAAAAAAAAAAAAAATTAGCCTGGTGCAGTGGCGCATGCCTGTGGTGGGAGGATTGATCCTTGAGCCCAGGAGGTGGAGGCTACAGTGACCTGTGGTTGTGCCACTGCATTCTAGCCTGGGTGATAGAGCAAAACCCTGTCTCAAAATAATAATAATAATGATAATAATAATTTTAAAAACACCTATGTTGAGATATAATTCACATAAAGTGTTCAGTTCTGTGGGTTTTAGTATGTTCACTCATGCAACTGTCACCACAATATAACTTTAGAACACTTTTGCAACCCTCAAAAGAAACCCTATGCCTATTAGCCTATTACCCATTCTCATCCCTCTTACCCTCACTAGCCCCAGACAATCACTGATATATTTGTGGTTTCTATAGATGTGCCTCTTCTGGGCATTTCATACAATATATGATCCATTGTGGCTGGCTTCTTTCATTTAGCATAATGTTTTCAAGGTACATCCATGTTACAGAATGCATCAATACTTCATTCTTTTTTATTGCAAAATAACATTCCATTATATGGATATGCCACATCTTGATGGGAATTTGAATTGTTTCCACTTTTTGATTTCTATAAATAATATTGTTATGAACATTCATGTGCAAGATTTTTTGTGAATGAATGTTGTCATTTTTCTTTGCTATATGCCTAGGAGTAGAATTGCTGGTTCATATGATAACCCTATGTTTAACTTTTTGAGGAACTGACAAACTATTTTCCATGTGACCAAACCATTTTACATTCTCATCACCAGCATATGAGGGCTTCAATCCCCCTAACATTTGTTATTGTCTTTTCTTATAGCCATCGAAGTAGTTGTGAAGCAGTATTTCATTGTGGTTTTGATATGTATTTCCCTAATGACTAATGATGGAATAATGATATTGAGCTTCTTTTCATGTGTTTATTGGCTATTTGTATATACCTTCTTTGAAGAAATGCCTATTTAGACCCTTTATGCATTTTAAAATTGGATTGTCTATCATTTTTAATATTGAATTGAAAAGAGTTTTAAAAGTATTTTTGATACAAATCTCTTGTCAAATACATGATTTGCAAATATTTTTTCTCATTTTATGGGTTGTCTCTTCACTTTCACGATGGTATCCTTTGAAGCACAAACATTTTTATTTTGATGACATCAAATTTGACTTTTTTTCCTTGTGATTTTAGTGTCATGTCTAAGAAACCATTGCTTGGCTGGGTGTGGTGGCTCATGCTTGTAATCCTAACACTTTGGGAGGCTGAGGTGGATGAATCACTTGAGTCCAGGTGTTTGAGACCAGCTTGGGCAACATGGCGAGAACTCATCTCTACAAAATATATATATATATAAATTAGCCAGGCACGGTGGCATGCATGTGTAGTCCCAGCTACCTGGAAAGTTGAGGTGTGAGGATCACTTGAGTCTGGGAGGGAGAGGTTGCAGTGAGCCAAGATCACACCATTGCACTCCAGCCTGGGCGACAGAGCAAGACCCTGTCTCTATAAAAAATAATAAATATAAAAATAAAAGAAACCATTGCTTCACTCTAGGTAATGAATGCTTACTCCTATGTTTTCTTCTAGGAGTTTTAAAGTTTTAGCTCTTATCTTTAGGTCTGTGATCCATTTTGAGTTAATTTATGGTGTTAAGTAGGGGCCCAACTTCATTCTTTTGTATGTGGATAGTCTCTGTAGATTCTTTTCCTAAGATGGGCTATGGGGGTGATAAACTCGATTCCTGGCATGTTCTCATGCATTTTTCTTTCATTCTGAGAAGTGAATAATTTTGACTGCGTGTAGGATCCTTGCTGCAGTCTCCCAGTGTCCATGGATGTTATTTTACTGTTTTTCAGGTTCTAAGGCTACAGTGAAGAAAACTGATGCCAGTCTGATTATTTTTCACTTATAGAGCTTATTCTCTTTTTATCTGAATGCTTGGCAGGCTTTTCTTTTTACCCAGTTTGAAATGTTACTAGGATATTCCTTGGTATGTCTCTTTTCTTTTCAGTCATGTCAGAATTCAGAGAGGCTTTACGTAAGTATAACTGTTTTTTTTTTCTTCTTCTAGAACACCTATAGTTCTCACGGATATATTCTCCAAGTCTCTTATATTTTCCTTCACAATTTATGTTTATTTATTTTTTTCTTCCATGCTTAAAATATTTCTCATATTTGATCATCCAGGCCATTAATTCAAGTCTTAACCATGACCACCCTCTGCTTTGATTTCTCTTCTAAATCTTTTAGTTGAGGTTTTCTTTGACCACAGAAGACTATTTTACTGTTGCTGCTGTTGCTGTGTGTGCTACACTGGATCTACTTAAGTACTAATTTTTATATGCAAAGTGTTGGCATTCTTCTTCAGCAGCTCTATTTTGCTATGCATGTGTTCAGTTTCTTCTGATGCATACTTCTCTCTCAGACAGCCAGATGAGAAACAAGTGCTGCTTGTTTAAGTCCTTAATGTGGCAGCAGCCTCAATAGTGGCAAGGAAATGTTGTCTTTCATCCTGTGGGCTAAGGGAGTGTGGAGGCTGGCAGATTTCCAGGGCCCCAGAAGCAGCCTCCTTGCTCCCTAGTTTTCTCATGCTCTCCCTGCCTCTTGGGAAGGAAGGACCCAGTCTGCCAGTCCTATCCTTCTTGGCCTCTTAGGGTCAGGAAACCCAGGCAATCTCCCCCAGTGCTTACTGTGATCTTGGGCTTTATGATCCCACTCTGGAGCTCTCCAACTCTGGCTTCCCCATGCTCCTGTTCAGCCCACTGGAGAGAGTTTGCAGATATTCCACAGTACCCAAATCTTCACTTGAGTCTGATAACCATAGGCCCTAGAAGTCATTAGAATTGGGAGAGGCAGAGAGATTCTTTGAAAATAAATAGAAAGTGTGGAGAGCTTTACTTCCAACTATGTGGTCAATTTTGGAATAGGTGTGGTGTGGTGCTGAAAAAAATGTATATTCTGTTGATTTGGCGTGGAGAGTTCTGTAGATGTCTATTCGGTCTGCTTGGTGCAGAGCTGAGTTCAATTCCTGGGTATCCTCGTTGACTTTCTGTCTCGTTGATCTGTCTAACGTTGACAGTGGGGTGTTAAAGTCTCCCATTATTAATGTGTGGAAGTCTAAGTCTATTTGTAGGTCACTCAGGACTTGCTTTATGAATCTGGGTGCTCCTGTATTGGGTGCATATATATTTAGGATAGTTAGCTGTTCTTGTTGAATTGATCCCTTTACCATTATGTAATGGCCTTCTTTGTCTCTTTTGATCTTTGTTGGTTTAAAGTCTGTTTTATCAGAGACCAGGATTGCAACCCCTGCCTTTTTTTGTTTTCCATTTGCTTGGTAGATCTTCCTCCATCCTTTTATTTTGAGCCTATGTGTGTCTCTGCACGTGAGATGGGTTTCCTGAATACAGCACACTGATGGCAAATGTAAAAGAACAGAAATTATAACAAACTGTCTCTCAGACCACAGTGCAATCAAACTGGAACTCAGAATTAAGAAACTCACTCAAAACCACTCAACTACATGGAAACTGAACAAACCTGCTCCTGAATGACTACTGGGTACATAACGAAATGAAGGCAGAAATAAAGATGTTCTTTGAAACCAATGAGAACTAAGACACAACATACCAGAATCTCTGGGACACATTCAAAGCAGTGTGTAGAGGGAAATTTATAGCACTAAATGCCCACAAGAGAAAGCAGGAAAGATCCAAAATTGACAACCTAACATCACAATTAAAAGAACTAGAAAAGCAAGAGCAAACACATTCAAAAGCTAGCAGAAGGCAAGAAATAACTAAGATCAGAGCAGACCTGAAGGAAATAGAGACACAAAAAACCCTTCAAAAAATTAATGAATCCATGAGCTGGTTTTTTGAAAGGATCAACAAAATTGATAGACCGCTAGCAAGACTAATAAAGAAAAAAAGAGAGAAGAATCAAATAGACACAATAAAAAATGATAAAGGGGATATCACCACTGATCCCACAGAAATACAAACTACCTTCAGCAAATACTACAAACACCTCTATGCAAATAAGCTAGAAAATCTAGAAGAAATGGATAAATTTCTCGACACATACACCCTCCCAAGACTAAACCAGGAAGAAGTTGAATCTCTGAATAGACCAATAACAGGATCTGAAATTGTGGCAATAATCAATAGCATACCAACCAAAAAGAGTCCAGGAGCAGATGGATTCACAGCTGAATTCTACCAGAGGTTCAAGGAGGAACTGGTACCATTCCTTCTGAAACTATTCCAATCAATAGAAAAAGAGGGAATCCTCCCTAACTCATTTTATGAGGCCAGCATCATCCTGATACCAAAGCCTGGCAGAGACACAACCAAAAAAGATAATTTTAGACCAATATCCTTGATGAACATTGATGTGAAAATCCTCAATAAAATACTGGCAAACCAAATCCAGCAGCACATCAAAAAGCTTATCCACCATGATCAAGTGGGCTTTATCCCTGGGATGCAAGGCTGGTTCAATATACACAAATCAATAAATGTAATCCAGCATATAAACAGAACCAAAGACAAAAACCATGTGATTATTTCAATAGATGCAGAAAAGGCCTTTGACAAAATTCAACAACAATTCATGCTAAAAACTCTCAATAAATTAGGTATTGATGGGATGTATCTCAAAATAATAAGAGCTATCTATGACAAACCCACAGCCAATATCATACTGAATGGGCAAAAACTGGAAGCATTCCCTTTGAAAATGGGCACAAGACAGGGATGCCCTCTCTCACCACTCCTATTCAACATAGTGTTGGAAGTTCTGGCCAGGGCAATTAGGCAGGAGAAGGAAATAAAGGGTATTCAATTAGGAAAAGAGGAAGTCTAATTGTCCCTGTTTGCAGATGACATGATTGTATATCTAGAAAACCCCATTGTCTCAGCCCAAAATCTTCTTAAGCTGATAAGCAACTTCAGCAAAGTCTCAGGATACAAAATCAATGTACAAAAATCACAAGCATTCTTATACACCAATAACAGACAAACAGAGAGCCAAATCATGAGTGAACTCCCATTCACAATTACTTCAAAGAGAATAAAATACTTAGGAATCCAACTTACAAGGGACGTGAAGGACCTCTTCAAGGAGAACTACAAACCACTGCTCAATGATATAAAAGAGGATACAAACAAATGGAAGAACATTCCATGCTCATGGGTAGGAAGAAGCAATATCATGAAAATGGCCATACTGCCCAAGGTAATTTATAGATTCAATGACATCCCCATCAAGCTACCAATGACTTTCTTCACAGAATTGGAAAAAAACTACTTTAAAGTTCATATGGAACCAAAAAAGAGCCTGCATTGCCAAGTCAATCCTAAGCCAAAAGAACAAAGCCAGAGGCATCACGCTACCTGACTTCAAACTATACTACAAGACTACAGTAACCAAAACAGCATGGTACTGGTACCAAAACAGAGATATAAATCAATGGAACAGAACAGAGCCCTCAGAAATAATGCCACATATCTACAACTATCTGATCTTTGACAAACCTGAGAAAAACAAGCAATGGGGAAAGGATTCCCTATTTAATAAATGGTGCTGGCAAAACTGGCTAGCTCATATGTAGAAAGCTGAAACTGGATCCCTTCCTTACACCTTATACAAAAATTAATTCAAGATGGATTAAAGACTTAAACGTTAGACCTAAAACCATAAAAACCCTAGAAGAAAACCTAGGCATTACCATTCAGGACATAGGCATGGGCAAGGACTTCATGTCTAAAACACCAAAAGCAATGGCAACAAAAGCCAAAATTGACAAATGGGATCTAATTAAACTAAAGAGCTTCTGCACAGCAAAGGAAACTACCATCAGAGTGAACAGGCAACCTACAAAATGGGAGAAAATGTTTGCAACCTACTCATCTGACAAAGGGCTAATATCCAGAATCTACAATGAACTCAAACAAATTTACAAGAAAAAAACAAAGAACCCCATCAAAAAGTGGGCAAAGGATATGAACAGACAATTCTCAAAAGAAGACATTTATGCAGCCAACAGACACATGAAAAAATGCTCATCATCACTGGCCATCAGAGAAATACAAATCAAAACCACAATGAGATACCATCTCACACCAGTTAGAATGGCTATCATTAAAAAGTCAGGAAACAACAGGTGCTGGAGAGGATGTGGAGAAATAGGAACACTTTGACACTGTTGGTGTGACTGTAAACTAGTTCAACCATTGTGGAAGTCAGTGTGGTGATTCCTCAAGGATCTAGAACTAGAAATATCATTTGACCCAGCCATCCCATTACTGGGTATATACAAAAAGGACTATAAATCATGCTGCTATAAAGACACATGTACACGTATGTTTATTGCGGCACTATTCACAGTAGCAAAGACTTGGAACCAAGCCAAATGTCTAACAATGATAGACTGGATTAAGAAAATGTGGCACATATACACCATGGAATACTATGCAGCCATAAAAAATGATGAGTTCATGTCCTTTGTAGGGACATGGATGAAATTGGAAGTCATCATTCTCAGTAAACTATCGCAAGGACAAAAAACCAAACACCACATGTTCTCACTCATAGATGGGAATTGAACAATGAGAACACCTAGACACAGGAAGGGGAACATCACACTCTGGGGACTGTTGTGGGGTTGGGGGAGAGGGGAGGGATAGCATTAGGAGATATACCTAATGCTAAATGAGGAGATAATGGGTGCAGCACACCAGCATGGCACATGTATACATATGTAACTAACCTGCACAATGTGCACATGTACCCTAAAACTTAAAGTATAATAATAATAAAAAAAAGGAAAGAAAATAAAGAGAACTCTGGAGTTTAAAAAAAAAAAGAAAAGAAATAGAAAGTGTGACTGAAGGGAAGAGAATTGAGTTCAGATCACCATCTTCCCAGGACTCTCTGCCACTGATGATATCACTTCAATTTTAATTGCTGATTTATTTCTCTGCCTCCTCAGCAGAATGTGTCCTCTTAGCCCTGGGCTTGAATCATGTTTGTTTTTTTATACCCAGCACCTGGCACAGTACATGGGGCATAATCAAATTTCATTAGCTGCATTTGGAACGAATGAATGGCAATGTGAAACTGCAGTGAGTTACTTGATCAGGTCTCAGAAATCCATCCAGATTCTTGCACTGCAAATAAACTCTCTGGCCCTGGTATTTTTGACAAAGAGAACTTTACTGGAATGATATTGATTGTCCAGGAATTGAGAAAAGCCTAGAGAACTAGGCTTGGAAATGGGCAGCAGTCAGGGCACCCCTGCAGGGCCAGGAAACTAGAAGAAAATACTGGTCAAGCAGCAGGAACATCTTGGTCAGAGTCACATTACTGGATGAATGCTCTTCAGTCTGGTTTTTTGTTTTGTTTTGTTTTGTTTTTGTTTTTGTTTTTTTTCATGCCTTTATATTGCTCACTCAAGATTAAAAGTCCTAGGAGAGAATCTGCTAATTGCTCCACCGTATGACAGCCATAGCAGGAGGTATCTAATGTATTGGCTTCCAGAGTGAAGGCAGGGATTTGGATTTCCCATGTCACCAAGGCTACCTTCAGTGGGGTAGATTATGCTCCTGGGGGGAGAGAAATGTTTTAGGAAGCGGGGAAATAGTGCTGGGTGACCACAAAACAACCTATGTTCCCAACAAGGACAGGTGTCTGATTTCCACAGTGGGTCAAGTGATTCCTTTGTCACTCCTACTCCCTCTCCCCACTAGTGGAGCTCTTGATACCACTGCCAAGACTGGGGTGAGAGAGGAGAGGAGTGGATGCTGGCTGCTACCAGACCCCCAATCTCCACCTCCAGCTTCCAGCCCCTGCTGTTCTGAAGTAGGACCTGTTCCCATGGGAACCAGGGGAATTCTAAGAGCTGGTTTTAAGGAAAGGCAGATAGGCTCCTGTGACTCTATGGTCAATCTTAGTTCTTCCTCTTCTCTCATAACAACAGTGTAGATGACATTTTAGATTCCTAAATTAAGTAGGCTTTTGTGGGTTGGCTTGAGACCCTAGTCACTAAATGTTACTAGTTTCCAAGCAACCTTCTGTCTTAGTCCATTCAGGCTGCTATAACAAAATACTATAGACAAAATGCCATGATTTATACACAACAAAAATTTATTTATCATAGTTCTGGAGTCTGGTAAATCCAAGATCAATGCACCAGCAGGTTTGGTATCTGATGAGGTCTGCTTCCTCATAGACAGCTATCTTCCCGCTGTAACCTCAGATGGCAGAAGGGGTGAGAGACCTCTTTGGGGCTTCTTTTATAAGGGCTCTAATCCCATTCATGAGGGCTTCACCCTCATGACCTATCACCTCCCAAAAGCCCCACCTCCTAATACCATCACAGTGGGTATTAGGATTTCAACACATGAATGGGGGTGGGGAGCAAACATTCAGACCCTAGCAACTTCCTTTCTCCTTTCTATCCAAATGTTTATTGAATGCCAGTCATTGGAAACCAAAATAGATAGCCCTTTTTTTCATAGAACTTACAGTCTAGTGGGAGAAAACAGATATGAAACAAACAACCACACAACTAAATATGTATTTGCAAATTGGTACAATACTATACATAATAAGTAGTCATGACAGGGACATAATTTGGATGGGGAAGATATGAAAAGGCCTCTTTGAGGAAGTGACATGCAAGCTGAAGACCATGAAGATGGGAATGTAGTGCCCACGCAAAGTGACTCATTCTTAGATTTTCATCTCATGGCCAAAGTTCTATGGTTTCTTGTAGTTCTTAGCCATGGGTTGGTATTTAGGTGTGGGTGTGAAGGGGCATTGGTTTTTTTGTCTTTGTCACAATGATTCAGAAAGTACTACAGGGCTGGGAGCAGGGTCTTATGCCTATAGTCCCAGCACTTTGGGAGGCCAAGGTGGGAGGATTGCTTGAGCCCAGGAGTTCAAGACCAGCCTGGGCAACATAGTGAAACCCTCCCCTTACAAATAGTTTTTAAAAATTAGCCAGGCATGGTGATATGTATCTGTAGTCCCAGCTACTTGGGAGACTGAAGCAGGAGAATCTCTTGAGCCCAGGAGATTGAACTTGCAGTAAGCCAGGTTCATGCTCCTGCACTCCAACCTGGGTAATAGAGTGGGATCCAGTCTCCAAAACAAAACAAAAAACAAAGGAAAGAAAAAATAGAAATAAAATACTAAGAATTTAGTGCACAGAGGCAGAAATGCTAAATGCTTACAACATGCAAGATGGTTCTGCATAACAAAGAACTGTGCTGCTCAAAATGCCAACAGCACCTTTCTCTGAGAAACCCTGTAGGCTGAGGTCAGTCTCACAGCAGCCAACCTCATCAAAAGGAGAACTGCTACTTAGCAATAGTTGCTTTAAAAAGTTCTGTGATGGAGTCAGATGGTCACAGCTTGAGTCTGCTGTCCATCCCTGAACCAAGCATAGTGACAGGGGGTGGAATGGTGACTCAGAGTGGGGAAGGAGTGAATCTGCCAAAGAAAATTGTGGTGCTGTTGGCAGAAGAAGGAAACTACTACTGGGCAGGCAAAATAGCAGATGCCTCTTGCATGAGTGAGAAGGGCAGTGGCACAGGAAAACTGGATGGGTAGGCAGGGGCTAGATCATTCAGGACATTGTCAAGGAACTGAGATGTCTCTTAAGGGCCCTGGGGAACCACTGACAGGTTTTAAGCAGCATAGAGGGGGTGGCAAAACCTGTGCCAAGCATCAGAGCCCTTGCATATTTAGGTTTTGTGGGCATCTTGCCCACACCTCCCTCCATGAAAGAAACAGTATATGTCCCCTGCTTCTCTCACCTTCTCCTGTCTTATATCTTTTTTTAATGTGTAGATTCCATTGTCTTCTACCTAGAAGTAAATAACACAAGCAGAATTGTGCTATGGGAAAGCACTATTCTTCCACAGGCTTCTATCACATATAGTTTGATGAACTGCATCACATTTCAGAATTTGCTTTCTGCTCTGGAGATAAGAGTTAGAATTGAGCAAGTGTTTATGTATATCCCAGGAAGTCGTTGTTTTAATCCAATTAACTACCTAGTGGAAAATCGCTCTGCATCCCAGCAGTGCTTATGCCATTATGGCCAAGTCCAGGGCATTGCCAACATATCTTTGCAAATTTCATTAGCAGTGGCTGTTTCCGCCTTCTTCTAGGTCATTAGTGAGTTTGTTAAACAAGGCCAGTTCTGACATCAGCCTCCGACATGCCCCAGTGGACCTTTTGCTTCCCAACCAGATGTAGTTCCTATTTACTCCTGATTATGCAGTGTTTTCACCCTGCCAGCATTCCACTTAGACGAGAGCATTCAAAAACAGGCCAATTTAATTTGGAGCACAACTTTTATGGAGGTCGTTGTCAAATGCATCACTGACACCCACATAATGCTGCTGCACTCCTGTCACCTGCTTTCTTCCAGGGTGTCCTTTTCACTCTCCTCCTATTGCTGTACTTCTAACAGCAGTTTCTAAAACAAATTATTGCAATGAAATACACTAACATAAAAGTACTATTTTAACCATTTTTAAGTGTACAGTTCAGTAGTGTTAAATATATTCCTTATGCAACCAACCTCCTGAACCTTTCCATCTTGTGAAACTGAAACTCTACGTACACTGAACAATTCTTCATTCTTTCCTTCCTCCGGCCCCTGGCAGTCACCATTCTGCTTTCTATCTCTGGATTTGACTACAGTATGTCCTCATATAAGCAGAATCCTACAATGTTTGTTTTTTGCGACAATGTTTGTTTTTATTTCACTTAGCGTAATGTGCTCAAGGTTCATCTATGTCGTAGCATGTGTCAGAATTTCCTTTCTAAGGGTAGATCGTATTCCAACGTATGTAAATACCACATTTTGTTTATCCCATCATCTGTCAATGAGTGTTTGGGTTGCTTCCACCTCTTGGCTTTTTGTGAATAGTGCTGCTATGAACATGGGTGCACAACTGTTTGAGTCCCTGCTTTCAACTCTTTGGAGTATTTACACAGAATTGACATTGCTGATCATAGAGTAATTGTATTTTTAATATTTTTGAAAGACTATTACATTTTTTATTTATTTGAGGAATTATCATACTGTTTTCCATAGTGGCTGCACCATTTTATTAAAAAAAAAACTTTTAGGTTCAGGGGGTACATGTGTAGGTTTGTTTTATAGGCAAACTTGTGTTACAGGGGTTTTTTATACCAATTATTCCATCACCAACGTATTAAGCCTAGTACCCAACAGTTATTTTTTCTGATCCTCTCCCTCCTCCCACCCTTGACCCTCAAGTAGGCCCCAGTGTCTATTGTTCCCTCTTTGTGTCCACGTGTTCTCATCATTTAGCTCCCACTTATAAATGAGAACATGTGGTATTTGGTTTTCTGTTTCTGCATTAGTTTGCTAAGAATAATGACCTCCAGCTCTATCTATGTTCCCACAAAGGACATGATCTAGTTCTTTTTTATGGCTGCATAGTATTCCATGGTGTATATGTACCACATTTTCTTTATTTAATCTGTCATTGATGGGCATTTAGGTTGATTCCATGTCTTTGCTATTGTGAATAATGCTGCAGTGAACATACATGTGCATGTGTCTTTATAATAGAATGACTTATATTCCTATGGGTATATACCCAGTAATGGGATTGCTGGGTCAAATGATATTTCTGCTCCTAGGTTTTTGAGGAATCACCACATTGTCTTCCAGAATGGCTGAAGTAATTTACACTCCCACCAACAGTGTGAAAGCATTCCCATTTCTCCACAACCTCACCAGCATCTGTTTTTTTTTGTTTGTTTGTTTTTTACCATTTAACTTGTTTTAATGTTTCTTCACAAATGGTGAAAAATACTAAAGTACAGAGAAAGAATAATCATAATGTTGTGGCCAACATTATAAATATGGAATTATAAATTTAAAACATTTTCTGGTTTAAAAAATAAATCTGGTAGTCAATGCAGCTCTGCGGGTTCTCTGCATCTAGTAGGGCTGATCTCTGCGCTCCTGACAGTGCTCGCCTTTATCCGTTTTTCCAGGTCCTTCACGTCCTCCTCTTCTTCCTCCCATTGGTTACATCAAAGGTCCGGGGGCCCCCCAGGGCCACCTTGTCTTCCTCCACCAAAGCCACCTCGGTCCATGCCCAGCCACCACAGAAGCCACTTCTGTCTCTACCACAGCCACCTCTGAACATTCCACCGGGACCACCATGATCCATGAGGCCACCTCTTCCTCCCCACATGCCACCAGGGCCACCTCTGCCATGATCACCACCCGGGGGTGGGAAGGGTGGCGGGAGGAAGCCTTCAGGCTTTGGAGCCTTACACTTGTTGCTCTCTGTTCTCCAGGCGAAGTTCTGGTTTCCACAACCCGGATTGGGACACTGCCTGTCTCCAGCTTGGTGCTGGACGTTTCCTCCTCCAGAGGTGTTCCCTCGGGAACCCTGGGGTCCTCTTGGAGGGAGGCCTCCTCTATCTCCTCCACGGCCTCCCATGTGACCCATGGGTCCCCCAGGACTTCCTGGGCCTCCTGGACCTCCGCAGAGTGGTGGTGGCATCCCTCTGCCCTCATGGGGTGGCATACCACCCTGCATACTGTTCACTGGAGGCCTCTTCCGAGCAAGAGAGACTTTAAGTTTGCTCCCTTGAAAATCTTTCCCATCAAACCATTCCACGGCAGCTTTGGCAGTAGGTGAGTCTTCACAGGACACTGTGGCATCACCTTTGGGCTTTCTTGTTTCCTTGTCCAGGTAGGTGTGGATCATGGGTTGCTCAGTTCTCTTGTTCATCTTAACAACCCCACACTGCTTAAAGAAGTCTACCAGATCATCTAGAGTCACATTGTCATTTAATCCTTGTACATAAATTGCACTGTTGTCAGAGTCTTCATCTGGATCTACAGGTGGGCCTAGATCAAGATCTGGTCCTTCATCCATGGGTCCACCAGGCTTATTGAAGCCAACTTGCTCTCCAGCGCTGCCCATTCCACCGCATCCTCCTCCCCGCCCACCTCTGCTCATGCCTCCACGATCAAATCCCCCTCTTCCCCTGCCCCAGTTATCAGGGCCACTCATGCTCCGGTTCTCTCCTAGTCCGGAAAATCCTCCAGACTCCTGCCCATAAACACCCATGCTACTGGGGTGGTCCTGTCAGAATGAACTCTGCTGCCCGTAGCTGCTGCTCTGTTAGCTATACTGACTTGGAGCTTGGCTGTAGGATCAAGTTTGGGGTGGGTAACTAGTGGGAGGCAGCTGCCCATAGCTGCTTTGTTGACCATAGCTACTCTGCTGTCCATAGCTGCTCGGTTTCCCATAGGTGTTCTGCTGAGAGTAACTGCTCTGATCATAACTAGTTGGCTGTGTAGAGGAATAGCTGGTAGGAGGGTAGGATGGAGGTGCGGTGACTGGCTGCATGGAGTAGCTCCCAGGTACCTGGGGATAACTGCAGTTACTCTGTCCATATCCTAGGCTGGGCTGGTTGTAACCCCCTGTGCTAGATTGAGGTTGACTAGTCTCAGTGGGCTTGTTTCCATTCTGCAGTCTTGTAGGTGCAGTGGCTACTGGCTGCTGCCCATAAGCTGGATAAGCAGGCTGAGTGCCATATGCAGATTGAGCTGCATAGGAGGCCTGGGTGGTGGTGACTGTAGCAGTGGTGGTATCATAAGCACCAGTGCCATACCCCTGGACAGGCTGGCTGTATGCCTGGGGGGCAGTTGGAGTAGTATAACCAGTGGGAGGCTGTCCATAAGAAGTTGCATAGGCGGTCTGCCCATAGATTGCAGTGGTCTGAGCCTGGGTATAGCTGACATCAATGGGCTGTCCATAGGTTCCATAGCTTTGTTGCCCATATGCCTGGGTGGTCTGTGCATATCCTTGAGTGGGCTGGGTGTTGTAAGCACTGTAGCCCTGCTGCGCTGCAGCTTGGCTATAGGTACTGTAATCCATGGATGCCATTTTCTCTCCTTCCTCCTCGTTCTCTCAACGTCCCCATCTGTTGTTTATTGACTTTTTAATAATAGTCATTCTGACTGGTGTGGTTTTGATTTGCATTTCTCTAATGATCAGTGATATTCAACTTTTTTTCATATGTTTCTTGGCCACATGTATGTCTTCTTTTGTAGTGCCTGTTCATGTCCTTTCCCACTTTTTAATAGGGGTGTTTGTTTTTTTTCTTGTAAATTTCTTTAAGTTCCTTATAGTTGCTGGATGTTAGACCTTTGTTAAATGCATAGGTTGCAAAAGTTTTCTCCCATTCTGTAGGTTGACGATTTGCTTTGTTGATAGTTTCTTTTGCTGTGCAGAAGCTCTTAAGTTTAATTAGATCCCACTTGTCAATTTTTGCTTTTGTTGCAATTGCTTTTGGTGTCTTTGTCATGAAATCTTTGCTCATTCCTATATCTAGGATGGTATTGCCCAGGTTTTCTTCTAGGGTTTTTATAGTTTTGAGTTCTACATTTAAGTTTTTTAATCCATCTTGAGTTGATTTTTGTACATGATGTAACGAAGGGGTTCAGTTTCAATCTTCTGCATATGGCTAGCCAGATCCCAGCACCATTTATTGAGCAGGGAGTCCTTTCCCCATTGCTTGTTTTTGTCAGCTTTGTCAAAGGTCAGTGGTTGTAGGTGTGCAGCCTTATTTCTGGGCCCTCTATTCTGTTCCATTGGTCTATATGTCTGTTTTTGTACCAGTACCATTCTGTTTTGGTTACTGTAGACCTGTAGTATAGTTTGAAGTCAGGTAGTATGATGCCTCCAGCTTTGTTCTTTTTGCTTAGGATTGCCTTGGCTATTTGAGCTCCTTTTTTTGTTCTATGTGAATTTTAAAAGTTATTTCTAGCTCTGTGAAGAATGACACTGGTGGTTTGATAGGAATAGCATTGAATCTTTAAATTGCTTTGGGCAGTCTGGCCATTTTAATGATATTGATTCTTCCTATCTGTGAGCATGGAATGTTTTTCTATTTGTTTGTCACCTCTGATTTCTTTGAGCAGTGTTTTGTAATTCTCATTGTAGAGATCTGTCACCTCCCTGGTTAGCTGTATTCCTAGGTATTTTATTATTTTTGTGGCGGTTGTGAATGAGATTGTGTTCTTGATTTGGCTCTTGGCTTGGCTGTTGTTGGTGTATAGGAGTGCTGGTGATTTCTGTATGTGGATCTTATATCCTGAAACTTTGCCGAAGTTATTTATCAGCTGAAGGAGCTTTTGAGACTATGGGGTTTTCTAGATATAGGATCATGTCATCTGCAAACAGAGCTAGTTTGACTTCCTCTCTTCCTTTTTGGATGCCTTTATTTCTTTCTCTTGCCTGATTACCTTGGCCAGGACTTCCAATACTATGTTGAATAGGCATGGTAAGAGAAGGTATCCTTGTTTTGTGTCTGTTTTCAAAGGAAGTGCTTCTAGCTTTTGCCCATTCTGTATGATGCTGGCTGTGGGCTTGTCATAGATGGCTTTTATTATTTTGAGGTATGTTCCTTCAATACCTACTTTATTGAGAGTTTTTAATGAAGTGGTGGTGAATTTTATTGAAAGCCTTCTCTGCATCTATTGAGATAATCATGTGGTTTTTTTTGTCTTTAGTTCTGTTTACGTGATGAATTGCATTTATTGATTTGCATATGTTGAGCCAAACTTGCATCCCAGGGATGAAGCCTATTTGGTGATTGTGGTGGATTAGCTTTTTGATGGGCTGCACCATTTTACATTCCTAGCAATAAAGCACAAAGGTTCCAATTTCTCCACATCCTCACCAACACTTGTTATTTTCTGTTTTTTTTTTCTTTGTTGACGGTAGCCATTCTAATGGCTTTGTGGTGATATCTCATGGTGGTTTCAATTTATGTTTCCCTAATAATTAGTGATATTGAACATGTTTTTATATACTTGTTGGCTATTTGTGTATCTTTTTTGGAGAAGTGTCTGTTGAAGTCCTTTGCCTATTTTTAAATCAAGGTATTTGGTTTTTTTCATTGTTGGGTTGTAGGAGTTCTTTATATATTCTGGATATCAATTCCTCAATCAGATATATAATTTGCAAATATTTTCTCCCATTTTGTATGTCACTTTTCCACTCTGTTCATTGTGTCTTTTGATGTATAAAAGTTTTAAGTTTTGATGCAGTCTCTTAACAGACTTTATAATTTTAGTAATTATCACTTTTCCTATAAAAACTACCATTCTTGTGTGCTTGCCACTGTTTTTTCTCTATCATCCAATTCTTATTCTTTTACATTTATTAGGGTTAACATTTCTGAATCATGAGTGTTGTGATTGATTTTTTATAGTATGAAAGAAATCCCAGTAATAGGTTGAAATGTGAAAAACAAGAAAGGGGGATAGACATTTTATCACTTCATGTGGAAAAACTAAGAAGTGGCAAGGGCTAGTGGAGGTTAATAATGATAATGTGGTGTAGCACTTTGCAGTAATCATTTCTTTCTTTCAATGACCTTGTGTAGAAAATATTGTTTTTCCCACTTTACAGATGATAAAACTGGGACTAAAGAGGAAGTATCTTCCTCAGACTCTCACTGTCAATGTGCACTAAAACATCATAAACATTTTACTATTCTATGCCAGTTCTCCAAAGAGTGATTTTCAAATTCTTTCATAAAACAAGTCGATTGATTCTTACCTCATTTTTCTCATTTCACCTTGCCTGTGTCATGAAATTGATAATAGCTTCTTCATCATTGCAGGCATTGTATCATAAACTTCTTATACATTATCTCATCAGTTCACACCTTACTGTGCATGACAGCCAGAGGCTCAGAGAAGCTGATGAATTTTGCCCAAGATCACACTTCTGGGAAGACATAGAGCAAGGATTTGTATCCAAGTCAGTTTGATTTCAGAGCTTTTCAATCTAAAGTTTAGATCATGAAAGTAAACATAATTTAAATCTTAGGATAAAGTACACTGCTTAAATTGTCTTTATTATAAAGTAATTCAAAAGTTCCTTTTATCTACTCATTTATTTTGCTTAGACTCTAAGTCCCCTTATATTTGGAGCTTGTTACGGAAGAGAGATGTAATCTCAAATCTCTGCTGGGCAACTAACTAGCTGTGTGACTTTAGGCAAGTTATTAACTCCTCTCAGCCTCGTTTTTTTCCCCATTGGAAAACTGTCCATTATATTACTTACTTTATGTGATTAATTTGAGCATTAAATAAAATAATGTATGCACAAGTGCTTACAGATAGCCTGACACACAGCAAGCACTCGGTAAACACTAGCTATTATTATTAATTTTATAAACAAATCTGATCCATATAGTATATACCATAATGGCTGTATGTTCTTATCTTAGTTCTTAATAATTTTTCTTTTCCAAATATAGTATATAAGAAGAGACCTAGCCGGGCGCGGTGGCTCACGCCTGTAATCCCAGCACTTTGGGAGGCCAAGGCAGGCAGATCATGAGGTCAGGAGATCGAGACCATTCTGGCTAACACGGTGAAACCCCGTCTCTACTAAAAGTACAAAAAATTAGGCAGGCACGGTGGCAGGCGCCTGTAGTCCCAGCTGCTCAGGAGGCTGAGGCAGGAGAATGGTGTGAACCCAGGAGGCAGAGCTTGCAGTGAGCCGAGATGGCGCCACTGCACTCCAGCCTGGGCAACAGTGCAAGACTCCGTCTCAAAAAAAAAAAAAAAAAAAAAAAAGAAGAAGAAGAAGAGATCTGCAGTGGAAGTTTTCACTGGAAAAGTTAACTATGGACAGATTCTGTATCATTTAGGACTTGATATGGCTGCATATTTTGGAAAAACCAAAACAACATTGCATCAAACATACAGGGCTTATTCTCTTACCTAAAAAGAAGTTCAGAGGCAGGCAGGGCATAACTGGAATAACAGTGCCATGAAGTCATCCAGACCCAGATTCTGTCTGTCTTTTCTGCCCCATATTCTCTAGATCATAGACACCACCTTTAAAGTAATCTAATGGTCCAAGATGGCTGCTGAAGTTCTAGTCATAATACTCATATTCAAGGCAGCAGGAAGGAAGAAGAATAGAAAGACAGAAAGGGCACAACTCTCCGTTTTAAGGAGTCTTTCTGGGAGTCCCATATGTTCCACTTACATTTTATTGACCAGACTTCAGTCACAGGACTGGTTTTACCTAGCAGGAAGACAGTCTGGGAAATGCAGTCGTTTAGTTGGTTTCATTCCCACCCTAGTCTGAATTCTGTTACTAAGAAAGAAGAAGAAAGTGGTACTGGAACAGTAATTTGCAATTTCTGCCTCACAGGCAAGAATTGGTACTGATTAGTGTTTTAGGGCAGCTATGTTCCTAAGGTGTCAGGGTTGCTTCTGAGGGTGGACAGGGTCTAGACAGGACAGAGACCCAGAGATCTGGATTTTTATGTTGAAAATATTGAAGTTGCATGGAAGCTTTGTTCTGCTAAAAGGATTCCACTGCCTAAATTAACTCTGCAAAGCAGTCTTGGAGAGGAAGAACAATGTCAGTGCATTCAAAACAAGATTGAAGGCAGGAATACTACAAAAAGGATGTGAGGAGTATACCTGGAAAGATGAGAAGTAGAGGAGCATAAAGTAACAACAACAAAAAAGTTACCCATGTGCATGTCCCTGTAGCTAACCCAAGAGGTGATTGTGTTGATTTGTCAACGTGCTGTGGAAGTCCCATAGGGAAGGGGTGAAATCTCATTCCCTTGTAAAGATATGGCTGTACAGAACCCATGTTTGATGTTGGGTCAGAACTTACGTTTTAGCGACACTGGATTTAACCACACATTGACTGTTGTGATCAACGATTCCACTGACCTTCCCAGCCTTATTTTGAGCAAGTAAATGTCTGGGATTTCTGAGGTAGTTCTGTATTCAATTTTTCTGTTCCAGCAGACTCATAAGGACATTTATGCTTGTCGGATCATGTGTTCTGATTTCTGGTACTCGATGCCCTGCCAAGGATTGATTCACTCTTGCCACATGTTCCCCAGGCCTAGTGCATCAGTAAGTATTTGATAAATGTTTGTTGACAAGAATTGCTACTAATCATGTACTGCAATTGAGTTTCAAATAACACTAGTCCTCACTCCCAAACTGTCTTCAGAACCTGTGTGGTAAGATCACCTTACAATGAGGCCAAATATTTTTTCTTCAGTGACTAAAACCCTTGGAGGGGTCTCTGATGGCACCTCTTGATGCTGAAGTCCTTTCCAAAGAGAGCAGAGCTTTGAGGAAGACCCAGGAGAGGGAACTTCTATAGTGAGAACTTGCTTGAGGAAAGGCTTGCCCTTGGGATAGGCCTGTCTGTCCCATCTTTCTGATCCTGGACAGGGTCCCTGGCTACAGCTGCCTGAGGGATCTAAGGCCTTGGGCCCTCCTGTTTCCCTTCCTCAAAATGCCTCTTCTGCCCAGTGAATGCCTTCTCCCTCTGTCAGTGCCCTGACTCTGTGTAAGAAGCCACTGCAGGGGCCCTGAAAATCTTGCTGTTTGTATCCCTCCTTACAGGGGGTCTACTTTCTGTAGGTTTTGTAGAAGACACCTTTTCTGACTTCTTCCCCTTAATACTAGAGCTCTCTGCTCTCTGTCACCATCTGAACTTCCCCTCGTGCTATCAGCTCCTGATATAGGAGTGGAATCGGGGTCAGGGGTAAATTTTTCATGATAGCCCCAGTGGAGACTTCTATGTATATCTTCTCACAGAATCACTTTGAGAAGGAACGCAAAGCTCTGGAGCCCTCTCTCAGCCCTGCTAGGATCTCCAGTTACAGTTTCTCTGGGGAATACATTCTGAGTTGCACGTCACCACTAACATTTTTTTAAACCCACGGTATGCAGGCGTTGAGGACTGCCTGTGTGTCTGGAACATCATGTTGTAGGGGAAGGTTAAACATTAAAATGGGTAGAATTTTCCTGTTCCTATGGGCATGAGCTACTCTGTAGCTCAATTCTAAAGCCTTTGCAGTATAAAGTAGTGCTTCAAAACCGGACTATGCCTCAGCATCACCTGGAAAGCTTGTTAAAAATGTGGAATCTTGGGTCTCACCCTAGGACACTCTGACTCACAGGGACTGGTGTGAGGAGCAGAAGTGTTTTTAAGGACTTCTTCAGGTGGTTTGGAGGCAGCCACTGGTTAATGGATATCTATCCATGACAGAGCAACTTTGCATAAGCAGCGCAAAGCACAGCCATTGCATGGTGTTGTGGAATGACACTGGCTCTGGATCAGAGGACTGCGTCCAAATGCTAGTGCGATCAATTCTTGCAGCGTGAACTTGGCAAAATCAATGGACACTGGGGAAAACTGGAGAGCTTGAAGAGGTTAAACTTTTCAACCAATTTAGGTCGTACAGGGCATGAGACCACTCCCCAAAGGACAGAAGAGAACCGAATGGGGTGAACTAGAATTGGGAGGAGGCAAGAGTTTTGTTTGGGAGTTTGGAAAAGGTGGAGATTGGGGATCTTCGTGGTACTGTGAGATTTTAGGAAGACAGGTACAGGGAGTTTCTGCTGTATGTTTTACAATGTAATTGACTTCACTAAAGACCTACACAATTTCTTAATGTTGTTGGGTTTGGATTTGTATTTATTTTGGATGTGACACTATGCTGAGACTGACCTATAGGCAGCCCAATTTTACTAAGATTATAAATGTAAAAATGCTACCCTTGCAGGACTGTTGTGAGGATTTTAGAAACCCTATTTTAAAACGTCTTTTAAATACTAGATGCTCAAAAAGTGGTAGCCATTATTGGAAAATTAGTAATTATGAAGTACCTACTATATACTATATGTTGTGTTAGGCACTGAGGATACAGAAGGCGAATAAGGAGCACACAGTCCAAGTGAGTCCATTAACTTTTAATTCAAGAAAGGAAAGGAAATATTTAATTTAATTTTAAAGTAAGTATGTGTTCCAGAAAGTTCTGTGTATGATTTACATATTGCCAGGTAACTGACTGCATAAGCTTTGAGTAGAAGTCAGTGAGGATTAGAACCACATACTTCAGATTCTAGCCAGATTCAAAAGTGCCCCAGATGAAAAGAACCTTTAAGAGCATCAGTTTCATTTTTTCACATTTTTCTGATGAGGAACTGAGGTAGGCAGAGGGAAAGGATTTAAAACTCTTGATAAATTATTACTATTTTATGAAGTATTTAAAGATGTGGTCATTATTTATAAGTCATTGCTAGAAATTTTTATGAGATAAACATTTCTTAAAGTATAAATGTCAGTGCTAAAGTTTACCTAAAAATCATCTGGTTCAAACTGATTATTTTACTAAGGAGGGACCTGGGGGTATATTTTATTTTGTTTACTGCTCAGTCATAGCTTGCAAGTGACTGCATTTAAGGTGGATTTAGGATGGGGCTTGGTAAATGATAGTACAGAAACCTTGAACTTTTTTTTTCCAAAAGAGTATTGATAAACTACTTTCAAAATGTATTTCCTTTCCTTTCTTGACTGACTGGGTTTGTTTGGCTACACAGCTAAAAGTCAACTGGAATAAAGAAAGGTGAAAAGTATATAAATATATGATATGCCTATACATAGACAAAAGATGTATGTGTAAGTTGGAATGCATTTGGATACAGTGACATATGCTTAATAATGGCTTAAGCATCAAAGATATATAATTATACCATGTAGCAAAAAGTCTGGAGATAGAGGATTCCAAGTTTGGTTTATTGGCTCAATCTGTCATTAGACAGTCAGGCTTTTAAAAACCTTTCTGCTTTACCATACTCAGCATATTGGCTTTTTGTCCATAGGCAGACAAGCCTAAAATGGCTGCCTCAAGTCCAAGCATCATACTTTACACACTCACATTCGAAAAAGAAAAAAATGCAGCAGACTTTCTCATGATCTGTTTATCATGGAGCAAAATTTCCCCCAGATTCTGCCAGCAGAATTTTTCTAGTTCTCAGTGGCTAGAGCTGTGTTACATGCCTCCAATCCCCAGCAAAGAGAAACAAGATTGCCTTAGTGTTTCAGATTAATCATGGTTCACCTCCTAGGACGAAGGAGTTTCCCTCTTTGAGATGTTGATTCTCAAACAACTTGAAATTCTGTAAATTAGAGACTAGGGATAGCTACTAGGAAGGAAAACAAGGTGTGGGCTAATTATAGGTGAGACACAAAGATCCTGTACTTTTTTTGACGAATACTGTACATTGTTAAGTATTACTAAGTACATTGAAAGTAAGACATTTTCTAGATAGGCTAATAGTGAAGTAAATGGGCTTTGGAGTCAGACAGACATCCTAGGTGGGCATCTCAGCACCAGCACATATTAGCTGTTCTTCAGCAGTTTTCTCATCTGTAAAGGAGAGATAATAACACTTACCTCACAAGATTTGGGGTATTTGGCTTTGTTTTTTATTTTTTCAAGCAGTGAGTTAAGAAATATTGTGTAATTATTACATACTTTAAACAGTTTCAAGCATATAGTAAGCACTTGATAAATGTTAGCTGTCTTTATTTTGGAAACATTGGTGCTGTAAATTTAAATTCTGCTTATCTTCATTCAAGTCAAAATTATATAAGACTCTTTTCTGTTTCCCAAGTCTGTAGTTGTACTTTTCTAATTGTAAAACATGGTATCTGGTATAAATGGGTCCCCTCCTTGGGGGAGCGTCTCCTTTTTAGCCCAGAAAGTAAAGGCAAAATTTTGCAGTGCTTCTTTCTAATTTTCAGACTGCTCTAGAGTGAATCCTATTTAATCAGCTTATTCAGGCCCAGAATCCATTTATTTGATCTCAAATTGGATGTTTGCCTCTCAGGTCCAAACCAAAACAACAATGCAATTTACCTTATCTGCTTTACATTTCTGGCTCCCAGAGAGAAGACTTGGCAAGCACCTCATCTCTCAGGACACTGGGGCACACAGCCCAGTGAGCTTTTTCTCCCAGGCCCAGGAAACTGAACCGATCTGGAAAATTTGGAAATTTTCAGAAGACTAACAAAATCATTGCCCCGATTCAGGTTATGGTATTGATGGGAGGGAGTATTTGCTTGAAATCCAATCATAGAATTATAAATGTATCTGACAGGATGTGGGGCTGGTTGTAAGAGGAAGGGCAATCATTGAGCAGATCTGGTCAAGGTCCTTTTGCCCACAGTGACGTTGACAAGCTCTGGTACAATTGGTTGTCCAGATTTTAGTGCTACCCTTATATTTATTCGTTAGAGTTTCCCTGAGAGTTCACCAAACAAACCTACCTCCTTGAGGGATGTTGTGCTTCGTAATGACAGTCCTAAGGCAGGTGCTTCCTGCATAGTGGGCTTCAGATGATAATGGGTAAATATCTGGGTTCCCAATGTGGGTTAAAAGGAAAACTAGCCTCTCTTCACATAAAATTCCATTGTAAACTCTACTAGGTCCTACCTGAAGGTGTTTTTGCTGACATTGAGAAAGGTCACTAGTCTGGTAAACTTGGGTTTTGGTTGATCATACTGGAAGCTAGGAAAATCTAGGAAGTATTTATTCATTGCCCAGTATATTCTTCCTTGATTTCCCCTGTCTTTCTTATTTTTCATCTTCCTACTTTTTGTTGGACTGGTCGTCTTCTTCCTTACCCTCTTATTTCTGCTAGTTGGGAAAATAGGGATTATATTTCTGTTCTTCTGGTGGTTATTCAAACATATTTAAAATGTTTACTTAGCTATAAATTTTTCTGACTCTAGTTTTCTAGCATTTCTATTCCTTTTCTGGACAAGAATTCATCTTCTGAAGTGAATAAATCTCATTATCAACCTTGCTAGCTGTTTTGCTTATGTATTTTCCTCATGTGTTTTTGGATTTTTGTTTGCAGGCTCAGCTTAAGTAGGAATTTCTTTTCTTTCTCTTGCTAACTCTCTTTCCCATCCCCACAACCTGACACCCCTTTCTGGCAAGCTGTTTTGCAGTTGCCCTCACCTAACCTTCTCTATCAATCATCAACCCCCATTCCATCCTCTCCCCACTACCCCAAGTCCAGAGCCAGATCTTGTGTTGGTGGCTCAGGCAGTATTGAGAACATCACAGATACAGTCATGGAGCCAGCAGTTGGCTGGCGCCTTTTCCTGAGGTGACACTATCTGCTTCATCTAGATTCTCTAGTCACAGAGCTTTCTATAAGCCATGACCCTGAAGCAGCTGTGTGTTGTAGCTTTTCTTGCTTCCTTTCAAGGGTGGTGGAGCCTGGGCTCAAAAAGTGATCTAGGTTCTGGTTGCTCTGCTTCACGTAGAAACTTTGCCTCTTAGGGGTTGACACAGGGGCCACTTCTGTGTCCTTCTGACTCCTGGGCCCAATAGCTGTGCTTTAGTCTGCTTTACCACCTCAGATTTCTCTTCTGTCTCTGGCACAAGGAATTGTATATCTGGTTTCTAAGTGGAGTTAGAAATGTCATCTTCTCTTTATCTCTATTTCTCTATTTCTCTCTCTCTCTCTCTCTCTCTCTCTCTCTCTCTCTCTCTCTATCTCCCCTTGCTGCATAGTGGTGGCTGTGGTAGTGCTGAAACTGTGATCTCACAGTGTCATCTTTACTGGAAGTTCTTGATTTGTAATGGAGGAACTACGCAACACATCCATCTTGCTCAAATCGGTAAAAAGACTGT
The DNA here is from genome assembly GCF_000001405.40 of Homo sapiens. Lineage (NCBI taxonomy): Eukaryota > Metazoa > Chordata > Mammalia > Primates > Hominidae > Homo > Homo sapiens. The sequence continues at coordinate 166,288,213 of NC_000001.11, forward strand.
CAGCCTGCTGAGTGGTGGGGGGTCGGGGCAGGGGCATGACAGGGCAAGCTTACTGCTTTTGGCCCTCTCCATCAGGTACAGTGGCCCCAAACTGAAATTCCCTCAGAATCTAGGTGTGTAGCAGTGGAGAAACTGTGGCTAATTGGAGAGTGCTTCCTCTGTCTAAAGCTGCTACTCAGCATCATCTGATTACTGCCATGAAGGAATGAAGACACTGTGTTGTGAGAGCATCCAATTTGTCAAGAGAAAGAACTATAAACAATTTCAAAAATAGTTTTAACATTTAGAGAAACTATTTGGACCTATTTGGACTTTTAGTTGAAATCTCCCGAGCTTTAAGTGTTGACCATTGATTCTGTGTGAGCTGGGAATACATGTGATGGTCAGTGGGCCCATGTGCTGCCTGGCTGGGACCTGTCACATGATGTACTTGTCAGCGACTTTGTCTGCCTTGGTCACCTCTGGGCTTCTAGGGGCTTGAGACCTACAGAACTAACTAACATTTAAAATGCTGTATAGTCTTTTTGGAGGAAGACAAGTACAACCTGTGAATTACAAAGAAAAAATTAAATGCTCTTCTGTCTGTTTATCCTCATTGGTAAGCACTTATATGTTCTACTTTGTACATGGAACCCAGTAAGTAGAGGCGTATAAGGAAACACATGTAATATGAGAACTGTATGGCCGATGAGCATTGAGCTTATGGCAGGCTTGGGTTTGAATGCTGGTGCCTGCATTTTCTAGAGATTTGACCCTGGGCAAATTATATAATCTCTTTGAGCCTCATTTTTCTCATCTATAATGTGTGGAAAACAACACCTCCTTCATGTGGGACTGTTGTGGGATTAAATGAGATACTGCACACAACAGCAGAGTGCTAGCAAGAGGGGAGGTTCGGTAACGGTGGTTATTAAATAGCTCAGGTCCACACTTCTGAAATACTGGATTCATTTGTGGCAAAACCTGACCTGAACTGATAAGAAGCTAATTACAATTCTTATATACTCCACTTACCATGAATATTCATAAGTTTCACTGAACAAATATTAATGTGTTTGATTATGGGTGCCACCCCAGAACCTCTGTCATCTTTCTAAGATCTGAAAAGTTCTGAATTCTAAAACACATTTAACTCCACAGGTTTTGGATAAAGGATCTGCAGTTACAACAACATATGAGCAAGTAAAGAATGGCACAGTCAAAACTGAACACGTAACCACATAACTGCTGGAAGGTGACAGAATGGATAAATGATTAGAAATGAAGGGTGTGAATTTGCGAGGGCTTCCTGGAGGAGGTGACCTTTCAGCCTGATCTCAGGAGAAGTGGAGGAACTGCACTGGTGAAGAGGAGGCAGGACATTCCAGGGAAATACATGACATTATTGAGTATCTTGAGGCTCCCAGCAAAACAAACTGCTTTCAGGTCTGTGCAATGCCTAGAAGAATGACTGATCATTTTTAGAAAGACACTCAGAGGACTTGACAGGAAAGAGAGCCCCTGGCAGAGAGAAGCATGAAGACTGGAGTCAGAATATTCACTTTCTGATGAAGCATTGTTGGGGAGAAAGTTCATTTTGCCATGGCCTCCAGAGGGACTCTCTGCTTCTCTAGGCCAAGAACCTGGCTCTGCACACCCACAGCGATCTCCATATGACTTTTGCATATATCAGCAAGCGATTGCTGCATTTAAAGATGCTCTTCTGGAGCTGGGACTGTGGCAAACCAACCTTTCTCAACTCTACATCCCAGATGTTTCCCCACTTGCTTGTCTGTTTTTAATAAGCTGGAGATGAAGTTGAAGGATGATCTGGCTGAGCAGGGAGTTGCTATGAGCAGGGGAAGGATGAGAGCTGATTTATATTTCAGAAACAGCACTCTGCCTCTATGTGGATTGAAGAGGGGTAATACTAGACCTAGAAGAAATAAGTCTTCTTTATCACTCTTTTCTAGTACTTAGGAAGTATGCCAGGCATATGCTTATTGAACTAATTTTTTAACAAACGTGATCCCCATCTTGGCAGCACCTGCTCCCTGGCATGAAAGATGGAGCATTGATAACATGGTGAAAAGTAGGTGCTGGCCTCACATTACTCTATGGGAGCAGCAACAGGCAAGAGACAAGGCAGTTCCACAGGGATACACAGAAGCTACTCACATGTTCCTCCTGTTGTCTACAGTCACGGGAAGAAAGCTAAGAGGAATCTAAAGGAACAGAAACATGCCAAGTGTGAAGCACAGGCACCTCCAGACCTGTAACAGTGTGGGATTAGCTGGTACTATTGGGAGCAGCTCTGGGCTCTGAGCCTGATACAGAATCCCCAAGTTTCTCTAATGAGAGGGTGTTTTTATTTTCCTCAAACTCTTATACTCACTGATGGGGATGGTGGTGCCGGGCAGACGAGGTGGTGACATGAGTTGTTTGGGGACTGAGAAGTCGAGTCACTGATGGTTGGGAGGGATTTGGAAGACACACGTGGGGAACATGCCTGTGGAGAGCTCCATGGATGTGAAAGGGGAAGGGGTCTGGCAGGGGCAGTCTCACGGGTCTACTGAGAGGTGATAATTTGCTGGTTGAAAATCACTGGTATGAAGTAGCTTTATAAATCCAGTCCCAGCTTATCTAGCTTTGTTTTCTCTGAACTTCTCCCTCCCCCAACACTCCTGCAGGTTTGAGTTCAGTTTTTTTCCAGTTTTAAGTGTGTTGGAGAGGGCTGCCTCCCTCACTGTTGTGTTGGTTCATCTTCACTTAAGGGACCATCTTTACTTCCAGTAATAGCTGGTGCTAAGGATGACAATGCCTCACCTGCATGCATGAAGAACTGTGTTTCAGACTGTCCTGCACACTCTGTGTGCTTTATCTCACTTAATCCTTGCAACACCCCTTTGAGGTGGGAAGTACAATGATTACCATGAACAAGTGAAGAAACTGAAGCTTTAAACAGTCAAATAACTGAATAACATATAGCAAGTTAAAAGTGGACCAAGAATTTTGATCCAGGAAGATCTGACACAGCCTGTGTTCTGTTCTCAATAAATAGCATTCCTACCATGTTCAAAACACTACGTCCAATGTAGTGGTAGAGATTTCTAAATGGCTGCACACAAAGCTTTATCCACAAAGAACTATGATTGGGTCGGAGAGAGTGAGAGGACACCAGAAGTCAAACGAAATTAGAACATGACATAGAAACATAAGAGAGGAAACAGGGTAGAATGTGGTGAAGAATTCAGACAGAAGAGCCATGGAAACTGAGATAGCCCAGAAGAGCCCCAGGGAGAGGGAAGATGAGGCTTGGGAAGCCCAGGCAGGATTTAGAGTTTAAGACGATATGTCACGGTGTTCTAGGAAGGGAGACAGCTGAAAGGCGTGAACATGGTGATGCATGACGTGTTTGGGTGATAGTGAGCAGGACAGTTTAACTAAAGAGAGGTTCATGGGGGAACAACAAGGAGGAAGAACTTTGGATTTTAAAATGTGAGAAACCATAGGGAGAAGGGCTAAGTATTTTTTTTTTCATTTTATAGTATTTGGGGGTGGGGGAAGTGAAGTTTTCTGAATGTTAGAGTAATACATTATATGAAGAGGAGTTCCTGGCAGAAATGTGCCAGTGGATCGTAGGGGAGACCCCCGGAAACCAGTCTTGAGGCTGCGGCAAGTTCCAGAGAGTGGCAGAACTCAGAATCACAGAATCAGGTGACTTCAGAGTTGATTGAATGGGGGATGTGGTGGCGACTAACTGTCAGAGAGGGAGGTGGTTTGATTGTTCAGTCATTATAGCTAAATTACTCCCAATGATGGGCAGTTCTAGATTAGATGCAGATGGATTTAACTTTGGACTTTGTGCAAAGGAAATTTACAACTAATTAATTTACTTGTATTCCTCTTCTCGATCTAATTAATTTCAAGGATTTTAAACAAGCATTGCTTCTTTTGACCCCACAGGACATCTTCTAATTGAAATAGTTGCTTGTGACCTTAGAAGGAAGGTCCTTTATGTACAAACATGCACCTGCCATTTCAGCTACGTGACTCAATTTTAAGCTTTTAAAACTCTTCTTTCAGCTCAACAAATCTGTGGCCAGAGCTGCCATCACTCGTAATTGTGCAGAACCATGATCCTTTTGACAATCTGATTTCAATTTTAGTGGTCTGCACATCTCCTAAAGTCTGCTATTAGCTCAGATTAGGAAACTGAAGGATTGAAGAATCGAGATGAACTGAATTGGAAAAATATATGTATATGTATTTGTGGAGAACGCCATGTGAAGAAGAAAATAAAATGTTCTGAAATTAGGTAGTAGTGTTGGTGGACAACATTGTGAATGTACTGAAAGTCACTAAACTGTACATTTTAAAATAAAATGGTGAATTTTATGCTACATAAATCTTACCTTATTAAAAAACATAAAAACACTTAGGGGCATTCAACCAAAAAAAAAAATGAGAGAGAGAGAAAAGTAAGATATAACATTAAGAAAGAAAAAAGTCAACTGAAAGGAAGGAAATTCTCCAGACAGTGATTGTATATTTTAGGAATTAGTTTCCTCCTTTCCTTAAAATGCAGTTCAGGAATCTCAGCCCCTCAGAGCTGTCATGGGCATCCTGGCCTTTGCTTGTGAGACCACACCCCACCTGCATCCCTCGTCACTTGAAAAGCAGCGCCTGGAGTTTGGTCTTGTGAGGGGTTCCTTAGGGGCTCTATTTAGCACAGACAAAAGTTTGCTTTTAGCCGCTGGAAAGGGAATGAAGGGTCTGGAGGAGGAGTGTTGAAGGGTGACTTTATAGACTACAGTCTATAAGGACAGAGCTCAGAAAGTTTGCCTGTGGACAACTATGGAGCAGAAACAAACTTTAGTTTCTAGTGGACTCTCCAGCTTTGGGGGCATTTGGCCAGAGAGCTCAGAGTTTTCTCGCAGCTGCAAATTTTCTCTTGCCTCTGAGTAGACTCAATCCCTGCTTTAAATCTCTCCTCTCCTTTTCTTCCGACCTGTTTCCTTCTCTTATTCTGCACATATGCCAAAGCGGCTAAAAAGGGGCCTGTGAGAAGTGATATATGGTCAGGGTTGGCTGACCAAAGATCAAAGGAGGGCACAACTATTAGGCCTTAGAAATAATTTAATCTAGACCCCCAATTTTACTGCAGGAAGTGATTCACCCAAGATCCCACAGCTGACTCTCAGGATGAGGGCCCAGGGCTTCTCCTTCACCTGCAGGCTCTGCCATCAGCATGCTACTTAACTTCTCTGAGAGCCCCAGTTTCCTCATCTGTAAAATGGTAACATTGTAACTGTGTCTACGTTATGTGGTTGGTGGTGGCTCAAGCCTGGCATATAGGTGATTGTCAGTAAATACTGTGGCATAAATGAAGGAATGAGACTCTACCTTCTCAAAATATTCTTAGATGTTAACTTCAATTAATGGAAAGTTTATTCCCACCCCAGAGCAGTGCTTGGCATGTAACAATGGTTAAAAAAAAAAAAAAACAAAAAAAAAAAAAAAAAAAAAAAACAAACTTGTTGAAATAGCAAAGACATGGAATCAACACAAATCCATCAATGATAGACTGGATAAAGAAAATATGGTACATATACACTGTGGAATACTATGCAGCCATAAAAAGGAACAAGATCGTGTCCTTTGTAGAGACATGGATGGAGCTGGAAGCCATTATTCTCAGCGAACTAACCCAGGAACAGGAAACCAAATCCTGAATGTTCTCACTTACAAGTGGGAGTTGAACAATGAGAACATATGGACACAGGGAGGGGAACAATGCACACTGGGGCCTGATGTGGGGTCGGGGGAGGGAGAGCATCAGGATAAAGAGCTAATGCATGTGGGGCTTAGTATCTAGGTGATGGGATAAGTGCAGCAAACCACCATGGCACACGCCTACCTATGTAACAACCTGCACATCCTGCACATGTATCCTGGAACTTAAAATAAAATAAAATTTAAAATTAAAAAATACTTGGTGAATCCATCTACAGATAATTCCCGTGGTTCTCTAGGAAATTATCATTTTTAGTTGATGAGTGAAGCCAGGGCAGGGTGACTGGGTACCAACAGCCCAGAGTAAGAAGTCGGGGGGCTGGGAAGCTATAACTGGACCTACCGGAGCATCACATCAGAGCCTACTGGGAGGAGAAGAAAGCTCAAGCTTCAGTGTCCCTGTGGGAGCCAAGGGCTGCGGGGAGATATTGTAATATAGGTGGGGAGAGGAATCCAGGGTGCAGCTGGGAAGCATTACTATGTAACCATTTCTGAAACAGTGGTTTCTGAAGGATAGGACCTGAATCACCAAGGTGATTTCTTTTCTCCTTCTAAATAAATGCTCATTTTATTCCTAATTTTATATTCATAATTTTATATTTTTTGAGTAATGAGTTTCCTCCAAATTGTACAGACTTTAGACCCAAATACCCCCAAATCTGTCCTTGTATGTTTCCCACATCAGAGCAAACTAATCAAGGTCATCCTTCTCCCGAGAGTGCAAATGTTCAAGTCCAGACCTGGTCTTTGGCAGGAAGTCTACACAATATAAATATGAGTTTTGTGGTCTTTGTTGCCTTATAGGGAAAGAAAAGGCCATGAAAGGCATGGATGTGGTTGTTGTAAAAGAAAAATTGTCCTAAACATAGACTGGGACAGAATTTTTTGTGATACGAAGTTCAGAATTTGGTTCTGGGAAGAAATTAGCATTCCTGGTAAAATGCTTAACCTATTTTCTGGAAATTATAATGGGATTAAGACTTGTTCTGGGAAACTAATCACCCACCCACCCAGCTGTCGGTCAAGAGTCTTGACCTTTAACCAAACATTCTTTTTGCAACTAGTCTAATGATAACTGAACCATTCTTTTTTTATATATATATAATTTCTGTACTAAGAAGGACTCTTTGGATTGGTCTACTGGAGGCCTTGTCTCTTGTAGAAAGATTATAATAACTCTTTGACTGATCTCATAACCAAACAGTCTGGCACACTCCTTTCTCCCCCCACTTGCCATCCTTTGAACTCCCTTGACAACCCCCTCCCACCATGTACATTCTTCTGGCTCGCTCTTCTACATTTTGTCTTGTTAAATGTTCCTTCATAGCTACCTTCTTTTCCAAACTGAACAGTCATCTTTTTTTTTTTTTAACAGTGCAGTGTTCTATTCATTTTTTTCATTTTTCTTTCTTTTCCTTGCTTCACTCCCTGACACCTGATTCTCTCAGGGTCTAGAACTGGGCAGGGGCATAAGCAGGACTTTAATAAATATTGGACTATGGACTGATTATTTCCTTGGAGGTGCTAGGAAGTGAGCTATTCCTTGATTTTCTTGACCCATGATGCTGTGTCTCAGGTCACTTTGGCCTTGTCAAGGACTGCAGGTGGCACAGCCTTCCAGATCCTGGTGTCCCACAGCCATAAGCCAGAGCCACAAACCATAGGCATGAAACCAGAGCCGTCAACCCAGAGCCATGAACAGGAGCCATGAAGCCAGAGTCACAAACCCAGAGACATTAACCCAAAGCCTTATACCAGAGCTATGAACCACAGCCACAAATTCAGAGCCATGAACTTGGAGTTAAGTATCCATAGCCATGAACCAGAGTCATGAGCTTAGAGTCTGCAACATGGGAAAGAAGCACAGTGTCAGCTAGTTGGATTCATGGCTTTGGGTGTGGTTTACAACCTTATGCCAGTTGCTAGAACCTGACACCCCAAGCCCTTATTTTTTACTTATGACCAACATTTGAAATTTCACAATTATAGGCAGGAAGAATGGATCTACCCAATGCAGACAGTCCTAGAAGTAATCCTTTGACTTGTTCCCTATTACTGAATTAGATCTGAGCGATTGACAAAAAGGTCTGACTGGGCTCAGATTTGGTTTCTCTCACTCAGTTTGTGTATAACTTCAATTTGTAGAATGTGGACTTGCCATTTCAGTATTAAAATGGACACTTGATTGAAATGGACACAGTTTTTCAAACTGTAAAATGAATTGATGACATAATTGCTCAGCATTTTATACTTTCTAAAATTCTTGAGTGTGTAAAGAGGTGCTTTGAGACTGCTTGTCAAAATTATGGAACCCTCTTGGCTTAAAACAGAGACAAAAGGGCTACTCTGAGAATACCAGCATTTTGCTTCCTTTAACTCAAGAGTGTAAGAGTGAGAGTCAGCCTTTGGGGCAGAGTCTTGTTTCTGAAAGAAATAGCTTTGGTGAGTCCTTTTTCTATTTAGGTGAATATAGGCCAAGTAGCGATTCTTTTTTTTTTTTTTTTTTTTTTAGACATACTCTGAAGTTTGTGAAGTAAATAAATGAAAACATTTTAGCTTTTGATTTTGATGTTTTTAATTGTGTAAAATAGAGTAAGGATGGGTATAGGGAAAGGGTACAACTTATAAAAGTATATATTTGTTTTTCCTCTTCACTTTTTCTGCAGTGGAGAGATGTTAAATTTTAGTTCGTAAAATAAAACTAAAAATACTCACCTGACTAGATAGTTGTAAAATACTTGCGGAAGCATAGTGTTTTATGAATTATACAGTGCTGCATGAATAGTTGTAAATGTTCTTATTGGCAGTAAGTGTAGCAGGGGTATCTACTCATCTCTGTCCAGCCAGGGGACTCAGCATACAAGGGCCTAAGAATTGTGGGGGAGGGAGATGAGGGTGGTGATGGGGCCAGGGAACAAAGCCTCAAAGCCTAGGCTGGGAAAGGAGTCTGCCCACTCATCGGGACCCCGTCCTGGAAATTGTCTCAGGCCCCAGAGCTGGGGTGAGCCACACAGTGCCCCTCTGGTATTTCCTGGGCCACAATCCACCTCTATGCTTAGTCTGGTATCTGACCCTTGGACACTGAGATCCCTTTCCTCTCTTTGTTTCTTTTCTCATCTCGATTCCTCTGATTTTAGAGCCTTCAACACAAAAGAACTGATTAAATTCCTTTTTTCCATAGTGGGGCTTATTGGTCCGTCAGGTAGGACCCAGACTGTGGAAAGATAAGGGTATATTTATTTATTTATTTTTTGAGACGGAGTCTTGCTCTGTCGCCCAGGCTGGAGTGCAGTGGCGCCATCTCGGCTCACTGCAAGCTCCGCCTCCCAGGTTCACGCCATTCTCCTGCCTCAGCCTCCCGAGTAGCTGGGACTACAGGCGCCCGCCGACCACACCTGGCTAATTTGTGTGTGTGTGTTTTTAGTAGAGACGAGGCTTCCACCGTGTTAGCCAGTATGGTCTTGATCGCCTGACTTCATGATCCGCCAGGCTCGGCCTTCCAAAGTGCTGGGATTACAGGGGTGAGCCACTGCGCCCGGCCGAGGGTGTTTATTTTTCTGGAGCATGGGGAGGGCCCAGATATTGGAATCCCCATGCAGGCCGACCAGTGAGTGGTGGGTGGTCAGAATTACCTTTCTTATCTCATAATCTTACCCCATGTGGCTTATGACATATTCCTTTCTAGCAAATACAGCACTCTCCCCTGAAAGGAATTCTTTCTCTATCCATTAGTTGTAAAACAAACTGGTAAAGAATGTGTCCGACAGAGCAGATGTAAAATGCCCCCTCCCACTTTTAGCACAGAGATATGCTCAGTAGAACGTTTTAAAAATTGTATTTAAATGTATAGCTGAGCTTGAAAGACAAGAAAATCCTCATGTCCCAGAAAAGAAGAGGAAAGTGTTGGGGTAAAAGGGAGCTGATGCTAGAGGACCCGGATAAAGGCCTTCAGGGCTGGGTAGAGGTTTTTCTCCCATCTGGAAATGGGAAATGAGACCTCAGGCCTGTGCAAGGTGGGGGTTTAAAAGGGAACCACCTGCATTGAACTGGGAACCTCAAAGGGCTACCCTTTGCTCGAAGGGAAGATTAGAAATAACCTGATCATCTGGGGAGCTTGCCATCTGTTTGAGACCCTCTATGGAAATAATGTCACCTTAGAGAAATGAGAATTCTAAGTATGAATCATGCTTGAATATTTAGTCAAAATGTTGCCTTACCTTTATACTGCAGATTGCTGGTTTGAGAAATGGAAGTGAAAACTGTTTAAACCAATAAAACTATTAGAGAACTGGCAGAGGCCACCATGGAACCTCTCTACAGAGGAGCCCACAATCCTGAGCATATGAGGGGTCCATAGGAGATAATCTCTGTTGCTGATATGCTTAACAGAAAGAAAATCACAAACCATACTAGGAAACAAATTCCATGAGGGAAAAATATTCAAGGAAGGAAACAGTAAAACTAACACCCCAAGAATTAGAGAAAGTCAAACAATCTCTAAAAGACTATAAAATAAGAATCTATAAAATTTCAACAATACTGAGAACCTACTGTGCACCAAGCACTATTAGAAGAACTTTAATGTATTGCCCTTCCCACCAGTCCAGTGAGTTGGAGACTATTACTAGCCACATTTTACAGATAAGAAAACTGAGGCAATATTGGTTAACTAAGGTCACACAGTTAGGAAATAGTGGAGTCAAATTTGAACAGCTGATCATTGCAGAGCTTGCCTCCTAACCACTGTTACAGAAACTGAAGCTGCCCACCTTACCTTTTTTCCCCTTCCTGACAGAGATGGAATTATAGCTGGGCTTATGACTACCCACCTACACTACATTTCGCAGTCTCTGATGTAGGTGGGTGTAGCCACGTGGCTCAGTTCTCTCCAATGGGAGCAAAAGTGATGTGTGACACTTCTGGGCTGGCACCTGAAGACAGTGGGGGTTTCTCCTCCATGATGTTTTCTTTTCACACTGGCTGCAATCCAGATGTGTGATGCCCCAGCTCCAACTAGGCATATGAGGATAACACCCTAGGGTTGACTAAAGAGTACTTTTTAAAAAGTTTTCTTAATTTTAATTTTTGTGCACTTTTTTTTTTTAAGACAGGTTCTTGCTCTGTCACCCAGGCTGGAGTGAAGTGATGCAATCTTACTGCCTCTACCTCCTTGGCTCAGGCTATCCTCCCACCTTAGCCTCATCAGTAGCTGGGACTATAGGCATGTGCCACCACACCCAGCTATTTCTTTTTTTCCCCAGAAATGAGGTCTTTCTATGTTGCCCAGGCTGGTTTCTAACTCCTGGCCTCTAACTCCTGCCTTGTTCTCCCCACGTGTTAGGATTATAGGTGTGAGCCACCATTCCCAGACCCCATAAAACATTTGTTTGAACACAAATAAATAAATGGCAACTAGCTTTCTTTGTGTATCATTGTTATTAAAATAATCATTTCAATCAATGTAAAAAAAAGAGGAAAATAGAAGGAATCTTGGTTCTTTAATAACTGCATGGGTCAGAACAACCCATTGACCTACACCATTTGCCTCGGATTTGTACACGAAAGAGAAATACTTGTCTATTTCCTTTAAGGTTGAGAATTACTGTTTGGTCTGTGTTACAGCTTTAGTCCCTCTTGAAAACCAATTATGTTGGTCAAAAATAAATCCCAGATCAATTCCTTGGCAGGCAGCTATACAGTGCTCCATACCATGAACACACCATGAATATTCAAAGGAATAAGGGACCATGAGACAAGAACTGGTCAAAATGAAAAAGATTAAATGGGTTTAAAAAGAAACCAAACTGAATTTTTAGAAATAAAAACTGTGGTGTCAAATTGTCATGCCAAAAGGTTTTTTGGGGAGTTTGCCTCTGAGGTGCTGGCCGAGTAAATGATCATGATGACACAGCTAGGGCAAAGGAGGAAGTTTTGGTGGATCTTGGAGAAGCCTAGGAAAGATGCTTGAGGGAGAATCATGGGGACCTGTGGACTGTAGAGCGCAAAGACCAGGCCTGCTATGATGGTGGTGGGGATGGATATTTTCAGAAAACAGGCTGCTCTGGAGGTCAATGCTTGATTTGGCTCTAATGACACTTGCCTTGTCTACTCTTTGGTGGGCCTCAAAGAGTTCTCTCAAACTCTGCTAATTCTTCCTGGGTCAGATGAGTGTTTGTTCTTACTCTCTTCGTGGTCTGGGTGGGGAGAGACCACAGAGACATCCTGAACACACTAACTCTAAACAAAGGCCTTTTTCATCTGCTCAGAATAGCTCAGATAGGCACTCTAAGAAGCAGGGCTGACAAAAGGAAAAGAAAAGGCACAAATGGCAAAGAGAAGATGTGCTTCAGTCCAATTTTAAATGTCCTTTTCAACCCCCCAAAATCCAGCATCCCTTTATGATTAAAACCCTCAGCCAAATCAGCATAGAAGGGACATACCTTAAGTTAATATAAGCCATCTATGACAAATCCACAGCCAACAATACACTGAATGGGGAAAAGCTGAAAGCATTCCCCTGAGAACCAGAACAGGACAAGGATGTCCACTCTCACCACTTCTATTCAACAAAGTACTGCAAGTCCTAGCCAGAGCAATCAGACAAGAGAAAGAAATAAAAGACATCCACATCGGTAAAGAGGAAGTCAAACTGTCGCTGTTTGGTGGTGATATGATTGTATACCTAGAAAACCCTAAAGACTCATCCAAAAAGCTCCTTGAACTGGTAAATGAATTCAGCAAAATTTCAGGATACAAAATTAATGTACACAAATCAGTAGCTCTGCTATACACCAACAGCGACCAAGCTGAGACTCAAATGAAGAACTCAACTATTTTCACAATAGCGGCAAAAACAAAACAACAACAACAATAACAAAAAAACAACCAAACAAACAAAAACCTTAGGATTTTACTTAACTAAGGATGTGAAAGACCTCTACAGGGCAAACTAAATGTCCGTTTTTAACCGCTGGGTGTCTCTGTCCACTTCAGGGCATCCTTTGGAAATGATAGGAACTTACAATGACCACTCACTTACAATTCTAGGCCTCTTGGGTTTTTTCATGTTTCTTCTTCATATTCTTGGTTTGAGGAACCCTCTAGAATCATTGTCTATGGCTTTCCTGGCAGACTGAAAGCCGTAAGAATCCTGGCCTTGAGGGCCATGGGATAGGGTGATCCTGGTTTACCCAGGATGAGGGATTTCCTGAGACTCTGGATTTTCAGTGCTAAAGCTGGGATAGTCCCAGGAAAGTCAGGGCGGCTGTCAGGATTTGTGCAGGACCATAATGTCCCTGCTCCAAGGAATGTCCTAGGGTAACTGAGATAGTGGAATATTGGGGCTGGTGTCAGTGGAATATTACCAGACTTGACTGAATTTTCTCTGGATCTTACCCTTTTTTCTTTTCCTGAGTGTGGAGCAGAGTATAAGAGAGCTGACCAGTGGGAGAATGCACATTTCACAGCTGCAGACAATGGTTACCAACACACTTTTCACCCCTACAATCTATCACTCTCTATTCATTCCTCCAGACAAATCTCTAAACTTTAGTTTCCTTAATGACCACATAATCTAGATATACGCAAGTCTAGGCTAATGGCCCATTTATTTCCAGCAGCATTTGAAACAGTGAAATTCTAGCACAGTCAGGGATTCTAGGCTATCCCTCGGAGGGGAATGGCCTAAGGAATTGGCTTGTTGTACCAGAGTTGGCTAAATATTTGGTGGGGGATTAATTCATTTCCTCTTTGGGATCTGATTCCAATGCTTTGGCTGGGCAAGATATCTGTCCTAGATTTCTGCACAAGTGTTTGTGCTTTTATTTATTTGTTTGGGGGGCAGAGAAAGGGCACTTTTTTGTGGTAGAAAGACTAACATGTATACAGCCAGTGGAGTTAGCTTGTTCTGGCTCACAAAAGCCAATGGTTAAATTTTAAGAAGCTTGTTATTAAAAACTAAACAAAGTCAGCCATTATTAACATTATATTATACAAAATTATAATTATATTAAAAACAAAGGTAATAAATACTTAAAGCCCATCACTTAATTATTATTCGATTATGTATGTTCTCGAGCTTATATATGTTTATTGTATTTGTATGGTAACAGTACTCCATTATGACATGCCACTGTGCATCTCTTCTCAACTCTGTATTCAGTGGTGTCAGACTGGTAGCTGAAATCAGCTATGATGGGAGTATTTATGCCACAGATGTTGGCACACATCAAAAATCATCTTCCTGCCTCTGAGAGTCTGTTGTTGAACATACAGCGGCATATATTCACATAGTTTTTGGTAATAACACAACAACAAATCATATACCAGCATATCACTGTGGAAAGTTATTTACTGAGCCCCTATTATATGCTGGGCATAGTTCAAAATGCTTTGTAAATATTTTTCATTCATTCAATAATACTGATTATTATAAATATTCCAGGTATCGTCACTATTTTTATTAGCTAACATTTTTTGGGTATTTGCTGTATGCCTGGCATTCTTCTAAGACCTTCACATGTATTCACAGCTTAATCCCTGGGATAAACCTTTGAAGGAGGTTCCATTATTATCCTCAATTTATAGATGAGGAAACTGAGGAAGTTATAAATGAAATAATTTTTCCAGGTTCACAGAACTGGTAGTTTGTACATCGATATTAGACCCCCCGCAACAACCTGACTCTGGAGCCTGAGCTCTTAACCACTAAACTCTACTGTCTTTTCATGGCTGTAGACACCATGAATGTAGCCTTTCAGGGCTACATTCTGATGGATGGGGTAGGGGGAGAGATATATTAATCAATAAACACATAAATACGTAGACCTCAGATAGTGATAATTGCCATGAAATAAAAATAAAGCAAGTCAAGGGTAATAGAAAACACTGAAGTTGGGAGGGCACATTCTGTATTTATTTGATTTTTAACTTAATATTATCCCCATTTTACAGAAGAGGAAACCGAGGCTCAGCGAGGTTAAATCCACACCAACAGCTAATAAGTGGCTGAACTGGGATTCGCACCTACAGTAGCCTGGTTCCCAAGTCTGTGCATATTCCCTCTACATCACACGTCTGCGTCTCTACTTGAAGTTCTTAGGTTACCAGGCCTTTGTTTCAAGCTTGATTTCATGTGCAGAGTCAGCTCAGCTGGAATCTGCCTTGTGTCGGTACTCATTTGTTTCTCTGCCCCTCCACAGCCATATGAGAGAATAAACAGATGTTCAGTTCACAGTGATGCTGCAGCCTGCATGAGTGAGTGTAATGTCTGAAATGTGGAACCAACCACATGGCCCTTCTCCACGCTGGTCAGTGAGGGGGCTTTGTCAGTGAAAACAGACTTATTGTGGCTAATGTAGGTCGCAGGTGGGAAAGGACGGGGACTGACAAAGAGTTTAACTGGATTCCATTGGCACTCAAAACAAGCTCAGTGAATAGGCATTGCAGGGGTTTGTGGGAGCTGCTCTTTAAATCACCCTGCATTGCCCCACTGGAAGTACTGTATTTAATGTCAACTTGCTTTGACCTTTAGTTTTGGTGGCATTTACTAATTCTATGAAAGCAGCCATTTCTCATGATCCCTGCAGCTTAATAGAAATTCAGATCATTAGTTAAACCCAGACCCAATCCATGCAGAAGTGAAAGTCTCTAAAATGTGTCCTCACAACCTAGGGAAAGATACAGGATGACCTCCACTATTTCAGTTCATTTGAATTTCTGACACCAGGGGAATCAGAAGGAAGTGGCATTTTTTTTTTTTTTTTTTTTTTTTTTTTTTTTGAGACAGAGTCTCGCTCTGTCGCCCAGGCTGGAGTGCAGTGGTGCAATCTTGGCTCACTGCAAGCTCTGCCTTCTGGGTTCACACCATTCTCCTGCCTCAGCCTCCTGAGTAGCTGGGACTACAGGCGCCCGCCACCATGCCCGGCTAATTTTTTGTATTTTTAGTAGAGACAGGATTTCACCGTGTTAGCCAGGATGGTCTCAATCTCTTGACCTTGTGATCCGCCCGCCTCGGCCTCCCAAAGTGCTGGGATTACAGGCGTGAGCCACCGCGCCTGGCCTAAAAGTGACATTTTAATAATAGGTCAAAGCATCAGTTTGACATGTTTTGGGAAACCAACAAAAGCCAGATTTTTCAGTGGGCCTGACTCTTGGATGGAAGAAAACTCCCTGATTACAAATATTTCACGGTTCCTTATCACTCAGTGATAGCCACCTCTTGTATCAGTTCCACTGCTACTGTAACAAATTGTCACAAATTTAGCAGCTTAAAACAATACTCATTCACAATCTCAGGGTTCAGGCATAAGTCCAAGTGGGCTCAGCAGCATTCTCTGCTCATGGGCTCACAATGCCAAAGTCAAGATGTTGACCAGGTGGGGCTCTTATCTGGAGGCTTGTGGGTGGGGCGGGAAGCGGGATCTGCTTCCAGTCTCATTCAGATTGTTAGCAGAATTCAGTGTTTTGAGTAGTAGGAGCAAGGTCCCAGTTTCCTTCCTGGCTGTCAGCTGGGGGTTGTTTTCACTTCTGGAGGGCACCATATTCCCTTCATCTTCAAATCAGCAATGGCAGATCAAGAATCTTTGTCACATTTTGAATCTCTTTGACGTTTCTGCCACATTTCTCCTGCTTCCAGCCAGAGAAAGTTGCCTGCTTTTGAGTTCTCCTGTGATTAGATTGGATCCACCTGGATAATCTAGGCTACCATCCGTGTCATAAGGTTTGTAACCTTAATAACATCTGCAAGTCCCTTTTGTCATTTGATGTAACATGTTCACAGTTCCTGAGGATTGGAACATGGCCTTTGGGGTCGGGGAGGATTCTGCCTATCATACTTGTATCTCCTTGACCCCTATGGAGCTCAGATACCTGGCTCACAGGATTCTGTAGGGAATATTTGTGAAAGTGCTTTGAAAGCTAAAAGTACAATACAACTGCGAGGTGTGAGACCTGTCTTAGAGGTGAGAATAAACAGATGTATAGTTAGGTCAACCAATTTTTTGTGAAAATGACTGTTTACAATTATGATTTTTCTACCTCTTAATATTATAATAGCTCCTCTAAGGACATTTACTCACTCATCCTTTTCATAGTATTGATTGAGCACTTACGATGTGCCTGGCACAATTCTAAGTACTGAGAATTAGCAGTACAGAACAGGCAAAATTTCCTCCTCTCATGAAACTTATATTCCAGCATTGGAAAACACAAGATAAATTATACCATATATTAGAAAATTAAAAATGTTATGACAGAACATAAAAGAGGAGGGAGAAAGGGAGTACCCTTCTGGGATAGGAGTAGGTTGTAGCTTTAAGTAAGCATGGTCAGGTAAGGCCTCACTGGGAAGGTGACCTTTCAGCAGAGGCTGGAAGGAGAGGTAAACAAGGCAGAATGAACTGCAGAAGATAGTTAGAAAGATGGGCATTGTCTGTATGTGTATAAATAGTTTTTTGGTTTTTTTTTTTTTTTGCCACGAGAGTGGATGAGTTCTTAACAAGAGTAAATTCAGACATGGAATAGAAGAACGCTGATGAATGAGTCCTGAGGTACTCCACAGTTAGAGGGCAAGGAGACAAGGAGTTGTCAGCAAGGGAAGGTGAGAGTGAGCAGCTGGTCAAGCTGGGCACTATCAGGAGAGGGCAATATTCTAAGACAGTGCTTCCAGGTGAAGGGCTTGTTCCTCTGTGTTAAATGTTGCTCATGGGTCAAGCAAGATAAGAATGGGTAATTGACCTTTGGATTTAATAATTTGAGGTTTCTAGTTAAACCACATTCTAATTGGAGAATCTCCAGAGAAAATAAGAGGAGAAGATTTGAAGATAGCAGTAAGTATAGACTACTCAGGTGTTCTGAAGAGGAGCAAAGAAGTGGGGAAATACCTGGAGGGCCACATGTGGACAAGAGATTTTTTTTCAAGATCAGATAGCATATTTGTGTGCTGATGAAAATGAGGAAGTAGAGGACAAATAGAGGAGTAGGAGACAGAATGGTCATTTCTTTGGCCTGAAGGAGATGGGTTCTGGAGTAGGGGTTGACCTTGAATGGCAGGACAGAAAATACATCCATGGTAACAGGAGTCAAGGCAGAGCATACTGGCCTAGATGCAGGTAGTGGGGTAGATGCAGAGGTGAAAGTTTGTGGATGTGCTTTTCTGGTGGCTTCTCTTTTCTCAGGAAAATAGAAAGGAAGGTCATCAGGGGAAGGTTAGGGAAGGGAAATAGACTAAAGAGATGACCCTCTTGTGGTGTGGCCACTGATGAACAGGAGCTGAGACCTGAAGACCTATCTCAAAAGACAGTGAACAGGGAGGGCACGGTGGCTCACACCTGTAATCCCAACACTTTGGGAGGCCAAGGTGGGTGGATCACTTGAGGTCAGGAGTTCGAGACCAGCCTGGCCAACATGGGCAAACTCCATCTGTACTAAAAATACAAAAATTAGCCAGGCATGGTGGCACGTAGGAGGCTGAGGCAGGAGAAATATGGCGTCCAGCAGCCATCCCACCTGAGGAAATTCTCCTCTCATTGCCAAACAATTAGGGTACCCAAGATTGACTTGTAGAAAGAGAGCTAGTGATAGTCCTTATGGTTGTTTCTTACTAAATACCTGTTTAATCAGCACAATTAACCTGTTCCCTAAATTAGTACACACAACCACCCATGAAATTAGCAATTACTGTCCTCATTATTATGCCCGTTTACAGAGGAGAAAACTGAGATTCAGGGTGTTTCAGAAATTTATTCAAATTCTTATAATTAGTGTATCAGCTATGATCAGATTAGGCTGTCCAGAGGTGGTTTGGTGGCTTTGCTTCCTGAGGTCCTTGGAACCCGGGCTCCTTGTATCTCTTCATCTTGTGTGTGGCCTTTATTCACCCATTACCTGGTAGTCCAAGATGGCTGCTCAAGCTGCAGTCATCATGTTCCCTAACCATTCTGCAAAGAGGAAGAGATGAAGAAGGGAAAAGACATTTCACCTGTCTTTGGGGAAGGTTTCTGGAAACTTCCATTTGGCATTCTGTATACATCTTATTGTCCTGAGATTAGTTCCATGACCACATGTGGCCACATATAATGCAGAGAAATGTAAATTTTATTTTGGATGGCATAGTCCCAACTAAATTTCCATTATAATGCACTAATGTATGGAGATTCCCTACTCAGGGGACTTGTATTCTCTGTCAGTGTCATTACACTTAATCACTTAACTGCCTTGCCTTCTCACCTCTCCCTGATTCCCAATGCTCATGTCTCAGAATTTGCTTCTCTATTCCTATTCACTAACTGTTGAGTCCCAGAATCCAGTAAAAAATTTGTCATTGCCTTTTGAGGGAGGTAACAATTCAGTAAAATGAGCAAGAACTTTGAAGCCAAATAGACTTGGCTTCAAATCTAGGCTTAAGTACCTACTGCCTCTATCAACGTGAGAAAGATACTTAAATCCTCCGACCTCCTGTTGCCTGCCAATTGATAAAATTAAACCTAATTTACAAGGCTGAGGAGAGAATGAAGTGAGGTAATATATATGACTGTATTTGACATCTGTGGTTTCTCAAGGCATCTATGTCCTTCTTTTCCCTGGTGATCTAGTTAATGGAGAGGCTCAGTGAATCCAGAGACCCTCCGTGGTGGGCATTTGCTGATTGCTAACTAGCATCCTGCCCCTCCTCTGCCTGCCTAACAGCATCCAGATTTTGGATTCTGTAGGATTATAATCTCTCTCCTCCATTATGTAGTGGCCATGGAATCTGGAGGGGGTTGACACCCTCTCCTGCCCCTTACCAGCTCTGGGGGAGACTTTGATTGATGAAAGTGTCTTTGAGAGCAGAGGGGCAATGTTATTCTTTTACATTCAAGTTTCTCTCAGGCATTTAAAACATCACCGGAGTAATTGATTAAGCAGTTGATTGAATGGGTCTTGGGGAAACACTGGGCTTGTGGAGGGAATTTCCAGGGAAAAGCTGTGTCTGACACTGTTGTGAATGAGCCAGCAGCGGAGCCAGTCAACCGTGGCCGCTGTGGCCTGGTGATTATCACGTTGGTATGTTCTAATATGACAGCTGGGAATCTCACCAACCAGACCCACCTGATCAGCAATGAAGTGTTTCTATTCTAATCATCTTTTGGGACTGTGGCTGGCATCAAGCATTGGAACAAAAAGTGCTTCTCGGGCATCTGCCTTTTATTAGTGAAATCCATTCCTGTATGAAGGCTTATTCTTCTCATGGCAGAGAAGTGATGTCTTTTACAAAGGTGGTTTGCCTATCTTTGCTCTGCCTGCCGGCTTTATAGAGTTCTGGGTTCATACTAGAGGCCTTTTGAACACCCCAGGTCATGCTTGGTTTAAAGAATCTTACCTTCACTTCTGGTCTGGTTGCTGTGGTCTAGAAGCAGACCTGCCTTAGACTTTCAGCAGATGGAAGAAAGGAAGGAAACTAATTGTGATTGTGCACTGGCTCCATCATGACCTTGGACAAGACTCTTCTGTGAAATGAGGGAAGTAAGACCTCCCCTTCAGTATTTTGGAGAGGAATAAATGAGATATGTGTTTAATATACTTAGTATAATCTGGCGCTTAGTAAAGACTTAATCAAATACTGGCAGTGATTATTATCAAACTCATGAGCACAATGGTTGGCATAAAGCCACCCCTCCATGAATGTTGGCTATTATTATTATTATTATTATTACTCTTCATATTATTATTTTGAAGACTATTTTTATAGCAGTTTTAGGTTCACAGCAAAACCAACTGGAAGGTCCAGAGCCTGTAACCCTCTTCGTCCCCATGTATACACAGCTTCCCCTACTACCAATATCCCACACCACAGTGGTACATTTTTTACAAAAATGAACCTACATTGACCCATTATTATCACATAAGTCCATAGTTTTTATTAGAGTTCACTCTTGGTGTTGTACATTCTACAGATTTGACAGGTATATAATTACATGTAACTGCCATTATAATATCAAGCAGAATTCTTTTACTGCTTTAAAAATCCTCCGTGCTCCTGCTACTCATTCTTCCCTCCCCTCAACACCTGACAACAACTGATCCTTTCTGCCTTTTTTAGAATGTCATATTGTTTGAATCATACAGCACATAGCCTTTCCAGATTGGCTTCCTTCACTTAGTAATATGCATTTAAATTTTATCCATGTGTTTTCATGGCTTGATAGCTTTTTTAAAAACTTCTGAATAATATATCATTGTTTGGATGCACCATAGTTTATTTAACCATTCACCTACTGAATGACATTTTGGTTGGTTACAAGTTTTGGCAATCACGAATAAAGCTACTATTAATATCTATGAGCAGATTTTTGTGTGAACATATGTTTTTAATTCATTTGAGTAAATATCAATGATCATGACTGTCAGATTATATGGTAAGTATATTTAATTTTGCAAGAAATTGCTAAATTGTTTTCCAAAGTGGCTGTACCATTTTTCATTCCCATCAGCACTGAATGAAAGTTCCTGTTGCTCTGTATCCTCACAACATTTGGTATTGTCAGGGTTGTAGATTTTGTCATTCTAGTAGGTGGTATCTCATTGTTGCTTTAATTTGCGTTGTTGCTCCAATTACATATGATTTTGGGCATCTTTTCATATGCTTATTTGCCACCTGTATATCTTCATTGGCAAGGTATCTATTCAGGCCTTTTGCCTATTTTTTAATCAAGATGTTGGTTTTCTTATTGTTGAGTTTTAAGAGAGCTTTGTATATTTTGGATAACAGCACTTTATCAGATATGTCTTTTGCAAATATTTTCTCCCAGTCTGTGGCTTGTCTTCTCATTCTCCTGACAATATCTTTTGCAAAGCAGAAGTTTTTAATTTTAATGAAGTCCAGCTTATCAATTATCTCTTTCATGGACTGTGGCTTGGTGTTGGACCTAAAAAATCATCACCACATCTAGGGTCATCTAGGTTTTCTTCTATGCTATCTTGTAAGTGTTTTATGGTTTTGCATTTTACATTCATGTCTGTGATCCATTTTGAGTTAAATGCAGGAAAAGCTTTTTTTGAGTGGTATAAGGTGTGGCTAAATTCTTCTTCTTCTTTTTTTTTTTTTTTTTTTGCATTTGGATGTGTAATTGTTCCAGCACCATTTGTTGAAAAGACTATCTTTTATCCATGTATTGCCTTTGCTCCTTTGTTAAACATCAGTTGACCATGTTTATGTGCACTTATTTCTAGCTTTTCTATTATGTTTCATTGATATATTTGTCTATTCTTGGACCAATATCACACTGTCTTGATTACTGTAGCTTTTTAGTAGGTCTTGGAGTTCAGAGTGTCAGTCCTCTGACTTTGTTCTTCTATATTGCGTTGGCTGTTCTGGGTCTTTAGCATCTCTATATAAAGTTTAGAACATAATTGTTGATATCCACAAAATAACTTGCTGAGATTTTGTTTAGGATTGTGTTGAATCTATAGATCAAGTGGGAAAGAACTGATGCTTTAACAATATTTTATCTTCCTCTCCATGAATATAGAATATCTCTCCATGTATGTAGGTCTTTGATTTCTTTCATCACAGTTTTGTAGTTTTCCTCGTATAAATCTTATACATATATTTTTAGATATATACAGAAGTATATATCTCAGATTATATATAAGTATTTTATTTGGGGGAATGCTAATGTAAATGGTAATGTGTTTCTAATTTAAACTTCCATTTGTTGGCATATAGGAAAGTGATTGAATTTTGTATATTAACTTTGTATCCTGCAACCTTGCTATAATCTTTTATTAGTTCCAGGAGATTTTTCTTCTTATTGTTGTTGATCCTTTAGGATTTTCTACATAGACAATCATGTCATCTACAAATAAAGATAGTTTTATTTCTTCCACCCCAATATGTATACCATTTATTTTATTTTCTTTTATTTTAATTATACTTTAAGTTTTAGGGTACATGTGCACAACGTGCAGGTTTGTTGCATATGTATACATGTGCTATGTTGGTGTGCTGCACCCATTAACTCATCATTTAACATTAGTTATATCTCCTAATGCTATCCCTCCCCCCTCCCCCTACCCCACAGTAGGCCCCAGTGTGTGATGTTCCCCTTCCTGTGTCCATGTGTTCTCATTGTTCAATTCCCACCTATGAGTGAGAACATGCGGTGTTTGGTTTTTTGTCCTTGCAATAGTTTGCTGAGAATGATGGTTTCCAGCTTCATCCATGTCCCTACAAAGGACATGAACTCATCATTTGTTATGGCTGCATAGTATTCCATGGTGTATATGTGCCACATTTTCTTAATCCAGTCTATCATTGTTGGACATTTGGGTTGGTTCCAAGTCTTTGCTATTGTGAATAGTGCCGCAATAAACATACGTGTGCATGTGTCTTTATAGCAGCATGATTTATAATCCTTTGGGTATATACCCAGTAATGGGATGGCTGGGTCAAATGGTATTTCTAGTTCTAGATCCCTGAGGAATCGCCACACTGACTTCCACAATGGTTGAACTAGTTTACAGTCCCACCAACAGTGTAAAAGTGTTCCTATTTCTCCACATCCTCTCCAGCACCTGTTGTTTCCTGACTTTTTAATGATCACCATTCTAACTGGTGTGAGATGGTATCTAACTCTGGTTTTGATTAGCATTTCTCTGATAGCCAGAGATGATGAGCATTTTTTCACATGTCTTTTGGCTGCATAAATATCTTCTTTTGAGAAGTGTCTGTTCATATCCTTTGCCCACTTTTTGATGGGGTTGTTTGATTTTTTTCTTGTAAATTTGTTTGAGTTCATTGTAGATTCTGGATACTAGCCCTTTGTCAGATGAGTAGATTGCAAAAATTTTCTGCCATTCTGTAGGTTGCCTGTTCACTCTGATGGTAGTTTCTTTTGCTGTGCAGAAGCTCTTTAGTTTAATTAGATCCCATTTGTCAATTTTGGCTTTTGTTGTCATTGCTTTTAGTGTTTTAGACATGAAGTCCTTGCCCATGCCTATGTCCTGAATGGTATCGCCTAGGTTTTCTTCTAGGGTTTTTATGGTTTTAGGTCTAACATTTAAGTCTGTAATCCATCTTGAATAATCCATCTTGAATTAATTTTTGTATAAGGTGTAAGGAAGAGATCCAGTT
Source organism: Homo sapiens (assembly GCF_000001405.40). Lineage (NCBI taxonomy): Eukaryota > Metazoa > Chordata > Mammalia > Primates > Hominidae > Homo > Homo sapiens. The sequence continues at coordinate 166,312,100 of NC_000001.11, forward strand.
TCAGCTTTCTACCTATGGCTAGCCAGTTTTCCCAGCACCATTTATTAAATACAGAATCCTTTCCCCATTTCTTGTTTTAGTCAGGATTGTCAAATATCAGATAGCTGTAGATATGTGGCATTATTTCTGCTTGGTCTGTTCTGTTCCGTTGGTCGATATCGCTGTTTTGGTACCAGTACCATGATGTTTTGGTTACTGTAGCCTTGTAGTATAGTTTAAAGTCAGGTAGCATGATACCTCCAGCTTTGTTCTTTTGGCTTAGGATTGACTTGGCAATGCGGGCTCTTTTCTGTTCCATATGAACTTTAAAGTAGTTTTTCCAATTCTGTGAAGAAAGTCATTGGTAACTTGATGGGGATGGCATTGAATCTATAAATTACCTTGGGCAGTATGGCCATTTTCATGATATTGATTCTTCCTACCCATGAGCATTCCATTTGTTTGTATCCTCTTTTATTTCATTGAGCAGTGGTTTGTAGTTCTTGAAGAGGTCCTTCACATCCCTTGTAAGTTGGATTCGTAAGTATTTGATTCTCTTTGAAGCAATTGTGAATGGGAGTTCACTCATGATTTAGCTCTCTGTTTGTCTGTTATTGGTGTATAAGAATGCTTGTGATTTTTGCACATTGATTTTGTATCATGAGACTTTGCTGAAGTTGCCTATCAGCTTAAGGAGATTTTGGGCTGAGACGATGGGGTTTTCTAGATATACAATCATGTCATCTACAAACAGGGACAATTTGACTTCCTCTTTTCCTAATCGAATACCATTTATTTCCTTCTCCTGCCTGATTGCCCTGGCCAGAACTTCTAACATTATGTTGAATAGGAGTGGTGAGAGAGGGCATCCCTGTCTTGTGCCAGTTTTCAAAGGGAATGCTTCCAGTTTTTGCCTATTCAGTATGATATTGGCTGTGGGTTTGTCATAGATAGCTCTTATTATTTTGAGATATGTCCCATCAATACCTAATTTATTGAGAGTTTTTAGCATGAAGCGTTGTTGAATTTTGTCAAAGGCCTTTTCCGCATCTGTTGAGATAATCATGTGGTTTTTGTCGTTGGTTCTGCTTATATGTTGGATTACAGTTGTTGATTTGCGTATGTTGAACCAGCCTTGCATCCCAGGGATGAAGCCCACTTGATCATGGTGGATAAGCTTTTTGATGTGCTGGTGGATTCAGTTTGCCAGTATTTTATTGAGGATTTTGCATCGATGTTCGCCAGGGATATTGGTCTAAAATTCTGTTTTTTTGTTGTGTCTCTGCCAGGCTTTGGTATCAGGATGATGCTGGCCTCATAAAATGAGTTAGGGAGGACTCCCTCTTTTTCTGTTGATTGGAATAGTTTCAGAAGGAATGGTACCATCTCCTCCTTGTACCTCTGGTAGAATTCGGCTGTGAATCTGTCTGGTCCTGGACTTTTTTTGGTTGGTAAGCTATTAATTATTGCCTCAATTTCAGAGCCTGTTATTGGTCTATTCAGAGATTCAACTTCTTCCTGGTTTAGTCTTGGGAGGGTGTATGTGTCGAGAAATTTATCCATTTCTTCTAGATTTTCTAGTTTATTTGCATAAGGGTGTTTATAGTATTCTCTGATGGTAGTTTGTATTTCTGTGGGATTGGTGGTGATATCCCCTTTATCATTTTTTATTGTGTCTATTTGATTCTTCTCTCTTTTCTTCTTTATTAGTCTTGCTAGCGGTCTATCAATTTTGTTGATCGTTTCAAAAAACCAGCTCCTGGATTCATTGATTTTTTGTAGGGTTTTTTGTATCTCTATTTCCTTCAGTTCTGCTCTGATCTTGGTTATTTGTTGCCTTCTGCTAGCTTTTGAATGTGTTTGCTCTTGCTTCTCTAGTTCTTCTAATTGTGATGTTCGGGTATTAATTTTAGATCTTTTCTGCTTTCTCTTGTGGGCATTTAGTGCTATAAATTTCCCTCTACACACTGCTTTGAATGTGTCCTAGAGATTCTGGTATGTTGTGTCTTTGTTCTCATTGGTTTCAAAGAACATCTTTATTTCTGCGTTCTTTTCATTATGTACCCAGTAGTCATTCAGGAGCAGGTTGTTCAGTTTCCATGTAGTTGAGCGGTTTTGAGTGAGTTTCTTAATCCTGAGTTCTAGTTTGATTGCACTGTGGTCTGAGAGACAGTTTGTTATAATTTCTGTTCTTTTACATTTGCTGAGGAGTGCTTTACTTCCAACTATGTGGTCAATTTTGGAATAGGTGTGGTGTGGTGCTGAAAAGAATGTATATTCTGTTGATTTGGGGTGGAGAGTTCTGTAGATGTCTATTAGGTCCGCTTGGTGCAGAGCTGAGTTCAATTCCTGGATATCCTTGTAAACTTTCTGTCTCGTTAATCTGTCTAATGTTGACAGTGCGGTGTTAAAGTCTCCCGTGATTATTGTGTGGGAGTCTAAGCCTCTTTGTAGGTGTCTAAGGACTTGCTTTATGAATCCGGGTGCTCCTGTATTGGGTGCATATATATTTAGGATAGTTAGCTCTTCTTGTTGAATTGATCCCTTTACCATTATGTAATGGCCTTCTTTGTCTCTTTTGATCTTTGTTGGTTTAAAGTCTGTTTTATCAGAGACTAGGATTGCAACCCCTGCCTTTTTTTGTTTTCCATTTGCTTGGTAGATCTTCCTCCATCCCTTTATTTTGAGCCTATGTGTGTCTCTGCATGTGAGAAGGGTTTCCTGAATACAGCACACTGATGGGTTTTGACTCTTAATCCAATTTGCCAGTCTGTGTCTTTTAACTGGAGCATTTAGCCCATCAACATTTAAGGTTAATATTGTTATGTGTGAATTTGATCCAGTCATGATGATGTTAGCTGGTTATTTTGCTTGTTAGTTGATGCAGTTTCTTCCTAGCCTCGATGGTCTTTACAATTTGGCATGTTTTTGCAGTGGCTGGTACCAGTTGTTCCTTCCCATGTTTAGTGCTTCCTTCAGGAGCTCCTGTAGGGCAGGCCTGGTGGTGACAAAAATCTCTCGCATTTGCTTATCTGTAAAGTATTTTATTTCTCCTTCACTTATGAAGCTTAGTTTGGCTGGATATGAAATTGTGGGTTGAAAATTATTTTCTTTAAGAATGTTGAATATTGGCCCCCACTCTCTTCTGGCTTATAGAGTTTCTGCCAAGAGATCAGCTGTTGGTCTAATGGGCTTCCCTCTGTGTGTAACCTGACCTTTCTCTCTGGCTGCCCTTAACATGTTTTCCTTCATTTCAACTTTGGTGAATCTGACAATTATGTGTCTTGGAGTTGCTCTTCTCGAAGAGTATCTTTGTGGTGTTCTCTGTATTTCCTGAATCTGAATGTTGGCCTGCCTTGCTAGATTGGGGAAGTTCTCCTGGATAATATCCTGCAGATTTTTTTCCAACTTGGTTCCATTCTCCCCATCACTTTCAGGTACACCAGTCAGACATAGATTTGGTGTTTTTACCTTGTCCCATATTTCTTGGAGGCTTTGTTCGTTTCTTTTTATTCTTTTTTCTCTAAACTTCTCTTCTTGCTTCATTTCATTCATTTGATCTTCCGTCACTGATACCCTTTCTTCCAGCTGATGGAATCAGCTACTGAGGCTTGTTCATTCATCATGTAGTTCTCGTGCCATGGTTTTCAGCTCCATCAGGTCCTTTAAGGACTTCTGTGCATTGGTTATTCTAGTTAGCCATTTGTCTAATCTTTTTTCAAGGTTTTTAACTTCTTTGCCATTGTTCAATCTTCCTCCTTTAGCTTGGAGTAGTTTGATCATCTGAAGCCTTCCTCTCTCAGCTCGTCAAAATCATTCTCCATCTAGCTTTGTTTCATTGCTGGTGAGGAGCTGCATTCCTTTGGAGGAGGAGAGGTGCTCTGATTTTTAGAATTTTCAGTTTTCCTGCTCTTTTTTTTCCCCACCTTTGTGGTTTTATCTGCCTTTTGTCTTTGATGATGGTGACGTACAGATGGGGTTTTGGTGTGGATGTCCTTTCTGTTTGTTAGTTTGCCTTCTAACAGTCAGGACCCTCAGCTGCAGGTCTGTTGGAGTTTGCTGAAGGCCCACTCCAGACCCTGTTTGCCTGAGAATCAGCAGAGGAGGCTGCAGAACAGCGAATATTGGTGAACTGCAAATGTTGCTGCCTGATTGTTCCTCTGGAAGTTTTGTCTCAGAGAGGTACCCAGCCATGTGAGGTTTCAGTCTGCCCCTACTGGGGTGTGTCTCCCAGTTAGGCTACTCAGGGGTCAGGGACCCACTTAAGGAGGCAGTCTGTCCGTTCTCAGATCTCAAGCTGAGTGTTGGGAAAACCACTACTGTCTTCCAAACTGTCAGACAGGGACATTTAAGTCTGCAGAGGTTTCGGCTGCCTTTTGTTTGGCTATGCCCTGCCCCCATAGGTGAAGTCTACAGAGGCAGGCAGGATCCTTGAGCTGTGGTGGGCTCCACCCATTTAGAGCTTCCTGGCCTCTTTGTTTATCTGCTCAGGCCTCAGCAATGGCAGGCGCCCCTCCCCCAGCCTCACTGCCACCTTGCAGTTTGATCTCAGACTGCTGTGCTAGCAATGAGTGAGGCTCCGTGGGCGTAGGACCCTCTGAGCCAGGCATGGGATACAATCTCCTGTGTGCCATTTGCTAAGACCATTGGAAAATTGCAGTATTAGGTTGAGAGTCACCCAATTTTCCAGGTGCCGTCTGTCACCCCTTTCCTTGGCTAGGAAAGGGAATTCCCTGACCCCTTGCACTTCCCGGGTGAGGCGATGCCTTGCCCTGCTTTGGCTCATGCTCAGTGTGCTGCCCCCACTGTCCTGCACCCAGTGTCTGACAATCCCCAGTGAGATGAACCCGGTACCTCAGTTGGAAATGCAGAAATCATTCGTCTTCTGCATCACTCATGCTGGGAGCTGTAGACTGGAGCTTTTCCTATTTGGCTATCTTGGCTCCACCTACCATTTTATTTTCTTGTCTTATTGCATTACTAAAACTTACAGTATGATGTTGAAAGAGTGTTTAGAGGGGGCATCTTGCCTTCCTCCTGATCTTAGTGTGAAAGCTTCTAGTGTCACCATTAAATATTATGTTAACTCTATATTTTTTAATTGATGTTCTTAATCAAATTGAGTAAATTTCCCTCTATTCCTAATTTGCTGAGCATTTTTTCTTTTTTCGTGAGTTGATGTTGGATTTTTGTCATTGCTTTTTCTGCATCTACTGATATGATTTGTGATTTTTCCTCTTTAGCCTGTGATAAATAAATTAATTGACTTTTAAATATGGAACAAGACTTGCATACCTGGAATAAGTCCCACTAGTTTCATTGCATAATTCTTTTTATTCATTGTTGGATTCCATTTGCTAATATTATGTTGATAATTTTTATTTTTATTTTCATAAAGGATATTGGTCTATAGTTTTCTTTTCTTGTACTGTCTTTGGTTTTGGTATTAGGTTTTGCTAGCCTCATAGAATGAGTTAGGAAATATTCCTTCTGATTCTATCTTCTGGTAGATACTGCAGAGAATTGGTGTATTTTCTTCCTTAGATGTTTGATAGGATTCACCAGTGAACCTATCTAGACCTAGTGTCTTCTTTTTTGAAAGGTTATCAGATATTGATTGTTTCTTTAATAGATACAGGCCTATTTAAGTTTTTAATTTATTCTTGTGTGAGTTTTGGCAGATTGTTTCTTCCACAGAATTGGCCCATTTTATGTAGGTTATCAAATTTGTGAGTATGGTATTGTTCCTAATTTTCCTTTATTATCATTTTAATGTCTATTAGAGCTGTAGTTATGTTCCCTCTTTCATTTCTGGTATTAGTAATTTGTGTCATTTCCCCTTTTTTCTTAGCCTGGCTAGAGGCTTATCAATTTTATTGACCTTTTCTAAGAACCAGCTTTTGGTTTCATTGATTTTTCTCTATTGATTTCTTGTTTTCAATTTAATTGATTCTTTTGCCTTGGTTTTTATTATTTCTTTTTTTCTGTTTACTTTGTGTTTAATTTACTCTCCTCATTCTAATTTCTTGAGGTGGAAGATCAGGTTATTGATTTTTGATCTTTGTTTTTTCTTTAATTCAATTTAATGCATATTAAATGTATAGCATTTAATTTTTTTACAAATTTAATTCTTACAAATTTTATTAAGTTGTATTTTCACTTTTATTTAGTTCAAAATATACATCTATATATATATATATATATTTATTATTATTATTTTTTTTCTTTTTTTGGAGATGGAGTTTCACTCAGTCCACTAGGCTGGAGTGCAGTGGTACTATCTCAGCTCACTGCAAGCTCCGCCTCCCGGGTTCATACCATTCTTCTGCCTCAGCCTCCCGAGTAGCTGGGACTACAGGCGCCTGCCACCATGCCCGGCTAATTTTTTTGTATTTTTAGTAGAGACGGGGTTTCACCATGTTAGCCAGGATGGTCTCAATCTCCTGACCTCGTGATCTGCCCATCTTGGCCTCCCAAAGTGCTGGGATTACAGGCATGAGCCACCACGCCCAGCCAGTTCAAAATATTTTTAAATTTCTCTTGAAAATTTCTTCTTTGACCCATGTGTTATTTAGAAGTGTGCTACTTAGTCTCCAAGTGTTTTGGAATTTTCCACCCATCTTTTTGTTACTGATTTTTAGTTTAATTCAATCATAGATCATGATGATCTGAGAGTAGATATTATATAAACTGTATTCTTTTAAATTTGTTAAGGTGTGTTTTATGTCCCAGAATGTGGTGCATCTTGATGTATGTTCCATGTGAGCTTGGTAAGAATGTGTACTCTACTGTTGTTGGATAAGGTAGTCTACAGATGACAATTATATCCAGCCAATTCATGGAACTGTTGAGTTCAGCTATGTTCTTACTGATTTCCTGTTTATTGGACCTGTCCATTTCTGGTACAAGGATTTTTAAGTCTCCAGATATAATAGGGGATTCATCTATTTCTCTTTGCATTTTTATCAGTTTTTACCTAATGCATTTTGATGTTTCATTGTTATATGCATATACCTGAAGGTTTATTATGTCTTCCTGGAGAAATGACCTTTTCATCATTATGTAACGCACCTCTATTCTTGTTAACTTTCCTTGCTCTGAAGTCTGCTCTGACTGATTTTATATTGACTTTATAGCTACTCCATCTCTATTTTGATTACTATTAATGTGGCATATTCTTCTCCATCCCTTTACTTTTAATTTATATGTGTCATTATATTTATAGTGGGTTTCCTGTAGATATCTCATAGTTGGGTCTTGACTTTTTTAATCCACTCTGACAATCTCTGTCTTTTAATTGATGTATTTAAATCATTGGTGTTTAAAGAAATTATTGATATAGCTGGATTAATATTTACCATATTCATAACTATTTTCTATTGCCCTTTTAATTTTTTCCTACTTTTAATTTTCCACCCTTTTTCTGCACTTTGTGGTTTTAATTGAACATTTTTTATAATTTTATATGAGCACTTATATGATTTTTTCTCCTTTCTTAGCATATTAATCATACTTCCTTTTACATTTTTTAGTGGTTGCCCTACAGTTTGCAATATGCATTTACAACAAATCAAATTTCACTTTCAAATGACATTGTATCGCTTCACAGGTTGTACAATACCTTACAATAATGAAAAATTGCTGGCTGAGCGCGGTGGCTCATGCCTGTAATCCCAGCACTTTGGGAGGCCGAGGCGGGTGGATCACGAGGTCAGGAGATCGAGACCATCCTGGCTAACACGTTGAAACCCCATCTCTACTAAAAATACAAAAAAAATTAGCCGGGCGTGGTGGCAGGTTCCTGTAGTCCCAGCTACTCGGGAGGCTGAGGCAGGAGAATGGCATGAACCCGGGAGTCAGAGCTTGCAGTGAGCCAAGATCGTGCCACTGCACTCTAGCCTGGGCGACAGAGTGAGACTCCATCTGAAAAAAGAAAAAAAAGAAAAAAGAAAAAAGAAAAAACAGAAAAAGAAAAGAAAAATTGCTGATTCTGCTCTTCCATGCCTTTTAGCATTGCTGTTCATTTCACTTATACATAAGCTATAGTCATCAAATACATTGTTGCAATTATTATTTTGATCAAACTATTATCTGTTAGATCAATTAAGAATATGAAAAAATAAAAGTTTTTATTTCACCTTCACTATTCCTTCTACAATACTCTTCATTTCTTTATGTAAATTCAAGTTTCTGACCTCTATCATTTTTCTTCTCTGTGAATAACTTCTTTTAACATTTCTTGCAAGACAGGTCTAATGGCCACAAATTTCCTCAGTTTTTGTCTGAGAAAGTCTTTATTTTTTCCTACCTTTGAAGGATAATTCCCTAAGATACAAAGTTCTAGGTTGCTGATTTTTTTTCTCTCAGCACTAAATGTTTTTCTTCATTTTCTCGCATACATGGTTTCTGATGGAAAGTTCAACATAATTCTTATCTATAGGTAAGGTATTTTTTTCTCTCTAGCTTCTTTCAAGATTTTTCTTCTTTATCTTTGATTTTCTGCAGATTAATTATGATATTATAGGTGAAGTTTGTTTATTTTTTTATTTTATTTTTTGATATTTATCCTGCTTGGTGTTCTGTGAGATTTCTGGGTCTGTGGTTTGGTGTCTGACATTAATTTGAAGAAATTTCCTGTCATTATTGCTTCAAATATTGCATCTGTTTCTTTCTCTTTTTCTTCTCCTTCTGGTATTCCCATTAAATGTTTTTTTTTAAACACATTTTATAGTTTTCTTACAGTTCTTGGATATTCAATTCCATTTTCAGCCTTTTTTCTGTTTGCTTTTCACTTTTGAAAGTTTCTGTTGGTGTGCCTGCAACCTCAGAGATTCTCTCCTCAGTTGTCTCCAGTCTAGTAATAAGCACATCAAAGGCATTCTTCATTTCTGTCACAGTGTTTTTGTTCTGTAGCATTTCTTTTTAAATTCTTTCTCAGAATTTCTGTCTCTCTGCTTACATTATCCATCTATTCATGATTCTACTTTTTTCATGTGAACCTTAGCATACTTACCACAAATTTTAAAATATTTCTCTTATGATAATTCCAACATTCCTGCCATGTCAGACTCTGGTTCTGATGCTTATTTAGTTTCTTCAAGTTGTGTTTTTGCCTTTTAGTATACCTTGTAATTTTTTGATAGTTGGTTATGATGTACAGGGTAAGGGAAATTACAGTAAATAGGCCTTTGGTAATATAGTGGTAAGGTGTGCGGGAAGGGAAGCATTTTATGGTCTTATGATTAGGTCTCAGTCTTTTAGAGGGCCTAGGCTCCTGGACTGTGAACTTCACAAATGCTTCTCAGATTTTCCCTGTCCTTTTGTGGGAAAGAATGGCTACAACGGGCTGGAGTTATGTATTTCCCTTTCCCCAGATCAGCTGGCTTCTAATTAAACCCTAATAGGTTAGGCTGTGGTAAATAGTATTTTTTTGAGGGCAGGCTTCACTAAGAACAGAATGCTCTGGCATATTTCAAAATGGCTATTTTCCTCCTTTCCCTGCCAGTAGAATGAGAGAATTTTTCCCCATGATCTTCACAGTGAGAACCTAGTAGAACTCTTAGAGGTGAAACTCACAAAATTGTCAGGATCCCACTGTGAATGGTCCCCACCTATCTCTGGAGTTTTATTTCTCAGATATGTCTACACTGGGCCTCCAGCAATTTGTCAGTTACAGTTCTGGTTTCCCTCCCCTGGCACTGGTTCCCAGAGAGGTTTCTCTTTGTGGATTTCTGCCCTGATAAGTTGTGATTTTCTATATTTGCCTATCTGCCTCTCCAATTTGGGGGGACAATGGTTTGCCTTGTGACCTTACTTTTTTGATTAATAAGACTTATTTTTGTTTGTTTTTTAGTTTATTAAGGCTTTTACTTGTTGTTAGGATGGAGTAATGACTCCTAAGCCCCTTATATGCCAGATCAGAAATCTAAGGTCCCCATTATTTTTTCATGTAATCCTCATCACAATCCTTTGAAGTAAATATTGTTAGCTCAGTTTCGAAGATTAAAAAAAATAGGCTGAGAAAAGTCACATGGCTTGGAAGGGGCAAAACTGGGATCAAACTCATATTTCACTTCCCCAAGGTAGCCATTCTCCTTCCAGAGTGCTGGCTGTTCCTACTTATACAGAGCCAGCTGTCCCTACTCATGCAAAGCCAGATGTCCCTATTCGTACGGCACTTTGCTCACCAGTGCTTCATTTGACCAGATTTGTGCTGGTGCTTACCTTGAAGCTCTTTAAATTAAAGCTTAGGTGTTTTAACCTGGTGTTGTAAATTGGTAGGTCTTCTGGGGAAATCCAGTTCCTGATCATTCAGTGAACTCTTGCCTAATTCTTTTTGAACCCATGACTTTTGCTTCTCCTTAGGCAAAGGAAAAGAATGAAAAATGAAATATACTCATTTTATTACTAATAGCTCCAGTAAAAAGATTTAGGATGGCATAATTTGAAAAGGAGAGCCAAAATATAGCCAAAGGAATACATGTAATTATCGTTAATTTGTGCAGAAAGGAAAAATGGACTTAGAGCCATAGGGCCAGAGTTTGAGTTGAGTCCTGGCTTCGTGCCTTGGTCTGCAAATGAGCCTGAGTCTCAGTTTCTTTATTACTAAATACTCTTTTATGTTTGCATCATGGTTCAGTTAAAAAGTACCCATCAACAGTTGTTGAATACGTTCATGCTCAAAGGAAGCTAAAAGGAATGATATAAAAGAAATATAATGATGCCTGTCTACTGGGTAGTTGTGGAGAATGAAAAACTATGTGCTTCTGAGGGTAGTTTTTAGCTTTCAGATTTTGTTTTAAAGTCACTTCTGACCTGCAAAACAGTTGAGGCATCCTCAGCTCACTCCCTCTATTTTTGGCTTCTAAATTCTGAGACTGATATTCCATTTCCTGATGTCTTTGGCTACTGCTCAGCTGACCACAGCTTTCTGTTGGTCCAGGAGACTATCTAATTCTATTTGGTTGCAAACTCTAGTTTTCATTTAGCGTCTTTCTGCAGAGCTCATCACTTCCCACCTGCAGACCCATCCTGACAAAATGCCTAGGGATCCCTTCCACATCTAATTTCATAATTCGCCTCATCTGGACCTGTTTCACCTTAGAGAAAGCCAATGCCAAAATAATGCCTTCCCAATGTCTCAGTATTAACCTATATAAAATAGATAATGCTTATGCTTCAGCACACAACAATGTAAGATCTCCCACCACCATCTCCAATGGCGGGTACAGAATGGCAGACTTGTTTGCATGGTCATTGTGAATACTTCACTCATCAGATTCAGCTCAGAAACAAAACACTGGAGTCTGCGCCTGCAGTGAGGTGTCTCAAGAATGTGGCAGAGGAGGTCAGCTTCTAAGAGACAAATCAAGGAGACTCAGCAAGCAGTAGAAGCACTTGATCAAGACGGTGGGGGGGCCCACCCTGAGAAGTGTTTTGTCCGTGTGCTGCTGATGAAGACTTAGGAAATATTCCATTGCAGCTAAGGGTGTGGCCTTAAGCCTGGATTTCACTGCAGCTAACACCTTTTTAGTAATTCTTTGGAAGGAGTGGTTTTGTTAAATGGTGAGGCTGCACTGGACCTGGGAAATGAAAATTGGGCTGTCAAATCCCACTAGAAGAAACCATGCTAGGGGCACCACATCTAGCAACTATGTGGATGTGGGCTTTCACAGAGGTTCTATTGTGGTATAGATTTCCTATAGCCTGAAGGAAGTGTACCTCAAGAACAGCGCTTCTCAACTGGGGATAATTTTGTTCCCCAGGGGACATTTGGTAATTAACTCTATTATTAGTTTCCTTGAAGAGTAAGTATTGGCCAGATTTCCTCTCACTCCTCTTCGGTTCCTAATACCCTAGTCTAAATGTGTGGGATGGTTAAATATCCATGTGATGTGGTTTGAATGTTCTTCCCCTCCAAATCTCATGTTGAAATGTGATCCCCAACGTTGGAGGTGGGCCTAGTAGGAGGTGTTTGGGTCATGCAGGTGGATCCCTCATGAATGTCTTGGTGCCCTCCCTGCAGTAGTGAGTGAATTCTCACTCCATGAGTTCATGCTGGTTGTTTAAAAGAGCCTGGCAATCTTTCTTGCTCCCTCTTTTTCCATGTGACATGCCTGCCTTCCCTGTGGCTTCTGCCATGGGTAAAAGCTTCCTGAAGCTTCACCAGAAGCTGAGCAGATGCTGGTGCCATGCTTGTACAGCCTGCAGAACCATGAGCCAAATAAAACTATTTTCTTTATAAACTACCCAGTCTCAGGTATTCCTTTATAACAACGCAAAGCAAACTAATACACCGTGGATCAGAAAGAAGCTATAAAACCCTATAGAAAGGAATGAACAAAGGATGACAGGGGTACAAAATGATGGAAAGGTGCTCTATAGAACAGTTTTCTTACTTTGATTCGTTCCTTCCATCTCCATCTCTTTCTTCCCTCAAACAGTTACTGAAGACCTACTATATGCCAAGCACTGTGCAGAGCACTGAGAATATAAGGATGAACGACACAATCCCTACACTTTAGGAAGTCACAGTCTAGTGGGAAAGACAGACTTATAAACCAGTAATTAGACCCTGTGGTAGTACTTCATTAGAAATACAAATAAAAGGTTTTGAGAGTGACTACTGAAGGAGTTCATATTAGTTTTCTATTGCTGCTGTAACACATTTTTGGATATTTAGTGGCTTAAAACAACACAAATCTATTTCCTTACAGTTCTGGAAGCCAAGCTCTGAAATTAGTTTCTCTAGGTTAAAGTCAAAGTGCCAGCAGGGCTGGTTCCTTCTGAAGGCACTAGAGGAGAATCTGTTTCTTTGCCTTTTTTAGCCTCTGGAAGACTACCTGTCTTCCTTGGCTCGTGACCCTTTCCTTGCACCCCTCCAGCCTCTTGCTTATGTCATCATATGCCTACTTCTCCCATAGTCATATATTCCCTTGTTCTCTCTTATAAGAAGTCTTTAATTACATTTAAGGCCCATCTGATCTAGGCTAATCTTCCCATCTCAAGATCCTCGACTCAAATCACATCAGCAAAGTCTCTTTTTAGCATAAAGGTGACATTCACAGGTACTGAAAATTAGCACCTCAATATCTTTAGGGGGCATCATCCAGCCAACTACAGAGTTATAGAATGAGGATAGGGCATTTGGGCTGTGTCTTGAGGGATGAGTACGAGTTTTTCTGGCAATTTTCTTCTTCTTCTTTTTTTTTTTTTTTGAGACGGAGTCTCGCTCTTTTGCCCAGGCTGGAGTGCACAGTGGCGTGATCTCGGCTCACTGCAACCTCTGCCTCCCGGGTTCAAGTGATTCTCCTGCTTCAGCCTCCCAAGTAGCTGGGATTACAGGCACGCACCACCAAGACCGGCTAATTTGTGTATTTTTAGTAGAAACGGGGTTTCACCATGTTGGCCAGGCTGGTCTTGATCTCCTGACCTCGTGATCCACCCGCCTTGGCCTCCCAAAGTGCTGGGATTACAGGCATGAGCCACCGCAGCCGGCTGGCAATTTTCTAGGCTGAGAGGATATGATCTTACCTGTTCAGAGATTTGTAAGATATTCAAAGTAACCCCATAGTTACTTTGTGCAGAAGTTGAAGCTGGTGAAAGTGGCAAGGCCAGGGCACAAAGAGCCTTGAGTGCCAGACCCTGAGGTTTGAATCTGGTTTTATTCACAACAGAGCTTATTATACAAGGAATGGAGTGAGCTGTTAATAAAGTCAAGTGGAGAGATGATGTGGCCTTAATAAGGGCAGAGGCATTGGCATTCATCGACTCTCCAATACCAAACCATGCTGAGTGTCCTTAACTCCCATCCTCATTTTTGTGTCCTGGTTTAGGCCACCTCATCTGAATGATTACTGAAGACTTCATAATCCTCCAATTTTGCTGCTATCCAATCAATTCCTCAAGCTGCAGCCAAAGTGATCATCTAAAACACAAGGCTGATCATGCCACTGCTTGCCTAGTCATGAATGACTCCCAGTTACCTTCAGGACATATATGACTCTCCAGCATCTGGGCCCTGCTCACCTCTCTAGCCTCACTAGTGTGCTTTTCTTGGTCATTGTTCCCAAATAAGTCATAGTACAGTACTTAGCCAGTTGCTGACTCAGAAGATCCCCATCTCAGGAGACTTTAAACCTTCATATGAGCCCAGGTCACCATTTCCAACTCCTTCTCCTTATGGGAGTGCTTTTTGTTCCCTTGGTGTCCTTGCTCATCAGTTTGACCTTGACCAGAATGACTCTAATTCACCCCAATGTGATCTAGTAATGTTCAATTTCAGGGGAAAGGGTGGTATCCTGGTCAGGGCTCTAAGATGGCCCTCAAGCCTCACCTTCCCCATGACTGTCCACCCTACCCTCGCCCAGATCAATTCCCTTATTATCCCTTCTCCTTGAGGGTGGCTGGACTCTGCAAATATGATGGGATAGCTCTCCCATGAGCAGGTTATGAACCAGTTGACTAAGTTAATCAAAAGGAAGAGTTTCTTGGAGGGGTCTGACTTCATTAGAGGAGGCTTTAAAAGAAGTCAGAGAGATAGTCCCCTGCTACCTTAAGGAGGAAGAATAGTTTCGAGTATGAGAGGCCCTGTGGGAAAGACAGGGACATGGAATGAAACTGCAGGTCACTACTAGAAGCTGAGAGCAGAGATTTAGCAAGAGAATTAGAGATTTAGCAAGAGAATGAGGACATTAGTCCTCCAACCTCAAGAAACTGAATTCTGTGAACAATCATGTGAGTTTGGAAGAGGACTTGGAACCCCAGAAAGGAATGCAGCCTGGCCAATACCTTGATTTCAGCCTCTTCACAGAGAACCTAGCTCAGTCATGTCTGGACTGCTAACCTACATGTAGAAACCATGAGATAGTCAACAGGAGTTGTTTTAAGCTAAATTTTGGGTAATTTTTTCTGTAGCAATTGAAAACTACTTATAGGTGGGGGTTATACGGGGTCCCTTCCCACCAACAGACCCCCATGCTTCTTATTAAGATTCATTCCCACCCAGAGCTCTGCACACCAAGAGGACCTAGGAGAGACATCAAGCCCCAAAGACATTTTCATTGCTTCCTCCTGGTTTTAGAGTTACATAATCAAGAGGGGTGATTCCAGAAGAGATTTTTCTGTAATACAGTTCTGTGTGGAAAGGACATGCTGGCTCCACCTACACGGAGAAGCAATGCTGAGTTGCTGAATTTAGGAAAAATCAAGTTCTTCCTCACCAAACATTGTATCATATATGGCTAAGAGTGAGGTAAAGAGTAGCAGAAACTCTTGGGAAGATGGTTTTAAGTGGTTTGCAAAGCTGGTCCCCAGACAACGGCAGCAGCTGGGAACTTGTCAGAAATGTGAATTCTCTGGCCCCTTCCCAGAGCTCCTGAATCAGAAACGGTGTTTTAAATAGCCCTCCAGGTGATTCTGAGATACAATAAACTTTGAAATCACTGACTTAGACAAATAATAGTCGGCAATGCAAATGATGTATAGCAGTATTTTCTAAGTGAATCCCACTAAAAAATAACACAGTAACAAGGGATGCAGAACCCATACAAGGCTCAAACTTGCTCACACTGTCCACAGTTGTGATCAGCTACCCTCAGGCTCTCACAGGCTCTGGTGACATGAAGGTCAGAGAACCTGTGATGTTAGCTGTCAGGGTCACTTTGGGATTTATTTAATCCCAGCCTAATCCCATCCTCATGATGCCTGCCTGCCACATCGTTGATATTTGATAAATACTTGTGGAATGCATGATAAGGTGGGACTTAAAAAAAACCATCCCTTGTTTCGGCCCTGGAGTTGGAGTCTTATTCCCAGGTCCACTCAAGGATAAATCCACCCTCATTAAAGAGAGAGGAGAATTCTCTAATCTGGAGAGGTATGGTACATAGTGGATGGTATGTTGGCATGGGGAAAGGAGCCATGGAGCAGAGGAAAGTACCATTCAAGAGCCTGCAGAGTCCACCTCTGCCACCTCCAGCCCCAATTTAGCAGCTGTGTTCAGGCTTCTGGAACGGATCTAGCACCTATGCTCGTCTCAGTCAAAACCCTTGACACCCCCTATAGGGAGCCTAGGACAAGAAACTTCATATTGGCATAAAAGAGAAAACACTCTGCATTAATGCGCACGACAACAAATGGACAGTTTAATGACCGTTTCTGGGCAGTAAAGGCTGCCCTGGGGCAAACTGGTACTAGCCCACATTCCAAGAACACAAGGTACTTTTTCAGCCTGGTCAACCAGATTGTAATTCCTTCTGTACCACGCATTATTATGTGATTCTTGTTCAGATGATTAAAAGAGTTTGTTTGCCACTTCCAAGAACCCCTCTTGCAATTTAAATGATTCATGCACCCCAGTTTTACAAAAAGGAAAGCAACCTCATTGTTATTTGCTCTGTTAAAGCCCTCAAGTGTTCAGCTTATTATTTTGTTACCTGGTAATGAGGGGTGGGGGTGCTCTTATTTCTAATTCTCTAATCTTTTCATGGGGGAATTCTTATGGGATAATAAAAATTCCTTATTTCATTAACAAAGAAAAAGCTGCAGTTCTCATCTTTTCTCCTTTTTTGGGAGGGTGGGAAGGGGTGATACTTGCTGTCACATGCTAGTATTATTCTCTGCCACCTAGCAAGTTCAGAAGAAGAGCTGAGCAAAAAAGAAGTCAGAGTGATAAGAATATTCCTTTCTTATCTCTGCACCAGAACAATAACACACTTGTGGTGGAGACTGCGAGTTCTCCCCCAGCATCCCTCCCCTTCTTCTTCTTTTCCTTTTTACAGATTCCTCAAGTTTTACCTGCACTGTGCTTATATTTAGGTACAGAAAAATTCCATCATCACAAGAAACCCTCAAGTTGCCCTTTTATAACCACATCCACCTCCCCACTGTCTCCCTAATCCCTGGAAAGCACTGATCTATTTCCCATTTCTTTAATTTTGCCATTTCAAGGTGTTATGTTAAATGGAATTATGCAGTATGTAACCTTTTGGGTTTTTTTTTTTTTTTTTAACTCAGCATAATTCCCTTGAGATTCATCTAAGTTGTGGCATGTATGAATAATTCCTTTTTTATTGTTGAGCAGTCTTCTGCAGTATGGGTGTACCACAGTTTATTTAAAGATTCAGTCTTTGGAGAATATCCAGTTGTTTCCAGTTTGAAGCTAGAAACATTTGTGTACAGATTTTTGAGGAACATAACTATTCATTTATTTGGGACAAATGCCCGAGTGTGCAACTTCTGGGTTGTATGATTGTTGCATGTTTATATATAGTTGTTTATGATAATTATTATGTTTAGTTTTCTAAGAAACTCACAAATTGTTTTCCAGAGTAGACTTACCATTTTATATTGCTACTAGTAATATATGTGTAGTCCAATTTCTCTATATCCTCACTAGCATTTGGTATTTCTGCTATTTCTTGTTTTAGTCATTTAGATAAGTATGTAGTGATAACTCCTTGTGGTTTTAATTTTCATTTTCTTAATGGGAAATGATGTGGAAAATTTTTCATGTGCTTATTTGCCATCTGTATAGCCTTTTCAGTGAAATACCTGTTTATGTCTTTTGCCCATTTTCTAATTAGATTGCTCATTTTGGAGACAATGAAAAATGATTTCTTGAGTTTCAAGAGCTCTTTATATGCTCCAGATACTGGTCCTTTGTAGGATATGTGGTTGCAGTCCTTCTTTCTTTCTATAGCTTAACTATTTGGATTTATGCTGAGCACGTAACTGTCTAGCTAGGGACTACTCTTCTTAACTTTCCTTGCCGCTAAGTATAGCCATGTGGCAAATTTCAGGCCAAGGAGATGAGAGTAGAAATGATACATGCAAAGTCTGATCATGTCTAATGAAAACAAAGGCCACTTGCTCTGAACATCTGTCCTCTACCCATTCTGGGAACATAGACCTTGCAGCCACCCAGAGTCAACCAGGCAGATGGGGATACTGCCTTAGAGTAGGGGTCAGCTGTTAGTAAGTAGTAAAATAGTAAATACTTTAGGCTTGTGGGCCATATGGTCTCTGTAGAAATTAGTCTTTTTATGAACTTTGTCATTTTAGCACAAAAGCAGCCTTGAGCAATATATAAACAAATGAGCATGGCTGTGTTTATATACAACTTTATTTACCAAAACAGGTGGTCCACTCATGGGATATAGTTTGCTAACCTCCTAAGGCAAAGCCACAAGAGAACAAGAGCTGCATTCCTGAATGGTCACATGGAGTGGAGCTATTCCATCAGCCTGGATAGCTACTCTCCAGGCTAATTCGTGAAAAAGAAATTAACTTCTGTTTTTGTAAGTCACTTTATTTTAGAGGCTCTTTGTTGTAGCAGCTCAGCCTTTGCCTATATAGTATAAAAATTGGCATTTACTGGGTACTTACTGTGCCCACTGTGAAAAGATGATTCAAAGGTAAATTTCATATGCTCCCTGCCCAGAGAGAGCTTGCGGTTGACTCTGAGAGAAAGATCCCAGTACAGTGAGATGGAGCTGTAACCAAGCTATAAAGAAAGAGAAGGAAAGAAACACTTTACTGAGTGCCTAATATATTGCAGGCATTTTATTGTTATATCTCTGAAGGCTCAGGGAAGTCTATGAAGTATGTTATTATATTTCCATTTTAGAAATTTTAAAAACCCATGAGTCTCTGTAAAGTTATTTAACTTTCCCAGTGGCATAGATAAATTTGAACCCTTGAAAAGTATTAACCAAGGATTTATTCATTGCTGATATTCAGAGCCTGACCTGAGTCCTCTCTCTCTGGAGCACAGTGGGCCCTTTGCTTCCTCCCGCAGTCCTCCCTGCTGGGTAGCGCCTCCATCACCATAGTCAACCCAAGAAAGCTCAACAAGCAGTTGCCAAGCAGCTTCTACCTGCCCAGATCCCAAAGCAGGTCCAGAAAGGCCAGAGGAATGAAGGAAAGGATTGAACTTTTAAAAGAACATAGCTTTAGACAATGTGGTTTAAAAATCCCCTGATCTTTTTGTGTCTTGGGATTGACCAACCACAAAGGACCGCACTGCTCTTGTATAATATATTCTGAAATAAGTTTTCTCAAGACTTTCATAAGACTTGTGATGATCCCTCAATTACTTGCCTATATAAAATTTCAAGTCCCCTTCCTTTTCCTTGAAGCATTACTCATTAATGGACTTTCTCCCTATTGGAATAACCTGAATAAAATAATCTCCTTCATTGTCTGGTGCTTTTTATGTTACATAACTTTCATGATGAATTAAATAGGATTAGACTTCACCTTTGAATCCTCATTTACTCCATCTAGATAGTGAAGCTTCTCAGAGCCCTGTTTGTTCCCTCCTTACTCATGACTTGGGGACCCAATGGTGGGCCCAACTCCTGGTCCTGTGCTCTGGACCTCGGTCTTTTGGTAGCACAGTAAGTATTTGACTTTGATTCTTTTCAAGTACTTGATTTCTGGTACTGGCTTCTCTTGGCTTTATGGGCTGACAAATCGGTATTCTCTGTAAACAGATTAATGTAAATATAATAGGTGTAATGTAATGTAAACGGATCTTTTCTCTGTTGGATAAAAGATGACAAAGAATATGGTTTGTTAGTCTTTTCTGTTTGTCTGTTTTTCTGTTTTCAATTCAAATCAATTAAAAACTTGTATCCACTGGGAGGAGAACAGGTCTTTGATATAAACTGGTAAGGTTTGCATTTTTGCATATGTGTTTGACCTATGACTAACATTTTAGACTTGAAGCTATAAGTTTTCTCTGTGCGTGTGTGTCTGTGTGTTTATATGTCTGGAATTTGGAAAGGCCTTTACCTTTCATTGTGTGAGTTTGTGATATTATCCTACATCTGGACGCTATCACCAAATTAGATGATAAAATACTTAAAGGAGTTCTGTTCTCATTGACTTAGAGGTAAATAAGTGCTTATATAAATTTAATATTCCTAGAATTTCCAGAAATTAAGGAAATTAAAGCTTAAACTGTTTCAATGTGGAAAAAAGAGGTATTGCTATATTAACTAGCTCAGAAATGTTCTGTGAGTTCAAGTTCACATAATTCAAGTAAATATTTGGCAAACAAAACCGATCTAATAATTTTGGTTCAATAAAAACAGCTATACTTTCTCTGAGTTATTAGCATTAAGTATAACAGAAGCACACACTTTTATTCTACTTGGGGGTAGTCTCTCTAAACTTATTATAGGTTCACTAATCAAATAAGCTAGGATTACTTTGACTTAATGTTGAAGATTATGAAAAATGTAAGTTTGTATTTAACCAAATAGAATCCTTATCTGAAGACTTTATTTCAACAGTAAGTATGTTTTGCAGTATGTTATCTTGAAAATAATTCCCAAGGTCTTTAGGTAAATTAAAATCTTGAATTTCTGCTAAATTGAATTAGACATCATTTCTAAGTAAGATTGAGTATTGTAATATTAATTATTAACCGTAATTTTAAGTTTATATATGTTTGCCTCTAATTTTTCTATGCTGCAGAAAGGCTATGTATTTTGGGTGTGTTAATGAATGTTTTCACTTTTGCCATTTTGAGACATTATAAGAGATGTATATGGTTACAGAAAGTGTAAGCTCTGCTAACCTGCTGCAAAGTGCTGGTGTGTGACAGTTCACAGTTACCTACCTCCTAATTTTCTCTCTGGAATAGAGGTTACTGTGGTTAAAAGTTATTATCAATATATATGGATGAGATCCACTAGGAGCAATAGTGGCAAATGAATAACTATATATGCAAGATAGGCAGGATATGTTTTTTGTTAATGAAAACAGAGAGTAGTTTTGTCTTAAACTAAAATGACTACTTATTGCAGAGTGAGAAAGAGGAAAGAGTAGGACCAAACCTGAATGGATAAAAACACTTATAGAAGGTACATGGGAAAAAAATTTCATCTATTGTTGTCACAGCTAGCTAAGATTTGACGGGTTTGTTTATAAGATGTCAGAAAGAGCTTCAGTATTCTATATTATGCTGATGCAAAGCAAAAATTTGTTTTTAATCTTTGCTAAAGTGACAAAATTTCCTTGGATCATTGGTCTGCTCATAATGTAAGGCTATAAAATGTTATTCTTTACCTTCTGTGTAATCTGCCTAGATAGCAAAGATTCTGTGTCTTAACAGAATAAGCTTTTATGGTTTACGTTGATTTTATTATATCCTTGATGATTTAAGTAAACAAAGCCTTCTCATTTAGAAAAGAGCTAAGATTATTTACAATCATGCTACCTTCTGGGTTTATTTTTAAATGTTTTATTGTCACTATGAAATGAGAAGTAAAATATCTCTCAGACACCCATGATTCAATTCCTATCTTAGGTGTTCAAATCTCCTAACAACTTTTGATTTTTGCCTTTATAAAATTGATTCCTAAGTGATGTCTTTTGCACCTAAATATGTTTTTGAGATTTCCTAGGGGGACCCTAGAAAATCACAAAGGATTTGTTCTTTTACCTTATAAAAAGAGAGAAACTAGAAATAATGAGGTTGTGATACTTTACCATTGATGAATTTCAAAGCATTGCCAAGTCAGAAGGGATGCAGATGCTTAACCTTTTCTAGGATAAATCTGTGTAGGTAACATTATTAATACAAATATTTCAGAATCATATGCTGTATGGGTAGTTCCTGGATATTTGTCAGTTCTCTCACTGTCTATGATATAGTCCTGGTGCTGCTTTGCCTGATATCAAACAAAAACAGTATAGTCATAACTCAGTTATTTTTAAAGATGTGAACTGCATTGCAATTTACTTGTTTAAATTGAATCTAACATCATTTAGGCTCATGGTTTTCAAGTGAATTTTTTTTTAATCTATGAAGTTTTATTAATATCATTTACCTGTGGAGTTTTATTTGATATACAGATGTTTAAGACCTATTGTAGGCTTGCAGAATCTCTTCACTTGGTATTTCTGATATATTCTTGGTATTTTTAAACTATATACCTGGTATCTTCATGGTATATTATATCTCAGGATTACAGTAAATCCGAAGATTTTTTTGGTAAAGATAATGTTCATCCATTTTTATAAATTAGATATAATATCCACTTTTCTTTGAAAATAGGGTTAATTATTATATTCATAGATATTTTGTCTAAACTTTTTTTTGGATTGACTTTTATCTTGTTTTACACAGACACAAATTCCCTTTGTAGTTGCATTATTCTTGTAGAAACTTTCATGGGATCTCTCATCTTTAAAAATTGCAGGTAAATAATAGATGTGCCAACTCTGTCTTGTCTGGTAGAGATTTAACTGGTTTTCTTCTTAACCCCTGAACAAAACTGGACTGATCTGTCACCTTGACCATATTGTCCATTTTTACTAAATTTTCTTTCTTTTTTTTTTTTTTTTTTGAGACAGAGTCTCGCTCTGTCACCTAGGCTGGAGTGCAGTGGTGTGATCTCAGCTCACTGAAAGCTCTGCCTCCCGGGTTCACGCCATTCTCCTGCCTCAGCCTCCCAAGTAGCTGGGACTACAGGCACACACCACCATGCCCAGCTTATTTTTGTATTTTTAGTAGAGACAGGCTTTCACCATGGTCTCGATCTCCTGACCTCGTGATCTGCCTGCCTCAGCCTCCCAAAGTGCTGGGATTACAGGCGTGAGCCACCATTCCCCGCCTCCATTTTTACCAAATTTTTAATCCTTTCAATTTTCTTCAATACCTGGCTACAATCCTCCAAACTATTTCCATTTTTCTCCCTCCCACCTGGCTCAGCATCACTGGGAACTAAAAACCTGACTGATCAGATCTCTATCATTACTTTAGGTTACCTTAAAGCTGGCTCTTTTCCCTAGGATCTGAAGAAATCTTGCAAGCTGAAGCCTGACAGTTTGGTGCAAACCTCCGAGGGCTCACCACTTCAGTAGAACATGCGTAAGGAAGAGTTCTCTCTAGACAAATTGTATCTGGACAAATAAGAAGGTCCAGTGATCTGCTTAGGCCATATATATGCTTTTATAAGAGGGAACCAAGACAAGGATGATGTCACCAACAGCATCGACATCCAAGCTTTGGAGCTTGAAGAAACTCAAAGAGTGATGCTCGATAACTGAGAGAGTTTCCTCCACAAACGTCTTGGACTCATTGGACTCATTAACCTTCAGATTCAACTCCCAGCTCTTTCCTTCAATACCAGTTTTCATATTAATGCTTCCCTTTTTCATTTTAGGCATTCCCCTTTCAAGAAGCCGATCTCCAGACCCTAAAACAACTGATCTTTCCCATTGACTCTCCACAGATGGTTCAGGTGGTTTTACAGGAACAACACTAACAAAGTCCTCTGGAGACCCTTTCTTGGATCCCGCTCCACCTTCTCAGGAGGTTTATGATCACCTCGGAGTTGTTCAGCAATGAGACACTTGCCTTGAACAAAAAGGTGACTGACAATGTTGAACTTTTCCTGAGTCTTGTGCTCCCTGAAAGTTGCAACAATTATGAAATCCCCCACCCCACTCCTTTGTGTCCCAGGAGGCTAACTACAGAGGACCACCCTGCCCTTGCATATTCCAAGACAGACTCATCTCCATCCTTGCGCGTGACTCCCGTAGGACTCGCAGATGGCTCCGTTAGTGACCTGCTTGCATAAAACCCTCGGTCCCCTTCCTTTTCTTTGAGGAAGTTCTCATTAACGATCATTCTCCTTATAATAGCCTGAATAAAATCATATATTTAATTGTCTGGTGCATGTTATCTTTCTTCTCATTTTTATGGCTGAGTCTTCTCACTTTTTTCCTCTCCCAGCCTTGGTTTCCTCATCTTATAAAGACTATTACTTCCACCTCTAAGTGGTGTGAGAATTAAATGAGATAATGATGGGAAAGAACCAACTTAGGCTAATACTAAGTGCTCAGTAAGTAGTATTCTCTCTCCTTAGAGGAAAACAACCTTCATGCAATAGGTGATGGGAGTGGGAACTAGTTTAAAGGGAAGGGATACATCAGTGTAACTTTGTCTCCAAAAAGGGGAAAACAATTAAGAGCAGGTGACCTTACACTGAAGTAAACAGCACGGGGCAGGATGGTCATTTCATATGCAGCAGAAAACTGTGTCTCCAATGCACCCCTTACTTTCCTCTCGGGAGGTCCTGGAGACTCTCTGGCAGGTGAGAGTGCCAAATGTATTGACTCTGTTCAGATCTTGGGTCAGAACAACACAGGCCTGGGGACAGGTTAAAAATGAAATTTCTCACAGTGCTATACAAGGTTTTCCATAATTCTCCAGCTCTTCCTGAAGCCTTCTCCAGGGCGGCTGGCTGGAACTGTGTTTCTAAACATACTTCAAAATCACTGGAAAAATGAAAAGCTAAAGAAACGATGCACACTACATGGAAGTTTACAAGTGAAAGAACAAAGTCACCACTTGACAATTCAATTGGAATGTCAAATTGCAGCAGTTAGCATTCATGAAATACTAGTTTTAGATACACAAATGCAAAGTAATCAGAAAAACATTTGCTCCTGAAAAGTGATCGCTGTGGTGCTTTGCATTAAGCTGTAATCACCCTGAAGGTAAAATGAGCAAATTCTCAAGACCTGGAGATTTTAACCTCTGAGAAAGTAAGACTGTGTTTGGGGACTTTGACAAAATTTGGCTAGCCAATTTGCTGCTTTCTCTAACCTACCACTCTGTGCTCTTCTGTGATGTGTATTTTTTTTCATATTTACAATTCTTTCCTCCCTGCCATCACCTTTTAAAATTTAATTCTGACCCCTATCAAGACCTAATTATTCAGAATGCACAGTAGGCACAGTGCCTAGGGCCCACAAAGCTTTTAATTTCTTTTAAAATCAGAAGAAGAAGAAAATTGGCTAATGGGTACAAAAATACAGTTAAATAGAAGGAATTAGTTCTAGTGTTAAATAGCCTAGTAGGGTGACTATAGTTATTAATAATTTCTTGTATATTTCAAAATAGCTAGAGGAGAGGATTTGGAATGTGCGCAACACAAAAAAATGATAAATACTTGAGGTGATGGATATTGTAGTTATCCTGATTTAATCATTATACATTGTATGCATGTATCAAAATATCATGTGTGCCCCATAAATATGTAAAATTATTATGCATCAATAAAAACACACAAAAATCTCAAAAGCAGCAAAAAATTGTGACATCATATACAGGGGAACAACAATTTAAAAAAAGAAAAAAATAAATGTTTAGGTCAAAAAGTGTAATATACAATATTAATAATCTTTATATGAACACGTTAAATATAATTTAAGATATTTTCTATGGAGGAAGCAGCCCACGAAAGCCAATGGTCCTAGGGTCCAGGACCATCATAGTGCAGCCCTGAGCAGCCAGATTTGTTTGCAAGTCTTTTTAAATGCTTAGGGACACAGAAACTAAAGGGTTATACTTATTTTGCCCTTTGGTGAAGCCAGCCCAAAGCCAACTTCCTAGGCCACCAGCCTCTGGGTTTGTGACACCTGCCATTTAGAAGTAGCATCATGCACTTGTGGACTTCAGAAAGGTTTCTCTCCTGGCTCCATGTGAGGGCTTTTGGCCCAGCAGCCTCATTCCAAGGCTATTGGAAACTGGCAACTTGCTGGTAGTGGTGATCCCTGGACGCCCTGATTTAGATATTATAGAGAGACCAGAGTTATGACTGAACTACAAAACAAAAATCAAGACATGTCCTCTGCCATGGGATTTTCTCCCTCCATTTCCATGGATATAAATTTTAAAATTTATGTAATACAAATCTTAAAAGACATTGAATCATATAATTAACTAACGGCTCTATTACAATGATAAAATGATATGAAAATTAATACCAAAACTGGCAAGTAGAGCCTATCTCATAATCCAATGTTTGAATATTTATTACCTAAGTGGCCCAGAAGGTCTAGGACCCTGACACACAGTAGGTATCAATCTTCTTTCCTTGTGAGAGCAGTGCCAGATATTGTACAGAGAGCCCTGTTTCTCTTCCCTATGTTTTATCAAGGAGCGCATTTAACCTTTTCCAATAACAATGACAACCATTTTTGGGTTCCTATTATATGTCATACCCTTTTCATATATTCAAACTTGACCATCACAAAAACTCTGCAGGGTAAATATTAAAATTCTCATTCATAGACCAGAAAAATTGCTTAATTTGTCAATGACATGGAACTAGAAGTGCTGCAGCAACTTCTAATTCTGCTCGCCTGACTGGAAGGGCCTTGGATCTCAGATGTTTATCAGTAGCTGCAAATCACTGGGATATTCTGAATTCAGAATGGAAATGAGCATTCCAGAGAGAGGAGGCATGAGTTTTGACTGTGGTTCTCCTGCTGTCCCCTCACTGAGAAGGCCGATCAAAGCCCTCTCCTTTACAAATGGCTTCCTCAGGCCTTCTGCAACTTTTTTCTCAGGTCAAGTCCATCCTAGCCTCCAAGGTTTGGTTCCTATGGCTTTCCTGCCTCAAGTGCCCTTTCCAGGCCTCTCTCTTTAGCTTCTGAGTCCAGCTCAAACCTCCACCACTTCCCAGACAGTCTTCCATGATGACCCCAGCCCACACTGGCTTTTCCCTTTTCCACATCCTTGCTATACTTTTGGTGGTGGAAGACTATGCTTTGTATCATGCCGGAAGGAAGATCAAATCCATGTCCTCTGAGGTTCCAGTTCTCAGACACAGATTCACACAGAGAGTGAGATCCAAACAAATTTCTGATTGTCATTCTCCCATTTTTGACACCTGAACTGAAGCCAGGTTTCCACCCCTGAAGAGGCCTATAGATATTTATCAGCCGATAGTCCCACCATCCTGAGAAACAATGCAGCTGTTCTTAGAGATCTTGTTTCCTTTTTTCTCTCTAGGTTTCAAGGACGTAGAAGAGCTCCTTTTGAAAACTATGTTGCAGCCTGGAGGAGAAAGGTGGTACACTTGGTATAGGCCGGTTGGTCCCCTGAACTTCTCCTAGAGACTCTTCCTGGCAGAGCCTGAATGTAAGGAAACTGTCAGCCATCAAAAAAGGCAGTGAAGTCAATTAAAAATCAAGTGTAAACTCATGCCTTCTCTGGTTCTTCTCATGCATGCTATTTACATCTTACCACCTGCACTGTAAACTCCAAGTGGGCAGGGATGGGCCCTACATTTGTTCGGTGTCACAGGCTGCCTCTCTTTCACTTCTCTGTGTTCAATATGTATTTAGTATTTTATTCAATGAATGGAAAGATGAAATTATTTTTATATTTTCTGTAGTACGAACTCAGGAGTATACCTTCTCCTAGGTCTGAAAAGCAGACAGACAAAATGTGGCTTAAATAATAAAACCTATTCCTAGCTGGTCTAGTCGCGCTAATCCAGAGATGAGCACCCATTGGAGGCTAAGAAGGTTGGCCACACGGCATTCCTTTGCGCACCTTTGGATTGCTGCCTCCTTGAGCCCGCAAATCTCTGCTCTGCGATAATCCTACTCTCTTTATTGGAGCTGATGGCAACTCTAAGAAAAAAATGGTTAACACTCCTGAAGATTAAATTCTCTCACGAAGAAAAAATACTCTGGGTGCTAATAACGTGAAAAAAAAGCAGAGGACATTCTCAGAAATGTTCCCACCTGTTCCCAACCAGGCTGTCTGTTTTTATATGCTTTCAGTCCTCTCCTTCTGATCATTAATGAGGTTATTAAGATGGACTGATCTCCTCCTGTTCAGGCCTGCATGGAGACTTTGCTACCTTGCAGTAATTTCTGTTCCGTGGAGCCCCAAATAAGCTTAGGGCACATAGCAAATTAGATTTCAGGAGACAATGGATCTTAGAAGCAACAAAATCCAAATAAATGATATTTACTGCCCTTGAGAAAGGACACTGCATTCTTCCTCATATGTAGCTGTGCTTCCTTCAATCTATTTCAGGGTGGCTTAGTGCAGGGGGAGGGATAAAAAATGGGGTAGGCACCCTTCTATTTAAGGGTGGGGCAGCTTGCTGCGCCATCTCTCAGTTACTGAGTTGGTAATTGGCTGGCCACAGGCCTCAGACTTCCCATTTTTCCTTATACCCTCCTGCTCTTCTAGGTCACGTCTCCTCATTTCTGTAGCTCCTTGGTGTCAGTAGTCAATGACATTGTATTACAGTCAGAACAGAATGGGCTTAATTTACAGACCCACAGAGCTGACCAACTGGCACATCTCAAGCCTATACAGAACAAAATTTTAAATCCTTAAGAATCAGAGATTCTTGAATTGTGGTGGTTGGGGAGGGGTATGGTGGGTAAACAGTTCTGAGCCAACCTGCTTAGAACTCAAATCCCACAGTCAGCTCTCATATAATTTTCCCTCTTTTAAATATTTAGTCATTTATTTTTGAGTAAATAATATATGAGCATGGTACAAAGGTAAGAATGTTCAAAAAGGCTGATGGTAAATGGTAGGACGGTCTCTCATTCTTGCACTTGCCACTTGGTTTCTTTCTCCAAAGGCAATTGCTAGTATAAGGTTCTTGTGTGTCCTGATACTCATGTACACTATGCACATGCAAAAACATGTGTATATGTTTGTTATTGCTTAAAAAACCAAATGTTGGAAATCTGAACTAACTCTTTCACACTCTGGTATTTTTAGTTTAACAATATATGTGTTGTGTCTTGGAAATTAGTTCATATCAATTCATATTGAGCTGTCTCATTCTTTTTTTAATGGTCATATACAGTAGTATTCAATTATAAGAATATATCCTAATACTTTTTAAAAATTTCTCATTGATAGTTCTTTACATAGCTTCCAAAGGATTGTTTTTACAAACAAAGCTTTAATGAATAAGGTGTACATCATTGACATGTTTGCTGTCATATATGCAGAATAAAGTACCAAAAGTAAAAATTGCTGAGTCAAAGGATCTATGTCTTTATAATTTTGATAGATATTGCCAGGTTGCTTTTAATACAGATTTTACCAATTTACATTACCACCAGCTATGCAAGATGAATGTCTGTCTCTCTACATTGTTGCCAACATGTTTCAAAATATTTTGATCTTATATTGTCTAATTGATTTAAAAAGAGATAACAGATTTAATTTTCATTTGTTTTATGAATGAGGTCAAGCATCCTTTTATTTTTAAGAGACACTTGTAATTCACTTTCTGTTTATGTTCTTCATTCTTTTTAAAAACTGGGTTATTGACTTTTTGTGATTGTAGGAGCTCCACAGATACTGGCCTTCTATCTGTGATTTTAATTGGACTTTTATTTTTTAACCAGTTTGTCAATCGCTTCTGACTTTTTAAGTGATATTTTCCCCCAGTATTTAAAAAAAAATTATGTGGAATTTGTCAATCTGCTAAAAAATGTCTTCTCGCTTTTTTTCCCCCTTAGGAAAGATTTTTCTACTTCATTCTGTCTTTTAAATTTTAGTCGATGGCTTGGATATCATTTAGTTTTATTATTATTCTGTTCCAAATTATTAATTTCTGCTTTCATTTATAATGTTTTCTTTCTTACGCTTTATAGTTCTTTCTTTACCTTCTGGAGTTGCTTTATTTTTATTCTTTCATATTTATTAATGCAAGTTTATTTTATGTTATTAAAATATTATATAAGCATTTTTTATTATTATAATTACACATTTTCTTTTGAACACGTCACATAGATTTTGACAACGCTTTGATCATTGTTATTTTGTTGGTAAAATATGCTTTCACTTTCTCTCTTTGAACTAAGCGTTGCATAAGAAAAAGACTTTTCTTCTAATCTTGCTAATAGATTTCTAGTTTTATCACATTGTAATTTGAGGATGTTGACTGTACTGTTCACATTTTGGAACATATTGAGACTTTCTTTGGCCCTAATTGTCAACATTTGTAAATACTTCTTGAGTTTCTAGGGATGTTGAAAAACTATAGTCTCAGTGTGTCCAGAATTGGGTTCTTGGTCTCACTGACTTCAAGAATGAAGCTGTGGACGCGCCCAGTGAGTGTTACAGTTCTTAGAGGTGGCGTGTCTGGAGTTTGTTCCTTCTGATGTTTGGATGTGTTCGGAGTTTCTTCCTTCTGGTGGGTTCGTGGTGTCACTGGCTCAGGAGTGAAGCTGCAGACCTTCGCCATGAGTGTTACAGCTCATAAAAGCAGTGTGGACCCAAAGAGTGAGTAGTAGCAACATTTATTGCAAACAGCTAAACAACAAAGCTTCCACACCGTGGATGGGGACACCAGCGAGTTGCCACTGCTGGCTTGGGCAGCCTTCTTTTATTGCCTTATCTGGCCCCACCCACATCCTGCTGATTGGTCCATTTTACAGAGAGCTGACTGGTCCGTTTTGACAAGGTGCTGATTGGTGCGTTTACAATCCCTGAGCTAGACACAAAAGTTCTCCACGTCCCCACTAGATTAGCTAGATACAGAGTGTGGACACAAAGGTTCTCTAAGTCCCGACCAGAGTAGCTAAGATACAGGGCGTCGATTGGTGCATTCACAAACCCTGAGCTAGACACAGGGTGCTGATTGGTGTGTTTACAAACCTTGAGCTAGATACAGAGTTCGGACTGGTGCATTTACAATCCCTCAGCTAGACATAAAGGTTCTCCAAGCCTCCACCAGAGTAGCTAGATACAGAGTGTCCATTGGTGCATTCACAAACCCTGAGCTAGACACAGGGTGCTGATTGTTGTGTTTACAAACCTTGTGCTAGATACAGAGTGCCGATTGGTGTATTTACAATCCCTTAGCTAGACATAAAGATTCTCCAAGTCCCCACCAGACTCAGAAGCCCAGCTGGCTTCACCCAGTGGATCCTGCACCAGGGCCGCAGGTGGAGCTGCCTGCCAGTCCTGCGCCGTGCACCCACACTCCTCAGCCCTTGGGCAGTGGATGGGACTGGGTGCCCTGGAGCAGGGAGCGTTGGGCTCGTTGGGGAGGCTTGGGCCCCACAGGAGCCCACCACCGCTCGGGGGTGGGGGGTGGGGGGAGGGAGCGGGAGGCGGGGGTGGCGGGGGAGAGTGGGGGCAGGGAGCAAGGTGGCACGGGGGTGGGGGAATGGGGGCGTGGCCGGGAGGCGGGGAGGGCGGGGGCGCGTGGGGGGGGCGGGGGCGCGTGGGGGGAGTGGCGGTGAGGGGGGGTCGGCGGCATGGGGAGTGGGGAGCAGGGGGAGCAGGGGGAGCAGGGGGAGGCTCAGGCATGGCTGGCTGCAGGTCTCGAGCCCTGCCCTGCGGGGAGGCATCTAAGGCCCGGTGAGAAATCGAGCACAGCAGCTGCTGGCCAAGGTGCTAAGCCCCTCACTGCCCGGGGCTTGCAGGCCAGCCGGCCCCTCCGAGTGCGGGGCCGCTGAGCCCACGCCCACCTGCAACTCGGGCTGGCCCACAAGCACTGCGTGCAGCCCCGGTTCCCGCTGGCGCCTCTCCACTGACACCTCCCCGCAAGCTGAGGGAGCCGGCTCCAGCCTGGGCCAGCCCAGGAAGGGGCTCCCACAGTGCAGCTGGGGGCTGAAGGGCTCCTCAAGCGTGGCCAGAGTGGGCGCCAAGGCCGAGGAGGCGCCGAGAGCGAGCGAGGGCCGTGAGGGCTGCCAGCACGCTGTCACCTCTCATCAGTTTTCATGGAGTAGAGTTATGTTTTAGAATTATGTATTATATTTGAGTTTAACATTTGATAGATTATGGATAGATAGATAGATAGATAGATAGATAGATAGATAGATAGTATTGGTCAGAGTTCCCCAGAGAAATAACCAATAGGATGTGTATACATATAATATAGAGAGAAAGATTTACTTTAAATAATTGGCTCATGTGATTGTGGAGGGTAGGCTTGTAGTCTGGAGACCCAGAGAAGAGTTGCAGTTGAGTCCAAAGGCAGTCTGCTGGCAGCATTTCTTCTTGTCTAGAAGAGGTCAGTCTTTTTCTCTGTTAAGGCCTTCATCTGGTTAGATAAGGCCCAGCCTCATTATGGATAAAGTCCACCAATTTAAATTCAATCTCATCCAAAAAACACCTTCAAAGCAATCTCCAGAATAATGTTTGGCCAAATATCTGGGTACCATGGCCCAGCCAAGTTATCAGATAAAAATTAACCATAACAACAATATGTATTATGTTATATAAAATCATTATATATATAGTATATGTATATTTTTAGAGCCGTAAATATTTTGTGCTGGTAATCATTTTTGTGTCTATAATTTTACATACTATACCAATCTTCTATTTCTACAGATAGTCTCTTGATTATCCTTAGTAAGCAAAGAACATCAGCATACTTTTTTCTCTCCTCACTCTTCCTCTTCTACACCATTCAATTTCCATTTGCTATGTAATTTTTCTTAGTGTTTAACTTCCTATTTTTCCAATATATTTATATATATATGGTTTGGTTTAGCAGCTTTGAATAGTGTATTTTTATAAGGAAATCAATACTTACATTATTTGCCACCATTCCTCTTCACTTACCCTCCTAAACTTTGTTAGTTATTTCTTATCTACATTGTAAAGATGCGTAACATTTCCTTGTGTTCTGTAACTATAACATCCGCAGCTGCTTTAGACTGTCTTAAAGTTGCGGATTCAATGCTCATTACTTTCCTTTTGCTGCAGTCTCCCTTAATTTCTTTCTTTTAAACACTTTTTTTTTTTTTTTTTTACAATTTAAACCAGTTTATTATATAATGAGAGCTTGTTGGATTGTAGAAACAAAGTTAAACAAGTTGTGCCATATCAGAGTATAACATTGAACATATCAACTACAGTGTAAACAAAATTTAATCTGAAAATGCAAACGTTTCAGATTATTAAAGCCACATCTGTTTTTTAAAGCACAATTTAGACTTTTTATCAAAAAGCTATGTATATGGCCTAGATGCGGTGGCTCACGCCTATAATTCCAGCAATTTGGGAGACTGAGGCAGACGAATTGCTTGAGACCAGGTGTTTGAGACCAGCCTGGGCAACATGGCAAAACCTTGTCTCTACAAAAATACAAAAATTAGCTGGGCATGGTGGTGCAGCGATTTGGGAGATTGAGGTGGAAGAGTCAATTGAGCCTATGTTGTCTAGGCTTCAGTGAGCCATAATCACACCACTGCACTCCAGCCTGGGCAACAGTATTCTTCTCCACTCTAGTCTCCCTTAATTTCTTAATTGGATCATAAAAGATTTTCCTGCTGTCTTATTACTGGTCACATCTTATCCTCAGGGACTTTGGAAGCACTTATAACTTAACTGTTTTTTGTTTGTTTGTTTGTTTTAATTCATTGCATTAGCCCAATTATCATTTAGCCTGCTCACCATTTAGCCAATTTTTAGTTTTTTCTCTCTTTAGGTGACCCAATATTTTTGCCTAGCTGGATAAAAAAAATTCTTCACTTTGGAGTCTAGTAATTTTACTGGATTTTTTTCTGCTATCGGTCATGGAACAGTTTGTCTTTCAATATGTACAGCCGAAATTTGTTTAATTACTATAAAGATTTATTGAATTACATTTTAAAATGATGTTTTGGTCCTTTTATTTGAACTATATTCATTTGGGTCACATTATGCATGTGTATATATATGTATTTTTTTTTGAGACAGAGTCTTGCCTTGTTGCCCAGGCAGATCGTGCAGTGGTGCCATCTCAGCTCACTGCAACCTCCGCCTCCCGGGTTCAAGTGATTCTCCTGCCTCAACCTCTTGAGCAGCTAGGATTACAGGCATGAACCACCATGCCCCACTAATTTTTGTATTTTTAGTAGAGAGATGCGGTTTCACCATGTTGGTCAGGCTGGTCTCGAACTCCTGACCTTATGATGCACCTGCCTTGGCCTCCCAAAGTGCTGGGATTATAGGCGTGAGCCATTGCGCCCAGGCTGATTTCATTTTTAAAAACTTCCACACTGTTTTGTTTGCTTTCTCTTAGTCCTTTGCTTCTTGTTCTTTGTTATGTTTCCAACAGAGTTTCTTTGCATTTATGGTGCTATCAATTTGCTTTTCAGTTTTTTGATCATTTTCACGTTTTTTCCCCCACCTCATATTTCAACTTCCATTGTCTTGCCACTTCTTCCCTGAAGCCTTTAATCTCTGCCCTAAAGACTTGTTTTGAAGGAAATGGTTACTCCATTATTGTGATTGATTGATTGATTGAGATGGAGTTTCGCTCTTGTTGGCCAGGCTGGAATGCAATGGCGCAATCCTGGCTCACTGTTACCTCCAACTCCTGGGTTCAAGCAATTCTCCTGCCTCAGCCTCCCGAGTAGCTGGGATTACAGACATGTGCCAACATGCCCAGCTAATTTTGTATTTTTAGTAGAGATGGGGTTTCACCATGTTGACCAGGCTGATCTTGAACTCCTGACCTCAAGTGATCCACCCGCCTCAGCCTCCCAAAGTGCTGAGATTGCAGGCGTGAGCCACCGTACCCGGATCATTATTATTTTTAAATTGTGACGTGGTTGTTAAAATTTTCACCTGCCCTGTTGCAACAGTTTTCTTATGCATGTGTTTTCAAGTTGTTTTGCTTTTCCTGTTGCTTTTACCCTTTCTTCTTATAATGCCTTTATTGGTCTTATATGTATTCCTTTAAGTTAATAATCACGTGTGAATTAGGTGAATTGTTTCTGGGTAAGCTATGTGCAGGAAATTTGTGTCTGGGAGGTGCCAGAGCCCTGTGCCAGCCCAGCAGGAATCTTCCTTATGATGGGATTTTGTAAGTGTGTGTTCCTCTCGTCTTCATTCCTCCCCAGCCAAACTAGATTGGCACAGCAGAATATTCCCAATATAGAGTCTCTTTCTTTCTTCCTGTCATCCTGACAGACTGCTTCTTGCAAACATGGTTTGTTTGTGATTCTTCATTCAGCGCCACCTTCCTAGCTTTTCAAGACTTCATACCAAAAAGGGTCAATGGAAAATTTGATTTGCAAACTGTGGTTTTGTACCTTGGGGTATGCTCATGTTTTGAGAACTCCTGTCTGCTAGCTTTGTCTAATTTCTATAACCATGAGCATATTTTCCTGGCCCTTTATGCACCCCTGTGAGATTTTTCTATTATTTGTGAACTTTTTATATTGAGGTTCAGGATTACAGATGTATCCTATTTCATTAAACAGGAGAAATTTGCTTTCTTGTCTGATATTTCAAGGTTTCTCAAGAGAGGGGACCACCATTTCTGCCTCTGCATCAAACCAGAAGTCTGTTCTTCATACCATAGACTTGTATGAATTGGACTTCAGAAGGAGTGGCCCTAGTCAAACTCTGGGATCATCCCCAGTTATCCTTGCCTTCTAATACTCATATCTGTGGTATCCATCTTTTTGAGTGTGGCAAGGCCTATGACTTGGTTTCTACCAAGAGAACATGGCAAAGGTGATGGGATGCTATTTTCAGGATTATGTGACATAAAGCTGTCAAGTTTCATTTTAGAAGACCCTAGATGTATTTGTGGGAGCTAGAAGTGATGTAGTGAATGGCCATGTGTCAAGGACCTGAGGATGGCTTCTAGCTAAAAATGATCTAGGAACTGAGGGTAGCCTCAGGCCAACAGTCGGTGAGAAACTGAGACCTTCATTCTGATTTCTTGTAAGGATCTGAATCCTGCCAACAACCAAGTATACTTGGAAATGGGTCTTTTCCCAATCAAGCTTTCAGATGAGATCACAGCCCAGGAGTAAATCTTAATTGCAGCCTTGCAGAGACTTAGCCAGTCTGTATCTGGATTCCTGACCCACAGAAACTATGAGATAATAAATGAGTGTTGTTTCAGCTGCCATGTTTGTGGTGATATCATCACACATCAGTAGATAACTAATATATCGTGCTAGGGCTATGTTGGAAACTGACTGTAGCCAGCAGTTCTATAGGTTCTGGAAGGACACCACCATATCTGCCCTCATCAGGTTTATCTTTTAGTATTGAAGAATATGAAAATTTTGCAATTGAATATATGTGTGTTCAAATACCAAGCCCAGCTTGGGTTAGGTTGTTATCAGGTCAATTAGGAACTATGTGGCCTAGGATGAGTTGCTTAATCTATCTGGACTTCAAATCCCTCACTTTAAAAATATAAGTGTTAAGTGAACTCACATCCTAGTATTAAGACAGAGGCTTACACGAGATTAATAGAATGCTTTACATAGTCCTTGGCAGAAAGTAAATGTTCAATGAGAATCAGTCTTGCTGTTCAAGAAATGCTGTGAGGGTGGCGGGCGCCTGTAGTCCCAGCTACTCGGGAGGCTGAGGCAGGAGAATGGCGTGAACCCGGGAAGCGGAGCTTGCAGTGAGCCGAGATTGCGCCACTGCAGTCCGCAGTCCGGCCTGGGCGACAGAGCGAGACTCCGTCTCAAAAAAAAAAAAAAAAAAAAAAAAAATGCTGTGAGGTGTTAGTTCCTGGTGACTGCAGACCCACCAGCAGATTCCAGGGTTTGATTTTTCTCAGGACTCTGGACTTGGAGTCAGAAGTCCTGTATTTAGATCCTCAAGTCATTCCATCTCTTGGAGTCTGTTTCTGTAACTCAAATTGATGGTGTTTGTACTGTTTATATCAGGAGGGCCCAGGGAAATAGACTTATCTCAAATGTTTTGTGAGCATAAATAGGCTACTCAAATATACACATTATTACTGTTAATAAAAATACTACATTATAAAATGGTAATTAAAATCTTGAAAGGGGCCTTTACAATGGATACCCATGGCATCTGTGGTTGAAAGCTTGGGCTCCAGAGCAGGATTGTCTGGGTTAAAACACCCCTCTGCCACTGATGGACTGTGAGGCTTTGGGAAGTTAGTTACCTATCTATGCCTCAGTTTCATCAACTGTAAAATGAGGGTGACAGTCACCACTCACTCCATAGGGTTGTTGTGAGCATCAGGTGTGATGATGGATTTGAGCAATATGAATCCTAAATCTTAGAAAGAATGTCTACATTGTAAGTGTTCAGTACATATGAACCAAAATCATTATTTTCTCATTCCTACTTTATCATTAGGAAGCAGAAGATGTCAGTCTTGGTTACTGTTAAATTTCCTGCATTTCTACATTTTTGGTGGGAGAATGAAGTTCACTTTTTGGTCCAATTTAGCTATCGGGCATTTCCTGTTTGTTTGTCTGCAAGGATTCCACAATAACTGATGAAGAGGAGGACTAATTTTGACCATATCAAGTACAATAAAGGATATCAAGAAACTACTTAAATTCAATTTGATTTAGTCAGATTTCTTGAAGTAAATGATGACCAAAAAAGCAGTTAAAAGTGGTATGGGGAAGAAGTTACAAAGATAAATGCTCATTGAGTCTAAAAAATAAACGTTCATTGTCTTAGGACAAAATGGTATAAATTTCACCAAATATTTCTATTACATGAATGGAACCCCTCTACCGAAAGTGATTGGGTAACACATAATATTTTACTTCACTGAAAACAGGTTCCCTTTAGAAGATAATTTCCTCATTATCCTCAGAGGCTCTGGAATCTGCTACTAGATTCAGAATTCAATTTTGAATGACTTAGGGGAATAAAACCCTCATAACTTTTCTCTCTAAATTATGAAAGCTCAAAGGCTGAACATCACCCTTAAAATAATTTATTATTCTAGTATCTAACAGTCTATAACATATTTCTAAATTAATAATTTTTCAATAAATTTAACTTACTACATTAATTTTGAAAAGATTTTCTTTTTGTGAATTACTATTTCTTCTTTTGCTTTTCATGTAATTATAGTCAGGTCAGTTTACAACTAGAACAAAATCATAGAATATTAAAGCTACTAGGCACCTACTGAAGTATAATATCTCCTTGAACTCTACAATTGCCCTATGAGTTAGTTGTGATTTTTCTTATTTCTAAATGAGGAAGCTAGGTTTGGAATAGGTTCCCAGCATCATGGCACTAGCAGAACCTAAACCCAGCTCTGTTCAAATTCTAAGCTTTTGTACTTTCTACCATAGATGCTACCCATATACTATTCAAGAACACGGAGCAACACCCCACCTCACTGCATATCACAGATGAAAATAACTAAGGTGTGGAAGGTGAAGGGACCAAGTCAGGGTTCCACTGTGGGCTGGCGGTAGGACTGAGGCTTGCTCAGTGGCAGACAGATGTGGGTTGTCTTTCCTCTGTCATTTATTAGCAATATGAGTTTAGGTAATTTGCCTAATCACTTTGAGTTCTAAAATGAGAATAAACTTATATCATAAGGGTTATGAGGTTGAATGAAATTGTTGCACATAGAGTACTCAGCACTATTGCTTGGCATGTGGTAAGTGATAAATTAGAGGTAATTGTTTTCAGCAACTCTGATAGTAATAACAGGAAATAGAACTTAGGCCTTTTGCATTCTGATAAAAGACTTGTAATTTCTCATCACTGTAGTCCAATTATAAAAGCATGCCAATTTTGTGGCTGGTATGCTTTGTCCTATCTATTTATTTGCTTATGCATTTACTTAAACAGATCAGCCTTGCTTTAGCTAGCATTAACTCACAGATAGTGTCACATATCACCATGGACTGTGCACTCACATATAGACATTGTTGGATGCTATTATTTCTTGGCACTGGCCACTAATTCCTGGGCCTCTTGAGAAATGTGGAGTTGTGCTTTTGCTCTTTGAAACCCCCTGGGACCCCACTGTGCTGTTCCCTCTGACATGTCAGCTGTGGCAGGTCCAGGTTCATTACCGATTTCCCTGGGCTCTCTGGAAATCGGGCCCTGCTTATTTGCCTGCATCCCAGCTGCCCGAGCTCCACCCCCTTTCTGGCGGCTGCTCCCTGCAGCTTTCTGATCATATTGCAGTAGCTCCTAATTGTCCACAGCTTCTTGTCTTTCTTTTTCTCTGTGAGTGAAGCTCAGTGAGTGGATCATTTTGTATTAATCGTTTATTTAATAGACCTTCCATTTGTCAATGGGCTTCCATCTGCCTGTTCTTTCCTTTTAGGCTGGGGCAGGTATACAAAAAAAGCCCTTATTTTTTCCTCATCCCTTCTGTGTGTTTTGTTATTATTATTATTACCATTATTTTTGTCTCCCTCTCTATCCTTATCTGCCCCTTTAAGCTTTTACTGACACAGCAGATTCTTACCTTACTTCCTTCAATTTTTCTTTCTTTCTTTCTTTTTTTTTTTTTTTTTGAGACAGAGTTTCGCTCTGTCACCCAGGCTGGAGTGCAGTGACACGATCTTGGCTCACTTCAACCTCCGCCTCCTGGGTTCACACCATTCTCCTGCTTCAGCCTCCTGAGTAGCTGGGACTACAGGCGTGTGCCACCACGCCAGGCTAATTTTTTTGTATTTTTAGTAGAGCCAGGGTTTCACCATGTTAGCCAGGATGGTCTTGATCTCCTGACCAAGGCCCGCCTTGGCCTCCCAAAGTGCTGGGATTACAGGCATGAGCCACCGCACCCGGCCACTTCCTTCAGTTTTTCTAAGCACAAATGATTGTTTAATGCCTTGATGTCAGATACTTTGTTTATAAAGCCACATCAGTCTTTCCCTGTTCCTCTCAAGCTCTTGCTTCCCTGCATCTGATGATAACATTAAAAGAACTCTCTTGTTTGTCCCTGAATGAATGCCTTAAACGACAGAATCAGGAAAGATATCTATGCTATATCTATATCAATGTATGTCTAT
Organism: Homo sapiens; assembly: GCF_000001405.40. Taxonomy (NCBI): domain Eukaryota; kingdom Metazoa; phylum Chordata; class Mammalia; order Primates; family Hominidae; genus Homo; species Homo sapiens. The sequence continues at coordinate 166,351,607 of NC_000001.11, forward strand.
ATATCTACATTTCTGTCAATATCTACATGAAACTTTGGTTGATGTGGAGTATGGCAGCCTGAGAGCCGACTGTGAAAATGGTGATTATGCAGAAAACAGGATGCATGTTTCTGTATAGCTGTATAGCAGCTCTAACTGTATCCCAACTCCCCAGGTGGTAGCAGGAATATAAGGCTGTCATTCCTGGTCTGGTTCTCACCAGGTTATATAATATTGCACACAAACCACTAGGATTTCAAAACATGGTAGAGTTCAAGAACTTATCGTCCTGAAATGCCCCCTCTGTCTCTGCCAAGAAAGTTGCACTAGCCTATAAAGGCCCTTTTCCATTTGAAGTCTCACCTCTCCATGGAATCTTCCCTGATGGTGTCTGAGAGCTACAATTACATTTATTGTTTGACTCTCAGATTTTGGCATTGGTTCAGATTGTTTTGCATCTTACTGTGTATTCCTTTCTAGGGTGTTTCTTTTTATGCCTAACTGTTTAATATGTGTAGCTTTTCACTCCTAATAAATGCTATAAAATTGCTTAAAAGTAGGACTACTAATGTTTAGGCATCCTTCACCCTTTGATTTTCATCTACTACCAGATGATTTAGTGTATGTCAGAATGCCCTGGGGACTTGCATTAAAAAGACTCCTGGGTCTTTCTGTACCCCAGTTGAATCAGAAACTTCAGAGATGGGGACCCAAATTTTATTTAAATGAACTCTTGGGGGTTTATGATATCAACAAAAGTGTGCTAACAATTACTTTTGGAGATGCCTCTAAAACTGCTTTCATATATCTCTTCTTTCCTAGTCTCACTGTCATCTCACTAAGCAAGGCTCATATCATCCAAAATACATGTCACACACACACACACACACACACACACACACACACACACCACTCTATTTTTTAAATTTGATCTTGGAACCCCTAACAAACATGAACTAGTGCTTCATATGTGTCAGACACAGTGGTAGATGTAGAGATGAATAAATCATGTCCTTTGTCCTTGAGGAGTTTACAATGCAGAGAGGAAGGCACGCGTATACATCCCACAATTACAGGGCAAGGCCATGGACAAAAACATGGTTGCCTCAAGATTGTGCTTGGAATACAAGTGTCATGCTATTTGTCCATCTCATCCTGGGAATGGGAGGCTTGAAGTCAGCCTTCAATTTCAGTGGTGGAGGAGCTGCATCTCCGCGAAAAGAAAACAAAGGGGCCGGGCACGGTGGCTCATGCCTGTAATCCCAGCACTTTGAGAGGCTGAGGCGGGCAGATCACAAGGTCAGGAGATCGAGACCATCCTGGCTAACACGGTGAAACCCCATCTCTACTAAAAATAAAAAAAAATTAAAAAAATTAGCCGGGGGTGGTGGCACATGCCTGCGGTCCCAGCTACTCGAGAGGCTGAGGCAGGAGAATGGCGTGAACCTGAGAGGCGGTGCTTGCAGTGAGCCGAGATCGCACCACTGCACTCCAGCCTGGGCGACAGAGCGAGACTCCATCTAAAACAAACAAACAAACAAACAAACAAACAAACAAACAAAAAACTAAGAGAAGGACATTGACACTTGGTTATTTTGCACTGGACCAGCACTTTCTCCGTGACTCAGATCTGAGAGCATCAGCATCTGGGGCCAGTTAGCTAAGTGCATGGCTGGGAGAGAGAGTTGCCCGCATGTCCACTGAACACCTGGGCCTGGAGTAGATTGTCAAAACATGTGCTCTTTGGTCTCAAGAGTAAATTCCTGGTATAGTGACACCACTGATTCATGACAATCTGTGATACATAGAAGGTTGGCAATTTCTACTGACCCTGTCAGAATTGTCATTTCTTGAAACACAGTCTGTCATTTCAGAATATCTAACACTTTAAAACAGCTTATTGTGGCGGTGCCATGGCAACAAAAAAAGGCTTTTCCGCATTTGTACCAAACAAGAGCTAAAGGTGTTTGAAGAGCAAATAGAAACAGTCTGTAGTTCAGTATGGGGAGATGTTTAAAGAAATTGGCAGGAGTAATTTGTGCACCAGTAAATTGACAGAATTGATTTCCCTCCTCTGTCTCTTGTGCTTGCAAGCCCCAATGTGTGGCATGAGCCTGGGTCTCTGGTAGGTGGCTTTTCTGAGCCATCTTTTCTCAATTTTTTGTCAGATGAACACTCTTTCCTGGTGATGTGGGGGAATATTTTTGCTAACGTCTTTACTATGGGTAACATTTTGGAGAGCAAACTGCTGCTTAGTCTCTGGGACACTTTGTCTAAGTCATACCCATCACATCTGCAGGCCGTAGTCTCCTCTGTAAGATGAGGTCTTTAGATGAGCTCAGTGTTTTCCAAACCTGGTTGGACATTAGAATAGTCTGAGAAGCGTGTTAAAAATGTAAGTTACAGGCCGGGCGTGGTGGCTCACACCTGTAATCCCAGCACTTTGGGAGGCCGAGGCGGGTGGATCACGAGGTCAGGAGATCAAGACCATCTGGGCTAACACGGTGAAACCCCATCTCTACTAAAAATACAAAAAATTAGCTGGGCATGGTGGCAGGCGCCTGTAGTCCCAGCTATTCGGGAGGCTGAGGCAGGAGAATGGCATGAACCTGTATGGCAGAGCTTACAGTGAGCCGAGATAGTGCCATTGCACTCCAGCCTGGGCGACAGAGTGAGACTCCGTCTCTAAATAAATAAATAAATAAAAATAAAAATAAAATACAAGTTCCAGAGACCCAGCTAGTCTTACTGATAAAAAATCTTCTGTGGAAGGGGTCCAGGAAATGGTCTTTCTAATCTGTGCCCTGGTAGTTTCAATGCAGGCAGGCCTCTCCCTAGCACCTAAAACCATTGGCCCAAGTGCTCCACAAAGACCTTCTAGCTTTGCATTCTATGCTTTAATGACGCTACAGCCAAGCCGCACCCAATTACCCCCTCCTTGTTCCTAACTTCCCCTCCTTGCCTTATACACAAAGAACCTGTCAGCCTCTTTTCTTTGGTGACTCCTTTGGGCACTGGGAGGCGTAAGAGTTTTGTTGACATTCAGCAAATGAGTACTTTGCTCAGTGAATGCAGGTCGCTCATCAGCACTGCTGTCAGATTGCTAAGTAATGGTGACTCTGTACAGATAATATGCTACCTTTGTGCAGAACTTAAAGTTTCTTTTCAGGTGCTGCACACACTTTCACATAGGACTGGAATTGTAAGCCATTTCTGTCTATCTAGCTCTGTGGGTTGGAATCTACCAAGGGGACAAAGACCGGGATAATGTTGACCTAGGGATTCCACAGTAAAAAATCAGACACGGGCTTGGAAGAATCTTTCTGTCTATAAATCATCCAGTCCAGTGCTTCATGCTGAGTACAGCACTCCACTCATCCAGGAGAGTAAGATTCATGCCAGGTGAGAAAAAACAGCTGGTTGATTTCCTTTCTGAAAGATGGAAGGGATATAAACAAACAAAAACAAAAAACTACCTTTGAATTGGTAAATTTTGGATCATTGTTCCAGTCTGATCTATTCCATCCCCAAAGCTAACAATGCTAGTGGCAGGTACACTTACAAAGTGACGCCTGGTTAAAAATCAATGAAAAGGAAGCTTGCTTTGGCAGAAGGGAGCCTCCTTATTGAATGTTTGTGAGTGTGTTACTTATGGAGACTTGGCAAATACCTAAATTCAATCAAGGTGAACCGGGTTTATTCAGGAGATGGGCAGGTTTCCACAAAGAGCTATAATCAAACAAGAATCAGTGAAGGGTGTGGTCTGTATGATGTATCACAAAGAAAGTAGGGCAGAAAGCGTTTATCCAGTTCTTTGATGAACTGCATAGAGGAATTCTAACTGACAGACATGAGGACGTGGACACTCAGCAGGGCACTGCAGAGTGAGCAGCGGCAGATGGGAAAACAATATTATGTTACAATACAAATTATATTGGTTTCATTATTACATTTGCTTACACCAACTGCATGTCAAGCCCTATAGATACTAAAGTGCTTTAACAGATTTTAAAATTTAATCTCTAAAATAACCCTATGTCGTAGGACTGTTTTTATCCACATTTTATTGACAAGAAAACCAGTCACCGGGAGTTTTCTAAGCCAGTCACCTACGTGGCCCAAAGAGGATGCAGGATATGAAGGCAGGCTCATCTGTCTCCAGGGTCCTGGTCTTAGCCACTCGGCACTCCTGCCCCCTTCTCATCATGTTTTTCCTTAGCTGGGATGAAATATGCCCAACTATCCAATTCTTAGTCACGGATTCTATGTCTATCAGCATCCCTGGAAACCTAATATAAGGAAGAGAGGTGTTCCGAATGGTGGGCATGACTATTATAAATGCTACACTGGCATTTAATTTATATACTTTTATAAGTCTAGTTAGCATGAGGTAATCTTCATGAGTCTAATGGTGGGTGAACTGAAAAAACAAATCGTGAAGATATTAGAGCTGAGTGTTTAAGAGTTTGGGCTCAAAATCTGGAGTAATCTGGGTTTCATTCTTGGTTCCATTGCTTATTAGCCATAACTGAGCCTCAGTTTCCTCATCTGTAAAATAGAGATAACCATAGTACTGCTTTATAGGGCTGCCATGATGATTAAATGAAGTGGTGCTCAACTGTACTTAGCACAGTTCCCAGCTTGTGGTAGGTGCTCAAAACACGTTACCGATTCATTATTGGACCTTTGAAGCTGGGGGTCAGGTCTTAGGGTATGGTTACCCTTGGTGTATGGTGTAAGAGGCTGCCATTTGTTGAGGATCTGCATCTGCTGTAAGCAATCCTTTTTGATGAAAGCTCTTTGGCATTCACATATGACAATATCATTTAATCTTTGAGCTTGCCTACTTGCAAAATTTTTTGGTTTTCACTTGTCACATACCCCTTTTCGAAACTTTATTTTTTACATTTTAATTGTATATTAAAAATATAAAATCATGCATACTTTTTATAATATTCAAAGAACACAAATGTATATAAAGCTAAATATGATGCCCTCACCTATTCTGCAGTTTAGTATGTAACCTTCCTAACTTTTTCTGTATGATCTATGTACATAATATATAATGTTTTATATTGTCTTTTGTTCTTTTCAAAGATGAGTTTACATTATACAGAGTGTCCCACAATTTGTTTTTTGTTTGTTTGTTTTTGTTTTTTCTCACTCAACAAACACTATGAATATTCTTCCATGTTGTAAAATACTCATTTTTAGACATGGCCATATGGGATGTTAGAGTATCATCTCCAAATTTTTCTATTGCAACCAATCTGGCAATGAATGTTCTTATCCATGGGCATTTTTTTGTGAGAGTATTTTTGTAGACTATTCTTAGAAGTAGAACTTCTGGGCCAAAGGAGTCAGTAATATAATTAACCATTCTCTTATTTTTGAGCAGCTAAGTTTAAAATATTTTACTCTTTCACTGAAAAGGCTGTAATGATAGCCTTTGTGTTTACTTTTCTTTTGAATTATTTTCTTGGAATTTATTTATTTATTAATAAATAACAATAGTTACCAAAGTAAAATATAATCATAGGACAGGAATTCATGACTTGTGGTTTCTCTTTCATAGTCTCCTTCTGGACATGTAGTAGTCCATCTTACAGAAGAGAAAACTGAGTGTCTAAAGTACTGACCTATAGCACCCAAGAGGCAGACCTAGAATTTGAGCTAAGATCAGTCTGCTTTCAAAACTGACACTTTTTGATGCATCTGACCAATGCGGCTGCCCCTAAATATTAAGTATGAGCTTGTTTCGAGATTCTAGGGCTATGGAGGGCTCATTGCCAGTGGTGGGAGGAGACCATCATTAAGGCAAGGGAGGCAATATAGCAAGGTAAATACTGCGATGGAGAATCACAGGGTTTGTGTGGGCCATCAAACCTAGCTCACGGTGGGGGCAATCCCTTTCAAAACCTATTAAATGACATTCATAGTCTCAGTGCATTGACTGGGGGTAGATAAGAGTTGGCCCATTTATAGATGGGAAAGATGAGGCAGGGGACAGCTTATAATGGCTTTACCTCGGTACAGGCCTGATGAAACCAAAGGCTCTGCCAGGCTGTTTTCCATTGAGAAACATTGTTCTTTCTCCTACAGAATGATAATCTCTGGAAATATTATACTGAGAAGTGGAGCAGCCAGTCAGCATCAAGTCAAGCTAGGAGAATCCCCAGGAGGCAAAGTCTTCCTGGCAAAAAGACCATTTCATAAGTGAGACTTCCTCTGGGAAAAGGAGCATGAAGTTACTTCATGCATCACTGGGTCAGTTCTCTGGGATTGTTGGTTGACTCTGAGCAGGGAGATACCCACAGGGAGGGGCAGACATAGGTGGACAAGTTCCTGAGCCTCTATACTCCATCTATATCCACATGCAATTGTTCATGTTTTTTTTCAGCACCTGCTGTTTGTCAGGTGATGCGTCTACACTGGGAATCTAGTGATGATGAAGGTAGACACAGATGTAACCCTAAGGAATTCATGGTTCATTAAGGCAGCAGCCTGGAAGCCTTGAATCACCAGGCTGGGAGATACGTGTGGTCACAGGGTTTGTATAAAGAAGTTGACTTTGAAGAATTAGTCTGAAGCCAGGCCCCTGAGCAGGCTGACTTCTGTTTAGGGAGCACATTCTATTCTGCCTGGGAAGTGAGGAAATGGGGCATGTGAGCTAGCAAAAGTGCCTGGCCAGCATCGTGCAACCTGATGCAGTATAAAGTGGGACAAACCTGGGCCATGCAGGACAGCCTCGTGATGACAAAGTCAATGCCCGGCTGACATAGTTATGAAAGGAGGGGATTCACAGCCGTGATCTGAAAGCATCTCTGCTCAGCCTAAAAGGGAGCTTCAGGCATAGCTCCACTCCTCAAGGAGCTCACAGTTCCTAACTGTGCCTTCAAATAATGTAGGGGCATAGTGAACACATCTTGCAAGCCACCATGAAGGGCTCACAATCAAGGTAGAGATGCTTCTGGAGTGGTGGATGGAGTTACCTGTGTTCTACTCCCTTGGCAGAGCAGGCATCAGGGTATTAAAGGGGCAAAGAGCTGACGTAGGAGTAGGTAGAGCTGGAAGGCACTACTGATATCTTCCCAGCCCCATACAGAGTGTATTTGCATCAGACTTGTCTCTAGGTTGGAGCGGCCTTTCTTGACATGGGGAAATAATGCATCTCCAGCTCCTGGTGATGTCTTGTCTCGATCCTGGAAAGGTTGGATCCTGGCCAATTGTCCCTAGAAGCATTTTGAGGACCCACCTGTACTGAAGTCCATCTCCCTGGGGTAGTTTTCTACCAAAACCAAGTGCCCAGCACTGCCTATGTCTCTTCTTTCCCCAGCCTGTAGTCATGAGGTGTAGTGAAGCTTTCAGGGAATAGCCAGCCACTTGCAGGGCAGTTACAGAAGGAGTCAGTTTGGCCACCCAGATATTCTACCCCTGAGAAGAGCGCCCCAGGAATCAGACCCAGGATTTTTCTCACTTGGGGTGGAAGTGCAGGTGTGTGTCTCACAGTGTGAACATAGGAGCTGTGTAGCCATGAGGAGTAGCCATGAGGAGGCCTTCTGCATTCTTCCCTTCATGGAAACCATGATGGCTCTGTGGTGAGAGGGGCTTCTCCCAGAGATGACATACTGAAGGATGTGTGCAAGCCTACTACTCAACAAAACTGAGGAATCCAATCAGGGAAGCAGAGCTGTGGCTATCAGGGAGCAAGAAATTAATAAGAGGAATTGGTCCTTACACAAATGTGGAAAAGCTGGGGGAAGTAAAGGTCTGAAAAAGAGATTTGGAAGTTCAGAGAACTGATGTGGATGGACAAGTCAGAGCTTGCAAAGACATCTGGATGCGAGGCACATCCTCCTAATGCGGCGGGACCATGGAAAGTGTCTACGGAGGCTGTCTCTTCATAGCTACTGTCTCTGAGTTCACAGCCTGAGTTGTTGGTCAGCAGGAAGGGACACTGGGAAAAAGAGATGGACAGATGGCATGGGGAAGAGCAGGGACAAACTGGAATCCATCCATACCTCTGCATCCATCTCTCATTACCTCCATCCACAGTCCCCTTTGCAGCATAATAACTGACACTCCACTTTTGCCTTCCAAATTTTGGGCAAATTCTCTTTTTGCCACCTCTAAACTGGAACCATACAGCGATGAAGCTCTGAGAAAAGTAATTCCAGCTCAGCCATGTTGACAAAGTATGAAAACACAATAGACCATCAAAGACCTATGCACTGTGCTTTTCATCGGATATGAATGTGTAGAGAACCAGGGGATCCTGGGGCAATAAAATGTGCCAAGTCCCAGAATCTAATAACATAATGGCACCTGCCAGGGTCTGTAAAAAGCTCAGCATGACTGGAGGACAGAGTGAAATGTTAGGGCTTACTGGGCAGATGAAGGCATGGCAGAAGGAGTGTTGGTTGGGGCCAGATGATTTTGTGCTTTATATATTATAATTTAAAAGTTTAGCCTTTATTCTATGAGAAGAGTTTTAAGTGAAGGGGAAGAAAATGAGCACATTAGCAGTTTAAAAAGATCATTCTAGTTTTAGTCTGTGAATGGTTTAGAGGGGGGCAAACCTCGTGTCAGGGACAACAGGAGTCTGCTTCATGAAATGATGCCTAAGAGATTGAAAGAAGCCATCCAAGTGAAAGGATCTTAAGCATGGAGAAATGCTGGACTCTGAAGTTTGATTGGATATCAAACTGGGATAACTGAGTTGATGGCAGTGCCATCAACAGAAGACAAAAGAAACTGGGAGAGGTTTGGAGAGGAAGAGGATAATTTCGTTTAGGCCGTGCTGCTTACATTGTTAGATATATGAATTGGAGTTCAGGGAGAAATACAATCTGAGTATATAGATTTCAGAGCATTAACATATGCCAGATTTAACTTTGTGTTTTCATGAGTCCCTTAGAGAATATGAAGAAAGCTATTTTCATCAGGAAAAAAAGTTTAAAACACACACAAACACACACACATACCCACATTTTTTTTCATGGGATACACAGAGCACTTGAGTTCATCTGTAGATACTTTAGGGATAACAGAGTGTGCCTAGAATATGGATGCAGTAAGAGAAGGAGATCAGAAAATAACTTTGGGAAGCATAATACTTAATGAGTGGATGGAGTAAAGAGCCTGTAAAAATTGCTGAGAAGGGATGGCTTAAGGAGAAAGAGGGAAGCCAGTAGAGTGTAGACAAATGAAAGCCAAGGTAGAAAATTTAAAGAAAGCATGGTGATATTATAGAAAATATAGAAAAGTCAAGTAAGGGAAAGATGGGGGAAAAATCGACCCAATTTAGCAAAAAGTGAGAAATTTAAATGTAGAAGAATAGAGGCCACTAAAGAACAAATATGAAGATACAGGAAATGAGGGGAGAGTTAAGTAGATGTGAGAATGTGACAGGAAAGAAGGAGGGGGATATGAAGAAGTATAATGGGCAGAGAAATGAGAGCAGGAATTTGGGGGAATTCTGGGACATTGTCTTCTGGATCTTCTCTACTTCTGTAAAAGAAGGGCTCAGGTCAGCTAATTGGAGGACTTGCTGGCCATAAGTTTGACTTCAGGCTTCCTGGAAGCTAGGACCAAACTGGACTAGAGTGAATTATGTAGTTCCTTCTGTCCCAAAGAAAGAAATATTTTTAACTCAGGAGGTATGTCAGCCCCATCTGGCTCCTTTAAGCAGCCCAGTCCAGCCTGCATTTCATGCTGGACTCTATGCAAAAGGGGCAGCTGGTGAAACCTCCCCCATAGGAGAGTGGAGCTTGGAACTGGTCTCCTGACCCTTGTGTCACGTTACCACGCTGCTTTCTCAAGTCTCCAGGATGCCAGCATGGCTCTTCCTGTCTTTGCCTCCCATTTCAGATTTGATGCTGAACCCTCTTGTTTACTCAGGAGTGACATTGACTTTCCCAAATCAGCAGCCCCTATAGCTAATCTCAGGGAACATCCCTAAGGGTGCAGCCCAGCCACAAGACCATTTTACCATGGGTCCTTTCATGGGCACATCTCGTGGGACAAAATTAGAAGCCTTGAGATATTTGATTCAGCCTTGGATCAAATGAAAAGAAACCACAGTTCACATTTTAGGGAGAAGACGAGAAAAAATAATCTTGTTGACATATGTACTTAAGAACTTAAAGTGTTATGTTGGTTAATATCTTTCTCGGCAATATAGAGAAGAGCAGGTTGGAGAATATTTACACCTCAGTGAGTGTGGGAGCACCGTGAACATAAAGTACTGAGAGACTCTTGCCAGAAACCAATGGGGCAAAGATCTTATTTAGCTTTAATCATGTTATCAAATTTATAACTCCTCTATTTAACTTTTGCTGATATGGAATAGGAGATTCCCCATGATATTTAATTATAAAGTTCTATTTTTCTGTTTCTTATTTTGAAATGATTACAAATTATAACAAAAATAAAGAACATTTCCAACCTGAACCACCTGAAAAAAATTGCTAATCCAATACCCATCACCTCCAATTACCCCAGTGAGTATTTCCTACAAATGAGTATTCTCTTATAAAATCATAACTTGACCAACGAAATAGGGAAATTAACATTGATAAGTCACCATCTAACCCTCAGATCCCCAGTTGCCCAACAATGTCAGGTATAGCAAAAGACTGCTCCAGTTCAGAATCACACATTACATTTGGTTGTCATGTTTTTCAGCCTTCTGTCTAGAATGGTTCATTAATCTCTTTACTTTCATCTCCTTACGTTTTTGAAGAGAACAAGCCAGTTATTTTGCAGCATGGCCCTCAATTCAGGTCTGACTGATGGTTCTTCATGCTTAGATTCAGGTTGTGCATCTTTAGCAGGAATATCCCAGAACCAATGCTGTGCTCCTCTTCCTGTATCTTATTATCAGTGGCACATAATTTTGTTTGTTCCATTACTAATGAGTTATTTTAATCACTCGATTAAGGTAGTGTCTGCCAGACTTCTCCACTGAGAGGTTATTCTTCCCCTTTTTCACTTAAGCATTTTGTAGGGAGGTATTATGAAACTATATAAATATCCCATTTCTCATCAAACTTTATCTAATTATTTACTTATCTCTCTATGGGTTCATGGTAGCCTATGGTATCCAATCAGTTATAACCCATTATTATCATTATTTATTTTGATGATCAAATTGTCCTCAGTTTTTCCAGTGAAAATCTATTGAAGCAGACTTCTGTGTCTTTTGACATGTTTCCATCATTCTGAAACGCTTTCTTGCCTTCTGGCACAATAAATGTGTGTGTTAGCCTCACCTTTTACTTTCCCTGTCCCAGATCTGAAATCAGTAATTTTTCCAAAGGGGCCATGGTTTCTTTTAGTTTTGAGAATGGGATTTAGAAGCCATGATCTGGGTGCCAGGTATGTTTATTACAACTGGGGTGTCACTGCTTCCAGGCCCTTTCAAAGGACAGAGCTGGGGGATATATGTATGTAAATATATACATTTATTCGCACATTTACTTTTATATTTATTTATATAACTAATACAATATATTAAAAGTCTGTAGTTCACATGAGTATCTCTAAGTCCAATCCAACCCACTGAGTTTATTTTGGTCTTTTTCCTTCTGGTATTTGTAATTTTCTTCTTCAACAGTGAAGATCTGGCTCTCATTATCTCTAATATATCTACTTATTTGATCAACACCCCTCCTTAAATCAGTTTTCCATCTCTGCCACCACCCCTTTTCTTGCAAGGATGTCCTCTTCACCCCAACTTGGGTTCTGAAACTCTTGCCAGACTACCCCCTATTTGGAACTCTCTGTACCCTGCTGGATTGGAACTGTCATACTGGTCTACCCCCATATGTGGATGCCCTCCTCAGCCTACTTCAGATCTGACTCTTTCCACCTCTGCATGGAAGCCTTTCTCATCCTGCTTAGGTGTGACTTCCCACGTTGGGTTGCCCTTATCCTCACCTTGCTTCGTGGGTTCTGCCTCCTTACCCTGGCCACCTCTCCCAGAGCTGAACACCCTCCTCACCCATTTTGGGCCAGGACACCTCATGCTAGTCTACCCGCTCCATGGATTCTGACATCATCTTGCTTTTGCTGACTCCCAATGCCCCAAGCATGAGTGCCTTCCTTATTCTTTTTGGAAACTGACCCACCCTACCAGATGCCTCTCTTCTGGGAGGTCATCCTGAAGAACACTGAATTAGGGCTCTCATCCCCCAGCTGGCTACTCCCCCCCATCACATGGACACCTTCCTCACCCTGCATTACTCATCAGGGCAGGCCATCCCTCCTCAGGGTCAACCCCTTTACCCCTTGGATCCTGACTCCTCACAATAACTGTCCTTTTTCTGTTCTTGGAGATGACCTCCTCACCCCACCTGGGCTCTGATTCCCTATGCCATGCCCCTCTACCTGGACACCTTTATCAATGTTCTTGACTCTGACCTCTCACACCAGGTTACCTCCTGACAATCTATACCAAAACTCCTCCAGGTGTGGATGCCCTTGTCACTATTCTTGGGCTCTGAACTTGCATGCCAGGCTATGCTTATACATAGGTGCCCTCCTCATTCTTTTTGGCCTCTGATACCTCATGTCAGGCTGTCCCCATACTTGAATGTCTTTCTCACCCTTCTTGGCCCTCAACACCTCACGCTGGTCCACTTGCCTGCAAGAACACCCTGCTTGGGACCCTGAAGCCCACCCCAGATGCCCCTCCAGCATGGATGCCTACCTTGCTCTGTTCCATTTAATGTCACCCAGAGAATCAGTACTAAATTATGGGGGAAGGGAGGGGAAAGATGAAAAGAAAGAGAAAGAGTTAAAGGCAGAGCAAGTACCAAGTTTTATCCACAATTTTTCTTTTGTTTTTTTAACCACTAGAGATGTAACTTTTAACCATGAGATTTGTTACAGGTTATTATAAAACATGTTTATTATAGGAAATTGTATTTGTTCACTTATCACTTAATTATAAATAAGTTAAATTGAAAACTGAATTTGTAACTTATAACCACATATGAACTCATCTACTCTGTTTTAATTAATAACCCATAACTATGTAAACTATGTAAGGTCTCTTGAGAGCCAGAAAACACCAGGCTATATATCTCCTGGCAATCTTGCTTATATGCATGTCCAGGAGATTCAGATCTAAAGATCATCTTAAGCCTCATTCTGCATAGCCCAATGAAAGTAGATGATTCTTAGAGCATTACATTCTAAAATAAATTTCTCACTTAAGATTATACTTTTATGACTGTTCTCATGTCGCTCTAGCATTTTGGAAAATGTGCCTTAGAGGCCTGGGGAGGACATCTCATCTTCAAGCAGATTACTGGCTTTTTATCAATTTTATATATCACGATTCTAGGTGAGTTTTCCTTCGAGGAGACGATTTTATGCAGCTTACTCCTTCCTAACATTCTCTCATTTTTTCAGCTTTAGCAGACATGTTTTAAACTTTAATTTGAATAAATTTCAGATTTTTCTGCATGTTATAGTTTCCCTAAGTAAAATAATTGTGGCAAATGAAGTGTATGCATGTTAGTTATTGCCATGAACATAGCATGTAACAAATTGCCCCCAAATTTAGCTTAGAACAACAGTCATTTATTCTCATAAGTCTGCATGTTGGCTGATCTAGGCTGCACTTGGCTGGATGACTATGCCGGTTCTGGTTGGTCTCACATGTCTAGAGATTAGCTGGGGCCAACTCTGCTCTGCCATATGTCTGCCATCTTCCTGTGACCAGCTGGCTGGTCTGGGACGAGTTTGAGCAGGCTCTTCTCTTGGCCTAGGAGAGAGGAAGCCTTATCTTGCGAGTGCTTTTCAAGATTCTGCGAGCCTCATGTCTGATTGGGAGGACACTGAAAAGTGGCAGTGGATGCAGGGAGGGAGAAAGAATTGGAGCCACTAATTCAAACTACCACAGAGTGCCACATAGCAATAGGAATGGAAAAGGGTACTGCTAGAGGTTAGCAATTCTGTCTAGAATACTGACTGGTTTATATTGTTTTCAGTCATATACATTTTCTATTTTTTTAAAAATATTTTTAATTTTTTTGAGACAGACTCTCGCTCTGTCACCCAGGCTGGAGTGCAGTGGCACGATCTTGACTCACTGCAAGCTCTGCCTCCCGGGTTCACTCCATTCTCCTGCCTCAGCCTCCCAAGTAGCTGGGACTACAGGCAGCCACCACCACGCCCGGCTAATTTTTTTATATTTTTAGTAGAGACAGGGTTTCACCGTGTTAGCCAGGATGGTCTCAATCTCCTGACTTCGTGATCCACCTGCCTCGGCCTCCCAAAGTGCTGGGATTACAGGCATGAGCCACCGCACCCAGCCACTTTTTCTATTTTCTTTGAGCCAGTAAGAGCTCCTTTGGTTGTTAGCCCTTCTTGTCTCTGGAGGACTCTCACTCTTTGAGACAACTCAGTTAATCAAATAAGCATAAAGCAAATATTAAATGAATGGATGAATACATAATTACCATGATGTCAGCCTTATTGGGCCGCCCTGTTAAGCATGAATCCCTCTTAGGAGTACTGAGGCTGCCACTTTCATGTACCTCCACAGGCTAAAATTAGGAAGTGACCTTGCCCTAGGATCTCCATTTTCATTCTTCATCGCTGAATTCTAGGTAGTCTTAGGCACGGCCAAATTCAGATTCTTAAGTATTCTAAGACAACTGAAATTTCTTTTAAATTTTGAGTTTACAAATCTCTCTCTCCCTCCCTCTCTCTCTCTCTCTCTCTCTCTCTCTCTGTGTGTGTGTGTGTGTGTGTGTGTGTGTGTGTGTGTGTGTGTGTAGGCAATTGTCCCAGTTTTAAACCACTTGTTATGTTTCAAGAAAAGTTTTACTAATATTTTAAATGAACTTTTATAGGAAATGATAGATCCATTCTGGTATATTGTGTCATTGTCCATTAAAACAATGGTCAACATTTATTAAGCACTACTATGTGTTGGGAACTGTGCTAGCTGTTCGATATACCTTAGCTGTACTTCCCAAAACAATTATACTGGCTGGGCATTATTTAATATTCTCATTTGATAGGAGGAAGCTGAGGTTTAGAAAAGTTAGGTAACTTACCCAAGGTCAAGCAATCTATAAATGGATTGATTTGGGCTGCCAGTCTTGCCAACTCCCTAGGCTGCACTCTTTCCAATATACTATATTGCCTTGATTTCCTAATTGGGTTGTTCTCATGGGCACGGACACCCATCACCCAGCAACTGCACCAGCATCTTCTCCCAGAGAACACCATTGTGCTCATGACATACAATGCATGCTCTGGTAAACAGTGGTTAATATAGGCAAAAACAAAACTTTTAATTTTTGCCTCCAATAAGTAAATGATTATTGTGATGAATCCTCCTTCATCTTCACCGAGGCAAGAGAAAGAAAAGGGGCTTATACCACTGAATAAAATGTTGAGGTCAGATATAAGAAAGAACTTCCTCTTGAGTTCGTTAAATACTATTATGAGATTCCCAGAGAGTTGGCAAATATTTTCACTCAGAAGAAGTATTGCAAACCTTCTTCACTTTCTCCTCCTCCTCCTTCTACTTATTTCTATGAATTTTTTTCCAAATAAAATCTCAAAAGTGATTCCATTCATCCATTCACTCATTTAACAAATATTGATACCTATTGTCCCCAACACTGTGTCATGTTGAGGGCACAGTGGTGAACAAGAGGCAAAACCCTATGAAGACATTCTATTACAGGCTGCTGCTCTGGTTGAAAGGGTGGGAAACTCAGAGATGCCCTTTCTCTGTCTTTGTCTTTACGTCCCTATTCCCAACTACCTCTGTGCAAAAACAGCACTCTGCAATACATTGTGAAAATCACTGCTCTGTAGACATTTAGAGGGAATTAGGATTATAGTGGTCTTCTCTAATTTCCACTTTCTCATCCCCAGCACCTTACCTTTGAGGAAGTTATGAAAAGTATACTTTTAAAATAAATGCACACAGGTGTCTGTGTTTGGGGGATTGTTTACAACAGAGTTATCTGGAAAAATGAGATGGACTGTTTTTTGAAGCCCTTCTCTGCCTTTGTTTCTTCTGCCTCCAGTTTTCATCAATCTGCTTTACCAACTCATCTTTAAGGCAGTGCTAGAGTTGTCTTCATAAAACTTTTGATGACTCCTTGTTGACCTTCTAATATAGTTCAATCTTTTAAACAGGCATTCAGGGGCCTCCTGAGCTGCCCTTACCCCTTGCCAGTTTTCCAGTCTCATTTCCAATGCATCCGTCAGTATATTCTGTAGCCTCCTTCACTGATCACCTGCCTGGTCCCCAAACACATGTGATGTTCACTCCTCCTCACTTTTGTTAGGCCCAGAATACCCATTTCTTCCTCCACTAATCAAAATCTATGCAACCTTCAAGGCTCAGCTCATTTTCAGCTTCTCCCTGAGGCCTGCCCTTATCACTCTACCAGAATTAATTGCTTCCTCCTACATGCTCCCACAGCCCTGTCTTGTACTTCTGTTTAGCACGTTTTCTGTTCTGCTTCATCCAAACACAATATGTTTACATGTCTGTTTCCTGTAACCCCCTTGGATACTCCAGGATTGAGGTCATGGGTCCATGTCAGTCCATCACTGCATCTTTTAGTGCTTTACTCACAAAAGGACCTTCACAAAATATGTCACGTGATTGAATTACATTCTTGTACTAGGGTTCCACAAGATCAGCTGTGGCCAGTCAGAGCGGTGGTATTGGTTTAATTTTTATCTCTTTAAGAGGTAGCTAGAACTTGGTGTAAGACAGACCTGGGGTCAGATCCCATCTCTAAGTCTGTGAGCTATGGTGAGTCACTTAACTTCTTTTGCACTCAGTTTCCTCATCTAAAAGTGGGGATTAAAACCTACTTTGATGAGTTATTATGAAGATTAAATGACATGATGTGTGCTTAGCAGAATGCCTGTTACATAGCAGTGAATAATAAGTAGTAAACATCATTAAAGTTTTACTTCTGGAAGAAACACTAGCCTACATTATTGAATCCCCACTAGGTACAAGGTGCCTGTCTCCACACTTCATGCACACCATCTCATTTAACTCTCACAAACACCCCGGAGGTTCTATTGTCACCATCTCTATGTTACAGGTGAAGACCCTGACAGGTTAGCAGTTTCCCGGTGGTCCTGCAGCTAATAAGGAATACAGCTGGACGTGAACCCAGTCGTTAGACACTAGATCACATACTTGTAACTACTGTTGCCATTTGATGGATTTGAGAAGTTAAAAAAGAATATTCTGGTTTTAATGGAACAGTGAAATTGGATGGTGAAATAATCCCTAACCAGGATCTGTCATTACGTCAGCCAGTCATGAAATAGGTGGGAAGTTACCAATAGAATAATTTCTTCTGGTTGTGCAGAGATAAGTATTAGAGTGCAATCATTGCACCAAAGGATCTGTCAAGTTTTCAGCAGAGTCTGTTCTTTCAAGAAGATTTTCTACCCCTTAGATTTTCAAAGAATTTTCTGTATTTTTGCAGTTATAATATTTCAAGACAAAGTTGGCTTAACATTTTCCTCAAAACCTCTCCCCCAAAGAGGGGAGGCCAGGTCAAATCAACTCTGATGACATGGTACCTTCAACATATATAGATTGCAAGAATCAGATCTAAAATTTTATTTACTTCCCTGGGAGTTACTGTGTGATCAATTTCAAGATGAATAAAAATGATACCTCTTGCACCATTTAGGTCTTTTATTTGCCATCACAATAATTCCTGTTGTTTGTTATTTGACTCACACTAAGACTAGCTTAATCTGAAGTATGTATATTCTATGTTACTATAATTTAACCAAACATTATTTTGTATTATATTTTATTTTAAATAAATTCATTTCCTAGTAACTAAAACTTAGAAAACCAAGTCTCTCCCCTCTTTGAAGCCTTAGAATTTGCATATATCCCACTTTAAATTTTTCTATTTAATTCTTTTTCTCCTCTCAACCAGAAACTTCAGATGCATGGTGACTTTTCTGGTCAAAAAATTCATGCCAAATACAAGAGCTTTTCCCCTCCCTCCCTCCTGCCCTCCTTTCCTCCTTCACTCCCTTTCTTTCTCATTCTCTTCCTCTCTTTCCTACCTTCTCTCTTTCCCTCCCTCCCTCCCTTCTTTCCTTCCTTCCTTCCTTCCTTCTTTCCTTCCTTCTTTCCCTCTTTCCTCACTTTCCTTTCTTTCATAGCTTTATTGAGGTCTAATTTACATACCCCAAATTCACTTGTTTTAACTGCACAATTTAATTACCTAAAGTAAATTTACAGCATTGTGCAACTCACACAATAATTTAATTTTAGAATATTTCTGTCACCCCAAAAAAGAAACGAAGTGCCCATGTATGGTCATTTTCCATTTTCACTGCCAGCCTCAGGCAATCACTAATCTACTTTTTATCTCTATAGATTTCACTTTTCTGGAAATTTTATGTAAATGAAATCATACACATGTGGTTTATTGTGTAGTTTATTTATTATACTTCTATCACATAACATAATGTTTTTGAAGTTCATCCATGTTGTAGCATTTATCAGCAGTTTGTTCCTTTTTATTGCTGACTACTATTCCATTGCATGAATATATTACATTTTGTTTATCCATTCGTCAGATGATAGATACTAGGTTGTTTCTCCTTTTGCCTAATGTGAATAATGTTGTTACAAACTTTCACATATAAGTCTTTGTGTAGACATATATTTTATTTCTCTCGGAGATTCCAGGAAGTGGAATTGTTGGGTATGTGGCAAATTTTTGTTTAACATTTTAAGAAACTGCCAAAATATTTTACAAAGTGACTGCAGTATTTTACATTTCCACCAGCAATGTATGTGGGTTCCAGTTAATCCACATCCTTGTCAACAGTTGTTGTCCTCATATGTTATTGAAATGTATATGGTGAGAAAACTGTGAAAAATGGCATCTAGATATAGTTTTAATTGCAATTCTATTAGGAGTAAAGTTGAGCATAAATTTATGTTTAAGGGCCATGTGTAAACTTTTTGTATGTAAACCTCATGTCAACTCTTTTGTCCATTTTCTATCTAGTTTTTAGTTTTTCCTTTTTTCTTATCAATGTTTAATTATAAACTTAAAAAAATTAAAGTGTACTGTATTTCCCCCTTTATAAACACAGCATGTACTTATTTTAAAAATTTGAACACAAAGATAGGACACGAAGCTTCAAATTATGCATGGTGGGTCAACTGCATTTGTTTTAATCATCCCTGGAAAGTCTACCAAAATGATTGCGGAATGCTTTTTAAAAAGCGTGAACTTGCCGGGCATGGTGGCTCACGCCTGTAATCCCAGCACTTTGGGAGACTGAAGAGGGCAGATCACGAGGTCAGGAGATCGAGACCATCCTGGCTAACACGGTGAAACCCTGTCTCTACTAAAAATACAAAAAACTAGCCGGACGTGGTGGCGGGCGCCTGTGGTCCCAGCTGCTCCGGAGGCTGAGGCAGGAGAATGGCGTCAATCCAGGAGTTGGAGCTTGCAGTGAGCCAAGATCATGCCAGGGCACTCCAGCATGGGCGACAGAGCAAAAAAAAAAAAAAAAAAAAAAAAAAGCGTGAACCTGGAAAAAGACAAAAATAATAGAAATCAACAAGTTTTCAGAATTGGAAAGCAGATGAAGAGATGAAGGAGGGCTCATGACCAAGCAGAGTGGAGAAGTTTTACTCAACTGCCTTTAGCGAATATCCTGATGGAAAGGAGACCAATTCACCTAGCAAATATCTCAAGGTGGCCCAAAGCAATAAAGGCAAGGCTGGAGTGCTGGAGAGGAGGAATGACTGAAAGACGTTTTGTAGAGAGGTGAGACTTCCCCCAGACTCTCTTACCTACCCTGCACAGCCAAGTGACTACAAGTCTCCTCCCAATCTGCCTCTTCCCCCAGAAATAGGAGTTCCTAAGGAAAGGGTGCTAAAAAGGGGAGGAGTCGGTCTATGTATTGAATCATAAGATTCTCAGCACCTATTCTTCCTCCTCCCCACAGTAGGTTGAGCCCTGCAGAATTATCCTCTTTTTCCCTCTGTCCCAGGCTGGAAATTGAATAATTATTTTCTGGAGAAAAGACCTCCAATACTGACATTTGGGGGCATCCATTGACAAGCCTGCCTTACTTCTTGTTCACCCTATTCTGAATCTCAACAGTTGAAAATCACCTCTACCACAAAATTATGAACATAAAATAAACGATCATTCTTTATGTGAGGTAAGCTTTAGGTATTTGTAAAAACTTTAAATATAAAAGAGATAACAAGAAAACAAGTAAGAAAAAAAAAGGAAAAATAAACTCTCCTAGAGAATACAAATACTTCTCCAGGGAACAGAAAAATCTAAACAAACCAACAAAATTACAATATATCTTCTCAAAGGTAAAAAAGATGCCTTAATCACAAGCCAAGTGCAGGATGCTATGATAAAAGAACAGAAAAGCAGTAAGAACTCCTAGAAATTAAAAATATTATTAAAAAAATTAAAAATTAACTCAGTGAAGGACCCTTGGAAATATCCCAGAAAAAAAAAATTATAAAACATGAGCTGGGCATGGTGGATCGTGCCTGTAATCCCAGCTACTCCAGAGGCTGAGGTGGAAGAATCACTTGAGGCCGGTAGTTCAAGATCAACCTCAGCAACCCAGCAAGAACTTCCCACCACGCAATCCACCCTTCACCCCACAAAAAAGGAAGAATTATAAAACATTAAAGAAATGGGCAATAGCAGAAAAAAGTTGTAATATTATAAGATCAATACCAAATGTCTGATATCATCATAACAGGATTGCCAGAGGAGAAAGCCAAGAAAATGAAAGGAAATTATCCAAGGAAGGCAGAAATTTCCCAAAATTGAAAGGCATGCATCTCCAGTTTGAATGGGCCCATCAAGTGCGATATAATGAATGGAGGAGAAAAGAGACATAACTTTGAAATGTTATACCACTAGAGATAAAGAGAAGCTTCTGAAGAGAGGAAAAACATGGGGTTTCAAAGTTAAAGATGGCACTAGACTTCTCAATAGTAATATTGGATTCTGGAAAACATTGGAAGAAAGCCCTTCAGTAGCTTTCAATCAAGAATTCTGTATTTTGTCAAACTATTATCAAGATTGAAGGTAGAAGATATTTATATATATAAAACAACTCTAAATATTTATCTTCACACATCCTTTAAGGAGCTACTTTGGGATGCTTTTCAGAGAAAGAAGTCAGTAAAGGAAGAAAGGTCACTGCTCGCTCATCAGTAAATTGTATATATATCATCATCATCGTATAATCTCTCTCTACTTATTTAGATAAAAATTTTAGCATAATTGTTATGGAAAATGGGTAGAAGAAATGGGTATATATGTGTGTTTGGATGATTTTAAAAACTAAATCTTTGGCCGGGCACATTGGCTCATGCCTGTAATCCCAACACTTTGGGAGGCCAAGGCAGGCGGATCATAAGGTCAACAGATCCAGACCATCCTGGCCAACATGGTAAAACCCTGTCTCTACTAAAAATATAAAAATTAGCTGGCTATGGTGGCGGGGGCCTGCAGTCCCAGCTACTCAAGAGGCTGAGGTTGGAGAATTGCTTGAACCAAGGAGACGGAGGTTGCAGTGAGCCAAGATTGTGCCACGGCACTCCAGCCTGGTGACAGAGCAAGACTTCATCTCAAAAACAAAACAAAACACAACCAAAAAAACCAAAAAACTAAATCTCAATTACCAGGAAAAGAATTGACGAGATACTGTCTAAACTCTATAACTGAAGACATAGCAATATAAGTATATGATTTAAAAATACTCCCTAGAAGAAACAGCGTGAGAGTTCAAAGTGACTGATCTGGACAGTGGGACTTACATGTGCTGGTGCTGGGGGTGAGGGAATTACTTTTAATCACATGCATTGCCTTGATAAAAATAAATAATTTAAAAAGAAAAGTTTGGGAGCCAAGTATAAACTATGACAACAGAAACAATAATACAACAAAGAAAGCAGGAGGGAGAAAAATGACTGTTGTACTACCCAAAGATAAACAATATTCTCATTTGGTTGGTTGGTTGTTTTTTTTAAGTCTTCCTCCCCCTCCTCCACCACACCATGCCCAAGCTTTTGTTTCTAGCTTTTACATAGCCATGTTTATACAGTTGGCTTTTCTGCTTTTCTTTTCTTTCTATTTTTTTTTTTTTTTTTAAGATGGAATCTCACTCTGTCGCCCAGGCTGGAGTACAGTGGCATGATCTCTCAACTCACTGCAAACTCCGCCTCCTGGGTTCAAGCAATTCTTTTGCCTCAATCTCCTGAGTAGCTGGGATTATAGGTGCCTACCTACACTCCTGGCTAAATTTTTTGTATTATTTTTTTGGTAGAGACGGGGTTTCACCATGTTGGCGAGGCTGGTCTCAAACTCCAGACCTCAGGTGATCTGCCTGCCTCAGCCTCCCAAAGTGCTGGGATTAGAGGCATGAGCCATTGGGCCCAGCCTATTCTGCTTTTCTTAATCTACTCTCATGGTACAGTATGCTCCCATGTTATCATGTCATATTAAAATTAAAGCATATTTTTCAATGGCTGCATGATGGCACATTGAATGGCTATACTATAATTCACTTTTGTTCATTGTCATTCGTTCTTCTCTCTGCCTAAAACTCTAACATTCTTGGTATCAGTCCCACATCTTAATTGGACCACTCCTCTTTCCCCTCTCCAACCATGTGATTCCAAAGCGGGCAAAGCTGCCAATCACTATACCCCAGCCCTCTGGCCACAGTGCTAAGAATGTGGCCCAAGCCAGCTCAGCTGATGAGATAACTTTTCTGGGGAGTTAGAAAACTCCCCAGGAGCTGGACAGCAAAGTTTGATGTGAGGATGTGAGCCTGGAGCAATGATGTGAGCCTGGACTCACTGGGACAGTCAGCCTGAAAGCACAAAGTGCAGGGAGGCAGAGATGAGAGCCGGTGTAGCAAGAGAACCAACAGCTAGAAACAGAGGGAAGGGAGAGATACAAGAAAGAAAGGAACCCGACAGTATTCCACTCCCTGAACCTAGAGATCCCTGAGGACAACCTTACTCTAGCCTTTTCCATAATTAGCTGATAAATACTTCCTTTACACTTTTTATACTTATATAGGTTGAATTTGCCTCTATTATTTATAAATTAATAAGCCTTCACTAGTGTGACTTTTGGAATGGAACACAATACTCAAATTGTTCATAGCAGACATGTAATAAACACTTATTAAACTGAGTTAAATGAACTTCCCTAGAGGCAGAATAGTACAGTGCAAAGAGCTTGGGCTTTAGAAACTGGCTGACCTGAGTTTGAATTATGGATCTATAAGATGTTTGGCATATTATTTCATAATTCAGAACCTTTATTTCTCCTCCTTTTTCATCCTCATCAGCATTATAATCTCTAACATTTGTTGAGTTCTTTCTACGTGGAACATACTATGCTAAGTGCTTTGCATTTATGAGTAAAATAATCCTAACAGATAGGTCTTTTTTATTATTATATTGTTATGATCTTTGAAATGAGGATTCAATGAGATAATCAATTTAAATCACTAAGCCCAAATAATGACTGTTTTTCCTCCCACTTTTTCCTTTCTGACTTAATCCTGCATCTTACCACTTTGCCAGAATTTAGAGATATGGCTCCTTGACTTTTGAACAGATTAATCTGTTTGCTCTTTGCCGTCATAACTTGTTAGTCTTTGTCTCCGTGCCTTTTTACCTGTCAATTACTCACTATGAGATGTGCTTAATAATGACACAAACAACATAGATGGAAAGACATATCATGTTCTAAAACTGGAAGACTAGAAATCACAAAGAGGTCAATTCTTTTTAATTTACAAATTTAATTCAATCCTAATAAAAGTAAAAACAAATACCCCCCTCCTTCTTTCTCTGGAATTGGACAAGTTGATTCTAAAATTCATATGGAAAAATGCTTACACAAGAATAGCAAGAAAAATTCTGAAAATGAGAGCAGTGCAGAAGGATTAGTCTCTCTAGGTAATAAGGCATATTACACAATCTCAATAAGTAGAAGAGAGAGATAATGATTCCTGAATAGGCAAACAGACAGTAACACAGGCTAGAAAGTTCAGAAATAGAATTGATTAACAAAGGAATTTAGTAGAATCATTGGTGAAGGTGGTATCAAAATCCAATGTTTGACAGTACACTCTCTTGGCAAGGCTGTGGGGAAGAAAATGGTACAAGCTCCAATTCCATGGAGGTAAATCTGATAATATTTGTTAAAATTACAAATACATTTATCCCATTTCTGAGAATTTAATGCATAGATTTTATTTGTTGATCTTGAAGTATTTTTATTTTTCCTTAATTAGCAGCTTCCTGGGTAGCCCTGAGCTCATGTATGTTGGTTTTTCCAACCCACTGAAGTTAGCAGAATCTCTTGATTGCTACTTTATGTTTTCTTTTTTCTTACTTTTAATAATTTTGATGTTTTTCCAACTTTTTTATTTATTTTATTTCTTTAGCAATAATTCATTTATAATTTCAGTTTTTGTTTTAGATTTAGAGCGTACATGCACAGGTTTGTTACCTGGATATATTGTGTGATGCTGAGGTTTGTAACCAATTGACTTAAGTGCACACATACAAAATGGCAGGTTTGCAAAAGTTATTTATTGCAATTTACAATAGTAAGAAATCCAAGGGTCCATGAGTAGGGGGCTGGATAAATAAACTGTGGTGCAAACATACATTAGAATACTATTCAGCTTTAAAAACACACAGAGAAAAGTTTCTCTAGTTAGTTTTACAAAGAGAAAAAAGTTAAAAACTCAAGTGCAGAACAGTGTGTATAGTACCTTACCTTTGTGTAACAAACGGAGTAATAAGAATATTTATATTGTATTTGCCTGTATCTGCATAAAGAATCAATGAAAAGTTACATAAATTGCTAAGAGTAATTACCTGTTCAGAAAGGAAGAATCTGCTAGAAGGGAAAAGAGATGAGAGCAAGACTTGTTAATATGTACTTTATTACTTTGGTGGTTTTTTTTTTTTTTTTGACCTGGCCCTAACTCTTGGTAGTTTTATAATCATAAGCAGCATTATTTAAGTTCTCTTAGTTTTCTTGACTGTGACATGGGGCTACTAAAAACTACCCTGCAGGGTCATTGTAAAATTAGAGATGATGGATATTCATTGACTGCATTTACTACTCTGTTGCCCAGTCTTGCCCTGTTGCCCAGGCTGGAGTGCAGTGGTGCAATCTCAGCTCACTGCAAGCTCCACCTCCCAGGTTCAAGCAATTCCCCTGCCTCAGCCTCCCGAGTATCTGGGTTTACAGGTGCCTGCCACCACACCCGGTTAATTTTTTTTGTATTTTTAGTAGAAACAGGGTTTCGCCATGTTGGCCAGGTTGGTCTTGAACTGCTGACCTCAGGTGATCTGCCCACCTTGGACTCCCAAAGTGCTGGGATTACAGGCATGAGCCACTGCGCCCTGCCTAATTTTTGTATTTTTAGTAGAGACGGGGTTTTACCATGTCGATCAGGCTGGTCTCGAACTCCTGACCTCAAGTGGTCTGCCTGCCTCGACCCACCAAAGTGCTAGAATTACAGGCGCTCCTGAATCAGGCTCCTGAGTAGCTGGGATTACAGGAATGTGCCACCATGCCCAGGTAATTTTTTGTATTTTTACTAGAGGCAGGGTTTCACCATGTTGGCCAGGCTGGTCTTGAACTCCTGACATCAGGTGATCCACCTGCCTTGGGCTCCCAAAGTGCTGAAATTACAGGCTTGGGCCACCGCACCTGGGTGGTTTGGCTTTTTGAATCATGGATTTATATCAACCATTCCAATAAAAAAAAGTAAAGATTAAAAAATTCAAGCAGCGAGTACTTAGTGTGTGTTAAGATACTGTGCTAAACTTGTAAATATATCATCTCATTTAATCCTCAAAAGAGCCCTGTGAAGTTTTATTTTAATTTCAATTTTACAGATGAGAGAGAGAATAACTTAGATTGCTTAAGCAATTTGTTCATCTCTCTATCAATCCACCCCTCCTCCCCATTTCTTTCATGCCCCAGCTCAATACTAACTTCCTGCCAGTTTTCACACAGGTTATTTCCATTCAACTCCAACAAGTTGTTTCTTTGAATCTCTTTAGTAATTAAATAACTAGTTCACACCATATTCTTTTAAAATAGCAAAAGCCTTAGGGCCTTCTGCCTGTACTTGCTTCATCTCCCTGACCAGACTGTAAAAACCATATTGTGTATCATACTTTCCACTTTTGCCTCCTCCCCTCCAGGGCTTCCAGGTACACTGAATCACCACTCAGTAAATCTCGGGATACAAAATAACTTTCACTTGTTTGGGTTCCTGCAATTTACAGTCTATAATTACATTGAATCTCCCCAAAACTCTGTCAGGTATGTTTTATTGACCTCTTTTTACAGAAGAGGAAACTGACGCTCAGAGAGACTCAGAAAGATTAACTATGAGTCATATCTAGGACTTCTGACAAAATAAGGCCTCTTTTCATTATACCACAGCTACTTCTAGTTAACCTCATAGAAAATATCTGGCTGAATCGTATTTATTCCAGGGAAAGGTCTACGTCAGTTATTCTAGAAATGAGGACATAGGGATAACTCAATTTATATTTTAACATTTTAAGAAACTGCCAAAGTATTGTACAAAGTGACTGCAACATTTTATATTTTCATCAGCAGTGTATGTGGGATCCAGTTAATCCATATTTTTATCAACAGTTGTAAGTGTCTTATACATTGGTGAAGTGTATATGGTGGTGACAAAATGGTGAAAAATGGCATTTAGCCTTATGGTTTTAATTGCAGTTCTCCTATTATAAGTAAAGTTGAGCATACTCAAAATGTGGTCCTTAGACTAGCAGCATCAACATGAACTGGAGGCGTGATAGAACACAGCATCTCAGGTCTCATCTCCAAGGTACCGAGTCAGAATCTGCATTGGAAGATCCGCAGATGATTCCTATAACATTCACATTTGAGAATTTCTGGTCTAAGATCCTGTTCAGTGACAATTCTCTATGAATTTATGACCTATGATCTCTGTCTAGGAGAACCAACCAATGAGTTATTTATCACTCTCCCCTCAGGTCTGCTGGCTCTGAGGAGCACCTATTTCCTTTCTCGAAAACATCTTCCAGGATATTTTGGTATAGTGGAATGAGAAGGTGCTTCTATTTGAAAAGATCCTTTTGAGACCGGCTATGAATACCTGCAAAGTGAGAGAAATGAAAGAAGTCTAAACGTCCCCATTTGGCTGTCAATGCATCTTGCGTTGCCTGGAGAGTTGCTCTCTGCCTAGCACTGACAGTATAGAGTGGGATATTTCTGCCCTGGGAGTTCCCAGCATCACAGTCAAATAGAACCCCAGACTGCTTTCCTGAGTGTGCTGAGGTTTCTGGCTAGCCTGGCTCAAATTCCTTGGGGGAGGAATCACCTTTGCCTGACATGTTATCTCTGTGACCACCAGTTTGTTAACTGTTTATTTCAAATGCTATTGATGTTAGTCAACTTTATAGCATGTGCACTTTGTTGACATTTAAAAAAATGCCTTTATATGTTTGCTCATTCGTTTTAATTTATGGCATGGGAGGAACATGTTTCAGATCACAAGAGTAGAATGAAAACATAAGATTATTCACCAGTGGGAAGTACCAGAAAAGGTTGTAATTGAACATAATAACTTTCAGTATTTTCCTTAAAACTTGTGTAGGTATTTTATTCCTAAATTTTTACATTATTTTAAATATATGTAATATTTTGCCTAGTTTGAAAGACGAGCATTTTGATTTTGAGACTGTGGAAAAATCAGAGAAGTCTAAGGGGACATTAAAAAACCAAACCCTCTAAATTCAATACTTAACATTTTGTTCAGTCTCTTTTTACTCTTTTTTTTGCTGTAACAGGGATCTTTTTCCTGCAACTTCTAGTGAGGAAAGCTTGTTTTAAGATCTCTTGTTTCATTATGACAAGGACAGTGATTGAGCTCCCTTGTGGAGAGGAGGAGGATGAGTCAGCCAAAGTGACATGGAAAGGACACAAATAGAAACAGAACTGGACCACCTCCAGGGCAGCTAGGGTTTGCATGTTCCTATGACGCTAGGACTTCAGGAAGAGTTGCCTGAGCCCCAGAAGGTCCTGTAGATCCCTCTGCACTGGACTCCATATGCCCACATGTCAGCCTCCACAGCTGCGAGGCTGAGATATGGAGCTCTCAGTGACCATCCTCCTGGCTTGAAAGCTATTTCTCCCATAGGCCTGAAGTTCCTCTTGCTATGTAAGGTCTATTTCTTGGCTCCAACAGAGATAGAACCTGTTCTCTGTTCTCAGGATGGCAAATGGGCCCATGGAAAGGACTTGGAGTTCACAACCAGGCGGCCCTGGCCCTAACTCTAGCTCGGTCACTTGGTAGTTTTATAATCATGAGCAGCATTATTTAAGTTCTCTTAGTTTTCTTGACTGTGACATGGGGCTACTAAAAGCTACCCTGCAGGGTCATTGTAAAAATTAGAGATAATGGATATTCATTGACTGTAGCTTAACAGGCACTCAATAAATGGTAGCCATTACTGTCATTGTGTGTTCTTTCAGTCATCTCTTTTCTAGGCTGACATCAAGACACCTCTTAATTTTAGTTTCATTTCTCTTTGCTCATATCTTTTAAGCAAATTCCCTCTGAAATTATAGAATTTCAAAACACCGTCGGCCTCCTCTTAGATTCCAAGTTCTCTCTCTTTCTCTAACATATATTTTCTTGTTGGTGGTAAAAAGATACAAAGGACGAATCAAGGCCTGTGTCCTTCGGGAGTCTTTAATCTCATTGGGGAGACAAGACTTACACAAAAGATACAATTAGAGAATAATAAAAAAGAGCGAGAGCACTCAAATGTGCTGAGTAGAATGTTCCATCCCTGTCTGCTTCCGAATCCCATTTCTGCTGTATTAAACAATATCGCAGTGCTGCTGACTCATGTTCAGCTTCTAGACCCTTGAGACTGTAATATTTCTCTGCTATATCTGCATATAACCAGTGAGAATATTCTATTGTGTATAATATTTCTATAGCATATTACATTTGGGCAGTTTTCCCTGATGTTCTTCATGGCACTTGTCCCATCAAAATTCACTCAGTTTGTGTCTGATAATTTTTCTGTGCTGTCAACCTTGTAATATAATGCCTCAGCATCCTAACAAAGATAGGCCGGAGTAAGGCTCTTCAAATAGCTGTCCTTGTCTGCAGTGTCTGACGCTTCCACATTTTCTCTCTGTACTTGCATTCAAACTCCTAGAGTAATGGAAAGTCGAGGAAGGGATAAATAGATGAACTTAAGCATGTCACTTCCACCTCAGGGCCTCGGTTTCCTCCTAAGGGGAAAAGGGACTATGTGAGCACTTCCAATACAGATATGCTGTGATTCTACATATGGCCACTACTTTTGACATTAGTGATATTACCAACAACCAGTTCTGCCAATGAGGAGTGAGCTGCTCTTCTGAGATGGGGCTCAGCACATCTCTCTCTCTTCTTAAAGGCAGGTCTGTCAGTGGGATTGCAGCTTTTTTTTCTGAAAATGGTGGCAGGACAACTCTGAGTCTCTCACCTCATGATGGGTCTGTAACATAGACCCACTAGACTATAGTGGGATCAGCTATAAGGCAACACAGAGAAAATGCTTAGCAGGAATAAATGTGGGGTTCCTGAGTTTGCTAGAGATGGAAAGAGATAGTTTGCCATTTGCCAGCAATATCAACTGAGAGCTCCCTGAGGCTGTGTCCTGCGGAGGATGTTTCAAAATCAGCATGGGCTGTAGTGTCTACCTTCAAGCTGGCTACATCTAGAGTAACTGACAGGAAAAGGAAAAAGGGTAAGCAAACACACAGAAAAGTGGCATAGGAACAATTCACATCTATGTTCACCTGAGACGTGCACAGGAGCACCAAATAGGATATTAGAACTGGAGGAGACTTTATAAGATCATTTCAAAATTCACACTTCGCAGACAATGAAAATGAGGCGTAGAGGGCAAATGGCAGAGAGAAGGTCTGGGAGCTGGTTAATAGCAGACCTGGGTTCTCATCCTTCTGATCAGCTCAGGGTCATTCCCATCGCAATATTTTGCTTCTGCTGAGATTATTAGATTTGGGTTTGTTAATTAAGGTTACATGGGATGGCTGTATCAGGAAATTATTCTCAAGTGCAAGATGTGTGGTTTGTCTGGGAGGCACATATTTTAGATTTGTCTAGGTAGTTTTGTGACAACAGGAGGGTCTACAGAAAGTCTTGGTTACTATCATTGTATCTTAAACTTAGTAGGCATTTAGTAATAGTTATTTTAAAATTTTGGGATTTACTAAATACATAAAATAAAACTCTCATCATGTGTCTCAATTAATATTTGTTTCCTTTTTTTTTTTTTAAGAGACAAAATCTCTCTCTGTTGCCCAGGCTGGTGTGCAGTGGCAGGATTATAGCTCATTGGCAGCCTTGAATCCCTGGGCTAAAGGGATCCTCTCACCTTAGCCTCCCAAGTAGCTAGGACTACGGGCACACATCACCACGCAAGGTTAATTTTTAAAAAATTATTTATAGTAGAGAGGGGACCTCGTTTTGTTGCCCAGGCTGGTCTTGCTCTCCTGGGCTCAAGCAATCCTCCTGCCTTGGCCTCCCAAAGTGCTGAGATTACAGGCATGAGCTACCACGCCCAGCCTGAATTAATACTTCTTGATTGGGGTAGAAGTAACTGAGTCATATTCATAAGTAGGTTTGCCTAATTATAGACAGTACCAGCTGGAGAGTGTTTTGATAGAGTCAGATAAAAAGCCTCACACATAAATATCCAGTGTAGGTGGACAGGCCAGATATTAAGGTAGGAATGGCTGCCTCTGTCAAACTTGGGTGTCTCAGCAAATTCCCAACCATCTAACGGAGTTTTAAAAATGTGAACATACTCATATAAAAGGTATTTAGACCTTGGAATAAATGAGCTATTTTACCTGCCTGGTTGTTTTCTTCATTGGTCTATTAATAGTGCTAAAATAAAATATCCTAGCTCTTCATTAAGCATTCATGATCAGACATCCACTTCTGACAGAAGTCTGCAGCTCCTAAGAAACCCAGGATGCATCTCTCCTAAAAAAATGACTTTTAATAAAGAAATGATCTGGGCTTTCCAAAGGTGTTTTAGTTATATATGTGATATTTCATTCTTCATTTAACCATTTATCAAATATATTTCAAGTACTTAATAATTATGTATTATCCTATAGTTTCACATGCTTTTGCATTGTCTCATTAGAACCTTACAACAGCCTTCTGAGCAGGGTAAATAAAATGTGTCCAGTTTTACAGAAGCAATAGAGAAGCAGTGAATTTGGGATTCCAAGGAGGTGAAACATGGCCCTATTTTAGCTTAGGGTCTTTTGTGGCCACATTCTGGGTTTAAAAGAATAAACTATTTAGGGACTTCAGTGCTAGGCTAACAGAGATTAAGTGACTTGCCCAAGGCCACACAACTATTAACTGGCAAATCCAGAATGCCATCCAAGACTTTTGAATCCAGTCAATTATTCTTTCCTACACCCCAGTGGGTTTATTAAAGCATAGATTGCTGGCTGTATTCCAGCATGTTTGATGGGAAGGGGGGATTTGCATTTCAACAAGTTTCCAGGTAACACTGAAGCTGCTGGTCTCCAGACCACAAGCAGAGAACTACTTGTTGTTCAAAGTGTGGTCCCAGCAGGCATCACCCAAGAGCTCCTTAGAAAGGCAGATTCTCGGAACCACAGAATTAGATTCAGAATTTTAACAAGATCTCTGGATGATTTGTATGCAAATTAAAATTTGAGAAGTGCTGCTGTACACCACAGCTGTCAGTTTGCAGGGCACCGTACTGGGTGCTACAGAGACAGGAGAGAATAATCATAATAACCCTTTAATTGGGCACTTTCTATATGGCAGGCACCCCTCTAAGCACATTAGGTATATTATCTCTTTTAATCTTCACAATAACCCCCTGAGGGAGAGACTAATATTATTGCTGTTTTAAAGCTGAGGAAATGCCAGAGTATAGAGAGGTTGGTAATCCAGTACAAGACAGATCCGGGCTCTGAAGCTGGGCAGTTCACTCCCAAAGACCATGTTCTCGTTTACTAGGCTGGAGCTTTGTTAAGTTGTGGTCGCCGTTCATACAGTTAGGGAGGTAAGAAGGAAAGGCAGGCAAATAGGTATGAGGCAAGACAGAGCTCATAGCCTGAACATCGTGTCTAGGTCAAGGGAGTCTATTTGTGTTCCCCACTGGAGACCTGGGTTTGGCTGGGCCTCTGCAGCAGCTTCTGATGAGGAAGACTTTGGTGAGTCTTGCTTAGTATCTCCACTGGTAAAACTGAAGTAATCTTAACAACAATTGATAAAGAGAAAAGACACTGGCGGCTAGACTAAAGGGAGGGTACTGAGAATTGAAAATAGAAACCACAGTTTTTCAAAGCCGATTGTGCAAAACAGATAAACTGTATCAAATCAAAACCATAGTGTTCATCTGCAGCTAGAGAAACTTTCAGTCTTTTAACACCAGTCTGTTCAGATCCGTGAGCTCCAAGATAAGACCACAGACAACTGATCTAACAGTGACTCTGTATGACCAAATCATTCTAAATACAAAGCCACAGACTGTTCCAAACTCCCGAGTTCATTCCTGCTAAGCCCACCCTAGGACTAACTCCAGCTCCCAAGCCGTATATGGACCTTTTTCTGACTCCCCCACTTTGGAGAGGCCCCACAGCTCCCCATGCTATATGGTCTTCCTTGCTGCAGCAAGTAAGAACCTAACTTTATTCCTGTGGATATGTTCCCCGTGGTCTTTGGCTGATGGGCACCGACCCAATAATATTTTCCTGCCTGTCCCATAGAGTTGTTATGAATATCACATGAAATAAAGCATGGAGAATGCTACATAAATGTGAGCTTCTAAATTTGTTATTGTAATTGTTTATGTGCTGTTTCATCTTCCCTCTGCAAAAATAGTGACGTCCTAAGTTAGAAGAGACCAGATCATATTTATCTTTGTGTCCTCAATGTCTAGAAAAGTCCATAATGCATAAGGTCCTCAGTAACTGTTGGTTGAATGGAAAAAACAAATAAATGAACAAATGAAAAGAAAATCATGCTCTAGTTCTCCTTTTCTCCAGTCCAGCCCCGTGAGTGATCCAGACTTCCTCAAATGGGGTAAAGGAATTCCTAAGTGTTTAAATGTGAGCTTTACCTCCTGGGCAGACTGTCACTAGCACTTTGTAACAGTTACAGATAACCTTGTTTGTCTCTTAAAAGTTTTCCTACCTGCAAGGTGGCTGGAATTGCTAGAGGGAATACTATTCCCTTTGCCCACAAAATCGGTCCTGGAGCAATAACCGTGCAGTTGAACAGCAGCACATTTTACAGCCCATGGAGCTGGTGTGTATCAGCACATTAGCCAGCACCTCTTGTAATCACGCCCACGTTTAGAGGAATGATATACTTAGGTGCTTTTGTAATAGACTTGCACCAAGCAGAAATCATGGCCCGTGGAACACAGTGGCTCCACTGAACATTCTTAAATACTTTTAGCACAGCAAGTTCCTGTTATGGCTGGAGTCTCTGGGGATGCCTTCGATCAGTTAGAAGCTGCCAGAAAATTCCTCATACTCCAAAAGCACAGACGCTGTCCAGTGCTGTGTCTTCCTTTCTCCCCTCCAGTTCTGGCAGTAGATGGTCCATTTTAACTTCCCCTCTCCCTTGAACCCACTTTCTAGTTGTCATGATTTCTGACAGATGCACCTTGGGGAGTAGGCAGGCATTTACCCTGGTGTAGGAGGGATGTAAGTAGACATCATTAATGGAACAAGCAAAAGCAGTTATCTCAGGAAGCACAGGCCCTACAAGTTGGAATGTAGGCCAATGCTTTCTGAAAGCATATTCTCTGCTAAGGCTTACCCTGCTGGGTATTTTACAAGGGAAACAACCCCAACAGTGTGTTCCCTTTCCAATGCCCTCTCCCTAGGACAGGAGTAAAGACAAAGAAAATGCTGTATGGGCTTCCCCTCTCACTTCTAGCCATCAGAGGTGCATTTGCCCCTGAAACAAAAATGGAATGTGTCTTCAATGGGTTCCAATGCCAGTATTGAACTCCCCTAAGCAAGCCAAGAGACAGGGATTGTAGAGGCC
Source organism: Homo sapiens (assembly GCF_000001405.40). NCBI lineage: Eukaryota > Metazoa > Chordata > Mammalia > Primates > Hominidae > Homo > Homo sapiens. Next base: position 166,385,813 of record NC_000001.11, read on the forward strand.
TCCCGCCAGGAATTTAATGGCTTCTATGCAATTCCCAGTTTCTTCTCCCTGCCCAGAACCTGCTATCAGACTGGATAGGATAATGTTGACTTAGGTGGATAGATAATGTTGACTTAGGCAAGAGTTTTTGAAAAGTAGTCCCCTTCACGTTGAACATTGGTGTCTAATTAGAACCTTGAGTTTGGCTAGTTACATACCCGTACATTTCCCATTTCCTTCTCTGTTCATTTCCCCTGATATTATTCGTGCACACATCTATTTTTTCCATTAGAATATATGCATCTATTGAGTAGCATTCTCTTCTCTTCCCCTTGTCTACCCTAGAGCTTAGTACAGTGCTTGATTTGTAACAAGTGCAAAATAGATACACACATTCAAAGGAAACATATATGTGGCCAAAGATCATGTGATTGTGGCAATTCCAATGGATTTAAGATTCAGTCTGAGCCTTACATTGGCATTTCAAGGGTTTCCTCTCACACCCTGGCAATAATAACACACTGTTTTTCTCAGTGGAGACGGGATCTTGTGTCACTGGGAGAAAGAACGTGAGGGAAGCAGTCTGATCAATTCTTTCTGAATGAAAGACCTGTAAACACTTTCAACAATGGAACTCTTTGCTGTCACTCCCTAAAGCGGGCAGCCTCTGAGGCTCTTTGGAAACTTGTGTTAGCCTGGACCCATGATCCTGATCCCTTGCTTGCAGTCTCTTCTCAGACTCAATTAGATTCCTTGGGCTCCCCTCCAGGAAGCTGCTAGGGCCTCTACACCTCCCAGGTGGTTAGTTTCCTGGTGGGTGGCATTTTGTTAGAATTTATACATTATCTGTCCTTCAAAGACTTGTGGCTTTACTTGGCTTTTGCTGTCTATCATTTCCCACGTTTCCTGGGGTGGATTAGGGAGTTGGTGGAAACTCCCTGCCTGATTTCCTGGCTCTATTTGAGAATCCAAATATCCCAGGCAATTAGAGCAGGGGTGTAGGAAGGGGGTGCCTTAAGCAAAAACTGGCCAGACAGGAATTAATACCTTGATGCCCTTTTGAAGCAAGCAAGTTCACATATCTGCTCACCATGTATTTGGTAGAGGTAGGAAAGGATTTGCATGGACCCTGGAGCCAGATCACTCAAGTTCAAATCTCACCTCTACCATTTCTGGCTGTGTTATTTTGGGCATATTAACCTCCTGGTATTTCAGTTTCCACATCTCTAAAATGAGGATAATAGTAATAAGCACCTCTTATTATTGTTGTGAAGATTAGGAGTCCATATAAGTGGCCGGGTGTGGTGGCTTACACCTATAACTCCAGCACTTTGCAAGGCAGAGGTAGGCCGTTCACTTGAGCCCAGGAGTTTGAGACCAGCCTGGGCAACATAGTGAAACCCTGTCTCTAAAATAAAAATACAATAAATTAGCCGGGCATAGTGGCATGTGCCTGTAGTCCCAGGTACCCAGGAGGCTGAGATGGGAGGACCACCTGAGCCTGGGGGTTGAGGCTACAGTGAGCCATAATCTCACCACTGTACTACAGCCTGGGCAATAGAATGAGACCCTGTCTCAAAAAAAAAAAAAAAAAAAAAAAAAAAAAGAGTCCATATATGTAAGATGCTTAGAAGAGTGCCTGACACATAGTGAGTTCTCATTATTAGCTATTGCTCTTGTCAAAATAGAACTAGTACAGAATTTCTTTGTGTTCAAAGTAGTTTTTTAAATTTTTCATGAATATAACATAGACTTTAAACTAATTTTGTGTTATAGTTTTTGTGTTATTTATGACTGGATTCATTAATACATACTACTCATTAAGGACAGAGTTAATTTACCTGACAGAAAGATTTTGCTTGAAAAACTTATCCTATTAATGTTTAATATGTGTTTCTCAGTCCTTGCTTTCATGAAGGGAAAACATTTCTTGCTTTCTTATTTATCTCTTCAGTGTTCTTTTGTCATGTTCTCAATCAGACAAGTTTTGGGTGGCATATTAAAGGGTTTGGGGCTGACTTAATGGAGTCAATCAGTCTTTCCTGGTAAGCAGCACTTCAGCGCGTGTCAATCATTAGTTCTCAGAGTTCCAGCAGAGTGGGGTCTGCTTCAGATGCCATCACTGACTGTCTTTGGGATGGGTGGCTTGGCCTGGTACCAATTTTCATGTTGGTATAAGAAACTTCTCAGTGGACAGAGGTTGATGCTAAGAATGCTATTCTTTCCATTAGAAAGCATCATTTCCTTTGGTGAGAGGGGTCACGGCCTGGGTTCTTCTCTTCAGGAAGGGGTACATGAGGTCCAGTCTTCAGCTTTATTCTTCTGATGCTTTAAAGTTTGTTGCGCATGATGCTCCAACCAGCTGCTCCTTGCCTTGACTGGGCTCCTCCCTGAGCCTATGTTGCTGAAAAATTCGGAGAAATTTGAAAGGATGAAAGTTGATGCCTGTAATCGCAGAGACTGGGGGTGCTCAGGCAGGAGGATCACTTGAGCCCAAGAGTTTGAGGCTACAGTAAGCTATGATTGTACTGCTGCACTCCAGTGTAGGTGACAGAGCAAGATCCCATCTCTGAAAAAAAAAAAAAAAAGAAGGAAGAAGGAAGGGAAGGGAGGAGAGGCAAGTGAAGGGAAAAGAAAAGAAGAAAGGAAAGAAGGAAAGAGGGAAAAAAGAAAGAAAGAAAGAAGGAAGAAAGAAAGAAAAGAAGATGAAAATGTGCAGAAATGTCCCCACATTCATCATTAAGATTATTAAAAGTCCCTCCTCCCAAACTATGCTCTTGGACCTAGAACCTATCTTTTCTCTTCTGCCAGTTCTCATCTTTCCAAGAATAGCATAATAGAAAGATGGGATAGATGTGGATTCAACTCTCTTTTTGCTGCTAGTCAGCTGTCTGACCTTGGAGAAGCTATTTAGCCTCTCCAATCCTCTATTTCCTCAACTATAAAATAGGAGTAATAATTCCAGGGTTGTTGTCAGGATCAAATTAGTTATTTTTTGTGGAATATATAGAACAGAATCTGAACTCATTAACAGCAGCCATTAGAAGTGGCTGCAAATAATCTCTTTTGTAAAGATTTATCAATCCCAACTACCTGCAGTAAGAAGTTATTCTGGAATATTGACTTTCTCCCATCTGAAATATGAGCTTTTCAAGGCCAACAACAGTGTCTCTACTATCTCTGTAGTCCCAACACCAGCGCAACACCTACTGAATCCCTTCCCTCTAGAGTGAATCTTAGGGATCACGAGTTTCATTAATTTCATCAGCTCACTGGGATGTCAGCCTATGGATAATCAGACTGAGCAAAGGAGTCACCTGTTGATAGTTAAGTAAGGTGTGAAGAAGATGCAAGAGAAACTAAAGTAAAACCCAGGTGCAGTGTGGGCTACTTAAAGGCCCGTGGTCACAGAGAGATTGCAGTATGGATAGATGGCGGCTGGAAGGGGCACCAAAGGTGAGTTGCCCAAGGATGTCCCATTTGGCCCAAGCCTGGCTGTGCCTGCATCCCCTGCCCACCTTTCCATTTCCCCTAGCCTCCCCAGTCATAGGGTGCTGATGTTGTTTGTGAGTTCCATTTGATGTGTTCTATTTACAAGTCTCTGCACACTTCATTTCCCCTGCCTGAAAATAAGGGGCTTTTGGAAAATGGCGTGAACCCGGGAGGGGGAGCTTGCAGTGAGCCGAGATCGCGCCACTGCACTCCAGCCTGGGTGACAGAGCGAGACTCTGTCTCAAAAAAAAAAAAAAGAAAGAAAGAAAAAGAAAATAAGGGGCTTTTTAATAAGAAAGATTATATCTGTAGGTGGTTTAGCATAAAATATGAGTTGTATTAGTCCTCTATTTTGAGCCAGGCATTATGCTAAATCTTTCACATAAATTATCTCTAATAATTGCTAAACCTCCCCAAACAGCATTATTATTATCATTTACTACCATGGAAACCCTTGACCAAATGAAACAGCTGGTAAGTGATGGAGTTAGGATTCTAAGCTGGTTCCAAATTCTAAGGACCTTGGTGTGTAGTTAGAAACCTTTGTTCTGGCCTGAGTTGTATAATGTTGACACATCATTGGCCTCTCAAGATTTTCTCTACAAATTGAGAATAATCATACCTGTTCCACTTTCCACACAGAATGTTTATGAGGTTGAAGTGAGATAATGAGTGTTATGGCATTTTTACTGAGCATTTGCTATGTGCCAACCAATGCTGCCAATAAATTGAATGTTATTTCTAGTAATTCTTATAAACCTAATTGTGCATATCCCCATGGCCTGTGCCCTCTGCCCTAAGGGTTGGATTTCTTATGGAAGTGTTTTGCTCACACCATACTTCTTGGGAAATTCCACCCCAACTCAGTGTATAATTATCAGGCAAAGCTATCTCTTCCCTCCTCATCCATTTTCTCATCTAGTAAATTGGGATGAGCGTAACAACTTGTCTGTGAAAGCTCTGGGAGAAAATTGCTATCTGGATGCAAAGTATTATTCAGGAAAAAAAACCCATCCAAAGATGATGTGTGTGAAGTGTCAAATTTTAGCTGTTTTTAACAGATACACTGATAGAAGGGGGAGACAATCCATCAAGACATTTTGAACAGCCTGAGTTGTAGAAACAGGAAAAGGTTTAGCTGCCTGCTTGAAAGCATGCCTGCTACAACTGCAGACATTGCAGCAGTAAGTCCAAGTGAAATCGGGTTCCCTGGCCCTTGCAAAGCTTTGCTGGGGTTCAGTGCTGGCACTAGCCAAAGCTGGGAAGAAACATATCTGGTGGGATGCCCTGAGGGTGCTGTGTGACATTCTGTCCAGATGGCAGACAGGCATTTATAGCAGACCTTGTACCACAGATTGAGTAATGCACCAAGAATGCAGTCTTGGTCCCATCTGCCAGGTGATGCTATGAGAAACTAAAGGAACACAGAATTTATTCCCCCTGATCCATTAAAGTGATTTTCCCAAACACATAAGCATGATTATATTTGCATGATCTGGGAGCACCGAGCCCTCTGGACTTGACAGCACATTATTACTGATGATCCTGGCTGCATGACACACTGCAGACTTGATGTTTGCCCTTGCACACTCAGACCTCAGAGAAAGGAAGGGGACCACAAAAGATAAGAAACATTATTCTCTTTTTGTGATCCTCCCACTCAGAAGCAGGAGGGCATCAGAAATCCTGGGAAAACTTGGTGGGAAGCAGGGAAGTGAATCAGGAAGTGAAATGAAGACAAAGATGGTGTGGTTGTAGAAGGCAAAAACTATAATTTAAAGAGCAAAGGGTTAAAAATTGGTACTTGAGCTCTGGGTTCTGACATTATTAGCCATGTGATCTTGAAAAAGTCAGTTAATCTTTGGGAGTGTCAGCTTTCACATCTGACAGTCCTGCCTCAGAGGGTGAGTGTACCTTGGAGCACTTTGTGAACTACGAATGCTATTCCCACATAAGGTACTAGACTGTGGTGTGGATGGTGTTAAAACTGCCCAAAGTAGCAGACACCTGCCATCTTTCTGGTTGCATACTCAACACCTAGGTCACTGCCTAGCACAGGGTGGGCACTTAATTATGTTTGAGGGACTAATGGTGCAAATCATTGAACCGCAGGAGATTAGAGTGGTAACGGGCTTGGCTGACCTGGAAGATAGAATTACCAATGACTCCAATCTGCTTCACATCTGGACAGATGGGAGGTTGAGGTCACTCTGATACATGCAGCCAAAGGAAGTCCAAATATGCACTGTTTTATAAACTTTAGTACTGCATGCATCTTTTGTAAAGATAAAAATTTATGTGGATCCACAGGACTCACTGAAATTGTTTGGTGTGTGTGTTTTAACTTAATGAAACCATCTATAAAGTCGTTATGCTTATGAATTCCCATACAATTATAAAACTAGAACAAATTTATACATTAAATCTAAATGAAGCTAAAATACAATGAAATTCAAATGTGCGTTAATGTAATGTGATGGATGATGCTGGTTTGTGAAATTAAATTGAGCCTCTAAATGTGAATAAGGTACTGAGTACTAAGGGGAAGATTATTCTGAGTGGCCATGCGATGACTCATGTCTATCACCACTTTTTAAAATTCACATCAGTGTGAAATATTTACCCTATGACATCATTGCTTTTCACTCAATAAAAATACACCATTTATATAGTACATCCTCCTGAGTTATTTTCTTCTTAGTCAGGGACAAATAAAGCAGTATTATTGACACTAAAATGAATTCATTAAAAAAATTATTTACTGGGCATCTACTATATTCCAGATACTGTTCTAGGTGCCTGGGCTGCATTATTGAACAAAACAGACAAAAATACCCCTGCCTTTGTGGAGCTTACATTGTAATGTGGGAGACAGTCAATCAACAATAAAATTAATATAGTGTGTTATAAGTTACTAAGTGTTATGAAGAAAAAATAGACAGGATAGGGAGATTTGGGAGTCAGGGGCTAGGGTATGGGTGGGTGCTGCAATTTTAAACTGTGGTGCAATTAGGCCTCATTGAGAAAGTTACATTTGATCAAAGACCTGAAAGCGGTAAGGAATAAGCTGCAGAGAGAGGGAAGAGCCAGTGCCAAGGCTGTGAGTGCATGGGAGAGGCCAGTGGGCTGGATGGCAGTAGGTGATGGAGAGAGTAATCAAGAGAGGTCACAGGGAGCCTGATCTCGTAAGCCCACTTGGGCTAATGTAAAATCTCTGGCTTTTACTCTGCGATAAAGGAGACCTCACTGGAGGACTTGAGTCAAGGCATAGCATGATGTGACTTACATTGTGGTAGTATCATTCTGGTTTTTGCATTGAGCTCAAGCTGTGGAATGGGGAGGCTGGATTAAAGATCATGGGGGAGATGATGATGCAGGGGAAAGAGGATAGCAGTTCCAAGCAAAATGATAGCAACAGAATTAGAGCTAATGGTCAGTTTCTCATATGTTATGAAGGTAGATCCAACAGGATTTCCCTTTGTCTTGAATGTGGAGTGTGAGAGGAGGAAAGGAGCTAAGCATGACTCTAAGGGTCTTGGCTTGAGCAACTAGATGAAAGGAGCTGCCATGAATTGAAATAGGGAAGACAAGTGGGCAGGGAAGATTGTAGAGGTCAGGTGTTCAGTTTTGGACATGTTAAATTTGGGAAGCTTATTAGTAGGGTGATCATATAATTTATTGTACAAACTAGGACACTTGTTACTGTATAGCAGAAAAGAGAAAACACTAATAATCATGCTGGAACAACAGGAGTCATCTAGGACCATCCCAGTCCAACCAAGACATAGGTGCAGGTGAGGAGCAGGCAGTTAGGCTGACATTCAGGTGAGCAGTGTGGGCCATGGCTAAGTGTTTGGGAGATCTCAGATTATACAAGCTTTAAAGCCATGAGATTGGATGAGATCACTAATAAATGAGTATAAATGGAGAGGAGAAGACCAAGGAGCAGAGTCAGAGCTATCAGCAGAGTAAGGGTGGGCTCACTTTCCTGTTGAGAGGTCAGGGAAAAGAAGAGGAAGCAGCAAAGCCAGTACACAGAAACTACATGTGGGCCAGAGACCAAGTGGCAAGACCAGGTCATGAAGTTTTCATCAGATCATTTAGAAAAATGCTTGGATTGATATTTTAAAGATTGCCATCAAAACGTAAACACAAAATTTAAAATTTCTTGTAGAACCACTCAGACTCCCAAGAATATTTTTGGGTTCTTGGTTTGAGAGCGAGTGCCTCAGATCAATGAGTGGCAGGCACAGATGGCTACTAGTGGCCTCAAGCCCATTGTTGGCTGCCTGGTACATCAAGATCACCGTGTGATTTTGTGGGATCCTGAAAATAACCCCTCAAGCAGAGAAAGATAGTCTCGTCTGATTTTGTCAATGTGAGAATTGAAACAGATGTTTGGTAAATTTCTTGGTCTCATTTCTTCATATTCAGGTGTCTGCCTTCTGCACATTAATTTTTTACATCTTTCTACTTTCTTTTGTTTCTTCTCACCAGCCATTCATCGTGTACCTTTTCTTTTTAAATCACTTCAGCACTTGTTAAGACTCTACTTCCACTATCCATCTTTTTATTTCTAAGTCTCTGCTCCTGATCCGTGTTAGGCCCATAAGTAAAGCTCTCACCCCCACCCCCATGGTTCTCCAGACTTAGAAGCTGGGATATCCTCCTCACATCTGACCTTAGGATGACTCTTTTCTAGGGCCCTTTTCTATGTGCCCATCTTTCTTAGAGAGGAAGCCACTTTCTCCTTGGAGGTGATGGTTTCCCCAAATGGGTCCATTATTAATGAATCATCCTATAACCTAAGATATGGGTCCTTTTATTAATGAAGAATAGAGGATTCAGAACAAAAAGACAGAGGGGCTCTCCATGTTCTTACTACACAGAGGAGTGATGTGTCTTAGCTGAGGACGCTCTGGGTTATGAGACAAGAGGCAAGAGTTACGAGACAAGAATTCCATTGGTTTGTGTCTGGCAATTTCCTTAGGGCCTCCATTTCCCTATGCTCTGGTGAGAGATTCAGAATAATATCCACTCTTCTGGAAAAGTCAGGGGGGATTATTAAGAAATAATCAAAAATCAAAAGGATATGAGATTTGGAACTGAGATTACAGTTTGGCTATTTAGACAAATATATAATCTCTTTGTGCCTCAGTTTGTTTGCTTATAAAAATGGATATTACAAAAAAAATTTCACAGCATTGTGAGAATTAAGTGGGGCAACACATAATAACATTATACACATATTAGCTGGGATTACTATTATTCTTTTCCATTTTAATACATTGGGCAAACTTTACTAGATTTGTTGTAGCAGGAGATCCAGAAGTAGCCAGAGAAATACTCAGGAGCAGAGTGCCAGGATTTCTTCTGTTGTGTCACTGTGGAAATGCTCACCTAATAGACTTATTCTCTGAGTTGGTAATTTTAATTTTTAGCTCTGCTGGTGAATACAGAAATTTACTTTCTCTGAGTTCAAGAAAAGCTCACTACTTATTAGTTTTATTGTTTCCTTCCACCTGAGTCTGAACCTGATTGAGTTAACATTTGATTAGACAATACCTTCCATTTGTAGAATTATATTCATTTATTTAGTCAACAAATGTTTATGGAATTTTGGCAATGTGCTAGACAGTGGGGCACACAAAACTGAATCAGGCTAGAAAACGCACTCCAAGGAGCTTATGGTCAAGTGGCAAAGACAACTACTGTCAGTCATTAAGGTAAAATGAAGAAAGTGCCATAACAATGGCATCAATGATATGCAGTGGGTATGAGAGTAAATGAGTGGTATTTTGGCTAAAGCACTTCAGAAAAGTTTTGCTGAGGAGATGATAGGGGACATTGCAGGAGGCAGAGCTGGGGGAAAGGGGAAGGAGGAGGGTTCAGACAAGGCACTGGAATAGGGAACAAATCAGTGTTGCATGAGTATAGTACCTGTGAGAGAGGGGGGTGGGGGAGGGAGAAAAGAGAGGCATGGAGGAAAGAAGGGCGGGTCGGTGATGTGCTTATTAAATAAATAAGCAGTAGAGACAAAATGTCTTTTGCCTTTCACGTCTCAGTTTCTCCTGAGACTCTGACAATTCATCTACTTTTGCAAACTTCATTCTGGTGCTGCTGGCTATATGCCGAGCACTGGCTGGATGCTCAGAATAAAAACAAGAATGAGACGTTGGGATTAACAAGGCCATTCAGAATCTTGATTTCAAGCACAAAGTCAATCCTTTCAACTAATTTACTCAAGTGTTACCTCTTATCCCATTAAGATCACTAACCCATAGGCCCTATTAGTTTTTCCACCTTCCTCACCCTCATCTTATCATCCATCAGTTCCTTTTCACCTGGATTCCATATTCTAGTATCATAGTCACTCCTTCATAAAAATTCTTAACTTTTCTCCCACCCCCTATAGTAAACAGCTGGCAAAGTTTCAATAGTCCATTTACTTGATGCCTACACTGGAAAAGAAAGAGAGAGAGGAAGGAAGGAAGGAAGGAAAGAAGGAAGGGAGGGAGGGAGGGAAGGGAAGGGAGGAAAAAGGAGTAAGAAAGAAAATAAGGAAGAAATGAAAAAAGGAAGAAAGGGAAAGAAAATACACAACTTGTTGCTTGCTGGATAGCTTTAAATTTTTTACCACAAATCTCAAAAGAATACTTTACATTGGCCAGACAACCCAACTACATCTTTCTAAATGAAAAAATTCACTTTTCCACTCTCTGAGATGACTACTTTACACTTTTTTCCTTTCTCTCTAATCTCTGCCACCATCCCACAGCTGATGGTCCTGCTTTGAAGACACAGCTGGAAAAAAAATTAGGTCTTTATTTTAGACATTCTTACAAGCCACTGCATCTGTAGGCATATACTTTGCCTTCCAAAGTATACTCTCCTTTGGTAAGTACATTGATATGTTATTTTTCCAATAAATTTTTTTTCTTGGAAGAAGTAGCTTCCTGTGTGACTTTGGAGAAGTGTCTTAGCTTCTGAGTCTCAATTTTCTTATATGTACAATGGGGATAACAACCTGCCCTGCCTACCTCACAGAATTATTGAGGGGATCAAATGTGTTGGTGGAATTGGAAGCACTTTGCAAAGCATGAAAACACTACAGAGGGACATGATATGACAGAATAACTAGGGGGCCACGTCTTTTGATTTGAGATAGTAAATAGTAGGCCATATAGGTATTCATTTCAAATGGCTCAAATTAAGAAACGTGAATGAAAGGACTGGCTACAGAGATGTAGACAGGGTTAAAGTAACATAAAAGAGACCACTGAGGCACCATTAGCCACAGTGGGAGCCAGTTACTTCCCCAAGACCCCAGGGGCAAGGGGAAGATGTAGTATTACTGGAACTCAATCAGAGTTTGCTGGGAGTGGAACGGCCTTGGGGGAGCAGTAGCTCTGGAAGCGTGCAGCTCCTGCCCCGGGACTTGATGGTGAAGCAGGATGGGAGGGGAGAGGAATACCTCTCTCCTGTACCCTCTGACCTGCTGCTGACTGTTGGCCAATTCCAATAAAAGCCAGAAGGAAGATAGCCTAGGCCTGTAGTCCACAGAGTCAACCTCTGGGTCACAAAGCAGGGCCAGAGAAGGGAGGGGAATGGGGAACGGGAAGTTAGCAAATAGAGAATTATCAGCACAGAAACCATTCTCTGAGGGAAGTGCTATACAGTATTTCAATTAGGAGACTGCAATAGTGAAAACTGGAATTAAAAATGGAAACATTGATAGGATGGACTGTTCAACCTTCCTCCTTGCCTGTGTATTCAGAATTTATATTTTCCCCTGTGAAGTGGGTGGCTCAGAGGTGAGCTTGCAGCCCAGTAGGCCCCTGGGCTCAACCTGCAATGCAGAATTTGAAATAATTGATTTAATTCGTGGACCATGCTAGGAGCTCAGAGAAGGAAATGTGAGCAACTTTCCTACTTACTATTTTTCTATCGCTTACCTGAAAACCATTCTTTCCCTTTCTTCCTTTCCTCTCTTTTCTTTTGTCTTTTGAAAAGGGCACAGTTATTGAATAATTGTTAGCACATAGCATGCATTTGATGCTCTCCCTGGAGATTTTGGTCTTTACTTGGTAACAGTCAATCAGCACGTTTTCCTCTCAACAATATTAACATCCAAGATGGTGAGATAAACAAGCTCATTAAAAAGCAAGTTGTTACATGAAGCAAACACCTTAAACTAATAAAGCTTGGCATCCTCTGTGGTACACCCAGGGAAACGGTATTAGCAGTCTTGATAGCAGTCTGCATTTAAGAAAAAGGCCCAGAAGGCAGCCAGTTTATCCTGTAGAAATATTCAGGAACCTCATCCATTCATGATGCCATGAGGAAATGCTAGGCCTGCATGCTCAGAGGGAAAATGTTCAGATGGCATGCTTATAGGAGGCTCTTTTCATTCCTTTAAGGGAACTTTTTCCATTTATTCAATGCATTTATTGAGTAACTGTGAGATGCACTGTGCTGGCAACTAGGCATATAAGGATGAGTAAGATGCCATCCCAGCCATGAAAGGGTTCACATTCTGCTGGATGAGATACTGATGGGTAAACAGACCCAGGTCTAGAGAGTTAAGTGCACTGATAGAGATAAGCCCAGAGGAAGCCTGTAAGAACATAAAGAAGGTGTAATCAGATCCAGTTAAGGCTGGGGAAGAGGATGGAGACAACTCTTCAGGGCCTATGCCTTTCTTATTTATTCAAGGAACAGTGAATATAGCATCACACATGTAGTTCTAAGAGTTTTGATGGCCTGGACTTCCATTTACTTGGAGGCTCACTGAACCAGTGGGCAAACTATTCTACTGGAGACCATACAACTTGATGCAATTTGGAAGGTGATGCCTACCCCCAGGCCTGCAGCCGTCTCCAGGTGGGTGGAAAGCCTCAGCATGCACATAACACCCATGCTGGCCCATGGGGTCATGGGTGAATAACTGGCTGCAATAGTTAGGCATCCCAGGAGGGCAGGACACTGAGGCTTGACCTGGGATGAAAAGGGATTGGGGGAGGAATGGGGTTTGCAGTGGTGAAAATGAGATTTGTAGGTTTCTGTCTAAACTGCTCCGATTGAAGAGAAATTTTGGAGCTACAAGGCCTACCTCCCCTCAAGGAAGGCTAGGACCCATTTGACCTTGGAGAAGGATAGCTCTTCCATATCTAAAAAGCAGGGAGTATGAGGGAGAAATCTAACGTTTGTCAAGTACATATTACATATTCTGCAATTCTGATTGATGTTAAGCTCAATTAATTTTCCCACATTCCCATGAAAGAAGGGTTTCCCCGCTGCTGCTTTTAAATCTCTATCTTAGAGAAAGAAATTTAAGGTTGCAGGGAGTTTAAGGAAGTGGACCCAGGCACTGAGGAGATTAGTGGTGGGAAGGATTTGAATCAAGGTCTGGCTGACCCTCCTATCCCACCTCCCACAGATCCTGACTTGAGTCTGAGTGGCATCCTGGCTCAGAGCTTTTCTCTAAGGTAGCTGCAGCTCCCAATATATCCTTAGAGTATCACTTGGTTGGGTGGTAAAGAATGAAACTGAGTCAGCATGTGGTTTAGCTGGCCTGTCCCTGTCTCTGTGTGGGGACTCAGAATGGTTGAGACAGACCCATCTGGTTCTGGAGCACCCTTAGGAGACCAGTTAAGGAAGGAACAGCACTTTCCTTGTTCTCAGAGTCAATTTAGAAAGAAAAGAGTCATGAAACAGCCACGTTCCTGTGTAATATTTTTGCTAATTAACCTCCAAAGAGAGCCGTGATGTTGGCTAATTTTTAAAGAAAATATTCTTTTTCACCTGTACTTTTGTAAGCTGGAGTTTATTCTATTGATCTCTTTTGAGGGCATGAGATTAATATTCCCTAGTAGGGTGTGTGAGGCTTGTGCCTGTCTTTCTGTCTACCATTATTCCCACAGCATTGAGCACACTGCCCGGTGGGTGCCCAGTAAGTATTTGTTGAATTGATGAATTCCAGAAGCAACTGGAAAAGGCTCTCAGTAGTACCATCTTTGAGCTCACCACTGGGCTCTCCCCAGGTCATTTCTGGGTTAGGGTGGAAAGAATGGGATCAGTGGAATCTAGTGTAAATTGTTACTGGTGGAAATAGAAACATGGCATTGCTGGGTACTGCTACCCACCCCCTGCCCCCAACCCCGCACTATGTCTCCCCTTTGTGCCTTCTTCCTCTTTAATGCACCCCGTGGAGGAAGGGAGGCAAACTGAGAAAAAAAAATCCCTGATAAAAGGCAGGAAGTGATAATAAGTGGAAGAAGTGGTGGAGCAAAGGCTATAGGAGGTGTAAGGGAGGGAGAAATCCATTCTAAATGAGATGGGATTTCATGAAGTGTTATGATGGCAGCTCCTATAGCCAAAAGACAGAAGCAAAGCAAAACAAAACAAAACAAACAAACAAGAAGCATTTTGGGAGTCTGAGATTACAGTCTGGCTTTCCTGTGACCTTGAGTAAGTCTTGTGCCCTTGGTGGCCTCAGCTTCCTCATCTGCTGTGCGAGAGGATGAACAAGCTGGGCTAGTCCACAAGATAGTTTCTTTTTTCTCCAATTTATTTTTAAATTTACACAACGTAAAATTCACTTTTTGTTGTATAGTTCTCTATGACTTTTGGCAAATGCGTAGAGTTGTGTAGCTTTTCCCAAAATTCTTTCATGGTGTTCTTCTACTGTGAACCCCTCCCTCATAGTCCTATTGTCTTTTCTCTCCCAGAATGTCATGAATTGAACCTCCAGTACATAGCCTTCTGGGTCTGGTTTGTTTCACTTAACATAATGCATTTGGGATTTATCCATGTTATAACATGTCACAGTACTACATTCCTTTCTGTTGCTGAGTAGTATTCTATGTATGTACATACCAATTGTTTATGTATTTGCCGGTTAAAGATTAGGCTGATTCCAGTTTTTGTCAATTATGAATAAGGCTGCTGAAAACATTCACACACAGATTTTTTTGTGAATACAAGGTTTTATTTTTCCTGGAGTAGCAGTGGAATGCCTGGGTCTTACAGTAAATACATGCTGAATTTTATAATAAACAAAAACTCTTTTTCAATATGGCTGTATCATTTTTCACTCCCAACAGCAACATTTGAGTTTCAATTGCTCCATATCCTTGCTAGCACTTGGCATTTTCAGTTTATTTTATTTTACTTGTTCTAATAGGTATGCACTGGTAGTGTGGTTTCTATTTGCATTTCTCTAATGATTAATGGTGCTCAACATGTTTTCTTGTGCTTATTTGCCATACATATATTTTCTTTTGTGATGTGCCTGTTTAGATATTTTGCTCCTTATATTTTCCAACTGGGTTGCTTGTTTTCTTGCTATTTAGTTTGAGAGCTGCGCATATATATTGGACACAAGTTCTTTGTCAGATATGTGATTTGCAAATATTTTCTCCTATTCTGTGGTGTATGTTTTTTAATCATTTTCTTAAGAGTATCCTTTACAGAGCAAAGGTTTTTAAAATTTTGAGGAAGTCCAATTTATCATTTTTTTGTTTTATGGATCAGGCTTTTTGTCATATCTAAGGATTCTTTGCCTAATTAAGATCACAGGGATATTTTTTCATGTTTTCTTTTAAAAGTCTTATAGCTTTATATTTCACATTCAGGTCTGTGATATATTTTGACTTAATCTTTCTGCAATGTGTGACCAGCAGCCCCTCTTCTTCCTCCTCCTCTTCTTCTTCCCCTTCCTCCTCTTCCTCCTCCTCCTCCTCCTTTGCATTTGTTGAAAATATTATGCTTTCTCCAGTGATTTGTCCACACATTTTTGTCAAAATTCAATTGACCATATTTGTGTGTTTTCATTTTTGGACTTTCTATTCTGTTTCACTGATTTGTTTATATATCTTTCAGTCATTAGGACATTGTTTGGTTATTTTTGCTTTATAATAAATCTTGAAGTAAAGTAATGTGTGTACTCCAACTTTGTTCTTCCCCCAACTCCTAAAATTGTTTTGGCTCTTCTAGTTACTTTGCCTTTCCCTATAAATTTTGGAATCATCTTGTTGATTTTTATAAACACCTACTGGGACTTTAATTAGGATTTTATTGAATCCATAGATGAATTTGGATCTATAGATTCAATAAAACATCTCAATAATATTGTTTCCTCATTCATGAAAATAGTCACTTATTACTTCCTGACTTTTATCTGTCCATTTATTTAGGTCTTTCTTCAATTTCTTTCATCAGTATTTTATAGTTTTCACATATATTTCCTGTGCAGTTTCCCTGAACATATTTTGTTCGACTTATACTTACGCATTTCATTTATTTTGGCACTGTTGCAAACATGACTCTTTTACTTAAAAAAATTAGATTTCTAATTACTCATTCCTAGAAAATAAAAATATTGGTAACATTTTTATCAGTTGATTTTTATATAGTGGCCTTATGTCCTGCAACATTGGCAAACCCACTTATTACTTTCATGATTCTTTTGTAGGTTGTTTCAGATGGTTTTTTCTTTCAATATTTTGCCTAGTTTTGATGTCAGCATAATGCTGATATAAAAGAAGGGTCTTAAATTATATAAGTATCTACTTTAAGAAACCAGAAAAAGAGCAACTTGAACCCAAAGCAAGTGACAGAAAGAAAATAATAAAGATAAAAGCAGAAATCAGTAAAACTGAAATGAGAAAAACAAATAAAATCAGTGAAGTGTTGGAGTATTTTACATTTCACATTCAGGTCTACAGGCTATTTTGACTTAATCTTAAAATACATAAATGTATTTTACATTTTTTTGGGTAAAATACACAGGTATTTTGTAAAAAAAATACAAAAATACATTTATGTATTTACAAAAGAAATAAGATATCAATTCTATATAATCTCAGAAATGCAAAGAGGTGAGAGCACTTCCCAACTCATTTTATGTATTTTGTGTAAAATCTTCATTCATTTCATTTCATTCAAGGTTTGAAAATTATGGATATAAAGTTGTTATGGTCTTTTCTTTCTTAAAATTAATTAATTCATTCATTATTATACTTTGAGTTCTGGGATACATGTGCAGAACGTGCAGGATTGTTACATAGGTATACATGTGCAATGGTGGTTTGTTGCACCCATCAACCTGTCATCTACATTAGGTATTTATCCTAATGCCATCCCTCCCCTTGGCCCCACCCCCTGACAGGTACCAATGTATGATGTTCCCCTCCCTGTGTTCTTATGTTCTCATTGTTCGGTTCCCACTTATGGGTGAGAACACATGGTGTTTGGTTTTCTGTTGCTGTGTTAGTTTGCTGAGAATGATGGTTTCCAGCTTCGTCCATGTCCCTGCAAAAGACATGACTTTATCTTTTTTTTGGCTGCATAGCATTCCATGGTGTATATATGCCACATTTTCTTTATCCAGTCTATGACTGATGGGCATTTGGGTTGGTTCCAAGTCTTTGCTACTGTGAATAGTGCTGCAATAAACATACATGTGCATGTGTCTTTATAATAGAATGATTTATAATCCTTTGGGTATATAGCCAGTAATGGGATTGCTGGGTCAAATGGTATTTCTGGTTCTACATCCTTAAGGAATCGCCACACTGCCTTCCACAACAGTTGAAATAATTTACACTCCCACCAACCATGTAAAAACATTCCTATTTCTCCACATCCTCTCCAGCGTCTGTTGTTTCCTGACTTTTTAATGATCGCCATTCTAACGGGCATGAGATGGTATCTCATTGTGATTTGATTTGCAGTTCTCTAATGACCAGTGATGATGAGCTATTTTTCATATGTTTCTTGGCTGCATAAATGTCTTCCTTTGAGAAGTGTCTGTTCATATCCTTCACCCACTTTTTGATGGGGTTGTTTGTTTTTTTTCTTGTAAATTTATTTAAGTTTCTTGTAGATTCTGAATATTAGCCCTTTGTCAGATGAGTAGATTGCAAAAATTTTCTCCCATTCTGTAGGTTACTTGTTCACTCTGATGACAGTTTCTTTTTCTGTGCAGAAGCTCTTTAGTTTAATTAGATCCCATTTGTCAATTTTGGCTTTTGTTGCCATTGCTTTTTGTGTTTTAGTCATGAAGTCTTTGTCCATACCTATGTCATGAATGGTATTGCCTAGGTTTTCTTCTAGGGTTTTTATGATTTTAGGTCTTACATTTAAGTCTTTAATCCATCTTGAGTTAATTTTTGCATAAGGTGTAAGGAAGGGGTCCAGTTTCAGTTTTCTGCATATGGCTAGCCGGTTTTCCCAACAACAATTATTAAATAGGAATCGTTTCCCCATTGCTTGTTTTTGTTAGGTTTGTTGAATATCAGATAATTGTGGATATGTGGTGGTATTTCTGAGTCTCTGTTTTGTTCCATTGGTCTATATATCTGTTTTGGTACCAGTACCATGCTGTTTTGGTTACTGTAGCCTTATAGTATAGTTTGAAGTCAGGTAGCTTGATGCCTCCAGCTTTGTTCTTTTTGCTTAGATTGTCCTGCCTATCTGGGCTCTTTTTTGCTTCCATATTAAATTTAAAGTAGTTTTTTTCTTATTCTGTGCAGAAAGTCAATGGTAGCTTGATGGGGATAGCATTGAATCTATAAATTACTTTGGGCAGTATGGCCATTTTCATGATATTGATTCTTCCTATCCATGATCATGGAATGTTTTTCCATTTGTTTGTGTCCTCTATTATTTTGTTGAGCACTGGTTTGTAGTTCTCCTTGAAGAGGCCCCTCACATTCCAATTGTGAATGGGAGTTCACTCATGATTTGGCTCTCTGTTTGTCTACTATTGGTGTATAGGAATGCTTGTGATTTTTGCACATTGATTTTTTTTAAATTATACTTTAAGTTTTAGGGTGCATGTGCACAACATGCAGGTTTGTTACATATGTATACATGTGCCATGTTGGTGTGCTGCACCCATTAACTCGTCATTTAACATTAGGTATATCTCCTAATGCTATCCCTCCCCCCTCCCCCCACCCCACAACAGTCCCCAGAGTGTGATGTTCCCCTTCCTGTGTCCATGTGTTATCATTGTTCAATTCCCACCTATGAGTGAGAACATGCGGTGTTTGGTTTTTTGTCCTTGCGATAGTTTGCTGAGAATGATGTTTTCCATCTTCATCCATGTCCCTACAAAGGACATGAACTCATCATTTTTATGGCTGCATAGTATTCCATGTTGTATATGTGCCACATTTTCTTAATCCAGTCTATCATTGTTGGACATTTGGCTTGGTTCCAAGTCTTTGCTATTGTGAATAGTGCCGCAATAAACACACATGTGCATGTGTCTTTGTAGCAGTGTGATTTATAATCCTTTGGGTATATACCCAGTAATGGGATGGCTGGGCCAAATGGTATTTCTAGTTCTAGATCCCTGAGGAATCGCCACACTGACTTCCACAATGGTTGAACTAGTTTACAGTCCCACCAACAGTGTCAAAGTGTTCCTATTTCTCCACATCCTCTCCAGCACCTGTTGTTTCCTGACTTTTTAATGATCGCCATTGTAACTGGTGTGAGATGGTATCTCATTGTGGTTTTGATTTGCATTTCTCTGATGGCCAGTGATGATGAGCATTTTTTCACGTGTCTTCTGGCTGCATAAATGTCTTCTTCTGAGAAGTGTCTGTTCATATCCTTCGCCCAATTGTTGATGCAGTTGTTTTTTTCTTGTAAATTTGTTTGAGTTCTTTGTAGATTCTGGATATTAGCCCTTTGTCAGATGAGTAGATTGCAAAAATTTTCTGCCATTCTGTAGGTTGCCTGTTCACTCTGATGGTAGTTTCTTTTGCTGTGCAGAAGCTCTTTAGTTTAATCAGATCCCATTTGTCAATTTTGGCTTTTGTTGCCATTGCTTTTGATGTTTTAGACATGAAATCCTTGCCCATGCCTATGTCCTGAATGGTATTGCCTAGGTTTTCTTCTAGGGTTTTTATGGTTTTAGGTCTAACATGTAAGTCTTTAATCCATCTTGAATCAATTTTTGTATAAGGTGTAAGGAAGGGATCCAGTTTCAGCTTTCTACATATGGCTAGCCAGTTTTCCCAGCACCATTCATTAAATAGGGAATCCTTTCCCCATATCTTGTTTTTGTCATGTTTGTCAAAGATCAGATAGTTGTAGATGTGTGGTATTATTTCTGAGGGCTCTGTTGTGTTCCATTGGTCTGTATCTCTGTTTTGGCCCCAGTAGTGCACATCGATTTTGTATCATGAGAATTTGCTGAAGTTGCTTATCAGCTTAAGGAGATTTTGGGCTGAGAAAATGGGGTTTTCTAAATATACAATTATGTCATCTGCAAAGAGAGACAATTTGACTTCCTCTCTTCTTATCTGAATATCCTTTATTTCTTTCTCTTTCCTGATTGCTCCAGACAGAACTTCCAATACTATGTAGAATAGGAGTGGTGAGAGAGGTCATCCTTGTCATGTGCCTGTTTTCAAACAGAATACTTCCAGTTTTTGCACATTCAGTATGATATTGGCTCTGAGTTTGTCATAAATAGCTCTTATTATTTTGAGATATGTTCCATCAATACCTAGTTTATTGAGAGTTTTTAGTATGAAGGGATGTTGAATTATATCAAAGACCTTTTCTGCATGTATTGAGATAATCATGTGGTTTTTGTCTTTGGTTCTGTTTATGTGATGGATTACATTTATTGATTTGCATTTGTTGAACCAGTCTTGCATCCCAGGGATGAAGCTGACTTGATTGTGGTGGATAAGGTTTTTGATGTGCTGCTGGATTTGGTTTCCTAGTATTTTATTGAGGATCTTTGCATCGATGTTCATCAGTGATATTGGCCTGAAATTTTCTTTTTTTATTGTTGTTGTGTCTCTGCCAGGTTTTGGTATCAGGATGATGCTGGCCTCATAAAACGAGTTAGGGAGGAGTTCCTCTTTTTCTATTGTTTGGAATAGTTTCAGAAGGAATGGTACCAGCTCCTCTTTGTACCTCTGGTAGAATTTGGCTGTGAGTCCATCTTGTCTTGGGCTTTTTTTTTAGTTGGCAGGCTATTAATTACTGCTTCAATTTCAGAGCTTGTTGTTGGTGTACTCAGGGATTCAACTTCTTCCTGGTTTAGTCTTGGGAGGGTGTATGCGTCCAGGAATTTATTCATTTCTTCTAGATTTTCTAGTTTATTTGTGTAAAGGTGTTTACAGTATTCTCTGATGGTAGTTTGTATTTCTGTGGGAAGAGTGGTGATATCCCTTTTATCACTTTTTTTTTTCTTTTTGAGATGGATTCTTACACTGTTGCCTGGGCTGAAGTGCAGTGGCACGATCTCAGTTCACTGCTACCCCTGCCTCCCCAGTTCAAGAAATTCTCCTGCCTCACCCTCCTGAGTAGCTAGTATTACAGGCACCTGCCACCACGCCCAGCTAATTTTTTGTATTTTTAGTGGAATGAGGTTTCACCATGTTGGCCAGGCTGGTCTCAAACTCCCGACCTCATGATTCACCTGCCTCAGCCTCCTAAAGTGCTGGGATTACAGACGTGAGTCACTGAGCCTGGCCATCATTTTTTATTGTGTCTATTTGATTCTTCTCTCTTTTCTTCTTTATTAGTCTGGCTACTGGTCTATTTTATTAATCTTTTCAAAAAAACAGCTCCTGGATTCATTGATTTTTGGAGGGTTTTTCATTTCTTATCTCCTTCAGTTCTGCTCTGATCCTAGTTATTTCTTCTCTTCTGCTAGTTTTTGAATTTATTTTTTCTTGCTTCTCTAGTTTTTCTAATTGTGATGTTAGGGTGTCAATTTTACATCTTTCCTGGTTTTGCATGTGGACATTTAGTGCTATAAATTTCCCTCTAAACACTGCTTTAGCTGTGTCCCAGAGATTCTAGTATGTTGTGTCTTTGTACTCATTGGTTCCAAAGAACGTATTTATTTCTGCCTTAATTTCATTATTTACCCAGTAGTCGTTCAGGAGCAGACTCTTCAGTTTCCATGTAGTTTTGCAGTTTTGAGGGAGTTTCTTAATCCTGAGTTCAAATTTGATTGCACTGTGCTCTGAGACACTGTTTGTTATGATATCCGTGCTTTTGCATTTGCTGAGGAGTGTTTTACTTCCAATTATGTCATCAATTTCAGAATAAGTGTGATGTGGTACTCAGAAGAATGTACATTCTGTTGACTTGGGGTGGAGAGTTCTGTAGATGTCTATTAGATCTGCTTGGTCCAGAGTTGAGTTCAAGTCCTGAATATACTTGTTAATTTTCTGTCTCATTGATCTGTTTAATATTAACAGTGGGGTGTTAAAGTCTCCCACTATTATTGTGTGGGAGTCTAAGTCTCTTCGTAGGTCCCTAAGAACTTGCTTTATGAATCTGGGTGCTCCTGTATTGGGTGCATATATATTGAGAATAGTTAACTCTTTTTGTTGCATTGATCCCTTTACCATTATGTAATGCCCTTCTTTGTCCTTTTTGATCTTTGTTGGTTTAAAGTTTGTTTTATCAGAGACTAGGATTGCAGCCCCTGCTTTTTTTGCTTTCCATTTGCTTGGTAAATATTCCTCCATCCCTTTATTTTGAGCCTATATGTGTCTTTGTATGTGAGATGGGTCTCCTGAATACAGCGCATCAATGAGTCTTGACTCTTTATCCAATTTGCCAGTCTGTGTCTTTTAATTGGGGGCATTTAGCCCATTTACATTTAATGCTAATATTGTTCTGTGTGAATTTGATCCTGTTATTATGATGCTAGCTGGTTATTTTGCCCATTAGTTGATGCAGTTTCTTCATAGTGTTGATGGTCTTTACAATTTGGTATGTTTTTGCAGTGGCTGGTACTGGCTTTTCCTTTCCATATTTAGTGCCTCCTTCAGTAGCTCTTATAAAGCAGACCTGGTGGTGACAAAATCTCTCAGCATTTGCTTGTCTGAAAAGGATTTTATTTCTCCTTTACTTATGAAACTTAGTTTGGCTGGATATGAAATTTTGGGCTGAAAATTCTATTCTTTAAGAATGTTGAATATTGGCCTCACTCTCCTCTGGCTTGTAGGGTTTCTACAAATAGATCTGCTGTTAGTCTGATGGGCTTCTTTTTGTCGGTAACCTGAACTTTCTCTCTTGCTATCCTTAGTATTTTTTCTTCAACTTTGGTGATTTTGATGATTGTGTGTCTTGGGGTCGCTCTTCTCGAGGAGTATCTTGGTGGCAGTCTCTGTATTTCCTGAATTTGAATGTTAGCCTTTCTTGCCAGATTGGGAAGTTCTCCAGATGATATCCCGAAGTGTGTTTTCCAACTTGTTTCCATTCTCACTGTCACTTTCAGGTACGCCAATCAACCATGGATTTGGTCTTTTCACATAGTCTTATCTATCTTTAAGGCTTTGTTCATTCTTTTTCATTCTTTTTTCTCTAATCTTGTCTTCATGCTTTATTTCATTAAGTTGATCTTCAATCTCTGATATCCTTTCTTCTGTTTGATCGATTCAGCTATTGGTACTTTTATATGCTTCACGAAGTTCTTGTGCTGTTTTTTTCAGCTCCATCAGGTCATTTATGTTCTTCTCTAAACTGGTTATTCTAGTTGGCAATTCCTTTATCCTTTTATCAAGGCTCTTAACTTCCTTGAATTGGGTTAGAACATGCTCCTTTAGCTCAGAGGAGTTATTACCCACCTTCTGAAGCCTACTTCTGTCAATTCGTCAAACTCATTCTCAGTCCAGTTTTGTTCTCTTGCTGGTGAAGGGTTGTGATCCTTTGGGGGAGAAGAGGCGTTCTGGTTTTTGGAATTTTCAGCCTTTTTGGGCTGGTTTTTCCTCATCTTCATGGATTTATCTACCTTTGGTCTTTGATGCTGAGGACCTTTGGATGGGGTTTTTGCATGGGTGTCCTTTTTGTTGATGTTTATGCTATTGCTTTCTGTTAGTTTTCCTTCTAACAGTCAGGCCCCTCTTCAAAAGGTCTGCTGGAGTTTGTTGGAGGTGCACTCCAGACCCAGTTTGCCTGGTTATCACCAGCAGAGGCTGCAGAACAGCAAAGATTGCTGCCTGCTCTTTCCTCTGGAAGATTCATTCCAGAGCGGCACCTGCCAGATGCCAGTCGGAGCTCTCCTGTATGATGTGTCTCTTGACCCCTGCTGGGAGGTATCTCCCAGTCAGGAGGCACGGGGGTCAGGGACTCACTTGAGGAGGCAGTCTGTCTGTTAGCAGAGCTCGATCACTGTTCTCTTCAGAGCTGGCAGGCAGGAACATTTAAATCTGCTGAAGCTGTGCACACAGCTGCCTCTTCCCCCAGGTGCTCTGTCACAGGGAGATGAGAGTTTTATCTACAAGCCCCTGACTGGGGTTTCTGCCTTTCTTTCAGAAATGCCCTGCCCAGAGAGGAGGAATCTAGAGAGGCAGTCTGGCTACAGTGGCTTTGCAGAGCTGTGGTGGGCTCCACCCAGTGTGAACTTTCTGATGGCTTTGTTTACACTGTGAGGGGAAAACAGCCTACTCAAATGTCAGCAATGGCCCCTTCCCCCACCAAGCTAGAGAGTCCAAGGTCAACTTCAGACTGCTGTGCTGGCAGTTAGAATTTCAAGCCAGTGGATCTTAGCTCGCTGGGCTCTGTGGGGGTGGAACCCGCTGAGCAAGACCCCTTGGCTCTCTGGCTTCAGCCTCCTTTCCAGGGGAGTGAATGGTTCTGTCTCATTGGGGTTCCAGGCACCAGCGGGGGTATGGAAAAAAAAAAACTACTGCAGCTAGCTTGGTGTCTGCTCAAACGGCCACCCAGTTTTGTGCTTGAAACCCAGGGCCCTGGTGGTGTAGGCACCCGAGTGAATCTCCTGGTCTGTGGGTTGCAAAAACTGGGGGAAAAGCATAGTATCTGGGCCAGATAGCACCTTCCCTCACGACACAGTCCCCCACAGCTTCCCTTGGCTAGTAGAGGGAGTTTCACAACCCCTTGCACTTCTCAGGTGAGGCGAAGCCCCACTCTGCTTCTGCTCGCCCTCAATGGGCTGCACCCACTGTCTAACCAGTCCCAGTGAGATGAACTGAATACTTTAGTTGGAAATGCAGAAATCACCTGCCTTCTGCATTGGTCTTCCTGGAAGCTGCAGACCAGAGCTGTTCCTATTCAGCCATCTTGCCAGAATCCCCCTATGGTCTTATTATCTTTTTGGTGTATGTGGGATCTGTAGTGATGTCCTCCCCGCTTTCACTCCTGATATTGGTAATTTGTGTTTTCTCTTTTTTCTCGGTCAATGTGGCTAAAAGATTATTCATTTTATTGATCTTTTTAGAAAACTAGTATTTGGTTTCATTGATTCAAGTTTCTCTCATTGAATTCTGCCTTTTTTATTTTTTTTAGATAGAGTTTCACTCTTGTCACCCAGGCTGGAGTGCAATGGTAGGATCTCAGCTCACTGAAACTTCTGCCTCCTGGGTTCAAGCAATTCTCCTGCTTAAGCCTCCTGAGTAGCTGGGATTGATTACAGGCACCCACCACCATACCCAGCTAATTTTTGTATTTTTGTAGAGATGGAGTTTCACCATGTTGGCCAGGCTAGTCTTAAACTCCTGACCTCAGGCGATCTACATGCCTCAGCCTCCAAAATTGCTGGGATTACAGGCCTGAGCCACCATGTCCAGCCTGATATCTGCTTTCATCTTTATGATTTTCTTTCTGTTACTTGCTTTGCGTTCAAATTGTTCTTTTTTGTGGTTTCCTTTTTTTTTTTTTGAGACGGAGTCATGCTCTGTCACCCAGGCTGGAGTGCAGTAGCACGATCTCGGCTCACTGCAAGCTCCACCTCCCGAGTTCACACCATTCTCTTGCCTCAGCCTCTTGAGTAGCTGGGACTACAGGCACCTGCCACCATGCTTGACTAATTTTTTGTATTTTCTAGTAAAGATGGGTTTTCACATGTTAGCTAGAATGGTCTCGATCTTCTGACCTTGTGATCCTCCTGCCTTGGCCTCCCAAAGTGCTGGGATTACAGGCATGAGCCACTGCACCTGGCCTGTGGTTTCTTAAAGTAGATACTTATATGATTTAGGACCTTCTTTTTCTATATAAATATTTAATTTTTTTAAATTATTATACTTTAAGTTTTAGGGTACATGTGCACAATGTGCAGGTTTGTTACATATGTATACATTTGCCGTGTTGGTGTGCTACACCGATTAACTCATCATTTAACATTAGGTATATCTCCTAAGGCTATCCCTCCCCCTCCCCCCACCCCACAACAGGCCCTGGTGTGTGATGTTCCCCTTCCTGTGTCCATGTGTTCTCATTGTTCAATTCCCACCTATGAGTGAGAACATGCGGTGTTTGGTTTTTTGTCCTTGCCATAGTTTGCTGAGAATGATGGGTTCCATCTTCATCCATGTCCCTATAAAGGACATGAACTCATCATTTTTTATGGCCTCATAGTATTCCATGATGTATATGTGCCACATTTTCTTAATCCAGTTTATCATTGTTGGACATTTGGCTTGGTTCCAAGTCTTTGCTATTGTGAATAGTGCCACAATAAACATATGTGTGCATGTGTCTTTATAGCAGCATGATTTATAGTCCTCTGGGTATATACCCAGTAATGGGATGGCTGGGTCAAATGGTATTTCTAGTTCTAGATCCCTGAGGAATTGCCACACTGACTTCCACAATGATTGAACTAGTTTACAGTCCCAACAACAGTGTAAAAGTGTTCCTATTTCTCCACATCCTCTCCAGCACCTGTTGTTTCCTGACTTTTTAATGATCGCCATTGTAACTGGTGTGAGATGGTATCTCATTGTGGTTTTGATTTGCATTTCTCTGATCACCAGTGATGATGAGCATTTTTTCACGTGTATTTTGGCTGCATAAATGTCTTCTTTTGAGAAATGTCTGTTCATATCCTTCGCCCAATTGTTGATGGGGTTGTTTGATTTTTTCTTGTAAATTTGTTTGTGTTCTTTGTAGATTCTGGATATTAGCCCTTTGTCAGATAAGTAGATTGCAAAAATTTTCTGCCATTCTGTAGGTTGCCTGTTCACTCTGATGGTAGTTTCTTTTGCTGTGCAGAAGCTCTTT
Source organism: Homo sapiens (assembly GCF_000001405.40). NCBI lineage: Eukaryota > Metazoa > Chordata > Mammalia > Primates > Hominidae > Homo > Homo sapiens. The sequence continues at coordinate 166,412,297 of NC_000001.11, forward strand.
AGTTTAATTAGATCCCATTTTTCTATGTTGGTTTTGTTGCCATTGCTTTTGGTGTTTTAGACATGAAGTCCTTGCCCATGCCTATGTCCTGAATGGTATTGCCTAGGTTTTCTTCTAGGGTTTTTATGGTTTTAGGTCTAACATTTAAGTCTTTAATCCATCTTGAATTAATTTTTCTGTAAGGTGTAAGGAAGGGATCCAGTTTCAGCTTTCTACATATGGCTAGCCTGTTTTCCCAGGACCATTTATTAAATAGGGAATCCTTTCCCCATTTCTTGTTTTTGTCATGTTTGTCAAAGATCAGATGGTTGTAGATATGTGGTATTATTTCTGAGGGCTCTGCTCTGTTCCATTGGTCTATATGTCTGTTTTGGTACCAGTACTATGCTGTTTTGGTTACTCTAGCCTTGTAGTATAGTTTGAAGTCAGGTAGCATGATGCCTCCAGCTTCGTTCTTTTGGCTTAGGGTTGTCTTGGCAATGCGGGCTCTTTTTTGGTTCCATATGAACTTTAAAGTATTTTTTTTCCAATTCAGTGAAGAAAGTCATGGCAGCTTGATGGAGATGGCATTGAATCTATAAATTATCTTGGGCAGTATGGCCATTTTCACAATATTGATTCTTCCTACCCATGAGCATGGAATGTTCTTCCATTTGTTTGTATCCTCTTTTATTTCATTGAGCAGTGGTTTGTAGTTCTTGAAGAGGTCCTTCACATCCCTTGTAAGTTGGATTCCTAGGTATTTTATTCTCTTTGAAGCAATTGTGAATGGGAGTTCACTCATGATTTGGCTCTCCATTTGTCTGTTATTGGTGTATAAGAATGCTTGTGATTTTTGCACATTGATTTTGTATCATGAGAATTTGCTGAAGTTGCTTATCAGCTTAAGGAGATTTTGGGCTGAGATGATGGGGTTTTCTAGATATACAATCATGTCATCTGCAAACAGGAACAATTTGACTTCCTCTTTTCTTAATTGAATACCCTTTATTTCCTTCTCCTGCCTGATTGCCCTGGCCAGAACTTCCAACACTATGTTAAATAGGAGTGGTGAGAGAGGGCATCCCTGCCTTGTGTGAGTTTTCAAAGGGAATGCTTCCAGTTTTTGCTCATTCAGTATGATATTGGCTGTGGGTTTGTCATAAATAGCTCTTGTTATTTTGAGATACATCCAATCAATACCTAATTTATTGAGAGTTTTTAACATGAAGGGCTGTTAAATTTTGTCAAAGGCCGTTTCTGCATCTATTGAGATAACCATGTGGTTTTTGTCATTGGTTCTGTTTATATGCTGGATTATGTTTATTGATTTGCATATGTTGAACCAGCCTTGCATCCCAGGGATGAAGCCCACTTGATCATGGTGGATAAGCTTTTTGATGTGTTGCTGGATTCAGTTTGCCAGTATTTTACTGAGGATTTTTGCATCGATATTCATCAGTGATATTGGTCTAAAATTCTCTTTTTTTTGTTGTGTCTCTGCCAGGCTTTGGTATCAGGATGATGCTGGCCTCATAAAATGAGTTAGGGAGGACTCCCTCTTTTTCTATTGATTGGAATAGTTTCAGAAGGAATGGTACCAGCTCCTCCTTGTACCTCTGGTAGAATTCTGTGAATCTGTCTGGTCCTGGATTTTTTTGGTTTATAAGCTATTAATTATTGCCTCAATTTCAGAGCCTGCTATTGGTCTATTCAGAGATTCAACTTCTTCCTGGTTTAGTCTTGGGAGGGTGTAAGTTTTGAGGAATTTATCCATTTCTTCTAGATTTTCTAGTTTATTTGCATAGAGTTATTTATAGTATTCTCTGATAGTAGTTTGTATTTCTGCAGGATCAGTGGTGATATCCCCTTTATCATTTTTTATTGCGTCTATTTGATTCTTCTCTCATTTCTTCTTTATTAGTCTTGCTAGCAGTCTACCAATTTTGTTGATCTTTTCAAAAAACCAGCTCCTGGATTCATTGATTTTTTGAAGGGTTTTTTGCATCTCTGTCTCCTTCAGTTCTACTCTGATCTTAGTTATTTGTTGCCTTCTGCTAGCTTTTGAATGTGTTTGCTCTTGCTTCTCTAGTTCTTCTAATTGTGATATTAGGGTGTCAATTTTAGATCTTTCCTGCTTTCTCTTGTGGGCATTTAGTGCTGTAAATTTCCCTCTACACACTGCTTTGAATGTGTCCCAGAGATTCTGGTATGTTGTGTCTTTGTTCTCGTTGGTTTCAAAGAACATCTTTATTTCTGCCTTCATTTCATTACATACCCAGTAGTCATTCAGGAGCAGATTGTTCAGTTTCCATGTAGTTGAGCAGTTTTGAGTGAGTTTCTTGATCCTGAGTTCTAGTTTGATTGCACTGTGGTCTGAGTGACAGTTTGTTATGATTTCTGTTCTTTTACATTTGCTGAGGAGTGCTTTACTTCCAACTATGTGGTCAATTTTGGAATAGGTGTGGTGTCATGCTGAAAAGAATGTATATTCTGTTGATTTGGGGTGGAGAGTTCTGTAGATGTCTATTAGGTCCGCTTGGTGCAGAGCTGAGTTCAATTCCTGGATATCCTTGTAAACTTTCTGTCTCATTGAGCTGTCTAATGTTGACAGTGGGATGTTAAAGTCTCCCATTATTATTATGTGGGAGTCTATGTCTCTTTGTAGGTCTCTAAGGACTTGCTTTATGAATCTGGGTGCTCCTGTATTGGGTGCATATATATTAGGATAGTTAGCTCTTCTTGTTGAATTGATCCCTTTCCCATTATGTAATGGCTTTCTTTGTCTCTTTTGATCTTTGTTGGTTTGAAGTCTGTTTTATCAGAGACTAGGATTGCAACCCCTGCCTATTTTTGTTTTCCATTTGCTTGGTAGATCTTCCTCCATCCCTTTATTTTGAGCCTATGTGTGTCTCTGCATGTGAGAAGGGTTTCCTGAATACAGCACACTGATAGGCCTTGACTCTTTATCCAATTTGCCAGTCTGTGTCTTTTAATTGAAGAATTTAGCCCATTTAAATTTAAGGTTAATATTGTTATGTGTGAATTTGATCCTGTCATTATGATGTTAGCTGGTTATTTTGCTCATTAGTTGATGCAGTTTCTTCATACCTCGATGGTCTTTACAATTTGGCATGTTTTTGCAGTGGCTGGTACCGGTTGTTCCTTTCCATGTTTAGTGCTTCCTTCAGGAGCTCTTGTAGGGCACGTGTGGTGGTGACAAAATCTCTCAGCATTAGCTTGTCTGCAAAGTATTTTATTTCTCCTTCACTTTTGAAGCTTAGTTTGGCTGGATATGAAATTCTGGGTTGAAAATTCTTATCTTTAAGAATGTTGAATATTGGCCCCCACTCTCTTCTGGCTTGTAGAGTTTCTGCTGAGATATCAGCTGTTAGTCTGATGGGCTTCCCTCTGTGGGTAACCCGACCTTTCTCTCTGGCTGCCCTTAACATTTTTTCCTTCATTTCAACTTTGGTGAATCTGACAATTATGTGTCTTGGAGTTGCTCTTCTTGAGGAGTATCTTTGTAGCGTTTTCTGTATTTCCTGAATTTGAATGTTGGCCTGCCTCACTAGATTGGGGAAGTTCTCCTGGATAACATCCTGCAGAGTGTTTTCCAACTTAGTTCCATTCTCCCCGTCACTTTCAGGTACACCAATCAGATGTAGATTTGGTCTTTTCACATAGTCCCATATTTCCTGGAGGCTTCGTTCATTTCTTTTTATTATTTTTTCTCTAATCTTCTCTTCTCACTTCATTTCATTCATTTGATCTTCCATCACTGATACCCTTTCTTCCAGTTGATCAAATCGGCTATGACACTTGTGCATTCATCACGTAGTTCTCGTGCCATGGTTTTCAGCTCCATCAGGTCCTTTAAGGACTTCTGTGCATTGGTTATTCTAGTTAGCCATTCATCTAATCTTTTTTCAAGGTTTTTAACTTCTTTGCCATTGGTTGGAACTTCCTCCTTTAGCTCGGAGAAGTTTGATCATCTGAAGCCTTCTTCTTCAACTTGTGAAAGTCATTCTCCATCCAGCTTTGTTCCATTGCTGGTGAGGAGCTGTGTTCCTTTGGAGGAGGACAGGTGCTCTAATTTTTAGAATTTTCAGTTTTTCTGCTCTGTTTCTTCCCCATCTTTGTGGTTTTATCTACCTTTGGTCTTTGATGATGGTGATGTACAGATGGGGTTTTGGTGTGGACATCCTTTCTGTTTGTTAGTTTTCCTTATAATAGTCAGGACCCTCAGCTGCAGGTCTGTTGGAGTTTTTTGGAAGTCCACTCCACACCCTGTTTGCCTGGGTATCAGCAGTGGAGGCTGTAGAACAGCGAATATTGGTGAACAGCAAATGTTGCTGCCTGATCGTTCCTCTGGAACTTTTGTCTCAGAGGGGTACCCGGCCATGTGAGGTGTCAGTCTGCCCCTACTGGGGGGTGCCTCCCAGTTAGGCACTCGGGGGTCAGGGACCCACTTGAGGAGGCAGTCTGTCCATTCTCAGATCTCAAGCTGCATGCTGGGAGAACCACTACTGTCTTCCAAACTATCAGACAGGGAAATTTAAGTCTGCAGAGGTTTCTGCTGCCTTTTGTTTGGCTATGCCCTGCCCCCAGAGGTGGAATCTACAGAGGCAGGCAGGCCTCCTTGAGCTGCGATGGGCTCCACCCAGTTCGAGCTTTCTGGCTGCTTTGTTTACATGCTTAAGCCTCAGCAATGGCGGGCACCCCTCCCCCCAGCCTCGCTGCCACCTTGCAGTTTGATCTCAGACTATTCTGCTAGCAATGAGTGAGGCTCTGTGGGCGTAGAACCCTCTGGAGCCAAGCGTGGGATATACTCTCCTTGCTGTTTGCTAAGACTGTTGGTAAAGCGCAGTGTTAGGGTGGGAGTCACCTGATTTTCCAGGTGCCATCTGTCACACCTTTCCTTGGCTAGGAAAGGGAATTCCCTGACCCCTTGCACTTCCTGACTGAGGCAATGCCTCGCCCTGCTTCAGCTTACACTCGGTGGGCTGCACCCACTGTCCTGCACCCACTGTCCAACAATCCCCAGTGAGATGAACCCAGTACCTCAGTTGGAAATGCAGAAATCATCCATCTTCTGCATCGCTCACGCTGGGAGCTGTAGACTGGAGCTGTTCCTATTCGGCCATCTTGGAACTGCCCCCCATAAATATTTAATGCTTTAAATTCCACTTTGAGCACTGCTCTAGACACATCCCACACATTGTGATGTGTTGTTTTCTCTTACTGTTTTCGCTTTCATCATTGCTACCCAGTTACACAATTGCTGGGTAAAAGGGGCAGTACACTCAAGTCAAAGATGAATGACAATAAAGAGCAAATATCCAAAAGGCTTCCCCAATTGTTTACTGGTTGTTCATCAGGTTTTGACTTCCCAACCCAATCTGGATGCTAATGTCTACTTTTCAGAGCCCTTGTGTGGTTGTTTTTCTATTGTGTTCTAGAGTTTTTTATTGTAATCAGTGGGACAGATGAACTGTGGTAGGCTTACTGCATCTTGGCCAGCACCTGAAATCCTATTTAGTTCTGAGATTCCATCAGAGACCTACTGAAGAGTTGTGTGTTGAAAGATAGCACTCATCCTGATGAGTTAAACAGTTAAAGGTTTGGTTTACCTGTCCCTATAGCCACCACCTGAGATAAGGGACAAAAATGAGACTCAGAATATGCCTTCTGTTCCTAAAGGAAAGCACCTGCCACTCATGCTTTCCAAGGGAATAGAAATTCCCTGACCACTTTAGATTAGAATAATCAAAAGCTGAACTCTGCTCTGTAGAGATCACATTTGAGAAGCTTTGCCCAGTGAAGACAGAAGAGTAAGAAGTTCTTCTGAGCAAACACTGTACACCTATAGATATCCTATTCCCAGTGAGAGCTCTTCTTTTTATTCATTCTTTCATTCTTCTTTCCCTCTTTCTCTCCCCTTGTCCCTCTAAATCACTAATTGCTTAACAGTAGTGTCAACATTTTTAATTGTATGTTATCTATAATTACAAATAATTTTGAGCCATCATCTCATACATACATAAACACACATGTGTGATTTATAAAGTCATAGCAAACCCATCTATAATACTTACTTATGTGCTAGTCAGTTTTCTAAGCACTTTACTTAATTAGCTACTGTAAATCTACCAAATAAATATGAATAAAGCTTAATTTTATTATTTTTTTAAGGTAAAAACTACATATCAAGAGAGTTGTAATTTCTCAACCCAAAAGAGGAAGTCATCTTCTCCTTTCCTTTTCCTGAAACCGACATCGCCATCTTCCTTCCCAGTGTGGCACTAGAGGGACGGGTGGCTTCTCCCATCACACACTACATCTTCTTTTCCCCTCTTTCTTCCTGCCAACACCTATCAGCTCTCACCAGCCTCCCCAGTTCCAAGCTGTTCCTTGCAATCCACTAATGAAATTCCTGTTTCTTTTGTAATTGTATTTCAGCATGGTTCATGCTCTGATACCAACCTTAAATCAAATTCTTTGCAGAGAGACTATCACAGGGTGACAAGCTCCTTTCTGCATGTCTCATTACTGAAACATTTATTCAGAGCTTCCTGAATGATATGAATGGCTGCCTTTGAGTGCTGCAATGACTTAATACACTATAACTAAAGGATTTTAATTTCCTCTCCTGGTCTCCTCACTTTGGTTCTTGCCTAAGTTTCCCTCTTATTTTGGATGCACAGCTGTGGTGCGGGGTGGGTGGGACCACACTTGAGCCTACAGCCCTGAGAGGGCCTATTCAAGCTCTGGATCCTGGGGCATAGTTCATTGAAGGAGCCTTCAACTCTAGGCCTGTGTGGTTTGCCCAGATTTTGGCCAGCTGGTTTTCCCATTACAGCACCTGTTCTCTCCAAGGGGGGCTAGATTCTAAATGAAGAAGAAAGCTCTTAGAAAGGGGAGTACAGGATGGTAGCTACAATCTTTCTGGTAGCCTTAGCAAGGGGCCCATATCCAGGACATTTTCTGAATTTTTGTTCACCAGTTAAGAATGATGCTGGTCTCATGAGGGATTGTCAACATGAAAACCACCATGAAGAGGTAAGAATGGTTTGGGGATGACATGAGAAATACAGAAGTCTGGATAGAGACTTACAGGTTTTTATAAAGGGGGTCAATTGTCACTTGGGAGATAAGCATAACAGGATGCTGAAAGATATTTTTCCTTTTCATTCTAGAATTAGCAACTGGGATTCAAAGAAGATGATAAGGGAGATCTAGTGTCACATATTCTAAAAATAGCAAAAAAATTAGAACCAGACACCTCTTAGGGCTTAATAAGAGGTAAAATATCCTTGCTTAAACGTTACATGTTTATTGAACAGTTTGAATTCAATGACATGTAAACATCAAAGAAATATTTTCTCTGTTAATCTCCCTTTCCTTCTCTTTGTTGACATCTCAGGCAAATTCCACAGTTTTCCACTCATTTCTAGTTATTAAAAAGTCCAAGCCAGTACAATTTAAGATGTCCATCTCATCTCCTTCCGTCTTCCCATCTCAGGTTTGACTAGTGGCCTCAATAACCTATAGAGGGAACAACCTTTTTCTCTCTTCCTACCCTCCTAGTTCTAGCTTACTTGGAATTGGGGATTAAGAAGTAGAAATAGGAGAGAGGGCAGGGGTCATCATAGGTAGTGGCCCCTGTACATGGAATAACCTTGAAGGTGGTAAGTTTATGGACAGCCTGAGCCACAAGAGATATTCACAATTTAATTGGATATCAATTAATTAACTCATTTGACTGGCTCTTACAGATGTAAGAGTTTTGTGGCCTAAGAGATAGGAGGAATGAGGCAGGAGTGTATATAAATAATTTAACCCAGTTATAGGATGCCAAATAAATGCAAAATCCAGTCATGTGAAGAAATGGCTAGGTCAGGCATTTGGACTTCCATGAGTGGACTGGGACCTGAATGGTGTGGGCTTGGTGGGCTACATGTCCTTGCTCCTCTCTGATCATGATTCAAATTCAACAATTGAGAAGATATCCTTCAAAGCTATTGGATGACCTAGTTGTTTTATTAGTGAGGAAGTACTTTTTAGCCCAAATATGATTTAGAATTAGGTATACAGATATTTATGAACATTAAACTCATAGTATAATTTTTTAAATAAGGAATCCCTTCAAATTTTTATCTTAGGTGTTTGCATTGTTTAGGAGAATTGGGCATATTAGAGTAGCAGGTAAATCTTGTGACTCTAATTCAAAATTGTTGAGTATTTGGTTTGAGCTTTTGACTTTAAGTAGAATTCTTACTAAATGTATATATTTGCATTAGCACACTTAAGAAGTCTTAAGTTTTACCTTATTTATAAGTTTAATTTATTAGATTTATAAGAGTTATTCAAGCATTTAGGAAGGCCTTTTTGCTAAGTCAGACAACTGGGGAACTTAAAAGGGAAATTAAATATATTTAATAATTTACTGCAACAAAATATTTAAAGGAGTTGAACTAAATTTGTAAATTAGACTAAATGTTAATCAACGACCTCATAAAAGGCAAATTTTAATGATTGCTAGAACTATAAATGGCATAATAAGATCTGTAGGCTGAATTTAAAAGCTTCAGAAAGAACTAGATTTTTTGATAAATGGAATATTAATTTCAAAATTAAGGTAATCTCTGAATAATCCTTTCTGTGCACCCAATCTGTCCTTGGGAGCCACCTGTCAGGGTTCTCTTTTGGCTGCTGCTCCTCCTTAGCTCACACTCACAGTTCCAAAAGTCCTCTGTATGGCAGGCCTCTGAATGCAGTACTTTGGGGACCCTGGGTGGGAGTAGGGATAGATGAAGGGGCTCCCCACTCCTTTGCTCTCCAACATAGGACTGCCACCTCTGACTTGATCTCTTCCAAAAACTTCCTGCAACTTCTGGTAGTTGGGGTTGCTCCCCCTGCAGCCCAGCCCTCTCAGTTGGGGTGAGAGCAAGGTGCCTCCCATTTTGCTCCTTCTGTAGTGTCTGTATAGCCCACAGGAAATTCATGCACCCTTGCTGTGATCAATGGTGGGAGCACAAAGTGTTCCACCACCACCTTGCCCTACCTTCATCTTCATTAGTCTCTTCTTCTCAAATAGAAGGGGTACACCAGCAAGTCTTCCACTTGAGCAGACATACAATTTGGGAATGAGATATCACTCCACCCTTCCCACAGTTACCTGAGATTTCAACAAGTAATTTTCTTGGGGCTTCTTAATTTAGTTTGGTGATAGGGAAAATGTCTCACAAGCTTATGACTTGTGGTTTCAATGATTCCCTCAATCTCTGTCTATAATCCTCCAGGTTTTAAAATAACTAGAGTGGGTGGGTTGGGTGCTGAATTGTTGGTTTGTGTTAGCAAACAGTTTTGGCTCTCTCTTAGTCTGAGAAAGGTATCTAGCCATTGCTGGAGGCCATTTTACAATGCACCTTTTTTTGTCTACACTCTCGAGATCTGGTTGCCAATTCCTTGAGCAGCATGAAACATCCCCATTAGTATCCTATAACTGAGTTCACATCCTCAGCTCTTATCTTCAATCAGTATTATAGGCAGGAGAATGAGATGACATGTGAGGTCCAATTCTGATCTTTCCAAGGACTGCTGATTTGTTTCTTGAAAACCTAGAGTGTTTCCATTAAATAAAATCATAGATATCACTGACCACCTAATTAGACCACACAGGCTTTGGGGGCTCATGGATGGCCACATCTACTGTTTGAACTCTGAAAGGAGATTTGCTTGCCGGATATACTCAGGTACAAACAGCAAGACTTCTTTGTGAAGCATTCCTGGAATTGCCTACCACTCCGAAGAAACAGTTTAAACCTGCTGTTGTTTCTGAACAACATTCTGTTGTTTTTACCAGTCCTCGCCTGAGTTCAGAGTGACAGCAGGATATCTGTGTGATGATGTTATGCACAGGGATTCTGAGAAAGCTGCTTTCTTTTTATTTCAGATTCTGTTTGTACCTTCTAAGGGCAATGACTTTAGTACGCTTCCCACCCTCTTCTCCCTCCAAGACAATTAGGTATTACTGGGAATGAAAACAGCAACTAATAACAAATATATTTATTGAGCACTTAGTGCTAGTGTTATAAGTGCTTTGCATGTGTTAACTCATTCAGTTCTCACAACCAGTCCATGAGGTAGGTACTATTGATATGGGAGGTGGGCACGGAAGTGCTGAGCAGAGAAGGGCAGGTCCCTGGCTGGGGCTCCACTCCCAGACCTGTGCCCACGGTCCTAGGTGAGGACAGGCATTTCTGTTTTCCCTGATCAAATGTTGCATTTCCCAAGACCACACTAATCCACCATGCCCCCATCCCGTGCCTATAAAAACCCCAAGACCCTAGCAGGCACACACACACACACAGGGCTGGACGTTGAGAGGAACACACAAGCAGAAGAAGACACAAGTGGCTGGATGTCTAGAGGAATGCACCAGCATAAGAGCATGCTGACAGACGCCAGCAAGCTGGCAGGCCATGGACAGATGAAACAGTGTAGAGTTTGGCGGGGGCAGTCAGAAGAGAGCCTGGCCTCTCAGCAGCCTGACTCCAGAGGAAAACCACCCTCCCACTCCATCCCCTTCTGGCTCCCCCATCTGCTGAGAGCTATTTCCACTCAATAAAACCTTGCACTCATTCTCCAAGCCCATGTGTGATCTGATTCTTCCAGTACACCAAGGCAAGAAACCCCAGGATACAGAAAGCCCTCTGTCCTAGCAATAAGGCAGGCAGTGTAATAGAGCTGACTAACACAAGCCACCTATGTATGGCTAAACTGAATGAGTGCCCTGTAACACACACGCACTGGGGGCTTCAGGAGCTATAAACATTCACCCCTAGACACTGCCATGGAGTTGGAACCCCACAGCCTGCCAGTCTGCATGCTCCCTCTAGGGATATGAGCAGCCGGGCACCGAAGAAGTGAGCTACACTCCCATTGGATGCCCTGTGTGGGAGATAAAGGAACTTTTCCTGATTCACTGTTATTATTCCTATTTTGTGGATGAAGAAACTGAGGCACAGAGAGAGTAATTTGGCTAAGTTCTCACAGCCGGTAAGTGGAAAAGCCAGAACTAGAATCCAAGCACTCTGACTCTACTGTATCACCTACATCCAGCAGTCTGCCTACCTTGTCAATATACTATATCCAAGTTTCAGACATAATTGGCCTTTTTTTAAAAAAAATTATACTTTAAGTTCTGGGATACATGTGCAGAATGTGCAGGTTTGTTACATAGGTATACACACGCCATGGTGGTTTGCTGCACCCATCAACCCATCATCTACATTAGGTATTTCTCCTAATGCTATCCCTCCCCTAGCCCTCCACCCCCTGACAGGTCCCGATGTGTGACGTTCCCCTCCCTGTGTCCATATGTTCTCATTATTCAACTCCCACTTATGAGTGAGAACATGCAGTGCTTGGTTTTCTGTTGCTGTGTTAGTTTGCTGAGAATGATGGTTTCCAGATCCATCCATGTTCCTGCAAAGGATATGAACTCATCCTTTTTTATGGGGGCATATTATTCCATGTTGTATATGTGCCACATTTTCTTTATCCAGTCTATCACTGATGGGCATTTGGGTTGGCTCCAGGTCTTTCCTATTGTGAATAGCGCTTGAATAAACATAAGTGTGCATGTATCTTTATAGCAGAATGATTTATAATCCTTTGGGTATATACCCAGTAATGGGATTGCTGGGTCAAATGGTATTTCTGGTTCTACATCCTAGAGGAATCACCACACTGCCTCCCACAATGGTTGAACTAATTTATATTCCCACCAACAGTGTAAAAGCATTCCTATTTCTCCACATCCTCTCCAGCATCTGTTATTTCCTAACTTTTTAGTGATCGCCATTCTAACTGGCATGAGATGGTATTTCATTGTGGTTTTGATTTGCATTTCTCTAATGACCAGTGATAATGAGCTTTTTTTTTCATGTTTGCTGGCCACATAAATGTCTTCTTTTGAGAAGTGTCTGTTCATATACTTGGCCCATTTTTTGATGGGGTTGTTCATTTCTTTCTTGTAAATTTGTTTAAGTTCCTTGTAGATTCTGGATATTAGCCCTTTTTCAGATGAATAGATTGCAAAAATTTTCTCCCATTCTGTAGGTTGCCTGTTCCCTCTGATGATAGTTTCTTTTGTTGTGCAGAAGCTCTTTAGTTTAATAAGATCCCATTTGTCAATTTTGGCTTTTGTTGCAATTGCTTTTGGTGTTTTAGTCATGAAGTCTTTGCCCATGCCTATGTTCTGAATGGTATTGCCTCTGTTTTCTTCTAGAGTTTTTATGGTTTTAGGTCTTACATTTAAGTCTTTAATCTATCTTGAGTTCATTTGTATAAGGTGTAAGGAAGGGATCCAGTTTCAGTTTTCTGCATATGGCTAGCCAGTTTTCCCAACACCATTTATTAAACAGGGAATCCTTTCCCCATTTCTTGTTTTTGTCAGTTTTGTCAAAGATCAGATGGTGGTAGAAGTATGGCATTATTTCTGAGGCCTCTGTTCTGTTCCATTGGTCTATATATCTGTTTTGGTACCAGTACCATGATGTTTTAGTTACAGTAGCCTTGTAGTATAGTTTGAAGTCAGGTAGCCTGATGCCTCCAGCTTTGTTCTTTTTGCTGAGGATTGTCTTGCTATCCAGGATCTTTTTTGGTTCCATATGGAATTTAAAGTATTTTTTTTCTAATTTGGTGAAGAAAGTCAATGGTAGCTTGATGGGAATAGCACTGAATCTATAAATTACCTTGGGCACTATGGCCATTGTCATGATATTGATTCTTCCTATCCATGAGCATGGAATGTTTTTCCATTTGTTTATGTCCTCTCTTATTTCCTTGAGCAGTGGTTTGTAGTTCTCCTTGAAGAGGTCTTTCACATCCCTCGGAAGTTGTATTCCTAGGTACTTTATTCTCTTTGTAGCAAATGTGAATGGGAGTTCACTCATGATTTGGGTCTCTGTTTGTCTATTATGGGTGTATAGGAATGCCTGTGATGTTTGCATATTGATTTTGTATCCTGAGATTTTGCTGAAGTTGCTTATCAGCTTAAGGAGACTTTGGGCTGAGATGATGGGGTTTTCTAAACATACAATCATGTCATCTGCAAACAGAGATAATTTGACTTTCTGTCTTCCTATTTGAATACGTTTTATTTCTTTCTCTTGCCTGATTGCCCTAGACAGAACTTGCAATGCTATGTTGAATAGGAGTGATAAGAGAGGGCATCCTTGTCTTGTGCTGGTTTTCAAAGGGAATGCTTCCAGCTTTTGCACATTCAGTATGATATTGGCTGTAGGTTTGTCATAAATAGCTCTTATTATTTTGAGATATGTTCCATGAATATGTAGTTTATTGAGAGTTTTTAACATGAAGGGGTGTTGAATTATATCAAAGACCTTTTCTGCATGTATTAAGATAACCATGTGGTTTTGTCATTTGTTCTACTTATGTGAAGGATTACGTTTATTGATTTGCATATGTTAAACTAGCCCTACATCCCAGGGATGAAGCTGACTTGATCGTGGTGCGTAAGCTTTTTGACGTGCTGCTGGATTTGGTTTGCCAGTATTTTATTGAGGATCTTTGCATTGATGTTCATCAGGGATATTGGCCTGAAATTTTCTTTTTTGTTTTGTCTCTGCCAGGTTTTGCTATCAGGATGATGCTGGCCTCATATAATGAGTTAGGGAGGAGTCCCTCTTTTTGTATTGTTTGGAATAGATTCAGAAGGAATGGTACCAGCTCCTTTTTGTACCTCTGGTAGAATCCGGCTGTGAATCCCCCTGGCCCTGGGTTTTTTTTTGGTTGGTAGGCTATTAATTACAGCGTCAATTTCAGAACTTGTTATTGGTCTATTCAGGGATTCGACTTCTTCCTTGTTTAGTCTTGGGAGGGTGTATGTGTCCAGGAATTTATCCATTTCTTCTAGATTTTCTAGTTTATTTGCTAGAGGTGTTTATAGTATTCTCTGATGGTAGTTTGTATTTCTGTAGGATCAGTGGTGATATCCCCTTTATCATTTGTTATTGTGTCTATTTGATTCTCCTCTCTTTTCTTCTTTATTAGTCTGGCTAGCGGTCTATTTTGTTAATATTGTAAAAAAATCAACTCCTGGATTCATTGATTTTTGAAGGGTTTTTCATGTCTCTTTCTCCTTCAGTTCTGCTCTGATCTTAGTTATTTCTTCTCTTTTGCTAGCTTTTAAGTTTGTTTGTTCTTGTTTCTCTAGTTCTTTTAATTGTGATATTAGGGTGTCAATTTTACATCTTTCCTGCTTTCTCATGTGGGCATTTAGTGCTATAAATTTCCCTCTAAACACTGCTTTTGCTGTGTCCCAGTGATTCTAGTTCATTGTGCCTTTGTTCTTGTTCGTTTCAAAGAGTTTATTTATTTCTGCCTTAATTTTGTTATTTACTCAGTAGTCGTTTAGGAGCAGATTGTTCAGTTTCCATTTAGTTGTGCAGTTTGGAGTGAGTTTCTTAACCCTGAGTTCTAATTTGATTGCTCTGTGATCTGAGAGACTGTTCGTTATGATTTCCGTTCTTGTGCATTTGCTGAGGAGTGTTTTACCTCCAATTATGTGGTCAATTTTAGCATAAGTGCAATGTGGTGTTGAGAAAAATGTATATTCTGTTGATTTGAGGTGGAGAGTTCTGTAGATGTCTATTAGGTCTGCTTGGTCCAGAGCTGAGTGCAAGTCCTGAATATCCTTGTTAATTTTCTGTCTCATTGGTCTGTCTAATATTGACAGGGGGGTGTGAAAGTCTCCCATTATTATTGTGTGGGAAATTAAGTCTGTTTGTAGGTCTCTAAGAACTTGCTTGATGAATCTGGGTGCTCCCATATTGGGTGCATATATATTTAAGATAGTTAGCTCTTCTTGTTGCGTTGATCCCTTTGCCATTATGTAATGTCATTCTTTGTCTTTTTTTATCTTTGTTGGTTTAAGTCTGTTTTATCAGAGACTAGGATTGCAACCCCTGCTTTCTTCTTTTTTTTTCCTTTCCATTTGCTTGGTAAATACTCCTCCATCCATTTATTTTTAGCCTATGTGTGTCTTTGCTCATGAGATGGGTCTCCTTAATTCTGCACACTGATAGGTCTTGACTCTATCCAATCTGCCAGTCTGTGTCTTTTAATTGGGGCATTTAGCCTATTTACATTTAACATTAATATTGTTGTGTGTGAATTCAATCCTGTCCTCATGATGCTAGCTGATTATTTTGCCCGTTAGTTAATGCAGTTTCTTCATAGTGTCGATGGTCTTTACAGTTTGGTATGTTTTTGCAGGGGCTGGTACCAGTTTTTCCTTTCCATATTTAGTGCTTCTTTCAGGAGCTCTTGTAAAGCAGGCCTAATGGTGAGAAAATTTCTCAGCATTTGCTTGTCTGTAAAGGATTTTATTTCTCCTTTGCTTATGAAGCTTAGTTTGACTGGATATGAAATTCTGAGTTGAAAGTTCTTTTCTTTAAGAATGTTGAATATTGGCTCCCATTCTCTGTTGGCTTGTAGGATTTCTGTAGAGAGATCTGCTATTAGTCTGATGGGCTTCCCTTTGTGGTTAACCTGGCCTTTCTCCCTGGCTGTCCTTAACATTTTTTCCTTCATTTCAATTTTGGTGATTCTCATGATCATGTGTCTTGGGGTTGCTCTTCTCAAGGAATATCTTGGTGGTGTTCTCTGTATTTCCTGAATTTGGATGTTAGCCTGTCTTGTTACATTGGGGAAGTTCTCCTGGATAATATCCTGAAGAGTGTTTTCCAACTTGGTTCCATTCTCCCCATCATTTTCAGGTATGCCGGTCAAATGTAGGTTTGGTCTTTTCACGTAGTCTCATATTTCTTGAAGGCTTTGTTTGTTCCTTTTCATTCTCTTTTCTCTAATCTTGTCTTCACACTTTATTTCATTAAGTTGATCTTCAATCCTTGATATCCTTTCTTCCGCTTGATTGCTTCGGCTATTGATACTTGTGTATGCTTCATGGAGTTCTCGTGCTGTGTTTTGCAGCTCCATCAGCTTATTTATGTCCTTCTTTAAACTGGTTATTCTAGTTAACAGTCCCTGTAACCTTTTGTCAAGGTTCTTAGCTTCCTTGAATTGGGTTAGAACATGCTCCTTTAGCTCAGAGGAGTTTGTTATTACCCACCTTCTGAAGCCTACTTCTGTCAATTCATCAAACTCATTCTCTGTTCAGTTTTGTTCCCTTGCTGGAAAGGAGTTGTGATCCTTTGGAGGAGAAGAGGCATTCTGGTTTTTGGAATTTTCAACCTTTATGAGCTGGTTTTTCCTCATCTTCGTGGATTTATCTACCTTTGGTCTTTGATGTTGTTGACCTTCAGATGGGGTTTGTGTGGACGTCTTTTTTATTGATGTTGTTGCTATTCCTTTCTGTTTGTTAGTTTTCCTTCTAACAGGCCCCTCTGCTGCAGGTCTGCTGGAGTTTGCTGGAGGTCCACTGCAGACCCTGTTTGCCTGGGTATCACCAGCAGAGGCTGCAGAAGAGCAAAGATTGCTGCCTGTTCTTTTGCCTGGAAGCTTCATTCCAGAGGGGCACCCACCAGACGCCAGCCAGAGCTCTCCTGTATGAAGTGTCTGTTGACCCCTACTGGGAGATGTCTCCCAGTCAGGAGGCACGGGGGTCAGGGACCCACTTGAGGAGGCAGTCTGTCCCTTAGCAGAGCTCGAGCGCTGTGCTGAGAGATCTGCTGCTCTCTTCAGAGCTGGCAGACAGGAATGTTTAAGTCTGCTGAAGCTTTGCCCACCTCCACTTCTTCCCCCAGGTGCTCTGTCCCAGGGAGATAGGAGTTTTATCTATAAGCCCCTGACTGCTGCCTTTTTTTCAGAGATGCCCTGCCCAGAGAGGAGGAATCTAGAGAGGCGGTCTGGGTACTCGTGGCTTTGCAGAGCTGTGGTGGGCTCTGCCCAGTTTGAACTTCCTGGTGGCTTTTACACTGTGAGGGGAAAACCGCCTACTCAAGCCTCAGTAATGGTGGACATCCCTCCCCCGACCGAGTTCAAGTGTCCCAGGTCAACTTCAGACTGCTGTGCTGGCAGTGAGAATTTCAAGCCAGTGGATATTAGCTTGCTGGGCTCTGAGGGATGGCATCCACTGGGCTAGACCACTTGGGTCCCTGGCTTCAGCCCCCTTTCCAAGGGAATGAATGGTTCTGTCTCACTAGGGTTCCAGGAGCCACTGGGTTATGAAAAGTAACTCCTGCAGTGAGCTTGATGCCTGCCCAAATGGCCCCCCAGTTTTGTACTTGAAACCCAGAGCCCTGGTGGTGTAGGCACCCAAGGGAATCTCCTGGTCTGTGGGTTGTGAAGACCGTGGGGAAAGCATAGTATCTGGGCCAGAATGCACCGTTCCTCACGGCACCGTCCCTCCAGGCTTCCATTGCCTAGGAGAGGGAGTTCCCCAATGCTTCGTACTTCCCTGATGAGGTGACACCCTACCCTGCTTCTGCTTGCCCTCTGTGGGCTGCATCTACTGTCTAACCACTCCCAATGAGAAGAGCGGGATATCTCAGATGGAAATGTAGAAATCACCCGCCTTCTGCGATGATCTTGCTGGGAGCTGCAGACTGGAGCTGTTCCTATTCGGCCATCTTGCCATCCACCTCCTAACTAGCCTTTTTTTTTTTTTTAAGCTAGGGTGTCTACAGGAGAATCTGCTTGGCCTAAATATCTTCAAAAAGCCCGTATGGATCAACTGAAATTTATCAATAAGAATAAAACAAGTCTTCCTCATTTTATAATCATAGTGTTTGTATGATATAAAAAAAATTCCTCCAAATGCACTGAAAATGTGATTTAATTCACCATAATCTTATTGGCCCACAACTTTTCCAGGAAGGGTCTCTTAGACAGAAGTTCTGTCTCTTTCCACAGAATGAGAAAACTCTGGGGTAAGGTCCCACAGCAAGTTGCTATTGGAACAAGAGGGGAATAAAGTTTAGAGACAATCCAAGTTCAATTAATTGTGGGTGCATTTAAGAAATTTCAGCCAATCATGTAAGACAGGAGAGAATACATTTAATGTTTTGATAAAGAAAAAAATTTCAGGCTGGCCGTGGCGCATGCCTGTAATCCCGGCACTTTGGAAGGCCGAGGCAAGTGGATGACCTGAGGTCAGGAGTTCGGGGCCAGCCTGGCCAGCATGATGAAACCCCATCTCTACTAAAAATATAAAAATTAGCGGGGTGCCAGGTGTGGTGGTGGGCACCTGTAATTCCTGCTTCTCGGGAGGCTGAGGCTGAAGAATCACTTGAACCTGGGAGGTGGAGGTTGCAGTGAATGGAGATCGTGTCATTGCACTCCAGCCTGGGCAACAAGAGTGAAACTCCATCTCAAATTTTTTTTTTGTTTTGTTCAGAACATTGTGTTGTCCAGTTCTTCCAAAATTCTTCCTTTTAAAGAACATTCCATGCTCATGGATAGGAAGAATCAATATCGTGAAAATGGCCATACTGCCAAAGGTAATTTATAGATTCAATGCCATCTCCATCAAGCTGCCAATGACTTTCTTCACAGAATTGGAAAAAAATACTATAAAGTTCATATGGAACCAAAAAAGAGCCCACATTGCCAAGACAACCCTAAGCCAAAAGAATGAAGCTGGAGGCATCATGTTACCTGACTTCAAACTACACTACAAGGCTGCAGTAACGAAAACAGCATGGTACTGGCACCAAAACAGAGATATAGACCAATGGAACAGAGCAGAGCCCTCAGAAATAATACCACATATCTACAACCATCTGATCTTTGACAAACATGACAAAAACAAGAAACAGGGAAAGGATTCCCTATTTAATAAATGGTGCTGGGAAAACTGGCTAGCCATATGTAGAAAGCTGAAACTGGATCCCTTCCTTACACCTTATAGAAAAATTAATTCAAGATGGATTAAAGACTTAAATGTTAGACCTAAAACCATAAAAACCCTAGAAGAAAACCTAGGCAATACCATTCAGGACATAGGCATGGGCAAGGACTTCATGACTAAAACACCAAAAGCAATGGCAACAAAAGCCAAAATTGACAAATGGGATCTAATTAAACTAAAGAGCTTCTGCACATCAAAAGAAATTACCATCAGGGTGAACAGGCAACCTACAGAATGGGAGAAAATTTTTACAATCTACCCATCTGACAAAGGGCTAATATCCAGAATCTACAAGAACTTAAACAAATTTACAAGAAAAAATCAAACAACCCCATCAACAAGTGGGCAAAGGATATGAACAGACATTTCTCAAAAGAAGACATTTATGCAGCCAACAGACACATGAAAAAATGCTCATCATCACTGGTGATCAGAGAAATGCAAATCAAAACCACAATGAGATACCATCTCACACCAGTTAGAATGGCAATCATTAAAAAGTCAGGAAACAACAGGTGCTGGAGAGGATGTGGAGAAATAGGAACACTTCTTCACTGTTTGTGGGACTGTAAACTAGTTCAACCATCATGGAAGACAGTGTGGCGATTCCTCAAGGATCTAGAACTAGAAATACCATTTGACCCAGCCATCCCATTACTGGGCATATACCCAAAGGATTATAAATCATGCAGCTATAAAGACACATGCACACGTATATTTATTGTGGCACTATTCACAATAGCAAAGACTTGGAACCAACCCAAATGTCCAACAATGATAGACTGGATTAAGAAAATGTGGCACATATACACCATGAAATACTATGCAGCCATAAAAAATGATGAGTTCATGTCCTTTGTAGGGACATGGATGAAGCTAGAAACCATCATTCTGAGCAAACTATCACAAGGACAGAAAACCAAGCACTGCATGTTCTCACTCATAGGTGGGAACTCAACAATAAGAACACTTGGACACAGGGTGGGGAACATCACACACCAAGGCCTGTTGTGGGGTGGGGGGAGGGGGAGGGATAGCATTAGGAGACATACCTAATGTAAGTGACGAGTTAACAGGTGCAGCACACCAACATGGCACATGTATACATATGTAACAAATCTGTACGTTGTGCACATGTACCCTAGAACTTAAAGTATAAAAAAAAAACAGGAAAAAAAATTCTTCCTTTTAAAAATATTACATGTACATTAGCTCAGAGTTTTGTGAAATTATTTAGTTCAAATGCAATGCCAAGTCATTGGACCTAGTTTGTCACGTTTCACTTGGGTACTTTCAGCATTATTTTGGAATAGGAGTTAAACAAATGTGGCCAACAGCTTGTTGGAATCCAAGAAAGATTTTATCAGTTGTGTTTAGAAGCATGGCAGTCAGAAGCCATTTATTGGCTGGGCACGGTGGCTTACATCTGTAATTCTAGTACTTTGGAAGGCTGAGGTGGGAGGATCCCTTGAGCCAAGGAGTTTGAGACCAGCCTGAGCACCATAGCGAAACCTCATCTTAAAAAAAAAAAATCCCCATTTGTTGAGGCTGGGCAGTCAGTAAATACTCCATAATATGGTCAAAAAGTCTAGAGTGCAAAAATATATATAGATAGATTAAAAAAAAATCTAGGGTGGAAGTAAAAAAGAGGAACTGGATTCATGGGACTGTTAAGAAAGAACTTTCTACTAGTAAGGGTACTGAACGTGGTAGTTGCCTAACCAGGGAAGCTGGAGGAAATTTATGTTTACTTCTGACAAGAAATGTGGCTATAGAGTGCCTGATACTTGTGTTGACATGTGAGTGAAGCAGAGTGTTGAAGGCCTTGTACCTGGACTCCTGGATTTGAATCCTGGTCCTGCCACTTACAAGCTACGTGATCTTGGGCAAATTTCTTAAGCGCTCTGCCTTAGTTTTCTCATCTATAACTTGAAGATAATGTTTTAGCATTGTTGACAGGATCTAATGTATATAAGGTGCTTACAACAGTGTATGGCATACAATAAATAGTATGCAAATAGGTAGCTATTACTACTGTTAAAATATATATTTTTTCAATCACAGTGGTGTTGCCTTTGAAAAACCTTCAGCAGTGGTATAGATCCTGATCTACTGAATGTTTTAGAATAGTCTCTCTGATAATGCAGGCATGTGTTCCAGCAGATGTCCTCATGCCCAGTCCAGCTGCAGAACTTTACTTATTTATTTATTTTTTATTTTTTGGTTATTTGAATTTCTTTTTTTTCTTTTTTTAAATTTATTATTATTATACTTTAAGTTTTAGGATACATGTGCACAACGTGCAGGTTTGTTACATATGTATACATGTGCCATGTTGGTGTGCTGCACCCATTAACTCGTCATTTAGCAGTTAGGTATATCTCCTAATGCTATCCCTCCCCCCTCCCCACACCCCACAACAGTCCCTGGTATGTGATGTTCCCTTTCCTGTGTCCATGTGTTCTCATTGTTCAATTCCCACCTATGAGTGAGAACATGTGGTGTTTGGTTTTTTGTCCTTGCGATAGTTTGCTGAGAATGATGGTTTCCAGCTTCATCCATGTCCCTACAAAGGACATGAACTCGTCATTTTTTAAGAACTTTAGAAATTTGGACGCTGCTTCTCTTTCCTGGGGCTTCAAGGTGAGACACACTCTTCCTAGATGGACTCAGTTACCCAGGACTTTGGCACCCTCTAGTGCATGATAAATGTTGATGCTTTCCAGTTCCCCCCAGCATCTTAGAAAATCAGAGCAACCCCGAGCAGCAAATCATCCCATTGTAGAGGGCTGCTGGGAAAACCCTGCACCCTTGTCCAGGATAGACCTTGTAGGATCAACTGGGAGATCTTGATGTACATTTAAGATCCTGACTCTGCATCAGCAGCAGCAACAGAAGCTAGCAAGAGGCTCCATGACTTTAATCAGCATTCACCGCCAAGTCCATTATCTGTGTTGCTGAAAATGTGGGAGAGACATTGTGGTCATGTGTCAGCCTGTGAAGGATATGCTGACAGCCACATCCCAGAAAAATGCTGCAATTAAACCAAGTCTGAATGCTGTTCAAGCAAAGATGTAAGTACATTTAAAGTGAGAAACATGAGTGAAGAGGCCTCTGTGGGAGTTTAGAAAGGAAGAGACCAAGAAGATTGATTCTCATTCAGGTCATCATAAAACATTACACGAAGGAGGGAACATGTCAAGAGTTTTTGCTATGACTGAAGAGAGAAGAATTGTTTGCCACAGAGTAGGTGGGACAGAGAAGGCAGAGCCTGAGGTGTGCGTGGACTGAGAGAGAATGAACTGTGCCTTGCATAGTGGTGAGTATCCTCACTCCTGAACACTGTTTCTACATCTTTCTTGTCAAAGGAAAAGTTGGGGTGGGTTAGGGAAAGAGTGAGGGCCCCTTTCCCTTTATTATAGTCTTAGGATTAAAGGATGAGAGAGACAGAATGGCCAACCCCAGGCACATGTGTCCTGAGCTGAGAAGGACTCCTGAGTAAGTGAGTGGGTTAGTAAGTCCCTTCTGGTCTGGACGTCTTCCCTGGGTCCTCTTTTCTGTGAATGCCAAATGCCATTTATCCACTGGGATGTGCTCCCTACCCTACATATACCATGACATAGGTACGATGTAGGGAAGTAAAGCAGTGAACAACTTTTACTTTATCTGGACACCTGGACTGAGGATGATCTTGCCAATAAATCTACCCTACTTTACTTCCATTTTGGCAACATTCACTAACACCACGAAAAACACCATTTTCTTCTGTGTGTGTGTGTGTGTGTGTGTGTGTATGGCAAGGAGGGGTGTTAAAACTTACTACATATCAATTCTAAGATCCAGGGGGGCTTTATTTACACTTTCCTATCTCTGAAATTGAGATACCTCTTACATATAATATGGTGCATCATAATTTAATTGGTGGCAATTTTTATTTTTTCATAATATATAAAGTAATAATAAAATTGGAATTCATCTTCCAAATTGTTGATATCTATCTTGATGATGATAACTGATGAAATCTGGTAGTATGAAGCATGTTACCTAAATCCCTTCCAGAAGTCTGCCTTGCCCAATAATACCCCAAATATTTCAAATGCAAAATTTATTCTTCTGAATTATTGCAACTCAGATCTAAGGCATAAATATTTGCAGTGGATGCCATGGTGATCTTCCCAGAATACCCCCACCTAGGACTGGAATTGTTGTTGGTCAATAGCTTTCAGATGAAGAGAACTGCCCCTCCCTCAAACCTCATCCCCATCTTGGGGTCAGGCCACATCCAATGATTGGTTTATGTGGAGATGTGAAGGCTTGCCTCCTTTCCCCATTTGGGATAACTATAGAAGGCCATCCAATTCCAGAGCTTCCGGTAGGATTGGCTGAGGCCTTTGTTACACTGATTTTTATTTCAACTTCTCCCTTTGCCAATTATGCTTCCTTTACTTTTCCTGCATACACAGCTCCATCCTAAAGCCTGCTTCTCGAGCAAGTTAACCTGAAGCAACTGGTACCAGGAGCATCCCAAGAAACTCTAATATGGGGTTTTGGAGCTTCATCACCTGCTGGTGGACCAGCAATAGGATGAAGGTCTGAGTCACTATACCATGTAAGCTTCTTCACTAGCAGAGGTACAAATAGTGAAGGGACTCTAGAATGGAGGTTAGGAGGCATGGAAGAGGGAGATAATATCAATTGTTGCCTGAAGCACAACTGCAATGGCAAGGACTGTAGTTTATGCCACTAACCTTCCCATCATATGTTCCTACCAGAAAAAGGCCCAACAAAATCCTGGAGGAGATTTTATCAGAACTTATTACATGGAGCAAGCAGATACAGACAGTACAAGGAATAGACTACAGTGGATGCCATATAGTCATATACGTACTTCTCAGCTCTTTCCTATAGGACTAAAGCATGCATTCTCCCAGCTGCTTGGAATGAGAGTGGCCAATAGTTTTCACCTGAGCTCCTCTTGAGGCCTTGCCCTCAGGTGGAGACAGAAGCCTCCTTGCCTCTAAAGGTCAGGCTGCCTGCAATGACTGCTCATTGCATGTAATCTCTGGAGGCCATATTTAGCTAGACTAAGTTCCTATTAAACAGGAGATATTGTGAATTTTTGACTTTAGTGTGAGGTGACAAAAAGAAAGTATATAGTAAAGGTCAAGAGTAGAAATTTAGAAATGGCTGCTTTACTTGTCTATGCCAGAGTTTCTTCATCTGAAAATGAGGTTGATAATAATGCTTTTATGTCATAGGAAGGTTGTAAGTTTTAACTTTGATATTATATAATATATATAATAATCTCTAGACATATAGTAGGCAATCCATTTATGGTTGGTATTATTATCAGCTATTCTTTCTTAATTCTAGGGCAAAGAATTACCTCCTTACTTCTACCAGCTGACCCAGGCAGAGTCCAATGTATTTCCCTGCAGAATAGATTGAGGTTTCTTAATCCTCTCATTAGTGAGGTTGCAGGAAAGTATTCTAAATGTATTTTTAAAATTCTAATTTTGTCAAAAGACTCCAGTAAGATAGTGAAAAGTCAGGCTACAGGGTGAGAGAAAATATTTACAATACTTGCACTTGACAAAGATCTCATATCACAATATATAAAAAACTCTTACACATTAATAATTAAAAACCCCAGTCAACTCAACAGAAAAGTGGGCAAAAGTCCTGAACCAAACATACCTGCTGGAAAGGCTAAAAGGGGAGTTGCCAAGTGTTGGGAGGATGCGGAGGAACTGGAACTCTCTATACTGCTGGTGTTAACACAAAATAGTATATTCATTTTGACCAGGTGCAGTGGCTCACGCCCGTAATCCCAATACTTTGGGAGGCTGAGGCAAGAAGATTGTTTGAGGCCAGGAGTCTGAAATCAGCCTAGGCAATATAAGCAGACCTAGCTCTACAAAAAAAAAAAAAAAAAATTAATAGCCAGGTGGTGCGTGCCTGTAGTCCCAGCTACTTGGGAGGATGAGGCAGGAGGATCACCAGAGTTCAGGAGTTCAAGGCTGCACTGAGCCATGATCACGCCACTGCAGCCTGGGTGACAGCAAGACCCTGTTTCAAAAAATATATATTTTGAAACAGTATATATAGCGTATTCATTTTGGAAATCTGGTGGATTCTACTTAAGCTGGGCGTGTGCATTCCCAAACACCCAGCAGTTCTACCCTTAGGAATATACCCAAAGAATTGCATACATATTTTCACCCAAAATATTTAAGAATAGCCATAGCAGCACTATGTATAATAGACAATGTAAAAAATGAAAATTGGCTAACTACCCATCGATGTTGGAATGAGTAAACACATTGTGGTATAATTACACAATAAATACTATACAGTAATGAGAATGAATAACCAATAACTACATAAAGGAATGAATCTCATAAACTTAATATTGAGAGAAAAAATAAGACAAAACATACATACTGTAGGATTTAATTTTTATAAAGGACATATCTGACAAAATTAATCTATGCTATTAGAAGTGCAATACTGGCAACCTTTGGGCAAAGTATTGACTTCTGTGTGCTAGTAATGTTCTACTTTTTGTTCTGGGTGTTGGTTACATGGATACGATTATTTTATAAAAATTCATTGAATTTTATACCTTTGTGTACTTTTATGCATATATTTAGGCTTTAATAAATAGTTAAAAATATATCACTTATACATACATAACTAGCAAACTATATTTCTTTGGCTTCTAGGAGGCTCATACCTTGCAGAAGCAAGGAGGAGCTGAATTATCTTAAGTATCATCATCATCATCACCATTGCCAAAGGAAGAGGCCAAAGAGGTTGGTGGGGGTGAAGGGAGAATCAGATAAAAGAAATAGAGAGTTGAAGGGAAGATTTTGAATTTGTGTTTGAACCCAGTGATTTGTTCACATTTGTTAGGCCCTCTCTAGCCCCTGGGGCACCAAGTCAAGACTTATTTTGGCTGATGTCATTGACATATGCAAATAGGCTAAAAACTTTTCCCCAGTTTCCCAAATGTGTTAACAAAGCTGAATTATGAGCAGCAATTTATTTTTATTGACATTTGAAGCTTGAGAGTGTGGATGATGTTGACAATGACAGCATGTTGATGAGGCAAATTATATACTAGGCTTGAATGTGAGTTGGGGAAGGGAGAAATACCTAGAGAAGGTGTCCCTTGGAGATGACTGCTACTGTGGTAGACCCTCTTTCCCTTTTTTACTGTCCCCTTTTTACCGTTTTTACTTGTCAGGAGCCTATGTCAGACATTCGTAGCTATTGTCCCACCAAGAACTGGCTACTACTATTTTTCCTCCCTATCTGAAGATTTCTGCTTTCTCTAACTCCAGTTTCTTTTTTGTTTAAATAATTTCTTTTTAATTTCTGTGGGTACATAGTAGGTAGTAGGTATATATAGTAGGAACATAATAAGTACCCATTAACCATCCCCACTTCCTCCCAATTCCCTACTATCTTTCCCAGCCTCTGGTAACCATCCTTCTACTCTCTATCTCTATGAGTTCAATTGTTTTAATTTTTAGCTCTCACAAATAAGTGAGAACATGCAAAGTTTGCCTTTCTGTGCCTGACTTATTTCACTTAACATAATAACCTCCAGTTCCACCCATGTTGTTGCAAATGACAGAATCTCACTGTTTTTTATGGCTGAAGAGTACTCAACTATGTAAATGTACCACATTTCTTTATCCATTCGTCTGTTGATGGACATTTAGGTTGTTCCAAAATTTGGCTATTTTGAATAGTATTGCAATAATCTCTTCACTGCAATAGCAGTGCAGATAACCTCATCAACATACTGATTTCCTTTCTTTTGGGTATATGCCCACCAGTGGGTTTGCTAGATTATATAATAGCTGTATTTTGAATTTTTTGGGGAACCTCCAAACTGTTCTCCATAATGGTTGTACTAATTTACATTCCCACCAACAGTATTCCCTTTTCTCAACATCCTCACCAGCATTCATTATTGCCTGTCTTTTGGATAAAAGCCATTTTAATTGGGGTAAGATGATATCTCATTGTAGTTTTGATTTGCATTTCTCTGATGATCAACAATATTGGGCACCTTTTCATATATCTATTTATCACTTCTATATCTTCTTTTGATAAATGTCTGTTCAGATCTTTTGCTCATTTTGGATTGGATTATTGGGTTTTTTCCTATAGAGTTGTTTGAATTCCTTATGTATGCTAGTTATTAATCGCTTGTCATATGAAGTCTTTTGAAAATATTTTCTCCCATTTGTGGGTTGTTTCTTCACTTTGTTAATTGTTTTCTTTGCTGTGAAGAAGCTTTTTAACTTAATGTGATCCCATTTGTCCATTTTTGCTTTGGTTGTCTGTGCTTGTGGGGTTTATTCAAGAAATCTTTGCTCAGTCCAATGTCCTAGAGAGTTTCCTCAGTGTTTTCTTGTAGTAGTTTCATAGTTTGAGGTATTCGACTTAAGTATTTGATGCATTGTAATTTGATTTTTGTATATGGTGAGAGATAGCAGGGGGTCTAACTTCATTCTTCTGCATATGGGTATCCAGTTTTCCCAGCACCATTTATTGAACAGGTTGCCCTTTCCCAATATATGTTCTTGGAACCTTTTTCAAAAATGAGTTCACTAGGGCTGTATGGATTTATTTCTCGGTTGTCTATTCTGATCCATTGGTCTATGTGTCAATTATGCCAGTACCATGCTGTTTTGGTTACTGTAGCTCTGTAGTATCACTTAATGTCAGGTAATATGATTTCTCCAGTTTTGTTGTTCTTGCTCAGAATTGCTTTGGCTATTCTGGGTCTTTTGTGGTTCCATTTAAATTTTAGGATTGTTTTTTCTATTTCTGTGAAGATTGTTATTAGTATTTTGATAGAGACTGCATTGAATCTGTAGATTGCTTTGGGTAGTGTGATCGTTTTAACAACACTGATTCTTCCAATCCATGAACATGGAATATATTTCCATATTTTTGTGTGTGTCCTCTTCAATTTCTTGCATCAATGTTTTATAGTTTTCATTGTAGAGATGTCACTTTTTTGTTAATTCCTAGGTATTTTATTTTATTTGTAGCTATTGCAAATAGGATTACTTTCTTGATTTCTCTTTCAGATTGTTCACTGTTGACATCTACAAATGCTACTGATTTTTCTATGTTGATTTTGTATCTTGCAATTGTACTGAATTGTTTATCAGTTCTAATAGTTTTTTGGTGGAGTCTTTAGGTTTTTCCAAATATGAGATCTTATCATCTGCAAACAAGGATAATTTCTTTTCTTGCTTTCCACTTTTGATGTCTGTTATTTCTTTTGCTTGTCTTACTGCTCTAGCTAGGACTTACAGTACTATGTTGAATAACAGTGGTGACAGTTGGCATCCTTGTTGTGTTCCAGATCTTAGAGGAAAGGCTTTCAGTTTTTCCCCACTTAGTATGATGCTAGCTGTGGGTCTGTTGTGCATGACTTTTTTTAATGCTGAAGTATGTTCCTTCTAGACCCAGTGTTTTTTGGGGTTTTTATCATGAAGGGATGGTGATTTTTTTTTTTTTTTTTTGAGACGGAGTCTCACTCTGTTGCCTGGGATGCTGAATTTTATACAATGCTTTTTCAACATCAATTGAAATGGTCATATAGCTTTGTCCTTCATTCTGTTGATATGATGTATTATATTGATTGATTTATGTATGTTGAACCATCTTTGCATCCCTGGGATAAATCCCACTTGGTCATGATGAATATTTTTAATGTATTACTGAATTTAGTTTGCTAGTATTTTGTTGTGAATTTTTGCATGAATGTTCATCAGGAATATTGACCTGTGGTTTTCTTTTTTTGATCTGTCTTGCTCTGGTTTTGGTAGCAGGATAATACTGGGCTCATAGAATTAATTTGAAAGCATTCCTGTCTCTGTTTTTTGGAATAGTTGGAATAGGATTGATATTAGTTCTTCAAATGTTTGGTAGAATTTAGCAGTGAAGCCACTGGGTCCTGGGCTTTTCTTTGCTGGGAGACATTTTATGATGGCTTTGATCTCATTATTTGTTATTGATCTGTTCAGGCTTTGGATTTCTTCATGGTTCAATCTTGTTGGGTTGTATATGTCTAGGAATTTATCCATTTCTTCTAAGTTTTCTAACTCATTGGCATATAGTTGCTTATAGTAGCCTCTAATAACCCTTTGAATTTCTGTGGTATTGGTTGTAATGTCTCCCTTTTCATCCTGATTTTATTTATTTGGGTCTTTCTCTCTTTTTGTCTTAGGCTAAAGGTTTGTCAATTTTGTTCAATTTTTCAAAAAACCAACATTTTGTTTCATTGATCTTTTGTATTGTTTTCTGCATTTCAGTTTCATTTATTTATGTTCTGATTATTATTATTTCTTTTCTTCTACTAACTTTGGGTTTGGTTTGCTTTTGCTTTTCTAGTTCTTTAAGATGCATTGTTAGGTTGTTTGTTTGAAATTTTTAATTTTTTTTATTATTATTATACTTTAAGTTTTAGGGTACATGTGCACAATGTGCAGATTAGTTACATATGTATACATGTGCCATGCTGGTGTGCTGCACCCATTAACTCGTCATTTAGTGTTAGGTATATCTCCTAATGCTATCCCTCCCCCTTCCCCCCACCCCACAACAGTCCCCAGAGTGTGATGTTCCCCTTCCTGTGTCCATGTGTTCTCATTGTTCAATTCCCACCTATGAAAATTTTTAAATTTTTTGATGTAGGCACTTACAGCTATAAATTTCCTTCTTAGTACTGCTTTTGCTGTATCCCATAGGTTTTGGTATGTTGTGCTTCCATTATCGTTTGTTTCAATAAGTTTTTCAATTTTCTTCTTAATCTCTTAATTGACCCACTGGTCATTTGGAAGCACATTGTTTAATTTCCATGTGTTTGTATAGTTTCTAAAATCCCTCTTGTTATTTGATTTCTAGCTTTATTCCATTGTGGTCAGAGAAGATATGTAATATGATTTCAATTTTTGAATGTTTTAAGACTTATTTTGTGACCTAACATATGGTCTATCCTTGAGAATGATCCATGTGCTAAGGAAAAAAAATGTGTATTCTGCAGCCGTTGGATGAAGTGTTCCATAAATATCTATTAGGTCCATCTGGTCTATAGCGCAGGTTAAGTCCAATGTTTCTTTGTTGATTTTCTGCCTGAATGATCTATTCAATGCTGAGAGTGGGATGCTGAAGTCTCCAGCTATTATTGTATTGGGGTCTATTTCTTTCTTTACTTCTAATAATATTTGCTTTACATATCTGGGTGCTCCAGTGTTGGGTGCATATATATTTACAATTTTTATACCCTCTTGCTAATTGACCCCTTTATTATTATATAATGGCATTCTTTGTCTCTATTTATAGTTTTTGTCTTGAAATATGTTTTGTCTGATATAAGTATAGATACTCCTGTTCTTTTTTCTTTTTATTCACTTGGAATATCTTTTTACATTCATTTATTTTTAGTCTATGTGTGTCCTTATAGTTGAAGTGTGTTTCTTGGAGGCAACAGATTTTTGGGTTTTGATTTTTTTCATTTATTCAGCCACCCTATGTCTTTTGACTGGGAAGTTTAATGCAGTTACAGTCAATGTTATTGATAAGTGAAGACTTACACCTGCCATTTTGTTATTTGTTTTCTGGGTGTTTTGTAGCCTTCTCTTACTTCTTTCTTTCCTTCCTGTCTTCCTTTAGTGAAGGTGATTTTCTCTGGTCTTATGATTTAGTTTCTTACTTTTTATATTTTTTGTATCCATTTTATATATTTTTTTGAGATTACCATGAGACTTGCAAGTACTATCTTATAACCCCTTCTTTTGAACTGATGACAACTTAACACTGATTGCATAAATAAATAAACAAGCAAAAAGAAAGCTAATTAAACACTGCACTTCAACTTTGTGCCCCCATTTTTAAACTTTTTGTTTGTTTCTATTTATACCTTATTGTACTTTATCTGGAAAAGTTGTTGTAGTTCTTATTTTTTATTAGTATTAGTTTATCTTTTCATCTTTCTACTTAAGATATATAGTTTACATGCCACAATTACAGTGTTATAATATTCTGTGTTTTTCTGTTTACTTACTATTACCAGTGAGTTTTGTGCCTTCATATGATTTTTTATTATGCATTAATGTCCTTTTCTTTCAGATAGAAGAACT
Organism: Homo sapiens; assembly: GCF_000001405.40. Classification (NCBI taxonomy): domain Eukaryota; kingdom Metazoa; phylum Chordata; class Mammalia; order Primates; family Hominidae; genus Homo; species Homo sapiens. The sequence continues at coordinate 166,443,353 of NC_000001.11, forward strand.
CTCCTTAGCATTTCTTGGAGGACAGGTCTGGTGTTGATAAAGTCCCTCGCTTTTGTTTGTCTGGGAAAGTCTTTATTTCTCTTTCAGGTCAGAGGGATTTTTTGCCAGATGTACTATTCTGGGATAAAAATATTTTTCTTTCAGCCCTTTAAATATGTCATGCCACTCTCTCCTGGCCTGTTAGGTTTCCACTAAAAAATCTGTTGCCAGATGTATTGGAGTTCCATTGTATTTCTTTTTTTTCTCTTGCTGCTTTTAGGATTCTTTCTTTATTCCTGACCTTAGGGAGTTTGATTATTAAATGCCTTGAGGTAGTCTTCTTTGGATTTAATCTGCTTGGTGTTCTATAACCTTCTTGTACATGAATATTGATATCTTTCTCTAGGTTTAGGAAGTTATTATCTCATTTAATAAACTTTCTACCCCTATATTTTCCTCTGCCTCCTCTTTAAGGCCACTAACTCTTAGATTTGCCCTTTTGAGGCTATTTTCTAAATTGGTCAGGCATACTTTATTCTTTACTCTTTTTTCTTTTGTCTCATCTGACTGTATTTTCAAATAGCTACAGTGTACCTTCTGCTGCCACAGCTGATGTGGACATCACCCATATATTTATTTATATTATCTTCATGGATGTGACCAATGATATTGATTATTTTAATAGTTTATTTCTGAAAAGTATATCTCTAAAAGATTCTTTCAGCACAGTGTCATTAGTGGCTCCATGACCCTACTGGATTTCACAAGAGCAACCATCTTAAAAGGTTATCCACTAGAGCATATTCCTAATGAAGCGAAGAAGGAGAAGGAGAAGGAGAGAGAAGGAGAAGGAGAAAGGAGAAGAAGAGGGAAGAGGAGGAAAAAAGAAGAAGGAGAAAGAGGAGAAGGAAAAGCAGAAGAAGGAGAAGAAGAAGAAGAAAGGAAGAAGAAGAAGAAGATGATTAGCATTTTTCATATGAAAGGATGTTCTCAAATGCACCTGACTTGAAAAAAAATCACATAGGTACCATCATACCTGCAATATTCCTTCCTAAGCATTCTTATTACTTACCCATCAATCTAACCTCCCAGTCCCACCACTGATTTTCTGTGATATCCATCATATCTTTTATGTTTCTCTTCCATGCACAGTCAAGAAAGCTGGGGATTTTTTTTAAAAAAAACATGCTTGTTCTTTTAATGAATTTAATTCAATGAATGAAAATTTTTTTTGGTCTCTCATTTGATATTTTGGAAACCAGTATTGGAAACAGAATCCTTTGCTAGAATCCGGAACAGACATGGGAGGGTAACACAGTGGCAACAGCACTGGCTTAGGCATCATGAAGCTTGAGTCTAGTCTCGGCTCTTCTTCTCATTAGTGATATGATCTTGGGTCAGTCACTTCTTTCCATTGGACTTTAGTTTCCCCATTTGAAAAACAGAGAAAACTCTATCTGTATTACCTATTTTTTTTTTTTTTTTTAGAAATTCATGAGGTATGTGCATGTTTTTCCCACCATACCCTAGGTCCTTCACTATCACTTCTGTCTTCATCACTTGCTGGGAAAAAGAGTGATTATAGCTGAGAGGAAAAGGGAGCACTAGGAATTCTAATCTTAATCTTCCTGTTTTATTTCCAGTCAAGGCTATTCATTATATTAAAGTTTGAATTTTAATTTTAAACAGCATAGTCCTGGGGAAAGGAAAAAAGGGAAGTTCTATTTTGTATTTAATTTTGCTTGTTAGAGAGCAGAGACTTAGTTACCCCATAGTAAGAGGAATGTCCTTATCCTTAGTGTCATATCCTTCCCTTGACAGCCCAAACACTCATTAACACAGGCTTCCTGGTATCCATAATAGGAGAGACTCAGAATGAGGTTTATGTGATGTGACTGGTAAATTATATTATTTGAAACTTTCAGGGCCATGAATTCCTTATGTTTTAGGATGCTGTGTGCTGCTGTGATGTAACATTTATTTTAATGGCCCCAGAAATGCACTGCTCAATAGTGCAGCAAATTAATGCCATCATCCTGCTTGCCTGAAACTGTAAGAGGCAATTTGAACCACATTTGGTGTTGATAATTATTTTGTAATCTGATTTGCAGAGTTGGAGCAATTATTGGTATGTAGATAACAAATAAATCTTAATAAGAGATATGGTATTTTTTAGAAGGTCCACCATACCCACGTGGTCACTAGAAGAAGAAGAAGGAAGGAGGAATATTTATCTGACTCTTTCCGATTTGATTATTTTGACAGTCAGGAAAGTGGCAGAGGAATTCATGAGAGTAAAAGTGAAAAAAGAGATTCTACCATATATTCCTTCTATGAATAAAAGTTCATTGGGGAGGTGGAGGTTCACTTTGGTCATTGCAACTTATGACTATTGTAGACTACACTTGGCCTTCCTAAAACTTAAATCAACTGAAGTGCTTCCCAGAATAGACTCTGATAGGAGCTGCCTTCAGAGATGATTAAACCTCTCAGTAGCTTCCCATGCTGAGACGGTGGAGCAACCATATAAAGGCACCCTAGATCACTGAGTCTTCCTAGGGAGGGCAGTTGTTCTGTAGAGTTGCCTAGTACTGCGGCTTACCTTTGCACAAGCAGCAGAAATATTTTTGTGTTAGCATCTGAGTTTTGAGAGGTTGTTTGTTATAGCACCATAACCACATTATTCAGCTTGGCTGCCATAGCAAAATATCATAGACTGGGTGGCTAAAACAACAGAAATTTATTTTCCCACAATTCTGGATGCCGGGAAGTCCAAGATCAAACTGCTGGCTAATTCGGTTCCTGTTAGGTGGTCACCTTCTCCCTCTGTCTTCACTTGGCAAATGGAGAACTCTGGTGTCTGGTCCTCTTCCTATAAGAGCATTAATCCTATAATCAGGATCCCACCTTCATCTGAACCCAATCATCTTATCCCAATATCTCCCAAAAGCCCCGTATCTAAATATCATCACATTTGGGATTAGGGCTTCAAAACATGATTCTTGAGGCAGAAGGGAGGAGTGGTGGGAACACAATTCAGTACATGGCAATCCTGGTTAATTAAGTAATGATTAAGGGATGTTTTAGCATCTTCATAACCCCTAACGAGGATTCATACTCTTTTTTAACTTTTGGGTTCAGGGGTACATGTTCAGGCCTGTTACATGGGTAAATTGCATGTCATGGAGGTTTGGTGTACAGATTATTTTTTTTCACACAGGTAATAGTCATAGTACCCAACAGGTAGTTTTTCAGTCCTCTCCCTCCTCCCACCCTCCACCCTCAAATAGGTCCCAGTGTTTATTATTCCCTTCTTTGTGTCCATGTGTATTCAATGTTTAGCCCTCACTTGTAAATGAGAACATGCAGTATTTGATTTTCTGTTCCTGTGTTAGCTTAGGATAATGGCCTCCAGCTCCAACTATGTTGCTGCAAAGGACATTAACTTATTTTTTTTATGGCTGTGTAGTACCCTATGTGTATGTGTATCACATTTTCTTTATTCAGTCTACTGTTGATGGGCATTTAGAGTGATTCCATGTCTTGCTATTGTGAATAGTGCTGCAATGAATATATGTGTGCATGTGTCTTTATGACACAATGATTTATATTCTTCTGGGTATATACTCAGTAATGGAATTGCTGGGTCAAATGGTAGTTCTGTTTTTAGTTCTTAGAGAAATCGCCATACGGCTTTCCACAATAGTTGAATTCTCACCAACAGTGTATGAGCATTCCCTTATACACTCCCACCAACAGTATGTAAACATTCTCTTTTCTCCACAACCTCATCAGCATCTGTTATTTTTTTACTTTTTAATAACAGCCATTCTGACTGGTGTGCGATGGTATCACATTGTGGTTTTAATTTGCATTTCTTTAATGATCATTGATACTGAGCTTTTCTTCGTATGCTTGTTTGGCCACATGTATATCTTCTTTTGGAAAGTGTCTGTTCATGTCCTTTGACCACTTTTTAATAGGGTTGTTTGTTTTTCTTGTAAATTTGTTTTGTTTACTGGATATTAGACCTTTGTCAGATGCATAGTTTGCAAAAATTTTCTTCCATTCTGTAGGCTGCCTATTCACTGTCTTGATAGTTTCTTTTGCTTTGCAGAAACTCTTTAGTTTAATTAGATTCCGTTCGTCTATTTTTGCTTTTGTTGTCATTGCTTTTAGCATGTTGGTCATGAAATCTTTGCTTGTTCCTATGTCTAGAAGGGCATTGTCTAAGTTGTCTTCCAGGGTTTTTATAGTTTTGGGTTTTACATTTAAGTCTTTAATCTGCTTTTGTAAGTAGTATAAGGAAGGGGTCCAGTTTCTATCTTCTGTATATGGCTAGCCACTTATCCCAGCACAATTTTTTGAACAGGGAGTCCTTTCCCCATTGCTTGTTCTTGTCGACTTTGTTGAAGATCAACCAGTTGTAGGTATGTGGACTTATTTCTTGGCTCTCTATTCTGTTTCATTGGTCTACATGTCTGTTTTTTGTACCAGTATCGTGCTGTTTTGGTTACTATATCCCCATGGTATAGTTTGAAGTCAGGTGGCATGATGCCTCCAGCTTTATCCTTTTTGCTTAGGATTGCCTTGGCTATTTGGGCTCTTTTTGGACTCCACGTAAATTTTAAAATAGTTTTTTCTAGTTCTGTGAAGAATATCATTGACAGCTTGATAGGAATAACAGTGAATCTATAAATTGCTTTGGGCAATATGGCCATTTTAATGATATCAATTCTTCCTATTCATAAGCATGAAATGTTTTTCTATTTGTGTCATCTCTGATTTTTGAGCAGTGTTTTGTAATTCTCATTGCAGAGATCTATCATATCGCTGGTTAGCTGTATGCCTAGGTATTTTATTCTTTTTGTGGCAATTGTGAATGGGATTGTGTTCCTGATTTGGCTCTTGGCTTGACTATACCACATTTTCTTTATCCAGTCTGCCATTGATGGACATTTAGGTTGATTCCATGTCTTGGCAGTTTATACAAATTTTGACACCAATTTTATCTCTGCAAATGTTGCCCTGTCTTCTTTGCTATGCTGGAAAATGACTTCAATGGGACTTCTAGCATTATACCCAGAGAAACATGTCATTAACTATCTCCTATGGTTTCTAATGTCCAAATGCCCCACTCTCTGTATGAGTCTATCACACTTCCTCATCTTTCATCTGAGTTCTACTCTGAGTGGAGGAAAAGCTAGGACATGAATGTCTAACCTTTTCACACTATCTTTGTCTCCTTCTCTTTATACCAACCAAGATAGAAAAAATGAGTTTCCACCTTCTCTTCCTGTGTAGCAGATTTCCCTATGTTACATTCTTGTTTTTTCTAAGGAGACTTTTGTTTTGCTCTCTTCCCCTGGGCCATAAGGGTGAGCACAGGGAGAAAAACTGGCTTTTGATAAGGGAAAACAGAAATACCTTATCCATGTTTCCACTATGTGTTTATATGTGTAATTATTTTATTAATGTTATATTCACCACTAGGTAATGAGGTACACGAGGAGAATGATTGAGTCTGTTTTCCTCATATTATATCCCTAGTGACTAGCATATTGCCTAGTACAGAAAAGGAGAGCTATACTTTCCCTTCAGAATGGAGTTGGGTCTATGCCAGGCAGCTGTTCTTGACCTCCATCCTTCGCTCTCCTCTCCAGTGCATCTTTCAGACTTTTCCTTCCAAGCCTGGCTCAATCGGTACTTCTTCCATGATCTCCTCAGTTAGAATGAAAAATGCAAAACAACTAGTGTGACAACACTTATCTCATTCTACCTTGACCTAATTGTTTCTATGACTGTTTCCTCAACTAGTCACAGAGGGCAGATCCCTGTATTATTCACCCTGTATATCCCTCCCCCTCTGTAATGGTTAATTTTAGGTGTCAACTTGACTGGATTGAGGGAAGCCTCAATAGCTAGTAAAGCATTGTTTCTGAGTGTGTCTGTGTGGGTGTTTCCAGAGGAGATTGACATGTGAGTTGATAGAGTGAGTGAGGAAGATCTGCTTTCGATGTGGGCAGGCACCATCCAATTGGCTAAGGGCAGATGGAACAAACGGGCAGAAGAAGGGGGAATTCTCTCTCACTCTTGGGGTAGGATACCCTTGTCCTCCTGCCCTTGGACATCAGAACTCCAGGTTCTTTGGCTTTTGGATTCTGGTACTTGCACCAGTATCCTTCAGGACACTCAGGCCTTTGGCCTTGAACTGAGAGTTACACAATTGCCTTCCTTGGTTCTGAGGCCTTTGGACTTGGACTGAGCCATGCCTTCCAGAAACTTCAGCTTGCATACGGCCTCTTGTGGGACTTCTCATCATCCATAATCATGGGAGCCAATTCCCTTAATAAACCCCCTCTCATATATCTAACTATCTATATCCTACTGGTTCTGTTTCTCTGGAAAATGCTTATTAATACACCCTCCTTACCACCATCAATGGTGCCTTGCTCATTGACTGTGGTAGGTGTTTGATAAACATTTGTTGCATTAAAATAAATTCCCACTCTCATTTTCTCTCTTTTCTGGCTTCTTAGAAGTAGAACCTGAAGAACCCCGTACTATTTCTACATGAATTTTTATTGTACCTATCAGCAGCATCTTTGATCTGTTTGCCAGCCTGACATCTGAGAATGTCTAGCATGGTTCTAGCACAGGAAGAGCTCGGCAAATATTCTGTGCTGATAAATAGATAATGAATCACACAAGTGTCAAGAAAGTTGCCTGGAGTCCCCCACTGGCAAACAGAAGCTGAACTTCTTGTGTGTAGTTTAGCTTCTAATTCACATCTCCTCCTCTCAGGATCCTTTAGTTCAGCAAGCATTTATTTAGCTCAACGACACAAAGAATAATGCTAATAAAGACAAATTCATGACACTGGTTCAGTAAGAGCACTTGGCCTGGCTCTGTTCCATGGCCAGAAACTGAACCACCAGCCATAGCCAGCTTACCTTCTAAATGCAGAACCCTATTACAAAGGGTTCAGACAGGAAAATGATATGCCCAAATGTATATGCCACAGATGATGGACTTGCAGCATTGCTTTTATGAAAGAAGAAATCTTCCTACTAAATGCATTGCATTCCTGAGAAGAATATTAGCTGAAAATCCATTCCACTACCTACTAATTAACCTTAGGGTGGCTAAATCCCTATAGTATTGTATAAACTAGGTCTTTATGCTTGTATCTGGATTATCAAAAGAGCCTCTTACTGGTATCCAAGAAAATGGTCACACTGTCCTCCCATCTATCCTCCACACTGCCTCCAGAACTGTTTTTGAAAAACAAACAAACAAGCAAAAGATGTGTCTGAAAATGAAAGCAACTCTACCAATGGTAGAACAGGCAGGATCCCAGGGTTGAGAGGAAATGTCAAGGGGGTCTAATTTGGTTTCTCACCTCATGCTATGGAACCTGCTGGATGACTGTTCTTTCTAATCAGTACTCTCCAATGAGAGGAAATTCTCTACTTCCTGAGGTAGCCCATCTTTGACCAAAACCTGCTGTTTGTCCATGGCAATAAACAAAATACAATGCTTGAGATTAAAATGGCATATTTTTAAACTGAATTAGAATACCTTACAGTCTGTGCTGAATTTTTTACTTTGAAAGATGAACTGTATTCCAGTTCACTAAAGGTGGACACTCATGCTGCACAATATGAGCTTTTGAGTAGGGAGCTACTGGTTTTAGTCAATAACCTATCAGCTTCCTTCTTTCTAGTTATCAATCCCTTCCCTACTTACCAAACTGTACTTCTCTCCTCCCCTATTGTCTTGGCCTCCTCATCCCTTACTCTTTCCCCTCCTCTTCCCCTCTCTCTTTTTCTCTTTCTGTCTGTCTCTCTCTCTGCCTCTCTTTGTGCTGGGACAGCAAGCCTGATGACATTCTTAAGTTATCATTCAGCTTCCTTGTGATCTGAGTTTAGACCCTGATCACATCAAAGTCCCTGATATCACTGACAGAGCTCTACAAGGGTAGGCAGGACTTTAGCAACCACAAAGAGTTCTCCATAGAAAGAAGCTTAGTTTAAATTAAATAGCAAATGTAAACATGGCTCCAGAATTAGGCTACAAGGCCTCAACATGTGACTTTAGTGGGTAAAAATGTCTTAGATGTGGCTGGAAAAGTACTGCCTACATATGAAGTCTTTAGAAAAGTTATTAAGAATATTTATCTGTGAGTATTTATGGGCTTATAAATATTTTTAATGATAATGAAAATTATTCTTCCTGGAAGCCTAGGGAGAATGGATGATTACTGCTATTTTTCTCATGTTATAGACATATACATCTATTCTGATCATTTATCTTGAATTCTAGAAGAGTTGCTACTCCAGGTGTCATCTTCATGTTTGCTCACAGAATGCAGTATTTGCTTTGCTCAGCAGACCACTGAGCTACATAATTCTTAGCCAAGTATTATCAATATAAGAACCTAATATGTGCGGGGCATAGTAGAAACTCAAAACTGTGTGTTGAGAAAATGAAAGAATAATGCATGACTATACAAAGTTGCATATACTTCTTCACTTCTTCACATAGGCCATAGCCAGGATCACAGGCAGCTCGGTGGACAGTTTCTGTTTCTTATGGTACAGAATGTGCTTCTAGTTTTCCAGTTGCCTTTTATTTATTTTTTTATCAAGTTTACAAGTGCTCATCTAGTTAAGACAAAGCCCATGCAAAAACATCCTGTCAAGAAAGACAGTGCTTTGCTTTGAATCCAGTGGTTACTAACAGCAAGTGAGCTGGGATTGGTGCTCACTCCTCTAAGTCTGCTGTTCTGTACTCATGTACTGATACCTGTGGAAGTGCCCCTGCAGATGATGTGAATCAAGGAGTTCTGGTGTCTATTCTTTGAACCTGCTTTTGTCCTTCTCAACACTTCTGGTGTCATCCACAGAACCACAGAAGGGTGACAAGGCCATCTGGGATTTTCCAGAGGGCAGTTATTCAGGTTCTCTTACCTCTGATCCCTCCACCCCAAGTCTTGTTTTTTCCCTTCTTTTTGCTCAGCAACTGTCTTCAGAGACAGAGGTATCAACTACTTTCTTGAAACTCTGCCTAAAATTCTGTGTGGGAAGAAGGGGTTGTACCACAATTAGTTTGGAGATGCTCATTACACATACTTCTTTATCCTACCTCAATAGTAGTTACCACTTACTAAGCAATTTATGCATGTTAATTCTTTTATTTGTCATAAAAACTCGATTATGTATACATACTATTATTATCACCTCTGTTTTACAAATGCAGAAACCCAGGCACAGAGAGATTAAACAACTTTTCAGTGGTCACATAGCTAGTGATAGAATTGGAATTTGAATACAGGTAGACTAGTTCTAGAACCTTTGCTTTTAACCTCCATGACATGCTGCCTTTTTGAGAGATGATGAAAAGTTTGGTTCTATCTCATATTTATACACATCCCTAAAACCATAGCCATTTATGACTTTTCTTTGCAATAGTCCGCAATCTTCTCCTCTGAGTTAGGCAAGCTGCAATGAGAGTTTGATTATAGCATTTAAAATGCGTATCCAAGTAAATCTACTACGAGGTGTGAAACCCTTCCCTTGGTTAGCTGATCTGGCAGAATAGTTGATTGTACTTAGTATAATGCCAGCAGCCACAGACAGAGAGACATATGACTAAGTATCTCAATTCTGTGGTTCTGGATTTATTTTCAGGAAGAAAAAAAAGGTAGATCCAATTATGTTCAAACCTGCTGCCTGCTTTCCTTCACCATTGACGAATTGCTAGTCAACCCCTTCTTTTCCCAATCTCTCTTTTTATTGGAATCAAGTCAGCCTTTACAAGTGAGAAGTGAGGTTCTTGCCCTTTCTGGCCAGGGTGACTCTCATTCTGTTTGGAATACTTCTCTCTGCTTCACTGTGGTTGCCAGCAGACCCCTGCTCAAAGAAACTCCTCACCAGGCAGCTCTGGCCTTTCCGTCGTTTGTTTTGTTTTGTTTTGTTTTTGAGACAGAGTCTCCATCTGTCGCCCAGGCTGGAGTGCAGTGGCACAATCTTGGCTCACTGCAACCTCCACCTGCCAGGTTCAAGTGAGTCTCCTGCCTCAGCCTCCCGAGTAGCTGGGACTACAGGCATCTGCCACCATGCCTGGCTAATTTTTTGTATTTTTGGTAGAGACAGAGTTTCATCGTGTTAGCCAGGATGGTCTTGATCTCCTGACCTCGTGATCTACCTGCCTCAGTCTCCCAAAGTGCTGGGATTACAGGCGTGAGCCACCACACCAGGCCGCCTCTCCATCTTTAAGATCTCAGGATGCATAGCCAAGCCCACTGGTGCAGAAAATTCCTGATATTCAGAATAGACCAGTAAGAGGTACATAAAACTGTGGGTCAAATAGATTTTAAATCATATTCTAAATTTTTCCTCTTCTAATTTGACAACTTTGAATGGAGTAGTAGTGAGAATCCCTCACTTGGAAAACACAATCATATGGCCACCATCTCAGAATCCAACAAAACTGCACAATGCCTAAGCATAGAATTGAATGGATTGGATTTACAATTGGCTTAGGCCACTCCAATGCAAATGCATTAAAGAGAAAAGAAACACAAAATCAGAATACCAATCCTATATGACTCTACTTCTTTGTTCTGGGCATTTCTATATACATTGTCTCCTCTATCCTCCTAATGATCAAATTAGTTAGGTATTATTATCAATGTTTTACAGATAAGAAAAGTAACAATTATCAAGTTTAAGTAGCCATTCAGGGTTACACTGTTAACTGATGACAGGCAAGATTTGTACCTGGGTTTTTGACCTTTGTATTAGGCTGTTCTCACATTGCTATAAAGAATTACCAGAGACTGAGGAATTTATAAAGAAAAGAGGTTTAATTGGCTCACAGTTCTGCAGGCGTTACAAAAAGCATGGTACTGGCATCTGCTCAGCTTCTAGGGAGGACTCAGGAAGCTTACAATCATGTCAAAAGGTGAAGGGGGAGCGAGAGGTGGGGAGGAGGTGCTACACACTTTTAAATGACCAGATCTCCTAAGAAGTCAGTATCACAAAGATAGACCAAAGCCATGAGAGGTCTGCCCCCATGATCCAAACACCTCCCACCAGGCCCCAACTCCAAAAATGGGGATTACAATTCAATGAGATTGGGGCAGGGGCAAATATCCAAACTATATCAACCTTCATTATAGCAATCTCTTGAATTCACAAGTAATTGTTCAAGGAAGTTTCAAACTGCAATTGATTTTACTGTAAATGCTCTTCAATTAAATACCTTTTTTGAAAAAACAATTATTCTCCATGAAGGTTAGACTAATCAAATATAATCAGTGGATAATCTACCTGATTAATCTTATCCTTTCCAATTTCAGATAAGCTTTTGTGTAACACTCTGTACATCAAACTGACCCCCATGATTAAGTGCAACACCACTGGGCTGCTCTGGTTTACAGTCCATATTGCTGAGCTCCTCATCTACAGGATCATCGATCTTGTATTTTTTTTCTACTTTGTATATTGGGATTTGTGCCAAGAAGATCTTTGAGGATGATGCTAACTAGCTTTCTTTGGAGACCATTACCTTGCCAATAATGCTGATACCTGGCCTTTATAGATATTCTTCCTAGTTCAGTCTCATGCTGTTTATCTTCACGCAGTGCCAGATTTCTACTACTTGGACTATCGTAGTAACTTCATAAGTGGCCTCTGTGCCTCCAATTTCTATCCTTTTGTGCTATTACTTTTAATAATAGAATCCCTTCCCCCATAGACTATGCCTTTGGAATAGTCTAAATTTCTTACTATCTATTGCAAACTCATGAGATTCTTACACTAATATAATTTTCTGGATGTATTGCCTTCTACTCCATCTCAAGATATTTGTTGTAACCAAACTAGTCCCTGCCATTCCCAGGACATATTTTATAATTCCCTTCTCTCACCCTCTTGGCATATGCTGGGTCTCTAATGACCTTGTCCTGTCTCTGTACCTGGTAACATCTATACCTTCTTTGTAACCCAGCTAAGATTCTGCCTCCTTCATGAGACCTTTCTCAGGCTTTACAAGTCCACATGGTGTCTTCATCTCTATTTCCATAGCATTCTGGATTTTTTTTTTTTTACTATTATAGTATTTAATAGTTTCTGTCTTGACTTATAGTTGTTTATAAATATGAGTCAGTCTCACCATTCTGTGACTTCTTTAAAGGAAGGATTATTTCTTATTCATAGTTGTATCCCCTGCAAAGCTTAGTACAGCACCTTGCTAATAATAGGTATTCAGTAAATGTTTGACAACTTAAATATATTCCAATAAAGTTAGTTTCTGACTGTGTGACAAAGGTTATAAAATCATCAAAACTGGCTGTTTAAGAAGTAAGAGCAAAATTATTTTTAGATTCTTCTGTTGTACTGACAGAATTGTATGTTTGATCAGATGCTTTCTTTAATGTAATTTCTTCTGAAACACCAAATAGCTCATGCAAAGGAACTCACAGCAATCTTCTCCTTATTCTAGATGTCACACTTTGTCTGCTTGCTTGATAAGTATTTCAGCATCCTTTGAATAAAAGCAAACTAACTTGCCTTAAATAACCTGAATAAAGTCCATTCTAATGCTTTGTTATGATCTTTTGGCTTGTAGAAACTGAGTTGTTCTCTAAAGTGTCACTAAGATAAAATTCATTTCACAAAATTGATTCCCCCTTGAATTGAATCCATTCAATTGATTCAATATTCACCCTTTGCCTTCCTCCAGATTTTCTTCTTTCTTTCCATTTTCCACGTCTAGTTATAAGAAAGCTTGCTTGAATGAGAAAAGATATAAATATATTATTATTATACATAGAAATATAAATATTAATGTTTCATATAACATATATACATATATCATATGATATATATTATATACTACTATATATAGTGGTATAATGATAGGTATATATTATAGGTATATATTATTGTATATTATATATTATATAAAATGATATATATGTAATGATAGATATATGTTATATACCACTCTATATATATACACACACACATACACACATAAAGAAAAGAGGCTTAATTGGCTCATGGTTCTGCAGACTTTACAGGAGGCATGGAATATATATATATATACACACACATATATAGTGGTATATAATATATATTTATCATTACATATATATATCATACATATATATGTATCAGCAGTGGGAAAAAATCTCCAAAGAATGGCAATCTTTGGAAGCTAGTAATACCATTTTAAGTGGATAGTGATCTTAAAGTGAATGTGTAAGTGATATGCAAATAATTTATAAAATTAACCTACAGTCCTTTGGCCAAAGTGTGCCAGACTGAGCCAAGATCTTTCTTCTTATAGGTCCTTCTGTACCTGCAATTTCCTTGTGTTATGTAAATCACCAGAAAACCCTGGCTGTTCCTGGGCTTATGGATAAACAGGCATATAAAGAACTTGAAATATGTTCTGAGAATAATGAAAATGATAAGGTGGTGAAAAATATTCATAACAGTGAGAGGGTTTCCTTTGCAGCAGGGCCTTCAACATAGCACCTTCCTGTCTGACCTCCCTCCCTATCCCAGTAGCCATGACCAGGCACCCACCAGCTGGTTGTGAACAATAATACCTCCCCTGTACAGTCCCACCTGGACTGGATACTAACCTCATCTCTATTGAGATGATACACAGTAGCCCTCTTCCCATCTCCCTTAGTCTGTGATCAGGAATGTGACATTTGCTTGAATGTCTGCATCTCAGTAGTTTTTCATCTTTTGTGTCATGGTTCCTGAACAGAATCTGGTAAAAGAGATTTATTTTATATCAGAAAAATGCACATACCCCTCAAAGCTTTGCATATAATTTTGGGGGTTTATAGACTCCTTCAGTCCAGTCCATGGATTCTAAGCTTATAATCTCTGTACTACACTGTAAACTCTGTGAGGGCAGAGATTGTACCTTATATATATTTGTATTCCCAATGAACATGGCAATGCTTGGTAAATGCTTGATGAACTAATAAAAATAAGAAATTTGAACAATTATTATATTTTCAAGAAAAATGAGGAAAGACCTGCTCTATTCATTACAAGAATGTCTATTGCATTTAGCTGTTATGGCTGCTGGTCTCGAGCGCCATTGAGTATACCAAAAGGGGAAATAGGATTACTTAGTAACTGGACATAATTGAGCTAGATACAAAGAAGGCCTTCCCAGTAGGAAGGTTAGGGGTTTCACATTAAGTGACTGTAAAAGAAAGGTGAACTTCCCGAGGTTGCCTTTAGAGTGGTGCTGTTCTCTGTGGTTGGGCAGAACTATATCAAGGCAGGGGAGCCAGGCTGGTGAAGGGCTCTCCAGCCTCGAGATTCCAGTGGGTGTTGTTTCCACCACACGCAGGGTCTTTGAAAAACACCAAACTTCAAAATGAGCTCTTTGTTCCTAGAGTTCTAATCTGAGCCCAAACACCAGGTTAAATGGGACATCAAAGCAATGTCATACTACATGACCAGAGCCACACTGAGAGGCGTGGGAAGAAATCCACTTGGAGGAGGGTGAAGTGGGGACTGAATTTAGAGGAGAGTTTAAATGACATGAGAGATGGAAGTTTGGTCCCAAGCAACCAAGTAAACAAGATAACAGGGAGAAAGAGGTATCTGCTGTAGTTAGGACTTGGTAGATTTCCAGTCACCTCTTATTCTCCAGCCCAGAGTTTATCCTCAGGGTTAGGGAGGAGCAGAAATCATCCAAAAGATCCAAGGGGTTTTGCCAACATTATTCAAGGCCTGAAGCAGCTCTGCAGTTTAAAATCAAGTATGGGAATGCATCCAAAGACTACTGGAGTCTCAGAAGAAGCTGTTGGCAATTCTTTCTCTGTCTTCCTGCTCATTTCCTTCTCTAGTTCACCTTTTCTCTCTTCATCATCTCCCCATGTATTCCCCTTCCAACTAAATTTTTTTGCTCTTCTAGGTATTGTGGTGTATCAGAAACAAAATATCCCAGTGCTTCTGCCAGCAGGATGATTTTGGGCAACTCACTTCACTTCTCTTAACCTCATTTTGTCACTTGTTAAACAAGAGCATTTGACTGAATAATTTCTAAGTTGTGATGATATATAAATGGTTAATGCCTCTCCTCTCTTGCCTTCTTCTCCTATATTTTATCTCAATTTTTAGGCACTGGAGAGGGCATCTCTTAGAGCTAAAATATTTTTCATGACTAGTAGGGCATCATATTAACAGTAATAGCTGTAACAGATTGTATTTTCCAGAGATGGCCATAACAATACACCCAACCCATATGCTCTTATACAACATGGCATTGACATATGTTCCATTAGGTAGTGAGATCTGTGTTCCTTCCCCTTGAACTTGGGAGGACTTTGTGACTCCTTTGACCAGAAGAATACACAGTAAGTGACCCTGGGCCAAATTCTGGGCCCAGGCCTCAGGAAACTCACAGCCTCTGATTCCTGACTTTTGGGACACTGATTTGTGGCAACTTTCTCCCATGCTGGGAGAAAGCCATGAAGCCATATGGAGAGGCTCCATATAGGTATTTGGGTCAATAGCCTCTGTGGAGCTCCCAGTCAACAGCCATCTTCAACCCCCAGAACTGTGAAAGAAGCCCTCAAAGGATCCGAGCACACAGCCGTAGAGTCGCTCCTAGGCTCTAAGCCTAGGCCTTCCCAGCTGAGCCTTCTCTGTGGAGCAGAGATCAGCCTTCCCTATTATTCACTTTGCAAGTCCCTGATTCATAGACCTGAAAGCATAACTGAATGATTACTGCTTTATGTTATTAAGTTTGAGTGATTTGTTAGGAGAGCAAAGAGTAACAGGAGGAATAGCTAACCTTTATTGAGTGCTTACTGTGTGCTTAATACTGTTCTAAATGATTCGCATGTATAGTAGTCCTTTTTTGTTGTTATAAAGGAATGTCTGAGGTGGGGTAATTTATTTTAAAAAGAGTTCTATTTGACTCATGGTTCTGCAGGCTGTACAAGAAGCATGGCACCAGCATCTGCTTCTGATGTGGGCCAAAGGAGGCTTCCAATCATAGAGGAAGGTGAAGGGGGAGAAGGTGTGTCACATGGTGAGAAGGGGAGCAAGAGAGATACCAGGCTCTTTTAAACAACTGGTTCTTGTGTGAACTCACAGATCAAGAACTCACTCATCACCAAGTTGGTGGCACCAAGCCATTCATGAGGAACCCAACCCCATGACCAAAACACCTCCCACTAGGCCTCGCCTTCAACAATGTGGGTCACATTTCAACATGACATAGTTTAGAAACATGCAAACTATGTCAGCATGCTCATTTAACATTCAGAATAATTTTATGAGATACTATTGGTCTCATCATTTGCTGAGGGGAAACTGAGGCACAGGGAAGTTAAATAGTTTATTCATATTTACACATTTGGTAATCCAACAGAGGTAGTCTGGACTTGGGGTCCTGCATACTTAACCAGTATGCTATAATGCTACTCGAAAATAAGACTTTTGAGAAGATACATTTTTAATTTTTTTATTTTTAATTGACCAATAATTATTTATTGAAATATACACTATTAATCATAATTATCATCACCAATAGATCACCAGAACTTATTCCTCCTACCTAGCTGAAATTTTGTACTCATTGACCCACATTTCCCCTTTCCCTGTCTACTCCCACACTCCCACCAGGCTCTGGTTACCAGTATTTTACTCTCTACTTCTATGTATTCAGTCTTTTTAGATTCCACATATAAGTGAGATCATGCAATACTTGTCTGTCTGTGCCTGGCTTATTTCACTTAGCATAATGTCTTCTAGGTTCATCCGTGTTGTTGCAAATGCAAATGACAGGATTTCCTGCTTCTTAAGGCCCAATAGTATTTCATTATGTATTTATAGCACACATTTTTTTTTAAGACGAAGTTTTGCTCTTGTCACTTAGGCTGGAGTGCAGTGGTATGATTTCAGCTCACTACAATCTCTGCCTTCCAGGTTCAGGTGATCCTCCTGCCTCAGCCTCCCTAGTAGCTGAGACTACAGGCACATGCCACCACAGCCGGCTAATTTTTGTATTTTTAGTAGAGACGGGGTTTTACCATGTTGGCCAGGCCAGTCTCTAACTCCTGACCTCAAGTGATCCACCTGCCTCGGCCTCCCAGAGTACTGGAATTACAGGCATGAGCCACCATGCCTGGCCGTATAGCACACTTTTTAAATCCATTCATCTGTTGTGGGCACTTTTGTTGTTCCCGTATCGTGGCTATTGTGAGTAATGCTGCAATAAACATGAGAGTGCAGGCATCTCTTCAACATACTGATTTCAGTTCCTTTGGGCATATGCTCTAGAAGTGAAATTGCTGGATCATTGGGTAATTCTATTTTTAGTTTTTTGAGGAAACTCCATACTGTTTTCCAAAATGGCTGCACTAATTTACATTTCCACCAACAGTGTACAAGGATTCTCTTGTCTTCACATCCTTGCCAATACTTATCTTTTATCTTTTTAATGATACTCATAGCCAATCAAACAGGTGTGAGGTGATCTCTCATTGTGGTTTTAATTTGCATTTCTCTGATAATTTGAGTTGTTAAGTAGTTTTTCATATATCTATTCAGGTCCTTTGCCTCTTTTAAAATAGGGTTGTTTTCCTGTTATTGAATAATTTGAGTTCCTTGTATATTTTGGATATTAGCCCTTTATCTGATGTATGATTTGCAGATATCTTCTCCCAATCTGTGTGTTGTCTCTTCACTCTATTAATTCTTTCTTCTGCTGTGCAGAAATTTAATAGTTTGATATAATCCCAATTATCTATTTTTGCTTTTATTGTCTGTACTTCAGGGTTTTATCCAAAAAATCACTATCTAGACCAATGTCATGGAGCTTTTCCCTTATGTTTTCTCCTAGTAGTTTAATTTCAGGTCATACATTTAACTCTTTAATCCATTTTGAGTTGTTTCTTGTATAAAGGGTGAGATAAGGGTCCATTTTCAGTCTTCCACATGTGGATTTCCAGTTTTCCCAATACCATTTATTGAAGAGACAGACTTTTCCTCATTGTGTGATCATATGGCTCTTATTCTTCATTCTCTTTATGTGGTATATTATATTAATTGATTTGCATATGTTGAACCATCCATCCTTGAATCCCACTTGATTATGGTGAATGGTCCTCTTAATATGTCGTTGAATTCAGCTTGCTAGTATTTTGTTGAGGATTTTTGCATGCATATTAATCAGAGATATTGGACTGTACTCTTCTTACCTCATAGTGTCTTTGCCTGGCTTTGGTATTGGGGTAACGCTGAGTTCATAAAACTGTAGTAATAAATATTCCTTTCTCTTTGGTCTTTTGAAAGAGTTTGAGATGAATTGGCTTTAATTCTTCAAATGTTTGATAGAACTTGCCAAAGAAGTCATTTGGTCTTGGGCTTTTCCATCTTGGGAGGTTTTTTATTAATGATTCAAACTCTGTTCAGACTTTCTGTTTCTTCATGATTAAGTCTTATTAGGTTGTATGATTCTAGGAATTTATCCATTTCTTTTAGGTTAACAAGTTCATTGATATATAATTGCTCATAGTAGAATATTATGATCCTTTTTATTTCTGTGGCTTTCATTGTAATGCCTTCTCTTTCATTACTTATTTTATTTATTGAGTCACCTCACTTTTTCTTAGTTAGTCTAGCTATAGGTTTGTTAATGTTTTTAACTTTTCAAAAATCTGTTTGTTTCATTGTTTCTTTTTCTGTTTTTCTGTTTTCTATTTTGTTTACTTCTATTCTAATCTTTATTATTTACTTCTTTCTGTTAACTTTTGGTTTAGTTTGTTCTTTTTCTAATTCCTTAAGGTAAAAAGTTAAGTTGTTTTTTGGAGATCCTTCTCTTTTAATGTAGGCATTTGTCACTGTAAAATTTCCTTGTAGTACTGCTTTTGCTGTATCCCATAAGTTATTGTATATTGTATGCTTATTTTCATTTGTCTCAAGGTATTTTCTGATTTCCCTTTGATTTCTTCTTTGACATATTGGTTATTTTAAAAACTGTTGTTTCATTTCCACATTTTTGTGATTTTTTTTTCAATTTTTCTTCAGCTATTGATTTCTAGTTTCATTTCATTGTGGTTGGAAAATATACTTTGTGTGACTTGAAGTTTCTTAAATTTGTTAAGACTTGTTTTATGACCTAGCTTGATCTATCTTGGAGAATTTTCTGTGTGCACTTTAGAAAAATGTATATTCTACATTGTTGGGTTAAATGGTCCATAAATATCTATTAGGTCCACTTTTGTCTACTGTGTTGTTCAATCATTGTTCCTTTGTTGCTTTTCTGTCTGCTTGTTCTATTTATTATTGAAAGTGGGGTATTAAAGTCTCTTAATATCATTGTATTGCTGTCTATTTTACCCTTCAGGTCTGTCAGTGTTTGCTTTATCTATTTAGGTGCTCTGATTTTGTAGCATATATATTTATAATTGTTATACCTTTCCGGTGGATTAATTCTTTTATTACTACATAATATTCTCTTTTTCTCTTGTGACAGTTTTTTACTTAAAGTCTGTCTTTTCTTAAATAAGTAAGACCATCCCTGTTCTTTTTTGGTTATCATTCACATTGGAATAACTTTTTCCATCCCTTTACTTTCAGTGTATGTGTGTCCTTAAATCTAAAGTGAGTCTCTTATAGACAACACATAGTTGATTTTGTTTTTTGTTAATCTATTTAGCCACTCTCTGTCTTTTGGTTGGGGAGTTTAATCCATCTACATCTAAAGCAATTATTGATATGGTTAGTTTTATGATTGCTGTTTTGCTTATTATTTTCTATTTGTCTTGTAGTTCTTTTGCCTCTCTTTTCTTCTTGCCATTTTTCTTTGTGTTTTATTGATGTTTTTGTATTGATATACTTTGATTCTGTTATCATTTACTTTTCTGTAACTTCTACAGATATTTTCTTTGTGGTTACTATGGGGCTTACCTAAAATATCTTATAATAGTCTATTTGAAGTTTATAACATGTAAACTTCAATTACATACAAACACTTGACACTTTTACTCCGTCTCTATGCTTTATGTTACTGATGCAGTCATTTATAGCTACTTATATTGTGTATCTATTCACATATTTTTAAGTTATAGTATAGTATATATTATATAGTATATATAATAGTATATATTATATAGTATACATAATAGTATATATTATATAGTATACATAATAGTATATATTATAATATACATAATTGTATATATCATATAGTATACATTATAGTATATATCATATAGTATACATTATAGTATATATCATATAGTATACATTATATAGTATATATCATATAGTATACATTATAGTATATATCATATAGTATACATTATAGTATATATCATATAGTATACGTAATAGTATATATCATATAGTATACGTAATAGTATATATCATATAGTATACGTAATAGTATATATCATATAGTATACGTAATAGTATATATCATATAGTATACGTAATAGTATATATCATATAGTATACGTAATAGTATATATCATATAGTATACGTAATAGTATATATCATATAGTATACGTAATAGTATATATCATATAGTATACGTAATAGTATATATCATATAGTATATATTATATAGTATATATCATATAGTATATATTATATAGTATATATCATATAGTATATATTATATAGTATATATCATATAGTATATATTATATAGTATATATCATATAGTATATATAATAGTATATATCATATAGTATATATAATAGTATATATCATATAGTATATATACTATACTATATTATATATAGTATACATAATATAGTTATATATTATATAATATAGTATATATTTTTCTTTTAAATTATATTTTAGAATTAAAAGTGATTTATCCACCACCATTACAGTAATATAGTATTTTATTTGTCTATGTATTTGCGTTTACCAATGAGTTTTACACTTTCTTATGTTATTGTGTTTCTGTTTAGCATTCTTTCAAGTCAAAGAACTCCATCTAGCATTTCTTATAAGGCAAATCTAGTAATAACAAATTCCCTCAACCTTTGTTTATCTGAGAAAGTCTTTACCTAGTCTTCATTTTTGAAGGATAGTTTTGCCATTATAGTATTTTTTGATAGGAATTTTAATCTTTCAGCATTTTTAATGTCATTTCATGCCCTTCTGACCTGCAAGGTTTCTGCTGCAAAAATTTACTGATAGTCTTGTAAGGGTTCCCTTGTGTGCGACAAATCACTTTTCTCCTGCTGCTTTCAAAATTCTTTCTTAGTCTTTGATTTATGTCAATTTGAATACCTTAGTGTGGATGGTTTTTTCTTCTTAATTTTTCCTTATGTGTAATCAAAATGTATCAGTGTGGATTTCTTTGGGTTCCTTGATCTGGATATTCATTTCCTTCCTCAGATTTGGAATGTTTTCAGCTACTATTTCTTTGAATAAACTCTTGGGTGTTTTCTCTCTTTCTTCTGAGATTCCCATAATGTGTATTTGGTCTGCTTGATGGTGCCCCATAAATCCCTTAAGCTATCTTCACTGTTTTGATTCTTTTTTTCTTTTTGCCCCTCTGAGTGGATAATTTCAACTGACCTGTTTGCTGATTCCTTTTTCTGCTTGCTCTTGTCTGCTGTTGAGTCCCTCTTTTGAATATTTCAGTTCAGTTATTATGTTATTCAGCTCCAATATTTCTGCCTGATTATTTTAAAATTTTTCCATCACTTTATTTTAAATTCTGTCTTTGTGCTTTGTTCTCCTGAGCTCATTGAGCATTTTTATTATGGTTATTTTGAATTCTCTGTCAGGTAATTTATATATCTCCATTTCATTAGGTTTTGCAGTTTTATCTTGCTCATTTGTTTGGATTGTGCTTCCTTGTTTCTTTATTTTCCTTAATTTTTTGTGTTGAAACTACACATTAAAGAAAAAAAACCTGCCACCTCTTACAGTCTTTACAAATTGACCTTATTTGGAGAACACGTTCACCAGTCAACCTGGCCACAGCTTCTATGGGCCTCTCAAATTTTCATGCTAGTCCAAACTGACATCTTTTTTCTTAGCAGTGGCTAAGAAAACACACTCTGTGTGTACAGAGTGCCAAGTCCCATCAGCACTCTGAGACAGGTGGGACAAAAACCAATCCTTTGGCTAGGCCCTTAAAAAGTTGGAATGCTGGATGCATAGTCTAACTCTTTCTCTCCCCAGGAAGAAGATGTGAGGTTGTGTTCTAATTTGCTTTCTCTGTGCTGTGAGGAGGAGCTGCAGTGAATGCCTACACACTTGTTCAAACCTCCACTTTGTTCCTCATAGTGCCCAAGAGTCTAGCATATACTAGGACTCATCAGCATTCTGAAACAGGCAAGATAAAATCCAATTCCTTTGGTAGCACCAGAAAAAAATTGGATGCTAAATACGTGGTGCATCTCCTTTGCTGCTCAGGGAAGAGCTGGGAACTAGAGGTTCCCTCCAGATCATATGGAACTGTGATGGAGATAGGGATTTGGCAACAAGGTGTCTCCACTTTTCCTATCAGTTTTATTGTGACTGATTTTTCACTTGCCCAGAGTACAGTAGCCTCTCAACTAGTTTTTAGATTTCCTTAAAGGGAATTGATCCTTGTGTTGCTGTTGAATTGGTGTGTCTGTGGGAGGAAGAAGAGTCAAGGGCTTTCTATTCTTCCATCTTGTTGAAATCTCCATTTCTTTTCTTGTAGATGAAGTGAGGAGACCCAAAGAGGTTATATGAGTTTTTAATATACATACAGCTGGTTGGGGGAAGATTGAGATTTGAACCCAGGCCCATAAAAGTCTAAAGACTGCACGTATCCTGTTAAAGTACCCACCTTCTCACTAGGCCATGTGGACAATAAGAACCGGAAAGATGAAGAAACATGAAAGTAATATAAATATTTTTTTCCTTATTATACAAAGGTCCCAATAACATAATAAAACTTAATATCAGACTGTAAGCTCACCCCATGAAAGGATGAAATTGTGCTTTACTTTTGATTCCTCATTACTTAACACAATATCTGGTATATCATAGGTGCTTTATAAATGTTTGTTTAATATATGAATATGACATTTTATAGTTGTTATATATTAATGTGGTTTCTTATTATTCAGGTAAACAAATATTCATTTATTCAGCATGTATTTAGCATATGCTATGTGCCACATAATAGTTTACCTTGTAGGATTATAGTTTTTAAGGAGGAAAACCAAGTTCCTGCTCTTATAGAACTTAAATTTTAGTGGGCAGATAAAAAAAAACTGTGTGCGTGCGTGTGTGTGTGTGTGCACGTGTCCCTGTGTGTTATATCCACAAATATATACATATATAGAGATAGATTGGAAGATAGACATTTAAGTTGAAGGCTGAATAAATAGGAGATGGCTATGTCAAATCCAGAAGGAAAAGCTTTCTAGGCAAGATTGTATGAAGGTGTGCTTGAGGAACAGTAAGAAAGCCAGTAGGCTTTTGAAAATGGAAATAAGCCCAGTATGTTTGAGGAAGAGTAAGAAAGCAAGCAGGCTAGAAAGAAGGATGAGAAGAGTGGCATGAGGGGTCAGAGTGATAGTAGGGGCCAGATCATGCAGGGGCTGGATTTTATTCTGTGGATGATGTGAAACCATTGGGTGGTTTCAAGCAGGAAGAGATGTGATCTAAATTACATTTTTAAAAGATGACTAGATACTGTGTGAAGAATAGACTGAAGGAAATAAAGTGGATCAGGAAGAACTGTTTAGAAGTCATCACAGAAACCCAGGCAAGAAGATGATAGTGGTGGTTTAGACTAGGGTGATGGCAGCATCTGATATAGAGAAATGGAAAAATGTTAGATATTTTCAGGAGGCAGAGTCAATATGATTTCCTGTCATATTGGTTATGAGGGATGAAGGAGTCAAAGGAATCCTGGAAGGCTTCTAGTTTTGGGTGAAGCACTTGGGGGGACGATAGTGCTATTCGATGAGGTGGAGAAGATGGTAGATGTCACCAGAGACTGAATGTGTACATAATGACAATGGTTGCCATTTTCCTAGAATGGGGTCATGTATGAGTACCCATATTTTATTAATGACCTTAGTGAGGCTAAGAGACATTAAAGAATGTGCCCAAAACCATTCAGCTAAGAAGAGGAGGAGCCTGGATCAGAATGCAGATTGTCCAACTAAAAAGATCTTCTATCATTAACCACACAGACTCCCAGCATGAACCAGTTTTTCCCCAAGGCCTTCATCCTGTGTACATATTTTTCCTGGATTTTTCTGCCCCCTGCTCAATGTAGTTAAGAAAGGGATTACTATTCAGGAAGCTGCCATGTTCAATTAAACTCAACAAAATCTATTGGACACAATGTAATCTATTGATTACGTTGATTCTGTGGAAGGTCTCTGGGGGGAATATTAAAAATAGGAAATAGGCACTGCCCTCAAGACACTGTGGAAGTGAATGACTCTTTAAAAAAATTTTCTGAGCAGAGGAGTAAAATGCTTTAAGAGGCAGAGGAGGGAGGAAAATTCTGATAGGAGGTGGGGCTGGCAGGGATTGGGGAAGACCTGTGGGAGGCAGTAGCATTTGAGCTGGCTCCTGAAGGCAGGGTGGTAGTTGCAGGAGAAGTGGCATTTCAAACCAAAGCGATAGCTTGAGCAAGAGCAAAGAGGGATCTGCAGGTATCTGGAACACAGGAGAGGTAAGGAGTAGTGGTTAGAGCATGAACACTGCCACAAGAATACTGCAGTTTTAGGTTCTACCGTTGACCTCTTGTGTGACCTTGGGCAAGTTATTTACTGTTGCTGGGCCTCAGTTTCTTATTCTGTAAAATGGTGATAATAGCATCTACTTCCTAGGGCTCTTATGAGATATAAATGAGTTAATGAATTTGAAGTGCTGAACACAGTTCTTAGCTTACAGAAAGTACCATAGGTCACCTGTGGGTAAATGTAGGGGAAAGAAAGCCAGAAAGTTGGAAGCAAGTCTTGGAAGGCCTTGAATGCCATATTGAAGATTTTCAACTTTGTTCTGCAGGCCACAGGGACCCATCAAAGGGTTACTGAACAGGCAGTAACAAGAGAAATACCTCCAAACACGGTATATGTAGAGAGATAGGGAGCAATTGACCAGTTAGAAGGTTGTCAAATTTCCTTACTAAGGTGCATGTAAATTTTTCTGAGAGCCTGTGAATGTACCTTATACTTTCATTCATTCACAAATGTTATAATTTAAATCAAAATGAATCAAAGGCTGATTTAGCATGTTGCAAAGAGGCTATGACTAGATGTAGTTACTGAGGAAAATATTTTAATTTTTCCTAAAATGATTCAGCAGTGGAAATTCATATAATGTAGAAATGTCACACTAGCTAAGACTAAAGGCTCATCAGGTAAGATAAATTTCTGTGCAAATATTTTTCCAAAGTGGAGGTAAGGAAAGAGTTTACTCTCTTTTTTAGAAATGAGGGCAGGAATAGTATCAACATGAGCAAAGGGGAAACAACCTTCCTTTGTTTTTTTTTAAATAATCAGGTTGACCCAGAAGCAACCCTCAACCATACAACATTTTTCTCCCAGGCTGCTACTAAAGGGAGATAAAAACAGAGAAGAGCAAAGTGACCAGCACACTTTCTTTTGAGATTGAAAAAATTTGTGTGTTTGTTTGTTTTACCACAGCTCTTCTCTTAGCGAATTGTTTTTCTTTTTAATGTGAATTAGTGACGTTATTTCCTCATAAATGTTTTATAAGCAACTTAACAGTAACTCATAAGAAAATTGCTTTAGCAAAAATAGAGGAAACTGATTGAAGAAAACAAGACTTGCTGTCTGCAAAGAAATACCTAAAACAACTTTTTTGAGCATCCATAGAAGTAAGGATGCTGAGTTTCAGAGCCCAGAGCATCATTAAAACTGAGAAAGTTGTTGGCCAGAGGAAAGAATTACCTGCTAAGGTGTGTATCTGTTTGACCTGATGGCTGCAATTGAACTTAATATAGTACCTGAGTGAGCATTTATTTCATTATTGTAGCTATTGGCAAATGTACTTTTTTTAAAAGCAAGCATTTACTGTCTTATTTTAATGTGGCTCTTTACAATATAGTCTCCCAGACTGAAGAAAAGTAATCTGTGGCTTGATATGTTGGACTGTGACCTAACTTTGGGCAAAAAACAAATCTTATTACCTCATACAATTCTGGCAATGATTTCTTGGTTTAAGTTCAAAACATGCAAACTGTCTCAAGAGAATTAGATGTTAGCAATTGTATTGGGGTATGAAGTATCTGATTTGTAAGGCTGTATATTTTACAACCACTAGATACTGGTTGAAATCATTGTGACTTTTTTATTGCTTTGATAAATGACGGCCTTTTAAGGGTGGTGACTTTCTTGCAATCTGCTTTTGTAAGCTCATACCTACACTTTTTTAAAAAAAAACATTTTTATGTTTATTTGTCCTGTTGTTATCATAGTAAGTTAATAGCCTTTGCTTTACCACTTCATTTTTGTTGTCTATGATCATAAAAAGCCTGACGGATCAATATGAGGCTTTTAATGTACTTTTTCTGCCTTTTTCATTAAAGGTTTGTAGCCAGAGTATTAAAATGCAGTTGAGACATAATCTCTTTTGAGCTTGGTTCCCATAAAGTGCTTCCCAGGGAGAGAGAGGGTCGCTGGCAGTAAGGGTCTACACATGCTAGCTTTCATAATACAAAGAAGGGGAGCTTCCGCTCCAGCAGTTTTATGAAATTTTTTTCTCAAGGATTAGAGAATGTTGAGCAGATGTTTACTGCATCCTCCACTGTGCATTCTAAAGCATTGTCCTCATTTGAATGTTTAGTTCTCATTGAAAGGCATGGCTCATATTGCTGAGTTTATTCAAGGGCACATCTGTGGTGTGCTGGCAAATGATGAATAACAGGCTCTGGGGGCAGAGGATAGCCCTGATTTGTAGTGTTTGCTGAGTTCTAAGGTGTAAATACTCCCACCAAGGCCAATTTCAAGCTACCAAATGACTCATTGAACACAGAGTTAGGAAGAGATGCACAGTAGCACATCATTATGCAGTAGTTTCATCGTGCAAATACAATACATAGAAGTAACTTTATAAGTGTTGATAATAGCAACATGTAGTAATTAGGAAGTAATGGTTTTGAGTTTTTCTTGTCTTTGGTTTTCATAGAATTGGTTCGTAAGTTTATATCATTTAAGAATTGAGCAACTGCCTTGACAAATTCTTGGAAACTTAACAATTGGGTCTGACCAACCAATCCCAGCAGGCTTTGTCTGATCTAAGTGACCTTTCTCCTGTGTAAATGACTACTTTCACAATGCTTCTGACTCTTAGGGGAAAAAATCCCTGCATCCAGTTTCTGGAAAGCTGCTTTCGTTTACTGGAGGCACTCAATAAAGCAAAGTCAGTAGAGGCAGTCATGATTCAAAGGGCAGACCACCTGGGCAAAGTGTTGGGGAGGTATTGGGCAGGTCTCACCACCCACATTGGCTTCTATGGCAATGGCCCAGCAAGCAGTGATGTTGCACCATGAGATGACATGTAAATTATACAATACAGGTTCAATAAGTCAGCCCCAAAATTCAACTTAAAGAGGATGTGATATGTATTCATTGTATGATATACTATTTATTTATCCTATTCTCTTCATGGGAGTATAGGTAGAGAATGTGACTTTAGATCAGTAAGAAGAAATTTTCACATTATTCTTGCTTTAATAGTACATTTTAGTGCCATTTACTGAGCTACACTGTCTTTGGTAATACATTCATTTATTCATTCACTCATTCCTCCCATATTTACTGGGTCCCTATGGCAGGCAAGAGGTAGTCTTAGGCATAGTATATTTAAAGACAAGTAAACTAGCCTTATGTTCTGGAGGTCACAGTCTAGTGGAGAGACAAATACATACACAAATCACAATTTAACTTGCCAATTAATATTTTAGTACAGATGTAAACACAGTTTTATGTTAGCAATAGAGCTGAACAACAGGTTGAGATATTTAATATGATACTTCCTAAAAATATCGAGGGACTAAGTGTAAGGTCCTCTGAACAGGCTACACTGTGGTCGAGCCATTGTGACCCCTGTGACCCACACGTATAGGCTTCCTGGAGTCACAAAGCCTGGAGCAACAGGAGATCCACTAAAGAAGAAGAAACAGCTGGTTCCTGTCTTAACTGATTAACCAACCTTGCAACATTCCACCATTGTGATATGCTCCTGCCCTACCCTAAGTAATCGATCGACCTTGTGATATCGTGCCTTGTGACCTCCCCCCACCTCGTGACTATGCACCTTGTGACATTCTTCCCCTGCCCAAAAAAACTGCCCCTAACTGTAACTTTCCACTACCTACCCCAAACCAATGAAACCAGTTCCACTCCCACCACCCTTCGCTGACTCCTTTCTCGGACTCAGCCCACTTGCACCCAAGTGAATAAACAGCCTTGTTGCTCACACTAAGCCTGCTCAGGTGGTCTCTTATACAGATGAGCTTAACAGTAAGTAATAGTTTAAAGGAATATCCCAAGAGGGGCGTGATGAAGAAAGGACCCAATATTTCAGACTAATTGTATGTCCTGCACAAATTCCCTGCTCCTACCTCAGTAAAGCCCCACTGATAGTGGCTTCTGAGTTATTTAGTCAGCACCCTTTGTAGGAGGGGCTCTATAGCAGTGTTCACTGCTCTGTACTCTGAGCTCACTGGCACTCAGGTTATACCTAAATCATGGCACAGAGTTCCAACTCGCTAGCTCAAAAAATTAGGGTTATTTTGAAGAGACAGAGGGCTTTAATACAGCAGTTCTGAAAAGCTAAGGATGCTGTATTTCCTTCTCATGGACTAGGACCATTACCTTTCTGTTTTTCTTTGACTGCACGACTCTGCTCTCTCGCTGCTGGATGGAATTCTCATTTTACCTTACATAAAGCACATAAAGGCTGCCCTTGCCTCCTCTCTAGCTTTGTAACTCTCTTTTTGGCCTCTCCCACTCATTGCTAACTCTTAAAAGTGTTAGTAGCTATATTTGTCCGTTTTCACACTGCTGATAAAGACATACCCAAGACTGGACAATTTACAAAACAAACTTATTGGTCTTACAGTTCCCAACTATCCCCCAAAGTTTTAACTCATTTCAGCATTAACTCAAAAGTCCACAGTCCAAAGTCTCATCCAAGATAAGGCAAGTCCCTTTTGCCTATGAGCCTGTAAAATCAAAAGCAAGTTAGTTACTTCCTAGATACAATGGGGGTACAGGCATTGGGTAAATACAGCCATTCCAAATGGGAGAAATTGGCCAAAACAAAGGGGCTACAGGCCCTGGGCAAGTCTGAAATCCAGTGGGGCAGTCAAATCTTCAGGCTTCAAAATGATCTCTTTTGATTCCATGTCTCACATCCAGGTCATGCCTATGTAAGAAATGGGTTCCCATAGTCTTGGGCAGCTCTGTCCCTGTGGCTTTGCAGGGTGCAGCTTCCTTCCTGGCTGCTTTCATGGGCTAGCACTGAGTATCTGTGGCTTTTCCAGGTGCATGGTGCAAACTGTTGGTGGATCTACCATTCTGGAGTCAGGAGGACAGTGACCCTCTTCTCACAGCTCCACTAGGCAGTGCCCCAGGAGGGACTCTGTGTGGAGGCTCCAACTCCACATTTCCCTTCTGCACTGCTCTAGCAGAGATTCTCCATGAGGCGCCTGCCTCTGCATCAAACTTCTGCCTGGGCATCCAGGCATTTCCATACACTGGTGTTCCCAAACCTCAATTCTTGACTTCTGTGCACCCGCAGGCTCAATACCATGTGGAAGCTGCCAAGGTTTGGGGCTTGACCCCTCTGAAGTCACGGCTTGAGCTCCATGTTGTCCCCTTTCATCCATGGATGGAGTGGCTGGGAAGCAGGGCACCAAGTCCCTAGGCTGCACACAGCATGGGGACCCTGGGCCAGGCTGCGGACGAAACCATATTTTGCTATTAGGCCTCTGAGCCTGTGATGGGAGGGGCTGCCATGAAGACCTCTGACATGCGCTGGGGACATTTTCCTCATTGTCTTGGTGATTAACATTTGGCTCCTTGTTACTTATGCAAATTTCTGCAGCTGGCTTGAATTTCTCCTCAGAAAATGGGATATTTTTTCTATGGCAGTGTCAGGCTGCAAATTTTCCCAACTTTTATGCTCTGTTTCTCTTTTAAAACTTAGTGCTTTTAACAACACCCAGGTCACCTCTTGAATGCTTCGCTGCTTAGAAATTTCTTCCACCAGATACCCTAAATCATCTCTCTCAAGTTCCAAGTTCCACAAATCTCTAGGGCAGGGACAAAATGCTGCTAGTCTCTTTGCTAAAACATAGCAAGAGTCACCTTTACTCCAGTTCCCGACAAGTTCTTCATCTCCATCTGAGACCACCTCAGCCTGGATTTCATTGTCTGTATCATTATCAGTATTTTGGTCAAAGCCATTCAACAAGTCTCTAGGGAGTTCGAAACTTTCCTACATTTTTTGCCTTCTTCTGAGCCCTCCAAACTGTTCCAACCTCTGCCTGTTACTTAGTTCCAAAGTCGCTTCCACATTTTTGGGTATCTTTTCAGTAGCACCCCACTCTACTGGTACCAATTTACTCTGTTAGTCCATTTTCACACTGCTGATAAAGACATACCTGAGACTGGGCAATTTACAAAAGAAAGAGGTTTATTGGGCTTACAGTTCCACATGGCTGGGGAGGCCTCACAATCATGGTGGAAGGTGAAAGGCATATCTCACATGGATGGCAGCAGGCAAAGAGAGAGCTTGTGCAGGGAAAAATCTCATGAAACTTATTCACTATCAAGAGAACAGTACGGGAAGATCTGCCCCCATGATTCAATTACCTCCCACCAAGTCCCTTCCACGACATGTGGGAATTCATGATGAGATTTTGGTGGGGACACAGCCAAACCATATCAGGAGCTCACCACCAGTACTCAGCTGAGACAAGAGCTGGGAAAAAAATGCACTGGCCAGAGCACAGCTGCTTAGGACACTAGGGGATCTGTACAGGAATTCCCCAGAAGGAAGCATGGGTGGGTGGGCACCTTGAAATATGGCAGCAGGTTACAGGAAGTGCTTCTAGTTAGATGCCAAGCTATTCTGTGCTTTGCCTCTGAACTTGCTCATATTGCCTCTATTTTTGAAATTGTACATAGATAAATCCCCAAAGGAATCATATTTGTTCAATGCTTAGCTGTCTTCCTAGCATTTTACTAAGCTTTTTACTTTCAATGTGGTCCTTACAAAAAGTAGATAGAGCCAGTATTACTGCAACCCCATTTTCCTGACAGCTCACTGAAGAACAGTCACTTGTTCAGAGAATGCAAGTCCCAAATAGTGAAGCTAGGCCAAGTACATGGGCAGACAGAAGAAGGAAAGCCCAGCATCTACCAATCTTTGACCATCAACACTTAGAAGTAAATGACCTGCTTCAGTGACTTCTCATACTCCATCACTTTCCAAATAACATGTAAAACCCATAGCTCCTGCAGCATTTGAGGATATATGCCAAGCACTTTTAAAAACAGTTTTATTTTGAATTGATAAACAATTATTCTATACATATTTGGGTCACAATATGATGTTTCAATACACTCATAAATTGTGGAATGATCAAATCAGGCGAATAAGTGTGTCTATCACCTCAAATATTTATCATTTCTTTGTGGTGAGAACATTTAAAATCATATTCTTTAGTTATTTTGAAATATATAATACATTGACCTTGTGAAATACATCTGTTTCTGGGTAAGCTTTAAAGTTTTTTATAATTATTATTATTTTGACCTTTGAGCGCAAAGCTGATGAGGGCAATTGTCACCTTTCTCCAGAAATGGGCACATAAATACAATATTTTTCATGAAATTTCAGAAGATTAAATCTCCTGGTTTAGAAATACTGCTCACTGATTTAGAGGCAATAGTGTGTTTATTTGCAAAAGCTTATTCCCTATATAGCGGTCTTTTGTGAATATGTGTGTATATCAACAATACAACTTTCTCACTTGGCATTTTCTTTGCAGAAAGGCAGAGTATTGTTAAAATTCCCTTTTCGGAGCCATCTCTTTCTGGATTAAATGAGTTAGTGCAGATAGAATACTTAGATTGGTGGCTTTCCTAAGGTAAACACTAACCATTAACAGTCATTATCCTCATTTCTCTACACTCATGGAACCTTAAATTTGGAAAGGCTATGCCATATCTCTCTAGAAATTCATTTTTTCTGATAGATGGATATCTAGTCCCTGCTTGATTACTTCCCACAACAGGTTGCTTACAACCTCACAGGAAAATCTAATTTAGTGTTAGACAGCATTTGATGACTCTGTGGCATAATCCCCAAAACAACAACTGTTGAACATGTATGTGTCCGTACATTTATCCATCTCTCATGTGTCAGTTTATCCCTATGTTCTTCTATTTGAAAGACTTAAAATCAAGGGTGTATTGGCATATATATCTGCTTCGTAAGCTATATTACCAAGGGAAAAAAGGTCAAGCATCAGCTATAAAGAAAAAAAATAACTTATTTATTACACATCACTCAATTTTCACAAAAATTGTGAAAGAACTTTAAATGAGATGGTAAATCTCACCAAAGATTTTTACACATAGGAAGATCTAAAAAAAAATGATTACTCAGAATTCACTTTTCTTGAAATCTGTGAAGTAAACAGCATGATCTCTGTTGGTTCCAATCCAGTCCTCTGGTTTCAGAAGGAGGTAGAAGGAGCTGGCATGTGACACCCATATTTGTCCTTTGGTTCTCAGATAAAGATGTGCAGTATGAGGAAGCATCCTGGTTTCTCTTGCACTGGCCAATGGAACATTGTGGTGAGGCTGAGGGGAAGCAAAGGTCATCTGTCTCTGGCACAGTTATGGGCTGCAGTGGTCATCAGACTGACCCTCATTTACCTAGGTATGTAACTTTCCTATCTTGGGGAATCCTAATGGTGGAGGGATGATTTATGCAAAGCAAAGGAAATGCCTCTCCTTTATAACAGTCTGTGGTTAAGTAAAACAAATTTAAAATTATCTTGACAATGTCAAACAATAAGTCACTAACCCAAATAAATAACCCCTTTTAGAAGAAAACCTGACTTCTGTAGAGATTTCAGTTTTATAAAGGAAAAAGCCTGTTAGAATCAGAATGTCCAAGCCCAAACCAAAAATAGCACTTACTTTTCAACAAAGGTATCTATCTGTTTTACCCCCCTCTAAGTGTTGTCAGACTACACTTAAAGGATTATGTTCTGTTCTCATTTTAAATTTATTTTTAAAAATTTATTTATTTATTTTTTATTGTACTCTTTGAAGTGTTTCACTTTGAAGGAATGGTGACAAAAGGGAACTTCATTAAAGGAGAACAATAAGAATATTAAAGAGATAAATGCAGCTTGGTGAACATTTAAAAACCACTAAAGTTATTTAACCTGAGAGGGACATTCACTGGGGGAGGAGGACACTCACGGAGGGAGGAAGAGGAGCAGGATAGCTGTGTTTGACCACAACTCACCATCATATAAAAGATGGAGTCAACACGATGTGTGTTCTTGTTGAGCAAAACAAGTAGTGGATAGAGGCTCCAGGAAGGTCGACTTGGATCTAAATAAGAAGGGATTTCCAACAAGAAGTAATGATCTAAAATGAAACGGTCTGCCTTGTGAAGTAGTAGATTTCCTAATTAAGGAAATATTTAAGCAGAAACTAATGATCATTAATGAGGAGTTTATAGATCAATGGTTCTCAAACTTTAGTATGGCAAGAATCACCCAAAGTCCTTGTTAAATCAGATTATTAGTTCCAACTCCCCAAAATTCCAATTCAACATGTGTGGAGTGGGTCCTCTGAATTGAATTTGCCTTTGCCTAAGTTCTCTGGTGCTGCTGCTGCTGCTACTGCCGGTCTGTGGGTTAATTTTGCATAGCAAGTCTCTGCTAATATATGATGTAAAATTGGACCAGATGGACTCATTTTCCAATTTTGAGAGTCCATGATGATAATGATAGAAAAAACATAGTATGCTGTATGGATTTGGGTATTACCAAAATGAACTTGCTCTGTGAAAATGTATATAAAATAACTTCATGTGTTTACTATGGTAAATAAGATTTCTGTTAGTATCAGTTAATGTTGGTGTAACATAGAGCAGTGGTCTCCAATCTTTTTGGCACCAGGGAAGAGTTTTGTGGAAGACAATTTTTCCACAGAGTGGGGTGGGGTGGGGATGATTTGGGGAAGATTCAAATGCATTACACTTATTGTGCACTCTATTTCTATTATTATTACATTGTAATATATAATGAAATGATTATCCAATTCACCATCATGTAGAATCAGTGGGAGCCCTGAGCTTGTTTTCCTGAAACTAGATGGTCCCATCTCAAGGGATAGGAGACAGTAACAGATCATTAGATATTAGATTCTCATAAGGAGCATGCAACCTAGATCCTTCACATGTGCAGTCCACAATAGCGTTTGCACTCCTGTGAGAATCCAATGCCACCACTGATCTGACAGGAGGCAAAACTCAGGCAGTAATGCAAGCAATGGGCAGTGGCTGCAAATACAGATGAAGCTTTGCTTGCTAGTCCACCGCTCACCTCCTGCTGTGCAGCCCAGTTCCTAACAGGCCACAGACCAGTACCAGTCCATGGCCCACGGATTATGGATCTCTGACACAGAAGGACCAGTAGTAAAAGAAGTTGAACATGGTACTATATATAAATTCTAGTTATAAAATGGGTTTACTGTTAGACTGCACAAATGCAATGCAAAAGCTAAAGTAACCTTTGCATTTCTTGAATCTAAACAATTATTTTCCATTTATTTTCCTTAAATAGAGATTGAGAAATTCAAAGGCAAATATTTCCACAGTGAGAAATATAAAATTTAGAGGGATTTATGGGAAACAGAATCCTCATGACTGGCATTGGAAATTCTGGCTCTGATCTGGCTGTGGTGCTCAGCCACACTGCAAAGCAAGCCTATTTTCTTACAGCTGCATCTTGTTGTTGTGGTAATCCTCCACCTGCATGGAGAGGCACAAAGTATAGGATAACCAAGATTCAGGGGTTATTTTTATGGCTTCCCACTGAAAACACCTTATCTACACACAAGAGACAACAAAGGATTAAGTGTGTTGGCTGGGCCAAATGGATTCCCAGTAATCAGATCAGAAATATTCAGGTCGTTTGCTCTCTGCCAAGATCTCTACTAGTTAACACAGATATATTGTAGATGATTACATGGTTATTAAAAAAAATTACATTATAGGACTCCAGGCATTTGTGATCCCATTTATGGTTAAAAAAAAAAAAACCTATATATCTATGGTTATATGTGCATATGCAATTTCAAAAAAGATTCAAGTAACCGTTAACAGTGGCTTCCTCTGGGCATAAAGAATGGATATGCATGTGTGTGGCGGGGGGGTGAGGGGGTTATATATATTTTGTTAACAGATCGAGAGTGAGATTACAATACTTAACTAGTGAAACAAAATATTCAGCAACTTTGATAATTAATTCAGACCATCACTCTGCTACTCCTAATGACAAGGTTTAGAAATATAGCTACAACTGGCAAAGAAGATTTGGGGAGATTTAGAGTGATCTAGATAGGCGGTTTAAATACTGCAAATTTTCCAAACTGTTATTTGACAATGCACTGACTTTGAAGTCTCTGAACAATCTGTGAACAGTAGTTGTGTTCATTTAATGTGGTTAACAAGGGGTAGATAGATCAGCTGTTGGCTATGTGCTAAACAATTTCACAATAATTAATTTGTACCAGGGGAGCTAAGACACCAAGGTAATTTACCTAAACCAAGGGTCAGTTTTGTCAATGTGCAAGTCCGCCCTCTGCTGGCCATTCTGGGAAAATCACAGCTATTTTATAGCAACTGTAGTTATCTCTGATGGTCCAGATCATTCTTTCAAGAGTACTTATTATTCACCTACTGTGTGCCAGGTACATTATCATACATGATACAAGTGTCTGTTGTATGATTCTCTTTACTTTTTTGCATGTGTAAAATATTTTATCACTAAAAATATCCAATGTAAAGAGCAAAAAAAGTCTGAAAAATACGACAAATAAAACAATATTATTTTAAAGAAATTCTGATAGTAGTTCTTTGAGCCAATTAAATGAGGTTAAATTCCTGTAATCAATAAAATATTATAGCATCTTAAAGCTTGGCATTGCTGAAGAAATTATTTAGTTCAACCCCCATATTTTACAGCCAAGAAAACTGAGGGTCCAAGACATTAATAGTTAGTGTAAAGGAAGGCAGGAAATTACTTAAAAGGCTCGTACTAAAATCGACATCTCCTTCCTAGAAGATTTGCTTACATTTCAACCTAAGAATAAAAGAAATAATCAACTTTTTTTTTCTTTTTACAGATGTAAGCAATGATCACTGACTTGACAAAGGAAATGCATAGGGATTAATTTAAATGGTTTGTGTAGAGATATTTATTTAGGGTTCATTCACACAGAAGCAAATTGCTTAAGCATGAAATTGGATGAGGATACTAGAGAGTGAATTGAGAAGTAAAAGTGAGGGAAGCTGATCCCAGCCCTTTGCAAATTTAAGATTTAGGATCCCCAGCTTGGAAATGGTTATGCTAATTAAGGACTGAAGACTGGCAGAGTTTAGAAGATCAAGAAGGTGAGAGAGCCCAGGAGCACCAGGCACTGCTGGGGTTTAGATAGGTAAAGGACAAAGTACTTGATCT
Organism: Homo sapiens; assembly: GCF_000001405.40. Lineage (NCBI taxonomy): Eukaryota > Metazoa > Chordata > Mammalia > Primates > Hominidae > Homo > Homo sapiens. Next base: position 166,480,107 of record NC_000001.11, read on the forward strand.
TGTGAAGCCTATAGATTAGCAGGAAAAGTACATAGTCACACCACCAAAGATTGTAAAGTGTTAGTTTTCCAAGTCTTTTTTTTTTGAGACGGAGTCTCTCTGTTGCCCAGGCTGGAGTGCAGTGGCGTGATCTCAGCTCCGCTCACTGCAAGCTCCGCCTCCCGGGTTCACGCCATTCTCCTGCCTCAGCCTCCCGAGTAGCTGGGACTACAGGCACCCGCCACCACTCAGTATTTATTGGCCCTTACTTTACAGATAATTCTAACCATGGGTTGTCTGGTTTGACAGGCCAGAACCACAAGTGAGAAGGGAAATACTGCTGGCTGCAGATTCAGTGACAAGAGCTATAATAATGAACAACACAGGGAGGAGTCATTAAAACTGCATTATAGCATTTGAGCAGTAATTAAGGTGCTTAATGATCAGAATAAGCAATAAAAAAGGTTAAGTTATGTTCGTTGCACACTGTTTAAGAAATGAGACAAGAGCTTAATCAATTTTAGAAATATTTTAATCAAAACAAAGTGAAAAAGTAAAGAAATTGTAAAAGAAGTATTTTCTTAACTGTATAAATGTAAGTTTCCTCAACATCCTGATAATATGACAGTGCCAGACAAATGAGACTTTGCTATATGCTATATGATTGTGTGCCAATCATCACCACTATGTGAAATTCAGCTAAATATCTCAGAACAAAGAGAACCAGGGGTTGTGATAAATGCTAGATCAGAGCTGAGAATGAGTCCCCAGAGCCAGCTTTTATAGGTGCCTCTGTCTTGTGCTAGTGTAGACAGGCTGTGCTTAAGGCCCTACCGTGGAAAGACAGGTGAAGATGTTTCCAGTGGAAGACCAGAGCTTTGCCTTCCTGGCTTTTTACTTTTCTTAGTATGAGATCAACCTCATATAGGGAGAGTGAAGGAAGAGGAAAGGAGGAGGAAAAGGAGAACCCTGGAGTCCAAATCTTTCCTAGAGACCATTTTTTAATACATCTGTAGAAACAGAAGGGGAAAAAAGAGTATTCAATAACATTTTCCAGAATGAATAAATGGATAAGTAAATGAAGTGAGACAAATACTAATATGAGCCATCTTCCCCAGTTTTGAAGATTTCTCAACTCTCAATGACAGTGAGAGCTTAGCGACAACCTTCCCAAAACATCCATTTCTGTCAGAATAATGATCAAACCCAATGTGAAAGAATTCACGGAAATAGCTGCCACTTTTTAACACCGTAGCACTGTGGAGAATGTTGATGTCATCTTTGCCAAATAACACACCTTCTCATTTCCTTTCTTTGAAGATTCTGTGAATATCACTGATAACCAGATATTCCTATACAATTAGGTATTCCCACTTCATGTGGAAAAAGTGACTTTGGTTGTTGTTGTTAATGCAGCCATCGGGAGCTGTAATGCCAACAAGGAAATTCCAAACTCTCTGGGCCACCTGAGTGTTAAAAGGTAACACAGTTAAAAGGAATGAATTCTTGTGGCTTCCTTTTTGCTACAGCCAGCCACCTTGAACCAAAGGAGCATTAAAATTGAGTCAGTTTAAATGAAAGAATGGGTCAATTACAACCGAAATTACTGTTCACTAACTTTGTTTAAAATAATTTTTTTATCCAGATAAATTTTATTTAGCTTAAAGGCAATAACAGGGACACATCTTCCTTTTTTAAAATTATTTTTGGAGAATTTAGAAAGGCCCGAAAAGCCTAAAAAATTGTTATCAAGGGTGGGAAACTCATTCATAACAATTTTTACAAAACTGAGAGAATCCCCCATCCTGGTACACACTTTCTGGGCTCTCCCACAGCACAAAACCAGGATAGTCCAGAATCAGCCGCCAGCATCAGCATCACTCCAGGGCCCTGGGTTCCATTTAGAACTTGTACTAAAATTATTTTGGGGATGAGATTTCTCCTTCATTCTTTTTCTTTTTATCTATTTTGTGGAACAGACAGTAATTGAGGAGCCAGAGAAGGAAAAACATGCCATTCTCAGCAATTCTCTTTAAAAATATAGGAATAAAAACTCCCATTTATATTGCTAACAGGGAAAGAAAAAAGTCAGGTCTTCATTTTCTTTCTAGAACTCTTCTTTTAGGTCCTTTCAATTAGCTTTGGAGAAGCTCAGAACTCGCACTCCCACGCTTTTACTTTCCTGGAACTATACTCCTTGGCCTTTCCTAAACCTTTCCTTATCCTGTGTTTGCCTTCATAGGACTGAACACAGTCCGGTCCTCCATGGAGAGGATGGCTGACATGGTCCAGAGAATAGAGGCCACAGGGAAAAGTAGGGTCCTTCACCACAGGCAATTACTGAATTTATGGGCTTAGGGGTGTGTGGTCAAATCCATAAGTCAGATTTTAGATAGAACTTCTAATGTCAGGAAGGCAGTTTTCAGGAATGCTAAAAAAAAAAAAAAAAAAAAAAAGAAAGAATACAAAACTCCTTATTGCAGACACTTACTCTGCCCTTGGTTTTTATATTCAGGTATAATTTGACTATCTTACAAGCCAAGAGAAAACTTTTTTCATAATGCAGAAATGATAGAAATAAAGAAGAAATTCACTTATGAAACAAATATGAGTGCTTACTGTGTGCTGGGAACTGTGTGGAGGAAGTTAGCCTGATTGCCCCAGGTAGTGTAATAAATGTGGTTCAGCATTTGAACCTACCAGATGCCAAAGCCAGTGTCCTTTGCTGTACATCATACTGTCTTCCATTCGTGCTCAACTGATGTTTTTCAGGAGTTTATAAACTGAAATATTTAAAACCCTACCAATGTGACATGTTTTTCTTTATTGCTGATTGCTTGCTGAAGCAAGCAAATTGTTCTATTGTACATAGGCAAAAGACGTATTTTTCTAACTACATTTATAAATATTTATAACAGAATGCCTTCTTGCAAGTTGTTTCCTTAATGTAATTTACAAATTGCATATTACAATGAGTGAAGCCAGAAATATTTTTCAATCAAACTGTATTTCCTAATGTGAAAATGTTTATCATCTTGATCCATTTAAACTATTTGAATAAAAGAATATGCATGTTAAAGAATTTTCAGTTAAAAGCCTTTCTTTGAAAGATTAGTATCATATACATCATCAAGTCCCAATTTCTGGCTCACAAGTGGAATCTGAGGTAATAATAATAAAAATATATTTTAACATTATAAAAGATTTGAAAAAGCATCTGTAATTTTATCAATCTTATTGAGCGTGTTAGTGTCATTCAAATATATCTGGTTCTGTTTCTGATCACCTAGTAGGATTTAGCTTCCCTGTCCCCTTTGGAGTTGACATGCCAATGTGACTTGCTTTGGCCAAATAAATGTAAGTAGAAGTGACATATTTCACTTCCATGTACAATCTTTTAGATATAGTACCAACCATATCTTTCCTCTGCCAACATTGAGACAATTAAGGAAGGATGTGTAAAGATGGAACCTTCTTCAGCCGGAGTACCAAAATGATTACAATGAGCAGAGTCTGATCGGGTAGCATGAGCTTTTGTTGTGAGTCACTGATATATAGGTATTGTTTGTTACCATAGCATAACCTAGCTTATCCTGACTGATATACCGACACAACCAATGGTTTCTGTTTCTTCATGTTCCCATCCACACTTTGTCCATATAGACATAGAGTTTTTACGTGGACATAATAATAGTATATAATATACTTTTCTTTGTTGTACACTTTTCAAAATATTATATTATAAACATTTCCCCAGCTTTTTCATGGACAGCATATTTATAATTTTAATAGTTATAAAACAGCCTACCATATTAACATTCAACTACTTATTAATTGTTCATTATTTGATCTTTTTATACATATAGCGTTTTTTCTTTTTCAAAAGTACTTTCTTGGGCTAAAGAAAATAAATAAATGTTTTTCTTTCAGTTTTGCAGTAAGGCATTTACAGTCAAACTTACCCTTTTCTTGAAATTGGTGCAAGAATTTTAGTACTAATGAAATTAAGAAAAGATATTCATGCTTTTCTCTTTATTTTGTCGTCCTTTGAAATTATGGTGCTAATTAGTTTAAAAGATAATACCCAGAATATTCTGGAACCACATCCAAAAAGATATCTTTCTGAGATTAAATCAGGTCACACTCTAAACCTGACACCCTGATAAAATAAATTACTTGATCATAGAATTTTTTTACTTACTATACAAGTTTGTGCCCCAAAGACAGATGAATTGTTCTTGCTGAGATTAAATTAGCAGTGTTTCATCCTCATGCTGAAGAAGAGCCGCAGTATTTCTATAGACTCTTTTATTAGTGATAAATATGTTTATACCACATTAATCCTTATGAAACCCAGGCTGGTTACTCTGCCAAGGGGAAAAAAAAAAACTCTGCTTTCTTCACTTTACAGTGATTATTTTTTGATGAATAATTTTATTTCTTTTCACACATAGACTATATATCTGAGGTTGTCTTCCACTTTTATGCACCCAGTATTTTATATTTATCTAACACTGTTTTCAAAGGCACTCAAAGGGCTTTTTAAATATTATTCCATAAAACACTTATAGAATGATGAAGTCAGCACTTTACACAAACATTGGAAACAGCCAAAGCCACCATTTGTGAAATGTTTAACTACTGCTAAGGTTTCTTCTCTTTTCCTTCTCCTGTTCTTTCCTTTCTCTTTCTCTCCCATCTTATGAATTATTTTCAGTTTTCCCTTAAGTTTCAGTGACACCACCACCAACATCCTGACAATAAAGATGAGGACTGGATAGAGAGGTGGGGCACTTTTTTCTCCTAATGCTCACTAATTTACGAGTGCCAATTATAGACTAGAGACCTACTGACCCTATCTGATCGGCAGCTGCACAATGATTCCCCAAGCTTGAAATTATCTCCAGCTTCGAGATGAGGAAACTCAGTGTGTAAATGGTGCTCCTGAGCAATTCTGAGCGAGCCTGCATTGGTCACGTAATCTTTCTAACACCAGATTCTTATGTCTAAAATGAAGCTAGTCATTCCTGTTTTACCATTCTCAAAGAGTGGCGAGGAGAATCAGATGAATAATGTATGCAAAAGTGCTTTGAAATTGTCTAGGTGAATACAAAGCCACATCAGTCTAATAAAATATAAATGATCATATTGTTAAACACCCTATCACTGCAGGAGAAACCAAAATATTTATTTTAAAAGCCTATTTCTCCAAATGAGAAATCTTATATCCTACTGCAGGAGAAGAGGATGTGGCAGAAAAACCTATTATTTTGATAAATATATCAAAGATATTTTGTGCTGAAAGGCATTTTTCATAAACAAAAACAATTGTTCTTTAGAGGCCCAGTTCTTAAGTAGTTTTGTGCCACCTGCCCCAGGTACTCCCAGCAGCTCTCAGGCACAGGATTTGCCTGCCAGAAGTCCTGGCTTCAATTCTTGGGTTACTTCTCTTGTGACTTTGAGAAAAATTACCCTATTGTTTGAAGTCGGCTTCACAGATAAAGTGACAATACCAACAACGTGCATGCCTAAGGATCAAGTGCAAAATTGTACATTGAAAACACTACATAAATTTAAAAATAAACCAGCCCTCATAGCATCTATTTCCATAAACTCAAAACAAGATTTTAACAAGAATGCCACTAGCTGACTCAGGTACATTTCTAAGTGAAAAAGAATTTGATCACCATCATATGTTAGTAACAAGAAAAGTATTCAACCATCATAGCTGATAGGAATGTGGAGGTCAAGTTTGCCTTCATTTTACAGATGATGACTTTGGGATGGGGAAGAGACTCGGCCTGTGTTGTAGGTGAGACTTGTTGCAGAGCCTCACTAGAAAGGAGTTCAACAGCTCAGGGTTCCTCCACTTTGCCAGCCTCACCCTGAGCCAACTGCCCACATCAGCCCTCCCACTTCTTGCCCCTAACTCACTTTTCAGCCCACCCCTCTTCCCCCTGAGCACCCACCAACGAGGCTCTAAAATCACCAGTGAACTTTCAACTGCCAAAGCCAATAGGCACTTTCTGATTTTAGTCTTTCTTTAGCATCTGCCACATAATTGCTCCTGCCTTCTTTACACTGTCTCTTCCTTGGTCATTGATGTTCCCATAGTTGCCTGATTTCCTCCTACCATTCTTGTCATACCTAGTTTACTGATTTTCTGAGTCTTTTTCCTCTGTCCACCATCAAATATTAGTGTTTATATATTCATTTTCACACTTACTTAGACCTTAGTTCATGCCAGGCACTGCTGTCTTATAAATATACATTCATTTTATATAACACATGACAACCTTAGAAAATAGATTGGGGAAACTGAGGCACAGGAAGGCCGATCAATTTGGTGTGCTGCTTCCTACCATGTTATGCCATCTCTGAGATTACTAGAGCTCCCCTTGTGGCCCTCCTGGCTCCTGACTCAGCCTGTTCTCATGAGGTATGGTCTTAGTATGATCTGTATCCCAAATTTGTATGTCTAGACTTGACCCTTCTCTTGAACATCACATTCCAACAGCACATTGGATATGATAATCTGCATTTACCACCACAAGCATCACAAATGTAATGGCATCCAAACTGAATTCATCATCTCTCCATCCCCAACTTGCCCATTACTCTGTCTTATTATCTCAGGTGTGTGACGTTGGACAAATATCTTAGTGCTCTGGGCCTCAGTTTCTTCATCTGTATAATTACCAGGTTGAACTAAATAATCTCCATGAATGTTTTTACTTTAACATTCTTTAATGCTCTAAACTTCATGTCCCTGCACTGTCTCCAGGTTTTACTCTCTCTCTCCCTTTTAGACTTCCTTTATTCATTCACCAATTCTAAAAGCAATAATTGAGCATATTCTGTAAGCCAAACACAGGGCAGGACACTTGTTGAATAAGATAAGACCCCTGACCTCAGAACTGGAGAGAGGAATGTGAGTGAAGAAAGGCAGTTCATACACTCCAACAGGGTGGCCATTGTTGTCACATGTGTCCAAACAGAGGCCTGGAGGTTGGAGGGGTCACCACTGAGCCAGCCACCAAATCAGAGCCTGCCACCCAGCTTGTTGCTTCATTCTCCCTTTCTTCCACAACCAAGCAATCCAGCAGTCCCTGAGCTCTGTATCTCTGCCTCCTAAATGCCAGTGTTGTCTGCCTCCTCCATCTTTGCACGCCCTTACCTTCACTTGTCACTTACCCCCTTTCATTCTGATCACGTTTACTGCTTGATCTTTTCTCCACTATTTATAGGGTGATATTTCTAAAACCCCAACCTGACCATGGCACTGTCTTGTTTGAAAGCCTCCAGTGATGCTTCATGTCAGTAAGAAAAGTCTTCCTTATGACAAATACCACCTTCGCCAGCAGACCCCTGGGAACCTGTCTTCTCTCAGTACCTTGGCTTTTGTGCTGCACTCTGAGAATGCTTTAAGGACCTGTGGTTCCCTGCACATGGGTCTACTGCGGCTCACTTCTGTGCCTGTGCATGTGCAGATTCCTCAGTTGTTCTGACTCTTATCCATGTGATAAATTTCTATTGATTCTTAGAAACCTAGCTCAGATAACATCTCTTTTGAGAATCTTCTCTGTTCCTGCCTCTCTTGAAGTTATACATTTTTATTTCTTGTGACACTTACATTTCTTAAACGTATTTATGTTACTGCCTATAACATACTGCATTGTAATTATTGCTTAATGCTTGTCTCCCAGCTAGAGTATTGAGTTTGTTGGGTTTGGACGGTGCCAGGTTAATATTTGTTCCTTTAGCAATGCCTGGAGAGCAGCCTATACTAGGCTCACAGTAAAGGTTTGTTGACTGGATGACTGAGGGAAAAGCCACAAAAGCAAGGACTGGAGTATGTTAGAACATCCCTACAAGAGTCCAAAATCTGAAGTGACAACAATGCAGGCAGTTTTGGCTACATCATTGGCATAAAAAGAAAGGACAGCAGAAAGCAGCTCCAGGATTTGGAGTGAGAGGTGATGGTCCACTCCCATATATGCTGAGCCCTTCTGCACCTTCTCTTCTCACATGCATCTGTGTTTGCCCCAGGAGATGCATCAGATCACACTAGACTCTTTAGAGACACCTACAGAGCAATGTCAGCCACCTTCTCCCAGTGTTTTACTATTTGCCATTTAAGGACAGCATCAGGAAATGGAAATCTGTTTATGCAGCAAGATAGGTCTGTGAAGGTAGATAATTGACTGACTCAGGCCCTTAAATATATAATTCGAGAAATAAATCTTCTGCAAATGGAGGGTGTTCCGAAGGCTTTGTATGTTTCAGAAGGGATGGGCAATGTTTAATTTGTTGTCTTCCATTTCTCATGTCCTCCCCTTGCCTCAAGTTAGCTTCCTGGGAAATTCTCCAAACATCAGTCAGAAGCTGTCCTAAGGTGGCCCTTGGGTGAGCAGGGTAGAGAGTGCTTCAGCCAGCAATCTTTTTTGCTTGCTCACTCAGGTAGGCATCAAGCCAGAAAGACAGGTTGACCCCAACTGTAATGAGCTAAGCCTTTTGTAGAAGCCTCATCTTCTCTGTATGTTTTGTAGCAGAGATGGGCTAGCGTTTTGCCACTACTACAAATACTACAGCCACAAAACCAGAACTCTGATACCAGAAAACTGCTAAAATCAATAGCCTTCTTTATTATAGAGGGTCAGCTTCTGGATTTCCTGTGCATTATGCAGCCATGAGTGAAGCCCAGCCCCATCCTCTTCCAACTTCCCCACCATCTCCCACCGGCACCCAACATACACTCAAGGCTCTGGCCTCCATAGGACAACAGTGACCACCTTGTTGAAGTATATGAGCTGCCTTTCTTCACTTACCTTCTCCCCCGTGGAAATTCTTATTTTATTCAACCGTATATCCTCAGGGCTCAGACCAGGGATTGGCCCATTGAATATGCTCAATTATTGCTTATAGAATTGATGAATGGATAAAGAACATTTAAAAGGGAGAGAGATAGAGAGTAAATCCCAGAGACAGTGCAGGGACAAGAGGTTTAGAGAATTAAAGAATACTAAAGTAAGAATGTTTATGGAGACTACTTAGTTTAACCCATTATTTATACACATAAGAGAACTGAAGCCCAGAGAGATAAAGAGATTTGTCCAAGAATATTCATATGGTCAGCAGTTGTTTACATTTGAAGGGAGTAAATGTAAATCATTTAGGTCTTAAGCCAATTCTTTCCCCCTTCCCTCCCTGTAACCACTGTTTCTCAATGAAGGATGAAGGTCCATAGAATTAATAATTTCATCTATACCACTAATATTTATTGAGCCTATATCATGTGCCAGGCCCTGTTCTAGGATCTAGGAATAGGGAAATACACAAAACCAACAAAAGCCCTTATGTTTCTGGAGCTTACAGATTCTGGCGAAAGAGGTTTATATAAAGTAAAATAGACAATTATATAGTTAGAAGAGATTGTGACATGGGAAAGAAAAGGGCGTAATAAGAAAGAGGAAGAGCAGGGGGCCAGAAAGGGACTTGGAAAGTGGCATTTGAGAAAGAGCAAAGACTTGAAGGTAGAGAGGGTGCATTGGCACTATTTAGGGGAAGGATGCCTAGGTCCAGGGAAAAGCAAGGGCAAAAGCCCTGAGTCAGGAGTGTGCCTGGCATGTCTGAGGTGTGGCATGTTCAGTGTGTGCAAGGGGAAGAAGTGAAGGGTGAGGTCATTGAGAGAGAGAGAGAGAGAGAGCAAGAGAGAGCTAGAGAGCCAGTTAAACTGTGAAGCTCCTCGTGGGCCACTGTAAGCAGCCTGACTTACTCTGTGAGATGAGAAGCCACTGGGAGGCTTTGAGCAGATGAGTGACTTATGAGTTCAGCAGGTAACTCTGACTGCTATGTTTTGAAGAGATTATAGGTGGAAATAAGACGAGAAGTCTTCTCCCAATGGAAGGTCTTTTCTCGATCGAAGGGTTCCTGGTCTCACGGGCTTCCAGGAATGAAGCCGTGGGCCGCAGTGGCGAGTGTTACAGCTAGATTAGAGAAACCCGCGGACCCAAAGAGGGTGCGGTGGCAAGATTTATTAGAGCAAAAGCGAAAGTAAAATGAAAGCAAAAGTAAAGCTTCCACGTGGTGGAAGGGGACCTGGAAGGGCTGCCGTTTTTTTGCTTCTGTCTTATGCTTATGTCCCCTTATGACCCCTCGTCTTTTCCTTTTTCTGTCCTACATAACTAGCTTATTTTCAATCCGCTTGTGGGTTGACGGGCCTGATTGGTTAAAAACATCAGGCTGCAGCTAGAGCTTAAACTCCCTATATGATTGGTTGAGGTTTCAATCCCTTAGCTTGCAGCTGTGACTCATTTTGGCTTAGGGGAAAGTCCCCTTAGGGAAGTTCCTATTGGCCCAGGAAGTCCAGCCAACTTAGCCACTTAGTCCCTCACAAAGGGTGAAAGCAATAGGCCCAGTAATGAGACTGTTGTGCTAATTCAGGAGAGAGAAGATGGGGCTTGGGCAGGGTGGTGGCAGTGGGGGTTGAGAAGTGGTCAGATGCCGCATATTTGTGGAACAGCTGGGAAGATTTGCCGATAGACTGGATGTGAGATATGAGAGAAACAGGAATTAAGGATAATTCCAAGGCTTTGGCCTGAGCAGCTGTTAGGAATTGAGACTGGAGACAGTTCCTCCCTTGGGAGGGAAGATCAGGAGCTCCGTTTTGACTGTTAAGTTTGAAATAACACATTTAAAGGTCTAGTATATAAATCCATATACATGGCAGAGAACTGGACGAGAGTTATTAGTGTAGATGTCGTCAGCATAGGAAAGATCTTAAAGCCTGGTTTAAGACTGGTTACTATCACCAAGGGGTGAGAAGAAGGCCAAAGGGCTTAGCAGTGGGGCTCTCCAACATTTAGAGACTGGGAAATGCAGAACCAAGGAGAGTGAGAACAAACAGACAAGGAGGTAAGAGAGTCAGGAAAATGTGGTGTCCTGGAAGTGCGCAAAGAAAGTACGCCAAGGGGAGCCATTTACCAATGGTGTGAGACAAACATTGCTGATAGGAAAAAAAAAAAAGAGGATGGCTGGGATCTGGGTGTAGACTTAGCAGTGAGGATGTTCTTGATGCTCTTGACAAGAGTCATTTATGTGGAGAAGGGAGAACAAAAGCCTACTGAATACAATGGTGAGAGAAGGAGAGAATTAGAGACAACTATGAGCACCAGCAGTTATTTCAAGGAGTTTAGCTAAAACAGGAGCAGAGAAATTGGGAGGTGAGTTGATCAGAAAACAATGGAGGTCAAAAAATGTATTTAGCTTTTTGTTTTTGATGAGAGAAATAAAAGCATGTTTGTCTACTGATGGAAATGATCCAGTAGAAAATAGAAGGTTTTGGATGTGCCTGTAAGTAAAAATGTGAGAGTGACAGTCTTTTCATTCAATAAAATCCAATTCAATTCGACTCAATTCAATTCAACTCACTTCAATTCAATTTCAACAAATATTTATTGAGAATTTACCCTTGGCAAAGCACTATTCTTTATGGATACATTTGTGAACAACATAGGCAGAGAACATTGTCAATGTCTGGCAGGGGAAGTCAAATAATAAGTAACAAACATAACAGATAAGTACATTATATAGGATGTTAGAAGATAATAAATACTAGGGAGAGGAAAATGTAGAGCAAGCTGCTACTGAGGATTAGGGTCACCAGGCATGAGTTGCAATTTTAAATAATGTGGTCAGTGTGGGCCTTATTGAGAAGTCAGAGTCAGCTATGTCCACATCATTGAAAGAGCATTCCAGACAGACGGAATAGCCAGTGCACTTTAAGCCGGAGCAGTACCAAGGAGCACATCAAGATAATTAAAAATATATATGCAGACAACTCTTATTAGCCTTGGGTTGGCTAGAGAGAGAAATAGCCAAGGAGAATTCCAGTTGGGTTGAGAGAAGAAAATAAGAGACACTGACAAGATCATAATGTGAGACAGGTGGGAGGAAGGTTGTCCTGTGTGCCAGGAAATGAGGAAGAAGTTCTGAGAGTGCTAACACTTTAAAAAGGAGAGGTTTCAGCTAAACAACCCACACCAGCTCCTGTCCCAACAATTGTCTTACTGTTTTTCTGGTTGGGACACCTGAGTTTGGCACCTGAACCTACTCCATCCAGACACACCTGTTTGCTTATCCCTCTTCCTGGCATGAAGGACCTACTCTTTACTTGCCATCCCTGAGGCACCTCGGCAGCATGGAGGTTTCGTGCCCCAATATCCTAAGAACCAACAAAACCTCCAACCAAGTTTCTCTCCTGAGTGGAATGGAAAGGACAGAAAGTAGAGACAAAAAGAGGCATCCAGATTAGTCAGAACTGCTTTCCTTTACCATTCACTGATGGTCTCCATAGGTCTCTTGCTGAAAAATTCAATAAAGGGAGTGCTCCTAACACTTTAATATTGGAAATCTTGTTAAAATGCAGATTATGTGGCTATTACTAAAAAGTCAAAAAATGACAGATGCTGGTGAGGTTGTAGAGAAAAAGAAACACTTATACACTGTTGGTAGGAGTGTAAATTAGTTCCACCATTGTGGAAGACAGTGTGGTGATTCCTCTAAGATCTAAAGAAAGAAATGCCATTCAACATGTATACATGTGTAACAAACCTGCATGCTGTGCACATGTATCCTAGAACTTAAAGTATAATTAAAAAAAAAAAAAGAAAAGAAAGAAATGACATTCAAGCCAGCAATCCCATTACTGGGTATATACCCAAAGGAATATAAATCATACTACCATAAAGACACATGCACATGTTTGTTCACTGCAGCAGTATGCACAATAGCAAAGACATGAAATCAACCTAAATGCCCATCAATGAGAGATTAAAGAAAATGTGTTATATATGCATCATGGAATACTATGCTGCCATAAAAAAGAATGAGATCATGTCCTTTGCAGGGACATGGATGGCACTAGAGGCCCTTATCCTTAGCAAACTAACACGGGAACAGAAAATCAAATCCTGCATGTTCTCACTTATAAGTGGGAGCTGAACAATGAGAACATATGGGCACATAAGAGGGAACAACAAACACCAGGTCCTGTTGGAGGGTAGAGGATAGGAGGAGGGAGAGGGTCAGGGAAAATAAGGAATGAAAATAACTAATGAGTACTAGGCTTAATACCTGGGTGATGAAGTAATCTGTACAACAAACCCCCATGACACAAGTTTACCTATGTAACAAACCTGCACATGTACCCCTGAACTTAAAGTAAAAGTTAAAAAAAAAGGATAAATACTTGAGGTGATGAATACTCCATTTATGTTTATGTGATTATTATGCATTACATGTCTGTGTCATAAAATCTCATGTAACACATAAATATATATACCTACTATGTATCCATAAAAATTTAAAAATTAAAATAAAAAACAACTGTCTTGTTGCAAAAAAATGCAGATTCTGGAATTTATCCATTTCTTCTATGTTATCCAATTTGTTGGCACACAATTGTTCATAATACTCTCTCATGATCCTTTGTATTTCTGGGGGTATCAGTTGTAATGTTTTCTTTTTCATCTCTAATTGTATTTATTTGAGTTTTCTCTCTTTTTATTTTATTTTATTATTATTATACTTTAAGTTTTAGGGTACATGTGCACAGTGTGCAGGTTAGTTACATATGTATACATGTGCCATGCTGGTGTGCTGCACCCATTAACTTGTCATTTAGCACAAGGTATATCTCCTAATGCCATCCCTCCCCTCTCCCCCCACCCCACAACAGTCCCCAGAGTGTGATGTTCCCCTTCCTGTGTCCATGTGTTCTCATTGTTCAATTCCCACCTATGAGTGAGAACATGTGGTGTTTGGTTCTTTGTCCTTGCGATAGTTTACTGAGAATGATGATTTCCACCTTCATCCATGTCCCTACAAAGGACATGAACTCATCATTTTTTATGGCTGCATAGTATTCCATGGTGTATATGTGCCACATTTTCTTAATCCAGTCTATCATTGTTGGACATTTGGCTTGGTTCCAAGTCTTTGCTATTGTGAATAGTGCTGCAATAAACATACGTGTGCAAGTGTCTTTATAGCAGCATGATTTATAGTCCTCTGGGTATATACCTAGTAATGGGATGGCTGGGTCAAATGGTATTTCTAGTTCTAGATCCCTGAGGAATCGCCACACTGACTTCCACAATGGTTGAACTAGTTTACAGTCCCACCAAGAGTGTAAAAGTGTTCCTATTTCTCCACATCCTCTCCAGCACCTGTTGTTTCCTGACTTTTTAATGATTGCCATTCTAACTGGTGTGAGATGGTATCTCATTGTGGTTTTGATTTGCATTTCTCTGATGGCCAGTGATGGTGAGCATTTTTTCATGTGTTTTTTGGCTGCATAAATGTCTTCTTTTGAGAAGTGTCTGTTCATGTCCTTCGCCCACTTTTTGATGGGGTTGTTTGTTTTTTTCTTGTAAATTTGTTTGAGTTCATTGTAGATTCTGGATATTAGCCCTTTGTCAGATGAGTAGGTTGAGAAAATTTTCTCCCATTTTGTAGGTTGCCTGTTCACTCTGATGGTAGTTTCTTTTGCTGTGCAGAAGCTCTTTAGTTTAATTAGATCCCATTTTTCTATGTTGGTTTTGTTGCCATTGCTTTTGGTGTTTTAGACATGAAGTCCTTGCCCATGCCTATGTCCTGAATGGTATTGCCTAGGTTTTCTTCTAGGGTTTTTATGGTTTTAGGTCTAACGTTTAAGTCTTTAATCCATCTTGAATTAATTTTTGTATAAGGTGTAAGGAAGGGATCCAGTTTCAGCTTTCTACATATGGCTAGCCAGTTTTCCCAGCACCATTTATTAAATAGGGAATCCTTTCCCATTTCTTGTTTTTCTCAGGTTTGTCAAAGATCAGATAGTTGTAGATATTTGGCGTTATTTCTGAGGGCTCTGTTCTGTTCCATTAAGCATTCCCTTTGAAAACTGGCACAAGACAGGGATGCCCTCTCTCACCACTCCTATTCAACATAGTGTTGGGAGTTCTGGCCAGGGCAATTAGGCAGGAGAAGGAAATAAAGGGTATTCAATTAGGAAAAGAAGAAGTCAAATTGTCCCTCTTTGCAGATGACATGATTGTATATCTAGAAACCATCGTCTCAGCCCAAAATCTCCTTAAGCTGATAAGCAACTTCAGCAAAGTCTCAGGATACAAAATCAATGTGCAAAAATCACAAGCATTCTTATACACCAATAACAAACAAACAGAGAGCCAAATCATGAGTGAACTCCCATTCACAATTGCTTCAAAGAGAATAAAATACCTAGGAATCCAACTTACAAGGGACATGAAGGACCTCTTCAAGGAGAACTACAAACCACTGCTCAATGAAATAAAAGAGGATAAAAAGAAATGGGAGAACATTCCATGCTCATAGGTAGGAAGAATCAATATCGTGAAAATGGCCATACTGCTCAAGGTAATTTATAGATTCAATGCCATCCCCATCAAGCTACCAATGACTTTCTTCACAGAATTGGAAACAACTACTTTAAAGTTCATATGGAACCAGAAAAGAGCCCGCATTGCCAAGTCAATCCTAAGCCAAAAGAACAAAGCTGGAGGCATCACACTACCTGACTTCAAACTATACTACAAGGCTACAGTAACCAAAACAGCATGGTACTGGTACCAAAACAGAGTCTTCTCTCTTTTTCTTAGGGTAGCTAAAAGTTTGTTGATTTTTTTTCTATCTTTTCAAAAAATCAAGTCTTAATTTTGTTGATTTTTGTATTTTTTAAACTCTCTATTTCATTTATTTCTGTCCTGCTTTTATTTCCTTCCTTCCAGTAATTTTGGATTTAGTTTGTTTTGTTTTTCTACTTCCTTGAAGTACAACATTAGGTCGTTTATTTGACTTTTCTTTTTTTTGGTGTATGCATTTATTTATATAAACTTCACTCCTAAAACTGCATTTGCTGTATCCCATAGGTTTTGGAACATCGTGTTTCAATTTTGTCTCAAGAAATTTTTAAATTTTCCTTTTAATTTCTTCATTAACCCATTGGTTATTCAGGACCATGTTGTTCAATTTCCACATATTAGTAAAGTTTCTGAAGTTCCTCCTGTTACTGATTTCCAGTTTTATACTATTGTGATCAGAAAATATACTTGATATATCTATATTCTTAAATTTGTTAACACTTGTTTTGTGGCTGAATGTGTGATTTATCCCAGAGACGTTTCATGCGCAGTTGAGAAGAATGTGTATTTTGCAACTATTGGATGTAATGTACTATAAATGTTGGTTAGATCCATTTGGGCTAGAGTGCAGTTTAAATCTGATAATTCTTTGTCAATTTTCTGTCTGGATGATCTGTCTATTGCTGAAACTGGGGTGCTAAAGTCTCCTACTATTACTGTATCACAGTCTGTTCTCTCCCTTTAGATAAAATAATATTTGTTTTGTATATTTGGGTAGTCCAACATTGGGTGTATGTACTTATAATTGTTACACATAAATTCTCAGACACATACAACATACCAAAATTGAATTATGAAGAAATAGAAGATCTGTAACAGATCAATAATGAGAAAGATGAATCAGTAATATAGTCTCCCATCCAAGAAAATCCCAGGACCTGATGCCTTCACTGCTGAATTCTACCAAATATTTAAGGAAGAATAACAATTCTTCTCATACTATTTCAAAAAATTGAAGAAAAGAAAATACTTCCAAATTCATTATTATATAAGGCCAGCATTATGCTGATACTAAAACCAGACAAGGACACAACCAGAAAGAGAAAACTACAGGCCAATATATCTGATGGACATAGATGCAAAAATTTTCAACAAAATAATAGCAGACTCATTTCAGCAGCACAGTAAAAGGCCATGATCAACTGAGATTTCTCGCAGGAATGCATGAATGGTTTAATATATGCAAATCAATAAATGTGATACATCATATTAACACAAAGAAGGACAAAAGCCATATGGTCATTTTAATAGACACAGAGAAAGCATTTGACAAAATTTAACATCCCTGTATGATGAAAACTCTCAATAAATTAGGTATATAAAGTACATACCTCAACACAATGAAAGCCATATATTACAAATCCATAACTAAAATCATACTAAATGGGGAAAAGTTGAAAGCTTTTCTTCTAATATCTGAAATGAGATAACAATGCCTGCAAATTTTCACCCCTTCTATTCAATGTAGTACTGGAAGTCCTAGCCAAACAATTAGGCAAAAATAAATAAATAAATTTTTAAAAAGTATTTACATTAGAAAGAAGGAAGTCAAATTGTCCCTGTTTACAGACAATATCATCTTATATAGAAAATCCTAAATATTTCACTATAAAAAAACTGTTAGAACTAAAAAAAATTCAGGTAAGCTTTAGGATGCAAAATCAATACACAAAAAATCATTAGCAATCACTGCAAACTATCTGAAAAAGAATTCAGAAAAAGGATTGTATTTACATGAGCTACAAAAAACACCAAGATTTCTAGCAATAAATTTAACAAGGAGGTAAAAATCTGTATACTGAAAGCTATAAAATAACTGATGAAAGAAATTGAAGAGGACACAAATACATGGAAAAATGTTCCATGTTCATGAACTGGAAAAATTAATATTTTCAAAACATCCATACTGTCAAAAGTGATCTATAGAACTAATGCAATCCTTATTAAAATAACAATGAAGTTTTTAACAGAAATAGAAAAAAGTCCTAAAGTTTGTATGAAACCACAAAAATCCCTGTATTAGGCCATTCTTACATTGTTATAAAGACCTGAGACCAGGTAATTTGTAAGAAAAGTGGTTTAATCGGCTCATGGTTCTGCAGGCTGTACAGGAAGTATAGCACTGGCATCTGCTTCTGGGGAGGGCTTGGGAAGCTTAAAATCATGACAGAAGGTGAATGGGGAGCAGGCATCTCACATTTCCACATGTGGAAAAATATTTGTGAACTATACATCTGACAGTGGGTTAATATCCAGAATATATAAGGAACTCAAATAACTCAGTAATATAAAAACAAAAAATTTTATTAAAAAATGGGCAAAATATTCAAGGAACAGACATTTCACCAAACAAGACATACAAATGGCCAACAGGTATATGAAAAAATGTTCAACATCACTAATCATCAGGGAAATGCAAATCAAAACCCCAGTGAAATATCACCTCACTCCAGTTAGAAAGACTATTTTCAAAAAGCAAAAGATAGCAAGTATTGGTGAGTATGCAGAGAGAAGGGAACCCTTACACACTGTTGGTGTGAATATAAATTAGTACAGCCATTATGGGAAAAAGTATGGAGTTTCCTTAAAAAATTAAAAGTAGAATGACCATACAATCCAGCAATCCTGTTACTGGGTATATATCTGATATGATTTGGCTGTGTCTCCACCCAAATCTCATCTTGAATTGTAGCTCCCATGATTCCCACTTGTTGTTGGAGGGACCTGGTGATAGAGAATTGAGTCATGGGGGGCGTTTTCTCCCATACTGTTCTCGTGGTAGTGAATAAGTCTCATGAGATCTGATGGTTTTATAAGGGGAAACCCCTTTTGCTTGGTTCCCATTTCTCTCTTGCCTGCCAACATGTAAGATATGCCTTTTGCCTTCCACCATGATCATGAGGCCTCCCGAGCCACGTGGAACTGTGAGTCCATTAAACCTCTTTTTCTTTATAAATTACCCAGTTGTGGGTATGTCTTTATTAGGAGTGTGAGAAAGGAAATTAAATCAGTATGTCAAAGAGATATCTGCACTCCTGTTTATTGCAGTGTTATTCACAATAGTGAAGATATGGAATCAAACTAAGTGTCCAACAATGAATGGAGAACAACCCTACAAACCACTGCTCAAGGAAATAAGAGAGGACACAAACAAATGGAAAAAAATTCCATGTTCATGGATAGGAAGAATCAGTATCGTGAAAATGGCCATACTGCCCAAAGTAATTTATAAATTCAATGCTATTCTCATCAAGCTACCACTGACTTTCTTCAAAGAAAAAGAAAAAGCTACTTTAAATTTCATATGGAACCAAAAAAGAGCCCGTATAGCCAAGACAATCCTAAGCAAAAAGAACATCCTAAGCAAAAATACTAAGCAAAAAGGCATCACGCTACCTGACTTCAAACTATACTACAAGGCTACAGTAACCAAAACAGCATGGTACTGGTATCAAAACAGATATATAGGCTAATGGAACAAGACAGAAGCC
Source organism: Homo sapiens (assembly GCF_000001405.40). Taxonomy (NCBI): domain Eukaryota; kingdom Metazoa; phylum Chordata; class Mammalia; order Primates; family Hominidae; genus Homo; species Homo sapiens. The sequence goes on from NC_000001.11 coordinate 166,499,293, forward strand.
TCAGAAATAACACCACACATCTACAAACATCTGATCTCAGACAAACCTGACAAAAACAAGCAATGGGGTAAAGATTCCCTATTTAATAAATGGTGCTGGGAAAACTGGGTAGCCATAGGTAGAAAGCAGAAACTGGACCCCTGCTTACATCTTATACAAAAATTAGCTCAAGATGGATTAGAGACTTATATGTAAAACCTAAAACCATAAAAACCCTAGATGAAAACCTAGGCAATACCAGTCAGGACATAGGCATGGGCAAAGACTTCATGATTGAATCACCAAAAGCAATTGCAACAGGAGCCAAAATTGACAAATGGGATTTAATTAAACTAAAGAGCTTCCGTTCAGCAAATGAAACAATCAGAGTGAACAGACAACCTACAGAATGGGAGAAAGTTTTTGCAATCTATCCATCTGACAAAGGGCTAATATCGAGAATCTACAAGGAACTTAAACAAATTTACAAGAAAAAAGCAAACAACCCCATCAAAAAGTGGGCAAAGTATATGAACAGACACTTCTCAAAAGACGACATTTAAGAGGCCAACAAACATGTGAAAAAAAGCTCATCATCACTGGTCATTAGAGAAATGCAAACCAAAACCACAATGAGATACCATCTCACGCCAGTTAGAATGGCGATCATTAAAAAGTCTGGAAACAGGATGATGCTGGCCTCATAAAATGAGTTAGGGAGGATTCCCTCTTTTTCTATTGATTGGAATAGTTTCAGAAGGAATGGTACCAGCTCCTCCTTGTACCTCTGGTAGAATTCGGCTGTGAATGCACCTGGTCCTGGACTTTTTTTTGTTTGTAAGCTATTAATTATTGCCTCGATTTCAGAGCCTGTTATTGGTGTATTCAGAGATTCAACTTCTTCCTGGTTTAGTCTTGGGAGGGTGTATGTGTTCAGGAATTTATCCATTTCTTCTAGATTTTCTAGTTCATTTGCATAGAGTTATTTATAGTATTCTCTGATGGTAGTTTGTATTTCTGTGGGATCCATGGTGATATCCCCTTGATCATTTTTTATTGCATCTATTTGATTCTTCTCTCTTTTCTTCTTTATTAGTCTTGCTAGCGGTCTATCAATTTTGTTGATCTTTTCAAAAAAAAACCAGCTCCTGGATTCATTGATTCTTTGAAGGGTTTTTTGTGTCTCTATTTCCTTCAGTTCTGCTCTGATCTTAGTTATTTCTTGCCTTCTGCTAGCTTTTGAATGTGTTTGCTCTTGCTTCTCTAGTTCTTTTAATTGTGATGTTAGGGTGTCAATTTTAGATCTTTCCTGCTTTCTCTTGTGGGCATTTAGTGCTATACATTTCCCTCTACGCACTGCTTTGAATGTGTCCCAGAGATTCTGGTATGTTGTGTCTTTGTTCTCGTTGTTTTCAAAGAACATCTTTATTTCTGCCTTCATTTCGTTATGTACCCAGTAGTCATTCAGGAGCAGGTTGTTCAGTTTCCATGTAGTTGAGCGGTTTTGAGTGAGTTTCTTAATCCTGAGTTCTAGTTTGATTGCACTGTGGTCTGAGAGACAGTTTGTTATGATTTCTGTTCTTTTACATTTGCTGAGGAGTGTGTTACTTCCAACTATGTGGTCAATTTTGGAATAAGTGCCGTGTGGTGCTGAAAAGAAAGTATATTCTGTTGATTTGGGGTGGAGAGTTCTGTAGATGTCTATCAGGTCTGCTTGGTGCAGAGCTGAGTTCAATTCCTGGATATCCTTGTTGACTTTCTGTCTCACTGATCTGTCTAATGTTGACAATGGGGTGTTAAAGTCTCCCAATATTATTGTGTGGGAGTCTAAGTCTCTTTGTAGGTCTCTAAGGACTTGCTTTATGAATCTGGTTGCTCCTGTATTGGGTGCATATATATTTAGGATAGTCAGATCTTCTCGTTGAATTGATCCCTTTACCATTATGTAATGGCCTTCTTTGTCTCTTTTGATCTTTGTTGGTTTAAAGTCTCTTTTATCAGAGACTAGGATTGCAACCCCTGCCTTTTTTTTTGTTTTCCATTTGCTTGGTAGATCTTCCTCCATCCCTGGAGACACAACAAAAAAAGATAATTTGAGACCAATATCCCTGAGGAACATCGATGCAAAAATCCTCAATAAAATACTGGCAAACCGAATCCAGCAGCACATCAAAAAGCTTATCCACCATGATCAAGTGGGCTTCATCCCTGGGATGCAAGGCTGATTCAACATATGCAAATCAATAAACATAATCCAGCATATAAACAGAACCAATGACGAAAACCACATGATTATCTCAATAGATGCAGAAAAGGCCTTTGACAAAATTCAACAACGCTTCATGCTAAAAACTCTCAATAAATTAGTTATTGATGGGACATAACTCAAAATAATAAGAGCTATCTATGACAAACCCATAGCCAATATCATACTGAATGGGCAAAAACTGGAAGCATTCCCTTTGAAAACTGGCACAAGACAGGGATGCCCTCTCTCACCACTCCTATTTAACATAGTGTTGGAAGTTCTGGCCAGGGCAATTAGGCAGGAGAAGGAAATAAAGGGTATTCAATTAGGAAAAGAAGTCAAATTGTCCCTCTTTGCAGATGACATGATTGTATATCTAGAAACCATCGTCTCAGCCCAAAATCTCCTTAAGCTGATAAGCAACTTCAGCAAAGTCTCAGGATACAAAATCAATGTGCAAAAATCACAAGCATTCTTATACACCAATAACAAACAGAGAGCCAAATCATGAGTGAACTCCCATTCACAAATTGCTTCAAAGAGAATAAAATACCTAGGAATCCAATTTACAAGGGACATGAACGACTTCTTCAAGGAGAACTACAAACCACTGCTCAATGAAATAAAAGAGGATGCAAAGAAATGGAAGAACATTCCATGCTCATGGGTAATCAATATCATGAAAATGGCCATACTGCCTAAGGTAATTTATAGATTCAATGCCATCCCCTTCAAGCTACCAATGACTTTCTTCACAGAATTGGAAACAACTACTTTAAAGTTCATATGGAACCAAAAAAGAGCCCGCATCACCAAGTCAATCCTAAGCCAAAAGAACAAAGCTGGAGGCATCACGCTACCTGACTTCAAGCTATACTGCAAGGCTACAGTAACCAAAACAGCACGGTACTGGTACCAAAACAGAGATATAGACCAATGGAACAGAACAGAGCCCTCAGAAATAATGCCACATATCGACAACTATCTGATCTTTGACAAACCTGACAAAAACAAAAATGGGGAAAGGATTCCCTATTTAATAAATGGTGCTGGAAAAACTGGCTAGGCATAGGTACAAAGCTGAAACTGGATCCCTTCCTTACACTTTATACAAAAATTAATTCAAGATGGATTAAAGACTTAAATGTTAGAGCTAAAACCATAAAAACACTAAAATAAAACATAGGTAATACCATTCAGGAGATAGGCATGGGCACGGACTTCATGTCTAAAACACCAAAAACAATGGTAACAGAAGCCAAAATTGACAAATGGGATCCAATTAAACCAAAAAGCTTCTGCACAGCAAAAGAAACTACCATCAGAGTGAACAGGCAACCTACAGAATGGGGGAAAATTTTTGCAATCTACTCATCTGACAAAGGGCTAATATCCAGAATCTACAAAGAACTCAAACAAATTTACAAGAAATAAATAAAGAACCCCATCAACAGGTGGACGAAGGATATGAACAGACACTTCTCAAAAGAAGACATTTATGCAGCCAAAAGACACATGAAAAGATTCTCATCATCACTGGTGATCAGAGAAATGCAAATCAAAACCACAATGAGATACCATCTCACACCAGTTAGAATGGCAATCATTAAAAAGTCAGGAAACAACAGGTGCTGGAGAGGATGTGGAGAAATAGGAACACTTTTACACTGTTGGTGGGACCATAAACTAGTTCAACCATTGTGGAAGTCAGTATGGCGATTCCTCGGGGATCTAGAACTAGAAATACCATTTGACCCAGCCATCCCATTACTGGGTATATACCCAAAGGATTATAAATGATGCTGCTATAAAGACACATGCACACGTATGTTTATTGCAGCATTATTCACAATAGCAAAGACTTGGAACCAAGCCAAATGTCCAACAATGATAGACTGGATAAAGAAAATGTGGCACATATACACCATGGAATATTATGCAGCCATAAAAAATGATGAGTTCATGTCCTTTGTAGGGACATGGATGAAGGTGGAAACCATCATTCTCAGCAAACTTTAGCAAGGACAAAAAACCAAACACCTCATGTTCTCACTCATGGGTGGGAATTGAACAATGAGAGCACATGGACACAGGAAGGCGAACATCACACACTGAGGCCTGTTGTGGGGTGGGAGAAGGGGGGAGATATACCTAATGCTAAATGATGAGTTAATGGGTGCAGCACACCAACATGGCACATGTATACATATGTAACAAACTTGCACGTTTTGCACATGTACCCTAAAACTTAAAGTATAATAAAAAAATAATAAAAAGTCTGGAAACAATAGATGCTGGCGGGGATGTGGAGAAATAGGAACGCTTTTACACCGTTGTTGAGAGTGTAAATTACTTCAACCATTGTGGAAGACAATGTGGTGATTCCTCAAGGATATAGAACCAAAAATACCATTTGACCCAGCAATCCCATTACTGGGTATATACTCAAAGGATTATAAATCATTCTACTAGAAGGACACATGCACACATATGTTTATTCCAGCACTATTGACCACAGCAAAGACTTGGAACCAACCCAGATGCCCAACAATGATAGACTGGATAAAGAAAATGTGGCATATGTACACCATGGAGTACTATGCAGCCATAAAAAAGAATGAGTTCATGTCCTTTGCAGGGACATGGATGAATCTGGAAACCATCATCCTCAGGAAACTAACACAGGAACAGAAAACCGAACACTGCATGTTCTCACTCACAAGTGGGAGTTGAACAATGAGAGCACATGGACACAGGGAGGGGAACATCACACACTGGGGGCTGTTGGGGGGTTAGGGACAAGGGGAGGGAGAGCATTAGGAAAAATACCTAATGCATGTGGGGCTTAAAACCTAGATGACGGGTTGACAGGTGCAGCAAACCACCATGGCACATGTATACGTATGTAACAAACCTGCATGTTCTGCACATGTATCCCAGAACTTAAAGTAAAATAAAACAAACAAAAAAAGAAAATGTGGTGTCTATACACAATGAAATCCTGTAAAAGCCATGAAAAAGAATGCAATCCTGTCATTTGCAACAACATGGATGAGCCTGGAGGACATTATGTTAAATGACATTGGTCAGATACAGAAAAGCAAATACCTCATGTTATCACTCATAAGTATAACCTAAATAAGTTGATCTCATAGAAGTAGTAAATAGGACAGTGGCTGCCAGAAACTAGTGAGGGTAGGGAGGATGGAAGGATGAGAAGAGGTTGGTCAATGGGTACAAAGTTACAATTAGAAAGGAAGCATAGGTTCTGGTGTTCTTTTGCACAGAAGGGTAACTATAATGAACAATATGGGAATCTATATCTCAAATTAACTAGAAGAGAATATGTTTAATGTTCTACTACAAATAAAAAATATGTGTTTGAGGTGATGAATATGCTAATTACCCTGATTTGATTATTAACACAATAATACATGTATCAAAACATCACATTGTACCCCAGAAATATGTATAATTGTACGTGTTCAATAAAAATACAAATGAAAGAAAAACATGCAGTTTCTAACTCAGTAGGTCTGGGCTGGGCCTGAGAATCTATTAATAAATTTCTAAGAAGCTCCAAGATGATGCAGGTGCTACTTGTCCTCAGACCACTTTTTGAGTAAAAAGTGGCCAGGCGATCTTCTCTTCTTTTGTTTTATTTTATATTATTTGTTCATTTTTTTTGAGATAAGATCTTGCTCTGTCTCTCAGGCTGGAGTACAGTAGTGAGATCATAGCTCTCTGCAGCCTTGAACTCCTGGGCTCAAGCGATCCTCCTGCCTCCATCTCCCAAGTGGCTGGGACTACAGGTGCACACCACCACACCCTAGCTAATTTTTAAAATTTTTGTAGAGACAAGGTCTTACTATATTGCTCAGGCTGGTCTTGAACTGCTGAGCTCAAGCAGCCCTCCCATCTTGGCCTCCCAAAGTGCTGGGATTACAGGCGTGAGCCACGGTGGCTGCCCAATCCCCTTTTCTTTAGTGCAGTCTTTGCACAGAAATCTAAGGCTGTCGAATAAGCTACATTCAAAAAGCATCTGCTCGTGTAATCCCAGAACTTTGGGAGGCCAGGGCAGGAGGATCACTTGAGATGGGGAGTTCAAGACCAGCCTGGGCAACATAGTAGTACTCTGTCTCTAACAACAACAGAAAAAAAGCCAGGTGTGGAGGTATGGAGGTGTGCACCTGTAGTCCTTGCTACTTAGGAAGCTGAGGTGGGATGATGTTTTGAGTGCCAGAGTTCAAGGTTACAGTGAACTATGATTATGCCACTGCACTCCATCATGGGCAACACAGTGAGACTGAGACCCTGTCTCCTAAAAAAAAAAAAAAAATTCATCTGCTTGTATTTGCCTGGTATATATTTTCTTGTACCTCTGCTTCCAATTTCTCTCATTAAAATCATTCTCTCTTAGTGTTTTTTTTTTTTTAAACAAGCAATCTATATTGTAATTGAATTCTTTAAAACATACAATTGATTATTCTCTTTTTTTTTGAGCCAGGGTCTCACTTTGTCACCCAGGCTGGATTGCAGTGGTGTGATCTCGGCTCACTGCAGCCTTGACCTGCCAGGCTCAAGCAATTCTCCCATACCAGCCTCCCTGGTAGCTGGGACTACAGGCCCCCGCCATCATGCCCAGCTAACTTTTTGAATTTTTTTGTAGAGATGGGGTTTTGCCATGTTGCCCAGGCTGGTCAAACTCCTGAGCTCAAGTGATCTACCCGTCTCAGGCTCCCAAAGTGCTGGGATTACAGGACTGAGCCACTGCACCTGGCTACTCTCTACCTTTTGATAAAAGGAATTAAGTTGGTAAGTTGGTATATAGTTCATTCAATTACGTGTATTGAAATTGATTCTATTTCTATATCAATTATTTTATACATTTTATTTTATTGTTTTTTTCTTGTAATCTTTTTTTCTTTTACAAGCTTGCACAAATTTTTGTTTAATACCCTATTTTCTCTTTTTTAGTTTGAAAATTTTCATGGTCAAATATCTAAAATAAAACTTTTAGATTTCTAACTGGGCAGAGATACATCAATTAACAGATTGAGAAGACACACATTTGGTGTAAGAGATGTAAATATATTAACAAATTTTGCTACAAGAAGTAGATAAATGCTAAAAAATATAAAATATTTGACTAATACAATTTAATAGACATATTTAGTTGTACCCTACAAAAAGATACTGAATTTAAAAAAAATTTTATGTTAAATACATGAAATTCAACACATTTTTAAAAATCAACAACTACTCTATTTGAAAGTTAAGGAGCACAATCCTAAAAGATCCTTGGATCAAAGAAGAAATCAAAATCAAAAATTTAATTTGTAAAGAAAGTAATGAAAAAAGAACGTATTAAATCCAAACCTTCAGGATATAACTTTAAACTCAGCTGTAATACCTATAATATCTCTTAAAAAATAAAGAACAATGGTTCAATTTTAAAAATTAGAACAAAAGCAATAAATAAACCAAAAGGAAACCAAAGAGAAGGGAATTAATAAAGACAAAGCTGAAATTAGCATAAAGCATAAATCCAAAATTACTTGTTGTATAAATAAAACCAAAAGTTGATTATTTGAAGAGAACTGTAAAACAGATAATTCCTGTGTTAGAAGAATTAGGCAGAAGTATAGTATTAAATTTTTTTAACTTTTATTTTAGGTTTTGGGGTACGTGTGAAGGTTTGTTACATAGATAAACACATGCTATGGGTTTGTTGTACAGATTATTTCATCACCCAGTTATTAAGCTCAGTACCCAATAGTTATCTTTTCTTCTCCTCTCCCTCATCCCACTCTCCACCCTCAAGTAGAGCCCAGTGTCTGTTGTTTGTTTCTTTATATTAGGAATTTTTAAGTGGTATATTACCTCAGATATTGAAAAAACTAAAATAATTACAGAAAAGTGCAATTATCTGGCAAAAAATATATATTTAAATTAAAGTAAATAGATAACAACCCAAATAAAAAATTAAATATTATATGATTTATTTATAATAATATTAAATATTATAAATAATATTTATTCATAATATTAAATATTATAAATAATTAAATATAAAAATATTAAAATTGACCCAAGGAAAATATAAAACTAAACAGATTAATAATCACAAAAGAGATTAGACATGTAATTAAAGAACTACCATTTAAAAAGCACTGTATACAACCTCTGCACAAGGCAGCTTGGCAATATCTACCTAAATGACATAGGCATATACTTTCTGACAGAGCAATTTCATACCTTGTAACTTTTAGACATATAGCATATACGTGAGCTCATATTTTTACACATGTGAAATTACATAAGTCTAAGGTTATTCATTGAAATATTGTTTAAAATATTAAAATGTGGGAAACACCCTGAAAGTCCTAAATGTGACATTGATTCAATGAAATACTGAAGAGCTGAAAAAATTTTACAGCTTATACTTTTAAATGAAAACACAGGATTCAGAATAATTTGTATATAATCTATGACTATTTCTGTAAAAGTGGTAGTAGATGGGAAGATATCTATGTGTGCTTGTTCCTATAAGTATAAAAAAGTCTCTGGAAGTGTACACACTCACACACACAGACACACACACACACTGCATTGGCTTTCTATGATGATGGCAGTGGGACACCAAGAGATGGGTGAAAAGGAGACTTTTCACTTTATATTGATAGTTCATTCATATTTTTTAAAAACATTGAGCCATGTAACTGTATTACCAAATCAAAAAACTAAGTAAATATTAAAAGATACCATTTCCAGATTGGTTTTCATGACTTCCAAGTAAATATAAAACCATAGTTTTCTATCTTATTTATCTCAGAATATAAAAAAATTCCCAATTTTTGAAAACGCTAGTACATTCTTACTACCAGATAAGGCAACTTATAGAATATAAAGGCTATAGACTAATTTAATGTAAAGAAATAGACACAAAATTTTAATAAAATATTAGCAAATGAAGTCATCAGAGGATTAAGAATAAAACATACTATGACCAAGCAGCAGAGGAACCAGGAATACAAGAATTCTTCAACTTTACAGAATCTAACAATATACTTTATTTCATCAGCAAGTTAAAGAAGAAAAAAAGCGTATTATATTAATAGCTGCTAAAATGGTATTTTTAAAGATTCTGTGGTATTCATAATAATTTTGAAAGCACCATTTGAGTAGAAAATAAAACAAGATGCAGAGTTATACATGTTATGATACAGCATTTATATAGGTTTAAAATGCACAAAGCAATAATTTATGGCTTGTAAAGCTATGTATAGTAAAAGTATAAAAGCATAGGTGGAAAGGAGGCATGCCAATTTTCGAAAAAAAGAACGACAAAATTATAAGATCTGTCTTCATTAACCCTAGTTGTGAACAGAACTGACCTTGACCCAAACTACCTGTGACTGCGTCCCCAATCTACCACTTACTGGTTGTATATGTGACTTATGGCAAGTTATTTAACCAACTTCTATTCCTCAATTTCATGAGTGTGAAAAGTGTATAATAATAATGCCTACCTCATAGGTTTGTTATCAGTATTAAATGAGTTAAGATTAATAAAAGAGCTTGGAACAATGCCTGGTACAAAGTAAAGATCCAATAAATGATAGTTGTTATAGTAGATGTTGCTGTTGTTTATCATTTATTATTATCACTATCATCACTATTAATTCAGTCTTAGCTAAAAATTACAATCAAAGTCAGAAGTTCTATAAGCTTAATTGGAATTTAATAAGGAAACTTGTAAGAATGGGTGCCTAGTGATACAGATGCTTTGGAAAAAAAAGCAGTTTTAGCAAATACACTTTGTCATTTAATTAAGGAAAAGGATAGTGAACATTTACATACAAGGATGACAAATTTTAAGTTTAATATATACTCAGTCTGTATCTTATCATTATGAGGTTAAATTTATAAATCTACTTGCTAAAAGCAATGAATTTTCCTATAATATTGAAGGTTTGTTTTAATATTTCTAAGGACTGTAGTCTCTCTCAAAATATCTTATTATATGCAATATTTTTGGACTGCAGTTCACTCTTGGGTAATCGAAATCTTGGAAAGTGAAACCATGGATAAAGAGGAACTACTGTACCTTCTCCATTTTGCTGTGAAACTAAAACTGCTCTATAAAAATAAAGTCTTAAAAATGTAAAAAAAAAGGAATTTTAAGAAACCTAATAAAAATTATGTTGCAAGTAAAACTAAAAGTTGAGATTAACTTTTAAAAGCAATGTAGAATAGTGCTGTTCCTTGGTGGGTGGTATGCTTTGAAATATCTTTAAAAAGTAAAGGCAGTGGATAGACCTTCACACACCTGGTTTGTCCATCTGCTGACTCCTCTCTTTTTTTTTTTTGAGACGGAGTCTCTCTCTGTCCCCCAGGCTGGAGTGCAGTGGCGCGATCTCGGCTCCAAGCTCCGCCTCCCGAGTTCACGCCATTCTCCTGCCTCAGCCTCCCAAGTAGCTGGGACTACAGGGGCCCGCAACCACGCCTGGCTAATTTTTTTGTATTTTTAGTAGAGACGGGCTTTCACCGTGTTAGCCAAAATGGTCTCGATCTCCTGACCTTGTGATCCACCCACCTCGGCCTCCCAACGTGCTGGGATTACAGGCGTGAGCCACCGCGCCCGGCAATCTGACTCCTCTCTTAATTCACAGCCTCACTCACCTCTTGGGGCATGAAGATATATGTTGCTTTGTCAGTGAGCCTTTCCTTTATCAATTCTGTTTTTACACATGGTGTTTCTTCATCTTGGGTCATCTGCCCACCCTCTCATCTACTGGCTGTATCCCATTAGCACTTCAGGTACCAGCAATGCTGTCTCATTCCTCTTCAGAAAGCCTTCTGTGAAGTCCTAAGTAAGTTCAGAGCAACTTGTAATTATTCCAGTGGGCTCCTCTTAGTGTGATAGCTGCTTATTTATAGGTCTTTCACTATAGTATAAGCTCCTTGAAGACAGGGACTATGTCTTTTCTACTGCTTTGTTCCCTCTGCCTGCCTATCACAGCGATCAGTAGGTGTCAAGAATTCAATACTTATTTATTGAAGAAAGAGTGAGAGAAAGGAAGAAAAGAAAGAAGGAAGTGACCATAAATATTTCACCTAAAGAAGGCCGAGTTTGGTGGTTTCGTAAAATCTAAGATTACCATATATCACTTATCATTAAAATGGGACAGTTCTGAGAGTGACAGGGGCAGGAGGGGGCACTATTAGTAAAGACACTGAGAAAACAGGGACAGAAAGGAGCTACCTTCCGCAAACTGAGAGTGATATTGACTACTTGAAGGTCCATAAATATCCTATTCTATGTTGCCATTCATTTACCTGTGCTGTTTCTTCTACGAAGATTGCTATTCCTTCTCTCTCTCTTTTTTTTTTTTTTTTTTTTTTTTTTTTTTTTTTTTTGAGACGGAGTCTCACTCTGTGGCCCAGGTGGGAGTGCAGTGGCGCAATCTCGGCTCACTGCAAGCTCCGCCTCCCAGGTTCACGCCATTCTCCTGCCTCAGCCTCCCGAGTAGCTGGGACTACAGGTGCCCGCCACCACGCCCGGCTAATTTTTTTGTATTTTTAGTAGAGACGGGGTTTCACCGTGTTAGCCAGGATGGTCTCGATCTCCTGACCTCGTGATCCGCCCGCCTCGGCCTCCCAAAGTGCTGTCCTTCTCTTACCTTTGTCCACCTGGCAATCATCTGTCTTAGTGTGTTTTGTGCTGCTATAACAGAATACCCAAGACTAGGTAATTTATAAAGGACAGAAATTTATTTTTTCAGCTCTGGAGGCTGGAAAGTCCAAGACTGAGGTGCCCACATCTGGCAAGGGCCTTCTTGCTCTGTCACCCCATAGTGAAAGGCAGAAAGGCAAGAGGTTAGAGAGAGAAGGGGAGGGAGACAAATGCATTATTTTACAGGAACCCACTTCATCTCTAACTACTCCACTCCCATGATAAAGGTATTAATCACTTCATAAGAGTAACATCATTTCTTGTGAAGTTCTTCACAGATCACTCCCAGGCAGAATTAATCATTCTCTTCACTACTGTATCTATGTGGCTTTCTGGAAAAAAAAAATGTTAACATTTGACATATATCATCCCCTTCAAGGGTTTTCCAGACACAAGTATTCCAAAAACAAAAGCAGTGATGTCAACTACCTGTCACTTAAGAAGATATTGTCTTACTTTTAACTAAAATATATATGTTATATTAGGTTTGCGGTTATAAAACAAGGGAAATTGTACCTCCCAGAGAACATTTGGAAATGTCTGAAGACATTTTTGGTTTTCACAAATGCTACTGGCATCAAGAAGGTAGAGGCCAGGCATGCTGCCAGATACCCGGCAATGCACAGGACAGCCCTCTCCTCCACCAACAAAGAATCAGCTGGCCTTGACTGCCAATATTGCTGAGGTTGAGAAATCCTGTACTGAGTCACAAAATGAGTCCACTGTGGCTTCAGCTACATGTAATTGTCTCATCTTATATCTTCCTCTGTTGCAACTCCTAAACAGTCATCTAGATCTGGAACCTGACTCCAAAATGTAGCTTAGAGTGAACTCAGAGGTTGTCATTCTAATAACAAACACCACAATAAACTGTGGGTTTTCACCCGATTCTTTCTTTGTAACTGTATATATTTAAGGTGTACAACATGATGTTTTGATATACTTATCTTGATATATATATATATATGTGAAGTAATTACTATAGTTAAGCAAAATAACATATCTATCATCTCATATAGTTACATTTCCTTCTTTTGTGGTATCAACCCATTCTTAACCTTATTGTTTAGATTAATTTTATAGTCTCTACAGAACTGGTAGGCTTTCACAAAACATGACTGCTGCTCCCTAATTCAGTGGTTAGTCAAATCACATGATAGAATTGCTCCTTCAAATGCTGGCAAGCAAGAAGCATATGATGAAAGGAAAGCCTGGGATTTGCAGCTTCTCTTTTCAACCTTAGATAAAATCAACAGACATGGGAAAGAACTGGTAATTTAAAGGAATGATATACTACTACTCCTCATATTTTGCTGAGATATGTACCCAGGACCATTTTCCTGGATGCAAACACTGGGTTGTTATACCACCCAAGAAACACAGAATGGCAGATGCCAAGCTTTTATAAGTATTTTTTTGTATGCTAAGTGTTTGTAATAAGCTTGTATATTTCAATGCTTTTGCCAATATTACACTTTGTTGTTACTTTTAGCCATTACAATACATTTTACAGTACTTAAAAATTACCTGTTTATATATTTCCCTTTGCTGTAAATCTTGTGTTTCTTGATGGTAAGAGCTATATATCCCATCTCTTAGGCTTTGACACAGGGCTGCAGCATAGTATACATAAAGCAGAGGCTCCTTGTGCTGAATAGTTATGATAAGGATAATTTGGATCTAGGCTCAGTTTAAGAGGCCAAATTAAACAGTCAATTAAAAAAAGAATACATAAATGATGGTTCAGTTGTCAACCTGGAGTTTAGTTGGGCTCCACAAAAATAAGTTAGGTGCTTGAAAGATCAGAATTTGTTTTTGCTAAACCAAGGTCAGGAACATCTGAAGTCAAAGTTGGTAGCTATCAAGTAAATTCTCTCACTTAGAGCTTAGCATCAGAGGTAGGCTGAGAGTTGGACCTTTATCAGAGAGGGAGGCCACATATGATGGTATCGTCTATTATTCTTCACCTAGGTGTAAAGAGTAACTCATGATGCTCAATCTGTCTGCTTCTCCAGAGAGTTCTGATACTTCCAGTCAGTAAATCATAAAATACTATTGCATACCTGCTATACCAGGCACTGTATAGGGAGCAATGAACAAAAGAGAGGCCCTGCTCAATACAAAACTTTACACAAATACACACACACACATGCACGTGCACACACACACACACATACAGGACTTATATACCGTATATACAAATGATGCACTTGCTGGGAAAGCCTAGTCTGAGAGTGGGGATTCAGAAATGGGTGGAATCTCCAAAGTCTTTTGCCCCTAACTTTGTCACTGACTTTGCTTCCTAACCAGAAGTCAAATCTAAAAGTGAATCCTTCATTCTTGGATATGATTTTTTCCTTTCCCTTGAGCTTCTTTTTTAATAAGCACTATTACTAAATCTAATCCAAACTATTTTGCTAATATGAAATTAGTTTTGGCAACATGCAAGAAATATTTACATATTGGCATCTTGTTCAACCTTTTTTGTTTTGTTTTAGCAGATGTTCCAGGGTTTATAAAATATATTTTTAACTTTTTCCACTCTCAAATAATGTATGGTCTGTAAATATAACTCACAATACATGTTGTCTCCTTCTGTCCTTTGTGCTGTTCTTGTTATACATTTCACTCTGATATATATTTACTCCAATATATTTTACAATACATTGCTATTAGTTTTGCTTTCAACCATCAATTATCTTTTAAAGATATTTTTAAATTACAAAAATATCTTTTATATTAATCTCTAAATTTATCATTTCTGGTGTTTTCTTTTGTGCATCTAATTTTTCATTTGGTAGAATTTCCCATCTTCCCAGAGAACTTTCTTTAACATTGATTTATAGTAAAGATCTGCTGGTGAGAATATCTCTCAGCTTATGTTTGTCTAATAAATTATTCATTTAATCTTCATTTTTGAAAGTTATTTTAACTAGATATAAAATTCCAGTTTGGATTTTTTCCTGTGTGTCCTTTGGCGATGTGTTCCATTGTTCTCTGACTCACATAGTTTCCAATGGGCAGTCTGCTATCAATTTTATTTTTATTCTTTAATGCAATGTGTTATTTTTCTCTGACTACTTTTAAGATTTTTTTATTGCTGGTTTTCAGCAATTTGTTCATAGTTTACCTAGATGTCATTTCTCTCAACTTTCTTCTTCCTGGGATTTATTGAGCTATGGGATTATTGCTTTCATTAAATTTGAAAAATTACTATTATATTTTGTTAACTATTTTTAAACTAACTTTGAATCAATTTAATTCTTTTAAAGCTAACTTTTAATTTTGATTAGCACTAATCTGTAGTAGGCTTTAGCCTAGGGCTAAATTAACCCCACTACTAAGGCAATACCCATATAGGACTCTATCCAATTCCTTACATATTGCAAGGTCCCTCCATTGTAGCTATTGGGATTGAGGACCACCTTGAATTGTGACCTCCAGGAATTTTGGACTTAACTGCTTTCATATTTTTTTCATCAGCCTCATGGAGTTTTATCCCATGCATATACAGATTAATATTCAGACAAAGATTCAAGGACACACTTCAGCAGACCTTTAGAGTCCTCTCTCTGTTCAGCTCTTTCCTCTTTAACTTTCTGTCCACAAATTCTGGTTGTCTCAGCCTCCTTGAACTCTGATCTTTGTTTTCTCACCTCAGCAAGACCACTGCCTTGTCTCTGGTTCTCCTTTCCATCATTGTGGCCTGGAAACTGCCTTTACATAGTATGTGACAGCAAATATTCCTCATCCGTTTCTCTTTTCTCACTGAGCGGTAGCTCAATATCTGAAAAGTAATTGTTTCACATATTTTATCAGGTTTTCTAGTTATTTATGGTGAAAACACTATTACTATTGTAGTTAATCCTTCATTAGTGGAAGCATAAATCCAAATGTTTTATTTTTTACTTTTATAATTTCCAGTTGATCTTTTTATATAATCTACTCCTTCAGTAAAATCTGTATAAGCAATATTATGAATTCAACCCAATCTCTTTTTTTGCAAATATAAAATTGTTTCTTGCTTACATGTAAAAGATGTTTAATGGCAATTAAAAAAAATCTGTTAATCAAAGTTATATATATATAAGGCTCACATTTCATTACATCTCTGAGTTATGCATTAACCATAGAGCATTTGTTATAAACTATTTTAAAACTATAAACACCAAACATTCTATTGTTTTATTCATGCTTTCTAAACAGTATTTACCTAAATATTCATGTCTATATAAATTCTTTATAAAATTTTTCTTCCCTAATTTGCTTCATATAGAGATTGTGTTCCGTATATTTTTCTGCATATTATATACCACCGTGTCAACTCACTCACTTATACACTCATTAATTAGTTCATTAAAGTATTTATTTATTCACTCAGAAGTTTTTATTAAATGTGTACCATGTGCTGACACTATTCTAGACCCCAAATATAAGAAAATAAGAGACAAACCACCCTATCCTAGAGTATTTTTCTGCTGATTGAAGAAGGTAGAAGGGGAAATATCCCCTATGATCATTGCATCATTGAGGCTTGAAAGGGTGCATCTGACAATGAAGCTTTTCTGAAGTAAGTGACATCTGAGCTATATTTGGAAGGAGAAGTTGAACTTAGCTGGGAATCAGGTATTCCAGACAAAGAACAACAGAGAATTTAAAGTAAACACATTGGCTTTTATGGGAGAGGAGTGTGGAAAGATATGTCTGGGCAGTTAGTGGCCAGCTGCAAATCTGGAGAGATCTTCACTCCCATGCTTGGTGGCTGACGCTGCTGTCGGTTGAGGTCTCTCCAAATACCCTAGGCCTCTTCGTACCATGCTGGTTTCAGAATAGTTGGATTTCTTATATGGAAGATTAGGCCTCCAAAATAAGTGAACCAGTGAATAAGACAAAAGCTGCATCACTTTTTATGACTTAGCTTCAGAAATCAGGCATTGACTTTCATGTCATTCTATTGGTTATAATTGAATTATAAGCCCACACAGATTCAAGGAGACAAGGCATAGGCCCCACCTTAAAATAGAAAGAATATCAAAAAAATTGCAGCTATTTATTTAAAACCATCACAGCAGTCATGAAAGAGGCTGTTAAATGCAATGTTATGAGGAAAGATTCTGAAGTTAGATAGGCAAGGGTTTCCAGCTCTATCAATTTCTGGATGATTGATTTCCCGTGAGCCTGTTTCCTTGCCTATGAAATGGAAATAATGCTTTCATAATTGGGTCATCGTGAGGATTAAATGAAATTATGTTCATGACATGTTTATTACAATGTTTGGCACCTAGTTAATGCACAATTAGTAATACCTCCTTTCCCCCAAGTAAATTAAATCCAAATATTTGGCTACCATAATAATCTATGCTATAGTAATACCTTTGACTATATACATAAAACACATTTTCTGCCTTATAGTAATTTTTGCTGTTTTTAAAAGATACTTCCAAAAGTTTCCTTGAAGTCAGATTTTTGAGAAAGTTAGGAAACTTCTGGAAGTGTCTTAAAAATAAGAACAAAAAAAAATTACAAAGCAGAAAGTATACTTTATGTATTAAAGATAGGAGAAGAGAAGACTGAGGAAAAAAAGAGGTTAATACCACAGTCAAAGCAACGCTTTACAGTCATGATTCTGGGCAAAGGGATGACAAGAAAAGCATTCACTCTCTGGTCTGGTATACATCTCAGGGACCATGGCTTTCCTTGTGGAGCAGATCCCCAGTGCCTCAAAACCACCATAGGGAAGTTGCTCTGCTTTCAATGGCAGACCACTGTATCATCCCACATAAGCAGAACATTTCAACTTTGGCAGAAATTCTTTTTAAAAGTGTGTCTTGAATGGAAAAAAATTAAAAATCTAAGCTCAAATAAGATCTAAAACCATATGTTAAATGGGGATGAAACAAGCTATGTTAGACCTTATGTAAGAGTTTAAGATTAGGAGAAGGAAAAAGTTAACCACCCCCCTGCCCCAACACCCCACCACCCAAGGAAAGTCAGCCGTCTTAAACAAATAGGAGGAATGTTGCCGTGGAAGGAATATGCACTGTGAATCCTTTATTGGGCTGTCAAATTTCGGTCAACATGCAAAATTAATTTCTGTCAAACTAAATACCTATACTGTTAAGGGAGTAAATATCAGATAGATGATGAGAATTTTAACATACTTGAGACATGAAAGGCACAATGCAATAGGTAGCCGGTACCAAAGAAAGATGATAACATGTCTAGTGGAACATGAGGTGACTCTGCTTTGTGAGAGCATGAGGGGTCAGTCAGGCAGCAACATTCTGCTCCAATAGTACTGCTAGTGGACAGACAACCAAGAGACTGATCTGCTTAGAAGGGCATTGGTATACTATAGCAATGGCTTATTTTAAGCTTATTGAGTTGTTTAAAAGTACAACTGCTAAAAATCCTAGTCCTAAATCATGCCATGAAACATATAAAACTTGAAAAACCACTGGAGTCTAACAGTCTTGAGTTTTTAACAAGGATTCCACGATTTGCTCATTATGTAACTTGTTGGGACTTTGGACACAATATTTATTTCTTTATTTGTAAAATGGAGGCAATAATACCTACTTCCAGAGGTCTTGTGAGATCTAAATGAGACACAAAATATAGGAAAAATATATCTACCTGACAAAGTGTCTAGACCATAGTAAGTATCCAATAAACAGTAGCTATTGTTTTATTAGTGAATTAGATCTGAAGCACCTTGATGACTTAATAAAAATGACGATTTTTTTATTCCTTGCCAGGGGATTCTGATTAAATAAATATATAGTAAAGCCCAAGGCTTCTCTATTTATTAATTTTAACTTCCCAAGTGATTCTAAAGCTCAACCAGGTTTGGAAACCACCAAAATAGATAAGCTTATATGTTGTAAAGCTAAATTTGCAGGTTCTGCTGTGTTTTCAAAAATATCCTTAAGTAGAGCATTTTTATTTAAACCATATCAAGGCCAGGCATGGTGCCTCACTGTAATCCCAGCACTTTGGGAGGCCGAGGCGGGCAGATCACCTGAGGTCAGGAGTTCTAGACCAGCCTGGCCAACATGATGAAACTCCGTCTCTACTAAAAATACAAAAATTAGGTAGGCATGGTGGCAGGTGCCTGTAATTCCAGCTACTCAGGAGGCTGAGGCAGGAGAATTGCTTGAACCTGGGAGGCGGAGGTTGCAGTGAGCTGAGATCACTCCACTGTACTCCAGCCTGGGCAACAGAGTGAGACTCTGTCTAAAAAAAAAAAAATCATAATTCTGTGAGGTTGGTATTCATATTCCAGCTTTATAGGTTAAAGAAGAGTTATTGCTCAATTTCTCACTCATAATAGTAACAAACGCAGAGCTGAGTAATTCTTCCAACAGTAGTCTAAAGCTTTTAATTGCTTCATTTTGGATATTTGCTTTCTGTTGAAACATTAATTGATGGGTTTAGCTGTCTTTAAGGTAAGACACATAGTATGGCTATCAATAATCTATAAATGATAGTAAATTTTAGAGTCATATTGTGTATGTGTGTGTGTGTATGTTGATTACTTAGGATGTAATAAAAAAATTAACTTGCAGTTTGTACCTTCCTGCATTCACGTCAGAAGCTTTCAAAGAAATTGAAGAGGTTTATTTTGGAGACTTACCTTCTCCATATTCCATAAAATCTTCATGTCTCTAGTTCAGAAATTTTTCACCTTGTCTATTCTTAAATAATTATAAAAATCATATTACCCAGCAAATAAACTCACTGGTTTTAATTAACTAAAGAAATATTGACAATAATTTTAAAGGGCTTGTAAGATTTAATGTAAAGCTATTAAGGCATGGTTATAATGTCACAATCCATTACCATGAAATAGAAGGAAACGCTTTATTATATAAGCCACAATCTATTTGTTCATCATTTATAAAGCAAAACTGAGTGAGCACCTCAGGGGGCATGAAAATAGGAATTTGGGATGGATTCAATTCATAGAACCTCTCCCACAATTAGATGTACCACAAGGTACTTCAGACATTTGTGTTTCTAAGGAAGCAAGCCAAGATGAGATGCTGGGAGTAAGACAGCTTGAGGGTTTTCCGTATACTTCACCACACTTACTAACATTTTTATTCATGATGTGTCTTCAAACTTTGGATTTCTAAACTCTATTACTTTACTATATATCTGATACCAAGCTCTCACTCAGGTAAGTCTGAAGACAACCCTAGGTCAAAACTCTGCCTACTTCTTTTTTGCCCCCAAGGATTTGTTTCCTTGAGTTTCTGTTTTAGACCTGTTAATATCCATTTTATGTCTAACTTAACTATGAAATGAAGTATACAGTCCCCAAAATAGGTAAACTACATCTTTTTGCATTTGTTTTGAGATCTTTTATTTTGGGAAATGGTCAAGGGAAAATGGCAATAACCCAGTTACTAGGATTTAATAAAGCATGCCCGGTTTCATAGTCAATATCCCTGATCCACAACTCCTACATTCATTCTTAGATCATATTGGGAAGTCCTAATGGGATCCTGCTCCCCTTAAGAAGGTTGAAGCTCATCAAAGTACACTGTCCTTATCTTTATCAATTTTATGTACACTTTATCAATTTTATGTATTCATCATTTGTCAATACTCACTGAGTAAATAGTAATACATAGTTATTACTGCCTTCTATGTGTTGGCATTTTTCTAGGGGCTGCTAGGAGGGAAAAACTCTTCAATGCCAAGATCCTCTTTCAGGTTATTTTTGGATAATTTAATTTTGCTTCATTTGGGGTTTCTAAAATGTTTGTGTGTTCACTATGGACAAAAACATTTTAACATTTTTGGATCTCATAGTCTTTAAAGAAAGATGAATGTTTTAATATTCGTCCTTAGAAAAGTGCACATTCACATGTACGCAACCTTTGCATACAACATCAGGAGGTTCGTGGGCTTCCAAAGCCCATCCATGACACTTCAAAGAGCCATGTGTTTCAGGTTTAGACCCACTGATGGACATTTATGCATATCATTTTCTGAATCTCAAAGAAGAGTTCAGGACCAAAGGAGACAGGACAAGGGACAGTGAAGAAAGGCTTGCAATAAGAAGATGAGGGATAATTTTATTTGAGCTTTTGATTCTGAGAACAGCACTGAGAGTAATTTGGCTACTGTACTAGTAACACAGAGCACATTTCTGTCATTGCAGAGAGTTTTATTAAACAGTGTTAAACCCTAAGTAATTAACATCATTTGGAATTAATATAAACTTGCATTTCACAGACATGGAAAGCAGGAGGTGTCACATATAAACTTGTGAGGCAGAAGCTAGAGTATGCAACTCAAGGTTTAGGAAGTGTTAAAACCAGATGCGAAACGAGTTGACAATAATTGCTGTAAGGCCTGAAAATGTGTGGCTAAAAGTTCCAAAAGAACATGAAATGATTGCAATCTCTTTAAAGTTTCTCCACCACCTTAAAAATCCACCCATCTTTGAAATGTATGCCAGGTGACTCTACCACACATTCTTCCTGCTTTATGCTGTCATCTACTAATCATCTAAAGTCAAGGCATTCTACTCATTCTCTGAGGATTTTGACACCTGTGTACAGTTTCCTTTGCATCCTGACTTTGGGATAACTCCAAAACTTACATGGAAGATCTATATAATATCCCAATTCTATATTACTTGCCCCCCCCCCCATGTACAATGATGCTTTGTATTTTATTTCACTCAGTGACTCTGACAGCCGCTTTGTGAATCACTGATAGCTTTCCAAACTCCAAAATCACCAACTTCCTCCCTTAGTAATGCCACTTATCCTTCTACCTTGCCTGCTTAAATATCCTTCTGCAACTTTCAACATCTTTGAGGCTTCTAATTCATAAAATACTCCACTTTCTCTTTCTGCTGCTCCTAATCTGTCTTCACTTCCTTCATTCATTCTAGTCTATGGTATAACTTTTATAATATCCTACAAATACACTAAAAATCTTTGCTCTTCTTTTCTTTTCCACTTCAACCAAACTTCCATCTTCTTCCTGCTTGCACCTGGGCAAAAACATTGCTGGAGAAAGTTACACAACTAGGTAGACTAGTTCTATTAAAAATTTATGGTCATGAATATCAATTGTATATTTCCTTCTGATTACATGACTTACCCATGAGGAATAAAACCAGGTTGTATGCAAAAGAGAATCAGTTGGATAAGTGTTAAGAAAAAAAGATGTTTTTCATTAATCATTGAAGATAAAGTTGCTAGATGAAATAGAGGATGTACTATATATATATATATATATATATAAAAATATGGAAAATTATTTATATATGTAAATAAATTGACAAAAGTACAAATTTCGTCGTTATTTAACTTCTCCTTATTCCACTTGTCTCATCTATAAAATAGGATTAATAATGTTAACCATCTCACAATTGTCTCTAGAATTACACCTGGTATGTAACAACTGCTCAACAAAATGCAGCTATGATCAGTATCAAATTATTTTCCATGACAGGAGTTTTCATAGGGTTAGGTGGAAAAAGTACAAGGTTAGAGAAAAGGATTACCAAGGATGCAGAAACAGATACTAAGGGCACCAAAACTAAACTTTGCCTCATTTATGGAATGTAGTGAACACTAAATATATTGCCCATGATAAGGAGTTTAGACTTGCTTATTGAAGTAGCCCACACATTAAAATAATAATAAGAAGAAATGGGTTGAAGATTATATTGTTGGCAGAAGTTTTATGTTGGACTAATCTTAGTTTGCACTTTCACATTGAGCATGAGTGGAAATTGGGAAGCTCATCTTATCTTCCAACACCATCATTCTAAGGGAACAAGCAGAAGGAGCATGTCTTCAGGTCTCAGAGGCACTTGCAAATCCCCACAGATATCTCTGCTTATGTTGAATTAGGGTACCCAGGAACTTCTTATCACTTAGAGAATGGGCCTGATTGCCAAAATAACATTCAGGCTATCTTTAAAATATTTGATTATCTGTAGAGTAATTTTCTCCTCATTTAAAAAGCTTGAGTGTTTACTATCTTTAATGTCACCAAGTTGTTGTATTGTCATTTTGTTTTAAATAATTCAATCATTAAGGAAGAACTTTCTATTAATTTTTTATTATAAAAATCATCAATGAGAAAGAATTGCCTATTAAAATGTTATTTTTCTTTTTTTTTCTCTTGTTTGTTTGTTAGTATTTGAGACAGGGTCTTGCTCTGTCACTCAGTGTGGAGTGCACTGGCTCAGTCATAGCTCACTACAGCCTCCATCTCCTGGGCTTAAGAAATCTTTCCCACTCAGCCTCTAAGGAGCTAGAACTACAAGCACATACTACTAGGGCCAGGTCATTTTTATAATTATTATTTTTGTAGAGACAGAGTCTCACTATGTTGCCCAGGCTGGCCTTGAATTCCTAGGCTCAAACAATCCTCCTACCTCTGCTTCTCAAAGTGCTGAGATAACAGGCATGAGCCACCATGCATGGCCATAATTTTATTTTTCTATGATAAAAATGATATAAAAACATTATAACATTTTAGGCATGTGAGAAAAATATTACACATAATCTTACCACTCTACCTCATGATTATTAGCATTTTGGTGTTCTTATCTCCATCTTTTGTCTTACATATTTTTAACCTAGCCATAACTAAGATAGACAGGAGTTTCGCATTCTGCTTATTTCTGAATATCTAAGCCTTTTTCTCCCACACAACAACATAACCCACTTAACCATTTCTTTAAATGTTATTATTGTGATGGCCAATTTTATGTGTCAATTTGGCTAAACTGTGGTGTCCAGTTGCTTGGTCAAACACTAATTTAGATGTTGTTGTGAAAGTTTTTAAAAGACGTGATTAAAATTCACAATCAGTTGACTTCAGGTAAAGCAAATTACCCTCCCTAATGTGGATTGATCTTATCCAATCAGTTGAAACCCTTAAAAGTAAAGATCAAGATCTACTAAAGAAAAGGACATCCTGCCTCAACACTACAACATGGAAATCTAGTCCGAGTTTTTAGCCCACTGGCCTTCCCTATAGATTTTGGATTTAAGGCTGAGACATAAACACTTACCTGAATTTTCAACCTGCCAGCCTGCCCTACAAATTTTAGAGTTGCCTGTCCACAAAATTGCATTGTTCAGTTCCCTAAAATAAATACCTCTCTCTCTCTTTCATGTTTATGTGTGTATATGTATGTATTTATACTTGTATATATCCTATTGGTTCTATTTATGTGGAGAACTCTGACTGATACAATTATATTCTATTGAGTTCTTAAGTTTATTGAACTGCTTTGCTATTGTTGGATTTTTAGTTTTTTCAAAATTATGCTACAAAAAATAATACATCAATAAATATATTTATATCCTTGTTCATATTGTGGATTACTCTATCTTAGCCTAGCTTCTTAGAAGTTGAATTATAAACATTAATAGTATGCCCACATTGTTGGCATACATATTTACTTCTGCCAACAATATAATCTTCAACTCATTGGTTACGATTTTTTAAATGGGAGCCAGTTCAATAAACAAATCCAAATCCCTTACCATGGGTTACACATTCAGTGCTTACTCCATGCCAGACTTTGTCTAGCTACAGGGAGCTTGCAAAAAGTGAAAAATAAAGAAACATAAAATTTAAAAGAAAGAAAATGTGAGAATGTAGCCCTCCAGGCAGAGGGAACAGAAAGTGCAAAGGGAAGTTCTTTAAGTAAAAACAAGTTTGGTTGAAGAAAGAAGGCCAGTGTGGCTGGTGCAGTGGAGGGAGTACAGGAGATTAGCCTGGATGGTAAGGCTTTGGTAAGATGTGTGGGTTTTACTTCTTTTGGTAAGAAAGGGCTGGATCTCAGGGACTCTTCCTTCTTTCTTTCTTCTTCATCCCTTTCTTTCATCTCTACAACTTTCTCTTAAGACATAAGGAAGGGCTTATGTCTTGATAATTTAACAGTGTGAGGCACAGCTTGAATGCCATTGACTTTTCTCCTCTTCCCAATTTCCACTGTACCACAAAAGAGATGACAGTATTTGTGGGCTGCTTTAGGGACGGATGAAGAGTTAGTTTGGGTACTTTGGAGAGGACTAGAGGATGAAGGTCAAAATGATGGTGGAGGTGGTGTTCTATGACATGAAGGTAATTTTCTCCCGGAGGTTTCCAAAACACTTTTCACAACCTGCAATGATGAATTTCCTTTCCATCAATTCCCATTCAGCCCTTATAAGAGGTATATATTCCCTCTATTAACATAATATTGAACCTTTTAAAAAATAAACTAGTGATTCTTGCCTTTTGATACTGAGAGTCACATCCCTTCTTTAAGCTATATTGCTGAACTTTCTGTATTAACTGACAGTAAATGATATAATTCACTTCTTTTTTCTTTCTTTTCTCTATGTCTAATTAGTAACCTTCACTCAGGTAAGAGGAATGGTTGACAATGAAAATACTGGATGTCTTCTTATACATGACCTAGAACTTCTTGCCTCTGCATAGAGCACAAAATGTTGTCTGCATATTGCAAATAAGAGAAACACCATGAAGGCTATTTGGTGGCCCAAATTTATGCTTGCTAAAGTGAGCAAAAGTTTGCTTGGCATGCACCTATAGAAAGAAGGGGAGTGAACACTTTCCCTGCCTATTCTTGATGCAGAAGCTAGACCAAACTGTAAGCCAGACTTTATGAGCTGTAACTCTACTAGCACAAAGAAGAAATGAGGAGAGAAAGAGCTGGGACTTTCCAGTTCTCTTCCCACTCCAGGCCAGCAAGATGATCACTGAAGTTATCA
Source organism: Homo sapiens (assembly GCF_000001405.40). Taxonomy (NCBI): domain Eukaryota; kingdom Metazoa; phylum Chordata; class Mammalia; order Primates; family Hominidae; genus Homo; species Homo sapiens. The sequence goes on from NC_000001.11 coordinate 166,525,028, forward strand.
CACATATTTTTAAATATATATATTTCCTTCCGTTTGGACTGAACCTAGAGATTCAGACATTTTTCCCTAAGAAATCTTAGGCAGAACACACTTCAATGCCTACTTAACTGTAATCCAATATTCAATGTTGCAGAAATTATTAGTTGTTCACCAAAATCTATTTGTTGGTTCATTTTAAAATAATATTCCTAAGTTTTAAATGGGTCCATGATTACTTGACCAAAGATTTATTTCCTAGCCTCCCTTGAAGCTAGGTATGGCCCATAGGAATAGGTTTTGTCAGATGTGATGTCAGCAGAACTAATGGGAGTCACTTTTTGGTTGTATCCTTAAAGAGAATAAGCAAGTTGGCCTCATTCTTTCCTTCCCTCCAGCTGGGACACAGATCAGCTGATGAGAGCTATAGAAGCCAACTTTGACCCAGGGATGAAATTCACGCGTTGAGGATGGTAAATTTGTCCTGCTAGCACTGGACTGCCTACCTCTGGACTTTTATATGACAGAGTTAAATTTTAACCTTATTTCAGGCACTCTATTTGTAAGTCCCCTTTTAAAAAACAGGTTATACTCTAACTAATACATAAGATAGTGCTGGAAATGGGGAACTCTCATTGCAAAAACCTAAAATATGAGGCATTGTTTAGGCGATTAGGCAGAAGGCAGTGAAAACACAAGTATTGTGGCTGAAAAGATACACAGGAATTATGATCCTTATTACATCAGAGCAAAATATTTGTTGAAAGTGACAGCTGTGAAGCCTTGGAAGTGTGACCATGTTCTCACTGATCACTTTTCCTTTAGTTCCAGGAGAAGTGACTGGAAAATATCAGAGTTTATTAGCTGCCTTGTCATTCTTATCAAAGTTCTTCTAGAGAAAACTCAGGCAAGAATCAGCCATTCTCCAAGGAAACAGAGAAAGGGATATAGCTCTGTTAATGGAAGGTCTCTCTTTCTGGGGCCAGAAATGTAAATATACTGAGATGGCAGCTATGAAATTGCTTCTTTCCCATCAAATTAAGGCAAAGACTGTGCCTTTCTCAAGTGCCTCCCACAAGTCTTTTCTGGGAGACAAAGGAAGCCAGCCCAGAGAGGCACACATCAGATGAAGGGTGTTGCCTTTCCACCCAAGCTTGTTGTCTCTGATGGCCTCAAGACAGCCACGACTGAGTAGAGGAAGGGACAGCCTGCACACAAAGACCAGTGAATAACAGAAGAGTCATCAGGCTTAAGAATACTAAGAAGCACTTTGACTATGATTATTTGTATGTCCCTGTTTTATGTACAGTAAAACAGGTGGATGCTAATATGCTAAAAGCTTATGAAGGTTTTGAAGGTATTACAACACCGAAAGAAAAAACACATAAACATTGTTTACAAAGGTCTATGTTCAACTCTAAAGCAGCCCATGGACTTTCAAACCCATATCACTAGGAAATGAGCTGTGAAATCTGTGCAGCCTCTGAAGCAGGTGTATTATTCAATGTCCACTCCAGACATGGCTGTGGAGGACAGCAGATAAGAAAGTCCCCCAGGTTGTAGAGAAGGGTCTACACAAGCCACCTTTTCCAAAGCCAGTCCAGGAGTTTTCATAGTTTCTATTTAGCAGATTCAGTATTTGTTATAGTCTGGTGAATGATGTCTGTTCCTATTCTTTCTTGTTTAGAAGAGTTCATAATTTGGCTTTTCTATTTCTATTCCACCATTATATATTATATATGACAGAAGACAAATTTATGGGTGTGAAAAGAAAATATCTTGGTCCCCCCAAATCACAAAGCTAAGGGGAAAAGTCAAGCTGGGAACTGTTTAGGGCAATCCTGCCTCCCATTCTATTCAAAGTCAACCTTCTGCTCACTGAGACAAATTCATATCTGATTTCCTCCTTTGGAGAGGCTAATAAGAAATTCAAAAAATGCAATCTTTGTCTCTTATCTACCTATGACCTGAAAGCCCCCTCCCTGCTTCGAGTTGTCCTGCCTTTCCAGACCAAAGCCATGTTCATCTTATATATGTTGATTGATGTCTCATGTCTCCCTGAAATGTATAAAACCAAATTGCTCTGACTACCTTGGGCACATGTCATCAGGACCTCCTGAGGCTGTGTCACAAACACGCATTCTCAACCTTGGCAAAATAAACTTTCTAAATTAACTGAGACCTGTCTCAAATTTGGGGTGTTCACATTTGGTAACCATGAAGGGATTCTGAGTGGAGGTTCCCCTGACTTTTGACAAATCTCCCATCAGTGCTTGGTACCAGCATGAGCTATCTTTATGGTCAAACCAATAAGACAATTTGCTGAGGTCTGGGAGCACCCCCTCCAGAGAATCCCTGATCTCCCAAAATTTGGACGAGATCTAAAGTTTATTTTGCTGTACATTTTTCTTTGGAGTTTTACTTGCTTCCAACAAGGAAGGCAAGTTTTAGCTGCTTCCTTAATGATGGAAGGCAGGTAACTCCTTTATGGAATTTGAGCTTGCTTTCAACAGGGAAGATGAATTTGGGTTTTTTCCTGCTTCTAACGTAGTAAAGAGCAGTCTTCAGCCTGACACCCATCCCTGGGTAAGTAACTGAATTGGAGTTTGTCTTGGCTAAAGTTAAGATTAACAACTAGCTGGTCTTAATTTCTCCTTACCACTAGAGTGCTCAGTAATCATATAAGTTGTGTGATCATTTGTTTTGCTTAACCATTTTTGTTTGTTTCTGTTTTTGCTGTTTCAATCTTTTCCCGTTAGGTTTGATCAACTCTATCTGACTTGATCAAATCTGAAGAAAAGTTCCAAATTATAGGTGACAAGGCCTCTGAAGTGGCTAAATTCCCGCACACACCAAAAAAGTGGGGGAGAAAAACAGCCAGCAAAAGGAAATAGAAAAGAGGAAAGCTTTTTTATTTTGACTCCTAAGGGGCTTTATTTACATAACAAGGCCCCCTTTTTGCTAGCCAGGCCAAACTAAAAGAGCAATGGCTGTACTTCTGAAATAGCAATCTGTCCTAGCTGAAATGTGGTAATGAGATTTGAAAATATTTTTTAAAGAAACTCAATAGTTAAAAGCTTAATTAAAAGCTAACATTCAAGATGTATGTGTATGTGTGTATATGTGTGTGTTTGTATTTAAAAGGCCTTCATTTTTTGGTTTTTGTTTTTCTCTTAGGACCTTGTCTTTGTTTTTTTAGCAAAAGTTTTTTCTTCTCATTTGACTGAGTTCTGTTTTCTTCACTCACATCTGCTGTCTTTCCTTTCTCTCTCACTCTCTGCTGCATGGGGGACCTAAAGTAGTTTATAATAGCTTGGAGTTCCTTAAAGAAAACCAATAAAGCACCAGACTCCCTTTAAGGGAGAACCTGTTTTTCCTTATGGAACCCCAAGAGTGTAAACCGACAAGTTAGTCTCAGCTCTTAAATTGCTTACTTTTGTATTGCGTTACCTGTTTTTTGTTTTGTTTTGTTTTGTTTTTTACCAACATAGTTATTGCAACAGAGGTTACTCTTGGGTTTTTAAGGAAGAGTGTGGTTTAGACACTTAGGAATGTCATTGTTTAAAGAAAAAAATTTTTAAGTGGACTCTAAAGGCATCATGTGGCCTAACCTCATAATAATTCTCCCTTTTTGGAGATCCAGGATTCAATGTGGGCTCTGCCCACAGCTCAGAGATCAAGTTAAAAGATGGGTCGTCCCTAACTAAAGAAAATCGGTATCCTTACACAATTCTACGAGAGATTTCTATAATTTTTATGTTTCATTTAGCATCCATCTTTAATCTCCCTCTAGCACCACCAGACTTTTTTTCTCTCTACCTTATGAAGTAAATTTTACTACTTGATTTTCAACGGAGTTGTTTCCTTTAATATGCAAATTTAAGGCTATTAGCTGACAACTGTCTAGGATGTAAAACAGGTTATTAAGAATCTAAAAGTCTAAGTTAGGAAAAAAAAGCATTTTTATAAATCTATAAGATGTACATTTATCAGTATGCCAAATACGTCTATGTATTTATGTGTTGTGTACAATGTTTCACTGATGAAAATATACAAAAGAGCTCTAATTAATTAGCTTAAGAAAATAAAAGTGTTTGAATCAAATACTTTATCAGAAAAAAAGAAAGATTAGTCATATGCTTTTTCAAGTTTACATAACTTAAGTAAAATCTTTAATAAATAAGCTAGCTTTAAAATTATTGGTAAGGTAATACTAGAAATATCTTACCAATTGCCAGGATACATTTTTGTTTGCATTTATTGATCAAGCAATTTCATACTTACCCTGCCAAATAATATAAGGTGTCAAATTTTGGCATAGGGGTTACAAAACTATAAACCCAGCCCCAAACCCAATGATCTTTGCTTGTGTAATCTTTAATAAATAGGAAATTGATATTGGTTTAATAAAAATAGCTACATCTTGAATTTAGTAAGATTACTATAACTTCTAATCTTGTGGCTTTAGGCAGTCTAGTCCACAGGCAGTAAGGTTTGTTATCGTCTTTGTTTCAAAGGTAAACAATAAACTAAGTTCCTCCCAAAGTTAGTTCAGCCTATGCCCAGGAACGAACAAGGAGACAGGCATGAGGTTAAATGCAAGATGGAGTCAGTTAGGTCAAATCTTTCTCACTGTTTCATTTATAATTTTGCAATGGCAGTTTCATAATTTTAAATAATAACACAGTTTTCATAAATTAGGTGAATGATTAAAATAAAATAATCAGTTAAATATAATAGGATAAATACCTGTAGCTATATTAAATTAAATAATAGATATTTCATTATTTGGATATTTTCTAATACAAATTTATATGTAGGAAAATATTCTTTCAAAAAAGCAAAAAAATGTATGTCCTTTCAAACAAGGCGAACAGTTTGTGTCTCACTGAAAGCTTATTTAAATGTCATAAATAAAACAAGGTAAAAGGAATCAGGAAATTTAAAAAGATGTAAAGAAAGTTATAAAAATAAAGAGGATTTGTCTTGGTAAGACAGCTTAAGGAAAAATAATTTTATATGAGAAAGAATCTTGTATGGTAAATTTAGTCCTAGAGTAAAACGGTTGTTTAAGAAGGAGGGATGTTCAGAACAAACCAGAAAGTCCAAGCATGTCATTAATAGTCTGTATAAATCACAATAAAATGTTTTATTATTTTTAAAAAGCCAAGAATTTTTGTATGATCAAGTTGTCACATTATTATTAGGTTTTAGTTTGCTTAGGGAAAAACTGAGGTTAAAATTTTTTTTAAATTAAGGTTATTATATCCATGTATCTTTCTGTATGTGCTTTTTTTTTTGAGACAGAGTTTCACTCCTGTTACCCGGGCTGGGGTGCAATGGTGTGATCTCGGCTCACTGCAACCTTCGCCTCCCAGGTTCAAGCGATTCCCCCGCCTCAGCCTCCTGAGTAGCTGGGATTACAGGTGCCCACCACCATGCCTACCTAATTTTTTGTACTTTTAGTAGAGACAGGGTTTCACCATTTTGGCCAGGCTGGTCTTGAACTCCTGACCTCAGGTGATCCACCCACCTCAGCCTCCCAAACTGCTGGGATTACAGGCATGAGCCACTGCACCCAGCCCTGTATGTGTTTTTAAAGTCCCTGTGACATTGAGTTACAGGGCTTTGGCTTCTCAGTCTGAAAAGCACACCAAGTCCTGGTAAATTTTAAACACTGACAGCAATTAAAGCCCCATCTTCAGGCCTGGTAGAAGATGCCAATCAATGTAAACTGCATTCCTGAATCACAGGGCCAAAAGTTAAAGCTCTTCAGCTCCTCGAGGCCCAGGAACTATCACAAAAGAGGTGAGCATGTGAGATTGTAAGGGCTGATTTTGAGAATAAAATAAGTTCAGTTTCTCTATAAATTGATCATTAATGTCAAAGGCACACTGATGCAAGACCAGAATGTGGGCTTCTGTGTCAGATTAACAAGGTTTTCCTGAAGCATTAACTGACTCCTTAAGGAAGGTTATAAAGGATTATGGAAGTTATATTTTATGACCAAGATGAAAATTTTATATATTGTTTACAAAATTTTGGAAAACAAATTAATTTGGCTTCATGCTGTTTTTATTAGTGCTTGTTTGGAAAATTAAGTCTCCTTTCTCAAAGAATGAAGGTTGTCTCCTTTCTTGGGGAAATCCTTTGTTAAACTTTGGTTAAATGAAATAGTTATTTTACAAAGACCTGTCATAACCTTTGATATTTCACAAATTTTCAAAAACCAAATTATAAAATATGTCTTTTGTTGACCTAATTAACCCTTTAAGATATTAATAGGCTCCCTAAAGTCCAAAAATAACATACTTGGCTTATTCGGTATAAAAACTATACGTATAGAAAGCATTGTCAAATATAAAATGGTATTTGGTTTTCTTTGGACTGCATTTGCATAAATATGTTATTGGTATGTGTTCCAAAATTATGGGAAAATCCTAAAATTTTGATATGACTTAGTGTGTGTTATTAGTAATAATTATAATTGTTATGTTAAATTATTGTGTGCCACAGAGGTAACAAATTTCTTTGTCAATTGTGTCTTTGACCATGGTTGTCCTAAAACTTTTTGTCATCCACAGACAATTGTTGTCTTCTTTTGGTTCTCCTTAGAAGGTGTATAATCAGATATAAAACTCTAAGAGGTGCTCTTGAATGCAGGTTTCTGATAACTTTGGAGATTGTGACATCAGAATAGAGAAAATACTTTCACGAATCACGGAGAGCAGAAATGTTCATGAATATCAACAGAACAGGGATTAACTGCATGGACTAAATTAATAGAAGTCTAAAATACTATTTTTAACTTTTTGCTTAAAATGTTGCTGATCCTTTGTTTTTAAGAGTTAAGAAACCTTCTTTTAAGCTATTTACAGCTTTTAATAATTGAGTAAATTATACTCCTATAAACAAAATTTTGAGCACATTTGTTTCTCTCTATATGATTTCTCCAGAATTTGGAAACTATTTGTGAGTATTCTTAACTGATGACAATGACAATACAGTTATTTGCATAAGTGCAATAAGAATCCATTTTCATTTGTAACAGGACACAGTTGGAGAAACTGGTTACTTTATCAAGGCTTTGACTGGAGCGGTGTGCTTTTCTTTAAGGAATCAAACTTGACTTATGGAGCCAATAAAGCCCCTTGGAAAAACTGGCCTCATACCTTTGTCTACAGAGTCCCTGTACAGAGTTACTGACCTTTGGCAAGTGAAGAATGTCACGTTCTGAAAGGCCCAGGAGCCCCACGTTTATCTTGGAACCTCAAGAGGAGAGAAATTCATTCAACTCATAGATATTTAATGATACAAATTTATGGCTGGCCTTGGCTTTAAAAAAGTCTTATTTGAAATTCCTTTTATGGAAAAAAGTTTCATCAAAGACAATTTAAAAGCCTATGTAAAAATAATCATTCTTGCTGCACTGTATACAAATAATCTGGCCAACTATAATAAAGCAAATGAGAAACTGGACAGTGAAAAATTATGTTTCAACAACTGTAGTACATCTGTTGCTAGAGATTCTAGCCTTGCCTAATGTTTTTCAATTTTATTATTTTCTACTATTTGGACCAAATTCTAATTTTTCTTGGCTACAAGTTTTCAAATAATGTTTTCAGTTTTTTTCCTTCTTTTTATTTTCCATTTTTCCTAATTTGGAGTCACTGAAAACTAAGCTATGCTTTCTTGAAGACCTGTGGACTAAAGCTAAACAACTTAAATTTCAGTGAAAAATAACAGCAACATATTTACTTACATAAGCCACTTTCATACCTGCCTACTGATATATGGACTTCAGAGTAATGTGGCCTATATCAATTTTCCAGGATTCTTCTTTTGTTTGTTGTTGTTTTCCTCCCTTTTCTCCCTATTTTCTCTTCATAAGACATGATATTTCTCAACCTGCTAAAAATGAGCTTTCCTAATGAATTGGAACGTACCCATCTAGGAATAAACCATTCTAGTCATGAGAGATTGGATGAAACCTGAGACCAGAGGCTCATTTTCTTCTATAATGTTTTCTCCAAAATATTTTTGAAAAGAAAAAAGGGGAAATGTGAAAGGAAAATAAATGTTGAGGCCCCCAAATCACTAAGCTAATGAGAAAAGTCAAGCTGGGAACTTCTTAGGGCAAACCTGCCTCCCAATCTATTCAAACTCACCCCTCTGTTCACTGAGGTAAATGCATATCTGATTGCCTCCTTTGGAGAGGCTAATCAGAAACTCAAAAGAATGCAAACATTCATCTTTTATCTACCTATAATCAGGAAGCTCACTCCTCTCTTTGAGTTGTTCTGCCTTTCCAGACCAAACCAGTGTACATCTTACATATGTTGATTGATGTCTCATGTCTCCCTAAAATGTATAAAACCAAACTGTGCTCTGACAACCTTGGGCACATGTCATCAGGACATCCTGAGGCTGTGTCATGAGCATGCATTCTCAACCTTGGCAAAATAAACTTTCTGTATTAACAGAGACTTGTCTCAAATTTTGGGGGTTCACACAAATTTAGTTTTAAAATATTAATTGGCTTCATTTGTGATTCTAAAATTGGGCAGCACTTTATTCCATAAAATAGAATGAGCATATATATATATGTGTGTGTGTGTGTGTGTGTGTGTGTGTGTATGTGTGTGTGTGTGTGTGTGTGTATATATATATATATATATATATATATATATATATATATATTTCTTTCTTTCTTTCTTTCCTTTTTTTTTGATGGAGTCTTGCTCTGTCACCCAGGCTGGAGTGCAGTGGTGCAATCTCGGCTCACTGCAAGCTCCACCTCCTGGGTTCATGCCATTCTCCTGCCTCAGCCTCCTGAGTAGCTGGGACTACAGGCGCCCGCCACCATGCCCAGCTAATTTATCTTTTTTTTGTATTTTTTAGTAAAGACAAGGTTTCACCATGTTAGCCAGGATGGTCTCGATCTCCCGACCTCGTGATCTGCCTGCCTTGACCTCCCAAAGTGCTGGGATTACAGGCTTGAGCCACTGTGCCTGGCCGCTCTTTTATATATTTTTAGTAGTGAAACATTGTGTAAACAACATATAAATAGAATAGACATATTAGATATACTGATAGAACTATATCTTATACTAACAGATTCCTAAGACCTCCTTTTCCTCCTCCATCTTAGGCTTGCAAACTCTTGATAACCTGTTTCATTACCCTGGCAGTTGTTAGCTAAATAGTCCTAAATCTGCATATTGAAGGAAACAACTCTTAGATGAAAAATTAGATAGCAAAATTTACATCCCAAGTTACAAAGAGAAAAAGTCTGGCGGTGCTAGAGGGAGATTAAAGATGGATGACAAATCAAACATAAAATTATAGAAATCTATCATAGGATTGTATGAGGAGAACAATTTTATTTAGATTTGGACTACCTATCTTTTAACTAGATCTCTGAGCTCTGGGCAGTGCCCACACTGAATCCTGGGTCTCCAAAAAAGGGAGAATTATTATGAGGTTAGACCACGTGATGCTTTTACAATACACTTAGATGCTGGTTGTTAATCTACTTTTAGCCAAGTTAAAAGTAACCAATTCAGTTACTTACCTAGGGATGGGTCTCAGGCTGAAGACTGCTCTCTATCATCCTAGAAGCAGGAAAAAATTCAAATTCGTCCTCCTTGTTAGAAGCAATCTCAAACTCCATAAAGGAGTTACCTGCCTTCCATCATCACGAGAGCAGGAAAAACTGCCTTCCTTGTATTGGAAGCAAGCAAAACTCCAAAAAAGAAAAGGAGTTGTACACAAAATTAACTTTAGATCTTGGCCAAATTTGGTGAGATCAGAGGTTCTCTGGAGGGGGCACTTCAAGGCCTCAGCCAATTGTCCTATTGATTTGAGCCATAAAGATAGCTCAAGCTGGTAACAAGCACCAATGGGAGATTTGCCAAAGGTCAGGTCACTTCCACTCAGAATACCTCCATAGTTACCAGAATGTAAACCCCCCCGCCCCAACAGCAATCTGAGACAGGTGTTAGTAAATTTAAAAAGTTTATTTTGCCAAAGTTGAGGACACACACCCATGACACAGCCTCAGGTGGTCCTGATGATATATGCCCAGTGTGGTTGGGGCACAACTTGGTTTTATACATGTTAGAGAGACATGAGACTTCAATCAACATATGTAAAATGTGCATTGGTTCTGTCTAGAAAAGCAGGACAACTCAAGCATTGATGGGGCTTCCAAGTCACAGGTAGGTGAGAGATAAATGGTTGCATTGTTTTGAGTTTCTGATTAGCCTCTCCAAAGGAGGCAATCAGTTATGCATTTAGCTGGATGAGCAGAGCAATTACTTTGAATAGAATGGGAGGCAGATTTGCCCTAAGCAGTTCCCAGCTTGACTCTTCCCTTCAGCTTTGTAATTTTGGGACCCCAACATTTATTTTCCTTTCACATTTCCCCTGTTTTCTTTTTAAAATCTTTTGGAGAAAACATTATAGAAGAAAATGAGCCTCTGGTCTCAGGTTTCATCTGATCTCTCATGGCTAGAATAGTTTACTCCTAGATGGGTAGGTCCCAAATCATTAGGAAAGCTCATTTTTAGCAGGTTGAGAAGTCTTATGTCCTATGAAGACAAAAAACGGGGAGAAAGGGAGAAAAACAACAACAAATAAAAGGAATAATCCTGGAAAATTGATATAGGCCACATTACCCTGATCCCATACATCAATAGACAGATATGAAAGTGGCTTATGTATGTAAATAGATTGCTGTTATTTTCCTCTGAATTTTAAGTTGTCTAGATTTAGTTCACAAGGCTTCAAGAAAGTGCAGCTTAGTTTTCAGTGATTTCAAGTTAGGAAAAAGTGGAGGGAAAGGAAAAGAAAGAAGGAAAAAATTGAAAACATTATTTTCGAGACTTGGAAAAGTAAGAATTTAGTCCAAACTGTTGAATATAATAAATATTGAAAAACATTAAGCAAGACTAGAATGTAACAACAGGTATACTATAGTTTTTGAAACATATGTTTGTTTCTCCAGTTTTTCATTTTTACCAAAAGCAAATCATGGGAGTACCAATTTGCTTTATTATACTTGGCCAGATTATTTATATAAAGTGTCACAGAAATAATTACTTTTTACATAGGCTTATAAAATTGTCTTTGATGGAAATTTGTTCCATAGATGGAATCTCAGATAAGACTTTTTTTAAAGCCAAACCCTTCCATGGATTTGTATCCTTAAATACCTGTGAGTTGGGTGAATTCTTCTCCTCTTAAGGTTCCAAGATAACTTGGGGCTCCTGGACCTGTCAGAACGTGACAGGTCAGGAACCCTGTACAGAGACTGTGTAGACAAATGTATGAGGCCAGTTTTCCCAAGGGGTTTTATTGGCTCCATAAGTCAAGTTTGATTCCTTAAAGAAAAGCACACCGCTCCAGTCAAAGCCTTGGTAAAATAACCAATTTCTCCAATTGTGCCCTGTTATAAATGAACACTTGCACTTGTTGTTGCTCTTATGCAAATAACTGTATTGCTATAAGTTAAGAATACTCATAAATATCTCCAAATCTGGAGAAATCAGGTAGAGAGAAACAAATATGCTCCAAATTTTGTTCATAGGATTATACCTAATTGTTAAAAACTGTCAATAGCTTAAAAGAAAGCTTTTTTTGACTGAAAAACAAAACAAAGGATCAGCAATGTTTTAAGCAAAAAGTCAAAAAAATTACTTCAGTCTTTTATTAGTTTAGTCCATGCAGTTAATTCTTGTTCTGTTTGATATTCGTGAACATTTCAGCTCTCCATGAGTCTTGGAAATTTTTGTTCTATCCTGATGTCACAGTCTCCAAAGTGATGAGAAACCTGCATTCAAAAGCACCTGTTAGAGTTTTATAGCTGATTATAAAACCAATTTCTGAAGAGGGCCAGCACAAGACAACAATTGCCTGTTGATGACAAAAAGTCTTAGGGCAGCCATAGAAAGGCACAGTTGACAAGGAAATGTGTTACCTCTGTGGAACTCAATAATTTAACATAGCAATTGTTAATTATTACTGACAAAGTACACTAAGTCATATTAGAATTACAAGAGTTTCCCATTCCTTTGGATCACATACCAATAACGTATTTATACAAATACAGCCCAAAGAAAACCAAATATCATTTTATATTTGACAATGCTTTCTGTATGATTTTTATACCAAATAAGGCAAATATGTCATTTTTGGACTTTAGAGAACCTAATATTTTAAAGGATTAATTAGGTCAGAAAAAGACATAATTTATAATTTAATTTTGAAGAATTTGTCAAATATCAAAGGTTTAAACACTTGATATCACAACATAGGATCACAGGTCATTGTAAAATAAGTCATTTATTTAAGCAAGTGATAACTCAAGGATTTCCAAAAAAGGAGAAAACTTTCATTCTTTGAGAGGAGATTTAATTTTTCAAGCAATAAGCCCTAACAAAAACAGCATGCAGCCAAATTAATTTGTTTTCCAAAATTTTATAAACAACCTATAAAATTTTAATGTTGATTATAAGATATAGCATTCATAAACTTTTATAACCTTTATTAAAGAATTGGTTAATGCTTTAAGAAAACCTTGGTAGTCTGACACAGGGGCCCATATGCTGGTCTTCCATCAGTGTGTCTTTGACATTAATGATCAACTTATAGAGAAACTGAACTTATTTTCTCTCTCAAAATTGGCCCTTACAATCTAACATGCCCACATTTTCTGTGGTAGTTCCTGGGCATTCAGGAGTTGAAGAGCTTTGATTTTTTGGCCCTGTGTTTCAGGAATGCAGTTTATTTTGATTGGCATTTTCTACCAGGCCTGAAGACGGGGCTTTAGTTGCTGTCAGTGTTTAAAATTTACCAGGACTTGGTGTGCTTTTTAGACCCAGGAGTCAAAGCTCTGTAACTCAATGTCCCAAGGACTTCAAAAGCACATACCGAAAGATACACTGATGTAATAACCTTAAAAAAATTCATCTCAGCTTTTTTCTAAGCAAACCAAAACTTAATAATAATGGCACAGGAATTATTTTGATGAAACATAAAATCTGTTAGACAAGTTACCAAAAGGAAAAAGACCTTCATTGCACAGAATATTATGTTGGAAGAAAACATTTCCTTTAGACCTTTAAGAAAACATTCTTAAAAAATAAATTAAAATCTCATAATTTAATAGGAATAAATCAATCCCTTAATAAAATTTTATTTTTCTACTCAATTTTTTAGTGTATAAGTGTTTTTTCTACATCAAGCCCAATCTCTAGATAGGTCATTATAATTTTACTTTATAGACAACTTGATTATATAAAAGTTGTTTTTTTCTTAATTAATCCTCTTATTCTCACTTACACAGGCCATTCATGACATGTGTGGACTTTCTGGTTTGTCCTGAACATGCCTCTTTCTTAAATAACCAGTCATTTTATTCCAGGACTTAATTTATCATACAAGATTCTTTCTCATGTAAAATTATTTCTCTTTAAGCTTTCTTACCAAGAAATACCTCTCTATTTCTATAACTTACTTTATGTCTCTCTTATTTCCTGATTTGCTTTGTTTTATACAAACCTTTAAATAAGCTTTGAATTAGACAAAAATTATTCACCCATTTTATAAAGGACACATTTTGTTTTTTAAAAAGGAAGTTTTCCTACAATACATTGTATTGGAAAATACTCAAATAGTATTTTATTGAAAAATACCCAAATAGTAAAATGAAATATCTATTATTTAATTTAATTTAATTTAATATGACTTAATTATGACATTTGTCTACAAGTATTTAACCCGTTACCTTTACCTAATTATTTTATTTTAATTGTTTCCTTGTTTATTTATAAAACTGCAATAGTCATCATTTAAAGTTGTGAAACTCACCATTGCAAAATTATTAACTGAGACAGTGAAAAATATATGACCTAACAGCTCTATCTTGCTTCTAACCTCCAAGCTGTCCTTGTTCATTCCTGGGTGTAGGCTGAACTAACTTTGGGAGGACTTTAGTTTATAGTTTAGCTTTGAAAAAAGATAACAGTCTTTTCCCAAAACAAAACTCCTTACCGCCTGTGGAGTAGACTGCCAAAAGCCTCAAGATTAGAAGTTATGGTAATTTTATCAAATAATTCAAGATGTAGCTGTTTTCATTAAACCAGTATCAATGTCTTACTTATTAAAAATTACACCAGCAAAGATCATTGTGTTTTGGGCTAGGTATATAGTTTTGTAACCCCTATGCCAAATTTTGACAGCTTATAGTATTTGGGAAGGATAAGTATGAAATTACTTGATCAATAAATGCAAACAAAAATGTATTCTGGCAATTCTTAAGACATTTCTAGTATTACTTTACCAACAATTTTGAAGCTAGCTTATTTATTAAAGATTTTACCTAAATCATGTAAACTTGAAAAAGCATTTGACTAATCTTTCCTTTTTTCTGATAAAGTATTTGATTTAAGTGCATTTATTTTTCTTTAACCCAATTAATTAGAGCTCTTTTATATATTTTTAGTAGTGAGACATTGTGTACACAACACATAAATACATAGACATATTAGGCATACTGACAGAAGTATGTCTTATATTAATAAATTCCTAAGACCTTCTTTCCTTTTATCTTAGACTTGCAAACTCTTGATAACCTGTTTCATTACCCTGGCTGTTGTCAGCTAAATAGTTCTAAATCTGCATGGATGAAAATTAGATAACAAAGTTTACATCCCAAGGTACAGAGAGAAAAAGTCTGGTGGGGCTAGAGGGAGATTAAAGATGGATGCCAAATCAAACATAAAATTATAGAAATCTATTATAAAATTGTATGAGAACAATTTTATTTAGACTGTGACTACCTATTTTTTAACTGGATCTCTGAGCTCTGGGCAATGCCCACACTGAATCCTGGGTGTCCAAAAAGGGAGAATTATTATGAGTTTAGACTACATGATGCTTTTACAGAATACTTAAAAACAATGTATTTTTTTTTAAAGGCATTTGTAAGCATCTAAACTACACTCTTCCAAACCCAAGAGTAGCCTCTGTTGCAGTTACTATTTTAAACAATAAATCAAGTAACACAATACAAAAGCAAGCAGTTTAAGAGCTGAGATGAACTTGTCTGTTTACACTTTTGGGGTTCCATGCAGAAAATCAGGTTTCTCCCCCAAAGAGAGTCTGATGCCCTCTCCATTTTCTTTAAGGAACCCCAGGCTATTATAAGCTACTTTAGGTTTCTCATGCTGTAGAAGGTGCAAGAGAAAGGAGAGAAAGCAGACATAAATGAAGAAAACAGAATTCAGTCAACTGACAAGAAAAAACCTTTTGCTCAAAAAAAAAAAAAAAGACAAGGTCTTAGGAGAAAAAAACAAAAACAAAAACATGAAAGCTTTTTAAATACACACACACATGCACACACACACACACACACATCTTGGACATTAGCTTTAATTAAGATGACTTTTAACTGTTGATTTCCTTTTAAAAAATCTTTCCAAATCTCATTACCATATTTCAGCTAGTACAGATTGCTGCTATTTCAGAAGTACCAAGTATCAAATCAGAAAGGGCTTCATTTAGGATCCAAACCCAGTTTTTTCTGGTGGAAAAAAAAAGGCAAAACCCTTAGCTATGAAACTGCAATGTGGGGTGACAGCCATTGCTCTTTCAATTTGGCATGGATAGCAAAAAGGTGGCCTTGTTATGTAAATAAAATCCCTTAAGTAGCCAAAATCAGAAGGCTTTCCTTTATTTATTTATTTATTTATTTATTTATTTATTTATTTATTTATTTTTTTGCTGGCCATTTTTCTCTACCCACCACACCACCTTTTTGTGTTTATGTGGGAATTTAGTCACTTCAGAGGCCTTGTTCCCCATAATTTGGAACTTTCCTTTGGATTTGATCAAGTTGGATACAGTTGATCAAGCCCAGTGGGAAAAAGACTGAAACAACAACAAAAACAGAAACAGACAACAACAACAAAACAGTTAAGGAAAACAAACAATGGCCCAACTTATACCATTACTGAGTGCTGTAATGGTAAGGAGAAATTAAGCCCAGCTGGTTGTTAATCTTAACTTTCACCACGATTCAGTTACCCAGGGATGGGTCTCAGGCTGAAGACTGCTTTATACCATCCTAGAAGCAGGAAAAAAACTCAAATTCATCTTCCCTGTTGGAAGCAAGCTCAAACTCCATAAAGGAGTTACCTGCCTTCCATCATCTTGGGAGCAGGAAAAACTTGCCTTCCTTGTGTTGGAGGCAAGTAAAACTACAAAAAATGGAGTTGTACAGCAAAATGAACTTTAGATCTTAGCCAAATTTGGGGATATCAGAGATTCTTTGGAGGGAGTGCTTCCAGGCCTCTGTAAGTTGTCCTGTTGGTTTGAGCTATAAAGATAGCTCAAGCTGGTGCCTAGCACCGATAGGAGATTTTTCAAAGATCAGGGCACCTTCACTCAGAACCCCTCTGTAGTTACCAAAATGTGAACCCCCAAAATCTGAGACAGGTCTCAGTTAATTTAGAAAGCTTATTTTGCCAAGGTTGAGGATGCACACCTGTGACACAGCCTCAGGAAGTCCTAATGACAGGTGCCCAACGTGGCCGGGGCACAGTTTGGTTTTATACACTTTAGGGAGACGTGAGACATCAATCAATACATATACGATGTACATTGGTTCTGTCTGGAAAGGCAGGACAACTTAATCATTGAGGGGGCTTCCAGGTCACAGGTAGTCTAGAGACAAATGGTTGTATTCTTTTCAGTTTCCGATTAGCCTTTTCAAAGGAGGCAATCAGATATGCATTTATCTCAGTGAGCAGAGGAATGACTTTGAATAGAATGGGAGGTAGGTTTGCCCCAAGCAGTTCCCAGCTTGACTTTCCCCTTTAGCTTAGTGATTTTGGGGCCCCCAAATTTATTTTCTTTTTACAGACTATCATCTCTCACTCTCCTAGTTTCTTGGAAGGCCAAACAATTCAGTTTCAACTTTGTGACACAGATCTTCAGCATGAGTGACTCCATTTTCATTTAGATAGATGGGCTTTGTGCAGTACTCAGTCTAAACAAATGACCTTCTATAAATTATATTTAAGACACATAGGCATTTTACTTGCATGCAAGCATGTAACTCATCTTTTAGTTATGAGTAATAACTAAAAGATAACTTATTTGGTGAACACATATCCACACTTTACTACAAAGACTGTGCATCAGGAAGATCACCAGAATTTTGAGTTGAATGCAGGAATTGAATGATCTTTGGTTACTTTTCTTAGAGAAAGAAAGGTTTGAATATTTGAGTGGTGTGTTAATTTGGGTTCTTCAAAGAACATATGTCAAGATAGGATTAGACATGCAAGATTTTTATTGGAGGAATATCTGTGAAGAATAGGAGGAGCCAGCAGAAGTAGAAGAGAAGAGCTTTCAGACCAAAATACATTTATGACACCTGTGAAAGTAGAGGAAGAAGAAAGGTTTGTGTAGGAAGAGTCTCAGACCAAAAATCACTTCTATGAAAGTTTCAGCCAGGGCCAATGGTGAGTTCTGGAGGAGTCACCCATTGGAGAAGTCCTGCACCCTGCAGAAATAAACTTGCACTAATATCCCTGCTGTGGTTACTCATTGGCATTGGCATGAACACAGTAGATCCAGAACAATGGTAGCTGGGGTTGTCAATTTCCTCAACGAACAATATGTAAATGGAGCATTTTCATGGTTGCCACCATGCATTTTCATGGTGACCAGAGAGGTTGACTATGTCAGAAACAGTCATTTCTCAACTAATATAAAACTTCCTTTGATAATAGAAATTCTGATTTGTGGCCAGGTGCGGTGGCTCACGCCTGTAATCCCAAAACTTTGGGAGGCTGAGGTGGGTGGATCATTGAGGCCAGGAGTTCAAAACCATCCTGGCCAACATGGCAAAACCCCATCTCTACTAAAAATAAAAAATTAGCAAGACGTGGTGGCACATGCCTGTAATCTGAGCTACTTGGGAGGCTGAGGCATGAGAATTGCTTGAACCCAGGAGGCGGAGGTTGCAGTGAGCCAAGATTGTGCCACTGTACTCCAGCTTGGGTGACAGAGCAAGACTCTGTCTCCAAAAAAAAAAGAAAAGAAATTCTGATTTGTTGCCAGGCATGTGGCTGACTAACTGAAGACTACAAGTTCTAATGTCTCTTGCAGTTAGGTGTGGACATATAACCAATTTCTGGCCAGTGATTTTTGAGCAAAATGGATAGGTGCCAATTTTCTGTCACATATTTGCCTCATACCCACTTTCACATGGCTGCAATATGATCAAAATGGTGACAATGGAAACAGCAACCCTGGGACCAGATATGAAAACCATGTATTGGAGATGATAGAGCTACCCTATCTTTCCTGAATTGCCTGTGGATTTTTTAAATGAGGTATAAATAAGCGTACACCTTGTCAAAGCAACTTAGTCTGTATGCTAGCTCAATAAGCAAGCATACACCTCCATGAGTGGATAAATCCAGAAAAATCACCAGATTTAGGAAAAGCTACCAAAAATTTTAACAACAGAAATAACATCCTCGTTATGATTTTTTGGTTAATCAAGAAATTAAAGAATTTATGGTTAATTGACTTAAAGTATAATTTTTAAAAACAAGAACAATGGAAAAGAACATAATATCTATGAATCTATAGCAAATAGTAATGAAGAGAAAAATATGTAAAATTAAGGAGAATTGAACCAATAAATTTATGGTCACAATTTAAAATAGCAATGGAAGCAGTAAACAACAGATTATACACTACAGAAAATTCAATTAGTGAGACTGAATTCATATTTAAAAAATTGTCATGTAATTTTGAGGAACTAGAGTTATTTTTAAGTCAGAATAGAATCTATAAGAAATAAAAAAATCACATATATTTAATACACATATCATGAGAATGTTAGAATAAGAGAACAAAAGAAATAGAACATAAATGATTGCCACTAACATAATATAATAAAATGTTCTGAGCTAAAGAAAACCTATGCATACAGAATAAAATTGCTGAAGCAGTTGGGTGGGACTTTCAGAATGGCTATGTGAAAAGCTCAGCAAATCCTCTCCCCAGTGAAACAATTTAACTAGGGAAAATTATAAAACACCACTATTTAAAGTATCTCAAAATTGACTTGTTTATACAGAAAATCTATAAGTATGTATTCAAGAAAACTTACTAAATCTTGGTAAGAACAGCAGAATTCCAAGTTATTTGAGCTAAAACCTGTTTCTACCCTACTCCCAGCTCTGCGCTGGAAACTCTACTCTGAGTGGGTATAACACATCTCCTTTTCCCTCTAGCTCTCAGCTGTATGGCTGTGGTTTCACCTCAGGAGGGACAGGACAGTGATATCTCCCATTTCTTTAACCCTCTATAGCACCCCCTGCCTCATTCCCAACCCCAGCCCCAGTCCCCAGCTCTTTATTGTGGCAGTGGTAATAAAACTGGGACTCTTTTCCTCTACTTAGCTTTCACTTGTAGGATGGAGGCTCTACTCCAGGAGCAGCAAACCAAGAATAAGAAGGCCCCCATCTTCCCCTTCCCAGCTTCTGCCCTTAGAGCAGAGGTTTCAGGCCAGGATGAGCAGCCCAAGAAAATAGGAATACCATTCCCCCATAGCTTCAACTTGTAGTATAGTGGTGTATTCTGGGAGAAACAAGCCACCACCTTACCCACCTCCAGTGCAATGCCATAGAGCTTCAGCCCAGTACAGGGGATAATACAGAAGGACAGGCAGCTCCACGGCTCTGCTCAGTGAGCTGTTCTCATTAGGAACAGACTGTGGAGGAATTCATAGAGCATTTAAGATAAGGCTAACAGCTCCATGAAACTAGTAGAAAAAATGAAGTGGCAGACCATGCAGAAGTTAAGAGAGAGAATCAGAGAAAAAGACAGTCAAAATTGGCCCTGCTAAGATCACATTCATTTCCAGGGGATCTGGAAGGCTGTGTGCATGTACTAGGCTGCACCTCAAAACAACTAAGAGAGAGAAACTCTAGTGAGCACTTGAGAGCTACTATCAGACAAAACAGAATTTAAGACAAAAATGTTACTACAGACAGAGCAACATTTTACAATGATAAAAGCATACATTTATCAGGAAGATATAACAATTAAAAACATATGTATCTAAAAGCAAAACCTCAAAATACATTAAACAAAAACTGACAGAATTGAAGGGAGAAATGGAAAATTCAACAGTAGTAGTTGGAGACAAATACAACTCTCAATAGTGGATGAATCAACTAGAAAGTAAATCAGCAAGGATATATAAGACTTCAACAACAGTATTAATAAACTGAATACAGCTGATATCTGTAGAACATGCCACAACAACAGAAGAATATGTAATCTACTCAGGCACATAAAGAATATTCTCTGGTATAGATTGTATGCTGGGCCATAATATAAGTATTGACAAATGTAAAATAATTAAAATCATACAAAGGATGTTCTCAAACTACAACAGAATTAAATTAGAAATCAACAACAAACAGAAATGTGGAAAATTTTCAAACACATGGACATTAAACTACATACTCCTTTGTTCTTTCATTTAAAAAATATTTAATGTAGATTTCTATAACTTTTTGGGGGAACAGGTGATGTTTGGTTACATGAGTAAGTTTTTTAGTGGTGATGTGTGAGATTTCGGTGCACACATCACCCCAGCAGTATACACTGTATCCAATTTGTAGTCTTTTACCTGTCACCCACTTTCCACCCTTTCCCCCGAGTCCCCAAAGTCCATTGTATCATTTTTATGCCTTTGCATCCTTATAGCTTAGCTACCACTTATATGTGAGAATAGGTGATGTTTGGTTTTCCATTCATGAGTTACATCACTTAGAATAATGGTCTCCAATTCCATCCGGGTTGCTGTGAATGCTGTTATTTCATTCCTTTTTATGGCTGAATAGTATTCCATGGTGTGTGTGTGTGTGTGTGTGTGTGTGTGTGTATGTGTGTGTGTGTATAAATTGTGGTGTACATATATATGAATTGTGGCATATATACATAGTGATATATATATATATACACACACACCAAAATTTCTTTTTTATGTGATTTAATATGCTTTATTATTATTATCATTTTTTATTATTATACTTTAAGTTCTGGGATACATGTGCAGAAAGTGTAGGTTTGTTACACAGGTATACATGTGCCATGGTGGTTTGCTGCACCCATCAACCTGTGATCTACATTAGATTTCTCCTAATTCTACCCCTCCCCTTGTCCCACATCCTGTGACAGGCCCCAGTGTGTGATGTTCCCCTCCCTGTGCCCATATGTTCTCATTTTTCAACTCCTACTTATGAGTGAGAACATGCAGTGTTTGATTTTTCTGTTCCTGTGTTAATTTGCTGAGAATGATGGTTTCCAGCTTCATCCATGTTCCTGCAAAGGATATGAATTCATTCTTTTTTATGGCTGCATAGTATTCCATGGTATATATGTGCTACATTTTCATTATTCAGTCTATCATTGATGGGCATTTGGGTTGGTTCCACATCTTTGCTGTTGTGAATAGTGCTGAAATAAACATATGTGTGCATGTGTTTATTCTACTATAAAGATAGTAGAATAACTTATAATCATTTCGGTATATACCCAGTAATGGGACTGCTGGGTCAAGTGGTATTTCTGGTTCTAGATCCTTGAGGAATCACCACACTGTCTCCACAATGGTTGAACTAACTTACCCTCGCACCAACAGTGTAAAAGTGTTCCT
Organism: Homo sapiens; assembly: GCF_000001405.40. NCBI lineage: Eukaryota > Metazoa > Chordata > Mammalia > Primates > Hominidae > Homo > Homo sapiens. The sequence continues at coordinate 166,546,758 of NC_000001.11, forward strand.
ATTTCTCCACATCCTCTCCAGCATCTGTTGTTTCCTGACTTTTTAATGATCGCCATTCTAACTGATGCGAGATGGTATCTCATTGTGGTTTTGATTTGCATTTCTCTAATGACCAGTGATGATGAGCTTTTTTTCATATGTTTGTTGGCTGCATAGATGTCCTCTTTTGAGAAGTGTCTGTTCATTTCCTTCCCCCAATTTTTAGTGGGGTTGTTTGTTTTTTTCCTGTTAATTTGTTTAAGTTCCTTGTAGATTCTGGATATTAGCCCTTCGTCAGATAGATAGATTGCAAAAATTTTCTCCCATTCTGTAGGTTGTCTGTTCATTCTGATGATAGTTTCTTTTGCTGAGCAGAAGCTCTTTAGTTTAATCAGATCCCATTTGTCTATTATGGCTTTTGTTGCCATTGCTTTTGGTGTTTTACTCATGAAGTCTTTGCCCATGCCTATGTCCTGAATGGTATTGCCTAGGTTTTCTTCTAGGGTTTTTATGGTTTTAGCTCTTATGTTTCAATCTTTAATCTTTCTTGAGTTAATTTTTGTGTAAAGTGTAAGGGAAAGAGTCCAGTTTCAGTTTTCTGCATACGGTTAGCCAGTTTTCCCAACACTATTTATTAAATGGGGAATCCTTTTCCCATTGCTTGTTATTGTCAGGTTTGTCAAAGATCAGATGGTGGTAGATGTGTAGCATTATTTCTGAGGCCTCTGTTCTGTTCCATTGGTCTATATATCTGTTTTGGTACCAGTACCATGCTGTTTTGGTTACTGTAGCCTTGTGGTATAGTTTGAAGTCAGGTAGCATGATGCCTCCAGCTTTGTTCTTTTTGCTTAGGATTGTCTTGGCTATATGGGCTCTTTTTTGGTTCCATATGAAATTTAGAGTAGTTTTTTCTAATTCTGTGAAGAAATTCAATGGTAGCTTGATGGGGATAGCATTGAATTTATAAATTACTTTGGACAGTATGGATATTTTCCTGATATTGATACTTCCTATCCATAAGCATGGAATGTTTTTCCATTTGTTTGCATCTTCTGTTATTTATTTGAGCAGTGGTTTGTAGTTCACCTTGAAGAGGTCCTTCACATCCCTTGTAAGTTGTATTCCTAGGTATTTTATTCTCTTTGTAGCAATTGTGAATGGGAGTTCACCCATGATTTGGCTCTGTGTTTGTCTATTATTGGTGTATAGGAATGCCTGTGATTTTTGCACATTGATTTGGTATCCTGAGACTTTGCTGAAGTTGCTTATCAGCTTAAGGAGTTTTGGGGCTGAGAAAATGGGATTTTCTAAATATACAATCATGTCATCTGCAAACAGAGATAATTTGACTTCCTCTCTTCCTATTTGAATACTCTTTATTTCTTTCTCTTACCTAATTGCTCTGGCCAGAACTTCCCATACCATGTTGAATAGGAGTGGTGAGAGAGGGCATCCTTGTCTTGTGCTGATTTTCAAAGGGAATGCTTCCAGCTTTTGCCCATTCTGTATGATATTTGCTGTGGGTTTGTCATAAATAGCTCTTATTATTTTGTGATATGTTCCATCAATACCTAGTTTATTGAGTGTTTTTAGCATGAAGGGGTGTTGAATTTTATCGAAGGCCTTTTCTGCATCTATTGAGATAATCATGTGGTTTTTGTCATTGGTTCTGTTTATGTAATGGATTACATTTATTGATTTGCGTATGTAGAACCAGCCTTGCATCCCAGGTATGAAGCCGACTTGATCGTGGTGGATAAGCTTTTTAATGTGAACTGGATTTGGTTTACCAGTATTTTATTGAGGATTTTCTCATCGATGTTCATCAGGAATATTGGCCTGAAATTTTCTTTTTTTGTTGTGTCTCTGCCAGATTTCCGCAACAGGATGATGCTGGCCTCATAAAATGAGTTAGGGAGGATTCCCTCTTTTTCTATTGTTTGGAATAGTTTTAGATGGAATGGTACCCGCTCCTCTTTGTATCTCTGGTAGAATTTGGCTGTCAATCTGTCTGGTCCTGGACTTTTTTTTTTTTTTGGTTGGTAGGCTATTAATTACTGCCTCAATTTCAAACTTGTTATTGGTCTACTCAGGGACTCGACTTCTTCCTGGTGTAGTCTTGGGAGGGTGTATATGTCCTGGAATTTATCCATTTCTTCTGATTTTCTACTTTACATTATTTGCACAGACGTGTTTATAGGATTATCTGATGGTAGTTTGTATTCTGTGGGATCAGTGGTGATATCCCCTTTATCATTTTTTTTTTTTTTTGAGATGGAGTCTCGCTCTGTTGCCTAGGCTGGAGTGCAGTAGCGTGATCTCGGCTCACTGCAAGCTCCACCTCCCGGGTTCACGCCATTCTCCTGCCTCAGCTTCCCGAGTAGCTGGGACTACAGGCACCCGCCAAAACATCTGGCTAATTTTTTGTATTTTTAGTAGAGATGGGGTTTCACCATGTTAGCCAGGATGGTCTCGATCTCCTGACCTCGTGATCCACCCGCCTCGGCCTCCCAAAGTGCTGGGATTACAGTCATGAACCACCACACCTGGCCCCCTATATCATTTTTTATTGTGTCTATTTTATTCTACTCTCTTTTCTTCTTTATTAGTCTGGCTAGCAGTCTATCTATTTTGTTAATCTTTTCAAAAAACCAGCTCTTGGATTCATTGGTATTTTCAAGGGGGTTTTTCTGTCTCTATCTCCTTCAGTTTTGCTCTGATCTTAGTTATTTCTTGTCTTCTGCTATCTTTTGAATTTGGTTGCTCTTGCTTCTCTAGTTCTTTTAATTGTGATGTTAGGATGTTGATTTTAGATAATTCCTGCTTTCTCCTGTGAGCATTTAGTGCTATAAATTTCCCTCTAAACACTGCTTTAGCTGTGTCCCAGAGATTCTAGTATGTTGTGTCTTTGTTCTCATTGATTTCACATAACTTATTTATTTCTGCCTTAATTTCGTTATTTACCCAGTAGTCATTCAGGAGCAGGTTGCTTTGTTTCCATGTGGTTGTGCAGTTTTCAGTGAGTTTCTTAATCTTAAGTTCTGATTTGATTGAACCGTGGTCTGAGAGACTGTTTGTTATGATTTCCATTCCTTAACATTTGCTGAAGAGTGTTTTACTTCAAATTATGTGGTCAATTTTAGAATAAGTGTGATGTGGTGCTGAGAAGAATGTATATTCTATTGATATGGGTGGAGAGTTCTGTAGATGTCTATTAGGTCTGCTTGGTCCAGAGCTGAGTTCAAGTCCTGAATATCCTTGTTAATTTTCTGTCTCATTGATCTTTCTAATATTGGCAGTGGGGTTTAAAGTCTCCTACTATTATTGTGTGGGAGTCTAAGTCTCTTTGTAGGTCTCTAAGAACTTGCTTTATGAATCCAGGTGCTCCTATATTGGGTCCATACATATTTAGGATATTTAGCTCTTCTTGTTGCATTGATCCCTTTACCATTATGTGATGCTCTTCTTTGTCTTTTTTGATCTTCATTGGTTTGAAGTCTGTTTTATCAGAAACTAAGATTGCAGCCTCTACTTTTTTTTTCCTTCCATCTGTTTGGTAAATCTTCCTCCATCCCTTTATTTTGAGCCTATGTGTGTCTTTGAACGTGAGATGGGTCTCTTGAATACAGCACACCAATGAGTCTTGACTCTTTATCCAATTTGCCAGTCAGTGCTTTTAATTGGGGCATTTAGCCATTTACATTTAAGGTTAATATTGGTATGTGTGAATTTGATCCTGTCATTATAATGCTAGCTGGTTATTTTGCCCATTAGTTGATGTGGTTTCTTCCTAGTATTGATGGTCTTTTACATTTTGGTTTGTTTTTGCAGTGGCTGGTACTGGTTTTTTCTTTCCATATTTAGTGCTTCCTTCAGGAGCTCTTGTAAAGGCAGGCCTGATGGTGAGAAAATCTCTTAGCATTTGCTTGTCTGTAAACAATTTTATTTCTTCTTTGCTTATGAAGTTTAGTTTGGCTGGATAGGAAGTTCTGGGTTGAAATTCTTTTCTTTAAGAGTGTTGAATATTGCCCCTTACTCTTTTCTGGTTTGTAGGGTTCTGCAGAGAGATCTGCTGTTAGTCTCATGGGCTTCCCTTTCTGGGTAACCTGACCTTTCTCTCTGGCTCCCCCTAACAATTTTTTCTTCATTTTAACCTTGGTGAGTCTGATGATTATGTGTCTTGGGGTTGCTCTTCTCAAGGAATATATTTGTGGTGTTCTCTGTATTTCCTGAATTGGAATGTTGGCCTGTCTTGCTAGGTTGGGGAAGTTCTCCTGGATAATATCCTGAAGTGTGTTTTCCAACTTGGTTCCATTCTTCCCATCACTTTCAGGTACACCAATGAAATGAGATTTGTTTTTTTCACATAGTCCCATATTTCTTGGAGGTTTTGTTTGTTCCTTTTCATTCTTTTTTCTCTAATCTTGTCTTCACACTTTATTTCATTAAGTTGATCTTCAATCTCTGATATCCTTTCTTCCACTTGATCGATTCAGCTGTTGATACTTGTGTATGCTTCACAAAGTACTCATGCTGTGTTTTTCAGCTTCATCTGGTCATTTATGTTCTTCTCTAAACTGGTTATTATAGTTAGCAGTTCCTGTAACCTTTTATCAAGGTTCTTAGCTTCCTTGCACTGGGTTAGAACCTGCTCCTTTAGCTCAGAAGAGTTTGTTATTACCCACCTTCTGAAGCCTACTTCTGTCATTTTGTCAAACTCATTCTCTGTCCAGTTTTGTTCCCTTGCTGGCTATAACTTGTGATTCTTTGGAGGAGAAGAGGCATTCTGGTTTTTGGAACTTTCAGCCTTTTTGTGCTACTTTTTCCTCATCTTCATGGATTTATCTACCTTTGGTCTTTGATATTGGTGGCCTTCAGATAGGATTTTTTCATGGGTGTCCTTTTTGTTGATGTTTATGCTATTGTTTTCTGTTTGTTAGTTTTCCTTCTAACAGTCAACCCCCTCTGCTGCAGGTCTGCTGGAGTTTGATGCAGGTCTATTCCAGACCCTGTTTACCTGGTTACCACTAGTGGAGGCTGCAGATCAGCAAAGATTGCTGCCTGATCCTTCCTCTGGAAGCTTCATCCCAGAGCAGCACCTGCCAGATGCCAGCAGGAGCTCTCCTGTATTCGGTGTCTGTTGATCCCTCCTGGGAGGTGTCTCCTGGAGAGGAGAGTAGGCATTCTGCCTTTAGCAGAGCTCGAGCACTGTGCTGGAAGATTTGCTGCTCTCTTCAGAGCTGGCAGGCAGGAATGTTTAAGTCTGCTGAAGCTGCACCCACAGCTGCCCCTTCCCCCAGGTGCTCTGACCCAGGGAGATGGGAGTTTTATCTAAAAGCCCCTGACTTGGGCTGCTGCCTTTCTTTCAGAGATGCCCTGCCCAGTGAGGAGGAATCTAGAGAGGCAGTCTGGCTACAGCAGCTTTGCAGCACTGTGGTGGGTCTTACCCAGTCCGAACTTCCTGGTGGCTTTGTTTACACTGTGAGGGGAAAACCACCTACTCGAGCCTCAGTAATGGTGGACGCCCCTCCCCACACCAAGCTCGAGCATCCCAGGTTGACTTCAGACTGCTGTGCTGGCAGTGAGAATTTCAAGCCAGTAGATCTTAGCTTGTTGGGCTCTGTGAGGGTGGGATCTGCTGAGCAAATCCATTTGGCTCCCTGGCTTCAGCCCTTTTTCCAGGGGAGTGAAGAGTTCTATCTTACTGGGGTACCAGGTGCCACTGGGGCATGAAAAAAACTCCTGCAGCTAGCTCAGTGTCTGGCCAAATGGCCGCCCGGTTTTGTGCTTGAAACCCAGGGTCCTGGTGGTGTAGGCACCGGAGGGAATCTCCTGGTCTGCCGGTTGTGAATACCATGGGAAAAGTGTAGTATCTGGCCCAGATAGCACTGTCCCTCATGGCACAGCCCCTCCCAGCTTTCCTTGGTTAGGGGAGGGAGTGCCCCAACCCTTGTGCTTCCCAGGTGCTTGCTGGGAGCTGCAGACTGGAGCTGTTCCTATTTGGCCATCTTGCCTGGGAAACCCTACATACTCCCAAATAGCCAATGGGATAAAAAAGAAATTATAGCAGCCATACCAGTAGGAGTAAATCTTCATGTCTTGGGTTGGGCAATCATTTCTTAGATATGACAGCAACCATATAAACGAGGCAAGAGAACAGGGCCTGGAGTCAGGAAACCTAAGGACTTCCTAGAATTAAATCAAATGGAAACACTTCAGCAATGACAGGAATTATCTTCTTCATTTACATAGGGCATACACTGAGTAAATGACTTTGTAAATTTACTTCATCCTCTTTATTTACATAGGGTGTACATCTAGTAAATGACTTTGTAACTTCACTTTAGCCTCTTCATTTACATAGGGCATACACCAAGGAACCAGTGGAAACCTCCAGAAGGTATTTAAACCTCAGAAAATTCTGTAACTGGACGCTTAAGCTTCTTGCTTGGGCCTGCTCCCACCCTGTGCAGTGTGCTTCTGTTTTCAGTAAATCTCTGCTTTTGTTGCTTCATGCTTTCTTTGCTTTATTTGTGCATTTTGTCCAATTCTTTGTTCAAAACCCCAAGAAAACTGCACAACTTCCACTGGTAACATATTTTGGCAAGCCAGCCAGGAGGTAAGCCCAAAGTTTGGGGTTTATTTCTTTCCTTTTTCTTTCTGCTCCACATGGGGGAATCAATCTCTCTCTCTCTCTCTCTCTCTCTCTCTCTCTCTCTCTTTTCCTTACCAACTCAGGACCCTTGGTAGACATTACCTAAACACTGAAGCAACTTCAGGTTTCTGGCCAGGGCCACTCTTTAGTGTTGCCTGAATGGGGATAGTTGCCCCACCTGAAAGGGGGAAGGTCTCTTTTCTATCTATTCCAGTTGCAGTCCCTAATACCTATGTGTGGCGCAGTTCCTCCAGGGTGAACCCCCAGGTGTTTCAGGCAACTTGAACCTTCTTTTCTTATGCTAAATTATTCCCTTACCCCATCCAACTGGCTAAGGACAAAAGAAACCCACCCAGCCTCCAGTTGCTATCTAGTGGAATGGGAAGCATGGAAAAGCATGGCCTAATCAAATTATAAGGGTGCTGGAAGTTGAAGCCTTCATCTAGGGACAAAAGGGAAGCTCATAGTAGGTCGTCACCTCTGGAGGGAAAACATGCAAAGTGGCACCAATGCCCCCTAAAGTCCCAGATGTCTGACACTCTAAGATTGGATTCCATTGGGGGATGCCCCAGGGGATCCTCTGGACCTTAACATCTCCAATGGGGGCACTTCAGCAGAGGTTCTAAGGCCTACTACTAAGCCCTCCTTAGAATTTTCTCTCACAGTTGCAATATGGTTTGGCCCCAATACTGTTTGGAATCTAGAGTTTGCTGTTAAATGGGAAAGTGAGATGAAGTTGCATGTATCCAGGCTTTGGTGTTGCTGTTTTAAGCAGGGTCAGGCCTGGTTCATATGTGATGTTCTCCTTTGGTGCTGTTTGGCCCCAGTATTCTATGGAATCTGGGGAGGGTTTGCCTTTAAAAATCAAACTGCCATGAAAACAGCTTTACCTGAAATTTTGGTTCACAGCCTTCATTGGATTATCTATTGGGGCAAACAAAGTAAAACAGGTGAGCATGTATTGCTAGCTCATGACTATGGTTTCAGCATAAAAGCCATTGGATCTTCATGTGCCTGTGAGTGTATACATGTCTAGATAAGTTTATTTGTTATGTACACTTGTTGTTATATGTTGTGTCTACCAAATTGGCTTACAAGTAAAGGAGTGCTCATAAATTAAGTAAATAATTCTAAGCAATTTTCAAGTTCATGTGACAAGTTTAGCTTTACTAAACAAGCTGGTTTTAAAATTATTTGTAAAATAAAAATAGAAATGCCTTCAGAATTGCCAGCATACATTTTTGTCTGGAATTTATATTTATCTCTGCTAGATATTTTGAGGCATCAGGGTTTGGCATAGAAAGTTATAAAACTAAAAACCCAGCCAAAACAAAATGATCTTGGTTTGCATGCCTTTTTTTGACAAACGAGAGTAATTTAATATTAGCTAAATCGTCCGAGTTATTGGCAAAATTACCTATGTATTTAACATTGAGACTCTTACTTAGGTTGAGGGGAGTACCTAATGTTCACTGGCTATTAAAAACATGGTTAACAGCTGGGCACAGTGGCTCATGCCTGTAATCTCAGCACTTTGGGAGGCCGAGGTGGGCGGATCATAAGGTCAGGAGATCGAGACCATCCTGGCTAACACGGTGAACCTGCGTCTCTACTAAAAATACAAAAAAATAGCTGGGCGTGGTGGGTGGCGGGCGCCTGTAGTCCCAGCTACTCTGGAAGCTGAGGCAGGAGAATGGCATGAACCTGGGAGGTGGAGCTTGCAGTGAGCCAAGATCGCACCACTGCACTCCAGCCTGGGCAACAGAGTGAGACTCCGTCTCAAAAAAAAACAAAAACAAAAACATGGTTAACAAGGAAATGACTAACTTTAAACGGTAGTGTCTAATGTCTCAGTTTACAGAAGTAATCTACATAAACTGTTACAAAAATGAAAGAACTGAGTACGTGTAAATGGGATAAATGTTTTCGGTAAACTTTTTGTGTAAATTAAAATCCTAAAATTATTTTTGATGCCCATGGAATATCTGGGTCATTTCCAATTCAGAAAGGGTTGTGATATGGGGAAATGCATTTCTGAAATTTTGGAATTATTCTTATCTATAAATGTTCATATCTGAGAGTTCAAGATTTCTTGCTTTTTGGGTTTCACTAAAGTTTTAGGTTACTAAGAATAAGAATTCTAGTTAACACATAATTCTGTAGACAAAATGTGCCAGAAAGCATTCTTTTATTTGTGAAAAAAAAAGAATAATTTTGTCTAATTCAGAAGTTATCTAAAAGTTAGTTCAAATTACAAATTTACAAAGGTTGTTTATGAAACAATGTAGTAAGGAACCAGTAAGGAGGGGAGAAACATGTGAAAAAAAAAGTTTAAATAATAAAATATTATTTAAAACCCGATAGAGAATTGGAGACATTTGGCTAATTAACATTTTCATAAAGTTCTTAGTTTTGATTAAAGCAAAATAAGAAATATTGTTGGCAGTTTGGAAATTATTTTTTAAATATAGTTAAACATGAAACCTGATTTAGTGTGGAGCCAAATTTCACATACATACTTGCGTTGCTTTACACTATGTTTACTATTTTGCGTGGATAGTGCTGGCACTGGAGTACTTATTGGGCATATGCCTAGAGTGAATTTCTTGATTGCACAGGATGTATGGTGATATTGGTTGACTTAAGGATATTGAATTGTGTATCAGGAATAAAATATTCATTATGTGTGTTTTGTGGGGCCCTGGGTTACACTGTAGCCTCCAGGATAGATTGAGTAGAAAAAATTTAGGGTTGGTTTCCTGTTTGTCTGTGCTTCTAATTTTCATTTGTTTGCTGTTTACTATCCTGAGTTTTGCTTACATATGCATATATATAAAGCCCTAATTTTTTTTAGTTTCCAGTGGAAGGCTTTTATTTAGTTCTATTAATAGCCATTTTGTTTCCTATGCATATCTAGCAAGTCACTATTTGTTTCATTTATCTTGAATTCCTAGACTACTTTTGTCAGGCCTGCAGAAATTGATGGAGCACATCAACTTTCTAACCTTAAGCTAAATTTTTGGAAATTAGGATTCCTGATACTTTACATGTGTTGAGTATACTTTCATAAAAAGAATTTGAGTCATATTTCTCTCTCTACCTAATTTCTCCAAAATTTGTAAACTATTTGTGAATATTCTTAATTCATGGCAATGTGTTTGTTTGCATACAGTTGAGCAGAGTTGCAAGGGCTGCTAAGGGACAGGAACCCAGAAACCTGACATGCCGGCAATAGGGTAAGAATTCTTACCAGTCGGACTTCTGGCCCCTCTCTCTCTGAGCAAACCAGTTGAATGATTGGTAAAAGATTATAAGAAGTCATGGGAATGTAAATTCTTGTAAATCTTTAACATATTTAATAGGCTTCCCACAATCAAATTTCAGCTTTAAAATAGACTTTTCTGATCTCTAACTTTGCAGTGCTACAGAGGGCCCCTGAAGCATTGAAAAGAGAGGTAAATAGGATTATTTGACATGTTTAGTTACATGGGAAGTACTGTCAAAATAAAAAATAATATTTAATTATCTTCAGGTTATATTTTAGTGAATGATATTAATATATGTTCCAAAATTGTATGGGATTTCTAAAATTCTAATATGTCTGTGTATATGCTCCACAGTTTGGAGAAAAAGAAGTAATTATTAGAAATGTGTCCCTCATGATAGGCTGTATACCAGATTCTACTATAAAGGCTATAGTTACACAACAGACTTTAAATTATTTTGTGAAAGTTATGATAGAATTGGCTGAACAGAGAAGTATTTGTACAACTGCTGGCACTTGTGGCCTACAGATAAATATATCAAATGAAGATTATAGAAATTCAGTTGTAGGGGATTAATGCGGAGACTCTTTAGTTAAGTGAGTACACTCTTTATCTAGGTCACCCTTTGATCTATTTGATTTTAGGTATTTTGGTTTATGGGAACACTCATCCTGATAGTAATAATAATAGGCTCCCTGGCATGCTGTATTCTCTCAAAGGTTTTAAATGTTTGCATGCAGCCATCTCTAGAATGTCAAATGGTCTCTATTCAACTGGAATAACAAGAGCTGAAAGAAATGTGCGACCATGAGAACACTGTAACCTATGAATGACATGCTGAGACCAGAAACCCAAAATGATGATAACTGAGAGTGGAGCTAAGGCCCTAAGTTTTGGTTGCACTCTCACCTAAGTGAGCACCTGACCAAAAAGGGAGAATTTTTTTAAACAAAATTATGAGAGGCCATTGTTTTGGACTGAGCTCATGCACTAGGCCCCAACAGACCAAACCAAACCAAAATGGAGTCGCTTATGCTGAGACTTTAAGGAAACACATAGAACCTAGAACAGACCAAGTTTTGTTTTTCTCCTGCAAATCTCTATAACAAACATTCCTGACAGCATAGGTATCTATCTCCTGAAGTTTCCATTAAATCTTGTAACCAAATTCATTTCCTCTTGCCTAGAGACAATAAATCTTCAGATGATCATGCGACAAGGGTTCCGGCCAGCTCCAGGTGAAGACACCACCACTGGTTATCAAGGAGCTACCCTGCCTCCACTAGACAAAGCAGGGCAAGGGTTCTGTGATCCCCAGTAGGTAGGGACTATGCTCCAAGGCAGCATGAAGCAGTACAGAAGACCATCTATGCCTCTGCCTCCCATAAAGATTTATGGGGATCACTACTTTCAAGGGGGAAATGAGGCAGGAGAATAGGGCCTGGAGGCAGAGAACCTAAGGACTTCCTAGAACTAAATCAAACAAAAACACTTCAGCTATGACAGGAAATATCCTCTTCTTTTACACAGGGCATACACCAAGTAAATGACTTTGTAACTTCATTTTAGCCTCTTCATCTACATATGGCATACAGCAAGTAACCAATGGAAACCTCTGGAGGGTAATTAAACCCCAGAAAATTCTGCAACCGGGCCCTTGAGCTGCTTGCTTGGGCCACTCCCACCCTCTGGAGCGTGCTTCTGTTTTCAATATGTCTCTGCTTTTGTGGCTTCATTCTTCCTTTGCTTTGTTTGTGTGTGTTGTCCCATTCTTTGTCCAAAATGCCAAGAAGCTGCACACCCACTAGTAACATAAGCAGTAAAATAAAAAATAAAAATAAAAATTAGACTGAATAAAAATTTTAAATCTTTGCAGTTCAAAATAAATCAAGAAAGTACAAAGAAATATACATAGAGGTGCATATTAATCAGGAATGCTTGCCCACATGTACCCAGAGACGTATAAAATAATATTTATGGCAGCATTTATCATAGGTGCTACAAACTGGAAGCAACTCAAACAGTAGAATGTATAACACATTGTGGCATATTTACACATTGGAATACTGTGAAGCAGTAAAAACAAATTACCTATAGTTTTATACCTCAAAACATAAATTTTGAATGAAAGAAGCCACACATAAAATAAAACATACTACTTAATTCCATTTGCTAAAAGTTCAAAATCTGTCAAACTAGGCTATAGTTATAGAGATTAACATGTGGTCACTGTTGGAGCAAAAGAAGGGGGTAGTACCTGCCAGGGGCAAGAAAGGAACTTCTAAGATCTGAAAATAATTTATTCCTTAACCTAGGTAGTAATTATAAGGACATTTGTTTTGTGATAATCCATTGTACTACACAAGTATATTTTTAGCATTTTAGTATGGGTGCTACTTCAATGAAAACAAAACTGATTTTAAAGTATATATCAGCCAAAATAAAGAATAAAAAACAGAAAATTCTGGTACACTAATACTATGTATTAGTAAGTAATAAACTAAGTAGTGTACTCTTTAGTAAGCTATTTTTACTAAAACTAAACTTAAAACTAATAATAAAACAATACTAAACTATCAATTACTACCAATATCAACTAATTATGCTTCAGATGTAGATAAAATAATAGTAAACAGTGAAACAATTCAAATATTTTTATTTTAATTGTTCTAAATCCAGTCTCAAATAGTATGCAAATGGTATTAACAATAATTTTGAGACGATTATGTAAAATACATATAATTTATTTTTTAAAAGTGTAAAATCCCAAATACCAACAAATACTAAGAGATTGGAGGGAAAGGTATTGAGAAGTGTCATCGTGCTAACCAATTCATCTTGCCTAGTTGCAAAAGTCAATCAAGAATTATTGATCCTATTTTTTCTTAACTTGTGAAATATTTAAAGGAAACATATTTTTAAAAAATCTAGCTATATATTGTTTACAGGAGATATACTATAATAAAATGACTCAGGAAAGGTACAATAAAAGGCTTGGGCAAAATACATGAGTGAATGTAAACAAAATAAATTTCAGAAAATAAGCAAAGTAGAATATAGGCAAAAAAAGTTTAATCATTTACAAATCATTCTATGTTAGTAAAGACTTTACTCCACAGTGGAGATATGTCAGTCAGAACTGTCTACTGAATAATAAAATCAAGATATATGAGGGTAAATTTGACTGAAATTTAAAACAGATATTGATAGAAATAAAGTATTAGCCTAACACCACAAGAGCTATTTTAGTTCTTAACAGATAATAGAAAATTAAATAACACTGAAAATAAATATATACTGAAACTAATACCCTAGAAAAAGTACCTTCTTTTCCAGAATTCATGATATATGTATATAAAATTGATAATGTGTTATGCTTTAAAGAAAGTCTCAATAAATATCAGTAAATTAAAATTATTCAGGCAATTTTGACAATTACATAAGAATAATTAGAAATTAATAGCAAAAGTAAAACAAAATAAAACAAGACATAATTTGAAAGAAAACGCTGGCAAGTAATTCAAACCAAAGGAGAAAAATCTTAACTGTAACTACAGGGAATTTAGAGTATAATGAGCATGAGAACACTGTACCTTAAAAACTTACAATGAGACTTGACCAAATTAGTAATTAGAGGAATACTTACAATCATAAAAAAAGAATAAAGGATAATAAATAATATGAATAAAAACTCAAGAAACAAGAAATCTAACCTAAGGAAAGGATAAAAAATAAAAGTAGAAATTAATGAATTTATAAACCAAAAATTGTAGGCTTGATAAATGAATCTAAGAGCTGATTCTTTAGCGAGCATAAAGTAAGTAAAATAAACAAGACTCTAGGTTATTAATATGGCTTAAGCTCAGTGTAGCCTGTATTCTCAAATTAATTGTTATTTATATACTGTAAGACAAGAAGTTTATGCAAGAATGTAAATTGACTAAGTCACTAAACACACTGTCGACGTTCACTAACTTTTTGCTTTTGTAAGTCTTTCTTGAAGCAGTGCATTGATTTATCTCCTGGTGCAAGCTGCTGAGGACTGGTTGAACTAGCTCTGCTATTAATCTAAAATAGAATGCACAATATACAAAATTAATAAAGAACAAAGGGATTGTCTTTTTGATACAGATAAAAAATTTACGATGTAATATTAGTTTAATATATAATGCTAGATTAAAATGTTTCAAACTCATATAAATGAATAATCTTCAAAAGAAAATAATAAATTGACATGCATAAACATATAAAGCCTATAAAATGAAGTGTTTAATAAATAAAAATTATCTCCAAGAAAAAAAAACTGTCCTCACATGGTTGCCTAGCAAATTGGTGTTAGCCTTCCATATACGAATAATTACCATATTATGTACATTGTCCAGAGTATAAAGTAAATAGGGCAACTTCTTCATAAACCTGATAGCAAAGATAGCATAACTTTGACATGGTGCAAAAAATTAAGCAGCAAACCAATCTTAGGTACAATAATCTTAGTTATAATTTTAAATGTAAAAGCTCTAAACAAAATTTTAAGAAATAGAATCCAACCTTTATACATATCACCACCAAGAAAGCTTTAATGTAGAAATATAAATATAGTTCAAATAGAAAATCTGCTAATATCATCCATCACAGAAATATATGAAATGAGGAAACCATATTATTATCTTAATAGATTTCAAGCATGCAGTCAATAAATCAATAGTATTTTCTGATTACACACACACATACACACAAGCATACATGCATACAAAGCTATCTAGAAAGATAAGAATATTTCTTTAATGTGATATAGAATATGCTCCTCAAAACAAGAGCCAGCATCATATTCAAGGATGACACACCAAAAGAACAACTGCAGTCACCACTTGTATTGGAAATTGTTCTGAAAATACAAGACAACTCAGTAAATGAGAAGAAAAATATTGGAATATTTATAAGAAAGGGAGAAGCTATATTATGTTATCATTTTGGTTCTTTGATTCTTTACTTGGACTGATATGAGAATCCATGAAATATTTAGAATGAATGAAGGTTTAGCAAATGACTGAAATTACATTGTGTATGAACTATTAAAAGTATAACTATATAGTTTTCCATATAACATATATGTAAATAAAATATATACAACTATTAACTAACTAATATGCCAATAATAATAATTTGGAAAATATAGTGGAAAAAATAACATTGCCAATAATAATAAAATATGTAACTAGAAATTAACAACAAAAATTGTGAGCCCATGTGAAGAAAATTTCACCATAAGATACCAAAAAAGTGAATAAATGGAGTCGTTCTTTGTTATAAAGATGTAATTAACCCATAATTAATTGATGGATTTAATAAAATTTTATTTTTTGGAACTGTGAAAATACTCCTAATTTCATCTATAAGAATAAATTTGATAGAAAAGTCAAGCAAAAGATTATCTTAACAGGCTCTATTGAAAAAGAAGAGTAATAATTGGAGGCTATTCAAGGGAAATTTCGACAATCCTTAAAAGCTACAATAATTAAATAGTGTGGTTTTGATATCTGAATATAAAGAAGCATTAGTGGAGCAGAAGATAAAGATCCGCAATACAGCCCAAGCACATAAGTACTGAAAATACTGTAAGTTGGCATTTTTTCAATATGGTAGGGAAAGATGGCTTCATCTGTATAATAGACAGAGACACATGGTGATCTAGCACCAAAAAAAAAAAAAAAAAAAAAATCACATTAGAGTATTACTTCACACCATATGTCACAATCAAACTGTGAAAATAACAAACAGTTAAATAAAAACCTAAACCCATAAGAAAAAAAACAACCGTAGAAGAATAATTTTATAATCTTGAGATAGGGAAGACTATGAGCATGACACAATAGCCAATAAGTATACAGAAAACTACATTTTACTTCATAGAAAATAAAATAAAATAAAAGACAAATCTGCAATTTTTAAAAGCTAATAACAAATGGGAGAAAATTTTGGAAAAATATGTGAGGAAAAAATGGTTTCTATTGATAATAATTTTTAAATCTTAAAAGAAAAAAGATAGAAAAATATAGAAAGTATATTCATTAAATTTGCCAAAGAAGAAATATAAATGGACTAAAAATATATGAATAGAGTTTAGATTCACTGGTATTCAAAGAATTGCTGATTAACAAGAAAATGGAATATTTACTAATATTTGCTAATATAAACTCTTTTTTGCTAATGTAATTAGCAAAAAAAAAAGAAAAGAATATCTTCAAACATTTTTTATAAAAATAAAAATCTATCTCATTATTCTAGGAAATGTTATATTGAAGATCTGAATAGCATTTCTTCAAATGCCTTTGACTCAAGCCATAAAGAAATAGAAATATACAAAGTTACATGAGGATGTTTTTGGTCATTGTCTCCCATTCCCTATCCAGCATCGGTGATAATGCTTTATCAATTGAAATGCATGAACATTCATTACCATCCTAGGAACTGAAATGTTTCCCCAAATTTCTCCAAGTTTCACTATAGATCAATTCCCAAGCAGTACACTGTATTAATGGAGTTCCTTCCAGGCTTCTTCATACCTGTGATTTGATTAGACTTCATGAGATCAACACAATTACTTTGTTTAAAAAAATTTTACAACATGGCAGTTTCTTTTTCTGAATCCCACCTTAAAAAGCCAAAGGGGAAGGAAAGAGACTTGGGAAGGAGTTTTTGCAAATTAGTCATCACATAAAACTCACCTTAGTGGGCCACCTCGCATAGGAAAGAGTAAAGAAGAAACACATATTCTCCATAGATGACAAGCATTCTGGAACCTGTTTCTTTACTACAGTGCCTGGAGACATCTAGAGCAAATTTGATTTTTCTTTTCTTCTGATACAGGTTAGTTTTGTGACTTTTATTTCCTCGAAGACTTTAAGGCTTAATGGTATTTTGAATTTTTCATTTATACCATATAATTGCATGACTAGGGAAATATATTTGTGTTTTATATATGCAGTCAAAAGAAAAAGGCTAATTAGTATGAAATATTCACAAGGGATCAAGAATTCATTGAAAGAACAACTCTTAAGTATTTCCAGCAGGGCAGAAGACGGGTTGGGGGACAATGTCTGCTGCAAGTACGGAGAGGGATTTGGCCCACGGGGATTTCATTTGGGTTTGTTTCAGATAAGGTGATAAAGGGACGGAGTTGATTGCAGACTGAAGTTTAAGGGGAACTTCTGAAGGAGCAAGAGGATATGAGTGATCAATGACACATATAGATTATAAAAATGTGAATTGTGTTAATAGCTTTTCTATTTCACCAGCCAAGGAATTCAAAACCCTAAAGAAAAGCATTTGACAACACATTTTTGATATTCGAAAGCTGATTTCTCAAACAAAAGTATATATCCAAATGGCATTTTAAAATAGACACTGACTATATCGGTCTACTTTTCAAATTATTAATTGCAATATTCTTTATTCATGTGTTTCTGTGATTTCATTTGCCTTGTTAATATAGAGTTATTCTGCTACTGTGTGTTCCAAGTGTTAGCTGACATTACAATCCCGAATACTTGGAAGACCTCTGCATCAACAGGTATACTCAGGAGGGATTATTTTGGTATTATTTGCTGTTGTATTAGTTAAACTCTTTGCTTATTAGCCTCTGGATACACTTTCAAGTAGCAATGTATCAATGGTACAAGGTTATGCTAAAAAGCCTTAAGTTAAAGAAACTTACCAAGGGACTCTAGATCTAAAAATAGTCTCATATTTTAATAGCTGTGGTAATCCACTATAGCACAAACTTGTTAAAGTGCAGTACAGAATTCTACTCAGTTTCTCTTTCAATTCAGGGCAGAGAGCAAAGATATAGGGAGACAATCATCGGATGATAAATTAAGGAGACATTAGCTTAAGAAAAGTGTATTACCTTCTGGTTCAGCTGAGTGGTGGATGGTGAAACACACCCTTGCAGAGTAGATAGAATACAGAGAAAAGTAGTGTCCCCAGAGATACTTACAGGTAAGTGGCATTTCTGAATACCTGTCGATACTGTAGAGTCCATACATTTTCTTTGCTTCATCCTTTTAAAAAAACTGCACTCCCTGATCTGACTCTGCTACTAATACCTGATTCTGCCTTTCTGACTTCATCTTATATCCTTTATACTTTTTTCATACCCATTCCCAAAGCTTCCCTTGCTTTTCTTAAAAAAAAAAAAAAAGAAAAGAAAAGAAAAAAAAAAGTCCAGCTGGGCGCAGTGGCTCACTCCTGTAATCCCAGCACTTTGGAGGCCACGGTGGGCGGATCACGAGTTCAAGAGATGGAGACCATCCTGGTCAACATGGTGAAACCCCGTCTCTACTAAAAATACGAAAATTAGCTGGGCGTGGTGGTGCGCACCTGTAGTCCCAGCTACTTGGGAAGCTGAGGCAGGAGAATCGCTTGAACTCGGAAGGCAGAGCTTGCAGTGAGCCGAGATTGTGCCACTGCACTCCAGCCTGGCGACAGAGCGACTCTCCATCTCAAAAAAAAAAAAAAAAAAAAATTCCAGTATGTACCTGCCTCAGAGTCTGTGCTTGGAATTCCCTTTCAGATACCCACATAGCTTGGTCCCTTCCTGCTTAAATGACATCAGCGAGTATTCTCTAACATATTATATAAAATAATACCCTCCCTTCCGTATTCCCCATAGCCCTTACCCTGCTCCATCTTTCTCCATAGTACATATCATCATCTGGCTTATTCTTTATTTGCTTATTTGTTTAGTCTTTCTACCCCATTAGGATGTTTTTAAGGAACCATATCTGAGTTTTTCACTGCTGTATCTCCCCATTGAAGCAGTGTCTGGCACATAACGGGCACCCAATAAATATTTATTAAATTAAATGACTAGCAGAATATTAATCTCTTGCATGAAGGCAGTTAGATAACTGTTCTAAAAACCACTTATGTGGCTTACACTGTGCCTCATGCAGAGTGTAATGAGTGATGCTTGATGAAATGATTTGTTGGGGTTTCCTCCTCCCCTACCTCGCACTTCAGACCCTATGTCATGGGGGAAAATATAGGGATTCCCTGGCCTAAATAAACTGTACAAAAATACCCAACATGAGTGTTTCAACAAGCAGATAGTAGTATTGGAAGGAATGCAGACTCAGTTTGGGCAAAATCTGTGTATGGAGAGGTTTTTCATGGGTTGTGTGTGTGTGTGTGTGTGTGCATATGTGAATGTATGAGGTAGAAGGAAGGTATCAAAAAAGAAATGTAAAAATGAAGTCATATGGCCAGAAGCATTTTAAGAGTCAAAACTTGTATTGAAAACAATCTACTTTGTACTTGAAAATGAGAAATAGTTGTGTGAGGTAGGCTTTTCCGTCACTCTAAGAGCCTTTGAAAGGCATAAAAATGTTGAGTAAGACATTCCTTAAATGCACTAACCAGCAATTTTAGGAAAAAAAAAGAATGCTCTTGGATGATAGAGAAAAATACATGGCAATACAAATCTGATTTTATATTAAGAAGTTTCCTGATGTCAGAAACAATGCCAGGAAAAAGAATTGCAGTGATTGGCGCTGAAGTCAGTGGATTAAACGCTATTAAGAGCTGTCTGGAAGAGGGACTGGAGCCCACCTGTTTTGAAGGAGGCAGTGACATTGGAGGAGTATGGAGATATGAGGTAAGTTTGAATGGTCTTATGTTTTTATGTATATGTGACTTCCACAACTGAGAAATAGAAATATAAGAATTGCAGCACTAATTTATCCTTCAATTATCAGAATAATAATAAATATTTTTACTAATGTCTGCACCTGTGTGTTGAATCTCATTCTCTTCTTTTCCTCAAGGTTAATATTCAGTCCATCCTTCTTCCTTTGGGAGTCCAGCTTCTTGAAGGAAGAATGTATGCTTGCTCTCAGCACTTTCTCACCTCCCGCCACATTTCAACCATTGCTACATGATGGACATCCCCAGCACTTCCTGAAAACTGTTCTCATTGCTGTTTCCAAAGGTGTCAAATCAAGTGGACCTTCTGGCCTTTTTGCTTTCTCAAGGAGAGCTAATTATGTTAAAACCCAACCAACCTTCTTAAAAAACATTCGTCCCTAGCTTCTACAATTTCACTCTCTTTTCTTCTCTGCTTTTCCTCTTCAATATTTTTCCACTTGGCCTCTAGATGTGGCTGGCTGTAGCTTTATTTCAATCTTCTGTTCTTTTAACCTTTTGCTCATTCCTTAGGCTATCTCCTTATCCCTTCTTGACTTCAGCTGCCATATATGCTAATATATAATCTTTAGATCTTTATCTTCAGCCTAACAACGTATGTATGCTAGAGCAACTAACACTAAGGGTCTCACAGACAAATTCTCAAACCTTAAGAGGTTAGCATAATAACAATAGAAGATATGATTAAGTAGCCTTTCTCCAACTTTAACTTATACCCCTGGACCATATAGCCTCCAAGGGTGCCACAGAAGGGAAAAGAGAGAAGGTGGAAGGCTACTGACCCATAACTGCCTAGGGCTAGCCTAGAGGTGGGGTGGCTACCTGATTTTGCTAATCTCTAGGATGTTCCACCAACACCTCATTAGCTTTTGAGGTCTTTTATTATCTGTGAGATCAATTCCCTGCATTACCTTCCCTGTCTCAAGTTAAGAGTAGTTTCCATGTTCCTGGTTGATCCCTGAGTGATACAGACACATCTCCAGGAAGGCTTTCCCAACACCACCTGCCTCCAGGTCCAAAGCACCCTATGGACACACCACTATTACATCTATCTCACTGCATGTGATTGCTGATCTCCTGTGTTAGGTTTTCAAAGCATTTTATGTGAATTATTTTATCTGGGGAAATTCAGCCAGATATCGGGTGAAATTCACTCCTGATATTTCACATAGGTTCTTTTCTATTTTCCCTACGTGTCAGCTGGTCTGAGAAATAAAGGGACAGAGTACAAAAGACAGAAATTTTAAAGCTGGGTGTCCGGGGAAGACATCACACATCAGCAGGTTCCGTGATGCCCCCTGAGCCGTAAAACCAGCAAGTTTTTATTAGTGATTTTCAATAGGGGAGGGAGTGTACGAATAGGGTGTGGGTCACAGAGATCACATGCTTCACAAGGTAATAAGATATCACAAGGCAAATGGAGGCAGGGTGAGATCACAGGACCACAGGACTGGGGTGAAATTAAAATTGCTAATGAAGTTTCGGGCACGCATTGTCATTGATAACATCTTATAAGGAGACAGGTTTTGGGAGCAGACAACCAGTCTGACCAAAATTTATTAGGCAGGAATTTCCTCGTCCTAATAAGCCTTGGGAGCACTATGGGAGACTGGGGCTTATTTCATCCCTACAGCTTTGACTATAAAAGACGGCCATCCCCCAAAGCGGCCATTTCAGAGGCCTACCCTCAGGGACACATTCTCTTTCTCAGGGATGTTCCTTGATGAGAAAAAGAATTCAGCGATATTTCTCCCATTTGCTTTTGAAAGAAGAGAAATATGGCTCTGTTCCACCCAGCTCACCGGTGGTCAGAGTTTAAGGTTATCTCTCTTTTTCCCTGAACATTGCTGTTATCCTATTCTTTTTTCAAGGTGCCCAGATTTCATATTGTTCAAACACACATGCTCTGCAAACAATTTGTGCAGTTAAAGCAATCATCACAGGGTCCCGAGGCGACATACATCCTCCTCAGCTTACAAAGATGATGGAATTATGAGATTAAAGTAAAGACAGGCATAGGAAATCACGACGGTATTGATTGGGGAAGTGATAAGTGTCCATGAAATCTTCACAATTTATGTTCAGAGACTGCAGTAAAGACAGGCATAGAAATTATAAAAGTATTAATTTGGGGAACTAATAAATGTCCATGAAATCTTCACTATCCACGTTCTTCTGCCATGGCTTCAGCTGGTCCCTCTGTTTGGTGTCCCTGACTTCTTGCAACATTATTTTGTCCTCATAACAATACTGCGACTGCAAGGACAATGCAAAGACTTATTTACAGACAGAGAAATAGATTCAGAGAAATGATTTTATGTCAGGTTCTTTTTCCTAGCCACACAATGATATATATCAAGAACCACATCAAAATACCACCTCATGTCATCTAACTTCACTAGGGATGCTCATATGTTAGGCTGTCACTTATTAAACTGCTGGTCATATTTGCAGAGACTAACCTTATCAGGAGGGGGTATTTTTGTATACAGGTACATCAATAAAATGAGTTTTATTAATAAACAATGCTCTCCAGTTTGAAGAAGAAAACATATAGTTTGATTTTTCCTAAAGCTGATATACTTTAGCATGAATTACATTCCATATTTCATGGCTTGAAATATTACACATGACACAAAACATTATTAAAACCCCCAAAATTGTGTTTTGTGTGTTCACGTATTAAAATAATGTAGTTAGGATTACAATAAATTTTTCTAGGAGAAAACAACATATTTTCAGTGGTGGTATGTTTTACCTTACCTTTAAATTACTTAGATATGTAGCCATAATTTTTTTAAAAAAAATCAATAATGGCTGTTAATGTACACAACAGATACTGTATGTTGTATGGACTCCTATTATATCTTGGAAAATGAGAATAATGTGCATCATAGAATTGAATTATGTTATTATATATTGAAAACTCTTCAAAACCATAAGTACAGTAGTGATAAAACATTATATACCCATCTGTGTGTGTATAGATAAATAGATAATATATGTAGCAAGAGATCTTGAAAGATAGGCCGTGATTGGAAGGGTATACATCAAAATATTTAAAGGGATCATCATGAATGATAGTCTTCACCATAATTTTCTATAAAATAATAATAATAATAAACATGTGCTGCTCATGTAATTAGAAAAAATTGCCAATATAAAAAATAAAGGATAAAAGAAAGTCTAAGTATGATCACTACTATTTTCTATGAGTCACTACAAACAGCCAAGGGCTTCCTGGATGCCCTCTTCCCAGTACTCTCCAGTCACCCATCAGTCTGGAACTTGAAACCCTACAAAGCTCTGCAGGCAGAGAAGCAGCCCTTATCTTCCTCTGCTTATTTTCACTTTCCGGTGTACTACACACATTTTTATTTTCCTGTCCTTCTGTCTGTTCCTCACTAGAATTTTTTTTGCTCTTCTTAACTATTTGCCGGAAAATATCTTATCTCTTAGTAAAGGTAATGTGAAATTGCTTTCTTTGAAAGAATTTAGTCCAGGAACCTCATAATTCTACATATAAAGAGACTTCTTCTTTAACTTGTCACTCTTGTATTCTAAAAGATGGTGAGTGTCTTCTTCTCTTGTAGGAGAAGGCTGAAGGTGGCAGGGCAATCATCTATAAATGTGTCACCAGCAATACTTCAAAGGAAATATCAGCCTATAGTGATTACCCTTTCCCTTCCCATCTTCCCAACTATTTGCACAATTCCAAATTGATGGAGTACCTCAGAATGTACATCAATCACTTTCATCTTCTGAAGCACATACAGTTTATGGTAAATGAGGTAGAGGGCACTTAGCACATGTGGAACCATCTTGGGAGGGTGGAAAACCAGGCCAGAACAAAGTACAGCAAGGCCTCCATTCAGTTTAGGGGGTGACAGGGTTCACCTTACATACATCTCTAGTGAAATCAGCAGGAGCTTCTCTCTTCTCTTCCTTCAGGAAAAAAAAAAAAAATATGGTGGATTGGCTGAAACATCAGACTGGACCCCTTTTGTAGACTTACCCCTAACTATGATCCCAACCATGATTGGGAGAAAACTGGACTAAATAAGGCTCTACTTAAAGAGGCCTCAGTAGCAAAATCAATTCTAAAGGAATCCCAGAGGAGAGTGGCTATAACCAACCTTATTCATTAAAGCCAAGAGTTCTTTGGAAGGAGGGCAAGTGGGAGGAGTGGTTATGAGTCTGAGTTTGTCTCATTCCCAGTCAAAGGTGTGCAGTGTGAAGAAGTGCTGCAACTTCTCATGCACAAGGCAATGGGATGTTGTGGTCGAGACTGGAGGGAAGCAGAAATCCTATGTCTTTGATGGGATTATGGTGTGTAGTGGCCTTCATAGCCATCCCGTATTACCACTCCAGGACTTTCCAAGTATGTCATATAGAATGCTAAGGCACTGCTTTTATGGGGTTCTATCGTTGTTATTGATTTTTTTTAAAGTTTTCAACTCCGAAGGTCACCTTATTTTTACAATAAATATTACCTTTTCTGACTGTGAAATCATGCATGCTCTTTGAAAGTCCGTTCAATAATAGATAATGTTTTAAAATTGAAAATAAAAATTACTAGTATCTCATCAGCATCTGGGCTTTTTAATAGGAAAGTCCCACATTTTAACACAATTGGAAGGTTGTTTTGTGTTGGTAATAGTTTGGAGTAAATAGGAAAATCAAAGCTACAGAAAATATTTTGAGATTTAGCTTTATTTCATGTGTATGTATATGCATAGCATGACAAATATAAATAGCTATTTGCTGGTGTTACCATGCATCTTAAAATAGACTGCAATGTTATTGCTCTGCTATTTGGAAGCTCAAGCACCCTGAATACTAGGAATGATGCAGGAATGATTTCCCTGCACAAGATCTCTCTGTTCATCTCTAGAAATATAAGTATTTAGTCTTCTTGAAGAGGGCTGAACCTTAGGCTCCTTCAAGATTCCCAGGAGACTCTGGATTTCTCCACATCCATTGTTTCTTTCCCAGTATATAAAAAGATGAGAAGGTCATAATTGGCCAAGAGAGGTCTATTTTTTGTTTAGTTAATTAATTCGAGATTTAAACATTCCTGTACTTATGCATTCAATAATAATTCAAGAAACGCCTATTGAGCACCAACTTACCAGAGGCTCAGCAGAGAGCAAAACAGACCAAACCTCCATCCTCAAGGAGTGTGCATGGTAGTGGATGGAGACAGACACAAATGGGAGAAATATGTTGGAGGCAATACTTGTTGAAGGAAGGGGAAGCAGGGAAGGAGGAGGAATTTTAGCAATAGGGGATTGTCTTACAACATTAAATAAGGTGTCAAGGCAAGCCTCAGTTAGAAAGGGACATTTGAGTAAATACCCAAAGGAGTTGGGGAAGTGATGCAGGTATCTGGGGAAAGCATACTGTTTTGAAGGAACAGCATGTGCAAAGGCCTTGAGGTAGGAGTGTGCCTGACAATTCTAGTGTGGCTGGACCAGAGGAAAGAGTGGGAAGAAGATGAGGACAGAAAGTGAAAGAGAGACCAGATCAAGAAGGGCCTTTAAATCTTATGTTTGGACTCTGACTTTGGACTCTGGGCCTCAGGAGTGGCATGCTCCCGCCACTTTGGCTGCTCTGTTAAGAATAGCTGGGAGAAGATGGTAGTGGTGGAAGCTAGGAGACTGGTGTGGATGCTCTTGCACTAACCCAGGTGAGAGATGATGGGGACATATATTGATATAGAGATGATGGGGACATGTATCGAGGTGGTAGCAATGGAGATATATAGAGATGTGCTTGGAACCCACATGTAGTTTAATGGTAGAGATGACAGGATTTAGTGATGAATTAGAAATGGGATGTGACAAAAAGAGAGGGGTCCAAGATAATACCAATGTTGTTGGCCTGCATGAGGGAGAGAGATTGAGGAGGCCACAGGATGACCAGGTTCCAGAGATGCTCATTGCAAGTGGGACAGAATGGAATAAGATTGAAAATATTCAAAGGAGAGAGCTAAATTTATTTTCTAAGCACTTACTATGTCATAGGAGCATATCAAGGGATCCTTATACCGTTCCTATGCAATAGGTAAAATAATGTCCACTTTACACATTACAAATTTAACTACTAAGAGGTTCATGCCTAGGTTAAAAGTCACATTGACTCCAAGGGCAAAGGGTTCATTTTGGAATAAAAGAGAAACATTTTCTCCTGGAGAAAAGAAGACGGAGGAAAGATAGATGAAAACACACTAACTTCTAGGTGTTGAGGAACTCACCTAAGAACTTTGTTGTTTTCATACAAATGAGAAGAAAGGTTATTTTCAGGGAATGAGAGGGGTGACATTGGCACCAAGGAAAGGGGAAATAATTGAAGTAGCTGCAGTAAGATAATTGATAGGGAGTCTATCCTATCCATGGGCAATTGAACTTGCCAAACATAGAGTTTAGGAACAATTGGATCCATGCCAGGAGTTCACTATGTGAGAATCAAATAACTGTTTCCAAGGGAAAGCTAATGTTTTGGAGCAAATTCTGTAGGGAAACGGGGACACAGCAAAGACTGAACCACCATCAGGACTGACTAAGGCTGTGCAGTGTCACAGGAGGAGCAAATGAAGCCCATATGTGCAGACCCCAATATTGTTTAAAAGATGAAATGCTGCAAAATCAATCAGCTTTTATGGCTTTGCTATATAATCTTTCTCTTTAAATCAAAGTAAAAAACTTATTTTTTAGGAAAAAATAAGTTCTTACGTCCTCTTAGCTGCAGATCTTGTGGGTGATGTTGGAGCGTTTGGCCCCAGTAGGAGAACAGAGCGATAGTGCTAGTAGGAAGGGTGTACTTGGCCCAGGAAGCAAAGGAAACAGCTATACAAGGATGAAGCTTGGCCAGGGAAGACAAGACAGAGGAAACTGAGTCCAGGGCAGTAGTTGTGAATAACATGAGTGATGGATGAGGAAAATATATTACTTAAATAAGAGCTGAGCTCCTCCTTGAAGGCTTTGCAGGATACAGATAAGTAAAAAGGAGTCAGAGGTGAGATATCTGAGTTTCTCAGAAGTCTGGGGGTCTGTTCTGTCTTGGAATTTACAGTCTAGAACAAATCTGTAGGAGGATTCATTCTGCCTGATGATGCTGGGCTGGCAGGGTCCATGACACTAGCATCAGTAGACCAGCAAATGATATGCGTTAGTAGGATGAACTTTGAGTTCAGTGATAAGCTTTGGAGTATACCATCAGTTAAAATAAATGGAATAATGACCAATGCTTTAGTAATTTTGTTCTTTCCCACAGGGATCAAGAGGTTCAAAGGCCAATATATTCACAGTTGGGAATACAAGAGGCCAGATAAATTTCGGGAGAAGAAAATTGTTGTTATTGGCTTTGGAAATTCCAGAGCTGATTTGGCCATTGAGCTCAGCCATGTAGCTGCACAGGTTTGGCCCCTAAAATTCTCTGCCCCTCAACGCAACCTGCCCACTTCTCTGAGCATTGCATGAAATGTGTATAGCATCTACCCCATCACACACACAGTCTTTATTGTTAATTATCTCTTCACACCTGTTTTCTTTGTAAGACATCATGGTAATCCATTTTAAACATTTGAAAATGTATTAAAAGTAAATACTTCAAACTTTAATGACTGCCATATCGTTTATATTTACTAAAGCATCTGGACTCTTCATTAGCTCAGCCAAGGGTTTCAAAAATCAACATACCAGAAAACCATTTTTTTAATTTCTTTATTTTCCATTGACATGACATTTGCCACCATCTCCCAACTCTGATTCCTCCATACTTAGATTCTAGGGACATGATCAACAAAGTGCTCTAGATACTGTAATACTATGATTAGCAGATAGATGGGATTTACGTGTCAATTTGTTAATTTCTAATCGTCTTGCATTATTTAGTTTTTCTGGAATTTGGAACCTGAGTGATTGTATGATATGATGAAACACTGTTTTGAAGAAGGTTCAAAGGGCTAGTGGGTGAGATCCAGAGGGAGGCCTGGGCAGATTTCTGGAGCTATAAGCAATGTTAGGTGTGTCTGTATGTGTGAGTATATGTGTGACTGTATCTGTTGGTCTAACTGAGTTTGAGAAGTGAGGAACACTTCAGGCTAAAAAGGCAAGAGAGTTCTTATCCACTTATCCTCTTGAGCCAAATAAGAGATATATGAAGAACTGAGAAAACATCTTACAAAAGGAAATACATTGTGAGGCAGTTATTTTTCATATATTTGTCTTCTCTCCTAGGTGTTTCTCAGCACAAGACGGGGTGCATGGATGTGGAGCCAGGTCTGAGATTATGGGATGCTCATGGACACTGCCCTCTTTACTCATTTTAAATCTGTCCTCAACAAATTTCACCCTGCATTCTTAATCAACAGATGGACAGAGAATAAATTAAATACTCGATTTAACCATGAAATCTATGGTTTACAATCCCCACATAGGTATGTTTTGGGATTTTTAAAACATAATATGGGGTCTTTTGGGGTCAGCAGCTGAGACTTGGAACATAGAAGTGGTTTAGAGTCCATGTTTACCATCTTGAAAATAAACTTCAACTATCTTAGGAGAATGTTAATCATTGTTCCCTTTATCATGCTTCTTTAAACCATTCTACTCACTTTTCTTACAGGAAAATATCGTGTTCCAGGATTATGGTGGCAGCTTCACCTGTCATTTGACACCATCTTCCAACTCTGACTCCTTCCATACTTAGATTCTAGGGACTCGATTAACAAAGTGCTCTAGATACTGTAATATTAATACTATAATTAGCTGATGGATGGGATTTATGTGTCAATTTGTTAATTTCTAGTCTCCTTGAATTATTTCATTTTTCTGGAATTTGGAACCTAAGTGGGGCATGAAAGTGGATGGGCCCACTCATTTAACTCACATACTGGCTACTTATATAATAAGGAACACACAGAAGATACTCAGATAATATCATTTAACTCACATTGTGGCTACCTATATAATAAGGAACACACAGAATATACTCAGATAATAGTTATTCATTTACTACACGTGGTGTTTGACCATTTCCTTCTTGGTTCTCCGGCTTCTGAAATTCACTCCTTCTTTAGACTCTGAGACCTGCATAAGGTGGACAGGCAGTAGATGGTGTACTGTGTTATAAAGCATCACCTCCATTTTCCCAAGCCAAAAGAATCAGGAATCTGGCAATATAAGGGGAGCAATAAGAGGGGAGACTTGGGGCAGGGAGAATCCTTTGAAATGCAGCAAATGCTTTCTTTGCCTTGAATAGAATTCTGGATCCAGACAGCTATCTGAATCCTTGCTTCACCATTTACTAGTTATGTGATATCACCAAATTTACTTAACTACTTACTTATGCCTAATTTTTATTTTATATAAAATGGAGACAACATTAGCACCAACTCAGAAAATTGTTTTGAGCATTAAATAGGAGAAAGCACATGTATAGCTTATACTAGCACCTAATGCATAGTAAATGCTCAACAAATTTGTGTTGTTTTATATTATTAATTTTCTGACTATAGTAAAATTATACCTATGGAATTTTAACTTATGGAGGTGACTGACTGACAACATGAAGAAGTCAATGCCATTGAAAGAACTTACATTTACTTACATTTCCCAAGCAAAGTGGGTGTGCCATACCACGCAGGGCCATAGAGGAGCACCATGTTTGGTCAGGCGGAAGCCAGAGCAAGGCAGAGAATTAGAGGAATCAATAGCAAGGATGGCAAAATAGAAAGAAGAAAATTTCAGGAAGGGAATGGCCAAATGTCAAGTGTAGTAAATCAATAAATATTCTCTGAGCACCTTCTGTGTGTTCCTTATTGTATCAGTAGCCAATATGTGAGTTAAAAGAGTGAACTCGTCCACTTCCATGCCCCAAAACTCAAAAAGGGAAGTTTGCTGGAAACAAATGAGGAAATATCGCTCAACTTTTGTATGAAAACAGTTTTTGTCTGCATCTGAAGCATACAATTGTGTATTCTGAACACTGAATCTAAAAAAATACATAATGGAGCTAGAAAAATCTTCTCAGAAAGACAATGAAAATGATGAAGGTAGACTGATGGTCTGCCGCATGATGACAGTAGAAATCTGCAGATATGGTGGGGTTGAGGAAAGATGGAATGTGGAATTCACTCAATGCTGACTACAGACTAACAGCAAATATTCACGAGGTTGAAAAGAGTAAAATTTGGGATAAGTATAAACTTACGCATTGTATGATTAATTCAAATATGGTGTCAATAGAATAAAACTTTGCTTGAAAATATAGCTAGAGTACTAGGGAAAGAGAAGTAGTAGAAAGTGGAAGAGGTAGGCAGGGACAGACCACATAGGGCTTTGTAGGACTAGAGCATGGTGGGGATTTGGGTTTTTGTTTTCAGTAAAATAGAAAACCACTGAAGAATGTTTTTGTATATTAAAAGAATCATTCAGGCTGCTAAGTGTAAGAGAAAATGTAGGGAGTCGAGGGTGGAAGCAGGAAGACCACTAATGGTATTGAAATTAGATGGTGCTAGTAAATTTATTAAAATGGCATGTATATTCTCAATATAAAGTAAAAATAAAAATATGGTATGATTTTCCTGTTCCAATGCAAACACCTTGGCAACTATTTTTTAAAACTTTCTAATGAATGAAATTATTTAAAAGAAGTTAGATATTAATGTATTACCAGTATAAGCTTTTATATGACATTTTAAAATCTTTCCTTTGCATATAGTAAGCATTAATAAATATCATTGGCATTCTGATAAATACAGAAAGTTTCTGCAGTAAGTAATTCAGAAAAGGAATTGAGGAAAAGAAATATTTCTGTAAAACAAAAATGCGGCTCTTTCATTAAGCATTGAGTCACTAATGGTAAGCAAATAGTAATTAATAGTAAGCAAAATGACTTACTATTAATTTTCCTGTACTTCAATTTGTATTATTCCGATTCCTGAGCCATCAAATTTCTATGAGTGATGATCTACCCAACCATGTAATTTGTGGAAGACTTGTGATGAAACCGAATGTGACAGAGTTCACTGAGACAACTACCATCTTTGAAGATGACACAGAAGAGGAGATTGATGCCGTCATCTTTGCCACAGGCTACACCTTGTCTTTCCCTTTCTTGAAGGAAGACTCATCAATCCTGGACAGCTGTGTTCCATGTTTAAACATGTGTTCCCTCCTCAGCTGGAGGAGCCAACACTAGCTTTCACTGGCATCCTTCGAACAGTGGGAGCCACCATTTCCTCTTCAGAGGTCCAGAGCTGTTGGGCTGTATGTGTATTTAAAGGTATGTGCTGACTTTAGGAATATTTAGAAAAGGTTGCCATCAGGTGGTGTGATTTCAGAGACATTGCAAAAGTCCTTTGCCGTAAAGCATCTCTGAAGTTAAAACCTTTACAATATCTGAAATTCTGCCACTTGAGATCTGTTACTTCAGTGTTTGATGGCTACTTATTTAATCTTCATGATCCCTGTGTGAATATGAAAAATAAAAAGTACTCTCGTAAGTTATTAATGACAACGTATTGGCAAGTAATTCTTTAGAGCACTACAGGGATGTATGTAGCATAGAAAGTGAGAGCAGCAGGGAAAAAAAAAAAGATCTCAACATGAAGTAGAGGTGGGAAATAATAGCTCTCTTACTTCCCAATGTTGCTAGGGTCATTCTGGAATAAGCGAAAATTAAAGAAAGCATTTTTTGCCTATCTTTCAAGTGTCCATTCAAAATATAAAGAAAACAAGCAGGTAAATTTGGCAGAGTCACAGAGCCACTGGAATAACACTACAGCACAATTCAAAGAGCAAGGGCTTTATAATCAAATAAACCTGGGATTAAAAACTAGTTCTACCATGTACTGGCTGCATGATCTTGACCTGCTACTTGACCTTAATTTCCTCATTTGTAAAAATGGGAAGACTTATATCTACTTTGCAGGATGGTAAGAATTAACAATTGAGCACCTTGACTTTAGGAGGCATTCAGTAAATATTGATCGAATAAATAGAGATTAGCCATTGTTGTAATCCGTTATTATTATTCTTTATTTTACCATTAATTCTAAGCTCAAGAATGAATCAGTGATGACAAATTCAAAACCTACCTTTATAAAATGATGCCAGTCATATTGTAGTAATTCTGTTTATTTGTCTCTTTCTCTTTTAAAAACTTTTCCTTATTTCCTGGAACATTCTGTGTTTTTCAAAATGTAGGATGTCACCCATTTTAGGAATGAAACAGAATTGTAAGAAGGTGACTTCCATCCATTAAGATGGAAAATTAGTAGGAAACTTTGGTGTAAAGAAAACAATCAGAAGACTTTGAATTACCATTAATAGCTACAATCCATATTTGTAAACTAAGTAGTAATAGAAATGAACAAGTTTAACTCCCTGTTTAAAGGAGAACCAGAGTATATATTCTGATAATGGAACTACAAACATGCTCATTTGTGCCTTGTCAGTTGGGTGAGACTCAACCCTTTAGTCCATCCTTCTTCGTGGGCTTTGAGGGCTTTGAGGTCTGCTAATCAAAATGTGAACTCATCAGGCATGTGACAAAGTTGTATGTTTGCATCTGGCAGGCATGTGCACTGTTAAAACAATGAGTGGAGGGCATTCCAGAGCTGTCCCTGGATTCATCTTCCCCATGCCTGTGCTACCTCACTCATGATGTTCTTTACCAAACGGACCTTTGGGGTGTCTATATTTTCCTGAAACCGCATCTTCTCAATAAGAAAGCCATGTTGAAATCCAGAATTTCTTTCCTAGGATTGAACAAACTACTTTCAGTGAGTGACATGATGGCTGACATAAGAAAGAAGAGAAAAAAGTTGGAAAAGGTATAAGAAACATGTTTTTTGGTAAAAGTAAATTGAAAGGGTTTAGGTGGAGCTGTTTGCTTACCAAATTTTTTTTATTTTACTCATCATAATGTCTTGATCTATTTACCTAGGTGAGATCTCAAATTATCAACTTTTAAATTTCCCCTTAACCAAGCATAGTATCATGTATGGAATATTTAGGGGTGAAATGGATACAGAATGGTCCGTCATGAAAACTTCAGAAATTTGTTTAAAGTTCATGGAATGGCAGCCACAGCATACAGTTTTAAATTTATGATAGCCTTATAAATGTAAGGCATAGAAAAATGTAATATGAATTGAAAGATTGTTTTATTTCCCAGGATTCCTTTAAGGAGTTTAAGGAGTTATTTCCTTTAAGGAATTGGGAAGATAAATCAATGTGAGAAATGAGTTGGCGAATCACCATAGAATCCAATTAAAATTCTGATGTGAGTTCAGCAGCTTGTAGA
This sequence comes from Homo sapiens, assembly GCF_000001405.40. Taxonomy (NCBI): domain Eukaryota; kingdom Metazoa; phylum Chordata; class Mammalia; order Primates; family Hominidae; genus Homo; species Homo sapiens. Next base: position 166,579,674 of record NC_000001.11, read on the forward strand.
TTGTGCCAGACCTTCTTAATGGAAAATTATTCTCAACCACTAGGGTTGGGATGTAATTTATTTCTATTCAACAAGTATGTGTTGAGAATCTACAATGTAAATGTCACAGCGTGTTTTCTAAGATCAAAGGGCTTACATCCTAAGAACAGTCAGTTATCCAGTAACTTTGATTTAAGAAGGTTAGCCAAGAGTTGCATTTCAGTAATACATAAAATTAACATCACATATACCTAAATAACTGTCATGTACAATTCATAGAGCATAGTTCCCACCACCAATTTACCAAGATGAGGTTATTTCCTGAATGAAAACCAAATGCATGGCAAAAATATAGAATTTAGGAAAAGGAAAAAATATGATTAGTAAGGCAAAAATCTTCTGAAACACACCTATTGCTATCCAAAAACCTTTCCAAGTATTTGAAGGAGAAAAATACACCTACATGAATATTTCGTTAGAAACTCCTGAAACCACGGTAGCAGAAAATAAGGAAACCAGACTTATCTCTTGCTTTTTGAAGCAACCGTCAATGACACAGTTGCTATTAAGCCACTGATAGCCATCATCTTTTCCCTATAGATGATCTCCTCACACAAGGTCTACCCAGTATTTACAGGAAACTGCTTGGAGGGATAGAAGTTATCATGTGACACAAGGCTTCTGATTTTTTCCTTTTTGGTGTCAGATTGCTGAAAAATCCTCAAGATACACACGGAGTGTACTATGTAGATTACATGGATGAAACTGCCTCTGAAATTGGAGCGAAACCCAACCTCCTCTCACTCTTCCTGTGGGATCCAAAGCTAGCTATGGAAGTTTTCTTTGGACCATGCACACCTTACCAGTACTGCCTTCAGAGGCCAGGGAAGTGGGCTGGAGGCCAGGAAGCCATCCTGACCCAGAGAGAGAGAATTATCAAGCCCCTGAGGACTCGTATCCTTACTCGTGACCAGCCTTCATTCTCTGTTATTTTGGCTTAAAAGTATCAGTGCAGTCCTTCTCATCTTTGTCCTCATTTTCATCATTGTTAAAGGATAATCCTCCTTTGTGCATTATTACAGTATAGACCAACAATGGTACACAATAATTAAGAGCCCAGCATATGCAAGTGTTTTTCTCTCAATCCAGACTAGACTAGTGCAGTGAACTGTCCAATAATTCCAAAATTTCCCATGTGCGGATATTTTGGCCAAAATGGAGATTTTGTAAACAGAGATTTCAAGTAAAGTGGTTTGTGTAAGAAATTACTTTTGAACTGCACATTTAATTTCTGTAACACGACAAATATTCTGAGTTATTCCAAGTACTCCTAGGCATCTCTTTATACTAAACACATTTTTTGTTGGCTTCTTGCAATTGGTAAATTCTTGTTTTTGCATCTGAAGCACAGGCTAAGAAAAAGTATCTCTTCAAATAATCTAGAAAATGTTAACAGTGAAAAATATCACCAGAAACCCTTTCCATGAGGGCCACATTCTATAGAATCATGGATATTGAAGTAACAGGCTATTTCAGGTATGTTTGAGGTTTTTTTAAGGTACGGAGGGTGGCGTGGAGAGAAAAAGAGGAAATAACAGAAGTCAGGAACTACACATAATTTTGTGTTATTTTAAAACTATTGAAAATCCATTGAATAAGTCACATAGTAGACATACAAAATTCTATAAACACACTCAGAAGAATAAGAAGCAGATGTGGGTGAAAAGAGTAGAAGGTATTTGCAACATTTACAAACACTTTAATAATTAATCAAAGAGATGAAGTATTTTAGTCTCTGATTCAATCACTACTAGTGAACCTAGTCCTGATATTCTGTATAAGCTTGTTTTTTATCTGAAATATATTACTCTTTCTTTAATTTACTCAAAAAAATATTTATTGAGCATCCACTACATCAGACATTGTGCTGAGTGCTGGGAATAAACAGGCTCACTGGATAGCATCTGATCTTGTGGATTTAGTGCCGTCTGTGTACTGATGATGCCCAATCACAGACCTTTAGCCTTCGACCTAACTTTAAAAGGCTGAAGTCTAAAGCTTACACTTACATTAACCACGTGTCTATTCAGCATATTCAAACTTAACTAAGCCAAACTCTGGTGGTTTACTCTAGAGATTGGCTTCCCCATTTCTATAAATGAAAACTTCATCTTTTCAGTCCCAAACCAAAAAGTTTTGAATCTTTTGATTCCTCTCTTTCATACCCCATGCTCAGTCTATCAACAAATCCTGTCACCTTCAAAATAAATCCAGTATCTCATCACTTGTCACCACCTCCACTGCTACCACCTGAGCCCTTGCCACCATCTTCTGTCGGTATTACTGCAGTAGTCTCCTCACTGGACTTCTCAATTCCCCCTTAATCTCTGTGGTCTCTTCTCCTTATAGCGGCCAATTGATATTTTTAAAATGTAAGCGAGATTATGAAATACTTTGCTTCAAACTGCCAGTGGCTTCCACATCACTCAGAGTAGAAGCCAAACCCTAATAATGACCTACAAGTCCTTCCTGATCTGCTTCCCCACTGCTCTTCTGACCTCATCTACCACTACTCTTTTCCATGTTCACTCCTTGAACAAGCCAAACCCACTCCCACTTCATGACCATTGCACTTGCCATGCCCCTTTCCAGGAAAATGCTTCCCCCAGAGGGTCCACAATGCACACTCCCTCACATCCTTCAGATGTTTGCTCAAATGTCATCTTGGGGCTGGGTGTGGTGGCTCACATCTGTAATCTCAGTACTTTGGGAGGCTGAGGCAGGAAGATCACTTGAGGCCAGAAGTTCGAGACCAGCCTGGCCAACAGGTTTGGTTTAGTAGAAACTCTGTCTCTACTTAAAAAAAAAAATAGGCATGGTGGCCCATGCCTGTAATCCTAGCTACTCAATAGGCTGAGGCACGAGAATCAAGAATTGCCTGAGCCCTGGACTCAGAGGTTGCAGTGAGCCAAGATAGTGCCATTGCACTCCAACCTGTGAAACAGAGCAAGACTGTCTCAAAAAAAAAAAAAAGTCACCTTGTCTGTCAGGTCTTTCATGACTGCTCTGCGTAAGACAGCATGCCTCAAAACAGTCACTTCCTATCCTCCTTATACTGCATTATTTTGCTTCCTGTCATAATACATAACAACTATTACTCTGTTATTTATTTGTTTTTCTGTCTCCTCTTCAAAGTGACGAAAAGGACAGGGATCTTCACTGTTTTGTCTGGAACAGTTCCTGCCACAAACTGGTCCTTAAAAAATGTTTGTTGAAGAAATGAACAAGTAGATATTATCCCCGTCTTTGAAGAACTCACAATGAGAAATAATAGGCATGTAAACAGATAATTAACAATTTAGCATTGGTGCCTCAGTCTATAACCAAAATATAAACAAAATGCTGTTGGAACTCAGAGGATAGAGCAAAGAACTCAATGAAGGGAAATCAGGAAGGATTTGCAGAGAAGAGGAAAGTTGATTTAGATCACAAGAAGATGTTTAGGAGCTTTTTCCAGCAAAAGAGAAGGGCATCAAATATGCAGTGTGTGTGTGCGAGTAGATCAGCCTGCATGCCAGAATGTGGGACTGGGTGAGGAAGATGAACCTGAAGAGGTAGTCTGGGGACATAATTGGGAGACCCTCTGCTCACCACACTGATTCTTATTCCTTTGTTTCATCTGAGTCAGAATCACAGCCTCCCGACCCCCGACTTCTCTCCCCTGTGCCCTGGTCCTGGTCTCCCTGCATCCAGCCTCTCTTGTCACCTCACACCATCTCCCAAACTGCCACCAGAGTTGACTTTCTAAAAATCCAATCTGGTCACATCATTCCTGTGCTTAAAACCTTAATTTTACTCTTTGTGGTCTGTAGAACTGTACTCAAACTCCTTACCTTGCTTGCACTTAAAGTCTCTTTTTATAGGTTGAAAATGAAGCAAGAATTTCCACTTTTATTTAAGCTTTCTTTACTTTATTAATCCAGAAAGGTGATGTTGGAACTCAAATTTGAATGTGATACATATTTCAATTGCCTCCACCTCGAACCTCTCTCAGTAGATGAGACTTCCAAGGAGACACGTCTTTACCATGTCTCCTCTTTTCCCACATTGCTACAGACATAATCACATAAGGGTAATTACAAGCAAAAAGGAGAATTTTGTTTTGTTTTTTTCATAGTTTTGGTCTGACCTCTCACTGACAAATAATCCTCTCCAACAATGGTTCTTAAATTTAACATGCATCATAGTCCCCTAGAGTGCTTTTTAAAATACAGATTGCGGCACTTTACCCCCAAAGATCATGATTAGACAGATCTGGGGTAAGGACAAAGAATTTCCATTTCTACAAATTGTAAGATGCTGCCGCTACTGTTGCTGCTATCTGAGGACCACACTTTGAGAGCAATCTCATGGGCAATGTAGAGATGGTAGATACCAGACCTTCAGGACCCTGAGACAACCAGGTCAGCACCCTCTTTAGGTGAGGCAAAGACCTAGAGAGAGATTCTTCCTTGGTCACAGCCAGTTCTGCCTGAGGCTGGCCCTGCGCTGGGTAAAAAAACACCTACTCTAACAGCTTCTATACACACAACACCTAGCTCACACCAGTGGATATTCACAATAAATACTTATGCCCAAATAATCAAGTTCCACTGAACCCAAATATGCTGGAGGAGTTCGGTGTAAATGCAAAGCATTTTCTGAACATGTCTCTTACCATATGCTTATCCTAAATCTTTGATGGTTTCTATTTGAAAGAAACAATCATTGCATGTGTGTTATAATTTTTGACATCAGATAATACTCTGTACAAAATCTTTCAGAGGTCAGAAAGTTTTAATATCCTTTTATACTCAGGAAATGAAACAGATATGTTAAGCTGTCTAGCCTACAGCTGCACACTGAATCACTAGGCATGGAGATTAAAATCCAGGAACTCTTAAGGGTTATATCTTGTGCCTGAAACAACACAGTTGCCCAGTCACAGTCCCTTCAATTTTCTTGAAAAATTACCAAGAGAAATGAAGAAAATTAAGAGCTTGAGAATAAAGAAATTGTAAGAATGGAATTGTTCTCTGAAACCATGTAAACATAGAAATGTCTAACAATTATTTCATTTCCAAGTACAATATAAAACACAAAGGCCAATGTCATCTTCTGAAGAATAAGTTATATAATAATGATGGGATTTAAAAATACTAATAGAAACCTGGAGTTAAAATCTCAAACTATCTTAACACAAGTTGAGATGAAGAGAGACTAACTCATGCTATTAATAAATTCTCCAATTTAAAAGGGGGTACTTGAAACATATCATTCACTTGTGACTACACTGTGGTAATTCTGAGACACCACTGGGAGTGAGGAGTGCTTCTGAGTTGGCCCTGATTCCACTTTCTGCAAATTTGGTGTACTCTGTGTTCCACCACTTGGGCAGTTCTGCATTTTCAGTTATCTTTCTTGGTCACACCTGAAATGGGTCTTAGGGACTCTGCTCTCCTCGGTGACTAAGCAGTTTTTCCTGTGTACAGTCTATCTTCACAGATGTTTGGCAGTCCAATGTCATTTTTAATCTCAAACAATTACAATCTATTTTAGTCTAGGCAGATGGCTTTTTTGTCAGTACAACTCTGTCACAACTTCAGCTTCTTATCTGTTTGGTTCCAGACTACTCCAAGTACCAATAGCCATAGCCACTGCCCTCTCTTTACATGCTTCCTATAGTTACTGCATTTCTTTGGCTTCTCACAACTATGCTTCTCCACCTTGACACACACACACACACACACACACACACACACACACACACATCCCTACCTCTTGTTTTTCTACTTCTGTCCCTGAATCCTGCCTTGAATCAATTGCATGTTCTTTGGCCTTGTCAGATATTAATGGGAGAGAACACCTTGAGTTATTTTGCTCAACCAAAAGGATTTCCTGGCATCACTGCCTTGGCTAGACCTTGGCACCTTAGTCTACTCCAAGGCTTTAACAATGAGTAGGTTGGCTGTACCCTTAATTTAATTCTGTTCCTAAGGCTAAATTTTAATCAACCATTGCCACTCAAAGGTCTTCCCAGTTTCATATTTTACTTATTGGGTTCAGAAGCCATTGCCTCTTCCAATCCTATAAGCCCACAAAGTTTTAGATTCTCTTTATTTCTTTTGTTCTTGCTTGCAAACTGGCCAACTCTCATCTGTGCTTATTTCTTTCTTATAGTATTGAACCAACTAACAGCAACCAACATACACTGCTCACATTGTTTTCCAACCTCTTTCTCTAGAGTCTAGAGCAAGGGTTAGCAAACTTTGTGTGCAAAGGTTGAGATAGCGAATATTTTTGTTTTGTGGGTTATATAGTCCTGCAGCAACTACTCAACTCTGCCAATGTAGCACAAAAGCAGCCATAGACCGTGGTTTGTTTTTAACAAACATGGCTGGGTTCCAGCACAACCTTATTTATGAGCACTGTAATTTGAATTTCATATAATTTGTTCATGTCATGAAATAACATTATTTTGATTTTTTTAAGCATTAACAAATTTAAAAATCATTCTTTGATGCAGAATTCTTTGAACTCCCTGATGACGATGACACAAGCATAGCTTACAGAACACTTCTGAAAACTTCAACCAATAAAACCAAAACCAATACATACAACTTTGTAAATGCCAGATAAGAGGTAAGCAAAGAAATCCCTGTTCATTTAGCTAAGGAAAAATATGGATACATTAAAATATGGAAACTATAAAACACAATGACAGAAATAAAGCCCAAACATCACTTATGAAAATAATTGTAAATGAGTAAAGCTCTCGAATTGGTTGAATACGACAAAGTCTATGTAGAAGAGAAAATAAAGTGACACAAATGGTTATACCAGAGATTGGCAAACTATAGCCCACAGACCAAATCCAGCCCAGCCTGTTGCTTGATTCTGTAAATCAAGTTTTATCGGACCATGGCCATGCCCATTTGTTCACAGATATTTTTGTGGCCATTTTCAACCTATAACAGCAGACTCGAGCAGTTAAGACAAAGACTATGTGGCCCACAGAGCTTGAAATATTTATTTGGCTTTTTACAAAAAAAGTTTACTGATCCGATCCGTAGGTTGGACAATAAAAAATAAACTAAGATATGTAACAGAAAGAGGAATTAAATATTTTTAATAAAGTGGACTGAATTGTCAACCTTCATTAAGTGTATAGAAAACTGCTGAGTGTTAAGGGTAAAATGAGCTCAGAGTAGAAAAACCTACATTTTTCAATTTTATTGTAAGCTGCACTATAAACTCCGCAAGGTACAGACTTAATTTCCCAAATCATAATTCTTTCTTTACCAACAATTAAGGTTAAGTATCAGTCTTTCTTTCCATCCAAAGCAATTTTTCAGTGTCTAATTTTCTTCTTTTCAGAGAGTGGTGTTTGAGTGAAACCAGCAACACAGCTGAAGGCATATGAAAAATTTTAGGAAATTATTTATAGTACACATTTACATCATACATGAGAACTCTTAACAATTTCATTAAGCCAAAATGCTTTTAATATGATGTTTTCAAAAATAGGCAAATGTACTGTTTCTCTATATTTATTCTTATGTTGGGTTAAACTTTTTAAACTGCAATCCGAAAACATCCCAGCTCACCTATGTGTAATGTATACTCAGCTCTTTGAATGGCCCGGGGCATTCTATCCCAGTTTGAAAGGAATTCTCCACCTGAGCTGGAGTGGGCTTATTTGTCAGGAGCCAAGCCACTCCTGCTGTAGAAGAAACCCATGCTTTCAACTCTTCTGAATTATCAAAACAAAGAGCCCATGTCTCCATTACATATCTCTTAATTCACTAATTTATTTTGGACCACCTATAAAAGATAATGTATACTTTGATGAGTTCTCCAGGCAATTGATGTCATGAAATAGTGTCTTAATGCAGAATATACTATCCCAACACTCCTAGGACAATTTATTTACTTGGAGCAGGCATGGCTGTGCCACATCCCCGTTCTCCCTCCTAATCATTTATCACACAGATAATTATTGCGTGCCCACTGTATTAGCGTTCTTTGGAGAAAGAGAACCAATAGGAGATACCTAGATAGATATTATATAATATTGTGGGGACTACCAAGTCTTAAATTTGCAGGTCAGGCTGGCTGGCTGGAGACCCAGAGAAGAATTGATGTTGCAGTCTCGAGTGTGGAGGCAAATGCCTTCCTTCTCAGGTCACTCGGTCTTTTTCCCTTAAGGTCTTCAACTTATCGGATGAGGCCCACTCATTTTATGAAGAGTTATCTGCTTTATTCAAAGTCACTGATTTAAATGTTAATGACATTTTTAAAAAATACCTTCACAGCAACATCGAAATTGGTATTTGACCAGAGACACCCCAGCCTAGGCAAATTGACATATAAAATTAACTATGACACCCAACTCTGTTCCAGGCACTGAGGATACAGTGGTAGATAAGACTGACAGACCCATAGTCTCAAGTAGCACACACAATACAAGTTCATAGAGCAAAACTGAATTAGTATAAATACACAGAGAAATAATACATGTGCAGACATTAAATGTGGGGAGAGCATAACGACTTGGTGATTGCAGTTAGGCAAACTTGGCCTTGTGGTCAGTCACTGATGGGGGACAGGTGTGCTCTCCCAGGGCTCAGCTCTTACATCTCCTCCAGGAAGTACATCACCGTAGGACTCAGCAACATTCCCCGTGGGCCATCTTTACTGTGTGTGCTGCTCATTTGGGCTAGCAAGGGTTGGCTCTCCCACACAGTGTACATGCAGCCTTAGAAGCACGTAGGGGAAAAATGCTCAACAGAGGAGCTTTTATGTTCTTTCTGCTTCTACTGACGGTCTTCACTTTTCTCCTACTTTAATCTTTTTGCAGGACTCACTGAGAAAATAGACCAAAATATACACCCCTGTGGAAGTGTCATTCAATTTAGTTACCAAGACTCGGTTGACATTTCCCTGGTGACAGGCCCAGCAAATTTCAATTTTGCCCTGAGTTGCATATTGTCTATTTTTCTTCACCGGGGTCAGTCTTAAGACTTTGCATCACTACCAGTCCCTTTTGCAAAACACGTTGGTCCCATTTGACCCAAAAGTGATCTTTGTAATGATATAATCTCCTCGAGCCCTTCCTGGATATATCATAATATGTTTATGATCTAGAAGGAAATAGGAATGCTATGTTAACCAATAGCTGAACAACTGTTAAGAAATTACTCAAGTATCAAGAGTAACTGGCTACTGGGAATTTTGAGAGAAAGGGTTTGTCAGGATAATCTGATTTTATTGGAACTCTACAAGCTCCGTAGCCGGGAAGAGGTGACTCACCAAGTGGGGTCAGCTCTTCCGGGCACTTTAAGCCGTGATTTGCTTTCTGTCTTCTATTGTTTCTCCTATAATCATATATTTTCCCTTCTAATGTTAAATTACTGGGTTTTAAACCTTATTACATATTGATTTTGCCTACTGTCCCTCAGTTCCAGTCTCTAGTCTCCAACCCCAACCTGGTAACTTCTCTCTGACCCCTAATGTCTTTCATTGTTTCAATTTTGTTTTTCTTCACCGGGGACCATATCTGACTCACTTAAATACAGTAATTCAACACAAAGAACCCAAGCTCCTGCTGTTGTCAAATATCTTTCAAGGACAAAACCCCAGTCATTGTACATAAATGAGAAGAAAGAGATATCATTTATAATGAGCTTAAAATATCTGATTCTGTCTCATACCATACGCTTATCATTACATTAGGCCTACTCTATTTAAGTCATAAAATTGTTTTATGTGCTTAATTCTGTAACATTTCCCTCCTCATATGACCATCATCTTAATGTATTTAATTAGCATGACCCTTTGGCACCTTTGTAAATTTGGGCATTGCACATTATTATCCAAGTAACGAAGAAGTCAGGGGAAAAGTGAACAGAGAGAAATTGCCTAGGAGTCCCTAAAGAAGTTCTCACATCATGTTACAGGTCAGACTATATTATAAAGGAACATGGCTTGCAACTAGCTGCAGTATTCCGTATACAGAGGTACTTTTAAAAGTTTTAAAAGGATAGATAGGCATTATTGGAATTAAATCCTTAAAAAAAAAACCCTGAAATTATAAGAGCTACCTGTGTCCAAGGACCAGGCTACTGAAAGATCTCCCTAGTAGAAAGTTTCAATTTATTTTTTCTCAGCAAGATAAAAAGCACCTATTTAAACTATTAAATTAAGGGGATCAAAATTGAAAGAAAGATTCATTGATGGATCATTTCTAATGCTGAGAACATAGCGTTTTAAGTAATTTCTTCCATAATGAAAATTCTTCAAACATTGGGATTATATCTTCTGCTTTTTTTCTTTCTTGCAGTTTTCTTTATATTGTTCATTTGTATCTTTCTTTTTATTGACTGATTTCTATCCTTCATGGTACTTTGTTGCTAGCCCCCCATCAGAAGGCATTCATTAAATAATGAATGAGTGGGTATAAAAACGAGGAGAGACGGTGACTTCAAGGAGTGGAGCAGACCTTTCCAGCTGGCCTTGAACTAGACACAGATGACCATAGTGATGTTGTCATCATGTGTTTCCATGTTTGCTAATTAGATAAGAATAAGTTCTAAAGAATGTTCTCACATGCATTGTCCATTGGATTAAAATGAAGGAAGTAATGTTGGTAGTGATCGAGAGCCAGAAGAGTAGCTTAGCTGTTTGTTCAGCTACTGTTGCTGATATATAATACAGTTGGATGTTGTGGAAAACATTGCTTATTTCTACAGAATCTTATTGAAAAAAAACTGCTGACCTGTGACCAGGGTTCATTTCAGAGGATTATGTGCATTATCTGCCAAGGAATTTCCTCAGGCATCCTTACAATTGAGTTTCTGTTTCTGGAAAGTAGATGTACTAAGGATTAGAACATTTTTTCTGTATTTTCTCCTTTTCCCAGGTACTCAGAGGAACACATAAGCTTTGTAGACCATTAAATTATTTTGCTTTATATAACATAAGTTTGGAGTGAAAAAATGGTAATAAGTCATAAAGATTAAGAAAATAAATTAACTTACTTGACTGTAGTAATCATTTCACTATGTATATGTACTTCAAAACATGATGTTGTAGGTCTTAAATATATTTTTTAAAAAGAAAACAAATTGAATAATAAGGCAGACATACCTCACACCCACCGGTTACACTCTCCATCTCCCTTACTTTTTCTTTTTTTTCACCTTCCTACATGCTATTTAATCACTTTTTTTGAGATGGAGTCTTGCTCTGTTGCCCAGGCTGGAGTGCAGTGATGCGGTCTCAGTTTACCACAACCTCTGCCTCTCGGGTTCAAGCGATTCTCCTGCCTCAGCCTCCCGAGTAGCTGGAATTACAGGTGCTCACCACTGCACCCAACTAATTTTTGTATTTTTTTAGTAGAGACAGGGTATCACCATGTTGGCCAGGCTGGTGTTGAACTCCTGACCTCAGGTGATCCACCCACCTTGGCCTCCCAAAGTGCTGTGATTACAGGCATGAGCCACAGCACCCAGCCAATCATTGTTTTAACTATCGACAATCTGTCTCCCTCTGCTAGAATATAAGCTGCAAAAGGGCAGGCCCCTTTGCTTTCATTACTGATTGTATTCCAGGTGCCCACAATATCCACTATTTACTCATGTAATCAATTTCACATGGTAATTCTGCAATAAACATAAAGAATTTTTTAATTGGGATTTTTATTTTACATAATATATGAGTTCTACAAACTGTGCTCATAACCAAGGGGTGGCAAACTTTTTCTGTAAAGGACCAGGCAATAAGTATTTCAGGCTTTGCAAGCTGCAAGGTCTCTGTCACAAATATTCAACTCTGCTGTTGTAGTGCAAAAGCAGCCATAGGTGACATGTAAAAATATGAACATTGCTGTGTTCCAATACAACTTATCTATAGGTGCTGAAATTAGAATTTCATTTAATTTTCAGTGTCATGAAATATTCTTTCCCCCCACCCCCCCGCCCCATCTATTTAGAATGTAAAAACCATTCTTAGCTTGTGGGCTAGATTTGGCTCATGGGCCATAGTTTGACAACTTCTGATATAAACTATCCTTCACAAACCAAATCATCCTGTAAGTGAAAGAGGGAGGCTGTAGCAGGAGTTGTTGAGGGTAGGGCATCGTGGAATATGCCTCAGTGCCTCTCCACACTGACCAAACAGGAGAACTTGGCAAATCTGATGAGTTTACATTATTTTTCACTCCTTAATGGGGAAGTTGAAGGGCTCATAATAGGAATCACAGAAATGTCAACAAGGACATCCTTGTAACTTGTGATTGCATTATTAATATTATCATCAATCAAGGATTTCTTGGCAATAATCTTTTTTAAGCCACATGTCCTTCTTGTGAAGTTCAGTTTCGTTGAACTGGAATGATATAATCTATAAACCCATAGAACCCAGCTCAGGCAAGCTGCCACAGGCCACAATATGCCGAGAGCAAAAGACCTAGTGAGGGTGCCACAGCCAAGCCCTCCACATCCCTCGGGGTGACCACAAATGGCCTGTGACCTTTCGACACAGGACCTATGTCAACATTAACCCATATATTAAATACAGTAAAGCGGAATGCAATTCTTGCATTTCAAACAAAAATATGGTAGAAGGGTAATATTTTCTTCCTGCACCTCAATGGCAGGTTTAGTCCCTGACCTCTCTTATAAGATCACTAATCTGGTATATGACTAGCTAACAAAGCATAAGTAAAGCCACACCTACATAAAACCAGAGACAATACTCTATTTCAAGCTACAGTAATTATTTAGAACATGCTAGATCTACTTTCTTGTTTCACCTCCTTCCTCCCTTCCCTGCTTAGCAGTAGCACTGAAGGTGTTACTCACAGAGCAGCTCTTCTCAGGTCCTCAGTTGATCCTGATGGGGAAGAAGTGCACTAAAGCCTCACTGTCATCAATGGGCGACATTTGGAATGGGTCATTTTTCCATCTGTACTGTGCCAAACTTTAGTCATCTCCATGCTCTCCTAGCTCCATTCACATCCTTACTTCCCTAAGATCAATGAGATCCCTGCTCTTCTGCAGCATCAGCTTAGCAATATATTTACTCCAGATCCAGACCAATCTTTACTCCCCTCTTAAGTACTGCTGGAGAAAAACTACATCTATGGGATATTGATACATCTGCAATGCTCCAGTTTCCACCTTCAATGCTGCATGGCAATTCATGCATTCATTCAATAAATATGTACCAGTGCATACTCCATGCCAGTCCTGCCTACTGGGAATACATCAGCATACAAAATGGACAACTATGGAATTTACATTCTAGTAATAAGAGGCCAACATGGAACTGAATAAAATAATAAAATATAGAATATTTTTAAAGCTGACAATGGTATAGGGACAAATAGAGTGAATTAAGGAGGATCAGAAGTGATAGAGCAGGCAGGATGAGCAGGGAGGCTGCAATTTTAGACAGGGCCCTCATGATGGGACTCACCAGGGATTTTGTATTGTCTCATGTCAGCTCCCTCTCACATTCCTCTCAGTAGCTCCCTCCAGTCTTCTAGCTTTCCTGAAATCCCACAAAGAGCTGGGCATGGTGGTTCATGCCTGTTGTAATCCTAGCACTTTTGGAGGCCAAGGCTGGAGGATCACTTCAGCCCAGGAGTTTGAGATCAACCTTGGCAGCATAGCAAGATGCTATCTCTACAAAAAATAAATGAAAAATTAGTTGTGCATAGGGGTGCACACTGTAGTCCTAGCTACTCAGAAGGCTGAGGTGGGAGGACTGCTTGAGCCCAGAAGTTTGAGGTTACAGTGAGCTATGATCATGCCACTGCTCTCCAGCCTGGGTGCCAGAGCCAGACCTTGTCTGTAAAAATAAACAAACAAACAAAAATTACCCTTTCTGAGACCCCATCCACAGCTCCCATCTCCTTCAGAACACCACTTTACCTCCTACATCATTAAAAAAATTGAGGCAATCAACTATGAGCTGACTCAAACTCCTGTATCATCTACCCTTGCATCAAACTTCCCTCCAGTCTGGGAGGAGACCCTTCTCAGGGTCAAGGCCAGCATCCCCATTAGGAGCCTTGGAATCCACCTCCTCCTCCTCCTTCTCTGGGTTCCACCACAATTATGCCTCCTCCCTAACATCTTCAACCTGACCCACTTTCTTAAGAATTCTCCCTCAGGCTGTGAAGAAAATCAAGCAAGAATCAATCATTCTCTCTTTACCCTGCAAACTTTTTGACTATTATCTTATTTCACCCTTTTCTATTTAAACAAGCTTTTGTATTCCCAGATCCTTGGTCTCACTTTTCTTTCACACTTAACCACAGAAACTTGGCTTCTCTTGCACATTTCTTTGTTTGAGCTACTTGTGTTAGGGGTTAAATGAAAACAAAAAGCTATTTCTATAACTCAGACCCTGGACTGGCTACATAATTCTCAGGATTCAGTGCAAAATAGAAATGCAGGACGTTTTGCCTAAAATTCACTAAGAATTTAAAGACACTAATGGCAGAGTAGTGCCAACTGCCAGGTCCGGACAGCAGGGCCATGGGACAGCACACGTCATGCACCCATGGAGCTAATTCTGGTCAGACCTTTCTACTGGACTCCTTGCTACTTCTAACAACACAGACCACCACTCCAATACAATTTTATCCTTTCTGACTCCCAGAAGCAGAACAGTGCATTATTTAGAGCAGGTGTCCCCAGCCTTTTTGGCAACAGCGACCAGTAACATGGAAGACAATTTTTCCACTGACTGGTGGGGGTTGGGGGATGGTTTCGGGATGATTCAAGAACATTACATTTATTGTGCACTTTATTTCTATTATTATTACATTGTAATATATAATCAAATAATTATACAACTTGCCATAATGTAGAATCAGTGGGAGCCCTGAGCTTGTTTTCTTGCAACTAGATGGTCCCATCTAGGGGTGATGGCAGACAGTGACAAATCATCAGGCATTAGATTCTCATAAGGAGAATGCAACCTAGGTCCCTCACATATGCAGTTCACAATACGGTTCATGCTCCTATGAGAATCTAATGCTGCTGCTGATCTGATGGGAAGTGAAGTTCAGGCAGTAATGTGATCTATGGGGAGCAGCTGTAAATACAGCTGGAGCTTTGCTCCAGCAGACCACTTACCTCCTGTTGTGTGGCGTGGTTCATAACAGGCCATGGGCCAGTATCGGTCCATGGCCCTGGGGTTGGGGATCCCTGATTTAGAGTACAAACTGAAGAGCCATTCCATTGGGATTAAATACTCACTCTGCCACCTGCTAGCTGTGAGATATTGGCTCTCTCTGGACCCAAAATTTCATGGTTGTTAAATTTGGATAAAAATTGCATTATTGGAGGACAAAATTAATTAACGAATAAAAAAGCATTAGGAATAAAGCCTAATCGCTATCATCATCAACATCCACATCCTCATCATCTTCATCATCACTTTCCTGGTTCTCTTACCTCTTGGATCATTCATTTTTAGTTGCCTTTACAACCTCCTCCTGCCATTTAAATGTTGACCTACTCCTCTTTTCAGTAGATGTTCCCCATTTAAGCAATTTTACCCACTCTTTTGGTTTTAACTATCATAACAGCATATGTTTATGAATCTCAGATCTACATCCTAACTCCAATCATTCCACAGTACACTCAGATCCATATATCCAACTCTCTGCTGTAAGCACACACCAAACTTACCATGTGTAAAATGGAATGCATTGCCTTCCTTCCTTCCCTAACCACCAAAGCCATGGCCTTATGTGATCCCTGCCCTCCCTTGTAGAGCACCTTAATATACCTGGATCATGTTATGTTATTGGTTTATAGGTCTGTATTTGTCACTAACAACAAACTTTTTGAAGATAAGGACTGTATCTTATTCAGGCTTCTACCTCAATACCTAACCCAGTACGTGGCTCAAAACCTGACTATTGAACTGAAGGCAATGATTTTCTACTTAGCAATTCCTTTCTCCAAAGGAAGTGGAGCCAATCTAAATTTCATTCCACCTGACCGGCATCAAGACATTCTGCCTCAGGCACAACTCCAAGGGACTGGTGGTTATTCTCTATACTTTAATATTATCCCAAATAGATGTTGTCTCATCCAGAGCTATTTTATCACATGCTTATTGGAATCTGAATCTTACTGTCTAGAAACACTAATGGCCATGCTCTATTCATTGGACAAAACCCCCAGAATATGAATAAGATTCTTAGCATTAAATGCATTTTGGCTTCTTCTGATTAAATATTTTCTTTAAACCAGAGGCAATAATATTTGAGATCTCTAGGAGATTTCCTCAACAAAACATAAAAGTTGTAAGTTGGTCTTTATTGATTTGGCCACCCATATGCTAGCAGCCATAGCTTGCCAGTGTAGAGGTGCTTTTCTTTTGAGACCCAAAAAAGCTCACTGTGAATTCATCTTCTGTTGGGCCTCTTGTTTTATAACAATCCATTTGTACAAATATTTGGATTGGCACCAAATAAGGTGTGATACACTATTATTTTGTATTACTTAAAAAATATATATGTATAACTTACTAAGTTCTGTTCACTTATGATATTAAATATGATTATTATGAAGATTAAAATTGCTGTTAAAAATCTGAAGGAAATCTGGACAAACTTACAGTATTGTGGGTTTTTAAAATAAATTTTTGGGGTAGAAGTGTAATTTTGTTGCATTGATGTATTGCATAGTGGCGAAGTCTGGACTCTTAGTGTATCCATCACTGGAGTCATGTACATTGTGTCCATTATGTAATTTCTCATCAAGTATTGTCTATTAATGACTCACTAAAGCAAAAACTTTCCACAAAAGCTCCTCTAGGAAAGGAAATCTAGTTCATCCATGGTCCTGCACTGTGCTTTCGTCTATTATATGGAACACTGAGCACAACATCTTGTGAAAAGCCTTAACAAACTGGAGCAGGTCAAGAAAAGATGACCAGGATAGTAATGGGATTTCAAATCACAAGATATGGGGAATCATTAAATAAGGGAATATTTCATAAAGGAAAAGAAAAATTGAAAGTGGCTTTCTCAAACATTTGAGAATTGTCTTATAAAGAACATGCACTTATTCTATGTCATCTCAGAAGACAAAACTAGGATTGATCAGTAGACATGGTAGAGAAATACATTTCAGCTCAAAGTGAAGAAGATTGTTCTAGTAATCAGAGCTGCCTGAAAATGAATGGGCTGGCTTAGGAAGTTACAAGATCCCCATTTCTAGAGAGTGTTAAGGAAGGAATGGGTGGCCCTTACTCAGGGATGCGATAAAGGACTTTCAGACGTACATGGGAGCTGATTGATGACTCTTACAAAATTCTGGGAGTCTCTAACAAAAACAGATTTCTGAGCCTCCATAAGGGATATCTCATTTTCCCCAGAGTCTGAATTTTCTATTATACCCCAAGAAATTGGTTTGGTCTCATGTATACCAGCCAAAAAGCAGTTGAGACTGATCAATGAATTAGGAAACACAAATGCCGTTTATGTGGTGAGTTACCCTGCATGCACATATGTTCATGGGGATGAATTTGTAATAAAACAATATTTATTCATATATATATATATGCACATATACATGGAGAGATACATACATATACATGAGAGTATAAATACATAAATATGTGTTAAACTAGATCTTAATAGTATATAAATAAAAGAGAACTTTGTAGAAATTATCAAAAGTCCCTGCGATCTAAATGATTAAGAGACTTCTAGCTCTAACAACCTAGTAGATTGAGCCAACATGGACAACTATTCACCTCTTTCCACTACAAACAAACATGAAAATATGAGCGCACAAAGTGAATTCAAAAAAAAGAACAGGAAATTTCTGGATTCAGAAGTGAAGAAGGAAATTGAAGTCAGAGCAGTAACTTCATAATTTCATGTCCAAATGGCCAAAGGAAATACCATGCTTAAAGAGGCCCTGTGGACTCCAGACTAGAATTTGAAACCCCAACTGAACACATGGACCATGTGACATGGGGATTTCAAAGTATAATCCCTGCATATAGCCAAGAGCTTAAGGGAGCTTAAGGGAAGCTTAAAGGGAAGACACCACTGTGAGTAAAATGGAGTATAGAATAACTTTGACCTTTATCACAGGGAATTATCAAGAAGATTAATTTTATATGGGTTTCTGAATTAGGAAAATAAGCTCCCAAGAGAAACAGAAACTTCAGGCCTACAACATACATGAGTATGGAGACCAAATTTACACTCTCCACATGGTATTTAAAGTTCCAAGGCAAGAAATTGACAGATTCCAAAATAGCTAGAGTATATGGCAATCAATAGCAGGTATAGAATTTCTTTTATATACATGAAAGTATAAGGAACTCCCAAAGGAAAAAAAAAATCTCCACTGAAGGTGAGATCAAATTTTCAAACCATGTAAATGGAAATTATCTAAGATGAGACAGTGCCAAAAACAGGATAATTAATACCTCAAATATTTGAGATAGTAGGACAATTTCAAATCCAAGACAACGGAACAATCTCAGAACAATAGAACAATATCAAGGAAACAAAAAAGGAATTTAAAATTATTAAAAAGACAGAAGAACAAATATGTCATAAGAAAAACAATATAAAAAAGAAAAAATAGTATTTCTATTAAAAAATCAGAAATTAAACTAGACATAGCTGAAAAACAAATCAGAGAACTAGAAGATACATTGAAAGAATTATCGATCTGCAATGTGAGAAATAAAGTGATATAAACATTAAAGAAAAACTTGGGACACATTGGGAATGATGTCCTAAGAAGAATGATTTCTTATGTGTCCAAGAAAGCTGAATATATAATTAATAGAAAGTCCAGAAAGAAACAATTAAAAGAATGGCAAAAAGGCATATTTCAAGACTACTAACATAAATCTTCATATTGAATAGTTTTGAGCAAATAAGTTTTAAAATAAATTCCAACGCAAAGGTATTATAATGAAAGTTTATCATACTTATAAGAGGCAGGAGGCAGACAAATGCCCAGGCAGAAAGGGGTGGGTCCCAGTGAAACCTGACCTTCGAGCCAGAAAGTGACCGAGATAAACCCTCAGACGAGACTGAGAACCCGCCTTACCATTTGGTGCATTTTCCTCTGATTGCTCCCCATCCTTCACCTATTATACATATTCTCACCCTTTCCTAATTGGTTTTCTACCCTGCCATGCCCACCTTTGAGTGAGGTCTTCACTTCGACCTTTTTTGCATACTCACAAGCCAATCAGCATACACTCCCTAATTCTGAGCCCATAAAAAGCCCCGGGCTCAGCCATATTGGGAGAACTTTCCTGTCTTCAGGTAGGAGACCACCCACCATGTCCCCTCTTTTTGCTGAGAGCTTACTTTTAACTTAATAAATTCTACTCCACTCACTCTTTCATGCCCACATGCCTAATTCCTCCTGGTTGTGAGACAAGAACCCAGACCTAGTTGAGCTAAGGAGCAAAATTCCTGCATTAATATTAGGAGCAAAGAAAACAATCTTAAATATACTCAGACGTGGGGAAAAAATCCACCATAAGCAAAGGAACAATAATTATATTGGCATATTTCTTATCGGCATAAAAAGAGAGGAGAAAAATATCTTTAAAGTGTGAGGGAAAAACAGCTCCAAAATTTAAAATTCTATCCTTAGCTAGACTATAATTCAAGAGGGCAAAATAAAGCTTTAGTTCTGGGGAGTGTTTCTGGGTTTTTTTTGTTTGTTTTTTATTTTATTTTTTTACAATGATTGAGAGATTATCATTCACAGATCCAAAGAAGGAAACAATGGGATGCAAGATGCAACCACGTACAAAGCACTAACAAACAAACAGTTTATGAAATAATTACCTAAAATCTAATGTAAATTATAACTGGTAATTTAAATAGGTGGGAGTAAAATATCTGAAAACAGTAAGTTGGAATAAGTGAAAACTGGGGGAGTAAATAGTAATCAGAAATAAAGTGTTCTGAGGTTCTTACATTATTCACTGGCTGCCATGATTCCTCAGGTATGCATATTAAAATTTAAGAGTAATCAGCAAACAAACAGAAATAAAATATGGGCTTCCAAACCAGTAGAAGGAAAGAGCATAGGTTGCATTAAAAAAAAGAGAAAGAAATGCAATAAATCAAACTGCAAGACAAAAAGGGAAAAAATTAACAAAGAAAAGACATGGTAAATAGAAAACACAACCTGATAAGGCAGCAATAAATTAGAATATATCAGTAATTCTAAAAAAAGTACAAATAAGCCAAATTTTAATTGTAAAAGTACCATGCCTAATTAAACACTTAAGTGTGAAAGAATTCTTGCAGTGGAGAGTAGGTAAAGTTGATAAGCACACAATAGTGTAGACTGCTAAGTGTACATATGCACATTACGTTTCGTATATTACATATGCGTGCCACCTCCAGGAGAGTGGTCATCTTTGGGGAATGGTGAAGAAGGGAAATTAAGGGTGAGCAGAATATGGAGCCTTAGCTCTTACTTCAAATAGTATTCTGAAACATGCATGGCAAAATGGCAATACATGTTAAATCTAGCTGGTGAGTTTAAAAATACCTTGTATCCATGCTTCCCAATTATTTTGACTTCATGGCCCACATTGGAAATAAAATGTTCATAACACAATGGGTGAACATACAGAGGTGCTGGAAGTTTAATGTGACAGGCCAAGAAGAGCCAGCAGCTCCAGGACACTTCTCACCTGCACCGTGGACTCAGAGATTTATAACATCCCAGCACACCCATCACCCATTTCCCACTCCCCAGCATCCTCCTGCACACAGTTGGGACACTCTGCTTTATATTATTTTTTACACTTTTCTATATGCTTGAGCTACTGAAAAGGCAATTGGACAAGAAGATATATTGATCCAGAGTTCTCAGCAGAAGATTCCCAACAAAATAGGTTGGACAAAAGTGGATGATAGATAGTAAGATTTCTTCCTAAGCAGGACAAAACTAGAGCTGTGTGGGTTGTGCTCCTTTAAGCCTTCACAGCAGAAGTGGTGGAGTTTCAGCTGGACTGAGTCTGTGTGGAAGCAAGTTGCTGTGGTAACGTGTGTGACAGTGCAGAGGGCCACAGATGAAGAAGCCAGAATGGGGCCTGGGGGATGAGTTCTAGTGGTAGGGACCATAATGAAATGCCTGAGCACTGGAGGCAAAGACTTGGAGCTGGCTCTGCTATTTTAATGCATCTTTAACTTGCTTCTAAAAGAGAGTTTATTTCCCATGCATAGACATAAAGTGATACATCATGCTAATGGCAGGGAAATTTAAGTAGAAAGCCTACTGACTACTTATTTTTGGAGGCATTAAATACTGGCCCTCTCTTTTTAGACATCATAAGCCATTTCATGATGTTACTGCTTGCAATTTCTTCTCTATTCTCATTTTGTTCCCTTATCGTTATAACACAGATGAGTGACATGGGTTCTGTATGTAAGGATCTCATCCTCCAAGACAGTGGTCCCCACCCTTTTTGGCACCAGGGACTGGTTTCATGGAAGACAGTTTTTCCACAGACTGGTAGGGGTAAGGGATGGTTTTGGGATGATTCAAGAGCATTACATTTATTGTGCATTTTATTTCTATTAGTATTACATTGCAATATATAATAAAATAATTATACAACTCACCATAATGTAGAATCAGTGGGAGCCCTGAGCTTGATTTCCTGCAACTAGATGGTCCCATATGGGGGTGATGGGAGACAGTGACAGATCATCAGGTATAGATTCTCATAAGGAGCATGCAACCTAGATCCCTCACATGTGCAGTTCACTATAGGGTTTAAACTCTTATGAGAATCTAATGCTGCTGCTGATCTGACAGGAGGCAGAGCTCAGAAGGTAAGGTGAGTGATAGGGAGTGGCTGTAAATACTGATGAAGCTTTGCCAGCTTGCCCACTGCTCACGTCCTCCTGGCCCAGGGGTGTGGGGAACCCTGCTCTATGAGAGGATATAAATATATAAGAAATATAAAAATACAGGAAATTATTTACAAAATACAGGGAAATAAAATGTTCCCCAGATACAGATATAGCACAGAGGAGAGCTCTGAGCAAGTGATCTTGGAGAAGACTTTCCTAAGTGGGGGAGGCACAAGCGGTGGTGGTGGTGGTAAAGGTGAACCGGGGCCAGAGAGAAGGAATCAGGATAGCACAGCAGATGTGGCAACAGTTCTCAAATCTGCACTAAGTCACTATTTCTTTGAATGTTTCCTGTGAGATTAAGTTCTTAATTCGTAGTTTATTTTCCCTCATACAAAACTTTAGCCCAATTCTGCCCTGTGAAGTCAACCGTGATACTGCTTTTAGAAAATATTGACAGCATGCAAATTTCCACGACTGTGTCAGACTTGCTAATACCAAGCAGAGGGGAAAGATAAACAAGGAGTCCTGTTTGTCTATGAACCATCACAAAAAGATAAACTTAATTCAGCTGAGAGCAGAGTAGACAGTGCCTTTACTCTTAGCATTTCAGACTATAGAAATACATTTCTTTGCCAAACCAAGAACTTTAAAATCAAATTTAACTTCTCTTCTAACTTAAAGTTAGTTTTATTGCATTTTATATTTCAGAAACAAGAGTTTTTGTAAATGCTTTCAGAAAAAAAAATGTTTATCAGTAGTAACTGCATGGTTATCGCTTTCTTTTTCCATACCTACATCCAAAAGAGTAGCGTGAGGCATCAGCACGAGAAAAGCAGGTATGAGAGATGATGTTTGCTTTCAATAGGACGGGGGGCCGGGGAGAAGCCCATAGGTGTAAGATTCCATGCTTTTCTGTGATTTATACTTTAGGTGTAGATATGGCTCAAAGGCATGAAGAGAGAGTTTGCTCCATGGATCTTTTTGGAAGGAGAAAAACAACACCGAGAAGAAAATGTAACATTTTAGATGTACAGGAAACTGTCATTTGAAAATGTCTGTGAATTGAATAAACCAGTGATGTCCTTCATCTCCTACAAATTCTGAAGCATAGAACAGAAATATAGTATAAGAAAGAATGTTCTCACTCATAGGTGGGAATTGAACAATGAGAACACATGGACACAGGAAGGGAACATCACACACCCGGGCCTGTTGTGGGGTGGGAGGAGTGGGGAGGGGGGAGGGATAGCATTAGGAGATATACCTAATGTTAAATGACGAGTTAATGGGTGCAGCACACCAACATGGCACATGTATACATATGTAACAAACCTGCACGTTGTGCACATGTACCTTAAACCTTAAAGTATAATAAAAATAAATAAATAAAAAATAAAAAAGTATAATTTAAAAAATAAATAAATAAAATAAACAAATTAATAAAAAAAGAAATACAAAAAAAAAAGAAAGCACAAAGTCCGACACTTGCAGCAATGGAATGCTAAGTTTTACATTACTTGGTTAAATTAGAATGTATGTTCAAAGAGCTTCTGTTCATTTGAATTTTTTTCTGTTTGCTTTTACATTTCTGATTTTATCAGTTAATCATATGTTGAGATTTTTTTCCCATTACAAAATTTTCATTCTGCTGTTGTATGTCATAGAGTGTTGACTGATAAAAGGATATCCTATTATGTGGTGCTGTTACAAAATGCCTCTATATAGAGCAAGTGAAGATTAGCGGGAAGGAAGAGAAGGTTATAGTGATAGGCAGAATTCTAAGATGACCCTAGTGACCCCTGCCCTTTATTTCCCTTCTCTGAATGGTGGGTGGAGATTGTGACTATGACAGGAGCTCACTTCCAAGGGCAATTCAACAAATATTTATTTAGCGCCCAGAATAGGTACCATGTCACAACTTGTATTAAGAGAACAGTTAGGCAGGGCACAGTGACTCACACCTGTAATTCCAGTTCTTTGGGAGGCCAAGGTGGGCGGATCACTTGAGGTCAGGAGCACCAGACCAGCCTGGCCAACATGGTGATACCCTGTCTCTCCTAAAAATACAAAAATTAGCCGGGTGTGGTGGTGCACGCCTGTAAACCCAGCTACTTGGGAGACTGAGGCAGGAGAATCACTTGAACCCAGGAGGCGGAAGTTGCAGTGAGCCGAGATCACATCACTGCATTCCAGCCTGGGTGGCAGAGTGAGACTCTGTCTCAAAAAAACAAAAACAACAACAACAAACAAAAAACCAGTTAAGTGAAATGAGGAAATTTCTTTGGTGAAAGAGAAGGCTAGATAAGGTGACAGTTGTCTCAAAGTCATCATACGGAAAACAGAATAGAAGCACAGAACAAGGACTATTGTATATAAGAGAAGCAGGTGTTAATGTAAGGTAAGAAAGAACTTTCTAATAATCAGAGCTTTTTGAAAATGAATATACTGTCTATGAAACAGCAGCAGCCTCATCATGGTGTGTGGTTGAGACTTGATAAACGAAGTGAGCTGTACTGTAAAGAGGATTCCTAAGCTTGTTAAAAAAATGGACTAGATGACTTTTAAATTTCCCTTTCAACTCAAAGATGTGGGTCTAAAATTCTTCCTAGGTTGTAAGTGAGAGCCCAAAATCTAGGTATTTAATAACGACCATTTTTACTTGTTTTATGTTTATGTATTTTGTATAGAAAGGTATATAGATTAAAAACACCATCACTCATAGTTCTCTCACATGAGTTTAATAATTAGTAACAATCTGATATATTTCTTCTGTAATTTTTATCTTATTTTGTTTTCTCATAAAAGTTATATGCCTTAAATGGACATTTTCATTGTCTACACTATAATTTTTCTTAATATTAAATTATCTAAAAAGATACAAAGGTTTTGACTTCTGACTAGTGAATTAATGAGATTGTTTATTTCCCAACATATTTGTTATACTTTTCCCAGCCAATGAAAATGATTTCATTTGAGTGGTCTTTAAAATATGTCAATTAGCATTAAAATGTATTGCAGACCAATATTAGTAGGTAAATTATAAATACCATCACATTAGACATGGTCCCAGCCCATCCCTAAAAGGCTCATGGCAATTTTTTAAATCCAAATTGTAAGACTCATGGGAAGGGATTATACATTAACTAATCTGATAACCTATACATATCTTCAAGTTGCTGTGGAATGACTGTTTTCAAGAAGAGAGAAGGAGCCAATATATCTACTTTCATTAAGAAGCTGAAATTAAATTTGGATTTCCTTCTTTCCAAAGGTTGGTCTCTCATCTTTGCCTTATACTATATATTGTTTTGTGGTGGGAAACGTGGGGATAGGCATTAACATATTTTATCTAATTATAATTACATGATGTAGTATTCTGATTGCCCGACTATGTTAGCAAGTAAAAGAAAAGTAGGGAAGTTTAGAAATTAATTCATTCACTCAAATTTTATTCTGTAGATATTTATTAGCTATAAGTCTCAAATCTCTAGGTGCTTATTATTCAATCAAGATAAGACAGGATAATAACTAATAAAATGATATGGGAAATGCAATGATAGAGATGTATGCAAAACACTGTATGGTCACCAAGATGGTTGGGCTTAATGATGCCTGAGAAGTTTGGGGAAGGTTTTACATAGGAAATAACCAAGAGAAAGGGGAGGTCACTTCTGCAGTGTAAACAGCATTTTCAACAAATGACATTTTCATGAAGAAACGGCATGAGTTTACAAAGTCACTACAAATGATTCAGCAAGATTGAAGCACTGTTCGCATGTTGAAGGGGGCCAGCCCCTCCACACCTGTGGGTATTTCTCATCAGATGGGACGAGAGACTGACAAAAGAAATAAGACACAGAGACAAAGTATAGAGAAAGAAAAGTGGGCCCAGGGGACTGGCGCTCAGCATACGGAGGACCCGCACTGGCACCGGTCTCTGAGTTCCCTCAGTATTTACTGATTACTATTCTCACTATCTCGGCAAGAGGAATGCAGCAGGCGAACAGGGTAACAGTGGGGAGAAGGTCAGCAAGAAAACATGTGAGCAAAGGAATCTGTGTCACAAATAAGTTTAAGGGAAGGTACTATGCCTGGATGTGCACATAGGCCAGATTTATGCTTCTCTCCACTCAAACATCTCAGTGGAGTAAAGAGTAACAGAGCAGCATTGCTGCCGGCATGTCTCGCCTCCCTCCACAGGGCGGTTTTTCTCCTGTCTCAGAATTGGACAAATGTACAATCAGGTTTTATACCGAGACATTCTGTTCCCGGGGCAGGCAGGAGACAGAGGCCTTCCTCTTATCTCAACTGCAAGAGACCTTCCTCTTTTACTAATCCTCCTCAGCACAGACCCTTCATAGGTGTCAGGCTGGGGGATGATCAGGTCTTTCCCATCCCACAATATCTCAGGCTATCTCAGGGAGAAGAAACCTTGGACAATACCTGGCTTTCCAGGGCAGAGGTCCCTGTGGCTTTCCACAGTGCATTGTGCCCCTGGTTTATCGAGAATGGAGAATGGCGATGACTTTTACCAAGCATACTGCCTGTAACATATGGTTAACAAGGCACATCCTGCACAGCCCTAGATCCCTTAAACCTTGATTCCATAAACACATGTTTCTGTGAGCTCAAGGTTGGGGCAAAGTTACAGATTAACAGCATCTCAGGGCAAAACAATTGTTCAGGGTACAGATCAAAATGGAGTTTCTTATGTCTTCCTTTTCTACATAGACACAGTAACAGTCTGATCTCTCTTTCTTTCCCCTACATATCCCCCTTTTCTTTTTGACAGAACTGCCATAGTCATCATGGCCCATTCTCTTTGGTCTCTGTCTCTTCAGAGCTGTTGGATACACCTGTAGACTAACAACAGACAGAACAGGCATACAAGGATTAATACACAATGTACAATAGTGGAACTTTTGATAGTTTTAACCCAAGTGATGGGGTTAAGATTTGTAAGGCCATCAGTAGCCTTTACGATTGCCTCAGTTCCTGGCACCAAATTTAAATGGGCTTTCGATGCCTCAAAAATTTGTTCTTTTAATTTTGAAATATCTAAAGTAAGATTACCTTCTCTTCCTTGTAGATGGCATCTAATCATGTCCCAGTGATGCTCAGACTCATTATAGGCTTGGGGTGTAATACAAAAATCTGATGTATTCCAGTGACACTGTAACTGAAAAAGATATTCCAAGCTCATGAGCCTATCTCCTATCCAAATGACAGTTTGTATAAGATCATTAATTTGGTTTGCCAATTTTTGATCTATTTGGGTCTCAGAGTTCCACAATTCTGAGTAGCTGTGACTGCAATAAGACCCATATTCACTGCAATCACAGTAAAAATGAATCTTTTGGATCTAGTTAGAATTCCTTTTAATACTTCTGTTAACATATGGACAGATGGCGAAGCCTCCCACGGTCAGTCCATGGACACAGGGATCCACACACCCTCTCTTGCCCTCACTAGCAGAATATGGTGCTGCCAATTAAAAGTCGAATTAATGCAAGTAAACAATCTACAATTTTCACAGGTTATAGTTTGGTAATCTGGTTTAATCTATGTTTCCTACAACTAGCATATAAGGGGGTTCTACACAACTTTGCAAAGGAATTGTCAGATTGGAATCTAGGTTGATAGTATAATATGGCTTATGATTCTTTGTTCCTATAGTTGATTTCCAGACCAAATTCTAATATGGTGCGAGGCCACAGTAAGCTTCCATAATTCCGGATGTTCAGGACCAGTAACAGGACTAACTAACTTTGGTCAAGATGGTGAAATTCCCTTTTCACCCCATTTCCATGGATAGGGTGATTCTAACCTTCTATAAACCTGGTCCAGCCTTTTAGTTAAATCACTATCAAAGGCAGGATTAATGGGCCAGACGGATGGGGCCTGTGAATATGAGTAGGTCTGGCCTGTACAATCATAATATAATTGGCCTCGAGGGGCCCAGTCTATAATAGTTCCAAATTCATTGTTTTGTAATACGACCGCAGTATCAGCCACACATTCTTCCCGAACTAAGACTTCTGGGTCTTTTGATTCTTTGGGAATTTCCTTGGGGCATGGCTTCCCTTTGGCCCAAAGCTCATTTTAACGATCTTTGATAAGAAGAGTCTTGTAAATTATTTATCTGTGGCCTGAGTGACATTCCACTTACCATGTGATAAGTAAATCTACTGGTGCACTGACAGTAGGTACTTCTACCAACCAATTTTGGGTTGTAGGCATTAAACAACCTGGTGCCTTCCCTAGGCAAATAGGAGGATAATTATACCCAATGGAAATATTTATCATCATTCCTTCTTCTTCAGGTTGGGCAGGGCAGCAATCATCTGTGGGGCCTGGTACCCATGCAGTATTATTAACATATACTTCAATGATTATCCATCCATATGACTGCCCAAATTAAGAGCAGGAAAGGCACATAGGCCCAGTAAGTATAATTAGCTGCAGCTGCTCCTGCAGACATGGGGAGACTTACCACGGTAGATACAATCATCAAAACTGCAAGCAGCATATTCTCTGGAGTTTGTGTTACCCTTGTTTTCTTCAGGCTTTTTTCAGCTAACTGTGTCAGCTTCTTTAGTTGGGCCCAGGTCGGCAGCTCCGCTTCCTTTGTGGATGGCAACTTCATCTGTTCTTCTGATATCACCATTTTGTTCACCTGGCGAGTCGATGATGCTCGATTGCAGGTTTTCTGTCTCTGCGGAGGCACTTTTCTTTGCATCTCTGATGGGTTCATTGTAGAACTTTAAATGTCTAGTGGGTATCCAAACAGGAAGCTGATTTTCTCCTGGTGAAACACAAGCAAAGCCTCTCCCCCATGTTATCATCTTTCCTATTTCCCAAGTCTTATTTTTGTTGTCTTTCCACCAAATCAGTTTTCCTTCATGTGGGCTGTTCTTTTTACCAGTAAAATGTTGTTCTGCGGAAGTAGTGGTCTGATTTCTATAAATGTTTAAAAAATTTAAAGTATAGAGTGCTAGATTAAGTTGCATCTGGGAAGGGTTGTAGTCCTCACTGTCTTTTTCCTTTTTTGGTTAACCAATTGAGCTTTGAGTGTTCTACTAGTTCTTTCAATTATGGCCTGTCCTTGAGAATTATAGGGGATTCCTGTTGTATGTGTAATTTTCCACTGATTTAAGAATTTTTGAAATGTTCTACTACAGTATCCTGGCCCATTATCCGTTTTAATTTTTTCTGGAATTCCCATGACAGCAAAACAAGATAATAAATGTCTTTTAACATGGGAAGTACTTTCTCCTGTCTGGCAGGTGGCCCATAAAAAATGTGAATAAGTATCAACTGTCACATGGACAAATGACAATTTTCCAAATGAAGGTACATGTGTGATTCCATTTGCTATAATGCATTAGGACACAGACCTCTGGGATTAACTCCTGCCTCCTGAGTGGGCAGGTGTAGAACTTGACACTGGGTGCAGTGTTGTACAATATTTTTTGCCTGTTTCCATGTGATATCAAATTTATTTTTAATCATGTTGCATTTACATGAGTCAAGGCATGAAGTTCCTGTGCCTCCAGGAATGCAGATGATACTAGCAAGTCAGCTTGTTCATTTGTTTTAGTTAAAGGCCCTGGTAAATTAGTATGTGGTCGAATATGAGTAATATAAAATGGGAAATTTCTTTTTCTTACAGTTTGTTGTAACAAGTTAAACAGCTGGTTTAACAGATCATCTACACCATATTTGATTAGGGCTGTCTCAACATCCTTTGTAGCCTGTACTACATATGCAGAATCTGATACAATGTTAATAGGCTGATTAAAATTTTGTAACACTGAATTGACAACAACAACTCTGCTCTTTGAGCCGAGTGACATTGAGTTTCAAGGACTCGTTCTTTTGGCCTGGTGTAAGTTGCTTTTTCATTGCTGGAACCATCAGTAAATACCGTCAGAGCATTTTCTAAAGGTTTATGTCTGGCATTTTTAGGTAAAATCCAAGTAGTCAATTTTTAAAACTGGAAGATTTTTGTTTTTGGGTAATGACTGTCAATAATTCTCACAAAATCAGCAAGATCAATCTTCCATGCACCAGAATTGATAAAGGCTTGTCTAACCTGTTCCTTGTTTAAAGGAACAATGATTTTATCTGGGTCACTTCCACACAATTTTATTATTCGTAATCTTGTCTGACCAGTTAATGTAGCCATTTGATCTAAGTACAATGTAAAAGTCTTAATTGTACTATGAAGAAGGAATGACCACTCCACAAAATCCATTGGAACAATAATGCCTGTTGGCAAATGTGCAGTAGCAAAAATCAAAAGTTGGAGTGGGACTAAGTGATCTATTCTATTTACTTGTGCTGACAGTGGACATACCCGGGAATCTCTCATCCACTGTCCTCAATGCTCACGTTCTTAGCGTAACTTCACCTTGGAGAAAGGCACCCATGTTGGGCGGCGGGTGAAGGGGGCCAGCCCGTCCACACCTGTGGGTATTTCTCGTCACGCGGGACAAGAGACTGAGAAAATAAATAAGATACGGAGACAAAGTATAGAGAAAGAAAAGTGGGCCTAGGGGACTGGCACTCAGCATACGGAGGACCTGCACTGGCACCGGTCTCTGAGTTCCCTCAGTATTTACTGATTACTATTTTCACTATCTCAGCAAGAGGAATGTGGCAGGAGAACAGGGTGACAGTGGGGAGAAGGTCAGCAAGAAAACATGTGAGCAAAGGAATCTGTGTCACAAATAAGCTCAAGGGAAAGTACTATGCCTGGATGTGCACATAGGCCAGATTTATGCTTCTCCACACCCAAACATCTCAGTGGAGTAAAGAGTAATAGAGCAGCATTGCTGCCAGCATGTCTCACCTCCCTCCACAGGGATTCTCCTATCTCAGAATTGAACAAATGTACAATCGGGTTTTATACCAAGACGTTCCATTCCCGGGGCAGGCAGGAGACAGAGGCCTTCCTCTTATCTCAACTGCAAGAGGCCTTCCTCTTTTACTAATCCTCCTCAGCACAAACCCTTCATAGGTGTCGAGCTGGGGGTGGTCAGGTCTTTCCCATCCCACGAGGCCATATCTCAGGCTATCTCAGCAGGGAGAAACCTTGGACAGTACCCGGCTTTCCGGGGCAGAGGTCCCTGTGGCTTTCCGCAGTGCATTGTGCCCCTGGTTTATCGAGAATGGAGAATGGCGATGACTTTTACCAAGCATACTGCCTGTAAACATATGGTTAACAAGGCACATCCTGCACAGCCCTAGATCTCTTAAGCCTTGATTCCATAAACACATGTTTCTGTGAGCTCAAGGTTGGGGCAAAGTTACAGATTAACAGCATCTCAGGGCAAAACAATTGTTCAGGGTACAGATCAAAATGGAGTATCTTATGTCTTCCTTTTCTACTCAGACACGGTAATAGTCTGATCTCTGTTTCTTTTCCCTACAGCATGTATCTTAAACTCAGCAGTTGCAATGTAGTGTCTTTAACTTTATCTGCACCACCCTCTTCTCCCTTTAGGTTGAGGCCTTGAGGTCTAGAACCGTGTCATATTCTTCTCTGTGGCCTCAGCAACAAGCACAGTACCTGGTCCACTGTTAGGAGTCAATAAGTGTTTGTTGAACAAATAAATAAGGAGTAAATGAATGAATGTACAATCTATGGCTTAGAGATACTAAGTTTTGGTATTTTTATAATAATTTTGAATATATAGTTTTAAAGAAATTTCTGTTATTTCAGTCAGCTTTTATCAGATCATTAAATAAGAGAGAAAAAAATCAATATGTTGGATTTACTTTGCTTTCATAGGCTTTTCTACAGTGTAATTACTGGTCAGTGTGTCTACTTAATCTGGTCTTATTTTCTTCTCAAACTATTGTAAGACGGCTTCTACCCTCCTACTCCACTGAAACTTCTCTCTCTCTCTTTCTCTCTCTCTCCTTCTTTTTAGAGACAGGGTCTCATTCTGTCGCCCAGGCTGGAGTGCAGTGGTACAATCATGGCTCAATGTAGCCTCAAACTCCTAGGCTCAAGCTATCCCACCACTTCAACCTCCCAAGCAGCTAGGACTACAGATGTGCACCACCATGCCCAGCTCAATTTAAAAATGTTTTTGAGAGATGGGGTCTCTCTATGTTGCTCAAGCTGGTCTTGAACTCCTGGCCTCAAGTGATCCTCTCACATGGGCCTCCAAAAGTATTGAAATTACAGGCATGAGCCACCACACCCAGCACACTGAAACTTCTCTAGCAAGGATCACAAATGGACACAACCTTCGTACATCTAATGGATGTCCTTATCTCACTGAACTTCTTATGTTTCTCCATATTCTTCTGCATTTATCACTTCTGGCTTCACTCATGTTGTCTCTGCTACCTGGAATGTCACACGATCCACACACATGCACACACACATGCACATGTGCGAGCATACACACACACACACACACACACACACACACACACACACACACACACACCTCCCTTCCTGGCCTCTTACCTAGCTGATTCCTAGTCATTCATCCTTAGGTTTTTGTACTGTGTCACTTCCGCAGCAGGTCAGATATTCCTTCCTTGTGCTGCCTGCTCATAGCACACAGGGTATGATGGTACTATTACATTTATCACATAGCCTGAAAATTATATGTTTGCATTTCTCTCTCTGACTATACCGAGAAATTTGGTGGGAGGAAGGAATATTTATTTCTGTATACTTTTGTGTCCCTATACCTATCATAGTCCCTGATTGGTAATCAACATACTGGTGTTCTCATTGTTAATAAGAATAGTGAAAATTTAGGGCAACAGACTGAAGGTCCTTGTGACAAGTAATTTTTTTTAAATGGGATGGATGACAGTGACAGAGCTCTAAATTTCTACTAACCAGCTGAGACACAATGGCCAAAAAGCGATTGCTGTGATTGGAGCTGGAATTAGCGGACTGGGGGCCATCAAGTGCTGCCTGGATGAAGATCTGGAGCCCACCTGCTTTGAAAGAAATGATGATATTGGACATCTCTGGAAATTTCAAGTAAGTTTAGATTTCATTTGGTTTTAGGCATGTAACTTTAAAAAAAAATAGCTAGAACAATTTGATGCTGGTTTCCTCAGAGGAAACATACAGCACATCACATATTAGGAATTATGTAATGACTCTAATATTCTTGCTTATATTATGGATTAACTGAGGAATTATATGAATATATGTCAATTTCAGATTAAGCCATGAAATTTATCAGATTCTCTTCAGGGTAGCTGAGATTCCATGTGGTCATCAAAAATATTAGAAAGATATAGTGGTTGAGGATTCTTTCAACTGATCAGATGATATTGTGCTCAAAGTTAGAGATGTCACACTATTTTTTCCCCTGACTTAGCATGGGTATAGGGTAGGGTAGGATGATCTATTGCTGGGCTTCTCCCATGTAATCTCATCTTCTCTTCTGTGGTCACACCTGCTGACTGACTGGCCACTGCATGGTATCTTATCTTGTCAATCAGAGGGCAATGACTTTTTATTTCTCTCAGTTCTTGGCAGCAGGAGATTTATTGCCATGAGGAATTCAAACTTGGTGCCAAACGTTGAATAGGCTTAAGTTCCTGGGTGGTCTCATCTTCTTTTGGTGCTTCATTCTGCCATCTTTGGAAGTGCCCTTGAAGTCCAGCACTTCTGGTCAGTATTTTCCAGTTCTGATAATACCAGAGAGCCACTCTGCTCACCAGTCATGGCTGGCTTTCTCACGGGGTGTGCATGAATGAGCAGATTTCGTTCTCTTGCTCCTGGCTCTTGTGCCCACCCAGGCCATGTTTCAAGAGCCAGAACACTCTCCATCCAGAATGTGGAGAGTGGGCTTGAGGCAAAGTTATCAACATTGCTGCCCCACAGGGACTTTCCTCAGGTGCCACTAGAGCAAATCAGTGCCCAAGCAGCATTCAGATAGACCCTCCAACCTGATGTTAGGGTCATTCAAATATTCCTCCATTCCTCCATAACCTTTGGATTTTCTTGTGTGTGGCTTTAATTGACCTTCAGTTCTAAAAGTCCTATAATACCCATTTTGTTTCTTCTTTAAGAGTGCATTCATTCAACAAATATTTTTTGGGCCCTACTATGTGTCAGAAACTTTTCTAGGTGCCAGGAAATATATTAGTAAATATGAATACAAAAATCCTTGCCCTTAAAAGGTTTACATTCTAATGGGAAAGGATAATTAAATTAAAAAGTAGCATGGTTAGTGCTGGTAAGTATAATAGAGAAAAATAAACCAGGAAATGAGAGTTTCACGAATATAAATTAAATAAGTGGTCATGAAAAGCCTCAAAATGATTTTTGACAAAGAATTGTAAAGTAAGAAAGAAAGCTGAGAAGAGATCTGGGGAAGGGGATTCAGAGGAATCTTCAAGTGCAGAGCTGTGAGGTGGGAGCATGCCTTGTATGTTAGAGAAAAGTCAGGGAGCCAGTGGGTCTAGACCGTAGTGGCCCAGAGGAAGAAGTCTAGGAGGTGGTCAGAAGGGGAATGGGAGTCCAGATCATATTGGCATTTAGAGGCCATGATAAGGACTTTGACTTCCATATAGATTAAAACCATGAGATGGTTTTAAATAAAGGAGCAATGTTCTACAGCTTGTGTTTTAATTATAAAAGACAACCCTGATTGCTCTGTTGAGAATAAAACAAAGAAACGCTAAAGAAAATTGTCCAGTTTGAAAGCTACTCAATAATATTCCAATGGGAGATCACAGCAAACTGTACCAGGTTTCTAGATACATGGATTTTTAAAAAATATTTTATAATTTCTTATATGTTGACTTTTTTCTATTTCTTTTTGAATGTTTATCATATATTTAAAAAAGGTTTGTGTCTATTATATCTTCTTAGTGGATAGTTCCTTTTATCCATATGAAATATCTTTTTGTTCCTTTTACCTTTAATTATATTGTGTGCTATTAATCACAGGTATGCATGAATTTAAAATTAAAAGTAAAATTAAAATATTACTAAAGTAGATATTTTTGTTATAACTTGATAAGCATATTTTTCCATCACTTAATTTTCAATTTTACTTCATTTTATTTTAGGTTTGCCTGCATAAAATCTGATTTTACTTTATTGTTCAATGTAAAACCTTCTATCTTTCTTATTTTAAAAATTGTGCTGAGGTGTAATGTATGCATTAAAATACATAAAGTAAGCTGATCTTATGTGTACAGCTTGATAATTCTTACATATTTATATATCTATACAACTACTGCTTAAGTAAGATATAGACTATATCCAGAATCTTAAAATAGTTCCGTGTGTTTCTTCCTAGTCAATACTTAGCCATTCCCAGAATAACCACTATTTTGATGTCTATCACCATTAATTACTCCTGATTGTCTTTGAAATAATGCATTTATACTATTTTTTGTATTTTTTTGACTTTTAATGTATGTGGTTGAGATTTATTCAAATCGTGTATGTAGCAGTAGTTTATTTTTCTATTTACCATTAATGTGTAGTATTCCAGTATATGAAAACACTGCAATTTATTCACTTAGTCTCCTGTTGATAAAATTTTGTGTCTGGTTTCTTTCACCCATCATTTGTGTATGTCAAATGTATTCATTATATGAGAATAGCTTTAATTCATCTAAAAACTTTAATTGTTGCATAGTATTCCATTGTTTGAATATACCACAATGTATTTACTCTTTCTTTTTTGGTAGAAATTTGGGTTGTTTTTACTATTTGGCAATTGTGAAAATTCTTGCACATGCCTTTTGGTGGATACGAATTTATTTCTTTTGGGAATATTCCTAGGAGTAAAATACTGGCTCAAAGTTTAAGCATCAGTAGATATTGCCAAGCAGTGTTCTAAAATGAATGTATCAATTTACATTTCCACCAATAACGTATGAGAGCTCCACATCCTTCCAAATGCTTAGTATTGTTAGTCTTTTTATTTTGACCATTCTGGTAGATATGGAGTGGTATTGATTGTAGTTTTGCTTTGTATTTCCCTCATGCGTACAGATGCTGAACATCTTGTAATATGCTTATTGGCATAGATATTCTCATTTGTTAAAAATTTGTTCAAGTCTTCTGTCCATTGTCAATCTAATTCGTCTATCTTTTTTCTTTGGTAAGAATTGTTTTTTATATTTTGTATATGAGTCTTTTGTTGCATGCATTTGTTGTGAATATCTCCTAGTATGTGTTATGTGTTTTTATTGTCATAAAGATAGTATAACTTTTGACAGAGGCTCAAGATTTTAATGAAGCCCACTTTATCCAGTTTTTTAATGGTTTGTAATTATTTGTATTATAGATAAGAAACTTTTATTTATCCCAAAGTCCTGAAGATGGTTTCTTGTATTTCCTTCAGAACTGTTATTGCTGTACCTTTAATGTTTGGATTTATGATCCATTTTGAATTACTTTTTGTGTATGGTGAGATATAAGGATCCCGTTCATTTTTCCCACATACGGATATCCAGTGGATATAGCACCATTTATTGAAAAGACCATTATTTCCCCCATTGAGTTACAATAGTGCCTTTTATTTATTCATTCATTTTTGGAAATTTGGTGGCTGTTTATGTGTGAGTTTGTTTCTTAGTCTGTTTCACTGGTCCATGTTTCTATCCATGCATCATTGCTGTATCTTTATAGTAAAGTTTGGTATTTTTGTTTTTCTTCATAAGTATTTTCTTTAATTTTCAAGGATCTCTACATTTTAATATAAGTTTTAGAAATAGCTGTCAATTTCACAAAAATATCTGCTGGAATATTATTTGGGATTGCATTGGCTTTATGGATGTAGTTGGAAAGGATTAAATTTGTAATAATGCTGAGTCATCTCATTTATGTAATAGTATCTCTCTCTATTTATTTATGACTTTTTCACTTCTCTCAGCAATCATGTAGAAGCCTCGCATATCTTTTGTTAGATTATTCTTAAGTATTTGATGTTTTTTATGTTATTGTAAATAACAGCTGTTATGAAATTTCACTTTTCAATTTGTTGCTAGTATATCAAACCATTAATTTTTATGTGAGCCTTGTAACCAGCAACATTGCTAAATTTTGTAATGCTTTGAATGTAGATTATTTTGGATTTGCTATGTACATAATCATGACTTCTATGCTTAATAACAGATTTACTTCTCACTTTCCAATATTTATGACTTTTG
This sequence comes from Homo sapiens, assembly GCF_000001405.40. Taxonomy (NCBI): domain Eukaryota; kingdom Metazoa; phylum Chordata; class Mammalia; order Primates; family Hominidae; genus Homo; species Homo sapiens. Next base: position 166,616,749 of record NC_000001.11, read on the forward strand.
TTTCTTTTTGCTCTTTATTGCATTAGCTGGGTCCTTAAGAATAATGTTACATAAAAGTGCTAATAGAAGATATCTTTTTACTCTTCCCAACCTCGCCTAAAAGAAAAACTGCTCAGTATTTTACCAGTAAGCATGATGTTAGCTAAGATTTTTGTAGATTAAGAAAATTTCCATCTATAAATAGTTTATGGAGAGTTTTTTAAAGTCACAAACATATGTTAACATTTATAAAATGATTTTTCTACATCACCTGAGATCAACATCTCAATAATTAGCATTGTTATGTTAGTGCAACACATTTTATAGATTAATATTCACATGATAAAATAAATTTTTGTCTTCAGAAAAACCTACTTGATCATTTGAAAATATTTTTAGTCATTGCTAGATTACATTGCTAGATTAATTTTTTTCTGATATTTCTAACTTGCTAAAATATAATTTTCATCAATGTTTATGAGACCTTGTATTATAATTTTCCCCTCTTATAATGCCTATGTCAGGTTTGATATCAAGGTCATTCTAACTCAAGATTATGAAATGAGTTGAGAAATGTTTCTGCTTTTTCTATTTTCTTAAATAATTTCTGTACTATTGGCATTATTTTATTTTCTTTAAATGTTTGGAAGAATTCAATACTGAAGCTATCTGAGCCAGTTTTCTTTGTAAGAAGCTTTTTAATGACAAATTCAACAGATACAAGGATTTCAGATTTTCTTTTTCTTTTCATGTCAGATTGGTAAGTATTGTTTTTCAAGGAATTTGTCCTTTTTTCTAAGTCAACAGTTTGAGGGATATTATTCATAATAACCTCTTAAAATATTTTTTATTATGTTTAGATTCTATAGTGTTATTTTATTTTTATTCCTAATATTGACAATTTATGTTTTCTCTTTTTGGGGGTAGTTAATCTTGCTAGGGATTTATTAATTTTCTTAATCCTCTAAAATAACAAACAATATCATGCCATGTACTGCTCATTTAATTTATATTTCAATGATTTCAGCTTATATTTTTATTATTTTCTTTTTCTTCATTTTTATGTTTATTTTATTGTATATCTAGGTTGTTTTTTAAAAAAATTATTTTAGGTTCAGCAGTACATGTGCATGCTTGTTATATAGGTAAATTGCATGTCACAGGGATTTGGTATACAGATTATTACTTTTACTTGTGTGTTGGTGGGGGAAGGGTGGCTCTCTGCTGGAGTTCTCCTATAGTTGGATGCAGGCAGCCCAAGAAGGAGCTATGATGAAAGACCTGGGAAGCACCCTAGCTGGGCATCCATGGTTGCACTGCCAGCGGGTGCAGCCAGGCTGGGACCCCAGGTGAGGCCAGCAGATGGGGTACTCAGATCAGACTGTCCTGATCCTACAGGCAAGACCACCCTGCTCTGTCCAAGTCCAATGTCACACTAAAGCTAAAGTCTCCTAGAAGAACACAGTGAGCCTTGGGAGATGGGTGCTCCAGCCATGCTCCACTATGCCTAACCCTCTGGGCTCTGAATTTGCTTGAGTCCTGCCCCACCACCTCTGTAAGCAGCTTTTCCTGTCAGCTCAAGTGTCCATGGGAGGTATGGGGTCTCTTGCTGCTAGGATTACAGAAGTCTACAGTAAGAGCAGGTCACCTGTTCAACTCACCCCTTTCCCAGGAGTTGCTGGGGGTTAGGAATGAGTCCTGGTGCTCAGCTGCCTCATGCAGGCTTCTCAGCTTCCTCCCTCTTCAGGCCAGCACCTGCGTCCTCCCTCCATCCACTCTCATTTCTTCCTTCTGAAGATCTGCTCTGAGTGTGCCAGTCCTCCCATGTCCTAGTCTCTTGGAGGGAGATGTGTTTCCTGGCTGTGTCTAGTTGACTATCTTAAATTCCACTGATAATTCTTGCAGCTCCACCAGAGGGGAAGCGTGAAGTCGGGGGATCTTTCAATGGGCCCCTGCTGGTACCTTAGATCTGGGTTCAGGCAACTCCTTCGGGAGTTCTGAGTCTTCTCTGAGACACCTGTGTAGGGCACCAATTATCGTCGACAAAAAACGTCAAAATTTATCTTTACTGATTCACCTTCCTGTCAGCTTCCATGGGTTCAGCTCTCTGGGAGCTCCTATCTAGCTTCTTGATTTGGAGCTTAGCTATTTCATTTACAGCTTTTTCTTCTTATCTAACATATGCATTTAATCTATACATTTTTCTCTAATCACTGTTTTGTTTCATCCACAAGTTTGATGCATTATCTTTTCATTATTTTTCAGTTCAAAACATTTTCTCATGTCCTTGTAATATAGTCTCTGACCCCAAGGTTATTTAGATGTGTTAATTTCTAAACAATTGGAGAGTTTCTGGTTATTTTTTTCTCATTAATTTCTAATTTAATTCCACTGTTATTGAAGAACATACTGTGACTTTATTTTATTTTACTTTTATTTTTTATTGTTTTGAGACAGAGTCTCACTCTGTCACCTAGGCTGGAGTGCAATGGCACAATCTCAGCTCACTGCAACCTCTGCCTCCTGGGTTCAAGCAACTTTCCTGCCTCAGCCTTCCGAGTAGCTGGGACTAAAGGCGTGCGCCACCATACCCAGCTAATTTTTGTATTTTTAGTAGAGACGGGGCTTCACCGTGTTGGCCAGGCTGGTCTCCAACTCCTCATCTCAAGTGATCCACCTGCCTCGGCCTCCCAAAGTGCTGGGATTACAGGCATGAGCCACCGCACCTGGCCTCATACTCTGACTTTAATCTTTTAAAATTTATTTAGACTTTTTAAGTGTCCCAACACAGGCCTATATTGGAAAATATGTTATAGGTACCTCAAAAGAATGTGTAAATTTGTAGCGTTTATTTGTCCATATATATCAATTAAGTTGTTTAATTATGTTCTTCAATATTCTATGCCTTTACCAAATTTTGTTCTATTGTTCTATTAGTTAGTGAGATGAGTTTAATTCTCCAGCTATGAATATGAGTTTATGAGTTTCTCCTAGAAAAACTTTGTATATTAGTTTCTCCTTTTGATTCTGTTAATTTTTACCTTACATATTTTGAAATTATGTTACTAGGTGCATTTGAATTTAAGATTTTAATATCTTCCTGTAGAATTGACCTTTATATTGTTATTATTTCTTTCTCTTTATCTCTAATATTTCCACGATATCTAATTTGTCTAATGTAGCCACTCCAGTTGCCTTTAGTTTTTTGTAAATAAAATAAAGAGGCTTTTGTCTGGTATTTTATTTTTTGTTTTAATTGGAGTGCTTACATATAATCAAGCATTAATATATTGGGTTTTAATTTACTATCTGGTATGCTTTTGATTTGTTTTATATCTTTCTTTCTTTACTCTTCATTTCCTTCTTTCTTTTGGTTTTACTCATTTTTTTGTACATTAATTATTTAGATATCCATTTTTGAATTATCCTTTTTAATTTTAATGCATATCCTTGACTTATTACTTTCTACCTGAAGAAGGCAAAGCTCTTATAACAGTTTAGCCTCATTTTCTGACCTTTGTGTTATTATGTATTTTACTTGAATATTTTATAAACCCCACAAGATATTACTGTTACTAATGTTTTAGTCAATATTTTTATGTTTATCCACATATTTATGATTCCTAGTGTTTTCATTTCTTCCTGTATTTGCATGGTTCCATCTTTGTTCATTCCCATTTAGCCTGAGGAACTTCCTTGCATGTTTCTCATAGTGTGGGATTGCTGGCAAGAAATTCTCTCAGTTTTTGTTTGTCTGAATGCAGGTTTATTTCACTTTCAATTTTGATGGATATTTTCACTGGGTATTGAAGTTTATTTCAGCATTTTAAAGATAACATTCCAGTTTTTCTGACTTCTATCATTTCCATTGAGCAATCAAGCATAAGCCTATTGTTGATTCAGAGTAGCTTTTTTCTCTAGTAGATATGGACAGAAGAGAGAAAATATTCATGGAAAAGTAAAAGGCAATGTTATTTATTATACCCGATTACTTTTCTTCTCTAAAATATTTTATTTAGATTCCCTTGTTATTGTAAAGCTTATTTTATTAAGAGAAGCTTTCTTCTATAGAAAAATACTTCAGAGAAAATGCCTAGTATCTACAAATCTGTGACCATCAATACTTCCAAGGAGATGATGTGCTTCAGTGACTTCCCTGTCCCTGATCATTTTCCCAACTACATGCACAACTCCAAACTCATGGACTACTTCGGGATGTATGCCACACACTTTGGCCTCCTGAATTACATTCGTTTTAAGGTAAAATCTAAATGAATCATTGCATAGTAAATGTGTGTGTGCATGTGAGCACACATGCATGTATGTGTGCAGACACACTCAGTTGTACACACATGAGCTATATTTGGCATCTTCAGGTATGATCAGAGGAAGAGATCATCAGTGAGCTTCCACCCTAGAAAATCACCACTTATAAAGAAGTAATGTTTTGAATATTTCACTTGAATATAAGGTTGAAGAATTTTGCCCAACAGAACCTATTCTAACAAGACTTTGGTGTGGCATTGTAAGGGTCCTTTCTGTCAGCCTTAAATTCAACTGTTGAAGGACTTACAATAGTGGCAGTAGTAATTGAGCCATATTATATTGTGTGTAAGTAGAATAAGAATGAAGGTCATATAAACAACACAAGGAAGACTTTTTTCAGATCCATGTAGTTCCCATAATCTACCACTGTGACCCCCTACTCACACTTAAAAATCTATCTCTATAGTCATGGTGGGATATTAATTCCTGTCTGAAACTCAAAAGCCAAGTGCAGGGAAACTGGAGAAGTTTGTGCTAAAATATGAAAAATATAAGGAATATTAGTCTCTTTCATGTGGAAGTCATCCTGGAAAGATATTTTTCTTGCAGCTTCAGTCACTCCTCTGTTTTTTCCCCATTAAGTATCAACTATTTCTATTTCTATGGAAAATTGGATTTTTAAATAAAATACCCACAATATCTTGAAAATGCACACACGGCAAAGGCAGTCACTATGGGAGTGGGAACTAAAGAGAGAGCAAATGCCTCTGATGAAGATAGAAGAGTCTCAGATAAGTTATATTACTCAGACTTATGGGGTTTTGGGGAGGAGGGATTAAACCTGAGGACTGTGATAGTGTATCATCTTGTTCTCAGACTGAAGTGCAAAGTGTGAGGAAGCACCCAGATTTTTCTATCAATGGACAATGGGATGTTGTTGTGGAGACTGAAGAGAAACAAGAGACTTTGGTCTTTGATGGGGTCTTAGTTTGCAGTGGACACCACACAGATCCCTACTTACCACTTCAGTCCTTCCCAGGTATGTCGCTAAGAATCTGTTTGGTAGAAAAGTACTTTCCAGATAACCCACAGAGCAAAATGATTGAGCATGAACTTTATTACTAGTCTCTGGTCACATTGAATAACAAACAACTAAATGCCCAATATTTCTGTTAACAGGACAAAACTAAACAACAAAAATAGGCAAACACATAACATTTGTTTATTACTTTCTATAGTTTTAAATAGATTCTAATTAATGATAACAATTAGCCCTGGCCCACTTTCAACTGGTTTTAGTTTTGTGTCCATTCATCTTATCTCACTTCCTTTCAGAGAAAGTGAAATTACTAAAAATAAGGGACAAATGGTAAGCAAATCAAGCAAAAAGCTGGCAAATCCACAAACTTAGAAATTTTAGAGTATGAGACAAAATTTTAAATAACATTCATCACTGGTTTGCAGTGGTTGATAAAAACACACTGGCAACTTACTGTTTCCTTTGAATTCTGTTTGATAAAATGGTGCCCATCTCAAATGAGATTATTACTTGAAAAAACAAAACAAAACAAAACAAAACAAAAAAGCTTCCCTATCCCCTCTAACTAAAGCCTCTCCCTTTACTTCTGATCCCTTTCCCCTCCCTTTACATCAATTGCTATCAGAAGTCAATCAAGAAATACTTGATATCTCAGTGCCTTTCCATGATGTCTAACAAGCCATCATAAGAAATTCTTTGGAGGTTGAGGCAAACTGAAAACAGAAGAGTCCTAGATGAAAATCAAGGGACTTAAACTTGAATTTTGGTTGTCCAACTGACTAGCTCAGTCATGTATGACAAATACCTGACCTTTCTGTGTCTGCACACCAACACAAACATTTACAAAATAAAAATACCTGATTTTCTAAATGTTAAAATGCAATATATTCTGGAAATTATTATATAATTATAACAAAATATATAGGTTATATTAATAACTGTAGTATATGTATCAGCTTCTTTTTGACTTGCTTCCTGGCTGAGAGACATACCCTACAGAGACACTTGTGGGACATATATATTTTAATAGGTTTCAGGGGACAGAGATACAAACACGCCTAGAGTGAGACAATGTCCGAGAATGCCAGACACAGATTAGGGCTGTTCTGAAGCTCTCAGCAGAGCCAGGGACAACATGAGGGTATTAGGCACTTGGAAGTCAGAGGAGATGTCAAGTTGATGAAGAAAGGCCCTATACTTCCTCATAGAATAATGAAACAAAACCAAACAACAACCAGTTTCCAGCTTCATCATTTTGCCTAAGACTGCAGAGGACAATGTAATCATGAATAAATTAGATCATAGTGAAATTGTTGTGAAACTTTCAATTTGGAATAGGTCCAAGACAGATAGATCTACTATTTACTAAATACTTTATATGGTCACTAGTCTATATTTAGCATCTATTGGTACTAAGTCTGAGTTTACTCCCTGCTTTCCTGAGCTCTGTGAAATATAAAATTACATTTTTAGGACATAGGGTAATGTTCCATATAGCTAACCCAGACTCAAAGTCTTGCTCTTCCAGATGAACCAGAATATAACTTTCTATGTGTTGAGTTAGCAATGTGAAAAATACTCCTAATAATAAGAAATGTTCTTCCACCACAGGCATTGAGAAATTTGAAGGCTGTTATTTCCATAGTCGGGAATACAAAAGTCCCGAGGACTTTTCAGGGAAAAGAATCATAGTGATCGGCATTGGAAATTCTGGAGTGGATATTGCGGTGGAGCTCAGTCGTGTAGCAAAACAGGTTTGTTTGTTTTGAACAACTTCACTAATGGAAACACAACTTTCACTAGTGGAAATCTCCGCATTTATAGGTGCCATCCAGAATGTAGGTTTAGTCTGTGAAGGACCAGAAAAGAAAGTGAAATCTATGGACCCTGGCCTCAAGGTGTTTAAATTCATGGGGAGCAGAGGATAAATGCAAAATAAATCCTTCATATTCACAGTGGAAAAATACATGTAAACAAATTACTATTAATTGAGCCAGTTCAGTAAAATATTAGCATAGATTAAAGAAAATGTTAGATAATTAATCTGACTTTTTTTTACTGCCATAGCAGTGCCTTAGTCCTGAAATAGAATTCAAATAGTGGTAAAGATGAGAAATTGCAAATCCATCTGGGATCAGCGGGTTTTGGTGGTAGAATTAAAGAACAGAAAACAGAGGAGAATTAATGATGATGATAAATATGTAATTCTCTTGAGCTAAAGTATTATGTTGTATCTACAATGATGAGGGAAGATAAAATACTAAATTTTGCTTTAGACATAGTTTATTTCCTGCAAAACCAAGTTATCTAAGACTTCCATTTATGCTTGATTATTCAATATTCTTTCTTCTCTTAAAAAATTAATAATACTCAGAGTTTATTAAAAAAATGAGATACTTTCACATTCAGGATTGCTGGCCACATTTAATAAAGCCTTAATTAATAAAGCGCCCTACCTATGAGGATGTTCAGATATCCTGATTATCGTTACTTATTTGTCTTTATTTGTCATCATTTATTGTTAGTTTTTAGAAGAAATTACTAAGTGAATTACTGAAGTTTAGTTTATTTTTTAAAAAATTAATAAGCATTTAAAAAGGTAAATGTTTGGTCACTAGCACCCATCTAATCTATCTTGTACTTTACAGATTTGACCAGTAGGAACTGAGATTCAACGTCCCCAAGACTGCAAAAGTACCTACAATCAAACAAATTAATATATTTCCTAATTGGATCAGCATGCAGACAAGTTTACAAATATATTACAGAAAGATTTGAAGAGGGATTCTGGTTACGTTCAGTTAAGCAGGACACTAATCCTGAACAATCTGATGTATTAAAGTTTCTAATGTTTGTATCTTTGGTTTGATGCATACAATAGAGTGGAAGTCTGTAGTAGTTAATATGATGATAATTCGCTTCTAAATTTAAATCCTTATTTATATATGAAGCATAGCTATGTCAATGTCCAGGGAAGCATTTTTAAATAGTAAATCAGAAACATGTAAACTAGTGAATACAATTTTCTATTTTTCATTCAGAAATTTGTTGTCATAGATGCAGCCTTTATCTGGAAATCAGTGGGCAGCTCTGGTCAAGCACAGCATGGCGACCACTGTGTAGTATTTTACCACCTAATCCTTAGTAGCCAACACTGTTAAATCTGCATAATGGGTAGCATATGAATAAAATAATATCTTGTAAAATGTTCTCTTTCTCTCTCCTTCACTGGTTTGCTCTATCTCTGCCTCCCTCATATATTCCTTAGTACTAGACGTGGATCATGGATTTTACACCGTGTTTGGGATAATGGGTATCCCATGGATAGTTCATTTTTCACTCGGTTCAATAGTTTTCTCCAGAAAATACTAACTACACCACAAATAAATAACCAGCTAGAGAAAATAATGAACTCAAGATTTAATCATGCGCACTGTGGCCTGCAGCCTCAGCACAGATGATCACCAAGGGGCCTTACTTTATGCAATTATGTGTATGTGTAAAAGGGAAGTTACCCTAAAGACAGTTCAGCTTCTGGCAATTAACATGTATTTCGGTCAAGTAATCTCATACACTCGCTAATATAAATCACTTATATTATGACGTATATAATATATATCATTGCACCTAAATGGGTCAGACAAGTGTCTGGAGAACAGCTTCAGGAACCTCCAAGATGAGAATGGGAGAGTGGCAGATCTTGGAAAGAACTTGGTGTGGACTTTGGTAAATGTCAAAGTCAGCCCTTCATGAAGAATGCCTGGCACTAGCACTGCACAGGTTAAGAAAAATATGAAGGAGTAGGCTGAGTCCTTCCTGAGGCCAGGAAAGGACTAAAAATGAGGAGACAGGAAGGCCTTCTCTATGTACATCAGCAAGAGAATGCATTACTGGTTTCTATATCTTGGACAGAAAGAAGTAGTCCTCTTCACCTTTTACCGCCTGTAGAACAGCGACCACAAGGAGCATTCTGATAACCAGACATCAGCCCCAATGAGCTATCAAAAATGTACCATCCCATGTAAATGAATCGGTATCCAGAGAAATGATTCAGAACATCAGAGCACATGCCTAGCTAGGCAAATTGAGGAGGAAAAAGAAGTCAACTTGCATTGGAATAGGAAGAGATCTTAAGGGGAATTCAAGTGAAACATGAAATATTATTCAGAGCTTAAGAATATCATTTGGCAACTAAAGACAGGAGTAGATAAATTGAGGGAAAAATGGTTACTGGATAGATTAAGAGAAATTGGAATAGGTGGAGAAGACTTGGTGCTTAAATAAATAATAGAATAATTTTTTTCAGATTGAAAAGAGACCACTGAATTCCAGGATGGATTGTGGACACACATGCACACAAATATACCCGTTCACATACATGTACCATCATGTAGGATTCCTCCATTGCCCCTACTTTTTTCTCTTTCCTGATCAAGAGATATCAGCCAGCTGCATGTTTTCCCTTGCAGGCCTAAACCCAGGCCTGGGCCTTGAACATTTTCAGCCACTGATAAAGGTATTTAGGTTATTGCCCCAAACACCAAAGGATACTAACCCTGGACCTAAGCCAGATTCCTTAAGCTCTCAGATAAATATCATAACCTGACCCTCTCACTGTGGATATACCTAAGCAGAACATCCCTTGTCTTATTGTCCATCACCAGGATACACAGCAGCCTCCTCTGTACATAAGTTCCCCTAGTAAACACTTTGCAATGATCACTCTGGCATTTAGTGCTTCTTTCTTCAGAATCCTAGTCAGTTTCATCTCAGAACAATTTGAAACCCTCCCCTGCAGAAACTCCCAAGCCACCGCTAAAAAATACAAAAGATAGATGATAGATAGATAGATGATAGAGATAGATAGATAGATTAGATAGATAGATGATAGATAGATAGATAGATAGATAGATAGATAGATAGATAGATAGATAGATGATAGATATATTCCATCTGGGATTGTGTAATGTAAGTGCTAAAAAAAGACTTTAAACAAAGGATGTATAGCATAAGGAAAATTCTAATAAATGTGTTAAATTGCCTCAACAAACTCAAGGAGTGAAGAAGAAAGAAAAGAGAACAATGAGTGACTTGACTAGAGCTACAATTTAGAAAATTAATCTACCTGGTGGAATAAAAAACCAAGAGTCAGAGATTCCTTTTAATTTTGAGTTTTTGTGTTTGTAAGAATACTTTGCATATTACAGAAATCAATACTTTTTAGAATCATCTGTTACATTTTTTTCTGATCATATCATTTTCCCATTGATTTAGCTTTTTAAATACAGAGAAATCTTAACTTTCAATACTGATATATTTCCATCTCTTCTGTCATAACTTCTGAGTTTTTAAACTAGATGAAGAAGGTCTACCCAGCCCCAAGATTGTAAAAATAGTCTCCAAAATTTACCGGCAAGATTCTCACTTTTTAAAAATTTTGATACTTACGTCTTTAATCAATCAAGAATTTATTTTCAACCTGGTAACTATAAGGGTCGAATTTTATTTACGTATGTCTAGTAATGCTCACATTACCCTCAGATTAAGTAGAAAACAGTGGCCTTGCATTTTTACTCTCTACTCCTTCCCTTAAAGTTTCTTAAATCAAACTTAGCTCCACACGTTTCTATATATGCTTGGCTTGTCTAGACCTATATCTCTGTTCACTTCTTTCCCTCTACCTCATTTTCAGTCTAGGTCTTACGTACCTATAACAGATCCTCCCACTGGTTGTTACTGAGTAGCTCCTCCTTTCTTAAAACAGAAGACTGTCTGGACAAGGCAGTAATGTGACACCGTTTTCTCTAATAAGAGTGAGTGAAAATCCACTGCATGGCGTTTCTGAGAAGGCAAATGTTTTCAACATAAATCTTTGCCTCTCCTCTTTCTCATTGTCCCTCTTTGGAATGTTGTTTCAATGCTTGGAGGTACAGTTCTTTAAGACAACAATTTGCCATTTAGCAAATATTTGAATGGGTACTTATATCAGGCAACTTTATAGCTAATTCTGCTACAGACATATTTATTATATATCTAACTTGAGTACTGATTTTGCCTACAAATGATAAGAATTTGGTAGAAAATAAGGTGGAGAGAAGGCTAATAATAATTTATGACATCTTTTCAAACTGGGATCCATAGTCATATATCATTTTTCCCTCAATTCTAAGTAGTTTAAAATATTTTAGCACTAAAACAAATAAGCATTATGGCACAGAATCAAAATATACACAAGTTTTCAAGACAATGTAAGACTAGAAAAAATGTAGAGCTGAGGTAGCCACTAAAGCACTTAGGTGTAAAATTACCCACTTCTGCCATTAGAGGCAAAAAGTAGGATAGGTACAGAGTCAGAGGAAAAATAGAAGTTGTTGGCTTCAATCCCTTCTCATATGCATTATTTTCTTTTTGTATATTTGCTTACTCAGGACTTTTATTTTTACATACAGGGCTTTAAGTCAGCATCCAACTGTCAGTGATGACCTGCCAAATCACATAATTTCTGGAAAAGTCCAAGTAAAGCCCAGCGTGAAGGAGTTCACAGAAACAGATGCCATTTTTGAAGACAGCACTGTAGAGGAGAATATTGATGTTGTCATCTTTGCTACAGGATACAGTTTTTCTTTTTCTTTCCTTGATGGTCTGATCAAGGTTACTAACAATGAAGTATCTCTGTATAAGCTTATGTTCCCTCCTGACCTGGAGAAGCCAACCTTGGCTGTCATCGGTCTTATCCAACCACTGGGCATCATCTTACCTATTGCAGAGCTCCAATCTCGTTGGGCTACACGAGTGTTCAAAGGTATGTGAATAAATGTTGGATAAAGGCCTAATATTTCACCTAAAGTTAATACTCTGTTTTTTCTTAACACTAGTTCTCTCTTTTCAGCAAAATGCACCCCTCTTATTCCTAGGAATCCTGACAAACTCTGAATTTTCTCTTCTAGGGCTGATCAAATTACCCTCAGCGGAGAACATGATGGCAGATATTGCCCAGAGGAAAAGGGCTATGGAAAAACGGTAAATTAATAATTAGTAGCAACTAGTTGGAGACCTTCATAGGGATCACAAAATTTTAAATCTTAAATTCTAAATATATGCTTCATCTCATTGAATTATGCAGGCATTTTTCTCCATTTCCTACACTATATTGTTATACAACACCAAAACAAGTATGAATCTTAGTTCCCTAACTCAGTTTTGCAACAAATAGTCATATATTTATTCTCTTTAAGTCATACTAAATTTGAATTTAAGCCCTCTATATCAATTTCAGTCATTATGAATATTTCTCCCAGGATCTCATTATGAATATTTCTTCCCAGGAACTCAAGAAGCTTATGTGATTTCCCAAAATGTGAGAATAGTTTCTGATTTTCACCACATCGTGTTCTTTACTGACATCCTTGTTGCCTAAGTTTAAAGTATACCCTTCATGTCTGGAGGCTTTTGGCTTCCCTATCACAAGTAGAGTGCAGGAATCCTTACTGAGAATGGGGGCTCCAGCTAAGATGGGCTTGGAGCTCAGCCTCCCTAGGAACCCACACAGCTACTCTCTCTGACATCTTGCCCTAGATTCCTAGACTTTTTCAGACCAGTTTTCAATTTCCTGCTGTGTGAAATCTCTCCCTTTCCTCTCTTGTTAACTTAAAATACATTTATATTATTCTTTTCCATGAGCCCAGAATTTAAGAAATAACAAACTAGAAGGGGAGTTGTCTTGCAAATAAGGTACTTCTTTGGTCATGTAACAAAAAATATCTCTGAAACAAGGCAACAGGAAAGGCTTGGCCACTTTTGCAGAGAGCAGAAGAAAGGAATATAGATAGAAAAGATACAAATTCATATCTTAATAAATAACCTTGCCACATTATTTCAGCATTCTAAAGACTTTATGTGTGTGTGTGTCCATACAAAGATATGAAATTCATTCCCATTAACTGCCCCCACACACAGACACTTTACAGTTTTACAAACTTTGCAACACAGAGAAAACCATTCGTTGAAAAGGCCTTCAAGTGTTGCACTCATCAATACTTGGAAGAAGAAGTGAATTCATTAAAATGTATTTTGTGCCTATTGTATTAGTCATATTGCTAAGCATTTCCAATAGGATTATGTACAATGTAAATGGAGAGCAATTTAAATGGCAACACTGCTGCTTCTTCTTATGTAACAGTACCTGAAAAATTGTGAGGGCTACAAACTCCATGTTATGGGGAAGGTCCTACAACATGAACAAAAGTTCAATACATGCAGTAGAGGTGCCAGCTCCCACACATCTCTAAGATGACACTTTGTGCATTCCTGCATCAGAAAGACATGCTACCCTTGCCCTGTGTTGTACAGCAGGTGTGCACAGGGCTGCTGCTATCTCATAAAATAAGTTTTTGCAAATTAGAAAAAGGGCAGCCCTTCCTCAGGACACTTTACTTCCAAATGCTGGAAGTCAAATTCTCATTATAAACATCAAATCTACAATATCTACAATGCAAATGGGGCCTCTAAGGTTACGCAGCCCCATTGCATCATGCAATGTATGCTCAGAGTTGAAGCATCTGGGGCAAGGGAGAGCTACCCAAGAAGCTGCCATTCTCAGCAGTGCTGCAGAGTCACCTTGCTCTGCAAAGGAGACTACGTTCCCCACATTCTTATTCCCATTGTGGTCATCAAACTCCTGGAGCCAGGTTATCAATGACTGCTGATCATCTATCCCCTGGTTAACTACAAAGACACACGGAGGGTAAAAGTTAAAAATTTTCCATCCTGCCAACATAGTATACACAGAAGTATTTTACTGGATGACAATTCTTCATTTTAAAAAATGGACATCTTAAAGGATAGGGATCCCTTCAAACATCATCAGTTCAGTCACCATGAAGGGACAGTGAGCATGGAAACTTGGATTGTGAGTCTGCCCTGCCATTCAATGATTGAGTGATGCTGGGTTTGTCAATTCAGCTTTCTGGTTCTCAGTTTCTTCACCTCTAAAGTGAGTAGAAGGAGTTTAAACTTTTTGTGATTCTTGGATGATATAAATCTCTGTCCAGGGACTGTGAGTCTTCTACATTCTTCCCTTTTGTTTCAGATATGTAAAGACACCCCGCCACACAATCCAAGTGGATCACATTGAGTACATGGATGAGATTGCCATGCCAGCAGGGGTGAAACCCAACCTGCTCTTCCTCTTTCTCTCAGATCCAAAGCTGGCCATGGAGGTTTTCTTTGGCCCCTGCACCCCATACCAGTACCACCTCCATGGGCCCGAGAAATGGGATGGGGCCCGGAGAGCTAACCTGACCCAGAGAGAGAGGATCATCAAGCCCCTGAGGACTCGCATTACTAGTGAGGACAGCCACCCATCCTAACAGCTCTCTTGGATAAAGATGGCCCCAGTGAGCCTGGCATTTCTGGCTGCTGGCTTGGCATACTTTCGATATACTCCTTACGGTAAATGGAAATAAATGAAAGAACACTGAGGGGGAAAAGCATGGAATAGTTTCTACTCATCCTGATCGTTATATCTTTTAAAGTCAATAGCATATGTCCAATATTATTTAGTACTACTATAACTGCCATAAGGAAATGTTTAGATAGACTTTACAAGTAGATTTATTATTTTTAAAATGGGTATAATTATATATATTCATAATGTTATGAATGCACAAGAAAATCTTATTTTAAAAAAATCCTGTTTAAGCCTTAAAAATGATGCTGCAACACAGAGTATACTTAAATTGTTTTCATTAAGCTGAATTCTTCTTGTAGAAATTTACCCATGGTGAAACCCTGTCTCTACTAAAACTACAAAAAATTATCTGGGTGTGGTGCTGGACACGTGTAATTCCAGCTACTTGGGAGGCTGAGGCAGGAGAACGGCTTGAACTTGGGAGGCAGAGGTTGCAGTGAGCTGAGGTAGTGCCAGTGCACTCCAGCCTGGGCGACACAGTGAGACCCTGTTATCAATAATAATAATAATAATAAAATAAATAAAAATAAATTTACACATAAAGTTTTGCTTTTTCACTGATTTTATTTTTAACCTTAACCTTCCTTTCGGGAGATTCTATAAAGTTCTCACTCAGAAACGAAAGTTCATTTTACAGCATAGAAGTTGAGAAACACACATTTAAATGTTTTAGGTTTTAATTTACTAGAAACAAATAAAAATGCTTTTCTTTTCTTTTCAATTCATTCACAAATTATTCTTTTGAAGAAACAACTAAAGAAAAAAGTGCAATATATTTCAGAAGTTTTAATGATTTAATTATTCTAAACTTTTAATATTTAGCACAAAGCAGTCACTATATTCTATTAAGCTAAAGCTATGTGGATATCTAAGTAACAAACTCAACGGCATGCTGGCTGACATGGTAACTTTGCCTGGCTTTTGAGGTGATCCTGTCCCTATGTAGAAGAGGTGACTTCCACACTGTTGTGATTTCGAGGATGCCAGAAGAATTCTCTGCCCCAAATGCCTTCTCCCCCGACTGACTATGTGAAATCCTCCAAAGACTCAGCCTATTATTCAAGAAAGGGGTGTTCTTCCTGTCCCCCAGTTAAAATCAAAACCACCATGGAATGAGAGTGTGAAAACTGAGTAGGGTGAGGGATGGGAATTGAGCAGCCTGCACAGCTGTAGCATTAAGAAGAAACATTGGTAAAATATACTAAAAACATCATAAAGAGATTTAGATATTTACTAATGTCTCATAATGATAAACTGGACATTTATTACACACAGCAAAACTTTATTACACACAGTAAAAAAAAAAAGTCTCTCCACATCTCTCTCAGTAACTCAAGTAGAATGGTGGCTGCCTTATCCCACAATACATGCATGAGCACCTCAGAATGATAAGAACAACATTACTACGAACAATATAATTACTCACAACTGTTTAAACAACTAATGCTCAGAACCTGTGATTATGTTACCACCCATGGGAAAAAAAAGAGTGACTTTGAAGACGTGATTAAGATCAGGATCTTGAGATGGTGACATTATCCTGTATGACCAAGGTGGGCCCAGTGTAATCACAGGGGTTCTTAAATGGGAAAGAGGGAGGCAAGAGAGTCAAAGGAGATGTGGCAAAAGAAGCAGAGGTCCGGGGAGGCCATTGCTGCCTTTCAGGAGGCAGAGGACCATGAGTCGGGGAATGCAGGCAGCCTCTAGAAAATAGAAAAGGAAAGGATCAAATTATTCCCTACAGCTTGAACACAGCCTTGCTGACACCTTGGTTTTAGCCTAGTGAGACTACTGACCTCCAGAACAAGAGAATACATTTGTATTGTCTAAGTCACTAAATTTGTGATAATTTGTTATAGCATCAATCAGAAATTGATATACTTCCTAAGTGTAGAAAGACAGTTAAAAACTGGAACAAAAATGTTAAGACCATTGGTTTAAAAAACAATGCTTATGTTTATAATTGTTGTACTTTAGTGACCATAAAGAATGTGACTTAATCTGAAAAATAAAAAGCCTTCAAATGCCTTCGTTTTATAGTTTTTTCCTTCATGCTTTGTTAGCATGTTTTTTTACACTGGATTCTATAAGCATCATCCCACTGGTCAGTAAAGCTCAAATTAATATGGGTAAATTAATATGTGTTAAACTTTTTTCCAGACTAAAAGTAGACTAAATTTGGTATAGCAAATAATGAAGCATTTCAACATATATTATCTAGTTTAATCATATTGTAGGAGGATGAGCAATGGTTTTTTTCCCACTTTAATCTACTTTTTAATACGTGAATGAACAACCACCTTGTGGGAAAAAAGCAGAGGCTTAGAGATGGTTAGAAAATATGGCTAAAGGTGGAATCTTGGACTTTTTTTTTTTTTTTTTTGAGACGAAGTTTTGTGTTTTGCTCTTGTTGCCCATGCTGGAGTGCAATGGCGCAATCTTGGCTCACTGCAACCTCTGCCTCCTGGGTTCAAGAGATTCTCCTGCTTCAGCCTCCCAAGTAGCTGGGATTACAGGCGCCTGCCACCACGCCCAGCTAATTTTTGTATATTTAGTAGAAACGGGATTTCACCATGTTGACCATGCTGGTCTTGAACTTCTGACCTCAGATGATCCACCCACCTCAGCCTCCCAAAGTGCTGAGATTACAGGCGTGAGCCACTGCATTTGGCCCTTTCTACATACAGTCTATCACACAGTACCAGCTGCTTCACTTTACATGGGTATGTTTTGGTACTCTGCAGAAATTCATCTGCCCGCTCTCCCCTAATCTTCTAAACAGATCTGCAACTTTCAACCAAATTACAGAGTGCTTTTTTTAATTTAGAATTTTTTCATGGTAGCTTACTTTTTTATTATTGCTTTCTTTGCTGTACAATGTGGGTTTATGTAATACATAGTTCACATATTTAAAAACGAGGTATACTGAAACAATGTATCAATGCTGACTACTTTGATACATAGTACATGTTCCAAGAGCAAGGTGTAGTCAAATGCATCCTAATTCATGAATACCAATTTATTTTGTAATAATACATGTGTTTCAAGAACAAGATGCTTTCGGATGAACCCTAACTCATGAATGTTAATTGCTTTTTAATATTACAAGCCCCACAAGAACAGAGTATGCCTGGATTAGCCTCCTCTGTGAGTGAGCCTCATTCTCACACCCACTTATTTCCTAAATATTGATGATCCAAGCGTCTATCATTCCCTCCTTCCAAGGGTTATTTCATTCAGGTACAATCTTGCGCTGCAACCTAATTTCCATATCTTCATCTTTCAGTGTAGACTTCTCTCCTGAGCTACAATCTCATGTTTATTCCTGTCTTCTACAAAAGCATCTCAGACTCTCATTTTTAAAACTGAACTCATTTTATTTCCAAAGAAACTGCTCTTCTCCCACACTCCTTATCTTAGCTCATATCAAAAATCTAAAAGTCCTATTATACTCCTTTGTCTCTTGTAATGGGCTGTAAGTTTCTGATGCCTGCTGATGCTACCTTCTGCACATCTCTAAAGTCTGTCCCATCCTTTTCAAGCTCACTGCCATTGTTTGAGTTCAGCTTATGATTTCCCATCTCGACTATTGAAATAGACTCCTTATCCAAGCCCATGCCATCTGTCTAGCCTCCCTCCAATTCATCCTCCACAACAACACCGTGGTTAGATCTAGAGGGAAAATCTGATCCTCTTCCTCCTTACATCCCCTTCAGCCAGGACAGACAGTACCCTTCGAGAATTTCCCTGCACCGACACTTCCAGCCTTGCTCCCAGACACCTGGGATAAGCCTACACTCCAGGCATACCAGCTGCTTCTAAGTCCCTGAATAGGTCACGTTCATGTTGACTCCACATCTTTGTACAGACTATTCTGTTTGGAAAATCTTCTTTCTCCTTTTTCTCACTTGTAAGCTGCTATTCAGTCCTTTAAACTTGGCTAAAATTACAACTCCTTTAAGAACTGTTTTCTGGCCTTTACTTCCCTTGCCCCATTAGACAATTGATATGAAATTAAGAAAAAGTAGAAAGATAGAAAAGATTAAAAACCTAGACACTACTGTGTTTTGGGATAATGATAATGGGCTCAAAACAGTGATTCGTTGCTCTACCAGGAGAACAAATAGACATTGCATTACTTAAACCATCTGCAAATGCCCCCAAATCTCTCATTCTGTTAATGTGTCTCTGTTAGGTTTCCATCACTGTTGTAATAAATTATCACAAACCTAGTGGCCTAAGGCAACATGAATTTATTATCTTTTATTTCTGGAGGTCAGAAGTCTGAAATCAGTTTCACTGGGATAAAATTAAGATGTCAGCAGGACTACATTTTTTCTGGGAGGTTCTAGGGGAGAATCTCTTCCTTACCTTTTCCAGTTTCTGGAGACTGCTTGCATTCTTTGGCTCATAACCCTTTCTCCATGGGCAAAGCCAGCAGCATCTTTTTTTCTCTCTGACTTTTGCATTATCTTTACGTCTTCTTTCGCTAACTCTGATCCTCCTGCTTCCTTCTTATAAGGACCCATGTAATTAGATTAGACCCACCTAGATAATCCAAGATAGTCTCCCCATCTCAAGATTTTTAACCTAATCACATCCTCAGTCACTTTTGCCATATAAGGTGGTATATTCATAGGTTCTGAAGATTAGGACATGGATATCTTTTGGAGGTCATTATTCAATGGTATGAATTATATATATGTATATATAATTCACAATATAATATATAATGATGAAAGAATTATATATTGTTATAAAAATATATCACTATATTCTATATGAATCATAATTTATATGTAGAATACATGAATTCATATACATTATATGTGAATTATATATAAATATATACTTATGAATGGATTATATATACATATAATTCTTACTGTTGAATAATGGCCTCTAAATATATACATATATACATATGAGCAATTCATTTTTCCTGGTAATTAACAATTTAAAAACTGAAACAGAATGGCAACAAAGAGGAAAATATGGTAATGGCTTTGCTTAAAAATGTCTCCATAAATCACAAGCCAAATTCAGGAAAAAGATTGTACATATTTTCTGACATAGGAAAAGCAAAGGAAAGAAATGGATACTGCCATAAGCTACACTAAACATCATTTCTTAAATGCTAGCAAAACATATCTCCACAGGAACCTTGCCTCCAGAATAACTAAGCCCGGAAAAACAAAGAGAAGTTGAGGGAGCCTCGACTGCTAGCTATAGTTGCTAAATGAGGGTAGAAAACAGGGTTAGTAATGGAGAATTGGAAATACCATGAGGATTTCCTTTAGAGGCTATGATGAGAATTTGTAGATGCAAAGAAAAAAAAAACACTTTAGGTGGTGAAGGAGAATTTTAAGTAACAAAAGGGTGGCTTAACTTTATTAATACTTAATTATATTACTCCAATTCCCCTGCTTCTTTCCAGTAACAGTGTTGACCCCAGCCCCAGAATATGGTCTCCAGCTGTTTTCCCTATTCCTCTTAGATTTTGTCAAGTTAATATGCATATGCAAAATCAAAACAACTCCCCCAGTTTCCTCCTTCCCATAGCCCCTCTGCCTATTCCCCAACTCGCCTTCCTATGAGAACACCAATGCTGAGACCTTCCTGTCCTCATTTAGAGGTATCAGCTCCAGTTTACACT
Organism: Homo sapiens; assembly: GCF_000001405.40. Classification (NCBI taxonomy): domain Eukaryota; kingdom Metazoa; phylum Chordata; class Mammalia; order Primates; family Hominidae; genus Homo; species Homo sapiens. The sequence goes on from NC_000001.11 coordinate 166,637,158, forward strand.
CATGGAATCATATCAGAAAAATTGATGGGTCACTTTTTCACAAAGAATTCTGAAGCTTTATTCAGGTATCCACATATAGAACATTAAACTCTGACCTTCTGGAGGACAAGGACTTTGTTTTATTCATTGTTTTACATCCAGCTTCTAAAACAATGACTAGTATATAGTTCTTTAATGCTCACTATCAAAATTAAGAAGACTAGATCTCAGCTGGCCTCCATCCCCGATTTGAACCTATCATTATCAAATCATCAGGAAAATAAATGACCTTTAGAACAGCACTTGTTACCCTCAGTTTCAAGGGGTGAACTCCCAAGAAAGCAGCATCAACAAGTGACATGCCATTGGGCAGTGGCATCAGGAAATTCACCAGGGAGAAAACCAGGCAGTCTGAGAAGATGTTAACAATACAAAAGCTGAGATCTAATACAGGAGGATTAAAATAATTGAATACTGGTTTTTATTCTAGTTAGGAATTATTTAAAATTTGAATAAAATGCATTAAATTATATAAAATTCATGTATTTACCATGAGAGTTAGAGTTAGAAAATGGAAATGGTATTCTGGAGCCAAGATGGCTGACTTGAAGCAGATAGTGTGTGCTGCTCTTACTGAGAGAAGAAGGAGTGGTGAGTAAAGACTGACTCTTTGACTGGAAAGTCCAGGTGGAAGCATTGGGATTCATCAAGAAATCAACTCGACTCACAGAGAACGGAGAGGAATGAGACAGGACAACTGCCTACCTGGGACTAGCACAGAGTCAGAGGAGTCCCCCCACCACTACTAAAGAGAAATGATAAGTGAGTGGGAGTTCCGGGGGACCCATACTTCTGCCATGGACCTGTGCAAACCTGGGCTCAGGAGATCCCCCCATAAGTCCACTCCACTGGGGCCTTCAGACTGACATGGAGAGCTATATGGAGTCTGGGCAGAGCCACCACTCAGGTACATGCAGAGTCCCAGCAGCCTTGGATTCCCAGGCATCCAGGCATTAGTGGCTGTAGCTCCAGCAACAGAGGAGGTCAGTCTCCCTCACATGCCCTCAGGAAAAGGGCCAAATTCAGGGCCTGAGCAACAATGGACTGCAGGCTTTGCTTCCACTGCTTCTCACAGTATAAGACCCACTGTCCTGGGGTTCCAGCCACCCCGCTACCTGGGATCCTGGGCCAGTAGCAACTCTGTACTTCCCCGGGGTGGAGCTTCCAGAGGGAGATGCGGGCCGCCATATTTGCTGCCCCATAGCCCTGGCTGCTGTTGCCCTCAGGCTCTGGATAGCATGTGGTGATTAGGGACTGGTGCAGATCCCCAGCATAATACAGCCACCTGACAGAAAAGTGGCTGGACTGTTTTCCACACGAGTCCCCCATCTTTCTTCTCTTCACTAAGTGAGACTTTCCAACCTGGGACTACAGCACAACTACCCTGCCCCAACTGGAACACTTCAGTCAGAGGTGGCTCTGCAGTTATCTGTGGAGGAAATTCCAGAGACAACTCACAACCCCTCTGCCACAGCAGCTGCAGTGGTACTGTCTTAACTGCCCTTGGGCTGGGGAAGGAACAAAGGGACTTGTTACTACTGGTTCTCCAAGCTCACTCAATCAGACAAAAATAAAGAGAAAACAATAAAGAAGAATGAACAATGGCTCTGAGACATAGAGATTATGTAAAGAGACCAAATCTATGATTCATTGGCATCCCTCAAAGAAAGGGAGAGAAAACAAGCAACTTGGAAAACATATTTTAGGATGTTGGAAAACATCCCCAACCTCCATAGAGAGGCCAACATTCAAATTGAGGAAATGCAGAGAATCTTTGCAAGATACCGCACAGGAAGACCATCTCCAAGACACATAATCATCAGGTTTTCCAAGGATGAAATGAAAGAAAAAATGTTGAAGGAAACTAGAGAGAAGGGATAGGTCATCTACGAAGGAAACCCCATCAAGCTAACAGTGGACATTTCAGCGGAAACCCAACAAACCAGAAGAGATTGGGGGCCTATATTCAGCAAATTTAAAGAAAAGAATTTCCAACGGAGAATTTCCAACCAAGAATTTCCTATTTAGTCAAACTAGGCTTCATAAGTGAAGAAGAAATAAGATCCTTCTAAGACAAGCAAATGGTAAGAGATTTCATTACCACCAGACCTGCCTCACAAGAGGCTCTGAACATGGAAGGAGAGACTGTTACTGGTACTAAAAAAAAACACACTTAAGTATGTACACCAGTGACACAATAAAGCAACCACACAAAAAAGTCTGCATAATAACCAGCTAACAACATGATGACAAAAACAAATCTGCACATATCAATACTAAACCTCAATGTAAATGGTCTAAGTGCACCAGTTAAAAGGCACAGAGTGACAAGTTGGATAAAGAATCAAGACCCAACGGTATGCTATCTTTAACAGACCCATCTCAAAGGCTGGGTCCGGTGGCTCACACCTGTAATCCCAGCATTTTTGGAGGCTAAGGCGGGTGGATTACCTGAGGTCAGGAGTTCAGGACCAGCCTGGCCAATGTGGTGAAACCCATCTCTACTAAAAAATACAAAAATTAGCCAGGCCTGGGGGTGGGCACCTGAAATCCCACCTGCTTGGGAGGCTGAGACAGGAGAATTGCTTGAACCTGGGAGGCAGAGGTTGCACTGAGCTGAGATGGTGCCATTGCACTCCAGCCTGGGTGACAAGAGCGAAATTTCATCTCAGAAATAAAAGAGACCCATCTCATATGCAATGACACCCATAGGCTCAAAGTAAAGGGATAGAGAAAAATCTACCAAGCAAATGGAAAACAGAAAAAAGCAGAGGTTGTTATTTCAATTTTAGACAAAACAGACTTTAAAACAACAAAGATCAAAAGAGACAAAGAAGGGCATTATATAATGGTAAAGGGTTCAATTCAACAAGAAGACCTGACTATTCTAAATATATATGCACCCAACATAGGAGCAACCAGATTCATAAAGCAAGTTCTTAGAGACCTATGAAGAGACTTAGATAACCACACAACAATAGTGGGAGTCTTCAACATCTCACTGACAATATTAGGCAGATCATCAAAGCAGAAAACTATCAAAGATATTCAGGACTGAACTAGACACTTGACCAAATGAACCTGATAGATATCTACTGAACTCTGCACCCAAAGACAACAGAATATACATCGTTCTCATCTGCACATGGCACACACTCTAAAATTGACCACAAAATCAGATATAAAACAATGCTCAGCAAATTAAAAGAAACTGAAATCACATCAACCACACTCTTGGAATATAGCACAATAAAAATAGAAATTGAATTTAAAAAATCACTCATAGAATTACATAGAAATTAAACAACCTGCTACTGAATGACTTTTGGGTAAATAATGAAATTAAAGCAGAACTCAAAAAATTCTTTAAAACTAATGACAGCAAAGATACAACATAGACTCCCTAGGACACAGCTAAGGCACTGTTAAGAGGAAAGTTTATAGTACTAAACACCAACATCAAAAAGTCAGAAACATCTTAAATTAACAATCTAACATTACAACTAGAGGAACTAGAAGAGGAAACTAACCCCAAAGCTAGCAGAAGACAGGAAATAACCAAAATCAATTCTAAATTGATGGAAATTAAGATGCAAAAAAAAAAAACCATAAAAAAGGTCAGTGAATCCAGGAGTTGGTTTTTGAAAAAATTAATAAGACAGACAGACCATTATCTAGATGAATGAAGAAAAAAAGATAAGATCCAAATAAACACAATCAGAAATGACAAAGGAGACATTACCCCTGACCACAAAGAAATATAATAGTAAAAAAAACTAAAGAGACTGCTACAAACAACTCTGTGCACGCAAGCTAGACAACCTGGAAGAAATGGACAAATTCCTATACACATGCAACCTCTCAAGACTGAACCAGGAATAAATTCAATCTCTAAACAGACCTATAATAACAAGTTACAAAATTGAATCAGTAATAAAAAGTCTGCCAAAAAAAAAAAAAAAAAAAAAGACACAGGACCAGGCAGATTCATAGCTGAATCCTACCAGATGTATAAAGAAGAGATGGTACCATTTCTACTGAAACTATTGAAGAAACTGTGGAGGAGGGACTCCTCCATAACTCATTCTATGAAGCCAGCATCATCCTGATACCAAATGCTGGCAGAGACGAGGGAAAAAAAAAACTAATTTAAGCAAACTAATTTAAACTTCATGTGGAACCACAAAAGAGCCTGAATAGCCAAAGCAATCATAAGCAAAAAGAACAAAGATAAAGGCATCACCAAAATAGATGGTACTGGTAAAAAAAAAAAAAAAAAAAAAAAAAAAAAAAAAAAAAGACAGGCACATAGACCAATGAAACAGAATAGAGAACCCAACAATAAAGCCACACACCTACAGTCATCTGATCTCCCACAGGGCCAACAAAAATAAGATTAAGGAAAGGACTTCCTATTGAATAAATGGTGCTGGGATAGCCGGCTAGCCAATATGCAGAAGAATGAAACTGGACCCCTACCTTATACCACATACAAAAATTAACTCAAGATGGATTAAAGACTTATTTATTTATTTATTTTAAGACAGAGTCTCCCTCTGTGGCCCAGGCTGGAGTGCAGCGACATGATCTCAGCTCACTGCAACCTCTGCCTCTCTAGGTTCAAGTGATTCCCTTGCCTCAGCCTCCCAAGTAGCTAGGATTACAGGCACCCACCACCATGCCCAGTTAATTTTTGTATTTTTTGTACAGACAGGGTTTCACCATGGTGGCCAGGCTGGTCTAGAACTCCTGACCTCAAATAATCCTCCTGCTTCAGCCTCCCAATGTGCTGGGATTACAGGCATGAGCCACCGCACCTGCCCAGATTAAAGGTTTAAATGTAAGACTTCAAAATATAAGAATTCTAGAAGAAAACCTAGGAAACACCATTCTGGACATTGGCCTTGGAAAAGAATTTATGAATAAGTCCTCAAAAGCAATTGCAACAAAAATAGAAATTGACAAGTAAGACCTAATTAAACTAAAGAGTTTCTTCACAGCAAAAGAAATCATCAACAGAGTAAACAGACAACTTACAGAATGGGAGAAAATATTCAAAAACTATGCACCTGTTAAAGGTATAGTATCCAGAATCTATAAGGAGCTTAATTCAATAAGCAAAACCAAATAAGCCCATTAAAAAATAGGCAAAGGACATAAACAGACACCCATCAAAAGAAGACATACAAGTGTTCAACAAACATATGGAAAAATGCTCAACATCATTAATCATCAGAGAAATCCTAATCAAAAACACAATGAGATACTATCTCACCCCAGTCAGAATGGCTATTAATAAATATTTTTTAAAAAACAGATGCTAATGAGACTGCAGAGAAAAGGGAATGCTTATATGCTATTGGTGGGAATGTAAATTAGTTCAGCAGTGTGGAAAGCAGTTTGGAGATTTCTCAAATAACTTAAAATAGAATTACCATTCAACCCAGCAATCCCATTACTGGGTATATATCCAAAGGAAAAAAAATCTTTCTACCAAAAATACACATGCACTTGCATGTTCGAAACAGCACTACTCAAAGTAGCCCATTAACAGTGGGACAGAACAAAGAAAATGTGGTACATATATACCATGGAATACTATGCAACCATAAAAAAGAATGAAATCGTGTCCTTACAGCAAATGGATGCAGCTGGAGGCTAGTAACCTAAGCAAAATAATGCAGGAACAGAAAACCAAATACTGCATCTTCTTATTTATAATTGACAGCTAAACACTGGGCACTCATGGACGTAAAGATGGCAACAATAGACAATGCCAATTACTAGATAGAAGAGGGAGGAAGGGAATCAAGGGTTGAAAAACTAACTTTTGGGTACTATGCTCACTTCCTGGGTGATGGATTCAATTGAACCCCAACCTCAGTATCACACAACATACCCTTGTAACAAACCTGCACATGTACTCCCTGAACCTAAAATAAAAGTTGATTTTAAAAAAAAAAAAAGAATCTCCCAACAAAGTAAGGCCCAGAATCTGATGGATTCAAGCCAAATTCTGCCAAATGTACAAAGAAAAACTAATATTAATCTTCCTGAAATTATTAGAAATAATCAAAAAGAAAGAAATGATCCCTAACTGATTCTATGGGATCCACACTACTTTGATATCAATGCCAGACAAGGATACATCAAAAAAAGAAAACTACAGGCTAATATCCCTAATGAGCATAGATGCAAAAATCCTCAACAAAATACTAGCAAACAAAATACAACAGTCCTTCAAAAAGATAACACACCATGATCTGGTGGGATTTATATCAGAAATTTGAGAATAGTTCAACATTTGCAAATCAATAAACATAAAACCTCACATCAACAGAATGAAACACAAAAACCATATTATCATCTCAGTAGATTCAGAAAAAACATTCAATGTGATTCTACATCTCTTCATGATAAAAACCCTCAACAAGCTAGGCATTGCAGGAACATACCTCAAAATAAGAAAGGCCATATATGACAAACCCACACTTAACATCATACTAAATGGGGAAAAGTTAAAAGCCTTTCCTCTAAGAACTGGAATGAGACAAGGATGCCCACTTTTATTATTCCTATTCAACATAGCCCTGAAAGTCCTAGCCAGAGCAGTGAGGCAAAAGAAAGAAATTAAAGGCAGGTAAATTGGAAAAGGGGAAGTCAAACTCTCCCTCTTAATTGATGATATAATCTTATATCTAAAAAATCCTAAAGATTCCACTGAAAAACTCTTAGATTTGATAAATAAATTTAATAAAGTTGCAGGGTAGAAAATCAATGTACAAAAACCATTAGTATTTCTATACATCAGTAAGAATCTAGCTGAGAAAAAAATCAAGAAGGCAATCTTGTTTACAATAGCTAAAAAACAATAAATAAAATACCTAGGAATACATTTAACCAAGGAGGTGAAATATATCTACAAGGAAAACTACAACAACTAATGAAAGAAAATGAAGATGATACAAACAAATGAAAAAACATTCCGTGCTCATGGATTAGAAGAATTTATATTGTCAAAATGACCATATTACCTAAAGCAATCTACAGATTCAATGCAATCCCTATCAAAATACCAAGATTGTTCTGCTCAGAAATAGAAAAAAACAATTCTACAATTCATGAGGAATAAAAAAAGAGCTCAAATAGCCAAAAACAATTCTGAGCAAAAAGAACAAAGCTGAAAGCATCATGTTACTTGACTTCAAAATATATTGCAAGGCTATAGTAACCAGCAGGGTATTAGTATAAAAATAGATACATAGACCAATGAAACAGAATAGATAATCCAGAAATAAAACCAGATATTTACAGCCAATTGATCTTTGACAAAGTTGGCAAGAACTTATGCTGGGGAGAGGACACCCTTTTCAATAAGTTGTGCTGGGAAAATTCAACAGTCACATGTAGAAGAGTAAAACTGGACCCCTATGTCTCGTCATATTAAAAAAATCTCAAAATCTATTGCAATCTTAAACATAAGACTCAAAAGTATAAAAATGTGAGAAAATCTAGGGAAAAAAATCCCTGAACATTTGTCTAGGCAAATAACTTATAACTAACAGCTCAAAAGCACATTCAACGAAAACAAAAATAAACAAATGGAGCTTAGTCAAACAAAAAAGCTTCTTCACAGCAAAAGAAGTAATCAATAGAGTGAAGAGATAATCTGTTGAATGGGAAAAAATATTTGCAAAGTATTCATCCAACAGGGGACTAATATTCAGACTATACAAGGAACTCGACAGGAAAAAAATCCCATTAGAAAGTGGGCAAGGGACATAAATTGACATTTCTTGAAAGAAGACATACAAATGGACAACAGGTGTAAGAAAAAATGCTCAACATCACTGATCATCAGGGAAATGCTACTCAAAATTGCAATCAGATATTATCCTACCCCAGTCAGAATGGCTAGTATTAAAAATAAATAACATGTTGGCAAGGATGTGGAGAAAGGGGAACTCTTATACACTGTTGGTGGAAATGCAAACTGCTACAGCCACTATAGAAAACAGTTTGAAGGTTTCTCAGGAAACTAAAAATAGGATTACCATTGCACCCAGCAATCCCACTACTGGGTATCTACCCAAAGGAAAAGAAATCAATGTACCAAAAGGATATCTGCACTTGTTTGTTTGTTTCAGAACTATTCACAAGAGCTAAGATAATGGAATCAACCTAAATGTCCATCAAGAGATGAATGGATGAAGAAAATGTGGTATATATACAAAAGGAAATACTATTCAGCCATAAAAAAGAATGAAATAATGTCATTTGCAGAAACATGGATGGAACTGGAAGTCATTATCTTCAGTGAAATAAGCCAGGCACATAAAGACAAATATCACATGTTCTGACTTATATGTGGGAGCTAAAAAAAATTAGAACACATAGAGGTAGGGAGTGGAAAAAATAGATAATGGAGACCGAGAAGGGTGAGTGATGTGGGGAGGATAAAGAGAAGTAAGTTAAAGAGTACAAACATACAGTAAGATAGAAATAAATTCAATGCTTGATAATAGATTATTATATATGGGATTAGTATATTTAACAAAAATATTTTGTACTCAGATGATGCACACCCTGAATACCATGTCTTGATCACTGTGCATTATATACATGTAACAAAATTTCTTATGTGCCCCATAAATGTGCGCAAATTTAAAAACATTACTTGGGGGTGTTGGTGGTAATCAATTTAGTTCAGCATAATTATTTGACTGTATGATTTTCAAGTTACTATAGGCAATTCAAATTTTGATGGGAATTTTAGGGCATATTAATGATACAGCAAATGAAACTTTATAGAATTTTAGTTAAATACCATTTTAACAGGTAGATATATCGTTTTGTGTGTAAAGACATTTTTGGAGAATCTTTGGGACTAAATATGTTAAATTCGGGGACATTTGTTAAGTGATTTTTGTAGATTGTATTAAATGGAGCAAAGGAGTCAAAATCAGTGGGAAAGTTGTGACATTGTCATTAAATTGATAAATGTATATGGATAAATAATTATTAAATATATGCTTTTCATAAAGGTGGCTGTGGGAGATAGTCCATGGGGCACTCACGTCTCACTATGGAAATTCATGTAAGTGAGGGGATCTGGAAGTACCTTGAATTGGACTGATAGTGATTTTAAATGAAATCCCGGAAATAACTCTATCATTCTGTGATAGTGCCATGGTCTGGACCATTGGTTGAAAATTCTGCATTAAATGTTTCTCCATTGAGTTCAAAGATTCGATAAGATTCCTGAGTATGCCTATGTAGAGCAGAGCTTTATGTCTTCTTACATTTTTATAAGTGTTTTCTGTGATTTTGCCATCTACCACAACCACAGCTTACGTACAGTTGAAAACTGTCCAGGATTCATGTGGTTGGACTTATTTCTGTAATGCAACAGACCCCACTGTGATTGCTGAAAAATTGGCAGAAGTGTTTTTCATGTACAAGAATAACTCATCAAGGAGACCATTGTTTCAGAAAAGAATGTCCAAAAGATATGGAAAAGGTAAATTAGAGCTATTTCCATATGTGGAGCAGCAGCTTAAAAGGAAAATCGGCTAATATCCTTCTAGAATATTCCTACTGTAAAATCCCAAGACTATGCCACCACTTCTCGGCTTTGGATTTCTATTTAATGTTATTTATAAATCAAATGCTAAAATAATTTAATTTATCATGAATCTAGTTCTAAAGTATCCTTGAAATTTCCAAGTCAAGGCAGATTACATTAGCAAAGAACTTCAAAGAAGAAGCACAATACCATATGTTAGCTCTTACATGATACCCTCTCTCTTTAACCACAGTTGCACCCTGTCTACTGGTGGTCACAGTCTCTAGGAACAACTCTGAAAGCAGAAGGTAGTAAATAATGTCTTGAGGACTAAAGATTAGTTTGGCTTTATCAATGAAACTCATGTTTATTAAACATACATGGAAAGGAATTCCTCTTTTAAATAAAAAAGGTAAAATTATTATTATTTATTCATATGATTTATTACAATAAGATCTACAGTTTTTATAAGAATATTCTGTAATATCTTTGAAAATAAAATTTTCTAATAAAGCAGAACTGGAGGTCTATCAGAATCTCTTGTGGTACTTTTCCAAACTACAAGAGATTTTCTATCTACTTTACTCCTCAAGAAATTTTGATTTATCTAGATAACTTCTAAGTAGTCTGTCCATATTATTGATGAATTCATTTCAAGAGTGAAGTTGTTAGTACTAACACCAAGACAAAAGGCAAAACCAGGACTAGTCTAGGTAAACCAGGACATGTAGATACTTAGCTTTAAATCCCTTTTGAATTCTAAGGGAGTGGTTCTCAACTCTGTCTGTACATTAAGATCAGCATGACTACCTCTTGAAAATATCAATCTCTGGTCCCTACCAGAAAAACTGAGTCAGATTTTTGTGTGTGAGGAACAGTTATCAGTTCTGTAGGTTATTTTTATATGCAGCCAGAATATCCCACAGTTCTAGGAAAGCCAAGAACAAACAAGAAAGCCTAGCAAGACCTTAAGGAAGAAAAGTTTATGCTATTCATGTAGTGCTATACTGATCAGGATAGGAGATGCCTTGCTGCAATAAAATCCCCAAATCTCAATGCTCTAACACAACAAAGGTTTGTTTTTCTCTCATATCATAGTCTAATGTTATTCAAGATGCCCTCCCTGATGGCATGCACCAAGCAATGACTCAAGGACCCAAGCTTCTTCTGAAGGGTATCACTTCCATCTTAAACTAATGGCTTCCATTGCTGAGATAGATGGAAGAGGTAGGGAGAGAATAGATAAGATGAGGGGTTGTCATGCTCAGGCATGGAGTACTTGCATCACTTCTGTACATATCCAGTTGGTCCAAACCTAGTCACATGGCCACAATTTAAGAGCAAAACAAAACAAAACAACAATCCCTAGGAAATATAATCTTCCTGTGTGCCCAGGAAGATGAAAAGGATATAAAATTTTAATAAACACATTGTATTGCCTGTCACAAGTACTTGGAAATCTTTAGAATTGACAGAAAAGTCTGAACTCCCATTCCTCCCTCCAGATATTTATTCAGTCTCTCTTCCTATGTTTTTCCCCTCAACCTATTCCTTAAAGATGGGAAAATCCCAGGCATTAGTCTTTTGTTCTCGTCTCACTTTGCATCCTCTCCCCTAGGTAAACACATCCTCTCCCATGACTTAACATTAACACTTTTTTACTGATAATTCTCAAAACTATGGCTTTAGCCCTGACCATTCTTTGGAGATCAGTCCCATTCTTCTCCCTGCCTGTGGAACAGACACGAACGCCTGGCAAGCTTCCCTCAATTTAGCATGTGCAAAAGTGAACTTAGTCTCAAGTAATGTCACTTTCCCTTCAATCCTATTCACCTTAAATCAACCCCCGAATCTCTCTTTCCCTGCAGCTGCAAAATCCACTTTATCACCAAATATTGTTTATGCAACTTTAGGAGTTTTTCTGTGGTCCATACCACCAGACATTCTTGCCTCAGTTTATTGACTTTGACCGCAGTGGTCGTGTGTACTTTATTTCATCAGCCTTCTACCATGAATTTTGTCATCACCACTAATTACTCCACGTATGAAATCTTAAATGTTAAATAAAAATTCTATTATAATTTGGCTTTCTAGCCTTCCAACTCCTTCTGTGACTCCCTCTACATCTACTCATTACCTTATCAAGGCCTTGTCCTTTTATTCACTCCTTATCAGTCACCTTCTATGCTCACTGTCTCCATACCCTATCCGGACCCTGTGATACACCACTTGATATATCACTTCACTTACCTACTCCCATGTACCCATCATTCTACACCTTGGATCAATATATTTGAATATAATTTCCAGTAGGGCACGAAACATCTGTTTTGGTAACAGCTTTATCTCCAGCATCTAGACTAATGTCTAACACATTGTAGGCATCCAGTAAATGTTGGGTGAATAAGTGAATGAATAAATTCTGAAATTTGTTTTATCCATTCCAGCACCTGACATGCTAAGATTGTTCATTGAAAATTAGTGCCATTACATTTTTAAGGTTTCCAACTCCAGGCAGACCTTTTGATTTATCTTTGATCTGATTTGGGTCCCATTTTCTTGAATAAGTATTCCAAAATCCTTATAATCCTCAGACTCCCTGCTCCATACAACAACAACAAACCCTAAGAAGTACAGTCTTCCTGTGGGCTCAGGGAGAGGAAAACGAAATAGAATGTTTAATAAATAGATTGCACTGCAAATTCAAATTTGAACCCTTCAAGTTCCAATCTTGCACCTATACACTTGTCTGTGCATTACTTCTGAGGTATCTTTCAGGAGATTTCTTTGTTTGTTTGGGTTTGTTTTGGGTTTTATGGGGGCAAGTAATTGAATCTGACTCTTGTTGGCTGATTTATATGGGGATATTAATTGGAAAGCTATTGGTTAGCTTACAGGATGAAAAAGAACACAGAGGGTCTGGTTAAAGAAAAGCAGGAACCAGAGTAATTCCAGGAGACCAGATAATGGAATCACTGACCTCTCCAATTGCCTTTCTGAGGAGCCTCCTTATTTTTCCCTCTACCCCAGTGGATATGATGGATGTATGTTTGATCTCATCCTTGTTGCAAGCCTGAATTCTATCTGGCCTTTGTTACTCAAAGTTTACCTCAATTTTATCTTTTTCAGTCATGAGTGAGAAATTTTTTTCTCAATTTTTCATTTCCTGAATTCTGGGATTCTCTCTAGTCCTTTTTATTATTGTTTGAAAGAAAATCAGTTCTTTCTGAGCTCATCTATTTCTTTAATACCTTATCAGTTGGCAGCCAACTAATACATTAACTAATGAATTATTTTTCCAGACTCTTCCCCTAGAGCTATAAGTATATTAAATATAATATCTGCCTTCTATTGTAACAATAGTTCCACAAAAAAATTATTTAGTTCATAACACAGATGGTCATTCTGCCAGCCTCCATATCAGTGTCCTTACCATCTGCTAGCTGAATACTAAGCCAATACCACATATTTTAGGATTTTGTTGCAGCAGCACCCAACTTCCAAGTACCATTTTCTGTAACAGTCAGAAAGTTTAGGTTAAAGCTTCAGTAACAACTTCAAAATTTCATTAGCTTAAAACAAGATTTATACCTTGTTAAAAGGAATTGAAGCTATCTCATTTATGCTTCATGTCATCCTTACTCTAAAATCCAGGTGGACAAAGCAGTCACTAACTGTAGCACTCAACATTTGCAGAGGATATTGTGAGTTGTATACTGGTTCACTGGTCAAAACATGTCACATGGCCATGCTTAACTTCAAAGAGGGTGAAGAAGTGAAATGTGCCAGGTTTCCAGAAGGCAGAGAGCCAGGAATATTGGAAGAACAGCATTAATGACTTCCATGCCATATTTCTTGTTAATCTACTCAAGATTCAAAGACCCAGGAAAGAGAATGAGATCAGCTTAATGGGCTTGGCTGGAACATGGCAGCCCAGGAGTCTGACATTTCCATTGAGACCACACACAATGGAGAAGAGATTGTTTCCCAAAAGGAAACCAGAATGTTTCACCAAAGGGAAATTACCTCTCATTTTACAAGAATGAGAGGTAATGGATGCAGGGTAAACAAACAAACAAACAAATGAAATATTACTACATAAATATTGTCTCTATTGACCTCACAAAGAAAATCCTTCATTCTTTTGAAACAATTCTCTCTCATGTCTCCCTTACAGCCCTCCTCTTGGAAGGTGATGTTCCCCAGAGGTCTTTTTCAGCACTGTTTGCACTTTAAATCCTCTTCCTGGGGATGTCATGGCTTTAACAGGCCCTTCTATGTAGGTGAATATTTCCACTGACCTTGAAATCTATACAATCAACTGCCTACTAGGACACTTTTATCTGTCTGTTACAAAATTATCTAAAATTAAACTCATATCTTACCCTAGTCCAAAATTGCTCTTACTTCCATGTTTTTTATAATGATTGGTGACACAGATTGCCATTTATTATCTTTCATTCAGAAACTTGCAAGCAATCCTAGACACTTTCCTTACCCAATGTGTTGGCATCTTGTTGATTTTACCTCCTAAACATTTATCAGATCTGTCTTCCTCATTCTCACTACAACTTCCTCAGGTGAGTGTGTGTGTGTGTGCATTTGTGTGTGTGTGGTTTGTGTGTGTGTGCATGCACATGCACTTGTGTGTGGGGCATGGTATTTTTTGAATAGCCTATTACATTTTCCTTTTCTGGCCTTGCCGTCTTCACTGAGAAAAAAATTATATTTCAAAGTATTTAATCTGATTGTCATCTCCTACTTTCAATTATCCACTATTTGTAGGAGAATCCCCAACCTCCTTAGTATGGTACATCCCACTCTCCAGTCATGGCTCCCTGCCTCCTCTTCAGTTTCACCTTCTGCTACTTTCCTACCTGCATCTTAGTGTTCACATTTATGAGCACAACATATTCTTCCAGACCTTTATTGCTACCTGCTATGGGCTCCTCTTGAAATTTGATTTTTTTTTAGTCTTATTGGAAAATTTGTAGTGGTCTTTCAAAACACAATTCAGATGTTAAGACCTTCTCTTTCTTTATATATATATATATATATTTTTTATTATACTTTAAGTTCTAGGGTACATGTGCCACAATGTGCAGGTTTGTTACATATATATATATGTGCCATGTTGGTGTGCTGCACCCATTAACTTGTCATTTACATTAGGTATATCTCCTAATGCTATCCCTCAACCGCTCCCCCGCCCCACAACAGGCCCCAGTATGTGATGTTCTCCTTCCTGTGTCCAAGTGTTCTCATTGTTCAATTTCCACCTATGAGTGAGAACATGCAGTGTTTGGTTTTTTTGTCCTTGCAATAGTTTGCTGAGAATGATGGTTTCCAGCTTCATCCATGTCCCTCCAAAGACATGAACTCATCCTTTTTTATGGCTGCATAGTATTCCATGGTGTATATGTGCCACATTTTCTTAATCCAGTCTGTCATTGTTGGACATTTAGTTTGGTTCCGAGTCTTTGCTATTGTGAATAGTGCCGCGATAAACATATGTGTGCATGTGTCTTTATAGCAGCATCATTTATAATCCTTTGGGTATATACCCAGTAATGGGATGGCTGGGTCAAATGGTATTTCTAGTTCTAGATCCCTGAGGAATCACCACACTGACTTCCACAATGGTTGAACCAGTTTACAGTCCCACCAACACTGTGAAAGTGTTCCTATTTCTCCACATCCTCTCCAGCACCTGTTGTTTCCTCACTTTTTAATGATTGCCATTCTAACTGGTGTGAGATGGTATCTCATTGTGGTTTTGATTTGCATTTCTCTGATGGCCAGTGATGATGAGCATTTTTTCATGTGTCTGTTGGCTGCATAAATGTCTTCTTTTGAGAATTGTCTGTTCATATCCTTTGCCCAATTTTTGATGGGGTTGTTTGTTTTTTTCTTGTAAATTTGTTTGAGTTCATTGTAGATTCTGGATACTAGCCCTTTGTCAGATGAGTAGATTGCAAAAATTTTCTCCCATTCTGTAGGTTGCCTGTTCACTCTGGTGGTAGTTTCTTTTGCCGTGCAGAAGCTCTTTAGTTTAATTAGATCCCATTTGCCAATTTTGGCTTTTGTTGCCATTGCTTTTGGTGTTTTAGACTTGAAGTCATGACCTTCTCTTTCAATCATACTCTGATAGAGTCAACCACTCTCTCTTTAGTGCTGCTTCTGTACTTTGTACATATTTCTACTGCATTTATAAAAAGCTGTATTTTCAATCTGTCACAGGAGGAGCCACAGACAGGAACCCCTCAGACACCGAGTTGTAGAAGGAAAGGGCTTTATTCAGCTGGGAGCATCGGCGGACTCACGTCTCCAAAAACCAAGCTGCCCAAGTGAGCAATTCCTGTCTCTTTTAAGGGCTTACAACTCTAAGGGGGTCCAAGTGAGAGGGTTGTGATCAATTGAGCAAGCAGGGAGTACGTGACTGGGGGCTGCCTGCACCAGTAATCAGAACAGAACTGAACAGGACAGGGATTTTCACGATGCTTTTCCCTACAATGTCTGAAATCTATAGATAACACAAGCAGTTAGGTCAGGGGTTGATTTTTAACTACCAGGCCCAGGGCATGGTGCTGGGCTATCTGCCTGTGGATTCCATTTTTGCCTTTTAGTTTTTACTTCTTCTTTCTTTGGAGGCAGAAATTGGGCATAAGACAATATGAGGGGTGGTCTCCTCCCTTAAATCCATGTGTTTGTATGTCTTATCCTCTGCTAGGCTTTGAGTTGCTTAAGGGTAAAAGATGTTTTATCATCTCTTTATCTACATTCCCTAGTGTAATACCTGGTAAACCAGGAAGCATTTAGCAAGTGTTTTTTAAATAAAAGGAATGAGTCCATTAATTAATTTAATCAATTCAAGTGTAGCAGGAGACTAACAGGTGGTTCTTGATCCAGTAATAATCTGTAGAGAATTAACATAGAAAGAAGTAAATGAAGTCGGGGGAAGCCACATGATTTTATAAGTTGAGGTCAAGGCACACTGTGTACAGCACTCCACCTCAGGGACATACCAGAGAGGTGGACATACCAGAAGCCAGGAAATTCAGAAAAGAGTTGGTACCAGAGAGACCTCTCTTCCTGTCAGGACAGTTTTCCTGGGTATTTCCAGTTTGTTCCCACATCCAAGTTCCAGGAATCACTGCCCAAAGCATTCAGTATAAGTGTGATGCAAAATGCTTTACATTCTGTATTTACTGTTTGAAAAATTAGATAATGAGCAACCTGGAAACCAAACAATCATCTTAACTAAGGATGAGCAGGTTGATGCATAGTGCTGCTCTTCCCTTCTCCCACTCTTCCCTCCCAAGTTTTTCTTTAAGCACTCGGTCCCTTCTAGGATTGATATGGGATAAGCATGTTTGTCTAGTTGGCATGAAAATAAAAAGCTGAATTGATCCCCTTACCATTACATAATGGCCTTCTTTGTCTCTTTTGATCTTTGTTGGTTTAAAGTCTGTTTTATCAGAGACTAGGATGGCAAACCTGCCTTTTTTTGTTTTCCATTTGCTTGGTAGATCTTCCTGCATCCCTTTATTTTGAGCCTATGTGTGTCTCTGCATGTGAGATGGGTTTCCTGAATACAGCACACTGATGGGTCTTGACTCTTTATCCAATTTGCCAGTCTGTGTCTTTTAACCGGAGCATTTAGCCCATTTACATTTAATTAATATTGTTAATTACATTTTGTTAATTACATTTAAAAATTAACAAATTAACAATTAAAAATTAACAAATAAATTTTGTTAATTACATTTAATTAACGAAAGTTAATATTGTTATGTGTGAATTTGAGCCTGTCATTATGATGTTAGCTGGTTTGGGTAGGAAGAATCAATATTGTGAAAATGGCCATACTGCCCAAGGTAATTTATTGATTCAATGCCATCCCTATCAAGCTACCAATGACTTTCTTCACAGAATTGGAAAAAAACTAACTTAAAGTTCATATGGAACCAAAAAAGAGCCCGCATTGCCAAGTCAGTCCTAAGCCAAAAGAACAAAGCTGCAGGCATCACCCTACCTGACTTCAAACTATACTACAAGGCTACAGTAAGCAAAACAGCATGGTACTGGTACCAAAACAGAGATATAGACCAATGGAACAGAACAGACCCCTCAGAAATAATGCCGCATATCTACAACTATCTGATCTTTGACAAACCTGACAAAAACAAGACATTAGGAAAGGATTCCCTATTTAATAAATGGTGCTGGCAAAACTGGCTAGCCATATGTAGAAAGAGGAAACTGGATCTCTTCCTTACACTGTATACAAAAAATAATTCAAGATGGATTAAAGACTTAAATGTTAGACATAAAACCATAAAAACCCTAGAAGAAAACCTAGGCAATACCATTCAGGACACAGGCATGGGCAAGGACTTCATGTCTAAAACACCAAAAGCAATGGCAACAAAAGCCAAAATTGACAAATGGGATCTAATTAAACTAAAGAGCTTCTGCACAGCAAAAGAAACTACCATCAGAGAGAACAGGCAACCTACAGAATGGGAGAAAATTTTTGTAATCTACTCATCTTGCAAAGGGCTAATATCCAGAATCTACAATGAACTCAAACAAATTTACAAGAAAAAAACAAACAACCCCTTCAAAAATTGGGCAAAGGATATGAACAGACAATTCTCAAAAGAAGACATTTATGCAGCCAACAGACACATGAAAAAATGCTCATCATCACTGGCCATCAGAGAAATGCAAATCAAAACCACAATGAGATACCATCTCACACCAGTTAGAATGGCAATCATTAAAAAGTGAGGAAACAACAGGTGCTGGAGAGGATGTGGAGAAATAGGAACACTTTTACACTGTTGGTGGGACTGTAAACTAGTTCAACCATTGTGGAAGTCAGTGTGGTGATTCCTCAGGGATCTAGAACTAGAAATACCATTTGACCCAGCCATCCCATTACTGGGTATATACCCAAAGGATTATAAATGATGCTGCTATAAAGACACATGCACACATATGTTTATTGCGGCACTATTCACAATAGCAAAGACTTGGAACCAAGCCAAATGTCCAACAATGATAGACTGGATTAAGAAAATGTGGCACATATACACCATGGAATACTATGCAGCCATAAAAAAGATGAGTTCATGTCCTTTGGAGGGACATGGATGAAGCTGGAAACCATCATTCTCAGCAAACTATCGCAAGGACAAAAAACCAATAGGAGATATACCTAATGCTAAATGACGAGTTAATGGGTGTAGCACAGCAACATGGCACATGTATACATATGTAACAAACCTGCACATGGTGCACATGTACCCTAGAACTTAAAGTATAATAAAAAAAAAAGAAAAGAAAAAGCTGGTTTATCTGTAAACAAACATTTAGCATTTTAGCTACTTCCATGCATGTTTTACAATTCACAAATCTGAAATAACTTAGATTATTCTTTATGAAACTCTCAAACCCAAGAATAGAGTGATAAAAAGCAACACCTTCGAGATATCTCTAGGGAATCCAAACTTAAGAAAGCATAGGCACCTCGCTGGAGCCCTCAGGGTCCCTGCATGGCCTGAGGATAGGTCACTACTCACTCTTGATCTGAATCAACAGATAAATTTCTGCAATCCTAGTCCTTGGAGATTTAGGACATAAGAATCCAGGAACTTTATAGGTAATCATGATACCAATTCTACCCCCAAAATATCTTTCTCAATGGCTAATTTCTAAAATGTTACCATTCAACTTTTCATATGTTAAGTCTCTCTTTCATTATCGGGCAAAGACCTCCCAACCCCAATTGTGGTAGTCTGAATAATGGCCACCCAAAGACATTTATGTTCTAATCATTGAAACCTGTGGCTATGTTACTTTACATTGCAAAAAGGACTTTGTGTGATTAAGTTAAAGATTTGGGGATGGGGAGATTATCCTGGGTTATTCAGGTGGGTCCAAAGCAATCATAGGATTCTTAAAAGAGAGAGGAAGGAAGTTGAATGAGAGAAGGTGATGTGACACTGGAACCAGCCTTTTACAGCTGAAAAAGATGAGAAAATGAATTCTGTCCCAGACCCTCCATTAAGTTTGTGGTGATTTGTTACAGCAGCATATATAAAATGAATATACTGATTTAAACCACAATCATAATTTACACTTTTGTATCTCATTTCCCAGACCGCACTCTGGAGAATTTATTCTAGAGTACTGTAAATTGAAACCATGGGATTATAAAGTGATTCCTAGCAAGTTATGACAATGCTATAGTCTAATCACCACTGTGGATCAATAGCTTTATTGATTCTCTATGTGAACATATATCTGTAAAGATGGGAACCTTACATAAGATAACAGGTTACTGGATCCAGAAGTTGGGGTGTATGGCATAATAAAGCCCCATCTTTGAGACCATTTAATCCCTCATTAAAGGCTTGGGTAAACAAATTTAGTTTTCTAAAACTTTTTAGAAATAACTTATTTGCTCAGAAAAAGACTTGGCTTTATTTCTGGGTATATACACAAAGGAATATAAATTGTTTTATCATAAAGACACACGCATGTGTATGTTCATTGCAGCAGTATTCACAATAGCAAAGACATGGAATCAACCTAAATGCCCATCAGTGGTAGACTGGATAAACGTGGTACATACACACCATGGACTACTATGCAGCCATGAAAAGGAATGAGATCATGTCCTTTGCAGTAATATGGATGGAACTAGAGGCCATTATCCTTAGCAAACTAACACAGGAACAGAAAACCAAATACCACATGTTCTCACTTATAATTGTGAGCTAACTGGGGAAAATAGGTGGACACAAAGAGGGGAGCAACACACTGTAGGGCCTATTGGAGGGTGGAGGGTGGGAGGAGGGAGAATATCAGGAAAAATAACCAATGGGTACCTTGCTTAATACCTGGATGATAAAATAATCTGTAAAACAAACCCCCATGACACAGTTTACCTATATAACAAACCTGCACTTGTACCCCTTAACTTAAAATAAAAGTTAAAAAAAATGACTTCACCTTTTTGCAGCTATTAACATCTCCCAAAGAGATTTCCCTTAATACAATTTTGAAACTTCAGGCATCATGTAAATATGTTAACCCGATATTTTTCTAAAAGAATTTTTCAATAAGGTCACGAGGGAAGGAATGTGAAGGTCAGTCACTCACACAGGTCAGGTGGAAAGGAATAAAAGAATGGTGTAGAGAAGAAGCACAGAGAAACATGAAGTTAAAAGTTCTGAAAATAATCAATTTGGGTTTTATAGTATTCCATCACACCGACTCTGGCCTATGCCTTCAATTTATCAGAGACTGGGTAGGGCTTGGGAAGTTTTGTTGTTACTGTTTCCTGAGTCCTAACGGTTGGAAGTGGATAGTAGTGCATTCCCAGGTCATGGCGGAATTATAGTACCCTGCCAGGATCTTAATCACCTGAGAATCTAGGAGGTCTGGAACCCTGCAACCCTTCAGAAAACATGCCTGTTCACAGTATGCAATAGATAAACAGGACTAATAGGGGGAAAAAAAGACATTTTGTAGGTGTATATTAAAACTACCAACTGTCCTCCATTTATTAATCTATTCTAAGGCATATGAAGAGAGGCAGAAGAGCCCTGAGAATATATTTTCCTTCATAATGTAGGGAAACAATGAAACAATGAGGCAATTCAAAGATCAAGATGAGATTTAAATACTGTATAAAACCTTCACCCATGAAAGACCTTTAAGTGGACAGAATCGCATCTTTTGATTGCTGATTTTATACATCTCTGTTAAGGATAAAAATAAAACATTTTGAAACAGCCCTCTTAGGTGACTGTGGACCAAGGGCACTGAAAACTTTTATCCACCTAGTCCAGACAATATTCCTTCATCACCTTTACACTGAGCTGCTGTATATTGGCAGAAAGTGAATGTCTAACATACTTTCTACTAGAGTCTACTGCTACACCCAGAACTAATGAAACAGTGTGTAGTCCATGATGATTATGTGGATCCTTAATTTCACAAATTTCTCCTAATAAGGTGTGATAGTTAATTTTAGGTGTCACCTTGACTGGATTAAGGAATATGTAGAGAACCGGGAAAGCATTACTTCTGGAAGTGTCTGTGGAGATGTTTCCATAGAATATTGGCCTATGAGTCAGTGGACCCAGTGGAGAAGCTTCACCCTCAATGTGGGTGGGCAGCATCGAATTGGCTGGGGGCCCAGATATAAACAAAAGGCAGACGAAAGGCAAATTCTTTTCCCTCTCTCTTGGAACTCAGACACATTTCATCTGCCCTTAGACATCATAAATCAAGCTTCTCCAGGCTTTGGACCTCAGAACTTATACCAGTGGGCCCCTGGTTTCTCAGGCCTTTGGCCCCAAAATAAGAATTAGATCATCAACCTCCCCAGTTCTGGGGCTTTCAGACTTGTACTGAGCCATGCTACCAGCATCCCAGGGTCTCTCATTTGCAGGCTGTTGTGGGACTTCTCAACCACCATAATTAGGTGAACCAATTCCTCCAATAAATCTCTTCCCCTGTGCCTATATCTATACCTATGACTATATCTATATCTATACCTATATAGATGTAGATAACCTATTCTATTGGTTCTCTTTCTCTAGAGAACACTGACAAACATAGATTGTGGTTCTGGAGGAACAGAATTTTAAGGATGAGTTTCCTACATTGGTTTTGGAGTTTCTGGGACTAGTTCTCTAATCTGATTAGACCTCAAAACGCTAAGAACTCTACTCCTAATAGTACAGAAAACACTAATAGTCCGCGGTGTGAGCTATTATAGAGCTACACAAAATAACTGTATTTGATACTGCTTTTTTTTTTTTGAGAGAGAGAGAGGGTCTCACTCTGTTGCCCAGGTGGGAGTGCAGTGGCACAATCTCAGCTCACTGAAACCTCCGTTTTCTGGGTTCAAGTGATTCTTGTGCCTCAGCCTCCCAAGTAGCTAGGACTACAGGTGTGAGCCACCACACCTGGCTAATTTTTGTATTTGTATTTTTTATATTTTGGTAAAGACAGGGTTTCAACATGTTGGCCAGGCTGGTCTCAAACTCCTGACCTCAAGTGATCTGCCCACCTTGGCCTCCCAAAGTGCTGGGATCACAGGTGTGAGCCAGCATGTATTTGATACTCTTAATCAACCACTTATAAGAGGCAAGGAACTTGATAACTCTTTATATAATACTTTCAAACATTTGTGGAAAATTAAGGAATATAATGACCTTGGTTGGTTACACCTAATGTCACTGAACAAAGTGGTCAAGCTGGAAGGATGGAGATTATGCATGGTTTCAGCAACATGAACTTTCGCTCATCAACAATGACCTGGCTACCTTAATTGCTGAGTATTCAATCTGCCAGCAGCAGAGACCAACACTGAGCCTCTGACATGGCACCATTTCCTGGGGTGATCAGCCAGCTACGTCATGGTAGGTTGATAACATTGGACTGCTTCCATCATGGAAGGAGCAGTGTTTTGTCCTTATTGGAATAGACACTCTCGATATAAATTTGCCTTCCTTGTGCACAATGCTTCTGTCAAAACTACTATTTGCAGACTTATGGAATGCCTTATCCTCCATCATGGTATTCCGCACATCATTGCTTCTGACCAAGGAACTCATTTCACAGCCAAAGAAGTATGCCATGCACTTTTTTGGGAGAAGGGTTCATGCTCATGGAATCCACTGATCTTACCATGTACACCATCATCCTGAAGCAGCAGTCTTCATAGAACAGTGCGATGGTTTCTCAAAGTCACAGTTACTGACAGCTAGGTGACGATACTTCGCAGGGCTGGAGCAAAGTTCTCTAGAAAGCTGTATATGCTCTGAACCAGCATCAAATGTATGGAACTATTTCTCTTATAGCCAAGATTCACAGGTCCAAGCATCAAAGGGAAAAAATGGAAGTGAGACAACTCACCATTACTCATAGTAGACCACTAACAAAAATTCCTGTTCTTGCAACTTCATGCCCTGCTGGCCTACAGATCTTAGCCCTGGAGAGAAATACAACAATGATTCCATTGAACTGGAAGTTAAGCCTGCCACCCAGCCATTTTGGCTTCTCATGTCTCTAAGCCAACAGGCTACAAAGAGATTTAAAGTGTTGGCTGGAGTGATTGACCCAAACCTCCAAAAGGAAATTGGAGTTAAGAAAGAGTATGTCTGGAATATAGGAGATCCCTTAGGGAATCTCTTAGTATTACTATGCCCTGTGATTAAGGTGAAAGGAAAATTACAACAACCCAATCCAGGCAAGACTACAAATGGTCCAAATTCTTCAGGAAAGGTTTGGGCCACCCTACCAGGTAAAGAACCATGGCCAGCTGAGGTGCTTGCTGAAGGCGAAGGAAATACAGAATGGGTTGCAGAAGATAGCTGTAAATACTACCTATGACCACATGACCAGTTACAGAAATGAGAACTGTAATTGTCATGAGTATTTTCTCCCTCTTTTGTTAAGAATACATTTTTATGTATTGCATATATACATATATTAAGCAAATATCTTTGTTTCATTCCTCTTTTTTCTTTATGATATAATATGATTTATTGATTTTATATCAGTATTTAAGCCCTGTTAATTTTACTTCATAGTATTTAAGTTATGTGATATCAGAAGAAGAGTAAACACACCCAGGAACTTTACTTCCTCTTTTAGTGAAGGTATTAGGACATTTTTGGCTGTACACAGGATAGTTGTATCATGTTAGGCTGAACTATTCCTTTTTTATTGCCTTTTTGGAGATTAAATATGGTTTAAGGAGATCTGTATAGGTGCCAACTGGACAATGGATGGACTTGTGATGGTTGATTTCAAATGTGAACTTGACTAAATTAAGTAACACCTAGAGAGCTGATAAAGCATTGTCTCTGGATGTGTCTGTGGCAATGTTTCCATAGAGGCATGGTATATGAGTCGGTGGACTGAGTGGGGAAGATCCACCCTCAGTGTGGTTGGCCACCACCCAATTGCCTATAGCTCCAATAAAACAAAAGGCAGAGGAAAGGCGTATTCTTTTCTCTCTCTCCTAGAGCCAGAACATACTTCTTATGCCCTTGGACATCAGAAGTCCAGGTTCTCCAGCTTCTGGACTCCAGGACTTACACCAGCAGACCCTCACCCAGGTTCACAGGCCTTCAGCCTCAAACTGAGAGTAATACCATTGGTTTCTTGGGTTTTGAGGCTTTCAGACTTACACTGAGCAATGCTACCAGCATCCCAGGGTCTCCATCTTGCAGATGGCCTGTTGTGGAACTTCTCAGCCTCCACTATCAGGTGAGCCAATTCCCCTAATAAATATCCTCTCATATACCTATCTATACCTATATCTTTATATGTGTGTATCTCCTATTGATTCTGTCTCTCTGGAGAATCCTAATAAACAAAGAAAGGAACACGTCACCTAGGTAATGAGAGCAGTGCTTTGTCATCACAGATTCCTGACAAAATTTGTCAAGGGAGCTTCTCTTATGCTAAAGAGCCCCAAAGCGGGGAATTGGAGACAGATCTCCTTCAGAAATGATTTATAACAGTCAAGTGGAAATAGTCTACCTTTATCTGTTGTGATCCCATTCCAAGAAAAAAGGTTGGGTTCTTCTAGGAGCAGGTACAAAGATCCTACCCTTCCATAAAAAACCAGTGGCTGGTTAAGTATAAAAGAGGACTGAGGATGGGAAGGCACACTGGCAACACCAAGGTTCCTCAGGAAGTTGAGAGGGCACCTTGGGGGCATCACAGAAAAGAGGCCAGCAAAGAGAGGAGACTGTCTCCTGCAACTTAGTCACTTGGTACATTAGCAACCCAACCTGAGGGGCTCAGGACAGGAAAATCAACAATGGCACAGCTGCACCCCACAAGAATCTGGGAAGGGGATGATTCCCCCTCCTCAAAGACAGTAAGTTAGATGACCCTTCCTTTGTGACATTACAAGACTGTGGTTAGCTGGGTCTATTGAATTTTCTGCCTTCTTCCATCTTCTACTCCATAAACTTTTATTGCATTGGTTTAACCACTCTTCCAACAGCAACAATATATCCTGAAATTTCAGTAAAAGCTTTGGGAAAGTAAGAATTTTTTTAATAATACTAGAAATCTGGAAAAATCTAAAATGTGCAATATAATGGAAATTTTTGCACCATTAAAATTTATTAATTCATTTAACAAATATTTTTTAGTACCTGTATACAGTTGTCCTTCAGTATTCTCAGGAGATTGGTTCCAGAACTCTCTCAGATACCAAAATCCTGGGATGCTCAAATTTCCTATTTTTTTCTTTTTTTTTTTGAGATGGAGTCTCGCTCTGTCACCCAGGCTGGAGTGCAGTGGCACGATCTCTGCTCACTGCAAGGTCCACCTCCCGGGTTCACACCATTCTCCTGCCTCAGCCTCCCAAGTAGCTGGGACTATAGGTGCCTGCCACCACACCCGGCTAATTTTATGTATTTTTAGTAGAGATGGGGTTTCACCGTGTTGGCCAGGATGGTCTCGATCTCCTAACCTCGTGATCCACCTGCCTCTGCCTCCCAAAGTGCTGGGATTACAGGTGTGAGCCACCACGCCCGGCCTCAAGTTTCTTATACAAAATGGCATAGTATTTGTGTATAACCTACACACATCCTCCCATATACATCCTTCCATATATTTTAAATCATCTCTAGATTGCTTATAATACCTAATACAGGGTAAAGGCAATGTAAATAGTTGCACTGTATTGCGTATTATTTGTATTATTTTTTATTTTTGTATTGTTATTTTTGTTGGGTTTTTTTCTGAATATTTTTGATCCATTGTTTATTGAATCCACAGATGTGGAACCCACGGTTACAGAAAGTCAACTGTGTATGGAAATATATTCACAAAACTGTTAGATGAAAAAGTAGGTTACATGCTATAAGTAGTACATTAAATTTTAAAATACATATAGATTGATAGATACAAATAAGTATACACAGAGAGAGAGAGAAAGAGAAAGAGATGAAATCTAAAACTATATATACTGTATAATCTCTGAGTTGATGAAATAAGCAATTTTTATTTTTATTTTTTCTTTTAATTTGACATTTTATGATTTTCTAAATTTGCAAATATGTATTAACTGTGGGATAGAAAAAAATGGAAAACATTCCTGAGTCCATTGTAATAGTTCATAAGCTATAATAACTGTATGTGAATAGGTAATGTTCTAGATATCAAGTGGATATAAAATTTAAGACAGTGGGAGTTTGTTTTACACCGATTAAATTACTTATTAGCTCCGTTTGTAAATAAACATAGAATATCTACATTAGAAAAGAAAATAAAACTTCCTTGAAGAAAATGCATGTAAAACTGCTATGGATGTGGAGGTACAAGCAATATAAATGTATATTTCTCACTGTTTCTAACTAAGTACAAAATAGACACAGAAGAAAAGTGAGCATTAAAATATAGCATCGGTTTTATTGCCAAAAGGACAAGGTCTTCCCAATCAAGCTGGATTGGAGAATGTGACTCATCCCCATAACTAGAATAAGATTCCTATTTCTTCTCCCCAAACCTAGACTTTGGAAGCTGCCTGGAAGAATAAATTCTTCAAAGCACTCATCTCTAGCCAGATGCATGGAGGACCACAAGTATACTTCACACCCTGAAGGACAGAAGAAAGAGGCTAAGTGAGAGGGGGCAGTGCTTCAGGCTTGCTTCAGGTCATCCAATAGACAGCAAATCCTGCCACCTTGTCCATCAGAGAAGCCATTCGTCCTCCCACTAAGAGAAGTGAACTAGGGTACAGAGGAAGGAAAAACCAGAAGTAATACCCCCAAAATGCACCCCTCCTGGGGGCTAAGGCAGGAATCCCCTCATCAAAACAAGACTGAATTAAGAAGGGCTTGACCTTATGAGTACTAAGCCCATGTCTCTGTCATTGAGTTCCTGTGCTATCCTTTGGCACTATGATGAGGACTCGAAGAGAATGATGATGTCCTTATCTTCACAACATCACTATCAAGCTGAAGAAGAAATATGGCACACCCGAAATAATGCAATATTATAGAAAACTGTAGTGAAGTTTTAAATTGTGTACTGCCAAGTATGAATGGGTAAAAGAAGGTCAAAAAGAGTTAAAATTGTCAAGAAAAACTTCAAAGAGGCAATAAAACACCTGAGCTTCAACAGCATTTCTCTCAATTGACAGAAATGAGTCTTGATAAATAGACGTAATTGGGTATATATGGAAAAGACTTTCTGAACAAAACGAATAACAGGCAGGAAGATACTCAAATAAAAAGGTCACATTGTGTTGGGTAGTATAAGGATGACATGCAAGATGGCAGGGTGATGTCAAAGAATGAGCACTAAGATCAAGTAATAGGGTGAATCCAGATTTACCAAGAGCCTTGAAAGCCAGGTAGAGATGTTTAGCTTTGACACAACAAGAAATGAGTACACTCTCTAAGAAACTGCTCACTACAGCCATCAAAACCAAGAGCCCTAAAATATTTCTGTCAATATACTAAATGGGAAGACAAGAGAAATTGTTGTTTAACAAGTCTGATATTTTCTGTTTCTGGACTGCCATACAGACATTCAGGACATACATTCAGGACAGCAGTGATAAAATATAATTAATCTGACTTAATTAGGTTGAAATAGAGTAATGCCTTATAGAGGCCAGCTTCTATTCTGATTTCGAATTAGGACCCAACATAGTATTCCTATGTACATTTCTGGCCAACCTTGAGCATTTTTTTAGTTATTAGTAAGCAGGCTATACTAGAGTTGCCTTTATTATATAAAAATTATATTCTAATAAAATTTAATAGAGTGTAAAAATCTGAGATATAGCTACAATAAAAGATTTTGAATCAGCTGAAATTCATGCAAATTTTGTCTTGATTAAATGAGGCAAATATTTTATGATTCTAATAAAATGACCAAAGGCCTGTTCTCTAAATATATGTATTCCAAAATAAAATAATATAAGCTAGACTAGAAGCAAGCAAACCTCTATCGAGGGAAATGATGATTATGCTAAAATAAAAGGGGACACTGACATGGCAATAAACCTTGATCTTGTCTGCCAAAACATAACTGAATGTCTTCTTTATTCAACAGACCTTGCATGAGAAAAAAAAATGCAGTGATTGGTGCTGGGGTCAGCGGATTAGATGCCATTAAGAGCTGCTTGGAGGAGGGACTCGAGCCTGTATGTTTTGAAAAAAGCAATGAGATTGGAGGACTGTGGAGATACGAGGTAATTAATAAACATTCTCATAAACTCTGATGTATCTGTATACTATGAGAGAAGTGTTTTCTTTCTAACTAGGAAACAGAACTCTGATGACGTATAACTTAGATATTCTTTAAGTGTTCTTTTCAAAGTAGTGATATCTTACATTCATATGAACCTGAAATTTTTTGAAGTGCTTACACAATCCTATTAACTTTTATCCCCCCAACAACCCCATATGGAATACTTAGGGTATCAGTATGCAAATTTTACAGATGAGAAAGCTAAAACTCAGAAATTCTCTATAGTTTTCCAGCCTCTAGCACACTTGGTAATAAGACTTAAGATCTGAATTCTGGTTCTGACTTTTTCCTCTCTACCATAGAATCATCCTCTTTATGTTGCTTTGTGTTGTTTAATGGATGCCGAAGAAACTACCTGTACCAAGAAAGGTGTGTGTAATCATGATTATACTCATGCATAGCTTAAAGCAATAGGTTTTATATCATGGATAGTATCCCAGATGAATAGAAGTAAGCGTACTCTTAAAAATAATGTCTTCCATTTATGCAGCCAACAGACACATGAAAAAATGCTCATCATCACTGGCCATCAGAGAAATGCAAATCAAAACCACAATGAGATACCATCTCACACCAGTTAGAATGGTGATTATTAAAAAGTGAGGAAACAACAGGTGCTGGAGAGGATGTGGAGAAATAAGAACACTTTTACACTGTTGGTGGGACTGTAAACTAGACAATGTGGTGATTCCTCGAGGATCTAGAACTAGAAATGCCATTTGACCCAGCCATCCCCTTACTGGGTATATACCCAAAGGATTACAAATCATGCTGCTATAAAGACACATGCACACGTATGTTTATTGTGGCACTATTCACAATAGCAAAGACTTGGAACCAACCCAAATGTCCAACAATGATAGACTGGATTAAGAAAATGTGGAACATATACACCATGGAATACTATGCAGCCATAAAAAAGGATGAGTTCATGTCTTTGTAGGGACATGGATGAAGCTGGAAACCATCATTCTGAGCAAACTATTGCAAGGACAGAAAACCAAACACCGGGTGTTCTCACTCATAGGTGGGAATTGAACAATGAGAACACTTGGACACAGGGTGGGGAACATCACACACTGGGGCCCATCGTGGGGTGGGGGAAGGGGGGAGGGATAGCATTAGGAGATATACCCAATGTAAGTGATGAGTTAATGGGTGCAGCACACCAACATGGCACATGTATGCATATGTAACAAACCTGCACGTTGTGCACATGTACCCTAAAACGTAAAGTATAATTAAAAATAATAATAATAATAATGTCTTCATCATTTATGCAGCCAACAGACACATGAAAAAATGCTCATCATCAATGGTCATCAGAGAAATGCAAATCAAAACCACAATGAGATACCATCTCACACCAGTTAGAATGGCTACCATTAAAAAATCAGGAAACAACAGATGCCAGAGAGGATGTAGAGAAATAGGAATGCTTTTACACTGTTGGTGGGAGTGTAAATTAGTTCAGCCATTGTGGAAGACAGTGTGGTGATTCCTCAAGGATCTAGAACTAGAAATACCATTTGACCCAGCAATCCCATTACTGGGTATATACCCAAAGGATTATAAATCATGCTACTATAAAGACACATGCACATGTATGTTTATTGCAGTACTATTCACAATAACAAAGACTTGGAACCAACCCAAATGTCCATCAATGATAGCCTGGATTAAGAAAATGTGGCACATATACACTATGGAATACTATGCAGCCATAAAAAGGGATGAGTTCATGTACTTTGCAGGGACATGGATGAAGCTGGAAACCATCATTCTCAGCAAACTATCACAAGGACAGAAAACCAACCACCACATGTTCTCACTCATAGGTGGGAATTGATCAATGAGAACACTTGGACACAGGGCAAGGAACATCACACACCAGGGCCTGTCGGGGGTGGGGGGCTGGGGGAGGGATAGCATTAGGATAAATACCTAATGTAAATGACGAGTTAATGGGTGCAGCACACCAACACGGAATATGTATACCTATGTATCAAACCTGCACATTGTGCACATGTACCCTAGAACTTAAAGTATAATAATAAAAATAGAAAGTATAAGTAAAAAAAAAGTCTTCTTGAAGTATAATTCATTTTTTTAAAAAAGCAGCCTTTTTTCTCTTAAGTATTCAACATATTTTTCTAATACTTTTTGTTTTTAACCCTTAACTTTTTTCTTTTTTTTTGTTTTTTTTTTGTTTTTTTGAGATGGAGTCTCGCTCTGTCTCTCCAGGCTGGAGTGCAGCGGCGCAATCTCGGCTCACTGCAAGCTCTGCCTTCCGGCTTCACGCCATTCTCCTGCCTCAGCCTCCCAATTAGCTGGGACTACAGGCGCCTGCCACCACGCCCGGCTAATTTTTTGTATTTTTAGTAGAGACGTGGTTTCACCGTGGTCTCTATCTCCTGATCTCATGATCCGCCCTCCTCGGCCTCCCAAAGTGCTGGGATTACAGGCGTGAGCCACCGCGCCGGCCTATCCCTTAACATTTTAATATACATCACATTTGCATGATTTTTTTTTCTCTCAACTTTCATAATGCTTTTTTCCAGGGGCTTCTCTTAATCCAAATTCTTTTAGTTGTGGTGTCTTTTTTACCCTTTGGAAGTTTCTCTTCTCAACCCCTTTTTGTCTGTTTTAATTTTGTTTGTTATGCTGCATTTTAGCATCTATAATCTTCCTCCTGTTAAGTTATAATGTAATTACTGGTATTAATTTAGGTCTGTCATTATAAGCAAAATTCTGAACTGTAAAGAGTTCTCTTTGTAGAGAAATGAGTCCAATGCCTCCGTTGTTCCTGTTGGGCAATATTACAGTAAACTGACTGTCAAGTACATTTTTTCAAGGAAAAAATAAGCCTAAAACCACCTGTCTGATCATACCTAACCATTCTTTGTTGTGCTACTGAATCCTGAAAGCCATGGGTTTGTTGTTTCCCACAGGAAACACCTGAAAGTGGAAGGCCTGGGATATACAAATCTATGATCTTCAACGCTTCAAAGGAGACGACAGCCTTCAGCGACTACCCTTTCCCTGATCATTATCCCAACTATTTGCACAATTCCAAAATGATGGAGTATCTCAGGATGTACACCAGGCACTTTCACCTCATGAAGCACATCCAGTTTCTGGTAAGGAATGAAAAGTATGCTCATCACCTACAGATTGTTGAAGGCAAAGCTTGTGTAAGCCAGAGAAAGCTAAGGCGTATTTTCAATTTGCATTTTCCATTACAATTCAGAGAAAAATAGCATGTCTTCTATTAGTCTCAAGATTAGTGAATCTAATATTAGTTTTCCCAGCAGAGGAAAAGCATTGTCTCATTATTTGAACCTAAAATCTAGTTTTCAATTAATTTTATTAAATAGAGAATATAAGTTATAGGGAAAAATTAATGTGTTTTTTTCTCTAAGGTACCTTGATGTCTGGAAAGGATCATTTTAGGACATTTATGTGAACAAAATTCCTAAAGATCTAGAAACTCTGAATATAAAAGGCACCGCCTATTTTATTTGTTAAGACACAGAATTGGGGGGAAAAAAAGTGGAAGACTGAGAACAATACTCTGAAACCAAGGCTGTCTTTGTTTCTTTATTCCCAGTCAAAGGTGTGCAGAGTGAGGAAGCACCCAGATTTTTCATCCTCTGGCCAGTGGGATGTTGTGGTAGAAACCGATGGGAAGCAGAAATCCTATGTCTTTGATGGGATCATGACTTGCAGTGGCTATTACAATTAAAAGTGTTTGCCCTTAAAGGATTTCCCTGGTGTTTAACTGATGAGTGTACAAGAAAAATCTTTGCATTCTAAGAATTGTAATATCTGCAGTATTACAGCATTGGACAGAACTGTTTACATGGTACAGTGGGGATTAAAAAAAAGAGGGTGTAGCAACTTTCTGGAATAGCCAGGAAAGATCTGATAATAGAAATAACACTTGAACTAGAAACTAAGAGTTCCTCAGGAAAACCAAGGTCTGGGAGCAGGCATTCCTGTAAGAGGAAGTCATACAAGAAAAGCAATAGCATGTGAAATAGTCGCAGGAGCTCAGGGAACGACACTCACTTGATGTTCCTGAAGCAGGTGAGTGTGCAGGGAGAGATATGTAGGAGTCAATAAAAGACCATTGAAGTGTGTGTGTGTGTGTGTCTGTGTGTGTGTTTATATGTTTGGAGGGGCAGGTACATGATTATACTTTTATTTTGTAAAGATCAGTCTTGCAGTGATGTGGAATATTAATTGATACGGAAGAAGGGGACAAAGCAGGAACATCAATAAAGAGGGTTTTTTAATAGTCCATTAAAGAGATGGTGAAAGCCTCTAGTAAAGTAATGGTAGTAGGACGCAAAAGGAGGAGAAAAATTCAGGAAATATTTTGGAGGTCATTACAAGACTCAATGAATGATAAAATATGTGACAATTTTTTATTTAATATTTTTGAAATTTTACTTTTTATTTTTGAAATACTATTTAATATTTTTGAAAAATAATACTTTTTTTTTCCTTGAGTTGGAGTCTCTCTCTGTTGCCCAGGCTGGAGTACAATGGCGCCATCTCAGCTCACTGCAACCTCCACCTCCTGGGTTCAAGCGATTCTCCCGCCTCAGCCTCCTGAGTAGCTGGGATTACAGGTACATGCCACTATGCCTGGCTAATTTTTGTATTTTTAGTAGAGACGGGGTTTCACCATGTTGGCCAGGCTGGTCTCGAACCCCTGACCTCATGATCCGCCCGCCTCAGCCTCTCAAAGTGCTGGGATAATAGGTGTGAGCCACCAGGCCCAGCCAAATTTTTTAAAGATGTTTTGAAATTTCTGTTACTCTAGATTTGCACCATCTTAGTCACTGCTAGCAAGATGTTGCTACTGAGCATTTGCAATGTGGCTAACAGGAATTGAGATGTAATTTCAATGTAAAATACACACCAGCTTTTGAAGACATAGTAAAAATGTAAAAAATATGTCAATAATACCTTTGTAAGCAGGACAATGGCCATGGAAGTCCGAATCCACTAAGGAGTATGTAAGAACTCACCTGCCTAAAACAATTTATTGATAATAAAGTATAAAAAATTAAAAATTAAAAGAACCTTTGTATATCAATTATATACTGATAACATCTTAGATTTTGTTGGGTTAAATAAAATATATTATTAAAGTTAATATCTTTTTTCTACTTTTTTCATATTACTACTAGAAAATTTAAAATTGCATATGTGGTTGAATTATATTTCTTTTAGACAACACTGCTCTATATTGCTAAGTATCTTTACATATTTTTTAAATCAATTTATGGAGTCATAAAAATAGAACAACAGTTCCTCATGAATCAGTAGAGAGTAAGGAAAAGGTAATACCTCCTAAAGTGACAAGTCATCATATTGAGCAAATTTAAAGCTGGATTTTTGAAAGGAAACATTAATATGCTCTGATTTTTGTCTTAGGCATATCATTGCTGCCACTGGATATTTCATTCCTTGGATAATCTCATTTTGAAACATTGGCAGCAACTGACCAACCAACAAAGAAAGGGATTTAAGTAACATATACTTCAAGTTTAGAAATAAATTTTCTAAAACAGTCTTTCCTATTTCTGTTTGTGATTTAAGAGATTCTACCCTTTCCTTATAGGGATCGAGAACTTCCAAGGTCCATATCTCCACACCTAGGCATACAAGCATCTCGACTATTTTGTGGGGAAGAGAGTGGTTGTGGTCAGCATTGAGGATTCTGGAGCAGATGTGGCTGGCGAGATCAGTCATGTTGCTGAACAGGTTTGACATTCTAAACTGATTCTGTTCTTGGTGTAACCTTGATATCTGCAAAGCATGGCCCATGGTGAGTCTAGGCTTTTGTTAGCCCCAACCTTGACTGCTGCTCTCCAACCTGGTAAAAGCACTTTCTTCTTCTGACTTTTCACCATGAGTGAAAGAATGTAGAAAACCAAAATAATGGTACCCTCCCATACCATAATGCACTGAAATTATGGAAGATAGCAATCAAACTAGAGTCAGATAACGGGAGTTATCGAGGTGTAGCTACGCTAGAGAGATGGAAACTTTCAAACTGAAATGAATTTTACAGAAAATGCCAAAATTTTCATACTGGAAATAACGTTTAAACATAGAAATATATACACAAGCATGAGTAAAAATACACTGCTGATACAAGAGCAAGGAATAGGGTGGAAATTCTGTGGGCTCCCACTGACTGAAAAAAATGAAGAGTAGGAAAAAAATTAGCTATTTTCTTCTCTGCAGGGAATGTTATTGACCCCTAAAGAGCATAGAGAGATTACTTTTCAAAACTCAAAATTAATTTTCATTTCTGATTTAGGATTTCCAGGAAGAAGACACAAGATTTCCACTACTTAAAGTCTTCTGTATGGATGAAATTCAATCAATCATTCTGAGTGCCATCTTACCCCCTGCCAAGCATTGTATGTAAGATATAATGATAAATGAGTCATAATCTCTGAGATTAAAGACCTCACAAGCTAGTGATTTTATTTTCATTAAAAACTCAGTAGCCTTTTTAAAATCTCAGTTAAATAATTCAAAATAGAGAATTTTTAAAATGTATCCTCTATTTTTCATGGACTTCATACTTTTCACGTTAAATTTTCCATTTGTAAATGTGAAAAAATTCAAGATGTGCATTTTTACATTGCATTTTTGATTTGTGTGTGTGTGTGTGTGTGTGTGCATGTTTTGTTGTTGGTGTTTGTTTGTTTGTTTTCCTAATAAAGGCATGGTCTCTCTCTGTCACCCAGGCTAGAATGCAGTGGCACTATTGTAGCTCACTGCAATCTTGAACTCCTGGGCTCAGGCGATCCTACTGCCTCAGCCTCCCAAAGCACTAAGATTACAGGCATGAGCCACCATGCCCAGCCTGTATTTTTGTTGTTATCTCAGTCTTTGCATCCATATATTTTTCCATCAGTCTAAATTGTAGAATGATAGAAAGGAGAAGGAACCTGGATACTAACTTGTAGCTCTCAACATAATAAATTATTCATGTTAACTTTTTTTCCACATTGTGAGACCTAAGAGATTCCAGATATCTAGCACAGCTGTAAGTGAACATTAAAATGGAAACAGAAAAAACAATAAAAGAATTAAAATGACTTTAAATGATTGGACCTGAGAAATGTATAGAGTGAAAGAGGAGGAAGAGAATCAGGGAGGGGGGATGAGATGATATGAGAAGTTAATTATATTCCCTTGACAGTTTAGAAAAAAATGCATCTGAGCTTCTGAGATAACAGTAATAAGAAATAAAATGGTAATTTGGCAACGACTTCTCTCCTGCAGGTTTTCCTCAGTACAAGACAAGGTGCATGGATATGGAACCGGGTTTGGGATAATGGGAATCCCCTTGATATCACACTCTTCACTCATTATAATAGAATAATGGAAAAAATTTTCCCCACATTCATGATCAACAGATGGGTAGAAAATAAATGAAATGCAAGGCTTAACCATGACAATTATGGGCTACAGCCTCAACACAGATAAGGCCTAGGATTTAAAACAAATAAACAGTATTTCAAAGCTACTAGACCAAGCAGAATCTATAAGCTATATTTAAGAAATAAGAATGAAAGGGTACCATTCTAATATTTGGTAGCATTTAGTTGGATAGAGAATATTCAAGTTATTTCCTTCCTACTAGTAACTTAAGGTCATTCTACTAAGGTTCTACTGAGAAAACAATGTGGGGGGTTGGGAGTAGGGGAGTAGAGACAAACTTTAATACTTGTTTTATTTGAGACTCACACCATCTAACTATGCCACCCTCTATTTCCTCTTTCACTATCATCTGTTAACCACTTCCTCTTCACTCCCAGATTGAAAACTTTGATTCCTCTGGAGGGCATGACTGTCACCCTCAAACCTATTGTCAACCAGGACAATTTCAATATCTGTATGTATGACTACTCAATACCCATGCAGTGCAGCCCCTCGACTTCCCCAACTGCACTGGTCTCGTGTCCACTTCACTTGAGTCAACCACACCCATGGCCATCCTGGAACTTATCACCCAGAACTACAGTGTATCCGGATGTCATTCCAGGGCCCATTCTGTGATTGCAGCCTCTTCCTTTTACACTCTCATCCCACTACATGCTAGCCAGTTCTCTGACCTTATCCAGTCCTCTCATCCCCTGTCTTCCTCTTCTTGTTCTTTCATCTCTGTTACCACTTTTCCTCTATTTTCTTTCTTGCTCCCCTTTCCCCACTTGTCCCTCAAAACTTGGTGTTATCCATGTATCTATTCTTGGTCCTCTTCCCTTTTCTCCCTACACAGCTTCCTTTATTTAAAAAATTTAAAAACACCCCAGGCAAAAGATAAAAGCTTGAACTAAAGCACTGAAAATAAAAAAAATAGTATTAAGAAGTATCTGGAAGAAAAAGCATACATAGCGTTATGACTAACTGATGTTGGATGTGTGACTCCAGGTTCTTTCCTGAGGAAAAAGTATTCAGAAGATGAAAGATGTGTATTAATAGTAAAGTGGAACTGAAAATATGACTTCTTGCTACTAAATTATAGCTCAAGTACTAAATTAC
The DNA here is from genome assembly GCF_000001405.40 of Homo sapiens. Classification (NCBI taxonomy): domain Eukaryota; kingdom Metazoa; phylum Chordata; class Mammalia; order Primates; family Hominidae; genus Homo; species Homo sapiens. The sequence continues at coordinate 166,674,653 of NC_000001.11, forward strand.
AATTACCAAAGATCTGTGTGTCACTGAACATAAGTTTTTCCAATGAAGATTCACTCTTAAAATCACACAGTTGCACCTTGTAGGCCCTTGAAAAATATTAATGACCAACTGGTGTTAATATTTACATTATATTGAGTGAAACTATATCTGTTAAGAATCAAAAAGCTTTATTCCTGGAAAAAAATACTATTAGCTAAAAGTATATTTAGCTAAAAATAATTGGGTGTATTATCACCTGATTATCACAATCTGATCTGATTGTTATTATTATCATTTTACAGATTAGGAAACTGAGACTGAAATGTTATGAGACTTTTCCAAGGTCTCACAACTAGTAAGTGACAGGACCATTATTAGTCTAGTTCTGACTCTGAAAATCAAGTTTGTAAGCAATAAACTGTATCTCCTTTTCAGGAATGCCAATATAGAATATAAAAAATTGTTAAAATACTATGGTGATTTCCTGAGCATTTGCCAACCAAAACTTGTTTATGAAGAAAATTTATACTCCCTTCTTGATGTTACACTCTTTGCCATGCAGATTTCTCAGCCATCAGGCTACTGTGAATGATGATCTGCCTAACCACATAATTTCTGGAAGAGTCCTGATGAAACCAGACATGAGAGAGTTCACCACAACATCAGCCTTCTTTGAGGATGGCACTGAAAAGAACATTGATGCTGTCATCTTTGCTACAGGCTACACCTTGTCTTTCCCTTTCTTGGAGGATGACTCAGCAATCCTGGACAGCCAGTACTCCGTGTTTAAATTTATGTTCCCTCCCCAGCTGGAGAAGCCAACACTAACCTAGCTTCATTGGCATTCTCCAGCCAGTGGGAGCCATCATTCCCATTTCAGAACTCCAGAGCCGATGCGCTGTGCAAGTATTCGAGGGTAAGTGGTGGTCTTCTGCATGAGCAAAGTAGGTTCCTAATTATACAGTAAGACGTTAAGAGCACTCAGAAGGTCTTCTGTTCAATACATCTTCTCCCTTACTCTATTGAAGTGCCTGAAATTTCACCATTAAAAATGGACTACGTTGGGACTATCTAGAGTTTTGATTTTCCACTTCTAAGAGAATCCTATTAAAAGAAAAGCATTCCAGGAATTATAAAAACACATAAAATTATAATCAGGTTACATTTTGGTATTTTGTATCCATTCATTTATTTATTTCCAGTAGAAAGCTAATTTATCATAAGACTTTAAGGAAACAGAAAATAGAGAAGGTAGGAAAACAAACAAGGGAGAATATACTTATGAAAGTATTTCAGAAAGGTTGCGAAGTTATTTTACTTTGTTGGACAACTCCAAGTATTTGGTTCATATTCTTGACTCATTTCCAAAGTCCTTACCTTTGATGCTTCAGAGCAAATTGGTAAAATTGGTATCAGAAAGAAATCAGGGCTGGGCACGGTGGCTCACGCCTGTAATCCCAACACTTTAGGAGGCTGAGGCAGGCGGATGACTTGAGGTCAGGTGTTTGAGACCAGCCTGGCCAACATGGTGAAATCCTATCTCCACTAAAAATACAAAAATTAGCTGGGCATGGTGGCGCATGCCTGTAATCCCAAGTACTTGGGAGGCTGAGGTGGGAGAATTGCTTGAACCCAGTGGGTGAAAAACAAAAAAGAAGAAGAAAAAAAGAAATCAGGATCAAGTTTGATAGAATTGCATTGTAGTTTCTGCTAACCAGAGTAAATTGATGAAGTCATCTGGACAACTTTCCCTCGGATTCCTAAATAATTGTTACCAAGTTCTCCATGATCTGATTAATGAGAAGTCAGAATTGTATCTAATCAGGATACATCACCAGACACTTCTTTCCTGATGAGTCAAAATGTGATAGAAAATAGTAGATACCTTCACTGAATCCTTTACTTTTGAGACATAAAATTATCAATTAGACAAGTCAAGAATTTAAAAGATGTACTGCTGTACACTGAGGCCAGAGCTCATATCTAAGTGGCTTATGTTGTTTCTGTATCTTACCTCATTCACTTTCTAAAGCCATGTGGTTATTCCCTCAGTGAAGTCATTTCTAATAATAACACATTTTATTCTCATTTAAAAATATCTACAGTATATCACTACTTTAGGCAGATATGTTGGTTTCCATATACATATATCTTGCTCCTCTTTCTTCTAGCAAGTATACATTTTCTTTGCTGACTTCCACTATGAATCCATGCCTGGAAATATGAGCACCAATAAATACCAGTGGAATGTTGAAAGGTGACAAATGGATAATATGATGGTAGCCATAAAAGAGAATAGTTACAAAGTCACTTATCATGCTTACTGGATTTAGCTACCTGTACTTGATTGCATTTTTTAAAATAAACATTTTTAAAGATTTATTTCAGTATAATATATACATAGAAAAGTACCATGCCATGAATGTTTAGCTTACTGAATTTTCACAAATTGAACAACACTCACCTACTCAACCATCACTTAGTTTAAAAAAATATATAACAACAAAAAACTCAACAACATGACTAGCACTCAGAAGCTCCCCCTGCAGTTTTTTCTGTCCCCAGCATGACCAAGAGTAACCACTATTTTCATTTCTAATAGCAGCAGTTCATTTTCACTTTTCAATTTTTTTCACAATGTGTGTTGTATTCTGTTTGGATTCTTTCACTCAACTTGATATTTGTGAGATTCATCCATATTTTGTACTAATTTATTTTCACTACTATATAGCATTCCATATACTTATCCATTGTAGATATGGATTTGTATATATATATATACTTATCCATTGTAGATATGGATTTGTATATATATATATATATATATACACTTATCCATTGTAGATATGGATTTGTGTATATATATACCCACAATCACCCATTCCACTTTGATGGGCATTTAGAGTTATTGTAAACAGGGATGCCCTGAACAATCTAATACATGTCTTTTGTTGAATACACATATTTCTGTGGGGTGTATACTGAGGAAAATAATTGCTGCTTCACAAGGTATGCGTATGTATAAAATAGCATTTTAATGTACTAGGTTGCCTTTCTATTCTGCAAGTCTGTTTCTTCGATGTCTTGCATACTCAACCTCTATATTATGTTTCATAAGACATTTAACAATATTCATGAGTAGATCCTACTTTTGTACCAACAGATATGTGCACCTGATGAAGCAATGAGGGGAATAATTTAGAAGTTGATGGGCCTGCCTCTCTTTGTTCTGTTACCCTGATTTATTGTCTTTTCCCACTCTAACCTTTGTCATGTCCTCTCTCCCCACAAAACACAAACATGCACTTATACATTCATCTTCTTTTTTATTACTTGCTTTTCTTTTTAACAAATATAGTTATTGCAACCTTGAGAAATTCATGAATGTATAAGTGAGAACTGAGTTTTTCCAATTGCTCTGAGAACTGAGAAAAATCATTTTTGAGATGTAAGATCAATGCCAGGACCTATTCACATAATGAGAGGGACTTTTGAGGCAGATCACAGTACAGTTTGAAGATCTCTGGGAAATTAAAAATTATATCAAGGGAATTCTTAATATTTAAGAATTTTGATTGCAGATTTAAACTGAGAAACAACTCCAAACATACTTTTCTTAAGGGAAGGCTAACTTCCCTTCCACAACCCGAGAATGATAGAAAGGAAAATATCTTCCTTGAGAATTTTTTTTTATAAAAGGCTTTGGTTATATGTTCCATAAAGACCTGATTATTATAACTGTGTTCTTTCAAAACCACTGTTTTCATTTACTTGTTTTCTCCAGCTTTCCTGACAATCCTCTTATTTCTATCTCTTTCTTAGTACTGAAAAAATTACTCTCCACAAGTGCCATGATAGCTGACATCAACAGGAGGAAAAAGAAAATGGCAAAAGAGTAAGAAACTTAATTGTTGGTTAAAGTAAATGAAGCCTACTTAGACAGAGATACTTGATTTTTCTCATTATGTACTTTACACCTAAATGAGATCTCCTAAGATAATTTTAGTTCGTTGTGAAAAATGTACATGGAGTTCATGTATAAAAATGCCTGGCTATGGAACATAAATCTCATCATTTGTTGGTCAGCCATAGAATATTAAATCTATGCAATGAAGGCCAGGCATGGTGGCTCATGCCTGTAATCCCAGCATTTGGGAGGCTGAGGTAGGCAGATCACCTGAGGTTGGGAGATCAAGACCAGCCTGACCAACATGGAGAAACTTTGTCTCTACTAAAAATACAAAATTAGCCAGGCATGGTGGTTCATGCCTGTAATCCCAGCTACTGGGGAGCCTGAGGCAGGAGAATCGCTTGAACCCAGGAGGCGGAGGTTGCAGTGAGCCAAGATCGCGCCATTGCGCTCCAGTCTGGGCAACAAGAGCAAAACTCCGTCTCAAAAAAATAAATAAATAAAAATAAAAATAAAAAATCTATGCAGTGAGCAATCTCCAAAAGTGAGAAATGTCAAGAAACTTTATTCATTGCGAGAAGTGAGATCACAAAAACTACATGAGAAATTAGCAAAATTCAGAATCTAAAGAAAAATATTTTACAGATGTATAATTAAGTGAAGAGTAACTTAAGATGATGTACATTCATTTCAAATTGTTAAACACCTACTTTGTGCACTTTGTAATAAATTTCCATTCTAAGAGCATCCTTAGGGGAATTTTGGAAGAGATGCTAAAATACCATTATTATAATTTAATAACTAAGCCACCAATATAAACTGTAAGACTAAATATGACATGTAAATATCATTTACGTTTCCTATGATCTCATGTCTCTACTTAAGTCTATACTTATTCATTTTTATTTGCTAAAATAGATTTTCCCTTTGTATTTTCTGTCTGATTACTTTGGGTTTTTAGGAAAGTTACTGATTTATATACATTTATTTTGTAATAACATTTTACTTTAAATTTTTGCTGATTATAATATTTATTTGATTATCTTAGATTTGCTGAGTAGACCATGAAAATAACTGTAATTTAGACTCTTCTTTCCTTTTATTTATTTCTTTTTTCTGGTATTACTACCTTGGCTGTAACTTACAGGATGATCTTAGATAATAGAGAAGACTATACCTATTCTTGCTTTGTTACTGATTTTGTTGAGATCACCTCTAGTATTTCACCATTAGGTATGATACTGTCTACTGGAGGCTGAGAAAGTATCCTTCTCTTCCTATCTTATGCAAAGAAACGCATGTTGAATTTCATCAAGTGCCTTTGACCATGTTTTTTTCCTTAGTTTTATTTTTTATTTTATTTTGTATTTCAATAGTTTTTGGGGTACAAGTGGTTTTTCGCTACAGGGGTGAATTGTATAGTGGTGAAGTCTGAGATTTTAGTGTACCCATCACCTGAATAGTGTACATGTACCCAATATGTAGTTTTTGATTTCTCACCTCCCAATCCCTCCCTCCTCCTTCTCAGTCTCCATAGCTCATAATATCACTCTGTCTGCCTTTGTGTACTCATAGCTTAGCTCTCACTTAAAAGTAAAAACATACCGTATTTGGTTTTCCATTCCTGAGTTACTTCACTTAGACTAATGGCCTCCAGCTCCATTTAAGTTACTGCAAAAGAAATTATTTCATTCTTTTTAATGGCTGAGTAGTATTCCATGGTGCATATGTACCACATCTTCTTTATCCATTCATTGGTGGATGGGCATTTAGATTGGTTCCATATCTTTGCAATTGTGAATTGTGCTGCAATAAACATACACGTGCAAGTGCCTTTTGACTATATTTTTAAATGATATGAATTTTCACCATTGATTTGTTGATGGCATGAATTATAGTAATATATTTCCAAATACTAAACATTTCTTAATTTCCAGGAATACGGACTACTTGGTTATTGTGTATAATTATTTCAATATACCGTTAAATTCTATTTGATAGAATTTAACGGTATATTAAATTTATAGACGGAATTGGTCTGTGATTTTCCCTTAGATGGAATGTGATTTTAGATGGTATGTGATTTTCCCTTAGATGGAATTGGTCTGTGATTTTCCTTTTTGTTTTCACTTTTGTTTCGATTTTTATTATGTTATTAAGCTTATACGAACTTTACAAAATGAATAAGGAAAGTTTAGTGCTTTTCTATGGTCAGAAACAACTTAAATAGACTTAAATAGAATGGGGAGTTCAAGTTACTTGGAAATTTGAAGTAAAAAAAATCGATAAAATTGACATTAGCACCCCACGCTTATTTTAGAAATAATTCCTAGACCGCATTTTCCATTGTTTGCTTTATTAGGGGTCTAGTTGCATTCTTCTGTTCTTGTGAAAGGTAAAGATACATTGTATTAGAAAATTATCATACTTATCTAATTTTGCAAACTTTAAGCCTGTAGTTATGCACAATATTTTCTTATCTTAATTGCTCTTATTTTTTGTATAAAATTCTTATTTATTTTTATATGTATAGTATTTGTCTTTTTCTTCTTTTGACTAAACCTTCAAAAATTTCTCTATTTTATGTTTATTTTTATTTTTCAAGCAACTACCTTTGAGATTTTTCAATTCTCCTTTTTTATGAATTTAGTCTTTCACCTTAATGCCTTATTACTACTTTCCTTGGCTTTGTTTTGTGTTCCTTTCAAACTTCATTATTTGGCTACTTGGTGCATTTACTTTACATTATTTTTTCTTGGATAATACTAACTTTTTTCTCTCCTAACATTTTGAAAAGTTTTGATATTTTTAAGATAGTCTGTAATTCCAATTTGGTTTCCTCTTTTACCCAAGAGTTATTTAACAGAGTGATGTTTAATTTCCAAGTATGTGGATCAAGTCACATAAAAGTGAATAAAAACTAATTCATGACTGTCTAGGAATATTACTTAAGGGCAGAATTTGTGTCCAGGATTAATACATGGAAAAGATAGTTCATGTAGCTTGGAAGCATGAAGTACGCAACAGAGTTTAACACTCTACTCAAATCATATATTCCTCACTTACCAAGGCTTACGTAATGAAACTGCATTTTGTGTCTAGAAGGGGAATCAGTATCTAAGATTGCATCCATTCACATATCCAACAATTTCTGTGTGTACGTGACTCTACTTGGTACTTTGGGAACTTTAAAGATATCAGGAATTCACATCTTCTGTTTAGGAAATGTATTCTTCTAAGGAAATTAAGGCATGTGCATGAAATTTGATAAGAGGATGATTTGGTTAGTAGAAGATAATGAAGTCAATAAACGAAGCAGAAACAAATTCCAGTGTAAACTTAGAGGAGAATAGTGACTGAAATCTGGCACGGGGCTTCTAATGTTTTCTTCTTATTCCAGGTTTATAAAAAGCCCAAGAGATACACATCAAGTGCCATGTATTGACTACATGGATGAAATTGCATCTGAATTAGAGTCAAACCCAACCTGTTCTCTCTCCTCCTCTGGGATACAAGGTTAGCCAAAGAGATTTTCTATGGGCCTTGCACCGCATGTCAATATTGCCTACAGGGGCCAGGGAAATGGACCAGGGCCCAGAAGGCCATTCTTACTGAAAGAGACCGGATCCTCAAACCCCTGAGAACACGTGTGGTCAAACACACTAGACCTTCTTCCTCTAGTCTGTGCTGCCCTTTTTCTCTTTGTTTCCATGTGAGGCATCCATGCCAGTGATATGTTATCAAGCTCACATTGACATAGATGTTTAAGGAACTAGAGAAGAACAGCTCATTTTTATTTGAATTATATCAAAATGAAGACAGTTAATTATATGGGAGAAGACATTTATTGGATAGACTAGCTCATATATGAATACTTAAATGAAAAAAAATTACTCTGATAATGATTTTTCTAAATGCTTTATATGAAGAGAGGTTTGAAAATGTGTATCTTATCTCTTCTTTATTTTAGTAGTAATTTGAAGTATTTACAGATTTACATATAATATGACAATGAACAGTAATTAAAAGTGGTATTCAATTTTTAAAAGGGTAGAGGCAAAATTAAACCAGAGTAAAGCTCAAAAGTACACTGTATGGTCTCAAATTATCACCCCACAGATAACATATTTATTGCAAAAGGAAGATGTGTCTTTTCAATGGGAAAATCTGACAGTTATCATCTTAACTAAGTGATCAAACAGCACTGTTAATAGAAGGCCAACCTGAAATTTTGCAACTCCTAACATGACGCAATGAGAAGTCCAACATTACCTATCTAGTATCATTGCAAAAAATGTTTAACTTGAATTTAATCATCAGGAACAATCAGAAAAATGAAGAAAGTGCAACATTCTGAAGACATCTGTAAAAAACTAAACTAAAAAAGACCAGGAAAAATTTTCTATATAATGGTGACTAAAGAGACATAATGACCAGATGCAATATTTGAACATGGATTCAGAGTTTGGTACAAATGGGAAAATTTAAATGCACACTGTAAATTAGATTATCTTTTTAAATTAATGTTAATATTATCTGATATAATAAAGGTATTATAGTTATATAGTAAAACATTCTTATTTTTGGGAGATGTATGCAGAAATAGAATGAGTAAAGAATCATGATATCTATAATTTATTTGCAAAAGGTACAAGAAAAAGGATGTATGTGTGTGTAAGAGAGAGATAAAATAAAAGATACAAAATATAAGCAACTGGCAATTCTAGGAAAAAAGTATACAAGTGTTAATTATACTATTTCTTCAACTCTTGCAAATTGGGAATTTTCAAAATTCCCAATTTTAGGGAAAAACACATTCTCTATAATGATTTATATGTGGGCCACAGATAAGCCATAAATTTGAGTTTAACTTTTTATTAACCAAACCAAAAAGGAAAGCTTAAATAAGCAAATGGTAAGACTTATGAAATAAAAACAATTCAATTGCTAAAGAGAATAGTAACTATCCTAGGTATTAAAATAGGGAAGAACTTTCTATGGGGGCTTCTTATAATAGAGGACACTATGTTGTAACAATCTTTGCTAAATATTATTTCTATCAAAAGAAATTTTTATAAATGTTTAAAGCATAGTCCCAGAAAGTGTCTAGAGTAGAGCAATTTTTAAGACAGTAATTTTGATCACAGGGTCTTATTCTTTAACGTGTAGTAGAATGGGGCTCAAACTCTTCGTGTAATTGAAAGACTGGGTGGTGCAGCTGTCCCTAAAGAAGCTCAGTCCACCCGCCTAAGACTTGAGTTCAAGGAGTGCTTGCTTCGGGGGTCAAGATTATTTCTGGTAAATTATTTTGAATCTGCTCCTCATAGGCAAAGGACTGATTGAGGCCCCTAAATTCTACTCTTTATATTACGGCCAAATGAATTTTAATGTGCAAAAATATATTGAACAAACTTTCGAAAGAATATTCATTTGAACATTCTGTTGAACCCTTTACAGTAAACTTTGAAATATATGCCAATAAAAATGAGTTAACTTATTGTAAGGGATTGCAATTTATAAAACAGTTAACAGCTGAGCACAATAGCTTAAGCCTGTAATCCAAGTGCTTTGGGAGGCAAAGGAAGGAGGTTCTATTGAGGCCAGGAGTTCAAGATTAGCCTGGGCAATATAGAAAAACTTCATCTCTACAAAAAATAAATAAAAAATTAATCGTGCCTGGTGGTGTGCACCTGTAGTTCTAGCTAATCAGGAGGCTGAGGTAGAAGGATTGCTTCAGCCCAGGAGTCTGAGGCTGCAGTGATATATGATCATATCACTGCACTCCAGCCTGGATAACAAAGTGTGACTTTGTTTCTAAAAACTAAAAGAGAAAAAAAAAATAACTAAAAACTGTTAAAAGTTGAGAAATATCTATCAAAAATAATAAATTTAGATTAGAATTAGCTAACCTTTACCATTTTTTTTAGCAACAACTAACTAGCAGGGTCACCTGTCTATTTAGACCCTTCTAAGATCAAAATTTGTTCTCAACTTTTATTTTAGAATCTAGAAGTACATGTGCAGATTTGTTATAAAGGTATAGTGTGTGATGCTGAGGTGTGGAGTACAAATGATTCTGTCATCCATGTAATAGGCATAGTACCCAGTAGGTAGTTTTTCAACACTTGATCCCCTACTCCCCACCTCTTGTATTCCCCAGTATCTATTGTTTCCATCTTTATGTTCATGTGTACCCAGTGTTTAGCTCCTATTTATAAGTGAGGACATGTGGTATTTTGTTTTCTATTCCTGTGTTAGTTTACTTAGGGTAATGGCTTCCAGCTACATCCATGTTGCTGCAAAGAGCATGATTTTGTTCTTTTTTATGGCTGCATAGTATTCCATGGTATATATGTATCCTATTTTCTTTATCCAACTCACCATTGATAGGCATGGGTTGACTCCATATCTTTGCTATTGTGAATAGTACTGCAATGAACATACAAGTGCATGTGTCTTTTTGGTAGAACAATTTATTTTCCTCTGGGTATGTATCCAATAATGGAATTGCTGCATCAAATGGTAGTTCAACTCTTAGCTCCTTGAGAAAACTATAAACTGCTCTCCACAGTGGTTGAACTAATTTACATTCCTGTCAACAGTGTATAAGCGTTCCATTTATTCTGCAGCCTCTCCAACATCTGTTATTTTTTTACTTTTCAACAAAAGCCACTCTGACTGGCGTAAGATGGTATCTCATTGTGGTTTTGATGTGCATTTCACTAATGATTAGCAATGATGAGCATTTTTTCATACATTTGTTGGCTGCATGTATGTCTTTTTTTAACTTTTAAGTTCAGGGGTACATATGCAGCTTTGTTACATAGGTAAACTTGCATCATGGGAGTTTGTTTTACAGATTATTTCATCACCCAGGTATCAAGCCTCATACTCATTGGTTATTTCTCCTGATCCTCTCCCTCCTCCCACCCTCCACCCTTTTATCAGCCCAAGTGTGTGTTGTTCCCCTCTATATGTCCATGTGTTGTCATCATTTAGCTCCCACTTATAAGTGAGAACATGAAGGATTTGGTTTTCTGTTCTTGTGTTAGTTTGCTAAGGATAATGAACCCCAGCTCCAACCACGTCCTTGCAAAGGACATGATCTCATTCTTTTTAATGGCTGCATAGTATTTCATGTTGTATATATACCACATTTTCTTTATCCAGTCTATCATTGATGGCATTTCCATTGATTCTATGTCTTTGCTATTGTGAACAGTGCTGCAATGAACATACACGTGCATGTGTCTTTAAAACAGAATGATTCACATTCCTTTGGGTGTATGCTCAGTAATGGGATTGCTGGATCAAATGGTATTTCTTTCTTAAGGTCTTTGAGGAATCACCACACTTCTTCCACAATGGTTGAACTAATTTACATTCCCACCAACAGTGTATAAGCCTTCCTTTTTCTACACAACTTTGCCAGCATGTTATTTTTTGATAACATGTGATATGGTGTCTCATTGTGGTTTTGATTTGCATTTCACTAATTATCAGTGATGTTGAAGTTTTTTTCATATGATTGTTGGCCACGTGTATGTCTTCTTTTGAAAAGTGTCTGTTCATGTTCTTTGCCCATTTTTTATGAGGTTGTTGGATTTTTCCCTTGTAAATCTGAGGGCATTATATAATGGTAAAGGGTTCAATTCAACAAGAAAATCTAACTATTCTAAATATATGTGATATATGCACAACTTTCCACCCAAAAACAGCAGAATATACATTCTTCTTATTACCACATGGCACATAATCTAAAATCAATTGCATAATCAATAATAAAACACTTCTCAGCAAATGTCTTATTTTGAGAAGTGTCTGCTCATGTCCTTTGCCTGCATTTTAATGGGGTTGTTTTTTGCTTGTTGATTTGTTTAAGTTCCTTATAGATTCTGGACTTTTGTCAGATGCATAGTTTTTGAAAATTTTCTCTCATTCTGTAGGTTGTCTGTTTACTTACTGATAGTTTTGCTGTGTAGAAGTTCTTTAGTTTCAGTAGATCCCACTTGTCAATTTTTTGTTTTTGTTCCAATTGTTTTTGAGGACTTAGCCACAAATTTTTTGCCAAGGCCAACATTGAGAAAGGTATTTCCTGGGTTTTCTTCTAGGACTCTTAGTTTGAGGTCTTACATTTAAGTCTTTAATCCATCTTGAGTTAATTTTTGTACATAATGATAGGTAGGGGTCCAGTTTAAATCTTCTCCATATGGCTAGCCAGCTATCCCAGCACCATTTGTTAAATAGGAAGTTCTTTCCCCATTAATTATTTTTTGTACCTTTGTCGAAGATCAGATGGCTGTAGGTGTGTGGCTTTATTTCTGGGTTCTCTATGCTGTTCCATTGGTCTATGTGTCTGTTTTTGTACCCGTACCATGCTCTTTTGGTTACTATAGCCTTGTAGTATAGTTTGAAGTCAGGTAATGTAATCTTTCTGGCTTTGTTCTTTTTGCTTAGGTAATATGTCTTTAAAACCATATTATCTTTTTAAAATAAATAGGCAATATGTTTTAAAACATGTTTTAAAACATTTTAAAACAAAATTTTTTAAGCATTTTAAAGATATAAGTTTAAGGAGGAAGAAGAGATATAGAGGAAGAGGGAGAGTGAAATCTTCCAGTTATTCTGGGTTAAAACTCCGTAATTACATTTTTGAAAAATCTATAGCTTTGCTGTGGTGCTATCACTTTGATCTTTGACTTCTGTGTCCAAAGGGCCGGTGGTTTGAAATTGGACAAGGCCCATTTTTTCTTCTAAGGTAGAACCAACTTTTAAAAAGCAGCTCCAAATAATTAGAACTATTTAATAGTAAACTGAATAGTTTCACAGTGGCAGCCATAGATGGAGATAGAACAACGTCAAGAGAAAGCATGCATGATGCTGATTTACTGCACTATGAGGAAGCCTTCACTAGAGGCATGCCTCCACCTTTGCATCCTATTTGGGAGTGTTGATTCTGACATTCAGTGGGGTCTCTCCTCTCTTCATCAAGCAGAATAAAGGTTCTTCATGCATCTGATGTCTCTGTCTTTCATTCCCTGACTATTGGTTCCCACATGTGTGACAGCAATTTTGGGTAAATGCATCTGCTCTGCAAACCTAAAGTCTCCCTTGATGGGTCTCCTTAGGTTCAAGACTTAGGAAGAACTATTAGAAAGCCCAACTGCAGCTGCATGTCAACGCCACAATCTATCTTCAACTTTATCAGAAATAAAGTTGGTGTTTTCATTACCATATGCCTGACTCCTGTGTCTTAATTCTGACTTGTTTCTGAACTCAGAAGGGATTTAAGGGCTGTGAGCAATTATTACCCCAAATGCCAAAACAGAGCACTGTTATGAGAAATTTTGGAGATGGAAGAACAAGGATGGAAAGAGAGGCTACCAACACGTGTGAAATCAGGACTATTGTGGTACCAAAGGACGTAGAAAAAAAGAAAATCTATGGGGGAGAAAAGTGAAGTACCAAATGAAGAGCTATAAGAACACCAAGTGAGATCCTACAACCTCACCCTCACTTCCGCTCTGATCCACAGCACCTTAGTATTCTCTCATGAAGAATGGAAAGAATTGGAGACTCCTCACTACTAGATAAGAACTTGGAGGATCTTGATGCAGGAGCATTAAATCCTAATTTTATTTCCATAGGAGTTCTACCAGCATCCTCTTTTTGAGGATAGGGGATAAAGTTTACAAGACAGAAGTTTACATAATATCTCAGCTACCCTTAAGGATTTCTAGGTGAGAAAAAGAGAGATTCTGTTCATTATTCCTAAACACTTTATAAATTAAGGTATATGAAACTATGTTTTTCCTATTTGCTAGAATGTTTTCACTAGAAATCTGTGACTATGACAATATTTCAAGATCTGTATTACTAAATTTCAACCTCAGTGGGAGATTGGCATCCACAATCCCAAAATAATGGAAGGTGTGAAGATGTTAACAGAATTTAATTATCAATTTTTCTTAAAGCAAGACAAAGCTATCTACACAAAGCCAGGTCATAGTACAGATATCTCAAGAGTCAGGACTCTAAACTGTAAGCCCACTGAGGAACAGACTGTCAGCTTTATCTTAAGCTTCTCTCCTAAGTAAAGCTGTGGACTGGAGCTCTTGCTTGTCTCCTTGTTCCATTACCTAAGTACATTCATTTTCACACTTCTATTCCAACTGTGGACTCTTTTACTTTTTCCCTGACCTCTCCAGTAAAAGTCCCCTCCTTTTCCTTTTCATTCACATCCATTAATTATAGCCTAGGCAAAAATTTCAAAGAGTTTTAGATTGACTACTTATCCAACCAACCAACACATACACACTGTTTGCTAAGTTATAATTTAGGAAATAGGTCAGAAATCAATTCAGAATAACAGAACACTTTTTTATGACTTTGATGTGGTTAACCTCATAAAAGAAAATTCAGCAGAGACTTAGCAGCCTAAGCCTAAGGCATTTCTGTCTTAAGTATGTATTAGTATATATTACATTTATATTAGCTTCCTAAGTATATGTGTTTATTAGCAAGTATTTTTCAGAAATTACCCTTTTATTAAAAGTTCACGTCATTCTAAATACTTTTTTCTGAACTTTCTTCAGAAAAGAAAATTAAAACTGTTGAAAATTCTAAAAATTCAAATGATAACAGCTGCCCCAGGACTTGCTTCTTTAATAGTATTAATGATTCTCATCATTTTAGAGATAATTAACTACCAAAATTTATGCTTATGGGCTTGAGGTGATTTGAGTCTATAACAGTATTACTATAACTTTGTTACAGGGTGAAATATCAGAAAAATAATATGGTATAATGGAGCAAATAACAATTTGAGGAAATTTTTCACTGAATTAGCTGATTATTTCACCATTCTGCACTTTCAGTTGGCAGGTTCTTTAGTGTATGTATTGGTTGGTTGTATAAGTACTCAATGATGACAACTACTTAAGAAGTAGCAGAATCTAAGTTTCTCTAAAATACTTGATCTACCTAGATCTTAAGAGACTCTTGGAAATTTATTCTAGGGTTTGGGGTGGTCCTCTATTTTCATATTTGTGTAAACTTGACATACTACCTGGATACTCCCTGTTGTTTATTTATACAAGAGGCAGAACAGTTTTGTTTCTGAGATCTTGTGTTCTACAGCCAGGCAGCTTGAGTTCCAATCCTGGCTCTCCCACTTGCCAGCTCTGTGATCATAGGCGAGTTATTTGCTCTCGTTATGTTTGGTTCCCTCGTCTATAAAATGTGAGTGATAATATAGTGCCTACCTCACTTTAAATAAGTTAAGGATGTTTAAAATAGTACCTGCCACAGCATGAGCACTCAAACAGGTGGCTATGTTAGTAAATGTTAGCTGTTAACATGGCATGTCAAGCTGTTAAGTGTCAATCACATTTATGTGGCCCATTTGTGATCCTGATTCCATATTCTCTAGTGTAAAGAAAATTTATAAGAAACCAAGATAGATAACTTTGCAGTTGGCAAGTTCATTTGTGTTTCCAACTGATATTATGTCACAGTACCTTGAGAATGTCTACATTATTTCTTCTTCCAATGTGGTATTATACCATACATACTCTTGTGACTTGCTTATAAATTATTTAAGCAAACCAATATTGGACATTTCTGTTGTTCTGAAAAATCCCCTATTATTTCCCTGACATTGGACCATGTCTTTCTTTATTCAATTGTGTCAAAATCTCTTCTAAGAACAGAAGATGAAGGGCAGATTGATTTACTCAGCTTTTAATTAATTTCCTAGATTCTAGTTATCATTCATGTATTTCAGCTCTATTTTGTCACATTTTTCCTACTTATAATACCTGATCCTTTGATAAACTGAATCTGTAAAGCACATAAAAAAACTAAACTGTCAATACTTCTTCCTAGTTTTGCTGAACCTGCAGAGCTTTATTTGTGGATACAACACCTTTCAGAATGCCATCCTCATTCCCAAACACTCCCTTCATTCAACACCCCACCGTCACTAGACTGAGTCCACCATTTTCTGAGAACTGTTGTTTATGAATCAGTGTAGAAAAAAGGAGAATGCTGCCCCAAAAAGCATCACAAAGTTATGGCTGGTAGAGCTTCATGGTCTCCAAGCCAGGAAAGCGAATGGGAAAAAGGGTTTCATAAGAGCCAGCCAAATGCCAATTTTTTTTCTTTTTATTTTTTCTTTTTTTTTTTTTAATGAGACAGAGTCTCGCTCTGTTGCCCAGGCAGGCTGGAGTGCAGTGGTGCAATCTCAGCTCACCACAACCCCCACTTCCTAGGTTCAAGCGATTCTCATGCCTCAGCTTTCCAAGCAGCTGGGATTACAGCTGGGTGCCACCACACCCAGCTAATTTTTTGTATTTTCAGTAGAGATGAGGTTTCACCATGTTGGCCAGGCTGGTCCCAGTACTTTGGGAAGCCAAGGCAGGCAGATCACTTGAAGTCAGGAGTTCAAGACCAAATGCCATCTTTAAAATAAAAACCTGCCATGCTATTTGATTAGCCATTAGTATCCCTTCTTCCTTAATATTTTTTATTTTAAATTCCTTTTTGATGTCTTTATTCATCCAAAAAGGGTAATATTTAATATTTAAATGTTATAGCAAAAATATGTACAGTATATGATATATCCTCAATCACTTTCAGCTGCCCTATTCGGACCTTCTAGGATAGTTTTAATAGCATCATACTTAACTCTTCGTTCAAATTCAGTCCCCAAAAATGTAAGCAGTGGGAGGGGTCTAGACACATACTGTTGCTGAAAGCCTCAGGCTCCAAAGCCAGACTGACATGGGTTCAAATCCCAGTCCTACCTCTTACTGCTAAGTAACAAGGGGCAAATTGCCTCGCCCAAATGAGTCTCTGTGTCTCGTCTGTGACATGTGGATAACAGTACCTACCCCACAGAGGAGCTGCAAAGAGTAAATGAATAAAGCATGAGTGGTATGTCTCAGCACTGTGCCTTATAAGTGTTAGATATCACGATTACTATCATTCTCTGTTGCATCCTTATTCTCCTGAGGAAGTCAAAGTGCAAGTTAGAGCCAGGTGCTGTGGCTCTTTCCTGTAGTCCCAGCGATGCGGGAGGCTGAGGTGGCAGATCTCTGGAGCCCAAGAGATTGAGGCTTCAGTGAGTCATGATTGCTTCACTGCACTCCAGCCTGGGTAAGAAAGAAAGACCCTGTCTCAAAAAAAAAAAAAAAAAAAAATAGTGCAAGTTAGATCTCAATCTTTGAAAAATGGCAGGCACAGAGCTATTGAGCCAGCCCAGGAACAGAAGCCCCACTGCAGTCATGTGATGTGCCTGAATGTTTATTCAACCCAAGACCAGGAAATCTCCAAAGCAAATACTTCTGAACTTCCTAAACTCTACATTTTCAATTCTTAGGGAAATTAGTGTATATATACATTAGTGTATACAATATTCTGAATTAAAGTGCCTCTCAATATTTATAGCTCTTCAGCACACTGAATATGCCCACCAAAAAATGTTAATTTTGATGATAAATTATTTCATAAAAGTGAAACAAAATTTGTCAAACTGACCCTAGAAATAAAAGTTGTATTAGAAATGAGGATGTGGCTCAAAGTCTTCAAACATCTTTTTTATTTCAAAGGCACTTGGGCAGCAGCAACCTGTGAATTCAGGGATGGGCTAAAGAATATTCTGCTGTCCTTGGTTTTCTAGATGTCTCAGACACTATAGGGTGAGGAAGTGACCCAAGGTATTTGTAAAGCCAGGGCTAGATGTGAACTCTAGGATCTGTCCTTCCTGGATGAATGAACTATTTGACTCTATTAGAAACCCCCAGATAAATACATACAATAAGATTAGCGTTGCTGAGAATGGTTTGGTCCACTTCAGAGAGACCCCCCTCAAAACAAATGAATCCTTTTATAGGGAATAAAAAAGCCTTGACAGTCTCTCTTTTCTCAGACAACACCCAGCAAAGAAATGAACCCACTGAAGTCTTGACTAACACTCCTGATTAAATCACTCCCACTGGGCAGGCCGATGCCTGAGGGGAATAAATGAGTAAGAAAACACATTACAAGGTTAGTAGTTTTGACATGTGGCTTTTCCTGAATCTTTAAAGGAATCTATTTCAAAATAATGATACCTATAAATGTGAAACAATTTGAAACATGAACTAATTATTCTATATAATGCCTTTAGATGCCAGGAAGCATTAATATCTCTTCTTGTTTGAGTGATGAAACACATATGTGAAGTTGGCTGCCTTAAGGCACCACAGTTAATAGACATTAAGACCCAGTAACATCCAGAGTAGATTGTACGGGTCAAATCACACAGCTGTTGCAGGAATGGAGTCCTGATCCAGACCCCAAGAGAGTGTTCTTGGATCTTGGATCTCATGCAAAAAAGAATTCAGGGCAAGTCCATAGACGAAAGTGAAAAGAAGTTTGTTAAGAAAGTAAAGGAATAAAAGAATGGCTACTCCACAGAGCAGCCCGATGCCTGCTGGTTGCCCATTTTTATGGTTATTCCTTGATTATATGCTAAACAAGGGGTGGATTCCTCATGCCTCCCCTTTTTAGACCATACAGGGCAACTTCCTGACATTGCCATGGCATCTGTAAACTGTCATGGCATAAATTGTTATGGTGGGAGTAAAGCAGTGAGGACGATCAGAGAGGTCACTTTCGTGGCTATCTTGGTTTTGGTGGAGTTTTAGCCAGCTTCTTTACTGCAACATGCTTTATCAGCAAGGTCTTTATGGCCTGTATCTTGTGCTGACCTCCTATCTCATCCTGTGATTTAGAATGCCTTAACCATCTGAGAATGCAGCCCAGTAGGTCTCAGCCTCATTTTAACCAGCTCCTATTCAAGATGGAGTTGCTTTGGTTCACACGCCTCTGACACAGCTGCCCTATCTCTGTTTCCAAAGGCTTGAAGGAAACTCCAGTCAATCAGGAAATACGTCTATGTGGCTGTAATGCTGCAGGAGGTGGGAGACCTGCTGACCTGCACTGTTCACTGTTCACCATACAGTAGCTTCACACTCATATGATGACCCTTCAAAGACTGGGAGTCACAGGTTTACAGTTTCCCCAGTTTGCTGGAATTCAAGTGGGTATCACAATGGCTTATCACCTTGGTACCCCACCTATGTAAAATTCAAAACATAATAGATCCTTATGTTCTCAGAAAATCCACCCCTTAGATAATCCTTCCCTATGGCTTAGACATCCTGTTTAATCAGCAGACAAAACCAGTTGAAGCATGAACCTATTCTGACCCCCAAGGAAGCACCACTTTTCTAATACTGTGCTAGCAATATTTTCCACTTACGGAATTTTATTTATTTATTTATTTATTTATTTATTTATTTATTTATTCATCACTGAAACAAACGTTTCCTGAGCTCCAGACACTGTTCTAGGCACTACAAATATAGCAGTAAACAAGAAAGTCAAAATCTCTTCCTGTGAGCCACACACTCTAGGGGGAGAAAAATACTCAACAGATAAATAAACAGTATCATGGAGGCGGAAAGACCAATAAGAAAAATAAAGCAAGATAAGAGACTAGAAAGTGACCTGGAACAGAGATAAAGAGGACTTCTTTCTCAAACAGACTGGTCAAGGAAGAACTTTGAGGAAGAACATTTGAGCAGAGACCTTAATGAAGTGAGGGAGATAATGACTGTCAGCAACTTGGTGGAAAGTTTTTCTGATTCTTTTTTATGCATACAAATACACAAACTGTTTTCTCGCAAAAATTGGAACATACTATATCAATTTTGTTGTAAACTTCCATAGTTTATTTCAGTAATCTACCAACTGTTGGGAATTTAGTTTGTCTCAACATACTTGAATTTATAAGAAGAATCAACTGAAAATTAATTACATATGAAATAGATAATAAAGACGTTAATAACTAAAGAGGCTAAAGGCTGGAAAAATAGATGATACATCCAGAGATCACTGTCATGTTTACTAGACTGCTTGTAGCCAATTACTGTACTTCAACCAGAACAGCACTTTACAGTAACTGTGGATTCTGCTACTGTTTCCCACACCTGTAAGTGCCACTGTCACCTCTATCATCTCTCATTAATGGAGAATCTATGATCCACTCCAACATGCAAGAAGTAATTCAAAGCCTATTGTTCTCAGAACCAGGAAACAAGAAAGAACATCTGAGCAGAAAACATTATCTGGCTCCTCTCCTTAAAGAGACAAATCCTTTGCTGATAACAAAAAACACCTGGAAACTTCCTAACCTTATGAGATTTCACCACCATCTGACTTCTGCCTTCATGGATTATCCCATGTTCCATCTACTCTCTTCCAAACAATTAACTGCTCATCTGCATCCCAGACTTAAGATTTTAAGAAGATAAACTAGACACATGGCACAAGAAGTACTGAATTCCCAAGGGGGCACAATCTGCTCCCTGCTTAGTACAATGATGAGGATATGAGTTGGAAGAGGAGTCATGGAACCCAGCCACTGTATTCTCTCTTAAGGAATCAGAGCTTTTTAAGAAAGCCTAGGCTCTACTGCTCCCACTATAGAAAGCCTACAGAAAGAGGAATAGTACCCTGCTCATAGCTTTAAGTGAGCTAACTCACTAGGCAGTTGACCCAACCTCTTACCTCCCCCCACTTGCCAGTCCTTACTACTATACTAAATTTTTTTGACCTGTATTTAAGGAACCTAGCCCACCTCTGTGGTTGCCTTTTGTCCCCTCTTATTTCAGCCTAAACTGGCTGCCCAGGACTTGACTGGCTCAATGCTGGTAAAATCTGGCAGTCTGCCAAGTCAATAGCAGCAGGATAATAGCTACTATTGGGTCTCCCTGCCTCAAGATGGGAGGCAAAATATAGGAGGACTGCAGGAAGCAACAGGTCCTTCTGCAAACAGAAGACCTGTAAAAGACAGAGGCACAGAAGTCAGGATAGGGGCTGTTGGGGGTTGGGGGCAGGGCCACGATGCATCTAGCTTTACTAGTTGCCACAGCCTTGTGTCATTATGATAAAAAAGCAGTGCTGAGGAAAGTTCTTGCTTAGGGTCTAGTAAAGAGCTCACATGGATGGGCACTGACGTGATTCTCACCATATAGTAATCCATTTATTAGTGCTTCTCTATGAGAATGTGTGACTTTTCTCTTAAAGAATTGACATGCTACTCTCAAAAATCAATATCAACGCATTCTATATCAGCTGGATGACCAGTGACCAAATTTGTTTATGCTCATGACTGCATCAATGCTAACAGGCATAGGTTTTTAATTGTCTCAGAACAAATAAGAAGAATTTAATATGTAAGTGATGAGCAACAAAGAGAAGGCTAAACAAAGTGTTTGTAAGAGTGCAAACAGAGAAAAGTTGTCAAGACAGGGATGCGCTCTATCACCACTCCTATTCAATATAGTGTTGGAAGTTCTGGCCAGGGAAATCAAGCAAGAGAAAGAAATAAAGGGTATTCAATTAGGAAAAGAGGAAGTCAAATTGTCCCTGTTTGCAGACGACATGACTCTACATTTAGAAAACCCCATTGTCTCAGCCCAAAATCTCCTTAAGCTGATAAGAAACTTCAGCAAAGTCTCAGGATACAAAATCAATGTGCAAAAATCACAAGCATTCTTATACATCAATAACAGACAAACAGAGAGCCAAATCATGACTGAACTCCCATTCATAATTGCTACAAAGAGAATAAAATACCTAGGAATCCAACTTACAAGGGATGTGAAGGACCCCTTCAAGGAGAACTACAAACCACTGCTCAATGAAATAAAAGAGGACACAAACAAATGGAAGAACATTCCATGCTCATGGATAGGAAGAATCAATATTGTGAAAATGGCCATACTGCCCAAGGTAATTTATAGATTCAATGCCATCCCCATCAAGCTACCAATGACTTTCTTCACAGAATTGGAAAAAACTACTTTAAAGTTCATATGGAACCCAAAAAGGACCTGCATTGCCAAGTCAATCCTAAGCCAAAAGAACAAAGCTGGAGGCATCATGCTACCTGACTTCAAACTATACTACAAGGCTACAGTAACAAAAACATCATGTTACTGGCACCAAAACAGAGATCTAGACCAACAGAACATAACAGAGGCCTCAGAAGTAACACCACACATCTACAACCATCTGATCTTTGACAAACCTGACAAAAACAAGAAATGGGGAAAGGATTCCCTATTTAATAAATGGTGCTGGCAAAACTGGCTAGCCATATGTAGAAAACTGAAACTGGATCCCTTCCTTACACCTTATATAAAAATTAATTCAAGATGGATTAAAGACTTAAATGTTAGACGTAAAACCATAAAAACCCTAGAAGAAAACCTAGGCAATACCATTCAGGACATAGGCATGGGCAAGGACTTCATAACTAAAACACCAAAAGCAATGGCAACAAAAGCCAAAATTGACAAATGGGATCTAATTAAACTAAAGAGCTTCTGCACAGCAAAAGAAACTACCATCAAAGTGAACAGGCAACCTACAGAATGGGAGAAAAATTTTGCAATCTACCCATCTGACAAAGGGCTAATATCCAGAATCTACAAAGAACTTAAACAAATTTACAAGAAAAAAATCAAACAACTCCATCAAAAAGTGGGCAAAGGATATGAACAGACATTTCTCAAAAGAAGTCATTTATGCAGCCAACAGACATATGAAAAAATGCTCATCATCACTGGTCATCAGAGAAATGCAAATCAAAACCACAATGAGATACCATCTCACACCAGTTAGAATGGTGATCATTAAAAAGTGAGGAAACAACAGGTGCTGGAGAGGATGTGGAGAAATAGGAACGCTGTTACACTGTTGGTGGGAACGTAAACTAGTTCAACCATTGCGGAAGACAGTGTGGCAATTCCTCAAGGATCTAGAACTAGAAATACCATTTGACCCAGCGATCCCATTACTGGGTATATACCCAAAGGATTATAAATGATGCTGCTATAAAGACACATGCATACGTATGTTTACTGTGGCATTATTCACAATAGCAAAGACTTGGAACCAACCCAAATGTCCATCAATGATAGACTGGATTAAGAAAATGTGTCACATATACACCATGGAATTCTATGCAGCCATAAAAAAGGATGAGTTCATGTCTTTTGCAGGGACATGGATGAAGCTGGAAACCATCATTCTGAGCAAACTATCACAAGGACAGAAAACCAAACACTGCATGTTCTCACTCATAGGTGGAAATTGAACAATGAGAACACATGGACACAGGAAGGGGAACATCACACACCGGGGCCTGTCGTGGGGTGGGGGTAGGGGGTAGGGATAGCATTAGGAGAAATACCTAATGTAAATGATGAGTTAATGGGTACAGCAAACCAACACGGCAGATGTACACATACGTAACAAACCTGCACGGTGTGCACATGTACCCTAGAACTTAAAGTACAATAATAAAAAAAAGAAAAAAGTTGTGTAAAAGAAAATCAGCTCATCACACAGCACACATTCATGAAGTCACACTGATGCCAAGAGAACAGGAGTGGTTTGGTACCATGGTCTTATTGCGAGCAGCTTTATACTTTCATCAAACTGGCATCTATTAGTTAAATTAATGTTAGGGGTTTGTTTTCACTTAAATTTAAAATTTGTTATGTAAGAGTTATTATTATAAGAAATTTATAATTGGTTTTAATGTCTGTACGTAAGTAACCAGATAATTAAAATAATTTAAGTAAACATCACAGATTCTCAAGAATTATTTTTCATGTACAGAAAGCTCATTAAGATTATTTATTGCAGCATTGTTTATAATTGCAAAGCATCAGGTGTATCCCAAATTCCGAATATCTATCTATAGCATACTGATTAAATAACTATGGTGCAGCCATACAGTGGAATATGGTACAACTGCCAGAAAAAATAAGATAACATGAAGCAATCTCCAAGATATTTGTTCAGTAAAAAAAAGTACAGAACAGTGTAAATAATATACTGCATTAGGTGTAGAAAAGGTACAAATAAGAGTCTACATTTATTTTTGTTTGCATTTACATTTTTACAAAGCACTACAAGGACACTCAATAAACTATTAAAAGTGGATATCAATGAAACCAGACAGGAGGACTTCTCACTGTGTGCCTGGTTATATAGTGTCCATTTTTAAGCCATACAAAAATTATATACTGAAAAACTAAAACTAAATTTATAAACAAAAAGTAAAATAGTGTGTCTATCTGTTAGCCAAGATTAAGAAACACTCAGTAAATTGTTGGAGTGAGTATGTAGATTAAGGTGTTTTAGAAGTTCAAGAAAAAAAACACATTTATAGATTCACATATTAAAGCCACCAAAATCTATTGAGGATCGTGGGCTGTCTCATTCATGAATAGCTCATTCATGACCCTGGATGAACTTTAAACTCCGGTTTGAATGCATTGGTTTCAGCGCAACATGCTGCCTGACAAGGTATCTCAGTAGGGTCCATTTCAGCCGCTAGGTAGGCTTAGTTAATGCTAGATACTGTGATAGACATTGCCTGTGACTGTTTCAGGGAGTTACACAGACTGCATTCAAGTATTTCCTTTATTGTATCTTGATGTCTTTAGTTTTGGATTTTAGGAGCAAACTTCAAAGAGCAGGGTTTTTTTGTTTGTTTGTTTGCTTGTTTTTGTCTTTCTCCAGATATCCAAGGGGTGCCCTTGCATCTCTGCAGTAATGACCCCACACAACTCAGGATAAGAGTAACAACAACAGCCAGTCATTGGGAAAAGAAAGTTGGTGGTAGAAAAGGAAGAGAAGACAACCGTTGGAGTGGCTTCGACCCCAAAGTGAAGCTTCCACTGGAAAGTTAAAGACATCCCCTCAGCATATTCCCCACCCCAGCTGTGGAGAGCAAGGAAGGGTCTTCAGGGCAATAGAACATTAGTAGGTCAGATCAGAGTCTGAGGGAAGTGGGTTTGCATCGTGGCTCTATTACTTTCTAGCAGGGTAACATTGTGCTACTCATCTAACTTCTCTGGGCTTATGTTTGCTTACTAGGAAAACAGGGACTATCACGGTACAGTCCTCATAAGGCTGCTGTGGGAATAAATAATCTGTGTAAAATACTGAGCACAGTAATAACTAGCACAGATAAATGTCAGCAGCTATTAATGTGTGATTGACAAAATCATTAGTAGAATAATTCTTCAAACACCTAAATTAAAACAAAGTTGTTTAAAATACGTGTACTACTCTGTAAAACCCAGCATACTCTGACTGAAAGCCAGAAGATAGCAGCATTCTGTAGAGGGCGTTCCATACCTACCCCGAACTCCAGACCATGACTATGGTCATCAGGTGGGCGCTTACTGGCCCAGGTATTTGACTGCATCAGTGACACATGAGTTCTTTGTGAGACAACAGAGGGATTAGCTGCAAATGATGGAATCCACACTTTGGGATAAGAATTATCTATGGTTTATTTTACAGTTAAATCAAGCATGAATGCCGTATTTTCCAGGTCTGCTGTTGTACAGAGCTAAATTAAGCAAAAAAGAGGGCATTTTGATAAGCATGCAGGACTAATAGGCCAGGCACAGTCTAGCCTCAAGGACTGGCTCCAGAAACTGGAAAACTGCTTGAAACCCAGGCAGGACCCTCTCCCTCTCAGGTCTCTGTTCTGACAGCTGTTTCCTTCTCTACTTTCTGCCTAGAGCAGCTTCCTCTGCTCCCAGCCTGCAAGGTAGAATATGGCTGCCCATAGCTTCCCAGCAAAAGTTGCAGGTCCAACACATGAGGGAAGTTAAATGTTCCTCAGTTTCTGTTCTAAATTCCCAGTGAAGGGTCTGTAATTGACTCACCTGGGTCAAATTCTCATCTCTAAAGCAAGTAACTATGGCTTTCTTCAGAGGGCAGATTTGTTTTATACTTACATGGCTGCTGGAAACCCACTCCTTGAATTGAGAGGGGCCAGTTAAGATAATTGCTAAGATCTGGACAGATGTCTCCAAAAATGCTCACAGTAAATCATATAGAGGGGCTCTGATTTTCATGCAGCACACAGAGACAAAAACCAAGTTTCTTCTGTGAAATCTTAGAAATCTACTTCTTTATAAAAAGATTACAATAAATTCTTGGTCTATTTTTGTTCACTCAAAAGATAAGTGCTGAGTCCTCTTTAACTCAATTTATAATCCTCTTATTCTAAAGTTTTCTGCTATGCCTCTGCCACGTATTTCCTTAGGGATGGCTTTCTCTACCCCTGCATGGCCCTGAGGCTACGTCTATCTCCTCTGAGCTCTGTCCCAGCTATCTGCGTTCTCCAGATACCGCTTTGTTCTCTCTTCTGCCCCTGGCTCCCAGGGTAGCTTCCTGATTGGACCTGAAATGCAAATGATGCCTTTCCACTTCCTTTGTAACACCCACACATGGCACAGTTAGTCCACTCCTCACTCCATTACCTATGTGTACTGCAGATGCTTCAAATTAAAGAAATGATGACCTCATCTTAAAATCTTCTCAATCACCTTCATGTCAGGATGACAGCAAACACAACAAAGAATATGATGTTGGAAGCATATTCTTAGGCTTATGGACTTTTTGAATTTGGGTATTTCTATGCCATGGACTAAAGAAACTTAAAAACTGAGACCAGGGACGATGTGATGTTTTATACAGACAGCAATTTCAGAATATTTTACTACATTTTCCAACTTGAACTACTGTAGGAGATAGATTCTGACCAAGTGGCAGTGATTCACTAGATAACAACTAGATGGGCAAACTCCATACTTAGCATAGGTGTCCCCTCCCCTTGGCATTACTGCGCATACCATCTTTAGAAACATAGTACAGTATCTTGCAGTGTATTGTCATTGTCTGTTTTCTACTACCCATTAAAGGGCAGAGACCATGTCTTTTCCTCTTTTTATCTCCACCACCTAGAAAAATAAGCATCACATAGTAGGAGCTCTATAAACATTTATTTGATTAATGAAAAAAAAGCAATAAGAATTCCAAACACAAAGGAATTTTGTAAGAAGCAGATTACAATTAATAAGCAGATGAAAGTAAAGTGAATCCCACTGAGTAAAATAAGGTGCATTTGAGATACATTTTTAAAAACACCACCTCAGCCATGTATAATTTATGAATATTGAGCACTCTCTGATAGGTAGGTAGGGCCATGTAACTGCTTCAAAACAATGAAGTCACCTAGGTGTTTTTATAATGTGACAAGAATATTTCTCTTCATTGCTGACAAGTATTTACATTTTTCCACTGTGGGGTTAACCTAATCTTGTACCTTGTCATTTTCTCTCTCCTGCAGAGGTAAATCCTCTGTCTATAAATGTATACAACCATAATCCCTTGAGCCATGCAAAGACAGCTTGCCAGTTTTGACTGTGTAACATCTATTTAATAGCTCAAGGGGTAGCTGACAACGAAGTAATTAAGAAAAAACAGATTTCACAAGCCAATAAAAATTCTCCCCTTAGCACAGCTTGAGAACTACAAAGGTAGGACTGAAATCTAGAGATAAATATTAGATAATTAGCTCCTAAGCCCTTTCAAAATGAAGCTTTTTCTAAAAATTGAGCTTAAAGCCACGCTATATAATTAATATCAGTTAAATCTAGCAACCTTATTTCTAAGCTTTTGTAATTTTAGAAAAGCTGGCATTAGATGACCAACAAATAAAAAATATATTTACCTTTAAGAAAAGAAAAATAGAGCAATTTGAGCTATGTGAGCTATGCAAAATTTATCAGGCCCAGAGAGACATGAGTGTGGGACTTCATTCGGGCTTCCCCCTACCCATGCCCAGAGGCAAATGTTAAAAGGCATTTTTGTTCCTGACTAGAAACAAAAAAAAAAAAAGCATTTTTGTTCCTCACTCACTATTGTCATTTTTCTAGAATTTGTGATACAAAGAACAATGTATAGCCAATGGATAGCTTATGTTATTTTAATGTAAATTCCTGTTAAACAATGTAGAAACTGCTTTTTCTTTTTTCCTTAAAAGCCCACTGTAACTGCTGCTAATCAAAGAATGGATTAAGGGCAACTTGAATGTATGCTCTTGGGTGATCATCCTCAAGCTTTGGGCTCAAATAAACTCTGCTTAATCATATTTTCTGAATTTCATTATTTAAGGTTGACACCTTTAAAGTACTGTATTCTTTCAGTATATGTGATTGTAAGCCTACATTCCAGACACTATCCTTAGCCCTGGAGTTACAAAGGTGAATAAGACATGGCCTCTGCTCTCAAGAAGCTTACAGTCTAGGGCAAATGAGCTTGTGATTCAATTTTTATAATAATTATTCAAAATTGAGGAACCCTGGATTGTCATAGACCTCTGGAAGTTTATTCCCTATATCCTAACAGGTCTCATCTAAACTAGTCCTGATGACTGCACATGCTTATTTCTCTTGGTGAGAACTTAGAAAAATATAGTAAATGTATACTTCCCTACTATTAATGATAGAGACAGGAGACAGCCAAGGGTCCCCAATGAAACCCCACCTTCAAGCCTAAAGCGGCTTGAAGGCTGAAAAACCGGACTGCTGATCCTGGATGAAGCCTGTCCTTTCAGAAGGCTTCTTTCTGAATAATGCCCACCTGCACACTGGGAGAATGGGATGGAGCCTCAGGGAAGTTCATGCCATTTGCAGTGAGGAGGAGCCTGGCCTCTCCAGTTCCTGAGTGGTGTGACCTGGTATTCAATCTGTAAGGCGCGAGTCCTGCTAGCAGGAATTTCTCTCACTTTGCTGAGAGTTACTTTTCCTTTTTCCTTTTTGCCCAATAAATTCCACTCCTCACCCTTCTATGTGCCCATTGAGCCTAATCTATCCTGGTCATGTGACAAGAACCTGATTTTAGCTGAACTAAGGAGAAAGTTCTGCAACATTAATATTATGTGCCTTTAATAATCAATAAAAGCCATCAAAAAGAAAAATAGCATCTAGTAGATGATCAGTATAAACATAATCAAACATTCACTAGTCTGTTAGCAAATGATTAAAAGTGTTTACATTGGTAGACAAATGATAAATTTTCTCTAAAATTTTCTCAGAAAGCTCACAAAATCTGTGGGATCTTGGAAGCCTAGATCCCACATCCCATCATGGGAAGATGTTTTGTGATCTGAGTCATTTTTCTTTGCAAGATGTTTTGTGTCTGTAGCCTTATTTTGATATTCAGAGACAAATAAAATGCCTAGCTCATAGTTTCTTTATTAACTGCAATGTCCCACTGCCTAAGGAAAGGATTTAGATAACTTTAACAGATTAGAGTTTATTTTTAGGCCACTTCTGCTTTTTTCTTACTCTCAAAGTAAAAAGCATTCCCCTTAAATAAACAAGATGAAAAGAGAGTCTTTCTTAACAGTACAAACCCACAGTTGTGCTAGTGTTGGAACTTTAGTAAAGTTAAAGACTACCTATTTCAACTATTTCTCTCAGTATAGCAGAAGACCAGCAGTTCTGCTGCTTTGACAATTACAGGCAAAGCAAAATGGTGCTGTCTAAGCAGTACTTACACTTTATCTTCTGGTCTTTCTCCTTTTCCCAAGTCCTGGCTTTCCCTGAGAGAGAGAACTGACAGTGCAGTAATTTAAAGGTTACAAAGTGAACAAAGGGCTTGAAAGTGCAATTTAACTCTTGACTCTGAGAAACTTAGGAAATTACAGGTTAAAAAATATTTTGGAAACGTTTCAATGTGGCCACTAGTAGATCTATGACTTCCTCCTAAACCACATAACATATTGGCAAGGATGCGAAGAAAGGGGAACACATACACTGTTGCTACAAATGTAAATTAGCACGATCATTAATTCCTCAAAAAACTCCAAATAGAATGACCATATGATCCAGCAATCTCACTACTGGGTATATATCCAAAGGAAAGGAAATCTGTATGTCAAAAAGATATCTGCATTCCCATGATTACTGCGGCACTATTCACAAGAGCCAAGACATGCAATCAACCAAAGTGTCCATCAACAGATGAATGTCTAATGAAAACATGGTGTATACATATATATGTATAACTGTGTGTATACATATGTGTATATATGTGTGTGTCATATATATAATGTATATGTATATGGGGTGGAGCATAGGTGTATATGGGGTGGAGCATAGGTATATATGGGGTGGAAAGGAGAAAGAAGCCAGTGTGAGTGTACATTATTACTGCCAAAGGAAACAGGTTTGATTTTTCTGTATAAGGACAAGAATCCGTGTATTCATAAACTCCATATGGGATAGGACATAGCCACAGGTGAGGTTTATAGATACAAATATATAGCTAGATAGGAGGATTATTGTTTACTTATGTCAAAATATTATACTGTACCCCATAAATACATACAATTATTATGTGTCAATTAAAAATAATAAAATCAAACACTGCATATAAAGCAAAATAAGAAAAATTCTTACACAAAGGAAAAAAATATAAGATGATACAAGAAACACAAATTATGTAAATTAGAGAAATTAATTAAGCTTCCATCCACATCAAAAAAACTCTCATCTTGAGTTATGATAGAAAATACAACCTCAGATTGTTTAAAGGAAACATACCTAAAATAAACTGTCCATGATCTATCAAACAAATGTGAAAAAAATCGAGGTTTACTCTCTTAAATCAGATGAAGAATTTAAGGGAAAATATTAAACAGTTTCTATGGACTAAATAATATAATCCAAATGGATTGAGTGGGAGTTTCCTCAAAAGCTGAGCCTGAGAAAAGAAACCAGGTAGTTAATCTGGGAGGTGATTCTAGGAAACAAAAGTAATGGAACAGAAAAAGTGGGTGAGGAAGGAGAAAGAAGCCAATGTAATTATGTATTTATTGCTGCCAAGTGAAACAGTGGTTTGATTTGTCCCTATAAGCACAAGAAACAGGAAATTTATTCATTGGCTCCCAATTGTTATTAGCTGAGAGTTGCCCATAGGGGTTTTATTCCTAAGTACTTCCAAACTGCATGTGTATATGGGCTGAATGGGCTCACACAAGAATCCTAAGCTTTGAAGAAGTCCCCAAACATAAAGTGAAAGACTTGATGGACGAGCTTAAGGCACACACTGTTAGCCTGAGATAAGATGAAGCCCTCACAAAACTGTCCACTACAGCTGCAGCTGGAATTAGAGATAAAGCAAAGAGGATATTATTCAGAGCAACAGAGAAGTCTGATAGGAGAGGGTTCCCTGAATAGGTGATATATGAGCAGGGACTTAAAGAAACGGAGGAATCGAGTTGTGTGAATATCTAGGGGAAGAAAAACCCAGGCAGAAGGAACACAAGGATGAATTTTTAATGATGATGAAAAACCTTTAAAGAGTTTTGAACAGGGGAATGCACTGACTCTCATTTTGAAACAATAATTTTTGCATTTTTGTATAGGTGATGGAGAGAGTGGGAAAAGAATGGAGGTGAAAAAGAATCATATAGAGAGCCTAAAATAACTATACTTAAAATGAGTCAACAGAAAAAGAGAGAAATGAATCTGTATAAAAGAATGAGATACTATTTTTAAAAAATCACACATTTGAAAACTCATCAAAAAAATAAGATTATGGTAATTGAAATTGAGAAACTGGCTTAAACAGCAATTTGACACACTGACAGACAGAAACAGAAAACTGAAAGACATGTCTAAGGAAATAATTCAAAATGCAGTATGAGAACATAAAGGTTTAAAAAACAGGAAAGAGAAACTAAAGGACAGGATGGGTAAAATGAAAATGTCCAACATAACAGTCTTAGAGAGAAAAAGAGAGCAAAAACATTGGAGAAGAAAATGGCTGAGAACATTCCATACTTGATAAATGATGTCAGACTAGACTCAAATTGTGTGCCACAAGCAAATTAATAAAATTCATATAATTCTTTATATTGCCCAAATAAAACAGAAAACCTCCTAATTATTTTAATAGGTGCAGAAAAATCATTTCCTAAAATTCAACATCTATTTATTAATTTTAAAAAAACCTTGGCAAACAAAAATTAAAAGGGAATCTCCTCTAAAATGGGCAATATATGAGAAAAACATCCAGCTAAGTTTTTGTTAAATAATACAATATGGAACATTTTCTTCTTGGCTTGGTAATAATGCAAGAATTCCCACTAACCCACCTCTATTCAACATTGCACTAGAGATCCTATCAAGTTAAACAAGGCAAGGAAAAAAAAGACAGACACAAATATCTGAGACAAGGAAAAATGCTTTTATTCTCAAACATAATTGTATTCATAAAATATCCAAAAAAAGTACCATGTTGTTTTGGTTACTGTAGCCTTGTAGTATAGTTTGAAGTCAGGTAGCATGATGCCTCCAGCTTTGTTCTTTTGGCTTAGGATTGACTTGGCAATGCAGGCTCTGTTTTGCTTCCATATGAACTTTAAAGTAGTTTTTTCCAATTCTGTGAAGAAAGTCATTGGTTGCTTGATGGGGATGGCATTGAATCTATAAATTACCTTGGTCAGTATGGCCATTTTCACGATATTCATCCTTCCTGTCCATGAGCATGGAATGTTCTTCCATTTGTTTGTGTCCTCTTTTATTTTGTTGAGCAGTGGTTTGTAGTTCTCCTTGAAGAGGTCTTTCACGTCCCTTGTAAGTTGGATTCCTAGGTATTTTATTCTCTTTGAAGCAATTGTGAATGGGAGTTCACTCATGATTTGGCTCTCTGTTTGTCTGTTATTGGCGTATAAGACTGCTTGTGATTTTTGCACATTTATTTTGTATCCTGAGACTTTGCTGAAGTTGCTTATCAGCTTAAGGAGATTTTGGGCTGAGATGATGGGGTTTTCTAGATATATAATCATGTCATCTGCAAACAGGGACAATTTGACTTCCTCTTTTCCTAATTGAATACCCTTTATTTCTTTCTCCTGACTGATTTCCCTGGCCAGAACTTCCAACACTATGTTGAATAGGAGTGGTGAGAGAGGGCATCCCTGTCTTGTGCCAGTTTTCAAAGGGAATGCTTCCAGTTTTTGCCCATTCAGTATGATATTGGCTGTGGGTTTGTCATAAATAGCTCTTATTATTTTGAGATATGTCCCATCAATACCTAATTTATTCAGAGTTTTTGGCATGAAGGGCTGTTGAATTTTGTCAAAGGCCTTTTTTGCATCTATTGAGATAATCATGTGGTTTTTGTCTTTGGTTCGGTTTGTATGCTGGATTACACTTATTGATTTGCGTATGTTGAACCAGCCTTGCATCCCGGGGATGAAGCCCACTTGATCATGGTGGATAAGCTTTTTGATGTGCTGCTGGATTCAGTTTGCCAGTATCTTATTGAGGATTTTTGCATCGATATTCATCAGGGATATTGGTCTAAAATTCTCTTTTTTTGTTGTGTCTCTGCCAGGCTTTGGTATCAGGATGATGCTGGCCTCATAAAATGAGTTAGGGAGGATTCCCTCTTTTTCTATTGATTGGAATAGTTTCAGAAGGAATGGTACCATCTCCTCCTTGTACCTCTGGTAGAATTCGGCTGTGAATCTGTCTGGTCCTGGACTTTTTTTGATTGATAAGCTATTAATTATTGCCTCAATTTCAGAGCCTGTTATTGGTCTATTCAGAGATTCAACTTCTTCCTGGTTTAGTCTTGGGAGGGTGTATGTGTCGAGGAATTTATCCATTTCTTCTAGATTTTCTAGCTTATTTGCGTAGAGGTGTTTATACTATTCTCTGATGGTAGTTTGTATCTCTGTGGGATCAGTGGCGATATCCCCTTTATCATTTTTTATTGCGTCTATTGGATTCTTCTCTCTTTTCTTCTTTATTAGACTTGCTAGTGGTCTATCAATTTTGTTGATCTTTTCAAAAAACCAACTCCTGGATTCATTGATTTTTTGAAGGGCTTTTTGTGTCTCTATCTCCTTCAGTTCTGCTCTGATCTTAGTTATTTCTTGCCTTCTGCTAGCTTTTGAATGTGTTTGCTCTCGCTTCTCTAGTTGTTTTAATTGTGATGTTAGGGTGTTAATTTTAGATCTTTCCTGCTTTCTCTTGTGGGCATTTAGTGCTATAAATTTCCCTCTACACTACTGGTACCAAAACAGAGATACAGACCAATGGAACAGAACAGAGCCCTCAGAAATAATACCACACATCTACAACTATCTGATCTTTGACAAACATGACAAAAACAAGAAATGGGGAAAGGATTCCCTATTTAACAAATGGTGCTGGGAAAACTGGCTAGCCATAGGTAGAAAGCTGAAACTGGATCCCTTCCTTACACCTTATACAAAAATTAGTTCAAGATGGATTAAAGACTTAAATGTCAGACCTAAAACCATAAAAACCCTAGAAGAAAACCTAGGCAATACCATTCAGGACATAGGCATGGGCAAGGACTTCATGTCTAAAACACCAAAAGCAATGGCAACAAAAGCCAAAATTGACAAATGGGATCTAATTAAAGTAAAGAGCTTCTGCACAGCAAAAGAAACTACCATCAGAGTGAACAGGCAACCTACAGAATGGGAGAAAATTTTTGCAATCTACCCATCTGACAAAGGACTAATATCCAGAATCCACAAAGAACTCAAACAAATTTACAAGAAAAAAACAAACAACCCCATCAACAAGTTGGCAAAGGATATGAACAGACACTTCCAAAAGAAGACATTTATGCAGCCAAAAAACACATGAAAAGATGCTCATCATCACTGTCCATCAGAGAAAAGCAAATCAGAACCACAATGAGATACCATCTCACACCAGTTAGAATGGCTATCATTAAAAAGTGAGGAAACAACAGGTGTGGAGAGGATGTGGAGAAATAGGAACACTTTTACACTGTTGGTGGGACTGTAAACTAGTTCAACCATTGTGGAAGACAGTGTGGTGATTCCTCAGGGTTCTAGAACTAGAAATACCATTTGACCCAGCCATCCCATTACTGGGTATATACCCAAAGGATTATAAATGATGCTGCTATAAAGACATATGTGCACGTATGTTTATTGCGGCACTATTCACAGTAGCAAAGACTTGGAACCAAGCCAAATGTCCAACAATGATAGACTGGATTAAGAAAATGTGGCACATATACACCATGGAATACTATGCAGCCATAAAAAATGATGAGTTCCTGTCCTTTGTAGGGACATGGATGAAGCTGGAAACCATCATTCTCAGCAAACTATCGCAAGGACAAAAAACCAAACACTGCATGTTCTCACTCATAGGTGGAAATTGAACAATTAGAACACTTGGACACAGGAAGGAGAACATCACACGCTGGGGCCTGTTGAGGGGTGGGGGAAGGGGGGAGGGATAGCATTAGGAGATATACCTAATGTAAATGATGAGTTAATGGGTGCAGCACACCAACACGGCACACATATACAAATGTAACAAACCTGCACATTGTGCACATGTACCCTAGAACTTAAAGTATAATAAAAATATATATTAAAAAATTAAAAAAAATTTAACTACTGGAAATAATGTTATTTTAGGAATATTGCTGGATTGAAGATTATGTTACTCAGGGTTCCTCAGAGAGACAAAACCAATAGGAGAGGGATAGATAGATACACAGATAGATAAGATTTATAAGGGAATTGGCTCAGGTAATCATGTGGAGTCTCAGAAGTCCCACAAGAGACCATCTGTAAGCTAGAGACCTTGAGGTATGGGTAGACTGGCTAAGTTCAATTCCAACAGCTTCATAACTAAAGGAGCTGTTGGTGTATGTTCAGCACAAAGCCAAAGGCCTAGAACCTGGGGGGCCACTGGTGTAAGTCTTTAAAGGCCAGACAGCCTGAAGTTCTAATGTCTAAGAGCAGGTGAAGAAGAGTGTTTCAGCTTCAGGAAAAAGAGAGAAAAAAGAAATCACCTTTCCTCTGACTTTTTGCTCTATTCAGGACCCCAACCTATTGGATGATGCCTACCCAGCTGAGGGAGGATTATCCCCACTTACTCACCAACTCACATGTCAGTCTTCTCTGGGATATTTTCACAGACACATCCAGAAATAATGCTTTACCAGATCTCTAGGTATTCCTTAATCCAGTCAAGTTGACACCTAAAATTAATCATCACAAGTCCATCCCTTATCAACTTGGCACCTATATACATCTCCTTAAGCTATACTTAATCTCCAAATAAAGACAATAAAGAGGCAATTGGTCTGCCTATCATGATACAATTATCCTGCATACAACAGAAAACACTAATCTCTTTCCCAGAAAAGGAGGTAAAGTTCTTTGGGTGTTCTTTCTTCTCCTGATATCCCATAACTTAAATACCATGATGTAAAATTAACAATAGCTAAGTACTGATATAAAGCCAATATATCTTATGTTGCACGAAAAAATAGTAAGAGGAATAAAAACAAAGATATTTGCTTAATATATGTATACATAAACACAAACGTAATCTAACAAAACAAGGAGGAAATATGCATGCCAATTAGTCCTAATTTCTGCAACTGGTCAGAGGGTAGTAGCTGATATTTATAACTACCTTCTTCTACGAGCTATTTTGTATTTCCTGTGTCTTCAACAGGCACCTCAGCTGATTGTGGTTCTTTACTTGCTGGGGCGATGCAAACCTTCATTCCTAAAGGGTCTTGGCCATTCATAGTCTTGCCTGGATTAGGTTGTTGTAATTTCCCATTCACCTTAATCACAGGTAATATACCATCTCACACCAGTTAGAATGGCAATCATTAAAAAGTCAGGAAACAACAGGTGCTGGAGAGGATATGGAGAAATAGGAACACTTTTACAGTGTTGGTGGGACTGTAAACTAGTTCAACCATTGTGGAAGACAGTGTGGTGATTCCTTAATCACACGGTAATAATAAGAGAAACCCTAATGACTATCTTGCATTCTAGACATACTCTTCCTTACCTCCACTGTGGAGTAGTAGTTCAATTTTTGCTTGGTATCCTAAATCAATCACTGTAACCAACACTGTGACTCTATTCTTAGCCTGTTGACTAAGGCATGAGGAGTCCAAAATGGTCAGGTGGCAGTTTTAACTTCCAGTTTAATTAACTAATTACTGTATTTAATTAAATAATTATTATATATCCTAGTGGAAGTATTCCCTCTTCAGGAATCAAGACTTCTAGGCCAGCAGAGCACACACTTGTGGAACTGTATTTCCACCTTCCTCCATTCCCCTTGCAGGAAAAAGTTAAGCCAAACACCCCCAGAAGCACTCATGACCACCACAGACACCTGCACTTCTTACTACAGGAGTATCTAGCAGTCCTAACAGACCCTGAGCCCAACTCAAGGAGCTGCTTGGAGCTCACACAGCTGCATTGCTCTAGAATAGGAGCCAATGTTATGCATTTCCCACTCCCTGTGCATGACCCAAGCTGCTACAGCACAGCACTATCTTCAAACTGGAGCCACTAATAGAGTGTGCCCTGCTCTAGAGACTCTGCCACTATTCCATCATGTTCACACATGTGGGTGCAGCACCACGACCCTAGCTACTTGAAATCTAGGCCCATTGGAATAGTCCTAACTCTAGTGCCCAAGCCCATGCAGCCCCCCAAGAAACATGGAGTTCTGCACAACAGAGAAGCCAACTCTGGGCACACTAAAACCCTATGCACACACACAAGCCTAGAAGCCCCATCCATGGCAAGTCTGGCACCAGCAAAGCTGCACAACTGTTGCCACAAACTCCTGCACCCTAAGCCACAGAGGCACTTGCAGATATCATCACTGTTATGTATAACAGCTGAAGAAACTTCATGAAGACTACACTACTGTGTCCACCCAGAACCAAAGCCAATCCGCCCTACCCAACAATCAATCTAGTACACTTATACCAGAAAAAGTTTTTCCCTAGGAAAGCTACTCCATAAAATTGCAAGAAGTGACTGTTCCAATAGATGCACAGATATCAAGGTAAGGACACAAGAAATATGAAATAACAAGAAAACATGACACCTCCAAAGGAACACAATAATTCTCCACTAACAGACCCCAATGCAAAAGAAATCTATGAAATGAATGAAAAGAAATTCAAAATAATATTCTTCAGCAAACTCAGCAAGATACAAGAGAATACAGATAAAGAATTCAATAACAGCAGAAAAACAACTTATAAACTGAATTATAAATTCAACAAAGCTAGATATTATTTTTTAAAAAAGGAACCAAACAGAAATTGTTGGGCTGAAGAATTTAATAAAAAATACAGTTGAGAACTCAACAACAGATGAGATCAGGCAGTAGAAAGAGTTCCTGAACTTGAAGACAGGCATTCTGAAATAACCCAGAGTGGGGAAGATGAGAATAAAAAAGAATGAAGGAATACTATGGGAATAATGGAATAAAATTAAGCAAATATTTCCATTGTAGCCATTTGATAGGGAGAAGAGATAAATAAAGGTACAGAAAACATATTTGTCAAAATAATAGCCAAAAACCTCCCAAGTCTTGGGAAAAATATAGACACCCAGGTCCAGAAAGCTCAAAAATCCTAAATAGATTCTACCCAAAACAATCCTCTTCAAGGTACATTGTAACCAAATTATCAAAAGTAAAAGACAATGAGACAATTCTATAAACAGTAAGGGAAAAGCATCAAGTAACATAAAGGGAATCTCCATTAGACTATCAGCAGATTTCCCAGCAGAAGCTTTGCAGACCAGAAAGGAATGGACTATATTCAAAGTGTCAGTCAACAACACTATACCCAGCAAAGCCATTCCTCAGAAATGGAGGATAAAGAAAGTCCTTCATAGACAAGCAAAAGCTGAGGGAAATTATCATCACTAGAGCCTTACAGAAATGCTTAAAGGAGCACTGCAACTAGAATTAAAAGAATAATAATTGTTAACATAAATACACATGACATTATAAAACTCACTAGTAGAGGCTGGGCACAGTGGCTCATGCCTGCAATCCCAGCACTTTGAGAGGCCAAGGCAGGCAGATCACGAGGTCAAGAGTTCGAGACCAGCCTGACCAGCATGGTGAAACCCCGTCTCTACTAAAAATACAAAAAATTAGCTGGGCATGGTGGCACATGTCTGTAGTCCAAGCTACTCAGGAGAATTGCTTGAACCCAGCAGGCGGAGATTGCAGTGAGCTGAGATCACACCACTGCACTCCAGCCTGGGTGACAGAGTGAGACTCGGTCAAAAAAAAAAAAAAAACTCGCGGTTAGAAGTAAATTCATAATCAAAATCAGAATATTCCAAAACTGTACATGTGCTATGTAAATATTTCAAATCCCTAGCATAAAGGCCAAAAGTAAAAACAATAAAAAAGTACTACAATTAGTTGTTAAGTAACTCACAATATACAAAGATGTAAATTAAGGCAACAAAAATATAAATTGTGGGGTGAGATAATAAAAGTCTAGAGTATTTTTATGCAACCAAAGTTAAGTTATCAGCTTAAAATAGTCTATTAAAACTACAATTTTTTCATGTTAGCCCCATGCTAACCACAAAGAAAGAAATTACAGCTAACACACAAACAAAAGTGAGAAAGAAATCAAAGCTTAGCACAACAGAAAACCACCATACCACAAAGGTAAACAGAGGAGGAAAAGAACAAAGGATCTACAAATCAACAAGAAAACAATTAATAAAATGGCAGGAGTAAGTCCTTGCCTATCAGTAATCATCTTATATGTAAATGAATTCAATTCTCCAATTAAAATATATAAACTATATGAATGGATCAAAAATAAGATCCAACCATATGCTGCCTACAAGAGACTCCACTTTATCTGTAAGGACATGTAGTTATTTACTCTAAACCAAAAATAGATTGTAAGGTCTAATGAATAGAAAGATATTCCATGCAAACTGAAATCAAAAGTGAGTAGAAGTAGCTATGCTTATGTCAGATTAAAAAATGACCTTACAATCTATTTTTGGTTTACAGTCAAAAATTATTTTAAAACCCCAAAAGGTCATTATACAATGTTAAAAGGAAAAAACAGGGAAGAGGAAATAACAAGAGAAATAATTCAGGAAGAGGATGTAAGAGTTATAAATATATATATATATATATATATATATATATCTCCAACATAGGAGTACCCAAATATATAAAGCAAATATTATTAGATCTAAAGGAAGAGATAGACTTCAATACAATAGTAGGGAACTTCAACAACCCACTTTTAGCAATGAACAGATCATCCAGACAAAACAAACAAACATCATATTTAAACTAGACCAGGCTGGGTGCGGTGACTCATGCCTGTAATCCTGCCACTTTGGGAGGCCAAGGCTGGTGGATCACTTGAGCTCAGGAGTTCGAGACCAGCCAGGCCAACATGGTGAAACCCCATCTCTACTAAAAATACAAAAATTAGCCAGACGTGGTGGCACACCCCTGTAGTCTCAGCTACTTGGGAGGCTGAGGCAGGAGGATTCCTTGAACCCAGAAGGTGGAGGTTGCAGTGAGCCAAGATCCTGCCACTGCACTCCAGCCTGGGTGACAAAGTGAGACTCTCTTTAATAAATAAATAAATATAAAAAAAAAACTAGACCAAATGAACCTTACAGACATTTACAGAACATTAAATCCAACAGTTGCAGAATTCACCTTCTTCTCAAATGCACATAGAGCATTCTTCGGGATAGATCATATGTTAAGCCTCAAAGCAAATCTTAATAAATGTAAGAAGATAGGGATCTTATCACATGTGTTTTCTGATCACATTGGTATAAAACTAGAAATCAATAAAAAAGGAACATTAGAAATTGTACAAATACATGGAAATTCAACAACATGTTCCTAAATAATCAACAGATTAATAACAATATTAAAAGGGAAATTTTTTAATTTCTTGAGGTAAACAAAAAAGGAAAAATGACATACCAAAACCTATGGGATACAGCAAAAATAGTTATTAGAGGAGGGTTTATTTCAATAAATGCCTACATCAAAAAAGGAAAAAGACCTCAATTTAAAAACCTACTGTTGTAGGCCATGATAAAGATTTCATGATGAAAAATTCAAAAGCAATTGCAAAAAAAAAAAAGCTGACAAGTAGGAACTAAGTAAACTAAAGAGCTTCTGCACAGCAAAAAGTAAAATAAAAATAAACAGACAGCTTACAGAATGGGAGAAAATATTTGCAAATTCTGCATCTGACAATGGTCTAATATCCAGAATCTATAAGGAACTTAAATAGATTAACAAGCAGAAAACAAATAACTCCATTTAAAAAATGGATAAATGACATGAACAGACACTTCTCAAAAAAAGACATACATGTAACATAAAACCAATAAGGATCCCATTTTTTTCTACAAATGCTTTCATTTTAACAGTAGACATCTCACAAAGCTGAGAATTCAACTTTAGTTGTAATTCTCAGGAAATATACCCTTCATTTACATAGAGCATACACCAAGTAACCAATAGAAACCTCTACAGGGTATTTAAACCCCAGAAAATTCAGTAATGGCACTCTTGAGCCCCCGTGCTTGGGCCCACTCCCACCCTGTGGAATGGCTTGTGTTTGACTTTTAGCAATTTCAGCCCTATGGCTACAGGAGAGATTCTTCTCTAGGGCATACACAGAAGCTCTTTGGTTATCTATGTGTAGAGGAAGCCAGGAATTTGAATCCCTGAACTCAAACTTTTCTTTCATTGCTTTGTTCAGCAACATTAGAAGAAACCAACCAACATCATTATATTCCCTGGTTTTACACAAATGTTTGAAAGTGTCATATACAGAATTACCAGGTTCCTTGCCTTTTGTAAATAGCTGATTTGCATATCCAATATGAATATTTTGTGTATTTCTATAAACATTTCACACCATGGACTATAAGAGTACAGAGTGCTTTCTATATCTTAGAAGTAGTGGCCAGGCAGTGGCTCATGCCCTTAATCCTAGCACTTTGGAAAGCTGAGGCAGGTGGATTGCTTGAACTCAGGAGTTTGAGACCAGCTTGGGCAATGTGATGAAACCTCATCTCTACCAAAAACACAAAAATTAGCCAGGCATCGTGGTGCATGCCTGTAGTCACAGCTACGTGGGAGACTGAGGTGGGAGGATGACTTGAGCTTAGGAAGTTGAGGCTGCAGTGAGCTGAGACTGTGCCACTGCACTCCAGCCTGGGCAACAGAGACCCTGCCTCAAAAAGAAAGGTAGTGTCCTGAGCATTTTTAGGTCTAATCATATTAGAGAGAAAATTCCAAAAACCCCAAAACCAATTATGAAAATCCATCTTTAAAATTATTTTCCCCAACAGCCATTCCTGGTTCCAAAATCTTTATTAGTCAGGGTTCTTCAGAGAGATAGAACTAATAGGATATAGATAGATGGATGGATGAATAGTAGATAGATAGACAGATAGATAGATAGATAGATAGATAGATAGATGATAGATAGATAGATAGATAGATAGACACATAGATAGATACACAGTTACATAGATAGATGAGAGGATTTATTAGAGAAATTGGTTCATGCAATTATGAAAGCTTAGAAGTCCTACAACAGGTTGTCTGTAAGTTGGAGATCCTGAGATGCTGGTGGTGTGTCTCAGTCAAAGTTCCAAAACCTCAGAGCCAGGGGAGCTGATGGTGTAACTCTCAGCCCAAGGCCCCAAACCTGAGAACACAAGATGTTACTGTGAAACCATCCTCACAAAATTAATAAAAAGAAATTGTTAGGATTTTAACAAAGGCAAAAGCTTTGAATAGAAGCATTGCTAAGCATCAACCAGCTTGCCCTATAGCCCTCTTCTGAGGCAGGAGAATAGGACCTGGAGGCAGGAAACCTAAGGACTTCCTAGAACTAAATCAAATGGAAACACTTCAGCTATGACAGGAAATATCCCCTTCATTTACATATAGCATACACCAAGTAACCAATGGAAACCTCTAGAGGGTATTTAAACCCCAGAAAATTCAGTAACGGGATTCTTGAGCCCCCATGCTTGGGCCTGCTCCCACCCTGTGGAATGTACTTTTATTTTCAATAAATATTTGCTTCTGTTGCTTCATTCTTTCCTTGCTTTGTTTGTACATTTTGTCCAATTCTTTGTTCAAGATGCCAAGAACCTGGACACACCTGCACCAGTAACATATTTTGGCAAACCAGCCCGGAGGTTAGCCCAAAGTTTAGGATTTGTTTCTTTTCATTTTCCTTTCTGCTCCATACAGGGGAATCTCTTACTCTCTCTCTCTTTTCCTTTCAAACTTGGGACCCTTGGTGGATAGCAGCTAAACACAGAGGAAATGGCAGGTTTCTGGCCAGGGCCACTCTGAAGGACTATCTTTTCTGCTGGTGGTCCCTGATCCCTACATGTGGCACAGCTTGGGGTGAACTCACACGTTTCAAGTGATGTAAACCTTTTCTTATGCTAAATTCTTCCCTTAACCAACTCAGTTGGCTAAGGACAAAAGAAACCTACCCAGCCTCCAGTTCCTATCATTAGTTCATGGCTATTACTAGTGGAATGGGAAGCATGGGAAAGCATGGCCTTATCAAATTATAAGGATGCTGGAAGTTGAGGCCTTCATCCAGGGGCAAAAGGAAAGCTCATAGTAGGCCATTGCCTCTGGAGGGAAAGTGGCACTGGTGCCCACCAAAGGTCAGACTGGACCCCAAAGGGGGATACCCTGGGGCATCCTCCAGACCTCAACCTTTCCAAAGGGGATGCCCTCAGCAGAGGTTCTGTGGTCTCTTACTAAGCCCTTCTTAGAATTTTCTCTCACAGTTGCCATACTGTTTGGCTCCAATATTGTTTGGAATCTGGAGTTTGCTGTTGAGTGAGAAAGTCGGATGGAGTTGCATGTATTCAGACTTTTGTGCTGCTGTTCTCATCAGGGAACATGGTTAATGTGTGACGCTCTCCTTTGGTGCTGTTTGATTCCAGTGTTCTTTGGAGTCTGGGGAGGTTTGTCCTTTAAAAATAAAACTGCCATGGAAACTGCTTTACCTGAAATTTTGATTCACAGCCTTCATTGCATTATCTATTGGGACAAAGTAATACCAGCAAAACTGTATTGCTAACTCATGGCTAGGATTCCAAGGTAAAAGCTATTGAATCTTCATTTGTGTGTGTATATACATGTCTAGATGTGTTTATTTATATGCACACTTATTGTTTTATGTTGTGTCTACTGAATTGGCTTATAAGTAAGAGTGCTCATGAATTAAGTAAATCAATCTAAGCAATTTTCAAGTTCACATGACTTAAGTGTAACTTTACTAAACAAGCTGATTTTAAAAATGATTGGTAAAATAAAAATGGAAATGCTTTCAGAATTGTCAGCACACATTTTTGTCTGGATTTTATGTTTGTCTCTACTAGATATTTTAAGATGTCACGGTTTGGCATAGAAGGTTATAAAACTACAAACCCAGACAAAACAAAATGATCTTGGTTTGCATGCCTCTTTTTGACAAATAAGAATAATTTAATGTTAGCTAAATCTTCTGAGTTACTGGCAAAATTACCTATGTATTTAACTTTGAGACTGTTACTTAGGTTTAGGTGAGCACCTGATGTTCACTGGCTATTAAAAACATGGTTAACAAGGAAATAACTAACTTTAAATTATAGTGTCTAATGTCTCAGTTTACAGAAGTAATCTAGATAAATTGTTTAAAGTGAAAGAATTGAGTACAGTGAATGGAACAAATATTGTAGGCAAACTTTTTGTGTAAATTAAAATCTTAAAATTATTTCTGATGCTCATTTAATATCTGGATCTTTCCAATTAAAAAAGTTATGATATGAGGAAATATGTTTCTAAAAATTGTGGAATTGTTCTTATCTATAAATGCCCACATGTGACAGTTCGGGACTTCTGGCTTCTTATGGTTTCGCTAAAGTTTTAGGTTACTAAGGATCAGAATTCTAGTTAATAGGTAATTCTGTATACAAAATGTGTCAGAAAGTGTTGTGTTATTAGTGAGAAAAAGAATACTTTTGCCTAACTGAGTAGTTATCTAAAAGTTAGTTCAAATTACAGATTTGAAAAGGTTATTTTTGAAACAATGTATTAAGGGACCAGTAAGTAGGGGAGGACAATGTGGAAAAGTTTAGATAATAAAATATTCCTTAAAACCTGACAGAGAATTGAATATAT
This sequence comes from Homo sapiens, assembly GCF_000001405.40. Lineage (NCBI taxonomy): Eukaryota > Metazoa > Chordata > Mammalia > Primates > Hominidae > Homo > Homo sapiens. The sequence goes on from NC_000001.11 coordinate 166,719,575, forward strand.
TTGCTTAATTAACATTTTCATAGTTAAAGCTTTTAGTCTTGATTAAAGTAAAATGAGAAATATTATAAAGAAATGCATTGGCAGTTTGGCAATCCTTTTTTTAAACATAGTTAAGCATGAAGCCAGATTTAGTGTGGAGCCAAATTTCACATACACGTTCGCATTGCTTTACACTATGTTTACAGTTTTGTGTGGATAGTGCTGGCACCTGAGTGCTTATTGGTCATGTGCCTACAGTGAATTTCTTGATTGTACAAGATGTATGGTAATATTGGTAGGCTTAAGGCTATTGAATTGTGTATCAGGAATAAAACATTCACTGTGTGGATTTTTGGGGGCCCTGGGTAACACTGTAACCTCCAAGGTAGATTGAATAGGAAAAACTTAATGTTGGTTTCCTGTTTGTTTTTGTTTTTAATTTTCATTCATTTGCTCTTTATTCTCCTTTGGGCTTTGCTTGTGTATGTATATATACAAAACCATGATTTTTTTTTTTTAGGTTCTAATGGAAGGTTTTTATTTGGTTCTGTGAATAGTTATTTTGTCTCCTATGCATTTCTAGCAGGTCATCATTTGTTCTATTTATCTGGGATCCCTAGGCTACCTTTGTCAGGCCTGCAGGAATTAGCAGCTTTTTAACTTTTTGGAGTTTAAACTTCCTAATATGTTAGGTATGTTGAGTATACTTTTGTAAATAGAATTTGAGTCATCTCTCTCTCTCTCTCTAATTTCTCCAAAATTTGTAAATGATTTGTGAATGTTCTTAATTCATATCAATGTGTTTGTTTGCATACAGTCAAGCAAGGTTGCTAGGTCTGCTCAGGAGGAGAGAACCCAGAAATGCAACATGCTGGCAAAAGGGTAAAAATTTCTTACCATTCAGACTCTGGCCTCTCTCTCTCTCTTGTGTGAACTGGTTAAATGAAAGTTGAAAGTCACCGTTTACCTCCTCTGTAAAATTTTTATTAATACCAAAAAGAATTCTGAGGCTAATCTTAAGCTGTAGTGAATCTGGTGTGCTTTGTGTATCTTTCTGTATTGTTCTGTCATACAGAGGGGTACTTTAGGATGAAATGTGTACCTAGGACCCCATAGGTACCCTATTTAAGACAGCCCAGCAAACTGGTCAGTCATGTCCTTGGAAGCTTGACCTTATAACCATGTGGCCATGCTTTCTCTTTTCACAATGGTGGCCCAGGTTTATGGTTTAATTCCTGGCTTAGGGAATGAGTCCTTTATCATCTGCCTGTCTGTGTATTTATATGTGTTGTATATATAATAGAAAAGAGGTTTAATTAATTGATTTAATAATAAGAGCTTAAAGCAAATATTTTTTCAGAAAAGTAAAAAGTGTAATGTCTTTTAGTTAGTTCATGTTACTTAAATAATCTTTGGGAAATAAAGACAGTGTTAAAGATTATTGGTAAAATAAAAATATCTTCAAAATACAAACATTTGGTCTAAATTATGCAGGTCAGATATTAGGTTTGTTAAATGCTTTAAGTTCATATACTACTTCTTTGACTTTTAAAAATTGTTCAGTTTATTTTGGAGCAATTGATTCTAGATAAGACCAGGGGACATGTGAAATTAGCCATGCCCCCTAGCTATGCAAAGAAGGTTATAAAGAAAAAATATTTTATATAAGAAAGATCTTGTACGGTAAATTCTCGTCCTAAAGTAAAATAACTGGATGTTTCAAATGGGAGATGTTTAGGACAGCCAGAAAGTCCAAGCATGTTATAGATGGTCTGTGTAAGTTGTGAAATCATTTATAAAAGAGAATTTATGCAAGAAATGTTGTACAATTTAAAGGAGATTAGGCCTCCTAAATGCTTCATAAAATGCCACTATGACTCTTAACTGTCCACCTTGCCTGCTTTACAGCTAAGTAAGGCCTAGGACACATGGAATTAGATGCTGGAAAGAGATAGACCTTATCTGAACTTCTCTCTGGGCCCTAGGCTCCACACCTAGTACATAATTAAAATCCTGAACTTACCAAGGTTTTCACCCAAAGTAAAAGTTGCTAAGAGTTAACATTGTAACATTTAATTGAGACTACTGAAGAAACAGTTTTACATGAACAGTGTGTAAGCATAGTGAAATGCGTTTTTGGTAAAAGGTTATAAGAAGACATGGGAATATGGATTTTTTTAGCCCAAATGGTTAAAGCATTGTTTTAAGTTAGGATAAAGCTAAAGGTTTGAACAAACTGTAGAAGGTTTGTAAAAAAAATAAAATCTCATAAAAAATTCTGTGTGTGAACATATTGGCTAAATTTAAAGGGGTATTTTCTGGTTTTTCCATAAATTAAACATCGAAATAAAAGCACAAACAGGGTTTTCTTAAAGCATTGATGTGCTCTTTAACAAAAATTTGCAAAGGGTTATAAAAGATTTATGAGAATCTCACCTTGTGGTCAAACTGATTAAGACTGGAAAGATTTGCCTATAAAGTTTTATTAAAAATTGGTGCTAACATTAATAGTATACTAATGCTAGGGTAAAATTTAGCTTTCTCTCTTGAACAAGATTTTCATGTAATATTAAAAGATAATGTCTGGGTGTGGTGGCTCACACCTGTAATTCCAGCACTTTGGGAGGCCAAGGTGGGCAGATCACCTGTGGTCAGGAATTTGAGACCAGCCTGGCCAACATGGTGAAACCCTGTCTCTACTAAAAATACAGCAATTAGCCAGGCATGGTGGTACATGCCTGAAATCCCAGCTACATGGGAATCTGAGGCAGGAGAATTGCTGGAACCTGGGAGGCAGAGGTTGCAGTGAGCCAAGATCATGCCACTGTACTCCATCTTGGGCAACAAGAGTGAGACTCTGTCTCAAAAAAAAAAAAAAGATAATTAAAGATTTGTGTTAGCCCTTTAAATAAAACTGCTGAAACAAAGCAGGGAAAGACAAGAGACAGATTGTTTGGAAAGCCTTCCATCTCTCATTGAGTAAAGGCTTTTGCCTTTTAAAAAAATTTTGAGTCATTATTTTGGCTAAATGAATGACTTGTAATCTGGTATTCTATTTCATAATATCAAGTGTTTTAAACCTTTAACATATTTGATAGGCTTCCCAAATCAAATTTCAGCTTCAAGGTTGTCTTTTTCTGACTTTTAACTTTGAGATGCTGCAGAAGGCCCCTGAAGCTTCCAAAAGAGAGGTAAACAGAATTACTTGACCTGTTTAGTTACATGAGAAGCACCATCAAAAATAATTTTTAAAAACGTTTAATTTTCTCATTGGGTTTTAGTGAGTGATATTAATATATGTTAAAAATTGTATAAGATTTCTAAAATTCTAATATGTCTGATTATATGCTATAAATCATAATTATGGATATTATGTTATTGTAAACCACAGAAATAACCAAATTTCCTTGTCAATTGTATTTTTAACTATAATTATTTAAAGTCATTTCTACAGTTAATTACTTAATACTGATGCAGTTTCTGAAAATTTCACAAGCACAAAAATCCTAGAATATGGTGTCTTTGAGAAGGTTCATGAAAGGAAGAAAAGAACCCTAAAAAGCACTCTTGAATACAAGTTTCTAATAACTTTATAATCATATCATTTGAACTGGGTAAGAATTCCTGGAACTTTAATGAAAAGACTGACTGGGTTATAAAGCTGCTAACCCAAGTAGAACAAAAATTAATTAAATAGCAAGAAAATACTTTGCCAGATTTTCATGCTAAATCAGCTGATACTGAAATTGTTTAGATACACAATTTGAATGAACTCCATGGTCTAAGAGTCAAATTACCTATGATAACCCATCAGTTACCAGTGCTATGCACCTAAATTGGAGAAACGACTGGTATTCAATAGGATATAAGTCTAATGTTAATTAAGCATGGACTCATGAGAGAACCAGGATGGCCACCTTGTCCTTCCTGAGTCCTTAAAGCTTTTATTATTAAAAGTTCTGCATTCCATCACTCATTATGGAAAAGATAAAATGATACAAATTGAATATATTGGTGTGGTGACTTATAAATTGCTAAAATAGTTTATAACCAATGTTTCATCTCATATTCCTGGGAAAACAATCAAAGCTTCAGATACATTTGGTCACTTGATGGACCATTCAAACATTTTATAACGGGATTTTATTCCATTTTTACCTTCAATGCATGTTTTCTGGTTATATAAGTGCTCTCCCACACAAGAGGGCTGATGTTATAACACTAAGTTATTATGCCACAGTGCATTTTCACCAGGTAAAGAAAGCTTTTTATGATTCACTGAAGATAATCAACCCTTTCATAATCTAGAACCCAAAAATTTGATCTTCTGAGAACATCAGAGAAAGACTGTCCTTTCCATCCACATTGCAGCCAAACTTTGGAAACTTGAACTTTAGGTTCATAATCTCAAACTGAGAAGTGTCCCTCTACGCTCTTGGAACTGTACACCCACTGGAACCCTTAAGGTAAAACTAACCAGGGAAGTCTCTCCTCAGAAGAAGATGGACATTCTTGATGTGAACAGCTTTTCTCAAGATCATGGATCAAGGCTTCTACTATCATGAGACACTTATCTATGAATATTTTTTCTTGTTTATGCTTCTATGAACAATAGAAATGAAAAAGAGGTCTCTTGTGTGCACTTACGGGGTATATTTTTATTTGTGAAGGATTTTGCCGGCAGCCTTATGCATGGATAAACTTATAATCTGATAGAGAAAAGATTAAGGCCCAGTATAGGTCAGAAACTTTAATGGTACATATGCTGCTTCATAATCAGTCAGAAACAGAACATTGGTTCACCCCTCTTAACCCACATTATGGGTTAAAGAGAACATTGCCAGGAGGCCTTCACTCTTGTAGAAGGGCATCATTTGTTAGGACCTTTTTCCATGGTTTGGAGTAAAACAGTCAATGATTAGAATGTATCCCTCATAATAGGCTCTATAGCAGATTCTACTGTAAAGGCTATGGTTACACAACAGACTTTAAATGTTCTTGTGAAAGTTAAGCTGAATAATAGAACTGGCTAAACAGAAAAGTGTCTGGAGAAAACAGCAGATATTATAGAGATTCAGTTGTAGCAGATTAACAAAGAGACTGCTTAGTTAAGCGAGTAGACCCTTTATCTAGCTCATTCTTTGATCTCTGATTTTAGGAGGTTTGATTTATGGGGACCCTGGGTAAGGAGCATACTATCTCCAAGAGGACAGTCATTATATAGTCATATTATAGTCATAATAATAGTCTCCCTGGCATGCTGTATTCTCTCAAAGGCTTTAAATGTTTGCATGCAGCCATCTCTAAGATGTCAAATGGTCTCTCTTCAATTGGAATGACAAGAGCTGAAAGAAATGTGCGACCATGAGAACACTGTAACCTATGAATGACATACTGAGACCAGAAACCCAAAATGATGGTAACTGAGAGTAGTGCTAAGGCCCTAAGTTGTGGTCATACTCTCACTATGTGAGGACCTGACCAAAAAGGGAGAATTTTTTTAAAAAAATTGTGGGAGGCCATTGTTTTGGACTGAGCTCATGCACTAGCCCCAACAGACCAAACCAAACCAAAATGGAGTTTCTTGTGCTAAGACTTTAAGGAAACACATAGATCCTAGAACAGAACAGGTTTTGTTTTTCTCCTGCAAATCTCTATAACAAACATTCCTGACAGCATAGGTATCCACCCGCTGAAATTCCATTAAATCTTTTAACCAAATTCATCTTATCGCACCATCAAGCTTCACATGATCATGCGACAAGGGTACCAGCCAGTTCCAGGTGAAGACACCACCCCTGGCCATCAAGGAGTACACTGCCTCCACTAGACAGAGCATGGCGAGAGTTCTGTGATCCCCAATAGGTAGGGACTATGCTCCAAGCCAGCATGAAGCAGTTACAGAAGAAAGAGCATCAGACCTGCCACCTCCCATAAAGATTTATGGAGATCACATCTTTCAGGGGGGAAAAAAGGAAGGCGAATAGGGCCTGGAGACAGGGAACCTAAAGACTTCCTAGAATGAAATCAAATGGAAACACATCAGCTATGACAGGAAATATCCTCTTTATTTACGTAGGGCATACATCAAGTAACCAATGGAAATGTCTAGAGGGTATTTAAACCCCAGAAAATTCAGTAACAGGGCTCTTGAGCCCCTGTGCTCGGGCCCACTCCCACCCTATGGAATGTACTTTCATTTACAATAAATCTCTGTTTTGGTTTCTTTATTCTTTTCTTGCCTTGTTTGTGCATGTGGTCTAATTCTTTGTCAAGATGTCAAGAACCTGGACACACTCTACCGGTGGCACTTCCTTATAGCTTCTTACTGCTTAAAAGTCACATACTCCTTGTCACTAGGTTCTAACTTCCCTTAAATGTTTCTACAGATAACATCTTTAAAGAAACCTCAACTTTTCCATTTGAGATATTTTCCAAATTCTGTATTCCAATGGGTCCACTGACACCAGCCAGTTTGAAAACCCTCTCCGAGGAACTGACTCAGTGCAAGAATGCAGTTTCTATGTCTTTATGATTTCCTCCCCCATTCCCCAACCAATCAGTGACCCCACCTCCTTTGTACTCTACCCATCGAAATTATCTTAAAAACTCCAGTTCAAAACCCCTCAGGGTGGCAGATTTGAGGTTTCCTCCCATACCCTCATTTGGCTGCCCTATGATTATTAAACTCTTTCTCTGCTTCAACCCCTGCTATTTCAGTGTATTGGTATGTTATTGTGCAATGGGTAATCAAACCTGGTGATCTTATAACAGCTGGTGTAAGTCTTGGAGTTCAAAGGCTAAACAGCCTGGAGTTTGGACGTGCAAGGGCAGAAGAAATGTGTTCCAGCTCCAGGAGAAAGAGAGAAAGAGGAAATTGTCTTTCCTTTTTTGTTCTATTCAGACCCCCCAACTGATTAGATGGTGCCCACCCACATTGAGAACAGATCTTCCCCACTCAAACCCCAACTCACTAATCAATCTCCTTGAGAGACGCCCTTACATGTGCACCAAAAATAATGCTTTGCCAGTTCTCCAGGTATTCTTTAATCCAGTCAAGTTGACACCTAAAACTAACCATCACAAAGGTCAAAAATTAAAAGTTTATTATATTAAAATTATATATATTTTTAAATTGTCAATAGACAAGTTAAAAATCACATTAAAAATCTCATTTACTCTTTACCTTCAAACGCTTATGTATAAATATAGAAGCATTAATAGTATTCAAAATTCACTAATTCCCAACCACCATACTAATAATTTATTCAGGCAAGAATCAAAGGCAACTAATGAAAATACAATAAAGAATGATATATTCACAAAGCAAATGTATTGCTTCAAAGTATTTCTCCACAAAATACTTACCAATTACAAAGAGAGAAATGGTAACTCTACAGTGGGGAATCTTTGTAGATATCATACCAACCTAGTTACCAAATTAACATTTGATAATAATAGAACCAATTGATATCTTTTGCCTCCTGATTTCACATGCTCAAAAAGAACCTAAAATTATTTTGATGGTATTTCCAAGTATGCATAATCTGAATCTAATCATGATAAACATCAGGGAACTCAAATGGAGGGACAATACACACATAGCTATCTTATGTTCTTTAAAAATGTAAAGGTCATAAAAGGGAAAGACTAAGAAATTGCTCCAGAGTAAAGGAACAGATTAAATGCAACTAGTAAACACAATCAGTCATCCCTTTAAAAAGGATTAATAAAAATTTAAAATATTAGCAATCTGCTTAAGAAGAGAAAGTGCAAATTGCTAACATGAAGAATGAAAAATTGGACTTAAATCAGAAAAAGACAAAACACTTTACAAAAGAAGATACCCAAAATGGTACTTAACATCGTTAATCAGCAGGTAGATGCAAATTAAAGCCAGATGAAATACTATTATACATCCCTGAATGGCTATTAAAGAAAAATGAAAAATGCCAAATGTTGATGAAAAAATAGAACAACAAGAACTCCCATATACTGTCACTGGGAAGATAAATTGATACCGCCACTTTGAAAAACTGGCAGTGTTACTAAACATGGAGAAATATATACTTGCAAATCAGAAATTTTACTCATAGGCATATAGCCAAAAGAACTATATAAATCACATATTAACCAAAGACATGTAGTGGAATGTTCACAGAAATTTTTCATAATATTTGTCATTTAAAAAATTCAATGTAGAACAAATAATAAAATTGTCATGTAGTCACATACAGCCAATACTATACTACAGCAATAATAATTGATGATCTACAATTACACACACACACAAATGTTGAATGAAAGAAGCGTGAAGGGAAATTAAATTTTGGGACCTCAAACTCATTTAGCCAAACGGAAGAGTCAAGCTAGGAGCTGGGTTGTGCAAACCTGCCTCCCGCTTTGGTTCCTAAATAAGATGGCTACAAGATGAAAAGCTACACACCTCCCCCATATTTTGTTCAAAACGAAATTCCTAGTGAGCTGTTAAAATTTCACCATGGCAATGCAAATTGACAGCTTATCTTTACAGGTGCAGTCACCCACGGGCCACCAAAAATAAATTCACATCTGATTGTTCCCCTGCCCCATTTTGTCTGTTATCTTTTTTTTTTTTTTAATTGAGACAATCTCACTTTGTCACCCAGGCTGGAGTGCAGTGGCGCAATCTTGGCTCAGTGCAACCTCCACCTCCTGGATCAAGCAGTTCTCCCCACCTCAGCCTCCCGAGTAGCTGGGATTACAGGTGCTCACCACCACATCCGGCTAATTTTTTGTATTTTTAGTAGAGACAGGGTTTCGCCATGTTGGTCAGGCTGGTCTCGAACTCCTGACCTCAAGAGATCAGCCCACCTTGGTCTCCCAAAGTGCTGGGATTACAGACGTGAGCCACCACGCCCAACCTGATCTATGTTATCTTATGTAAAATATAGATTCACTGAGCCAAAACAAAGGCATAAATGACAATTTTTCCCTACCCGACTCTTGCATGAAAATTGCATACTTCTCAATATCCCACCCCTTCCCCTTTAAATTTGGAGCCCTCAAAATCATCTGCAGAAAAAGGCATAGACCTGTCTCCGGGTGTGTCCTTAACTTTGGCAAATAAGTCTCCTAAAATGATTAAGACTTGTCTCATTATTCTTCTAGATTGACAGAAGCTAGACACAAGAGTATATATACCACATATATATATATATATATATATATAATTTATACATTTCTATACACAGCTTAAATTGATCTACATTCTTGGAAGTCCAGACATTAGTTATATTTGATGAAAGGTGGTAATTGCAAGGGAGGACATGGAGTATTATTAATGCTCTGCTTCTTGATCTGGGTTTTGGTAACACAGGTATGTTTCATTAAAAAATTTATTGAGTTATTTACATTTTTTCTGTATGTATATTTTACTTCAATTGAAGTTTTTAAATTATATATTATTTATTTTACCTACCAGATTTTCAAGATAAAAAAATTTAATAATACACTGGTCTACCAAGGATACAGAAAAATAAGCATCCTTATGCTTGTTGGCATGAGGATAATGTGGTACAACTTTGGGATAAAGAGTGTTAACATACAGAAGTGCCAAGATGGCTAACTAGAAGCAGCTTGTGCATGCCTCTCACATGGAGAGGAGACACAGTGGCAAGTAAGCACTAGTTCTTCAAGTAGTTCATCCAGAAGGTCACATTGGGATTCATCCAGGAAGCATGGCAAACCATGGAGAGCAGAGTGGAGTGAAGCAGGACAGCCACCCACCCTGGATTGGCACAGAACCAGAGCAGGCTCCATACCATGGGGAAAGGGTGAGTGAGAGGCCCTGGAGACCCACATCTCCACCATGGACCTTTTCAATCATGAGCACAGGAGATCTCCTTTGACCCTCCTGGACCTCCACACCAACATGGAGAGCTGCCTGGAGTCTGGACAGAGCCACAATTCAGCCCATTTTGAGCCCCACAGGCCTTGGATCCCTGAGCACCCAAGTGCCAGCTGCTGTAGCCTCACCAACAAGGGAGGCCAGACTCCCTTGTACACCCCTAGTATAGGGGCCACATCCACAGTGCTGAGGAGTAAATGGACTTTAGGCCCCACCTCTGCTGTACCTTACCGAGCAAGGCCCTCAGGCCTGGGCCCCCAGCACAGCCACCCTACCCCAGCCTGATCATTCTGGCCAATTACGGCTCTCCATTTCTCTAGGACATAGGTCCCAGAGGTAACAAACAGGCCCATTGTAATTGCCACTATCACAATCCCTGTACCTGCTGCCCTCAGGATGGGGAGGGAGCGAAGAGCCTGAGAACTTTCATGGGCCTCCAACATGCCACAGCTGCCATACAAAAAGGCAGCCAAACTGTCTTCCATGTGGGTCCCTGCCCCTGCTGCCCCTCCCAGCCTGGGTCCCCAGCACAGCCACCCCACCACTGCCTAATCACTTCAGTTGGTGGTGGCTTGTCATTTCCCTGGGATGGAACTTCCAGAGACACCGACTGGACTTCTGCCATTGCCACCATTGTGGTACCAACCCTTGCTTCCCTGGGCTGGAGAGGGAATAAAGAGCCTGATTGCTTTGCTTGCACCTCCAACAAGCCACAGCTGACCTGTGGAGAGCAGGCCAGATGTCTTCCTCACAGCCCTCCCCCTGACCCCTGCTCTGCTTTTCACCAAGCAGGGCCAGCTTGGGCCTGCAGTGCTGTTGCTCGACGCCCAGCTTATCATTCCAATTGGTTGTGCCTCTTTGTTTCTCTGGAGTAGAGCCCCCAAAGGCATTTGACAGCCCTCTGCCATCACCACCACTGTGGGTCCCACTCCTGCTATCCCCAAGCTGGTGAGGTAACAAAAAACCTGAACTTGCCCCAGAGCATAGCTTGGGAGTGCCAGGCAGGGATCTGTGGTTAGCACTGAAGTAGGAGCTCACACACTCAGGCACTGAGAGGGGTGAGTCATGCAGGCTTGTAGGCTGCTGCAGGAGCAAGACAAGCCTCCCTCTGCAGGGCCAGCCTGGAAAGTGTTGGCCTGTCTCCCTGCTGTGTCCTCTGCTTGAGGGAGCCCCATGGCCTGGAACACCTAAAATAAAAATGCAGACACAATGCCAATGACCAGAAGGGGCTTCCCCAAGGCCCAGCAGCAGACCTGGTGAGGGGGTCACCTCTCTTCCCACTGCACCATGCAGAAGGGCTGCAAATGCCAGGGAGTACAAAGGAGCCATGCAGCTGAGTTAAGAGCTTATCTCTCGCCATTACTCTTAAGCACCATCTACTGGATCACAGGCCAAACCACAACACCAAAAATATTTTGCTAACATATCCTGTGAAACCAAGGGCAAGTCAGTCACAACTAAAGATCCTGCACAGAGCCTTGACCCTCTGAAAACATCCAGAAACAAAGCCAACTGACTATATTCAACTTACACCACAGTTAAGGAAACACCCACCAACCCTCCCAGGTGAGAAAGGATTAATGCAAGAACGCTGGCAATCCAAAAAGCCACAGCATCCTCTTACCTTCAAACAATCCACTAGCTCCCCAGCAATGATTCTTAACCAGTTGGAAATGACTGAAATGACAAGGAGAATTCAGAATCTAGATGGCAAGACAGCTCATGGAGATTCAGGAGAAAGTGGAAACTCAATCTAAGGAATTCAAGGAATCAAGGAAAATGATTCAAGAGCTGAAAGATGAAATCATCATTTTAACAAAGAACAAAACTGAACTTTTAGAGATCAAAAATTTACTACAAGGGCATTATAATACAATTGGAAATTTAAAGAGCAGAATAGACCAAGCTGAGGAAAGGATCTCAGAGCTCAAAGACCACTTTTTCTAATCAATTCAGTTAGATAAAAATAAAGAAAAAAGAATTTTTCAAATGAACAAACCTCCAATAAATATGGAATTATGCAGAGACAAAATCTATGATTCATTGGCATTCCTTGGAAACAAGAAGAGAGAATAAACAATTTGGAAAATATATTTGAGGATATAGTCCATAAAAATTTCCCTAATCTTTCTAGAAAGGTTGACATGCAAATCCAAAAAATACAGAGAACCCTGGCTAGATTCTATACAATATGACCATCCCCAAGGCACATAGTCATCAGATTCACCAAAGTCAATGCAAAACACAAAACAAACAAACAAAAACCTTAAAGGCAGATAGATGGGTCAAGTCACATACAGAAGGAGCCCAATCTGTAGCAGTCTGTATACTAGCAGCGGACTTGTCACCAGAAACCTTACAAGCCAGAAGAGGTTTCCTTCTATTTTTAGTTTCCTTAAAGAAAAGAAATCCCAACCAAGAATTTCATATCCCACCAAACTAAGCTTCATAAGTGAAGGAGAAATAAAATCCTTCTCAGACAAGCAAATGCCCAGGAATTCATTTCAACTAGACCAGCCTTACAAGAGGTCCTTCAGGGAGTGCTAAACATGGGATTGAAAGGACAGCACCTGCTAGCACAAAAACACACTTAAGCACACACCCCAAGGACACTATAAAGCAATCACACAATCAAGTCTATATAACAACCAGCTAACGTAATGATGACAGGATTAAAATCTCACATATCAATACTAGCCCTAAATATAAATGGGCTAAGCACCACACTTAAAAGGCATAAAGTAGCAAGCTGGATAAAAATATAAGATGCAACCTTCTGTTGTTTTCAAGAGACCCATCTCACATGCAATGCCACACACATATAATCTCAGCCCACAGACTTAAAGTAAAGGAATGAAGAGATATACACCATGTAAATGAAAAACAAAAGCAAGCAGGAGTCACTATTCTTATATCAGATAAATCAGATTTTAAATCAATAAAAATTAAAAAGGACAAAGAAAGGCATTACATAATGATAAAGAGTACAATCCAACAAGAAGACTTAACTATCATAAGTATCTACACACCCATCATAAGTATCTACACACCCAACATTGGTGCACCAAGATTTGCAAAAACAAGTTATTCTTGGCCTACAAAAAGACTTAGATAACCACATGATAATAGTGGGACACTTCGACACTCCACTGACAGCATTAGACCAATCACTGAGGCAGAAAGCTAACAAAGAAACTCTGGACTTCAACTCAACACTTGATGAACTGGGCCTACGGACATCTATAGAACACTCCACACAACAATGACAGAATATACATTCTTTTTATCTGCACATGGAACATATTCTAAGATCAACAACTTGATTGGTCATAAAGCAAGTCTCAATACATTTTTAAAAATTGAAATCATACCAAGAACACTCTCAAACAGCAGTGCAAATAAAAATAGAAATTAATACCAAGGAGATTTCTCAAAACTACACAAAAACATGGAAATTAAACAACATGGTCCTGACTAACTCCTGGGTGAACATAAAAATTAAGGCAGAAATCAAAAACTGATATGAAATTAATAAAAATAGGAATACAACATGTTAAAATCTCTCAGATACAGTTAAAGCAATGTTTAGAGAAAAGTTTATAGCATTAAACACCTTCATTAAGAAGGTAGGAAGTTGAATTCACAATCTAACTTTGCACCTAAAGGAAGAAAGAAAAAAGGAACAAACCAACCTCAAAAGATCAAGGAAACCAAGAGTTTATTCTAAAAAAAAAAAAAAAAAGATTGATAGACCCCCCCTACCTCGATTAACAAAGAAAAAAAGAGAGATCTAAATAAGTACAATCAGAAATGACAAAGACGTCATTCCAACCGATCCCACAGAATTTACAAAAGAACCGCAGAGAATACTCTGAATGACTCTATGCATAAAAATTACAAAATCTAGAGGAGATGGATAAATTCCTGGAAATACACAATCTCTCAAAATTGAATCAAGAAGGGACTACGACCCTGAATACACCAATATCAAGTTCTGAAATGAAATCAGTAATTCAAAAATCCTACCAACTAAAAAAAGCCCTGGACCAGATGAATTCACAGCTGAATTCTACCAGACACACAAAGATGAACGGGTACCAATCCTACTGAAAGTATTCCAAAAAAATTTAAGAGGGGTGGGGCTCCTTCCTAATTCATTCTATGAAGCCAGCATCGGCCTAATACTAAAATCTGGCAGAGACACAATGAAAAAAGAAAACTTCCAGCCAATATGCCTGATGAACATAGATGCAAAATTTCTCAACAAAATACTAGCAAATGGAATTCAACAGTACATCAAAAGTTATTACACCACAATCAAGTAGGCTTTATTCATGTGATTCAAGATTGGTTCAACATATGCAAATCAACAAATGTGATTCACCACATCAACAGAATTAGAATCAAAAACCGTATGATTATCTCAATACATGCAGAAAAAGCTTTTGATAAAACTGAATATCCTTCATGATAAAAACCCTCAACAGATTAGACACCAAAGGAACATGACTCAGAATAATAAGAGACATCTATGATGAACTCACAGCCAACATCACACTGAATGGGCAAAAGCTGGAACCATTCCCCTTGAGAATTAAAACAAAACAAGGATGGCCATTCTCACCATTCCTATTCAACGTGGTACTGAAAGTCCTAGCCAGAGCAATCAGGTGAGAGAAAGAAATAAAAGGATCCAAATAGGAAAAGAAGTCAAACTACCTCTCTTTGCTGAAATATAATTCTACACCTAGAAAACCCTAAAGACTCTTCCAAAAGACTACTAGAACTGATAAACAATTCCAAGAAGGTTTCAGTGTACAAAATCAATGTACAAAAATCAGTAGCATTTCTATACACCAATAATGTCTAAGCTGAGAGTCAAATCAGAAATGCAATCCCATTTACAGTAGCCACAATGAAAATGAAATAACTATGAATACAGCTATCCACGGAGGTGAAAGATCTCTACAAGGAGAACTATATATAACAGTGCTAAAAGAAATCAGAGATGACAAAAATAAATGGAAAAACCTTTCATGTTCATGGATTGGAAGAATCAAAATCATTAAAATGGCCATATTACCCAAAGCAATTTACAGATTCAGCACTATTCCTCTCAAACCACCAATGCCGTTCTTCAAAGAATTAGTAAAAACTGTACTAAAATTCATATGTAACCAAAAAAAGAGCCTGAATAGCCAAAGCAATTCTAAGCAAAAAGAAAAAAACTATATATGACTTCAAACATATTATAAAACTATGGTAACTTAAACAGCATGATACTGGTACAAAAACAGACACATAGAACAATGGAACAGAATAGAAAACTCAGAAATAAAGCCACACACAACCATCTGATCTTCAACAAGACCAACAAGAATAAGCAATGAGGAAAGGAGTCCCTTTTCAATACACGGTGCTCGGATAACTGGCTAGCCATATGCAGAAGAATGAAACTGGACCTTAACTTTCACCATACATAAAAATTTAACTCAAGATGGATTAAAAATTTAAATGTAAGACCTCAAACTCTAAGAATCCTAGAAGAAAATTTAGGAAATACCCTTAGCAATATTGGTCTTGGCAAAGAATTTATGACTAAGTCCCTAAAAGCAATTGCAACAAAAACAAAAATTGAAAAGTGGAACCTAATTAAACTAAAGAGATTTTGCACAGCAAAATAAACTATCAATAGAGTAAGCAGACAGTCTACAGAATGGGAGGAAATATTTACAAACTGCAGATGACAAAGGTCTAATATCCAGAATCCATAAGGAACTTAAGTCAACAAGCAAAAAACAAAGAATCTCATTTAAAAATGGGCAAGAGATATGGACAGGCACTTCTCAAAAGACAGATACTTCGTGGCCGGGCACGATGGTTCACACCTGTAATCCTGTAATCCCAGCACTTTGGGAGGCTGAAGTAGATGGATTGCTTGAGGTCAGTTCAAGAACAGCATGGCCAACATAGCAAAACCCCATCTCTACTAAAAATACCAAAATTAGCTGGGTGTGGTGTTATGCACCTGTAATCCCACCTACTGGGGAGGCTGAGGCAGGAGAACCCCTTGAAGCTGAGAGGCAGAGGTTGCAGTGAGCCAAGCTCATGCCACTGCACTCCAGCCTGGGTGACAAAGTAAAACTGCATCTCAAAAAAAAATAAATAAAAGACAGACACTTCTCAAAAACATACATGCAGCCAACAAACATGAAAAAATGCTCATCATCACTAATCATCAGAGAATGCATACCAAAATCACAGCGAGAAACCATCTCAGACCAATCAGAATGGCTATTATTAAAAAGTCAAAAAACAACAGATACTGATGAGGCTGTGGAGAAGGAAACACTTATACACTGTTGGTGGGAATGTAAATTAGATCAGCCACTGTGGAAAGCGATTTGGAGATTTCTCAAATAACTCAGAACTAGTATTGGACCTAGAAATCCCATTACTGGGTGTATATCTGAAGGAAAATAGATCCTTAGACCAAAAAGACACATGGACACCGATGTTCATCACCATGCTACTCACAATAGCAAAAACATGGAATCAACCTAGGTGCCCATCAATGGTCAACTGAATAAAGAAAATGTGTTACACATACACTATGGAATACTATGCAGCCATAAAAAGAATGAAATCATGTCCTTTGCATCAATATGAATGGAGCTGGAGGCCATTATCCTAAGTGAACTAATGCAAGAACAGAAAACCAAATACCACATATTCTCCCTTATAAGTGGGAGCTCAATATTGAGCACACATGAACATAAAGATGACAACAATAGACACTGCAAACTACTATGGGGGGAAGGAGGGGAAGGATCCGTTTGGTTTGAAAAACTACCTATTCGGTACTATGCTAACTATCTGGGTGCAACATACCCATGTAACAAACATGCATATGTTTCCCCTGTATGTAAAACAAAAGTTAAAATTAAAAAAAAAGTTTTAGCAAGATTTGTTCAAAAAAATCCCCTTCAACCCAGTAATCTACTTCTAGGAATTTACCTGAAAATACACCTTGGCAAAATTGTTCCCCAAAAGGATAGTTACCTATGCACTGTTTGTGAGAGTAAAAATCTGGAAACAACTAAATAGTCCATAAGAAAGAATTTATTGACAAATGAAACTGTCTGTTTTGCTGGTTGTTGTAGGGTACAAGTAGAAATCAGGTTCGTTCTTTTGCACCAATGACCCTTTAAATACATCCTGTCAACTAGAACTTAGATAAAATCTCAGACAACTCTCAGAGATTTTCTAGTCACTCTCAAATATTCACATATAGATTCATTCTCCAGGTGTTACAAACTTCCAGACCAGTCCAATATGAAAGCTTTAAGCAATCACTCAGTTTTAAGTTCTCCAAGGTGAGCTTCTTTCTGAAGTCTACCACATTTGTCTAGAAGAGTAAAACTCCCTCATATTTTCAACTCCAAAAGATATCAACAAGTGGAAACAGTAATATGCTATGTGTATAGTATGCTAAAATTTGTAAGGAGCAAAAGGAATACATAAGCTTATATATGCATATTCATTACTCAAGAAACAAATCACAGTGATTGTCTCTGAAGAAAAGAACCAGGTGGCTTATTTTTAAAGTGATGTAATTCTATACCTTCTAAATTTTTATCATGTTTCTCCAGTGCCTATTCAAATAATAATAATAATGATGAAATTAAAAGGAGGTCCAAAAAACATTGTCAGGTGGAAACAACATAACACTGTAACCTCATTTTTATAAGCCATATTTGAGTTGGTGATAAACAGGAATTTGATTTTAGTTTTATGTAGTTTTATGTTTTATAAATTGCTGTATTATTTTAGTTTTTCAACTGTATTTACATTTAATGCTTAAAAGTTCTGTAAGGATATTAGAAAATAAGTAACCTCTAAGGTCACAGCCCTTGGCTTGCTCTGATCTAATGGAGAAGGAAAAACCACTCCAAGCAAATGGACATATATTTAGGAGAAACGACACAAAATGTGAATATCCACAGCTGATAATGTGTATAATGTGTATTTGTTAAATAATTTAGTGTAAGGAAGCCTATCTTAGGTTTTAGCCAACAGGATTCAGATATCGAATGAGCAAGGGGGCCTGATCATAAACAATAGATGTAGTTATTACATTTTAATTTAATGAGCCTTAGAATGGCTGTGATGAAGACTAGAGAAGGGTGATACTTTACAGGAGTCATGGCTTCAGAGTCCTAAAATAGCATTTGTAAAAGGCAAACCCTTGCTCTAACCTGTAGTACTTTAGGAAACATTGTCCTTTTACAGCCACATGAGATTCTTTGGCATGACAGCATTTCAAGTCTGCCTCAATTTTTTAACCTAAACTTAACAAAGTCATAAGAAATACCTTTCTACAGCAGATCACTGCACAAACTTTCCCCAATTCTAGCCCCTCCTACACAGCCCCAAGCAACTCACAACCTATCCCAAAGAGTGTAGGTGTAGGCAGGACAGGAAAAGAACATAATCAGGAAGACTAGTCAGCACCATTGCATCATTACATCTATCACTCTTAAAGGGTTTTGTTTTTGTTATTGCTTCTCAGAGTAATATTTTAGCATTATAAATTAATTTTACTTTTTTCTACTATTTTCTAATTCACTATTTTCATGATTAGTACATTATTGCTTCAAAAACTTACAGTCTTTTGTTTACTAATATATTAATTGTAGATAAATTTCACCTCATTCTTGCTTCTGTATTGTCTGCTTTTAAATTTTTCTTGCTTTAATCAGTTTAGTTCTACTGATTATGGCCTCCTTGCTTATTTTAAATCTTCCAGCTCAAACCATGTGTGTAAACAGGCCTATGGGCTGAGTCCTGGCCCTGTCCTGGGGAGTTAGATGCTGGGCACTGTCCTGTGCACTCCAGTATCACAGTGAGCAAGCCAGAGTGGCTCCCACTTCTACAAACTCACAGTCTGGAGGGAGAAAAGAAACTAAATACAGAAATCTTCACAAATGCCAAAGATGCAAAACACAAACATCCCTATTTATGGGATATGTAAATGTAGATTGTAAATGAGACATTAAATAAAGTATTGGATGTTCTAAGAATAAAGTTCCTCTACACAAAGTAGGAGAAAACACAAACAAAATTGAGAGAAAAAGATGTAAGAACGTATACAGAAAAGATCAAAAAGCTATGCGACTATGCTTTCACATTAATGTACTTAAAATTTAAGTTTTAAAAATTATTGCAAGAAAAACTAAAACGTGACGAAGCGAGTAACCAAAAATTAAATTGGAAAAGATGTCAAATAATTTTTTTTAAAAAATCTCTGGGGTCCTATGACTGTACAACTGTTAAGTTCTTTTAAACACTTGGAGATGCTGATATCAATACTAATAGTGACCAAATGTATTTCAAATGTACAAATATGTGGCTTCTACATAAAGTAAATGACATAACTTCTTCAAGAAACCTAAAGGAAGGTAAGAACATGAATGCTACAAAATAAGAATCTATTTTAGTACATGTTCCAAACCCAAGATTTGTTCCACTTTCCCTCCTAGGCATGCTGAAGAAGTGAAACATTCAAACTCTTCCCCACCAACGTGCTGTGTTTTCTGTTAGAATGAGCATAGACTTTAGCTGTGGTTGATGGTAGCATCATTGTGGTCCTGAGCAGTATTCTTGCTGCAAAAAAAGGAAGTTATTGGTGCCTTCTCTGAGATCAGCAGCTCAGGAGTGGACCACGGAATCACCTTTTGTGAAAGCACCACCCCTCTTGCCCTCCCACCCCACACTCCTAAGACTGGGCTGGCCTGAGTTGACTTGTAACCTCTGGAAAGGATGGGAAGTTGGCTGGCAGTTCTCAGTTATGCTAACGGCTGGGAAGATAAAGGATTTTTAATAGGACTGTAGTATATTCAGACTACGGAATATTATCCAGTGCTAAAGAGGAGCTATCAAGCTATGAAAAGGCATGGAAAAACTTAAATGAATACTACTAAATAAAGGAAGCTAATATGAAAAGGCTACATGCTGTATGATTACAACTATATGACATTCTAGATAAAGTAAAACTATGAATACGTAAAAACATCAGTGGTTGCCAGGGGTTAAGGGCCAGGGAGGGATGAATAGTCAGAGCACAGAGGATTTTTACAGGGATGAAACTATTTTATATGATACTATAATGATGGACACATGTCATTATGACTTTGTGCAAACCCATGGAATGTACAACACCAAGAGTGAACCCTAATGTAAACCATAAACTTTGGGTAATAATGATATGTCAATATAGGTTCATCAATTATAATAAATGTACCACTCTGATGGGAATAAGGAAAGCTATGCCTATGTGGGTGCAGGAGAGCTACAGAAATTCTGTTTCTCCTGCTCAGTTTTGCTGTGAATCTAAAACTACTATTTAATTATATTTAATATATATAATTATATATTAATATATATTAATTATATTATATATATTATATAATTATATATTAATATATATTAATTATATTATATATATTATATAATTATATATTAATATATATTAATTATATTATATATATTATATAATTATATATTAATATATATTAATTATATTATATATATTATATAATTATATATTAATATATATTAATTATATTATATATATTATATATTATAATTATATATTATATAATTATAATATATATGTTAATATAATATATATAATTAATATATAATTAAAACTATTTAATTATATGTATATTATATATAATATGTATTATTTAAATAATAAATATATTATTTATATTTATTTAAATATTTGATACTATTATTTAAATATATAATATATTGTTATGTAGTAAGTAAATGTATCTTAATATAATTATATTAAATATAATATAAATTTTAAATATAAACATGCATATTAATATAAATATGTAATATATGTCAATTATATATATATTTGTTGAATGAATCAACCTAAAATAATGCGTCAGACAAAAACTATAAAATTAGTATGCTTACTAACCACAGTTGGTTTACTTTTTGCCTTTTCAGTATTGCTGCTCCCATCAACAAGGACCAGAGTCTTCACAGGAGCAGATTTGGCCCTGAAATCCAAGTCACAAAATCATGTCCGCAGGACTGGTCCTCTCTTTTGTATAAATAAGCCCACAGAGCTTTAATTCAATTATCTGTTCAAGTACTCTTGCACATACCAGTTAACATTTTTCTTCTATGTTAATGGTAGTCCCTGCTAAGTGCCAGTAATTATTTTTTGCCCCCAGATGCAAATTATTATTTTAAATCTAAAAATTCATAAGAACTTGGGACACGAGTGCCCCAAGAAAACTTTATTTCCTCTAGTTCTGAAGCTCTTTCCTTGGGTCATAGTATTCTTGAATGATTTTACACACACAGGCACACACACACATACACAACACGTGATAACCAGCACTTGGGTCATTTCTGCCCTCCTTAGTTTCAGAGGAGGGTAAAGTTGTGAAAGCTGCTTGTTCATTTTCCACATTGGCAGTGCTATTGAAGTTTATCCTGAAGAAACAAATTGCATCACAGTCCTATCAAAATCCTTTGTCTTCCCTGCCCTTAGCATAACAGAACTGCCAGCCAATTTCCCATGCTTTCCAGGGGTTACAAGCCAACTCAGGCCAGTCTAGTCTTTGGAATGTGGGGTGGGAGGACAAGAGGGGTGCTCTCACAAAAGGTGATTGCATGGTCCACTCCTGAGCTGCTGTACTCAGAGAAGGCCCCAATGACTTGCTTTTCTATTCTTGCGGCAAGAATATTGCTCAGGACCACACTGATGCTACAATCTATGCTCATTCTAACAGAAAACACAGCAGGTTGGTGGGAAAGAGGTGGAATGTTTCATTTCTTCAGCATGCCTAAGAGGGAAAATAGAAAAAAGTCCATCTTATTACTGGAAATAAATATTTTGCAAACACACAATAAAACTTACGGGGAGTGAAGCATTAAAATTCTGTGGAGGGAAGAGTCTCCCTTTCCTTGGAAGCAATCCAATCAATGTGGAATGATGGAAATAAACATGAATTATATTTCCCACCCTGCCTGTCAGCCACAAAATCCTGTGACTTTAGGCAAGGGCAAGGTGACCAGGACTTGTGAGGGCCTATATACACCAGGCAAACTGTGAGGCAGATGCTATGCACATTCCCCAGCATGATAAACTGTGACTCAAAGAAGTTCACTCACCTACCTAACATCACGTAGCTAGTGAGTGGTTTAAAAAAAAAATTCAAATTCAGGCCTATCTACCTTCAAGCCTCTGGTTTTTTAGTGCAACGCACTAAACTTAACTTCCCAAGGCTTCAATCTTCTCACCTAAGCTGTCTTCCACCCCAAAAGTTCTTTGTAAAGAAGATATAATATTATAAATTCTCAGTAAGTAACAGTACTTTTTACAGAAAATAGAGATTTACATTATTTAAAAATAAATCCTTATTATTCCTCTGAATAAACTGTAAATATCTTTTAATTCCACACTTTTATTTTATCTTAGATGCAAAAGTATTCATATCACAAAATACAAGTAAATTCTCTCAAGTACTAGGTTTACCCAGAATAGGATTGAAACCAAGATGACAATTTCTTTTTTTGAAATCAATGTTAACCACTAGCTTCTTTGCTTGGGACACCCCTATAAAGCATTGTTAACATTCACAGCAGAAATGGAATGGAATTTGGAAAGTCATCCACACTCAGAGAAAAATGCATCATCAAACCTGTGCAACTATTCTCAGAACTTTCTTAAGTCAAAATTGCATCTTTCTCTGTTTGCATCTTTCTCTGCCACCCTATCTTCCTGCCATTGTGTTAGCCATTGAATTAGAAAGGTAAATGAAAGTGAAAAGCTTCTATTCACTGTCAGATTTATAATTTTATTCTTTATTTATTCATGTAATAAGTTTCATGTAAAAATCCTGTCATTCAAAAACCATACACCACACATTCTCACTTATAAGAGGGAGCTAACATTGAGTACATGTGGTCACAAAGAAAGGAACAATAAACACCAGGGCCTAATTGAGAGTGGAAGGTCGGAGGAGGATGAGGCTCAAAAAACTGCCTATGGGGTAAAATGCTCAAAACTGTCTACCATGATGAAATAATCTGTACACCAAAACACGTGATGCACAATTTACTGATGTAACAAACCTGCACGTGCACCCCTGAACCTAAAATAACATTTGGAAATAAATTAATCTTGTAATTACAATTTTAAAATTTACATTAAAGCTGGATGCGGTGGCTCATACCTGTAATCCCAGCACTTTGGGAGGCTGAAGCAGGTGGATCACTTGAGCTCAGGAGTTTGAGACCAGCTTGGGCAAAATGGCGAAACCTCGTCTCTACAAAAAATACAAAAATTAGCTGTGTGGTGCCACGCACCTGTAGTCCCAGCTACTTGGTAGGCTGATGTGAGTGGATCCCCTGAACCTGGGAGGCAGAGGTTGCACTGAACCAAGATCGCACCACCGCACTCCAGCCTGGGCAATAGAGCGTGACTCTGTCTCAAAAATATACAGAGAGAGATAATTTGTTTTTATAATATTTATGTTTATAATAGATATGTATAAATCATCCTTCACAAATCAAATTATACTATAAATGAAATGGGATAGCCACTGATGGACTTAGGAGAAGTCTGCTGAGGGTAGGGTATACAGGTATATAGCATCCCAGTGCCTCCCTGTGCTGTCCAAACAGTACAAATATGATGAGCTTATCATTATTTTTCATGCCTTAATGTGGTGATTGAAGAGCTCATAATAGGAATTAGAGAAGTGTCAGCTCAGACTTTCTTGTTAACTTGTGTTTGCATTATTAATATTATCATCAATCAAGGATTTCCTGGCAATGATCTTTTTTAAGCCACATGTCCTTTTTGTGAAGGCTAGTTTCATTGAATTGAAATGATATAATCTATAAACCTATAGAACCCAGCCTAGGCAAGCTGCCACAGGCCACAGTATGCCAAGAGCAGATAACTTAAGTGAGGGTGCCACAGCCAAGCCCTCCACATCCTTTGGGGTCACCACAAATGGCCTGTGCCTCAGACCTTTTGCCACAAGACTTATGTCAATATCAACTCATATATTAAATACAGTAAAGTTTAATGTAAGTCTTACATTTAGAACAAAAATATGGTAGAAAGATAATATTTTCTTCTTGTTCCTCAGTGGATGGTTTAACTCACTGACTCCTCTTATAAGATCACTAGTCTGGTATATGACCAGCTAACAGAGCGTAAGTAAAACCACACCTACATAAAACCAGAGACAATTCTTCATTTCAAACTACCCTAATTACTTAGAATGTGCTAGATCCACTTTCTTGTTTCACCTCATTCCTCCCTTCCCTGCTCAGCGGTAGTCACCCACAGAGCAACTCTTCTCAGGTCTTCAGGTGATCCTGGTGGGGAAGAAGTGCACTAAAGCCCCACTGTCATCAGTGGGTGGTGTCTGGACTGTGTTGTTTATGCATCTGGACTGCACTAGCTTTTAGTCATCTCTATGCTCTCCCAGTTCCATTCACCTCATAACTGCCTAAGATCAATGAGTGCATGTAGATTTCCACACCTCTTGCAGCCTGCTCTTCAGCAGCATCCACTTTGCAATATATTTGCCCAAGATTTAGATCAGTCTCCACATCTCATCTTAAATACTGCTGGAGTAAAACCGCACCTCTGGGATACTGATGCATCTGCAAATCTCCAATTTCCACCTTCAGTGTTGCTTGGCAATTCATACATTCATTCAATAATGTATGTAGGAAGGTATGTATGAATGTATGAACCAGTGTTGTAATGTCATCAAGATGGCTGATTAGAGGTGCCCAATGCATGTCTTCTCTACAAAGAAGAACCAAAACAACAAATAAATAACTGCACTTCGAGTAGAGTGTCTAAGGGAGAACACTGGAATTCTGCAAGGAAAAGATGAAAACCCTCTGAAACATGGAAATTTGAGATGGCAGCATGAAGAAGGAAGTAAAGTGACCAGGTGGGATTGGCTTGGAACTAAGAGACATTTCCCATTGTAGGGGAAATGTAAGCAGGCAAGTCCCAGAAGTCCCCATTACTAACATGAATACCTGCAATTCTAACTACAGGAGAACTTCACAACTCTTTTAGGCCTTGAGCCAGTTTAGGGAGCTGCATGGAACCAACACAGCTATATTGTTTCAGTGAAGGAACTCACACTGTATCCCTTTCAGACCAGTGCTGCTGTGCCATGGTGCAATTTTGAAAACAGAGCCATTGCTGGAGTGCCCCCTGCCCTGGTGCTCAAACCTCCTGCACCTCCACATCATGGGATCTGCTGTCATCCTACCACACTCATATAAAAAGATGCAATGCCATGACCCCAGCTTGACCTAGCAGTACAGATGTGACACTAGCACCTAAACTCACATGGTGTCCTAAACTTCATGCAACAGCCAGTCCAGCACAGTGGGGATGATGTCCCCAAGACTAGGGGAGCCAATGCATACACTCCCCAGGACCTGAAACCCACCTGCCTAGTGCCCACCACTGTTAGCAACATTGTCCCCTTCACCACCAGAGCCACGGTGTACTGCATGTGCCCCAGAAACCAGGGACCAGACTGCCCAGCTCCTGCCACCACCAATGAACCCACAACCTTGACTTGAGGAGCTGCTACATCTAGCAGCACCCACTCCCTGCAGGGCTTGAGAAATAGCCTTTCCAGTGGCTCCCATCTGCAGTAAAGCCATGCCACTGCCTCCACAAACACCTACGGTCTTGGCCACTGAGGCACTCACAGATACTGCTGGCATTGATTACAGTCAAAAAAAGATTTACATGATTACAGCACTGTGCTCACCCACAACCAAAGCCAAAGTACTTTACCCAACTGACACAATAGGATGCACTTACAGAAAAAAAAGTCTTTCCTTATGAAATCTACTAGATAAAATTGGAAGAGGTAACTGTTTCAGCAGATACCCGGATTTCAATGTAGGGACCCATAAAACATGAAAAAGCAAGGGAACGTGACATCGCCAAAGGAACACAATAATTCTCCAGTAACAGACTTCAAAGCAAAGAAAATCTATGAAATGCCTGAAAAGGAATTCAAAATAGTAATCTTAGGAAAACTAAGCAAGACACAAGAGAATAAAGGTAAATAATTCAATGAAATCAGGAAAACAATTTGTGATTTTAATGACAAATTCAGCAAAGAACTAGATATCATAAAAAGAACCAAACAAAAAGTGTGGAGTTGAAGAATTCAATGAATAAAATAAAAAATACAATTGAGCGCAACAACAGACTAAGTCAAGCAGAAGAAAGATTTTGAATGTGAAGACAGGTCTTCTGAAATAAGCCAGTCAGACAAAAAATAAAGGATAAAAAAGAATGAAGGGAGTTTATGAGACTAATGGAACACAATTAAGTGAACAAATATTTTCATTATAAGAATTCTAGAAAAAGAAGAAATGAAAAAAAGGCATAGAAAACCTATTTAATGAATTAATAAGTGATGACTTTTTAAGTTTTGGGAAAGGTATAGACATCCAGATTCAGGAAGCTTAAAGGTCCCAAATAGATTCAACCCAAAAAATATCCTTTCCAAGAAATATTACAGTCAAACAGTCAAAAGTCAAAGACAACAAGGGAATTCTAAAATTTATCACAAGGGAAAGATGTCAAGTCCCATATGAGGGAATCATTATTAGACTAACATCAGATTTTTCAGCAGAAATCTTAAAGATGAGGAGAGAATGAGATGATATTTTCAAAGTGCTAAAAGAGAAACAGCAGCGAAGAATACTATACCCAGCAAAGATTGTCTTTGCTAGACAAGAAAAACAGGAAATTTGTCACCACTAGACTGGCCCCACAAGAAATGCTTAAGGGAGTCCTACATCTAGAAGTAAAAGGATGATGACTACCATCATAAAACATGCAAAAGTATAAAACTCAGTAGCAGGCATATACAGAAATTTGAAGAAAAAAAAAGGAGTCAACTTTTGTCACTGCAAACATACCGCCAAGCTATAAAAATAAACAATAAAAGAGGAAGAAACAAAGGATATGCAAGATAACCTGAAAACAACTAAGAAAATGACAGGAGTAAGTTCTCATGTATCAATAACCATCAATGAAAACTGATTAAATTCCCTAATTAAAAGATATAAACTGGCTGAATAGATAAAAAAGAAAGACCCAAATATATGCTGCCTAGAAGAAACTCACTTCATCTAAAAAGATATACACAGACCAAAAATGGAGGAATGGAAAAAGATATTCCACCCAAACAAAAATCAAAAATGAGCAGGGGTAGCTTTACTTATATCAGATAAAATAGACTTTAAGTAAAAAACTGAAAAAAGAGACAAAGATGTTATTACATAATGATAAAAGGATTTATTCAGCAGGAGGATATAACAATTATAAGTTTGTATCCATCCACACTGAAGCACACAGATATGTAAAGCAAATATTATTAGTTCTAAATGGAGAAATAAACTTCAATACAATAATACTTGGAGATTTTGACATTCCACTGTTAGCACTGGACAAATCATCTAGATAGAAAGTCAACAAAGCAATATCAGATTTAAACTGCCCTATAGACCAAATGAACCAAATAGACATTTACAAAACATTTTATCCAATACCTGCAGAACACACATTCCTCTCATCAATACAAGGTACATTCTTCATGAAAATCCATGTGTTAGACCACAAAGCAAGTGTCAAAAATTTTTTTTAATCAAAATCATATCAAGTATGTTTTCTGACAACATTAGTATAAAACTAGAAATCAATAACAAGAGTAATTTTGGAAACTGTACAAATACATAGAAATTAAACAACATAGACTTTAACAACAGGTAGTACTTTTCCTGTGGCAGCAGCTGGGCTGAGAGGAACATGGCTGTCTCCTCTCTCCACCATGGCATGTGCTCACCCACTGATATAGGTGTACTCCCAAAAGGGGGAGTCATCTGGCAAAAATGTTACTATGTCTGCTGTATTCAAGGCTCCTATTTGACTGGATATTGTGAACTTTGTTCACACCAACTTGCACAAAAACAACAGACAGCCCTACGTTGTCAGTGAATTAGCAGGTCGTCAGACCAGTGCTGAGTCTTGGGGTACTGGCAGAGCTGTGGCTCACATTCCCAGAGTTCGAGGTGGTGGGACTCACCGTTCTGGCCAGGGTGCTTTTGGAAACATGTGTCATGGAGGCTAAATGTTTGCACCAACCAAAACCTGGTGCCATTGGCATCACAGAGTGAACACAACCCAAAAACGATATGCCATCTGTTCTGCCCTGGCTGCCTCAGCCTTACCAGCGCTGGTCATGTCTAAAGATCATCATATTGAGGAAGTTCCTGAACTTTCTTTGGTAGTTGAAGATAAAGTTGAAGGCTACAAGATCAAGGAGGCTGTTTCGCTTCTTAAGAAACTTAAAGGCTGGAATGATATCAAAAAGGTCTATGCCTCTCAGCAAATGAGAGCTGGCAACAGCAAAATGAGAAATCGTCACTGTATCCAGTGCAGGGGCCCCTGCATCATCTATAATGAGGATAACGGTATCATCAAGGCCTTCAGAAACATCCCTGGAATTACTCTGCTTAATGTAAGCAAACTGAACATTTTGAAGCTTGCTCCTGGTGGGCATGTGGGACATTTCTGCATTTGGACCAAAAGTGCTTTCCAGAAGTTAGATGAATTGTATAGCACTTGGCATAAAGCTGCTTCCCTCAAGAGTAACTACAATCTTCCCATGCACAAGATGTTCAATACAGATCTTTAGCAGAATCTTGAAAAGCCCAGAGATCCAAAGAGCCCTTTGAGCACCATGCAAAAAGATTCATTGCAGAGTCCTAAAGAAGAACCCACTGAAAAACCTGAGAATCATGTTGAAGCTAAACCCATATGCAAAGACCATGCACGCGTCAGAACACCATTCTTCACCAGGCCAGGAATCACAAGCTCTGAGTGGATAAGGCAGCAGCAACAGCTGCAGCACTAGAAGCCAAATCGGATGAGAAGGGGGTTGCAGGCAAGAAGCCTGTGGTAGGTAAGAAAGGAAAGAAGGCTGCTGTTGGTGTTAAGAAGCAGAAGAAGCTTCTGGTAGAAAAAAGGGGCAGCAGCTACCAAGAAACCAGCCCCTGGAAAGAAGCCAGCAGAAAAGAAACCTACTACAGAGGAAAAGAAGCCTGCTGCATAAACTCTTAAATTTGATTATTCCATAAAGGTCAAATCATTTTGGACAGCTTCTTTTGAATAAAGACCTGATCAAAGAGGCAGTGAGAAAAAAAAAGGTAGGTAAATAAATTAAAAAGAAAATCCAAAAATGTATTGAAACAAGTGAAAATAGAAACACAATATACTAAAACATATGGGATACAGCAAAAGCAGTTATTCTAAGAGGGAAGTTTATAGCAGTAAACACCTACATGAAAAATATATATTTCAAATAAACAATCTAACTATGTATCTCAAGGATCCAGAAATGCAAAAACAGACAGAATCAAAAATTAGCAGAAGGAAATAAAGTATAAATATCAAGCCAGAAATAAACAATATAGAGACTAAAAATATGCAATCAACAAAATGAAGGGTTTTTTTCAAAGATAAACGAAATTGACAAACCATTAACTACATTGATGAAGAAAAAAGATACAAGACCAAAATAAATAAAATCAAAAGTGAAAAAGGATACATTACAGCTGATACCACAGAAATATAAAGAATTATTAGAGATTATTACAAATAACTATATGCCAACAAATTGGAAAAGCTAGAGGAAATGGATAAATTCCTGGGCATGTGTAACCTACCAAAATTGAATTAGGAAGAAATAGAAAACCTGAACAGACCAATAACAAACAATAAGATTGAATCAGTAATAAAAAGCCTCCAAACAAATAAAAGCCCAAGACCTGATTACTTCACTGATGATGTCCATCAAAATTTTAAAGAACTAACACTAATTCTTCTCAGACTATTCCAAAAACTTGAAAAGCAGGGAATTCTTCTAAATTCATTGTTCCAGGCCCGCGTTATTCTGATACTAAAACCAGATAAAAACACAGAAAGAAAACACAGGTCAATATCCCTGATGAACATAGATGAAACATCCTCAACAAAATACTAGCAAGCTGAATCCAATGGCACATCAAAAATATTATATACCATGAACATACTGTGGGAATCAACAAATGACCTTTAACTAAATGGAAAGCCTAGCAGTTACCATAGTGTCTGGTATACTTAGAAGTGCAATAATAATACTTTACTTTCTTTGTTAAGACCTCAGCTTGAATACAAAGAAATTTTCACAACCTACTCATCTGACAAAGGGCTAAGATCCAGAATCTACAATGAACTCAAACAAATTTACAAGAAAAAAACAAACAACCCCTTCAAAAAGTGGGCAAATGACATGAACAGACACTTCTCAAAAGAAGACATTTATGCAGCCAAAAGACACATGAAAAAATGCTCATCATCACTGGCCATCAGAGAAATGCAAATCAAAACCACAATGAGATACCATCTCACATCAGTTAGAATGGCAATCATTAAAAAGTCAGGAAACAACAGGTGCTGGAGAGGATGTGGAGAAATAGGAACACTTTTACACTGTTGGTGGGACTGTAAACTAGTTCAACCACTGTGGAAGTCACTGTGGTGATTCCTCAGGGATCTAGAACTAGAGATACCATGGGACCCAGCCATCCCATTACAGGGTATATACCCAAAGGATTATAAATCATGCTGCTATAAAGACACATGCACACATATGTTTATTGCGGCACTATTCACAATAGCAAAGACTTGGAACCAAGCCAAATGTCCAACAATGATAGACTGGATTAAGAAAATGTGTCACATATACACCATGGAATACTATGCAGCCATAAAAAATGTTGAGTTCATGTCCTTTGTAGGGACATGGATGAAATTGGAAATCATCATTCTCAGTAAACTATCGCAAGGACAAAAAACCAAACACCGCATGTTCTCACTCATAGGTGGGAATTGAACAATGAGAACACATGGACACAGGAAGGGGAACATCACACTCTGGGGACTGTTGTGGGATGGGGGGAGGGGGGAGGGATAGCATTAGGAGATATACCTAATGCTAAATGACGAGTTAATGGGTGCAGCACACCAGCATGGCGCATGTACACATACGTAACTAACCTGCACATTGTGCACATGTACCCTAAAACTTAAAGTATAATAATAATAATTAAAAAAGTGATCTATCATTTACATGTTAGCATAAAGAATAATATGACCATATGGTGTACTAGAAGGAATTATTATTAAAGAAAGAGGGATACAAGAAGGGGGCACTAAGAACAAACTATTCATATGTGTCCTTGCTCTATTAGAGTGTTGTAGCAGCCAGCAGACATCAGAGCCTGTCTTCAGTGTCTGCCTGCATCCCAGCCATTTAGTTTGCTAAATATCATTGGGTAGACGTTTTTTATACATCAAAGGCTCATAAGGGTCCTGACGTTTATACTACTCAAGGTAATGGATTGTCCCTATGGCTTCTATATGTTTCTGGGCTCCAGCTGGCTGGTGCAGGAACAGTTGGCCTGCACAGTGCAGGAGCTGCCCTCATTTGTGTGCTTTTCTAGGTCTGTACAAACCCAATGACTGAAAGCCTCAACCAGTGGCTTTTCAGAAAGGGGAAAGATCAACATAATTGAACACACACACACACACACACACACACACACACACACACACTCACACACAAATATACATATATAATGCTCATAATGTGTGTATAAATACACACATTATGGTTAAGTATATCTTAATTTCTAATGCATAAGTGAAAGAGGATCTGTAGAGATTAATAAAAGGCTCTGGGTTATAAAAATTAATAGGATCTAGAGATTTGTTTTTCTAACAACTTGTAGACTGAGCTAAGATGAGTAATCATTCACTCCCTTCAAAAAAAATGAGAATAAAAAGTGAATTCAAATAAAGATGAGAAATTTCTGGTCCAGAAATGAAGAGGGAACTTAAAGCCAGAGCAGCCCATTCAAGACCCAATGTCAAGAAGACCAGAGGAGATATTGGGCTGAACAGATCCTATAGACCATGGGTTGGAGCTTTACACCAAGCTAGATGCAAGTACCACATGAGATAAAGATGTCAGAGTATAACCCCTGCATAAATCCAGAGTATTAAGAAAGCTAACCTCTGAGTAAAAAAGCGACTAGAATAATTTTGCCCTGAGCCCTAAAGAAGCATCAGAGGAGGCCTATGTTTTCTTAGGACTCTGAGTGATAGGCTTCCATGAAAGACAGAAACACCAGGCATATGGCACACATGGGTTTGGAGTTCAAATTTATACCATGCGCATGTTGAATAAATTCCTAAAACAAAAACTTAAAAGACCATAAACATGCTAGAGTACCTAGCAAAAGCAGATGTAAAACTGCTCTTCTATACTTCAGGTTGCAGTATAGACTCCCACAGGTAAGGAAAAAATAATTACTGAAGATGAGATCATAACAAAAAATTACAAATCATATACATGAAAATGATACAAAATGAGACAGTATCAGCAGTCACACACAAAAAAAAAACCTGATGAATAGCTCTCCACATATTGGGTTAACAGACCAATCTCTAATGCAAGAAAATGGAATAAAAAGAGCAATCTCAAAGAATATATAAAGTTTTAAATTATTAAAGATATAGAAGAAACCTAAGTCATAAGGAAATGACTGTGAAAAAAAGAATTTCCATATATGAAAAAGATAGTCATAAAAATTAGACTAAATGTAGCTGAAAAAAGATATAGAGGACTGGAAGATACATCAGTGGAGATTATACAGAATGAAACAAATAGAGATAAAATGATGAAAAATACTTTTTATAAGATGTTAGCATTTAAATACACACACCAGTGTCACTATAAAGCAACGACGCAAACAAGCCAACATAATAACCAGCTAACAACACAATGACAGGATCAAATCCACACATATCAATACTAATCTTGAACATAAATAGACTAAATGCCCTCACTTAAAAGGCACAGAGTGGCAAGCTGGATAAAAAAAAAGCAAGACCCAATGGTATGCTGTCTTCAAGAGACTCATCTCACATGCAATAACACATATAGGCTCAGAATAAAGGGATGGAGGAAAAGCTACCAAGCAAATGGAAAACAGAAAAAACCAGGGTTAGCAATCCTAATTTCAGAAAAAACAGACTTCGAACCAACAAATATCAACAAAGACAAAGAAGGGCATTACATAATGGTAAAAGATTCAACTCAACAAGAAGACCAACTATCCTAAATACATATGCCCCCAACATAGGAACACCCAGATTCATAAAGCAACTTCTTAGAGACATACAAAGAGACAATGACTCCCATGCAGTAATAGTGGGAGAATTCAACACTCCACTGACAGTATTAGACAGATCACTGAGGCAGAAAATTAACAAAGATATTCAGGACCTGAACTCAACATAGGACCAAACAGATCTAATAGACCTCTACATAACTCTCCATCCGAAAACAATAGAATATACATTATTCTCATCACCACATGGCACATACTCTAAAATTGATCACATAATTGGACATAAAACAATCCTCAGCAAATACAAAAGAACTGGAATCATACCAAACACACTCTCAGACCACAGCACAATAAAAATAGAAGTGAAGGCTAAGAAAATTGCTCAAAACCATACAATTACATGGAAATATAAACAACATGCTCATGCACGACTTTTGGGTAAATAATGAAATTAAGGCAGAAGTCAAGAAGTTCTTTGAAACTAATGAGAACAAAGATAAAACATACCAGAATATCTGGAACACAGATAAGGCAGTGTTGAGAGGGAAATTCATAGCACTAAATGCCCATATCGAAAAGTTAGAAAGATCTCCAACTAACAACCTAACATCACAACTGAAAGCATTGGAAAATCAAGAACCAATCAACTCCAGAGCTAGCAAAAGAAAAGAAATAAACAAAATCAGGGCTAAACTGAATGAAGGAGATTGAGACGCGAAAAACCATTCAAAAGATCAACGAATCCAGTTTTTTTTTTGAAAAAAATAATAAGCTGCTAGCTAGCCTACTGAAGAAGAAAAGAGAGAAGATCCAAAAAATCACAATTAGAAATGACAAAGGGAGTGTTACCATTGACCCCACAGAAATAAAAATAACCAAGAGAAATAAATACAAATACTTCTATGCACACAAAATAGAAAACCTAGCAGTGATGGCTACATTCCTGGACATATCCACCCTTTCAAAACTGAACTAGGAAGAAACTAATTCCCTGAACAGACCCCTATAATGAGCTCTGAAAATGTAACAGTAATAAATAGCCCATGAACCAAAAAAGTTGAGGACCTGACTGATTCACACCCAAATTCTACCAGATATACAAAGAAGAGCTGGTACCACTCCTATTGAAACTATTCCCAAAAACTGAGGAGAAGAGATTCTAACCCAACTCATTCTGCATCATACTGATACCAAAACCTAGCAGAGACACAACAATAAAAGAAAACTTCAAGTCAATATCCTTGATGAATATCGATGTAAAAGTCTTCAACAAATACTTGCAAACTGAATCCAGCAGCACATCAAAAAGCTAATCTACCACAATTGAGTAGGCTTCATCCTCAGGACACAGGTTAGTTCAACATATTCAAATCAATAAATGTGATTCATCACATAAACAGAACTAAAGGTAAATACCATGTGATTATCTCAATGGACACAGAAAAAGCTTTCAATAAAATTCAACACCGCTTCATGTTAAAAACTCCCAATAAACTAGGTATTGAAGGAAGATGCCTCAAAATAATAAGAGCCATCTATGACAAACCCACCGCCAACATTATACTGAATGGGCAAAAGCTGGAAGCATTCTCCTTGAAAATCTGGCACAAGACAAGGATACCCTCTCTCCACTCCTATTCAACAGAGTATTGGAAGTCTTCGCCAGAGCAATCAGGCAAGAGAAATAAATAAAGGGAATCCAAATAGGAAGACAGGAAGTCAAACCATCTTTGCTTGCAAGACAACATGATTCTATATCTAGAAAACCATAGTATCACCCCAAAAACTTCTTCACCTGATAAACAACTTCAACAAAGTTTTAGGATACAAAATCAATGTACAAAAATCACTGGCTTTCCTATACACCAAAAACAGCCAAGCCAAGAGCCAAATCAGAAAGATAATCACATTCACAATTGCCTCAAAAAGAATAAAATACCTAGGAATACAGATAACCAGGGAGGTGAAAGATCTTTACAATGCAAATTACAAAACACTGCTCAAATAAATCAGAGAAGACACAAACAAATGGAAAAACATCCCATGATCATGAATAGGAAGAACTGATATCATTAAAATGGCCATATTGTCCAAAGCAATTTACAGATTCAATGCTATTCCTATGAAACTACCAACAACTTTCTTCACAGAACTAAAAAAACTATTTTAAAATTCATATGGAACCAAAATAGAGCCCAAATAGCCAAGACAATCCTAAGCAAAAAGAACAAAGCTGAACACATCATGTTACCCAACTTCAAACTATACTACAGGGCTATAGTAACCAAAATAGCGTAGTACTGGTACAAAAGCAGACACACAGACCAATGGAACAGAATGGGGAGCCCAGAAATAAGGCTGCACACCTATGACCATCTTATCTACAACAAAGCTGACAAAAACAAGCAATGGGGAAAAAAATCCCTATTTAATAAATGGTGCTGGGATAACTGGCTAGCCACATACAGAAAAATGAAGCTGGATACCTTCCTTGCATCATATACAAAAATCAACTCAAGATGGATTAAAGACTTCAACGTAAAATACAAAACTATAAAAACCCTGGAAGACAATCTAGGCAATACCATCTACACATAAGGACAGGCAAAGATTTTGTGACAAAGACACCAAAAGCAATTGCAACAAAAGCAAAAATTGACAATTAATTAAACTTAAGAGCTTCTGCACAGCAAAAGAAACTATCTATAGAGTAAACACACAGCCTACAGAATGTGACAAAATGTTTTCAAAGTATGTAAATGACAAAGGTCTAAAATCCAGCATCTATAAGGAACATAAGTTTACAAGAGAAAAACAACCCCATTAAAAAGTAGGCAAAGGATATGAACAGACCCTTTTCAAAAGAAAACATGCATGTGGTCAAAAAGCATATGAAAAACAGCTCGATATCACTGATCATTAGAAAAATGCAAATCAGGCTGGGTGTGATGGTTCACACCTGTAATCCCAGCACTTTGGGAGGCCAAGGCAGGCAGATCACCTGAGGTCAGAAGTTCAAGACCAGCCTGACCAACATGAAGAAACCCCTTCTCTACTAAAAATACAAAAAAAAGTTGGCCAGGCATGGTGGCACATGCCTGTAATCCCAGCTACTCGGGAAGCTGAAGAAGGAGAATCACTTGAACCCGGGAGGCGGAAGTTGCAGTGAGCCGAGATCACGCCATTGCACTCCAGCCTGGGCAATAACAGTGAAACTCCCATCTCAAAAAAAAAAAAAAAAAAGAAAGAAAGAAAGAAAGAAAGAAAAATGCAAATCAAAACCACAATGAGATACCATTTTACACCAGTCAGAATGGCTATTACTAAAAAGTTAAAAAAAACAACAGATGCTGGCAAGGTTGCAAAGTAAAGGGAACACTTAAGCACTGTTGGTGGGAGTTTAAATTAGTTCAACCATTGTGGAAAATTGTATGGTGATTCCTCAAAAAGCTAAAAGCAGAACTACTGTTTTACATGGCAATCCCATTATTGGGTAAATATCCAGAGGAATATAAATCATTTTACCATAAAGATACATGCACACAAATGTTCATTGCAGCACTATTCACAATAGCAAAGACATGGAATCAACCTAAATGCCCAGCAGGGAAAGAGTGGATAAAGAAAATGTGGTACATGTACACCATGGAATACTATGCAGCCATAAAGAACAGGATCATGTCTTTTTCAGGAACATGGATGGAGCTAGAGACCATTGCCCTTAGCATACTAATGCAGGAACAGAAAACCATATGTACACATGCACAGGAAGAATACACACCACTTCCAGGAGAGCAGTCAACTTTGGGGCAAACAAGAAGGGAGTGAGATGGAGGAGACGGAGCATTAGCTGTGCTTGTAATGCTCTATGCCTTCAAGAATGTTAAAGCAAACACAGCAAAATGACAGTATATGTTAAATCTAGCTGCTGTACACAAATGTCTCATATCAATGCTTCCCAATCATTTTTACTTTGTAGCACATCATTAAATGTAATAAAATGTTTATGACACAATGAGTCAACATATGAAGCTGCTGAAAGTTTAATGCGACTGGCCAGCAAGTCAGCAGTCCCAAGGACACTTCTTGCCACCACCATGGACTGAGGAATTCATAATATCTCAGCACACCAATCACCTATTTGTCAGTCCTCAGTGACCTTCTGTACACAGTTGGGAAGCCCTGCTTTATAGTATTTTTTACACTTTTCTCTATGTTTGAGCTAGTAAAAAGCTAACCAGACAAGAAGATATGTTTCTCAGAGTTCTCAGCAGAAGATTCCCAACAAAATAGGTTGGACAGAAGTGGATGATAGTAAAATTTCTTCCTAAGCAGGATAAAGCTAGAGCTGTGTGGTTTGTGCTCCTCAAAGCCTTCACGGCGGAAGCAGTGGAGTGAGTTTGAGCTGAACTGAGTCTGTGTGGAAGCAAGTTGCTGTGGTAATGTGTGTGACAGTGCAGGGGGCCACAGATGAAGAAGCCAGAGTGGGACCTAGGGGATGTGTTCTAGTGGTAGGGACAAGTACGAAATGCCTGAGCTCTGGATGCAAAAACTTGGAGCTGGCTTTGCTTTTTTGATTGCATTTTTTAAATTGTAGTAAAATATACAAAACATAAAATCTACTACTTTAACGATTTTCATGTGCACAGTTCTGTGACATTAAGTACATTTACATTATGCAACCATAATCACCATCCATCTCCAGAACTTTCTTATCTTCCCCAACTAAAACTCTGTACGGATTAAATAATAATGCCCCATTCCTTCCTCCCCGCCCAGCCCTGGCAACCATTATTCTACTTTCTGTGTCCATGAATTTGACTAGAGTGAAATCATGCATAGCTGTTCTTTTGTGACTGGCTTATGTCATTTACCATAATGTCTTCAAGGTTTATCCATGTTGTAGAATGAGCCAGAATTTTCTTCCTTTTTAAGGCTGAATAATATTCCATTATATGTATATACCACATTTTGTTTATTCATTCATCCATTGATGGACACTTGGGTTGCTTTTATGTTTTGGCTATTGCGAATAATGCTGTTATGTACATGTATTTGTTTGAGATCATGCTTTCCATTATTTTGGGTACATACTCAGGAGTAGAATTGCTGGCTCATGTGGCAATTCTGTTTTGGGGGTTTGGAGTTTTTTTCAAGAACTGACTGCTTTAATGCATTTTTAACAGGCCTGTTAAATAAGGTTTATTTCCCATGCAGTAACATAAAGTGGTAAATCATAGTACTAGTGTGGGGAAATTTGACTAGAAAGCCTACTAACTACTTTGTTTTGGAAGCACTAAATACTGACTCACTCTTTTTAGACATCAGAAGCCATCTCGTATTATCATTCCTTGCAATCCTTTTTCTCTAGTCTCATTTATTCCATCTTGATAATATAGATGAGTGACATGGACTCAATGTAAGAATCTCATCTTACAAGGAGAGATGGACATGTAAAAAAAAATTGAAATACAGGGAAAATTTTAAACATAGTGAAATAAAATGTACCTCAGATAGAGTGGTAGCACAGAAGAAAGTGCTGAGTGGGTGATTGAAGAGAAAATTTTCCTAAATGAGGAGGCACAAGTGGTGGTGGTGGTGGTGGTGAACTGGGGCCAGAGAGAAGAAATCAGGATAACACAGTATGCATGTCAACAGTTCTCAAACAAATCTGAGCTATCAAACTTAATATTTCTTTGAAAACTCCCGGTAAAATTAAATGCTTACTTTATAGCATATTATTTTACCTAATATGAACCTTTAACTCACTCTTGCTATGTGAAATTAATGAAAATGACTCAATTTTTTAAATGTTGGGGATGGGCATGGTGGCTCATGCCTGTAATCCCAGCACTGTGGGAGGCCGAGGTGGGTGAATCACCTGAAATCAATCCAAGACCAGCCTGGCCAACATGGTGAAAACCCATCTCTACTAAAAATATAAAAAGAAATTAGCCAGGCATGGAGGTGCACACCTGTATTCCCAGCTACTCAGGAGGCTGAGGCAGGAGAATCACTTGAACACAGGAGGCAGAGGTTGCAGTGAGCTGAGAAGTACCATTGCACTCCAGCCTGGGCGACAGAGCGAGACGCCGTCTCAAAAAAAAAAAAAAATGTTGATAGCATGCTAATTTCTATAACTGTAGCCAATTTATGAAAGCCAAGCCTAGAAGAAAGAAAAACAAGGAGGAGTCTTTATATATGAACCATCACAAAAAGGTAAACTTTATCCAGGAGACAGCACAAGAGACAGCACATTCACTCTTCCAGTTCCAGGAATATAGAAGTGCTTTTTTCTGTGACACAGGACATCAGAGTCACATTTGACTTTTCTTCTTACTTAAGGTTAGTTTTATTGTGTTTCATACATTCAAAACAAAAGTTTTGTGAATGCTTTAGGAATGATATGATCTCAGTTACAATTATATAGCTATCTCCTTTTATTCCATACCTACTTATAAAAGAGAAGTGCAGATGTGAGAAGTGATCTGCCATTTAAATAGTACCCTTTCCTCCTCCCCCAGAAACATAGTAATAGAGATCCTGTTACCTGTATATGAGCTTAAAAGATAGACTTAGATATGGTCCATCAAAAACATATCTGAGAATACAAGAAAATAAAGGCAGTTTCACAGGAACAAGAAAAACATGATTTGAAAATATCAGTAAATTGAATAAATCTGTGACGTTGTCTACCACCTACAGCTTCCAATGCACAGAACAGAAATATGCTAAAAGAAAGCACCAAATTAGAGGCCTACAACAATGGAATGCTGAGTTTACATTTTTTTTTTTTTTGTAAAACTAGAGAATATCAAAGAATTCTGTGCTTTTGGATCGTTTTATGTTTGTTTTTATATTTTTAACTTTATCTATTGCTTTTGTGATGAGGTTCTTCTCCATTAAAAAAGTGTCATTCTGCTGCTGATGGCATAAGGTTTCACTAATTAAGGGAGTTTCTATTACATTGTATTATTATAAATGCTTTTTATCTACAGAACCAGTGCAGATTAGAGGGAGATTAGAGGGTGACTATTCAGGTACTTGTACTTCTCAATAGTTACAGTGAATGCTTGTTAGCATCTTTAAATATTTCCAAGCAAAATAATCTGGATAGAACTGTACCTTACCAATATTCCAGCCCTTACCTGCTTGTTTGCTTGTTTTTCCATATACCATGAAATTTGGGAGCAACATATGGCCTTAGTGGCCGTCCTTTTTGTTACAGATTAGGACACAGAACCAAAGAGGCTAACTGGTTTGCATTAAATACAGAGCCAGTTGAAGGCAGCACCAGGATGGAAACCTAAGTTCCCTGGCTCTCTGGCCAATGCTCTACTTACCACGTGATGATTTCTTTCCTTATGGGTTTCCACTTGACTTAGACATAATACAAAGTTGTTTTTTTATTTTCACAGTACAGGCCAGAGTGGGGGAAGAAAGGAATTAATGAGTTGATAAAGCCCTGAGGATGCATGTTCTTCTGTAGTTTATAAAGAGCCAAGAGAGAAATTTGAGTATGGCAAGAGAAAGGGAAAGTGATAATCAATTTACTACCTGGCAATTTTAAATATATGGCATTTCGTCTCTTAATATGTCAGAAGTTTCAATGAGTTTATGGTCATATTTTTCTGTAGCCCATACAGTGGAGCTTGATCTTGACATTATTTGCTGAGGCAGGATGATCTCCCATCTAAGAAAATTTGTCATTAAAGAATCAAATGATCTCAATATGGAGCTGTAAACATCTTCATTGTAGGACAATTTTGTGTTTCATGGATAGCACAACTGGGCAACCTTAGAGACAGTCCATGGACCTATGAACAGGTTTCAGGGAGTTCACAAATCTCTGATTTGTATGCAAAATCTTGTGTGCATAATGTATATGCGATTTTCTAATTAGAAGTTCCATGACTTCTACCAGCATTTCAAAGTTATTCATGGGCAAAGAGAAACAAGTTCAAGAATTACTGCTTTTAAAAAAGGACAGCAGTAAAATTTTACAATTCTATTGCATGCCGAAGTGTCCCACCTACTGAGTGTCAAAGCCAAGACTCTAAATCAAGTCTCCTAATGGCTATGAATGTCTTAGAGCAGGGAAGATATAATAATTTATTATCATAACAGGTCCAATATTGATTTGAAGTATGAGCCTGAGTTTTTAAAGAATGCAATAGCTATTAGATTCTGCTCTTTTAAATTCA
The DNA here is from genome assembly GCF_000001405.40 of Homo sapiens. Classification (NCBI taxonomy): domain Eukaryota; kingdom Metazoa; phylum Chordata; class Mammalia; order Primates; family Hominidae; genus Homo; species Homo sapiens. The sequence goes on from NC_000001.11 coordinate 166,760,990, forward strand.
TTAATAAAGTATTATAATGACTTATTTAATGACAATGATTTATTTAATGCTTACTATGTTCAACAACTATTTACTTTTCTTAATCTAGTAAACATTTGTGTTTTCCTTTATGTGCAAGACCCTGGACTAATCAGGAATTCAACAGAGGCCTTTTACATAGTTCTTAGGAGTTTATGGTCTATTTTAAAAAACAATACATACACAATTTATGTAACAATACATGGAACACAAAACCAAATGTCAAATTAACATTTCTGTAAAACATACAAGAATGTTAAATAAATGTCTTGTTTAAAATTTCAAATGGAATAACATCCTTGTATTTTTACATTACCTGAGCCTGATCAAGATAAGAGGCTTTTAAAAAGTTCATTGCCTAAAAATTTTTTTAAACATCACTATAGGAAGAACAAAATAACCCGAGATTTAAAATGAATTTGGACAAAACCTGTGTTTGGAAAGAAGATTGTCATTTTGGGATACCCTGAAGGGAAATGGTATCCTCAGGAGGTCCTAATGGTTAGATGTGAACCCACCCAAGTTGCTTAAAACATATGCAAATGGCTATGTCCCGTATGATGACCACGATGGGGCTAAAGCCCCTTATGCATGGAGCTCAAAAAAGCTCAAGAACACTGTCAGGAAGGATCACTAGGAAGCAGAGAACATGGACAGTTGGTCCATAGTGTCATCTGCAAAGCTATAGCTCTTAGGAAAAAAAAAAGCGAGTAGTAATGACCAGCTTTTCCTAAGAACACTAATACTAGCTTAGATTTGATATGCCTTGTAATAAGGTATTATAAGATTTGATGAACACACACTTCTCAAAAAAGACATTTATGCAGCCAACAGACACATGAAAAAATGCTCATCATCACTGGCCATCAGAGAAATGCAAATCAAAACCACAATGAGATACCATCTCACACCAATTAGAATGGCAATCATTAAAAAGACAGGAAACAACAGGTGCTGGAGAGGATGTGGAGAAATAGGAACACTTTTACACTATTGGTGGGACTGTAAACTAGTTCAACCATTGTGGAAGACAGTGTGGCGATTCCTCAAGGGTCTAGAACCAGAAATACCATTTGATCCAGCCATCTCACTACTGGGTATGTACCCAAAGCATTATAAATCATGCTGCTATAAAGACACATGCACACGTATGTTTATTGCGGCACTATTCACAATAGCAAAGAATTGGAACCAACCCAAATGTCCATCAATGATAGATGGGATTAAGAAAATGTGGCACATATACACCATGGAATACTATGCAGGCATAAAAAGGATGAGTTCATGTCCTTTGTAGGGACATGGATGAAGCTGGAAACCATCATTCTGAGCAAACTATCGCAAGAACAGAAAACCAGACACCGCATGTTCTCACTCATAGGTGGAAATTGAACAATGAGAACACTTGGACACAGGGTGGGGAACATCACACACCAGGGCCTGTCATGGGGTGGGGGGAGGGGGGAGGGATAGCATTAGGAGAAATACATAATGTAAATGATGGGTCAGTGGGTGCAGCACACCAACATGGCACATGTATACATATGTAACAAACCTGCACGTTGTGCACAAGTACCCTAGAACTTAAAGTATAATAATAAAAAAAGAGAAAAAAAAGGAAAAAAAAAAAAGATCTGATGGAGCCTGACTATGGGGTAATGATAAAGGATAGAAAGTGCTGCATCCATTCCTGCCAAGCCATAGTAAAACACAAAACGTTCCAAGGAATATGAGGATCAGGATATAAGAACCAAATCAAACAGATTGTACCAAATGAGATAGAGTATAAAGGTTTAAGGAAAAGAGTGGGATGAGCCTTTTGATGGTAGGCTGAAATAAAACAATCCATTCACTGTGACATTATAATGGCCCAGAGTTAACAAAGTGAACCAGTTTCTGACAGCACTGTTAATGCTAACTAGCTAGCATCAATGAGTTGATAAAGTCCTGAGGATGTATTTTCTAACTAGTTAGCACCAACAGGTAAGATTCATCCATGCCACTCATTCATTCTATAAACATTCAATTCTTGACAATAATTTCTAAATCTGAATCATTTCTACAAAAAAAAATTGAAAATTCTTACAAGATTTTTCTTTTAGCAAGGTAAAATTTAAGCATCTTCCTAAGATTGCAATAGATCTGTACAAAATCTTTATCCCTTTCAGTTCGTTGAGAAGATGATGTTAGGAGAAGAGTTTATATAAGCTGAAGTTAATAAAACTTACCACCACTTAGGAAATGCTGATGTCCCAACTAAGCTACCTGACAATGGAATCTGATTTTTATCCCCATAGGAGCAATTGATCTTCTGAAACAAAAGACCATGAAAGTGAAAAGCATTGCAGAGATTGGAGTTGGGGTCAGTGGACTGGCTGCCACTAAGCGCTGTCTGGAGGAAAGACTTCAGCCCATTTGCTTTGAAGAAAAAGTAGCATTGGAGGAATCTGAATATATGAGGTAAGTTTGGGTGACTTCCAAATCTCTCACCTGGGAAAGCCACACCTGTGGTTCACCCACTCTACCCTAATAGCAGCACTGGACATTCTTATTTCTCAAACAAGCTACTACCATGCTTTCAACAAATGCTTACCAATCTTCTCCTATGTCAGGCACTTATATATATAACATATTGTAACATATATATAGGAGTTTACAGTAAACAAAGTATGTAATATAACATATATGTTATAACTGTAAACAAAACAGACAAAAATATCTGCCCTCATAAAAGAGATAAGCAATAAACAAGATAAGATAAATATTAATACATAAAATGTGTTGTATATTAGATGATGATAGTTGTTAGGAAGAAAAAATAAAGTCCACAAGAGGGATATAAAATGTGGTGCAGTGTAGGATTTAATGATTAGGTAGCCAGAAAAGCCTCACAAGAAGGTGATTTTTCAGTAAAAACCAGGAGGAAGGAATGGGCATGCAGATGTCTGCAGGGAGAGAACTGAAGCAATTTGAACAACATACAGAAGGATGGCTAGTATGCTTGAGGGACAGCAAAGAGGTCAGTGGAGCTGGAGAGGAGGAAATGGTGGGGCAAACAATAGATGATATCAGAGAAGGAGCAAACAGCCAGATGGGAAGCCACTGGAACATTGTGAGCAAACCAGAGACATAATTCAAAAGGATTTCTGTGACTGCTGTGCTGAAAATATATGACGATGGATAAAGGCAAAACTGGGGAGATAAGTTCGGAGGCGTTTGCAACAACCTGGGCAAGAGATGATGGTGGCTTGGATCTCGCTAGTGGTAGTAGACTGGTGAGAAGTGACTGGATTGTGGATACATCCTAAGGACAGATCCTGCAAGATAGAGAAGACTGCAGGAGAAATTGGTTTGTTTGGTAGGGCGAGAGGAAGGAGGAATTTGGGATGCCATGGTGATTCTGTCTGCACCCTGCCCTTATTCTCTAGCCTGGACCTCTTCAGCATGTGCTGCCCACTTCCAATTGCCAGAATTTGCATCACTTGCCTGTGGGCTTTCCTCAAAGCTACTCTGCTCACAGGAATAAACCAAAAATGCCTGGGAGCCTGGGATCAAGCTTCAAACAGCAACCGACAGGATTTGGCGTATATGATTATTCCATCCTCCCTGAGGAGTTTAACTCTGAGGTCTGTGTTCTACAGCATTTCCTTGAGTTTCCCCACAGAATGAAGCCCCAGTCAGCCCCAAGTAGCTGATTTGATAATGCATTCCTTTGGTCTTTCATTCCTTGTCTTGCTCTCCCACTCACCTACTGAGATATCTTCTATCTTCCAAGAAAAAAAAAAAAAAAGAATAGGTATTGGCATTAAATCCTTGTTTTAGGGTCTGCTTCTGAGAGAACCAAAATAAAACCAAGTGAAAATTTTAAGTAGGCAATTGAAGACATATTTATGGAGTTCAAAGGGGAGCTCCCAGATAGAGATAAAAATTTAAAGACGTCAGAGTATAAATGTTATGTAAAGTTGTAAAAGCAGATGAGATTGCCCAAGGAGTGGGTGTAGTTAGAAGAGACCAAGGAAAGAGTCCTGGAGAACTGCAACATTTAGAGGTCTCCAAGATGAAGACGAACCATAAAGAAACTCAGGAAGTGCAATGAGAAAGAGAAAAGGAAAACCAGGCAAGTGGAGTGTCCTGGAAGCCAAAAGAAAGGAGTCATCATCTAGGGGAAAACTGCAGATATGTCAATTAAGACGAGGATTTACAAAATCCCATAGGATCAGCAGCTAGCTTGGAGGTCACTGACCTCAGAAAGAGCAATTTCATAAAGTTGTGGGGTAAAAACCTGATTAGAATAGATTCAAGAGATAAAGAGAGATGAGAAAATAGAGACAGCAAGTATAGACAATCCTTTAAAGAAGTTTTACTGTAAAATGAGGTAGGTAGAGGCTGAAGATTCAGGGAGAAGTGGAGGTAAGAGTTTTTTCTAAGATGAGAAAAATGACAGCATGTTTTTATGTTGATAAGAATGATCTCATTGAAAGGGGAAAGATAAGCTGGAAATTTTAAAAATTAAATTAAATTTAAAAAGAAAGGGGAAAGTTGATAATGCAAGTTGGGGAGGGGGATAGAATTGCCGATGTGATGTCCTTAAATAGGTGAGAAAAAGTGTGATCTATGACTCAGATGAAGACATTGGCTTTGGTTAGGAACCTTAGTAACAGAAGAGTGAAATATATGGGCACAGATGCAGCTAGCTGAGTAGACGAGATGGCGAGAGCTTTTGGAAGTTCTCTTCTGATTGTTTCCATTTTTGGCAACATAGGAAGCAAGGTAGTGAGCTAAAGGTAAGCATGAGGAAGGAGATGCAGAGTTTGGAAGACAGAGAATGTATGAAATAGCCATTTGCAGAGTGGAATAAAAATGGTCTAGAGAAAGTTTGATTGATGGGCAACATTCGAGGCCCAGGAAACTGGCTCAATATTATAGCCATGGAAATATTTTAGCAGCTCTGCTGGGAGGTGGGATCTGGATAGGGCTTCCTAGGCTTTGAATATTCAGGCCTTTGGGTTTATGTGACCACTCCCTACCAACAGGGATCTTTTCACATACAAATATTTCTAGACAGACCCCTGAAAGTCTGCTCTTGTTTGTAGTAAGGCAAAACTCACACACATTCAAAGATTTCCTAAGCCATTTCAGTGTCATTTAATGTGCAATGAGCCATAAATTCTATTCAAAGGAGAGACTAGACTTGGAAATAATAATGTACAATGTTAAAAGTTTATTTGTTATTCTACTTTTGTTAAATCATAACGTCTTCTTCTTTACATATTAATTTATTGTTCACAAAGGTAAATGTTTTATACCTTGGTGGGTTCACAATGTAATTGTTGCATTGTTTTTTGATTCTCCACCATTGTTATTTGTTTCTACTCTAGCTTTTATTTCTCAATTTATCTTTGCACCTTCTTCCCCTCAAAGGAAACCCAAGGAATTTTCACTAGCCTATCCTCCACTTTTTCCTCTTCAATATCACATTTTTAATAGCTGTAAGATTTATTTTTGATAGCTGTGTGATTTATTGTATGGGTCTTATTTTAAAGGAATTATTCTACCCTTTATAAAATGTAAATGTTTGTATTTTTTTCTTTTAGACCCCATCATATCATGAAAAAAAATCTAGACATTGGATATAGAAAACCTAGGTTCAAGCATTAACTCCCTACTTAATTGATATATGACTTACCGGTTTAACATTTCCAAACCACAGTTTCTCAAATTAAAATGGAGATAATAATTATATCTGTATTATATGTGTTGTAAGGATCAAATAAAATAGTTTGTGGCATAGACTTTTTTAATAGTAATAAGTTTTGTAAGATTGCTATAACAAAGTACCACAAACTGGGTGGTTTAAACAGCAGAAATCTATTGTCTCACAGTTCTGGAAGCTAGAAGTCCAAGATTAAGGTGTTGACAGGATTAGTTCCATGTGAAATTTGTGAGGAAGAATCTGTTCCATGCCTCTCTCTTATCTTCTGCTTGTTTGCTGGCAGTCTTTGGTATTCCTTGGCTTGTAGAAACATCACTCCTATCTCTGTCCCAATCTTCACATGGAGTTTTCCCTGTGTTTGTGTCTATCACCACATTTCTCCTTTTTATAATGACATCAGTCATATTAGACAAGGCTCACCTTACTCCATTATGACCTCATCTTAACTAATTGTATTAATACATCTGTAAAGACCCTGTTTCCATATAAGGTCACATTCTGAGGTACTGTGGCTTGGACTTCAACATACGAATTTATAGGGAACAAAATTCGACCCATAACAGGACCCACACTTCTTGTAAAGAGATTGCCAGCAATCTCTTAGATTGCTTAGAAAGTAGAGATGTATCTTTGCCTGTGATGCCTTTGTTCCTCCTCAGATTCAGCATCTGAAACCCAAAGTATGTTCTTCTTCATGATAAAGTAGGATCAAAGCCTTAAATTCATTGAAGACATTATTTATCTTCAATATTTGGCCTTCTTCATTATTGCAGATAATGAAGAATCAACTGCTTTCTACTTTCAACAAATTATTACACCTGGAAGCCTCGTGTTGTTCAGTTCAGGTGTCTTTATGCCCTGCAGGGGAATCCTGAAGGCTGAAAGCCAAGTGTGTACAAATCTGCCATCTGCAATGCCTCTAAGCAAATTAGAAACTATAATGACTATCCTGCTCCTGATCATTGTCCCAAATATTTGCATAATTCTAAAGTTATAAAGTATGTCAGGATGTATGCCAGGCATTTCAACCTTAAAAAATACATCAAATTTCTGATAAGAAAAGATCGGGTGTAGCATAATGACACTGTTCACTGAAGAGTCAGTAGAGTTCATGACTATCAAAGCAATGTTTTTTCTCACTGCAGGGATCACCACAATTTTCACACATTGTTGATATTGTTTAGTTTTACCGTGCGCCTCTTAGGAGAAAGGGCAGAATCATGCATTTAGAGCACTGTGGACATGGTTTTCAATTCGAGTTTCTTAGTTACACTTGGTTACACGTATAGAAGTCTAGGAGTTTAGTAAATCAGGTGCATTTGCTGTCCTATACAGTCATAACCACAGCCTATTTTCAGTAGAGCAGGCAGCACTAAAAGTCTCATGAGAAAATTCCTGAAGACTTTTAATAGAAAATTAGGCACTAGATCCTACCCCAGGTAAGAAGAATAAATCATCTGTTCTTCAAATTCTGGAAAAAAGATGGAAGTGTAAAAATAGTGGTCAAAGATTAAGGTTGTCTCTTTGTTCCCAGTTGAAGGTGTGTATTGTGAAAAAAGATTATGACTTATCTTTCACCAACCAGTAGTGGTAGAGACTGAGGGAGGCAGGAAGCCCTCAACTTTTTTTTTTTTTTTTGAGACAGAGTTTCGCTCTTATTGACCAGGCTGGAGTGCAATGGCACAATCTCGGCTTGCTGCAACCTCCGCCTCCCAGATTCAAGCAATTCTCCTGCCTCTGCCTCCCAAGTAGCTGGGATTACAGGCAGGCACCACCACTCATAGTATTTAATAGAGACAGGGCTTCACCATGTTGGTCAAGCTGGCTTCAAACTCCTGACCTTAAGTAATCCACCTGCTTCAGCCTCCCAAAGTGCTGGGATTACTGGCGTGAGCCACTGAGCCTGGCCTAGGAAGCCCTCATCTTTGATGCGGTTATGGTGTGCAGCAAGCAGTACACTGACTGCTTTTTGCTACTGCAGTTCTTCCAAAATAGGTCATCTGAAAGACTATTTCTGGAGATTCATGGTACATTATTCCTGAATGTACTCTAAGTGTATGTTTGTGGAAAGAAGTATCTTTTCTTCTTTTTCAACTGATTTGAAAGAAATGGTGTGATTAAAGCCATAGAAAACCTTCCTGTTTGAAGAATTTGCTTTAGTTGTAAAATTACAAAACCTAACTCATAGGGTAAACTGAAAAATAGGCCCCAGCACCCTAAGGTGATCAGGAATAGTAACCTTGAGCTTTGCTGTTTTTGACCATTAAATATAGTATTAGGAAGACAGATTTTCAAGGTAAAATTTGTTTTTCAAAGAAAGAAAGAGGATTTTTTCCTTTTTCTTTGCCTCGACTAGAACTTAGCCATGAGATTGCTAAGCCTTGGCCTTGACATGGTGATGCTATGCTTATACCTCCACATCCTACTGCTTGAGCTATGAGACATTTAACCAAATGTTTAAATAAAATGTACTTTTAGTTAAGGAAAAATTTTCCACAATGACTGTCAAAGGAGTCTTCAAGCATGGAAGGTAAGAGCATGGATGCCCCAGTCCCAGCTATCTGGGTTCAAACTGCTGGTCCACTCCTTACTAGCTGGGTAACCCTAAATAAGTTATAAAAATTTTCCACACAAGATTTCTCTCCTGCAATGTAAATAATTGTGTGCAAATCACAGTTAGTTGTTAAGATTAAATGAGTTACTCTAAGTAAGCCTGTACCTACTGTACCTATGACCTACCATACCTACAATATGTAAGCATTATTTATATTTGCTATTGTATGCTTTTATTTCAATTCCTATAGATTCCTGAATATGAGCAATTCTTCTCTCTTCACACAAGTATCAAAAAGTTCAGCAGTCTGTATTTCCAAGTTGTGACTAAAGAGCACCCAAATATTTTGTAGAGAAAATAATTGGGTTTCTTCAAGATGGCTGACTAGAAGCATCTCAATCATGCCTCATTCATTAGAAAACTCCAAAGAGTGTGTAGACAATCTCACTTTGAATATATTATTCAAAAGGGAACACGAAAGTTCAACAAAAAAAGTTACAAGACACACCTAAAACTAGAAAGGATAAAGAAAACAGACAGCCTGCTTGGCTGGAATCAGCTGGGAACCAGGAGTGATCCCCAGTATAAGAGAGGGTGGATGAGAGTCTTTCTGCAGTCCATTTTCACTGAACCATTTTCCACTGGATGAATCATACAATCCAGGCCATGGGAGACCACCATGACCTTCCCAAGATCTGAATCTAACTTAGAGAGCAGCCAAGAGACCGTGAGAAGAAATGGCTCCACAGAGGGAACTCTGAGTCCCACACTTTTTCTGTAACCTAAGCAGATACAGTAAGATGCCATTCTCAATCCTAGCTTAAAACAGACTGTGCACTGTCCTGGGAACCAATGGTGCCGGTCCTGGGAATTAAGGAAACTCAGGCTGCTGCTTGCAGAACTAGGGCATGAGCAGGAGGTAGGCTTCTGCTACCAGAACTGAGAAGTCAGTGTGGCATGGACTGCAGCTACCAGTGCTAGAAGCAAACACAGACTTCAGGTTTTGAGCAGGACAAGAATTGCAACAGAGGCTTGGTGTTGAGCCAGCTTGGGGTTCATATAGCTCTGGGCTGAGTTGCAGGCTAGGCACAAACTGCCAACACAGGTCTTATGCATCGGCTGTGACAGGCAGGACTGGGTAGCTAGCCCCTCTGGGACTGTGGTGTGAGAGAGGCATAAGTCCCCCAACCACTGGCCAAGCCTGCAGCCCTTAGAGCTAGCCTCCCTCCCCTTCATGGCAGGACCTCAGCACAGCAGGGACTGCACCTCACCCAAGCATTCTGCCAGGAGCTTGATGATCACCACACCCCTACCCATCATGGCCAGTGCATGCACTTGCCACTGGGAGACCTCAGTGCAAGCTTACTCAGTCCATCTCTGCCTGGCTTCGGCCCCCTCCCCTCTGACACAGAGTGTAGGATCCAGGGTCCTGGGGATTAGACAACCCAATCCACCACCTGAGACACCCTAGCACTCCTCCTGGGACACTGAGGTTGGGCATAAACACCCTACTACCACCTCCTCTGGCTCCTATCTGCAAACACCTCCTGCTGGCCTGAAGGCTGGCCTACACAACTCATTGTACCCACTGCCAACATAAGCACACAGCCCTTGGGAACCAGAAGAGCATCTCAACAGTGCTACTGCCATTGCCCATGCCAATCCATCTGCCCAAGGGCTCCAGAGGTAGCTCACCTGCCCAGTACATTGCTAAGCTGTCTATAGTCAAGAGAAAAAGTGAATTATAAAACAGCAAGAGAAAACATTCTCGTCATCTGTAAAGGAAACTCCATCAGACTAAAAGTGGACTTCTCAGCAGAGAAGCTACAGGCTAGAAGAGAATGGGATAATATTTTCAAGTGCTGAAAGAAAAAAAGTGGGCAGCCAAGAATTCTATATTCAGCAAGATTAACCTTCATAAATGAAGGAGAAATAAAGTATTTCACAGACAAGCAAATTCATCACGACTAGACAGGCTGTTGAAGAAATACTCAAGGGAGTCCTAAACTTGGAAGTGAAAGGATGACATTAACCTCATGAAAACACACAAAAGTAGAAAACTCACTGATAAAGCAATCACACAATGGAGGAAGACAAAGGAATCAAATGGCACCATCACAGAATTCCACCAAATAAAAACGACAATTGGAGAAAAAGAAAGAAACAGCTAGAAAACCATTAACCATATGACAGGAACAAAATCCCACATGTCAATATTAACCTTGGATATAAATAGATTAAATGCTCCACTTAAAAGATACAGATTGGCTGAATGTTTTTTTTTAAATGATCAACTATATGCTGCTTACAAGAAACTCACTTTACCTGTAAAGACACAGGCTGAAAGTAAAGGAGTGGAAAAGATATTCCATGCAAACAGAAACTAAAAGGAAGCAGGAGCACCTACATTTATATCAGATAAAACAGACTTTAAGTCAAAAACAGTAATTTTAAAAGAAGACAAAGGAGGTGATTATAGAATGATAAAGGGATCAATCCATCAAGAGTATAGAACAATTCTAAATTAAATGCACCCAACACTGGAGAACCCAGGTTCATAAAACAAATCTTACAAGACCTAAAGAGAGAGAGACAGAGCAATACAATAATAGTAGGGGACTTCAATACCCCACTCACAACATTAGGTGGGTCTTTTAGAGAGAAAATTGACAAAAACATTGAACTTAAATTGTAATTTAGACCAAATGAATTTAAGCATTTACAGAACTTTCTACTGAACAACTGCAGAATATACATACCTTTTGACAGTCAGTACATGAGGCATTCTCCAAGATAGACCACATTTGGCTACAAAATAAGTCTCAACAAATTTTTAAAAATCAAAAATGTATGAAATGTCTTCTAAGCCTACAGGGAAATAAAGCTGGAAATTAATACTAAGAGAAACTTTGGAAACTATATAGATGCATGAAAATTAAACAACATGCTGCTGAACAACCATTAGGTCAATGATGAAATTACCAAAACCTGTGAGATACTGCAAAAGCAGTGCTAACAGGAAAGTTCATAGCATTAAATGCTTACAATAAAAATGTAGAAATATTACAAATTAACAATTAACAATGTACTTCAAGGAACAAGAAGAGCAGGAGTCAACTAAATGTTAACTTAGTAGAAGAAAAGAAATAAAGATCAGAGCAGAATTAAATGGAGACTAAAAGCACAAAGCATAAATGAAATGAAAAAAATGGCTTTTGAAAAAGATAAACAAAATTGATAAGCCACTAGCTAGACTAACCAAGAAGAGAGAAGACCCAAATAAATAATATCAAAAATGAAAAATGACACAGTACAACTGATACCACAGAAATACAAAAGATCATCAGAGACTATTAAGAACAACTATATGTTAACAAACTGGAAAACCAAGAGGAAATGGATAAATTTCTGGAAACATACAACCTCCCAAGATTGAACCAGGAAGAAATAGAAAACCTGAACAGATCAATAACAAATAGTGAGATTCAATTAGTAATAATAAAAAAAAATACCAAGAAAGAAAAGCCCAGGGCCAGATGGATTCAAAGCCAAATTCTTCCAAACATACAAAGAAGAACTAATACCAATCATTGGGTAATTGTTCCACAAAACTGAGGAGAAGGGAATTCTCCCTTACTCATTCTATGATGCCATTATCTCCCTGATACTAAAACCAGACAAGGACAAAACAAAAAAGGAAAACCACAGGCCAATGTCTCTGATGAACATAGATGCAAAAATCCTCAACAAAATAGCCGCAAACTAAATTAAAAGCACATCAAAAAGATAATGTATCATGATCAAGTAGGTTTCATATCAGGAATGCAGAAACTAAAAGCGAGCAGGAGCACCTACGTTTATACCAGATAAAACAGACTTCAAGTCAAAAACAGTAATGAAAAAAAAGACAAAGAAGGTGATTATAGAATGATAAAGGGATCAATCTATCAAGAGTATGGAACAATTCTAAATTATATGCACCCAATATTGGAGAACCCAGATTCATAAAACAAATCTTATAAGACCTAAAGAGAGAGATAGCGAGCAACACAATAATAGTAGAGGACTTCAATACCCCACTCACATTAGGCAGGTCATTTAGACAGAAAATTAACAAAAACATTGAATTTAAACTGTAATTTAGACCAAATGAATTTAAGAGGCATTTACAAAACATTCTACTGAACAACTGCAGAATATGCATACTTTTCAACAATCAGTTCATGAGTCATTCTCCAAGATAGACCACATGTTTGGCTACAAAACAAGTCTCAGCAAATTTTTAAAAATCAATGCATGGATGGTTCAACATATGCAAGTCAATAAATGTGTTATATCACATAAACAATCAAGGACAATAAACCATATGATCTTCTCATAGATGCAGAAAAAACATTTGATAAAACTTAGCATCAAAATAGACATAGAAGAACCGCATCTCAAAATATATATGACAAACCCACAGTTAGCATCATACTGAATACAGAAAAGTTAAGCCTTTCCTCCAAGACTGGAACAAGACAAGGATGCCCACATTACACTTCTAGTCAACATTATACTGGAAGTTCTAGCCAGAGCAATTAGGCAAGAGAAGGAAATAAAAGGCATCCAAATTGGTAAAGAGGAAGTCAAATTATCCCTGTTTGCTGATGATGTGACTTTATATCTAGAGAAACCTAAGACTCCACCAAAAAGATTTGATCATGAATTAAAGTTGCAAGATACAAAATCAATGTACAAAAATTAGTAGTATTTCTATACACCAATAATTATCTATGTAAGAAAGAAATCAAAAAGACAATTCCATTTAAAATAACTACAAAAAAATACCCAATAGATTTTACCAAGAAGGTGAAAGAAAGATCTCTACAAAGAAAACTACAAAACACTGATGAAATAAATTGTGGATAACAAAAACAAATGGAAAAACATTCCATGCTTATAGATCAGAGGAATTAATATCATTAAAATGGCCATATTGCCCAAAGCAATTGACAGATTTAATGCAATCCCTATCAAAATATCAACATCATTTTTCACGGAACTAGAAAAAAAAAAACAATTCTTAAATTCGTGTGGAACCAAAAAGAGCACAAATAGCCAATGCAATCTTAAACAAAAAGAACAAAGCTGGAAGCATCATGTTACCTGACTTTAAATTCTATTACAAAGCTATAGTAACTGAAACAGCATGGTACTGGTATAAAAACGGATGCATACATCAATGGAACAGAATGAAGGACTCAGAAATAAAGCCACACATTTACAGCCAGCTGATCTTTGACAAGCCAACAAGAACATACTTTGGAGAAAGGCCAACTTTTTCAATAAAAGGTGCTCGAACAATTAGATTGCCATATGAAACAGTAAAAAACTGGGCCCCTATCTCTCACCATATACAAAATCAACTCAAGATGGATTAAAGACAGACATTGGAGAGACCAAGGCAAGAGGATCACTTGAGGCCAGGAGTTTGAGACCAGCCTGGGCGACATAGACCTGTTTCTAAAAAAAAAAAAAGCTAGCAAGGTGTGTTAGTGCATGCCTGTAGTCCTAGTTACTTGGGAGGCTGAGGTAAAGGGCCACTTGAGCCCAGGAATTCAAAGTTGCAGTGAGTTACGATCACCCCCACTGCACTCCAGCCTGGGTAACAGAGAGAGACACTATCTCAAGAAAACAAAGCAAAACAAAACAAAAACTCCAACTATGAAAAATATCAGAAAAAAATCCTAGGAAAAACTTTTCTGGACATTGGCCTAGGCAAAGAATTTAGGACTAAGACCTCAAAAGCATATGCAAAAAACGAAAATAGACAAATGAGATTTTATTAAACTGAAAAGCTTCTGCGCAGCAAAAGAAATAATCAACAGAGTAAAAAAACCAACCTGAGAATGGAAGAAAATATTCACAAACTATTGATCTGACAGGGAACTAATATCCACAATATACAAGGAACTCAACAACAGAAACAATTCCAAGTAAAAGTGGGTAAGGTATATGAGTAGACATTTTTAAAAGGAAGACAGACCAATGGCCAAGAAGTATATGAAAAATGTTCGACATCACTAATCATCATAGAAATGCAAATTAAAACCACAATGTAATATCACCTTGCTCCAATCAGAATGTCTATTATTAAAAATAAATAAACAACATGTTGGCAAGGATGCAGAGAAAAGAGGATGCTTATACACTATTGGTGGGAATGCAAATTAGTACCACCTATGAAAAAAGTGTGACAATTTCTCAAGGAACTAAAGATACAACAATTCAGTCCAGAAATCTCACTACTGGGTGTCTACCAAAAGGAAAAGAAATCAATGTACCAAAAACATATCTGCACTGGTTTGTTTATCACAGCACTGTTCACAATAGCAAAGACATGGAATCAACCTAAGTGTCCATCAACAGATGAATGCATAAAGAAAGTCGGGTATAGATGTACAATGGAATACTATTCAGCCATTAAAAAGAATGAAATCATGATTTTGCAGCAAAATGGATGAAACTGGAGGTCATTATTTTAAGTGAAACAAACCAAGCACAGAAAGTCAACTTTCACATGTTCTCACTCATAATTGGGTGCTGAAAACTGTGTAAAAATAGATGTAGAGATTGGAATGATAGACAATGCATACTTGGAAGGGTGAGGGCATGAAGGGGTGTATTTGTTGAGAAATTAGTTAATAATTAGTTAATAGGTACCATGTGCGTTAACTGAGTGATGAATACTGTAAAATCCCTGATGTGGCCACTACACAATCCATGCATGTAACAAAACTGCACATGTACCCCATAAATTTGTACAAATGTTTTTAAATAGAATTGTACTCAGCATTGGGAATTCCGGAGCAGATATTGCATGTGAACTGTACTACATTACTAAGCTGGTTTGGTACCCATGCCTCTTCCCCTAGACCATGAGCTGAGTACAATAAGGAACAATTTTTATTCACTTTTGCATTCATAACACCTGTTCAGGGTATGACCCAGAATATGTACTCTGAAATATTAATCATTAATTAATTTAAACATTCTGTTCCTAGATGCAAACAATCCTTCAATGTTTTACACAATTCACAGCTCACTTAGAGCCTAGACTTCTAGGCATTACTAAGGAATAGTGGCCTCATCCAACTAGGCCATTCATATTTAAATACTTCAAACCTATTTTATTAAAGATAATTAGCCTCCAATAAAGCCATTTACTTTGGTGCTTGGCGAGACATTAGGAAATGTAAATATTTTGCATACTTCTAAGTTGAGACTTCTGCAAAGAGAGACAGAGAAAAAAGAGAATTTTAAGCAAATTTCTAAAGTGTTAGAGAGGATGTAGGAGGTAAAAATGACAAAAACAGATAAAATAATCCATTACTCAATTAAACATTTCTGAGCTAGTAAAATACAGATCAGCAAAGTGAAATGATTGTTTTGTATTTTTTTCTCTTTTCCAGGTGTTCCTTAGCACAAGGTAGAGTGCATGGATATGGAACAGAATCTGAGATAAGAGGTCACCCACAGATATTGCTGTCTTCACTCACTTTAAGAGTAGTCTGACTTCCTTCCCATTTCTTGATCAACTACTTCTCAGAAAATTAAATTAAATGCCAAATTTAACTATGCTATTTATTCTGCAAACCACAGCATGGATATGGTGTAGGATTTAATTTAAACTTCACAATTGGGGTAGGTTAAACAACCAGACATAGAATGTAAATTTATTTTGGTAGGGGGAGACAGAGTTTCCCTCCGCTTCCCAGGCTGGAGCGCAACGGGGTAATCTCGGTTCACTGCAACCTCTGACTTCTGGGTTCAAATGATTCTTGTGCCTCAGCCTCCCGAGTATCTGGGATTACAGGCATAAGCCACCATGCCCAACTAATTTTTTTATTTTTAGTAGAGACAGGGTTTCGTCATGTTGGTCAGGCTAGTCTCGAACTCCTGGCCTTAAGTGATCTGCCCACCTCGGCCTCCCAAAGTGCTGGGATTACAGGCATGAGCCAAGTCACCTGGCCAGAATGCAAATTTTAAGCCTGATGGGTACCTTACAGAGTTCCAGTTTTAAAAGCATTACAAGAACCTTGATCAAATCAGTACTGTGTGGAGGAGATGTGCACCACCTCTTCTTATTTACCTCTGGGAGATGGTACTCAGTAAGCACAGGAGGGAGAAATTCAGTCCCTAAAATGTCACAGCATCTTCGATTGTTCCCACTTTATGTACATTGTACTACCTTTGTTCCCCCTTGGCTATTATTTATTTTTGGTTGTTGGCACAAAAGATGGACGCACACACAACTTTATATCTCCCATCATGATACTTATTACTATATTGTAACTCCGAGAGATAAACACCTCCGTAACCTCAACACCTATCATGCACTTAGCACTCAGTAAATTTTCACTTAACTAATTTGATATGGTTTGGCTCTGTGTCCCCACCCAAATCTCATCTCAAATCTGCAGGTGTCCAGGGAAGGACGTAGTGGGAGGCGATTGGATCATGTGGGCAGTTTCTGCCATGCTATTCTCACGACAGTGGGTGAGTTCTCATGAGATCTGATGGTTTAAAAGTGTTTGGTAGTTCCTTCCTCTCTCTCTCTCTCCTGCCACCATGTAAGACACGTCTTGCTTTCCCTTTGCCTTTTGCCAGATTGTAAGTTTCCTGAGGCCTTCCCAGCCATGTGGAACTGTGAGTCAATTAAACTTCTTTTCTTTATAAATTACCCAGTCTCAGGTGGTTCTCTATAGCAGTGTGAAAATGGACTAATACATAATTCATCAAGAAAAACTTACATAATTTGGCCAGGTGCAGTGACTTATGCCTGTAATCCCAGCCCTTTGGAAAACCAAGGGGAGAGAATCACTTGAGCTCAAGAGTTTGAGACCAGCCTGGGTAACATAGGGAGAAAATCTCTACAAAAAAATAAATTTAGAAAAATTAACCAGGCATGATTTGACATGCCTGTGGTCCCAGCTACTCAGGAAGCTGAGATGGGACAACCACTTGGGCCCGGGAGGCTGAGAGTGCAGTGAGCCACGATCGTGCCATTGCACTTCAGCCTGGGTGACAGAATAAGATCCTATCTCAAAAAGAAAAACTCATATAATTTAATGTAAATTCTTTCTTAATTAGTTAATATAAAGAAGGATAGCCATACACTCCCACAGACACTGTTGCAATCACACGAGTCTTAATATGATCATTTTTGTCCTCTCATTTTGTAATGTAATAGGTCTTTCTACTTGACTACATTAGTAACATTTACCTTTATACTGTCACTTTTTTGTTTTTTCTTTTTTTATTATTATTAAACTTTAAGTTCTGGGTTACATGTGCAGAACATGCAGAATTGTTACATAGGTATACACATGCCATGGTGGTTTGCTGCACCCATCAACCCGTCACCTACATTAGGTATTTCTCCTAATGTTTTCCCTCCGCTAACCCCCCACCCCCCACAGGCCCCAGTGTGTGATGTTCCCCTCCTTGTGTCCATGTGTTCTCATTGTTCAACCCCCACTTATAAGTGAGAACATGCAGTGTTTGGTTTTCTGATCTTGTGATAGTTTGCTGAGAATGATGGTTTCAAGCTTCGTCCATGTCCCCACAAAGGACATGAACTCATCCTTTTTTATGGCTGCATACTATTCCATGGTGTATATGTGCCACATTTTCTTAATCCAGTCTATCATTGATGGATATTTGGGTTGTTTCCAAGTCTTTGCTATTGTGAATAGTGCTGCAATAAACATATGTGTGCATGTATCTTTAGTGTAGAATGATTTATAATCCTTTGGGTATATGCCCAGTAATGGGATTGCTGGGTCAAATGGTATTTCTAGTTCTAGATCCTTGATCACCATACTGTCTTCCACAATGGTTGAACTAATTTACACTCCCACCAACAGTGTAAAAGTGTTCCTATTTTTCCACAACCTCTCCAGCATCTGTTGTTTCCTGACTTTTTAATGATCACCATTCTAACTGGCATGAGATGGTATCTCATTTGGTTTTGATTTGCATTTCTCTAATGACCAGTGATGATGAGCATTTTTTCATAAGTCTGTTGGCTGCATAAATGTCTTCTTTTGAGAAGTGTCTGTTCATATCCTTTGCCCATTTTTGATGGGGTTGTTTGCTTTTTTCTTGTAAATTTGTTTAAGTTCTTTGTAGATTCTGGATATTAGCCCTTTGTCAGATGGATGGATTGCAAAAATGTTCTCCCATTCTGTAGGTTGCCTGTTCACTCTGATGGTAGTTTCTTTTGCTGTGCAGAAGCTCTTTAGTTTAATTAGATCCCATTTGTCAATTATGGCTTTTGTTGCCGTTGCTTTTGGTGTTTTAGACATGAAGTCTTTGCCCATGCCTGTGTCCTGAATGGTATTGCTCAGGTTTTCTTCTAGGATTTTTATGGCTCTAGGTCTTACATTTAAGTCTTTGATCCATCTTGAGTTGATTTTTGTATAAGGTGTAAGGAAGGGGTCCAGTTTCAGTTTTCTGTATAAGGCTAGCCAATTTTCCCAACACCATTTATTAAATAGGGAATCTTTTCCCCACTGCTTGTGTGTGTCAGTTTTGTCAAAGATCAGATGGTGGTAGATGTGTGGTGTTATTTCTGAGGCCTCCGTTCTGTTCCATTGGTTTATATACCTGTTTTGGCACCAGTCCCATGCTGTTTTGGTTACTGTAGCCTTGTAGTAAAGTTTGAAGCCAGGTAGCGTGATGCCTCCAGCTTTGTTTTTCTTGCCCAGGATTGTCTTGGCTATGTGGGCTCTTTTTGGTTACATATGAAGTTTAAAGTAGTTTTTTTCCAATTCTGTGAAGAAAGGCAGTGGTAGCTTGATGGGGATAACATTGAATCTACAAGTTACTTCAGGCAGTAAGGCCATTTTCACGATATTGATTCTTCCTATCCATGAGCATGGAATGTTTTTTCATTTGTTTGTGTCCTCTCTTATTTCCTTGAGCGGTGGTTTGTAGTTCTCCTTGAAAAGGTCCTTCACATCCCTTGTAAGTTGGATTCCTAGGTATTTTATTCTCTTAGTAGCAATTGTAAATGGGAGCTCACTCACGATTTGGCTCTCTGTTTTTCTGTTATTGGTGTATAGGAATGCTTGTGATTTTTGCACATTGATTTTGAATCCTGAAACTTTGCTGAAGTTCTCAGGATCTCAGATCTCTTTGCTGATCTCCTTATCAGCTTAAGAAGATTTTGGGCTTAGATGATGGGGTTTTCTAAATATGCAATCATGTCATCTGCAAACAGAGAAAATTTGACTTCCTCTCTTCCTATTTGAACACACTTTATTGCTTTCTCTTGCTTGATTGCCCCGGCCAGAACTTCCAATACTATGTTGAATAGTAGTGATGAGAGAGGGCATTCTTGTCTTGTGCCGGTTTTCAGAGGGAATGCTTCCAGTTTTTGCCCATTCAGTATGATATTGGCTGTGGGTTTGTCATCAATAGCTCATATTATTTTGAGATACGTTCCACTGATACCTAGTTTATTGAGAGTTTTTAGCATGAAAGGCTGTTGAATTTTGTTGAAGGCCTTTTCTGCATCTATTGAGATAATCATGTGGTTTTTGTCGTTGGTTCTGTTTATGTGATGGATTACGTTTATTGATTTGCATATGTTGTACCAGCCTTGCATCCCAGGGATGAAGCCCACTTGATCACGGTGGATAAGCTTTTTGTTGTGATGCTGGAATCGGTGTGCCAGTATTTTACTGAGGATTTTCGCATTGATCTTCATCAGGGATATTGGCCTAAAATTCTTTTTTTTCTTTTTTTTCTTTTTTGTGTCTCTGCCAGGCTTTGGTATCAGGATGATGCTGGCCTCATAAAATGAGTTAGGGAGGATTCCCTCTTTTTCTATTGATTGGAATAGTTTCAGAAGGAATGGTACCAGCTCCTCTTTGTACTTCTGGTAGAATTCGGCTGTGAATCCATCTGGTCCTGGACTTTTTTTGGTTGGTAGGCTATTCATAATTGCCTCAATTTCAGAACCAGTTATTTGTCTATTCAGAGATTCAACATCTTCCTGGTTTAGTCTTGGGAGGGTGTATGTGTCCAGGAATTTATCCATTTCTTCTAGATTTTCTAGTTTATTTGTGTAGAGGTGTTTATAGTATTCTAATGGTAGTTTGTATTTCTGTGGGATTGGTGGCGATATCCCCTTTATCTTTTTTATTGTGTCTACTTCATTCTTCTCTCTTTTCTTCTTTGTTAGTCTTGCTAGCAGTGTATCTATTTTGTTGATCTTTTCAAAAAGCCAGCTCCTGGATTCATTGATTTTTTTGAAGTGTTTTTGTGTTTCTGTCTCCTTCAGTTCTGCTCTGATCTTAGTTATTTATTGTCTTCTACTAGCTTTTGAATTTCTTTGCTCTTGCTTCTCTAGTTCTTTTAATTGTGATGTCAGGGTGTCGATTTTAGATCTCTCCTGCTTTCTACTGTGGGCATTTAGTGCTATAAATTTCCCTCTACACACTGCTTTAAATGTGTCCCAGAGATTCTGGTATGTTGTGCCTTTGTTCTCATTGGTTTCAAAGAACATCTTTATTTCTGCCTTCATTTCATTATTTACCTAGTAGTCATTCAGGAGCAGGTTGTTCAGTTTCCATGCAGTTGTGTGGTTTGAGGAGATTCTTATTCCTGAGTTTTAATTTGATTGCACTATGGTCTGAGAGACAGTTTGTTGTGATTTCTGTTCTTTTACATTTGCTGAGGAGTGTTTTACTTCCAATTATATGGTCAATTTTACAATAAGTGCTATGTGGTGCTGCGAAGAATGTCTATTCTGTTGATTTGGGGTGGAAAGTTCTCTAGATGTCTATTAGGTCCACTTCGTCCAGAGCCGAGTTCAATTCCTTGATATCCTTGTTAATTTTCTGTCTCGTTTATCTGTCTAATATTGACAGTGGGATGCTAAAATCTCCCATTATTATTGTGTGGGAGTCTAAGTCTCTTGGTAGGTCTCTAAGAACTTGCTTTATGAATGTGGGTGCTCCTGTATTGGGTGCATATATATTTAGGATAGTTAGCTCTTCTTGTTGAATTGATCCCTTTACCATTATGTAATGACCTTCTTTGTCTCTTTTGATCTTTGTTGGTTTAAAGTCTGTTTTATCAGAGACCAGGATTGCAACCCCTGCTTTTTCTTGCTTTCCATTTACTTGGTAGATCTTCCTCCATCCCTTTATTTTGAGCCTATGTGTGTCTTTGCACATGAGATGGGTCTCCTGAATACAGCACACTGATGGGTCTTGACTCTTTTTTTTTTTTTTTTTTTTTTTTTTTTTTTTGAGACAGAGTCTCGCTCTGTCACCCAGGCTGGAGTGGAGTGCAGTGGCACAATCTTGGCTCAGTGCAAGCTCCACCTCCCGGGTTCACGCCATTCTCCTGCCTCAGCCTCCTGAGTAGCTGGGACTACAGGCGCCTGCCACCATGCCCGGCTAATTTTTTTTTGTATTTTTTTAGTAGAGACAGGGTTTCACCATGTTAGCCAGGATGGTCTCTATCTCCTGACCTTGTGATCTGCCCGCCTCAGCCTCCCAATGTGCTGGGATTACAGGCGTTAGCCACTGCGCCCCGCCTGGGTCTTGACTCTTTATCCAATTTGCCCGTCTGTGTCTTTTCAGTGGGGCATTTAGCCCGTTTACATTTAAGGTTAATATTGTTCTGTGTGCATTTTATCCTGTCATTATGATGCTAGCTGGTTATTTCACCCATTAATTGATGCAGTTTCTTCATAGCATTGATGGTCTTTACAATTTGGCATGTTTTTGCAGTGGCTGGTACCGATTGTTCCTATGCTTCCTATCTAGTTTGGTGCTTCCTTCAGGAGCTCTTGTTTTGTTTTTTGTTTTTGGTTTTGATTTTGCTTTTGTTTGTTTTTTGTTTTCTTTTCTTTTCTTTTCTTTTGAGATGGAATCTCACTCTGTCACCAAGGCTGGAGTGCAGTGGCATGATCTCGGCTCACTGCAACCTCTGCCTCTTGGGTTCAAGTGATTCTCCTGCCTCAGCCACCCAAGTGTCCTTCAGGAGCTCTTATAATGCAGGCATGGTGGTGACAAATATCTCTCAGCATTTGCTTGTCTATAAAGGATTTTATTTCTCCTTCACTTATGAAGCTTAGTTTGGCTGGATACGAAATTCTGGGTTGAAAATTATTTTCTTTAAGAATGTTGAATATTGGCCCCCACTCTCTTCTGGCTTGTAGGGTTTCTGCAGAGAGATCCACTGTTAGTCTGATGGGCTTCCCTTTGTGGGTAACCCGACCTTTCTCTCTTGCTGCCCTTAACATTTTTTCCTTCGTTTCAACCTTAGTGAATCTGACAATTATGTGTCTTAGGGAGTATCTTTGTGGTGTTCTCTGTATTTCCTGAATTTGAATGTTGGCCTGCCTTGCTAGGTTGGGGAGGTTCACCTGGATAATACCCTGAAGAGCATTTTCTTACTTGGTTCCATTCTCCCCATCACTTTCAGGTACACCAATCAAACATAGATTTGGACTTTTCACATAGTCCCATATTTCTTGGAAGCTTTGTTCGTTTCTTGTCACTCTTTTTTCTCCAATCTTGTCTTCTCACTTTATTTCATTAATTTGATTAATTTGATCTTCAATCACTTCTGCTTGATCGAATCAGCTATTGAAGCTTGTGTATGCTTCACAAAGTTCTTGTGCTGTGGTTTTCAGCTCCATCAGGTCATTTAAGCTCTTCTCTACACTGGTTATTCTAGTTAGCCATTCGTCTAACCTTTTTTCAAGGTTTTTAGCTTTCTTGCAATGGGTTAGAACATACTCCTTTAGCTCAGAGAAGTTTGTTTTACCAACCTTCCGAAGCCTACTTCTGTCAACTCATCAAACTCATTCTCCATCTAGTTTTGTTCCCTTGCTGGTGAGGAGTTGTGTTCCTTTGGAGGAGAAGAGACATTCTGGTTTTTGGAGTTTTCAGCCTTTCTGCTCTGGTTTCTCCCCATCTTTGTGGTTTTATCTACCTTTGGTCTTTGATGCTGGTGACCTACAGATGGAGTTTTGGTGTGGATGTCCTTTTTGTTGATGTTGATGCTATTCCTTTCTGTTTGTTAGTTTTCCTTCTAACAGACAAGCCCCTCAGCTGCAGGTCTGTTGGAGTTTGCTGGAGGTCCACTCCAGACCCTGTTTGCCTGGGAATCACTAGCAGAGGTTTTAGAACAGAAAATATTGTTGCCTGACCCTTCCTCTGGAAGCTTTGTCCCAGAGGGGCACCTGCCTGTATGAGGTGTCTGTCAGCTCCTACTGGGAGGTGTCACCCAGTCAAGTTACACGGGGGTCAGGGACCCACTTGAGGAGGCAGTCTGTCCGTTATCAGAGCTCAAATGCCATGCTGGGAGAACCACTGCTCTCTTCAGAGCAGTCAGGCAGGGACATTTAAGTCTGGAGAAGCTGTCTGCTGCCTTTTGTTCAAATATGCCCTGCCCCAAGACATGGAATCTATAGAGGCAGTAGGCCTTGCTGAGCTGCAGTGGGATCCACCCAGTTTGAGCTTCCCTGCTGCTTTGTTTACACTGTGAGCATAGAACCGCCTACTCAAGCCTCAGCAACGGCAGATGCCCCTTCCCCCACCAAGCTCCCGCATCCTAAGTCGATCTCAGACTGCTGCATTAGCAGTGAGCAAGGCTCTGTGGGTGTGGGACCCACCAAGCCAGGCACAGGAGGATATCTCCTGGTCTACCAGTTGTGAAGACAGTGGGAAAAGTGCAGTATTTGGGCAAGAGTGTACTGCTTCTCCAGGTACAGTCACTTATGGCTTCCCTTGGCTAGGAAAGGGAAATCCCCCAATGCCTTGCCCTTCCCAGGTGAGATAATGCCCTGCCCTGCTTCGGCTCACCCTCCGTGGGCTGCACCCACTGTCCAACCAGTCCCAGTGAGATGAACCAGGTACCTCAGTTGGAAATGCAGAAATCACCTCTCTTCTGCATCGATCTTGCTGGGAGCTGTAGACCAGAGCTGTTCTTATTTGGCCATCTTGGAAGCGACCCCCCTTTTTTTTGTATTTTCAAGACAAGGTCTCACTTCTGTTGTCTCACTCACATCTGTGCAGTGGCACAGTCATGGCTCACTGCAGCCTTGACATCCATGGGCTTAGGTCTTGACCTCCCACTTTAGCTTCCTGAGTAGCTGGGACTACAGGAATGCACCACCATACCTGGCTAATTTTTGGATTTTTTCTATAGAGACACGGTCTCACTATGTTGCCCAGGCTGGTCTTGAACTCCTGGGCTTAAGTCATCCACCCACCTCAGCCTCCCAAAGTGCTAGGATTACAGGTGTGAATCACTGTGCCTGGCCCAAAGTCACTTTTAATTGCTAGATATCAATATTTCTCAGAGAACAAACTCACCCAAAGCTGGTTAATCCTTTGGAATTTCCCACTGTCCACAACAGGTTACCACAAACACTGGAAGGATAGACTGATGCAAATCTATGTATTCTATTAAAATATTTTAACCCAAAGTTCCCTGTGGAGGAATATAATTTGATGCATTGTTATTCTTCCCAGAGACATTTACTTAGCTCCTTTCTAAATAAAATTTACATTCACTCCCTAGAATCTCACTTTGTCTTACAGATTTCTCACCCATCAGGTTACTGTTAGTGATGATCTGCCCAACCACATAATTTCTAGAAGAGTGCCGGTAAAACTGAATGTGAAGGAGTTCACCTGGACATAGACCATCTTTGCGGATGGCACTGAAGAGAACATTAATGTTATTATCTTCACCACAGACTACACCTTGTCTTTTCTTTTCTTGGAGGATGGCTCAGCAATCCTGGACAGCCAGTGCTCCATGCTGAATTTTGTGTTCCCTCCTAGCTGGAGAAGGCAACACTTGTTTTCACTGGCTTACTGCAGCCAGGAGGAGGCACTATTCCCATTTTAAAACTTCAGAACCAATGGGCTGTACCTGTATTTAAAAGTATGTCTTGCCCTACTCAATATCATAGCAGAGTGGACTTCTGACCACATGGTATAATTTGAGAGGCACCCAGATAAACCAGAATGCAATATATATTCCTGTCAGTCCAGATTCAATATCTGAAATGCAACAAACCCCATTTTTCTTGGGTTTTAAAGACTTATCAGTCTTCACTAGCCCCTCAGTAAAATACAATCCCTCTATAAGAGCTTATATGTTAAATCATTTTCAGATTGGTGGAGCTTATTATCCGATACTTTCCAGATATAGCCACTGGTAAAAGTTAAACACTGTGGGAATAGACACAAGGTAAGTCTGTAAGTAGTGAAGGGAGACTTCCACCACAAAGAAAGTTGAGGGACTAATGGAATAATTGAAAATATCTTTTTAAAATTTTTATTTTAAGTTTGGGGGTACATGTAAACATGTAAAGTTTTGTTAGATAGATAAACACCTATCACAGGGGTTTGTTGTACATATCTTTACCTCACCCAGGTATTAAGTCCTGTACCAAATAGTTATCTTTTCTGCTCCTCTCCCTCCTCCCACCCTCCCCGCTCAAGTAGACCCCAGTATCTACTGTTCCCTTCTTTGTGTTCATACGTTCTTATCATTTAGCTCCCACTTGTAAGTGAGAATATGTGGTATTTGGTTTTCTATTCCTGTGTTAGTTTGCTAAGGATGATAGCCTCCAGCTCCATTCATGTTCCCTCAAAAGACACGATCTTGTTCTTTTTTATGGCTGCATAATATTCCACAGTGTATAGGTACCACATTTTCTTTATCCAATCTGCCATTGATGGGCATTTAGGTTGATTACATGTCTTTACTGTTGTGAACAGTGCTGCAATGAACATACACATACATGTGTCTTTATGGTAGAATGCTTTATATTCCTCTGGGTATATACCTAGTAATGGGATTGCTGGGTTAAATGGTAGTTCTGCTTTTAGCTCTTTGAGGAATCACTGTACTACTTTCCACACTGGTTGAACTAATTTACACTCCCATCAACAGTGTATAAGCTTTTCCCTTTCTCCACCATCTTGCCAGCATCTATTGTTTTTTGACTTTTTATTAATAGCCATTCTGAGTGGTGTCAAATGGTATCTCATTGTGGTTTTGACTTGCATTTCTCTAATGAGCAGTGATATTGAGCTTTTTTTCATATGCTTGTTGGCTGCATATGTCTTCTTTTGAGAAGTGTCTGTTCATACCCTTTGCCCACTTTTTAATGGGATTGTTTGTTTTTCTCTTGTAAATTTGTTTAAGTTCTTGTAAATGTGTTTAAGTTCCTTATAGAGGCTGGATATTAGACTTTCTCAGATGCATAGTTTGCAAATATTTTCTCCCATACTGTAGGTTGTCTGTTTACTCTGTTGATAGTTTATTTTGCTGTACAGAAGCTCTTATGTTTAATTAGATCTGATTTGTCAATTTTTGCTTTTGTTGCAATTGCTTTTGGAGTCTTTGTGATGAAATCTTTGCCTGTTCCTATGTCCAGGATGGTATTGCCTAGGTTGTCTTCCAGTGTTTTTATAGTTTTGGGTTTTACATTTGAGTCTTTAATTCATCTTGAGTTGATTTTTGTACATGGTGTAAGGAAGGGGTCCAGATTCATTCTTCTGTATATGGCTAGCCAGTTATCACAGCACCATTTATTAAATAGGAAGTGTTTTCCCCATTGCTTGTTTTTGTCAGCTTTGTCAAAGATCAGATGGTTGTAGGTGCCTTAATTCTGGGCTCTCTATTCTGTTCCGTTGGTCTATATGCCTGTTTTTGTACCAGTACCATGCTGTTATGGTCACTGGAGCCTTGTAACATAGTTTGAAGTTGGGTAACATGATTCCTCCAGGTTTGTTCTTTCTGCTTAGGATTGCCTTGGTTATTCGGGCTCTTTTTTGGTTCCATCATTGGTAGTTTGATAAGAATAGCATTGAATCTGTAAATTTCTCTGGGCAGTACAGCCATTTTCATTATGCTGATTCTTCCTATCCATGAGCATGGGATGTTTTTCCATTTGTTTGTGTCTTCTCTGATTTATTTGTGCAATGTTTTGTAATTTTCATTGTGGAGATCTTTCACCTCCCTGGTTAGCTGTATTTCTCATAATTAAAAATTCTTTCAGCCCAGGTACAGTGGCTTGCACCTATTATCTGAGAGCTTTGTGAGGCCAAAGTAGGAGGATTGCTTGAACCAAGGAGTTCCAGAACAGCCTGGGCAGCATAGCAACATCCCATCTCTACAAAATTTTGAAAATTAGCTAGATGTGGTGCTATGCACCTGTGATCTCTGCTACTTCTAAGGCTGGTGGAGTGTATTGCTTGGGCCCAAGAATTTGAGGTTACAATGAGCTATGATTGTGCCACTGCACTCCAGCCTGGGCAACAGTAAGACCCTCATCTCTAAAATAATAATAATTATTATTATTCTAGTAAACAGTTTGGACAAAAGTAAAAATTCTCATCTCTCAACCCTTTTCTCAATCCCACATTCAAATACAATCCCATTGAAATTAAAATCTGATCATATGAAAGGGTCGAAATGAAGTTATACAAAGTTGACTGTTATTTCTTAGACCTAGAATAATTCTAGAAAAAATTCCCATATTATTCTTCCAATTCTATATAATTACAACTTATAACTACAGACATGCTTGGCTAACTGGTCAAGCATAAATTCACACAAGTATGTATTATGTAGGTGTTTTTAGAATGAGTTCTTGAGCTGTGATTTTTTTATCCTGTATTAGGAATGACAGTAGAAAAGTTGTAGAGTAAGAGGTATGTTGGAAGATGACAAAAAATAACTGGGTGACAGGTCAGATAAACTTTTTTGGAGATAACAGAACCATCTGAAAAAAATGTCAAACTATAATGAATTAAATGCCTGCTGTATACATAGCATTATATATACACTATAATTAAGTATTTATTTAAAAGAGTCAAATTTTAATATGGGAACTTGCCATGAAAAGAAACACACAGTGCATATTTTTGAAAAGTAAGGAATCCATTTGTAAAATGAACACTTTCCATAAGAGGAAAATGATGATGATATCTATTATTTTCCATAAGAGGAAAGGATGATAATATCTATTTCACACACTGTGAGAATTAAATAGATAGCTTATGTAAATTTAGCACTTGCCACAGCGTCTGGCTAGAATCAACCTCTAGCCTTATGTCCTGCTACTCACTTGTCTAAACTTGTGCTTCAAATTACATTGTCTCTAGAAAACTTTGCACGACAAGATTGGGTTTGTAAGATTGGGCTCTCCAACATCCTTATTGCCTAACTTCTGGGAGTTGCTTGTTGGGAGAGTAGAGCCAGACTTTATGTGTTGGCAGGGCTCCACCTCAGAGAGCAAAGGCCATCTTGGAAGCGACCCCCACTTTTTTTGTATTTTCAAGACAAGGTCTCACTTCTGTTGTCTCACTCACATCTGTGCAGTGGCACAGTCATGGCTCACTGCAGCCTTGACATCCATGGGCTCAGGTCTTGACCTCCCACTTTAGCTTCCTGAGTAGCTGGGACTACAGGAATGCACCACCATGCCTGGCTAATTTTTGGATTTTTTCTATAGAGACACGGTCTCACTATGTTGCCCAGGCTGGTCTTGAACTCCTGGGCTCAAGTCATCCACCCACCTCAGCCTCCCAAAGTGCTAGGATTACAGGTGTGAATCACTGTGCCTGGCCCAAATACTATATTAACATATTGTATTTGCCCAGTGTGTGCAGTGAACTGTGTTAAGCACAAAAAATAATAATAAAATAAAATAAAATAAATCCTTCTTGCCCTAAAGTCAAGTTGGGAACAACAGGCAAGCAACCAATTAAAATGAACAATGATAAAGACAGGCATCTGATAGAGGTTTGCAGTCACTATGGAAGATGGAAGGATCAAAGAGGCAACCCTCATTCCCTCTGACTTGGAGGAAAGGGAGAGGTATAGAGTGTCACAGAAAGTTTTCCAGACACAAGGTCGCTTGAAGGACAAGTGTAGATGAGCAAGCAGTAGGATATAAGGCTAGAGGTTGATCCCAACTAGACCTCTTTGTGCATATTGGTGTGCATTGTTTTAGAATATTTTTGAAAATCTCAAAAATCCAGAGAACTGTTTGTGCTCACATATTGTTATGTTCACCTACTGGCTTCAGGGGATTCACATGTTCAAAATAACCTTCTGAAGTCTAAGTGGCAAGTGCTAAATTTACATAAGTTATCTAATTAAATTCTCACAGTGTGTAAAATAGATATTATCCTCATTTTATAGATAAGGAAACAAAGTGTCAGAGGTTAACTTCTCCAAGGTTGCATAACTAGTGAAAGATGAAGATCACACAAGTCCAACATCCTTAGTTCTGTTTGGCATCTCTTAAATTGCTCTTTCCAACAATGCTGTTCTTTCCACCATACACCATCCACTATAACTCCTCCTCTTTTTTTGCCATTTCCTTCTTTTTTATCAGAAGAATTGTTGGATTAGAATATTTTCCATTATTGTATGTACCATTAAAAAAAACTGATATTGAGGGATCGCACATTTATTTCCAAGACTTAAGAAGGTTATTTTGAACATGTGAATCCCCGGAAGCCAGTAGGAGAACATAACAAAAATATGTGAGCACAAAAAGATCTCTGGATTTTTGAGATGTTCAAAAGATTCTAAAACAATGCACACCAATACAAACAAAAAGCCTCTGGTTAAATGCTTAGCATCACAAGACATAAGATTTTGAAAAATTGAGAATAAATCCAAATAATCTGTTTCATATTTTTTAAAAAGATAATTTTTATTTCATGGCTCTGACAAAGAGCAGAAGTCTAAAAAACTCTCCTACTACTCATTTGTCTAAACTTGTCCTTCAAGTGACCGTGTCTCTAGGAAACGTTCCATGACAAGATTGGTAAATAGGAAAGTTTCCACACACAGATGTTACCTGTAATGCACGTCAGTTTCTTCCTAAACTTATTTTGTGATTTGACTCTTTAAGAATCATCTCCAAATTCTAGATTTTCTTTCCCAGAACTGAACAAATTACTGTCAGTGCATGACATACAAGCTGACATCAAACAGAACAGGATCAACTGGAGAAAACAGTAAGAAATTTAACCACAATGAAACCAGATCAATTTCTTCAAGTGATAATACTACATGCCCTTATATTTTGTCATTGAAAAATCAGAGCATAACCAAGATTTCAAAAGAGAGTGGCTGTTTACACTTAATGTCATCCATAATTACAGCCATTTATAGATTGCCAGTGGCAATACATAGATGAGAGATGCCTATAACCTCAGTTCTCCAGTGACTGTGTAAAGAAGCAAAACAAAAAGGGTGACAAAATGTGTGCTTGGTGCTTGCCTGGTTACCAACAAGTTCTAGTCTTATAAATGAGGTGCCTTAGGAAACCAATGAAGTAATAAAGGATCAATGTATTCCTTTGAAGGGCCAAACTCAAGCAAAATAATATAAATAATTAGTAAAAAAAATTATTCATAAAAATTTAAGTGAGTTGAGAAACTTCCAGGTAGATTAATCTTAGTGGAAAATTTTTCTCAAAGATCAAAATTAAGAACAAGTGTAGAACTGAGATTCTTCACACATATCAAATTATCTCTACTCTGAAAACCCAAATTCTAGGAACATATGATAACTCTGATTGAAGGGAAAAAAATTATATATTTCAAAGGCATTTTGAAACAAGCTAATTATACTCTTGTGCTGAGCTATGTACAATATAGAAGTCGGATTTCTATCACAAAAGCTGTATTTTTCTTAATTCATGTATTAACACTTAATGACCAAAGTGGCTTAATATCATACGTTAACAACCAGCTTTGGGAAAAAAAATTAAATGACCAAAAATATATACACTAGAAAAGGAGAATACTCATTAAAAAGCCAAAACTTCACACAACACACCTATGACTATCTAACAATTTCAGCAATTACTGAAGAATAGAAGGTGTGCTTGTAAACCAATACATGAGACTAAACACGAAGCTATTTGTGGCATATAAAAGGCCACAAATAGGCATGAAAAGCAGACTTAATTCAGGTAAGCTTTTCCATCTACCACATTCCATGTGGTGTAAGGAAGGGAAATAGTACCTGAAGATGAGGATAGTGAACAGAATCTGGCATGAGGTTTGCAATTGTTTCTTCTGATTCTAGATTCTTGAGAAGGCCATGAGTTGCTCATAGAGTGCCATATGTGAAGTACATGGATGAAATTGCCTCTGCAATAGGAGTGAAGCCCAACCTGTTCTCTCTTTTCTTTTCAGATCCCAAGCTGGACAAAGAGGTTGTCTTTGGTTCATGCTCCCCATATCAGTACTGTTTGCAGGGACCAGGAAAATGGGATGGAGCCAGGAAAGCCATCCTGAAGTAGGGCAGTGGATTGTCAAACCCACGAGAATTTACATCTTCAGTAGTGGCCAAGCCCCTTCCTCTATGTCATTTTGGCTTAAAAGTGTCTGTGCTGCTCTTCTTCTCTTTGTTTTTTTCCTTATTACTTTTATAGGATAATTCTCGACAATATAGGCCAAAAGTGGTATAGATTGGTTAAAGAACGAAAGTAGGCAACCACTAGATTAAACTAATGTGGCTGCAGCAATGAAATAACATGCAATTTAGACATTTCTTATATTAATCAACTCACAATTCACAAGATTCTTCAAGCTACATTGATATTTTTTTAAGAGATGGGGTCTCACCAGTTGCCCAGGCCAGTCTTGAACTCCTGGGCTCAAGCAATCCTCCCCACTCAGCCTCACAAAGTGCTAGGATTACAGGCATGGGCCACCACACACCCAGCCTACATTGATGTATTATTGAAGAATATTCCCAAACACTTTTTGGGAAGTAGTTTTGTTTTGGGTTTTTTGTTGTTGTTGTTTGGTTGATTTTTTGTTTTTTTGGTTTTTGGGTTTTTTTAAGTGTTCATCATGCCATTCTCCAGGGTACATTTAAGAAGAGTTTTGTTAGGCTTAGGAATGGATTCTTTTAATATTATGTTTGTTGGTTTGTTGTTTTTAATGTGGGGATGGGGAACAATACGTAGAAATGGATTCAGGATTTATTCAGGAAGGGAAGTGATAAGGGTAATCTTTCAAGGGACATCCCAAATGAAAGTCAGAATGTGTTGACATTGTTTATGAGGTACAGGAACTCTCAGTGATGATGATACAACCTCAGCCTGCCTTCTGTTACTGAATTTTCTAAGGAGTACTGGCCTCCTTATCTCATGTAGATTTGGCTCTATGAAGAAGTGGAAAGTCCTAATTTTTTTTTCTTTTTTTTTTTTTTTGAGACCAAGTCTCACTGTCACCCAGGCTGGAATGTAGTTGCACATCTCAGCTCACTGCAGCCTCCATCTCCCAGGTTCAAGTGATTCTCCTGCCTCAGGCTTCCGAGTGGCTGGAATTACAGGTGATCACCACCACACCCGGCTAATTTTTTGTATTTTTAGTAGAGACGGGGTTTCGCCATGTTGACTAGGCTGGTCTCGAACTCCTGACCTCAGGTGATCCACCCACCTCAGCCTCCCAAAGTGCTGGGATTACAGACATGAGCTACCATGCCCGGCCCAGAAGTCCTAATTTGATCAACCAATTAATTGAAGAAGATCCCATGCTTTCTTTTTTCAAGTGGGATATTTTATAGCCTAAACTGAACCTCTTGAAGCTGTAAGTATTCCCAAGAGCTGATCACAAACTGAAAGACCTCTTTTTACCTTCTCGTTACTGTCTCACACAAAATTAAGGTCAAAAAAGCATATTTCTAAAAGTCTCAGCCATTCATTCAATGAATATATTCAAGTACCTACTATGTGCTAGACACTGGAATCATAGAAGAAAACAAGACAAAACTAGTCCATGTCTCTACAGTTTAAATCTAGCCTCTAGGGATTCCCCACTGTGCAAGTGACAATTTTTCTAGTATTGACAAGATTTTACATCCAATCCACATCCTAATGAGAATTGTGATTTGAATCCATCATCTTTGTGAACACAAAGGCAATTAAAGAACGGGTCCTACTTTTGGGAATTCAGTCAGTGCACTCTGGTGAGTGGGTGAGAAAAAGCTGGGAGGGGAGGCTGAAGTCCAGGCTTGAAGAGAATGGTTCAAAAGTTAGATTGTGGTGAGGGCAAGAGCGCATCACTGAAGCTTTGGGGCAGGGAGATGACATAATCAGAAGTATTTTGATAAAATAACTTTCAGCAGAAAGAAGAATGAACTGACACAGGGAGAAACAAGCTAAAGGTTCTGCAGGGTTCCTACACTGAGCCAACTTTGAGAACTTGGGGCTTGTTAGTTTTGTTCTTACTCATACCTAACATTTGCTTTTTCTCTTTTTTCTTCCTCTACTTCTTGCCCTCGTTTGCCTGCTTCTATCAAATTTCCCTACTTAACAACTCTGCCTGTTTTCCCTTCCTTATGATTTATACAGTAATTACTATATATAACTTTTAATATATTTGATATATTTTCTATCTGGCCCCGAAATTAATACTCCGTACAGTTTCCCAACAATAACAAAATAACCTAAAAGTCTATGTTAGAATAACTGCATCTTAGGGACCTAGATACTTGGAATATTTTCCTGTTTATAATCAATATATAATTTTATCATATACATTTAATATTTCTTCATTTCTATAAAAAGACATTCAAAATTCTAAAAATAATCAGTATCACTCTAATTCCTCTCTTAAGCAAATTCAATAAAGATTACCAAATGTTCTTGTGATACAAATTGCAACAATCATCCCAAGGATTTGCTTTTCATTCAGAAAATGTCCAGTGAATTTCCTGAGTTTCAGACACGGTCTTCTCTATCTCTGTTGTGTATCAGCAACTCCATTTCCCAATGTTAACTGAGAGCAGTCACCCCAGCCAATACAGTAATCCTCTTCTCCGCTTGTTGGTTTAGTGGCATAAGAACCCCAAATTGTTTGATGTTGGATGTTCAATTGTTATGGGACCATTGCTGTATCCTTCTAACTATCTATACTGTGTAACAAATCACCCCCAAAACTTAGTAGCTTAAACCACCATGGTTTATTATTTCTTACAAGTCTATAGGATAGGAATTCAGGCAGGCCTCAGCTGAAGCATTCTTTCTTCATATGGCAACAGGTGGGATAACTCAGCTGCATTCACCTGGTGGCTAGCTGGGCTGGAATATCCAAGAAGGTTTTACTCACATGTCTGATTCCTTGGTGTTTCTCCACATAATTTATCTCACTCTCTTTCTCCACATAGTTTCTCATTATTCAATAGTCCAATCTTCCTTATAATATGCTATCTTCCTCCAAAGAAAAAAACTGATACTGCCAGTTGTCTGGGTTTGAAAGTCCCAGAACATCACTTCTGCCACATTCTATTGCCTGCCCTCCACTCCCACCCCCAGTGTGGATGACCTTCATCCAATCCACTGAAGGACCAAATAGAACAAAAAAGTGTAGTAAGGGAGAATTTACTCTCATCTCTCTGGTTGTCTTTGAGCTGGGACATTGGTGTTCTCCTGTCATCAGACTCAGACCAAAACTTAGAAACACCACTGGCACTCCTGGTGCTCTGGCCTTCAAACTCAAACTAGAACTATACCATAGGTTCTTCTGGGTCTCCAGTTTACTAGCTACAGATTGTGGGACTTCTCAGTCTCCATAACTTCATGAGCCAATTACTTATAATCTCTCTCTCTCTCTCTTCCTCCCTCCATCTATATATCTAATGATTGGACCCACGTACTCCAGGCCCATGAAAGAAACAACTTTATATATCAATAAATATATAGATATGTAGATATTTCCTTTAGTTCTATTTCTCTGGAGAACTCAAACCAGTATAGATTTTGGTACTAAGAATGATTCCAGAGGAAGAAATTTAAGAATGTTTTTTCTGAGAATATGTTTTCTGAATTGGTTCTAGAGTTTCTGGAATTGGCGCTGTAATTCAATTAGATTTTAAAATGCTAATGGGTCCATCTTACCCTGTCCCTTCCCATCAGCCATGAGTTCCACGCAGTTCAACAAGGGGCCTTCTTACCAGCTTTTTGCCGAGATCAAGAACCAGCTCCTGTTCAAATGCGACCCTCAGAAGCAGGCGGCGCTCTGCAGCTGGATCGAGGGACTCACCCGCCTCTCTTTCAGCCCCGACTTCCAGAAGAGTCTGAAGGAAGGGATTGTCTTATGCACACTCATGAACAAGCTGGGCTCAGTCCCCAAGATCAACGGCTCATGCAGAACTGGCACCAGCTAGAAAATCTCTCCAACTTCATCAAGGCCATGGTTGGATACGACATGAACCCCATGGACCTGTTCGAGGCCAACGACCTGTTTGAGAGTAGGAACATGACGCAGGTGCAGCTGTCTCTTCTAGCCCTGGCAGGGAAGGTCAAGACAAAGCTGCTGCAGAATGGGGTGGACGTCGGGGTCAAATACTCGGAGAAGCAGGAGCGGAACTTCGACGACGCCACCTTGAAGGCCAGCCAGTGCCTCACTGAGCTGCAGATGGGCACCAACATATGTGCCTGCCAGTCGGGCGCGACAACTTAGGGCACGATGAGGCATCTCTACCACCCCAAGAACCGTATCCTGCCCTCTGGACCACTCGACCATCAGCCTCCAGATGGGTGCAAACAAACGCTCCAGCCAGGGGGCATGACGGCTCCCGGGACCCCGCAGCACATCTACAACACCAAACTGGGAGCCCACAAGTGTGACAACTCCTCCATGTCCCTGCATATGGGTGACACGCAGAGTGCCAACCACAGCGTCCAGGGCTTTGGCCTGGGCCAGCAGATATACTATCCCAAGTACTGCCCTCAAGGCCTGCAGCCAGTGGGGCTCCCTTGGATGCCGGCAACTGCCCAGGACCAGGGGAGGCCCCCGAGGATCCCCCCTGCTCCCAGGAGGAGGCCACTACTGAGGCCCCCGAACATGCTGGCTCCCTACATCATCGCCCTGTCTGGGTTTGGGGGATTTTCCTGTATTTTCGTCTTTCTTTTTTTTTTTTAACCTGTTCAGTGCTGCCAACCGAGGGTCTGTGAGTAGCTGCGTGGGGTCAAGCAGCAGGGTTATTTTTGTTTGTTTGTTTTAATTTTTTTTTCCCTCCTGCCTTAATTCCTTCACAGGACTGAGACACCGGGCTTGGGAGGAAGGGGTCAAGGCTGTATCTGGATGAATGTGAAGTGGGGGTCGTTGCCAGGGCACATTCAGGCTGTGGGCTGAGCGGTGCAGGGGAGAAGAGGTCTGGGCAGCGAGGGGAGCCGGCAGCAGGAGGTTTCCGGTTGCTTCTCCTTTTCCCTTTTGTCCACCTATCAGTTTGTGGTTTCTGTACCTACAGAAGTTTCAGAAGTATTAACAAAAGAAAAATATTTCTTTTTTCCTAGGGAATGGGGCGGGGACAGTGGAGAGGGTGCTGGGAAATGGGTGCCCTGGGAGAAGGCCAAGGCCAGGATGCTAAAATATCTTAGGCTCATGAGTGACTGGATTTCCCTAGGACCCTCAGACCTGCACAGGGGCCGGGTGGGGAAACAGGCTTATGCAAGACAATGGGGTAGTGAGTCAATTGGGGCTAAGCCTGACCCCTCCCCATGCTCACCAACCCCCCCATTTGTGTCCCTCATCAGATTTTAAGGAGCCCCCAGCCCTCCTTCTCCCCTTCTGGGACTAACCAACTGCAAGGCTCCGTCTCCCCCCACCACAAGCCCTGCCAAGTACTGCTCAGGGGCCCCAGCCAAGAGCCCTGCACCCTTAAATAATGTGAAATACCAACTGTGGACCAAATGCAATAGAAACCTCTGTTTTTAGGAAGAAATAAGAATAGTAACTATTATTAATAAATAAATAAAAACAAAAATGCCAATGACTCTATTTCTAGGAGTAAAGAGAACACTGATAATCCATGGTATGATCTAGCAATAGAAATTTGCAAAATATCTCCATCGGATACTCCTAATCGACCACTTACAAAAAGCAAGGAGTTAGGTGACTGTGTATGTAAAACTTTCAAACATGTTTGCAAAACTAATAAATATATGAAGTTGGTTGGTTGCTCCTAATGTCTGTGGACAAAGTGGTCACAAAAAAAGAGACACTCAGGAATTGTAATTCCTCAAGTACCTCGTAAATGACCTGAAATCTCCTATGTGTTTCCTGAAGAAAACTTTTATCTCCTGTAACCATAGGACTGAGATTGCTAATAATAAAAATGACAATTCAGAATTCCTTTTAGTTACACAATTTTCGGAGGTTCCTGCATGCTGTCTCTGCATTCTAGGACAAACCTAAATCTTCTAGAGAAGCATCTGAAGACATGGACTCTTCTATAAAGAAGCTGAGGGGGAGGAAGTGATTGGTTTTCATCAGGAAGTTATAGGAATAAGACTCCCTCACCATGATTATTATTTAATCAAAAGTTTGCTATCCATCACTCTATGAGCTAACCACTCAGAACTTGTGGGCCCTTTTATACACACAATGGTGACTACCAAGCTCCTCCACCCCAATGTTGTGAGCTCAAAAAAGGTCCTACCTGGACTTAATTGTGCCTAAAGGAACCAACCCTTTGTTTGGTTTTCATTTAGGAATGTGGTTTTTCTATCTCTGCCAATGAATCTGTTTCAAAATTCAATTTTTATATACATAAGACTATTGTGAATACCAAGTGATTGTCCTGTAGAAGAGCCCTCAGATGCCAGGAAATTGTAATATCTCTTCATTATCTTAAAAACAATGAGACAGATATGTCGAGTTGTCTGACCTCAGGCACCACACTGACACATAGCTGTGTGTAGGGTTAAGCCCAGGAACTCCCTGCTTTAGATTCTGTTCTTACAATAACAGAAAATTACCATGTCAGCTTCCACTCAGGAGTGAAAGCCAATCAGTTGGTCCATATAAGTAAATGGCAAGTCAAGTCAATGAACAACTTATATTTGGACACCACGTCTCCCCAATATAGAGAGCTCTTTCTGTAGGCACTGTGAAAATTAAAGGAGGGGGAGAAGATCCAAGAGCTGGATTTCTCAAAGGAAAAGATGGAACAAATAATTGAAAATTTAAAAATGAGTAGATGTTTGTTGTGATTAGTAGTTATTATTGCATACTAAATCATCCCAAAATTTAGTGACTTAAAACAGTAACAATAATTGTATTCTCTCATGATTTTTGTGGGAAGCTCTGGCTCAAGTGTTTCATGAGTTGATTCCAAGTCTTTGCTATTGTGAATAGTGCCACAATAAACATACGTGTGCATGTGTCTTTATAGCAGCATCATTTATAATCCTTTGGGTATATACCCAGTAATGGGATGGCTGGGTCAAATGGTATTTCTAGTTCTAGATCCTTGAGGAATCACCACACTGACTTCCACAATGGTTAAACTAGTTTACAGTCCCACCAACAGTGTAAAAGTGTTCCTATTTCTCCACATCCTCTGCAGCACCTGTTGTTTTCTGACTTTTTAA
This sequence comes from Homo sapiens, assembly GCF_000001405.40. Taxonomy (NCBI): domain Eukaryota; kingdom Metazoa; phylum Chordata; class Mammalia; order Primates; family Hominidae; genus Homo; species Homo sapiens. The sequence continues at coordinate 166,799,726 of NC_000001.11, forward strand.
TGATCACCATCCTAACTGGTGTGAGATGGTATCTCATTGTGGTTTTGATTTACATTTCTCTGATGGCCAGTGATGATGAACATTTTTTCATGTGTCTGTTGGCTGCATAAACGTCTTCTTTTGAGAAGTTTCTGTTGATATCCTTTGCCCACTTTTTAATGGGGTTGTTTGATTTTTTCTTGTCAATTTGTTTAAATTCTTTGTAGATTCTGGATATTAGCCCTTTGTCAGATGGATAGATTGCAAAAATTTTCTCCCATTCTGTAGGTTGCCTGTTCACTCTGATGGTAGTTTCTTTTGCTGTGCAGAAGCTCTTTAGTTTAATTAGATCCCATTTGTCAATTTTGGCTTTTGTTGCCATTGCTTTTGGTGTTTTAGACATGAAGTCCTTGCCCATGCCTATGTCCTGAATGGTATTGCCTAGGTTTTCTTCTAGGGTTTTTATGGTTTTAGATCTAACATTTAAGTCTTTATCCATCTTGAATTAATTTTTGTATAAGGCGTAAGGAAAGGATCCGGTTTCAGCTTTCTACACATGGCTAGCCAGTTTTCCCAGCACCACTTATTAAATAGGGAATCCTTTCCCCATTTCTTGTTTTTGTCAGGTTTGTCAAAGATCAGATGGCTGTAGATGTGTGGTACTATTTCTGAGGGCTCTGTTATGTTCAATTGGTCTATATCTCTGTTTTGGTACCAGTACCAGGCTGTTTTGGTTACTGTAGCCTTGTAGTATAGTTTGAAGTCAGGTAGCATGATGCCTTCAGCTTTGTTCTTTTGGCTTAGGATTGTCTTGGCAATGTGGGCTCTTTTTTGGTTCCATATGAACTTTAAAGTAGTTTTTTCCAATTCTGTGAAGAAAGGCAGTGGTAGCTTGATGGGGATGGCATTTGATCTATAAATTACCTTGGGCAGTATGGCCATTTTCACGATATTGATTCTTCCTATCCATGAGCATGGAATGTTAATCCATTTGTTTCTGTCCTCATTTATTTCATTGAGCATTGGTTTGTAGTTCTCCTTGAAGAGGTCCTTCACTTCCCTTGTAAGTTGGATTCCTAGGTATTTTATTCTCTTTGAAGCAATTGTGAATGGGAGTTCACTCATGATTTGGCTCTCTGTTAGTCTGTTATTGGCGTATAGGAATGCCTGTGATTTTTGCACATTGGTTTTGTATCCTGAGACTTTGCTGAAGTTGCTTATCAGCTTAAGGAGATTTTGGGCTGAGACGATGGGGTTTTCTAAATATACAATCATGTCATCTGCAAACGGGGACAATTTGACTTCCTCTTTTCCTAATTGAATACCCTTTATTTCTTTCTCCTGCCTGATTTCCCTGGCCAGAACTTCCAACACTGTGTTGAATAGGAGTGGTGGGAGAGGGCACCCTTGTCTTGTGCCAGTTTTCAAAGGGAATGCTTCCAGTTTTTGCCCATTCAGTTTGATATTGGCTGTGGGTTTCTCATAAATAGCTCTTATTATTCTGAGATATGTCCCATCAATACCTAATTTATTGAGAGTTTTTAGCATGAAGGCTGTTGAATTTTGTCGAAGGCCTTTTCTGCATCTATTGAGATAATCATGTGGTTTTTGTCTTTGGTTCTGTTTATATGCTGGATTACTTTTATTGATTTGCATATGTTGAATCGGCCTTGCATCCCAGGGATGAAGCTCACTTGATCATGGTGGATAAGCTTTTTGATGTGCTGCTGGATTCGGTTTGCCAGTATTTTATTGAGGATTTTTGCATCGATGTTCATCAGGGATATTGGTCTAAAATTCTCTTTTTTTGTTGTGTCTCTGCCAGGCTTTGGTATCAGGATGATACTGGCCTCATAAAATGAGTTAGGGAGGATTCCCTCTTTTTCTATTGATTGGAATAGTTTCAGAAGAAATGGTACCAGCTCCTCTATGTACCTCTGGTAGAATTCAGCTGTGAATCCACCTGGTCCTTGACTTTTTTTGGTTGGTAGGCTCTTACTTATTGTGTCAATTTCAGAACCTGTTATTGATCTATTCAGGGATTCAACTTCTTCCTGGTTTAGTCTTGGGAGGGTGTATGTGCCCAGGAATTTATCCATTTCTTCTAGCTTTTCTAGTTTATTTGCGTAGAGGTGATTATACTATTCTCTGATGGTAGTTTGTATCTCTGTGGGATCAGTGGTGATATCCTCTTTATCATTTTTTATTGCGTCTATTTGATTCTTCTCCCTTTTCTTCTTTATTAGTCTTTTTAGTGGTCTATCAGTTTTGTTGATCTTTTCAAAAAACCAGCTCCTGGATTCATTGATTCTTTGAAGGGTGTTTTGTGTCTCTATTTCCTTCAGTTCTGCTCTGATCTTAGTTATTTCTTGCCTTCTGCTAGCTTTTGAATGTATTAGCTCTTGCTTCTCTAGTTCTTCTAATTGTGATGTTAGGGTGTCAATTTTAGATCTTTGCTGCTTTCTCTTGTGGGCATTTAGTGCTATAAATTTCCCTCTACACACCGCTTTAAATGTGTCCCAGAGATTCTGGTATGTTGTGTCTTTGTTCTCGTTGGTTTCAAAGAACATCTTTATTTCTGCCTTCATTTCATTACATACCCAGTAGTCATTCAGGAGCAGATTGTTCAGTTTCCATGTAGTTGAGCGGTTTTGAGTGAGTTTCTTAATCCTGAGTTCTAGTTTGATTGCACTGTGGTCTGAGAGACAGTTTGTTATAATTTCTGTTCTGTTACATTTGCTGAGGAGTGCTTTACTTCCAACTATGTGGTCAATTTTGGAATAAGTGCAATGTGGTGCTGAGAAGAATGCATATTCTGTTGATTTGCGGTGGAGAGTTCTGTAGATGTCTATTAGGTCCACTTGGTGCAGAGCTGAGTTCAATTCCTGGATATCCTTGTTAATTTTCTGTCTCGTTGATCTGTCTAATGTTGACAGTGGGGTGTTAAGGTCTCCCATTATTATTGTGTGGGAGTCTAAGTCTCTTTGTAGGTCTCTAAGGACTTGCTTTATGAATGTGGGTGCTCCTGTATTGGGTGCATATATATTTAGGATAGTTAGCTCTTTTTGTTGAATTGATGCCTTTACCATTATGTAATGGCCTTCTTTGTCTCTTCTGATCTTTGTTGGTTTAAAGTCTGTTTTATCAGAGACTAGGATTGCAACCCCTGCTTTTTTTTGTTTTCCATTTGCTTGGTAGATCTTCCTCCATCCAGAAAAGGGTTCTTTTGAGCTCCAATTCTAGGTGCTACTCACTTTAATAACTCTACAACTTCAACTTCAGAGTTTTACACTTCAAATGGGAATAGTTTGACAAATTCAAGCTGATTGCAATACCCTACAGGATGAATATCTATAATGAAAAATTGTTTAATTCCTTCTCAATTTCCCTCACTGCAAAAATTATGATCAGTAAAAGCATTTTTGTTAATGATCTCAGATTCCTACTAGATAAGAATTGAGGCTCATTTTTATATAAGACACATTCCATCTTAGAATTTTCTTCCTTTTTATAATCATCTAAATCCAAGTTTCTGCCTTTGGGAATTTGGTAATGGCGTTCTGTGTCTATTTGGCATTTTCTCTTTAAATTTAGAAGATTACTTATTTCCTTTCTAGCCTTGATTTGTTTTGTTGTGTAGTGATTTGCTATTAATATTTAAACCTATTCTTAAGAGGTTATCCCTAATGAGTAGCACTTTTCACAAAACAAATTACCTCTTGGCTATTTATTGCATGTAGAAAAGGTACAAATTATATAAATTATCTGGAATGATATTTTAAAACTAAAACTTTAGCCATCTAGTAAATGGCAACACTTCTCCCCTTATTTTAAATATCAGTGGTTCTCAACCCCCATAATACTCTTAAAATTATTGAAGACCCCCCAAAAAAACTCTCCTTTATGTGAGTTACGTCTGTTGCTATTTACCATATTAGAAATTAAAACTAAGATATTTTAAAAATATTTATTTACTGTTCATTTTAAAATAATAGTAATAAACCCAACATATATTAACATAACCTATTTATGAAAAAATCTATATTTTCATAACAAAGAAATTTTAATGAAAAAAGTGGCATTGTTTTGTATTTTGCAAATCTCTTTAAAACCTGGCTTGATAGAAGACAGCTAGATTCTAATATCTGCTTCCACATTTAATCTGTTTAAATATGTTATTTTGATTGACGTTTATGAAGGAAATACAGCCTCACTCAGATGTAGTTGGAAAAGGGAATCATGTTTTAGTAGCCTTTACAGATAATCATAGATATTTATCTTTGACAATAAAACAAAAGTCAGCAAGTGGTAGTTTCTTAAATGTTAGCTACAGCATGGAACCTGGAATTGTATTTATAATCTACTACATTAAAATTGATTGATCTATCTTGCACTTTGAACATACATTTTCACCATTCATAATTCTGCAACATCATGCATTGGTCATTTAGAAAACATTAGTTTCCTGAGTTATGAAGATTTTCCAAATGTTGACACTATAATATTATACAATATCAAAGGATCACATTGCTCAGCAGTAAAGCCTTTATGTATTGGGAAGCTATCAAGCTTGGAGTAGCAGACACAAGTTTTTCTACATTCTAATTTTTGCTTGAATGCTCTAATTTTATTATTGACGACAAATGCTGTCAGTTGCTTTCCTTGAATTGACAGGCTGACTTCATTCGTTTTTCAGAAAATGTCTGCCAAATACCCGAATCAGAATAACCAGAGTTTGTGTAAGAGTCATTTTTTTCCAGTAAAAAATGGTGTTCCATGAGAAAAGCCACTAGTTCAGTTTATAACTTAAACAATTGCATAAGTGCTTTTTCCTGGAGATAGACATCATATTTCAGAATGTATCAGAGTGCTGTATGCACACTTCTCTTTCTATTACACAGAATGTTAAGACTCAAGGGTCAAGATTTAATTAATAATTCATCAAGGGCACTTAGGTGAAACTGACTTTTTTAACGCAAATGCATAGATGAGGAATTAAACGACTACTAAATGGTGTGGTGCCACTGCTTTGATTTGTCTTGAGGCACCCACCATTGCTTTTGCATCATCAGTGCAAATGTCAGCACAGTGAAAAAAGCAAATAAAGAGGATATTATCATAAAAATAGTTTCCTCCTCACAGACTTTCTGAAAGCTTCTCTGAGACCTGCAGAGATCTGCAGATTAGACTTTAAGAACTGCTGCTCTACATAATGTTCAGTTTCGTCCTAACTTCTAAGGCTCAGATTTAAAACATGCTAAAACTTTAGCAGTGTGGCCTCATGAAGATAGGGAAAGGAAGCCAGAACCGAGAGGTTAAAAAGGACAAGAAAATCAGCCCCATCAGACAAATACCCCTTCAACAAAGTGAAATCTAGTCAGGTGAAAGTCCAAGTCAGCCTAGTGGTAAGGAAGGCAGCACTGTTCTTTGAGGTAGGAATATCTTTATTGACGTGATCTAAAAAAGATCACAGCTGCTGGCTAGGGGACAGAGATAAGAAGTTATCCCCCAGAGATGCCATCTGGCAAGAGCTAAGTAGGGTAATAAGTCCCCACTTGGGTAGGTTGAAGTCAAACACAGAGTTCATTCCTAGTAGCATAACTGTACATAAACAATGTGCTAGTCAGTAAACTGAGGCAGATGCCTAACAATTATGGAGGGAACCAACTGGGGCAGGATGTTGGTCTCAAGGAAGAGAGAGAGGTTAAACCAATGCAAATCAAATAGTATACAGGTTCCAAAGGCATACAACCAAGTATATCAGGTCTTTGATCTATAATAATAAGATTAATACCAGACTATAACAGCTGGCCTCTCAGGCTAATCATAAACCTTATTCCTTCATAAGCTGTAGTCTTGAAACTAGGGGTGACAGAGTTTGCAGATGGAAAGTTTTAACAGCTCTGTCGGCAAGGTTGTCCAGAAGGCAAAAATAGACTTGCTTACCTAAACCAATGCAAATTATTTTATTTTGGTAAGCTTAATAATCTGATAAATAATTATCATTATTAGAATGAAGATATAGAAAGCAGTGGTTTTCAAGTCATAATTTTCATGATCTTAGGAGTTAGAGAGAAGAGGTTATCACTGTAGAAAAGCCAAGCAAGCAGGCCTCCCTCACCTCCAATTCGACCAATGAAGCTCCACTGCTATCTGTTATTATATATTAAACTTCTGAGTAAGAATTCATTTGCAGTAATAGTCATATATATGAATATTAACATTTAAAGACAGTAAGCATTGGCCCTGGTACATGACTTTTCATATGGCCCTTGCTCATATACTTTAGCATATGTTTTTGCATGGTTCCAAAAGAAATAATGTTCAATTTGATGCTCTAAACTTGTGTTTTTAATATGTATGTAAATATACTAATTACTAATATATCAATAATTATATAATATAAATGTAGTATACTTAATATTACATATATGTACTATATATTATAAATATTACACAATTATACATTATATAGAAATATATGTAATATAACAATAAGTATATGAGCAAGGGCCATATGAAAAGTCATGTACCAGGGCCAGTACTTACTGTCTTTAAAAGTCACTAAGAACTTTTGCTTCCAGGTGGGATACACAAATATCAGCAGTTCATCACTCCCACTTCAACAACTAGGAAAAAAAAATAGACAAGTCACAAAAATCTTAGACATTGAAGAGCTTGAAAACAAAGGGTTCTAAATGAATTGCAATTCCAGAGTTGAAAGAGCCCTTTTTAGGTGAACAGAAATCATCAGCCTTTTCTTCCCTGGAGACATTTGCTGGCATGACAGATTAGACTATAGAGAGATCTCAGATACACAACTAGTTTTGCCCATGATTCATATACTGAGTACTGAAGTGGCACAGGAAGTTGAGGAGAGGGGAGGGCGTCGGACCTGAAAGGCAGAATGAGATCTCATGTAGACTCATGTTGCCTGTAATCCAGCACTTTGGGAGGCTGAGGCAGGAGGATAGCTTGAACCCAGGAGTTTGAGACTAGCCTGCACAACACAGTAAGACACTATCTCTACAAAAAATTAGCCAGGTGTGGTAGTGCACATGTGTGGTCCCAACTACTTGAGAGGCTGAGACAGGAGGACTGCTTGAGCCCAGGAAGTCAAGCTATGATTGTGCCACTGCACTCCAACCTGGGTGACAGAGCAGGACTATTTCTAAAAAATAATAATAATAAAAATAAATAAATAATTTTTTAGAAAGAAAATGAATTGCAAAATGGCAGATATGTTATATGACAGAAAAGACAAATATATATATTATAATAATGACACTAATAATAACTACCAGAGGTACAATTCCCTGGCTGAACATTTCACACGAATATTTCATCTAGCCCTCACAGCAATCTGATAGATAAGTATTCCTATCTCCATTATATTATTGGTAAGAAAATCAAGACTTTTAGTATGAAGCAGAGTCAGCTCTAGAATCCGAGTTGCCTGACAACAAAACTCAAGTTTTTAGCCATTCTGCTATTAGGCCCCTCTTTGGATTACAAAGTAAAACCAAGACTATAGACAACCCCAACTACAAAGTGATGAATTTACTTTGGGAAATTTCCATTACTATGAGACTATAATGAAAGACTCAAGACTATTGTATACATATTGTCTTAGCTTATTTGCACTGCTATAACAAAATAGCACAGACTGGGCAATTTATGAAGAACAGAAATTTATTTCTCACGGTTCTGGGTAATGGAAAGTCCAAGATCAAGGCACCGGCAGGTTCAGGTGTCTGACAAGGGCTGCTCTCCACTTCCAAGATGCAGCCTTCATTCTGCAACCTTCAGAGGATAAGAATGCTGTCTCTTCACATGGTGGATGACAGAAGACAAAGCTATCCAAAAGCTACACGAAGCCTCTTTTATAAGGGCCTTAATCCCATTCATAACACAGAAGCCCTCATGGCGTAATCACCTCTTAAAGGCCCCACCTCTTAATACTCTTATCACATTGGCAACACTTGAATTTTGGAAGGGATACATTCAAGCCATAATGCATATGTGTAGGTGTGTGTGTGTGTGTGTGTGTGTGTGTGCGCTTGTATATAGCATACACATATGTATGTAGATATAAACTAGTTGTAAACAGAAATAAAAACTAAATATAAATATAATACAAGCGATTACATATACATGTATGTGTAAAAGTTTGTATATGTCTATATATCTATTGATCCCTCTATGTATCAACCTATCTATCCATTGTATCAGGGCCTGACATTTAAAAGAATCTTTATTTTGAAACAACTACACAGATATAAATAATATTGTTTTCACTTAATGCTTAATTTTTTTAATTAGAAGAGGTTTTGGAATTCAATGGCAGAAAACAATAAAATCAGTTCAATTTAAAATCAGAAAGTTTCTAAACTCAGAAATTTTGTATCTGGATACATACTATTACTGTATTACTGTTCTTTAAGTTTAGGAATGTATAATAGACTATGTATATAGCTTAATCTGTTTCTTACTTTTAAAAATTTATTTGGATGTTATACAGTCTAGAGAATACAATTTGCACAATTGTTTGCCTCTTTTCTCTGGAAGTGAAAATTGCTACTATAGAGTATTTACTCATTATTACTGGTGGAAGGTACAAATACCTGCAGTGGTGAGTTGATTATAAAATTGAATGGTATATAAAGTGAATATAGAAATATTCAGGAACAGTTCAAGTATTCCTGATACAGGGACTCTAAAGAAATACGTCAAAATATTTCATCATTATAAACAACAGTGCATTCTCTAAACTGATGAGATGAGAGAGGAGTCTGTGACACAAATATAAATAGCACAGAATCCAAAATCTGTTTTTACATCCTTGTCTTAGAATTTTCTCTAACAGATCTAACTTGTCAAAAATGTTTAGCTTTATCAAATAAGACAAATATCGTAGATCACATGTGAGCGTCTATATCCACAGAAACAAAGGCAATCATGGCTAGAAGAGGGAAGACAACAAGACAACCTGGGACTAAATTTCGTCAAGGTAAATTGTCTGAGAAATGCCTAAGAGCTGGCTGGGTGTCTTCTAATAACATAATCAAACCACATTCTTAAAATAAAACGTTTTACAGAAGAAAGAAAAAAAAATTACTGGCTGTGTCTAAGTTATTCCAGGCATATCTTTAATGACACTTTATTTTTTACAGAATGTTTATCAATATTACGTATTTCAATAAACATGTTTCAAGGGTCTTGAAAAACTTCACCAAAGCCTGGAGTAAAGAATAATTCAGAATCAGAGTAGCTAAACTGAACTTTTGGTGTTGAGGTAGGAGGCGGGACTGAACTCTGGAGGTGAGGCTCAGATACTGGACAAATTGAAGACTAGCTAAAAAAGGTTCAGAGCTAAAGTAGCTTTGGAAAGGACAACACCCACCAGTGTGCCATGTCAGTTCATCATTGCCATGGCAACACTCAGAACTTACTGCCCCTTTCCATGGCAACAACCTGACAACCTGGAAGTTACCACCCTCATTCTAGAAATTTCTGCATAAACTACCACTTAATTTGCATATAATTGAAAGTAGGTATAAATATTAGTGCAGCATTGCCTCTGAGCTGCTACTCTGGGTACACTTCCTGTGGCGTGGCCTTGCTCCTCAAGGAGCAGTACCTCTGCTGCTGCTGTACAGTTGCTGCTTTGATAAAAGTTGCTGTTTAACAGCACTGGCTCACTCCTAAATTCTTTACTGGGAGAAGCCAAGAATCCTCCTGTGTTAAGCCCCAGTTTGAGGGCTTGCCTGTCCTGCATCGGTGTCATCTTCTAAATCTCAAATTACTTGCAACTGGTACATCTGTGAGTTGCTCTTAAAGAGCCAAGCAGTCCTTGTGTTAGTTCAAATCCCTAAGTGTTTTAAGTCTTGCATGTGCCTGGCACTGTATTAAATTCATTGGGGAATACAACTGAAGTCTATGACAAAGTCTCCAGTCCCAAGGAATTTATCTTCTCATTATGAAATCGAAAGACTCATGCCTGGCCATACTGTCCAAAACAATCTACAGAGTCAATGCTTTTCCCATCAAGTTTCCAGTGTCATTTTTTGCAGAACTAGAAAAAAACTATTTTAAAATTCATATGAAACCCAAAAAGGGCTCAAGTAGCCAAAGCAATCCTAAGCAAAAAGAACAAAGCCAGAGACATCACATTACCTGACTTCAAACTACAATATAAGGCTACAGTAACCAAAACAGCATGGTACTGGTACAAAAACAGACACACAGACCAATGAATGGAACAGAATAGAGAACCCAGAAATAAAGCCACACACCTACAGCCATCTAATCTTTGATAAAGTCAACAAAAACAAACAATAGGGAAAGGAGTCCTGATTCAATAAATGCTGCTGGGATAGCTGGCTAGCCATATGCAGTAGAATGAACCTGGATACCTACCTTTCACCATATAAAAAAAAACCCAAGGTGGATTAAATATTTAAATGTAAGACCTCAAACTATAAGAATTCTAGAAGAAAACCTAGGAAACATCATTCTGAACATTTGTCTTACAAAACATTTTATGACTAAGTCTTCAAAAGCAATTGCAACAAAAAAAAATTGACAAGTGGGACCTAATTAAAGAGCTTCTGCACAGCAAAAGAAACTACCAACAGAGTAGAGACAATCTACAGGATGGGAGAAAATATTCACAAACTATACATGTGACAAAGATCAAATATTCAGAATCTATAAGAAACTTAATTCAACAAGCAAAAATAACCTTGTTGAAAAATAAGCAAAAGATATGAACAGATGCTACTTATTTTATTTTATTTTATTTTATTTTATTTTAAGTTCTGAGATACATGTGCAGGACGTGCAAGTTTGTTACATAGGTAAAGGTGTGCCAAGGTGATTTGCTGCACCTGTCAACCCATCGCCTAGGTATTAAGCCCAGCATGCATTAGCTATTTATCCTGATGCTCTCCCTACCCCCACACCCCACTGACAGGCCCCAGTGTGTGTTGTTCCCTTCCTTGTGTCCATGTATTCTCATTGTTCAGCTCCCACTTACAAGTGAGAACATGGGGTGTTTGGTTTTCTGTTCCTGAATTAGTTTGCTGGTGATAACGGCTTCTGGCTCCATCCATGTTCCTGCAAAGGACATGATCTCCTTCCTTTTTATGGCTGCATAGTATTCCATGGTGTATATGTACCAAATTTTCTTTATCCAGTCTATCACAGATGCATGTTTGGGTTGATTCCATGTCTTTGCTATTGTGAATATTGCTTCAATGAACATACACATGCATGTATCCTTATAATAGAATGATTTATATTCCTTTGGGTTTATACTCAGTAATGGGATTGCTGGATCAAATGGTATTTCTAGTTCTAGGTCTTTGAGGAATGGCCACACTGTCTTCCACAATGGTTGAACTAATTTACATTCCCACCAACATTGCAAAAGCATTCCTATTTCTCCACAGCCTCTCCAGCACCTGTTGTTTATTGGCTTTTTAATAATCACCATTCTGACTGGTGTGAGATGATATCCCACTGTGGTTTTGATTTGCATGTCTCTAATGCTCAGTGATGTTGAGCTTTTTTTCATGTTTTTTGGCCACATAAGTGTCTTCTTTTGAGAAATGCCTGTTCATGTCCTTTGCCCAGTTTTTAATGTTAGTGTTTGTTTTCTTGTAAATTTGTTTAAGTTCCTTGTAGATTCTGGATGTAAGACCTTTATCAGATGGATAGATTGCAAAAATTTTCTCCCATTCTGTAGGTTGTGAACAGACGCTTCTTAAAAGAAGACATGTGGCTGGGTGCGGTGGCTCACGCCTGTAATCTCAACACTTTGGAAGGCCAAGGCGGGTGGATCATGAGGTCAGGAGTTCAAGACCAGCCTGGCCAACATGGTGAAACCCATCTCTATTAAAAATACAAAAATTAGCCAGGTGTGGTGGCAGGTGCCTATAATCCCAGCTACTCAGGAGGCTGAGGCAGGAGAATTGCTTGAACCCAGGAGGCAAGGTTGCAGTGAGCTAAGACCACGCCACTGCACTCCAGCACACAGCAAGACTCCATCTCAGAACACAAGCAACCAACAAACATATGAAAAAAATGCTCAATCACCAGAGAAATGCAAGTCAAAACCACAATAAGATACCATCTTATAGCAGTCAGGACGGCTACTATTCAAAAATCTAAAAATAACAGATATTGGCAAGGCTGCAGGGAACATGGAACACTTATACAGAAGGAATGTAAATTAGTTCAGCCACTGTGAAAAGCAGTTTGGAGATTTCTCAGAAAAACTTAAAAGAGAGCTACTATTTGACCCAGTAATCCCATTACTGAGTATATATCCAAAGAAAATCCTTCTGCCAAAAAGACATTTCATCACAATACTATTCACAATAGCAAAGACATGGAATCAACATAGATGCCCATCAATGGTGAATTGGATAATGAAAATGTGGTACATATACACCCTGGAATACAATGCAGCCATAGAAAAGAATGAAATCGTGTCCTTTGCAGCAGCATGGATGCAGCTGGAAGCTATTATCCTAGGCAAATGAACACGGGAACAGAAAACCAACCACCACATGTTCTCCCTTATAAAAGAGGAGCTAAACAATGGTTACTCAAGGACATAAAGATGACAACAGTAGACAATGAGCACTACTAGAGGGAGAAGGGAGGGAAGAGGACAAGTGTTGAAAAACTAATTATTGGATATTATGCTCAGTACCTGGGTGACAAGATCAATCATACCCCAAACCTCTGCATCATGCAATATACCCAGATAACAAACCTGCGCATGTACCCTGTGAATCTAAAATAAAAGATGAAAGTATTAAAGAAAAGAAAAGTACAAAAGAAGAACTTTTATCCCCAAAAAGCAGCATTGCCTTTTACCTTTTAGGGATAAAATTACTCCTTTTATAGTTTTCTACAAAAGAAGAACTAGAATATCACTTTTGCTGGTTGTTTGTTTGTGAAGATTAGATGGCTGTAGGTGTGTGACTTTATTTCTGCGTTCTCTATTCTGTTCCATTGGTCTATGTGTTTGTTTTTGTACCAGTACCATGTTATTTTGGTTACCGTAGCCTTATAGTATAGTTTGAAATCAGGTAATGTGATGCTTCTGGCTTTGTTCTTTTTGCTTAGGATTGCTTTGGCTATTTGCGATCTTTTTTTTTTTTTTAGAATAGTTTCATTTATCAAAGTTAAAAAAATTAAGCATTTTTATATTATGTTATACATGTTAACAGGAAAGTCATCATCATCATCATAATGTATCTACTTTTCTTGAAAAAACAAAAACACAACTAAAATAGAGAACGAAATAAGACTGTAAAATGTTAAGACATGTAATAATTATGATAGAGAGCTGCATTTTAAGTGGATCTCAAAGGAAGGATAGAATTTTGGTAAGTGAAGATTGAGGAAAGGGCACTCATTTTTCTAGCAGTTAGTATTTCATCACCTTCTGAAGATGGAAATGAGAAAACCATATTTGGGGTCAGCAAGAAGATTGGCCTGTTTGTAAAACTGATTGATATGAGGAGCAAAGGGATTGGGACGTGCATTCATAATTTTGGGTGCCTAATACGGCATGACAATATTACTAGTAGATATGGATATGGATGTAGATATGGACAGAGTTACAGATATAGATTCTCACTTAGGCCTTGCAACAACAACCTTTTGTAGTAAAATTAGTATTTCCCCCATTTGCACCTACAAAACTATAACTTGCCTGAAGCCACACAGCTAATAAGTGGTGGTGGGGCCAGGATTCAAACCCAGATTGTTGTTCGTTTTTAATCATCCAGCCCAAAATGTCAACCAGGTCCTTTTGACTGTAAAACTACCTGTGTTGCATAAGGCCTGGATAGGCATGGAAGGTAAAATCAGGTTGAGCCTCAGAAATTATAGTGTTATCTCTTTCACAATCCCAGATCAGGGCAAACATAACAGAGCTGAGAGCTCCAGCACTCTCTGTGATGCTCTGAGAGGCTTCTTCATCTCCCATGGAAGCAAGTGCACTGGCTGTGGTCAGCGGTGCACAAAGCAGTTCAGGTGCCCTTGACCCTTAGTGTCTTAGCTAAAACAGAAGCTAGCCAGATATTAGCATTTAGCCACAGGTTGCTTTACAAGATGGCATAATAAAGAGCTGAGTTCTAACAACTATATAAACAAACTAGAATCTTGCATTAATCCACTTTACAGAAGAAAAAAGCTAATAGCATCTGGTGGCTAAAAACATTCTGCTTAATCTCCTCATGGACTCGTTATCTCCTTTGCCTAACAGCTGCTGGTAATAATTGACTAGAATTTTTTGGCAAATACAGAATCTGAGTACATTATATTTAACTACACCATTATGTTACCACCTAGTGGTTAAATATAAACTAACTTTCCACATTAATGTTATGAGGGAATAAGATCATATGCCCCTGATGTCCTTCCCACCACATCATTTTATTAAATTGAAATCATATCAGAGTCCATTCTCTGTGATAATCAGAAAACACCCCAGGGTTTGCACCTGCTGAACTCTAAGCTCTTTGAAGGAGGAGTATATCTATAGGCATTTAACAAATATGTGTTGAATGAATAAATGAGCTTTCATTTTTCTTCTTAGAACTTGCACTTCTCTGAACCAGCTGTAAAAGAGGTATTTCTCATATATGTAAAATAATAATAGGTAAATGTCTCTTAAGTATATCCTCAGGGATCATAGAGCTACCAGATGAAAATTGATGTGGCTTATGATTTTATCATATAGGTGCTATCAACCCCTTAGTTAATTATATTGAGGAACTAAGATGCTCTTAGCACTATGCTAAAATATATGAGGGAGATATAATTCCTGGTTCCTATTATCAAGCTTACCAGGAATATATAATATACCTAAACCAAAGAATAATGTAAAAACTTTATATAACTAAACAGAAGATGGAGAGTGGTATAAACAATAAATATTTTAGGAAGAGATAATGATGGAGAGGAATGGTGAAAAAAAGCTCCAGGAATGTGGCAGACTACAGTTCTCTGCTCCCACCCTTGTCAGAGCGTTATACAGCCCTTCCCTTGCCTTGCCTCCTCATGGGTGAAGTATGCTTCCACGCTCCAGTGTCAAGCTTGGCCAGGTGACTTGCTCTTGATAATGGAATGTGAGTGGAATGTGTACACTATAAGCAGCCAGAAATTCTAAATGCACATGCTTAGTTCTGTTGGCCTTTGCATTCCTGCCCTCTGTTATAAGAAAAATATGTCCTAGATATACCACAGAAGCTGCCCTTAATGAGCTAGAAATTATCAAATCTACTGAGTCAGAAGGTTAAAAGAGTATGACAGAAAGAAAACATTTTGGACCTGGCCTGAGTAGGTCAGGAGAGCACAGATAAGTTGCATGCTCCAGACTCCAATGTCACTTATTTCTAATGCATAGACATCTTTCCTTCAGCTTAATTCCTCAGGGGCCCTATAATCAACCAATGGAGAAAGAAAATCTCAGGCTTGGTTCACGGATTGATTGCCTTGATATGTTGGTACAAGCTGAAGGTAAACGATGTAAATGGTCTGGAAGGACAGTGAGGAAGTGAAATCCTCCCAATGGGCAGAACTTTGAACAGTATACTCAGTTATTTCTCTCGTATGAAAGGAAAAATGAGATGCACTAGGGCTCCTGTGCAATGGACAATGGATTAACCGATTGATCAGGGTGCTGGAAAAAGCAAGATTGGCAGATTGGAGACAAGTATAGGGAAGAGGCATGTGAATGGACCCATTGGAATGACCACAAAGTGCTTAGATTTGTGTCTCACCTGATGTCCAAGAGGGAGTCATCCACTAACCTGGCAGAGATCCTCTTTCCTTGACCAGGCTCTTTCCTTGGCCACTACTTTGCTTATGCATGGGTCCATGGTGGCCATGATATCAGTGACAAGTGCTATGCAAAGGCCCAACAGCATGGGCTTCCTCTTGCTAAAGCTGATCTAGCTTCTGCCACTGTTGAGTGTTCAATGTGCCAGTAGCAGAGACCAATACTGAGCTTTGATATGGTATCATCTCTTGCAGAGGCTGGCCAGCCACTGTGTGGCTAGTTGAGTGCATCAGATTTCTTCCACCATAGAGGAGGCAGCAATTTGTCCTTACTAAACTGAAACCTATTCTGGATGCATTTTGCTTTCCTTGCCACAGTGCCTCTCCAGGGCTTTACAGAACTCCTGATTTACCAACATGAGGTCCTGCATAGCATCACTGCAGACCAAGGGAATCTACATTACCACGAACCAGCTGTATGACTGCAGACAAGTTATTCACTCTAAGCCTCAATTACCTCATCTATAAAATGAAGAATTTAATAGTAATGTTATGGGATCTTTGGGGTTGTCAATATTCTGGCCAGAAACCTCTGTGACCATAACACTGTTGCCCAAGTTTTTGTCCTGCGTCCAGGAAGAATGAGGTACAAAGACAAGTAAAAGGTGAACAAGATGAAGATGGGCTCCTCTCTGTAGGCAGGTCATCCAGCAAGTGTTCAGGTCTCAGCAGAGGAAGCCCTGGAGAGGATAGTTCGTCTCTGCAACTGGTCATCCCAATATCTGCAGCCCTCAGCCAAGAAGAGACCCTGGAGAGGGAGAGCATGGTTCCTCTTGCAGGCAGGTCGTCTCTGCAGCTCTCAGAGAGAGGGTAGCTCCTCTCTGATGCTGGTCATTCCATCATCTCTAGCTATCAGCAGAGAGGGTACTCCTCTCTGCAGCTGGTCATCTTGTCCTCTCTCTGCCCTCTTCATCCTCTGGCCATCCTCTGCCCTGCTCTGGCTGAGCCCTGGGCTTTTATGGACCTCAGAGGGGAGGAAGTGAATGCCAGTTGGTCCATGGTTGGCCATGGGCTAGCAGAAGAGGATCCATGAGTCCCCACTCCAGTCCAGGGGACTGGCAGCCCAGCCCCCAGCCTTCAGGCCCTCCCTGGCCTGAAAGTGGAGCCTTACTGGGGACCCATCCACTTCCACCCAGGAATCTGTCTGCCATTCATGCCCCTGGGGCTCGGTCCCAACCCTGCTCTGAGATTGGAGTTGCTGCCGGTAGAGAAGAGGTGGCACCAGGCAGCAGGAGCAGACATTTCTGAGCCAGCAGGGGAAGGCGGGCCATTCCCGGCCTGATGATGCTGGCTGCAGAGATACCCAGGTGCTGCACCTGGGGAGCTCCTGCCCCTGCCCTGCCAACTAGGAAGGGGCAGGGCTCCCGCTTGTCCCCAGCTCCTGCCTGCTCCATGGAGTGGGAGGGCCAGGTCTGCAGCTGAGGGTCAGGCAATTTCAGCTGCACCCCAGAGGGCAGATCCTGCCTGCTCCCAGCCTGCCCCAAGAGCACAGGGAGGCTCGGATCCAGAAACCTCTGTATGGGCAGCTGTAGCCCTGCCCAGGAGGGCGTGTCTTCTGCCTGCTCCATAGAGCAAAAGGCCTGGGTCTGCAGCCTTTTTTTGGGAGGCTGCAGCTGCACCCAGGGAGCTCCTGCCCCAACTCAGAAAAGGCAGGGATTCCGCCAGTTCTATGGAGTGTACAGCCCCTGCTGCAACCAGTGTGATGACAGCAGCCACTGGCATCAGTAATTTTATTAATTATAATTTATATAAAGACATTAACATAAAAGTCCATAGTGAATTTCAGTTCTATTTCCTATCTTCATGGTTTATTTGGTCTCCCCACCATAAGCTGGGGGGGGAAAAAGGGTGGTGGAAAACAGTGCCTGAAACCCAATCAATGTTAAGAGTGTGGTCTCAGAGACACCTTGAAGTTATGTGAAGACTAATACCAAATACTGCACTGATAACCTGGCATTCTACTGTCAGGGGCTCTCTCCCTTCAGCTTGAGGCTTATCTAGGAGGAATCCACTTTGCTGCAAATATTTGTTTTAATTATCCTGAACAAAGTTACTACAGAATGTAATATTATGTAATATGATCAAGTAGTTGTAATCTTTAAGACAGGAAATCAACATGGTGATCTGCTCCATTTTCTCCCTGAGGAGGAAAAAAAATGAGAGAAGCTTCCAAGGAAGGTCAGTTAAAGGAGATATGAAAAACCATTTAATTGCACACTTAAAATGGGTGAATTTATGGTATATGAATTATATCTCAATAAAGCTTTTTTAAAAAAAACTATTGAGAAAACCTGTGAGGGAGAAAAAAAAAGGGAGCTATGAAGACAATGACAGATCTTAAGAAATAATTCTAGATTGCCACTAACCTAACAGCTTTCATGGAAATAAACTGTATCATTTTCTCTTCTCTCTTCAATTTGGAATGACTGAATAAAAGTCATTTTATTTCCTTGCCTAGCAAACCTATCCACATTGGTAACTCTAACACCCATTTTTCATAAATATCCAGTACCTGATTCTTTCAGCTGTCCTCCAGTCATGAACCTGCTCATAAGGGCCAGCTGTTACATTTTCAGGCCTTTTGGTCAGTGTTTGTTAAACACAGCCATCAGTAAAAATCAAACTAAACTCAAAATTAAGTAAATTAAATTAAATACATAGGTGATAAATACCCCAAAGTTATCCCTTCCCCTATTACTTTACTACTCTTGTTATTATCTATGCTTTGAAGTGTATTTATATCTATTGAGGTTATTTATGTCTATTGGACAGAAAAAGATCATCCTGTGCAAGAGTCAGGAATGGCAAGAGAAATAGGAAGAAAGGAGGAGGGCATCTGCCACTGTTAGCTACTAGTATTGTTATCACTGCTGCCATTGTTGCTACCAGTAGACACTGAGCCCCACAGTGTATAAGCTATGGCACCCTTAGCAGTTGGCACCCTTCTAAGAGTTCACCCCAAAAGATCTTGCACACCATGGCCCAAGAAAGCCTGGTCACCAACAAGCTAAGAATTCTACAAGGCTCAGAATTTCCAACAAGCTCAGAATTTCCACAAGGTTCTGCTCTGTAGTTTTGGCATTATCTTTTATTTCTCCTTCCAAATATAGCAATAGTGTTTTGCAGCCCCTTAGAATGTGTTGCACTCATCTATTGTAGATGGCAATGGTTTGTCCACCAGCTTGGTTCCCTCCTCTACTCTAAGAGAGATTGAGCTCCAGTAGAATCTGTCTGTATTAGTCTATTCTCACACTGCTATAAAAAAAATACTTGAAACTGGGTAATTTATTAAAAAAAAAAAGAGGTTTAATTGGCTCATGGTTCCACAGCCTAGACAGGAAGCATGACAGCATTTGCTTCTGGGGAGGCCTCAGGAAGCTTTTACTCATGGTGGAAGGCAAAGTGGGAGCAGGCATCTTCACATGGCCAGAACAGGGGGAAGAGAGAGAGGAGGCAGGAGCAACACATTTTTATTATAAACAACAAGCTCTCATGATAACTCACTCACTATCATGAGAACAGCACTGAAGGGATTAATTTTAGTTCTATTTCCTATCTTCCTGGTTTATTTGGTCTCCCCACCATAAGCTGGGGGAAAGAAAGTGTGGTGGAAAACAGTGCCTGAAACAAATGGGTGCTAACCCATTTGTGAGAACTCCATTCCCATTATCCAATCACTTCCCAACAGGCCCCACTTCCAACACTGAGGATTACAATTGAACATGAAATTTGGGTGGGGACACAGATCCAAACCATATCATTCTGCCCCTGGCCCCCGCAAATCTCATGTCCTTCTCACATTGCAAAATACAATCATGCCTTCGTAACAATCCCCCAAAGTCTTAACTCATTCTAACATTAATTTGAAAGTCCAAAGTTCAAAGTTTCATCTGAGACAAGGCAAGTCCCTTCTGCCTATGAGCCTGTAAAATGAAAAATAAGTTAGTTACTCCCAAGATTCAATAGGAGCACAAGTATTAGGTAAATACTCTTATTCCAAAAGGGAGAAATTGCCCAAAAGAAAGGGGCCACAGGCCCCGTGCAAGTCTGAAACCTAGAAGGGTAGTCATTAAATCTTAAAGCTCCAAAAATAACCTCTTTTGACTCCATGTCTCACATCCAGAGAACATCGGTGTGAGGGGTGGGCTCCTAAAGCCTTTAGGCAGCTCCACCCATGTAACTTTGCAAGGTTTGGCCCACACAGCTGCTCTCATGGGCTGGTGTTGAGTGCCTACAGCTTTTCCAGGCACAGGGTGCAAGCTGTTGATAGATCTACCATTCTGGGATCTGGAGGACAGTGGTCCTCTTCTCACAAATACATTAGGCAGTGCTCCAGTGGGGACTCTGTGTGGGGGCTCCAATCCCAGATTTCCCTTCTGCACTGCCCTAGTAGAAGTTCTCCATGAGGGCTCTGCCACTGCAGCAAGCTTCTGTCTAGACATCCAGGCTTTTCATCCTCTGAAATCTAGGCAGAAGCTTGCAAGCCTCAACTCTTACACTGTACACACCCACAGGCTTAACACCATGTGGAAGCTGCCAAGGCTTATGGCTTATATCCTCTGAAGCAGCAGCCTGAGCTGCTGGGCTCCTTTTATCCATAGCTGGAGCTGGAACTGCCTGGATACAGACAGCAGTGTCCCGAGGCTATGCAGAGCACTGGCGCCCTGGGCCTGGCCCCAGAAACCATTCTTCCTCCTAGGCCTCAGGCCTAAGATGGGAGGGGCTGCCACAAAGTTCTCTGAAATGCCTTGGAGGCCTTTCCCATTGTCTTGAATATTAGCACTTAGCTGTTTTTTCCTTATGAAAATTTCTATAGCTGGTTGAATTCCTCCCCCAGAAAATGGGCTTTTCTTTTCTACCACAAGATCAGGCTGCAAATTTTCCAAACTTTTACACATTGCTTCCCTTTTAAATATAAGTTCCAGTTTCAGATCATTTCTTTGCTCATGCATATGAACCTATATTGTTAAAAGCAGCCAGGCCACATCTTGAATGCTTTGCTGCTTAGAAATTTTTTCTACCAGATACCCTAAATCATCACTCTCAAGTTCAAAGTTCCACAGATCCCCAGGGCAGGGACACAATGCCTCCAAGTTCTTTGCTAAAGCATAACAAATATGACCTTTACTCCAGTTCCCAATAAGTTTCTCATCTCCCATCTGAGACCTCATCAGCCTGGACTTTGTTATCCATATCACTACCAGCATTTTGGTCACAACAATTTGCCAAGTCTCTAGGAAGTTCCAAACTTTCCCTCATCTTGCTGTCTTCTTCTAAGCCTGTCACACTCTTCCAACCTCTGCCCTTTACCCAGTTCCAAAGTCACTTCCACATTTTCAAGTATCTTTACAGCAATGCCCCACTCCTCAGTACCAATTTTCTGTATTAGTCCATTCTAGCGCTCTTGTAAAGAACTACCTGAGACTGGATAATTTATAAAGAAAAGAGGTTTTATTGGCTCACAGTTCTGCAGCCTGTACAGAAAACATGGCAGCATCTGCTTCTGGGGAGGCCTCAGGAAACTTGTACTCAGGGCAGAAGGCAAAGTGGGAGCAGACATCTTCATATGGCTGGAAGCAGGAGGAAGAGAGACAAGAGGGAGGTGCTACACACTTTTAAACAACCAGATCTCATGAGAACTCACTCACTCACTATCATAAAAACACCACCAAGGAGATGGTGCTAAACCATTCATGAGAACCCTATCCCCATGATCCAGTCACCTCCCACCAGACACCACCTCCAACACGGGATTACAATCAAACACGAGATTTGGGTGGGGACACAGGTCCAAACAGTATCACTATCCAACTTGCATTTTTTTCTTTTACTAATCTAATAATTCTAATGGATATAATAGATCACAGGTTATGATATCATTGCTTGGCTATTTTTGTTAGTTAACAATAAATATCTTTAAGCTTTTATCATATTGTAAACCTTCTGAAGTTTCCATAAATTATAAACGTAATTATCACACCAAATGGCCTCTTTCCCTCAGGTTCTCTTGAAACATCCTTTTGGTCTCACCTATATTACTTCTCCCTTCAGGATCCTCTAACCTTCGAAACTTTTTGTAAATCGAAAGGCCTTTGAAGAATAATATGAGGCATATTCATTAACTCCTTATCTTCTTTCTACTTATTTCAACTCTGTACCCACCTCCTGCTCCAGGAAGCCTCCCCTAATCGCTTCAGCTCTGTCTTGAGCCACCTGTGGGAAATGGAGTGAAGTGGTTAAAGGAAACGGTTTGGTCTTTGGTTTGTTTAGGGCTCATACACCAGGCATGGAGACTTCTCTTCTGTGGGAGGGACATCTTTCTTCTTGATGGGTATGGAGTTGAATAGGTAATTACTTTTAAGGACAAGTTCACCAATTTCCATAATCAATATGTGTCTAAAAAGATAAAAGCAGCAAAAATCGGGAATAAATATATAAAATAGTTTTAAATTTTTAAATGTATGAAGTGAATATATATTCCATTAAGGTAGTCCATTGTTAAGTGTTTTTAATGACCACAGTATCTTTGTCCCATCTCTGTCTTCTTTTTTTATTTTTCCACCGTGTGTCCATTGTGTTCCAGATACTACGGGAGGCACTTGGCACAGATTGGCTGATTTACTTCTAACCAAAGGGGGAAGTGAGGCCACAAAGGTGGGGGTAATTTCCCCAAGGCCAAAAAAGCTCAGCAGTAACAAAGTTGGTATTAGACCCTTGATGTGTCTCATTCCAAAACCCAGGATTTTGTAATAGTATTAATATGCATTTTTACTAATACGATTCTTATTACTTCTAATAATCCCACCTGATTCTTCAACATCCTCACAGTGTTTTTTTTCTAGGGGTGCTACAAAGAACAAGTAGGAAGTGAATTTCTTCAGAGGTTGCTTCCTAGCTTATTATTGTGAACTTTACCTCAGTATCTATTTCTTGGGGTAATTTAGATACGCCCTCCTCCCCTCCCGTCCCGGCTTGGTTCAGAGCTCCTGCCCTACCCAAAATGGACAGCAGGGGCAGGGCGCTCAGCCTTCAGCCCTCCCTCACTCTGCAGCATGTGTGGTTTTAGGGTTTGATGCTACCCTTTTTTAGGTTTCCAAAGCACCTTTCTCAAAAGGAAAGTTTAAGGAGAAGGAGAGAGGGGGAAGAAGTAGAAAAGATTGAAGAGACGCTCCAGAGAGAACGTGCCATCGTCACTCAGGCTTGCTGTGGGGAGCACGTAAATAGCACGAATGAAAAACAACAGTGTGGCTAAAGGGGTAGTGGTATTGTGCGGTGCCACGGGGACGCCTCTATTTTCCACATCTGCCTTTTAATATTTGATGTTATCATGAGAAGGGCGCTTCCTCTACATAAACCTCAGTCTTCTCATCTGTAAAACAGTAGAAATAATACCTGCCCTGCCAATTTCATGGGAGTATTGCAAGGATCAAATAAAACAATGAGAGTGAACATACCCTGAAGTGTCAAATCTTGTGTAGGTCTGGACTACTGCTATCAATGTGGAGAGTGGGGTGGCATGGAGGGGAGATAAGGAAGGTAATAGCCAACATATACTGAGTGCTGACCTTGTGCCAGGCCATGTTTCAAGAGCTCCATGTGTACTGAGAAACCTAAGACGGTAACACAAGGGTCACAGACAAGAACTATGAACCATCTGCCTTGCTGAGCCACCCAGATGGAAGCAGTGACCGACATTTTTTTTTTTTTTTTTTTTTTGAGACGGAGTTTTGCTTTTGTTGCCCAGGCTGGAGTGCAATGGCGCGATCTTGGCTCATCAGCAACCTCCGCCTCCCGGATTCAAGCGATTCTCCTGCCTCAGCCTTCCCGAGTAGCTGGGATTACAGGCATGCACCGCCACGCCCGACTAATTTGGATTTTTAGTAGAGACTAGGTTTCTCCATATTGGTCAGGCCAATCTCAAACTCCCGACCTCAGGTAATCCACCCGCCTTGGCCTCCCAAAGTGCTGGGTTTACAGGCGTGAACCACCAGGGCCGGCTGTGACCAACATTTTTAATAAAAGAAAAAGAAAAAATAACTGTCTTTGGAGATGAATAAACTCAGTCCTGCCACTAACTGCATCAATCTATTACTACATAATATTTCTAAGTTTTGCTTTTCTTTCAGTAAAATGGAAATAACAATACCCACTGTGATGCAAAAAATTATATGAGATAATGCAGTTCCTTCCTCATTTTTTCCCATATTCTTTTTGCTCTGGTAGTTTCTTACCATTGATAGAGCAGAAAACACAGTTCCAAATTTGTGAGGGTGGAGGCTCCAGCCCCTACAACCTCATTCTATGGAGGACCATGTCCAGCCACAGAGCCACAATCCCGTGAGGTCTGTTAGGACCAGTTCCACAGCATGCTCATTTCCCTGCCTACATGGATTTCTGAGCACGATAATACATTGCACACACCTCAAAACAAAAACTCCTTAATCAAGAAAATGTTTTAAAGGAAAAATGAATGGCGGGGGAGACTCTGTATTCTCATACTGAGCACCCTTCACAATTGTCTGGAAATCTTGGTTTCAAATAAGCTGCCTTACTAGTTATCCATCCTCAACTTCGAATGTGTCAAATTGAGTGTTCTCATTCTGGGGTTAAAAATAAGGTCACACTACTTTTTATAATTAGAAATCTCTTCTTTTAAAAAAATTCTAACTTATTAAGTAGAAATTACTTTTAGATTAATTTGGTCTACATTACTGTTAAGAAAAATTATCCAAAACTTGGGAATTAGACAGAAGGAGAACTGCATGCCCTTTTTCTTTTTTTTTCTTTTTTTTTTTTTTTTTTTGAGACAGAGCCTTGCTCTGTTGCCCAGGCTGGAGTACAGTGGCACGATCTGGGCTCACTACAAGCTCCGCCTCCCGGGTTCACGCTATTCTCCTGCCTCAGCCTTCCCAGTAGCTGGGACTACAGGTGCCCGCCACCATGCCCAGCTAATTTTTGTTGTATTTTTAATAGAGACAGGGTTTCACCATGTTAGCCAGGATGGTCTCGATCTCCTGACCTCGTGATCCGCCCGCCTTGGCCTCCCAGAGTGCTGGGATTACAGGCATGAGCCACCGTGCCCGGCCTGCATGCCCTTTCAATGTGAGACTGAAGCTTTGTTTAACAGGCTCACCCCAAAATTACTTGATTCTCTAGTAGACATACCTTTGTTTGACTTGCTATTTATTATTGATTGGGGCCCAGATACTGTGAGGTTAGATGATAACTTGCAGATTTTCATTAGGTAGCAATGCAAACAATTCCTATACTATAGAAAGGAGAACCACAAAATTATGGTTTTATTGGCCAGTATGATAGTAACCCAGGTTTGCGTATAACCTGGCATTCAACATTCTTTCCTCAGTGCCTAAAACTTCTTCAAATGATCTTGACACCAGTTTTACCATCTTGTTGATCCCCTTATTAACAAGCTTAATAAACCTTTGATGTATGTTCATTCTATTTTTGTATGAGTATTTTGTTTTGTTTTGTTTTGAGACAGAGTCTTGCTCTGTGGCCCAGGCTAGAGTGCAGTGGCACAATCTTGGCTCACTGCAACCTTAGCCTCCCAGGCTCAAGCAATTCTGCCTCAGCCTCCCGAGTGAGTAGCTGGAACTACAGACATGCACCACCATGCCTGGCTAATTTTTGTATTTTTAGTAGAGATAGGGTTTCATCATGTTGGCCAGGCTGGTCTTGAACTCCTGGCCTCAAGTGATCCACCTGTCTTGGCCTCCCAAAGTGCTGGGATTACAGGCGTGAGCCACTGCACCCAGCCAAGTATGAGTATATTTTTCATTTTTAAAGAATTATTCTTTGACATTCCTTTCCCTCCCCTATTTTCCACCACTGCATCAGTGAATGATAGGATAATAAAATTCCTGATTGTATATCACAGACCAGAAGTGGCTGCAATAAACAAACAGTCTGATTCTGTAACCACTGCCAGAAAAAATAATTAGCTATTCTGTACTAAAATGAAATGTATTATCTTTAAGACAATCTCCATAATCTAATATGTATACATCAAATAACTACTTTCTGAAGGTCATCTCATCCTGTTCCTGAAGGTATATTTTGCAGATTTACATTCTAGTATAAACACCAGGAGGCAGAGTTACTCATGATTTCTTCATCTATTGAGCATTAATTTCTTGTGGGCATCCTATTTGCCACGGACTGCTCTGGCTGCCAGGGTTGCAGCAATTAACACAGTAGACCAAGTCCTTCTACTCATGGAGCTTACATTCCAGTCAGGAAAAAGATAATAAATAAACAAGTAAACATAAAGGATCTCAGATGGTGTTAAGTACAATGGAGAAAATGAAGTGGAATGTAGGAGATAGAGAATGTGGGGCATGGGAAAGCAACTACTTTATAAAGAGGAATCACAGAGGGCCTTAGCTGGATGGGGACATTGGAACGGAGAAGGTGAGAGTGTTCCAAGGGAAAGGAACAGCAAGTGCCAAGGCTCAGAGGAAGAAGGGATGGAAGGCCTTAGTAGACACAGTAATAGCTATGAATCCTACTATGCTGATTAGAGGGATTTGAGCAGAGGAAGGACCTCGCCTTTTTAAAACAGTCTGCCTACTGTGTTGAGAACAGGCTGTAGGGGAGAAAGGTAGAAGCCAAGTGACCAGCTATGAGGTCATTGTCAGTGGCCTAGTGAGAAGTGATGGCAATTTACTCAAGGATGGGGATGGTAGAGGAGGACAGACTATGCATGTATTTTGAAGACAAAGCCTACAGAATTCCTAATGGCTGAAAGGAAAAAGAAAGGAATTAAGAATAACAGCCAGATCGATTGAAATTATGGAGCTGTCACTTAATAGAATGGGAAGACTATAGGAGAATAACTTGGGAGTAGTGTCAGGATTTCATGTTTGGACAGATTTAATTTGACATACCTATTAGACATTCAAATAGAAATTTCTGGCAGGCAGTTGGATATATGAGTCTGCAGTTCAGAGGAGAGGTCCAAGCTGGAACATCAATCAATGTGGGTCTTCTTTCAAATGTGAGTATGTAAAGCCAGGAGAACAGATGAAATAAGGAAATGAGTATAGAAACAGAAGTCTAAGAAATGAGCCCTGAGGCATTCAAATGGTCAGCTATGTGGGAAATGAGGACAACAAAGAAAGCTAAGAAGAAGCAACAAGAGAAAAACAATAGCAGTGATATCCTGGAAGCCAAGTAAAGACAAGGTTTCAAAAAGTAAGTCATGATACAGGTACTCAAATAGATACTTGTATTCCAACCTTCATAGCAGCATTATTCACAATAGCCAAAAAGTGGAAACAACTCAAATGTCCATCAACAGATGAATGGATAAACAAAATGCAGAATATACATACAATGGAACATTATGCAGCCTTAAAAAGGAAGGAAATTCTGACACATGCTTCAACATGGATGAAACTCAAAGGCACTATGTTAAGTGAAATAAGCTAAACACAAAATGACAAATATTGTATGACTCTATGTATATGACGTACTAGAATAGGCAAATTTATAGAGATAGAACTTATAATGGTGTTGCCTGGGGATGGGGAATGGAGGAATAGAAGTTATTGTTTAATGGATAGAGTTTGATGTGATAAAAAAAAAAAGTCCTGGAAATGGACAGTGGCAATGAGTACACTAAATGTAAATGTACTTAATGCTACTGAATTGTACACTTAAAAATAATTTAAGTGGTCAATTTTGTGTTATTTGTGTGTATATTTTACCATAATTAAAATAAATATATACACATATTTATATATAGGCATGCCATGATCAACTTTATCAAATGCTGTTGTGAGTCAAGCATATCAGTTGTTTATTGCTGCATTAAAAAGCACCCCAAAATCTAGCGACTTAAAGCAACCATTTTATTACTCATGATTCTGGGGGTCAGCAATTCAGATTGGGCTCAGCTATGTGGTACACCTGCTAGTCTTGCTTGGGATCACTTACACAGCTGCAGTCAGACACCAGGTTGGCTGGAAGCTGGTTATTTCCTGATAGCCTTGTTCACAGGCCTGGTGGTTAATGTGGGCAGCTGCACCTTGACTCTCCTCCACATGACCTCTCCAGCAGGTTAGCCCAGACTTCTTTTTTGGCAACTGGGCTCCAAGAGAGCAAGAACCAATGCTCAAGTGCTTGTCAAGCCTCTGCTTGCTTCAGACTTGCTGATGTCCCATTGGTCAAAGCAAGTCCCATGGCCAAGTACAGAATTAATGAGAGAAGAAAGCACACAATGCATGGATCCTGAGACGTATGAATCTTTGGGGGCCAGCCATGTAACCATCTACCACAGTCAAGTAAGGTGGAGATTAAGAATTGGTCATTCCGTTTAGCAACATGGACTTTCCTGATGACCTTGACAAGTTCTGCTGCAGAAAAGCATTGGAAGACAAAACATGATTAGAGAATGTTCAAGGGAAAGATGGGAGAGAGGCACAGTAGACAGCAAGAACAAAGGGATTTTGGCTGGGTGAAGTGACTAACACCTGTAATACCAGCATTTGGGGAGGCCAAGGTGGGCAGATCACTTGAGGCCAGGAATTCAAGACCAGCCTGGCCAACATGGTTAAACCCCATCTCTACCAAAAATACAAAAAATTAGCCATGTGTGTTGGCACATGCCTGTAATCCCAGCTACTCAGGAAGCTGAGGCAGGAGAATTGCTTGAACCCAGAAGGTGGAGGTTGCAGTGAGCCAAGATTGTGCCACTGTATTCCAGCCTGGGTGACAGAGCAAGACTCTGTCTCAGAAAAAAAAAAAAAAATGGGTTTTTGTGGTAAAGGCAGCAAAGAAAAGGTACTTGGAGGGAGTTATGAGGTAAATATGGTTTTTTTTTAATATTTGGTAAAATGTTTTCTTTTAAATAAGTGATATCACAACATGTTCCTCTGCTGACAGGAATGACCCAATAGATGGTGTCTTAATCAGTTTTATGTTACTATAACAGAATACCTGAAACTGGGTAATTTTAAAAGAAAAGAGGTTTGTTTAGCTTATGGGTCTGCAGGCTGGGAAGTCCAAGTTTGGGCAGCTCATCCAGTGAGGGCACCATGCTTCTTCAAGTCATGGAGCAAGAAAGGGGGAAGCTGAGAATGCACAAAGGAACTGTAAGCCAGAAATAAAATTATACATCCCTCACTGACTAAATGGACCCCCCTCTTGGCCAAGGGGACCTGAAAGAAACCTGAAAAACTAGTTCAGACCATAATGGGAAGGAGAGGTAGGACAGGCCTCATTATACCCTACTCCTTTTGGAGTTTAGGCACAACTGGACAGCATTAATATTAAAATAGAGATCACAAGACTGAAAAACAGACTCATTGCAGCAATAAGATACCAAATTCCAACCTGACTCTGGAATAGCATCACATGACAGATTGTTAACCCTGAA
Source organism: Homo sapiens (assembly GCF_000001405.40). Classification (NCBI taxonomy): domain Eukaryota; kingdom Metazoa; phylum Chordata; class Mammalia; order Primates; family Hominidae; genus Homo; species Homo sapiens. The sequence goes on from NC_000001.11 coordinate 166,828,968, forward strand.
GGAAATCGAAATATTTTACCCCAAAATACAGTCTTTTGACATATTTTGAAATGGCCCTGCAAAGCTGTCTCTTGTGGGGGAAAATTTGCATTCTGTAGAGAATCCCCTCCCCTTACCCAGTCTATTCTGGAGAACCTAACACCTTTTAAGATCCAATAAGAGACATTTACCATCTATTCTCTCTGAAGCCTGGAGGCTTCATCCATATGACAAGAATCTTCGCTTCTACAACCCCCCCATCTTAACTCAAGCATTTCTTTTTGCTAACTTCAACTCTTCAGGCAAAGCCTCTTTCAACCAGTCACCAATTAGGAAATTTTTGAATCCACCTGATGTGGTTTGGCTCTGTGTCCCCACTCAAATCTCATCGTGAATTGTACTCCCATAATTCCCACATATTGTGAGAGGGAACCATTGGGAGATAATTGCATCATGGGGGTGGTTTCCCTCATACTATTCTCGTGGTAGTGAATAAGTCCCACGAGATCTGATGGTTTTATCAGGGATTTCCGCTTTTGCAGCTTCCTCATTTTTCTCTTGCTGCTGCCATGTAAGAAGTGCCTTTTAGTCCAGGCACAGTGGCTCATGCCTGTAATCCCAGCACTTTGGGAGGCCGAGGCAGTGGATCACCAAAGTCAGAAATTCGAGACCAGCCTGACCAATATGGAAAAACCCCATCTCTACTAAACATACAAAATTAGCCAAACATGGTGGCGCATATCTGTAATCCCAGCTACTCAGGAGGCTGAGGCAGGAGAATCGCTTGAAACCAGGAGGCAGACATTGCAGTGAGCTGAGATCGTGCCATTGCACTCCAGCCTGAGCAACAAGAGCAAAACTCCATCTTGGGGGAAAAAAAAAAAGTGCCTTTTGCCTCCTGCTGTGATTCTGAGGCCTCCCCAGCCATGTGGAACTGTAAGTCCAATTAAACCTCTTTTTCTTCCCATTCTTGGGTATGTCTTTATCAGCAGTGTGAAAACAAACTAATACAGTAAATTGGTACCAGGAGTGGGGTATTGCTAAAAAAGATACCCAAAAATTTGGAAGCAACTTTGGAACTTGGTAACAGGCAGAGGTTGGAACAGTTTGGAGGGCTCAGAAGAAGACATGAAAATGTGGGAAAGTTTGGAACCTCCCAGAGATTTGTTGAATGGCTTTGACAAAAATGCTGATAGTAATATGAACAATAAGGTTCAGGCTGAGGTGGTCTCAGATGGAGATGAGGAACTTTCTGGGAACTGGAGCAAAGGTGGCTCTTGTTATGTTTTAGCAAAGAGATGGCAGCATTTTGCCCCTGCCCCAGAGATCTGTGGAACTCTGAACTTAAGAGAGATGATTTAGGGTATCTCATGGAAGAAATTTCTAAGCAGCAAAGCATTCAAGAGGTAACTTGGGTGTTGTTAAAAGCATTCCATTTTAAAAGGAAAACAGAGCATAAACGTTCAGAAAATTTGCAGCCTTACAATGCAGTAGAAAAGAAAAACCTATTTTCTGAGGAGAAATTCAAGCTGGCTGCAGAAATTTTCAAAAGTAACAAGAAGCCAAATGTTAATCCCCAAGACAATGGGGAAAATGTTTCTAGGGCATGACACAGGTCTTCATGGCAGCCCCTCCCATCATAGACCTGGAAGCCTAGGAGGAAAAAATGGTTTCGTGGGTGGGCCCAGGGTCCCCATGGTGTGTGCAGCCTAGGAACTTGGTGCCCTGCATCCCAGTCACTCCAACCATTGCTAAAAGGGGCTACGGTACAGCTCAGTCCATGGCTTCAAAGGGTGCAAGCCCCAAACCTTGGCAGCTTCCACATGGTGTTGAGCCTGCAGGTGCACAGAAGTGAAGAACTAAGGTTGGGAACCTCCACCTAGATTTCAGAAATGTATGGAAACTCCTGAATGCCCAGGCAAAAGTTTCCTGTGGGGGTGGGGTCCTCATGAAGAACCTCTGCTAGGGCAGTGCAGAAGGGAAATGTCAGAGCCCGCACACAGAGTCCCTACTGGGCACCACCTAGTGGAGCTGTGAGAAGAGGGCCACTGTCCTCCAGACCCCAGAATGGTAGATCCACCGACAGCTTGCACTGTGCACCTGGAAAAGCTGCAGATACTCAATGCCAGCTGTGAAAGCAGCCAGATGGGGGGTGCTATACCCTGCAAAGCCACAGGAGTGGAGCTGCCCAAGACTATGGAAACCTACCTCTTGCATCAATGTGACCTGGATGTGAGGCATGGAGTCAAAGGAGATCATTTTGGAGCTTTAAACTTTGACTGCCCAGCTGGATTTTGGACTTGCATGGGTCCTGTAACCCCTTTGTTTTGGCCAATTTCTCCCATTTGGAATGGCTGTATTTACCCATTACCTGTACCCTTATTGTACCTAGGAAGTAACTAGCTTGCTTTGGATTTTATAGGCTTATAGGTAGAAGGGATTTGCCCTGTCTCAGATGAGACTTTGGACTGTGGACTTTTGGGTTAATGCCGAAATGAGTTAAAGCTAGGGGGACTGTTGGGAAGGCATGATTGGTTTTGAAATGTGAGGATGTGAGATTTGGAAGGGCCAAGGGCAGAATGATATGGTTTGGCTCTGTGTCCCGACTCAAATCTTATCTTGAATTGTATTCCCATAATTCCCATGTAGTGAGGGAGAGATCCAGTGGGAGATAATTGAATCCTGGTGGTAGTTTCCCCCATATTTTTCTTGTGGTAGTGAATAAGTCTCACGAGATATGATGGTTTTATCAGGGGTTTCCACTTTTGCATCTTGCCAATTTTTCTCTTGCCACCACCATGTAAGAAGTGTCTTTTGCTTCAGGCCATGATTCTGAGGCCTCCCTAGCCATGTGGACCTGTTCAGTTAAACCTCTCTTTCTTCCCAGTCTCAGGTGTGTCTTTATCAGCCGCATGAAAATGAACTAATACACCACCTAAGACCTGGAAGCCCCCGTCACTTTGAGAAGTCCTGCCTTTGTGGGCTGAACCAAGGTATATCTTCCATGCATTGACTTATGTCTTTGCCTATAGCTTCTGTCTCCCTAAAATATATAAAACCAAGCTGTAACCCAACCTCGGGCACATGTTCTCAGGGCCTCCTGAGGCTGTGTCACAGGCCGTGGTCCTTAACCTTGGAAAAACTAACCGCTAAATTAATCTGACCTGTCTCAGATACTTTTTGGTTTACTCTGTTAAATCTTCTCTCTTCCTGCCAGAGTGAGAACTCATTCACTCCGTTGAACATCATGAATCTTTCATGAAGGTGGATACCTCAAGACCCAAACTTCTCTCAACACAATCACATTGTCAAGGACAAGTCACATCCAAACCATAGCAGATGAGAAATTATATTCATGGGACTATTACTCTTCTATAACTTCTACAAGACAACTTGTTACAGTAGGTAGCTAGTCAAGCATTAGCAGGGCAGGACAGGGCTCCCCCAACCCACCAGGAATATCAGGCAACCATCAGGTGATAGTCTGGCAGTTGGCACCCTGCCTCTCTAAAATGATAATTGGCAAGCCCACTTGCCTAATTCCTGAGATCTTATTGGAAGCTGCCAATTACCAATTTCATGTATTTCATCTATTGACAAACTGCCTCTCCCTGGTGCTGGCTGCGACCAGAGCATGTACATTAAGAGGCAAAATGGTAGAGTATGAACTTCCAAGGGCATTCCACCGGAAAGGGGAAGAAAGCCTCAGGTGAGCCTGCATACAACTCCAGTAAACACACCATGCATGCTCACCTACCAAGCACAAGCAGGGCACCACTCTTGCTGGCAGCTCACCCTAAGGGAAGAATGAAGGGAAAGGGGAGCAAGATGCCTGAAGTAGGCCAGTATATAAAATCCTAGGTTCAACGTTAAACCAAGCACTTGACCTCCAAGATGCCCACTTGGGTCTCTTCCAAGTATACTTCCCTGCTCTAAAGCTTTTTGATAAACTTCAACTCCTACTCTGAAACTTGCTTTGGTCTCTTTTTTCTGCCTATGTCCTTCTGTCAAATTCTTTCTTCTGAGGAGGCAAGAATTGAGGTTGCTGCAGACCCATATGCATTTGCTGCCAGTAACTGGGATATTTGCCACTGCTAACAAACTGTTAACATATACTTAAAATTTTTCCAGATCAAAATTATTTTACCATGCTTGAGGTTTAGAACTTTAGGGATTCCACCAAACATGTACTGATCTAAAATTACTTATGAAGAAAAGTCTGACTTTGTCTACAGATGCCTTTTTATCCAGGCCACTTAATTTTTGTAATTTTGTAGTTAGATATCAACTCTTCCTCCGCTGAAGTGGATTCCAAAGCACTTAGAATCTTCCGGTGGGCAATATAAGACACCAGCATTTCGCTCTCTCATTAGAGAAGTGTCTCCTTTCTAGCTCCTAGCAAAAGCTAGGCTGGGAACAATGACATTTAGAGAAGACTAAACAACAAGTAAGCACCCATTTACTCCTCCAAAATCTCTAAATTCATTCCTTCAGTGAAAGTTTGGACACCTAATGGATAAATATTACATTTAATATATTTATCACCTTACTTAGTTATCTTCACTGAGCCACAAGTTGATGTCATTCCCTCAGCTTTTCCTAAGAAACAACCATTTTCATCAGTTATATGTGTTTGATGAAAATTTCAAGTGATTTTCATTCTCTTCCATGAGTAAAAGAATTTTTTTCTAATAAGAGAAGCAGTTTCCAGTCCAAGCATATAAAGAGCTTAGAAGTAGTAACTCCCATCCTCACAAGAAAAAATGCTGAACAAACTGAAAATTAACATTTTTTTTTAGATCCATCAGAAAATGGAGGTCACAGGGCAAGTTGCCACCTCAACATATGGAGAGATGGGGGATATAGAGAATCATGGCTTACAGGTGCAGAAGCCACTGCTGGAGCCTGTATGGTAGGAACACTTGTCAGAGGCTCAATGTGGACCCGCAGGCAAGGTAACCTCTCCCCACCAGGGGAGGGGCAGTTGTAGTGGAGCCCCCACATATTCAGAAGTTTTACCCCCAGAAGCTCCATCAGGTTCTCAGGGTTAAAATCAGAGAATGTTCCCCTAATGCTTCTGGCAAGGAGAACGGGACATCTAACCCTTTTGAAACAATCCCAGAGCATTCTGTTCTCAACTACAGCCTGCCCTCAAGGGAAACTATTTTATCAGAGCCTAACCAACATGGGTTTTACCAGAGTCTACCAGACCTGGGGAAGGGAAATGCCAAAATCCAGCCCGCTCTTCCTGTCTCACTTAGTGGGGAATGGGAGGAAGCTGAGAAGCCCTTGTGAAGGTCCCAGCCCAGGGACACAGGCTCACTAAGACTGAGACCTAATCTTAGGATCAAAGAATGCTTCTTCTCCCTCCAAATCCTACCACCATGTCAATCAGGCACCTGTCTAGTAACAGCGGCTTACAGATAAAAGAAATGCAAGCCTCAGACTGTATTTAGGAAAGAGTCTACAGAAATCCAAAGACGGCAGTGCAGACAAAAACACAGGCATGAGAGGAAATTTTAGACTCCAACACTACAAGCACAGCAAACAATAAACCCAGCCTAACTCCCAGCCACATATACATGAAACCTCACACTGAAGGCCTATTCATCTCAGTTCCTTTTACCTAATAGATCTAGTCTGGTTTTCAACAAAAAAAATTACAAGGCATGGTAAAGGGCAAAAACAAAAACACACAGTTTGAAAAGATAAAGCAAGCATTAGAACCAGATTCAGACATGGCAGATAGTTGGGAATTATGAAAATTGAGATTTAAAATAACTATGATTAATATGCTTAGAGATCTAATGGAAAAAGTAAACAACAAAGAAGAACAAATGGGTAATGTCAGCAGAGAGATGGAAGTTGGAAGAAAGAGGAAATTCTAGAAATAAAAACTATCATAACAGAAATAACGAATGTTTTAATGGGCTCATTAGTGGACTGGACACAGCCAAGGAAAGAATCAGTGAACTTGAAGATATGTCAAAAGAAACTTCCCAAACTGAAAATTAAAAAAAAAAAAAAACAGAAAAGAAAAAAATACCAGAACTATGGGAAAATTACAAAAGGTATAATACACACATAATGGAAATACCAGAAGGAGAAGACAGAAAGAGAGAAACAGAAAAAAATAGCTGAGAATTTCCCATAATTAGCAATTGACACCAAACCAAACAGATCCAGGAAACTCAGAGAACACCAAGCAGAATAAATATCAAAAAGTTTACACCTAGAAATATCATACCTGTGATGGCTAATTTTATATGTCAACGTGACTAGGCTAAGAGATGCTCAGATAGCTGGTAAAACATTATTTATGGGTGTTCCTGTGAGGGTATTTCTGGAAGAGATTAGTATTTGAATTCGCCCTCACCAACATAGGCAGGTATCACCCAATCCACTAAGGGTCTGAACAGAACAAAAAGTTTTTATTGAGCTGGGTGTCCATCTTCTCTTGCCCTCAGACACTGGAGCTCCTGGTTCTCAGGCCTTCACACTCAGGTTGAATTATAACACCCAGCTTTCCTGCCTCTCCAAATTGCAGACAGCACACTATGAGACTCAGCCTCCATAATCACATGAGCCAATTCCCTTCTTCTTCTTTCTTCTTCTTCCTTCCTTCCTCCTCCTTCTTCTGCTTCTGCTTCTTCTCCTTCTCCTCCTTCTCCTTCTTCTCTCTCTCTCCCTCCCTTCCTCCCTCCCTCCTTCCTCCCCTCCCTCCCTCTACTCCCCTTCTATATAGAGATAACACACACATTTTCCAAACTTCTCTCATACAGGTGTGACCATGTAACTGATCCCAACCAATGGAATGTGAATAAAAGAGACATGTGTCACTGTAGGGGCAAGAAAAGGTTGTGCCTTCTTTGTTTTCTCTCCCCTTCACTCTGGCAGATGGAGAAAACCACAGGCCCCAGGTGGCGACAAAGCCAAAAGACAGAAGGAACACGGATCCTAAATCACGGCATCAGGAGTCACCTGTGGCAGAAACACGCTGGACTATTACATCAACCACACTTCTGTTGTGTTTGTGCCTTTATGCATTTGGGGTCTGTTTGTTACAGTAGCTATAATAGTATGACCCTAAGTGTTATAATTCCCTTTCCTCTTCTAAAGAAACCACTGAGTGTTCCTTAACTCTCTGAGGTGCTCTAACAACACACCTCCTCTCCAAGAACTTCTAAGTCCTTCCAAGGAACTGACCAGAGCAGGATTTTCCTTACCATTTTATCAAGATGTCCCAGGAATAACTTCTGGCTTTATTGGGTAATATTTTTGAAAACAGATAGGGTCTCACTATGTTGCTCAGGCTGGTTTTGAACTCCTGGCCTCAAGCAATCCTCCTACAGCCTCCTGAGTAGCTGGGATTACAGATACAAGCCAGCATGCCTGGCTTCTTATGGGGTAATTTCTAGGGCTAGGGCTCATATCTTGCTCTTCCTCTGAAGTGCCAGAATCCCAGGAAAGAGAAAGATACAGTCAGCAGTGATGCTCCTTCCCCATTTGGTTCTCTCCTCCTTTCCTCCCCATCTAGGATTTCCTTGTCCACATACCTGAGGATATGTACCACAAAATGGTCAATTCTCCTTCTCCTGCTTCAGAGCAACTCCTTGAGGGCCAAGACTGGGAGCCCTAAGGCCAAGGTTGCCTCTTGTCATCATCTCAATAAGCTACACCCTTAAAATTGCTCTATAACAAGGCACCCCAGAACTCAGTAGCTTAAAACAACAATAATCTCTTCTAATGGTCACTGGTCTTCATATTAGCAAGGATAGCTCTGTAACACATGCCTCCTTCTGATGCCTAAGTTGGAGGGGCAGTGACTACTTAAGCATGCTTTTGTCATAGCAGAGATCAAAAGCTCCCAGAGGTGCAAAGAGAAACTTCTGAGGCCTCTTAGGACTCAGGACTCACACACAGTCACTTCCTCCCACATTCCATTGGCTGAAGCTCACCATAGAAGCAGGCCAAGTGAAGGTGCATTGAAGTACATTCTGCACATGACACTTCAGCAAAGGTGTGGCTTATAACACTACCACAGGGACACAAAGTACCAAGACTATTACTTCAGTCTACAGCGGTCCCCGAGGAACAGACGTATGTGGGCCCGTGGCTATATTGACCTGGCCATGGGGCCTCTGCTGAAGGAAATCAGAAATGTGTATTCACCAGGGAACACTACAGTTAGAAATGAGTATTTTGTAAAATTTGAGGCTCTTTGGAATTCCTATAGTTTGGGTACTATAATAATTCAATAGGAGGAAGGATGAAGTCAGACCAACAGCATCATTAAAGAACTATTATGTTGATTAAATGGATGTTCGGCTGATATTAGCCACCAACTAAGAGAAACTCATCCTATTGAATTACCAGAGTAATGCACTGTCTCAAAGACTGGCTTCAATCACTCCCCATTCAGACTCAGATAAAGTCTTATGGAGAATGGGAACAATAACAGAGCTGAGAGAATGTTAGGACAATATATGGTTCAACTCTCTTTTTGCAGATGAAACACCAGCAAAGAGAAGCACAATGACTTAGAAAACCACTTAAACATGAGTCTGTAGTGTATTGTGCCTAGGCCAGCACGTTGCTCCTAGAGTAAGTCTTGTTAGCAATTACAGACCCGTAAAAAGGTGGATCCTCTAAGATCCTCTAACAGTAATTGAGATCATGGGGCTGTGGGCTCAAAGTCAAGAATTCGGGTGGGTCACTCTTAATTTCTTCCCAGGGACACCTAATCCAAGCCCATGAGAACATTAGGGCTCTCAGAGACTAAAACTCTAACATAGTAGGGTTTTTCGTGTGTGTGTGTCTGTGTGTGTGTGTGTGTGTGTGTCTATCTCAAAACTGTATTAATTTCTTTTCTAAGATGCTGGGGTGCCAGCAACATCCCTATTACTCTTCTCCCTTCCTAATGTCCTCCTCACTTTCTGTTTGAATCTGCCATTTCCTCAGAAAAATTAAGAGGGCAATGTCAATCAATTCAAACTAACATGTCACTCCTGTTCTACAAATACTTACTTTTACACAAAAATAATTGTTCATTAAAACAAAAAAGTAAATTCTAGCCTCCCTCCCAATATTTGAACGATCTTTTCCACCCACAGATTAGATCTTCTACGGTCTTGGGTTGTCACCGTGATTGCACTTCCAAGATGTGTACGTTATGTCATGCTACATTTTACGTGTTAAGAGCACAGTGCACAGTGACCTCTCCCATGACTGAGAGAAGTAAAATTCACATGTAAGTAGTAGTGGCCACAAAAACTTGGAAAGACAGGTCTTTTCCAACAGATATTCAGGTCTCAGAGACAATCTGAAGAGTTTGACGGACTCTTTCCTTGACCAAAGTTTAATCAGGCTTAAGTCCTCTTCTTCAGCAGGCCTCCACCCTGGTCCCCTGACCACTCACCCCGAACCTTTGGCCTGCCCAGCTCTATTTTAGCAAGAACCCTGCTAAGTTAGGTTAGAGAGAAATCACCACCCTTGATATCTGATCACCCTGGATATCTGATCAAATTTCTCATTCCCCCACCCTTGATATCTGATCGCCCTAGCCTGCCTTCAGCAAGAATCCTGTTAAGTGGGTTCAGCAAGAATCCCTCTAGGTGCTTGATGTCTCGTATCAGTAACTTTCCATCTACTGACCCCTTCGTTCTGCTCCTTGGCTATACATCCCCAGCTGTCCTTACTGTATTCCGTGTTAGACCTCATCTCTCCCCCCAGTGTGATCATCTTTACACCTATAGCAATAACCCTGTATAAAGTCTTCCTTACTGTTTTAACAAGTGTCAGAATAATTTTTTCTTCAACAAGTTCTCAACAAAAACCCATACCCAGAATCTTTTTCTGGAATGAAAAGGGCTTCAGGGCTTCTCAGGTCACTTTTGTTGTATTGCCCACAGAGCTGAGAGTAAACAACTCCTTTGGACGTTTTGGAGAAGAAAGGTCCTTCTATACACCCACTTCATCCAAGGAATTACATGCTTGGGATATTAAGCAACAGCTACAAAAATCAGGAAGTTCCTTCTCCATGTATATGACGAAGTTCTGGACAGGAGCCCGCTGCCAGAATACGAATACTCTTCCCCAAAGACCCCTCCTCATGCCCCTACACGCTCTTGCCGGTCTAGCCTTTCATTGCCTGAAGCACGGCGAGAACGCCTGGAGAGCTCGTCCAAGCAAGTGCAACCCGCTGGTGACTGCAAATGAGCACATGGAACTGTGCGCCCACGCTACGCTCGGTTAAAATCAATCTGGGCTCTTCCTGCCTCGTCCACGCCGAGGTCACACGCAGCACTGGAAGCGGCCTGCATCGGGCGGGGCGGGGAAGGCCGAGGGCACGGCTACCCAGGCCCGCCAGGGACTGCCCGGACCGGCCGGAAGCCGCGCCTAGAGGAGGGCCCCGGAGCTCGCGCGGGCGCCGTCCCCCGGCGCCGCCGAGGCCTGCTGACATCAGCCGCGCTCCTCCCCTCGCCTCCCAACACCCTCAGCTCCGGGCCGGACCCTCCCTCCTCCCACCACGTGTCCTCCCCGCTCCCTCCCGAGGGGCCGCGCGCACGGGAGGACGGAGAGGCGGAAAGGATGGCGCTGTGACAGCCGGGCCGGAGCCCTCGCGTCCCCACCCCGCGCCCTGGCCGCTGGGCCCGGCGGTGAGTGCGCGCGGGCGGGGGCGGCGGCGGCGCGGCCCCTCCCCCGGGTCCCGGGCGGCTGGGCCGCGGCAGAGGCGGGGGCGCCGAGGCTGCGCCGCCGCCGCCGCCGCCTTTGTTGCGGGCCCGCCGGGGAGGCGGGCGGCGCCGGCTCTCGCCGCCCGGCAGGTGCGCTGGGGCCGGGAGGGGGCCAGGTGGGGAGGCGGGCCGGGCGGAGGGGGCAGCGGAAGCGCTCCCGGCGCGGTTCCGCGGAGAAAGGGAAATGGGGCAAGATGGCTGGAGAAATCCGAACGCGCCCGGGGGCGCGGCGGCGGTGGCGCAGGCGGGGCAGGGCGGGCGGCGGCCCTGGTTGCGGCACCTTAGCGCGGGGAGGCGGCCCCTCCCACCTCTGCCCCGGAGCCGGCAGGGAGACCGCCGCCAAGTTCGGGCCCCAGCTGCAGGCATCTGAAGCCTAGACCCATCCATGCCGCGTTCGCCTATCTTTTTTGGAAATATCGAAGGAACCGACTTTGAACTCCAGAGGGATCTTTTCTTTGGAGGTTCCCCGATGCAGCCCTCAAGATGCATCCGCACTCCACACCTAGGAATTGCCCGCGCCCATAGAGGGCAGGAGTGCGGCCCTTTGTACTGGCCAAGAGTCAGCGAATAGAGAATTTGCAGCCCAGAGGCAATGGGTTATTTCCCTGTCGGGGTGGGCCCCAGCCGATTTCTGCACCTTTTTGGGTATCCAGGCATAACCCTCACTATGTTTCACTGACTCCTGCGTTTGCAAAGTCCCTTAAGGTAGAATGACCCTATTTTCTGAACCAGCTCGTGGACAGAACCTTTGAATTTGGAAAATCCAGGCAATGGGCCTACTGAGCCAACCGCTCCGCCCATGCTTAACTGGCTTCTAGCACCCATTCCAGTTGAGTAAGTGTCCAATCTGTGTTCAGACACCTTCACTGATAGGAAATCAGCACCTTTCCCCTGCCTCTGATTCCTGTTTGGGTGGCACTGGCTGTGAGAAAGTACTGCCTTTCTCACTGCTTAAAACCTTTTCCAGGAGTATTTATCCACTGGCCGGCCTCTGTTCTGCCGTCCAGTCTCTACAAACCAGTCTGGGTTCTCTTCCCCAGATAGCTTTTTAAATATTTGAAGGCAGCCAGATACGTTATCTACCCACAGCCTCTCTTATCATAATTAAACATGTCACCCTGTAGCTTCCTGGCCGACTCTTGTTTCCTTACTTCCCTCCAGCGGGAACAGTGCTTGGGGCTAAAGAGGTTTGTATGTGGCTCAGCCTCCCCCATCATAGGCTTTGGGGAGGTCACAGTGACACCTGGTTTTTCTGAACCTGAATCTTGCTTGCAGAGATGGAGTCCACAGCCTACCCTCTCAATTTGAGCCTGAAAGAAGAGGAAGAGGAAGAAGAGATTCAGAGCCGGGAACTAGAGGACGGCCCGGCAGACATGCAGAAAGTACGAATCTGCTCTGAGGGCGGATGGGTAAGTAAGAAGGTGTGGAGTCCACACAGCCAGCAGATGCAGGCCTGAGAGCCCAGCTTGCTTTAAGTCTCCTCCTCAGACAGACGTGGGAAGTAAAAATAGCCCAGCCCGGTGTGTTTGCATTCCTGAGAAAACAGCTCTGTGGCTTTAAAAGGCAGTGCAAAGAATGGAGGAGGTGTTATGGAAACAGTCCCTCAGCCATGTAGCTTGTCATCGTTCAATTGGAAGTCCTAGAAGCCAGGACCTTGTCTCTCTCGTTCACCCACTTATCCTGCACTGCGTTTGATGCCAGGCACATTGTAGGCACCAAGTAAATGTTTGTTGACTTACTGCTGGTTGAAGGGAACCATTTTAAATAAGACTCGAGTCATTGGGTTGACATGAGAGGTTAGGCTAGTTGGTTCTGTGTGAGCACCTCTTACCACAGTTGACACAGGAGAGCTGCCTGTCCAGCTGACCTGGATAGAAATGGTGGGCAGCAGGGAATACAGAGATTCAGGGTATACACGCAGAATAGTATGATAGAGGTCGGTTTATACAAATGCAAATGCAGTAGATACTTATAGTTACAGATAGTTATTCACCGTAGTTACTGGACTTCGTGGTAATTAGGCATGAATAGTAAACATTTTAAATAAGCAACAAATTGACATTCCTTTTCTCTGCTTATTTTCCGTTGTGTATAAACATTGTCAGTATACATAGTATCCTTTGCTTCCATGAAGAGCCCCTATCCATACAAGCATGGTACTTCTAAATTGTTCCCTACCAGAGGAGAGAACTGGGATGCAGAAAGATTATCTGCCTTGCCCTAAGGTTACACATGAACACTGACATTTGTTCTTCAAAACAGGTCTCCTGAGCTGCACCCTTAAAAGTAATGCATTTTACCATATGTATGCTATACCTTAATTTAAAAAAAAAAAAAACAGTGCAACCACAGGCTCTCAGTTTGCCAGTCTAGCTGTGGACACCGCGCTGCCTTTGTCTCATCAGTGTTCTTTGCCCACCACATCCTTCTTCCCAATTCTGATCCAAGCAGGCGTCAGGTCTATTTAGCCTGGAACAAGAACTCAAGGCAGTCAAAACTCAGGGCTTTGAGGCTAGATTGGTCAACCCAGAACATCTAAATGGAGAGCCTTGGAGAACAGGTGCAATGAAAGTGAATGTTGGGACAGTGAGGAAGGAGCAAGATGAAGACCAACCATGCTTAGGTGGGAAAAGAAGGAAGTAACCAGAAGGGCTGGAGGAGGGAGTCCAGCAGCTGGTGGTGCTGGGGATTGGGCATTTGTGGCCTCCAGGCAATCAGCCATCCATCCACAGTTACCAAGCACAGTGCTGGGCGTAAAGAGAGACTCTTTTCCTGATGGAATTTCCAGTCTTGTGAGCAAGGCAGGAAAGTAAACATAAGTAATAGTAAGCACAGTGTGCAGAGTGCAGTGGTGGAAGTCTGCAAGGATGCACCAGGAGCCAAGATGAGGGGATGCCTCATTCAGGCTGAGAACTCCGGGGCTTCCTGGACAAGGCCTAATCTTGAGCAGTGAGCAATTTTGCCCCCACCCCTGGACATTTGGCAACATCTAGAAACACTACCCCCTTTCCCCACCCCTGGATATTTGGCAATATCTGGAAACACTTTTGTTGGTCTGACTTGGTGGGGGTGCGTTGGGGACTGGGAGATCCTCCTGGCATCTAGTGGATAGAAGCCAGGGGAGCTGCTAGATATCTACAGTGCACAGGATGCCCCCCCACCACCACACACACACACACATACACACACAACAAAGAGGTAACTGGCCCAAAATGTCAGTTGTGCTGAGGTTGAGAAACCCTGCTCTAGAGCATTAGAAGAAAAGAATCTGTTTTTAAAATATGTATTTTGGTTATAGAGAATTATGTTAGGGTGATCAGTGAAAGCTTTTCAAGCATAAGAACTATGATAATATATTAGGATAAAATTCCATAGAATTGAAATAGAAATACAATTTTAAGTAGAAAAAATAAAAAATGTGCTTTGAACTGAGTCTTAGTCATTATGGAATCAGCCAAGGGAAGGGAAGGGGGTTGCATTCCAGGCAAGAGGACAGCACAGGCAAAAGCACTGAGGAGAGGAGCTTGGGTGCAGAGTTAGGAGCAGCTCCTGCAGCTGGAACCTGAAACTCATGGCAGGGAGTGGAAGGGGATCAGGTATAGGAGGCCAGGCCAGGGGCCAGAGCCAGCCAGGAGGACATGCAGTGCTACGCCAGCGAGTTTGAGCTTTCTCCTTAGCTCTGTGGAATGAGGCCTTAGCCCATCTTTCTAAGGGAGGCCTCAGGCTCTCTACAGCCACCATGCTAAGGCCTGAGTGGCCTGCTAAGAAAGCAAAGCTTTGGCATCAGACTTTCTAGCTCTGTGACCTTGGACAAGTTACTTAACCACTCTGTTTCCTTACCCATAAAAGTGAGGTAGTGATCCCCATGTCCCTAGTTTAGCGGATTCAGTGAGAGAATATATTTATATGATTGAGTGTCCTATACAGTGCTTGGCCCATAGCAGGCACTCCATCAGTGGATCAGTACAAACTACCCCAACCCCTTCCCCCGAGATCCCTGCGTCTTTGCTGGGTGGCTGCAAGGCTTTAGCGAGGCTGTGCAAGGTGTAAGCACTTTACAACATTTACCCTTTGAGATAGCATTGGAATGCCAACTTCCTGAGCAGAGCAAGGCAGTGCACACAAGCTAGAGGAAGAACACTTATCCAGTGAGCCCTTGATCTTCTGAGGAAAGGGAGGAGGGCAGGGACTGAAGGTCCCTACCTGCAAGGCCAAGGAGGGGTGTCTGGAGGTGGTACACAGACTGCCTGACTTCTCAGTTTTGCCCGGGGCCGGCCCTGTTTACCTTCTGCTATGTTGAGCCAGATAAAAGGCCTCTGTGGAGCGAGGGGAGGCCTGCGCAGCAGGGCCTGGCTGAAGGATCGCTCCATTCTCACAGAGGCTTGCTGTGAGGAGAATGTCTAAGCCACTACACTGTGCCTCTGGAGCATAATGTGGGCTTGTTTGAAGATCCTCCGTGGCTCAGTCATTAATAGGAAGAGATGAATCCTGCACCAGCCCCCAGCTTTCTTCCTGCAGCTTCAGGGCTCCTGGTACCTGATGTTTTTACCAGGCCTAGAATATGTTACCCCCCCTAAGAGTATTGATGGCCCCTCTGAAATGACAGGCATAGACAGTCCTGTTCCCATTTTATCAGCAAAGGGAAAGGGACTATAAATAGGTATGACCTAGATCTGGAACTTCCCAGGGAGAAAAAAAGGCCAAAGAGACAGTTCTTTAAAAGCCTGGGAATTGGGAAAGGAGTAGGGTGGAAAATTCCTGGGCTGACTGGCTTTCCAGGGTGAGGAAGTCTGAGGAAAGCCTGAAGACGAATCCATTTTACCTCCTCATATTTCACACTTAGGGATGTTTGTCCATTCTTACTCCAAAGAGTAGGTTTGGTTTTATGACAGATAAAATTTAATGATTCTTTGAAACAGTTCCAAGTAGAACAAGAGAAGGGAAATCCAGAGATTTGCCTAGATCGTATATTCAAAAGCACATTTTTCAGTGACTACTAGCTACAGGAAGTGTCCTCGGCTTAGGGAAGCAAAAAGGAGTAAGTACAGGTCCTGCTTTCAACAAGCTCAGATTCTAGTGGAGGGAGCAGACAAGTCAACCAAAAGAATTCTGCAGTGTGATGAGTGCCCCGGGAGTGTGGAGCCCAGGACATTTCAGGGACATGTGGGTGTGCTCACAGCGTGGCACAGAGTGGGCTTCCTCGGGAGCAGGGATTTTGGGCTGAGTCCTGGAAGATGGGTGGGTGTCAGCCAGACCAAGAAAGGGGAGGCCCTCCAAGGCCAGGGGAGAATATGGGCCAAGGTGTGGGGGCGTTGGGGAATGGTTGTTCAGGGAACTGCACACAGCTGAGTACAAGTGGAGCACAGAGCTGGGGAGAGTTGAGGGTTAGTCATCAGGGAGGCAGCTGTGCTCGGTATTGCTGGATCCTTGGGGTCAGGCGGTGGTGGCCCCAAAACGCAACCCCACCATTTATTGGCTATGACATTAGCCTGGAAATGAGACCTCTCCAAGCCCATATTCTCCTTGATTAAGTAGGGGCATGGTGGCTTGTGCCTCTAATCCCAGCTACTAGGGAGGCTGAGGCAGGAGAATGGCTTGAACTCAGGAGGCAGAGGTTGCAGTGAGCCAAGATCGTGCCACTGCACTCCAGCCTGGGCAACAGAGCAAGACTCCATCTCAAAAAAAAAAAAAAAAAATAGGCGTATCTACTCCTCCACAGGCCCATTGCAGGGAATAAATGAAGCAGTTACAGGCCCTTTCCTAGTACGTGCTTCCTATGTATGAGGTGCTGTGGAGGTGGGGAGAGAACAAGGGGGCTTCCTTGGGTCAGGGAGGAAAGGCCAATGTATGTAAGTGACTGTTGGCCTGACCCCTGAAGTGGCTGCAGGCTATATAGCATATGGACACTAATTTTCTAAGCTAAGGAAAAACAGTATCATAATCACCCAGACCCAAGATACAGCTTTGGGAAATAGCTTTGAAGGCAAGAATACAAAATAACCAGCCTGAAACAAGCCATCCAGTGCCTTCTTATCACTAAATAGGATGAGCTTTGGAGTAGGATTTTTAATGACTGTAATAAGAAATACAGTTAAAAACAAAAAGAGGAGGTTGGTTTGGGTGGCTTGGCTGCCTTGGGCTACTGAGGAGCCCCCTGGTGCTGGGCCAGGAAGCAGAGGAACAGGGGAGGGATGCAGTCCTTTGGGCTTTCTGCCTACCTGGTCCAGGATCAAAGTGAATGAGTTTGCTCTGGCATCTCATTACATATATTAAGCTGTAATTAGCCCTTCTTTCTTCCTCTTCATGCTCTTGTGGATTGGAAAGGCCAAATAGGGCCCCTTCTCTCAGTGGCTCCTCCCTGGGCAGCTGTGGGTTCCAAGTCTAACACTTTGGTTAGTACCCTTGGAAATGCAGTGCCCTGGAAACCCACAAAGATCCCACGGAGGGCAGTGATCCTATTCAGATTTACAAACCCAACTCACCCCGCCCGGGGCCGAGGGTCTTTTTCTGGGGTGGGAGGGAATTGGGGGTGCTTGTGTTGGTGGGACACTTTGTCTGGGTGTGGGTGGCTTAAGTCTTGGGTCAGAGGTGAGCCGTGAGCAGCTCTCACCACAGTGCATGAGGGTGCGATGTCCCATGTCCTCCAACCGGTGATCATGGTAGGGAGTTAGTTTTCTTCTCAAAGTGCTGCTTACCTTATCTGAACTGAGGGTGGCAGCTGCTGTGGTGGGCACAGAAGGACTGTGCTCTTGCCCTTGTTGGCTTCCAGCAGCTGTATGAATGTGGACAGTCCGTTTTCCCCTGGGTCAGGGTCCCTCACCTGACCTGTGAGAGGACAGGCTGTGCTGGGCTGTCTGTAAGGTCCTGTCCGCTCTGAAAGTCTGTCTGCATATGCCTGTTTGTCATTGTGAAAGGGCTGTTCACTCTTCCAGGTACCGGCCCTATTTGATGAGGTGGCCATATATTTTTCCGATGAGGAATGGGAAGTTTTGACGGAGCAACAAAAGGCCCTCTACCGGGAAGTCATGAGGATGAATTATGAAACTGTCCTGTCCCTGGGTAAAGCTGTGTTTTCCTTTGTCTCCTGGAAGCTCTGAGCCCAGAGAATTGTTTCCATGCCTCTCTTCTCTGGTATATCCAATGTCCCTCTCTCCTGAACTTAGACTCTGCCTCCTCAATGTCTGTGCCCATTTATTCCAATTTTTGATTTGGGCAGTATATCAATATTGTGTCACCCTACTCGGCAATCCGTGCTGCCTCAGAACTGCCCCCATTCAACCCAGGCATTCACATTTAAGGATAAAAACCATGTAACCTTAGAAATGTCACCATGGATCTGGGCCTGTGCCTCACTGTTCCTTACGAGAGAAGGCAGGCGTTAATGTTACCCTGTCAGCCTCAGAAGTTTGGGGACATACCCTCCCAAAGACTGTTTGCTCCTCTCCCCAACTTCCACCCCAAATTGATATCACACATCTTATCAGCAGAATGTAATCATTTGAAGAGATTTCCCAGTTTGCTTATACAGGTACCAAAATGTTAATTGGATCAGCAGCTGCATTCACCCTTCTCCCTGCTAAATGCAGTTCTTTTATTGTTGGTGCCAATACCATCCCTCATTAGGAGAGATCTACCCATTCCTTTAGACAGACCTATTTTCCATTATCTTTTTTCTTTAAGTATCCCTGAGCCTTTTTCCCCTTGTTTTTCACAAAGAAGGGGAGAGTGGCTCTTAAGTATTTTGAAGTACTTATTTTGGTAGTGCTCCAGGACAGTAACACACAGCTGTTACCTATTTTATTTCCTATAAACAGAATTCCCATTCCCTAAGCCAGACATGATCACCCGTTTGGAAGGGGAGGAGGAGTCTCAGAATTCTGACGAGTGGCAGCTCCAAGGAGGCACCTCTGCAGGTACTACAAGTAAAGCAGTTCAGCGTCCATCCAGCTGGGAACATTGTGGAGTGGGATTTTCAGTGTACATTCCACGGGGTATTTAAGAGGTAGAAGGATTATGGGTTTTGGAGTTTTGAAATCTCCCTCTTTGCAGTGCTAAATGTGTGACAGTGTGTGACAGGCAACTGCTTTTACCTCAGAGCTTCCATTCTTCCTCTATCAGCTCTGAGTAACAAGACTTGATGTATGACCTTGTTTGTGGATGAAGCAAAATGAGGCTTGTGCAGCATTTGGTCTAGTGCACCTTCTGGCTGAACAGGGCTCCCTCAGTGGCGTACCATGTGCCTCTGCAAACTAAGAATAGTGAGAGGAAGCACACTTCCTGAGTTACCTGGCTCCCTGTCCATCTCATACTGGATAGAAAAAGCAATAGCAATCATAGCATACATTTGAGCAAATGTATCTAAGAAGTACCTAGTCCTTTGTCAAGAAAAATGGTTATTGAGGCCACAGTTGAATAAATATAGCATTGCCTCCAGACGGCCAAAATAGTTTTATCTTTTCTCCGGAAGTAAGAGTTTAAAATGCCATATTTCACTGACTCTGAGACATGTTTTTCTCCCATTGCTTTACTGTTTCTGAAATTGAGAATGCCTCTTAAAATCAGTGGCATGTCATAGCTTAATTAGTAGTGTTTTCTTTCTTAATGGCACATAATGATGCATCCTACAACTGATGACATTTTAGTTTGGGTGAGATAGGGTAATTTCCCCAAATCATATTCAACTTCTGTGACCACCTTCTAAATATAAAGTGAAACCTGGTTGCACCATTAATGTGCAAGAACTAATTTTCTGCCTTATAAGCTTAACTTTGCTAAGTGTGGTTTTTGCTGTAGGTTTTCTTGGTTCTAAAGGGATATGATTCAGGCCATGATGCATCTCTGTAATATTATATGGTAGTATGGTTAACATTTGGCTTCTCATTCACATAAAAAGTATTTTGATGCAAACATGGCCCCCAAATTATTTGGTCCAAGCTTGGTTCCTCTGTTGAGTTCCCAGCTCTGCCACTTTCTGGCTTGGCTACCTTGGTGCATTATGTAACCTCTGTAGCCTCCCCTTCTTCATCTGCAAAGAAGGAACAGTGATACTTAGAGTTACTCTATTAAGAGAACTAGGTGTGGGTAGTCCACATAAATTGGCATATGGAAAAGGACTTAGGCAATGTTACCTGTTATTAAAGTTACTACTTTTGGTGAACTTCAGATTAAGGTATTCTTAGCATTTCAACCCCCAAAAATCAGGGTATAAGCCATTTTACTTACTGGCATTATTTTTGCCCCTCACTATTTGTCTCCCAGAAAATGAAGAATCTGACGTAAAGCCTCCAGACTGGCCAAACCCAATGAATGCTACCTCCCAGTTTCCTCAGCCTCAGCACTTTGACAGCTTTGGCCTCCGTCTGCCTCGGGATATCACAGAGCTGCCCGAGTGGAGTGAGGGGTACCCCTTCTACATGGCCATGGGCTTCCCAGGGTATGACCTCTCGGCTGATGACATAGCTGGGAAGTTTCAGTTCAGCCGGGGCATGCGCCGCAGTTACGACGCAGGGTTCAAGCTGATGGTAGTGGAATATGCTGAGAGTACCAACAACTGCCAGGCTGCCAAGCAGTTTGGAGTATTGGAAAAAAACGTTCGAGACTGGCGCAAAGTGAAGCCACAGCTTCAAAACGCCCACGCCATGCGGCGGGCATTCCGAGGCCCCAAGAATGGGAGGTTTGCTCTGGTGGACCAGCGTGTGGCCGAATATGTCAGATACATGCAGGCCAAAGGGGACCCCATCACCCGGGAGGCGATGCAGCTGAAAGCTCTCGAAATCGCCCAGGAAATGAACATTCCAGAGAAAGGGTTCAAGGCAAGCTTGGGTTGGTGTCGAAGAATGATGAGAAGGTATGACCTGTCTCTGAGGCATAAAGTGCCCGTGCCCCAGCACCTGCCGGAAGACCTGACTGAGAAACTCGTCACTTACCAGCGCAGTGTCCTGGCTCTGCGCAGGGCGCATGACTATGAGGTAGCTCAGATGGGGAATGCAGATGAGACGCCCATTTGTTTAGAGGTGCCATCACGGGTAACTGTTGATAACCAGGGCGAAAAGCCTGTCTTGGTCAAGACACCAGGCAGGGAAAAACTGAAAATCACAGCAATGCTTGGTGTCTTGGCTGATGGGAGGAAGTTACCACCGTACATCATTTTGAGGGGAACATATATCCCCCCGGGGAAGTTTCCCAGTGGGATGGAAATTCGCTGCCACCGGTATGGGTGGATGACTGAAGACTTGATGCAGGACTGGTTGGAAGTGGTGTGGAGACGGAGGACAGGAGCAGTGCCCAAGCAGCGAGGGATGCTGATCTTGAATGGCTTCCGGGGCCATGCCACAGATTCCGTGAAGAACTCCATGGAAAGCATGAACACTGACATGGTGATCATCCCAGGGGGTCTGACCTCACAGCTTCAGGTGCTGGATGTCGTGGTCTACAAGCCACTGAATGACAGTGTGCGGGCCCAGTACTCCAACTGGCTTCTGGCTGGGAACCTGGCGCTGAGCCCAACCGGGAATGCTAAGAAGCCACCCCTGGGCCTCTTTCTGGAGTGGGTCATGGTCGCGTGGAATAGCATCTCAAGTGAGTCCATCGTCCAAGGGTTCAAGAAGTGCCATATCTCCAGCAACTTGGAGGAGGAAGACGATGTCCTGTGGGAAATCGAGAGTGAGTTGCCAGGAGGAGGAGAACCACCAAAAGATTGTGACACCGAAAGCATGGCTGAGAGCAACTGAAGGGAAAGGGAAAGGTAACCACTCAGGAGTAGATACTCAGTGCCTTTGCTGACATGTCTGTGTTCTACAAACACCTTCTCTCCATTATTTTTCTGTTTTTAAGTTCCCTTAGAGCCTACAGTGCAGTAGTGTAGATCAGGGGTCCCCAACCCCCAGGTCACGGACCATACTGGTCCATGGCCTGTCAGGAACTGGGCTGCACAGCAGGAGGTGAGCGGCAGGTGAGCAAGCATTACCACCTGAGCTCCGCCCGCTGTCACAGCAGCGGCATTAGATTCTCATAGGAGCACAAACCCTGTTGTGAACTGCACATGTGAGGGATCTAGGTTGCAGGCTCCTCAATGCCTGAGGATCTGAGGCGGAACAGTTTCATCCCAAAGCCATCCTACCACCCACTACCCCGCACTTCCTGGGTCCCTGCAAAAATTGTCTTCCATGAAACCAGTCCCTGGTGCCAGAAAAGTTGGGGACTGCTGGTATAGATAACAGACCATTAGCATTTTCTCCTTTATATGAAACATTTATTATTTGATTTATTTGTGTCTATTTTGCTCTGTGGCTTGGACCCAGAAACACTTGTATAATAGGTGAAATGAACAAAGAATGAGCTGCCAGAACATCTGAGAGCTGTAAAGTTAAAATTATTTGGACCCAAAGAAGCATAGTCTGACGTTGTTCAGTTCACACAAAATTTTGTCTGAAAAGCCAACTTTTTTCTTTCCCTTTTAAATTATGCTGAACATTTAGGGCCAGTATGTGTAACTGACATGCTGGGACAGTTGTACTCACTTTTGCTGGCCTGTAGGACTGTGACATAGGGAGAACACTAAGTGTGTCCTCCGGGCCTCGGGTCTCAGTCCTGGAGCTATCTACAGTATGTTACCAGCGAGTAAGAATAATAGCTTCTACTTGCTTTTCCCTACAGAGTTCAGGAGTTTTAAAACGTCATCTTAGTCTCATTATGACCTTCACATGGGCTATGACAATAATTTCCTGTAGTCAGCAGATGTCTGAAGGAAGATATTTTTTAACTGAATCTTTACACCAAAAAAAGAAAATAAAACGGTGCGTATCTAGGACTCTAGTGAGGGCTGAGGACAATAGGCCTGGAATTTTCTGGGTTGAGTACACAAGAAGAACAGCTTTCAAAGGAAAGTAGGAATGGAGGCCTAACTGAGACAACACTAGTGAAATGACCCCACCCACCTACACCTCCAGAGAGGAGGAGGATGAGCATGTACAGCAGGGGGGACACCCACAAAGAACAAACAATTCATTTACCTGTTCGTTCTCATCTCCCTAATTATAAATTAAATTGATCCTCCAGACAGTGTTTTATATGAAGGAAGAAGCCACCTTTTTTACAGAGGACCTGAAACCGTCAACCATCTTCACACATTCTTTTTCTTTCTTTTAAAGTATAATTAGGTATTTCCATCTTCCTTGCTTTTTTCTCCAAATGAAATGCTAATGGGAGCCTTATTTTACCCACTTCAGCTATATAAGTCCATCTGTGTTTCAAAGAGTGACTTATGTCTCCTGCCTTGCTTCCAAATTAAATTGTACTCATATTGCTGAATCCCATTGTAATTCTGGGATCCCTGGAATTACAATGGAGCAAGAAGTTCTTACTATTACATTCAAAATCACCAAAATTGCTTTTTTTTCCCCCTTGGGTCCTCCTTGCTTTGAGAAACCCCATGAATCCAGCCTCCCTTTTCTGCTGACCCTTATATTGCCTGCATTGGATATCAAACTGAATTACATTGAGTTTCCATCTTTTCTTCATTTACCTTTTGCTTTTCCCTCTCCTTGTTAGATAACATTTTTGTGCACTTTTAATTTCCTAAGCTCCTTACCACCTCAGGGACATGATTAAAAACTTCCAGAAGAGGAAAGGAGAAAAAGCTATGCTAAGTTGCATTTATGAATGTTGGCCTGTAATATTGGTCATGAGCTTTTGCTCTTCTAGTCTGCCACAATTCTCTCTGCAGCTCCTGAGGAAGTGATGGGAGTAGACAGATTCACAGTGAACAAGAGATTTGGGAGACCAAGTGGGCATAAAACTACGTCTTGGCCTCTATTTGGAAATCTGAATGATGGAATTATTATGTTTGTTAAAAGTTATACCAAAAAGCCAAGGGTTAATTCATTTAGGTTCTCTCTGTTTTCCAGCAAATGGAACTCTGATTTAAACAGCTGGGGATGAAATTCCTCAAGATGATTATTCCTGAAAGTGTGGATGCGCTGGATGCGCAGGGAACATCAGGAAAAGGCCACGGGGCTCTGAACAGCCCCGGTCCAGACAGCAGCCTGTACATCCATCCCAGGACACAGCCCAGCCCCTCCCCACACCATACAAGGTATCAGAAAAGTCTAGGACCTATCATTTCATCAGAGACATGATCAGAAAAGAAACTGCTTCTGCCCCATTTCTTGTTTTGGAGATTACTCCATCTGTCCATCAAAAGAAACCTGTAAATATGAAAGAACAAAGGTTATTTCCTGGAGAAAAGACAATTTATTCAACACCAACGAGGGACTCATCATATGGGCACAACTCTGGTGTCCTTCTATGGAGAAAACCTCAAGTAAAGTTTTATTCTGCCTTTGAAAATGCTTCCAAAAGTAGACCCTGTCCCCACACAGGTCAAGACTACAGAGAAGGCTTTGTAGAAATGTGTCACCTATGTACACCTGCTACTTACACATTTCCTCTTTTGGAAAAATGAGATACTTAGAATAACAAGAAAATTAAGACATACTGGCCTGGTGCCAGCAGATGGCTTTTCTATAGACAAACTAGGTTAGTGTGGAAGATATAGGTTAAAATAAACTATGCTGTTTTATTTATCTTCCCAACCTGATTGGCAGCTAGACTTTTTTAGGGTCTCATTTAATGGCCCTGTTTTTTTCATTATTATATTTAATGATAGGGCAGGATTTCGTATGCAAGCTCTTGTTTCTCAGGCTGCCTGCAGAAGAAGTCGCTATAAATTATCTGTTGTCTACATGGTACAAGGCCCATTGACTCATCTGATGCTTGTTTTGTTAATTTCTTTAATATTTTTATCACGGGGCAGTGGGAGGGCTTGGGCTTTTAGCCACAGCTGTTTTAAGACTTCTGATCTCCTGCCCTGCAGGAATAGGTGGGAAGTCATTGAATTTTTACACTATAGTAATTTGCATTCCCACATAAGTTTGAGTGTTACGAAAACATTCCTTTAAAGGGATCTGTGCTACACAAAATATGCCAGGACCTCACAGACAAAGCCATTGCTAGAAATGTCATTCCAATGATCAGATCTGGAAACAGGCTGCCATAACCACTTTTCCTTCTTGTAGACTCAGCTCACCTGTATATTTAAACTGTTCTTGGCATCTTGAAACACCTATTTCTACTCAGGTACTCATTGTCCTGTTACTGATTCACCTTTCTGATCCTTTTCAACCAGTTTTCCCCCAAGGGGGGAAATTTTACTTAACCTCTAGTATTTGAACAACTCAATATTTGAATTGTTGCCCCATTTGCTTTTACCTGTACTGTATTCTTGGTCATCTCAAATGGCGTCTAAACCCAGCTACTTTGCATTCCAGAAGTTTCCATTCCCTCCAATTCCACCTAATTTTTCATCTGTCCTAGTTACTGGCTCTTTCTTCATGTCTTATTTCTCTTGCTTTGGGAGCTTAAAAGATTTTACAAGACCTAATTTTGGGTTCCTTCCTTGGAGCCATAGTTACCCTGCCAAGAAGAGTAGAAAATGGGTTCAACTCCTGTTTCGCTCCACCAACACCTCTGTGAGTCTCATCATCAGCTGAGCGATGATGCCTTACAGGTTGCATAGCACTGGAACTTTCCTAGAGTAACGGCTCTGCTGCCAGGGTTTCTCTGGGCTCATTCTTCCACTGACTTAATTATGATCTATGCCTAACAGAGCCCCAGTACAACTATTTTGCAGAATGGCTGTTACCCTAGAATTACTATAGCACATATTGAGATATAGTTGTACTCCCTAGTAGATAGGAACTGACCCCAACAATAAACTTTGATAATAAAGACAATAGGCTATGGTGATTTTATTTCTTTACCTATTAGCATTGTGAAAAGTTACATTCAAGGTATTGGCTACACCTTATTCTCCATCCGGTTTGGTACCAATATATTACATCTTTCAGTCAAAAAGTGTTCATGAGATGCAGTGTAAGTAATATTGGTATCTGTGAAGACACAGGGAAGAACGTGTGCAGTGGGGCAAGTTTGACATAAATAGCTTTTTTCCTCAGTCATGTTTTGTATGCTCTCAGCAGTGGTACATTACCAAAATCACATGAAAGAAATCCCATAAAGGGATCTGAATTTTAAATGAAAGTATGATGAACCCGCAAGTCTTAATTATGCACTTTTAATAAAATTAGTCCTGACAATTTACAGTGCCCATAAAGTAGTAGTTGATTCTCCAGGAATAATCTGGCAGTGTTATTTTTCCTTTTCAACCCATCAGCATTAAATGCTGAGCCACTCTCCAAGTCTGACCCCTAGACTAAGCTTCCTTACTCTTACTCTTCCTCCCAGAGGCATTTTGGAATGAGTCAAAGGCATGGTAGGACACGGCATTTACCTGTGGTCATCACTTCAGGCAATGGAAAGGAAAAGTGTTTGTCCTTGGTTGATCAGAGAAGTGGGTGATAAGAACGTGCTAAATAACAAACCTGCACACTTGTACCTCTGAACCTAAAATGTTTTTTTTTTAATTCAGAACAACAAAAGAACATGCTAAGCGAGTCCTCCCACCTGCCTGGTAAAATACAGCCAGCTTTATCACACCTGGTTTTGCACAGTGATAAATTCCTGCAGGAAAAAATAAGTTTTATTCTAAGTCTGAAATTATATGGTTTCCAACAGCTTTTTCCCTCGTTAAAATAATTATTTTTCTACATGATGCTTGATAATAAGCATTTGTTTCTTAACCTAATTAGAGAAGCGATTGCACTCGAGTCCCCACAGCTGGCAGTGGTGTTACAGATGGAACCAGCCTTTGGTGGACAGAGTTCAGATGTTTCAGGGGCTCTTGTGAAAATGCTAAGTATTACTGTTTCTACCTTACTGCCCTGCACTTTACCCCATCATCTCCCCTCCTTAGAAAATGATTTCATAGGAAAATTGGCATGGAGAGCAGATAGTAGAGTGTAGACCTGAAATACATGAGGCAAAGGCAGTCTTCCAGCATTCTATGGTCCCACCAGGTGGGTAGGTGACTAGGAATTCAGGCCAGGTCCTAGAGAGTAGTGAGAAGTTTTCCAGTTTGCAGTTTCCTCTGTGCTGTATGTACAGCCATACAGCCTATGGAACCTGACATTGCAGTGGGCAGCAGGACACGGTCAAGGCTCCTAGCTGCCTCTCCATCTATGGAACTATGAAATTTCACACATATTCCCTAGGCAGCATTAAGGCCCAGGTATATTGAGTAGTCCAAACCAAAAAACTATATTCGAGTATCAGTTTAAATTCTTCCAAGCCCTAAAAATTCTTACGTAGTTTCTCACCTAAAACTAATGGCTTGTGCCAAGAACTGAAACTAAGCTATTGATTTTTTTTTAAGAAGTCTTAATCTATACATAAGAAATTACATACCTGGCCAGGTGCAGTAGTTCAGGCCTGTAATCCTAACAAACACTCTGGGAGGCCAAGGTGGGCAGACTGCTTGAGCTCAGGAGTTCATTACCAGTCTGGGCAACATGATAAAACCGTGTCTTTACAAAAAAAAAAAATTTTAAATTAGCCGGGCATGGTGGTGTGAATCTGTAGTCCCAGCTACTTAGGAGGTTGCGATGGGAGAATCACCTGAGCCCAGAGGTCCAGTCTGCAGTGAGCCATGATCACACCACAGCACTCCAGCTGGGGTGACAGAGTGAGACCCTATCTCAAAAAGAAAAGAAAAAAAAAAAAAAAGAAATGGCATACCTTAGTTGGAATCTGCTTTTTAATCTTTCTCATCTAGTACATTATTTTGAGAAGTCTCTGCCAAGCCCTCATAGAGCAGGCAATTTTTGTATTTCTGTAGAAGGCAATATTCCTTATAATGTTTAATAAACAACAAAGTTTTCTCCCAAAAGGTTTATTTGTCACATTTAAAGTACAAAATCAAATACACAGATCCAGATATGTGAACCATATATACATATCTATACAACCATTATTTAGACTTTCACAAACCTATCTATACATTCTAATTTATCTATCAACACTATCCCTTAAGTAAAAAGCAACATATCTCTTAAGTAGGTTTGTTATCAGTAACACTATCGAATGTAAATTATTTTCACTTCATCACTTGAAACGGTAGAAATAGGTACCTCCTAGAAACTGGAGAATTACCAAGCATATATCCAATTTGTATAGATTTCTTAAAATACATTCTATAGGAATAATTAACCGAAGAAACTGCCAATCAAAGTTTTTGGGCATATTTAACAAAACTTGAGTCATGGGAAGACATAAAGTTAATTAATTGCATTACAAGAGTTTTGTTTTGACTTTGGTTTTAAATGCAAAGAGGGGCTTTATTTTGTTTAGTACACAGAGCACTTCCAAGTCATATTTCCTGTGGAGTTATAGTGATAAATTTCTCAGGGGCTACCTATCGCTATTAAAATTTGAACTGGTCACTAAAGGAGGTATCTGATTTTTAACACTGTGTAGGTTATTTCAACCAAAATGCAAGAACACATTCTTTAGGAGAAAGGCAGAAATTTTAGACTTCTAGATACAGAATGTATGATGTCACTGAACACACAGATATCCTGCTGATCAGGGGGATTAAGTTAAAACAGCTTCTTTGTTCTAGGATGTCATCTATCTTACATGCAGACCACAGGACACTAAGCCTCAGGTACCTAAATATCTCCATTCCAGGCACAGGATTTCATTAGTGCCTGCTCCCACAACTGGGAACACATACATATAGAGATATGGGTCATTACCAAAGATTTATATTAATGGCTTCACAACAGCAACACAAAATGTACTCAATGTCACATTTCCATAGGAAAGGTTATATATACACTATACACTTCAGCCTTGAAATGTGGACCCAAAAAACATTCAATTTTCAGTAATCAATGAATTCGGTGAGGGTCCCACACCCTCAAATCCTAATTTAGCACAGCAAAAGCCCCTCCTTGGCTGCCAAGCGCTGGCGGTGAACTTTGTCTTGCTGCAGCTCTTCATGATTTGGATGCCAGAGTTTCGTGATGATCCTTTCAATGTTAAGAGCATAGACAGTATGTGTAGGGATGACTTCCCTGTGCACCTGGGATTAAAAAATTAACGCATGTCCAATTATACTTGAGTAGACTTATTTTTCTGACATATAAAAGGGTTTATATCAACAAAACATACACACAATCTATAAACTTTCAGTCATACACTAAAATGAATCACCAATTGGATAATAATAAGGAAATAACAAGCTTCTGAAACAGGAATAGCAGAACAAGGGATTTTTTTTCTTTTCTTTCTTTATTGGGGAGATAGAAGATGGGCTCAGGATTTGAAAAATGAGGCTAGTATTAATAACGGCTTTTATAACAGACAAAACTGAAAAACACAAAGCCAAGAAGTGGAAAAAACCAGTGAATACCTTTGTAGACTTAAAGAATCTCTTAACCTATCCATAAACCTAGGTAAACTTTAAGGAGCCAAGACTTACCTGCAAAGCTTCAAAAAGATCGTACATGTTCACCGGAGGCAAAGATGCAGGTAGAGTGTCTCCGGAGCATGCCAGCAGGAGTGCAGCCTGCTGCTCAGCATCATCAGGGGGTGGGTGAGAAGCTGGATTCTGACCAGCACAGGGAGCAGTAAAAGCTGGAGGGCTGAAAATAAAAATTTCAGAAATAGTCCCAGCACAGAGACAACTGAGCAACAAGGACAGGAGTGGCCTGCTAGAATCTTATTTAAAAAATCTTTAATTGAATTAGAAATCCATTCAATGTCTACTCCTGTAGACATGAATAATCTGTAATTTTAATTTTTAAAGGCTGGAAATAAAACATAATACAACTATATTTACCCTCCTTCTTCCACAATGTTAAAATATTTACCTAGCTCAGGATACTGAACTTCCAGTTGAAAAAACTAACAGACCTTAACTACAGGAATATAACATTCAAAACAAATAAAGAGGGAGGTGAATGGTACTGGAAACAACTGGTTCTAAAATAAATTAGAAGAAAAGAAGACATAGCACAGAAGCAACAGGCAAAAATGGAGAGTGGGGAAAATTAATCCAGAACCTGCCAATTTCCCAAAATAGAGCTAGATACAAACTGAGAAGTCAGACATAGTTTTTACTTCATAACCCAGTAGGAGATAACCTACACAATGCTGAGGACGTATCTAGAGGTAAAACAAAAGAGTAAAGCAGTAACTCAGAGGAAAGCACAGTGGAACGTTAGCGTGGGACTGAAGCATCAGACAAAAGCAGCCCTGTTAGAGTAACAAGTGGCCAATAGAGAGGCAAAAGCCCTCAGAGACTGGCCAGCAGGGCAGAGAGGGCTTGGGAGTCCCGCCAGGGCCAGAAGCTGCTCCCAACATCACCCGCTACAAGGAGCCACTTTTGGGGATTTGTTTTTTTCTAGAGAAGAATGATCCCAAACAGATACGCCTGAATGGGATTCAGACAATAAATCACCACATATGGCAATCTAAACAGTAAACCCAATTTAAGATGGGTTAAAATAGGCCCATGACCCCTGTAAAGGTCTTCAGAGTCATGAAATGGGCACTGGCACAAACTCCCACATGTGCTATCAACACTCCCTCTATCCAACTCTCTTAGCTTTCCCACCTACACCTCCTGCCTTCCCTTCCTGTTACTTCACCAATCACCCTGCCACCCTTCCCAGTCATACATACTTTTTTCTCTGAACTTGCAAGTCCCAGTTATCTCTTTACCTCTCTTCTCCCAAACTAACCAGATACGCAAAGTCCAGCAAATCACAAGAAATTCAAGTCACTTCAGTAACCATAAAGAAAATTACATTACTACTTTTTTTTTCCTTTCCCAAAGGCTTAAAATTCAGACTAAATTCCCTTTGGGGGAAGTGGAGGACAAAAGGAGATGGAAGGATAAGAAAGACAACACAGGGATGAAAGTAATCTAGGTTGTTTCATAAAGGGGTGACTCAGGACATAGAGACATCCTGAAGCCCTCAATGGGAAGACGACACAGGAATCCCAGAGGTGAGCTGAGAGACCATGTCTGCACAGCAGGAGGCCAAAAGCAAGTGATGACACCAGGCACAGACCACTATCTTGAGCTATGCCTACAAGAGCCAGATGAGGGCCTGGAGAAACATCTACCACTCCTCCTCCTCCTCCCACCACCAAGACACCCAGCTGTGACCCAACAATCACAGGCCCTGCCTCTAACTGAAAGCAGGCTCACTTCCCCACTGGGCAGGTGATGCCCCTCGGGAGCCCTCAGGATGCACCACCTATGCACTACTCCACTGCACCTAAGAAAGTCGGGGCGGGGGGACAAGCACATTAAACCCGCATGCAGAAGCCAAACTCTGCAACTTCACTTCTCATAAAAGGAGTACCAAAATAATTCACTAGATCTCAGGCAAGTATAGGACTTTAAAAAATAAAATTGTACTCCTATTAAAGGTACTTAAACCTATGAAAACACAATCAATTATTTAACAATGGTCTATAAGAGGAGTATAAACAACTAGCAAAAGATGGAAAGAAAATCACAAGAAACTTCATTTACCTTTCTATTAAGTTGTTGTAAGCTACTACACTATTCTTCAGGTATGGCTGCGGGGTCACGTTACTGCCAAAGGCATATTTAAAATGACCATCTCGTAACCGATAAGCTTTCCTTCTTGACACAACTGACGTCAGTATATCTTTAAGGTGATTCTGTAAACATACAAAAAGAAAAATAGCATGATATCCTCTTTAAAAGCAAATCATAAAACTTCCACTGACCAAAAAACATTTATTGGCATTTAGATGGAGATGCAGAATAGGTTAGTATATGCTAGAACCAAATGAATGTTCACATGAAGAGCCACGGAGCCACACCAAAGGAGTAGGAGGGTATGGGAAAGAGGGGGACATGCTTATTTTCATGTATTAATAGTTCTCTTTAAGAGGGGCTTGCTATACATGAAATTTGAAAAGTCTTTACATCTCTAAATTGGCTCCTCTCTCTCAAAAATGAGTTTTAGATGGCTTTAAAAGAAGTACACAAAAATGACTTTTTTTTTTAGATGGATTCTTGCTCTATTGCCCAGGCTGGAGTGCAATAGCACGATCTCAGCTCACTGCAACCTCTGTCTCCAAGGTTCAAGCAATTCTCCTGCCTCAGCCTCCCAAGTAGTTGGGATTACAGGTGCCCACCACCAAGCCTGGCTAATTTTTTATTTTTAGTAGAGGCAAGGTTTCACCATGTTGGCCAGGCTGGTCTCGAACTTCTGACCTCAGGTGACCCGCCCATCTCAGCCTCCCAAAGTGCTGGGATTACAGGCATGAGCAAAAATGACTTTTTAAAAAGAGACAAACTATGCTGAAACTTTGTTTAAAATAGGACAAAAAGTTTTAAGATCTGATATTATTGGAACCAAAATCCTTGCGTGAAAAGAACCTTGGCTCTCTCAAAAGCCACATAAACAACAGATATATAGGAAATAAGCACAAAATAAATTAGGTACTTGATTTCTCTTCACTTTCATGAGAGCCAAGTATATAAGAAAAGGTTGAGGAAGCCTGTGAAAATAGAGTGACAGAACTCGTCCCAGGCTACCATTATTAATAGGGGAGCCAGCATCAGGCAGGGTGTTTCAATTATACCAAGGAAAATCCACTTATATCAAGACATTATTGTACTATTTAAATTGGTTTGCACGCAGAATTCATTTAATGTTTATAACTTCATGGGACAACTGTTATTATTTTTGAAGTACAGATGAAGAAAATAGGGCTCAGAGAATTGAAAATCCAATGTCACCTGACCATACTCGTGCATTATAGACCCCATCAAATTAGTTTTGTCAAGTAACTAAATGAATAAAATGAATGGACAAATGAAATCATGAGCAGAGACAAGAATTCTGCTGTTCAGATGCCAAGACTAATACTCTTCAGTGCTGTATCACAGCAAAAACAAGTGACTTTAATCTATAGGATTCTCAATTTCATTTCTTTCCTTAAAAACCATTCCCCTGTTGACAAAACATCAGATCAACCAGAAGAGTTATGCCATAAATAACCTTTCTGAAAAGCTTAGTCTATTAACTGAAGACAACTATTTGGATTATAATGAGTTTCTCCTCTTAAAAGAAAACAACTTTTAGCCAGGTGCTATGGCTCACACATGTAAATCCCAGCACCTTGGGAGGCCAAGGCGGGAAGATCACTTGAGCCCATGAATTCGAGACCAGTTAGGCAAGAGAGAGAGACCCCCATCCCTAAAAAATTTTTTTTTTTTAAATTAGCTGAGTATGGTGGCGCACGTCTATACTCCCAGCTCTTGAGAGGCTGAGGCAGGAGGATCGCTTGAGCCCAGGATTTCCAGGTTGCAGTGAGCCATGATCGTGCCACTGCACTCCAGCCTGGGAGACAAAGTGATGCTGTCTCAAAAAAAACAGAAAACAACTTCAACAATGACAATTCTGTGAAATCAGAGTGACATTTGGATTCTTTTCTTGCAATACCGACTTTAAACAACACACAAGCCTATCACATTCAACCTGTAAGATTATTTCTGCCAACAGCAAACCAACCTCCACAGCATAGACAACAGCTGAAACAGCCTCCTCGGTGACATTGTCCAGCCCATGCTCATAAGCAGTCACTATCATTCTCCCTTCAAGCTGGCCTCGAGTGGGAAGCATCATTGTGTGGGAACAAAGTTTCAAGTCGTCATCATCTTGGGGATCCTTTGCCACAAATTGCTGGGCTCCTGAGAGAGGATTTTGAGGCTGGAATCTATGCTATGAGTAAGAAAAACTTTTTAAAATTACTCATTACAGTAGCAAACAAGACACAAAGTAAACTCCTGTACTGAAGTTGAGATCCTCCAAATTAATGCCACCAAAACTATACCACAGGGGTTAAGGGAAAAAAGAGTTAATTCATGCACAAATAATCACAGATTCACATCCAATACAAGGTAATAATGAAGACATGGATTAAGGGGAATAATGGTAGTTTGCGTAGTAGTTTATTCTATTCAATTAATACCTTGGTGATCACAGAATGTATG
The DNA here is from genome assembly GCF_000001405.40 of Homo sapiens. Taxonomy (NCBI): domain Eukaryota; kingdom Metazoa; phylum Chordata; class Mammalia; order Primates; family Hominidae; genus Homo; species Homo sapiens. Next base: position 166,862,685 of record NC_000001.11, read on the forward strand.
GCACTGTGTTAAAAATAACTGAAAGAGAAGGAGAAGTATTGAACTATATTCAAACAAATCAGAGCATTTTAAATCTAACCGTAAGTAGGTTCTAAAAGTATAAACATATAATGAATGATTCAATTAAATCTTAAAAAGCCTAGCTAACCAATATGGCAGATCTAGTAACAAATATTCCAAGATAATGCTATGTAGAGTAACTACTTAATTGCTGTTATTTTCTACTTAGAATTCTCAACACAGAACCTAAGATACAGTCATGACTATTTTTCTCAGTCTTTTTCATTCATAAAATCTCAGCCTTCCTCAGGGAGATTCTGATAGCCCATTCATGTTCTCCATCACCACCTGGAGTTATGCCCCAGTACCTTTTGCTTAAGGCTAATATAAAAGATTTTGTAGTGAAGATGGTTTGTCCCTGTTTGAAATTGATATTATGAAAACAACATGGTTATTTTTCCATTTTCCAAGTATAAAACTACTTTATATTGAACATCTCTTTTTAAATCAGACATGTCTCTCTAGAGATCCCAATGGCCTCTACATTCTTACTGATATAAAGCATATAGTCAAGGTGAAAATAAATAATTGTTTATTGATGTTAATCAATAAAGCTATCAATACCCCATAAACCTATAAAAGGGTTACTTCGGGGAAGTTTTTTTCCCTAAATATACACTGAAAAAAGCAATTTGTTTTAAAATGCTTACAAATTTTATAGCCAAATGCCTTCATGACATCTCTACTAGTCCTCAAAAGGCTCAGGGCCCAGCTGGACATCACCAGGACCCCATTAAAGGCCTCCAGGCTGCCTGAGCCCTTGAGACAGATGTCTTCATCCAAGAAACATTATTCATTCAAGAAAAATACTTAACAGGAGAGACAAAAGCATTGTTTTGAATAACTGAAAAATCATTAGGTACTAATGATAACATTACTATTTAAGCAGTAACAAACAAGAACTATAAAAATTCAGACACCTAGAACTCACAATCCTTGAAACGCTTTTCTTCCCAAATCATACTCCTTTTTTTCAACTCTACTACCAGTATTTTAATATTCATTTAAAAACTAAAGCTAGTCCCAACATGCCACTACTTCAATCAGTCATTATCAAGACCTATTAAAGAACAACCTACATCAAATTTCTGACGAACAGAAGAAAGCTTTTTCTTTCCCTTGGGTTTTCCAGGTTTTGCTGCGGAACCCCCTGGCCAAGGCAAAGATCCAGCACCATCTAGGAGACAGAAATATATAACCATAAGTAAAAATAATGACAACTGATAACTGCTAAGTTTGTTTTCATTTGGGGTAAAAAGCATGGAATGCTCATGAAATGCAAATAACTAATGAATGCTTAAATCAAAACCTTCTCTTTCTACTTCTCTAAATAAAATTATCGATCCTCTCAAATCACATTTTTTTCCTAGCTGCAACTAAAATTTTTTTAGGAAGACAAATTTTTTTATATTTTCAATTAATGTTTATTGGGTGTTTTGTTTATTAGCAGTAGTATTATTATAGATGTAGGACAGAATTTGCTGGTCTAAGATGATGAACTGAGCACATGTATTTATCTCCTCTCCCAAGACGCTACAAAATATGAAAGTAAGGAAGGTAAATGGCACACTTGCACAACAGAGGTTAAAAAGGAAAATGAGTGGCAGACACGATGAGATGTCAACAAATTTCTAGGATGGACTAAAAGGGTGCAGACTCGTGAAGCAGACCCATAGAAGCTGTAACCTAGGCTAGGCAAGGAAGGTGGCAAGTGAGGCAGAAGCACGTCAACCTGCCTGGAAGAAACCCACAACCTGGATTGGGAGAATGTGAGTGAGTGGAAACCAGGAGGGATCTGTAAGGCTAAAAACAAAATTAATGGAATGTCTATATCCTTAAATCATCCACACAAACCCATTCACTCACCCCCAAAACTGGGTTCAGTACAAAATCAAAGTGCTGGGCCTCGTGTTTAAAAATTAAGAATTTCAAGATAATGATGGTACAAACCAAGTGCAGGGCCCTTCTGTGCAATGCAGGTCACAGGCCCAGGAAGGCTCATTCCCATGCACAGAATGACACAGAGCAGGGTATTTATAATAGCTAAGTCAGGGGGTTAGAAGGAAGGTGGGGAGGGAATAAGGACTCTTCTCTAGTTAAACCGAACACAATTTCTGGGATTTACTAAGGTAGCTGGTATGGATGTTGGTACCCTACAGCAAAGCTCTCTGTATATGGGAATTTGGGAGACCCCCAGTTTAACAGTAGGCTTCCTGTCAGCTTACTCTAAAGCAAAGTCTCCAGGCAGTTTTATGCTTCATTCTTAAACATGAAAAGGACAATAATTAATCACCAGATATTTGACAATATTCTTTCACATGACAAGAAAGAGCAAGCTAAAAAAATAAAAATAAAAAAAAAGAGGTCCTAGACAGGAAATGCAAAAGAATTCTGATAAATTTCCAACAGGTATCCGCAGAAAACTTTCAGAACATGTTCATCCATGAAACAAGATGCTATTAAAATTGCTGAATTAAAGAATGCATTCAACAGAAAGGCCCAAAGAGTTCAGGAAATCTCAAACACAGAGCAATAAGACAGAGATGTTAAAATCAGTTAATCCAGAAACAGATTTAAGCAACTATGAGGGCTAAAGAGGTCCCACCAGAAGAACAAAAAACAAAAAGTAGTTGCCTTTGGGAATAGGTCTAGGGGTGGGAACAAGCTTTTATCATAAAACCTTCTGTGCTACTGATATTTTTTTAACCATGAACATATATTGTTTAATGTTAAAAAAAAAAAAAAGTAACACAACCTCACTACAGTACACTTAAAAAGAAAACTCAAGGCCGGGTGCGGTGGCTCAAGCCTGTAATCCCGACACTTTGGGAGGCCGAGGCGGGCAGATCACGAGGTCAGGAGATCAAGACCATCCTGGCTAACATGGTGAAACCCTGTCTCTACTAAAAATACAAAAAAAAAATATTAGCCGGGCGTGGTGGTGGGCACCTGTAGTCCCAGCTACTCGGGAGGCTGAAGCAGGAGAATGGCGTGAACCTGGGAGGCGGAGCTTGCAGTGAGCCGAGAAAGCACCACTGCACTCCAGCATGGGCGACAGAGTGAGACTCCGCCTCCAAAAAAAAAAGAAAACTCAAAAAAATTTTTAAGAAAGAAAAAATCACCCATAATCATAGTAAAATGTTCCTACAATTTTGATATTTTTGGAAAGAAACGTTTTTAACGCTTTGAAAAAAAAAATATTCCAGATTCCTCAGTTTAAAAAGAACTGTTTGGGAAGTCAGGTTCCTCTTATCTTTGGCATGCACAGATCTCACTTGATAAGGTCAGCCAATCTTAGATGATTTTCCCAAGAAATCCCTTCCTGATAAATGAAACTGGATGCCAAGTGATGACAGGAAAGTAGGCTGGACATGCAGACGATGATGCAAAGGAGCAGGCCTGCAAACTCACAGCTTACCAGCTGCTGCTGCGTGGCCAAGCGAAGCACGCTAAGGCCTAACCCTGACAAAATGGAAGGCTTTTTAGTAGCACTTAGATTTCAGTTTTGATCCAACACATCCAATTACTAGCTGGATAAGGCCTAAGGCAAGTTTTTCTTTTGTTTTGTTTTCTCTTCTCTTAATTTTGTTTCCTTATCTATAAAAACAGGCTAACACCTACCATGCAGAATTGTTGTGAGGATTAAAGATAATGCATATAAAGTGTCTAGTATGCTATACTCAACAAATATTATTATTAATATCATCTTTCCTGACTAGCTTAGAAAACTAGAAAACAACCCATCCAAAATTGTGAGGTACAAACAACTATATTTTACTTGTAATAGAAATCTTCTCTTTGTTGCTAACAAATATTAATTTCATTTTGAGAAATTTGGGGTGTTCAATGGAAGAATACATTCTCAAAATCCAAATGCTTCTTCATTTATTTTAAAATAACTATTAACAACCATTCAGAATATCAAAGGTTTTTATCTAATTAAAATCAGCCACCTGTACTTACGAATACCACTTCAACATTTGTTTGGCAATTTTTTTTATTTTTATTTTTTTTTTTTGAGACAGGGTATTAGTCTGTCACCCAGGCTGGAGTGCAGTGGCGCAATCTCGGCTCACTGCAACCTTCGCCTCCCAGGTTCAAGCAATTCTCCTGCCTCAGCCTCCCTAGTACCCAGGATTACAGGTGCCTACCACCATGCCTGGCTAATTTTTGTACTTTTAGTAGTGACGGGGTTTCACCATGTTGGCCAGGCTGGTCTTGAACTCCTGACTTCAGGTGATCCACCCACCTTGGCCTCCCAAAGCGCTGGGATTACAGACATGAGCCACTGTGTCTGGCTGGCATTTTTTATTTTTAAAATCACTTTTTTATAAGTTCTTTCATCTGTTTTTTCATAATCCTACGGGGTAGATATTGCTGTACTTATTTTATAAATTTGAAAGCCCAAGTAACTATATTATGTAAGCTAGTGGCAAAACCTACACTTGAACCTAAGTCTCTTGACTCTTATCAACCAGGGTTTTTACTTCTGATCACTCCATTTATCTTTGGCATATGTGGCAATTTACAATATGCTTCCCTAAAAAGTAAGATTCACAATATTGGCTTTTCTGATCAAATTAAATTTTATGTAACAAAATAGATTATGATTTAACTTTGGACATAAAAGAGGAATGGCTAAAGTCTACTTGTATATAAATTAAATAGCACATCAAAAATCTGACACAGTGTAAGAATGTGCGGTGATGAGTGTGGTGAGGGGAGGGAGGCAGTCACTGCTCTCTAAAACAACCCCACAAGCAGGTGCTCACAGTTTACTACACATTAACAACGACTTCTTTGAGGGTCAAAGAACGAGGTGTTAGGAGATCTTATGTGAATTTTTTTTTTTTTTTTTTAAACACAGTTTCACTCTGTCGCCCAGGCTGAAGTGCCGTGGCACAATGTAACCTCTACCTCCCAGGTTCAAGCGATTCTCATGCCTCAGCCTCCTGAGTAGCTGGGACTACAGATGTGCGCCACCACGCCCGGCTAATTTTCTTTTTTGTATTATTAGTAGAGTAGGGGTTTCACCATGTTGGCCGGGCTGGTCTCGAACTCCTGACCTCAAGTGACCCGCCCGCCTCAGCCTCCCAAAGTGCTGGGAATACAGGCGTGAGCCACCACGCCCTGGCTTGAGTTCTTTATCATACAGTAGAAGTAAACAGAGAGAGAGGATTAAAAAATACCAGCCATTTATAGATAAAACATGAGCTTTCGATATATGATCATCAGAATCACCCTAAGCCCTTAAAAAAATTTCAATTTAATCTACAACAGGAGTTGGTAAGCACAATTGTAATGGTAACTTTTGTAGTCTTATGAATAGATATAAATTGCAATTTAGAAATATAAAAACTACTGAATAAATCATTTGGCCTAATTTTTTTTAAAAAGTCCAGTATGACTTTTATCATGAGGAAAGTTTTCAATGTATTTAATTACTTGTTTTTGACTGATTAAAATAAGATGGTTGAGAGAGGTGACTTACAGCTTAATCTTCTCTTCAGGTTAAAGTGACAGGTTTCGTTTCCACCTACCCCCTCAACATGCTACTATCCCCTACCTCTTGTTATCTACCAATAATCTGTGAAACACAGGTGCTGAAGCTTGACCTTTCAGGTGCTATCTTACCTAAGAACATAGTGGAAGTCCAGGTTCCCAACATATGCTGGGTTCCCCCACCTCCCCACTACGGACACCTTTCAAGTTAGGTATCCCTTAGGTACAGGACACCTAACACCAACTGCCCTCTCTTCATCTCCCTTACCTTCTTCATCCTGATCTCCCACCCTCTTCCTCACTTCTCATTTACTTAAGTAATCTAAAATGTAGCTGAGTGGGGACTCAATATCAAAAGGTAATATAAGTACAGGGACATAACCTGCTTTACAAGGCTCCGTAGATTTGGGCAGTCCCTGCTGTGGTGCTCACCCTGCGCCCTCTTGTTCCCGGGCTATCTCCTTGCTTGCCTTCTGGCTCTCTCAAGCCCTATTCTGAGGGACACCACTATTTCCCCCATTGAGCAAACTGGCCTGCGGGGGAGGGTGGCACACAGAGCAGCCTTGCCCAGCTCTCCCAGCATAACACGCCCGGACCAAGGGGTCCACGGGGGCTAGGACTTGGACATGCCTAGGATTACACAATACCACCTAGGGAGAAAGCACTTGTGAAAACAAACATTCAGACAGTCCTTCCTTCTGGGTGTTAGAAAAGAGTAGTGCCACATCTGGCTTGGCTGAAAAACACTTTACTGATGTAGGAGCTGGCATCATAAGATGAAGATTATAGAGGAAGTGTTGGTGTTGTACAATTCAATTTTGGCAAAGAAAAGTTTGGTGTCAAAAATGGTGATCAAATTGCATAGCTCATTTGTGAACAGACTTTTTCTCCAGAAACAGAAATTCAAGCTTTGGATGACACTGAAAGGGGTTCAGGAGGTTTGGGTTCCACTGGAAAGAATTAAAATGTATGCCAAGAACTGAAAATGAGAAATCATACCTTTTTCTTAAAAATAAAGAGTTTCTGCTTTAAAAAAAAAAAAAGATTCTGTAAAAGAATTTGTATCTACCTAATAAAACTTTTCTTCTGAGTAGTTCAAAAACATCTGCTTTACAAACACTAGCTGTGTCTATTAGAGAAAGCTAAAGTCTAGTGCTTTGCTGACTTACACACACTGGAAGTATTTCCACTCCCTTACCTGGTGTAGAAACCAAAATCTGACAACGCGTGAGAATGGCCAGGAGGAAATCATTGTGAGAATGGACTGAAAAAGGAAAGATAGTGACAATCAAATTCAAAACATTTTCAACATAAGGAAACCACAACTTTGGTCTAGCTTCTCAAGATTTTGGATATCCCCTATTCTGCCATGCTTTATACTTAAAGTATCCACATTATTAAGATAACCTTATACACCACAAAACCAAAATTTTACTTTTTAAAAAGGGAAAAGACTTTACTACAAATCTAGGAAAACTACAGAATAGTAAAATAACTCTGCAGATAATTATTTTACCATTATCCTGTGTGAGAAGTCTATGAGCTTCAAGGTCAAACTCCTCTTTGCTGATCTTCTGCTTGAACCACAGCTTTAGGTTAGCCCAGTATCTGCAGAGGCAGAAACAATACTAAGAACCACAGATTTGGCTGCTTCTAGTTTTTTTTGTTTGTTTTGTTTTTTTAAAGAGACGGGGTTTTTTATTCTGTCACTCAGGCTGGAGTGCAGGGGAACAATCAGAGCTCTGAACTTCTGGCTTTAAGCTACCCTCCCACCTCAGCCCCCTGAGTAGCTGGGACTACAGCATGAACACATTTTGCTTCTTCCCCAAGTTCAGCATACATGCTCCAACTCCGAGGAAAGGAAATTTTGCATTCCCTGGCTCTATGGGCTGAATTGTGTCCCCCCACAAAAGTCCTGTGTTAAAGCCTTAACCCTAGTACTTCAGAATATGACTCTATTTGGAGATTGGGCCTTTAAATAGTAATTAAGATGAGGCCATTAGGGTGGGCCCTAATCCAGTATGATTGGTGTCCTTATAAGAAGAGGCAATTAGGACACAGATACATTCACAAAGAAATAACCATGTGAACACACAACAAGAAGGCTGTCATCTATAGGAGAGAGGCCTCTTGCCAACATCTTGATCACAGACTTCCAGCCTTCAGAACTGTGAGAAAATAAATTTCTGTTGTTTAAGCGAACCAGTCTGTGGTACTTTGTTATGGCAGCCCTAGCAAACTAATACACCTAGGAATCAGAATACCAACAAAGAAAGGAAAATCCTCCCTAAAAGGGGACTCGCCGGTACGGTGGCTCATGCCTGTAGTCCCAGCACTTTGGGAGGTCAAGGCAGGCAGACCGCTTGAACCCAGGAGTTCGAGATTAGCCTGGGCAACATGGCAGGACCTCCCTCTCTACAAAAAATACAAAACTTAGCTGTGCATGTTGGTGCATGCCTGTAGTCCCTGCTACCTGGGAGGCTGAAGTGGAGGGACTGATTGAGCCCAGGAGGTCAGGGCTGCGGCGAGCCATGATCACACCACTACACTCCAGCCTGGGTGACAGAGCAAGACCTTGTCTCAAAACAAATAAAAGGGAATTGGCAGGTAGTCACAGAATTGGACTCATGATTCACTTAGCCCAAAACTATTATAGCTATACCCTTGTTTCTCACTGTCACCTTTCTAATAGACCTACTCTCCAGAATCCTGCATTTAAGATTTATATTTTAAACTGTGTGTGTTTAACGGAGAGGGGAGTAGTCATTTATATTTGTTTTAGGTGACATCCTTCCCTTCAGATAAACTCAACTTTCAATCTAACTGGCTGAAAAAAAAATGGGTTTCTAAACATCTCAGCACAAAGAAAATGCCTGGGGATATCTGTAGTTTTTAAAGTGAAAATCAACACCTAATAATAAAAATTACTTGGTAACTGGTAGAAAAAAAATGACTTAACCTTTTACACTTTAACAACAGTGTTAGGAATTAGAGTGAAATAATGTCACTTATCACACCACATCCACAACCCTGGTTTTGGTACTTAAGGAAGCTGCTTCTTATTATGGAATGGGATGAAAAATTACTCAATACTTGAGTTCCTAACAGGAAAAAAAAATCAGATTTCTCAACGGGATGATTTAATATTTTCACTGCCATATAATGCCCATGGCAGATCTCCCTCTGTGTGTGGATTAGCTTCAAGTCATCTTAGTATCTCTATATGTAATTGACTATGATCATATGTAGTTGCATGCAAAGCTTTGGGTTGATGTTTGTTGTTGTTGTTGTTGTTGTTTTTCAGGAGAAAACCCATAGCCTTTATGGGGTCTTAAGTGGCCCAAAACCCACGACACTGCCATCTTTCAGGCCCATTTCACTTAACAACAGAACACATGCAGCTCTAGAGCTTGGTACCCTTTCCACTTGATAGCTGCACATTCATTAGTCAATAGGTCAACAGTAACTTTCCAACAGTGGACACTTTTATACATTTTTTTAAAGGACAGGAATAATAATGAAAGAAATAAAATAAAGCTCCACAGAAAACCAAAGGTCTTTTCCTATCCCATTCTATCCAACAACAACAAAAAAAATAAAATAAAAAAATAGTAACCTGGAGAAAAACTCTATTATTTAAAAGTCCTATGTCAGTATTTTATAAGAAGCAAATGTATATTTGGAAAGAGTGAACTTGTTCCAGAACTAAAACAAGGCTCTACCAGGAAGCTCTGTCAAAATAACGCAAACTATTTTCTCCAGTGGCAAAACTTTTAGCCCAAAGAGCTAGAACTAGCTACCAAGAGTTAAAAGACTTGCTCTCCAATCCTGGTCCCTCTGTTAACTCACTGTATAGCCACAGACAAATGACTGTTTCCCTCAACAATACTGCTATAGTTTGGATATTTGACCAAACCTCATGATGACATTTAATCCTCAATGGTGGAGGTGGAGCCTAATGGGAGGTGTTTGGGTTATGGGAGAGGATTCCTCACCAATGGTTTGGTGTTATCTTTCCTGGTGGTAATGAGTGAGAGCTCGCTCACTCTGTGAGTTCCTGCAAGAGATTCTCCAAGAGCTGGTTGTTTAAAAAGAGCCTGGCACCTTCCCCATTTCTTGTTTCCTTTCACAAAGTGATCTGCAGGCCGGGCGCGGTGGCTCATGCCTATAATCTCAGGACTTTAGCAGGCCAAGGCGGGCGGATCACCTGAGGTCAGGAGTTTGAGACCAGCCTGACCAATATGATGAAACCCTGTCTCTACTAAAAATACAAAAATTAGCCAGGTGTGGTGGAACGCACCTGTAATCCCAGCTACCTGGGAGACTGAGACGGGAGAATCGCTTGAACCCAGGAGGCAGAGGTTGCAGTGAGCCGAGATAGTGCCATTGCACTCCAGCCTGGGCAACAAGAGCAAAACTCTGTCTCCAAAAAAAAAAACCAAAGTGATCTGCACATGCAGGTTCCCTTCACCTTCCACCATGAGTGAAGCCACCTGAGGCCCTCACCAGAAGATGCTGGTGCCATGCTTTTGGTACAGTCTGCAGACCTGTGAGCCAAACTAACTTCTTTATAAATTACCCAGCCTCAACTATTCCTTTATAGCAACACAGACTAAGGACAAATACCAAAAACAAAGCCAATCAATCCCTGTGAAGGTCAGGACAATGGGTAGAAGTATAAGTGGGTCAGATTACGAAGCACTGGATATACCTAAAGAATATTAAATAACATATGATCATGGCCGGACGCAGTGACTCACGCTTGTAAGCCTGGCATTTTGGGAGCCCAAGGGGGATGTGGATCACTTGAGGTCAGGAGTTCAAGACCAGCCTGGCCAACATGGCGAAACCCCGTCTCTACTAAAAATACAAAAATGAGTCGGACATGGTGGTGGGCGCCTGTAATCGCAGCTACTCAGGAGGCTGATGCAGGACAATCACTTGAGCCCAGGAGGTGGAGGTTGCAGTGAGCCGAGATCGCACCACTGCACTCCAGCCTGGGTGACAAAGTGAGACTCTCTCTCAAAATAAATAAATAAATGCATAAATAAATAACATATGATCAAATCCTCAAAAGAAATCAGGCACCTATTTGAACATGGCATTCTACTGGCTACTATACAAAGTGAGTTGCCTAGCAAAGCCCATGTCTTCCTGGAAGCAGCTTGGGCACACAACCCAACCAGTCAGACATGAAGGATGTTCAGACCACTGGATAAATAGCAAATAACTCATATCCAGCCTCCGTGCATAACCCTGTATGTTTTGCCTACCACCGAGGACCACACTTAAATAGGTTGTGCAAACCAAAGCAAACTGCTCATGGAGGAAATATAAGAAATGACTGTACAGTACAAGAGTATTACTGACTATTTAACCCAGAGGTACTTTTTAAGGAGAAGGGAAAAGAACAATGAGAGAATGGAAAAACAAATTTAGAACTATACGTTACCATTAACTGTTTCTGGCATAAAAATCTCTTTTGATTGCATTTTAGTGGGGATTCACACTCCAGATGCACCAAATTTAGCTTCAGCATCAGTATTTGACCAACATCAGACAGTCGGCTTTGGCCTTTAAAAACTAAATAAGGAATGCTAACTTCAAAAACACTTTTGGCAGCCCTGAACCTGTAACTGATGAGTATGGGATGACAGAGGTCACCATTGCATCTAATCAGGGTTAAAGGCAATCATACACAAGCCAGGTCCTTCAGATTTATTTTGGTATGTAAACGTTTGCTTTCAAATATTTGTAAGCATTCTAGATGGAACAGAGTGAAATGCCCCTTATGTGCTTAAAAATGTAAATTTTGGCTGGGCGCGGTGGCTCACGTCGGTAATCCCAGCACTTTGGGAGGCCAAGGCGGGTGGCTCACGAGGTCAGGAGTTCAAGACCAGCCTGGCCAAGATGGTGAAACCCCATCTCTACTAAAAATACAAAAATTAGCCGGGCGTGGTGGCAGGTGCCTGTAATCCCAGCTACTCAGGAGGCTGAGGCAGAGAAGTGCTTGAACCCAGGAGGTGGAGGCTGCAGTGAGCGGAGATCATGCCACTGCACCCCAGCCTGGACGACAGAGCAAGACTCCATCTCAAAAAAAAAAAAGGTAAATTTTATCAGTCGGTATTACAAAAGTAAAAAGCTACAGTAATTAGGGTGAAAGCTGTCAATTTTACCTATTAAAATAAGTAAGAATATTTAATTCAATAAGCACAGTGAACATCAATATCGAAAGACAATTTTCGGTGGTACACTATAGTCGGGTGTGGTGGCTCATGCCTGTAATCCCAGAACTTTGGGAGGCCAATGCGGGAGGACTGCTTGAGGCCAGGATTTGAGATCAGCCTGGGCAACACAGCAAGACTTTGTCTCTGAAAAAAAAAACTTTAGCCAGGATTAGCGGGGCGTGCCTACAGTCCCAGTTATAGGCTCACAGCAGGGGAGGATCTCTTGAGCTCAGGAGATCAAGGTTGCTGTGAACTGTGTGATCAGGCCACTGTACTTCGGCCTCTGCCACAGAGCAAGACCCCAACCCCCAAACACAAAGTGAAACATATCTCTGGGCGTAAATAAATGTTCACCAAAAATTAAATAATTATGCTAAAATAACAGTTTAGATTTTAATTTTAATCTTTTTATAGTTTCCATTATTATCTTGTTAGGATGAAAAGTAGACTGTCAACTCTGCCACCCCAAAATTTCACATGAAGGAAAAACTCCAAAATTCATGTATGACATCCAACCTAAGTAATTTCAATCCAGTAATAATAAAGAACAGAGAAGGATGAAAAGAAAGTATTGGAGAAAAATTAAGTATTCCCAAATTGCTCCTCCACCAACATCATTTAAAAGTATGCATCCACTGAGTAATGCAAATGTGTAGAATACCAGAGAAGCCATCTAGCAGCAACAACACAGGCACTGTAATTTTAAACGTTTATATTTGCTTCCTATATTTTTGAAAAATAAAGTTGTAATAACAACGTTTTGAAAATTTCCAAACTCTTCCTTGTATCCCAGAGGTTCCTTTTTTGCTCTTTGGCTTTGGCTTTGACTGGATACTGATTTTACCCTTGGCCATTCTGCACCTAACCTGACTGTGCACTAGGTCCCCTGCCATAACCTGGATGAAGGTCTGGCTGAGCGTCTCTGGGATCCTTTACAGCCCCTCTAATGCATCAGTCGGGAATCAAAAGCGTGGGTCCCAACTCTGACAGTGACTTTTGAAGAGTTACTTGTCCGCACTAGGTCTCAGTCTTCTCATCTGTCAAATGGGAATAACAACTGTACCTATCTCACATCTGTTGTAAGGATTAGATAATATATTTAGAGAGCTTAAAATGTTTAAAATGTCCGCTACTGCTATCATCACTATAATTGTAGTGTTCAATGACTGTGATTTCACCAGAGGGTCCGTCTGCCTTACGAAATTGCTGTCAAAAGAGCTTACCAATAATCCGTAGCAGATCACACCAGCTCAACAGGCCTCCACCTCCAGGAAGCCCTCCAGGGGCGGGCCGCCCTGCGCTATGCCCTCTGGCTGGACGCGTAGGGCTCCGGCTCACTCCGCCCAAGTCAGCCTCCCGCATCCCGCACGCCCGCGCTGGGGCCCGCACCTGCTCAGCAGGCCCTTGGGTGCGAAGTGCGCTTCTCCCGCCCCACCCAGGGCAGACAGTCCCGAGCAACGGCGCCCGCCGATGTCTCCCGGGCGCCCAGGAGGCCCGGTCTCTCCAGGGCGGTGAGTTCAGGTGGCCCGCCCCGCCCCGGCCGGAGAAACCCCGAAGCCCCGCCGCCGCGGACTCCAGGCTGCACAGGCCCCCGGGCGACGCGGGCGTCTCCGGGGCGGGCTGGCAGCCCGAGGCCAGGAGAGCACCCGCGTGTTGGCCTGGACGCTGTGCTAGGGCAGCTCTTACTGTTTCACGTTGTCCCCCAGGGCCTCGCTTAAGTTCTTCTTGGCCGCCTCCAGCTCGCTCACAAAGGTCGCCATTGCTCCGCGTGTCTCAGCCCGACCGCAGACCGCCCGGCCACCGCGATCAACAACCCAAAAACCAACTCGGCGGAAGGCCTTGGCTCTGGAAGCTAAGCCGGCCGCCGTCAGTCCCGCCCCCAATCTCTCAGAAGTCGTTTGTTTGGTTTTCGGCTCCGCCCGCCTTTTCGCAGGGAAGGTGCCCGGCCAAACTCTGCTCTCTTCCTCCCGCCCCTCGAGTCACGTGATCCGCTTCACCTTGTCGCGCGCCCATCCTAAACCCGCGCGCCCCGCCTCGGCTGCAACGTTGCTGACAGGCTGGCGTGTCCCAAGCTCTTTCATTCTGTTACCGCTGGGGCAATTCCGAATTCAGCCTGCTGTTCTTCTGCCTGGAGGAGTACCTTACCCCTCCATTTAAAAAAGTAAATGCAGTATCAGTTTTACTCTTTCCTTGCCTTATTTTTCCCCGAGCACTAACCGTCTCATATGACATTTAGTTGATTTATCTTGTAAATGTTATGGCTCGAGGACAGGAGTTGTGTTTTATTCACTGTTACCCGCAATTCTCTAGAGCAGCGCCTGGCACATAGTGGATGCTTAATAAGTATTTGAGTAAATGAGGTAACTATGTAAAATTTGGAAAATACACAGAAAGATAAAGATAAAAAGAAGGAAAAAGTGTTTTACCACTCCCGGACAAACACTTAACTGAGAGAGATTTCTCCTTCACTTCGCACACTCCCATGACTTAAAATATTCTATGTTCAATTTTGCACGTTTTTAAACTTAAGGATTTATCTGTAGTATTACATTGTCTTTAGAATAATTTTAATGACAACATATTAAATACCCCCACAGATAGAAGGTACACAACTTGTTTCCCAATTGTTAGACTGTGTCCATTTCTTCTCTATTAAAAAGCAATACTGTAATATTGCTTTTGAAGCATATAGCATAATGAAGCAAAACTTCTTTATGCATAAAACTTTTCCTCCTTTAGGATTATTACTTTAGCATAGAGTCCCACACATAGAATTACTGGATCAAATGATGGGAATATTTATAAATGCCTTGGTGTATATTGTCAAATTGCCTCCCAAAGTTTTTTAAATAATCCTAGATAGCTTTTAGATCTTGTGTAATTTCTCCAAAGATGTCCCCTTAAGTTCATTCATTCAACTTCCTCACTGCCCAACCTAAACCCACAAGCCCTGTCCTGGCTGCAATGCCAGCCGGGCACCTTCTCTTCACTTGAATTCATACAGTGAGCTCCTATTATGTGTCTGGAACTCTTTGAGTACTGGAGATACACAGGTGAAAGGAGATACAAAGGTCAGGCAAAGTCTTCCTCTCTGTGTCAAAACTCTGGGTAAGTTTTGACACATTTAAAAAATATCCACTTAAGTTTTCCATGGCTCCCCACGCTCTGCTGAACAAATTCCAGACTCCAGCATTCAAATGTTCTCATGATCTGAACTCACCCTACCTGTGTACCTCACACACCACTGGCCTTCCCACATAACCCCACACTTGGACTCAGCATTCTAGTTAACTTGACTTTAACAAATCACATGGCTCTTCCCCTTTACGCATATCTCCTCTCTGCTGGTTTTGAGACTTATGGTTGGCTACCTCCATTTTTTTTGAATCAGGTTCAAACATATATATGAATCTATTCAAGGATCAAGTCAACAGGACTAGGAAAGGCTACAGATAGTTGGGTACATCTTCCAGGAAGAATCCCTGTTTCTCATTTGTCTCTAGCCACGAAGAAAGATAGGCCTCAAAGATTTTCTTTTTGAACCCATGCTTGACAATACTCATACGTCTAGCTCAATTAAATATCCCTTTCTCTCTCAGCACTTATACACCTATTAACACTAATTTTACTACAGTTTTTCAGTTAAATGTCCATTTAAACTGTAATGTTAGACAATATAATATACATAAATGGACATCTGACCAAACAATTTAATATTGAGAGGTGAAGCCGCCTGGGCTTCTGGGCTGGGTGGGGACTTGGAGAACTTTTCTGACTAAAGGATTGTAAACGCACCAATCAGCGCTCTGTGTCTAGCTAAAGGTTTGTAAACGCACCAATCAGCACTCTGTAAAAACACACCAATCAGCGTTCTGTGTCTAGCTAAAGGTTTGTAAACGCACCAGTCAGCACTCTGTAAAAACACACCAATCAGCATTCTGTGTCTAGCTAAAGGTTTGTAAACGCACCAGTCAGCACTCTGTAAAAACGCACCAATCAGCGCTCTGTGTCTAGCTAAAGGTTTGTAAACGCACCAGTCAGCACTCTGTAAAAACGCACCAATCAGCGCTCTGTGTCTAGCTAAAGGTTTGTAAACGCACCAGTCAGCACTCTGTAAAAACGCACCAATCAGCGCTCTGTGTCTAGCTAAAGGTTTGTAAACACACCAGTCAGCACTCTGTAAAAACGAACCAATCAGCGCTCTGTGTCTAGCTAAAGGTTTGTAAATGCACCAATCAGCACTCTGTAAAATGGACCAATCAGGATGTGGGCGGGGCCAAATAAGGGAATAAAAGCTGGGCACCTGAGCCAGCAGCGGGAATACAGTCTGGTGGCCTTCCATGCTGTGGGTGCTGTGTTCTTTCGCTCTTCATGATAAATCTTGCTGCTGCTCACTCTTTGGGTCTGCACTACCTTTACGAGCTGTAACACTCACTGTGAAGGTCTGCAGCTTTACTCCTGAAGTTAGCGAGACCACGAACCCACTGGAAGGAAGAAACTCAGGACACATATGAACATCTGAAGGAACAAACTCCGGACACACCATCTTTAAGAACTGTAACACTCACCGCGAGGGTCCACAGCTTCATCTTGAAGTCAGCGAGACCAAGAACCCACTGGAAGGAACCAATGCCGGACACAATATTATAAATGAATACCAAGCCAGGGGTGATGGCACATGCCTGTAGTCCCACCTACTGGGGAGGCTGAAGTGAGAGGATTTCTTGGGCCCAGGAGTTCAAGTCTGCAGTGAGCTATGAGAGCACCACTGCACTCCAGCTTAGGCAACAGAGTGAGACCTCAACTTTAAAAAACAAATTTTTTTGAAAGGAAATGAATATTAAAACCACTTGTAATTTGGAAGGTTACTTTAAAGGAACTAATTCTAAATCTTTTATTATAGCAATATTTGTACAATGCATAGTGCAACTAATAAATAGCTTCAGAGAATGTGTGTCAAAATGCTTTATAAAGAGCAAGAAACTTGACAAATGTTTAGTCTAGTTTTTTTTTTTTTTTTTTTTTTTTTTTTTTGGATCATCCAGCTGGTTACAGGCTGGTTTGAGAGTAACTAGTAGAGTCAACTCAATAAGTTGCTGAGAACAGACATCTGAGGATCCAACCTTACCTGACATCTAAGTATTTATGAATATTTCTCCAAGTATATGGATTATGTGTGTAAATATGTGTATGTATTCTCCACTTATATAAAATAAAATTTCCTTTATATTATCCATATCTTTTTCCATTTCATTAGATAGATAACTGAAGGTTGGTGGTATTATTCATATACACTGCCTGTTTCTATACAACTTTTTTCCTTCATAAATATAATTCTGTACAAACAAAGGAAAACCCTCTAAAAAGTGTATTCTCATAGCTAGTTTACTTACATATTTATAAGAGCCTGGCCTGTACCTCCTTAATTTTTCCCATTCCTATTCTGTATTTTATTAAGCACTGGTCTTTTAACATTAGGATTTCTTTTTTTTATTGTGGTTAGAACACATAATACGTGATCTTCCCTTTTAACAATTTTTTTTTTTTTTGAGACAGAGTCTTGCTCTGTCACCCAAGCTGGAGTGCAATGGCATGATCTCGGCTCACTACAACCTCTGCCTCCTGGGTTCAAGAGATTCTCCTGCCTCAGCCTCCCGAGTAGCTGAGATTACAGGCACGGACCACCACGCCGCGCTAATTTTTTTTGTATTTTCAGTAGAGATGGGGTTTCACCGTATTAGCCAGGATGGTCTTGATCTCCTGACCTCATGATCTGCCCACCTCAGCCTCCCAAAGTGCTGGGATTACAGGCGTGAGCCACCACACAGAGCCCACCTTTTAACAAATTTTTAAGTGCACAATACCTTATTATTGACTACAGGTACAGTGTTGCACAGCAGATCTCTAGAGTCTATTCATGTTGCTTGACTAAAAGTTTATGATTAGTGACTCCTCATTTCCCCTCTCACCAGTTTCTGTTAACCATCATCCCACTCTTTGAGTCTATAAATTTGACTATTTTAGATACCCATGTAAGTGGAGTCATGCAGCAGTATTTGTCTTTCTGAGACTAGCTTATTTCATTTAGCATAATGTTCTCAAGGTTCATCCATGTTGTCACATATTGCAGAATTTCCTTCCTTTTTAAGGCTAATAGTATTCCATTGTGTATACACACACACACACCTCCCACATTTTCTTTATCCATTCATCTGTCAATGAACATTTTGGTTATTTCCACATCTTGGCTATTGGGAATAGTGCTGCAATGAACATAGGAATGCTAATATTTCTTTGAGATCCTAATTTTAATTCTTTTTGATAAATACCTAGAAGTGGGATTGCTAGATCATATGGTAATTCTATTTTTAATTTTTTGAGGAACCTCTACACTGTTTTCCATAGTGGCTGCACCATTTTGCATTTCTGCCAACAGTGTACAAGGATTTCAATTTCTCCCCATCATTGCCAACACTTGTCTTTTGGATTGACATTAAGATTTGATGTTGAAGGAGTTCTGAGATGTTCCAGCTCCGAAGATTATATAGTTATTATTCTGTCTTTATCCATTATATGATATTTAGATTTAGTTTAGTTTTTTTAATAAATCATAGACTCCTTCTTTACAGTGGCCAGGGCCTAGCATAGCAAAAATATTTGATTGACTTTCTTACTCCACTTACCCATTACCATTGACTCATTAGCCTTCTCAAAGCACTGTCAGCAAATGTGCGAGTTGTTTCCATTTCAGACATCAGCAGCTCTGCTTTACTAGAAGGACTCTTACAGTTCAGCTTTAAAATATTATTAATCATATATTCAATTTTCTTGTTGAACTTATAACATTGGCTGTAATTTGTAATACTTATATGTATGCTGTGGTACATAAGGTACACGCATATGGTAACTATACATATGGTACCTATACATATGGTTATACTGTGGTACATGGTGGCTCAAACTCAACATAAATGTGTGTTGGAATTAAATATTTTAGAAAATTCTATGTAATGTTTTCCTCCTCTATATCTGCATCAGTCTACAGATTTTAATATAGTTAAAGGTTATAAACATGGAATATATTAGGCCCTAGTAAAATTTATGGTTGAAAATAAGTTGAGAGTCATCTTGCCCTGATACTACATCTATTTATTTTATGCCTGATGGAAGGAGGTAAAGAGGTTCTTAATCTTTTTCTTTCAAAGCTATGGATCTCACTGCCAGTCTGGTGATACCTTTGGAGTCCTTCTAAGAATAATGTTTTAATGCATAAATAACGTAGGATTACATTTAAAACAATTTTATTGAACACAGTTCTATCATGGGCCTTTTTGGGGCCCATGGGCCCCAGCTTAAGACCCTCTTAAGTTTTATAGGTACTTGTCTTAGTCCATTCAGACATCTACAACAAAATACCACAGTTTAGGTGGCTTAAACAATTGAAACATTATCTCACAGTTGTGGAGGCTAGAAGTTTCATGTTTGGAAAGGTTTGGAAAAGAACCCCTTCAGACTTCTGTAACCACGTAGCCAAATAAAATTTGGAAATTTTGAAGCCTTTGATCACTACTCAGAATGTGGATAAGAGCTTCTCTACAGTGCTAAAAAATATATGTTTGTATAGTGACGAAGGTAAAGCATTGGAGAAATCTTTGGCACTCTCGGCAGGTAGAGATTCCAAACTGATGCACTGTCACTGAAGTTGCTACTAACATAGCAAGACTATGCTCGATGAAGACTAGACTACTGACATCACCCTCTGGAAGAAGGGAAAGCCACAAGTGCTGATCCAGAAAGATGAATTGCTGTCTGGTGTCGCCCTGAAAAATCTGACCCCAGGGAAGGAACTTGATAAATGAATTTCAGAAGATTTGGCCAGATTTGTTGGTGGAAATGTAGGAGGTGGTTCACTGTCTGGAATTACAGCCACAATTATACCACACAGCATTCTCTATCCTTGAGAGCCAGGACTTTCCCCAAAGTAAGGCGTTCAGTCTTGCATCTTTTGGAGATTTATGCCTAATTTCTTTTACAAATGTTGTTCTCGTGAAGAGATTTTTTTTTTTAAAGGCAAGGTCTAGGTCTGTCATCCAGGTTGGAATGCAGTAGTGCAGTCTCAGCTCACTGCAACCTCCTTCTCCCAGGCTCAAGTGATCCTCCCACTTCAGCCTCCATCCAGCGTAGCTGGAACTACAGGTGTGCACCAGCATGCTCAGCCAATTTTTAAATTATTTTGTTGAGATGAGGTTTCCCTATACTGCCCAGGATAGTCTTGAACGCCTAGGCTCAAACGATCCTCCCACCTCGGGCTCCCTAAGTGGTGGGATTACAGGCATAAGCCACAATGCCCAGCCTCCTATTATGTTGTCTAATTTGATTTGTTGGGACTTCGGAATCCAATGGAGGCAAAATAGCATGGTGTTAAAGTGCAAACTACAGAGCTAGTTTGCCTGAGGCTTGAATCCTGGCTTCTTCTAATTTAGCTGTGTGACTCTGAGCAAGTTACTTAATCACTCTGCCTCAGTTTCCACATCTGCAGCGTAGGGATAGTAATGCTACTTCAGGGTTCTTGTAAAAATTAAATTATTGTAACATGTAAGAGTACATGAAAGCCTTGGCATAGTGCCAGATGTGTAGTAATAGTCAATATGTCATAGCTATTATTATGCCTATCTTGTGTATACTGACATTGCTAAACTCCTTTATTATTTCTAATAGTTTACCGGCAGATTTTTCTTAGATATTCTATCTGGGCAATCATATTGTCTACAGATTAGGAAAAGCTTGCCTTTTTCTTTCCAACTCTTAGGCCTCTTTTTTCATTTTTTGATTTTTGCATTGGCTAGACCAGCTTTGTCCAATAGAACTTTCTACAATGATAGAAATGTCCTAGAGCTGGGTTCTCCAATACGGCAGCCATGTATGGCTATTTAGCACTTGAGATACAGTTAGTGAGACTCAGGAATTGAATTTTTAATTCAATTTAAATTTAAATAACCACCTGTGACTAGTGGCAACAGTATTCAACAGCTCAAGACTAGAACTTCCATTGCAGTGCAGAGCATTGGTACTCACGGTGGGCCTCTTGGCAGAGCACCTGGCTTTCATGGCACTCCTCACATTTCACCAGGAAGTATGATGTTTGTTGTACATTTGGAAAGTCACCCTCTATTCCCAGTTTGCCAAGAAACAGAACCAATAGAAAAAAAGTGTGTGTGTGTTTATTATCGCTCATGAGATTATGGAAGCTAAGAAGTCCCACCATCTGCCATCTGCAAGCTAGAGAATCAGGAAAGCTGGTGGTATAATTCAGTCCTAGTCCAAAGGCCCGAGGAATGGAGGCGACTGCGGGAAGGTGAAGACACGGCTATAAGTCCTGCACTCCTAAGGCTAAGGAGCAGGAAGCCCCAGACCATGGGCAGTGAGCAGAAGGAGACGACGTCTCAGCTCAAGAGAGAGAATTGGCCTTTCCTCTTTCTTTTTGTTCTAGTCAAGCCCTCAACAGATTGGATAATGCCCACTCACTCAGGACAGGAAGGACATCGCGCACTTTCAGGCCGGCTGGTTCGGTCTTGGCCTCGTTGACTTATGTTGACTCTCAAGGGCCGCCACCCAGGCACCTGCCCAGGTGCGTCCTAGGTTCTCTCAGGTTCAGGAACTCACCGGCTCTGGCGGCGCGGGCGGCGCGGGTGGCCCTTGTCCCTCAGGAAGGACTCTCCCTGTGGTCACCCAACTCTAGGCGCTCACGGCCTCTCAGCTGGAAAACCCCGCCGCCTGCAGAAAGCGGGTGTGGGAGGATTAGTTGGCTTTGGGGTCGGGATGGGCGGGCGGCACGGTGCTGCTCTTAGCACTAAAGCGGCTGTTGTCCGAGAAACGAAGCGAGAATGCAGAGCTGGCCCCGGCGCGAGCGAAATGTCTCTGCAGCAGCACCGCTTGCCTTCGCTAGAGGAAGAAGAGACGGCCCTGAGCGCAGCATCACCTCGGCCGGTTGGAGTCTGCCCGGCTGCCGCCAGGGGGTGATGCGCCCTCACCTTTCCTCCAGGATGCCCGGGATCCCAAGGAGGGTCGTGGGTCTCCGCGTCCCAACCTGGAGCCTTGGCCCGGGATGATACCCTTGGCCACCGGCAGCAGGTCTCTGGTGGCCACCTGACGCTTGAGCATTTCTTCTGCGGACCCTGGGAAGTCCTACCCCTTGGACTCATAAAATATCTTGGTTGTCCAAAGGTGCCACTTTCAGACCCTCCAATAACGGCAGGGATAGACTCAAAATCATTGACATATTACAGGCAGGGTTGTTACCTACAGGAAGAAATTGACGAATTGTCACATTTGGGGACAACCTGGGAGCTGCGGACCAAAGGGGCCTGACAGCAGTTGAGTGTAAAGGCAGGGCATACAGAGGCCACCTGTAGAGTTTACCCTCTCCCCCACCCTACCACCCACCTTGGGTCCTGAGTGAGGAAGAGAGTAGAGTGCAACCCATTGTGAGCTCTTTCTCATCAGGCTCTAGGAAATAACAACAGCTGATATGTACGAACTCCCTGCTACGAAGTGGGTCTACTACATTACCTCCTTTAGCCCAAACCATAATCCAGTGAGGTTTGAATTGCTGCTATCCCCAGGCCATAAGTGAGGGAACTGAGACTCAGGAAAGTTCAGTTGCTCTAGGTTACACAGGAAGTGGCAGAGTTAAGACTGGAACCTAGATCTCACTGACACCAGAGTCCATTTTGCCACAATAACCACAAAAATATGTTAACTCCAGTGAGCACTTAATATCTGCCAAGCATTGTACTGAATATGTTTTTTGGCGATGATTTAAAATCCTTGCCACAACCCCCCACAAGGTAGGTACTACTATTGTTACTCCCATTTTACAGGGAGATAAACTAAATCATAGAGAGTTAAGAAAATTGCCCACAGTTACACATCTAGTAGAACTGGACATAAGCCCAGTAAGCCCCATTCCAGAACTCATACTCTAGCTACCATGTTCTACTGCTTACTCTAGTGTGAGTGCCCCTGTCCATTTCTTCCTAAAGATTTCATCTGAGACAAGCTGGAATGGTCTGAAAACTCCCTGATGCCCTCCAACCAATGTAGCTGATGCCATCCTTTCAACCATCCACATTCTACTACACCTCCCTGCAGCTCCATGATTTCTGCACACTGTGGGGATGGAGCTCACGCATGCCCTGCACCCACATTTTGAGAGACTCCCCCTCTACAGGCTGCACTGTCCTCACTAGATGCACATCAGATAGGTAAGAGATTTAGGCAGAATAATCTTTTTTGTTTTCTTTTTCTTCCTCTCCCTCCTTCCCCTCCTCCTCCTTCTCCTCTTGATCTGTCACCTGGTTAATTTTATTTTTTATAGAGATGGATTTTTTTTTTGGAGACAGGATCTTGCTCTGTTGCCCAGCCTGGAGTACAATGGCACAATCATGGCTCACTGCAGCCCTCGATCTCCTGGGCTCAAGTGATCCTCTCACCTCAGCCTCCCAAGCCGCTGGGACTACAGGTGTGTACCACCATGCCCAGTTCTTTTTTTTTCTTTTGTAGAGATGAGGGGACTTTCTGTGTTGCCCAGGGTAGTCTTGAACTGCTAGGCTCAAGCAGTTGGCCAATCTCAGCCTCCTAAAGCGCTGGGATTACAGGTGTAAGCCACTGTACCCAGTCCTGTCTTTTTTAATTACAAATATATGACACCTGAGTTTATTGCTTTCCCCAAGTTACCAATTGTTTTGTAGAGTACAAACCTAGAAAATAGTATCTGAATGGTTGACCCCAGTTCAAGAAGATGAGGCAGGTCTCACCCACATGAAACTAGGACTACTGCAATTTCCATATGTTATTTAAAATGGACTTTGTGGAACTGTACCTTTATGGTAGATCCTAACCCAGCTGGCTTTGCTCTGTTTCCTAGTAGGATTTGCGGGGCTTGCAACTTCAAACAAAAAATTCCAGAAGTGTGCCCTTTGCTACTTCTGCATTATTAGAATCTGTTGGAAGCCTGTGATGTTCCATTTGCCTGTGAAGAGGGTGACAGCTGGTGTAAACCAGGGTCATGAAATTTGGCTGCTTCCATGGCAGTGATTTCAACCTGAGGGATGACTACCCAATACAAAATAGTAATGGCGGTCACTGCTAGATATAACGGACTCCTGGGTAGCCTCAAACCTCAAAGTACTTGTATTGCTTTAGGCCTGCATGGCAGGTTTTTGCAGAATGCCAATAATAGGAGCCTCAACCTTTTCCACTATATGCAGAAAAGAGGACAATGGAAAGAAGGAACTGTCTGTGTATGTTCTAATGCCAAGCAGAGCCAGCTTCTCAACAGATAATAATGATGTTAGGAGACATTTATGAAACACTTAACATGTCCACACAAATTAATGTCTAGTCTATTCCAACAATTTCCATGTTAGGTAGGGGATACTGTGGAACCAACCAGGCCAGGGCAATGGAATCCATTCCATCTGGTTGCTATGGAGAGCCCAAGGGGGACTACAGAAAACATGCAGTGTCTGCCCATCATTTCTGGAGCCAGATATAACCAAAGGAGATTACTGGAATTTGCTTGCTTGAACAGATTATTTCTACTTAATTCACCCTACAATAGCTTTCATAAGAGCAATGGTTCTCAACTTCGGTGTTAGAATCACTTGGGAGAATTTTTAGAAATTCCATGCTCTGGCCGTTCCCCAGAACGATTAAACTAGAATGTCTGGGGAATGGAATCCAGGTATCACTATTTTTCAAAGCCCTCCAGAGATTCTAATGCGCAACCATTCCTCATAGTTTTCCCCCTAAACCTTATTTAATAAGCAATAGGGCACCTATGTGACAGGCTGATAGATGCAGGACACCTACCACATCAGCCAGGGCAGAGGACCCCTGTGGGCTGGGAACCCCAAACATTCCTGGAGAGCCTAAACATTAAGTACACTGAATTAAAGGAGGCAAATTCCAAGATGTTTGCTATGGCTCAAATCAGAAACCAATTTTACAGAATCATTTTATAAAAAGTTATAGATTCTTGTTGAGGGCATTCCAGGATGGAGATAAACTGGCCTCACTCACATGGAGGTGGTTGAGCCTGGGCCTTGTTCCCCAAAGCAGTCTCCTCTGGTAACCAGCTATGAGTTTCCCTTTGGCTATCCCGACGCTTTAAGAAAATTCACACCTGGCTAGGTGCCGTGGCTCACACCTGTA
This sequence comes from Homo sapiens, assembly GCF_000001405.40. Taxonomy (NCBI): domain Eukaryota; kingdom Metazoa; phylum Chordata; class Mammalia; order Primates; family Hominidae; genus Homo; species Homo sapiens. The sequence continues at coordinate 166,887,689 of NC_000001.11, forward strand.
ATCCCACCACTTTGGGAGGCCGAGGCAGGTGGATCACAAGGTCAAGAGTTCGAGACCAGCCTGACCAACATGGTGAAACCCCGTCTCTATTAAAAAAAAAAAAAAAAAAAAATTAGCCAGGCATGGTGGCGCATGCCTGCAATCCCAGCTACTCAGGAGGCTGAGTCAGGTGGATCGCTTGAACCAGGGAGGCAGAGGTTGCAGTGAGCAGAGATCACGCCACTGCACTCCAGCCTGGCCTGGGCGACAGAGTGAGACTCCACCTCAAAAAAAAAAAAAAAAAAAAAAAGAAAAGAAAAGAAAAAGAAAATTCACACCTAATATGTGACAATCTACTTTCAGTTGTGCGTAGGGAATTAGGGAAGAGCCTAAAGGTGAACAGATAAAAGAGAAGCAGTCACTTTGTTTAAGCCTACATGGTGGCTGGACACTGCAGGACAGGGTTGGCAGTGGCGTGAGCAGTGACCAGAGCCAGGCAGTGGCAGAAACACAGTGCTGTTACAGACTGGCCTAAACCCTGTGTGAACCCCTTCAGATGCCACGACTGCTGAAGTTCTCAGTGCCCCTGAAAGTGAGGCTGGAAGTTCTGCGTGCAGATGGAGGGGCAAAGAGACATTATTATTTGGACATAATGATGAATGCAACCTCAGCTGTACTCATTAAGGAAGTCACATTTGCCACATATTGGCAATAATCAAATAATTCAATCCCTAATCAAATTCCCCATTAAAACCAAGTTTCACTCCCAAATATATGTGTTTCTCTTGGGCTATAAGTGTTGGACAGAGGTCTTCATGGTTGCTGCAGGGAAGAAATGTATGAGTAGTCTCTCCAAACAACCAAGCAGCCTGGGGATCAGAGGTCCAGGACACTGGGCCGCATATGTGATGTGTGTTATATTGGATGCTAACATCTTTGAATGAAAGGCTGTTCCTATCTGGTGCAGTCATGAGCAGAAATGACCAAATAAAGCTTGTGCTTGTCTTAATCTATGTTATTTGTGAATTGTGAATTATTTTGTCTCTAGTCTCCCCAAACAGTGGGAAAAACCAAGGCACTAACTTCAATTTGGCAAGTAATAGTGTCATTTTGAAACATCTGTAACATACCTGTTTACCTTTTTCAAAATTTTCACTGACAAAATCACACTATCCCTCTAGTCATAATCTGAAGCACTGTGTCTCCATAGTGATGATTCAGGCTCCCGTTGCCATGGTGATCATTCTATGGGCTAAAACACTTCCATCAGTTCTTCCCCTCATTCTCATTACCATTGTCCGTTTCTCAATCCAGGCCCTTATTATGTCTTTGGGATCTAGCACTGGGCCTGACAAATAATAGGTGGTCAATGTATTGAATGAATAGCCCAACTGAGATGATTAAAATACCTCTTACCTCGTCTTTCTGTCTCTAGGCTTTGTCCTGTGGGTTATTATGCCTTATCTTTTCATTTCATTCATCTGTTTTCATTTACTGGCACTTTTACAGAAGGAACACTTGCTCATTTTAGAAAACTCAAACAATTTTAGATACCTACAAAGTTAAAAGTAAACATTCCTCTCCACCAAAATAAATTCCAGCTGGATCAATGATTTAAACATAAAAAAATGATAAAAGTTCCAAAAGAATTTATAATCTGTGGTGAGAAAGGCTGCTTTAAATAAGAACAAAATCCGGAAGCCAAAAAGAAACAAAATTAACATGTTCAACCATATAAACATTTCAAAACGCTGTATGGGAAAAAAAAGTCATAAACAGTCAAAAGATTAATAGCAAACTGGAAAAATGTGTTTGCAGAACAAATGGTAAAAAGTTAAACTTCCTCAATTATCAAAGAGCTTTTACAAGTCAGTATGAAAAAGATGACCAAACCAGGAGGAAAACAGTCAAAGGTTATTAATGTTTTTAGAAAAAGGAACACAAGTGGTCAGAAAACAAATGACAAATTAGTCTCTCCGAATTAAATAAATACAAATAAACAACAATTAATAAATAAGACTCTTTTCACCTCTTTCGCAAATATAGATGTTTAATGACACGTAATGCGACAAACCTAAAGGGAAAATGAACACTTTCCTAAGTCATTGGTGGAAATGTGCATTGGTGTGTTCTTTCTGGAGGATAATTTGACAATATCTTTCAGAATTTAAAATGCACATCTCCTTTCACTGGTAATCCCTCTGGCAGAAATTTACACAATAGATATAGTTGCAAATGTTTAGCAAAATATATGTACAAGAATATTTATTGCTACATTGTTTTGCCACAGCAAAAGACTGGAAACACCCAGTATTCATAAGTGGGGGCAAGTTAACTAAATAACAGTAAACCTGTATGATGGAATAAGGATGCCTCTGTGAAAAGACTGAGGTAGTTCTGTGACCTCAAGAGTCAAAAGAACAAGTTGCAGTACCACATGTAACATTTTTATAAGAACAGACAGATACATATATGGTGTGAACATATGCATTAAAAGAGTTTTTAGAATAAATTACAAAATTAGTTATCTGTGGTATGGAGACTGGTATGAAGACAAGGAAAAAACCTTTTACTTTCATTTTGTATCTTTGGCTCATCAAATTTTTCATCTTAAAGGGAGCCAAGCTATGAGGATGCAAAGGCATAAGAATGATACAATGGATTTTGGGGACTTGGGAATGGGAAGTGGGGGAGGTGGGTGACGGATAAAAGATCATACATTGGGTACAGTGTATACTGTCAGGGTGATGGGTGCAGCAAAATCTCAGAAAACCCCACTAAAGAACTTATTTATGTAACCAAACACCACCTGCTCCCCAAAAACCTATTGAAATAAAAATTTCTTTTTTTCATCTGATACATGTTTCATGTATGACATTTAAAAGAACTATTAGCAGGGGTTTCCTTTACTTCCCTCAACTGCAATGCCCAAAGATATATTTTACATTCAGTTTTTTCTATATGTATATAAGAAAGATGCAAATATGTATCTTTGAATATGCATAATTATCATCTCTGTTGTTAAAAAATGGGGATTATATATAGTTCTGAAATTTGCTTTTCCAAATTTTTATATTATTCACATCTTTCCATTTAAGGACATACTGCATAAAATTTTACAGTAAGAATATGCTGTAACTTATTTACCCATTCTTATATTATAATGTTATTTCTATTTTTTTGGCCTTTACAATTAATTCTGCAATGACCATAATTTTACATAATTAATTTTTGTATGCATGTATTTTTGTAGGACTGATTCCCTAAAGTGGAATTCTAAGTAAAAGCAGAGACGACTGAGGCACAGGAGGTCACAAGAAACCTCCTGCATGCAGGTCATTTAAAATATCTGCTATTATCATGTCTCTTAACCTTCCATTGGACAACACGAGTCATGGAGGTGGTGAATTACACTCTGCCCACAATGTAGCAACGGCAAGGACAGAGACAGAAGGAAGATTTAGGGATATATAATAGAGTTTGCCACATTGCCAGGATGTGTGTATTTTTGGTTTTGTCTTTTTCTTTAATGACATAAATTTCTTGAGCAGCTGCTGCCAGTGTCCCACTTATATCCCCCTCACATTCACCTCTATAAGCCAATGCTGTCACCATGAATATCCAAAAGTTCTGCCTGAGGACTTTTCTTCAGCCCGGCAAAAAAGGATAAGCCAGAAGTTCTGGAGAGTCATGCCCTCAGAAGCAGTTCTCAACTGAAGATGGGCAAGGAGTTGAGGAATAACTAGTCCAGATTCCTCACCTCTCAACTCAGGTGAAGGAGACATTCCTATATAGCCTCCCACATTCACCCATCTGGATTGAGCTCCAGTTGCAGGAAATGATAACTGCCTTAACGATGTATTCTTTATTGACGTCCTTCCTTTCCCTGTCTCACTTTCCCAATAAACTCTCTACAATAAACTACTTTCCTCAAATCCTTATTTCAGGGTATGCCTTTTGGGGAACACGAACCAAGACTGTCTTACTCCAAATATTCATAAATTAATCCCTTGTGTGTTAAGAGTTTGGTGTAAAGATATGTAGAACATATCTATGGATTCTAATTTAGTATATCAATATTAAAGTACAAAATCAAGAGCTTTTTTAAAAATCCTAGATAATTCTTATATATTAGACCTATTTTTTGATATGACATTAAATTCAGAGTCTTTACCTCACAATGACTGTTACTTCTTATTTTCCCACTAAATTCTAACAAGTGAACTCTGAGAAATGCTCAGAAAAAGTGAATCAAATATAAGATGATTCTTCTTCAAAGAAAAATATAAAATTCACTCTACCTTCCTGCCTAGCTTCATCTTTATGAACTCTATGTCCAGGCTCACTTTCACTTTTTGTCAGTTATTTTCCAGGAATACAAATTTATTCTTATGCTATTACTATTATTATTATTATTATTATTATCATTTTTGAGATGGAGTCTCGCTCTGTCACCCAGGCTGGAGTGCAATGGCGTGATCTGGGCTCACTGCAACCTCTGCCTCCCAGGTTCAAGTGATTCTCCTGCCTCAGGCTCCTGAGTAGCTGGGATTACAGGCATGCACCACCATGCCTGGCTAATTTTTGTATTTTTAGTAGAGATGTTGGTCAGGCTGGCCTCAAACTCCTGACCTCAGGTGATCCACCGCCTTGGCCTCCCAAATTGCTGGGATTACAGGCATGAGCCACTGTGCCCAGCCTATTATTTTTGACTAGAAGCATGCTTAACAATTTAATCTCTTATCACAGGGTCTCTGTGACACTCAGAGTCTAGCTAATAAAGGGAAACTATTACTATTCCTAGGGCAAAAGGGACAAAGAGAAGAGTGTTACTCATGAGAATTGAATTATGGAAGATATATCACTCCTCTAGATGTCTCTGCTTTCATCAGAGAGATGACATCAGGACAGATGTAGTGGATTAAATTGTGGCCCCCAAAAGATATGTCCAAGTCCTTACCCTTGGTACCTGTAAATTTCACCTTATTTGGAAATAGGGTCTTTGCAATTGTATTTAAGGATTTCAAGATGAGATCATCCTGGATTTTGGATGGGCTTAACGGGTCCTCCTGCATTTAGGGTGGACACCAACTACTTGTGTCCTTATAAGAGAAAGGAGGAGATTTGAGACACAGAAAGATACAAGGTGAAAAGTCATGTGAACATAAAGGCAGAGATTGGAGTAATGTGTCTACAAACCACGGAATGCCAAGGATTGCCAGCAGCCATGAGAAGCTAGGGAAGAGGTGTGCGAGGGATGTTCTCTAAGAGCCTTCAAGAGGAGCTAGCCCTGTTGGCACCTTGATTTTGGACTTCTGGTCTCCAAAACTGTGAGAGAATAAATTTCAGTTACTTTAAGCTACCCAGTTCACGGCAATTTGTTATGACAGTCCCAGGAAACTAGTATGGCAGGGAAGGAATGGAGAAGAAATACCCTGGCCTCTCTCTCCTCCTGCCCACTGATCTCCTTCCAGTACTTTCCACTGGCCAAACTGAAATGGCAAGGAAGCACAAAAGAGGCAGTCTGCAGAGCACAGCATGCAGTAGATCTAGAGAGGAGCAACTGAAAATCCCAGCACCATAATGAAATAAAAATTACTGTAAACAATAACTATTTTAAACAAGGTAATAAATGAAAGCATACAAGAGACAGCTGCTGAATTGCTTCACCTAGACAACCAAGGCTAAAAATAATTCATTTGCTGTGGGGCTTTGTTAAATCACAAAAGTAAAAGAGAGCATTAAGATCATCCAACCCAAGTGCTTTCTCATTCCGTTCATCAAGAACAGGCTTGCAGAGATTGGTGACTTGTGCACCTTCAGTCAGTAGGTAAGGGAAGGAGTTGGGCCTGAAACAAGATCCGCCCAAATCTCCATCAGTTTCCCCATGGCTGATATGTTATTTTCCTCATCTACAGAGATTTCTGTCCACCAAGAACTCCATCATAGTGTTTTTACATTCTCCATTTTTATGCTGTTTACAGAAACAGAAACTGTCCTTTTCAGATGGGGTCTCAAGCGCAGCCCAACATACCACAGGAAGAAATTGCCCCATCTTCCCTGGAGAAAATGCCACTTGTAGCATCAGGCACCACTGATTTCCTGCAGAACTGTACTATGAAGTGTCCAGAGGTATGGCTGGAGTCAGCATGCTTTAGGACAGCTAGCTAGCTGTCCACACCCTGATTCGCTGATTGAGCACATGTGCATTAATAGGTGCCAGGCCTTGCACCAGACAATGAAGGTGCAGCACCAAAACCGAACACAGTCCTTGCCCTCAAGGGGCTCACAGTCTAGCAGAGAAGATGAATGGCAAATGTGTGAATTGGGGGGTGGCAGGTGCAGGGAGTACCTACCTCACCCATCTTGGGATTCAGGGAGGCTTCTGAGCCATGGAGAATGTAGGAAACTACTTTTTCCTCAAGCACCACAGAAGCTCATGAACAGATATTTTCCTCATTCAATGGCATTGATTTTTTTAATACAATTTATTTCTAGAACAATTTGGGGTTCACAGCAAAATTGAGCAGAAAGTATAGATTTCACATGTATCCCCTTCCCCCTACATACACATAAGCTCCCTCACTATCAACATCCCCTGTTAGAGTGATTCATTGTTACAGTGAACCAACACTGATGTATCATTATCCCTCAAAGTTCATAGTTTACATTAGGCTTCCCTCTTGATGTATGTTCTATGAGTTTTGACAAATGTATAATGACATGTATTCACCATTAAAGTTTAATACAGAATACTTTCACTGTCCTAAACATCCTCTGTGTTCCACCTATCACCCCTTCCTCCCCACTAACCCCTGGCAACCACTGATCTTTTTCCTGTCTCCATAGTTTTGCCTTTTCCAGAATGTCATATAGTTGGGAACCTACAGTATATAGCCCTTTTCAGATTGGCTTCTTTCACTTAGTAATATGCATTTAAATTCCCTCCACATCTTTTCATGACTTGATAACTAATTTGTTTTTAGCATTGAGTAATATTCCTTTGTCTGGATATCCCACAATTTATCCATTTACCTACTGAAGGGTATCTTTGTTACTTGCAAATTTTGGCAATAAAGCTTCTATAAACATTTGGGTGCAGATTTTTGTGTGGACACGTTTTCAACTCATTTGAGTAAATGCCAAAGAATGTGATTGCTAGATCATATGGTAAGAGTATGCTTAATCTTGTAGGAAACTGCCAAACTGACTTCCAAAGTAGCTGTACTATGGTTTCTTTCTGAAACGACTTAATCTTGTACCCAGCAGTACCTGCGTATACACGAGGTATGCTTTCAGCAACTCCAACAAAAAACCTCCCTGCTGGCCAGGTTCTTCCTTCTAATTGTAAGATGTCTCTCCCTCCGTCCTTTATATTTTGTCTTCTTAGTCTAAATCAGAACGTAAACCCCTATACAATTGGTAACAGTTTTTATTGTCATTGATTATGTATACCTTGAATAGGAATAAACATTCTAGGAATGTTTTAATAAAGCAAAATGCAGTGAAGGTTAAGGGAAAGAAGAAGCAGCGTACACAGTTGATTCATGAACTTCCTGTCCCAGGAGTATTTGCTATATGCACGGGGAGAGATTTGTCCTGTTTAATCTAATAAGTGGGGAAGGAGCTAACAGCCACCAGGCATTGAACTAGAACTGGGGATACAAAGGTGAGAAACTGTGTCCTTGAGAAGCTCGCCACTCAGGCATGTACAAACACAATTTCAATATCATATGATAAGTACTATAATTGCAAAAACCATTTTTCCTTTATTTTCAATAGTCTGCCTAGTTGTCAATAGAGGTGTCACATCATGTGTTGCAATCTTTGATGCAGAAAATATACTTTACTCCAAAAGAGGTATTAAAGCACCACAGAAGTGCAGAGGCTTAGAGGAACCTCAGTCTGGAATGCCTGAGATATCTTCACTGAGGAGGCAAAATCAGGCCTTAATGCTGTAGGGGATGAAAGAATATCTTTTCTTCCCATCTTAAGTTTATGGCCGAGGCCCCTATAATGAAAGACAGGTTTACAAGAGAAAAGCATATACATTTATTTAATATATTTATGAACATGGGAGGCTTTGGAAATGAAGACCCAAAGAAACAAGTAGACTTGTATATTATTATGTTTAGGTTTGATGAATCATGGACAGTCATAGAGAAATACAAAGGGAGGACAAAATTGTATAATCTAATGCCGATAAACTGCAGGGAACTTAGCAAGCCCCGTTTGTTCAGATTCTTCTCTGTGTTCTCATGTCTTCATAGATAAGCATACTCCATTCTTCTCGATGTTCCTATGTCTTCAGAGATAAGAATGTTCCTTTGTCTTCAGAGATAAGGAAGGGCACCTCTCAAATGAGGGTCTTATGTCCTGCTTCAGGGCAGACAAGTGATGGGGAGGTGAGGGTAGCTTCTGCTTCTGCTGTTTTCTGAAATGCCAAGGTACCATATTTTAAAGTAGCACGTCCTGAACTCCATCAATGCTCAACAATATATGTCACTTTTTCTGGCTCTGTTACTGAGAGAAGGAACTTTTAAGGCAGACAAGTCAGCATGGACAAAGGTGTAGAAGTGAGAAATAGAATGGTCTATTTGGAGGAAGAGCAGATGGTTTGGTGTGGCCAGAGAAGGTGCTGGTGCTGCTGCTGTTGGCAGGAGGTATGGGATGGCAGGAGATGGGATACAGGTGGACAGGAGTCAGCATGTGAAGGAGTTGGATGCCACAAGCTGGAAGTTTTCTTTGTACTGTAGGCTTGTGCTATTGAACAAGACAGTCAGTGGCTCTCAAGTAGGTAAAATGTGGCTTCTACAACTAAGCGGAAGAATTTTAATTTTTTTTAATTCTGTTCATGTAAAGTCAAAAATGGAAACAGATATATATATATATATATATCTCATGTTGAAATGATATTTTAGAAATTTTGGATCAAATAAATTATATTACTAAAATTAACTTCATCTACTTTTTTTTTTTTTTTTTGAGACAGATTCTCACTCTTGTTGCCCAGGCTGGAGTGCAATGGCACGATTTTGGCTCACTGCAACCTCCGCCTCCCAGGTTCAAGTGATTCTCCTGCCTCAGCCTCCTCAGTAGCTGGGATTACAGGCACATGTCACCACACCCAGCTAACTTTTTATTTTTAGTAGAGATGGGGTTTCACTATGTTGGCCAGGCTGGTCTTGAACTCCTGACCTCAGGCGGTCCACCCACCTCAGCCTCCCAAAGTGCTGGGATTACAGGTGTGAGCCACCATGCCCAGCCTACTTTTTTTACTTTAAAAAAATTAGGCTCCCAGAAACTTTGAAATTACATATGCAGCTTACATTATGTTTCTATTGCACATTGCTGCTATACGCAATTGGGAACCATTGAGAGTTTTTGTGCAGGACAAGAATATGATCATGTTGGGGCTTTAGAATAGCAACTCTGATAGCAGAGTAAAGGATGACTTGGTGGGAAAATACAACTAGCAGTAAGGTGACCAGTTAAGAGGCTATTGCTATAGTCCACATTAGAGCTAATATAGACCTACACAGTGTCAGTAGAGATGGAACAGAGGAGCTGTATTTAAAAGATATTTAGGAGGGGAAGTTGGCGTGGCTTGGTAATGGGTTGGCTGTGGGTGTGTGTTGTATATTAAATAATTTTGCTGGTCTTTATCTCTGGTTCCGGGGAGGTAAACTCTAAACTTTGGGATTTCCTGAGTGACAGGAGTGTCTTTGTTACTTATGCTGGGCTTCCTGGACCACCCCTAATTTATGCTAATGAGGTGATTCATGGTGTGCCCCTAGATGATTTCAGGATGGGGGCTGGCCATGCCAGTAAGATTAACTATGTGATTAAAAGTTTGGAGTTTTGAGCCAAGTGAAACCGACTGGACCTCCCAACCTTAGGGAGGGGAGGAGTGGGGACTTGGAGATTGAGTTCAATCACATGGACAATAGTTCAATCAATCATGCCTACTTAATGACACTCCAATAAAAACTCTGGACAACAGTGCTCAGGTGAGCCTCCTCGTTGGTAATATACATCAATGTCCTGGAAGAGTGACACATTCTGAGGACAGAGAAACTTCACATTTGGGACCTCCCCAGGCTTTGTTCTATGCATCTTTCTTTTGGCTAGCCCTGATTTGTACCTTGATAATAAAATTGTAATTGGAAGCATAATGTTTCCCTGAGTTCCATAAGTTGTTCTAATAAATTATTAAACCTGAAGTAATCATGGGAAACTCCAAAATTTGTAGCCAGTTGGTCAAAAGTGCAGGTGGCCTGGGAACCCTTGAGCTTGCAGCTGGCATCTGAGGTAAGGGCAGTCTTGTGATGGAATGTGCCCTTAACCTGTGACATTTGAACTCATTCTGGGTAGCTAGCATCAGGGTTGCACTGCACAATGAAAGAAAACAAGTTGACAATGACTCCACAGTTTCTAGATTAAACAGTGTAAGACACCCATAGGAAATGAAGTCTAGTTGGGGCACGAATTTGGTATCATGCCTGTTGTTTTTGAGGAGTCTATGGTCTTCAGGGTTGAGATGTCTAGGAAGCAGTGCAGGTGGAATTCAGGAGAGAGTCCAGGCTGGAGACAAAGACTTAGAAGTGTTCCACATACAGGATGTTGAAATAGAAATATTTCTGCCTCAGGGTTCTCTAAAGCCCCTTGATCCCCACATCCACTTTCCTCGGACTCTGCAGATCATTCTGTGTCTTTGTCTTTTCTACCAAAACTCCACCCCAAAGCTATTCTTTTCTCTTTGTGGTCTTCCCACCCTGGCCCAAAGTAGCTCCCAGAACTCTTCCAGCCTGTGTCCAGCCAAAGGTCCAGAATGGCTGGATAACCAGGTGGCTCAAAGCACACCCTCCCTACCTGGTGTGTAATGTAGCTTCTGCTCTCACCAGTGTTTCATCTGACAATCTTTCCACCTCTTCTGGATAAGGAGGGCACACTCTGAAGCTTTGCATATTATTTCTCTTATCACTTGTACATGATATGACATGATGAGATCATTTACTTTTCTTAATGCCAAAGACATTCATTTTTTTTCCTAACAAATATTTGGGTCCCTAGTATGTACTTAGTGTTAAGGAAACAAAGACAAAAAGGAGGCCAGATGCAGTAGCTGACACCTGTAATCTCAGCACTTTGGGAGGCCAAAGTGGTAGATTGCTTGAAGCCAGGAGCTCAAAGACCAGCCTGAGCAACATAGGAAGATCCCATCTTAAAAAAAAAAAAAGAAATTAGCCGGACATGGTGGCACATACCTGTAGTCCCAACAACTTTGGAGGCTGAGGTGGGAGAATCCCTTGAGCCTGGGAGGTAAAATCTGCAGTGAGCCATGATTGCCCCACTGCATTTCAGCCTGGGTGACAACGCAAGACCCTTCTCTCAAAAAGCCAATAATTATGATAATAATAAAAAGATGAAAAAGACATGATTGGCCGGGCGCAATGGCTCACGCCTGTAATCCCAGCACTTTAGGAGGCCAAGGCAGGTGGATCACCTGAGGTCTAGGAGTTTGAGACCAGCCTGACCAATATGGTGAAACTCCGTCTCTACTAAAAATACAAAAATTGGCCGGGCATAGTGGTGGGCACCTGTAGTCCCAGCTACTTGGGAGGCTGAGACAGGAGACTTGCTTGAACCTGGGAGGCAGAGGTTGCAATGAGCCGAGATCGTGCCACTGCACTCCAGCCTGGGTGACAGAATGAGACTCCATCTCAAAAAAAAAAAAAAGAAAAGAAAAGAAAAAGAAAAAGACACGATTGCTATCCTCAAGGAGTTTACAGTCTGGGGGAATTTGAACATACACGTGCTAACCAAATTCTTTGGTTATGTGATTGTGTAAGCTGTAATTGAGTGTAATCTATTTCACTTTACAAGCTGACAGGAGTTAGCAGATTTAAGATGAGCCATGGGCCTTTTTGCTGTCCTCTCAAGAACTTGTTCATAGAAAAAGCTGGATTTCAGAAAATCAAATATTTCTTCATGTTTTATGGCTCAGTTGATACCAAACATTCAAGCATTTAGATCTGCTTTTAAAATCATTTCAAAATATGTATATATTAGCTTTTTTCAATACAACCCTTCTTCTCCTTGCTCTGGTACTTATGTGAATATCTACAAGAGGGCTAGGGGAAGATGAAGAATTATTTTGGGACAAGCTCCATGAGAGCAGAATGCAAACAGATCTGTAAGAGTTCCAAAGATGGCTACATAGGTCAAAGGACAATGCAAGGATTGGCTCTACTCCCTTGATACTTTGAGTCATTTAAAATCCAGCACAGTTGATGTCATCTGGGAGGCTGCTAGAAATGCAGAATCTCAGGCCCCACCTAAATTGTGCTGAATCCTAATTTGTACTTTCAACAAGACACCCAGGTCATTCAAATGTCAGTATATATCTCTCTCCAAAGTTCCACACTCAGGTCAGCCTCCCAGCCTCTCTTCTCTCTATTGCTACCCTTTCATGACCCCCATGGCAGCCTCCTTCTCTCTATTGCTATCCTTTCATGCCCTCCACAGCAGGCTCCTTCTCTCTATTGCTACCCTTTCATGCTCCCCCCACCCCCATGGCAGCCTCCTTCTCTCTATTGCCATCTTTCATGCCCTCCACCCCAGGCCTGTCTCACCCATCGCCCTCTTCAAAAACCCTGAGTTGTTCATGTCTGTCCCTTTTCCATTTCCCACTATTCTTTTGCTCTCTGATGTCTTTTCTCACAAGCATCCTACCCCCACAAATAAAACATTTCATCTCATTGCACACACTTTGAGATTGCCATAGATAACAAATGCAACAGATATTGAAAAGGTAAAATCAACAGGACTCAGTAATTGCTTGGATAATTACAATATTCTCTAATATTAATTTCTTTCTATGAAGCAGATAGGGTTGTTATCCATATTCAAAGATGGGTAAACCACAGCTCAGAAAGGCTACATAACTTGTTTAATTCACAGACCTGGAAAGTGGCAAAGACGGGATTTGAATTCAGGAGGTCTGACTCTGGGACTTGGACATTTGACTCCTGTACTGGTGTGAGAAAGTAAGAGAAGTCTGTGATGATTCCTAGGACTTATATTAATTACCTGCAGTTGATGAGGCCACCAACAGAAGTAGAAAAAATAGATGAAAGTGTAGAGCTTTTGTTTTGTGGGGTGGTATGGGTAGTTCTAAGTTACCGTTACTTTTATATTAAAACTCCAGTTTATTTCTAAGGTTAAATGAAAAATTGCTTGCTTTGGATTTTCCCACCTTCTCCATTCGACTTTTGTAACAATTTACTCTGATGTTTAAAATCCCTAGACCAAGCTCTTCCTGAAGGAATACAAGATGACAGGTGGAGCACACCAAAAGCACATTCAAAAGCAGAAGCAAAGCCCCAATAGCTTTATAGCTTTGCCTGGTCTCTTTGGTCACCTTCCATTTTTAGCAATCAGAGTTGGTGGCCTGGAAGTATAGTCTGTGGCTACAAGGGGCTCACACTCTGTATATCTAACACAAACTAATTGAGCATGCCTCAAATGCTCCACATTCCCCGAGTTTCTCAGGTTCTTGGCAGCAACAACAACGATTGAAAATAAACTCTGCTCCCTTCCTCTTGGGGGAGAACAGATGGCCGGATCCCCATCAACCTTACAATCACTAGGTCCCTCGGGGTTATTACAAACATTAACTAAGAACTTCTCCTACAGCTCATCTCCATGGCCAACTATGAACAGCTTTTGAACAAGTTCCTTATTCATAGAATGACAAGCAAGAAAGCCCCCCAACCAGAGAATCTGTCTGCCTGGAGAGCAGGTGAGGCTTTGACACCAAGACATTATTCTTGCTGGTCCTCTCCTCTTCCCTCCCTCATCCTGAACCAAGGCTCCTTTTGCCCTCAATGGCACTGTCCCAATTTGTTTTTTTTATATTCAAGGGCTGATTTCTCAAATGTTATAGACGTGACTTCCAAAAGGGAGACAGTTTTAGAATCTTCTGTGATCATTCTCTCACAGGCCAAAAGACTGGATTTCTAAAACACAAAAACCAGGGCCAGCAGGGTTTTATTTTTCTGCCTTCTTCCCTAGTTCCCCCACAAGGCTGCTTAGTCTCATTGGTTGCAGACAGATATCTGTGTTAACAAAATACAGCCACTGACATTCACATTACCTCATCCATGCAGCAGTTTTGTCGTATGGGTCCCTTTGATATTAGGAGTGACCTTCCTCCTTGGTGCCAGAGAGATTTTAGCTGGAGTGCAGTGGCGTGATCTCGGCTCACTGCAACCTCCGCCTCCCGGGTTCAGGCGATTCTCCCGCCTCAGCCTCCCGAGTAGCAGGGATTACAGGCATGTGCCAGCATGCCCGGCTAATTTTTCATTTTTAGTAGATATGAGGTTTCTCCATGTTGGTCAGGCCGGTCTCAAACTCCCGACCTCAGGTGATACACCCGCCTTGGCCTCCCAAAGTGCTGGGATTAGAGGCATGAGCCACCAGGCCCAGCCAGTTTCTTTCTTTTGACAGATGCAAAAGTCTCTCTTTTTCTGTGAGATCCTGGACCTCCTCTGTCTGCCAAGGCTGCACATGTCTCTCTCCCCACTTTACAGATTAGGAAGAAGAAATAAAAAGCTAAAGTGCATAACATAAACTCTGAATCAACCCTTCTTCCTGTCCTTCCCAACAGAACCTGAATTTGCCTGGGTGTCATATACTGCCCTCTATGCAACAGCTATGACTCAGAGAGCAGTAACTCCAGGCCTATTCCTTATTCATCTAAGCCAATCAGAGGGCAGTAACTCCAAGCCTATTCCTTATTCATCTAAGCCAATCAGAACATGACAAGCTAAGTCAGAAAGTTCAGGCTACAAAGACTTGTATTATATAATTAGAGAAATGACTTCTCTCTTCCTTGTTGGAGGTGAGTGAGGAAACACATTGTCTCAGTCACCGACCACAAGAGGAACCAGCATTAGAATGAAGCTTAAACTTGAATGGCAAAGAGTAGAGTTAAAAAGATATTGGCAACATATTTAAACTTTTGGAACAACCAATTATTGTAGCCCATTCTACATTTTGTAGGCTAATAAATGTCCTTATTGTTTTTGCCAGTTTATGTCAAGTTTTCTGAGTTTTGTTTGTTTTGCAGTCAAAGCATCCTATCCTACCCTGCACTTCAGTTTTGTCCACCTCAAGAAATTCCACTGCTGTTTCATTAGTTATTCAAGTCAAAGACCTAGGAATCATTTTTTTTTCCTTTTCCTTCACTGTCTCCAAAATTGAATAAATCAACAAGCCTATTTTCTCTACCTCCAAAATACATTCATAATCTATCCTGTATATCCTTCTCCACTGCCATCGTCTTATTCCATTGTCCCCCACACAAAATCTGCATTCGCCCTCCAACTGTTCTCACTTCTTCCACTCTCGTCTTCCTGTAATCTGTTCTCCATACAGAAGTCAGAATGGTCTTTTTCAAACATAGGCCACATCATTCATCTGTTTGAAACTTTCTAATGGTTTCCAACTTAGAAAAAAGTCCACATTTCTCATTGATTTAATTACAGTAAAGACTATATCACTATAATAAAGACCTCAAAATGCAGTGGCTTAAATAAGAGAGAAGTGTATTTCTCTTTCACTTAGTCCAGCCAGGCAGGCCAGTTCTCCATGAGGTCATTTGGGAGCCAGGTTCCTCCCATCTTGTTGCTCCACCATGCCTAAGGCTAGTACATTGTCCTTATTTGCATGGTTGGTCACTCAAGGGAAGGAAGTTAAAGGCAAGTAATTTCCCTTCAGTCAAGTAAGGTGGGTGTTGCACGTATCTCTTCTGTTCACATTGCTCTGGTGATAACTCTAGTCACATGGCCACAACTCACAATAAGGAAGGCTGGGAAATTTAGTCTCTGGTTAGCTATCCAGATAAGAACCTTTTTCTAAGGACAAAAAAGAGAAGAGATTTGGGGAGGGTGCCTAGCACTCTGGCATCTTTATAATGGCCTTCTCAGCCTAAATGATCTAGGTGATGTTGGGGGCCCCTGCAGCCTCTTCAACATCAGCTCCTATGTCCTTCCTTGTTCACTAATTTTGAACCATGATGGCTTCCCTTCTGTTCCTCAAACATTCTGAAATCATGCCTACCTCAAGCACTGTTCACTTGTTCTCCCTTTCCTTGGAACTCTGCCCGATGGTCCTCTCAATCTCAGTTTCTTCTTATCCTTCAAGTAACAGTTTGAAAATGTCCCATCCTTTGAGAGGCCTTCTCTGACCACCCTTCTAATATTTTCCTCCTCTTAACAGTCAATGTCCATGATCCTGAGTTATTTTCAACACTGATCCTTTTATGAAATCATTTGAGTATTTGTGTATTGGCTGTCTCCCTCGCTGGAATTTGAACTCCATAAGGGTAGGGGGCCTTATTTGTCTTAATCTTATTCACTGCTGTAAGCTCAGTGCCAAACCATTGTATAGACATAATTAGTGCCCAACAAATACTTTTTAAAATAACTTGAATAAAAGGATAAGACTCTCCTAAGCAATATCTCCCCATCTTGTCCTTGTGCAATTATCTCTCAGATCAAAATGTGAGATTTTGCATTTATCCCTTCTCATTTCATCTTGTTAGATCTGGCCCATTGCCCTCATCTATAGATCTCTCTTGGGTGTGACTCTGAACCTGCCCCCTGCCAGTGGATCTGCAGGCCCTTCTTACCACTGCATGTTAGTAGGCAGGCAGCCACATGGCTTGCACTGTATCAATTGACACTCAAGGTTCCACACTTCTTTAATCTACACTTCTTGTTCATTGCACCCCCTTTTCATATGAGCTTCTACAATCTCCATAGTTGTTTACAAAGCAAGAACTGAGTGTCATGGGGAATAATGAACAAGGATTCAGGAGATCTGGATGCTAGCTCCAATTCCACTGCTGTTTGTTGCTATTTTCTAAGTCACCTTGAGAAGTCATTCCCCTCTTTGTGGTCTTGACTATTGGATCTGTAAAACAGAGAAAATCATGCCTGTTTTGCTTTACTCAGAGGCTCAGATAACAATGTACATAAATACACTGTGGAACAATTAAAAATTCTGTTGGAGTAGAGGGTAGTATTCCAGGACAGCCAGGGCCAGATCACAGGAGTCAGAGAGAGTCTGTGCAACATGGGGAGATTGTGGGGGCCCAGACGCCGTTCTCTGGAGCACATCTTCCAAAACCCCACTTCACTGTACACAGTAGGGCATCTTGTATTTTCCTCCCCTGGTTTTCATGCCAAGCATGGAGACACCTCCTCAAAAAAACTGCAAAAGAAAAAATCCCTTTGTGCTAGGTAACAAGATAAAGGTCTTACTCAGAAAGGAGACTTTTAAATATTGTTATAACCAGTTTAACCTATGGCCCTATATTGCACATTCTAAAGTCTCTCAAAAATCCCAAAGGGGATTGTATTCATAATAAAAGTTTAAAAACTTTAAAAGCTTCTTTTTATCTCTCTCTCAAAATCTCGTATAAATACTGGTTATACTCAAAATCTATTTTTTTTCCTCTCCAAACTCTGCTAGCCCATTCTGGCCATGATCTCTTTCATCCTCTTCTCTCCCACGGTCAGCTGGCTCCATGTAAATCAATTGAGCCAAGCCAGGTTCCACTGGATTCTTTCCTTGTGAACCCATTAAATCATTTAATACCACAAAATTGCAGAAGCTGAGCCAGCTGTTCAGCATTTGGTATGCACTGAAGGAGAAAGAGTTTGAGGAGTGCTCATAACATTTAAATTTTCTGCCTATCACACTGATTTGTTACCTTTTAGACTAAATGAAACTGAGGCTAAGATATGGTGGAGAGGGAGCAGACCCAGGGTCTACCAGAGATTAAGTAGCTTTCTCTAGTAGTTCAGTGGTTTACCCTTCCCTCTACCTCGACAGGATGTTTTCCAGGCCCCTCTGAGATGTCCAACCCTGATGTCTCTAACTTATACACATAGCTTATACTTTTTTATGGTTCTCTAGAGCCTGGGAATAGTAATTGTATGTGCTGATAAAAACACATACAAACAGCTTTTGGACTGGTTGCCTCCTTCATGTCCCAGCCACAGCATCATTTAGAACCTCTATAGCTACAAATAAATCATCAGTTGGAGTGAGCAGCCAAGGTTGGAAACTGATAGAGGGCCTCTGGTGTTTCTAATTCCAAAATCTGTGGCCATACTCTATCTCAGAATCTCTTTTGCCCACGGCTTATAAGTGAAAACAATCCTCATCGCTTGCCTTCCTCACTCCTCCAGGTTTTTATGTGAAAGGAATCAGTTTTTTGGCAAGTCCCTTTGAAAAGTTTTCCAACCTCTGTTCTAGGGTATGACTAAGCTGAAAGTCTTAAAGTGACTGAGATCATTTGTACTGGCTGAGATGTGACCTGGATGTAAAAGTGTTTGCGCTTATTCAACCTGCATGGGAGTGACTGCTCCGCAGCCTTCCTGAGGTCAGAGCTCTCAGGATATCATAAAATGATCTCATTTTGGTTTAGTTAAGCTCACACTACAAGACCTACTGCATGCCACATACCACAGTGGTATGAAGGATACCAAGAAAAAGAATACTTTCAAAGAACTTGCATTCCAGTGGGCAACCAGACACAAAAATAGATCATTTTGTGTTTATGCATTGAACATGGTGACAGGGCGAACACTGCAGAGGAAGCATGGACCTGGGGCTCTTAGCTCAGCCTGGTGGGAGTGGGGCTTCCTAAAAGATGCAACATCCAAGCTGAATCTTAAAATGTATGTAAGAAAGTGCTCAGAGAGGGGAAGGAAGGTATTCTGGAATAAAGGAACAGAGGTATAGAACAACACAGTGTAGTCAAGCTCTACAAATGTTTCTGCATATTACAGCATAGCAAAGACGTAGAAAAGAAGTAGAGGTAGAGACTGGCAATGAAGCTGTGATGGCAGAAAAGGGTGGGATCACAAAGAGCTTTGTGTGTTCTAAGGCACTTGACAATATGTGAAAAAGACTATGGAGAGCCAGAAGGGTTTTAAGCAGAAAGTGGCAAAGTCAGACTTCAGTCTTGCCAGGTATCTTAATTTCAACTGAACCACTTGTTATTTGAGTTTTCTGCTTAGGAAACATTTGGAGGTCTGGAATTTCATGACTGAGAGTCCTTATCAAGATATGACGTGGCTGTATGTGAGAGTTCAGATGTACCCTCAGGCTCACCCTCACGAATAAACTGTGTGATGCTCTAGGGTTTCGCCTGGACCTAGGGGGCCCAGCCACCCATCAGTTCAGGGCCTCCATGGCATGCAGCCCAGTGCCCCATTGCCCCTGTCCTCTGTGCAGGTCAGCACTGCCCACTGCCAGACTGCCCTCTACCAAAAACCAGGGTTAAGTAGCTCCCTTTCACCACTTACAATTCTTACAGCGCAAGTCTTTAGGTCAATTTTTTCTTTCTGATACTGTGAGGATAATTTGGCAGCATTATCAAAGCTGCTGGTCTCCTTAAGTCAAGAATTTAAATCATTCCATTTAGTTCTGAACTTCCTTGAGAGAGAGAAAAAAAAATGTGTTGATGAGTTCCTTGGAATGAGAAATATATTTGCTGTGATGAACAGCTGTTTGCCAGTTCTTCAAGACGTTTCTCTCTGAAGCAATGAAAATATACACAATAGCCCTCAAGTGTCTGGAGAAGAGGTTTCCTTTTGAAAATTCCCCATGGCCTACTGTGACTGACTTGAGTATGGATCACTGTGAAAATCCACCTTCATGTGAGAGAGTTATTTACGTCTCAGGAATCGCCATGGAACAATGAGCACTCTCCAAGTTCTCTTCATGGAGCGTGCTGTAGGCCTGTTCATTTCTTTTGAGGGAACATCTCTTAATAAATGGAGTCTCCCCACTCCACAATCTGTTGCTCTAAATTTGCTAAAACATTTTCAATATTTTGTCTGAATTCCTGTATCAAATTCTGGAATCGAAAGAAAGTTTAGTATCATGGGTAATCAATAATCAGAGGAATGTGAGATATCGGTTGCTTGGAAGCAATTAAGTTTTTTTTAAGAAAATATATTTTAAAAGTTATATAATGTAATGTAAAAATTATACATATTTTGAGTGACATAGCCCTATTCTTCCATGACCAATGCTGTACATACATAAAGGCTACAAATTAAATGGGAGCTCACCAAAGAACAACCAACTCCCAAAATGCAGGGTTTCTGATAACCATGTTAGAGAAGGCCGCTTTGGTCTGAAGCTGAGATGCAAAGAAAGGACTCTGCCCAAGTCACATGTTCTCCTTCACATGAGAGAAGGAAGCACAGACGTGCTGGCCATCCCTGAGAACAGGAAGTGAAAGGTGTAGGACCAGAAAAGAGAATGTGGGGTGCGTAAACACTTACTTTACACTGGGAAATGTGGCATGATGAACTTCAGACACTCAAGGAATCCAAGTAGTTCTCCTTTCCTGTTTATACAGAAAGGAATGAAGAGGTGGATAGGTGTCTTAGTCACTTCAGGCTGCTGTAACAAAAATACCATAGACTAGGTGGCTTAAATATCAGAAATTTATTTCTCACAGTTCTAGAATCTGGGAAGTCCAAGCTCAGTGCACCAATACATTCAGTTCCTGGCGAAGGTCCTTTTCCTGGTTTGCAGACAGATACCTTGCTGTATCCTCACATGGCAGAGAAAGAGAGGAAGTAATCTCTCTCCTGTCTCTTCTTATAAGGACACTAATTCCATCATAAGAGCTCCACCCTACTGACCTAATCACCTCCCAAAGGCCTCATGCCCAAATACCATCACATTAGGATTAGGATTTTGACATAAAAATTTGGGGAAGACACAAAACACTCAGTCCATAGCAACAGAGAAGCAAAATGTCCCCTGTTCTATGGAACTTAGAGAGGAAGGGAGAAGCACCTTGCCCAGCATTAAGTATTTTTCTTGAAACTGTCTGGAACCTCTAACAAAAAAAGTAGAAGGTGAATAATTAGGAGACAACAGGAAGTAGGAGACAAGAAATGAGGGTACCAGAAGAATCCAGGGAGGAGACGAAAGGTCCTAATGAAGGCAGTGACACAGAGATGGATTTCTAAATTCAGAACGAGACAAGTATAACCAAGGACATTCACTGGTATATGGAAGGCTCTGGTAGGATTTGTCACTGAACTGTGGTAAAAACAGCCTCCCTGAAGCCTTGGGTTGGAATAATACGTGTGAGGGAATTGGCAACAAAAGGAAGCCGGAAAGGCTGGTTGTTCAGGGCTCTGTGGCTGCAGATAAAGAATCTTTTCGGATGCAGTAGCAGATAGCTGTTGGTGTTGTGTATGTGTTTTGTCTGCCCAGCATCACTATTCTCACTTCTTCTATTAATAACAACTCTCTTCTCTCTTTGGAGAAATCTTCCTATCCCACTATCCAGTCCATCGCAGTCTCACCTTCCTGGTCATAAACAGACTTGCCACATCTCTGGCCACATGATTAGCTCAGATATGGGCACATGACTCAATATGAGTTGACTGCAGTCTTTCTCCAGGATTGTTCTCATGAGTAAAGCCTTTTGCCTGCTTGGTCAAATGAGCTGGAAAGTTGTGACTCTCAGACTGCTAGTGGCTATATTCCTGCCTTTTGGAGTAAGTCTATCCTCACTGAGAAAATGTATTGATGTAAAAACACAAGTAGGTGTGGATGATGGACAGGGAATCTTAAATCTTACTACATTGAGACCCAGGTTTGTTCTCAGTTCCTACAGCTCTTCCAGCCTGTGAGCTACTCCAGGATCTCTCTAATAGATGAGCTCCATTTCTCCTTTTCTTGTTCTTAAGCTAGTCTGAGCTATCTTCCTGTCATTTGCAACCAAAAATTTTTTTACTAATACAGCTGCCAAAGGAATGAAACATAAGAGGCTATCGCCTTGGCCTGAGGGAATGAGAAAAGCTAGGTGCCTAAGTCATACCAGCAACAAAAAGAGGCTGGGAGGGTGGGGTTGTATATTAATGTCCATTATAATTTAACTACATTCAGTTGAACAAAGCGTTTTTCCAAAAACAAGGTTAATAGAAATTGACATATATATGTGTGTGTGTATACATACATATATATATATATATATATATAAATATATATAAATATATATATTTATATATATATATATATATATATATCCTTCTAGCTTTGCTCTACTGGACATTAACGTCTCAGAGAAAGAAAAAGAGCCAGAAAAAATCCACTGTGGCTATGCTTCTACACAAAATTTGTAACAAAATGTGAGAAAATATCTCCAGAGAGCAAGGATTGTTTTAAAAAAAAGTAAAGTGTTTTAACATGTCTGGAATTTTCTCCTCTGCTTGGTTTTTAGAGACAGTGAGAGAGAGAACAAGAGACAGAGAGATTGATTCATCTTTGTACAGCTGAAGACTAGGGAATGGACTATTTAGGTCCTTTGGTTGTACAGTTTGATGACACGGTTTTTGCTTGTTAAAGAGAAACTGGCTTCACCATAATTCTGCAGAATCAGAGTCCTGACCTGACTTCAGAAAACAATTGTAATTCCATGGTGTTAAAAGCACACTTTAAAATAGCTTTAAATCACAAAAGGCATGCACCTAAATCCCACTTGATCCCAAGCAAAAACCTCATGGTTTTCCCCACATTATATCCACAGAAGCCTGCCTCAAAAACATAATATGGCAAGTTCTAAACTTGCAAAGTGTAAGAAAAACATATCACTTTTAAAGAAAAAATTCCTAATGCACTTAATTTGTTTTTCAAAAGCCAAATTCATCTATATAAATTCATATATAGCATTAAAATAAGCTATATAAATTCATATGTAGCTTTTCCCTTAAGTAATGTGAGGCACACCTCCATCCAATACTGGAAGGTTAGCAATAGAGTCACTCTCTTGGATGTGTGCCACTAGATGGCGTGTCAGACCAACTCACTCACCTCTAAGCAACTTCCTAGCTACTTCTACACCTCATGCCATTTTTGGTGAGTCATCTTAGGCCACCTGATAAGTATTCAGGAAATGCTTATAACCAATTCAGCAGAAAATATAATTTTCACCTAAGTGGTGTGATGAGTATGATTAGGATGTCTCTGCCAAGATTTTCTAAGAGAACCTGAAATTAGCCTACTTCTTATTTCTTGAAATGAAAGCATATAAAAATTGGATTAGAATTAGATAATCATAGGGAAAAATGAATTATTTGTTTTGCCTAATTTTAATCCATCCTATGAGTCTAGTCCTTCCTTGCTGCTTCTTTTTTTTCTTGTCTTTTTAAATTTTTACCTTTTTGTGGAGGATGGGATCTCACTATACTGCCCAGGTAGGTCTTGAACTCCTGGCTCAAGCTATCCTCCCACCTTTGTCTCCCTAACTGTTGGGATTTCAGGTGTGAGCCACAGGGCCCGGCCTTCCTTGCCTCTTGAATGAAATCTACATCCATAATTTATTTGGCCACTCTTAACAATTAACAGCCTTCTGTTCACTCTTAAACCCTAAAACAGTCTATGTCTATAATTAAGACAGCCATTCTCTTATATTATCAAACTCTAAAGAATATGTAAAGTTAAAGCCTCTTGCCCTCCCCATCTTAAGATTTTGTTTGCAGTCTACAGGTTGCATTAGAAAGAAATGCACAATGCGTGTATGTGTGCCTTTTTCATTTTTTCCCATTTAGCACACTTACTTCTTCCTTACTCAATCATTCACTCTTCCTGGCTTCCCCAGGGTTGCTGTGTATATATAGAGTCATTATGGAGAAATGTAAGGCAGATAAGGAGCAAGAAAGGTTTTTCTTGACTGGCACAATGTAATATGGCATTGCACCACACATGAGCTTAAAATAAAAAACTATAAAACCCATAAAGAAACAAAAAACTGTGAGTGAAAGTTAGCAGAAGTAACAAACTCTAAAAGTAGACCCACAAAGACTGTAGATATTGGAATTACTGGATATAAAATTTTAAGTTAGTATCTTTAAGATATTCAGATAAATAAGAGGGCATTGTAAAAAAAAAAAAAGAGTAAGTCACAAGACAACAGGGACTATGTAAATTTGAAAAAGAACTAAACTCCTAGAAATGAAATACATATTAATTAAAATTAAAACTCAAATAAAGGAGATTAGAGCTAGCTGAAAAGAAAATTAGTGAGCTGGAAGATAAACCTGAAGAAATTTACCTGAATAGGGAATAGAAAACACAGAGAGAGGAAATACAAAATATAGATTAAACAATATGGGGCATAGAATGAAAAAAAATCTAACAATTGGAATTCTCAAGAGAGAGTTTAAAAAGAAGAGGAAATATTTGATGTGTTAATATAGCTGAGAGTTTTCCATATTTAATGGGAAATCCAATCCACGGATTTAGGAAACACCACAAATCCTAATTTGGATAAATAAAAAGAAATCCACACCTGGTCACATGTTAATTAAACCAAAGAACACTAGAGACAAAAAAATCTTTAGAACAGTCAGAGAGACCAGACAGATTAGGAAGGATAATTAAACTGGTAATTGACTTCTTAAAAGCAAAAATAAAAGTCAGAAGGGAGTGTAATAATAACTTCAATGTCCTGAAAGAAAATAACTATCAATCTAGAATCATAATCAGTGAAATTATCTTTCAAGAACAAGAATGAAATAAAGACTTTTACATCAACAAAGACTGATGAGTATCCTACCAACAAATCATTACTGAAGTAAACTTCCTTCAGAAAGAAAATATTTCAAAAGGAAGATCTGAAATATAGGAAAAAAAGATGTGTAGAAAAAACACGTGGGTGATTCTAAACAAATACTTTATAAATAAAAACAAAAATATTTTATAAAGCTGAAAAACCTAAATGGAATTAAAACACAAAATAATACAAAATCCAGAGGTAATCAAACTGTTTTAGAGTCTATCTTTAAGTTAAATCTACATGTTAACATTTTTAAGTTAACTACTTAAAAAAAATTGAGCCCAGATGCTTCAAGCAAAAACAGATTTTCTGCTTGACAAGGCCACTAAAATCTGGAATTCCCTTGAGAGGGCTTAGCCATCCAAAACAGGATTAATAGTTCTCAGAGGTATTTATCACTTCTTTTGCTAACAAAGGTTTTTAATTGCCTCCTCTTAATTATGGTGCTGTGGAATTTCTCAAATCTTAACAGAACTTGAAATGTCCTCCCACGAATAGCTTCCTTCCTCCCTTCCCCAAGTGTAATTTCTAGCAGGCATATGCTTGTGCCCCTCTTGGAAATGAGCTAGGTACCATCACCTTATCCAACCACCTTTCCTACCCTTCATCTCCTTCTGAATGTTACAGTCTGTGGAGAGCAGTAAGAGTGACAACAGAATTTATCTAGCTTATTACAATCTGTAAAAGCATACCTTTTGCTCTGTCAGTACCAGCCCCCTCTGTAACCCCACAATATGTATTCCTCTATTACTGTACTTACAACAATCAGAGAAGGACATGTATCATATGATTCTTTCTCTTGCTGAGGCCATTTAATGTCAGATCATGATTAACCATAGTTGTGTTAATTATGAGTTCTTGGTAACAAATGTAGGTAAGAATTCTTTATTACGTTTAAAACATTACAACCAAATTCAATTTGTATGTCTGACACAGAAAAAAAAAGTCATGGACAACAGTAATACAAACATTTCAGTTTTGATGTCACAAGGCACAAAGACAACTGACAGGTGGCCCTCACGAAGCCAACTTCTCACCCTTCTCTGTCCCACCCTCCTACTCCCTTGTTCTTTATTCTCACACAGCAAATTTCTTATGCAGTCGTGTCTAATACTTTTGTTAATAAAATGGCTTTTCCTTAAAGCCAAGGTAAAAGAGAAGCTATCTGTGTCTCTTTTAGCCTTCCCAGAAGAAATGAGTCAGACTAGTTACTTCATGGCCAGCCCCACCAAGAAACTCTAAGAAAAATTTAGCTAAACTACTATATCTTTTTCCTTCTCACATTCCTTATTCCTCTATATCTGATCCCTCTTAGTTCTACCTAAAATCTTAAAATGTAGTGAAGATGCCAGATTTTTGCTGTTAAGCAGCTTCTGCCTGGAGTTCTGAATCCAGATGAATCTGTCGTTTCATTCAGAAACTTCTCTGCAAGAAGGATTCTCCAGAAAACCTGAAGCATATATTACCCCTCACAGCACAGGTGATGAAAGTGAGGCTCTCAGCTGGGTTCAGTGGCTCATGTCTGTAATACCAGCACTTTAGGCAGCCAAGGTGGGAGGATCACTTGAGGCCAGGAGTTTGAGACAAGCCTGGGAAATATAGCAAGACCCCATCTCTACAAACAAACAAAATTTGCTGGACGTGGTGGCATATATCTGTAGTCCTACCTACTTGGGAGGCTGAGGGAGGAGGATTGCTTGAGCTAGGAGTTTGA
Source organism: Homo sapiens (assembly GCF_000001405.40). NCBI lineage: Eukaryota > Metazoa > Chordata > Mammalia > Primates > Hominidae > Homo > Homo sapiens. The sequence continues at coordinate 166,914,049 of NC_000001.11, forward strand.
GACTGCAGTGAGCTGATAGCACCACTGCACTGCACTGCACCATGGGCCACAGAGCAAGACCCTGTCTCAAAAAAAAAAAAAAGAAAGAAAAAGAAAACGAAACTCTCCTTGAGTGAAGCTACAACTCCCTCTTAGATTAGCATTTGAGGAATGAATGGTGCTTAGTTGGATGAAGCAGCAACAGTATCTGTCTTCATGGCTTCGCCACATCCATGACATATGAACAAGCATCAAGTCTACGGCTCTTCTCACCAGATGTCTGGCTGTGAAGAGAAACTGGAATCTGGAATACCCAGATTCCAGTCCCATGAGTATTTAAGGAATTGGAAAGGACACCAGACAAGACAGTCAGAAGGCCTGGCTTTATAATTTTAAAAACCATTTGACTACAGACAAGTCACTTAGTATTTTTCAACCTCAGTTTTACATTCTATGTAATGAGACCACAACATCTGCCCTGCCTCTATCACAGCAGTTGATGTTGGGATCAAATGAAAGTGTTCTGTAAACAGTAATATATCATAAAAATAACACAAATATTATTAGTATTAACCTTCTCCCCTTCAAATAGTGCTAAAGCTCAGGCTGCTGCTTAAAGCATCTCAACACTGCCCTTGCACCACTCTGATGTTAAATGCCCCTTCTTCAAGCTTCATAGATCAATTCCCCAGATGACTAGGGGGTAGGATAATGGCAGAAAAAAGCGAGGCACTTTTTCCTTCTAGGACTTTATGTAGCTGGCCCCCTATTTTAGTGAATTTGGATTTCTACATCCTATCAATCAATTTCAGACTTCCATTAAGATGCTGGCAGCATTTAAATCTGATTTTGGAAGGATATAAAATGAGGACTTTTATTATTCTTGTCCACCCAACTTTAGGTAAGACCAAAGTGGGAGTGCTATTGGCCAGTCATCCTTATGATTTGTATGCTTTATAAAATGATTGAGTTTTTCTATTTCCCCAATGGCATCTTTTCCTTCTATTCATGATTTAAGTTTTGCTAAAAATATATCAAGAGAATGAGAAAATTACCTGTAATTCTTGTTGTCTGTTCTGAGACTGTCACAATAGATCACTGTTCTGGGAATGGAAATATCTACAACAGCCTCCCTGGGAGTGCTCCTGACACTCCTTTCTCTCTGCCTGTTTTCCCACTACCACTAGCGTACTCTGGTGAGCCCATCCAGGTCACAGCCAGACTTCTGAGTGACTCACCACAGCCAGCCCCAAAGGATTGAGAGGGACCTCACCAGGACATTTGAAGAAAAAATTCTAAGGCCCAAGGAAGCCTCAGGACTAGCTGTTTGGAGTACCCAGAGGTATGACTTAGTGCAATGATTTCCAAATGCATCTGATCACAGGAGTCTCCTGGAATGCATATTAAAAATATGAATTCTGGCTCTAGACCCACCCAATCAATCTCCAAAACAGGGTCCAACAATACCTTTTTAACAGCAGCTATCAAGTTAATTCTTGTGGTTAGGCAATTTTGGGAAACACTAATCAGCAGAAAAGATCCAGAGGTTGGGAGTCTAAAGACCTAATAGGTTTGTGACTTCATTAATGGCAGTGATGGTTTCTTCACCTATTAAAAAAAATTGGGTGAGGGGCGGTGGTAAATTACAACAGTATCTGTGACTTCAGCTTCTCTCAAAGGCAAGATCTAATCAGACTACCTATGTGAAATTTTGTGGACTATTCAGAAATATTTACAGATGTGGTCAGGTGCCTTGGGTTTGGGTGGCAGCCTTTTCTCATCTCCAGTATGCCTAATCCTATGTCAAGTGCACAGTGAGGATCATGAGAAGGGGGATGTGAGGCCTAGCATCTCCGTGAGGCCTGCCCTGTGTTGGTGAATATGGGCAGCAGCACTCACAGCCGCAGAACTGAGCCCCAGGAGCAGCCACGCTGAGCTCCCCTGTGAACGTGCTTGGATGGAATAGCTGCCATGCACCAGGTCCATGGCCATTGTCTCCAACTTCCTAATGAATCCATGCATGGCCTAGAGAAGCAGCTCATCTACCAGGGGACACCTCCCTGCCACCTGCATCCACACTCCCTCCTCCAGCGTGTTCCTGACTCAGTAGTGACTCACAGGCAAGCACAGCAGCTTATGCATCATCCCCCTGGGACCCCTGCTGCTCACCCTTTCCCGATCCTAATTCACCTCTTTTCAGTTCAGACTTTTGAGTATTGGCTTTTCAGATCACCAAGTCTATGTTTAAATAAGATGATGGACAAACACATACAACACTTTAATATCAAAGTATTCTCATTTTTTAAAAAAACTAAATCTCTGGTTTTATTATAATTTATCCATAGCACTATTTCATACTCTATGTATAAAATCTCCTTTCTTGAGCATGTCTTATTTCCCCTATTAAATTACGGGGTCCTAGTGGACAGAGATTATGTCTTACACAAGATTTACTTTGTACTCCAATAAGACCTAGGAAAGAAGCTAACAAATATAACCATTTCCTGTGCAGGACACACTATTCAAAGGAGAAGAAACAAAAGGACACATAGAGGAAAGTCAGGGGTGCTGAGGACAAGAAGTTTTGACTTGTCAACTCAGCCTTAACTCCTGTCCATATACCCAGAAACAACTGCTTTTTCTCTCTACTGAAAGCCTGGAAGTCTGAATGATTTATCCAGTTCTACAAAGGACAACCTGGTCCCAACTCCCAAGGTTAATTCAGTAGCCTGCTATCTTCTTTGTACTTTTCAGTCTATCTGTAGTTTTGTTGTCTTTGGAATTGCAGGTTTCCAATTTTAATAATTCTTTCTTTCCCATTGCTACCCTCAACCTTCACCAAAATCATACGTCCGTAGCTTTAAAAAAACATTATTTTTGGTCTCTGCAGCTGGTGCTATGAGGCTCTTTGGTGGTGAAAAGCCTGACACAGTGCTCAGTATAAAGCGATAATAGCTACCACAGCTACCCAATATTCTCCAAAATTGCCTGAGCAAGTTGAAATCCAAAGCTGGTGACTAAGAAATGTTTTTTATCATCTTTTCCATCTGAACTGGGGTCCAAACAGACAGGCTAGACCTAGGCTTTCAGAGGCCAGGGACACCAGCAAGTCTAAAACTCAGCACCAGGGTTATGGCTTGTGTCTTCCAGCCCTTGGAAGTGCCAGCACTGGGTTCAACTGTTCTCCTGATTTCTCTGGGACTGGCCAAAGCAACACGGAAGTCCTTTGGTAGGTCAATTCTCCAAGCAATGACACATACCAGCTCATCCCTCCGACCCTCACCCAGCCACTTTCTTATTTCATTGCAAACATAGGACTTTTTTTGGAAATGTCATGAAGTACAAATGGATACTAGAGGAATGGTACTTTGAGAATAGGGTCTAGCCCCAGTAGGGTGGCTCTGGAGAAGACCAAAAGGATGGTAAAGAAGAGATCTTCAGAGGTTGTCCACGGATCCATAGACAGGGAAGAAACCACTGCTGGATTAAGGGATAGCAAAGTCAAGCATTATCCTCCACTCCACAAGAGTGCAGGGTGAAAAGCTTTGATAAAAATTTGTCAACAATAGTGGAGGCTATGAGAAACACAAGTTTGGATGGATTAAGAGGTTCAGGGATGAACATTCAGACAAGAACGAGTCAGGTTTGTTCTTAAAGAGAAATGAACATAAAGAATGCACCAACTTCTCACGCCTCGAGTAGGAATCAGAAATTTGGGCTGGGTTCAGCTAGGCAGTTCTTCTATTGGTATCACCTGGACTCACCCATGTCTGCATCAGCTGGAAGTTGACGGGCTGTCAGATAGGGTGACAAGGGTAACTGGGCCCTTTTCTTTTGTCATGCAGCAGGATAGTCCAGGCTTGTTCACCTGATGGTAGTTGCAAGGTTCCCAAGAGCAGCAAAAGAGGACAAGCCCCATGCACAAGAACTTTTCAAGTCTCTGCTTGTGTCACATTTGTTGGGCTACTGGCTAAATCAAATCACATAGCCAACTCCAGATTCAAGGGGTTGGAAAAAAGATGGCACCTCTTGATGAGAAGGAAAGAGTTCGTGGCCATTTTTGCTATCTACACAAACGATAAAATCCAGAGATCTAGCTTTGGGATTTAGGCAAAATCTATCATTTAGGCAAGGGTGGGAATAGGAAGTACTCCTTCCTGAGAAAGCAGTATCTCTAATCTCTTGAAAGCAGCCATAGTGGCAGTCTAGTCAGGCCAAATGCTGTATGTTCCACATCCCCCATGTCCTAGAATGGCAGAACTGGGATGGCAGAAACAATTAACGGCAAGTGAAGCACAAAACCGGAAAAGACTGAGTGAAGTTTGTGGGTGAAATGGTCCACATTCAAAATATAATGAGATGATGTTATTTCCCTTTTAAATTCCTTCTCATTCTTTTCTATATGCATTACTGCTTTCTCCTCTTTCCTCCCTCTTCTCTTTCATGTGTATATTTTAAGCATTTATCACAAGGCATTCAATGACAATCTAATCAGAGTGCAGAGGGAGGCAGGGCTGTGTGTGTGGCACCAACCTGTGGGAAGTCCAGGAGAGGGGAGGAAGAGAAGAGCCCTTAATGTCTAAGACTCCGATATTGACATGTGCAGCAGAAAAGGAAAAAGCAGTTTACGTTCTCAGAATGGAAAAGGAAATACCACTTAGACAGCTTTTCAAAAAGGTATACTCGCTTTTGCTTTGTCCTAGCCACTTAAGAATTGTCATTCAGAACAGCAGTGAAGTCATTTCTGTGATTGTCCCAGAGGTCACTGTCACTGAGCTCACCAAAGGCCTTTTGATTTTAGTGTAACAACAGTCATTGACTAGTGACTGTAAAGTGATGGGGATAAAAGGTATATTTTGACTTGAAGCTATCTTCCCTTGTCAGAAGAAGGCCTTCTAATAGTAGTAATAAATTCTTCTGTCTCTAAGTATAGCACAGGAGGTATAGAAAAGCATATTGTAGGCATAGGCAATTTCTGGAGTTTAGCAGTCCAGAGCTAACTCTCTTTCAGAATTGCAAATGGAGTCCTGGTTCTGTTAAGGGAGGAGGCTGGGCAGGATAAACGCTATAGTTGAGAAACTCTGTATGTAGGAATGTTCTCACACATTCTTGCTTTCTTGGTAAGCTTCTCAAACTAGTTAGATGGGCACAGAGGTTTGAAATCAGCCTCCCTTAAAGGCTGCCTGCCATCCCTTGCCAAAGCAGAGATCAGCAAATCTTCCAAGGTGATGGCCAGAGAAGGTCCTGGGCCTGCTGGTTCTTAGATTTGTGTCTTGTCCCCGTAGTCCATGTCTGATTTCTCATTATCCAGAGAAATGTTGACAACATCAGACCACAAGGGACATCCTGGTTGGAAAGTCATTCTAGGAAAGAGCAGAAAGAGCCCAACATTAAGCCACATGCTAGTTAAAGAAAACAACGAATAACAGATGGTTCTCTGGGCAGAGTCCACAACCCGTTCAGTGCCAGGCACCCCTGATTCTCAGAACCTTTCATTAGACCTGTGATGGTTGATCCTAAGCCTCAGTAGAGGCTAAAGCCAGCATACATCTGATAGGCTTAGTTCCATGGTCACAGAATAACTTCTCACCCCCTTTAGGATAACTACTATGTTTAGAGCTCCACAACAGCAAGTGTGGTTGGTATTCCATAAACCTGAAATCGCCTGAAAGTTTCTTCCCTACTCATAGTACTTTGGTTATTGCATTTTTTTATTTAAGGAAAAATAAAATACACTGAATTCCTTTGGAAGGGTTAATAATTGTGTCAAAATCTTTTTCTGTTCATATTCCTTCTCCCCATACTAAACACTAAAGAAAACGTCCAGCTTGGATTCATAAAAAACGGAATGGTGGGGAGGCAGGGTAATTGCGAAGGGGGAGAAGCAGTTGTGCTTGGAGAGTGATCTCCAAAGCATGGGGGTCAGAGGCCCTTGGTACCCCACAGCGGACATTTGTGACTGTCCCCCAACATTTCTCTGAGGTCCAGGGCTCCCATTTTGGGGCTGTGGATGGAGTAGGCAGCTCTTGGCATTTTGAAAATAATGAAGTCTATATAAGACCACTTACAAAAGAGACAATGAACTGGATAGGGACCAAAGGATTTCCTTCACATATACGGGCACAATGCAGTTTACACTCAATAAAACATCAAAAGAGGACAGACATGAGTTGTCCTTTGCAAACAGCAGTGGCTCTTAGCCTTCTCTGGGATGTGGGTTCTTGGAAATCGGATGCAAGTTACAAACCCTCGCCCCAAGCAGGGCTGGGGAGGAATGCACATAGAAGGATGCATCGAAGATTCTGCACACAGACCTCAGAAGCCCACTAAAGGCCGGTGGTGGTGATGGCTCCCGAGATCCCTGATGCTAAAGGCTTCTGAGTTGGTTAAATACCTAATGCTCCCTGTAAAACCATATACACGCCTTCAACTTTCTGCCTGTTTTTCAACTCTCCCAGCCCTTGCTTCCTTCCTTCATCTGGCCTTGGACAGAGTGAGGCTGAAAAAGCCCCCGGCCTAGCATCCGCGGACGAACTCGCCCAGGCAGGCCCCTGCGGCCTCTCCGGCAAGGACCCTCCCGCCTCGCCACCTCCCCGGCCCCCAGACAGCGACACTGCTCGCCCTGCCTGGAGGCTCCCGCTCAGTCCCCTCGGAGGAGGGGAGGCAGACGCAGTCTCACGGTTTTCTTGGCGGGCTCCTTTTTCCTCTTCTTCTCCGAGTTGCTGTGGTAGGGCAGGTCGCGGCCGCGGTAGGACGGGCCGCGGGTCAGCTCCAGCTCGCTGTAGGGCGGCAGCGCGTCGTCGGACGCGTCCTCCTGGTCGTCCTGCGACGAGCCGGCCTTGTAGGTGCCGGGCGGCGACCAAGCGTAGTAGGAGGCGCTGCGCGGGCCGAGCTGCGCGCTCCGCTTGGATGGCGTCTCCAGGCTGCCACCGCGGCTGGCGCCCTCGGGCCGCGCCTGGCGCTCCCGCGCGCTGCCCAGGTACGAGTGGTCGTATTTGGGTGCGGTGCCTGGCGTGCGGCTCACCAGCCGCGGCAGGTGCGCGTCCTCGGCGGGTCTGCGGCGCGCGGGGCTGAAGGCCCAGCCGCGGTCAGCATCGGTCAGGGGCTCGCGGCTGCGGCTGCGCTGACCGTAGTACTCCTCCAAGGAGTCGTCCTGGTAGAAGCCGCTGTGCGCCCGCGACTCCGAGCGCTCGAAGCGGCTCCCGCCCCGCGCCTCGTGACTGTTGCCGTCTGCCCGGCGGGGCCGCTGGCCGTAGGAGTCAGCGAAGGCCGCCAGCTCGTCCATGGAAACGGCCGGCACCCCCGTGGCGAAGTTCTTCCGCGACAGCATCTCCGACTTGGAGCGCGGCTGGCTGCGGGCAGAGAAGGAGGGGGTCAGACGGCCGGTCCCTCCCTGGAGCTCCAGGTAGGGCTCCCAAGAGCACCCATCGTGTCCTGGGGCCACGCTCAGGAGACCTCGGCCTGAGCCTCAGCTCCGCTCCAGGCTGGATGAAGCATTCCAGGCTCCTCTCACACCCCAGAACGTCAAGTAGGGGCAACCGAGTCTATTCCACTCGTGTGCCACGCATCAAAATGGGGTTGTGTGGATAGAACATATTCTGTATCCTATGGAATACTGACCCACCGTGGGGCTGCCTTCTGGTCATTATGTTGTGACCTCGGGTTGACAGCCACACGTCTCCACCCTCAAAGCCAGCGCAGGTGTCAGTACACACAGTTATGGTCCCAGGAGTCCCTGTAATGTGTGGTGACACACAGAGAGGCCTTTTCTTCCCTCAGAGCCAAGGGCCAAGTTACCTACTGGGGCAGGAGGGGAGAAGGACACTTGCAATTTGTAAGGGAAAGGCAATGTTCACTGTCTTTTAAGGTAAAGGACAGATGAGTGGTGAAGGTGCTATTTAGGGGGAATAGCAAATCTTAGCCTCCCACAATTGTTGTGGGAGGCCACATCACCTGGGTAAGTGCCTTAGCACCTAGAAGTTTCCATTTTCCCAGCTTAAAATAGGGGCATTAATAGTAGCTGCCCTTTAGAGTTATGAGAATTAAATGTAAGAGAAGTGTTTGGCATTTTACCTTTCATATACTAAATGATCAAAAATGAGGGAGATGGCCAGGCATGATGGCTCATGCCTGTAATCCCAGCACTTTGGGAGGCCAAGGTGGGTGGATCGCTTGAGCTCAGGAGTTCAAGACCAGTCTGTCAACGTGGCAAAACCCTGTCTCTACCGAAAAAAACAAAAAAAAGATGGAGATGATGGGTGGGATTTTGTAGAGGTTATAGGATAAAATATATGAGAAGGGCAGAGATATATTAATGTTCATTAAAGGGTCTAGGGGACCCATTTCAAAGGTCTTGAATAATTACTTCTACACATGTTGTCACAAGTGTTCCCTGTCTTGACAAATGTGAGATGTTCAATATCCTGTAGAAAGAGAGATGTGTCAGGATAACCTGGAATGGGAGACAGAGATGCTACTGGATGGCATCTTCCTTGCCTCCGATCTACCCTGCCTTCCAGCTCCTGCCCCCTCACACCGACCAGACCTGCCCCTCACAGCCATCACCTGTGCCTGAAGCTCTCTCGATCCTCTTTGTTATACTCCATGGCTGAGGGCCCGCGGCTTGCCCCACTGCTGCCTCCCATGACACCTGACCAATAGTCAGGATTGCTCTCCAAGTCCCCAGACACAGGGAACTGCTTGCTTCTCATCTGATGGAAAGACTGGCGGAAATTGCTGTCCTCCTCATGTAGGGAGCTGAGTTCTGAGATGGTGTTGTTATCTGCAGGGACAAAATCAGGCATGATAGAGCTTTTTGTGTTACTCTGTTTTAGACAGGAAGAGAATCCTGTTAAGGGCTGAGACCCTAGGCTCCAGGAAACTCCTGCCTCATTGCTGTCCAGGGTGGGTTGTAAGCCTGAACTAGTGGTGTTTGTATTCTTAGCTCAGCAGGCATTGGCTCCAGTTTGAAGCCTACTTGCTTACAGAGAGGGAGGTTCCTACATGCTCTGTTCTTGGAATAGGAGAACAAGTTTGTTATTGTTGCACCTAAGGCAGGCTTTCCAGAACTCAGGATCTCTGTTGCTGGCCTCCTCCTAGTACATCATCATCCTTGTTCAAATGTTTTCTTCTTCCTTTATAATTCTGTGATGAGCTGTGTTGATCCTAGACATGTTAAGCCAAAAACAGAAAAAGAGAGACAGAAGCCATAGATCACAGCATCTTCCTTACTGCTGGCCCAGTCCTAAGATGGACCTTCAGAGCCAGTACTGCCATATGCTGTAGAGGCACTGCATTCTGGCCTCCTTTGGCTGTGCCCCTCCCCACAGAGCAGGAAGTCCACAGAATAGTTGAATAGTCAAGGGGAAACCTGTACCTAGTATCCATATACCCCCTGACTTAGCCCATGCTCATTTAGGAACCTGGAAGATCCTGCTCAAGTAGCACCAAGCCTACTTCCAGCACTTGGGCAGACCTCTTCCCCTCTCCCAAAAAAGTTTTCCAGGGGTATGTGTCCATGAGTGGCTAGGCCAGCATTTTGGAAGTATGGAAAGAAGAGGAGGGTGTGCTGTACTTATACCTGTGGGCCTCTACTTATACTCTGGCCCCAGCCCAAAAATACAAATGGGGGTATCTAGTCACAGCTTTCTAATTTCCTAAAGTGGCCTAAGTAGCTTTTTGCAAAAGCACTTGTGAACAAGGACCAGAATCACAGTCTGGAAAGGAAAAAATAAACAAAAACTCAACTATTTATTTATAAAACTTTGAAATGTATTGAATTTCATTGTACTTAAAAAATAAATCTACTGAATCTATTTGCAATGTAACTGAATCCATTGGTTTTCTAAAGTCCTTTAATTAGAACTTCAAAATATTATCAAAAACAACATTTACCAAATTTCAGGCCTAGCTGTTGAGTGAGAGGTGGGCCAAGATAAGATGTGGAAATATGTGTCTCAGATTCCCTCTACTTTCCCCCCTTGCTATCCCCAAGAGTCCTTGGAGGAACGGGATTTTTGCACAAAGATGAGGGAGGGTCTCCCAACACAGCCTCCTAGTTCTGTTTCACCAGGGGCAGAGCGTTTACCACGAATGCCATTCAATTTTATCATGCAATCAGTTGATTTTTAATTATAATTTAATTTTTAACCTTTTCTTCCATCTAAGAAGAAGGGACTATGCCTATTTTAAGGAAAATAACTCAGATACTATTGATTAATAAAATCTAGAACTTTTCCTTTCTCATGATCCCCATGAATTCCAGTATCCCAGGGATCACACAGAAGAGGCCTTTAAAATGCACCAAATGACCCTACTGAAAAATAGCATTGTTGGCTCAGAACTTTCCTTAAACTTCAGGGAATACTTGATTTTTTTTATTTATCTAGATAATGAGGACGATCTATGTTTCACTATTCACAGTGATGGATTGTCTAAGTTGTATATTGTGCTAAAATTTCTGCCAAGTTGAACATAAACATCGACCTGCCCCCATCTCACAGACATCCACAATGTAACTCTAGGATAGGGGTAAGCAAACTTCGTTTTGTAAAGGGCCAGAGAGTAAATATTTTAGGTTTTCCAAGCCATACTGGCACAAATATTCAATTCTGCCACTGTAGCATGAAAGCAGTCATAGATGCAACATAAGTGAATTGGCATGGCTATATTCCAATAAACCTTTATTTATAAAAATAGGAAGTGGGGCTGGGCACGGTAGCTCATGCCCATAATCCCAGCACTTTGTGAGACCAATGAGGGAGGATTGCTTGAGCCCAGGAGTTTGAGACCAGCCTGGGAAACATAGCAAGATCTTCATCTTTATAAAAAATTAAAAAATTAGTTGTGCATGGTGGCACATGCCTGTGGTCCCAGCTACTGGGGAGGCTGAGGTGGAAGGATCCCTTGAGCCCAGGAAGTCGAGGCTGCAGTGAGCTGTGTTTGCGCCACTGCACTCCAGCCTGGGTGACAGAGCAAGACCTTGTCTCAAAAAAAAAGGAAGTGAAATATATTTGGCCCAGGAGATATAGTTTGCTGAGCCCTATACTAGAACTTCCCAGACTAAAAACATCCCCTAAACAACCCCCACCATTTAGAAGGGCAAAGCAAATGAGGACCATACTGGCTAGCAAATTCATGAGCCTGGACCTCAAACTCAATTCTTACAGAATCTGTTACTCTCCTGCCCCAACCTGAAACCATGAGATCCATTTTATAATGAGATTTCAAGATTGCCCAGTTCCATGATCCAGCCCATGGTTTACTATGTTCTTCAGGAACAGGACTTCTCAAAGTAAACAGTATTCCTACTTTATCTCTATGCAGTTGTTATAATATTAACTTGCAGGTTCCAGGAGATCAGGGTTCCAGTTCTGGCACTGGCACTGAGTACTGGTGCTTGTTACTTTCCCTTTCTACCTTAGTGAAGGGGACGGATTCAACAACCTCAGAGTCCCTTCCAGCTCTGACATTCTAAAGTCCTACTAGCTAGAAGGCTGTGGTCTCTGAACAGAATGGAGCCATGGAGCCATCCACATTACAGCCATGGAGCCATCCACAGTTTGCCCAAGAGTTTCTTCTGGAAAGACCACAGGACTGGGAATCAGAAGAGCTGGAATCTGGTCCTAATTGTGTCACCGCATCCCTAGGCTTCTGTTTCCTCACCTGCACACTACAAAGGTTAACCTAGGCCATCTCTAAGACCCCCTTTGACTCTAAGAGTCCATTACCTTATGACCATTAAGCCCCTAGAGACCATTTTAATGAAGTAGAGAGACAGGAGACATCACCTAAACCAGAATTCTTCCTTTAGTTTTAACCTTAGCTGTTAACTTTTTCTCTGAGCTGTGAGATTCGCAAATTTCCTGCACAGACTCCTCTGTGGTCCCTGACTCACTCTGTCTCTGGCCCCTTACAGGGATCCATGACAACATTGTTACAACTAGCTTGTCAAGTGCAGTGACATCTGCATTCCTGACATTCCAATCTGGAAATGGTCTTTTTATAGTCGGTGTGGTGGGAGGATACAGCAATGGATACAACGCAGACAGGATGAATTTAGAATTGCAAACTGGGTGGAATATGTTGTCCTTAATCTGAATAAAGCTCTTCTAGTCTGGGACTGTTTCCCCAACAATTCCGTCAAGTCTCTCGTTAGTTCCAAGAAGAGGAGGGTAAAGAGACAGCATAATGACCTCACTTCCACACCCGCCAGCACCCTCTGATAATGAGCCTGTCCATGTGGGACCTGCCCTATGTTACCTCCCATGATACATAAGTTGGAATCCACCCCAAGAATCAGCTGTGTCAGCTGCAGAGTATCCAAGGGCTGGGGGTGAGTTAAGGGTTGGGGCCCGGCCACCTCAGACTTAGTATTCAAAAAGTTCTTTTGACAAGAGGATCAGCCTCTTTGCTTGCCCCTTAATCTCTGTTGTTTGGCATCTTCGAGGAGCAACAACCTTTTTTCCAGATTCACGTGCCAGACTTGTTCTTTCACTTTCAGGAGGCCTCCATGCAGCGAGTTGGTGGTTGTATTATCCAAGGCTAGCACCCTTCACGTTGGAAAAAACTGATACTTAAGCTTCCACATCTTAAGACATTACTTTGAATATATTTTAAAGGGAGTAGAAGGGAAAGACTATTTGGAATGCTTTATTAAAATAGTCTTTCCCTTCTACTCCTTTTAAAATATATTCAAAGAAAGTTGGTTCTTTATTCAAAGAAAGTTTGAATAAAATATATTCAAAGAATGTTGGTTCTATCCATGGGGCATGGATAACACAGCCCCAGAAATACTGACTGCCCCATGGAGAAAACCAACATAAACCAAGATGCTACCGAATTGCTCTACTCTTCACACCAGAAGACCTTTTTTTCCCCTCTGTGTACTGAGAGCTACTTTCTTCAGTAGTGTCACCAGCACCCCTGCTAATTCTAAGCCTGCAAGCTCAGGGCTGCCCAAGTTTGGTGACCCCCAAATCCCCTTTACACACTAACTCCTGCATAATGCACAGATCACAGAAAACTAACAGATGCTCACATCTGCCTCTCATCCTTCTGGCTGGATCAAACTGAGCCAGCTCCTTCTCAACATAGTACAGGACCTTCATGGAGTCTCTCTCTTTGTCAGCCTGGATCCGGTAACCTTTGCGAACTGTTGAGAAAAGCACAAGAAGGTGAGCTGAAAAAGGAAAATATCAGGAGAAGGAGGCCTCCATTTATTTTACCAAGTAGAAAATAGGGTTTCCAATTATAACAACTCTTTTTGAAATCACCCAGAAATAACGATCTATATTTATACATATGGGACCATATCTGTGATCCCCTTTATCAGATGGCGCCACTGGAATGGAGGACCTAAAGGTCAACAACAAAATTCCATTACAGTCTATTTTTAGTCATTTGTTAACTTCTGCTTCCTATCTTTTGACCTCTTACAGCTCCACTTAGTGCTCATCTTCTCAGCGCTTTTGCGTTCCATTGGAGGAGCATATTCACACTAAAAAAAGACCACTTTCTAGATTGAGGACATGCGTCACTCTAGCATCTGAGGATCCCACCTTCACTTTGTGAGAGCACAGGTAACTTACAGATACTCAAACATCAAGGGCCTTGACAAAGTTGGCCTGAAAGCTTTGAGTTGCCTAGGAGATAATGCAAAAGTTCCTTAAACTGAGTTGTGTATAAGAGCTAATATTAATTTCTAGACCATATACATAGTAGTACAAAACAAAATTCAAACTATGTGGATTTTTAATTATGGTTCCATTTCATTTCTTTAGCATTTTCCTTTTAGGAGAAGGAATACTGTGTTTTAGACATGATTAATTTGACCTGCTGCGATGTGGTTACAAGCAGCTGTTATTTTCAGGGCTTAATAAAAAACAAAACTAAAGCAGGAGAGAGAACATCTCCTACATCTCTATCACTCATATTGTCAGAGACAAAGGCTGTTTAAGCCCCATATCACTTAAGTATCAGTCTAGCCCAATACCAGCCCCAAGAGTGATAGATACCAGTGGGCCTAATTTACAGATAAGAGAAAGAGGAAAAAACGAAAGAGAGAAGGGAATGATGGGATGGGTACTGAAAAATAATGGTAATTAGTCAGTACTTACTGGGCACTGAAAATGTGCTAGGTACTGTGCTAAATGCTTTACATGGACATTTGTTCCTCAGAACCACCTAAAACAGTACTGTTATCAGCCACATTTTATGTTTGAGAAAATTTTGGGTCAGAGGGGTTTCATAACTTGCCCAGGAAAAATTTAGCAGTGCCAGGGCTGGAACCATGTAGTCTGATGGAAGCTTAACCATATTTGGGCATCTTGCCTCTCTAGAGTCTAAGAAGAGAGGTAGTGAGAAGAGACAGGTGAGAAAAACAAGGAAGGAAAGCCCAGAGTAAGAACTGCTTTAGCTATGCCATGGGTTGTATGGTCTGCACAGCATGGTCCTATATTCCAGCTATTAAGGACTTTTCAATGGGATGTAAGCTAGTGACCTAACTCCAGCATTCCCTGTTCCCAAAGTGGGGCAAACACCATAAAGAAACCATATGACTGCATGTAAATTCAGAGAAAACCCTGCTGTATAGTGTCTGGCCATGTTACCCTGGCTGCGGACAAAACCCTCCCACGCAAGCTATTTACATGGAAGATTAAAATATAAAATTCCATAGCACTCTAATTGTAGTCCAAGCACTAAAAACAGAAGTCACCCACACACCCATTTGCAGGTGCACCGATTTTCTATATGAGAATATACTGGGCAGTCCACATTCATCTCAAATTGTGGAATTACTTAGAAAAAAAATTAATGAATCTCAGCACACACTTTTTAGTGGCACTTTCTCCCAGAGGTTAGATCCATAATCCTTGTGTGGAAGCAATGATTAGCAGAAATAATTTTATTTATCAAGCTAAACATTCTTCCATCTCTACAAAGGCATTTACTGAGTCGTACAGACAGTTCAATTAAAATGCAATTATCCCACAGAACTGCTATGTCTGTTCTGGAGGCAGTTATGTCTGATGGATGAGACTCCAGCCTGGGAAGTGGGGAACTGGGCATTGTGTAGGCATGCAGTGCTATTTATTGAGGGACCTCAAAGAAATGGTGACCTATGTAGGACTCAGTTTTCATGTCTATAAAATGCAATGAATACTTGCCAACCTTTAAATAATCTCTTAAAGATGAGAGGACAACTAAGACCAAATCAGTGGAGCACTTTGAGTTCTCTATCATTATCAGGAGCTGCTCAAATGCTGCCTCAGCCAAAGGGCTTTCTTTGATTCTCATAGCTTGAAAAGTTCTGTCTCTCTCTCTAACTTACAAATCATTCAGTTTGAATTTTATTATGGCCCTTAATATATTCTAGTTTGTTTCAAGTTATCTGTATAAATGTCTAATCTTCTCAAAGATTCTTGAAGGAAAAGAATCCTTATGGTTCTGGATCTCCATGTGCCTAAAACCATGCTTTACACATAGTGGGGAACTTAAAAAATGTTCGTTGCATTGCTGTCAGCCTGGGAATTGGGGCAGGGTTAATGGTTTCTTTGAGAAGTGCATTTTCAGTAGAGTTTTCCCCTCTAGACTGCAAACTTCCTGAGAGCAAGGACTAGGTTCGCTTCTGTATCCCCAGCACCTAGCATAGAGCCTGGCACATTGTAGACATTTGAAATATGTGTGTTTGTAATGAATGAAGGAATGAGTGAATGAATGAGGAGAAACTGGGAATAGAAACCATATTATAAGAGACTACAACATATAGCAGATGAGGCCATATGGGCGGTTTATTGGAGAATTTTGATCAGGAAGGGAAAGGCTTGGATCGTAGAAAAGTCTGGGTATCATGATTATTATTATTATTAATTTTTTTAAGGAAAACTAGCATGTCTGTATGCATTATGAAAAGGGCCTACCCTACCTGGAGCTGTGGTTTTATCTAGGTGTTCTAATTTCTGAAGCACTGTTATGGTAAACATTCAGTGATACTGCACTAGAGGTCATGGGGGAGGGGGCCCATAAAGTTGTTGCTATATGGAACAATGTACCAGCTGTGCCCTGGCAGACAGACATGGTCGGTGAGAGATGGCTGCCACCCTGAGAAGCAGCTGGAGGATCCTCAGTTAATTGCCACTTGGACTAGAGCATAGTTTTCTATGTCATTATAACAAATTACACTCCTCATTATGATACAGATTTGATTGTGTATGCATAGGTTATCATGTCCCTGAAAAGTTACAGTAACCATTTATAGCCTCAAATGAAGATGATAGTTTTGCCTTCAGTGCTGGCATTATAAAGAGACTCCACTGTACCAGATACTTTCAGCCTTGACTTCTTAGTCACAGCAGCCCATGACTTCAGAAATCTAAATTCCTCTAATTTGTCAAAAAAGACAGAGGCAAAGTATTGATCTTTTGACTTTAGGAGTATCATCCATTTGGTTTCAGTAGCTAAAAACCTGGGCAATTCTCCTTCTAAAAGCTATTGGACTTTTTAAAAATGATAAGCTACAAGTTCAAATATACTAAACTATTCTCTGATCCTGGTAGAATCTGGCTCTATGTCACATACATTCTGAGGAGCATATGAAACACCAGAAAACCTTTCCTGGTCCCTCCTCTCCAAGGATGAGATTTTCCTTTCTGAGCTGGCATTATGGATCAATCTTATACTGCCTTGTATTACTTACTCATTTTATTTCCACTTACAAGCCCCAGCAACCACCTGGTAGACTGTACATTCCTTGACGGCAGGTAAAATTTGTTAGCGTTCATTAAATTTTTCTTGATTTGACAGCAAATAGCATGGTGTCAGATTGATTTTTATCTGTAATTTGTCTGAAGATCACAGAACTCTCTGGGACGTATGGTGATGTTTTAATAAGAAATGTCCTAGACTATTGGCCAAAGTTCAGCATATTTGGAAAATGACCTTTTTCCCCAGTGATGTTTCAGTTTAAGATTGATGGATGATTTATCTGTTTTCAAGTTCAGTCTGGCCCAAGTCATTTGGCTGCTGTGGCTCTTCATACTTCACCTCCTCTAATTTATTAGCCTTGCCAACTTCAATTTTTGGAGAGGGGATATTGGGATATTCACTTTGATGCCAAACTATAATTTTAAAAATTCTTATTGTTAAAGGATTTTTGCTGATACTTTTGACCCAATTAAGGTTTAGGTAGTTTTCAGCTAATTTCCTCATTACAGCCAAAATCCAACTTGTAAAACTTGCAAAAGAAGTCTCCGAGGCAGATACTCATGGATATAGCCTTGTTCTTCCTGTCCTATCTTAATAAGCTAAGTAAAGCTGTTTATGGATGATGGAACAGCTGCCAGATTCCACCCCCAAGGTGACAGCAGCTCAGCTGTGGGAGAAGTGATTCTTAAAATTTGCATATTCTCTGTATACATACAGTAGGCATATATATAGATACACATCCTTATTAATTTTGAAAATGACATTTCAAAACCCTACTTGCCTACTCAATTCTTTTGCATGAAGAATGGGTGGAGGACAGGTAGATGTGGAAACAAAATGGATTAGAGCAAAGCAGAGTAGATGTGGAAGGACCAGGTGGGAGATGATTGTGTTAAGCAAGGTGGGAGGTAATGGCAGCAAGGACTAGGACAGTTTCAGTAGAGATGGAGAAAAGGAAACCAACTCAAGGTTATTTTGAGTTACAATCTAAAGGACTTGGTGACCAATTGGATGAGGGAAGTGGGGGAGAAGGAAGGGATAAGGATGAAGTCTCTGCTTCTGGTTTGGGCTAAAAGGTGGACAACAATGCCATCCACTGAGATAAGATATGTAGAAGCTGGTTCGAAGTGAAGAAGCAGCAGATTAATTCAATTTCCTAGGGGCTGAGGTTGAAATGCCTGCAAAACACCCAGGTGGAGATGTCCAGAAGACAGTTGGATATACGGTATTGAGGAGCAAAAGAGAGGCTGGAGATAATGATCAGAAGTCATCAGCATATAGATGATGATTGAAGCCACAGGAGTGAATAAGGTTTCCCAGGGAGAGGACCTCAAACAAAACAGGAACATCTGGAGGATGTACAGTGGAAGAACACCCAGCATACACAGAGATAGGTAAGAAAAATTACAAAGTACAGTGCTGAGAAAGGCAAAGAAAGATGAGCGCCTCAGAGTGGCAAATGCTTTTGAGAAGTCAAAGGAGGTAATGATTGAAAAGGATCCATTAAATTTAGCAATCAGACAATCTTAGCAAGAGCTGGTTTCTGGAATGGTGAAAGCAATAGCAAGATGGAAGGGAGCTGGGGAGTTGGTGAGAGCAGAGGGAAAGGAAACATTTAATATTCAAAACTCTTTCAAGGAGTTTGGCTGTGAAGAAGAGTAAAGGGACAGGAAAGCAACATCTGAGGACCACAGGATTTTTGTGAATTGTTGTATTTTAATGGGAGAGACTTTAGCATATTTTGAATGCTGACAGGAAGGAGTCACTAAAGATGAAAAGAATGGAGATGTGAGGTGGGAACAGGGCGGAGTGTGGGTGTTCAACACAGAGAGAGCCTTGACAAAGCTTAAAGGGATGGATCCAGAGCAGCACAGGAGCAGGCAGTCTTCCTGCATGGTAACAAGGTCTCAAGTAGCTGCCTTGAAGAATGGGAGAAGGAACTAGAGTGCCTCTTACCTCTTCCATTCAGGAACCAACTGGCTATACTATACATAGTTCATCAAAGATGCCCTTTTCAACCACACATTGTTCAAAAGACTATTGTGTACAAATGTAATCTGAAAAATTACTGTTGTGAAATAATTACCCTAAAATTGAAGTAGTATATAAATATAAAATAGGCTAAATTGACATTTTTGTAAATTAACATTTCTTAACATTTTTAATGTTCTTTAAAGAATAATCTACATGGAACACTGGCATAAGCCACCTTTGCTAAAGGAGGACTAGCCAAACACTATCACTAACACTCCCCATGGGACCATGAGTACAGAAGCATGCCTGGTGAGGATCATGAAGAAGTCTGTCCTGGCTCCACCAGCCAGACCATGACAGCATGGGCCAGACTAGCTGCGGTGACACTGATTGCCACCCTTCCTCTTTTTCCTTGCTAACAGAACCGTGATTTTGTTCACTTCCAAAGTAAATAGTTGTTTAGGCCTAAGAGGTGCATCTTGAGTAGTTCAAGCCAATTTTGTTTATGAATGGGCAAGAGCCCAATTCTTGCTGATAAAACTAAAAGGGAAAGTCTGCTGGAAAAGTTTTTCTCACTCTTGAGAAAAGTGATACAAGGAAGAGAATACCACTTTCAATCTCTGAATTTGCTTAATTACCTGGAACTATGCAGTCATCAAGAGATCATGAGGTAAGCCAGCTGAGGAGGACAGAGGATGTGCTCAGGATAACAGAAGAAAAGACAGAGGAACTAGGTCCTTCAGGGCTGCCACCTGAACTGTTCTATTAACCAACCCTGGAACTACCTTACCTTGACATTTCTATTTTAATGCCACTTCTAGTTACAATTGGTTAGTATGGCAGAATGAGACCAAAATGGTTGAACTGCAACAAAGAGAAACTGGAAAAAGACAGAAAATGACAGAGAGTAAGTATTTGCTATTCTATGAATAAGAACAGTTTTATTAGATAATCCATTAAAAAATAAGGGGGAAAGGATTCTGGTGGGAAGAAAGATTAGAAAAAAGACAAAGAGTATGAGATAAGTTCCACTAATGTCTCTTTTGCCCACTTCATCTTTCATGGAAATGGACTACATCGTCTTTATTTCTCTAATTATCTGTGTGTCACTGATCATTAACTTTTACTTCTCAGTCTGTGACTCATTCTGTATCAGATGTCAGAATTCTACTAATAGCTCCTGGGAGAGAAAAATACAAATCCTAATTACTCACTGAGGATAGCCACTCATTCTACAATCAGGCACTGGCAGCTCATTAGGTGGGCTAGATACCCTTCCCCACTTCACAATGGAGGCAGTCAAGATACCTCCAGGGAAGAAATGTCTGTTTTACCAACTCCAGCGGCTCATCTACATCTAGGGATTTAAAAATCACCTTCTAAATCTATAGCACATACAATCCTAAGCTTCACTGCCCTGTAATCCTGTTCAAATGCCTCAAGAAGAGCTATATTTTAATGCCCCTCCACCTCTCCACCCTACCCTGCCCCTCCACCTATACCTCCTACCTACCCCTGCCTATAACCACAAATTAATAGTGCCTCAAATGGGGCTAACCTTCAGCTAAATCAGCTCTCCTTACCACTTATTTCAATTCTGTCTTATGATCTATGATCTAGACAACTTGGGGTCATCCTGAAGCCTCCTTTTCCTTCATTCCGCAATATCTCATTATTTCTTTCACAGTGTCTCTCAGCTTTACCCACACATTTCACTCCCATTGTCTCCATCATAATCTAGATGCTCACATATCTCAACCACTTCAACCACACCTTAGCTCATGGTCTCTGGCTCTACTGTCTCCCACTTGCCACTCCCTTTGTCATGGTGCCACCTCTGCCCTCAGGAGCCTGCCCACAGTGGCTCTCACACCAAGCCCCAGATCTTCTGGAGGGGTTTCAAGGCCCTCCCCAGTCTGGCTCCGTCGTATCCTTCTACCTTCTTCCAGTCAATCTGACAAATTGGACACTGTCACATACTCACACTGTGTTCTCCCAGCTCTGGGATTTCATCACGCTGACCTTCCCACTTGGGGTGCTCAGCATCCCCTGAATGTGCTTTCCTAAATCCTATTCATTCCTCTAGGCTCAGCTCAAATTTCACCTCCTCCCTGAAGATTTTGTGACCAGTCCAGTTCTTTCTTCTTTGAACTGATTGTCTTTAGCATACTCTTTAGCATCTGATTATCCTAATAAAGGTCCGTTCTCTCCCTGACCAGGCCATGCTGCTTGTCAGAGAAACCATGTCCTACACTTCTTGCAGGCCCTCACAGTAGTAGTGGACTCCTGTAGGTAGGGATGAAACAACTATTTGCTAACTGAATAATCAACATTCAAGGGATATCTTGTCTCTTTTCTTACAGTTCTAGTAATTGAGGAGTCTAGGGAGGAGGCAGGGGTCAGCAATGTCCTGCAGCCTTTGGAAAGCATGAATGTACCCTAAAAGATATCTGACATAGCTGGAAGGATCCCATTTCTGGAACAGAGAAAACTATTTTCCAAAGACACATCACTGAACTGACTGTTCTTAACAACAAGGAACCACTGTGGGGGCCCGAGACAAGCATGGGCAGGGCAGTCTGGAACTACATTTACCACTGTGGCTTCCTCCAGTGGAGTCACTTGGTGCCAAGGGAGGTGGATGCGGCTTGTCCATCAGCATGCCAGATGAGGGGGCTCCTCCCAAAGGGACAGAGGGGATGGAGTAAGGGCCGGGGACACCGGAGACAGAGGGAGGGTACCCGGCCTTTGCTGCTTTCCCTGCTTCATACACTGTGGAGGGAGATCAAGAGCAAGAGAGATTACGTCGTCCCACCCTCCACAACCCTCACACCAAAAATCCCTGAGGATGCACTTCAGGGAGCTCCTGGATGTGTGTATGTGCATGTGTGAGCGTTTGTTCTTCTAAAACTGAACTGATTCATCAGAATCACTCTCCCCCACTCCCTCGGACTCTCCAGCTCCACCAAACGGCAACGACAAAAGGAATTACAATGTTTAGTACCTGGCAACTAAATAATTAAGTGGTTCTGGGAGCTGTCACAGCAGCATCCCCAGTGACAGCAGCAGCCCACTCTTACCCACACTGTCTGGAGGCTGCCTCGGCCCCTCTGGAGGCAGCCTAGCACAGGGACTGCCCAGGGCTGCTTCAAGGAGGATCCTGAACCTTCTCTTGAGAAGGAAAGCAAGTAATGGGCTTGCACATGGTCCTTGCTCTGTGATTTCAAAAGCAGAGCAAATAACCTGAGTCTTCCTAGAAACTGCTTTATTCCTGAAGACACTAAAGATAACTGGTGTGCCTCTCTCTTTCAAGATGTGTTTGGTTTATGGGAGGGGTACCAAACTTAATGTCTATATGGGCTTGGCCAGTAAGGTAAAAATTGTGAATCCTCAAATAAGAACTAGGCCCTATTGTGGCCCATGTCATCATGGGAGTAAATAAAACAAATCTGTGGCTGGGTGGGTGCCCAAAGGCCACAGTTTGCACACTCTTCTCATATAAAAAGGAACTTCTCTGCATGGGAAGGGAACGACCAGAGAAGGTTTCCTCTAGTTTGAATGCCCCAGGGAGAGGGAACAGTCTTACACCACAACCTCACCACGCCAAACCTGCCCTTCCATTTTATCAATAGTGTCCATGAGAATTCCAAATGCATGGAGTGATAGATATGGATAAGAAGTGTGGAGAGGTGTATGTAGGTGAAAAGGCAAATGAGAATGGTCATCCCTGAGGCCAGGGGCACCCAGCGGAGAAGAGTCTGGAATGACCAATCTTGGGGGTGGCAGGACAGGAGGTGGAGGAGGAACCCAGCGCACACAGCTGTCAGGTAGAGAGGTAGACAT
Organism: Homo sapiens; assembly: GCF_000001405.40. Taxonomy (NCBI): domain Eukaryota; kingdom Metazoa; phylum Chordata; class Mammalia; order Primates; family Hominidae; genus Homo; species Homo sapiens. The sequence goes on from NC_000001.11 coordinate 166,936,549, forward strand.
TTCTCTCGATCGCTCTGTCTCCCCAGCGGTCACTGTACTCACAGGCTTGAGGGCAGCAGCAGGAATCTGGGCAGCATGGGCAGCGGACATAGCAGCAGCAGCTGTGAGGGCAGCACTGGCACCAGCAGATCCCCACCAGGACGAAGAAGAGGAAGACGCCCAGGAGCACCAGGCCAACAAACACCCACTCTGGAAGGATGCACAAAGAAATCCACACTCGAGGCAGCCCACCTCCAGGGCAGGGTGCACTTTGATTGGCATCTCCCGGTGAAAGGGGGAGAGGAGGAGGGACCTAGGGAAGAAAGCTTCTCTTAACAGGAGACAGAGCCCCAACACTCAAGAGGAACTCTGAGAGTCAGGAGTGCAGACCCTCAGTCCCGGGGAATGGAGAAGAGGGAAGAAGGTTATCTATGTTACATTGGGTACATGTAATAATCGGCACAAAACAATGTGGGGATTTCAGAGTCCTATACTGGGGAAAGGATTTACACTATTGACTGTAGCATCAGAATAAGGATGGGACCAGAGCTGAAAGAATCCTGGCTGGGGGGAAGGAGAACCTTGTCTGCTGGGCTACGAAGTGGTGGGTTCTGTGAATACTTATTTTTATTTTTGTCAAGTTAATCCTCTCTATAAAAGTCTAAGTCCTGAGGAAACAGTCTCTATGTCTAGGGGTCTAGATGTAGTTTATAGTTAGGTGGTTCCAGGCCCCTTTTGTAATGTATTCACCTGCTTTCCCTGCTGACTGTCCCTAGAACAGCTTTCCTGTACTCAGCACCAGTTCTGAGATCCAAACTCTTTGCTTATACCAGGACAACAATCCATGGCTAGAGAAAACTAGAGACGTGGTCTCCATAGAGAAGACACTGTCCCCGTGAACAGAGAATGAGTTTGGTTTGATCACACTCAAGCTGCCCATGCTAGGCAGCCAACATAGCCAAGGGCTCAAGTGGCTCTGAGCTTGGATAAATGGCAAGGCTGACATGTATATCTGGGTATGTTTGTTAACTCCGCCTCTTTCACAGCTCTGCCAGAAGCTGAATGTGAATTCCATTTCATTTGCCCATCCAAAAGATTAAGAGAAAGGAAACAAATTGCGAGTGGCTTAGATAAAAATTACTGTGGCCCTCAGGTGACTTGTCTCAGCATCATACTTTAGAGACTTGGCTACAGGACCCAACTTCCCCTGGAGGCCTGGACAGACTGGGGAGAGCCATGCTTTCCTTTAAAAGCCAAAAAGACTAAAGCAATTCATTTTGGTTAAAAGCCATCTATCCCAAATCCCTTTACAATGAACCTCAAGCACACATTGTTTTTCTTAGATTTTGATTATCAAATATTCCTTCAATTAAATGGACATTCCTGGGAGCTTGAGAATATGATATTTTTATTAAATAATGGGTTGTATAATAATGGTTAACAAAATGACTTTGTTTAGATCATAATTTCCTCAGAGAGGAAACAAACAACATGTTTCCTGAATGTCCCTCCTCACTAATCTTTCTGAAATACATTCAAATTAAACAGGTCAACATCTCTTCAGTGAGGGAATGGGAAGGCCTTGTGCCTGGCTGGAGTGGCCTAGAGAGCATTCATGCCGAGGACAATCGATAGCAGAAGGCTTTGGCCTAAGCCTTAGTAACAACACAATAATGCAACATAGCCTGAGATAGATAGGAGCTCTTAGGTTTAGATGAGCTGTATGAAGTGGTGGCTACAACTTGGGTCAAGCATTCAAGGATAAGACTGGAAAGTTATATGTGAGAAACAAAAGAATATTATCTGTGAAAGGATTCTTGGAATCAAAGGGAGGGAAATTTAGCCATATGGGGCCAGATATGAAAAACACAGTAACTCTTTCTTGAGACTGGGACATGTAACATCTAGTTTCAAGCACTGCAATGTAACATTGTTTTTGTGATGAACAAATGCTTACAAATTGAGGGAATTCTGGATAAGGGGATTACAAAGAGGCATACATTTGTGTCCTTGGGAGCAACATCAGTAAAAAGAATGTCTGTGTTTGGGTTGGCCACCTAATGGAAAGGGACTAGAATTCATAGACGAATAATTAGTGAAGCTCAATGGTAAAGAATCTGGATGTTTTTAAAAATTTGGATTAAGCTAAAAACCAATACCCAGGGATATTTTATATCTCTGTTGCTATTAGGCAGCTCTTAAAACTTTGGCAGAAACCCTCCAAGACAAGACTAAATCATCCCTTTTCCTACTGTTTGAGTTTAGATATGTTCTTCCCCACAGTTCATTCTTGCTTCTCTCTGTGCCTCCCTCAACTGCAGACCATAAAGCTGTACCAAACTGATGTTGGCTTGTCTAGGTTGGTGGATTCAACTGAAGGTACATAAAAAGACAGAGATGTATGTTCGTCCCAGATGTCCTTCACATATGGTCCGTGGACCCATAGGGATTCGAAGGGACTAATAAGTCCCTGAAATTGTGTACAAAGTAATGTAGGTCTGCAAATTTGTATTTTTCAAGGGAGGAGGGGTACATAGCTTTCCTAAGGTTTGAAAAAAAAGTTTGATGATGTTATAAAAGGCAATTCAGAGTAACATGGTTGTACAATAATGAATCAGTAAACATATAACTTAGGAAATAAGGAAGGCAGATAAATACTGATTCTATTAAAAATACTTTTAGGTATATGGGTACAGCTGAAATACTGAAATGGGCATGGAGATTGCCAAAGAGCCTGCATGCCTGACACTGAAGGACTGGGTTGCCATCTCAGCCTATTTTTAATTATCATTATTCTTTTAAGGCCTAGTAACAGAAGGAATGCAATTTAAAAGCCCTTCCAATGGGTTTAGTTAATCCTGGAAAAGATCAGAGACATATAGACAAATGTGGCAATAAAGTAAAGAAGCAATTAGCGACTAATGCAGAAGCAAGACAGATGGAATAACAGCAAATCAAGCAAATAAAGAGTTAAATGACCGAATACCTGGCATAATCTCCACAGCAAAACTGGGCAAGAGATCAGCAAGCAGCCCTGTCCTGCCTAGAAGAAGTGGAAGGAAAAGAAGAAGGAAAGTGGTTATTCCAAGGGAAAACATAGCCTAAAGCCTGGCTCCAGTTGGTACCATCCACACGTGCGGCCATTAGTGCATGCTCTTTGTGATATGAGAAGCACATCACCAAAGCTAGGCTGAGACAAGAGAATGACTTTCCCTGTCAATCTTTGGCAGCCATCTAAGTGAACTCTGCACCTAAACTAAGCGGAAGCAGAAACAGAACTTTCTCTCCAACTATTTATAGGAGGAGGAAATCTCTGCTTGAGCAGACTGACATACACTATCTCCATTCATTTATACATCCGTCTCCATACACTTCATTGGAAAGTCAAGCCCGTCTGTATCCAAATGTTCAATCTACATTTTCATACATCCATACACAGTCCTATGTCCATATAAAAACAAAAGTACATATTTGGTTTTAACTCAGAATTATCTCACTACATGATTCTATTTGTGGCCTAAAGATATTTCAATGATTAAAATTTTCAAAGGCAAGGGAAAGATAAAACTAGATCAGTTACACATTCCTCTACACTCCTTCTGGCTTCTGAAATACACTGTACATATGTAGATGGTATGGCTTTTCCATATGGCACCCACAGCTGGCATTATATGGACCCAAGTGCCTTCTGCGTAATATGGCAAAGAAACTTAAAAGCTGGATTCAGAACAGGTGCCCCTCAAGGACTCTGGGAAGCAAAGAGCTGTGCAGGAAACAAGAGGCTGGAAGACATAAGGGAGCAGATTAGTCCGTTTTAAAACTAGCCTGATTTACAGAAAGACATGATGAATGCTTTCATCATGTTCTCATATCAAGGTGAAGTCCTGTTATGAACTTCTGCCCCTGACATTATATCTCTAAACTAGTAGTACCATAAACAACTAGCAAATTTCCCTCCTTTCAGACTTGTGATGGTGGTAAAAAGTCACTGTAGCACCTAAACACGCAACTAAATTCTACTTCATTTAGGTACCTGACATATACCTCTAGAACAGCACCAGCCAACAGAAATATAATGCAAGCAATGTGGATAATTTTAGCTTTTCCAGGAAGTACAATAAAAAGTAAAAAGAAACAAAGGAAATTAATGTGATACTATTTTTAGCTTATGTGACTATCACTAAAATATTGTCATTTCAAGGACTTAGTAGACACATGTTGCTATTGGACAGCACAGCTCTGGTGATCTGTTTCATCCATATAGATATGGCTCATTTAGAAAACAATTCCTTCATGTTAAAGTTTGTTGAGGTGCATTAGAGAAAAGTTTACTCATGTGTGTGGTTCATATTTTAAATCTAAGGTCATGGTTGGTCACTTGTCCCTTCCTCTATCAAGTCACCCACAGAAAAGAAGCTCTGACAAAGGTCAAAGAAAAAGGGGCTCCTCCAGGACACTAGGGGAGTATGCTGGAGCTGGGGTAAGATTTAGTGAGCAGGGTAGAGGGGTCTTTGCTCACTTTTTCTTGGCTCTCCTCAACTCTACAAGGCCAGTGTGGTAGCATGTGTCCTAGTCTATGTGGGTGATGGTCCCATATTTAAAAAGCTAATGGGGACCAGAGTATATTCCAAGGTAAGGAAGTATGGGATGGGTGACTTAGGCCAACTCTGCTTTTGGCCTTGGCAAATACAGCTTCCTTCTTTCTGTCCCCCATCTCATGCAGCTGACATGGTAAGATTGCTCTGCTGCTTGCAAGGTCTCTTGGAAGGACAAGTAGGAGTCAAGTGGGACATTGGAAAAAGGTGTCTTCTCAGGCTAGTCTTTGACCTAAGCCTTCATAAAAGACTAAGAGATGCCCCTAAGGCTTACGCAGTTCCCTAGGGTAGGAAACTAGTAAATATTTGGGGCCAAAGCTTGAGAAAGTGATTAAGAGACAGCATGCATTGGTCTCCTCTGAGTGTTCTCTATAAAAATATCTCTCGGAAACTCAACGAGGTAATAATCACCTAGTCAAAGATTTGGGAATTTGGGCTCCTGGAGATTTCTTGAAGACCAGGCAATAATCAATGATCAAGAAGTCAATACATACTGTTTTTTTAGCAATCCAGTTATCAGATATGTACTTGATGGTGGATTTTTATTGTTTTTTTCAATCTGCATAATTAGCACTTGTAAATATATATCTTGGTGTATCTTGTAAAATCAGAAACTTTGCTAGTGTTTACTCTCCACTTCTCAAGATTACCAATGTTTTAAACATCTCTGGATATGCTATGATCCAAATCATTACTTAAATTCATGATAGAAATGTCACTGATGATATAAGCTACCAATTCGTGGGCTCCTATAGCAAACCGTGATAATTAATTAACTATAAAAATCCATACATTCAAGGAGGATGTGGTGCTTATACATATTATATAGAGCATGTTATATCGGAAAAAGCAGTGAACTGGGAGTCAGAATACTCAGGGCAACTTTATCATTACTTCACTTGGTGATTACTACAGGCAAATTACTTTCCCTTTCAGGGTCTCAGTTTTTTCATTAGTAAAATGAAGGGGTTGAATGGAGTAGTCTACAAACAGAAAGACCATCTATCTTGGTTTGTCTAGGACAGTTGTGGATTATGCCTATGGTCCAGGTGTAATTTTTAATAGCACCCCTTTTTACTCTCAAAGTATTCTAGTTTGGACAATTAATTATGTGGTCACTCTATATCACTTTTAGTTCCCAAATCTGATACTCAGTGATTGGAGTTAAAAACTCAAATGTCTATGGGCACCAGCAGGTAATGCAAATGAGTGCAGCTGGCCAGATATAATATAACAGGGAGTAGCTAGAGATGTCATCAGGAGGCTGCTACTAGTCACCTCTAGCCACTTGTGGCCCCATAGAAATGTGTCTTCAGGGTTTCAGATCATCCTATTTTTCAATATTTTCCAGGCCCCAGATTTTATGTGAAATAACTTGATTTTCAAATGTTGGCAACCAGTTCATTATTTTTAAAACACTGGGTGAGCCATACACAGTATGTCTGCAGGCTGCATAGAGCCCAGAAATCATGAGTTTGCAACCTCTGAAGGGTATACACACACAGATAAATTTATGGGATGGTAAAACACAAAGCTGCATTTCCCCACAGGCTGTTTAGGTTACCTTGATGGTGTTCTAACATTACTTCCACACACAGAATAACAGTAAATACAAGATCTAGTCACCTATGTTCAAATTAAAATTGGAAACAATAGTATTATGCACGAAATTGCTAGCCCTTCTTATTTCTAGGGAGCTAGAATGAGCAGCATGGAAGAACAATGAAGGAACTTGCATTTTTTTACTTTAGACTTTTTTACTTTTGTAATGGAAAAAATTAAAATAAGGAAAGGGTGTATCAGACATATGGACAGGTGATTCACAAAGCTTTTCACTCCAACAGGAAGACATACATCAAGCTTCTCATTCTCCCTGAAGCAACAGTCAATATCTGATGCTTCAGAAGGTGAAGCCTTCCCATAATGCACCTGTGTAGTGTTAGCCACAGGGTAGTGTAGGTGATATGTGCAGTAAAGTGGGTGAAATTAAATATCTTCAGAATTCAAAACATAGTAGGAGTTTTGGGAGAGCAGACAATACCAATATATCATGTCAACAGCAGAGACGGTGCAAAGCTCTATAGCTTTGGCCGGGCACGGTGGCTCACGCCTGTAATCCCAGCACTTTGGGAGGCAGAGGCGGGCGGATCATGAGTTCAGGAGATCGATACCATCCTGGCTAACACAGTGAAACCCCGTCTCTACTAAAAATACAAAAAATTAGCTGGGCGTGGTGGCGGGCGCCTGTAGTCCCAGCTACTCGGGAGGCTGAGGCAGGAGAATGGCGTAAACCCGGGAGGCGGAGCTTGCAGTGAGCCGAGATTGCACCACTGCACTCCAGCCTGGGCGACAGAGCGAGACTCCGTCTCAAAAAAAAAAAAAAAAAAAAAAAAAGGCTCTATAGCTTTTACACCATTACTTATATTTTATTGGAGCTAAAGGCATTTTAAAAAGTGGATTTATGCTGAATATTTATGCTGAATATTTCTGAAAATATTCCACTTCCAGCTTCTTCCCTAACAATTCCTAAGAAATGTTATTGCTAGTTAGAAATGCTTTATCTTTTCTTCTATCATATCCAATGAAGGCCTGATCTTACAGAGTCTAAACAATTGCAGTAAATACATTCCAGATTTCAGCAGCACTTTACCAACACTTGTGAATCGCTGTCATTCTTCCAGGATTCAGTTTAAGAGTGGCAATTACAAGTCACTTTAATGTCTGAGGAAAGGATGGAAAGCAAGCCCTGCAAATAGAAGGCCACATTTACTCTTTTCAAACCACAGCTCAAACTATCAGAGGAAAATACAGTTTTTATGTAAGCGCTCAAACAGTTTTCCCCAAATCTTGCAGAATCCATTACTTTTAAGAAATTTCCACATGAATAGACCAAACGAATCAGGCATACTAATACTTTGTACATGCACACACACAAGTGCCAGTTCCATATCATACTGTCACAAACTCTAGAGCTAAACACATTCACACGCTTCGGATTAAATGATCAGGGTAGAAATATGCATTGTGAATAAAATAACTTACCTATCTTACCTATAAAATTCCCCATTTCAGTTGTTTTCTGCCACTGCCACTTTTGAAGTTATCCTCAACTGAACTCTTTGTACACATTCCTGCAAACCAGCTCACTGTTGGAATGTCTCTCATTTATTCATTCATCATTCATTCATTCAACAAAGAAATTTATATTTAGCTAGGTGGAGACACAGGGGACAAGATGTGTTCCCTTGAGACACTTGAGAGGCTCACAGTCTAGCCCACACAGAACTCAGCTTTAGTTATGTGCTTCTGTGCCACAAGAACTATTAAATCTTCCCGCCAAATTAGTTTTCATCAGCCCTCTTTGCATTTTTGACATCAGGTTCTGCCTGGTCATGGGGCCTTTCCCTGGAGACCTAGTCCTTGCCTGGTTTCCCACTTCTACTCAGAACATTGTCTTTGCACATTTCACAACAAATTATGTCCTAGTGGCATTTCCCCAAGTTTTTTTACACCTTTTTCTTGGTAGGTTAGCCCCCTCAAAGCAAACTTGATTTACTTTCTTTGCTCAGATAAGCATTTCAGTTGCTTTGTTCAATTCCTTACCACAAAGACCACAAGACTGAGATATGTTCTGACACAGCCCTGTAAGAATGCTGCACTAAGAAGGTGCTTCCTCCTCCATGCTCCCTAGGACCACTGCACATGCCTTCACTAAAGCAGTTATCTCGTGGCTGCAATGTGCCTTTACTTTTACGAGTGCCTCCACTACCAAGATGGAAACCCCTCCAGAGCAGGGACTATGCTCTACGCTTGGCATCTCCAGAAGCCCAGCGTGAGGAGGCACCTCACCCACCCATCAGGAACTTGAAGTGTTTCCAATAGCAAATCCCCTTGTTCAATATGCAGGGTTTCTAGCTGGACTTATGATTTGCTGCGCATTATAGTGACTTTATCAACCTCAGGTGGAAGTAGGCTTTTAATGAAAATATGAAAGAACTATTCATTTATTCATGCAGCATTATTCTATATACTGCACAATGTTTAACACTTCTGAACTCAGGGAAGAATGCCAGGAGCATTCTCCAGTCATTGGAATATCCCCAAATGCCATCTTGCTATCTAAGGAGACAAAAGCACCACCCTATCCCACACCAAAAAGTTGAATAGACCAAACGAATCAGGCATACTAATACTTTGTACATGCACACACACAAGTGCCAGTTTCATATCATACTGTCACAAACTCTAGAGCTAAACACATTCACACGCTTTGGATTAAATGATCAGGGTAGAAATATGCATTGTGAATAAAATAACTTACCTATCTTACCTATAAAATTCCCCATTTCAGTTGTTTTCTGCCACTGCCACTTTTGAAGTTATCCTAGGGTATTTTTGAGGAAGTCATTACAGAGATAAAATAACACATAAAACTTTCAGCCAAAAAGACTGTTTTGGTCTCTACTCTTAAAACTTAAATCCAAGCTCTAATCATTTCCAAGCCTTCAAAGTTACAATGGAAGGTAAAGAAGTTCAGGATTTAGGACAAACCTGTTTTCAGAACCTGCTTACTCAATCACTTGATAACACATTGTTTAATGCATTGGAACTTAGGAAAAGGAAGTATAACATTTCCTTTATCTTTATGACACCACTGCTGACAGCAGAGTTACCTCCATTTCTTTAAACTTATTAAGTTGGAGTCCTTCTAGGGTTTGCCAACACACTATACAGATGAACTTTCTGTTTAGGACAGTGAGGAATGCCTTTCTTCCCCAGCTCCGTGTGGTTCCCCTCTTCTCCCTTATGTTTAATGCACATCTCAGCTTCATCCCACTTTCAAGCTTTCCTCAGATGCCCTAGATCCATTTTCAGGGATGTACTGTATCCACCCCCTGTTCTGTCATCTCCTAACCCTCCAAAATGTTTCACTCCTATGTCTTTGAGGAGAACAGATGCCTTTCTCTGGCCCTTTTAAATGTAAAGATGTTTCTATGGCTATGCTTTTAAGTGTTAAGTTGTTTCTATGGCTATTTGGAATCCCAAATAGATTGGAAATTTCCCAAGGGCACACACATCCCAGTTTTTATTCTATATTCCCATGGTAACCATGCATTTAATAAATATAGTTTATGACTATCACAAATGTGGATATAGCCCCCTTTTCTTTTATATATATTTATAAACTATGTTCTTAAGCATTTCATATGTTTACTTTTTCTTTCTGTGTCCTTTACATTTTAGTTCACTTTAAATTATAGTCTTAAAGGAGAATAATTCTGAAACCGAATTCTATCCATAAAATAACTAGTATTGGACCATCTACAATTAACTGTTAATAAATGCTTTGAGGTTGGTTTTTTGTTTTTTGTTTTTGTTTTTGGCAGTAGTTATAAGCTTGGCCTAAGGAGCTGACTTCTATTCCCACAGAATCCTAGAATCAGATTTTATAACTAGAAAGGATCTTAGAGGTCATCTAGTCCATATTCTACCCTATGTTTCAGGGATCTGAGGCTCTGAGAGGTTAAGAATCTTACCCCAAGTCACACAATTCACTAATGATCAAGCCAAGAATACAACCAGGTGTACTCACCCCAATTCCAGTTTTTTTCCCAATATCTCACCACCCCAAAACTTTGCTTATCTTTCATCTAGAAATGTGCACCAACTGCCTTCTAGTCTCCTAATATTTGTAGTGAATGACCCTGAAATGTGTTCATGTTTTTGGCACTACTGCTCTACTTATGTAATTAAAATACAATTTTTGGATGTAGGAAATGTTGGAGATAACTGAAATTTTCAGCACCTTTTAAAGTTGCAACCGGAAAAAATGATCACTGAATACATCATAACACAGTATGGGCTAATTGAAAGGCATTCACCATGCTGCTACAAACTAATAAACAACAAAAATGATTGCAAAGTAATCTGACTTCACAAAGTGCTATAGTGATTCAACCTCCACCCCCAGAGAGCGAATAAATACAAAATATTATTAGAAATATAACATGGTCGACTTGGCCTGAGGTGAAATGCAGAAGACTGCTAGATTGACTTTAAAATGCCGTGGAGGAGCGTGGGATGTCATGGAACGGGGAAAGTGAGTTTCTTGGAGCCCAGTGTGGTGTCTTGAAGTCACTGTGCTCCATCCATCAGACTGCCACAGATACAAAGATAGCAAGAATGGCCACTTTCTTTAACCAAAAAAGGCCCTGGCGGTCTCAGGCAGACACAGAGGGGCACACACTTGGTAGGTCTCAAACTGTCAGAGTTCCTGCCCTTTCCTCCGTGGCCAGCCCCCTTAGTGTGAAGGGGTTGGCATGGGGCCTTTCCCAGACCCTCTCATGGGAAGCCAATTCAGCAAAGTCGGAGGCACAGCCCCCGTGTGAACGCAAGCCTGCACGCCTGAATAGCGGCAGCTGGCTTTGGAGAAAAATGGGACAACTGTCTCCTGCCCGGCTTTCAAGAGCTGCCATTCTTTCTTTCCAGGGGCTGAGCCAATTTCTCGGTGCCACCCACTCTCGCGCCTGCCCCCAGCCCCCGTTTCCTCCCCCGCTCGGGCCGGCGCGGGTCCACCCGACTACAATGCAGCGCGCGGCTGACCCAGCTGCTCCGGCTCCTGCCCGGGGTAACCACGGTAACCGCGGGCCGCCAGGAATGCGCGCTAATTGAAGGCCGAGTTTCCTCCCACAGTGATGAGCAACAAGTGAAGCAAAAATAGTGAGGCGGAATAAAGGCTGCGAGGAGGGGGCGGCGGGCGCGACCGGGGTGGCTGGGGGCTTAGGGAAGGGGAAATAGCGCCTGCAAGACCGCATTTGTTCTCTTAACACAGGGCAGTGAACGGCCGCGAACGACGTCATTTATGGTTCAAAAATCTTAGGGCAATTTTTTCAGAAAACAACTATTACGTCAAACCCCCACCTCTTTGCTGGGCCCCTCTGCTCGATTCAGGTACCTAGATGAATGGAGATGTACGTGCACATACATAGGTCCCCAGGAACGAAATGCCAGATAGCAGCAGGGTTCAGCAGGTGGAGGTGAGCCGACACTAATTTCCCCCCCAACCCTCTGGATCTTCTGTTCTCTTCAATCTATGGGAGACCCTTCAAGGTGGTCAGCAGCTAAAGATGGGTGACCATCATACCAGTTGGCCTAGACAGTTCCGGTTTATGCCTGTTGTCTTGCCAGAAATTATTAAAAGTCCCCCCTTTTCACTCTCAAGAGTATCCTAGTTTGGATGATAAGTTGTAAAGTCACCCTATCTAAAGTCTTCCCAAGCTCACCCAGATCCTAATCCAAGTCCAGTGTTCTTCAGATCCCTCCAGACTTCATCAAATGGCCTGGCCTGTGTGACCTAATCCTTGTATTTAGGTTAGGCAGTAAACACCCTGCAATTAACTAAGGGTCATCCACTGAGAAATGGGGGCTTCCAACAGCAACCAAAAGATAGCATGCTGGGACAGAATGCTTTCAAACCCACTAGCAGGAAGATTTCCACTGGGCTGATTAGGGTCACCACTGGCAAAATACAGTACAGATGTCATTGAGAAAATGTGAATCTATTAGCAATAGGATTGCCAATTCACAGATGGCCATTAAAGCCTCTGCCCGTGGAATGGGCTAAAGGAAAATCAGCTCTTTAGCAGGAGTCTCCAAATGTAGAATTCCCTAAAGAGGGTTCCCTCAGATTAGAGATGAAACGCTGGCGATGTGGTGTGGGGAGTGGTAAGGGGTGGGAGAAGGAAGCTAACATTTACTAAGTTCTTTGTGCATTTAATCTTCACAATAGGTCTTCCGTGTAAATTTTATTACCCCTCCCCATTTATTCAGCTAAGGAAACCCATGCTCATAGACGTTGACTTGTCCAAGTTCATATTGCTGCACTGAGTCCAGGGCTGTCTGACCCTGAAGCCTCTGCTGTTCACAGTGGACTTTATCCAATATCCAGAGAGACCTTTGGTCAAGATCAGTTTCACAGCCTCAGCACTATTTCTATCTGGAGCCAGATAATTCCTTTGGGGAATGGGAGAGCTGCCTTGCATATTGTAGAATGCTTAGCAGCCTCCCTAGTCTCTACCCACTAGATGCCACAGCATCCCACAAGTTGTGACAACCAAAAACTATCTCCAAACATTGCCAAATATCTCCTGGAAAGGCAACAATTGCCCCTTCTTGAGAATCAATGGCCTACATATTTAATATCCAAATACAGCTTTAATATCTTCTTGTATTGTTCTCTAACTGCTTCAGAAATATATCTTTTATCTTCACCAAAAGACAGTAATTTTTATAGAGACAAGACACTGTCATTTCTTTATTTTGTATCCTCACTGTGCTAGGGATATAATATGCAAAAAATAATCATTTTTTAAAATCATAATTTAAATACAAATCATACTTGAAGCAAAACTGACTCCACTCCATGGTGCCTATCAAAGAGCAAGGTTGAGATTATGGAGTAGAAAGGTCTGAAGGCCAAAGGAAGCTTCTTGCAAAGAATGAAAGGCATGATCCCACATCTTTGAAGGAACCACAAGCCCTACTCCACTCTTCATTCAGTAGAATGAATGTTATTGGCAGTCATTAACCAGAATCAGATTCTAGCTGACACTTGGCTAACTTTTCTGGCTCTTCCCTCTCCTCCATCCCTTCAATGCATTTTTTTTCTGGTTCTTTTTAAAAACAAGACCAGCAGAGGCATCTAGGTAAGCTCAGGGCAGAGCAGGCCAAAGCTAGGAGAGAGTGCTGGGAGAAAAGGCAGTGGGGCTGAGGCCTGAAAAGCCACTCCTCATTTGTTTTCTGTCTCTCATGGAAAACTATGGAGTTATTTCAGCTGTTCTGGAAACCTGAAGGCACAGGTGTCTGCTGATGATAGAAAGGATGATTCTGCTTTCTTTGGGGAATCAACTCTACTGACGCATAATCTGAAGCATATCTGATGCATAATTGAGTTTACAAATGAAAATGTAGGTACAGCTCAAGTCAAAAGATGTTCCAAAGAAGTAGCCTCCAAATTTATGGCGAAAGTGTGGCTCTGTAATTAATTCCTTTTCTCCCTTCTGCCAGGAGTAAACTTTTTCTTCCTTCTCCCTCATTCTTTTTCCCTCTTCCTCTGTTTGTAAATCTTAGAAAGAAACAGCAGCAGCCACTCTCAGAGATCAAAGTTTTAGCAGGCAACAAAGACCTCCAAGGAGGCTGTTGCCATGGGAACTCTGGGAGCTGAGGCCCTTTTAATCGTCAAATCTCCTTGGTTAGCGGCACCAGGCTGGGGCTGGCAAAGAGAAGGAGAAGGAGAGAGGGGAAACATTGGCAACAAGTAGCCTTTCTGAAGAGACTGAACTAAAGTCACAGGGGTAGGGGGTGGACAGGATTCAAACTGAGGCAGCAGTAACACAGGGGTAGGTGTGGGGGCATTTCTGCATAGCCTTAAGACACATGCTCCCATTAAACATCCCTAAAGTCAATCGCAAATTCTGAGACGTCCCCTCCCAAGAATTCACTGATTTTATACTATATGGCTTTTTAATACTAGTGGATGGAGAAGTTTATTTTAAAGCAGAATAACAATTTCAGGCACAGTATTGTGAATAATTTGATCTAAAATACACACACACACACACACACACACACACACACGCCTACCCATTCCTTTACCACTTATCTATGTAATATAACTGTACTTCTGGTTAAATCACAGGAGGAGATAGAAGAAAAAAATAGGAGCGTGACAGGAAAACAAAGGCAATTCTGTGGGCTTACATTCATGGGGAAGAATCAATCCCAAATGAGCGCCTTACTCACAAGGACCTGCTGGGAGCATACCTATTTCTGGCCTCCTGGATTAGCATTGCATTTGGACCATAAAGAAGCACAAATGGATGAATTCCCCAAAATGTTCATGTTTGTTATTTGCCTGCCTGACATTGTTTTCTTCATTTGGAAACAAATTGCCAGAGTTTCCTTTAGGAAGTTACTCTTTTTCACTTTTCCCTTCAGTTCATAGGTTCAGTTGGGGTTGGGTGGTATACTACAGTCCTCTCACACACAGGCCACCCCCAACAACAGGACTTTTACTGAAACTATGGGGAAAGAGGCACTTTATCCTCTTGAGATGGAAGGTGCTAAAGACTATGGAAGGGTGGATCTGCTGGGGGCCATCATCTCTGCCCCATGCAGAGAGATCCTGCCTGGAAATGATGCTAACACAGAGAGTGCAGAGCCAGGAGATGGAGATGAGGAGACAGAGATTCTTTAACACATAATCTGAAAACCAGGACTTAGCCATGCTTGAAGCTAGGAATACCCCCGGATTTATCTGTTACGTAAATCAAATTATCTGTTACCAGAGTTCCCCTAAGCCAGTTTGAGCCTCTATCCCTTACAATAAAAGAGTTCTGAAAAATACAGCAGTTACCTTTGGATAGTGAGATCTTTAGGAGATACTTTCTTTTGTACTTTTCTGTTTTGTTTGAAATTTTTACAATAAGCATGTATCTTTTTTTCTAAAACAGAAACAATATTAAAATGACACAAAACAGCAGTATTTGAGGTATCACCCTCAACAGGGAATTAATTCTGCCATCTATGGATCTTTTAAATAAAGCCAGAATCATAGAAAGTATTCCAAAAAACCATCTTGTTTATCGTAATATCCCCGACAAGAGAACCTGTTCCATATTAAAAGTTCATCAGAGGAGTTTCTTATAATTTCCCTCAACCATCCATAGTTTCCAAAAATTGTTATTTACCATTAGGAATGTCTTCCTTAGGATGAATCTAAACACCCCTTCCCTCATATCCTCTTATTCTATTCTTGGCCCATAGGCAGGGGTGTTCATCCAGTCACATTTCCTCCCAGGCCTTTTTCCCCTTTTTCTAATTAAAGGCCTTTAAAAAATAAGCTACCACATAGGACATCAGAAAGAAGGGGTCAAGCCCTCAGATTGTACATCGAAAGACATAAGAACAAGGAGAGCTGCTTTTAGATTTTAAAATAACTTCCCTGTTTGAGCCTTCCTGAAATGGTGAAGTCCTTTGCCTGCCAGCTGGAGATGCCCCAGGGAACTTTATTCCTGTCCAAACAGTGGCGTGGTTCCAGATTATAAACAGCCTGTCCTTACCATGGATCCTAGACAAATTTCTAATCTTGGATGGCAGATTTCTAGACACTCCCATCTTCTGTGACTGCTGGTATGGCCCTATGATCCCAAATGACTGTCTAAATATTTCTAAGATACCTGTCACTGTCATCTTAAAGCACCAAAACACTATGCATTTCCATCTTCACAATGACTTTACCTTCTGAATCATCAAAAAGACATTAAAGGGTGTTCAGTATAGTTTTTGTGTTTAATGTTGAATCAGTGGTTGTCCTCCCATTTCTGTGAATCACATATCTTTGGATATTTCTGAAACCACTGAAAGAGCCATCCATAGCGATTTGTGGATGGTCAGATGTATAGGGTGGAAGGAGGGGTGAGTCATGCTCAGTGGGAAGGAATGCAATCTAGACAATAACAACTATGCCTTTGAAGTTAGAGCTTCGGTCAATGGTTGTGGGCAGTTTGACTAAGAAATAAAGTGAAATACTGAAGCAAACCTGGAACAAGTAACAAACATTACCCACGGCCTCAAGCAGTAACCACATTTTTTTTTTAACATAGCTTATTCTATAGCTTCTTCATACAGACAGGTCATGTGGTATTGTGGAAAGAGATAAGGCTAGGAATCAAAACACTTGAGTTTGATCGATGACACTTTTTTAACTAGGATATTAGGCATAAAACACAGACATCACTTTTTTCATTTGGAAAATAATACCTGCCCTCCTACAAGATTATTACAGAACAATTTTATAAACTACAACTTATTTTCAGTGTACATTAGTATTAGTGCTAGATGTAGTAATGGCATCCTCTGGTAGACACATATTGTTTTTTTGGCATCCCACATCTATTCTTCTTTTATGTAACAGTGTCTTAATTTACTTTGGAGAATTAATTCTTCTCTGTGTCTTGATAAAGTAACTATGAAGAGCCCCTGGTCTCAAAAGGCTAAGCAGGGGACAACTGACCAAAGTGGGTCAACAGGAACTTCACCTACCCTGCTTGCTAATAATTGTTCTGACCCTAAGATCTAATCCGATTCCTCTATTAAGATTTCTTCACTGGTTCTCCTAAGTCTTCAGAATCTAGTCCAAACTTCTTAGTCTTGCATATAAGATACTTCACAATCTTGCTCCATCAACTTTTCCATCCTTACCTTTCTGAGTATAATGAAGAAACCAAATTCTTCTTAACTTTGCCTCTAATTTACATCTTTAACCCATCTTTTCTTACTAATTAATCTTCTGTAATTTCAACCTGTTTTCTGCTCCCCATTTTGTGATCATCTCCAAGAAAAGCTACAGCAGTTGACTCTTTCAAGCCACCATCAATAGTTTTTTTCTTCACTCTTGAGGGATTAGTCCTCTTAGCCCTGACCTACTGCAAAAGACCACAGTTTATTCTTCTGGGTTCCTTGTGAATGAACATCAATCACCCTGCATGTTCTTGTAACCAATCTGTTACTTTGTTTTTCTCTGTCATGAGGATTGATTTCCTGGGAGATCATTTTCTTATTCATCAAGGGAGTCACATCAATCATGTTCATCTACTTTTTAAACCAAGAACTTTACAATAGAAATAAAGCTCAAAAGTAACTTAACTGAATACCTTTTCCTGTGCATAAGTACCTCCAGGGACATAGAACTCATTTCTGAGAATACTTATTCCATCTTTAGATGTCTCCAGTTGTTAATGTTAGATGTCTCCAGCTCTTCTTTTACAGTGAGATAGACTCCCTCCCTTTGTTACTTCCACTCCTGATTCCATTTTATCTAGCCAGACAGAGTATGTTTCCATTCTCTCTTCTATATAATTTCACTTCAAATATTTGGAGACACTTCTCATGCTCACTGTTCCAAGTCCACTTTTGCTAGACCAAATCCTCCAATCATTCCTCATATAAAATTCAATGACTGAGCCAGTGGTTCATGAACATTATAATTAGCAAACTGTGGGTCCCAGTTATCTTCTCACAGAGGTCTTCATCTCCTTAGAAATAAACTCAGAAATCAGCTTGCTCTCCTGGTCTCACATAAAAAGAATACTTAACAAATAGGCCAGCAGGATGAAATAATCCCAAAATAAGAAATTTTACAACTGTGATGGCATTTTGAAATATTGTATAAAGGGATGTGAAGACAAAAAAGACTCAGAATTTTGTATTTGGAAAGTAAATACAGTGCTTTATGGACTCAGAAAAATTTTTGTAGATTTCTAACTAACCCCTTTAAATAAGTAACACAGCTAGTGTTGCCCTAAAAAGTTTCCATGACAAATTTATCATGTTTTGAACATCTCTAATGTTGAACAAAACAGAATGATGTGTTTCTTCCCTACCAAGAGCCCTAGCATGTCTCTGTTTCATAGACAGGCTGCTTCTACTGCAACGAGTTTGGATTTGCAGCCTTGGTAAGTTTTCCTTTATGATTCCTTTAGAGTAATACTGATTTTTTTTCTTCATCTTTCCTCCCATAATTGGCGACTACTGTCATCTGAACTTCTGTTTTACTCACCTCTCTGCTGCTGGCCCTTTTTTTCCTTGAGAATAGCATTTTTGCCCAAGTTGCTTTGCATGTTTTGATCCAGAGGAATGCCCTTCATATACTTCAACACATCCTCAGATGACAAAGCTTTCACTCTATTTATTTCCCCATGTTTGCAGAACAACTGGGACCAAATTATTTAAAGTGGTTTTTACCTGGCCTCCTTTTCCTGCACAGGCAACTACTTCTCTGCAAATGGCTGCCCTGGCCAAATAACTATGTTCACAATTAGCTAATTGTGGGCTCAATGAGCCACTTGTTCCTTCAAACTTGGCTATTAGGGTTGTGATTAAGCAAAAATGTGTCTTTTTATTCCTTTTTGATTTATAGAGTCACAGCAGATCCCAGATCTGATCTCCCTATGTTCTTTACAATGTCAATATAAGCCTTTTACTTTTTCATTTCCTGCTGAATATCAGTCATATTTCCATTCTTTTACAAGTCACAAGTTACACTTTATATATTGGACCCAAAGACTTTGTTTGAATTAAGTCAACCTTCTAATAAGGCAGACCATTATCACCTTAATCCAATTTACAAAATATTATGAGGCTGGGTGGGCGAGGTGGCTCACACCTGTAATCCCAGCACTTTTGGGAGGCCAGGGTGGGCAGATCACTTGAGGACAGGAGTTGGATACCAGCCTGGCCAACATAGCAAAACCCTGTCTCTACTAAAAAATACAAAAACTTATCAGGGCATGGTGGTACACGCCTGTAGTCCCAGCTACTTGGAGGCACGAGAGTCACTTGAACCTGAGAGGCAGAGGTTGCAATGAGCTGAGATTGAGCCACTGCAATCCATCCTGGGCGACAGAGTGAGACTCTGTCTCAAAAATAAAATCAAATAAAATAATTTTTAAAAATAAAACAATAACAAAACATAATGCTAAGGCATCAGAATAGTTGTTTTGCCAAAGTCACACAATCATGATAAAGACTAAAACTAAAAATCCTAAATAACAACTGCCACTTTCTCCCTAGGGATTGAGTTTCTCTACAATTTTTATATAGGGTACAAATCTACCTTCAACCTCATTTACTTTTAATAGGAGGCACCCTTACAAATTACTCCAAATTGCTATCACCTGGTTTCTTGGAAGCTATAAAAATGTAATTTCTTTTGAAAATGGCTTTAGGTGTATATCCTGAACTACCTTTTTCCCTACAATTATGCAGTTTCTTTTCTTATTTCTGTATGTTCTAATTTTCTTGTTCAAACAACATTAATAGAGCACAAAATATGTGCTCAATTTTCAGTTTCATACAGAGGTCAGCTCCCACTGACATTCCTCCAATCCACAAAAAAGGAAAGTAGCCAAAAATAATGAGTTTTCATTTATGAGGAGATTAATATTAATAAGGATTAGATGTATTTGCTTTGAGCATAACTTGGACACTTTCAGGTTTCAAGATATCTGGCTTCCAATTAAACACTAGTACATCTCCCAAGCAGCTCTTTTTATTGGGCATCTTTTATTACCAAACTCTCTAGTTTACAGCTGTCTTTTCTTATGATTGTTTTAAGTGGAGATAATCCAGTGGGAAAAGATTCCTGATGTCTCCAGAGGTTCTGACACATCAGTGAATTCTTATCTGTGTAATCTCTACCTTGCTTCAAAGGCCTCTAGCATTTTCTTCAAAATTAGCATATAACAAGACAAAGAGAGAAATCAAGGTTAAAGGTGAAAGTAGAAAGGAGAGAAAAAAATGAAGAAAGCAGAAGAAATATTCAGGACAATGATAAAAGGTGGGGGCGGGGGGGTCATAGCTTTCAAGAAGTAAGACATAATAAGTACAGCTACTGCTCATAAAGAGCATATTCTAAAAGGGAGTGTGCATGAAAGATAAGACTGTGTATGCAACCTGCTAATGCACACAGGGGAGAAGTGAGAAGAGGGATAGGATACAGTGCAAGTGCAAGTGGTCTAAGATGAAAATGTCACCTGTTGTTTTCACTTACCCAACACCAGCAGTTCCACTGAGTCCTCATTTTTCCCCTCCAGGTCATCTGGGGTGGTGATAATACAGTAATAGAGTCCGCTGTCTCCCCACATAAGCTTTCCAATTTGAAGATCTGCATCTGTTATCACAAAAAGAAGGACTCAGTCCTAAAACTCTGTCCTCTGAAAGAAAAACACTAAACAATGGGGGTTGGGAAGGGAGAAACCTTCTGGGGTATCTGCAGTATTTTCTTTCTTTATCTGGATGGTGGTTGAAAGATGTGTGCTTTGCTTAAAACAAACAAACAAGACCAACAGAACCATAACAGAAACTAGCATCTCTAAGGAAGGACAATTAGAGCCTGTCAGAAACCAGTCTAGTTCTAGTGCAGTTTCAGGAGTAGGAGATGGCTTTGAACCAGGCCTGCAGAGGCCCCTAAGAGCCAGGAAAATGCCAGAATTATTCTGAACTCATGGAAATAAGCTAAAATCACAGGAGTTCTTCAAAATTCAAATAATCGAATAGATCATATCGGACTCTTGGGACCTTTTGAGGTCCAGAGCTTTAGAGAGCAAGAGAAAGGGTGGAATTGATGCAAAGCCACCTGGGGCTTGGGCCAAGCATCTACCTGGCTCTGTTATTTGTATGCATACGTCCCTTCTCCCAGCAAAAAAGTCTGCTTTCCACATTTGGGAAAGGACCCTAAAGGCTGATGTCAAGGTATAGGATGTTTGGCTGAAGAAGTTTTTCCCCTAAAACCCGTGTCAATTCAGCTCTAAAAACAAGCTCCTGAGGCTTGATGCTGGGCTCTGGAAAGACTCTTTCCAAAGTTCATCTGTATGTCTTCAGGAGATTTTACACGATCCACCCTTTTCCCCCTCACCATCCCGTTAGGGCAATGATAGGTCTCTTGATGCTCCCATTTCCAATAAAATAAAAGTCTTGAGGGTCTGAAAGGGTGAGAGGCTAGAATATCACCATATTGACATAAGGGAAGGGAAGAATGAAACTAACCTCCCTCCCATTTCCTAGATTCAAAATAGGGGCATTATTACCATGAACAATCGTGATCTCTCTGCCCCTGTAGAAATCTCCCAGGGTGACAGTCGAGCCCTGTTTTGAAGCTACTACTCGAACAGTCCTCCTGCTGTCCAAACAATCCAAGTAGGGGTCCCATTCCAGGTTTCTCTTGCTGAGAGATTGGGCCCGGGTAGAGGACATGCCCAAGGATTCTCCCATGCGATCCTGGCAGTAGGACTTGAACTTCCACTGCACAACTGCAGGCTGATGGGAGGATGTTGAGAAGTGGCAGCGAAGCACAGTGGGCTGGAAGAGCATGGCCACCTTCTTCTTGTCGGGCACTGTGACCTGAAGGCCTTCGACCATGGCTGCAAAACAGAATAAACATGTCCGAACAGTGTCCATATCCTGGACCTCACCTTCCATCACATGATCACACCTTTCCATTTCACTTCCCTAACTTGTGTCCCCTCAACCTCATTTTCACAATTATAATTAATGGCATTAATATCCATCTGGTTGCTTTGTGCAGAAATATGCCCTCTAATACAGTTTGGATTTGTGTCCCTGCCCAAATCTCACATCAAATTGGAAGAGTGGCCTGATGGGAGGTCACTGGATTATGGGGGTGGGTTTCCCCTGTGCTGTTCTCGTGGTAGGGAGTGAGTTCTCACGAGATCTGATGGTTTAAAAGTGTGTGGTACTTCCCCCTTCACTCTCTTTCTCTCCTGCTGCCATGTGAAGAAGGTGCTTGTTTCCCCTTTGCCTTCCACCATGATTGTAAGTTTCCTGAGTCTTCTCAGTCATGCCTCCTGTTAAACCTGTGGAACTGTGAGTCAATTAAACCTCCTTTCTTCACAAATTACCCAGTCTCAGACAGTTCTTTATAGCAGTGTGAGAGCGGACCAATACAACCTCACTCCCTATATCCAGTCACGCATTAAGTCACATCAACTTAATCTCTTAACATCTTTAATATTTCTTCCCTCCTCTTTAACCCCATTACTATTGCCTTTCCTTAGACTCTCTTCATTTCCTCCTCAAAATATTACAATAATCTTTTGTTTGGTCTCCCTGCCTTTAATCTGTCAACATCCAGTACACTCTTCTTGCTACAGTTCAGATGATCTTTCTAAACTGATTGTTATGGCTCTCTTTCTTAAGACCCTTCACTCATCCTCCATAGCCCTCAGGATAAAACCCAAAGTCCTTGGCAAGGTACTCCGTCATCTAGTTCCTCTTACCGCCTCAGCCTCACCTCTCACCTCTTGAAACACCTCTCTTTGAGCACCAAGCTCCAAGAATATCAAACAACTAATAGCTTCCCCAGTGGGATATCCTGTTTCATGCCTCCAGGTCTTTGCACATGATGTCTCCTGTTTCTGGGATGCTTTTTCCTCACTTCTTTGCTTGGGCAACTTTTTGCATCTTTTAAAACCCAGTTCAAGGGCTTCTTGTAAAGCCTTCTCTGACCAATAAGTTTATCACTTCCTCCTTTGTGCTATCAGTACACCCAGCATTTTCTTCTAAACATTTACTCTCACAGTCTTCCGAGTACTTCTTTTCATGCCTGTCAGGCCTGTCAGACTCGTCAGGTGTGGAAGGTATCTTCCCTTGCTGCCCTGGCTTGTGAAGCCCATAGGTACTCAACAAATATTTGATAAATAATGACAATGAAGCCAGGAAGTATCACTTCAGGAGGAAGTGACTTCCCTTCCAGTGGTGACCCAGCAAAGGGGACAGAGATGAAAAGGAAAATAAGTCTTTGAGAGAAATGGAGGATTTCAGATCAAATGCAGTAGACTAAGTTCAAAGCTTTGAAGGATAATCAAAAGAAGGAAAAAAAGTGGGGGCTAAAAAGCAGATGAGAAGTTTAAGTGGTAAAAAGATCCAACCTGATGCTTGGTGACCAAGAAAGAATGAGAAATTTCAGTGAATGAGAGACGAGGGGAGTGTTTGAGAAGCAAAGGTCCCACATGAACTCAATGATAAGATCTAGAAATTCCAAGCAAAGGGAACATAACTTTCTCAGTTGAATGGGAGAGTCAAGAGTTTCTAGCTTGATGTGAGGTTAGAAGCAGAAATAGAAATATGATGAGAGGCAGAAAAAACGAATATGAAGATATGATAAAGAAGTTCCAAATTGAATCCAGGAGACTGCTAAGTCAGCTTCAAGTAGCTTGGGGCAGAGACATGCAAAAAAGGACTACTTTCCATGGAGTCCTGTCCTTTATTAGTGCCAGTGTTCACAATGACATCCTGCAAAGCCAATTCACTCCCACAGCTAAAGCATAAACTTATTTATGAATATGCCTCTTTACTGAAGGACCCTTGACAAGGGCAAGATACATGTTTGTACTCATATCTTCTGACATCCAGACCAATGTCTCTATTCAATGAAAGGAACAATGAAAAAGTAGGTCCTAATTCCTGTTGGGGAAAAGGGTTTCTGCATTCTGTAACATCTGGAAGCGAATACAACAGAGTATTTGAGATTTATCAAATCTCAAAGCATTTTGGACCTACCCTGTGCTCAATAGCTACCTACAGAATAAATGAAGAAATGTATGAGCAAGTGAATGGCTATTAATATGGGAATTTCTAGGACTTTGCAGATGAAACTAGTTAAATGAGTCAGAAGTGTAGTAAAATAGTGTTGGCATCAAATAGGAATGGCTTTGAATCTCATCTGACCATACACTAATGATGGTTTCTTAAGCAATCTGAGACTCATTTTCCTCACCTATAGAATGAGCACCATAATGCTTACTCTCAGAGTTGTTAACAAACATTCTTTCATTGGGCACCTTCAGAGAGGAGACTCAGTAGAAGAGCACTGTGACCGGTAAAGAGTAGGTCTCAAATGCTAATTCTCCCTCACCTTGCCAAACTTTCCCCTCACCTCCCATCCTGAATCTTGATAACCATACATCACCACCAGGCTTGATTACATCCAGATTATGTAGATCAGCCCCATCAAAAGGCAAACAATTCCATCTGGAAGCTCATTGAAGAACCCTAGTTCCCATGCTTCCCTTCACCACCACTAAATGTTGATGTGGCTAATTCCATTCTCCCTCACTTATGAAGCTAGATTAGGAAAATAAATTTCTTTATAGTTTCTCCTTAAATTCTAGCGCATTAATTTTTTAACCTTGTAATTATTCTTCAAATAGTTACACCTCAATTTTTCAGGTAATAAGAATGGGACAAGAGAGGTGAAATGACTTCAATTAGCAGTGGTTGAGGCTGGATAACCACTCACAGGCACCATTCCCATACAAGGCTGTGTGCTTGACCACACCCCTTTTCTGCTCCACTGCTATTCTGGCACTGCTTGGGAAATCACATTTCTTAGCCTTTCTTTTTTTCTTCTTTCCAACTTTTGTTTTAGGTTCAAGGAGTACATGTGCAGGTCTGTTACATGGGTAAATTGTGTGTTGCAGTGGTTTGGTGTACAGACCATTTCATCACCCAGGTGGGTGCTCTACAAAAGTGTAGTGAGATTTATTTATTTTTTTAGAGAGGAAGTTTGGGGTTTTGTTCATTAGATAATTACTAAGAATAGCCTCCTTCCAAGCTCTGTTCTCTGTTAATGAGATTAGCCACTTGAGCAAGCCACTGGACTCTCTTAATCAATTATTAATAGAGGTTGGTCAATTCTCAGCTTCTATGACATAAACATAAACTCATGCTCCAAAAAAATAAAAATAAAAAATACATTCTCAGAAACATCTGCCTTTTTATAGCATGATACTTAAAGGCATGGATTTTGCAGTCAGTCCTAAGTAAGAATCCAGGTTCTACATGACCTCAAGCAAACTACTCAACTCTGATGAGTTTCAGTTTCCTCGCTGGCAAAACCAGAATAATAGTAACTACCTTATGGAGTTGTTTGAGGGTTAAGTAAGATTGTATCCTAAGTATTTAGAATAATACCTGGTATACAGTGAGCATTCAATAAATGTAGTTGCTAATGTTGCTGAGGCTATCAAGAGCAGTCTGATGACTTCTGTGAAGCTACAAACCTAGAGCTACGCAAGTACAGAGATCAAGGTGTCAGATGCCGAGTGTGTACAGGGCAAAAACTGCACAAGAATGCTAGAATACATCATTAGGAGTTCAATAGTGACAGTGCCTGGGTATGCTCCTCACTGCACATCACTTATGCACCTCCTGGAACTCAGAAGTAGAGAGTAACCCTGCACGTGTATGCACACATGCATACACATGTATACATGTACAGGCACAATGGGACTCTAAGCTAAAGGTAGATCTGGAGAAGACAGGACTAGAATTCCAAGTAAATGTGAGTTTATTGGATCTTTGAGAACCACAGAGTGAAGTGTTGGAGATAAAAGTAAAAATGCCAATCCCTGCTTCCACACTACAGGTTTCAAACTGTTAGATGAATGCCATCCAGTCCCCAAACTGCCCTGACCAAGTTTATCGGGACCCCCATTCCCACTGGAGGGTAGGGTCTAGAATTGCTCTTCTGGCCCTAACCCTGGATCCCTGGTGTCTAGGTGTCCTATACAACTGGGCAGCATCTCTTTCTCTCAACCTGTGTTTACCTTATTTAGAGACTGTTTTTCCACCTTGGTATCCTGATTTGCAATCCAGTTGCTCCACTGGGTCTGAGAACCCTTGCCCTGAACTCTGGCCTGCTTGTCTGGGGCCCTAATACCAGCCCCTTCTCCTGAGGGTTGGGTATTGTTTCCTATACCTTCATGCATGGCTGATCCAAATCTGAAACTGTGATGCTGCCATCCATCCAACTTCAAAAAATACCTCTCATGGGACCCACATAGATCAGGCCCCTCAGAACTGGTAGCTAATTTGGGTGGGGACTAGGATTGCCAGTCTCCTGTGGACACTGAAGTTTGACCTGGAGATACCCTCTCTCTGGCTCCCATTCCCGAGAGGTCTGCCCTGGGAGTAGGGGAGTATCCTGAGCTGGGGTCCTACCTCTTAGAGTTTTGTTTTCGTTTTTCAATTTTCCTACTTGTCAGATGCCAAAAACCAGGTACCAAGAACAAGTACTTCTTATGCTGGAGTCTATACAGGCTAATAAGAATATGTAACTATACATTTGAATTCCAGATAAATTAAACATTTTCAGCCTCTTTGTAGTGATAAGCTGTGCATTTGATCTAAGAAATCTGATTTACTCCCAAGGCTCCAACTACCAGTTATGTCTCACACCCCCAACTCCCTTAAGCCTCATCTGCATATTTAACAAACACTTTAAATTAAACATGTCTAAACCTCATTCATCGTCTCCTCTTTTCCCACCCTAGCTCTTTTTTTATAAACTCATCCTTTCTCTATCCCTTGCTCTTTTGCCAAAATACCACTTAATCTATTGCCCTAGATAGAAATCTTAGTTTTGATAATTTCCTCTCTGTCCCTGACCACATTCAGTTGGTCGCTAAGTCTAAATATCTCTCAACTTTGATCTTTCTCTATTCCCACTGTCACTCCCTTAAATCAAGTTTCTATTTCTGCTACTAGAAAATAGCTGTAAAATGCTTACTGTGTGTCAGGGATTGTGCTAAGCACTTTTCATGTAGTATCCTAATGAATTCTCTCAAAATCCTATAAAGTAGGCATTGTTATTACACCTGTTTTATAGACGAAGAGACTGATGCTCAGATAATGTATGTATGTATGTATCTTGCCTAACATTTCAAGGTTAGCAGGTGACAGTTTAGGTTTGAACCTAGACTGACTGGCTCCAAAGATCTTCACCATCATTTCACACAGGTCCTCACCACCACCTGGGTTTGAGAATAGCCAACTAAATGGTCTTCCTACTTCCAACCCAATCCACTCTCCATATTTTTCTAGAATACCGTTTTTAAAACACACATCAATCATGTCAGTTCCTGCTTTAAGGCCTCCATCGATTCCCCATTCCCTCCAGGACAAAATTGAAATACCCCAACATGGCATATAAAACTTTCTCCTTGACATGGCCCCCAGTATGCTCCAGCCATACTGAAATATTTCCAACCCTTTGACTATAAGTATGTTATCCCCTCCTCCTGGGCAAATATCAGGCCATGTAACTGAAGGAGTTCCTGGGAGGCAGACATAGAGAAGCACTGAAAAAGGGTCTTGCCCACACGTAAACAAGCACACGCTGGTACAACAGGAAGGCTGGGCCTCCAAGTCCAGGCACTGGTAACACCATATGGGACTTGAGTTTCAAACTCCTATAAAGAAATTTACAGAGGTGCAGAAAGAACCTGTGCTTCACCCTATAAACTAAAGCAGGTATTCTGGAAAACTAGAGAGAGGCACCTTAGGAGAGAGAGCAAGAGAGGAAAAGAAGTGAAGCAAGGTAAAGAATTATACTGGAGAGAGTATACCTGTAAAAATTAGACCTTCTAAATCTAAAAATAAAAAAAAAAAAAAATTTAAGAATTCCTCACTAAAAGAAGCACTAGAATTGAAGACCACAGGTGGTTTTCTGCTTTGCAGAGGAGGGAGTCATCATTCTTAGACCACCAGACTATTCTTTTAACTGTTTTGGTGCCCTGACCTCCAGGAAAACCACCCTTGACTATCTAATTTTAATTCGACCAAAAATGTATTTTGAAACACTACGCTAAGTTCTGGCAAAACAGATTTAAAAGACCAGTCCCTCATCTTGAGAAATTCAATATAAAGTTCATTTCTAACTATAAGGTCCCTGAGGGCAGGGGCCAGGATTTGGTTGACTTTGTATCCCTAGTATACAGCAAAGGCAAAGAATATAGGTGAAGCTAAAAAATGTGGAATGAATTAATGAATGAATGAAAACCGAACCTGTGAGTCTGAGGGGCCTTTCTTAGCAGGTGGTCCCCAGCTCAGAGAATGGATTCTGGCCAATAACTAGGAAACCTGCCTAAAGGTAGAGTGAAGAGTGACAGCTCTTCTCCCCCATCTCAGCCCCCATCTCAGCTAATCTCCAGGTGTAGGTACCTCGTCACCAGTCACCAGGCTAGGGAAGATCAGCTTCAAGTGCAGACAATGTCTCGCTGCATGTGCAAAAAAAGGTCCTGCCCCAATTCTCATGTAAAGAAAAAGATTCTATATATGATGAACTGTGTTCTTGCAAGAATAACAAACACAGACTCTAAGGCAATGCTATTCTTATTTTTAGCACTTTCATTTTTTTCAAAGCAAGTTCCTTTCCCCCACTAGTTGTAAGCTATTCCTGCCAGCATCTTTGGGAGGCAGATCTATAAGCATAGCCCCATTTTAGAGAAACAAAGATTGCTGCTAAAGGTCATGGAAAATTATCATCATTAGAGACAGGCATCTTTAGAAATATTGTATAATGCTCACCCACCCCTTAACTCTTTGAGTACCAAAAGCAGGATTTGACCTCAGAATTGCCCATTCCTCAGCATACCTTGGCCTTCAGATTCTTTCTTCATTCAGTATAACAATATAGTTTGAGTATCCCTTATCTGAAATGCTTGGGACCAGTAGTGTTTCAGATTTCAGATTTTTTTGGATTTTGCAATATTTGCATACATATGAAGAGGTATCTTGGGGATGGGACCCAAATCTAAACAGAAAATTCATTTATGTTTCATATATACTTTATACACATAGCCTGAGGGTAATTTTATATAATATTTTTAATAATTTTGTATATGAAACAAAGTTTGTGTACATTGAACAATCAGAAAGCAAATATATCAGGTACAGAATTTTCCACTTTTGGCATTATGTAGGCACCCGTAAAGTTTCATATTTTGGAGCATTTTGGATTTCAAATTTTCAGATTAGCAATGCCCAACCTGTACAAATCTTTCTTTGCCTGCCTTCAAGTTAGGTTTTGTTTTTTTTTTTGTTTTTTTTTTGACAGGGTCTCTCTCTGTCACCCAGGCTGGAGTGCAGTGGCACCACCTTGGCTCACTGCAACCTCTGTCTCCTGGGTTCAAGTGTTTCTCCTGCATCAGCCTCCCACGTAGCTGGGACTACAGGTGCGTGCCACCATGCCCAGCTAATTTTTTTTTTTTTTTAGTAGAGGTGGGGTTTCACCATGTTGGCCAAGCTGGTCAACTTAGGTATTCTTTAAGACATTCATCTTTTGTTTTTACAGTTTTAACATGTTGTCCCAATTTCCTAAGATACTTTTTAGGAACAACCAATGGGCAGGTTTTTTAAGTGTAGGAGATGAATAGGGAGATGAGTAAACATCTCCTCTGAGTTTGGTCATAATTCAGACAAGGAAAGAAAGCTTGTTCAGCCCTTAGTAGCATTGTCGGGATGAGAATAAAACATTTTGGGAAATATTTAAAGACAAGGCTAAAAGTATAAAGACAAAGAAGATGCAGCTTGAATCTTTTTTTCTTCTCGAAATAGGAACTATTCATCGCCTTGATAAACTTGTGTTAAAAAAAAACCTAAAAAACTAAAATAAAAAGGCTTTACCAAGAATAGTAGACATTGCCTTGGAATCTGCCTATTTTCTGAGCCTCATTCTCCAGCTTTGCCAATGATTCTGTGAGTTAATCAACTTCTTTCCAATAAAGTCCTTTCCTGCTTAATTTGGCCAGAATCAGTTTCTTGTTGTTACCATGATATACCTGATTGCTCAATCCACTTTAGGATTAGGGTAACCAGATGTACCATCTTGAAATTTTTAAAAACATGATAGTGTTTTCGTATGTTTTCCCCCCAAGAGTCTCAAAAGCAGCAATATGTCACTCTTTTCCAAAGAGCCATGGTAAATACCAGTGCTGCCACTGCCCAGGTGGATTTTTGCTCATGGCATAGTTATTATTTGCTGCCAATAACTCTGGTGTTTGTTTACACAAATCTTGCTATTCATCAAGCATATTTTCTCTGTGTCCAAGTGTGCCATCCTTTCTTGTACTCTGCCATCACTGCGTAGGTAAAAGCTAGAAACATTTTCTTTCTGTCTCATTTGCCTCATCTTCCACAGATCTGAAATGAGTTCATAGGTGTTGTCTAGCTGGCTTACACGCAGTTCCAATGGGACAAAGCAGTGCTAAAAGAGGTCAGTCTTTACCCTGCAATGTGGAGGTACTTTGAAAACTGTCTTGGTTTCCAAGTGGGTCAGACTTCTGGGATGGAACAGCCACTTAGACAGGAAAAAACTCCTCTAACAAAGCTCTTATCAGCCTTTACCAACTTGTTATCTGTATCTCCTGTCTAGATCTCTTTCCTAAGCTCCAGAATCAAATATACAACTTCACTGTCTATCAGGATGTTATGCAAGCACCTCAAACTCATCCATCTGTAGATGGAGACACTAACCATCTCCTTCTTCCTTTCAGTAATAGAAATTCCCAGGTTTAATTTGGCCAGCCAAGTAGTATATATTTCCTAGCCTCTCTTTTAGCTAAGTGTGGCCATGTGACTAGGCTCAGGACAAAGGTATGTTAGGAGAAGCGATGTGTGTAACGTCTGGGCCACTTCTCTCAAAACAAGTGGCTTGCCCTGGAACTCTGCTTTTCTTGCCCCTTCCTGCTGAGAAATGGCTATGAGCAGTCTCGGAAGCTGCATGTTGGAAACGGTAGGCTTATCCCCACAGATTTGGACTCTTACAGGAGAGAGAAATACACTCTTTTGTGTGGGTTACAATATTTTAGGATTTCTTAGTTATAGCAGCTTAGGCTATACTTTAAATGGGAAGGAAGGACAGTAGGAAGGTAGAAACGGAGGGGGAAGGGAGGGAGGGGAAACTTCATCTTCTTTCCTTAACATATTTCTCCTGGCTGGATGCGGTGGCTCACACCTATAATCCCAGCACTTTGGGAGGCCGAGGCAGGCAGATTGTTTCAGGCTAGGAGTTCGATACCAGCCTGGCCAACATGGCGAAACCCTGTCTCTACTAAAAATACAAAAATTAGCCGAGCATGGTGATGTGTGCCTGTAGTCCCAGCTTCTTGGGAGGCTGAGGTACAAGAACTGCTTGATCTGGGAGGCAGAGGCTGCAGTGAGCTGAGATCATGCCACTGCACTCCAGCCTGGGTGACAGAGTGGGACTCTGTCTCAAAACAAAACAAAACAAAACACATTTCTCCTCTTGTGTTAGTTCATGTTGATGAATGGCATCTCCAGCAGTCCCCAGCCAGAAACTTGGAGGCACTTTGACACTCTCTCCCCTTCAACCACCACATCCATCTAAGTCAGTCCTATGTGCTCCACCTCTGGTCACTCTGTCCAATTCTCTCATCCTCACTGTGCCATGTGAGTTGAGGATCTCATTGTGTCTCGCCATGCTTTCTGCAAGTGTCCCCTAGTTGATTTCTGCTACAAGCCTTGTCCATGTCTAATCTACTCTCCACACTGAGGCTCACATGATATTTCTAAAATGCACATCTGATTGTGCCACTGTCTTGCTCTCATTCTTAAAATATTCCCTCTAGCCTTCAGGAGCACAAAAGCTCCTTTCAGATGGGGCCATTACCTTCCATTCTTCCTACAGTACTAAATACTCTAACCATACTAAAGTATTTCAGTTTTCAGAAAACATCATGCCCTCCCCTGATTCTTGGCCTTTGCACAGGCTGTTCTCTCTGCAGATTCTCCTTCCCCCATCCCACTCTTCTCTGGCCAACTCCTACTTATCCTTCAGGACTTGCTCAGCTATCACTGCCTCTAGAAGCTTCTTCCTGTTCTTACAGCAGTCACAGTACCCCAAAGAATCACATCACTTTCCCTGAGAATTTCTTATTTAACCATCTATCTCCCCCACTAATAAAAAGCTCCCTCTGCAGACTTCTAAAGACTGATACATGGTAAGTACTCCATACATGTGTTGAATAATTTAACCCAGTTGACAGATTATAGTATTTATTCCCAATGATTTGTTTCCTTCCCATCCTTGCATTGGTCCCTGTAGGCAGAGTATACTTACCCCGTAGACTTAAGCTTGGCCACATGACTTGCTTTGGTCAATGGGTTGTGAGCAGATGTGCCATAGATATGGCCAAGCAGAAGCTTTAAAGGCATTTGTGTGGTTTGGCTCTGCCCTTGCCCTGACCCCCTTGAGCATTTGCCCTCCACTGTGAGAACAAAATGCTCAGATAGTGGCTGCTCCTTCATCCTGGGTCTTAGAGTAAGAAGAGAATTGGAATTGAGCCAACCCCATCAAACCTAGCCAATCCATAGCTACCCACAGCTGACTACAGGTCTCATATAATATGAGCAAGAACTAAGTGTATGTTGTAAGCTATTGAGATTTGGGCGCTGCTTGTTTCTGCATCAAAATACTGACAAATACATCTAGTTTGGGTTCATAATCAGTATTGAGGGCCTACTGTGTGCCAAACATTGTGCTAGAAGTTTTATATAATTTAATTTTAATTATCACAACAACCCTATAAGGTAGGTTAGCTTTCCATTATTAAAGCAACAACAACAACAAAAAAAGACAAAATCCTAAGCTGGCATCAAATCCAGGTCAGTTTGAGCCTCACCATCCCCCCTACACGCTGCCTCCTGGTGAGGCAAGGGCATGGAAGGAGTGATGATACAGGGTCTCAGCTGAATGCAAGGGCCCTACTCCTTATTCAGCACCACTTTCTGTAGGGTTCCACATGCTGAAGGAGAATAGAGGAAGCGGCATGTTCTTCTGAGTTCTTCCTTGTTCCTTGGCCTGTAAAGAACTCTAGTCATCCAAAACACTTTCTTTCATTTTCAGAAAGCCAAAAACTATCTTGAAGACTGAGACTTTAAGCATGCATATGCTGTAGCTACATCCTGTGTGGCTCCTGAGAGCACAGCAGCAGCCCCTAGTCCCAGATGGGCTCTGATGTGCCATCAGTTTCTGCTCTGTCACTGGGGCACATCCTCTGTTCTCACGTGCTTTGCTGGAGTCCTCTTCATTCGCTCCTTTCCCACTAGATCTTAGGATTTCATTACGAAAAACTAACTGCCATTCTTTCTCACTTTTCTTGCACTATTTCCCTGAGTTCTATGAACTCTGTGCCTCAATATCCAATGCCCCATAATAGACACCATGTATGTTCACCTAAATCAGGAGTTACAGTTTGATCTACCTTAACCAGAAAAGAATGTTTCCCTGAATTCAGGCACTTCAAATAACCAAGTCATATTAAGGCAGTGACATTATTTCTTATTCTTTTAACCAGTAAGATATCATGGGCTTGGACAAGTCATTTATTTCCTCTGAGCCTTGGTCTTCTTAAGTGTAGGTAGGCAATACCAGCCTTACTTACTTGGCAAGATCAAATGGGATAATGTCTATGAAAGCCATTTAACACATAGAAAAGCATCATAGCATGTAAATAAGTGAGAAAAACATCGGGAGAAAGAAGGCATAAGAGTAAAAATAGTTGGAAGGGGTGAACAGGTAAGTCCCAGAACAAAAATTTGGGACTAGAAGGGACATTCTAGGACCAGATTGGCTGGAGTAAGATTCATCCCATCTCGTCCAAAGTACTTGCCTCACTTTACCAGTTCCCAATATGACCACATTTAATTGTTCAGAGTAGAACCTGTCCTGTCCAGCAACAGCTCCATTTGTTCTTCTGAAAATTTGAGGAAGAGCTCTTCCTTTCTACCTGTTTTTCATTCCAATCATTAATGGTTTGAGAAAGTCTGAAAAAAAATAAATAACTGGGTCTCCCTTGATGGCTCTTCCTGGGTAAATCATAAAAGGAATCATGTACCTGTCACTCTTTAGCTTTCATTTACAACTCATCAAATTTTAATGGGGAAAATTTCAGAACCCTAGAATCTTAGAGCTGAAGTTAACTTTAAAAATCACCTTGCTCAATATTTAAGACCAAGATCCAAACCCATGGTTATACAGTGATTTATGGAGGAGGTGGGACTAGAACCTAATCCTCAGCTCCCAGGTCAGGGCTCTTTCTACTTACGGTGTCCTGGTACTAATACTAACACTGAACTAAGCACTAGGTACTTGCACCGTAGTGCGAGTAGTGCAAGACTACTCATACTGATACTCAATTCTATATAAACTAGCCACCCAGAATACTCCTATGTCTAAAGTGTAAACAGTGATGAGGATATTCAAATAACTTCCCTCTCCTAGTCCAGAGAGAAGCATCCAGGCTGGGGGACAATGCCGAGCTGGGAGAGCTGTGCTAAAGTGACGAAAGAAGATGGACGAGGTACGTTCCACAGAGAAAAGTAGAACAGAGGAGGAAGAGAAATTGGAAGATATACAGGACAGGAAAAGAGATAACGGAAGTTGAGGTGTCAGCAGTCTCTAAAAGCGATTCTTCTTTCTCCAGGGCTAATAACATTTTAACTCTTTACACCCAAGCCTATCCTTCAGTCACCAGGTGTCTACCTGAACATGAAACCAGACCAACTAATGATCATTCCCTATACCTCCCTTCCCACTGCAGGCTGGGTTGGGGGCCCCTTCAAGGCACTCCAGAGTACAGATCTTTATCACTGCTTTTGCACAATGCTACTCCATAACTGGTGTCTCCACCACCAGACTGAGTACCTTAAAAGCAAGGACTATGACTTATTCATCTTTTCAACCCCAGCATAACTTCTGGGACATAGGAGTAAGTCACTCACTGACTATTCATGAACAAATATCTTAACTCAGCTATCACGTTTTCTGGGAATTTGTTTCAGAGCTGCTGCACCAGTCCTGGTTTGGGTTGAGTGTGCTTCCTCTATGCTCTCACAGCAGGGGTGTGGCTCTCATCAAAGGACCTTTAACTACCATGACAAAGTGACTGGAAAACTTGGTTTTTGGTTTTTGTTTTGAGACAAGGTCTCACTCTGTCACCCAGGCTGGAGTACAGTGGCACAATCTCAGCTCACTGCAGCCTCTACTTCCCTGACTCAAGCAATCCTCCCACTCAGGCCCTTGGGTAGCTGGGACTACAGGTGCAAGCCATCGTGCCCGGCTAATTTTTTTGTATTTTTTGTAGAGATGAGGTTTCACTGTGTTGTCCAGGTTGGTCTCAAACTCCTGGGCTCAAAGAGATCCACCTGCCTCAGCTTCCCAAAGTGCTGGGATTACAGGCATGAACAACTGTGCATAGCTGAAAACTTATTTGAATCACTGACTAGACTGACAACGCTTTGAGGGCAAGGACTATGTCTTTTAGTGCCTCATTCTCAGCACTTAGTATAATACTTAGAAATCACAGGAATTTAATATGTGCTTGTAGAATAGACAAACAAGTGAAATCAAAAGAAATGCTAATAAAGGGCCGGGCATGGTGGCTCACATCTGTAATCCCAGCACTTTGGAAGGCCAAGGAGGGCATATCACCTGGGGTTGGGAGTTTGAGACCCACGTAGCCAACATGGTGAAACCCCAACTCTACTAAAAATACAAAAATTAGCCAGGTGTGGTGGCGCGTGCCTATAATCCCAGCTACTTGGGAGGCTGAGGCACAAGAATTGCTTGAACCCAGGAGGCAGAGGTTGCAGTGAGCCGAGATGGTGCCAATGCACTCTGGCCTGGGTGACAGAGTGAGACTCTGTCTCTCAAAAAAAAAAAAGAAAAGAAAAAGAAATGCTAATTCATCAAGCAATCTTTGTCATAGAGATACCCAAAGAAGCCTCCAGGAAAACACATCGCTTGCTCCAGGAGTGTGTTCCCAGAGTGTCGACACAGCTCCAGCGTTTCTCACAGCCTCTGCTGCCAGGAAAGGATAAAACACCACCCATATTCAGGAACAAAGACAGAGTGAACCCTCCTTCAAGTCTTATTGCTAGATGGCACCTGTTGCTAAAATAGCAGCTGGTAAGCATTTTGTTTTGTTCAAAATAACAACAACAACAGCAACAATAACAAAACCAATATATTACAGGAAGCAACATCACAATGGCAATAAGGAATCACAAGGCTAAATATATAACAGGAAGACATACAGAATTTTAGTAATGAAAGACAAGGAAGAAGCTGCTAGAGCCTGGAGGAAAAAACTGAAGTGCTGATTAGAAATCGCTCAGCTTGCATTAAAAAAGAGAAACAGGAGGAGAAGGGAGAGGAGGAGAAATAGAGAGGGAGTGGGAGAGAGATGGTGGGGAGAGAAAGGGAGGGAGAGGAAGAATGAATGTGGTTTTTTTCCTGGCTCTCTGTCTCATTTTTAATCTGTTCT
This sequence comes from Homo sapiens, assembly GCF_000001405.40. Classification (NCBI taxonomy): domain Eukaryota; kingdom Metazoa; phylum Chordata; class Mammalia; order Primates; family Hominidae; genus Homo; species Homo sapiens. Next base: position 166,972,829 of record NC_000001.11, read on the forward strand.
TCCCTGTCTCCCTTCCTTTCTACCACCCCCTCAAAAGAGAATTCATTGATTGGGCTGGACTAAAATTTCTCACCTTTCGTCTCATGGTTCTCTGTGAAGAATGAGTCTGAATTCATCTCCTCCTTGTCTGCTTCTGTCTCCTCCCTCCCCTCCCCAGCCGCCATTGTTTGCTCCTCTACTTTGCTGAGGCTGAGAGGCAGCTTGTCTGTCCACACCTCTGACAGCAGTGATGGGATGAGGAGAAAGCAGGAGCAGGGAGCAGAGGATGATCAATGGGATCCCAGGAGTCAGTCTCACTTTTGGAGCAAAGAATCCCCAGCCATCTGACAGCTGAGCTGGTCCTGATAACTAACCTGTTGCCTGATTCCAAGCAGAACAGCCTCTCCAGGTGCAGGTGGCAGAAGGCACAGACAAAGCCATCACCTCCCTCAAAACAAAAATAAAACAAAAAGCCCTCCAGCAAAAAGCCCAGAGAGGCAGCTTAGGAGAGGGCAAATGAGACTGGTCTGGAGTTTGAGAGAACTGGAATCTAGTCCCTAATCAATCATGAACGTGCTATGTGCATATTGCCTCTCTAGGACTCCATCTCTATAAACTGAGAGGGCTGAACTACAGTTCCTGTAGTACCCTCCAGTGATATGATTCCATTTCATAAAAAGCTGTGAGCCATCTAAAGAGAGCTCTATGTTTCCCTTCTTCTCTCACTCCCTGCAAACCCCCAGAGTACTTCTTTTAGGCAGACCCCAGCGTGTCTGTAAAGAGCACCTCTGACTCAGGGACCCCTCCCCCCCCCCCCCGATGCCTGGCTGACTTCAGTGCTGTTGTGATACAGGCTCAAGGACTAAGTGCCCTGAGAATATTGATAACCGAGAGTAGAGGCAGATTAAGGATGTGAAGAATCAGTGAGGGTGGGAGTGGAAGGCACTGGGAGGCCAGGGGAGCGGGGTGGCATGGATCAGCCAAACCCTGAAATTAGAGATGATTCATATCTGAATAATGTGGGAGGGATGAACTCAAAGCAGCCAAAAGAAGAGGCTAACTCTGCTGAGGATGCCTCCCCCAGCCTAAACCCAGCAGTGGGGCAACGGCAATGTTAGGGGCATTTCATTTGAAATGGGAAAAATATTTAGGCAATGAAGAATCTTATTCTGAAGCTAAGGGAAATGGGGTATTTGCCTTTTCTTGCTAAATGTATTTTACCCCCTTTACATGACTTGTTTTAGCTATTTTAAGCTTGTTCCCCTTTGCCTAGTGCCTTGATTTTGTCCAGATCTTCTGGCTGGTGATGCTAGAGGTGACAAAACTTCTCATGTGGTACTATTGTCCCTTTTCTCTCCTGCCTTCCACCCCCATCCTGTCCTCACCTTTCTGATCCCTTTTTCCATTTCTTCCATCATTCTGCCTCCACCTTGATTTGAATGGTTGCCTCTGACCCAGTCCAAGCTATCCAGACATTCCTCACCCCCATCCTACTCCCTTCAGCAGGGCTGCTTTGTGAATCTCTCAGGGCTGGCCACCCCAAGGCCCTGTATCCCTATGGGAATCGGAATCCTCATGTGGGGAAATAGGTTAAGAACAAGAGCATCTACTGACCCCAGCAGAATGGGGAGAAAGTTCACCAAAAAGGAGGGGAGGGCACAGAGGACCCAGCTAGACCAGTGACTTTGATGCTGGGGAGAAGCCCAATGCCTCTAAATCTCTCTGCAAATTATCTTTTAGGGAGCGGAGAGTGCACCTATTAGAAAGGCTCTTCTGCTTTCTAATTATCATTTGGGACCACTCCCCAAATGATACCAAGTAAGAGAGAGCCAGGCTCTAAACTCCACAACCAGTGAAGGTTCCATCCCCATCTTCTTCCCAACCTCCAGTTCCTTGCACCCTCCAGAGAGCCACAGAGAGAATGCCCTGGGTCCCCCTCCTTCTCTAGGGAAGAAATTAAGGAGACAGTCCTCTAGCCTCCACCTCCAGAAAACCAGTTCATTTAATTAATCAGCTCCCTCTGAGCTTCCTTTATTCCAGCCAGGCTTTTCACAAGACTCACAGCATTACAAACTCAGGATAAGACCGAAGGAGAACCGTTTTATGGAGGGGAAATGCATTCGAAAGAACAACCTCAGCGCCAATGAGTCAAACACCTGCATCTAGATGCGTCTCACTTGTCATTGGGCTTCTCCCCCGCCGCCCCCATCATTCTCTCTCTCTCTCTCTCACACACACACACACAAACACATACACAAACACACACGTTGCCCCCTCCCCCACTTTCCACCAGACCGCTAAGCAGCTTTAAACATGGTCAGTAAGGAGGAAAATGGGGGGGCGGGGGGCGCGGTGAGAACAGAACCACTACAGGAATATACAAAGTTATTCGTTTCTGTTGAAAAGGACTCTTACCTGTTAGCCAGAAGAGAGAAATCCACCTCAGCAAGACCCTATCCATCTTCCCCAACTTCCCAGCCGAATTACGGAGTGAGGAAAGTGGGAAATGGCTGGAACAGAAGGATCGCTGTCACCCCGCGGCAGCGGGCGGCGGCGGAGCGGCGGGCACCGGGCGTCCCTGGGCGCAGCGCCCGCCGGGCCGGCCGCGCAGGCGGGGCCGGGGGCTGGATCGCGCCGCCGGCTGAGCGCGCGCTGCCGCGGGCTTCCGGGGTCCGCGCAGCGCTCGGCGGCGCATCCGCATGCCCAGGCAGCGCGGCACGGGGCGAGCGTCTCCCCGCCGCAGAGCCCGCCGCGCGGGGGAGCTCGGCCGCCGCACCGCCTCCCGCGCCTCCGCCCCGCCGCCCGCTGCCGCGACTGCCAAAGTTTCTCGGTCACGTGCTGGCCCCCGGCGGCCCAAAGGTCAGCGTGGAGTGATTGAGGCCACGCGGAGAGAGGGGGTCTCTGGGTGGCAGGCAGCGAGAGGCGCGGGGGAGGCCGCCCCGCGGGCCGCGCCGAGCGGGGAGCGACCATCGCGGCTTCTCCCAGGGACGCCCGCGCTCGGGAACCCGGGCGAGAACGCTGGCTGGGGACTCGAGCAGGGGAGCCTGTGTCTGCGGGCAGCCACAGCCAACCTGAACGGGGAGAGAGTGACAGCGGCGAGGGTGGGGGACGGCGGGGACTTGGCGTAACTTCTTACAGGACTTAACTAGCAAGTCCTCTAGGCTAGAATGTTCGCTTCTGCGGTACCCCCGCCCCTCCGTCTGGTTTCCTTTTTGACAGTGCAAGGAACCAGGCAAGAGGCTCCGCAGAATTGAAAAAGGTAGGCGGGAATCTCGCGTCATTACTTTTTCCTGTTAAAATATGAGGTAGAATAAGGGCATCCGGCCCTTTAACAGAAAATATGTAAAACCAGAATGAGATAAATGATTATAACGGCTTAAATCCATCCAACACTTTATAGATTCCAGCACGCATTCACATGGATTATTCCTATTTGTCAGACGGATTTGTCTTGTGTCTCAAAATGTATGTGTTGAGAGAGAACTGAGAAATGTATGATTTGCTTAAGAAATATATTTATGAAGCCTCTACTAGGTGCTAAGAACTAAGGTTACAAAGTGGAATGAGATAGACTTCCTGCCCTTAGGAGCCTCATCTTGGGTCGAGGAAAGGGAGGAAGGTCAGACCATTAAAGACATGATACTTATTCCTAGTAAAACGGGGCAAGTGCAATAATGGAGACATAGAGAAAGTGCCTTGGGAACATAGAGGAAGGACTAAGTTAGTCGTGGGTGGGGAGGGGGCACCACGATAAAGGAGGGGTAACATCTGAGCTGGCATTTGCAGAAAGCACAAGATTTGAGCCATTCAAGGATCCCTGGTGGAAAGGGGGCAGGCGAGGGCATTCTGGGCAGAGGAAAGAGACATAGCAGAAAGGTCTCAAGTAGCATCTGAAAACAGAGTGGTGCCAGGCTGGAGGGGAGTTCCTGGAGCAGACAGACTCCACACCTAAGAGTGAATGTGTACACAGACAGGGAGAATATGTATGTGAACATGTGAGAAATGGGAAGAATAGACCCTGGGCAGCTGTCTTTTATGGCTGCCTGACATCTCAATTCCCTTCTTATTCTGAGAAATTCCAACTGCAGAAGCCAGAAAGTCTAGAGCCACCTCCCTGACCATCCCAGCTGGAATGCAGGCCCGGGCCCCTGGCATAGCCAGGCTGACCTCTCCCTCAGAGCTTTTTGATTCTGGAGCAAGTGGTGGATATAAGAAACAAGGACAGTGGAGAATTGATTTTGTCACTGAGGCAGCAGCAGCATCCAGTGTACATGATCAGCTGTGGCAGAGGTCAAGCCACCAGGATGCTCCAAGGTGTGATTTTTGGCTGTGGTCTTGCAGGCTCTCTGGGTTCTAGCCTCTCTTCTACACTTGGCTCTTCACTTCCCCAGCAATTCTTTGAGCCACCCAATATCCTTTCATAAACTCTTTCTTTGCTTATTTTGGCCAGGATGATTTTTTCATGCTATGTACTGCATGAGAGAAATTTGAGGACTATTTCCTTTCATATACAGAAAAATAAAAATATAGGAGGTACCTAACACTTGTGGGTTTCCTTTAGGTTCTAGGCAGAGTTCTACATGTTTAACAAACCTTCTCATTTAACCCTAAAGAGGGAACTTAGGCCCAGAGCATTTAACTAACTTCTCTAAGATCAGGCAACTAGTAAGTGGCAGAGCTAGGATTTGAATCTGACTCTAAAGCATATACTGTTTGCACCACAAAAAGAACATCTACACCAGAAGATTGAGATGATATATTTGTATTATGCTGTGCCATTTACTGCATCTATGTGTGTGTGTCACAGTGCACAAAAGAGCTTGAATAGTGTTTATTATCTAAGCACACATAACAGTGGCATTTTGGCCAGGTGCAGTGGCTCACACCTGTAATCTCAGCACTTCGGGAAGCTGAGGTGGGCGGATTGCTTGAGCTCAGGAATTTGACCAGCCTGAGTAACATGGTGAAACCCCATCTCTACAAAAAATACAAAAATTGCCAGGCGTGGTTGTACATACCTGTAGTCCCAGCTACTCTGGAGGCTAAGATGGGAGGACCACTTGAACCTGGGAGGTTGAGGCTGCAGTGAGCTGTGACCACGCTACTGGACTCCAGCCTGGGTGACAGAGTGAGACCCTGTCTCAAAAAAAATGGCATTTTATGCAAAACTTGGACATATGAGCAAGTTTATACATGTGAAAAATGGGAGATGGACTGAGTGAAGGAAGCCTGGATGTGTATATGAAGTGGAACGTGAATGCCCACAGAAATGAACTCATGTCTGCTCAGAGGAGGTGTCTGTGTAGTTGAATCAGGAGACTTGGAGAAGAGCTTGTGCCACAATGAATCATAGAATGCAGTTGCCTTGTCCATCATCCCAGAAATGTGTTTTCCATGTAGTGCCCTGCATGTCTACTTTATAGCCAGAGAGGTACACATGGTGTATCCTGAATCTTCCTGAGTGAGTGGCGCCCAGGCCATCCTGAAGGGGATGCTAAACTGGAGTGAATCACAATGTGTGCCCCTCCATCACCTTGCACATGTTGTTACCAAGGTGATGAAGGGTTAATATAAATTTTGAAATATATGTAATGATTCAAAACATGTAGCCTAAGGGATGGAGGTGGAAAGAGGATGGGAAAATGGTGTTATTTTGCCATATTGGTGGTGGGTGATGGGATATGGCACCCAGAGTCCCAATGTGGTTTCTGAACTTCCAGTATCAGGATCATATTACTGTGTTTGCTTAAACACAGATTCACAGGCTCTACTAAGAATAATGAGCTCAGAAACTCCAGGTGGAGCCCATAAATCTGCAGTTTAACCACTTTCCCCAGGTGCTTCCAATGCACAGTAATGTTTAAGAAGCAATACCTATCTTTTTGTTCTCCTGAGAAGCTGTTGAGCTGATGTTTTCTAATGAGCCTTGTATCTGGTTAAGCTCCAGTTGTTCATTCATTCTGACCTAATAGGACAGGACCCCAAATAGAGAGATTGATTCATCACAGCCAAGGAAGGGGTCTGGCTCTGCAATACTTCAAACTTTCTACTGCAATGAGACAAACATGTCACAACAATGACCTGTATGGGACCAGAACAAGATTCCCAGGAAGCCACAGCTGGGATTGTATGTGGTGGGGGGACTAACAGGCTGCTTCAGCAAAGCTCTACACTAGAGAACAGAATTAGGACACAGAGAAAAGAGAAGTGAACCACCACAAGGAGACATACTGGTAGCTGGTAGCAACCACATAGTTATAAATATAATGTAGCTGAATCCTCTTTAAAACATGATTTCATTGCAGACACACAGGCATGCATGCACATGAATACTGCTTAACGTGAGTCTGTTTAAAGCACACAGATAAAATCATATTTCTACTTCTCCTCTCTGATCCTGCATTCCAAGAGGAATATACGAAGTATGACTCTGAAACAGATACCATTTTTCTCATGTAAGTTTGGTCCATCTTTTTTTTTCTCTTGCTACCTTTTGGGTTTGTTATCTTTCCCATCCTCCATACCTTCAAAACCATCCTCAATGAATTATAAGTTAAAAAAAAAACTAAATTAAACCAAGGAACTAAAAAAACTGGAACCCAGAAAACCAAGGAACTAAAAAAACTGGAGACTCTAGGCACCGTATACTGAAAACCAAAAACATTTTCAATCTTGAAGTCTTTTCATGTTGAATAAATTGTTTGATTAAGAAAATGCTTTAAAGAAAGGAAATGCAAGTATACAAATGCATTATGCCAAAACAAAACAAAACAAAATCTGAACTGGCAAGAACAGTGGACACTAGACACCACACTATCTAGAAATTTAAAAAGGTAAAAGCCTGGGAGAATGTGTTGAAAATTCCATGTACTTCCAGCAGATTTAATCCAAGAACCTGCAGTCTCAGGCTTCAAATCCAACTGCAGTGGTGCTGGGTGCTGAATTAGGTGATGCTTTGTGTGCCCCATCCTAAAGCTAGATCCTGCTCAACAGTGGGGGCAGCCCTTGCCTGAATTAGCTCTCTACCAAAGCATTCCCTAAAAAGGTCCATCCAAGGATAATGTGCAGAAAAAAAGAACATAAAAGTATATTTAGAGCTTGGTATCAAATATGAAAAAATACATTTAAAAGGGACAAAGGAAATAAATGAGTAACAATGGTTATCTCTGGGAAGATCATCATTCATTTATATTTTTTCTTTATAATTGTCTTTCTTTCTTTCTTTTAGAGACAGGGTCTGACTCTGTCACCCAGACTGGACTGCAATGGTGCCATCGTAGCTCACTGCAACCTTGAACTCCTAGGCTCAATGCTATCCTCCTGCCTCAGCTTCCCAAGTAGCTGGGACTGCAAGTGCATGCCACCATGCCCAGCTAATTTTTAATTTGTATTTTTTTTTTTAGAGACTGCATCTTGCTATGTTGCCCAGTCTGGTCTCAAACTCCTGGCCTCAAGCAATCCTCCAACCTCAGCCTCCCAAAGTGCTGGGATTACAAGTTTGAGCCACTGTGCCCAGCCTATAATTTTCTATACCCTCTAATATTTCTATAATATAGGAAAAGGTGCTGGACAAAAGCTGTGCCCATGCCAAAATTTACTCATTGTGAATTTGTCCTCCAGTCTCTAGGACATCCCTGCAGAAAGGAGAGAAGCAAGGAGAAGGAGTGACAGGTGTTTTGTCAGGCCTGTATCTTCAGCCAGATACAAAGCCCCCACATGTACACCTGCTCTCATTATGTCTCATTCGTGAGCAGTTAATCAAGTTAATTATGAGCAGTTGAGCCCTGGGAGCTTTTACTGACAGTGCAACCTATAATTTCTCTGAAAGTTACAGAGCCAGAGATGAAGGTTACTGCTCTTTTAGGAGCCCTGTCTCCAGTTTTTGCTTTTGTTTCTGTTTTTATTTCATGGTTAGCATCCTTTGGAGACCAGAAGAGCATTGACAGCCCCCCAGATGAGCAGCAGAGCAATTCTTATACTAGTGGTCAAGCAGCTTCCTACAGCCAAAAGGCTATAGGAAGAAAGGGTAACTGGCTGCCCTACAGTTTACACGATGAAGCTGCCTTGGGCTCTGGGTCTTGGTGATTTAGCCAGAAGATTGTTTCTCAGAGCTCAGCCCTACACATTCTCCTAAAGGCCTTCTTCCTGGCATAGGTCAAAGACAGAACCTGAGAGAGGGAAATGAGCCAGAACAAATATGTCATCTGATGACCTCACCCCCAGCAAATGGGCAGGGAAGAGAGCTAGAATGAGAAGGCCAGAACATGGAGCACCATGAAAAGAAACTGCTCAAGCAAGAGAAGTGGCATGTGGGCTTTAAAGACCAGGGTTAGAAAACAGCAGCCCTGACCTTTGTGTTGAAGTAGCGGGGCGAGGATCTCTCATAGAAGTGTTAATTCTGTACTCCTTCCCCAATTCTGAGTAGGTGCCTTTTACATAGAGATGATCAATGTGTACTTGTCTAATTAATTACAAACTGCCCCCAGTGTATTCATCTTACCTTTTCGTCATCTCTCCTTTTCTTTTCCCTGAATTCATTCATTTATTCCACACATTTATTGAATACTTACTATATTCTAGACACTATGCTATCTAGAAATTAAAAACGAATATGAATTCAAAGATGAATGAATCACAGCCCCTTATGTCAAATAGCTTACATTTGAGTTGTCTCCATGTGTGTAGAGAGGGAGGGAGGGAGGCAAATATGTGGTCTTTATGATGGTGTGACAGGGCCTGTATTAGGACATGTACCAAATATGGTAGGAAAATTAAGTGGGGGAGGGTCAATTAGTTATCAGTAGTCCTGGTCAGAGATATCTTCATGAAAAGGTGACCCCTGAGCTAAGCTTTAACATCATCTGGACAGAATTTCTAGGGGCAGAAAGGGAGCAGGAGGTAGTACAGATGCACAAGCAATAGGCAGAGGTGAGAATAGGAACTGCTGCCCAGAGCATAGGTTTACAAAAGGCAGAGTCAGCAATAAGGCTGGAAAGGTAGGCTGAGGTTGAACCAAGGGAAACCAGGATAGCAGATTTGGATGTAATTCCACCGGCAATGTACCATCCATGAGAATTTCTAAGTAGAACAAGATCAGACCTGTGTCCCAACCAAGTTATTCTGGCCACAGGGTGTAGGATGAATTGATGGAGACAGAGACAACAGATTGAGGTCTCTTCCATGGGAGAGCTCATTACAAGAGCTCAAGAAGTAACAAGCACCTAACAAGGGGCAGCACGAAGAGAATGCTAACATCAATTGAGAAAGACATTGCAAGGAGTCACAAGAGGTAGAATTCACATGTATATTGCAAGCAGGAGGAATCAACCAGACATCAGGTTGAGTTACTAAAGATCTGAGAGCACATTCAAACAATGTCTAGATGGTACTCAGAAATTTATCACTTAACTTTGGCAAAGCATCAGGTAATAACCTTGAACATCTAAGATAAACAGATTGGAATGAGTGTTAACTTGGGATCTCATAGATGTCAAAGTCACTCAAAGGCTGTGTGGCATGTGGAAGTCACTTCACCACTCTAAGCCTCAATTTCCTTTTCTGCAATATGTGGATAATCATGGAATCTATTTCATAGGGTTGTTGTGAAGGGGAGATAAGATAACCCTTGTGGAGTGTTTAGCAGAAAGCTGGATGTAGCTTGCAATGAATGTCACCTATTATTACTACTATTATTATTATTAGCACAGGAGGGAAGATGCACGCTGAATAATGTTGGCCTTCACTTAAACTACCATCAGGAAAAAACTCAGCCACATTTTCCAAGAACACTTGTGGTGCTCTTCAGTGGTTTGCATAACACGTACCTGGTTGAAAATCACACCTTATACTTAATTAAAAAAAAAAGTAATAGTCATCCAAATCTCCAGTGGTTTCCCCCAATTTAGACAAAAATCTAAAGTCCTTATGGAGGCCCTGTAAATCCTGTATGATCTGGCCCTACCTCCCTCTCTAATATTCTCTCTACTTTCCCCCTCACTCACTTTACTCCAGCCATGTGACTTACTTTGCTTTTCCTCAAACATACCTGATATGCTCCCACCTCAGAGCTTTTGCACTTGCTATTCTTTCTGCCTGGAATGCTCTTCTCCAGATATCTTCATGGTTTGCTTGCTCTCTTCCTTCTAGTCGTTGCTCAAATTTCATTTCTTCATATAGGGCCTTTAATAACCACCCTAAAATTGTACCCTCTAACTGTTGCTATTCCCTTATCTTACATTATTTTTCTTCATTGGACTTATTGTCCAAAAAGATATTCTGACATCTTGTTATATACATAATAGTTTATTTATTTATTACCTGGGTTTTTTTCCACTATAAGCTTTTTTCTATTCAACCTATTGTGCTTAAAATAGAGGCTGGTATTCAGTGAGCTCTTAATAAATATCTATTGAATAAATGAACCACTTGCTACTGGAATCACTCCCCTCTCTTGGTTTTCCTGCCTTTCTTCCTACTTTTTCACATGTTCTTCTCAGTCATCTTTACTGGGTCTTCCTTCTCTGGCTTCTAAACGCTAGTGTTCCTCAGGACTCCATCCTGGATCCTTTTTTTCTCTCTCTTCACTCTCTCCTTAGATGATCTCATCTAGTTCATGAATTTAAATACCATCTTTATGTGGCTTACTTCTGGATTCTTTCTCAAGCCCAGAACTCCAGACTTACATGGTCAATTGCCTACTTGACATCTCCACTTGAATATATAGTAGGCATCTCAAAATGAACATGTCCATAATAGAACTCTTGATCCACCCCCTCCACATATTTCAACCCAAACCTGCCACCCTTTAGAATTTCTGAATAGAAAAAAATCAATCTGGTTGGAAAATGGGGAAAGCTGTTCTGTTTATGTAGGACTTAAGTAAAATAGAAAAAAAATCAATTTTATCAAAGAAGGAGAGGAGCAGTGGCTCACACCTGTAATCCCAGCACTTTGAGAGGCTGAGACAGGCAGATCACTTGAGCCCAGAAGTATGAGACCAGTCTGGGCAACATGGCAAAACCCCGTCTCTACAAAAAATACAAAAATTAGCTGGGCATGGTGGCGCACACCTGTAGTCCCAGCTACTCGGGAGGCTGAGGTGGGAGGATCACTTGAGCCCATGGGACTGAGGCTGCAGTTACCTGTGATTGCACCACTGCACTCGAACCTGGTTGACAGAATGAGATCCTGTCTCAAAAAAAAAAAAAAAAAATGGACCTATGAGGAGAGGAGCAGATAACAGAAATTATTGGGAGCTTTGGACCTTGGACCCTCCTTGGCATTAGCACTGTCTCCCTCTGCCCCAAAGTCCTCCCTATCTTAGTAAAAGCACTAAGTGCCCATGGGTTACTCAAGCCAAAATCCTAGGACTCCTCCTTTTTTCTTACTCCTACAACCAATCCATTAGCTAGTTCTATTTTTCCCAAAATACAATTTGAGCCCAGCCTTTCCTTTCTGTTCGAGGTTGCCATCATCACCCACATGGACTCCTGAAGGAGCCTTCTAACTGGTCTCACCATGCCCATTCTTAATGCTTTGAACCCTTTCTCCAAATAGAAAACATGACATGTTTTTTAAAAACCCTTAAATAGAGTAGATCTCAAGTGTTCTCACCACAAAAAAGTATAAGTATGTGAAGTACTGCATATGTTAAGTCATTCGATTTAGCCATTCCACAACATATACATATTTTGAAATATGTTGTACACAATAAATATATACTATTTGTATCTGTCAATTAAAAATAAATAAATAAATATAAAATAACCCCCCTAAATGAACAACAATTGTACTTAGAGCAATACTCGAACCCCTTACAATGGTCATGGTCAAGCCGAAATCCCTGTTGATCACTCCAACCTCAGCAGGCACCATTCTTCACCTGACTAGATACAGTACAGCAACACTAACTAGTCTTCCATCTGTTCTGAAGAGACACCCAATTCTTTATCACCTGAGGCTTTTACACATACTGTTCCCTCTGTCTAGAACTCTCTTCTTTCAATTCTTCACATGACTAGCTCTATTCCGTCCATCCTTTCCCATTATAAAAGCCACCTGCTCCTCATAGAGGTTTGCCCTGTTCACCCATCTAAATATTTGGTAGTTAAATCTAGATATGGTTTTAAAAATGTTAAACTATGAAAAAGCCATCTTGCCCAAGGTGGAGTAACAGGAAATGAATGTATCCAGTAGCTTGAAACAAAACTGCAATTACTTTTGCACCAACCTAATAAAAAAACTGGTCAAAATATATGAAACAATGTTTCCAAACACTAGACACTGGGGAGTAGAGATGAGTAACCCCTGAAAGAACCACAGCAAACAAGGTGAGCTCTGTGATTGCCACAGGTAGCTGCCTGGAGAGAGTACCGGAATGCAGTATCACAATGGGTTACCTAGGCAGAGCCCAGTGGAGTCTCCTTGAGTTGAGGAGATGGAGGTGGGTGTCAAGGTGCGCCACAGTGGATAGAGTTTGCAGGGCAGAGTACCAGAAACAAGGGAACAGCACAATCACCAAAAAAAAGGCTCTGGAGATATGGTAAGGATCTCCCTTGAAGCCTGAGCTGAATACTGATCAGTGCATGTGTGGGAAAAAACTACACAGAGCCAAAGAAAGAACAACCTGAAAGGATTACAAGTAACCATCCTTGGAATTCACATAGGACTAGAAATAGTTTATATTCCCATCAGCCAAAGTGGAATTTGGCTCCAAATTTTATGGAATATCAAGTACAGTACTCAGAAAGATGTTATATCAGTAGAGGAGAAAATTAGCCTTAAAGATTGCTCTGATCTCAAATAACAAAGCAGAAAAGTAAGCCTAAAAAGAGTGAAAACCAGACTCAAACTGTTTCCAAGTAACAGAACTGTGTCCCAAAACAAAGCCCAAAAATGTTTATAAGAATATAGAAATATGCAGCATTAAACAGGGTAAAATTTACAATGACCAGCATCCAATCAAATATTACCAAGCATACAAAAGAAGCAGGACAACATAATCCATAAGAAGAAAAATCAATCAGTAGAAACAGACCCAGAAATGAAACAGATAATACAATGAGTAGACAAGAATTAATGGTTATCATAATTATATTACATGTTGCAACTGTATTCCATGTTAAACAACGTAAAGGAAGGATAGACTATGTTAAGTAGAGATATGCTTAAAGATTTTTAGATTTTTTAAAACGACCCAATCAACTTCTAGAGATGAAAATAAACAATCTGATATGAAAAATACACTGGATGGAATTAATGCAGATTAGACATTACAGAATAAAGTATTACTAAACACAAAGACACCAATGGACACTATGCAAAATGAAACAGAGAAAAAAGACTGAAGGAAAAAAATGAAGAGAGCATCAGTAAACCATGGGCAACTTCAAGCAGTGTAAAGGAGTAGTGAGGAAACTTTAGGGGATGGATATGTTCATTATCTTGATGGCAGATGGTTTCACAGGTGTACACGTAAGTTTAAATTCAATAAATTATACACTTTAGATATATTGTGTTTATTATAGTTCAGTCATATCTAAATGTTGTTATAAAAAAAAGCAATGTGAAATTAAAATCCCAGATGATACCAACATGGGAGACAGAAGTGGGACGGTGGTGCGTGGAGTGAGAGAGTCTGAGTGGGAAGAAGTAATAATTTTCTAAGCTGCTTGTCTGTTTGGGAAGAGGGGATGTGAATACCTATTAGCTGTAAAAGTTGTGATAAAAATGTAAGTTTTAAAACAAGTACACTAAAATTTATGGGTAACAGCAGAATGAAGAAAAATAGAATGTATAACTTTAAAACCAGTGGAAGAGAAAGTACAGCAAAAAATAGTTATCAATCCAGCTCACGCAGAGAAGGGAAAAATTAGAAACATAATAAACAGGCAAGAAAATAAATTGAACAAAGCTTTTTATTCAAGAAACTAAAAAAAGAAACATAAAACAGCCTGAAGTAGAAAGAAGGAATTAATAAACTTAAGGCAGAAAAGTGTGAAAAGGCAAAGAAAAACTGTAAAGTGGATCAATAAAATCAAAAGTGTTTTTTAAAAGATCAATAAAATAAACAAAATTTGGCAAGTATTAAGGAAAAAATCTGGAAGGCATAAATAATTAGGAATGAAAAGGAAGGGGACGTGTGTGTGTGTGTGTGTGTGTGTGTGTGTGTGTGTTTAAAATTACAATCAACTGTTACATTTGTTTTTATGCCAATGTTTTTTAAAGTCAACTTTATTGACTTTAAAATGAAACACACCTATTTTAAGTCCATAGTTTGATGAATTTTGACAAATATATACTACTAATAGCCACCAACACCACAATTAAGGTAGAGAACATTTCTGACAACCCAGAAGGTTCCCTGTGTCAGTTCTCAATCTCCCCTCCCCACCTCCGGGCTCCAGGTAATGCTGATCTGATTTTTATAACTACAGTTTTACCTTTTCTCAAGTTCTGTATACATTGAATCACATCCTATGTATACTTTTATGTATGCCTTCTTTCACTCAACAAAATTTCAAAATTCATCCATGTCGAATATCAATAGCTCATTCCTTTTCATTCTTGAGTAGTAGTCTACTAAATGAATGTGCCACAATTTATCAGTTCACCTGTTGATGAACATTTGGGTTGTCCAGCTTGGAGCTCTTATGAATAGTGCTACTCTCAAAATTCATCTACAAGGCTTTGTGGATATATATTTTCATTTTCCTAGAAGAATGGAATTGCTGGGTCCTATGATAAGTATAAGAAACTGTCAACCAGTTGTCCCACCAATAATGTATGAAAGTTCCAGCTGCTTCAGATCCTTGCCATATTTTATACCAATACACTAGAAAAATCTAAATGAGATAGACACTTTTTCTAGGAAAATATAATTACAAAAATTAGGTGAATAAAACTAAGAAAACTGAGAAGACTAATAACCATACAAAAGATATTGAAATGGTAGTTAAAGGTGGACGCACCCTCCAAAGATGTAAAAGATCAGAGAGTTTTACTAATAAGCTCTACCAACCTGTCAAGGAATAGATAATTCCCATCTATTATTCTATCTGAACACAACCCTGATACCAATATTTGGTAAAGAAAATACCACAAAATCTATACAGTTCAATATTACTATAATCAAGGAAGCCAAAATTCTATATTATGTTTTTTAAAAAATAAGCAAAGCCTCATGATCAACAATAGTTTATACTAAGAATGGTAGGCTGCATCGTTAGAAAACTAGCAATATTCTTTATGTTAACAAATTAGGCCAGGTTCAGTGGTTTACGCCTGTAATCCCAGCACTCTGGGAGGCCTAGGCAGGCAGATCCTCGAGCCCAGAAGTGTGAGACCAGCCTGGGCAACATAGGGAGACCTCGTCTCTACAAAAAACAGAAAAATCACCAGGGCCTGGTGGTGTGCACCTGTAGCCCCAACTACTCGGGGGGCTGAGATGGGAGGTCCTACTTGAGCCCAGGAGGTCTAGGCTGCAGTGAGCCGGGATCGTGCCACTGCACTCCAGCCTGGGTGACAGACTGAGACCCTGTCTAAAAAAAAAAAAAAAAAAAAAAAAATTTAAAAGATAAAACCGTGTGATTACCTGAAAAGATCCAGAAATTTAGCAAATTTTCAACTGCCATTCTTGATTTTAAAACATATACATACCCCATATATACATACACTTAGAAAGCTGACCCGAGAAAGGAATTTTCTCTGGGAAACGTAATTAGAAAACCGAGAGAACCAACTAGCACGATGTAAACTAGTATAAGAGATCAGCAGTGTGACTATATACACAGGACCAACACTAAAATCAATACCTTCTCTAGACATCAGTAGTAATCAATTAGAAAATATAATTTTTTAAAAGAAATTTTTCATAAAAACTCATATTGTTAATTAGGAATAAAATTGACAAAAAGGAAACAGTTTTATGAGGAAATCTATAAAACTTTAAGGATATTTTAAATCTCAACCTCTTCCTCTGTTTCCTTCTAACACTTATTTTTGAATGTACTTTTAAAAAATTCGAGTTTTGTTGCTTCACTGGTTTTTGTCATCCTCTCCCCTCATTCGATTGTAAACTTGAGGGCAAGGAAGACCTTGTCATGTTCCTCATACATGTTCCTCAACACTTTTCACAGTGCTTGGCATAAAGCTGGCTGGCCCTTTGTACCTGTAAAACGCGGAAACACCCGCAGCTCCTCTTTTTCTCTACCTACTTTGTCGCACATTACGCAATAATGTACAGAAATTGCTCCAGGCCTCCCACGTGACAATGCCTCCGCCTGCCACGCACCCAGCCAATCAGAGCACTTGGCACCTGCGACGGCGCTCTCCCCCCACCTCACCCGCAAGGCGGCACGAGCCGGAATCTTCCAGTCTCAGGCTGTTTGTTCCCCCGCGGGGCAATGCGACTGCGCGTCGCTTCCTGATTGGCCGAGAGTTGCGGGCTGCGTGCGCAGGCGCCTACCTCTGTTACTTAGGGCGGGAGCCCGGCGAGGGCGCCGGTGCTTTGTTCTGTCTGAGGCCAGGAAGTTTGACCGCGCTGCCATGCCGAACCGTAAGGCCAGCCGGAATGCTTACTATTTCTTCGTGCAGGAGAAGATCCCCGAACTACGGCGACGAGGCCTGCCTGTGGCTCGCGTTGCTGATGCCATCCCTTACTGCTCCTCAGACTGGGCGGTAAGGCTGGAGCGGAGTGAGAGGGCTGGGCAGGGCAGTTGGGCAAGCCGGAGGGTGAGGCGGGAGGGCAGAAGGCCTCGAGGAGGTCAGGCGGCTTGGCCCTGCCAGAGGAAGAGGAAGGCCCCCGTTTGTGGCCCTGGGCAAACCGACACCAGAACCACCTCCCTGTAATGCCCCAGCATCTGCCTGCGGGCCCTAGAGCACGGGATCCTCACGGCTGTTTCTCTTCTTTGCTCCTTCAATCCCCAAAAGCTTCTGAGGGAGGAAGAAAAGGAGAAATACGCAGAAATGGCTCGAGAATGGAGGGCCGCTCAGGGAAAGGACCCTGGGCCCTCAGAGAAGCAGGTAAAGTTAACGAGAGAAGAGCCGCCATCTGCCTGGCACATAGGCATATTCAGTAAAGGCTGGATGAGTGAATGAGTGAATGTCAAGGGTGGACTGCTTTGGGGGTTCGGTTAGTGCGAAGACGACGTTCTTCTTTTCCCCTGGTGTCAGAATGCCTGTTAAAAAAAACCAACAGCCTCCACAACTAGGGCATGCACACATTGGTGTAATTTGATGGTGAAAGGCCTGGGGAATTCCTGTTAGGAAACCTGTAGACAATACACTTTGATCGCTAATGGGAGTGTAACATCTAGGGGTTGTACTAGATGACATCAAGGTGTCCCTTTCAACTCTTCTGTGATTAATGAGCCTTGGCGGGGGGTGGGGGGTGGGCAGTGGGGGCTTAAAACTAGTTTAGACCATTCTGTCTTTTTTTCTTTAGCAAAATATACCATTCTTTTAAAAATGACACCTGAAACAAAGCCAGCTGCTGTGTTTAAAATATTGAAATAACAAGACTTGGATTAGTTGGTGTATGTGTGTATGTTTTACAAGAGTTGAATAGGCTGGGCACGGTGGCTCACGTCTGTAATCCCAGCACTTCGGGAGGCGGAGGTGGGCTGATCACTTGAGGTCAGGAGTTTGAGACCAGCCTGGCCAACATGGGGAAACCCCAACTCTACTAAAAGTAAAAAATAAAAAAAGCTGGGTGTGATAGCAGACGCCCGTGGTCCCAGCTACTCAGGAGGCTGAGGTGGGAGAATCGCTTGAACCCGGGAGGCAGAGGTTGTAGTGAATCGAGATTGCGCCACTGCACTCCAGCCTGTGCGAAAGAGCAAAACTCTGTATCAAAAAAAAGAAAAAAAAAAGTTGAATGAAGTTTATTTGGGTAAATTTCTGTGTAGTAGAATGTTAAAGTACTAAATAAAATTTGTTTTCTTGTTGATTTGTATCAGGAAAGTGCCAGGTAATTGTTGGTGCTACCCTACCCTTTGTTTTTTCCATTCTTACATGGTAAAATTCCATTCTTAAACTGTCAACATTGGATTGAAATTCAAGAGATAGTTTTATTTTGTGGATTTATGAGTAGAAGCTCAGTTGAGCTTGTACTTATACTTGCAAGCCTTATTCTTACAAGATATCTCTCCTCAAAACTAAAGCTATGGTGTATGTGTACCTCATGTGAGACTTGGAGACAACATAATCTGGTTTTGACTTTAAGTGAAAAACAAGCAAAATTAGAGTACTTTGGGGCATAGTGTGCTTTTGGCCACTGGCCTGGCATGTAGTAGGTGGCTCAGGATGATTACCTTGGATAATCAGTAGTGGGCAAAATGGCTTTCAGTAGTAGTGGCATTGGTTATTTACCACTCCCCTTCTGATTCAGAATATTTATAATTTGTTATTCTGCCTTTGGGTGTTGGTATTATTGACAGATATATTTATTCACTGGATTCATTGACCTTGGTAATCTATAGGCTGTTTTGCAGTTATTTAGCTAAATTTTAATGTATGGTCTAAAAGTGCCCAGCAAGAGTTTATGTGGCCAATCATTCTCTTCCTCTTTAGAAACCTGTTTTCACACCACTGAGGAGGCCAGGCATGCTTGTACCAAAGCAGAATGTTTCACCTCCAGATATGTCAGCTTTGTCTTTAAAAGGTGATCAAGGTAGAGTAATCCTGAAATATTTTGCTGAGATAAATTTGAGTGCCCAAAACACTATATTTGTCAGTAAAAATATTTTCTGTTCATTTTGATCCTCCGTTTCAAAGTAAATAACTGCAAGTGTTAAATATTGTGGTACTGACATTATAAAAGATTAGGTAATTTGTTGAAATAAAATAGGAGAGTGGTTTTTTTTTTAACAAAAATCTGTTCTCTGTTTCTACCACTTTATATGTTGTTAAACATAGGTATTTTTTAGACTTGTTTATAATTGGACACTTAAATATACTTAAGTTAAAAACAAAAGTAAACAGGTGGAAGAACGTTTTCAGATCTGTTCTACAGTGTGATGACTACGTTAATGTATGTTTCAAAATTGGTAAGAGTAGGTTTTACATATTCACACCACAAAAAGTGAGGTGATGGATATGTTAATGAGCTTGATTTAATCATTCCACAATGTATACATGTATCAAAACTACATTGTACCTCATAAATATGTATATAATTATTATTTGTCAATTAAGAATAAAATATTTAAAAATCCTGGGTGGTGGAGGGGGCTTATAAAGATACAAATGAATTATGGAACTTGCCAAGAAGAGAACATAGTTAATAAGGGTTGTTGCTATTCCTTCTGGCTGTTTTTATTGTGTTCTGCCTTTGTTGAACACTGGTAAACTTTTAACAGTCTTAAATGTGTCCAGTCTTGGTAAATAACACTTCACACATTCTCACATTCCTTTATTCCTTTAGAGGATTTATAGGTGGTTTTATATATATTGGTAAAAAGTGAAAAAAGAATGAACTGAATTGTTCATAGTTTATATTACAATCTTTCTACATTGATTCTGCTCAGCTTCGTTTCCCAGACCTATATATTTGTTGAATATGGGTCACTGCTCTGTGTCATTCCTGAGATTCAGGGCTTATCTATGGCCGAATTATGTAGAGCTGGCTGCAAGTTGGAATAATTTTGTTGCTTCATGCAAAGAGTGGTTACTTTAATCCTTGATAATTGTAATTATAAGAATTTTGATTTCTTTATTTGGTACGGCTGATTGGTTTTCTCTTTTCCAGCTCATTTAGGAATATAGGAACAGAAAGAAAATTGTTCTAAAACATTTTTTCCCTTCAACTAAAGAGGCTTTTGTGGAAGAGGTAAATTTGAGACATTCATTTATTCATTTTATCTTACAATTTTTTTTTAGCTCTCCTTGGAGGCATTTTTTATTTTTTGAACATTTTTAGCCATGGCGAGCTACCTCCTCATTGTGAACAGCGCTTCCTCCCTTGTGAAATTGGCTGTGTTAAGTATTCTCTCCAAGAAGGTATTATGGCAGATTTCCACAGTTTTATAAATCCTGGTAAGTAGTCAGAGTAGATGCTAGATCTTAAACGTGTATGGTTTTTTTTTTTAAATCTTGACTTTATTTGATAATAGTACTTTTTCTTACAAGCTCATGTACAGCTGTGTTCTTAATGTAACAAGACTTCATAATGCTTATTGAAAAACTGTTAGGAATTAGGTGTTGACAAAGGGTTTTTTGGTTTAGGCTTTTAACCTCAAGTTACCATTAAAATCAGATGGATAGACTATCTGAACAATTCATAGCCTGCTATTCACCTACCTATGGCCTTACATCTTGGGATTTTCTAAAAGCCGTGTATGCCATGATCTTTTCTTTTTCTACCTCATCCTTCACCTCAGTGGTGACTAGCTTTTTAAGCTGCTATTGCTTTGTAGCCTTGAAGAAATTACTTAACCCCTCTGAACCTATTAGCTCATCTGTAAAGTGGGGATAATATCTATTGGAGGATTGTTCTAAGGAATAGATGACAAATATGGAAATAGCCTAATACTTAATCAGCTCTCAGATATTATCAGCATCTCTTCCTACTGTTCCATCCCATTAAAAAGCAAGGTAGGTATGAAGACATAGGATTTGATACCCTTGAAGGTAAGTAGGAAAAATATATAGGGAGAAGAGATTGGGGACATGACTTCATTTTTAGTTTTGTCAATTATCAATTACTTTAAAATTAATTAGGACATCCCAGCACTTTTTCCTCATTTTTAGATGACAGAAAAGCTAATCATCCTACTCACACTTGTGAGTGTTGCTACTTAGGACAAGTCAAAGAGCTGCTTTTCCCCACATGGGTTGTAAAATATTAAAAAGATAGAATTTGGGGACTGTTTTTCCTCTGAGAAACGCATATACACCTTGCTGTATCAATGCCCTTATGACCCCCTGAGGCCCATTCATGGACGTGGAGCTAAGACTCTTTTGACACATGCTTTCTTTATCTAGCATTTCTTTCTCTGTAAGGAGTAACTTACTTTTAAAAGTAGCTTAGACAATATACCAAATTCTTTAACAGTTTTCATACCTTTGGTTAAAAATAAACCCTATAAAAGTTTAATCTTTTGTATTTTCATGTAATAAAAATTACCTTTCTGTGTGATAACTTGGTCATCTTGTAGAGTATTACTGTAGCACTAGAGAACTTTAAAATTTTTGCTTCTCAACAAGATATTTTGTATTATAGGTGAAATTCCACGAGGATTTCGATTTCATTGTCAGGCTGCAAGTAAGTATAAAGGAATGGGGTAGGATTTGTGACTTGAATCTATTCATACCTGGTTAGACTTATTCCTTTTACACACAAACTATAAAATAAGAGGAAAATAACTTTAGGTTATTGTTAGAGAATCTGCATAGATGTGATAGATGGTGTCTGTGATCTTTAAATTTTTTATAGACTGATAGTATACTGTCCCTTTTCTTTTCAGGGAATTGTTTTATTTTCTGTATATATCCTTTGACCTCAAGGTTGGCTGTTCTTAGTGGCTGGGTACTTAGGAAAACCTTTTAAGAGGTCTCAGATTATCTAGATTTAGGACTGTTTTCAGGGACATCCATTTCAATTGTGTTTTATAAGTTAATACTTCAAAAATAAAACGAGTTCTGAATTTTTTAGATAAGGAAAACAGTTTTCTAAGTATTTTGCAACCAAAGGGCATGACTGTGTATATCTAAGCCCTTGAACTAAACCCTTTTTCTGGGAATTAGGTTTTAAGTGATTTTCTGCTTAAATAGAATGAAAATCGGAATAGGTTTATTTTTAAATGTATATTAAAAGTGTCAGTGCATAGGGACTATTTAATGATTCCTGTCTGTAAGGTAATTTTTTTTTTTTTTTTTTTTTTGAGACGGAGCCTTGCTCTGTCACCAGGCTGGAGTGGAGGGGCGTGATCTTGGCTCACTGCAATCTCTGCCTCCTTGGTTCAAGCAATTCTTCTGTCTCAGCCTCCGGAGTGGCTGGGACTACAGGCACATGCCACGGTGCCCAGCTAATTTTTATATTTTTAGCAGAGACAGGGTTTCACGATGTTGGCCAGGATGGTCTCGATCTATTGACCTTGTGATCCGCCCACATCGGTCTCCCAAAAGTGCTGGGATTACAGGCAATGAGCCACCGTGCCCACCCAGTAATTTTTTTTTTTTTTTTTTTTTTGCTTAGAAACGTGGACAGCTAGCCTCTAGAAGTGTTTGAAATTAAAAATAAGTTTTTCAAATCTGCCACAACCAGCAGCTATAATACTTACAACACTGTTCTTTATAAATGAACATATTTTGGACTTATATTTGGTTGTATATTTTGAATTCTTAATATGTACTAATTCTTTATTTGTTTGACTGGAATCAGGGCTGTAGGCTATGGAATAAGAAATGTAAGGGAGAATTGTTCTAGTAGTTCCTTTTTTGTTTTTTTTTGGAGACAGATTTATGCTCTTGTTACCCAGGCTGGAGTGTAATGGCACGATCTAGGCTCACTGCAACCTCCGCCTCCTGGGTTCAAGCAATTCTCCTGCCTCGCCTCCCAAGTAGCTGGGATTACAGGCATGCACCACCACACCCGGCTACTTTTGTATTTTTTGTAGAGCGGGGGTTTCTCCATGTTGATCAGGCTGGTCTCAAAACTCCTGACCTCAGGTGATCTGCCTGCCTCAGGCTCTCAAAGTGCTGGGATTACAGGCGTGAGCCACCGTGCTTGGCAGTAGTTCCTTCTTATATAGCTTTGAATGGAAAGTAATTACAATATGGAAGAAAAATTCTGTACTTGCTTTAAAGTGTGAACATAGCTAATATCCCCAACTGTTACATCATCTGAGGTTATTGAACTAGATGGCAGTTAAAAAAAAAAAATAAAAAAAAAATGGAAACTTAGCCGGTGAATTAATTTTCAAGTTTTACTTAGACTCTGTTTCAGGTTTATTCATCTGTTAAATGCATTGGAATCCCTACTATGTGCCAGACATTCATTTCTGAGACTGTCACTGGCTTACTGTTCCTTTGCTATTTTGATTCTGTTAAATCCTTCTTAAAAATCTATTTTTGACGACCTATTTTTACAACCTTTTCAAATTAATCAGATTAACAGAAAGCATGGTTCTTTAAAAAAATCTATTAAAGATTCTAGAAATGTTTTCTTAATTTATTATTCAACCTAGTCAAAACTGAGTACAATGTTTCTCATTCCAGGAAACTTAAAATGTTTGGAGCTTACCAATTTGAGTGTGTCTTAAATTGCCAATTTGATAATCCCGGGAAATGTGCCAATTAAATAAGATAAAAATGACTATTAGAGTCACACCTGTCACCATAATAACTAAAAATGCCTATGCTAATGTAATTGAGCTGATTTGGAGGAGACCATGTTTTGTATAGTAACACACTGGAACAAATTTACATGTGGATGTGAAGAATTTGAGTGGTATTTAAGGAACATGCATATGGATCTCTCAAATACTCCTGTGCTGTCTGATCTTTTATGAACTATGAGTGAGAGTATAGGAGGTCCTGGTGCTTCTCCTTCCCCACTTTAACCAGATGAGCTCTGCTTCTCTCCAATTTACTGGTTAATGATTTTTCTTGAGAGAAATTCTGCTTTAAAACATCAAAATTTTGAAAATTGCTTTCAGCTTCCTATACAAAAGGTCCATCAGCTTTTCAAAGGAAGCTTCTACACACAGAACAGATTATAACATTTATTTAAGGTATAACGAACATTAATAAAAAAGCACCCACAAGTCAACTGAAAAAATAGCACATTTCCAGTGCCATTGAAAGTCCCTGTATCTCTCCCTGATGGCATTCCCTTCCCTCTTTATGAGAAAATTACGATTCTGAATTTTGCGTTTGAATTTTGTGTATTTCTTTTCTGAATAGTTTTACTACATGTACATATTTGTTTAAATGATGTGTTTAATTTTACTTGTTTCAACATTTATGTAATTAACATATTGTATGTTTCAGGGTGCCCAATCTTTGGGCTCCCGTGGGCCACATTTTTTCTTTTTTTAAGACGGAGTCTTGCTCCCTCGCCCAGGCTGGAGTGCAGTGGCATGATCTCAGCTCACTGCAACCTCCGCCTCCCAGGTTCAAGTGATTCTCCTGCCTCAGCCTCCTGAGTAGCTGGGATTACAGGTGTGCATCACCATGCCCGGCTAATTTTTTGTATCTTTAGTAGAGACAGGGTTTCACCATGTTGGCCAGGCTGGTCTTGAACTCCTGACCTCATGATCTGCCCGCCTCGGTCTCCCAAAGTGCTGGGCTTACAGGCGTGAGCCACCACGCCTGGCCCCCCTGGGCCACATTGGAAGAAGAATTGCCTTGGGCCACACATAAAATACACTAACACTAATAATAACTGTTGAGCTAAACAAACAAAAATCACAAAAAAATCTTGTAATGTTTTAAGAAAGTTTATGAATTTGTATTCGGTTGCATTCAAAGCCATCCTGGGCCGCATGAGGCCTGCATGCCGTGGGTTGTACAAGCGTGATATATATATTTCCTTTCCTGTGTTTTTTAACTCAATATCTTTCACTCGTTTTCTATTGAATCATTTGTTTTTCTTACTGATTTGAGGAAGTTTATCTTATCTGCTGATGGATTTTTAAAAATTGTGTGCAGATACCTGTTTTCAGTTTGTGTCTTGTATTTTTTACTCTCTTTATGGTGTCTTTTAATGAACAGACTTTTTAAACATTTTTTGATTTTTAGAGATGGGGTCTTGCTTTATTGCCCAGGCTGGAGCATGATGGCTGTTCACAGATGCAGTCGTAGCTCACTGCAGCCTTGAATTCCTGGGCTTAAGTGATCCTCCTGCCTCACTCTCCTGAGTAGCTGGAACTTGAGGCATGCACAACTGTGCCAGCTTGTTTTTATTTTTAATTTGGTAAATGTGTCGATATTTTTTATCATTTATGGCGTTTTGTGTCTTATTCAAGAATTCTTTACCCCAAGGTTGTGAAAATAATCTCTATTTCTAAAAATTATAGAGCTTTATTTTTTGTATTCAAGTTGTTATTCTACCTGGAATTGACTTGTGTATAGTATGAGGGAGAGATTCACTTTAATTTTTAACCATGTGGATAATCATTTATCACAGCATCATTTATTGAATAATCAATTTGTACCCCAATATGTAGTGCCACCTGTATCATATCATGTTTCTGTTTGTGTGTAGGAGGATCTTTTGTTCTCTTTATTCTGTTCTGTTCTACTTTTTTGCTGTCAATATCATATTCTTAAACACAGTAGTTTGATGATATAGATAAGCCCCCGACCTCATTCTTTTGGAATATCATGGCTGCTTTGACCCTTTGTTCTTCCATACACTATTTAGAATCAGTTCTTCATGTTTTACATTAGGTCATTTTGGAGAAAACTGGTATCTTCATTATATTGAATCTTTATATTTGTAAACATGGGGCTTCCCTCTTATTTTTTAGATCCGTAATATCTTTCAATAAAATTTTATAATTTTCTCCATTAACAATCTGAATATCATTTGTTAAATTTATAGTTTATCATGCCTTTTGTTGCTGTTACAAATGATATCCCTTGAAATTATATTTTCTAATTGTTTACTTTTATATTTTGGTTTTGTCCCACCCATTGGTAAACTCTTGAGTTTTTAGCAGATTACTTAATCATATCTGTTAAATCACTTTGTTCTTTCTAATCTACATATCTTCATTTAAAATTTTTAAAATTTGCTTTGTCTTAGTATGCTGACCAGTACCTCTAGTTTCTAGTGTTTCGCCAGTGAGTATGCTATTTGCTGTAGTTTCTTCTTTCTCTCCCCACCCCCGTTTTTGGTGTGTGCTCTTTATCAGGATAAAGATGTTTCCCTCTACATGCACACCTTGTTTTATTGCATTTCACTTTATTGCACTTTGCATATATTGCATTTTTTTACACATTGAGGTTTCTGGCAGCCCTGCATTGAGCAAGTCTATTGGCATCATTTTTCCAGTGGCATGTGCTTACTTTTCTCTGTGTCACATTTTGGTAATTCTCGCAATATTTCAAACTTTGTCATTATCATCATGTTTGCTATGGTGATCTGTGATCAGTGATCCTTGATGTTACTATTGTAATTGTTTTGGAGTGTCATGAACCATGCCCATATAAGATGGCAAATTTAATTAATAAATGTTGTATGTGTTCTGACTGCTCCCCTGACTGGCCATTGCCTCATCTCTTTCCCTTTCCTTGGGCCTCACTATTCCCTAAGACACAACAATATTGAAATTAGGTCAATTAATAACCCTACAATGGCCTCTCAGTGTTCAAGTGAAAGGAAGGGTTGCATGTCTCTCACTTTAAATCAAAAGCTAGAAATGATTCAGCTTAGTGAGGAATGCATATCAAAAGCTGCAGTAGGCCAAAAACTAGGCTTCTTGTGCCAAATGACCAAGTTGTGAATGCAAAGGGAATGTTCTTGAAGGAAATTTATGTACTACTCCAGTGAACAACCAATGATAAGAAAGTGAAACAGCCCCATTGCTGATATGAAGAAAGTTTTAGTGGTCAGAATAGATCAACATTCTCCAGTTACCACATTCCCTTAAGCTGAAGCCTAATACAAAACAAAGCCTTAACTCTCTTCAATTCTGTGAAAGCCGAGAGAGGTGAGGAAGCTGCAGAATAAAAGTCTGAAGTTTGCAGAGTTTGGTTCATGAGGTTTAAGGAAAGAAGCCATCTCTATAACATAAAAGTGCAAAGTGAAGGAGCAAGTGCTGACGTAGACGCTGCAGCAAGTCATTCAGAGGATCTAGCAAAGATAACTGATCAAGGTGGCTACAGCAAATGGCAGATTTTCAACGAAAATGAAACCACCTTCTGTTGGAAGAAGACACCATCTGGGAGTTTCATAGCTAGAGAGGATAAGTCAGTGCCTGGCTTCACAGGACAGACTGATTCTCTTGTTAGTGACTAATGCAGCTGGTGACTTTAAGTTGAAGCCAGGGCTCATTTACCCATTCTGAAAATCTTAGAGCTCTTAGGAAATTATGCTAAATTGACTCTGCTTGTGCTAGTAAAAATGGAACAACAAAGCCTAGAAGACAGCACATCTGCTTATTGCATGGTTTACTGAATATTTTAAGAACACTGTTGAAATCTGCTGCTCAGAAAAAAAAAAAGATTCCTTTCAAAATTTTACTGCTCATTGACATTAGACCTAGTCATCCAAGAGCTCTGGTGGAGATGTAAAGAGATTAATGTTTTCATGCCTGCTACCACAATATTCATTCTGTAGCCCATGGATCAAGGAGTAATTTCAACTTTCAAGTCTTATTATTTAAGAAATATGTTTTATAAGGCTATAGCTGTCATAAATGGTGATTCTTCTTATGAATCTAAGCAAAGTAAATGGAAAACCTGAAAAGGATTCACCATTCTAGATGCCATTAAGAACATACATAATTCATTGGAGGAGGTCAGAATATCAACATTAAAGGTTGTTTGCAAGGATTAGATTCCAGCTCTCATGAATGACTTTGAGCAGTTCAAGACTTCAGTGGAAGAAGTAATAGAAGAGAACTAGAATTAGAAATGGAACCTGAAAATGTGCTGCAGTCTCACAATAAAACTTGAATGGGTAAGGAGTTGCTTCTTATGGGTGAGAAAATAAACTAGTTGCTTGAGATGGAACCTACTCCTAGTGAAGATGCTGTGAACACTGGTGAAATGACAAAGGACTAAGAATATTTCATAAACTTGGTAAAGTAGCAGCAGGGTTTGAAAGGATTGACTTAAATTTCAAAAGAAGTTCTGTGAGTAAAATGTTATCAAACAGTATCACATGCTACAGAGAAATTCTTCATGAGAGGAAGAGTCAGTCAGTGTGTCAAACTTCATTGTTTGATTTTAAGAAATTGCCACAGCAACTGCAGGCTTCAGCAACCATGACCCTGATAGTCAGCAGCCAGTAACATCAAGACAGGATCTTCCACCAGCATGGGAATGTAAACTAGTACAACCACTATGGGAAAAAATATGTGGAAATTCCTTAATGAACTAAAAGTAGAACTACCATTTGAAAATTCTAACAATCCCACTACTGGATATCTACCCAGAGGAAAAGAAGTCATACGAAAAGGATAACTTGCACACACATGTTTATAACAGCACAATTTGCAATTGCAAAAATGTGGAACCAGCCCAAATGCCCATCAATCAACAAGTGAATAAGGAAACTGTAGTATATATATGTGTGTATATATATGATGGAATACTACTCAGCCATAAAAAGGAATGAGTTGATGGCATTCGCAGCAACCTGGATGGGATTGGAGACTGTTATTCCAAGTGAAGCAACTCAGGAATGGAAAACCAAACACATGTTCTCACTCATAAATGGGAGCTGAGCTATAAGGATGCAAAGGCATAAGAATGACACAAGGGACTTTGGGGACTTGGGGGCAGAAGGGTGGGAAGGAGGTGAGGGATAAAAGACTACAAATTGGGTTCGGTGTATACTACTCGGGTGATGGGTCCACCAAAATCTCACAAGTCACCACTAAAGAACTTACTCGTGTGACCAAATACCACCTGTTCCCCAAAAACCTACGGAAATAAAAACATTTTTTAAAAAAGATCTTTCGCCAGCAAAAAGATTGTTAAGTCACTGAAGACTCAGGTGATCATTCGTATTTTTAGCAATAAAATATTTTTATATTAAGGTATGTTCATTTTTAAAACAATGCTACTGCACACTTAATATAGTCATAACTTTAGAGTACATAACATTTATATGCACTGGGAAACCAAAATATTTGTGTGACACTTTATTTCAATACTTGCTTTAGTGTGGCAGTCTGGAACTGAACCCACAGCATCTCCAAGATATGTTTATATTCCCTATCTGGCTAGGGAGATAGCAGTTGCACATTTTAATGAATGCTTTTTCTGCATGTCATATGATTTTTATCTTTTGTTCATGTGGCCATTAATTTACTTTTTGAGACAGAGTCTCACTCCATCACCCAGGCTAGAGTGCAGTGGCATGATCTCAGCTTGCTATAGCCTCTGCCTACCAGGCTCAAGTGATTCTCGTGCCTCAGCCTCCTGAGTAGCTGGAATTATAGGTGCACGTCACACGCCCAGCTAATTTTTGTATTTTTATTAGAGACAAGGTTTTGCCATGTTGGCCAGGCCCATCTCAAACTCCTGATCTCAAGTGGTCTGCCCACCTTAGCCTCCCAAAGTGCTGGGATTACAGGCGTGAGCCACTGTGCCGGCCTCATGTGGTACTTTACTAGTGTTAAACGAACCTTGTCTTCCAGGAACAAACCCAGTGTGGTCACTATATATTTTACATATAATATACCGAGTTTGGTTTGTTACTATTTTGTTTTAGGACTTTTCCATTTATGTTAAAGACAGATTATCTAATTTTATTATCAAGTTTATTTTGCCATTATAAAATGGGTTTGGGAATAGATTTTAAGATTTTGAATTTGATTCTTTTTTATGGCTCTACAGAAATTACTAATATTGCCTTTAATTTCCCTAAACATAATAAGCCTAGTTATTTTAAAAGTGTTATGTTGGATAATCCTCTTATCGGGATCTTCTTTTTGGAGTTGATTTTATAGTCTGTTGGTTATGGTGATGTTCAGTCAAGCTAACAGAATCTCTTCATATGTCTAGTTATTTTCGAGTGCTAAACAGTGTATATGAAATCTTGTTATTTCTCTCCAAAGAAGATTTATGATTGTGTCTGTCAGAAAGCTGGAGTCACTAGCATCTCAGATTACCCTAATGCATTTTCATGGATTGAGGTGGTTTTAAATTGGGTTTCAGACATCACAAAAGTTAATTTGTAGTTGGCCTTTACTAGAAAAGGGGGAAGGATGGACAGGTAATCACCAAAGGATTATTAGTAAAATTTACAGTTGACTTCACAGCATAAACAATGGAAGCCAGAAGACAATGGAATATTTTTTTAATTATAAATTTTTATGTAAGTAATATTGCAATAAAATATTTAGTTCTTACCAGCTCTGAGTTTATTGGAAACTCTGTTCTGTTTCTCAGCCTCTAAATCTCCTCTTCCAGAATTGGTAACGCCCTGGGAAGAAACAAACCCAACTGCCAGATTCAGCTCTCTAAGATTTCTTCCTTTCCAAGATTTTGGGCCCATGATTCATTCACCGCATTTTTGTCTCTGCGGGTCTTTGAAGAAGGTGTTTTATTTGTTCAGCTTTTCCCTAATCTATCATTAGAAGTTGAACAACTCCTGCATCTCTTTGGGGGAGAGTAAAGGGGAATGGAGTTCTTGCTCATTCACTCAGGCTGGAGTGCAGTGGTATGATCATAATTCACTGCAGCCTCAAACTCCTGGCTCAATTGATCCAGTCTCAGCCTCCCAAGTAGCTGGGGCTGCAGGTACACACCACCACACCTGGCTTCCTGAATCTTTATACATAATTAACAATTTTATGCTAAAATTGGTAATTTGATCGCCTCAGACATAATTATGTAAAATCTGTCTATTCAAAATCTGGAGTACCTGTGGGTATCTTTCTGTCAACTATATATTTGTTCTCGTTCTTGTTTTATTGTGTACCTGATTGTTCATGGAGTATTTGGTGGAAGTAATGATTTCAGAGTCATTTGAGACTTATGATAATGTTAACTTCCTCTGGAAAGGGTTTGTGTTTGCTTAAGATACCTGGGGGCCTAGAAGGCCAGGCCTAGAAGCTGTTAAAAGCACTCTATTCAGTCATTCAGCTTCCTCTTCTGGAATTGGCAAATGATCCAGAGGAAAAACTTCCCTAAAGCTAATCTCACCGCTCTGAATTGATATATTCTCTAATCTTAACCCATTAATTCCTTAATGCTCTATGTGATCTTAATATCCTCACGCTTTTTTATTTTCTGTGGGAAAGTTGGTCTAAATTACTTGGTCTTTTTTTCATGTGAAGTGGGTGTCATCATATAACTTTTTATAAAGCAGTCATTACTGTTAAGTTCTCAAGCCTTACTAATACAAAATTTATGAAAGGCAGCATGGGAATAGTAAAACACCGCAGGCCTGGTTACTGAACAAACCTGGGTTTAAGTCATGACTCAACTGTTTACCAATTATTAACTTACTGATTTCTGTGATTCTCAGTTGTCTCTCATACACACACAGACACACACACATCAAATCAAATCATAGAATGGCTGTAAGACTGTGGGTTAAAATATGTAAAATCCTTAACAAAAACGGGGCTTTGTACAAGTACTTAACTGTGTGTTACCCACTACTCTCTTCTTGTACCCCCACTTCTATACCTACCCCATAATATTTATCTTGCTCAAAGTTTGAACTTCTCCTTTTTATTTCCCTCAGGTGATTCTAGTCACAAGATTCCTATTTCAAATTTTGAACGTGGGCATAACCAAGCAACTGTGTTACAAAACCTTTATAGATTTATTCATCCCAACCCAGGGAACTGGCCACCTATCTACTGCAAGGTAATTTCAGGTTAAGAAGTTCTTTTAAGGTATCAATTTATAGTACCAAAAGATCCATAAAACAAAGAATTTTTGCCTGTGTATTTTTGTCTGTATATTGTGTGTCTTAAAACACACTCATTTTGAATTGTTTTGAATGTAATTAGGTATAGTGCCTATTTTAAAAATGTCTCCAATTTTGGAGGGATTTTGAAGACTGCAAAAGCTAAACATATATCTATTTTGGTAGAGTTCATGTTCTCTGAGTTCTTCTTTCTGAAATATCTACAGTATCTTTTTACCCTTAAGAATGGATGCTCCATTCTATTCCGTACACCTATCTTTCGAAACAAGAATACCTTTTCTTCAAAACTGTCTTTGTAGCAATCCCTTCCTTCTTTGTTTGTAATATTTAGAGAGATTATATTCTTCCAGGCTTGGAGTTGAAAAGTTGGGTTTTAACCTTGCTACTTAGTATAACCGTGAAGTGATTATCTGATCTTTTTCTGAACATTGGTTTCTTCATTTGCATACCCTAGGTCTCTCTTGCTTCTCATAAAGTATCTTAACATTTCTGTATAAATGTAACTGACTAATAATAGCTGTAGTCTTTTCTAATATATGTCAATTTTTTATAGTTTTCATTTCATTGGCACAAACTCCTCAGTCTTTCTCCTGTGCCCCCTACCTCCCAACCCCCACATTTTGAAAGGACAGCATTAGAAGTCATTCAAAGTAGGAGAAGATACAAGTAGTTTTTTTGTTTTGTTTTTTGTTTTTTGCTTTCTCCAGTCTGATGATAGAACCAGAGTCAACTGGTGTTTGAAGCATATGGCAAAGGCATCAGGTAAGTAAAACTCTGGGTTGCTGCAGAAGTGCTTTATAGTTAATATCTGTATTTGTTTCCACTTTGATATCTTCCAGGTATCTAAATTTACTAATTGTATGTGTTTTTCCATTTACTAATGGAAGAAATCAGGCAAGATCTACAACTTCTCACTGTAGAGGACCTTGTAGTGGGGATCTACCAACAAAAATTTCTCAAGGAGCCCTCTAAGACTTGGATTCGAAGCCTCCTAGATGTGGCCATGTGGGATTATTCTAGCAACACAAGGTATTGCTAGCATTTTTGTTTTAGAGTCATTTTGACTTATTTTCTAGACTGAGAAAATATGGTAGGACTATTTTTGCCTTTTTATGCAATATTTTCCCATGAAAGCTTGGAATCATTGTATTTCCCTGAATATAAAATTTCATTGATAGTAAGATATATTGTTACTTGTGTATCACTAAAAACAAACCTGCCAAATAAACTGTTCTTTCTTATCACTTAGAATTTCTATACTGATGAGAGAATATCCCTAAATTTATTTAGACAGATTTTTATTACATAGAACTCTTGTACTTACATGTAAAAGAATATATAAGTGAAATAAATTGGCAAAAGTATTTTTTATTTTGAGATAATTTTAGACTTACAGAAAAGTTGCAAAAATAACACAAAGTTTACTATTCTCTGTTTCCTTAATTGCTAACATTTTAATACATTTTCTTTATAATTTTGTTTCTAAATATATATACACTTTTTCAAAACCACTTGAGGGTAAGTTGCTATCATTATGCCTCTTTATACCTAAATACTTCAATATGTGTTTCCTAAGAATAAGAATGTTTAGTCTACGGCCATAGCACCCTGAACACACCTGATCTTGTCTGATCTCACAAGCTAAGCAGGGATTGGCCTGGTTAGTACTTAGATGAGAGACTGCCTGGGAATACTGGGTGCTGTAGGCTTTTACTGTGTGAGTGCGTGCGTGTGTGTGTGTGTATAGAACATTTATATTACCATAGTGTAATGATCAAAATCAGGAATGTTGAATATAGGACACAATACTATTATCTAATCCGAAGACCATATTCATATTGTATTAGTTATTCCACTGTGTCTTTTACAGCCAAAAAAATTCTAGAGTCCAGTCCAAGACCACATGTTGCACTTAGTTATTATATCTCTTTAATCTGGAACAGTTCTTCAGTCTTATTTTCACTTTCATGATCTGGACATTTTTGAGTACAGGCCAGTTACTTTATAGAATGTTTCTCACTTTTAGTTGATCTGTATTTCCTCATGGTTAAATTGAGATTATGCATTTTTGGCAGGAATACCACAGAAGGGATTATGTGACTGACTGCTCAGTGTGTCATATCTGGAGGTATATGATGTCAGTTTGTCCAATTACTGATGATGATAACTTTGATCACTTGTTTAATATAGTACCTATCAATATTTCTCTATTGGAAAGTTACTGGTTTTTTACTATATATATATATATATATATATATATATATATATACATTTTTTTTTTTTTTGAGACAGAGTCTTGCTGTATCACCTAGGCTGGAGTGCAGTAGTGTAATCTCAGCTCACTGCACCCTCCACCTCCCAGGTTCAAGTGATTCTCGTGCCTCAGCCTCTCGAGTAGTTGGGATTACAGGCACCCGCCACCATGCCCAGCTAATTTTTGTATTTTTAGTAGAGATGTGGTTTCACCATGTTGGCCAGGCTGATCTTGAACTCCTCACCTCACGTGATCCACCCGCCTCAGCCTCCCAAAGTGCTGGGATTACATGCGTGAGCCACTGCTCCCAGCTTTTTACCATATAATTAATAAATATTTTGTGGGGAAATACTTTCAAATTGGGTAGGTATTCTCTTCCTCAAACTTTCATATACAAATTTTAGTATCAAGTGCTGATTTTTGCCTGAGTCAATTATTACTATCATTGTGAAAGGTGATTTTTCTAATTTGATTGTTCCTTCTGCATTTATTGGTTGGCATTCCACTGTAAAAAAAAAAAAAGTTTCTCCTTTTTACCCATTTATTTATTTTTTTCATTTATATGAGCATGGACTCATGGATTCCTATTCAGTACATTTTAATCTATTATTGTAATTTATTTTTATGATCAAATTGTTCCATATATGGCCAGTGGGAGTACCTTCAAGCAGGGGTTTGTGTGTCCTTTTGACATTGCTTCATTGCTTTCTATCTAACAGTGCTTCTTTGCTTTCTATTTGGCACAATATGTTCCAGGCCTATCTTGTACTTTCTTTGTTCCAGCCCTGGATTAGCCATTTCTCCCAAGAATCTCTGGTTTCTTTTAGTGGAGCATAACAGTTAGGAGATAGAATCTGGGTGGTAGGTGTGCTCATTTCTTACTAGAGTATCATTGATTCTAGATCCCCTTAGTAGAGAGCTAGGAAATATATGTTTGTGTGTGTGTGTGTGTGTGTGTGTGTGTGTGTGTGTGTGTATGTACACACACACTCCATATACATCTGTTTGTAGCTAGGTCTCTCAATCTTTTTATCCATCTCTATCTTATCATGAGTTCACACTTAACCTGTAATTTCAATCCAATACCATAGAGTTCTCTAGTTTTTTTACTTTTTAAAAAATTTCCTTTCTCTGAGAATGAGAACCCTGGCTGTCAGTATTTTTTAGAATTATATGGTACCACTATTTTTAAAAAAAGACATACAACTGTTTAGAGTTTGTTTATAATCGCTTTTAGTCTGAAAGTATATAGTCAAAATACTTTGTTCAGAAGTTATTTAGGTTCTTTTTTCCCCTTTCAGTACAAATTACTCTTTTGAAATATATTAATAGTTAAGTTCGTTTGCTTGTTTGTATTCCATTTTTGCTAATTTAGCTTTTGAATGTCTAAAGCATTTCCGTTTTGTAAACAAAAATAATATTCAGAAGTGTCACTTTATTCTAGCTTCATTAAAAAAAGCTTGTTAGGATTGCATTAAATTTATAAATTAACTTGGGGATAACTGAAATATTTATATTGTTGAGTTGTTTCCAAAGACTAGGGACATCTTTCCATTGTTCAAATCTACTTTTGTGTCTTTCAAATATGTTTTAAAATTTTTCTCACACAGATTGTGCATCTCTGGGACTGGCGCATTTTTGTAGGAGCAGTTCCTTGATAACTTTTTCTGTTCTTCTATGGAAATTGGTTTTATTAGGCTTTCTAATTTTAATGGGGTAAATTTTGGTAATCTGTATGTTTCTAGAAAATGATACATGTTATATAGCTTTTCAAAGTTATTTGTTTAAAGATCTGCAAGGAAGTGTGGTCTCTTAAAATTTTTTTAAATTTCATCTGTTTCAATGGTTATCTTGTCATTGTATATTTGTGCTCTCTCATTTTTTTGTAAGCAAATGTGTTGTCTTTTTTAATTTTTCAAAACAATAGGATTTTAATTTATTAGACCTGTTTTTCTATTCTCTTCCTAATTAATTTTTGCTGTTACTCTCTTTGTATGTTGTTGTTCTTTTTCTAGTTTTGGGGGCTGGAAATGTAATTTATCTTTTGCCTGATTTTTTTGATGTGTTTAGTAGAGTGAATTTTCTCTTAATCATTGTTTTCAATGAATTTACGTAGATTATTGCATGCAATATTTTCATTGCCATTTTAAATAAATTATGTCATTTTAACTCTCAGCCACCATCTCTTTAAAACAAGGCTTTTAAATGTCCAGGTGAAAAGGACTTTCTGCATTTTGTTTCTTTTAGTAAATTCCAGTGTTTTTACATTGTGATCAGAAAGTGTTTATAATATTTTTACTTTATGGAAGTTACTGGTCTTTGGGGTTTTTTTGCTGACTTAATATATAATCAATTTTTGTGACTGTTCTCTTGGCATATGAGAATATACTTTCTTTTCAGGATATAGCATTTGAGATCCACACACATACATCATCTACATTAATTGTATTGTTTACATTTTCTTTAGGTATATTTTATCCAGTTGATATGTCTTGTGTTGACAGTAATCTCCTATTATTACTGTGTTTCTGTCTGTGTTTCATTGCATTTCCTGTAGTTGTAAGCTGGCTGCTGTGATATTTGATGCCTTAAAAGTTAAAGTTTGCTGAACCTTGATACAGTAAATTGATCAGGGGCTCATGGAAGAGTATTCCCTGTGTTCTTGCA
The DNA here is from genome assembly GCF_000001405.40 of Homo sapiens. NCBI lineage: Eukaryota > Metazoa > Chordata > Mammalia > Primates > Hominidae > Homo > Homo sapiens. Next base: position 167,009,290 of record NC_000001.11, read on the forward strand.
TGTTTAAAACTTTTTCTAATGGTGTACACCATATTTCCTTGAGTTTCTAGAAAATGCAACTTCATTTCATGGCTTTGTGTGTTCCTTTTGTGAAATTTGGTCAGTTAATTTTCTTGGCCTTAGTTATCTGATCTTTTTGACTGGAGTTAGTTGATCATTTTGCCTGGAGACTTTAGTCTTTTTTCATTTTTAAAGTCTAATACTGTTACTAGGCTATTTCTCTGAGTTTATATGCAGGTCCATTTTCTAAGACATTTGGTGAGCCCTTTCAATATGCAGAATCAGGTTCTATTTCTGGAGATTTTTTTTTTTTTTAGATCATAGTTTAATGTTAGTTTTGTTCCACTGTCTAATGTTTCTTCTTAAAAGGAGTCCAATATATATGTATGTTTGATCTTCTTTGCCTTTCATTTTAATCACTTTTTCTGACCCTTTTTACTTTGTTTATTCTCATGATAGTTTCTGCTTTCTTCAGTTTCTCTTATTAACTTTACAAATGAATCTGTTCAGCCTTGGGCAGTTGGTAATTTAGTTCTTTTCTGTAATGTTTTTGTCTTTTTTTTCCCCTCTCTTTCTTGAGTTAAGTAATTTCTTCATTTTTTGTTTATTTCTGTTTCTAGTTTTGAAGTTTCTCATTCAGGGTGTGTTTTTATATTCTCACATTCTTTTTGAGGATATTTAATTTAACATGGAATGGTAATTGATATACTTTGGCTCTATGTCCCCACCCAAATCTCACCTCGAATTGTAATCCCTATGACCCCCATGTGTCAAGGGTTGGACCAGGTGGAGGTAACTGGATCATGGCGGTTCCCCCATGCTGTTCTCATGAGATCTGATGGATTTAATAAGCATCTGGCATTTCCCCTGTTTGCACTCATTCCATTCTGCTGCCTTGTGAAGAAGGTGGCTGCTTCTCCTTTGCCTTTCCCATGATTATAAATTTCCTGAGGCCTCCCCACCAATGCAAATCTGTGAGTCAGTTAAACCTCTTTCCTTTATAAATTACCCAGTCTCAAATATTACTTCACAGCAGTGTGAGAACAGACTAATACAGTAATGTTAGGTTTTTCCCCTCCTTCATGTTTTTTTGGGGGGTGGGGGTATGAGAAATTATCAGCTAAAGTGTTTTGATTCTCCTTTTCTGTTTTCTTTTCTTTTCTTTTCTTTTTTTTAAAGAGAGTCTTGCTCTGTCACCCCAGCCGGAATACAGTGACACAATCATAGCTCACTGCAGCCTGGAACTCCTAGAGTCAAGCAGTCCTCATGCCTCAGTCTCCTGAGTAGCTGGTACTACAGGCATGTGCCACCATGCGTACCTAGTTATTTTTCATTTGTCGTGGAGACAGAGTCTTGCTGTGTTGCCCAGGCTGGTGTCGAACTTCTGGCCTCAAGTGATCTTCCTGCCTCAGCCTTCCAAATTGCTGGGATTACAGGTGCAAGCCATTATGCCTGGCTATTTTGTTCTTATAATAGCTTGTTTTCTTCCCATAATAGCTTTCTGTAGATGAAGATACATTGCTCCTTTGCGTTTCTTGGACAAGGCTGATAATTTAGCGGGAGGTTTGATTGAGAGTCTTTTTTCCAAGAACCTTCCTCTCTGTCAATGTGACAAAGTACAGGTTCTTTAATGAATGTTTTCAGGGTGGTGGGAGTGTGGTTGTAGGTTCTTAGAATTTTATTTCCTGCATGATCTTAAATTTCCCCCTTTGCTTTTTTTTTTCTACCTAATTTCTAAAGGGCCCTTCCCCCTTCCTCTTTCACTTAGCATGGCACTTGCCTATAGTCAGTGCTCTGATCTACTAGGACTGTTTGAATATTTACGTAAAGAATGGGCTTCCTCATTGTAAGAATGATTTTAATTTAATCTTAGGCTCTCCATTTTCTTTCTTCCTTCCCCAAGTTTTTTCTGGACTCTACTGCATATAAAGGTTGGGGTAGGAGATTGAGAAATTGCTCCATTGGAAATTACAGTTTTCATTTTTCTATTTATAGACAACTGAGTTTTGTAGTGTTCTTCTAGTTATGCTGTAGGTGTAGATTTTGTTTTCCCCACGTTTGTTGTTGTTGTTCTTGTTAATCTGTAAAGCTTATGGATGATGTGTTAAGATATTTGGATTTATGTACCATTACCTCAGTTACAGGCTGAAGTATTTCTAAAATTTCACATTGAGTCATTCATTGTCCATGTTTTTATACATTATTGTCCTCTGTGCCATTAAGAGTGTTGGCGATACAGCATTTCTTAAAAAAGAACTCCACTGTTGTCTCTGGGGTTTTCTTCTAAGCATATCCTTTCTGCAAGTTTTGATGCCAGTTCTTTCTTGATCTTTTCAGAAGAGGTCAAAAGAAAGTTTTCAGGGACAAACTAATATGTCCTCAAATAATCTTTAAATGGTTTATTGACTAAAATGTTGAAGGATTGCAAATGTCTGGTTACCATCAAGATTAATAATTAAATTTGTACATGGTTAGGCAATGGCAACTATTTCTAGACTGTCAAATAGACATTGTGCAATACCTTCAATTGTAAGATGCATTCTAATTTTGGTTAAAATGTCAAGAAAATGTGTTTTATAATTGAAGAAATACAGTGTTGAGTTCAGCAGAGTAGCTATACTCTACAACAAGACTAGAGTAGCTCTAGTTTGAGACATTATTTGAGGTCCATGCCGTGGGATTTTGTTAAAGGTAAAACTCTTACATAGTACTGTAGGCACTTTACTAAACTTCTTTGGACAGGATGGATCTACTTTTTATTGAGCTTCATAACATAATAAGATTCAAATGTATGATATTTTACAAGGGAGTTTGGATTGTAGTATACAATAGAAACTGTTAGAATCTGTTAATATAAGCAAATGAAACTTATTCCAACCACTGCTCTTAAATGCTTACTAAAAGACCTTAAAGTTTGTAATAAATTTGTGATAAATGTTTTGTCTAGTTCTAAGAGAAATGGGTAGATTTTGTATTGGTGAAATTGAGTACAGTTAGGCAAATTGAATATTAGAATCTTAAGTAAACAGTCTGTTGATAACATGCATTTTGGAGGCTAGAATATTTATAATTTTTATAGGTCCCCTAGTCTCCTGATGCTTCTTGTCATAATTCTTCTTGGACTAATTCACTGTCTATGATCAGCTGACTAAACATGGCAGCCTTTATTTAATCAACAAATATTTATTGAGCACCTCCTCTGTGCCAGAAGATGATCCAAAGGTGAGCAGAATTAATGTGGTCCCTGCCTTCAAGAAGCTAACAGTTAAGTAGGAAAGAAACATACAGTACATAATAAAGAAAATGGTAATTTTAGCTTTTGATAAGTGCTAAGAAGAAAATCAACAAGACACTCTGACAGAGAAGAATGTATAGAAAAGTAGACCACTTTATAGAATGGTCAAGAAGAATTTGAGGGTGTGACATTAGAACCGAAGTGGGAGAAAGATGCAGCCATGCAAAAAATGGTAAGAAGAGCACCCTGGACAGAGATAGAAAAGCCTTGAGGTAAAGGCTTGGTGTTTGCTAGAAATTGTTAGACAATCAGTGTGACTGGGGAGTAATGAGTGAAGAGGAGAATGCACAAGATGAGGTTGAAGCAGTTGGGGGTCATAAACCATTAGAAAAAGTTTTAAACGTGCAAGAACACAGGGAGAGATGGAAAGGAATAGGTTGATTTAAGATAGGTTAAAGTCAGTAGACCTTGCTGATGGACTGGACCCAGGGAGAGAAAACAGAAAGAAATAATGAAAGATGACACCCAGGTTTCTGGTGTATACTATTGGATAGATGAGGAGGAGAGGAGCAAGGTTACAGTGTTCTGAGGTCCTGGTGAGGCATCACATCTGGAGATAGCAGGCAAGCAACTGTCGTCCTGCTAGAGCTCAGTGAAGCGGTTTGGGTAGTGTCAGCATTCTTTTCACTATGTGCTGGGCACTGAAGATACAGTACAGGAAGACAAGTCTTCTGCCTTGATGGACCTCACAGCACGTAGATGAGATCACCTCGGCAAACAGCAGAAAGAGAAGAGGACTCGGCACAAGCCCTGACGAGCTCTGACAAGTTAAAATGTGGGCAGAGGCTTTTCAAAGTCTCAGTACCTCTCAGCCTGTAAGTGTTCCTATGTTATACAAATCATCATAGCCATCATCAGTGTCGATGAGGGTTGAAGACATGAGAAAAACTGGGATTCTGGATGTAATAATTTCATAAATCTCTGTGAAGTATTTGGTCTTCTTTACCACTCTGCAAAGTGCTCTGTCTTTCTACACAATCTTCTATATCCTGTTAGGGCTATTAGTTTGCTTTTGTTCCCTGGATTATCTCATTCTTCTGGATTGTGAGTTGTGGTCTCCCTGTTTTGTTCTTTTTCATGTTGCAGGCTTTTCTTGAATGCCTGATTATCCTTGATTGCATTCATATTTAGAAATGAGGCTACAAAGCCGAGTGTTCCATATTGTTCAGTGGGGATTGTTAACTGATGAGGCTTTCCTGTAAGGAAAGCAGACAAGAGAGATGTTTAGTTGGAGGCAAAATCCTAAATGCTAGAATATGAAAGGCTTTGCTCTAAGGTACCAGCAGCCATTCTTGCTGCCTGGTTTTCCAAGAACAGTTTACTTTTTTTCATGGGGGTTCTGGGAAGTAGACTATTCTTTTTACAGAAGTTCAGCCTCATGTCTTCTCTTTCTGCTCTGAGTAGAGACATGTTCACAAGTCCAGAGCCTCTCCAGAGTTCTGATAGGCAGACTTTCTTCTGCTGCTAGCCTCTTGAGCACTGAAGACTGTGACTTCTTTCCAGCTTCATCAGTTACCATTTATTTTATTTGCCACAGATTTGTTAAAATGTCTTCTATGGAGGCCTCTTCCTGCTTTTTTCCTTTATTGTGGACATGTACCATTTTTATTCTTTGCCTGTCATCTTCACAGCGTCTTGGGACCAAGAAGAGATAAATTTGTGCAGGTGTTTAATTCACCATCTTGAACCAGAAACCCCAGCAATAGTAGTATTAAGAGATGCAGTTTTATACTTTATCACTTTAGAATAGTTTTTCTTAGTCCATTTTAATGAGCTTTTGATACTTAGCAGGATTGGAGCTGCTCTTGTACATAAGGCACTTGTATGGGAAAGTTTCTGTGGGAAATATGGGAGTGACACGATCATCCTTGGCCTCAGAATCTCCTGTCCAATAAGACTCTAGTGTGAAGATACTAGTCATGTATGGTAAATTCTGGTAGAATTCCAAAAGAGTTTCAAAAAGTTATGAAAAATCATATGCAGAAGACATCACTTAAGTGTTGTTAGGGTTTAAAAACTGTTAACTAATATATGGAATAAATGTTTTATTTGTTTCTTCTGTGAAGATAGAATTTCTTAGAGCAGAGATTTGGGTTGAAAGGGGGGACCTTTCCAATAAAAAATGGCCTGAATAGTGACTCAGAGAAATGAAAGCCTGCCAGGCGCAGTGGCTCATGCCTGTAATCCCAGCACTATGGGAGGCCAACGTGGGTGGATCACCTGAGGTCAGCAGTTCGAGACCAGCCTGGATAACATGGTGAAACCCTGTCTCTACTAAAAATACAAAAATTAGCCAGGCATGATGGCACATGCTTGTAATCCCAGCTACTCAAGAGGCTGAGGCACGAGTTATCATTTGAACCCTGGAGGTGGAGGTTGCAGTGAGCAGAGATCGCGCCTCATAGCTAAATATGAACACAATCAAGGATAATCAGGCATTCAAGAAAAGCCTGCAACATGAAAAAGAACAAAACAGGGAGACCACAACTCCCAATCCAGAAGAATGAGATAATCCAGGGAACAAAAGCAAACTAATAGCTCTAACAGGATACAGAAGAGTGTATAGAAAGGCAGAGTACTTTAGAGAGTACTATGCCCAGCCAGTTTAGAGTTTTTTTGTTTTCTTAATTTTTATTTTTTGCCGGTACATAGTATGTTTATATAACTTAACTTTTGTTTTAATCTAAGGCTTCATGTTACAGTTTTGTGAACTACCACATTTATAGGCTCACTTTTCTTTGGAAAAACAGTGGGAAATTCTTAATTTTATTTTTAAGTAGTCTTCCATTCATCCATGCATGAAATAACTTTCATCCAGTGCAAATAATGGACTTTTTACACTGTTTAGTGTGTTTATAATTTTAAATGAAGACTTTTGCTAAGTTTAGGCAAGCTTTGTATTGTACAAGTAGAGCTGCTCTGAGTCTTAATAGACTGTGTACTCATTGGAAAGATATACACAAGTTTATAACAGCTCTTGTCATGAAAGTGTGCTATTTTAGTGTTTGTAACCTTGTATTGACTTACACAAATTATTTCCGTCATTTCCTCACCAACATCACCTCCTGAGATCTCCACTGAAACACCACCTTCTCAGTGTTACCTTTCATTGACACTTTATCTAAAATGTTGTTCCTCTCCAATATTTTATATTATCTTTTTATTTTTAAATAAAGTTCTATCCTTAGAACTTTCCCAATTTTCCAATTTACTGTGTATTATGCTTGCATATCTTTCTTGATCTGTCTTTCCCTCTAGAAAGTAAGTTTTGTGTGGACAATAATTTCTATTTTTTCAATACTGTATTTCTAGTGCCTACCACAAGGCCTAGAAAATAGTGTACATTGAATAAATGTTTGTTGAATGAGTGCATTTTGTCACTAATGTGCCAGAAGCACTCATTTTATTTCAAGGTAAAATTTGACTGTATGGTTATGTGTAGGTTGCGTAGTATCATGAATTTGTATCAGAGAATGTAGCATTAAAATCTGTTTTTTAAAAATCTTTGTGTTAAATTTGAAGTTTTAGTCTTCAAGTAACCTCATTTTTTAAAAGATTTCAGATAGAAATCTGGCATATAAAAACCTTTAAGCAGTGCTACTTCAGTTAGGATATTAAAGTCCATTTTTTTGTACAGGTGCAAGTGGCATGAAGAAAATGATATTCTCTTCTGTGCTTTAGCTGTTTGCAAGAAGATTGCGTAAGTTGGGGAAAGGAGTTTCTTCATAATACTGTATTCTGATTAAATTATTCTGTGCCGTTTTGCTTGCTATAGCTTTGGCAATCGGGGTAACTCTGTTTCCACAATGCTCTTTCAAAACAAAGGGGGTCAAATCAAAACTACAGTGAGATATTATCTCACCCTGGTTTAAAATGGCTTATATCCAAAAGACAGGCAATAATAAATGCTGGTAAGGTTGTGGAGAAAAGGGAACCCTCATACACTGTTGGTGGGATGTAAGTTAATATAACCACTATGGGGAACAGTTTGGACGTTCTCCAAAAAACTAAAAATAGAGCTACCGTTATGATCCAGCACTTCTACTGCTGGGTATATCCCCAAAGAAACGAAATACATTGAAGAAATATCTACACTCCCATGTTTGTTGCAGCATTGTTTACAATAGCCAAGATTTGGAAGCAACCTAAGTATCCATCAGCAGATGAATGGATAAAGAAAATGTGGTACTTATACACAATAGAGTACTATTCAGCCATTAAAAAAATGAGATTCAGTCATTTGCAACAACATAGATGGAACTAGAGGTCATTATGTTAAGTGAAATAAGCCAGGCACAGGAAAATAAACATCTCATGTGCTCACTTATTTGTGGAATCTAAAAATCAAAACAATTGAACCCATGGAGATAGAGAGTAGAAGGAATGATTACTAGAGGCTAGGAAGGGTACTAGAGGGGTGAGGGGGAAGTGAAGATTGTTAATTAGTACAAAAAATGGTTTGAATGAATAAGGCCTAGTATTTGATAGCACAACAGAGTGACTATAGTCAATAATAATTTAATTGTACATTTGAAAATAACTAAAAGAGAATCATTGGATTGTTTATAATACAAAGGATGAATACTTGAATGGATGGATATACCACCTTCCATGATGCGATTACTACACATTGCATGCTTGTATCAAAACATCTTATGTACCCCATAAATATATGCACCTACTATGTACTCATAAAAAATAAAAATAAAGGTGGTTTTGTACATCATATTACTTTTATTTTCTATCCATGTCACCTCTCCTAGCAATATGGGTGAACCTTCAGAACCACTTCCTTATTGGGGTACTCTAACACATAGGTCTTTTGTTCTCGTTTTGTAGTGAAAGTACCGGGAGCCCCAGATAACCTGGGTGCTCTGGTAGCCCAGTGGGTGATATTAGTTCACAGGATAGATTAGTGTTTATGGTTGTAGTGTTATTTCTGCCGCTGCCCTCTCCTTGCCTTAAACATTTGGGAATCCTGGTAATCTTTATCTTCATTGCCATGCCCTTAAAATGAACCTAAAATTTTATCTGGCAATCAAAAGATTGCTTAGCAGTAATAACCTGTTTTATTATATGTATTGCTATTTATTTATATGTCTTCTCTGAATCTCCAAATTTATTTTTTCCCAGTTTATAACAGTACCTCAGATGCTTTCTTTTTGTTAGAGATTTTAAAATACAAATACTTTTAGTTGAATTAAATTAGATTCTGATAGTGAGATTTTTATTTCTTTTAAAGGTACTGCATCAGTAATTCTCTGGCCACTCTCTTTGGAATCCAGCTCACAGAGGCTCATGTACCACTACAAGATTATGAGGCCAGCAATAGTGTGACACCCAAAATGGTTGTATTGGATGCAGGGCGTTACCAGGTAAGGAACTGACTTTTAAGAGCTGCTGGTCTCTTTAGCTGTTCTACTCAATGTGATTCTGGCCAACAGAAACAAAAGATCAGCCTTTGTTTGGTTCTTTCCCTCCCCTTAAACATTATTTTGAAGTACTTCATGGAATGTCAAACAGTTCCTAATCCAGTTGTGTCTTGTGTAAAATTCTTTTTTCTCTGGTATATTTCCTACCAATTTAACAAAGTTTTAAGAAAGTTAAAACTGGTATTTAATCTTTATGTAAAACATTTCCAAAGATTTATTCCAAAAATTAAATATCTGAATGTAAGTAATATAAATATTCTAAACATCTACCTCAAAAATATTTAAGACCTGATTTAGGATTTGATTAAAAGCTATCTAATTTCTCTACCACCTTCCTTCCCTCCCTGCCGTTTACTTATTAGTAGGCCTCTAAACCACTAAGTGCATAGCAGTTAAGAGTATGGGCTCTAGGGTCAGAATTCCTGAATTTTATTTTAGGTTCTGCTACATACAAGTTTTGTGACTTTATGCACAATACTTGAACTGTCTGTACTAATTTTTTATGTATTAAACAAGAACAATAATAGGGGCTAGTATTTGTTAGGATTAAATGCAGCAATATATGACAGTACCAAGGCCTCCCTGCCTTAGAGCTTAATAGATAATAAATGTTGTTATTTTAAAATAAACACTTACTGAAAAGGAAACTCAAAAAATGGCATGAACTACTGATGAAAACAGCTAGATTCATCCTAGTTAATTATGCTGAACAAAAGAAGCAGTCTCCAAAATTACGTACTTTAGAATATACTGTATGATTCCATTCATATGACATTTTTTTGAAGACTAAACTATAACAAGAACAAATTAGTGGTTCCCAGGAGTTAGGGGTGGGAACAGGGTGTCTGTAAAGGGATTGAGCATGAGAGAGGTTTTTGAGGTGATAGAATGGCTCTGTATCCTGATTGTGGTGTTTACACAATTCTGTACATACATTAAACTTCATAGATGTGTACACCAAAAAAAGTTTTACTGTATGATAATTTAAAAATAAAAACGGAAGGACTTCAGAGCTCTCCATATGTACTCTGGGCAAGACCCTTCTCTACCCTCCCTTTAAACCTTTTGCCCAGTGGTTCTCGACTCCATTTGTGTCCTCCATGGGACATCTGACAAAGCCTGGGGACATTTTTGGTTGTCACATCTGGGGAGGGGGTGCCCCTGGCATTTAGTGGATAAAGGCCAGGAATGCTGTTAAGCACTCTATCTATACAGGACAGCCTTCCACAACAAAGCATTTTCCAGCCTAAAATATCATTAGTGCCCAGGTTGAGAAACCCTACCTTAGCTTCATCACCACTATCTGTGTTCACATCATCAGAATTAATCTCAATAATGTGCCTTTTCATTGTTTATATCAGTTACTATAGGAAGCCTAGGACTCTCAGATTCTCTCTCATCTCCCAGACTCACCTTATTTGGCTGGTCCTATTTCCCAGCCCTTCCCAACTCCTGAGAAACCTTCCTGTGGGTTTTCTCAGCCTTAGTTATCAGCAAAATTTCAGGTATCTTCAGTTTCTTTGGGGCAAAGTCTATTTACCTTCTTGGTTCTAACTAAAACTTGACCCTCCTCTAAGGACACTGCTTCTCTATTAACCTTTTCAAATGGTGACATCTTTTGCTTCTTCATGTGTCATAGGGCCTAGATTTGAAGTAGTTGTCCTTGATCGTGGCCTCCAGACTTCTTTATATAGTCTCCCCAAAATTCCTAGGCATTGAATTTCCTGTTATCCAGGATGTAGTACCTTTTTGGAGTCAGTAGACTCCAAATGGCCTCTTTTTGGAGTCAGTAGACTCCTGAGTTGGTTCCCCTCATTCTTAGAGCAACACCAATCCAGAAAACTGGTTTTTCCATCAGAATTATTTATTTCAATTTCCCTACACATAGTCCTTCCAGCTGCCTAACCTCTCAGTTTGATTTCCTCTCCTTCAATAATCTTGTCTTCTACCTAACAATCATATCCTGGACCCCAGTGGTACCTCCTTCATAATCTCAATTTCAAACATCCCCCTCTCAGACTACCACCATCTTCTACTACCCCTGTGCTAACAATTATTTAGTCTCTACTGGGATATACAATTCATTTATGCCTCCACTGTTTTATACTCCCTTACAGGGCCACTTCATTGCACAACTCCAGGACACCATTCACACTAGTAATGCTGTAGACTCATGTCTCCTCCTTTACCACCTTTGTCTCTACTCTTCACCTCCTTCCTTCCCAACTCAGATTCCTTGGCCTATCTTTTCCACTGCCTTGCATGCACTGTCAACTCCATTGGCCCTCTTTTTTTCCTCATACTTGACAGATACTAACCCTGATTACATGTAACTCTTCACCTACTCTCCTCCTATGCCTGTGACACTAAATGCGGCTGGAAAGGAACTACCACGCTGACCGATCTTACTGACTATTCATCACCACCAACTTCAAGGGGCCTTTATTGTTGCCTGACATACCCATTTCTCTAGTCTGATTAATTTCCTACTCTCCTAGACAGTTATTTCTCACCACCTTTTTCCTTCAGATTTCATCATCTCTTCCCTCACCTTTGCTCTAGCTGATTCCTTTGCCTCCTACTTCTCTGAGAAAATAGAAACAGTTGGGAGAGATTTTCTACATATTCCTACCACTCATCTACGTGCATCTACCATATTCTCTGCTTTACTCCTATTTTAATGAATGAATTTTCTGTGTTCCTATCTAAAACCAATCTGTCTGCTTGTATATTAGATTTCCTTCCCTTACCACTCAAGGACATGGCTTCAGTAATTTTCCCCTCCTGTATCATCAGGGATTCCCTCTGTTCTAATTCATTATCAGCAAACGTGCTATAATCTCACTTTTAAAAAAAAAGGCAAACCCTTTTTTGCCCTATACTTCGTAATCTCCCTCCAAAGTCTATCCTATTTTCTCCCCCTTTGCAGCAAAAATTGATAAGACATTGGAAAAGTATTTGAGTGTTAGTTTGCATTTTTAAAGAGTAATATGAAATTGAAGACAGACCATCCAGTAATGAATAAGAAATAAACATTTTTCCCCCTGGTATTTTCCTGTTACTTACAGAAGCTAAGGGTTGGGAGTTCAGGATTCTCTCATTTCAACTCTTCTAATGAGGAACAAAGATCAAACACACCCATTGGTAAGCAACTTATATTTTACAAAAATGCACCTAAAGGATGTTAGAGCCTATTACTAAGATCCCAGGTGTGGTATTTAAACAGTGATATCTAAATTAGCTTTAGGATATAAGAAGCTTGTTGAATTGAGGGTTTTATTTGGCATTAGCACCTTAAACAATTTAGATGTGTACATTTTTGGGTCACTTGGATACATTGTAACTTCTCAGAATTTGTTAGGGCATTTAAAAGAAAACCTGTTTTTCTTGTAGCAGCAATAGCTTTATAGTTTTGATTTTAATGGTATCTTTTGTGGGGTGAGAAACTTTAAAAGCTAGTGACATGAAATTTCAAGTGGTACCTAAAGAACTTCAATTAAAAGTTTCCTGGGCTAAAAACAAAAACATTTTTCTGTTGAATTATGGCTTAGTGAAAGGCCTACAGTAGGATGAGTCAGTTAATTGAGGCATCTCTTTGTAATAAAATTATAAAATTGCTATATCTCTTTTCTTGTATTTTCAATATCCTAGGTGACTACCCATCTAGGGCAAAAATTTCTGGCCAAAACAGCAGCGTTCGGGGAAGAGGAATTACCCGCTTACTAGAGAGCATTTCCAATTCTTCCAGCAATATCCACAAATTCTCCAACTGTGACACTTCACTCTCACCTTACATGTCCCAAAAAGATGGATACAAATCTTTCTCTTCCTTATCTTAATGATGGTACTCTTTTCAATTTCTGAAAACAGTAACAGGCCCAACTTCCTTCTTACTACAGTCATATTAAACAGATCACATCAATGACAAATGTCACTACTATAAAAACTACTTAATTTGTAAGGAAATTGTTTCATAGATTTAAAAAAATTGTGGTTGGAGAGCATCTTGGCATTTGTGCTTTTTTTCTTGAGGGATTGTTCTGCTTCCTGGCTGTATGATGGGTATATCATTAAAGTTTGGAGTCCTATATGAACAAAACTGACATTTTTAGAGTTGTACTTTTGGGAATGTTATAGATTGATCATTCTTTCTCCTGATAATAAAGGTATTGAATATCTGTTATGAAAGGTTCTAAAATAGTGTTAATCTGTTTCTTCCTGTCATGAAATGGGAACCTTACACTGGAGACCTGCAGGCTGTCTTTATTGCAAATAACTAAGAAAATTAGCCTTTAACAGACACAGAATTTTGCTACCTTAAAAAGTTTTTGAAATATACTTACTTTGGCAAAAGAAGGCACTTGAAAGATGCGAAGGCAAAATTAGAAAGGTTAAGTAATTTACCCTAAATCACATCACATGGCTAGATATTGAATGAATTTCTCATCCATTGGACTGCAAAGCAAGCAGGTATTATATTGAGTCAGGTGTTCACTCTGTGACTGACTTAAACTGGCTTATGTTCTCAACCTGGGGTAATATATAACCTAGGATGAGTAAAACAGGTATGGTAACCCCTTTTACTTTAAACCACAAGCCAAGACCACACATGACATTGACAGAGGCAACAATTTGGTTTAAGTCTGTCTCACTCCAAACTCTGGTCCCTCTGATTACAGAGAATGACTGTCCTGGGCCTCTGGTTTTTATTAATACCCATATTTTCCTTTACTAACTGTTGAGTACCTACCTTGTGGATGTTTTATATGTGTCATCTTATTAAATCCTTATTACCACTCTGAAGGAGGCGATACATGTTAGAGACCAAAAAATGCTCAGGTCACATAGCTCCTAACTGAAGGAACTGTTGTTATTCCAAGTCAGTCTGACTCCAAAGACCATGTTCCTTTTTTTTTAATTGGCTGACCTTTTGTATAGATCATGTTCCTAATGCACTATATTGTCCTCCATCTCGCATTCATCTGTTTCTGATACCAGATCTTTGAACGAGAACAATTCATAGACTAAATTTATATGTTATATTTTCTAGTAGTATATTTGTCTTTAAAAACTTCATATCCGAGCTTTGAAACCATTGTGTCTTTCTTAAAAATCAACTTCTTCAGAGGGTGGTGGCTCACACCTTTAATCCCACCAGTTTGGGAAGCTGAGGCAGCAGGATCACTTGAGGACAGGAGTTTGAGACCAGCTGAGGCATAATAGCAAAACCCCAGCTCTACAACAAGTTAAAAAGTTAGCCAGGCATGTTGGCGCATGCCTGTAGTCCTAGCTGCTAGGGAGGCTGAGGTAGGAGGATCACTTTAGTCCAGGAGTTCAAGGCTGCATTGAGCTGTGATCATGCCATTGCACTCTAGCCTGGGTAACAGGGCAAGACCCTGCCTCTACAAAACTAATAATAATAACTTTGAAAAACTCAGCTTATTAATAATTGGATGGAGAAGATGAGGAAGGTCTAAATATTCAGACTCATGACTTCAGATGCCTAAGTCTTGTTCTCTGTCACCTGAATTCAGTCCTCTGTGAATTGTTCAAGTTAATTTTTTAATTTAAATAATAGTATTGGTTGTACTTTTGAGGTATATGTCAAATAATGAAAACAATTCAATAGGCCCCAGGGATTTATTTTAAGAGAACAGCTGGTCTTTCCCTTCAAAGATAATCAAAATTCCCAAACCATATTATTAGTAAAATTCAAACCCTGTCTCCTCTTTAAAAAAAAAAACCTTTTGGCATTGAATTTGAAGTATTAATTGCCCTTCAGGAAGACTAGGTGAGCGATTGGTATACTCATGGATATCCTGGTTGACAGTGATTTCTGCCCCCTCTAACTCCAGTAGTATTTCCTTTTTATTATAACATTTAACTGTTTTTAATTACAGCTATTTTGGTTCATGACATCTCTTTTTCTCAATTGCAAACTTTGTGGTGCCCATATTTCTATATGAGAAGGTGTTCACTACATGTTAGAATCAATAATTGCCAATTTGAGTAATGGAGAAGGGATGTCAGAATTTCAAAGCCACTTCATAAGGTAAAGTACTACATGGGAAAGGGAACCATCTTTATTGTAGACTCCATTCCCATTCTTTTCCTCAAAACTAAGTGGTTAGTTTGATTTGTTCAATGAACATGTTGTGAGAGTCTGTTAAATGCTGAGTTAAAAATACTAAGATGAATAAAGATGTGGCTCCTGATCTCAAGGAACTCACAGTTTAATGGGGGAAGTAAACAATTACAGTGCATTAATAAAAGTGGTCTTAAGTATGAGGACAGATGTATGTAAATCATTGGAATAGAATTGAGAGTCTATTCCAGAAATAAACTCATGTATCTGTGCCAAGACCATTCAATGGAGGGAAGAATAGTCTTTAAAACAGATGGTTCTAGGGCAACTGGATATCCACATGCAAAATAATGAATTTAGATATGCTATGGTTTGAATGATGATGTCCCTTCAAAATTCATGTTGAAACTTAATCCCCAGTGCTACAGTATTAAGAGGTGTAGCCTTTTGGAGGCCTTCGAGCAGAGCCTTCATGAATGGATCAGCACCCTTGTAAAAAGGCTCAAGGTTGAAGGAAGCACACTCTTGTTCTTCTGTCCCTTCCACCATGTGGGGACACAGTGTTCCCTCCAAAGGATGCAGCAACAACGTGCCATCTTGGAAGCAGAGAGCAGCCCTCACCAGATACCAATTCTGCCACCACCTTCATCTTGAATTTCCCAATCTCTAGAACCATGGGAAATAAATTTCAGTTCTTTATAAATTATTCAGTCTCACGTATTTTGTTATAGCAGTACAAATGGACTGAGACAGGGACCCTACCTAACACAAAAATTAGTTCAAAATGGATTAAAGACCTAATGTAAGAGCTAAAATTATGCAACTGTTAGAGGAAGAAAATACAAGTGTAAATCTTCATGACCTTAGATGAGGAAACAGTCTCTTAATAGGACACCAAAAGAACAAACAAGAAAAAATAATTTGGAATATATCAAAACTAAGTCCTAAAAAGCAGACTTGTGTGTTAAAAGATACTATCAAGAAAGTGAAAAAGACAACACACAGAATGGGAGAAAGTATTTACAAATCATTTATCTGATAAAGGTCTAGTATACAGAGTAATAAAGAACTCTTAACAATAAAAAAGACGACCCGGTTTCTAAATAGGCAAAAGATTTGAAAAGATATTTCAAATATCTGTTCCAAAGAAGAAATACAAATGGCCAATAAGCATACAAAAAGATGTGCAACATCATTAATCATTAGCATATGCATATCAAAACAAAAAAGATACTACTTCATACTCACTAGGATGACTATCATCAAAAAAAGGAAAACAAGTGTTGGTAAGGATGTAAAGAAATTGGAACCCTCATACATTGCTGGTGGGAATATAAATGGTACAGCTGCTATGGAAAACAATTTGGCAATTCCTAAAAAAATTCAATACAGAGTGACCATATGATCCAGCAATTCCATTTCTGTGCATGTTTCTACAGAAACTTGCACATGACTGTTCATAGCAGGATTACTTGTAATAGCCCCAAAATGGATACAACCCAAATAGCCATGAACTGATAAATGAGTAAACAAGAAGTGGTATATCTACACAATGGAATATTATTCAGCCATAAAAGAGAATGAAATCATGTCATTTGCAGCAACATGAATGGAACTGGAGGCCATTAAGTGAAATAAGCCAAACACAGACAAATACTGCATGTTCCCACTCGTGGAAGCTAAAAAAGCAGATCTGATGAAGATAGTAGATTTGTGGTTACCATAGGCCAGGAAGGGGAAGGGCATGGGGGACATGAAGGAGCAAAAGGAATATAAATGTATTTATTACCACTGAACTGTACACTTATGGTAAAGATGGTAAATTGCGTATGTCTATTTTACCTCAGTAAAAAATATAGACTGGGTAGGAAGATGAATAAATTATCAAGATTACTAGATCAATGAATTGGAGGTAAGATTGAAGGATAGATAAGAGATTTTGTGGTACCAGGAGGAGTGAGCTAGAAAGACAGGAGATTGGTGGTCAGAGAGTGCAATGCATGAAATTAAGATTATAGAAGGTCACAGTTAATGACAGTGAGATAACCGGGGTATTGTTTTATGAATGAGTTCCTGAGGGAGGTAGAGAACAAGATGGTTGGAGGAGAGGCATTTAAGGAACTGAGAAGTCAGCAGTGAAACAGAATAGAGAATCCAGAAATAAACCCAAATACTTACAGCCAACTGATCTTTGACAAAGCAAACAAAAACGTAAAGTGGGAAAAGGACACCCTATTCAACAAATGGTGCTGGGATAATTGGCAAGCCACATGTAGGGGAATTAAACTGGATCCTCATCTCTCACTTTTTACAAAAATCAACTCAAGATGGATCAAGGACTTAAATCTAAGACCTGAAACTATAAAAATTCTAGAAGAGAACATTGGAAAAACCCTTCTAGATACTGGCTTAGGCAAGGATTTCATGACCAAGAACCCAAAAGCAAATGCAATAAAAACAAAGATAAATAGCTGGGAATTAAACTAAAGAGCTTTTGCATGGCAAAAGGAACAGTCAGCAGAGTAAACACAGAGTGGGAGAAAATCTTCACCATCTATACATCTGACAAAGGACTAATTTCCAGAATCTACAACAAACTCAAATTAGCAAGAAAAAAAATCCCATCAAAAAGTGGTCTAAGGACATGAATAGACAATTCTCAAAAGAAGATATACAAATGGCCAACAAATATATGAAAAAATGCTCAACATCACTAATGATCAGGGAAATACAAATCAAAACCATAATGTTATATACCACCTTACTCCTGCAAGAATGGCCATAATCAAAAAACCAAAAAATAATAGATGTTGGCATGGATGCAGTGAACAGGGAACACTTCTACACTGCTGGTGGGAATGTAAACTAGTACAACCACTATGGAAAACAGTGTGGAGATTCCTTAAAGAACTAAAAGTAGAACTACCACTTGATCCAGCAATCCCACTACTGGCTTTCTACCCAGAGGAAAAGAAGTCATTATACAAAAAAGATACTTGCACACTCATGTTTATAGCAGCATAATTCACAATTGCAAAAATGTGGAACTAACCCAAATGCCCATAATCAACAAGTGGATAAAGAAACTGTGGTGTATATATATACAATGGAATACTCAGCCATAAAAAGGAATGAATTAATAATGGCATTTGCAGTGACCTGGATGAGATTGGAGACTACTATTCTAAGTGAAGTAACTCAGGAATGGAAAACCAAACATCATATGTTCTCACTAATAAGTGGGAGCTAAGCTGTGAGGATGCAAAGGTGTAAGAATGACACAATGCACTTTGGGGAGTCAGGGGGAAAGGGTGGGAAGGGGGTGATAGATAAAAGACTACAAACTGTGTGCAGTATATTCTGCTCGGGTGATGGGTGCACCAAAATCTCACAGATCACCACTAAAGAATTTACTCATGTAACCAAACACCACCTTCTCCCAATAACCTATGGAAATAAAAAAAATTTTTTTTCTAAAGAAATGAGAGGTCAGGATGTTGGAAGAATCATCTCCATATACATTGAAATTACCAGTAATTAAGACTTGGAGAGAGTGGTAGTATCCCAGGAGCCAAAATTATTGAGAAAATGGAGGGTGGAGGTGGGGTTAACCCAAGGGTTGATAGGTGACATCAAAATGAGGGTGATAGGTGTTAAAATCTGATGACATGAAAATCAAAGCCGAGAGTTTTAGAGAGAAGGAAGATAGAAAGTAACAGTGAGAAACAAGGAGGCACTATCTCACCTCCAGGTCCAGTGGTAACAGAGGTATGAGAAAGAAAAATAGCCAGTACTTGAGAAGGCTACAAGGGAATACTGCTCTCAGGAAAGAGCCAGATTTAAGTTTTAGCAAGGAAATGAAGGGAGAAATCAGAAAAATGCTTGAGGCTGGGCACGGCAGCTCATGCCAGGAATCCCAGCACTTTGGGAGTCTGAGGCAGGCGGATCACTTGAGCTCGGGAGTTCAAGACCAGCCTGGACAACATGGCAAAACTCCATCTCTACAAAAAATACATAAATTAGCCAGGCATGGTGGCATGTGCCTGTAGTCCCAGCTACTGGGGAGACTAAGGTGGGAGGATCACTTGAGCCTGGGAGGTTGAGGCTACAATGAGCTGAGATTGCACCACTGCACTCCAGCCTGGGCGATAAAGTGAGTCTGTGTTTCAACAACAACAACAAAAAAAAAAAAAGAAAGAAAAGAAAGAAAAATGGTTGAAATTAAAGCAGTTTTGCTGATAATGAACCATAAGTTGTAGGGGGTATGGTAGAAGGGTTCAGGAATTGGTGAGGAGAAGAGACTGCAGTAGAGATGTACAGAACCTTAGGGAGATTTGGGTGTGGGAGATGAGCAGTGACTTAGGAGTCTGGTAGTTCTTGTAGTAACTGATATAAACAAGGATAAAGAACATAAGAAAGTTGGTCCTGGTGGAGTCAAAGCAGATAGGGATGGGAAGGTTACGATTGTTAGCAGACTAGGAGTTCCTGTGACTCTTCACTCATGACAATGAGATTAAAGAGGATATGGGAGTTGAGCTCCTAGAAGCAGTACACTAGTTCAAGTAGACCTCTTTTGAGTGAGTGGTCATCACTCTAAGCATGTCTGCCTCATTTTGACCCCTGTAGATGGACTGAAGGAATTTTAAGGAAGCTTAGAAGTTGGGAAGGGATGGCCTGGGAGTTGGGGGTAGGTGCAAATAGCACTGCTATCATTAGTCTGAGCCTAGGGTCAGCAGCAAAGTAGAGAGCCTGAGCCTAAGACTTCTGCCTCTCAGGGAGGTGAAATTGTATCAGGTTGGTGGCAACCCTTGGACACTGTCAGAAACAGGTTACAATCCTCTCTTAAGAAATGTTTGTCCATTTTCGTTTCCCAGGATTCCTACAAATCAAAATCAAGCAGTAAGCTCATTAAACAAAGCCTTAAAAAAGGTGACACACTGTGAGAGTAGAATCAGCAAGTAACAGTTACCCACTGCTGATACTGAAATTGTCAGACGTAGAAAATAAAAGAGCTATGCATGAAATGTTTACATAAAAGACTCATTCACAAAGAAGCGCAAGCAGATGTATTTGAAGAACAAGAAACAAAAGGAACTTCCAGAAATAAAACAAATTACTCCCCCCCTTCCCCTCCCCCTCCCCCTCTCCCTCTCCCGTCTCCCGGGTCTCCCTCTGATGCCACCAAAGTTGTGAAAGCCGAGGCTGGACTGTACTGCCGCCATCTCGGCTCACTGCAACCTCCCTGCCTGATTCTCCTGCCTCAGCCTGCAGAGTGCCTGGGATTGCAGGCGCGCGCCGCCACACCTGACTGGTTTTTGCATTTTTTGGTGGAGACGGGGTTTCGCTGTGTTGGCCGGGCTGGTCTCCAGCTCCTAACCGCGAGTGATCTGCCTGCCTCAGCCTCCCCAGGTGCTGGGATTGCAGACGGAGTCTCGCTCACTCAGTGCTCAATGTTGCCCAGGCTGGAGTGCAGTGGCGTGATCTCGGCTCGCTACAACCTCCACCTCCCAGCCGCCTGCCTTGGCCTCCCAAAGTGCCAGATTGCAGCCTCTGCCCGGCCGCGACCCCGTCTGGGAACTGAGGAGTGTCTCTGCCCGACCGCCACCCCATCTGGGAGGTGAGGTGCGTCTCTGCCCAGCCGCCCCGTCTGAGAAGTGAGGAGCCCCTCTACCCGGCAGCCACCCCGTCTGGGAGGTCGGGGGCAGCCCCCGCCCTGCCAGCCGCCCAGTCCGGGAGGGAGGTGGGGGGCGCCTCCGCCCGGCCACTGCCCCGTCTGGGAGGTGAGGAGCCCCTCTGCCCGGCCGCCACCCCGTCTAGGAGGTGTACCCAACAGCTCATTGAGAACGGGCCATGATGACGATGGCGGTTTTGTCAATAGAAAAGGGGGAAGTGTGGGAAAAAGAAAGAAGAGATCAGATTATTACTGTGTCTGTGTAGAAAGAAGTAGACATGGGAGACTCCATTTTGTTCTGTACTAAGAAAAATTCTTCTGCCTTGGAATGCTGTTAATCTATAACCTTACCCCCAACCCCGTGCTCTCTGAAACATGTGCTGTGTCCACTCAGGGTTAAATGGATTAAGGGCGGTGCAAGATGTGCTTTGTTAAACAGATGCTTGAAGGCAGCATGCTCGTTAAGAGTCATCACCACTCCCTAATCTCAAGTACCCAGGGACACAAACACTGCGGAAGGCGCAGGGTCCTCTGTCTAGGAAAACCAGAGACCTTTGTTCACGTGTTTATCTGCTGACCTTCCCTCCGCTATTGTCCTATGACCCTGCCAAATCCCCCTCTCCGAGAAACACCCAAGAATGATCAATAAATACCAAAAAAATATAAAAAAAGAAAATCACACTAAAAAAAAACACAAAAAACAAATTAGAATTGTTGAAGTGAAAAAACCCACAATGGGAAGTTAATCACAACTGAAAAGAAAATTACTGCGTTGGAAAATAGTTCTGAAGAAACGTAGAAAAAAGAGACTGGAATGGAACATAAGAAAGAGATGTTAAGAGATATGAAGGAAAAAGATGAGGTTTAAGAATAGAGAGATGGATGAGAGGCTATATTTAAAGAGATAATGGCTGAAAATTGTAAGAAATAATGAAAAACATGAATCCTCAAGATAAATATAAAAACCTATCCCAAAGATATTGAAGGGAAAATTCATGAACACCAGAGTAGACTTCGAAAGCAGCCACGGAAAAATATCACCTACAAAGGGACAATGACAGAAAACTCTGGCAGCAGCAAAGGCAGTCAGGAGATGTGAAATAATATCTCCAAAATGTTGAGAGAAAATCATTATCAAACTAGAATTGGGTACCCAATAAATTATCTTTGAAAAAAGAGGATCAAATAAATACATTTATATATTTAAAAATCTGTTGCCACCAATTGAACTAATAATAAAGGACTTCTGAAGTTATCCTAGAAGGACAGTCTGAGATGCATGATGAGATAGCAAGGACATAAAATGGCAAACGTGCAAATCTAGACAAATATTGTTTGTATAAAAATTGTAATTATTAGTATATTTATTAACTTGTGAGGTTATAAAAGGATGGGACTAAAATACTGGATCTATAATAACATGTAAGTCTGAAGGGGAGTTAAATGAAATTAAGGTATTCTAAGTTATTGAATGGTTTATTAAGAAATTAATATATTATTTTACACTCGATATTATTAAGTCAAATAGGTGTGGCAAAATTTCAGAGGTAGCCATTAAGAGAATATATATAAAGTAAATAATTCCAAACCAATAGAAAACAATTGGAATAAGGAAAAATGCAATCAACAACAATAAAATTAACTCATACCTCTGGAGGCAAGGGAAAAAAAAGAAAAACATGGGGTTGGGGAACAAGGAAAATAGTATAAAGTAAAATGGTAAAATCTAATGCAACATATCAATACTTAAAATAAATATAAATGGACTAAACTCACCAGTTAGAAGTTTGCCATTCTGAGTTTTTAAAAATCCAGTAACATGCTGCTTATAAGATTTACACCTGAAGCTAATTGCTACGGAAAGATGAAAAATAAAAGGATAGGCTGGGCACAGTGGTTCACCCCTGTAATCCCAGCACTTTGGGAGGCTGAGGCGGGAGGATCATGAGGTCAGGAGTTTGAGACCAGCCTGGGCAACATAGTGAAACCCGTCTCTAGTAAAAATATAAAAAAAATGAGCTGGGCGTGATGGCGGGTGCCTGTAATCCCAGCTACTTAGGAGGCTGAGACAAGGAGAATCACTTGAACCTGGGAGGCAGAGGTTGCAGTGAGCTGAGATAGCACCACTGCACTCCAGGCTGGGCAACAGTGCAAGACTCAGTCTTTAAAAAAAGAAAAAAGAAAAAGGATAAAAAATGTATATACTGAACCTAAAATAAAAGTTTAAAAATAGAGAAATACCAATCCTGTCATAATTATATTAATATCAAATAAAAGAATGTTTAGTATAAAAATCATTGCATTAACCAGGAAATATAAAATACTCAACATTTTTATATTTCCTGGTTAATTCAATGATGTTTCCTTTTATACACCTATTATAATAATTTCAACAAATGCAAAATGGAAACTAATAGAATACAAGGAAAAACAGACAAATCCATCATCATGCCAAAAGATTTAAACACGTCTATTATTGATAAGTCAAGCATACCAAAACCCAGTAAATATATGGAATATTTGAAATTTTAAACTAACAAATTTGATCTAATGGACAATTTCTCAATCACATTCATTTCAAACAGACATGCAACTTTTTCAAAAAACAATAATGGACCAAACCATAAATTAAATCTCAATAAATTTCAAGAAGTTGACATACAGTCATGTTCTTTCTCCACTATTCATCTATCAATAAAATTTTTTATAACATTTAAAACCTGTAAGTCTGAAAGAAATAATGGATTCTAAAACCTTCTTATGACTAAATGATAGTAAAAATTCTTCATAACAACTGTACAATAATCAAACACTACATATTAGAATATAGAAGTATTGAGAAAATATTTATATTACAAGTAAAGAAGGGCTGAAAATTCAACAATTAAATACCAACTTAAGAAGTTAGAAAAAGAATAAGCCCATTAAATATGGAAGGAAGGTGATAATAAAAAGAAAGCATCAATGAAATAGAAAAGGTACAATAGGTTCAACAAAGCCCAAGTTGGCTCTTTGAAAAATATTAAAATAGATAAAACTCTGGTGAGATAAACCAAGCAAAAAGAGGGAAGGCACAAACAACATTATGTTCCAAAAGGGGACATTAAGTTCAGACCAGCAGGGGTTAAGGACATAAAATAATAATATGAACTTTCCATACCAATAAATTTGGGAACTTGGATGAATTGGAAACAAATTCCCAGAAAAATATAATTCACTGGAAGTGTCTCAGGAAGAAAGAAAGCCTATATTTCCTGAAACAGAGAAATTGAAGCAATAGTTTAAAGTATTCTAAAGAATAAAATGCCAAAGCCACAGAGTTTAACAGCTGAATTCTAAACTTACAAGGAATAGAGTGTTTCAATATATTAAAAAAGTCATGTCCAAGTTGAGTTTCTTCAGGAGAGCAAGATGATTTAGCATTCAAAAATCTATAAATGTTATTTGCCATATTAATAGATTCAAGGAAGAAAAGTGGTGCTCACCTGTAGTCCCAGCTACTCAGGAGGATTGCTTGAGCCCAGGAGTCCGAGTCCAGTCTGGGCAACATAGTAAGACCCTGTCTCTTTAATTAATAATAAAGAGAAATTTTATGAGAGGCTTTTTGGTGACTTGGGCAGTAAAATATTGAAGTATAGAGTTTTCTTCCTCTCAAGTTAGGGTATCTTAATCTTTAAGACAGTTGATTTGGGAAGAGCTAGAGTTAATGAGTTGCCTGAGAATTTTCCTGTTTTAGAAAATAAAGGTGGAAGAGTTCTGTGTGCTTTTCCAGTAAATCAGTTGTCTTTATCAGCTGCTGAGCTGAAACTCTGTGTCCTTACTTAGCTTTAAAAAAAAAAAAAAGAAAAAAGAAAGAAACGTTCAATCCAGTCCTAGTTGGATGCCACCTTGGGATTTTATTCACCCACCACATCACAGTTTGAGGAACTGGAAAAGTTCATTTCACTCTTTGAGACGACATACAAGGATGGCAATTTAAATAAATTTGGCTTTCCAGGAGCTAAGAATCAAATCTGCCAGCAGAGTCCAAAGAGCATCCACCATTTGCACTAGACTTTGCTAAAAATAACATGCATTTTCTGTCTCCCGCTGGCACACAATGGTGTTAAGCACAGCTACTTCAACACTGGAACAGATCACAAAAGAAGGTGATGAGTGTTTAAAAAGCTTTTAACTAGTAATATTAAACCCTTGACTTTTACCAGATGCTAGCAGCACCCTTATGGAACTTTACATATTTTCTGGCACCTGCTTTTACCCAAAAAACTTGTTGGAGGCTAAAGCACTGCTGAACATGACCTGAACTTGGAGACTGGGGCATTCATTCCAGTTCCATTGAAGTATATTTAAACAAAATACAAACTCACACTTGTACCTAAATTTCCACCAGCCCTGACTTTCTAGCCAAGTCTGGAATGCAATCTCATCTCTGCCTCTCTTAGGACACTAAACACTTTCCATTTTATAATAAGAAGTGTATGTATATTTTGTCTCCCCAACTTGAAAACAAAAAGACATCCTTTTAAATTAATATCACTATTACTATTTGTAATTGGCATTGTATGTATGCAGCTCAAATTCAAAAGTTACCAGGGATACATGGTAACCCCTAGGGATGACACCATTGTCCCCATGTACTTAATTCCTTTCCCCAGGACATCAATGTGGCCAGTTGTTGGGTATTTTTCCAAAGTATTATACACCTATAGAACTATAACAGTCAGGCATACAGTCATATTCTTTATTCCTTCTTTGAAAAAATGGAAATTGTTATGTGAGGTGGGGAGGATATCTGTTCTTCTACCCATCTTAGGTTCATGGCTGAGATCCTGTAAAAAAAACAGATTAACAAGAGAAAAGCATACACATTTATAAGTTCTATGTAACATGGGAGACTTGATAAATAAATAAAGACTTGAATAAACAATTAAACCTAAGTGTTTTTTTCATAGATTTCATAAAGAATGGATAGTCATGGAGAAATACGATAGGATGAATTGGTATGGTCTAATGGTAATGAACTGGGAGAAACTTAGCGAGGCCTGCCTGTTCATATGCTTTTTGGCATCTCTTGATCTTCAGAGATAAGGATGTTCCTTTCCTTTTCCTCCAGGTACAGGAAGGGCACCTCTCACATGAGGGTCTTATGACTTACTTCAGGGGAAGGTCAGGTTGACAAGTTATGTCACCACTCTTCCTCATTGTTGCTGTCATCTACTCCACCAGATCACTCCCACTCATTCTTTGATTATTTTAGCTCTGAGCTCTGTCACACTCTCCAACACTACTTCTGCCTTAGTTCTTGGAGAGTTCAGTCTCCATGAGATGATCTTCTCATGGATCAGATGTCTTGGTTCTTTGACATCCTCTCCTCAGGAATTTGCCCTTCACCCTGCTTCTACTGTCCACTTTCTTAGACATATACCAATATCACAATTCCACACCTTCCATTTCAACATTATACTCTCTGCTCGCCACCTCCATTTTTAGCTCATAAATTCTGGCACCCCAAGTTAAACAATTCTCCTATTTTTGAACTTGTAGGTTTAATGGGACCTACAACCCATTAATTTAATCATATTTTTTCCTGTGTCATACAATGCTTTTGTTCACATTTTGACCCTTACCATGTTCAAAGTCCACAATCAAGTGTTATGATCACTCCCTGGTATACATTCCCACTTCCCTTACTAAATAATTGTGTGGCACAATCTAAAGCCTTGCTAAACACAACTCTCTGCCCACTTCACACCAACACCTACACATCTGAATAACGCTGAAGAAAAGCACACTGCCATGCTACCTGGTCTCACTGTGAATTCATGACCACCACCCTCAATGAGGCCCTTAACACTACTGCATTTCCCTCATCCACTGCCTCTCAAGTCATGCTTTTCTTTTCCTAGTCCACTCACTCGCTAACTCTTCTTTTAGATGACTCTTTCATACCTTCTCTTCTTTCCTTAAAATGCCGACATCTCCTTCCCATCCTCACTTTTAGCTTCACACTTCACTGAGGAAGAGAACTTCTATAAGCTCTCACCACCATATGCTGTGTCCCCCACTCCATCCTCAACCCTGCCTGTTAGAATGAATAACTTGTTGGTGCTCCTCTTAAGGCCAATAACTCTCCTCTTCTCTAAATCTTATCCCAGACTCAGAGTGTTGAACCAGCAGTTCTCCCCTCTTTGGCATCATTAACGGTTCCCTCCCAATTGGATCATTCCCATCACTGTACAATTAGTTCTCTCATTAAAAATAAAAATAACCCTTGAGCCCCTCTCTGTCTACTGCTTCATTATTGGCTCCCTTTTGGAGCAAAGCTTCTCAAAAGAATTATCTTTTCTTCCTGTCCTCAATTTCTCTCCTCCCATTGTCTCTTGAACTCAATCAGGCATTTGTCCATGTCACTTAACTGTAATTACTCTTATCAAGGCCACCAGTGACTTCCACATTGCTAAATCAAATGGTCCAAGTCTCAGTCCTCAACTTAATTGACCTATAAGCAATATTTTGTAGACACAGTTGAAACAGTTTCTTCACTTGGCTTCTAGGACCACGCATCCTCTTGGTTCTCTCTTGCCTTATTGGTTGCTCCTCAGTCTTAGCTGCTTTTTCATTATCTCCCTTTCTCAAAATTTTATAGTTCCCCAGAGCTCAGCTTCCAGATATCCCAATTTCAGACTTATTGCTGCCAGAACTGTGAAAGAATAAATTTCTACTGTTTTAAGCTACACATTGATGGCAATTTATTTGGCGGCTCCAGGAAATTAATGCATACTTCAATAAAGCTGCTTAAAAAAAACAAACCTGTACTGGTTCTTCATCTTAAGTCATGTCAAAGTTCAAAGTCAAAGTCCTTTCTGTAGCCACTAAGACCCTGCACTATCTCCCTGGCCTTGCTTCCCACACACCTCTGCTCCGTCTGCTGCAGCCACACTGTCCTCCTTACTCTTCCTTAAATACTCCAAGCACACTTCTGCCTCAAGGCCTTTGCCCTAGGTGGTTCATCTGCCCAGAATACTCTTCCTGTAGATATCTGCATACCTCTCTCCTCACCTTCCTCAGGTGTTGACACAAATGTCACCTTCTCAATGAGGTCTTGACCCCTTCTTCAAAATAGCAGTTATCCACATTCTGTAGCCCCCTGGCCTGATTTATTATCCACCATTGTAGTTATAAGCATTGGACATACTTTGTTTTACTCATTCATTTTTTTTAGGATTACCTTTTCCCACCACAGGGAAAAGAAATTTGTCTTTCTCTTTGTTCACTGCTTTTTTTTTAATTTGGACAAATTTATGGCGTACATGTGAAATTTTATTACATATATATAATGCATAGTGACCAAGTCAAGGTATTTAGGGTGGCCATCACCTGAGTATAATACGTTTTTATTAACTATAGTCTCCCTACTCTGCTATCAAACATTAAATTTATTATTTCTATATAAGTGTACACTTGGGTGCTTTAGCCCACTTCTCTTCAACTTTGTCTACCCTCAACTTACCCTTCTTGTTATCTTTCTATTCTCTGTCTCCACATAATCAAATATTTCAGCTCCTACATTTAAGTGAGAATATGTGATATTTGTCTTTTTGTGTCTGGTTTATTTCACTTAAGGTAATGACCTCCAGTTCCATCAGTGTTCTGTACATGACATGATTTCATTCTTTTTTATGGCCGAATAGTACTCCATCATGTATATATACCACATTTTCCTTATCCATTCATCTGCTGATGGACACTTAGGTTGATTTCATATCTTTGCTATTGTAAATAGTGCTGCAATAAACATGTGAGTGCAGGTATCTCCTTGATATATTGATTTCTTTTCCTTTGGGTAGGTACCCAGTAGTGGGATTGCTGGGTCAATCTATTTTTAGTTTCCTGAGAAATCTCCATGCTGTTTTCCATAGTGGCTGTATTAGTTTACATTCCCACCAACAATGTGTAAGAATTCCTTTTTCTCCACATACTCAGCAGCATCCATTATTTTTTGTCATTTTAATAGTAGCCATTATAAAAAGGGGTATGGGGTATGATGATATCTCATTGTGGTTTTGATTTGCATTTCTCTGATAGTGATGTTGAACATTTTTTTCATATACCTGTTGAGCATTTGTATGCCTTATTTTAAGAAATAGCTATTCACATTCTTTGCTTGCTTTTTAATGGAGTTGTTTTTTCTGTTGAGTTGTTTGAGTTCTTTTTATATTCTGGATATTAGTACCCTGTCAGATGGGTAGTTTGCAAACATTTTCTCCCATTCAACAAGTTGTCCCTTCACTCTGTTTATTATTTATTTTGCTGGGCAAAAAGTTTTTAGTTTAATTAGGTCCCATTTGTCTATTTTTGGTTTTGTTGCCTGTGCTTTTGAGGTCTTAGTCATAAATTCTTTGCATAGACCAATGTCCTAGAGTTTACTCTAGGTTTTCTTCTAGTATTTTTATAGTTTCAGGTCTTATGTTTAAGGCTTTAATCCATTTTGAATTGATTTTTGTATATGGTGAGAGCTAGGAGTCCAGTTTCATTCTTCTGCATGTGGCTAATTTTACCAGCACAATTTATTGAAGAGAGTATCCTTTCTCCAATGTAAGTTCTTGTTGGCTTTGTAAAAGGTCAGTTGGCTGTAAATACATGGCTTTATTTCTCAGTTCTCCATTCTGTTCCATTTGTCTATGTGTCTATTTTTATACCAATACCATGCTGTTTTGGTTACTATAGCTGTTCACTGCTGTTTTTACATTGCCTGGAACAGAGTAGATAATGGATAAATATTTGTGGAAGGAAAAAAAGAAGGAAGGAAGGGAGGGAGGGAGGGAGGAAGGAAGGAAGGGAGATTCCCTATACTTTTTTTCAATCAAAATGCTGGGGCCATCTTGTTATTTGATATAGGGCTTTTGTTTTTATTGTTGTTTTTGTTGGTTTAACTTTTTATTATAGAAAGTTTCAAACATACAAAAGTAGAGAAAACATATAAAGAATCTAGTGTACCTCTCACCCTGATTAAACAGCTATCAATACAAGTATGGCAAATTTTGTTTCACCTATACCCCCACCCATTCCCTATACCTCCCACCAGATTATTTTGAAGCAAATTTCAAACATATTATTTTAATTTATAAGGATTTCAGTCTGTGCCTTCGAAAGATAAGGACTAAAAAGAACAAAAACAAACCCAAAAAATCAGGCAATCTCAGTACACACCTAAAATCCATTTATAATAATGCCTTAATATTATTCAGTAGTCAGTCTTCACATTTTCTCACTTGTCTTAGAAATGATTTTGATTTTGCTTTTTGTTTTACACTTTGATTGTTTGGATTGAGATACAAATAAGTATCATATATTCTAATTTATTGATATGTCTCTTTTATTCTGTAGGTTTCCCCTTCATTTTCTGCAAACTTAAAAAATTTTGTGATAAAACAAGCTCTGTAATTTTCCATAGTTGTACTGTAGTTTCCTATAGTCTTGATTTTGCTGACTGCATGGCTGCCCTAAAAGATCATTTAACATGTTTTCCTCTGGCCTGTATCACTTATGAACTGGTAATTACATCTAGATACTTAGTCACATTTTTCCCCCACCTCAGGCCTTTACGGGTGGTGTTTGTATTTCTAATAGGAGGGACAGTCTCTGTTGTTTTCTTTTTTGAGGGTGATGATCATTGTCCAAATCCACTACTTCAGTAGGTTTTGAAACATAACGATACTATAATTCTATCCCATTCTCTTTTTCTTTTTCTTTTCAGCGGAAATACTTTTGCAAAGAGAAGCCCCTCTGCCAACACACCATATCAAATATCTGGTTTTTCTAATCATTTAAGAAAGAGAGAACAAATGTTTTATTTACCTATTTTTAAATTAATAATGTGGGTTATTCCTAGCATCTTCCAAAGGGCACCAGTGAGTTGTTGTGGTTATTTTAGTATCATTATAAAAATGGATATGTGGTTTTAAAGTTTTTACTGTAATAATTATCTTTATTATCATTGCTTAAGTCATCCTGTCTTTTGGCCAGTGGAAACTTATTTAGATTGACATCTGAGTCCTAGTGACACAATTCTAATAATCTTTGATAGCTTCCTTATTCCTTTATATTTTTCCTTTTTAATAGCCATTCTAACTGGGGTACGATGATAACTCATTGTGGTTTTGATCTATACTTCTCTGATTGTTAGTGATGTTGGACATTTTCTTCATATACCTGTTGGCTGTTTGTATGTTTTCTTTTTAGAAACGTCTATTCACGTCCTTTGCTCACAAATAACTTAATGAAGTTATTTGTTTTTTTCCTGTTGAGTTGTTTGAGTTGAATATATTCTAGGCTCACCTTCCCTAGACCTGGATTCAGCCATTTCTCCAAAAAGCCCTATTTTTGTTTGTTGGCAATGGTATTTACCACAATCTGTGTACTAGTGGTGCCTTGCTGTCAGTTTGCAGCAAAGGATTAACTCAGCAGGCATGGGTTGCCCAAACCCTGTACATTCCACAGAAAGTTTAGCCCTTGACCAACTCCTGGGAGATAACTTTGAAGGCCTTGGGATGTCTTTCCTGGTAAGAATGTCTGTTTCTTTAGGACCTTGGAAGGTAGTCTATAGTACCATACCAGGTAGTCTATGCTAACAATGTGATTTTTGATAGATGCCTTGGGCCATGCAGTATCAGTTGACCTTTGGAAATTCATGCCCACATCACTAACCCCAGATTTAAAAAAAAAAAAAAAAAAAAAGGCTTCTGTGGTTGGCACTACCTTGTATGCGCTGCTACACATCATTGCTGGGAAAAATTAAGGCTGTCCATATGACTCCACTGGGACAGGAAAAATGGAAGCTTGTATCTTGTCTTTCTTGCAATCTGCCCTATGTGCCTTTTTCCATTGCTTATTTTAATCTGTATCTTTTCATTGTAATGGACTGTAACCATGAGTACAGCATATTTGCTGAGTTCTGCCAGTTTTTCTAGAGAATCACTGAACCTAAGTTTGGTCTTGGGGATGCCTGACTACAGTCAGAAATTCTGTCTGGATTTCTTCAGCAGGCAGAACTAGAAAATATGTTTTTAAGATGAAAAATGTCATGATTTCATGCCAAATGAAATACAGGTCTACAGGTTCCTACTTAAACTTATCAATCTTGCATCTATATCTCCTTTCAACCACACCAAAAATATATAGTTCTCAATGAAACCAAATAATCACTTTTCTTTATCCTACAACACAGTAGTCTCAAAATAGCAATACCAACTCTACCACCAACAATATGACTACTGAGAACAGTTCAAGGTTTTGTTTTTGTGTTTGTTGTTCTTTTTGTCCTTAGGATTGATCTCAATGGGAATATGTGGCCAAATTGCTGTTTTAAAGTCATGTGAAGGCTGGGCGTGGTGGCTCATTCCTGTAATCCCAGTACTTTGGGAGGCCAAGGCAGGAAGATCATTTGAGACCAGGAGTTTGAGACCAGCCTGGGCAATATAGTGAGAGATTGTGTCTACAAAAAGTTAAAAAACTTAGCTGAGCATGGTGGCGCACGCCTGTGGTCTAAGCTATTTGGAAGGCTGAGGTAGGAGGATTGCTTGAGCCCAGGAGGTGGAGGCTCCAGTGAGCCAAGATCAGATACATGCTCTCAAAAAAAAAAAAAAAAAAAAGTCACTCGAGGTTGCTTTTGTAGCTTAAGTGTGATGATTGAGTTTGTATGTGCATGTGTGAGATGTGCCACCCTCGAACCTTATTATAGCATGGGCACATTACCCATCTGACATGAAAAAATATAAAATAAAGTCATTTGAAATTATTTTTCTTTGTTTCATAATGGTGTTTACTGGCTACACAAATATAATCACATTTTATTTTTGCTTTGGGGGATTATGTATTTATTTAATTTTGTTTTATAATTAAAAAATAATTTATGTTTCTAAAGACAAATCTTTGGAATATTCAAAGATATTCCTCCCTCTCCTCTTCTATACAGCTATTTAAAAATAGTTTTTATTCCCTTGTTGGTTTTTATAATGTAAGCAAATGCACACCTACAGAGATAGGTAGATAGGTTCTACTCTTTCTTTTATATGTAAATGGTAGCTTACTACACATATTTTTCTTTACTTTGCTTTTTTCATTTAACAATATACCCTAGAGATCACTTACTGTATAGAGATAATCCCCATTTTACACTGCACTGTATCATTATGTGGCCGAAGAATTGTTTATTTAACTATTGTGCTGTCGATTCTGATTGATGCCAGTCTTTTGTTATTACAAATAATGCTGTAACAGTACTTTATACATACATCTTTTATCATATTTTTGCTACTGTGGCTTTGGGATAGTGTTCTAAAATCTAGATTTCTGAAAGATAAATTTCAGTATGATTGCCGAGTCAAATGGTAGATGCACATATAATTTTGCTAAATTTCCCCCTATTCCCCTCCATCATCATGATGCCATCTTTTATTCCTACCAGCAATGTAGAAGAGTGTTTGTTTCACCCTAGCCTCACCAATAAAGTATGTGGTCCAAATTTTGGATTTTTGCCAATCTTACTGGTGGGAAATTGTATCTTAGTGTAGTTTCAATTTACACTTATAAGTGAATGATGTTGAGCATCTTTTCCCAGGGTTAAGTGTAATTCTCACTTCTTTTCCTGTGCATTGTCTGTTTGTGTCTCTGATGAGACTTTTCCTCATGCTTCAAGTTATTATATTTTTGTTAACTAACACAGCCTTAAATTCTAGCAAGATCTGACTATGCCAAAGAGACCTCAGGTCCTATGGAAACTCAATTGGAGGGTGGGGTATGGGGACCATGGAGTATCACAGACATGTACTTAGCACATGGACAAAAACAAAGATTTTCAAATATTAATTAGAGTCTTGAATTTTAAGAAATATTGGATTTCTTGGATATTTAAGTTTATTTTATTAATTCATTAATTCAAGTAATATTTGTTGAACACACGCTATGTCCAAGCACTGTTTTAGGCACTGGAGTTACAAGAGTGAACATCTTTTCCTTCCTCAGAAAGTAATGGAAAAAGAAATGATGTTATTCTCCTGATTCAGGCTGAAAGACCATCTCTAAAAGAATAGACTATTCTTTCATATGATTTTCCCCATATTCCCATTTGCCATATTCAGAAATTGCAGGTCAACCCCACTGATAAGTCAAAAGCAGAGGTAAAAATATTGGTTTCTTCCATACAGATGACTGTTGGCGCTAGAAGAGGATCTTGAACCTCTTCCTGACTGATTCTTTTATCAATAAGAGGGAAAAAAAACTCCAGAGACCTTGCCACTGTTCAAAGTCACACAAAGCCGGAGCACCTGGTTTTTAGGTCTTCCTCAATTATTTCCATGGTATCAAACTTGTAGAGAAGCTAAGGGAGCAGAAATAACACAAATGCAACCCTGCTTTTTGGTCCTGTCGGGTCTGGAGAACAACCCTTATTAATGGGACCTTGGGCGATATTTGATGGTGGCATTGTTTCTCTGCTCCGCTTAACTGTTCCCCGGCCAAGCCACAGAGCTCTCCTCTGTCATGGAACAGGTTCAAAGGGACTGCAGGATGTTTTTAGTTTCATAAAAAAGACAATGAAAGCCAGTTAGAGAAAAGACAGAACAAGAAGATGAAAGTAACATGCTGGGAGAGGAGGAAGGCTGCCCTGAGCTGATAAACCATATAGATTGTTCCTGAAGGGAGAGACTAAGGCTCATGGTATGAATTGTACTTAAGCAACTAACATCTTTATTTAAGGGTTCTCTCAATCTCTTTCTGGGGAAAAAAAAAAAATCTATAAGACAGCCCAGAACTAACATAGTTAGACCTGAGTTTGGGCTCTATCTTTGTCACTAACCAGCTGCATGTTCCTTAACAAGTCACTTTAATATCCCGAGCGTTGGTTTCCTCATCTGTAAACTAAGATGAATAATGCCTGGCTGATAATGTGGCTGTGAAGATTAAAATGGGTCATGCCTTTGAATATGCTTTATAAAATTCAGTTCTTCTTTCATTTCCTCAGCCGATTGCTCATGTTCCTCTAATACACTGTCCCCACCCTGGACAACCTCTAGCAGGTATATGCACACCTGAAGATACTGAGACAGGGAGACTGACTAGTTGAGATTCACTGAGGCTGATGTGTCTAGAAAGTTGCTCACTAAGTATTCCCGCAGGGTGTTTGAAGCCTCTTCCTGGATGCCTGGTGAGACGAGACACTTTGAATCCACCTTGCAAAGCTCCTGCTCCAAGACAGCTGCAGCTTGTGCTCTGTAGAGCGATATGAAATAATTGCCCGTTGGCACAATAAGCCCATCTCCTCTCCGGGCAGCACAAAAGAAAGCTCAAAAGCATCTCCGGTTTTGATTGCCAAGTGGGGGAGGCAGTGAAAGTACACTAAATTATGAGTCCAGGTGCCTCTCTACAGAAATCCACTTCCGCCTCGCTGCCGCTCTGAAGGCGCGCAGTGGGTGTTGACGTCACCTTCGGCCACAGGAGCTTGGAGAGGCTGGGGCCCTGACTCCCCGCGGGATCCGCTGGTAGACCAGGGCGTGCTCTCAGACTGGAAGTGCAGGAAGGCTCGCTTACTCTCGCCATAGACCAGACTGACAGGGGTCTGCCAAGGCTGCTGGGAATGTGGGAAGTGAACTTTAGGTGGAAACAGAAAAGCTTCTCTCTCCGTGGGTAGCCTTTTTTTTTTTTTTTTAGTTCAGGAGAGAAAAAAAAAATCATAGAAGCCTGCCAAGCCAAATAAACTATGCTCAATTAAGTCTTTCAACTGTGCAATTCCTCTTGTTGATTTTATGAGGAAAAGGGCAGAATAGAAACATGATGGGCTTGTTTAAAATACTTCAAAAGGGAAGAACCTATATTCTCCTGCTTCCCAGACCGACCTCTTTCGGGCTTTCCTTTCCTCCAGCCATGCTGCAGGCCTTTCACTGTCATCTCCTCCATCTGTGATAAAGCTGTCCACAGAACCCGTCCTCAGCTGCTTTCTCACCACACACCCTCACTCAGGGCATGTCCTCCATGTCATGCCCCTCATCCAGGCCTGTGACTCCCAAGGAGCTGAATCAGCCAAAACTCTCCCTCCCCAACCCCAACTCCAGGCGCTTATACCTCACTCCCCACAGCTGTTTTTATTATTCGTATTCACTGCTACTCAATCCCATCTTGTTTTCAAGAGGACTTAAGGTGGATTCCACAAATACATAAAAGATGAGAACTAAATAAAGTCAAAATCACTGTGAAGATAAAATGAGGGCAAAAAAGGAGAGAGAGCGAGATGAAATCATGGACAAAGTTAGTTCACCAACTCCATTTAGAAAAATCCTGAACAGTTCCTTGACATATATAAGTTTGACTCTGAACTTCCTAGCAATCATTGCAATGAGGAAAGCACAAGTTGTATATAATTCATGGTGTCCTTAACACAATGTGTCTATAGCAGACTTGCTTATATGTAGCAAAAACTTATGACCTAATGGGAATAGAAAAAAAAAAAGAAGAAACCGGGTGCAGTGGCTCACGCCTGTAATCCCAGCACTTTGGGAGGCCAAGGCAGGTGGATCACCTGAGGTCAGGAGTTCGAGACCAGCCTGGCCAACATGGCGAAACCCCGTCTCTACTGAAAATACAAAAATTAGCCGGGCTTGGTGGCAGATGCCTGTAATCCCAGCTACTTGGGAGGCTGAGGCAGGAGAATTTCTTGAACCCAGGAGGTGGAGGTTTCAGTGAGCCAAGATCGTGGAAAAAAAACCCAAAAAACTGAGCAGCAAAAACTTTCCTAGTAAGCAGACCTGAGAGAAAATTATCTGGTGGATTTTCATCAACAAGTAATTTACAATGTAGTGAGCAGTGTCCTCAACAATACTCTAATGATAAATACAAAAATGAGAGACCTAATATTGCTTCTAACAATTTCCTACAATGATGACCAGTGGAATAATGCTAAAGTAGTTATGTAAAAGAATTCCAGAGGGACTCAAGGTGATTCCAACCGAAGATGCAGATCCGATGGCTTGGCTTGAGACAAGGAAAAAGTAAAGAATATTCTATACTTTGTACAACTCTCTGTAAGTACTATTTCTTTTATTGGAAGTTTTGAAATGTATCGATCAGCAGTAAGTCCAAACTTATAATCTCTTGAAATTTCTGGGGTGCAAATATTCTTAGTCGGATTTAAGTGCAAATATTCTTAAATTTAAGCCAGCCTAGAAGGGTGGAGTGGGGTTAGGGTGACATGTTTTTATGTAGGTTGAAATGCTTAATTTAGACACTTGCCCATGCAGAGGCCACTTCCCTGGTTTTGCATAAAGTTGGCTTGAAGGGCTACCAATGAGCAGAAAACAAGGTTTGTTCCAAACCAGGAATATATAAGCAGATGAGGCCAGGTCTCTATGCCCCAGAACAATGCTGCAACAGAAAGGAGAATGGGGAGGAGGAAGACTCATAGGAGAGATGCTAAAGGGATAATGTCTTCAAAACTGGCCACTAGTTGACTTTAAAAAAAAGTGGCATCTAGGAGGACTCTCAGGTTGGGAAAAACTTTCATTCAGGGGCTCTTTTCTTGTCATTGTATTGCTCTGAGCAAATCATTCCCTGTCCAGTTACTGCTGGTAAAGAGAAAAGGGGCTGCTGCAGCCCAACACTACAGGAATCAGCTGCAAGCTTCAAAGAGGGTGCCTCGCCAGAGAAAATAACAAGAGAGGGACTCCCCCGAGCCCACACTTGAGGCCGAGTGACTGCAATCAGGAGCGAAGGCTTCTGAAGAGGAGCAATGCCTGAAGCTGAGGTATAAGCAGTCTCCCAGGGTCAGGGTCTCCCTGAGGTGGAGAAGCCTGTAGGCTGTCCACCCTGAGGGCCTGGGCAAGTGCTTGTGGTCCCTACACCTCATTCCCTTGGTCACCTGCTTGTAGTTCAGCTATAATGGACAGGTCCACTCATGATGCCTCTGCACCTACTCAAGTGCATGCTACGCTTTTCTTTATTCCCTCAGGAGATTTCTACCAACCTATGGGGGGCAGCTGGGAAGTGTGGGGGAGGTAACAGCCCCAGAAACAGCCCTTAGCCAGTAGATCCCTATGGGATGGAAGTGGTAGATAAATGCCCCAGCTGTTCCTCCCTTCAGTGCTACAATCCTGAGGCATATTCTACAGTTTCTCAGAGGGCCCCTAGTAGAATGAGCCTTAGTTGCCCAGGAAGCAGAAGTTATGGAACAAGAAAAGTGGGACAGAAAAAAAGTCAACAAAATCTGTGTTATGGAGTGGGCTATTGCTATGGGATCATCTCCTAAGTAAGACAGGTATCATGATCTCAGGCTCTGCTTTCACAGAAACCTAGACTAAGCCAGCCTCTATCCCAGAATTAGTGAACTATAAGATTGGGTCAAGGAACACTCCCCAAAAGGCATTAGGAAGGAATACAGTAATGGAAAATATAAAAGAAGAGTTAAGAGATCTGGCTGCTAGAAGTAGATTTGTCACTATTCAAATAATAAAAAGGAGGAGTTCCAGGAGCAGACAAGAAAATTTTTGTAATAGTTCAAGTTAGTTTGTCTCTGTTGAACTTTATTGAGTAGATAGATATCAACTGCCTTCTCACTATCTCTTATCTTCAATTTCTCCTACCTTAAAGCTAAGGAAGTAGAGGGGAGACAAGTTCAATGGGTCAGGCATGTTGCCCTTGATTCATTTCCCTTGGCATCTGGTGATCAAAGCTGCTCAGACCTCAGTTTGAGTTGGTCATCTCTCTGCTCTACAGCTAAGACACCATGGCTATTGGCCTTCATCTACCTCAACTCATTGGCTTATCTTCCCAGACATTTGAATTGCAGCTTCTAATCATTGGGGGGAATGACTTTCCAAGACAGTGAGGGTGAAAATCTGGATGTGCACTCTCCTCATGAAGGGAAGAGGAGCAACTGTGGAGCTGTGTTGTTCCTGGCAAGGCCAGAGGGGACAATCTTTGCTGTCTAGGATCAGAAGGAGCTTTAGGCCCTGCCATACCAATGAGGGTCAGAAATGCCAAAATGAGTCTAGAAATTACAGCCTTCACTTTGGTGGCTCCTTAGACTAGCCCAACATCACTTTCCTCTCTCCTTCTTTCTCTTCCTCCCAATACATATTGTTCCTCTGTAACTCTGGGTGAACATCCCATCCCACAAAAATGGCAATGACTTTAGGAGTAATGCTGAGACCCAAGTGGAGGATTTTCCCATAATTTTTCTTTTTTTCTTTCTTTACTTTTTGTTGGGCAAGACAGGGAGGGCAGGTTTTGCTGCGAGAGATCAGAGACCTGCTTTCACAGGCTTTCTGTATGAGCTACAGCAGCTACCTTTCAGCCAGACAGATCTTCTCTAGCCTCTCAGTGGAACCTGTGTGAGATTAATATATCAAGTCCCATTTTCCTGAGAGAAAAACTGAAACATAACTAATAATTAGTTAAGTGTATACTCCCTACATATATATGTCATAGATACTTTTAAATGTATTATTACTAATCCAATATAAAATTTAATTGGAATGTTTTAAAATATTTTATTAACTCAAAATAGGGAGGGAAAAGGGAATTGTAACTGCAAAAACTCAAAACAAAACATAGAACAACAAACAGGAAAATGGTAGACTTTCAAAACCATATCAATAATTACATATAAATGACTTAAACCATTCAATTTAAAAGGCAGAGATTGTCAGAATGGATTTTAAAAAGAAGATCCCCTTTAAATATCATAACAGAGATAAGTTGAATGTAAAATAATGAAAAAAATACCATAAAGACAATAGGCATAAAAACGTTGTCATATTAATTTACCAGAGATCAATAGGAATATTTCTCTATTGACAAAAGCCAATTCAGTAGGAAGACATGGCTACTTTAAATGTGTGTGCCTAATAACAGAACTTCAAAATAAATTAATCAAAACTGATAGAAATTTAAGAACCAATATCATTTATAATAGTATCAAAAATATAAAACACTTTTAAATTTAACAAAATACTTGCAAAACCTTTATGGCTAAAGCTAAAAATTACCTCTGAGAGAAATTAAAGAGACCTAATTAATAGAAAAGATATGTCATTTTCATAAATTTGAAGACTCTATATTAAGATGTCAATTTTCCCCAACTTGATCTATTAATTAAATGC
This sequence comes from Homo sapiens, assembly GCF_000001405.40. Classification (NCBI taxonomy): domain Eukaryota; kingdom Metazoa; phylum Chordata; class Mammalia; order Primates; family Hominidae; genus Homo; species Homo sapiens. The sequence continues at coordinate 167,048,921 of NC_000001.11, forward strand.
AATCCCAATCAAAATCATAAGCATATATTTTATAAATGTAAAAGTTGATTCTTAAATTTATGTAGAAAAGCAAAGGATCTAGACTCGCCAAAACAATCTTAAATAATCAAGAGGACTCTACAATGAAAAATGATGATATCATGAACCTACACTCACCAAGACAGTGCAATATTGGCAAAAAGATAGACAAGTGGATCAATGGATAGTTTTTTAATTGTGATGAGTAGGTCTCTGTAGAAATGAGTGCCCACATTAAGAGTGACTGACTGTGATGCTTGGTGCTAACAGATTTAGCACCAAGATTTAACATCACTTGTGTTTTTGCAAGGGTTGTTAATGTTTTGAAAGTGATCTGGTTGCAAAGGCCCATTGGTTTTCAAAGTTCCATTGGTTTTATGTGTTCTTCCTCTAATCCTAACTTTCCTGTATGTCCTATTAGTTTTAGTGTGTGATTTTGAAGAATGCAAGGTTTTTCAGAAATGCATATATATTGTTATACCTGAGATGCCTGTATTATAAGTAACAACTGCCATATACAAATTTTACAAATTTAAAACAAAAAACCTTAACTCTGTCTCCACTCCCACATGTCCTCCATTCCATCATCCTGTTCATACACGGAATCAAGAGAAAATGTTTTCAAGTAGAAAGAGCAACATCTTCAGAATCAGACAGAATTGAGTCTAATCTTCATTCCATCACCTACTAGCAATGCTACCTCCAATGAGTTTCTGCTTCTGAGCCTCAGTTTCCTCATCTGTAAAATGGAGAGGGTATGTGGAACTTAGGAAGAGGCAACTGTGGCAGAAGCCAATAGCTGTTTTTTTTCTTCCTGAGCACATATAATAAGGTCACAAGTTTGCATTTCCTTGCCTTCCCTGCACAATGTGTGGCCTTGTGACTAGTGCTTGCCAATGGGCCAACGGCATGTGGGCACAATCAGGGTGGTCACTTCGGGATCAAGTCTGAGGAAGCATTTGCACCTTTGCTCTGCTCTCCTTCCTCTCTGCTGGCTGGTTTCAGACAGTTTCCAGGCCCTTGAAGATAGAAGTCCCACTAATGTAAATAGTTGGAGATGAACAGAAGAGTGGGCCCCTGAGTCTTTCTCAACTGTGTGAGAAAGAAACTTCTATTGTATTTGAGTCATTATAGCTTTTTAGTCCACTTTTATAGCAGTTTAGCTCATCTTAATTGAAACAAAAAATTTACTCAACAACATGGAAATCAGGGAAATGAGACTACCTCTTAGAGATAAACTTTAAAATCCTAGATCCGAGCAGAAATATTCAGTATCCCCTCAAGAGGAAAGACCAGTTCCCAGACCTAACAGTTATTTGGAGCTGGAGGAAAGTTTTAGCAAATAAAAAGGCAGTGTATGCATGAGAAAAAATGTTGTAGGAAGGGATGACACGGTGAGCTGAGGAAGTGCAGACAAATGGCCGTCACAGACAGAAACCAGGCTGAGTCTTTCTGGAAACCTACCTGAGGAGAGGCAGTCTCGGTGAGCAAACTCAATAGCCAAGCGTCCCCAAAGAGGCCCTCCCCATCGGACCAGACTTAACAATAGGATCACTTCTGCAGATGCCCCGGGCCCCAAGCCAGAATATCCAGGGATGGAGCCAAGACCAGAGAATCTTCCAGAATTTCCACAGGGGATATGACACCTACTGATACAGACTGCCATCAAAGATGAGAGCTCCTTGATAGTAGCCGACTTCTCTTATTCTGATTCCATGCCCAGTAAGCAACTGAGGGCATAGTGCCCATGGGGTGAGATGGCCTGGGTCAGGTGGACAGAAAGGCTGGTCTACTTGACAGCTATAAATAGCAAATTGACATTCTGTGTTGATCCAAATTGCTTAAATTCACTGTGTCTCAGCTTCCTCATCTGTAAAATGGGAAGAATAATAGCACTTATCTCATAGGGTGAAGATTATGAGATGTTCTATGGAAAAGGCCTAGAACAGTACCTGGCCCAGAGCAAGTGCTGCTGCTATAAGCATTGTACATCAGGCACTGTGAGCTTGGTTAATGTGACTCTGCATTTGAGAGCTGAGGCCCTGTCACTGTGTCACAAAAGCAGCTTAAGAACAAGACTTTTTGGGAGGGAGAGCATTAGGACAAATATGTAATGCATGTGGGGCTTAAAACCTAGATGACGGGTAGATAGGTGCACCATGGCACATGTATACATATGTAACAAACCTGCACGTCCTGCACGTGTATCCCAGAACTTAAAGTAAAATTAAAAATAAATAAATAAATAAATAACAAGATCCTGAAGAGTGGCTAATTTACCAAGCTGTGTATCAGTTCATGGATTCCTCTCTGGGCAGCCAGAGTCCCTCCTTAGGTGATAACATGAACACCTAACATTGGCATATGCCCAAGTATTTGAAACTGCGAGTGGGGATTATATGGAAAACTGTCTGAAGTGCCTAATAAGGGTTTATAGTACACAATCTTCCCTCAATTAATGGGTAGCATTTGTCTCTCTTCTAAAACACCATAAAGTCTTTGAACCAGCAGCTGGAAACCATAATTTGGGAAGGGATGCCTAACATTCTAAGGAGACTGCATTGCTGGGCTAATTTTGATTGTATAAGAACCTACAACAGTCCAATTCCCAGAGTCTGTGGACCGAAATAAATTCAGCAGGAAACTGTAGTCTTACTGAGTGATAATATGATTTGACACCCAAGTAATAGAAACATGCATTGGAGGACAGAAGAAATGTCAGCACCAGCCCTTTTCCACTTGTAAAACTCCTCATTCTTCTTCAAGATGCAGCCCAAATGCAACCTCCTCTCTGAAGCTTTCCTGAACTCCCTTAGGCTGAGTTACTCAGGCCCTCCTGTGTCCTGTAGCCCCTTCTCTTGCTCATGTAATTATGTTTCTATGTCTGTGACCGCCATTAGATTTTAGCTCCTCCTGAATAACAGTTTCTTAGTGACTTTTATATACTCTGCAAACAGCACACTGCTTGGCACGTAGTAGATGCTCACAAAATATTTGTTGTTGAATTAATGCAGTGGGTCTCGATTTCCCTCCTTTTCTTCCCTAAGCCTGGAGCTAAGGCAGGTGAACCTTCAGAGTCCTTTGAGGGGCAGAGAGAAGTCAAGTCAAACCTGGGGGAAGGTGGCCGCCTCTGCTTCCGTGGCTCCCTCAAGAACATGCTTGTGGAACCTTGCACCGTGAGGACTGGAAGGCACCTCAGAGTATCTAGAGAGCTAGGAGATGTCCTTGGGCAAGATACTGTGATACCAAATGTTATTCATTTAACAAACCTTTGTCAAGGGTCAACACATGCCAGGCCATAAAGAAGCTACAGTTCCTATCCTTACAAATCATACAGGGTGAGGCAGAGACAGACCTGTACACAGGTATAATAGGCACACAGTACTGTGTGACAAGTGCTCGGACAGGAGGGAGCACAGGAAAGGACACTGAAGAACAGACCTTGAATATCTCGCAGGAGAGTCCATGTCAAAGCCAAGAGCCCACAGCGGAGCGAAGTTGCCTTGGAGGAGGAAGCGTCACAGTTCTCTGTGACAGAACAAGAGGACTGCCCCGCCCCTTTCTCAGAAGGGGCATCATAGGAAGCAGAACTGGCTAGAGCATCTCCACCATCTTCCTTCAAGCACGTGGACCGACACCCAGGCCTCCTGGTGTCCTGACACTGCAGACTCCTGGAATATACCTCCACCAGCAGGCAGGAATCTGTCCTATTCCCAGCAACCACTAGAGGCACTGCCTGACCCTACTGCGGCCACAAGCAGAGGGACCCCAGGATTCTCAAATCTGTTACCTTGTCTCACCTCCCCTAGGAAGCAGAAGAGTGCTATGGTGAGTAGAGATGATCCATGAGACCCAAGCTTTATCTTACTGCAAACAAAATCCACATTAAAAAAGAAATAAGAATTTCCACCCACAATTTTATTATTACTGAAAGCATTTGGAATGAAGCAAAGGATTTAACAATATATATAAAAATATACATTTTTTAAAAAATCGCAAGTAGACAATAGATTTATGGAATTATTTTTCTGATCATCCAGAAAAGATAGCAATAGTAAACTGCAGTTGGGTGAGACCAGCCACTGGTCCATGAGACCTAAGCAGCCCTAACGCTGCCTGAGCTCTCAAGAGTAGAAGAAATGCTCGACAAACAGAAGGAGGCTGTGGGAGGGCAGCAGGACAGCCCCACCAGAAAACCAGAGCCCAAATGGGCTGGGCAGGGCCAGGGCTGAGGTATCGGGATGCAGGAACAACCAGGAACCCCATGTGGGTTGAGGAGACATGCCAATTATTCTGGCCTGGAGAGGAATTACCAGGACACAAGAACTCAGACCATCTGCAAGCAAGCTCCCTTGTGTGTGTTCACTTTAAATCAATTCGTGTTTAACTCACTGAATGAATACGTGGGTTTGGGTGGGAATCATCCCTGTGTCTACGATCATCTCAAGGAGACCAGAGAAGGGAAGGCACAACCAATCAAAGCAGTTTCCCCAATTAAGCTTAAGTGCCCACTAGGATGGGCGCCAGCTACTAGGGCTTCAGGGAAAGCAAAAGCCATGAGGCCCAGGCCCTGCCCCAAGGAGCTGGCGCTCTAATACAGTGAGAGCACTCGCTCAGAAGACTGTGCCTTGTGGCCCATGATTGGACGTGGGACAGAGTAACAGGATTGTTTCCACGTATGTGGACAATTAGGATAGGGTTAGAGAAATCCTTGTGATTTGAGATGGGCCTGGAGGGACAGGTACGATATTGACAGGCAGAGATGGAAAGTGTGTGGGCAAAAGCTCCCCAGGGCCTGTGCAGCAGGAGTGGGAGGTGGCCTTCCCAGGAGGGTTTGGAACATACTGGCAGCTACGGGAAGTGAGGTTGGAAAGGGAGTGGGAGCTGGAGGCCAGGCCAATGCAGGGCCCAAGCATACTCACTTATTCTTTCATTCATTCAAGAAAGATGTGTGGAGTGCAAACCCTCCACCTGGTGCCCCTCCAGGTGCTGGGCACACAGGTGAGCAGGACAGCCCCCACCCCCCAAGGCTGGCATCGCCTCCCTGGAGAGTTCTGAGTGGGAGCGCCCCATGCTCAGCGCTGTGCTTCCAGGAGCTCCTGCCAACTACGAGGGAAGTGGAGGCTGCAGCCTGGTCTTGAGTGAGGGCCAGGCCCGCACCAGGTGTCACAGCCAGGAGGGGTTACTTCACAGGACAGTGAGGTCAGCAGGATCAGCACAGGGACCCCCTTACCAGGCCAGCCATGTTCCCCACAGCTGACACTGGGGAAGAAATGTCCCCATCAATGTCTGGGATGGAGGGACAGGAGAACAGGGCTTAGAAAGGAGAAGGGAGGCCAGGAAGCGGGAGAATGAACCCCTAACCCTTCCTCCGCCGCCCTCTGCTGCTGGCCTGTCACTGGTCGAGGTGGTCCGGGGATTCACGCCCAGTGCTCCTCTGCTCTTCTTGCCTGTAGTCATCCTCCTCCTCCCTCTCTCTGGAAAGTTCTCTTAGCTGCTCTGGTGGCTCCTCATAGGCTTCCCGGTTCCTGCAGGGCAGCAGGGGACAGAGGGGAAGGATTTGCTCTCAGGTGGACCCTCAAGGGAGCTGGGCCTCATGTGCATTACAGGAAGAGCAGCCTCCAGACCTCCTCCCCACCCACCAGCTGCAGAGGACACTGGGCTGAAAGGCTGGGCTGAGAGTAAAGGTGCCACAGACTTGTTCCACGCATGAGCTGAGGGGGTTACAGGAACAGGCTGGCTTTACCAGCCCAGGAGGAACTGGCCCCGTGACAGGGGCTCCAGGCCACACTTGGCTCTAGTCATGCCACAGGAAGCCCGGCCCTGAGCTCCCAGACTGGAAAACCACAGGACTGGGAGGCAGGTCCTGGGGCTGCAATGCACATTTTATGGCTTGGACAGGTCATTGTTTCATCAGCACAAAATGGGGGTGATATACCCCAAGGGGTGCTGCAAGTAGAAGAGGCTGTGAGGAATTGGGAAGCATATTTCCAGTCTCCCCAGACCCTTCCAACAGGCTACCAGCCCAGACACTCACGGCCTTGCATCCTCCTTGTCTTCAGTGTTGTCGTCCTTCCCTCGGCAGCAGCAGCAGTAGATGATGATGCCAATGATAATGAGGGCTGCAACCACGCCCACCGCGATGCCCACATACAGGGCCACGTTCATGGAGGCTGCAAGAGGACAGAGCAGCTGCACTTGCCGAGCTTCTAAGCTAGCTCCGGGTCTCCTCCCAGCCAGGGGAGCAGCAGCTACCAGCTTCTGGTAACACTCCATGAAAGGCATGGTCTTGGAGGAATGTGACCAGCCATGGCCCAGGAATATTCTTCAGGATGGAGGTGCAGACAGAGACATATGGTCCACTTCACATCTTAACACTTTCCGGGCTACCCTGGCTCTGCAAAAGTCCTCAGATGTCAGCCCAGCCAGCTCTTTAAGCTAGATTTGGTGTCTCACCCCAGAAGGATGTGGTCCAGACTCTGCGGCAGCTGCCCTGGGCACTTCCTCCACGCCCACCGAGTGGTTCCTAGGCAGGTGGGACTGACAAAGCCTCTGAGTCCTAGAAGTCAGTCCTAGGTTCCACTTCCAAACACCAGTGGAACTGGACTGGCCTCAGAGTGAGGGGAGCCTGGGACAGAGTCATCCTGCCTAGGTCACCACAGCTAACCTGCAGGTGCGTGGCCCTAGAGAGGTTCCCCTATTCCTCCTCACGGTGGTCTCAGCTGACTTTCTGGACCCCCACCAGTTATCCTGTGGCGTTTGTCAGCCCTCCCCCCGCAGGCTGCTCTTACGAGATCTGACGGCCACCGTGATGTTGCAGAACTGCGTCCCCTCCTCATTGCTGGAGGTACAGATGTAGTAACCCGATGTGTCTGTGGAGATATTCTTCAGGGAGACAGGCTGACCTGAGGCTGCAGGGGAAGAAGAGTCAGGGTGAAGAGAGGCACTACAGTGGAGTGGAGACAGCCAGGAATGGGAGGTCTGGACTCCTTGGGAAGCACAACCTCTGCCACTGAGCTTCTTCAGGCCGGAGCCCCATGTCCACCTCCAGGGCTGCAGGACGCTTAAACCAGGCAGGGCCCACAATGTGAAGTGCTCAGAATTCAGTCAGGCACCCTGGGTTTGACACCTGGCTCTGCCACTTATTAATTTGTCTTTAGCAAGTAACTCAGCTTCATTCAACCTCCATTTCCTCATCTAAAATCAGAAATAATAGTACCTGCCTCACAGGGTACTTGCAAGCATAAAATGAGGTACTAATAATAAATATAAGCCCACAACAGAATGCCTGATATGTAGTAAGTGCTCAGGAAACATAATGCACATTATGTATTACATGAAAATGCTTTCTAATCAGAAGATATTATTACTTTTATGATCTTCAGAAACCAAATCTCTTAGCTTAGACTCATATGAAAGAAGCCTTTGGAAATCAAAAACTCTGATCTCTGGATTTCTGCCATGAGAGAGGTGTGTGGGGTGTATGTGTGTGTGTGTGTCTGTGTGTTATGTGGTGTGTGTGGTGTGTCAGTGTGTGTGGTGTGTCAGTGTGTGTGGTGTGTGGTGTGTCAGTGATGTGCAGCGTGTGTGTGCTGTGCTCTGTGAGAGTAGTGTGTGTATGGTATGTGGTGTGTGTGGCATATGTGTGGTATGTGTGTATGTGGTGTGTGTAGTGTGTGTGGTGAGTGTGTGATGTGTGTGGTGTGTGTAGTGTGTGTGGTACGGTGAGTGTGTGATGTGTCTGGTGTGTGGTGGGTGTGTGGTGTGTGTAGTGTGTGTGTAGTGTGTGATGTATGTGGTGTGTGTGGTGTGTGTATGGCGTGTGTGTGGTGTGTGTGGCATGTGTAGTGTGGTGCGTGTGGTGTGGTGTGTATGTGGCAGCGTTTGTAGTGTGTGTGGTGAGTGTGTAATGTGTGTGGTGTGTGTGTGGTGTGTGGTGTGTGTGGTGTGTGTAGTGTGTGTGCTGCATGTGGTGTGTGTGGTGTGTACTGTGTGTGGTGTGTGTGGCGTGTGTAGTATGTGTGGTGTGCAGTGTGTGATGTGTGGTGTGTGGTGGGTGTAATGTGTGTGGTGTGTGATGTGTGGTGTGTGTTGCATGTGTAGTGTGTGTGGTATGGGGGGTGGTGAATGTGTGTGCTGTTGGGGTGGGACGGAGGCAGACTGTCTAGACTCTTCCTCTACATCTGCCGCCACTTGAGCAAGCCATTTAACTTCTTTGAGCTGTAGGCTTCCTTCGGAAAGCAGGAGTGAAAACACCTGATCCTCCTGAATCGAAGAGAACGGACCAGAATATCTCATGGAAGACCTTTCCCCTCAATCTATCATCCTATGAATTTCTTCATCTTGAAAGCAAGAGCTTTGTGCTTGGGCATATGTATATGTCCTGCCATCCAAGATGCTTTGTTATAACTGCTATTTTGAGAGGAGCTGGAGACCTACCTCCTCTAATTTTGCTGCAGAGCCAGCCTTGCCTGATCCCTGCTGCCACCAGGTGGTTACACGCCATCCCTAAGAGACGCTCTAAATTGTAAATACGATCCTGTCACTGCTCTGTTCAGACATTTCAGGGGCTGCCCAGCAACCACTAGACGTAATCCTCAGTAACAAGTCCAAGCTTCAGGTCACAGATCTGGCCCTGTCAATCATACCAGCTTTGCCTCTTGCCACTTGGTGCTAGGGGCAAAACCAGGGGAGTTGTCCTCTCTCCGCCCCACCGTCACTTTCCTGCAAGATTGCATCTCAAGATTTTCCTTCTCCGGATGTGCTGCTCAGTACACATCCTCAAATGTGATGTCCTTTCATCCTTCCAGCAATCCTCAATATTTCAATCTCCAATTCATGGAGTTAACTGGAGGCTTAAAGAAGTTAAGTGAACTGCTCAAGGTCACAAAATTAAGAAATTATAAAACAGGAACAAAAATCCTGTTTCAGGTCTAGAACTCCCTGGAGCCATTGATAATTTTCTTTTAAAAATTTGTGGCCGGGTACATTGGCTCACGCCTGTAATCCCAGCACCTTGGGAGGCCAAGGCGGGCAGATCACTTGAGGTCAGGAGTTCGAGACCAGCCTGACTAACACAGTGAAACCCCGTCTCTACTACAAATATAAAAATTAGCCGGGCATGGTGGTGTGCGCCTCTAGTCCCAGGTACTTGGGAGGCTGAGGCAAAAGAATCGCTTGAACCTGGGTGGTGGAGGTTACAGTGAGCTGAGATCGCACCACTGCACTCCAGCCTGAGTAACAAAGCGAGATTCCATCTCGAAAAAAATATGTATAAAAATAAAATTTTGTATGATAAAAGCAATGTATGCTCCTTATAATAATTTATAAATGATATAAAACTATTATTTCAATTCAATTCAATACAGAAAATCTTTAGCTGCTGATCACAGCTATAAACGAGATGAGGAGGGTCCCTGTCCTCTTGGTGTTTCCAGTCTCCCAAAGAAGACAGACATGAAACAATGATGGTTACAGTTCAAGATGGAGGTACTATCTGAGCTTATGGCAAGGGGTTTTAATCTCATCCAAAGGGCCAAGGAATGCCTCTTTAAAGAAGAGAGAACAAATAAAAATCATTCATAATTCCATCACCTATAAATAACACTTTGATTTGGTGCTATTTTCTTTCAGTCTTTTCACTTGTACTTTCTTCAAATTCTTCCCTTGACCCCCAGGACACTACTCTCTGGATGCTCATTCTTCATAAAATGTGTCCCCTTCTATCCTAGAATTCCACGCCTCAGTATGTTTTCTGGAACATTGTTTACATGTGATATTAACATGCGGCATGGAGAAGGAGTCCCTAAAAAAGCAAGTTTAGGAATCACTGAGTTAGGATTAAGTAATCTTTCTAAGGGCAGCACTTTCAGAGCTCCTACAATGCTGTTGAGCACTGGGAACTTCTGACAGCGGGGTGTGGTATTCATGCTCTCATTTGCTAAATGAATCGGATTTGTTATTTTTAAGAGGCATCTTGAAGGAACACACTTTAGGAAATGCTCTATGGCCCTGGGCATACTTAGGAGGTCTAGAGCTCATAACAGATCCCCACCACTTAAGAGTGTGAAGCTCGGACTCTGGATTTAGTGTAGGCAGCACACTGCAGACAGTCAGGACTTTTTTAGTTGTCAGAGTCCAGCTTTGAGCTCTAGGCCTTGTTTAGGGTGGGGAACATGGGGTTTCCTAGTCCAATGAGTCAGCGCTATCCTCCCCCAGTTCCCTGATGCAAACCGTGTGCACTGGAAGCTGCTGGGATGAACCAGTGCAGGTCTTGTGCCACAGGACCTTCTTTGATTCCGAGTTGGGGCTCCCAAGCCCCTTTTCCTTCGGAAAGGGACTAGTAATTTCTGATATCCGGAGAAAACTAATGTTTCCGCTGCAGTGGCGACACCTTGTGGTCAGAAAGGGGAATGCACAGGACGGTCATACGCTTCCCACCTTCCTCTGCTCCAGCTGTGGAGAGATTCCCCTCAAGAGAACCTCCTGTCTCACCAAGACGCTAATGTCACGTTGACAAGACCTAACGTTTCCGCATCCCCCCAACCCCTACCCAATCCTGTAGCTTGTCGACAAGCCCCTGCTGCCACCTCTCTCTCACAAAGGGCCCTCACGATCCTCCTTGGACTGGTCCCCACCCTTCACAACCGCCTCCCCTTAAGTGCTCCAGGCCCCAGAACTACCCCCTCCCCCACTTCCTTGATATCCAAATTCCTGTTTCTTCAGTGCATGAAACTCAGCTTCCTGGGACACAGCTTACAAAGTCTGTTCAGAGCTATTACACATGGGATCTCCTCTCATCCTCTTCACAGCTTTTGGGGAATCCCAGTTTTTTTCAAAGGGCAGTACTAAGGGTCCGAGAGGCTGTGAGTGACTCACAGCTCCAAAGTGGAGAAGTCAGGACTTCTTGTTTCCTGATTCTGGATTCCCTGTTCTTTTCACTGCTAGCTTGTTTCCACTGAGGGTTTAGTCAAAGGAATGAATCTCTAATGTTGGAAATTGTCTTCAGATGTAGGAGAGCAGAGGTACCCTCCTCTCCAAATCGTCCATGGTGGACTGAAATGTTTTAAAAGCCAGAAATAATTTGGGCTGACCCACAGAGGAAGAAGAATTAGCAGATTCTCTCTATTTATTTTTTGTTTGTTTGTTTTGTGTTTTTAAGATAAGATCTGGCTCTAGTGCCCAGGCTGCAGTGGCACCATCTTGGCTCACTGCAACCTCTGCCTTCCAGGCCCAAGGATCTTCCCACCTCAGCCTCCCAAGTAGCTGGGACTACAGGCACACACCACCATGCCAGGCTAATTTTTGTATTTTTGGTAGAGACAGGGTTTCACCATGTTGCCCAGGTGGGTCTCGAACTCCTGTACTCAAGCGATCCACCCGCCTCAGCTTCTCAAAGTGCTGGGATTACAGGCATGAGCCACACTGCACCTGGCCAGAATTGGCAGATTCTCCAAGGCTCTGCAAAGCAGAGTGGAAACGAAGGCTTTGAGAACTCTGCCCTCACCCCGCAATGTCTCCAGATGCCAGGGCATGTTGTTATGGACATTAACCATATTCTTTTCTGTCACCTGCAGGTCCCCATTCTGACTCAGCAAATCTTAACTAGAGACAGGATAAAGCTTTCACAAATTAAAGCTTTCACAAATTAAAGAAGCAATTCTCTTTTCACCTCCTTTCCTGTCCTCAGGATTCTCCCTTTTGGATAATGAAAGAACTAAGTTTTGGCTTCTAACAACCAGAAGAGTCTCCCTGTGGAGGCAGGAGAGAACTGCAGCTGGGCTGCCCCTTTGTGAGGCTCCTCAGAAGGTACCCGTGGCTTACAGGGCAAAGACGAACCTCCCTAGCGTAACGCACAGGCTCTTCATGATTTCTCATCACTGTGTTTCTTAACAAGAGTATCTCCCACCATTCCTACACCTACACACGCACCCTACCCCTTAGCCACACCAGACAGTCATGATTCCTTCCTGTTCTCCATGCCAAGCCTCCTCATCCTTGAGGACCCAACTCAAATAACAGCTAATAACACTTAGCATTAAATGAGTGCTTACTGCCTACCAGGCACTAGTCTCAATGCTTCACATCTACTTTTATTTAATCTTCACAACCCTATGAAGTAAACACTAGCATTGTACCCATTTCATAGACATAGAACCTAAGGCACAAAGAAGCTGAGTCACTTGCCAAGGTCATACAGCTAACAAGTGTCCGAGCCAGGAGTCAAGCCCATGGCATGCTCTTAACCACTGTCGACTCCAATACCCACTCCTTGGAGAAACCTTCTTTGATCTTCTTATGCATCTTCTGTGTTACATCACCACTGGGTATAAAGCTATTATAGCATCTGCCACCTGTAACCTTCAGCTTTGGGTCTCCATATACACACTTTGCAGGAAAGAAGATCAGACACTACCAGTGTCCACAGCACACCTACCATGACCATGGCTGGAGTCACTAGACTATTCATAGGCCAGAGAGAGGAGGCCACAGAGCCCCCGGGGAGCTGCCAGGTGGTTTCAACAAAAATTCCAGACACACTCGATAAAAAGTTGCCAACCAGAAATACGTAAACACAACTGGAAGCTTGTTGAAAACCTACATTACATTGACCTATTTTAAGTTAGGTCGAGTGGATTCTACTAACTGTTTTTTTTTTTTTTTTTTTTTTTTTTTGAGACGGAGTCTCGCTCTGTTGCCCAGGCTGCAGGCTGGAGTGCGGTGGCGCGATCTCGGCTCACTGCAAGCTCCGCCTCCCAGGTTCACGCCATTCTCCTACCTCAGCCTCCGGAGTAGCTGGGACTACAGGCGTCCGCCACCACGTCCGGCTAATTTTTTGTATTTTTAGTAGAGACGGGGTTTCACCGTGTTAGCCAGGATGGTCTCGATCTCCTGACCTCGTGATCCGCCTGCCTCAGCCTCCCAAAGTGTCTACTAACTTTTTTAAGAAGTCGATTTGCCCCCAAACGAGTGATAAAGCTCTTCCTGGATTGAGTGCACCCCCAATGTGTGCATCCGTCCGGCTGGGCTTATCCAGGACACCAGATATTCTTCCCCCGGGTCCTCATCCCCACCCCCGGGGCACCTCATCTTCTCAGAAGAGCTGTGTGCCCTGCTGGCTTTGCTTTCCACCTCTGGCCTCCTTTTCCACCTACACTGAACTGAAAGACCTCCCAGAAGCTAAATCGGATGGACACCTTTCAGGCCTTGTCTTTCTTTTTAAAAAATATTTTATTTATTTTATTTTATTTTACTTTATTTTATTTTATTTTACTTTATTTTATTTTATTTTATTTGAGGCAGGGTCTCGCTCTGTCACCAAGGCTGGAGTGCAGTGGTGTGATCATGGCTCACTGCAGCCTCGACCTCCAGAGCTTAAGCAATCCTCCCACCTCAGCCTTCTGAGTAGCTGGGACTAAAGGGTGAGTCCTGCCATGCCCAGCTAATTTTTTAAAAATTTTGTTTGGAGACAGGGGTCTCACAATGTTGCCCAGACTGGTCTTGAACTCCTAGCCTCAAGTGATCCTCCTGCCTCAGCCTCCCAAAGTGCTGGGATTACAGGCATGAGCCACGGCACCCAGCAAGCCTTGTCTTTCTTGATCCTCAGGAGCAGGGGTGGCACTAGGGGCCCTGGGACTCCACCAGGGTATTTCCACACCCATTGGCTCTGGGTGTGGAAAGGATGGTAGGATTTTTATATAGCTCTTTCTTTTTTTTTTTTTTTTTTTTTCAGTTTCCTGACTGAAAGGTCCAATACCAAGCTGCCCAGTACAAAACTGGTCTCCTGGCAACTATAGCTGAATCCACCATCGCCTCCCCTAAGAAGGTGGGACCCTTACAGCAACATGGTGCTGTCGTTGTGTGGAGCCATAAAACGGTGGTGTGTCTGGGGCAGCGGGGGTCCGTGACGGCTGAGAGGGACCGGCCTGGATAAGGAATGGGAAAGTTAAATTCCCCACCTTTGCGTGGAGCCCCCGAGTTAGACTTGGGGTCTCAAATGTATACTTCAGGACACAATCAAATTAAAATCCTACCCATGCTTTTGCACAGAGTGCTTATCAGGGCACGTTCATCCAAGAGAACTGAGGAATGAGGAACAAAGAAAACAAGTTAACATTTACCACGGCTTCCGCTACGCGCTTTACATGAATCATTTTTGTTTCTTGCCAGAACCTATGAGGTAGGTATTATTATAAGAAACCAGTGCTGGCCGGGCGCGATGGCTCACGCCTGTAATCCCAGCACTTTGAGAGGCTGAGGCGGGTGGATCACCTGAGGTCAGGAGTTCAAGACCAGCCTGGCCAACATGGTGAAACCCCGTCTCTACTAAAAATAGTGGTGGGCACCTGTAATCCTAGCTACTTGGGAGGCTGAGGCAGAAGAATCGCTTGAACCTGGGAGGAGGAGGTTGCAGTGAGCTGAGATCGTGCCAACTGCACTCCAGCCTGGGCCACCTGGCGAGACTCTGTCTAAAAACAAGAAACCAGTGCTTAGAGAGGTGGGGATAGGGGGATAGGGATGGGTAGGGAAGCAAGCGGCCTTCAGGGGGATCTGATCGGTCAACCCAAGTTGCAGCCCCTAGCCAATCAGCTGCATGTGTTGCACTTTGACGTGGGGAGCCCGCCTTCCCTACTGCCCCCTTACCTGGCTGGGCCAGGGGCTGCTCCTGATTCAGGATGTTGTACCTCTTCCAGCTGTACTGAGGGGTTGGTGAGCCCTCCTTTGATTGGCAGGTCAGCTGGATGTTGTTCCCAATTATGGTCTCTCCCTCGATGCCGCATTCTGGTTTGGAGGGTGGCACTATATAGAGGAGAGACCAAAGAGAAGGCATGAGGCAGGTGGGGCTTGGTGACAGCCACCCACCCCTCCCCACCCACCCCCCACACACATATACTGCCTTGTTTGTTCACAGGCAGAAAACTCCATAGTTGAGTAGTGAGATGGAATGCTGTAAAACCAATTCACCCCAATATGGCCTCAGTGGTCTGTCACCACCACAAAGGAGCAGTACATATGCTGGGAAGCATTGCGGGCCTGCAGTAGCTTTCCAAGGCATGGCCTCATGTGTGTTCTAGTTTACAGTCATGGGATTTTAAAGATAGCGGAACATGGCCGTTAGAAAGATGGGGTTCGAGATGAGTTTGAGACCAGCCTGGTCAACATGGTGAAACCCCATCTCTACTAAAAATACAAAAAATTAGCCGGCCGTGGTGGCACCCACCTATAATCCCAGTTACTCAGGAGGCTGAAGCAGGAGAATTGCTTGAATCTGGGAGGCGGAGGTTGCAGTGAGCTGAGATCGTGCCATAGCACTCCAGCTTGGGCAACAAGAGCAAAACTCTGTCTCAAAAAAAGAAAGAAAAGAAAAAAAGAAAAAGAAAGAAAGAAAGAAAGAAAGATGGGGACATTGAGGCCCAGAGAGGACACTTGCTCATAGGTACTGGCAGAGCTGGGACTAGATCTCAGCTCTTATAACTCCAGATCCTGTGCACTCTCCACCAGCCCATATGAGCTCCTTCTGCCACTAATTCATTTGTGCCATTTTGGGAAAATCCTCACTTCCCCTCGACCTCAGTGTTCCATTCTGTAAAATTAGTGGACTACAAACCTGTTCTGTAAAGGGCCAGGTGGCAATATTTAGGCTTCGCAGACTACATATTGTCTTTGTTGCTGCTACTTTTTCTCTTTAAATAGTATGTTAGAAATGTAAAAACAGTCTGTGGGCTGGATTTGGTCCTAGTTTGCCTACCCCTGAACTAAGTGATCTCTGAAGCCTTCCACTCTTAACTTCTTAGTAATGTTCTTTCTGGGTTCAGCACCATCCTCCTCCTGTGCTTTGCAGATAACGTGCAGTTGCCATAAGCACGGGATGATGGGCGGAAGCAGTTGCCATAAGCACGGGATGATGGGCGGACCCACAGGCAGCAGTAAAGTTATGTGCAGGGTGAAGGATGAGGACTGAGGGGACTCGAGCAGGCAGAGGGCGCAGAGGTAAGGAGAGGGAAGCCCATAGACTGGAGGTTACCCAGAACGGCAGCCACCCTCATCTCACAACCCCAACCCGATTCCCTGGATTTCTGGGAAGCTTAAGCCTGTGCCTTTCACTCAGCATTGTCAAGATACCATTGTGGAGCTGGGTTCATTCTACAAACCTCACTGGGTGCCTACTGTGTGTCTGACAATGCTGGGCACTTGGAGGACACAGTGGGTGGGTCAAGGAATCTAGTGGGGGCAAAAGACAAGTAGCTGAACAATGACCAGACAGGAGGCAAGGCTGCTGGGGCAGATAAGGCCTAAAACAGCCCCAAACCCAAGATCAGCTGTGACGTGAAGGAAGCATGACAGTAAACAAGGCCAGTGGTGGAGGTGGGAGTGGTGGTCGGAGAAAGAGGTGATGGTACTCCAGGCAGAGTGAACAGCATGTGCAAAGGCTCAGAGGCAAGAAGCAGCATGAAGCATGCTTGAGACTTCAGGTCGTGTCCTTGGAGGTGAGAAGGGGAGGACACACAGTGGAGAGGGTTGCTCCTGGAATCCCTAGGTGGCAAGCCTGTCTCCTCTGCGTCTTTCTTTTCACATCCCCTTGGATGGCTTGCTCGCTCAATAAACAGTGCTGCCCATTCTATAATCCAGGTGCACGGTCGCTGAGCATCAGGAGTGCATTCTGATCTCGGCCCCACCCGGCAGCTGCTGAGAGAAACCCTTCCACACACACCACTCCCCTCTAGCCCAGCAGCCACAGTATTTCCTCTTGGAAAGAGCCAGGCTATTGTTGGGTGTGCCCAACATCTCCTGCTGCCATAGTGAGGGCTGGCCAGGTGTGGGGCGAGCATGAGGGAAATTAGAGGCCCTCCCTGATTGTCACTTTCCCTTGGATGGTTCCTAAACATAAGAGGTCCAAAGTTCAAGGCCGGGCCTCATCTATCCTGCACCAGACCCTGGGACTGGAGCAGTGTGGGGAGGGGGAGTCTGCGGCTTAAGGACCACTCTTACCAGCAGCCAACAAGCAGGTCCCCGGGGAACAAGAGAAGGTGAACACCACTTCCCAGAGGACCCCTAGGATGGGCTTGCTGAGCCAAGCTTTATCTCTTGAGCTTTTCAGAGGTACGGGAGCATCCCTCTCCACGCATCCAAACCATTCAGCCTTTTCCCAGGAATGCCTTGAATCGGAAGCAAAGGCTTTATTCCACAATTGGAGAGCGGGCAAAACACCAATCCCACCTGAGGAGTCCCAGGTGTCCCCAAAGTCACACCAAGTGTGCATGACTGACAGTAGAGCCTTTCTACAACCAGGTTTCTTTGGGATAAAAGACAAAAAGGGAAGAAAAGTAACTGAGGCCTACTGGCATCTACAGAGCACTCAAAGGCATCCGAATGCATCCAAAAACTGTTATAGCTTTGCTGAAACCACCATTTTCTAAGGGAAAACTGCTGAAAGCAAATCCTTAATTCTCTCCAGAGGCAGAGGTACAGACAATGGCAAAGAAGTGACCAGCCACTCCCAAAGAGATCAGCCTTAGGGCGGAATGTGTCAGTTCCCAGCCCCTAAACCCTCTGGCCTCACCCAGGAACCCCTGCTCTCACCCTGTCCAGATCCCTCACTAAGGTCTCTCCCCTCAGCCTTCCACCGTCAAAAACAGGTAGGACCTCCGATCAAACAGATCTTTAACAGATCAAATCGTCCTTCCACACATGTGGGGCCCGTGAGACCTCCGGGGGACTCGGTATATTATCAGTCTTACCTCCCCAGCAGAATGCAGATGTTACCTGAATATTCACTGGAGGAGCAGTGATAGGGAGGGAGGGGAAACGGAACCAGTCGGGTGCCAAGGCCTCTCCGAAGCCTGCGACTCCCGCTACAGACGTCAGGGGGCGCCAGAGGCCGGAGCACCGGGTCCCCGGTCCCGGAGCCCCAGTTTTCCCAGCCGAAACCGAGACTGAGACCACGCGTGCTGCCCCGAGGCGCGGGCTGAGGGGCCGCCGGGCTGGGAGCTTCATGCTCGCCTCGGTTTACTGAGGTCATCCAGCCCCAGTGGGCTGGCTGCCTTAAAATAGCCTAGCTGCAAAGCCATTAGGAAAGAAAACGTGTGTGTGAATGTTTATATATGTTTTTATTTATGTTTATATATGTTTATATGTATATAATTTAAACTTGTTTCTTCGAGTGCATTAAAAAAATGGGCTCTTTCTTTTCTCTGTGTTTTTTGTTTGTTTGCTTGCTTGCTCGCTTGCTCGCTTGTTTGTTTTGAGGCCGGTCTCTGTCACCCAGGTGGGAGAGCAGCGGCTCGATCACGGCTCATTGCAGCCTCGACCTCCCCAACTCAAGAGATCCTCCACCTCAATTTATTTATTTATTTATTTATTTATTTATTTTGTAGAGAGGAGGTCTGGCTATGTTGCTCAGGCTGGTCTCCGCCTCGGCCTCCTAAAGTGCTGGGATTACAGGCTTGAGCTACCGCACCCGACCCTTCTTCTTTTTTAAAAAAGTAAAACATTGGTTTCACCGAGTTCCATAATCTCAGATTAAATTTGTATCCTTCTGGCTGGCCCTGGTTGGGAGGAAGAGGGATCAGCATTTATATAATGCTTATGTGGAGGATTTCGGGGGAGTGTGCATTAATACTTCCATTGCCCAAAGGAAATGAGACCTATTTAAGGGACCCCTAACATACATATGTACGTGTGTGTATGGGATGTCTATTGTAGTATTGTTCATACAAAAAAATGTTAACAGCCTGAATATTCATCAGTATGGAACACTTGAATAAATCATGGTACCTCCGTGTGATGGAATGTATGCTGTTAATCGGTAGATCTGCATGTGCCGATCTGGAGAAATGCGCATGAAACAAGGTTAGAAAGAAAAAACGCAGAGTGATCTTTATAACATGATTCCATTTTTTTTAAAGGAAAGAAAGGAAAAGAGAAAAGTATGCAAGAGTGTGTGTGTGTTGAAAGGACATGAGGAAAATATGGAATACCTACCTGTGTTGCCATTGGCTACCTCTCTAGGGGGTAGGGTGGAAGGAGACCTTAGTTATTCTTTATACAATGCGAGTTTGCATAGTTGTATAGTTGGACCCACTATAATGCTTTCAAAACGTCAGGCAACCACCTTATGCAATAAAAATATCTTAATTATTAATTAAATTAAATTTTAAAATAAATTTAATTTAAATTAAACATATTAATTAAAAATAAAATGCAATCAATTATGTAAAAGGAAGAGGGAAAAAAGATCTTTGTTTTGGTTTAAAGCATTGCTACCTCCCAGCAGTGGTGCCATTTCTTATATTGGACATAGACTAAGTGCTCATTAAATAACAGTTATTTTCCAATAACGATTTGACTTTGAGTCAGTTCCTTCCTTTCTCTGGGCTTCATCTACAAAATGAGGATATTAAAGTAGATGATCTTTCAGATCCTTCCCAAACTATAAATTCCAATAATAAGTCATTCCTATGAAAAGAATGTTATCTTGGGACACATTTCAAAGGGAGCAGAACCTGACTGATGGAGTATCTGTTGAGGGATGGGGGTGAGCAGATGGTGGCATGAAGAATTTCTGCTGGGTAGCCAAAGTTACGGCAGGGAAAGATATAAGAGAATCATGATGTGGCCCCCTGAGCACCCAATTAAGGCACAATGAGTCTTTGCAATAGGATTTAAGATTTTCCTTTATCTTTGTAATAAGTGTGGTATGAAAAAGAGGAGCTGGTATGGAGGAAAGGACACCGACAGAGCAAGGGACCACTCCAAGTCGGCCTTCTCTGTCCTCGAGACTGTTGGCCATTGGCGGAGAACTCAGAATAGTGTTTAGTTCCAAAGGGAGGAGCGGTCCCTCTGCTGAAGACAGCCTGGACGAGGTGAGGAGTCTTAGCTCCTTGTTGCTGCCTCTGGCTTCGTCTCAACACCTGGGCTCTTCTCCCTGTGCTGCCACCTGCCCACCCTCTTCCTACAACTCCTGAAAGACATGAAGACACTCACCGAGGACCAACAGGCGGACACGTGACTTGGTGTTGCCCTCCAGGTCTGACATCAGCGAGACAGAACACTCGTAGGTGCCGTTGTCAGCCATGGTCAGCTGATCAATGGTGATGGAGGCATCGGACTGCTCAGCATTGTTGGATATGCTGACGCGATTCTTATAAAGCTCACCATGGATGTAGTTTTTGTTTGAAAACGGCCAGATGACCACCCTTTCCTGGAGAGAGAAGAAATGGCACCAGGTCTTCACCCAAAGGCCCTTGCCTGGTGCTTCCAGCCTGCCCTGACTACCCTCATCCCCCAGTTTCCAGGGCCCAGAAGCACAGACCTGCCAACCCCTCAGAACAAATAGCTCGCATATGTGCTACCCATTTGTGGATTTCTTGTATTATATATATATTTTTTTAGTTTATTTTTAAAATGAAAATATTGAAAGAAGTTAGGCAGTTCATACCGCAGTACACATGTGGGTGAATGGGTCCATCTGGGATCCCAGCACTTTCACCTCTTGTAATCTCCGGCATCTCTCTTATCCATTCCATTTTCTCCATAGCCTATCCTCACTCATTCAGTCTATCAGTATTTACTGAGCACCTTCCATGTACCAGGCATGATGCTGGGCAGCCAGCCTTGGCTGCCAAACCCACTTTATTTTCTTGACTCTTGCCTTTGGAATGTACTGATTGATTGATAGACTCATCATTTATCAAATTGTATGTGGTAATGGCTAAATCACAGACTTTCAAGCCAGACTGCTTCAATTCAAATCCCCATTCTGCCATGTACTAATTGTATGACCTTGAGCAAAATGTTCCACCAGTGATTCTGTTAACTATTCTGCAAAATGGAGATGATGACAATAACACCTGCCTCTCAGGACTGTAGTGAGAATTACAGTAGTAATATACACAAAGCAGTTAGGGCATTATGTGACATGTTAAGTTTCTAGAAGTGCTAGCCATTATTATAACTGAGCATCTACTAGGTGTCTGACATTTGAAGATGATAATTCACGAATTCTGCACCCAAAGAGTGATGGAAGTGATAGACAACCAAACCTTGCAACATCTTGTGATTATCTCTAGGACCCCAGAAGAAAATATCACTTCCAGAGTGGTAAGTCAGGGGAGGCTTCCTAGGAGAGGTGACAGTTGCCTTGAATCCTAAAAACAACTAAGAATTAGCCAGGCAAAGGGCTGGGGGTATTGGGAGAGTAAGTGTTGGAGTAGGATAAAGGTGTTGGGCATTTCAGGCAAAAGAAGAACCACAGAGAAAGAATTAGATGTGGGAAGCAACATATCAACCCCAGTCATTCAGTATGAATGGAGGTAAGTGTGTGAGTGAGGGACTGGTGAGAGGGTGAGCTTGGGCAGGTAGCAATAAAGATCATAGCTGCTATTTATTGAGTGTATGCTATGTGCTAGGTACTAGCCTATGCACTTGGTATGTATTATCTCATGGAATCTTCACAACACCCCTAAAGTAGGTATATGATTACACTCATTTTACAAATGAGGAAGCCAAGGCACCAAGAAGTTAAAGGCCTCCCCCAAGTTCACATGATGTTTAAGTAAACGACAGCGCTGAGGTTCAAACCGGGCATTGTGGCTCCAGAGCCTGAAGTCCGGAGATTCTACAATGCCAGGTCTCAGACATCGTGTATATGGGACTAAACAGTTTGCATTTACCCTGAAGTGCTAGAGAGCCATGTATTTAGGAAGTCAGCTCTCAACACAGGATGGAAAGTGACTTGGAAGGAGAAAAGGGACTGGTTAAGAAACCAGTTTAACAATTCAGGTAAAAAATGATGGGTCCTCAGATAAGGTTGTGGCAATGCAGATGGAAAGAATGAAATGAATTTGAGGAGTATGAAAGTGGGGGCACCAATGAGACCATGAAGCCAGGAGAAGATCCGATGGACAGAGTAAGGGAACGGCAGACTTCCAGGGTAAGAGTTTTTTGGCTTGGATATTTGGTGATGTCATTTCCAAGAGAGGAAACACAAAGGAAGGGAATGTTTTATGAATAAACAATGTGTTCTCTTTACGTGTGGGGTATCTGGAGTGTCGGTGGGAGATCCATCTAGGTGGAGGAGTCAGTAAGAGCCAGACAGGTCAGTTTAGTGCAACTGGGGATGAAGGTTTGGGAGCCAATGACATGTCGATGTTCACTGAGACATGGGCTAGATGAAGCCACCCGGGATAAATAAGTAGAGAAATGGCAAGTCACCAAGTTACTTCATTTGAAGGGTCAAGGAGAGGTCAGAGAGCTAAGAGGAAAAGCCAAGACAAGACTTCCAGAAAGTCAAGACAAGAAGACTCCAAGGTTGGAAAGTGGCTGCTGGTGTGAAATGCTAATGAGAGATGAAATAAGATGGCTGAATGAAGTGTACTGAATTGAGCGAAAAAAGAGGTTGCTGTTGATTTCTGTAGAGCATTAGGTATAGAAGCGAGACCATGATGGACAGAGAATGTGGAGACCCGATGTCAAGTCTGACACCTGTGCGTGCAGTGCGCTTTGTGCAACATTAGAATAAGGGGCTCTACAGCCTGTGCTGGGATACATGGCTTGGCTAATGAAGCACATATCCTTGTGCAGGGTGCAATCTACCCAACCACAGGCAACAGACCAGGTTGAGGCAGACAGCTCTTTCAGGAAGCTTAGCTGACAAGCGAGGGAGAAACAAGATGGGAGATGCAAAGGTGTCTCGGGCTGTGGATCAGTCCATGGATACCGGTCCTTCCCAATTCTGCTCTTTTCTGATGCTGACTGGCTCTGCCCAGGACCCTCTGCCCACTAACCCTCCTCCCATCAAAGATATCCTAAGCCTCCCTCCCTGGACCTCCGCCAGGCTAGAAGACCTGCTAGGACCTGTCACAATAATCTCCTTGAGGGGCCGTATTTAAATCCCTTTCTCTATACTCTTGCAGGGTCTCAAGGCAATTGCCTGAAATCCTTCTGGAAGTAAGGGACCCAGCAGTCAATAAAATAACTTTAGTATCTACCTTAACACCCAGAAAACTGTCAGGCAGAGACCTCAAGTCTGGCCTGCTAAATAAGTATGATGGCAAGAGAAGGTTCCCTTTCGCTCCTACAAGCTAAAGGCAGCAGCTCCCCTCTCTGGGATTTTACCCTGGGACTCTGGGAGCAGTCGGGACAGGTGGCTATGGCCCATCATGGTCCCTTGGTGCGTCTGACCAAGACTTGCTCTCTTTCCCCATCCGTCCTGCCCGCTCGAGGCCTTGAGTGTTCTAGGCCACCCCTTCTTTCCTGTTAGGGAAAAAGCTAAGTCTTTCCACTCTAAGTGGTCGGGGACCTAATGCTTATCTCTGCCAGGCACGTTTGCATTTTAAAAGAAGACCTCACTTTTAAACTTATGAATAGATGCTCTACTTCTTATAATTAAAGAAATGTTAATTTGATGATGAATGAGATGTTTTTTCGCTTATCAGACTGGCAAATAGCGAACAGTTTGAGAATGCTCTGTGTTGGAGAAATAGGTGTCCTCACTGTTGGTGGTGAAAATAAAGATTGGGAGACATTTAATGAGAAAAATTTGATGTTATTTGTCAAAATGTTTAATTCACATACCCTTTTTCACATGACCCAGAGTTTTAATAATTTATTTTATATATGTATATATAGAGAGGTACATATAAGGGTATTTATATTTATGCAGCGTTATTTGTAGCAGCAAAATATAAGAAACATACCAAATGTCCATTCATGGTACATATAGTACCTTCATAAATTGAAATGCCTTTTGCAAATGTTGAAAAATGAGATAGATAAATATACTCATATACACAAAGAGCCCAAGATGTATTAAGAGTCGAATGCAAAACAGTATGTGTGTAGTATATGTAAATATACATATTCATATACGCAAATACATCTATAAAAACATATATCCATGCTCGTATATGCCCTGCCTGGGGGTGGAGGAAAGTGGGGGATAGAGGATGAGGGTGTGGGAAGAGGGTGGGTGAGACAGGAGAAGCAGGGATGGGAATGAGCCTTCTCAATGCACACTTTTTATGAGGTTTTGATTTTCAAACCATGAGATTATATTATCTATTTAAAAATAGAAATAGAAAAAAAAAACAAAACTCCTCCACACTTCCCAAAAGAATCCAAACAGGAAAAAAAACCCATAAAATTTGGCCTCAGAGCAAGGGCTATGCTAATCAAAAGGAGTGACTGACTCGCATGATACAATTTAGGTCATTTGAGATTGGCCACCAGAAAGATATTTTAGGGGCAGGTGACATTTTCAAAATAAAGGTGACATACTCTGGCCCTCCATGAGCCCAACATTCACTGCTCCCTCCCCACCCACTCCAGCCTGGGTGCTAGTGTTTATTCTACCATTTATGGAAAGACTTCATAGTGCTTGCCTTCTAAGAGGTCCTGGTCAGGTGATAATCATTCCCATGTTGCCTGAACTTGTAAAGTATCCTTACCGTATGAGTGAGGAGGAGCTTATCCCATTGAATAAGTCCCTCTCGACTGGAGGTGGAAGTGTGGTAGGTGCAGGGCAGGGTGACACTCTTTCCCTGCGAAGCCCGAAGAACGTCCTGCGGAGTTTCCACAGAGATGGCATCGACGGTCACCCTGACTGGAAAGAAAGTAGGCAGTGGAAGGGAAAAGTAAGCGACACGGACAGACATACCCACTCACTGCCCACAGGACCACTGAGGGAATGTCCAGGGCTGTTCTTGCACCTCCAGCCACAGCTAGAGCCATCTTGGCCACCTTGGCCCTGGCAACCAGCTTCTCCTCCAAGACTGCGATGAGGACAAACACATGGGCCTTGGTCCACCTGACTCCACCCCACAGCATGATGAATTGCCTGGCCCTGAACCTCAGCCCTACTTCTTACCAGCTGTGTCAACTTGTCTGAGCGTCAGTTTTCTCATCAATAAAATAGGAGCTCTAATACTTATTTCCTTGATTTATTGGGAAAATTAATGGAGATACCATGTGTAAGTATTTTTATTACTCCCTGGCGCATAGAAAACTCTCAATAAACATTACCTGCCATCGTTTTGGTTGTGATGATGATGTATTCTCTCATTTAACAAGTATTTATGGAACATTTGTATGTGGTAAAGAATTTTATGAATAAGATTATATCGAGGTAAAGAGATGGACCATATTTTCACAGGAGTTTATCTCGTATGAGTTTATCAGAACAAGGTTAGGAAAAAGAATGTGGCCACACTAGCATATTTTATCACACATGCTCTTGCCACGTGATGTTGACTCTCCTCCCTCAGGAGGTGGGGTCTGTGTTCCTTCTCTTCGAGCCTGGGTGCACCTGTGACTCCAGTGTAAGGGATGTTATGTGGCTCTGAGGCCAACTCATAAAAGGCCATTCTCTTCACCTGGTCCCTTGCGATGCTCACCCTGGAAAACCATCAACATTCTGAAGGGAGGTAAGCAGCCACATGGAAAGACAGGTGTCTGTGTTTGGGACACCAACTGAGGTCCTTTGGGACAGCCAACTTCAACTCCCAGACATGGGAGTGAGCAAACCCAGCCACCTAGCTGTTGGAACTGATGCTGAGGGGTGCAGAGTTGAGCTACCCTGCAGATCCCTGCCCAAATTGAAGACTCAGGAGTAAAATAAAGATTGTTATTATTTTAAGTACTGAGTTTTGGGGTGGTTTGTTATACAGAATAGATGCTTGGCACAGAGACCCATGTGGATCCCAGTGGTGAGAACTTTCCAGGCAGAGGCTAAGCAAGGGTCAGGCAGGGAGGCAGGAGTCAGCTTAGTCTACGCACAAGGAACAGCAAGGGAGATTGTGTAGTGGGAGGGAAGTGAGTGAGGAGGAGAGATGAAATGGAAAAGTTGTGGGGGTGGGGGTGGTCTCAGATTGCATAGAGCAATGTAGCCCTTATTTAGGACTTTGTATTTTGCTCTGAATGAAGTGAAAATGCCCTGGAGAGATTTAAGCAGAGAAAATATATTTGACTTACTTTTTTTTTTTTTTTTTTTTGAGAGAGAGTCTCGCTCTGTTGCCAGGCTGGAGTGCAGTGGCTCGATCTTGAATTGCCTCCTCCCGCCAGGTTCAAGTGATTCTCCTGCCTCAGCCTCCCGAGTAGCTGGGATTACAGGCATGCACCACCACGCCCAGCTAATTTTGTATTTTTAGTAGAGATGGGGTTTCACCATGTTGGCCAGGCTGGTCTTGAACTCCTGACCTCAGGTGATCCACCCACCTCAGCCTCCCAAAGTGCTGGGATTACAGGCATGAGCCACCATGCCTGGCCTGACATACATTGTTAAAAGATCATTCTGGCAAATGTGGGGTGAACAGATAGAAGTGGGGTGGGGAACAAGAATGGAAGCAAGGAAATCAGGCAAGAGTTGGCTCAATAGTCCAGATGAGGGCTAATGTCTTAGACACAGGTGATTGTGGGGAGGTGGTGAGAAGTGATCCAAATTGGAATGTATTTAGAAGGTAGGGCCAATGGGATTTGACTGCAGGCTACATTTGGCGTGTTAGAGGAAAACAGGAGTCAGGAATAGACAGAAGGATTTGGCCTCAGCAACTGGAAGAATGGAGTTGTCGTTTACTGAAATGACAACAGTTAAGGAAGGAGGAAGTTTCAGGGGGCAGATCAGGAGTTTGTTTGAGGACTTGCAAAGTTTGAGATGCTCCTTAGACACCCTGGTGGAGGTGGCAATGAGGCAGTTATGTAAGTCTGGAGTGCCACAGAGGCACGGAATGGAGACACAACTTTGGGAGTCACCGGCTCTCCATCAGTTAAGGTCAGAGGATGTTGAGGATCACTAAGGAAGTGCATGAAGACAGGAAAGACATGTGGGACTGAACCCTGGGACACTCCAGTGCTTCATGATGGAGGAAATTAGGAGGAATCAGTAAGGGAGAAGTAGGAAAATCTGGCTAGGGAGACAGGAAGAGAACCAAGAGCAGGAAAAGTTTCTTGAAAGCAAAGGAGGTCAGCTACTCAAATGCTGCTGACATGTTCAACCAGGGACCTGAGGGCAGAGAGATGGTCATTGGATGTGGCCACATGGAGGTGGCCTTGGCATTAGTGGATGCAGTGGGGTGGTGGGGATGGAGCCTGAAAGGAGTGAGTTCAAGAGCTGATGGGACAAGAGGAAGCAGACAGTGTTTGCTGGAAAGGGAAGAGAGCAGGGAGACTGTAGCAGCTAAAGGAGGCTATAGGGTCAAGAGGAGTTTACGCCCTTTTTCCCAAAATATGTGTATGATGATTTAAAAAATAATACTTTTACACTGTTTGTTGATGATGAGAATGAGCCAAGAGAGAATGGGGACAGAAATGATGTCCTTGTAGGGCAAATGGGGCTGGGGGTACGGTGTTATGGGAGGACAGGCCTTAGAAGAGATGCCGGGCTGTCTACCCACTGTAACAGGATGTGGCTAAAGGTGCAAGTGGGCTGGTAGATTTGGTGGTAGAAGGGTGAGCAAGTTCTTACTGAATGTTCCCATGATGAGGCTGCAGCATAAAGAAGGAAAATGTCCTGCTGAAGACCGTCCCCCCGCCCAGCTGGGAAGACTCCACTATCCAGGCAAATTCCAGCTGGATTAACACACTTCTCTTTCAAAATGCAAATCGCTCCTGGGAAACAGGGAAGCATTCGGGTTGTTCATACTTCATTAAGCAGTATTTCATAAGGTGAAAGTCAGCCACCCTCCTGGAATGGGCACTGTACAGTGAGGGCCATGTGAGCTCCTGGGGTGAGTTTATAATATCCGGGAGTATTGGATATTGGGAATGAGAGACAGGAAGATGTCAAAAAAACAGGTTTCCCCTCTTTGGCATTTGCATATTTTCCTCATGGTGATGCCAGTGCCAGAAGCCCCTGAAAATTTGTTCAAATGTTGGCTTCCCAAGTCACTGATGCTGCTCCAGAAGGTGATTCCAAAGTGGCCAAGACTTATCAAATGACCCTCCATGTGACTGGTGTCTTTCCACCACCTTCGTCTATCAGAAAACATTTGCTGGCAGGGCGCAGTGGCTCGTGCCTGTAATCCCAGCACTTTGGGAGGCCGAGGTGGATGGATCACCTGAGGTCAGGAGTTCAAGACCAGCCTGGCCAACATGGTAAAACCCTGCCTCTACTAAAAATACAAAAAATTAGCGACTGTGGTGGTGCATGCCTGTAGTCCCAGCTACTCAGGAGGCTGAGGCAGGAGAATCACTTGAAGCTGGGAGGTAGAGGCTGCAGTGAGCTGAGATTGCACCACTGCACTCCAACCTGGGCAACAGAGCAAGACTCCATTTCCAAAAAAAAAAAAAGAGAAGAAAACACATTAGTCATCATTACTAACAAGTCACCCTTCATCAGAAGGTTACTTGCTTCAATGGAGCCCTCCAGTGCCGTCTGCCCAGCTCCCAGCTATAGCAGACAGCCCATCTAGATATCATTTCTCATATGCCTGGTGTAGTCATGGCAACTGCCACTGATCTTTACTTCACCTCTTCTGTCCTTGCCTGGACCAGGGCATTTTCCCTGGAGCGCTGTCCTCACGGTGACCACTCTTGGGCCTCTCCATGAACTTTACACTGATTCTGTTCTTGTCTATCACCCTGGCCACACACTACACATTAAGGGACTTCTGCCACTGGCAGAACCTAAATGGCCCATGCACAGTTGGTCCCCAAAACTCAAGCAAATTCTATCTGATAGTAACAATTCTCACTCTCAAATCAAAGAGAACCAACCCACTAAGTCATTCCTTTAGACAATGGAGTGTCTAATTACCTGCTCACTCAAGATTAAAGGAATGTTAAGTCAACCATCAATGGATGAAAAATGAGTCACTCTATTGAGTTAATCATTCTCAATTCCCTGTTAATCTCATGTTATTTTAATTACATCTCAATGGTACAGGCACCATACAGGTATTTTACAGATATTCTCTCATTTATTTTCATACTCTCTTTAATGATAGACATTTGTATTTTCCCTATTTTACTGGTGACATAATTGAGGTTCCAAAAGGTTAAACCCTTTGCTCTATCTAGATATGACAGCTTGACAGCTAACAAATGGCAGAGCTGCTGGCAAGTCCTTCAGATAGAGGCAGCCCTGGTGAGGGTATAGGGCTGCTGCCCAACAGTCAGGGAAAAGTGCTAATTTTTGCCTGCAGGGACAGGAGGATGGTGTTTTCCTTGGCTGTCAACAGAACCTATTTCCTATTTTGTTCCTTGACCACATCACACCCCTCAATCTTGTCACAGAAACTCTTCTGCTTTCTTCAGTCAACCAACAAGTATTTAATATGTGCCTAGCATATAAAACCAGCCCCCTGCTCTACTCAGGGAGATAAGATAGATGCCCACAAAGTCATCTTCTTACCCTGGCAAATTAATGGACATAGACTAGCTTCACACATACACTTAGATCCTCTTAACCAAATGCTAAGTACAGTATTTGCTTATAGAAGAGAACTCAGTGTGACCTTTATGTAGGAAAAGAACTAGGGCTGGCAACTGCATAGAAACAACACCCACTATTCTCTAGCACCTCACAGTTCTCAGGAGCCTCACATCCTTGTGAGAGGCGAGACTCTGCCAAATGGAATGGCCGAATTGGCTGTATTCAGATTCTCTGAACATCCCCTTCCAAGGAGGGCAATATACTCCCATCAACCACTCCTACCACTCGTTCATTCTGTCTCCCAACTCTCCCTTTCTTCTGGTTCAGAAACATCCCTTCGATACTTTAATCCCGGAGCGTGTACCGCTCTGTATCGCACAACTTCTCCATGGCCATTTCAGGAGGCAGCATGGCATAGAATTTGAATGCACAGATTCTAGAACTAGAATGCCCCTGTTGGAACTCTGGTTCCTTTCTTTACTATACATATAACCATGAGCAGTTTACTTAAGACCTCTGTGCCACACAGTTTTCCTTTGAGAAACGGGCCGTGTGAGAATTAAGTGACATGAAATGGGTACTTTGTTTAGAATAGTTCCTAACTCATAATCAATAAATGATAGTTACTATTACATATATTTTTCATATTGAGCCACTTCTGCTTCCTTGTCTCATACTCTGTTGTGGAGGTGCATCCTTGGTAGAAGTTAATCACAAGAGGCAGCACTCACCATCACCATGGGTGAGCTGTCAAAAAAGAATAGTAATTGCTAATGATTATAACTAAAGAATAGATCAATTTTAGAGATCATTATAACAGAGAGTTAAAATCCATTTGATGTTATTAGACCTGTGAAGGAAGAAATAGAAATGAATGAATAAGAAAGAGCTCATAAAGAAAAAAACCAGCTGGGCGTGGTGGCTCACTCCTGTAATCCCAGCACTTTGGGAGGCTAAGGCGGGCGGATTGCCTGAGCTCAGGAATTCGAGACCAGCCTGAGTAACAAGGTGAAACCCTGTCTCTACTAAACTACAAAAATTAGCCAGGTGTGGCAGCATGCACCTGTAGTTACAAAAACTCAGGAGACTGAGGGAGGAGAATTGCTTTAACCCAGGAGGTGGAGGTTGCAGTGAGCCGAGATCACACCACAGCCTGGGCGACAGAGCGAGACTCCGTCTCCAAAAAAAAAAAAAAAAAGAAAAAAAAGAAAACTTGCACAAATGTGGAAAATGTGGAGCACTCTTTCAATGTTCTTTGTAAACCTGAGAAGCATCTTAAAAAGCTCATCCTGTGCCCTGAGGCACACTTACATTTTCCATAATTTGAGACGAGAAGTTATTCCGTGTTTAAGAACTTTATGCCAACAGCCATCTTGGGAATCCTTCATAGCTAGCCTAAATCCTTTCCACCCATTCAGTCAATATCCTCTTGTTCTGACATTACTGGCAATGAAGACATCTGGCTGGACTTTTTAATAATTCGCCATTGTAGCTTTAGAGGCTTCTGATGTTTGCAATCACCAGCTTTTTCACCTCCATCTGGAATAAATCCAGTTTCTTTTACTTTTTTCCACAGGCTTTATCCTTATTAGCACTGCATCCCTCATTTTCTCTCCTGGGGGTCTTTGCATCCGTACTCAGTGAATGAGACCAAAGCACCAGGTAGGACATCTAAGCTGGGATTAGGAAGTTGAGAAGTGAAGCTCATTTTTAGAGTCTTCCAGCTACCTCACTTTCCGCTTCCTTGTATAGGTTGGCATTGAATATCAGGTCTCCAGTTGCCCAGAGCCCACCCTCCTCCCAGTAGCTGTGGCTCTCCCATCCAGTCACTCCCTTTGCCCTGTGCCCGTCATGCTCTAGACATTTTCTTTCTTCCATCCTCTCTCCCCTACTCTCCTTGTCAAGGCTGAGCTCTTCTGATGCTCAAGAAGAGCATCCATCGGATAAGCTAATTTACTGTAAGGTGTTACTAACTAATAATGTATCAATGTGTTAACCTCCAGGGGTATACAGGTTAGAAGTGCAAGCGCCTTTACCTGCAAGGAAGGAATCATAACAATCTCTTGCATGATAGCACATGCATTGTCCTAAAGAAGATGCCCCAACCTTCCCAAGAAGAATTGATAACTCTGTCCTTTGTGTCACCTACTACCCATGGCTTCCTGCCTCCTAGTGCTTCTCTCTCATAAAACTTTATTACACAATACAGCAGCATGGCCAAGAGCACAAACATTGCAGCCAAACTATCCGGGTTGGCATCCTCTTTCTTACTTTTCCTAACTGTGTAACCTTAGGCAACTGAATTAACTTCTCTGGGCTTCAGTTTCTTCAACTGTGAAGTGAGCATCATCATATTATCCAACTCCAGGTTGTGAGAGGGTTGAATGACTTCACATAAAGTGCATATCCTTTACCCTGGGACATAAAGGACTCTACAGGCAATCTAGGTTGTCATGTCTCTCTCCTCTGCTGCCCTGTGTTTTCTTCATCTTCATATCCCTAGAGCTCGGCAAAGTGCCTAACATGTAAAAGGTCTCAATACGTGTTTTTTGACAGCAAATGAATGAATTATAGAGAACTTAAGCTTACAGGATGGGTAGGATTTAAAACCAGAGAAACTTGGTGGAAGAACCTATTCAATGAATTGCTGGAAATTGACCAAAAGTAAAATAAAGGACCAAAGGAGCCCCAGAGATGAGAAGTGGAGTCTGCAAGATACCTCAGCTGGAAATGGGAGAGGTCATTTCCCCTCCCTAAGGGGGTCCATATGGAGAGCCAGCCTGAGGTCTCGATGATTGCTTGTAAAAAATTAAGGTTTATTAAGAAGATAATAAACGGTCTCTTGAGAACTAAATGGAAAATAATACGTTGGAGGATAATGAAATGCTTGATGGAACCGGTGGCTTGAGGCATACATAGCACATTATGTGAGCCCTTGGGAAACTGGCAGTAATGCCTCCACTTGGGAAAATCTATTTGCTCAGAGAAACCACGTTCTTAGGGAGGAGATTCTGGAGGCCAGAAAGGACCCAGCCAGCCCCAGGACCAAGTACCATGTGCTGGTGTTGAGAAAGTGCTGGTCTCTAGGGAGAAGAAGGCAGTTCACACACGCAGGTTGGTTTGTCCTTCCTCTATGGGCAGGGAGGCTCTCAAACTGGCAGCTGAGAGAGGAGAGATTGAGAGGCAGGGAGGGAGGTGGTTTAGGACTCAATAAATGTTGAACCGTTCATTCAACATGATTCTTTATGCATCTATAAATTCAGATCAATCCAATAAAATTCTACCAATGTCCTAGTTTAGTGCAAGGCACCAGAAAAATGATCAGAGGTGTGTTCACACGCCATCTTGGAAGCCCCACCAGGACCACCCCAGCCCTTCCTGCTGCCTGGCTTTCCCGAGCCACTTCGGGCAGATGTATCCCAGGTACATGTAGTTCTCGTGTTGATATGGGCTGTGCATCAGGCTCCTTCCCTCAACAGATGGCAGGCTCCCTGGGGCAGCGTCTGAGTCTCAGGCTTCTCTTATATCCACCACTTGCCGGCTTTACCTGCCAGGTGTCTACACTGAGCTGGGTCCTAATAAGGCCTTGTTGATTGAGTGGTATGTGGCACAATCCCTGCTCAGGAAGCAGTCAGAGGTTACTGTCAGCCAGCATCCTAATAGAGCCCAATTAAGTGTTAAAGTGGAAGTGTTAAGGGAGTGAGGTGTGTAGGGGAGGAGCTGAGTTAAAACCAGGAAAAGAGATTTAATGGGAAGGCTTATTGAGGAGGTAGAACCCGAGGGATTCAATTCACGGTGTTGGACTGCATATATAAGGGAATAAAGCAGGATGCAAAACTGTGCATACAACAGTGTCCCAGTCCTACACAATCACAGACAGAGAGAGAGAGAGAATATTTCTAGAAGAAAATACACCAAAATACAGTATTAATAACAGTTACCTGTGGATTCTGAGATCGTGGGGCAATCTGAGATTTCTTCTATGTGTACTTTTATTTCCCAAATGCTCTGCAACAAACATACAGCCCTCTTTTAACAATAAAGCCAACTAGGAGGTGAAAAAGTAGAGACAGTGAGGGCAGCCTATTTTGTCAGGAGCTCACCTAACACTGGAAGATGAGAAAGCTGAGACCAGAGGGGCACAGAGGATCCTGAGCAGATTTCTTTAGCCCCTTTGGGATTGAAGAAGGAGAAATGGAGGTGGGTTTGTAGGTTATAGGGAAGGTGCTGCCAGCAAGGAAGAGTCTGAAAGTGCAGCAGACACCAGATGGAGCAAGACCTTAGCCTGGGAGGGGACCCGAGAGGAGGGGAAGGGCCAGGGCACAGTTGGAAAGCCAGCTTTGCTCACGGCAAGTGTCACCTGTTCCCCAAATGCAGATGGAGATACATTGGTGGACACGTGCAGGGCGTGAGCTCTAGCCAACAGATATACGTTTTATGCTCCTCTCCCAGTGAACTTTGTGACGGCCCTAATGGGAAGCGTCTGTCTGTCGCCATGTTCTGCCCATGCCTGGTGTTTATGGCATCCCTGACTCACCAGGGCAGAAAATGAGGAAGCAGTCCAAAGGTCACTGGGTAGGAGAGGAGAGGGAAACACCTCAGGAAGGAGGCGGGTTCCAAGCTTGACGGTTGGTGCCCCAGGCAGAAAGGGGACAGGGTGATCTGGGAACAGAGACAAGCCCCACAGAGCAGGCAGAGAGAAGACGATGGAGGGCAAAACCTGAGTGCTGCCAACCCGGGGTGGCTTGAGGGGCAACTGAACTTCCCCCCAAGTCCACTATGTCCTCCACCAGCTCTTGCAATACTGAAACTTCCACCATTGACAGAAGGCACAGAAGCTCCTGCTAAAATGCAGGTGATGTCTGAGAGGCAGGGAAGACACACTAAGTGACTTTCTCTAAGTCACTTTAACCTGTGGAGTAATCCATCTCCCTAACTAGCTAGTGCCCCTTATCTATCAAACCCAGGAAAGGAATGTGAGACAGGAACATTTTGAGAGAAGCAAGTGAGATTAGGAACACAGAGGTTGGAGACAAGCAGGGGCAGCCTGGAGGAGGAAGAAAAGCAGGAAAGGCAGGATAGGAAATGGTGAAGCCAGTCAGCCTGCTGCTAGGGGAGGTTCAGAAGGGTCGGCACCCATTCACTAACACCTATCCAGCAAACGGCTGCTGGGTGCCTGTGTCCTGGGCACTATGCCAGACTCTGGGGATACAACGTGGGGCAGGGACAGATGCAGTTGCTGCTCTCACGGCGTTCACTGTTCCAGGGAAGTCAGATGGTAATAAATAAATAATCATAGAAATAAATGTAAAACCACCATAGTAACGAGTGTCATGCATATGATGGGAGGATATAACAGAGAGGGTGCCCTGAGGAAGGGCCTTTTGAGCTGAGATTGAAATATAAGCAGGAGTGAACCTTGAGAAAATAGGAGAAGAGATGTGAGGGAAGGGCATCATGCAGAGGTCAGGGGGTGGCAGAAGGCGAGGCATGTTCCAGAAACTAACACAAACCAGTGTGTAGCTATGGCACCAGGGAGGTTTCTTGGGGGTGTATGATTCCCCATATGATATCCTTTAGCCTCCCACTGTCAATCCAAATAAACTTGTCCAAATACAGGACAAGTAAAAACAGCATCCTTGTCTCATCCAAGTAGTTGAGGACAAATCCTGCTATCCACCCTTTCAGCCAGATTGCCTGCCCCCACCAAGATCCTCTTACAAGCAACTCAAATCACACCATACATGGCCAGTGCAGCCAGAAATGTGGGCTGGGCCTGGCGCTTATCGGCCATGACAACGATTTGAGTCTTTATCCTAATAGTCATGGGAAGTTATGGAAGGGCTTTAAGCAGAGGTGGTGACATGGTCATGATTTTATTTTACAAGATCATTCTGGCTCCAGGGTGGACAGCAGTTAGGAGAAGGGCAAACAGGCTCAGGAGACAAGTGAGGCAGCTGTGGCAGTAGCTTAGGAGAGGCAGTGTGGAGCATGAGGTGGCAGAGGAAATGGAGAAAAACGGGCAGATTGAAGAAATGCTGGAGAGCTAAAATCATCACACAAAGTGATGATCTGAATTTGTAGGTGGGGGATAAAGAGATCAAGGGTGATGTGGCGGTTTTAAAATGTGGTCCCCAAATTCTTTTAAACTGCTCTCAACAAAAGGTGTTCTTATTCTCTCCTTTGAGTTGGGTTCTGTGACTGCTTCTCAATAGACTATGGCAGAAGTGATGCTGGGTCAGTTTCTGGGCTTTGCCCTAAGAAACTAGCAGCTTTAACTTCTTGTCTCTTTAGATGTTTACTCTTGAATCCAGCCATCATGTTATGAGGAGGCACAAGCTTGTCTGTGGAGAGGCCCCTGGAGAGAGGAATTAGACTATATACCAGCTTGTTAGCCAGTGAGTGCACCACCTTGGAAGTGGGTCTTCCAATGCCGGTTAAGCCAACCCAGCATAAAGCATAAAGCAAAGACAAGCTGTCCCTGCCAAACACCATCCAAATTGCTAATTTAAGAGGAAAATAAATGATTATTATTGTTTTAAGTCACTAAATGTTGGAGTGGTTTATTACACAGCAATAGAAAATGTAACAGATGACTGCTAGGTTTCTGGCTTTCATTCCTGAATGGACAGTTTGTCATTTATTGAGAGAGAGCTCACTGGGAAAGACCCAGGTTTGGGGAAAAAGATCATGAGTTTTGTTTTCAGTTTGAGAGTTTTCAGTGTTCCACAAATCTAAGTTGAGAAGTCATGTGGGCTGTTGGACTTGTGAGACAATAGCTCAGGAGAGATGTTGGGTTTGAAGACAGAAATTTATAAGTCAGCTGGGAATGGGTGGCAACTAAAGCTTTGGAGGTGGAGGTGGATGTAGAGTGACAATAGGAGAGCCTGGGACTGAGGGTGAGGGACTCTGACATTTCATGGCAGGACAGAGGAGAATGAGGCTGCTAAGGAGACATGGAAACATCAAGGCCAGAGATGTAGGAGGAGAACAAGGAGAGGAAGTCTCATGGGAACCAACAGGACAGAGTGTTTCAGAAATGCGGGAGAGATTAGCCAGGTCAAACACTGCCAGGATTACAAGTACATGCTGGGCCAGGCACACTTTCCCCAGGCTTCCTGGTGACCAGCATCACAATAGGCAGCATGGTTGTATTACCAAAAAGCCCTGAGAGGGGACTCTGGTGGGCAAAGGCAAGATGAGGATCACACCTGTGCCCATGAACCAATTCTTCCCTATGGCCTTGCTTCTCAGACTCTGGTCCCTGGACCAGGAGTATCATCCCCTGGGAGCTCATTAGAAATGCAGAATCTCAGGCCCTACCCTGGACATACCGAATCATCTGCATTTTAACAAGATCCCCAGATGACTTGTATGCACACTAATGTGGGAGAATGCATACCATTGAGCCCCCTAAATTGAGGGAATTGGACAGTAACCGGAGAAGCAGCTGGATGATGCAAAACTGAGCTAAAAGTCACATGCAGTGTATTAGAGGCAACTGTTCATTAAACCAACTTTTCCTTAAGTTCCAATTCGTCTCTACACCTAGACTGCACATCAGAATCACCTGAGTAACTTTTCAAAAACCAGAGAGAAACCCAGATCCTTCCCCTCTGGATTCTGACTCAGAAGGTATGGGGGAGACTGGGCATCTGTATTTTCACTTCCCAGGTGACTCTGATGGGCAACCAGGGTTGAGAGCCACTGGCCTAAACTATTAGTCTTCCTCTTTTGAACACCTAACCTTCTTAGACCGACCATTCATAACATCTTTTCTCCATTGAGGCTGGGACTGAGACTAGAGTAGGACATTTTAATCCTGATTGCGTCTCTGACAGGGAGGCAATGTGATTCATTCCAGGTGCATGAGCTCTTCCTACAAGCACTGGCTTCTG
The DNA here is from genome assembly GCF_000001405.40 of Homo sapiens. NCBI lineage: Eukaryota > Metazoa > Chordata > Mammalia > Primates > Hominidae > Homo > Homo sapiens. The sequence goes on from NC_000001.11 coordinate 167,086,202, forward strand.
ACTTGTGCTCAGGTGCCAGCAGGTGGGGCCCAGGCCCCAGCGGGGAGCCAGGCTAATTTAGGATTGGAATGGCAACAGGACCCAGGGCCACAGAGCAGATGGTGGGCGGGCCGCTTATCTTGCAGTTGCATTTGCGGGCTGACACCACCCCGGCTCTGGCCCAAATACTACCCTCTTGAGGTCCAGGGTCTCATCAGAAGTGCACATCTGAGGCTAAGCCCCTAAACCACATATCTTAGGCTAGGCCACTGCACAGAGCTTAGACATGTGACACTGGGCTCAGATAGGCCATCGTGATAGGGCAGACCCCAGGGACCAACCCACACCTGTGTGATCCACACGAACATGGCACTTCAGAGCAGACAAGTGTAGGGCACCACATTTAGGAAAAATCTTCCTGCTGGGATTGTGCCTCTAACAAAGATGCCAGGGAAGGGTTCTAAAATGGCACAATCAGCCTCAAAATGTCAGCAACTTGCAAACTTGGTTCCCTTCAAAAACTCTTCATGGATCAAGCACCTGTGGGTTTTCTGAAACTTTTTTATATGGGGGGAGAAAAAACATTTTTTTCTAGAGAGAAGAAAGCTTTTACACCTTTCCCAGGTTAAAGTTCTCCTGAGTTTTTCTCATTTAACTTAGAAAAACAAGGAAGCTTCCTCTCATTCTAGGAAGGTGGGGTGTGTAAGTAAGTGTGTGTGTGTGTGTGAGAGATTGGGTCTTCAAAGGTTTCACTGGCTCTGAGCAGAGCTGTTCAGTGACTTTTGTCTCCTGGAGCTTGCCTCTTTATGCATCCCTTTTCATGCAGCGGCACATTGCAGCACATCAAATCTTTCATGAAGTCTGGTGGCTGAAAAAAAATCCTGGAATGGAAGTGCCTTGATTTTGTGCACACATTGGAGCATTTTCTCTAACAGCCTTGTGGAGGGGGCAGCGCATGGCGGCTTTTTTGGTGATAACTTAGGGTTCATCCACAGTGACCTCTGACTCCCTTTCTTGGCACGTGTCTGCCATCTCAGAGCTCTCGGATAATTGGTCACCAAAGTCTACTAATTTTCTGTAACTTACATTCCCCCACAGTAATAATAATAACTGCACTCATAACTGGCATTTATTGAGTTGTTATTATGTGTCAAGTCCTCTTCTAAGATTTTTACATGTGCAAACTCATTTAGTACCTATAATAGCCCTGTTGGGGCACAGTGTGAATTTTACACCCCTCCATTTCAGACTAGAAGACTGTGCAAGAAGACTTTAGCAAAGTGAAGCCATTTGCCCACACCATAGTCAGTTAAGAGGCACTGGGGTCAGCCCCCTTTGGTCCCCTGGGATGGCAGTGGAGTGTTAGGAGGGACGGGTGGAACATTTCCCAGGCATGGAGGTCTGTTTTGTCACTGACTCTGTTTAGAATTGTCAGCACATGATAATCATAAAAAGCAGACCAACGGTGGCTCACACCTGTAATCCCAGCACTTTGGGAGGCTGAGGCGGGCTTATTGCGAGGTCAAGAGTTCAAGACCAGTCTGGCCAGCATGGTGAAACCCTGTCTCTACTAAAAATACAAAAAATTAGCTGGGCATGGTGGTGCATGCCTGTAATCCCAGCTACTAGGGAGGCTGAGGCAGGAGAATTTCTTGAACCTGGGAGGCGGAGGTTGCAGTGAGCTGAGATCACACCACTGCACTCCAGCCTGAGCAAGCCAGACTCTGTCTCACACACACACACACACACACAAAGCAGACCAACTTTTAGTCGGTTTTATGATTGCTTTTAAACTCCCTACTTTAAAAGCACGGCCTTGCGTTTGTGCCCCCTGCATGGAACCTTATGAATAGCTTCTGCTTCCTCCAACACCACTTGAGTCTTGAGGCCCATTCATCAGTGCAGTGCTTCCCTGCCCAGGTCTTAGCAGAATCAATTCCTCGGAAAGGTCAGATGGGAAGAGAAAGAAGAGAAAAGCCCAGTAAGTCCTCTGGAACCCAAGTCAAGCTCCACCTCCTCCAGGAAGCCTTTCCTAATGTCCCTGCTCCTAACTGGGTCTCCCTTACCTGCGCAAAGGAAGAGGTGGTATCCTCTCATGAGGCATGGTGGGGAGGGCCGCCTGGTTGCTTTTGGTCGACCTTTGAAGGTCTTCCTTGCTCACCTGCAGTGGCAATGGCTATTTCACTATTTGGTAAACTCTGTTTATATACCTCAAGTCGACCACCAAGCCTGGCTTCTCCTGCCCCACTGCTCTGGCCCCTTCTTCCTCTTAATGTAAGATATGGAGGAAGAAAAGTTGGTGGGCACGTGATTCTGTGCTGGGCAGGCTGTGGTGGGAGGGATGGGGCGGAGGTAGAAGACACTTCATCAGTGTGTCTGAAAACATGCCCAAGACTCGTTCTGCTGGGTGAGTTCCCCAGGGGTCACTTGCCTTCTCATAGGAAGAAGCAAAATGTCCTGCTCCAGGCAATTCAGAGTTACGGCCACTTTTCCCTCCAAGCTGGGTGAGCATCTTGTTTTAAGATCGTTTTTCTAAGCCAAAATTTCTTATTTTTATTCATGCATGGGTCGCAGCCAGTCTACAAGTGTGGGGATATGTGTTGGGGGTTGGGGTGGTGCAGGCATGGAGGAGCTTCTGGCTTACCAGGAGAAGATGGGAGAATCACTGGCCCAGCCAGGGAAGGATGGGTATTTCCTTCAGCCTCCCTCTCTCAGGCCCTGGAGCATCCTCCCTGCCTGAATCTGATGGCTGAGATAGGCCCACTTATGACTAATCATTCCAGACTCCTCACTTCTATGGCACCTGCACAAACTATGTGCTCAGTAAAGAGTTGTTTGGATAAAGGAATGAGCCAACCAGTCCATCTTGGTGGATGATGAGGGGCTTTCTGCCTTCAGTCAGATGAACTTGAGCCAGCCTGAGAGAATGATCTTACCCAGATCTTCCTCCAAACCGTGTGATCCAGCCCTTCCCCAGCAGCAGGCTGCCCTTCCCTCGAGAGCCCCAAGGCCAGGTGTTGAGAGAAAAGCATGTCTAGGGCCTGGGAGAACCAGAATGAGCTGTAGGCCCCGTGGCCCGGGGCTTTCCTGTGTATGCTAAAAAGTGAGCTCTAAACCAGTCTCCTGGTTTCCACTTCCCCAGGCTTGGTGCTCCTGAGTTTCCTGGTATAGCTCTTCTCCTCCCCGTTGCAGCTGGATCCTGGAAGCCCTCAACAGTGTCTGAATTGCAAGGTGATGGCCAAATACACTAAACCAAAGATATTCCTAAACTTTGCCAAACCCTGCGTCTCTCAACTTCCTTCTCTCCATTCTATTTCCTTCCAATGCCCAGCAAAATGGTTGGTACCTTAATGCCAAGACTTTCATTCTAACCCTTAGACACTCCATAGGTCCCCACAGAACACTGTGCTATTAAGCACTTGATGTGGATTCAACCATATACTCATGAATGTCTGATTTTGTTCTGGGAGGTTTCCCTCCCAGAGGGAAATGCTCAGAGTCCCAGAATTTTCAATGACCAGGGTCCCAGAAGTGGCAAGGAGCTTTGGCCTTTGGAAAAGACCCATCTAGTTTGTTGTTTGTTTTTAGGGTTTGAATCTTCTCTTGCTCTGTGAATGATACGGGATAAGTTGCATTGTCTCTTCTGCCTCAGTTTCCTGTCTCTTTCTCTGGTTTTAACACAAACGTTAATATACTAGATAATGAACATATCTAGATCCACACATCCTGGATTTTCTAGGACAACTCCGATTTCAAATACTTTGTCCACATTGTCAAATCCTGTGTCTGATCCTATAATCTAATTTGGGATAAGAAAATATGGTCTTGAGAGTACTTTGAATTCTTCATTTCAGCAGTGGGCTAGAATGTTATTTACTAATATGTAAATAAAAACCATTCTGATTCTGGGCACTGGTCCGGAATGTGTAATTCTGGCCCAGCAGGAACGCAGCTGTGTTGCTGGAGGCCCTTCCTGGGAAGGCTCTGACAGAGCCTCTCCTTCAGCCCTAGGTCCCCATGTCTCACCCACCCCTGGGCACTGGAGAGAAAAGGGGCCTACTCACCTGCACAGAGTGTCCACAACACAGGCCACATCTTCCCCACCATGGTCTTGCTTCTTCTCTGCCCTAAACCTAACCTGTCACTGGCAGCCTCCAGACAGGTCTGAGCTGTCTGGTTAAAGCTACAGCAGCTTCTGGCCTGGCCCAACTGGAGGTCCCTGCAATTTTCCCTCTTCTCACCCACCTCTGCCCAGCCTCAGCTGGATTGGCAGGTGAGCTCCTCAGCTGGATTGGCAGGTGAGCTGGGGCTGGGCTCATGTGTCACCTACTCCAAAGGTCCCAAGAGGAGTCTTCCCTACTTCCCTCAAGTTCCCCTTAAACCAGCCACCTCCCCTGCCTTCTCCCTACTTAACAAGTGTACAAAGTCCTAGACTGCTCACAAAGGGGTAGGCCTCTCTTATAACTGACAGGAAATAAATAATAAAAAGGGAAATGCACTCAGAGGTAGGGTTCCAAGCTAGTAAAAGAAGGGTGTTGCCCATATTTGCTGAAACACTTCAAGACACAATGTGATCTGTTTCTCTACTTCTCTCCTCTTCTACAGCCTCCACCCCACAGTGCGCAAGAGATATAGTCATGAAGAAAACAGGAAGTCTCCCCCTTCAGAGTTTATATTCTGACTGGGAAAGTAGCAAGTTCATAAGTGAAAGAAGATCATCTTGGGGACATGTGACCAACTTGTCTCACTTTTCCTAGGACTGTCCTGGTTTTCAAACCAAAAGGAACCCCCTCAGTCCCAAGCAAATTTGGATGATGGTCACCCTACTGAAAGAATGATCAGTGGTGTGGGACCATAATTCTCCAGGAGCAGTGGCTGTTGCTGGTTTCTTCCATAGATATTTTAGATATATATACACTGTTCTGCAATGATTTATTCATTTTTCATTTAATGAAAGGTTTTAGAAAGCTTTCTGTATCGGTATGTATAGCACCACCACCATCATCTTTTTAAAATGGGGATGATATTTCACTGTATATGAGTGACATGATTTATTTAACCAAACTACTTTTAAGATTGTTTTTCCTCATCTTTCACAACTATGAAAAGATTGCAACCAATATCTATTATGTGTACGATATTTCACACGTGTTGTGATTATACATGTAAGATAAATTCTTAAAAGTAAAATTTCTGACTCACTGAAAGTTATGCATATTTGTAATTTTTATAGATATTGCTAAACTAGCTACCATGAGAATTTTACAGCCTACACTCCTATTAGCAGCATATAAGGATACCTATCTCCCCACACACTCACTAACACAGTTACCAAGTGTTTATGACACAGTTATCAAACTTTCTGCTCATCGCCAATCTAAGTGAACATGATATCCCATGTATATATAATTTACTTTTTAAAATTATTAGTGAAATTTGGCCAGGCGCGGTGGCTCACGCCTGTAATCACAGCACTTTGAGAGGCCAAGGTGGGCTGATCACGAGGTCAAGAGATCGAGGCCATCCTGGCTAACACGGTGAAACCCCGCCTCTACTAAAAATACAAAACATTAGCCAGGTGTGGTGGTGTGCGCCTGTAATCCCAGCTACTTGGGAGGCTGAGGCAGGAGAATGGTGAACTCGGGAGGCAGAGCTTGCAGTGAGCCAAGATGGTGCCACTGCACTCCAGCCTGGGCGACAGAGCAAGACTCTGTCTCAAAAAAAAAAATTATTAGTGAAATTGAAAATCTTTTAATATAGTTGCACATCATATATATTTTCTTTTCTGAGACTAGGTAGCTCATTTGCCCGTATTTCTTTTTTTAATAAATTTTTAAAAATATAGACACAGAATCTCGCTACGTTGACCAGGCTGGTCTTGAATTCCTGGGCTCAAGCAATCCTGCCTCAGTCTCCCAAAATGCTGGGATTACAGGCATGAGCCACCACGTCCAGCCGTTTGGCCATATTTCTATTGAGCTGTTGATCTTTAGCTTGTTGACTTCTAGCAGATCTTTGTATATTAGGGAAAGGAACTTTTGGATGTGATAAGCATTGCAAATATTTCCCCTAGCATTTCTTTGTGTTATGAATTCATAGTATCCTACATGACTTATTGTTATTAATCCTTTTGACTGCTAGGTTTGGTTGACATACAAAATTTGTTGTTTTCTGTTTATTACATTTCACTCAGGCACCTTGTTAATTCTCTTATTATATGTAATAATTGTTCAGCCCCAACATTTTATAATATCTTTGCCAAATTAGTCTTCCTAATTACTTGTCTGCTTGGGTCCTATCACTGACTCTGCAGAACCTAACAAATTAGCTTTTAAGGTATTCTAGCATTTGTTCTCAAACACAGTCTACCTTCCAGAATACGTAATTTATGCTCTGACCAAGTTAGACATATTTTCATACCCAGAACTCATACTTCCTTACCCCCAAAACTTTATTGATGCCACCCCCTCGGTAATTCCCTTCCCCTACTATATCTGCTATTATAATCTTACTTGTCCTTTAGAAGTCAGCTCATATATCACCACTGCTTCTATGAAGTCTTTCCTGATTTCTTCAGTCAGAAGGGCTCTTTCTCACCTTTGAACTCACACAGCACTCTGGATCTCTTTTAGGACACTAACTACATTCTCTCTTATGCTTGAGTTATTTTTGGTCTGTGTCTCATTCCTCCTAATAAACAGTGAGCTCATTCATTCAGCCATTTCTAATGATACGATATACCAGGCATCATTCCACCTAACTAGGAAGAAAGACAACTTTAAGCTATGTGTTTTGCCAATTTTGGTCAAGTAAAGTGTCATATGTAGTAGGTAATCAATGAATATTTTAAGTTGGTAAATGGATGGATAAATGGATGAAAGGATGACTATGGTATGTGTGGGATGAGAGGTGTGGGCTATTTGGCTTTGCTTTGATCATTGTGATGGTAGAGGGGTTAGTAGGGTAAGACAGCTTATTTGACATTTATGAAGCTCATGGAATTCTTAAGTCACCCAGGGTTGCCAATCCATTATCACCTTGGGGTGTGAGTAGAGGGGAGGAAATGTGGAGGGTGAGCACAACTGTCCAGTTGACCATCCTGAGACATGTCTATTAAAAGAAATGCAGGCAGGGCACGGTGGCTCACACCTGTAATCCCAGCACTTTGGTGGACGGAGGTGGATGGATCACTTCAGCCCAGGAGCTCGAGACCAGCCTGGGCAACACAGTGAGACCCCATCTCTACAAAAAATTTAAAAATTATCTGGGTGTGGTGGCATGTGCCTGTACTCCCAGCTACTCAGGAGGCTGAGGTGGGAGAATCACCTGACCCTGAGAGGTTGAGGCCGCAGTGAGCTGTGATGGCACCACTGCACTTTCACCAGGGCAACAGAGCGAGACCCTGTCTAAAAAAAAAGAAAAAGAAATGTAATCCTGGTCACAAGCAATGACTACTCTTTAATTGTACCACAGTGCTCTCCCAATATCTATCTGTTGAGTACCCTTTCCATTCTATATATCTGGTCCTTTTTTTAGGCCTCTCTAGTTGACATGCGGCTGTGGTAAGTTTGTTTATTCTTCTATATCTTTGGATTTAGACTCTCTTCTGGAAGAACTTTGAATAGGCTGTCCCAGGCAAGAGGGTCTGAAGAGAGAACCCAGAGAAAAGCTGTTCTTTAGATTCTCCATCTACCAAGCACAAACGTCTTCCAATTCTGCTGCTAAATGTAAGCGTCTGGAGAATCAGCCAGGAGGGAAAGAGTTAAGTGAGGACTGCTTTGGGGCCTGGGTCCAGAGCCTGCATTCCTTCCTCCCAGAAATCTGCCAGCCTATGGGGCCAGAGGCTAAATTTAGAGGGTGGCTAAGGTTTCCTGTTAACAGCTGTCCTGCCCCTAGGAGAAGAAGCCCTGAGGAAGGAGGTGGCTGGTTCCTGTCTCACTGGCCGGAGCTTCAGCTTCAGTCATTTCATCTGGGTCCCTCAGCCCTTGGTGGGGAACATCCAGGCAGGTTAGAGGTGAGTGTGCTTCTCCCCTTGTCAATCCTGGTGAGCCCAGGACTTACAATACAAGGGGCAGCGGCTTTGCCCTGAGTGTCAGGGCACAACCATGATGGCTGGGACCAGCTGCTGGTATCCTTCATGTCCTTTAATAGGCTCCAGGATGACGCCTGAGCCAAAGGCCCTACCTCCTGTGGCCTTGGTTAGAGACACCGAAGGCCAGCTGTGTCTTCCCCAGCAGAGACAAAGGTGTGCGCATGGGCATAGGTGAGGGGCGTGTGTGTATGCACATCCTATAATTTCAACTGAAAAATCTTGCTGGTCCAGGGAAGTCATTGTTCTTCAACTTTTTGAGCTGAGATCAGGTAACCTGCTGGCTCCTCTGCCTGCTCCCTTGCTGACATCTGTGGAAGGAGCCACACTGGCACTTCAATATTGTCACTTCAAGGTGGGCTCCTAATATGGCGGGGTGCACTTCTTGGTGTCCCGGTAACAGTGGCTGGGCCAGGTCTGACTGGATATTCCTTGCTGGTCTTTTGCCCACCGGGACCTTCCTAGTCCTAGTTCCACTGAGGTGACATCACCAACACAACTTCTCCCCCAACAAAACCTCAGGAACCTAATTCCCTAACTGCCTTTTTCTTGCCAAACTTTCAGAGGTTGGCAGGTTGTCATGGCGACCAGAAAGGACACAGAGGAGGAGCAGGTAGTCCCAAGCGAGGAGGACGAAGCCAACGTGAGGGCGGTGCAGGCCCACTACCTCCGAAGCCCCTCCCCTAGCCAGTAAGTGACCACTTATCTCCCACCCTCACAGCCCCAGCTGGGAGGGGCTGGGGACAGGTTGGGCCATTAGCTCCAGGGAGCCTGCAGCCATCACCTCGGTTCACTCATTTAACAAATATTATTGAGTACTTGTATGTGTCCTACTTTCTGGAGGAGGTAAATATGCAAATAGACTGATTGCAATGTGGCAGGTGTGTGCTAGATATTAATATGACCAGGATCTAGTATGTGGTGGACTAGACAATAGGGAAGGGAACAACTGGACTTGGAAGGTCATAGGAGGCTTGGCTGGAAGAGATGATGATGGACCCGAACCTCAGAGGATGAGTAGGAATTTGGCCCTGCTTGATTCAGTAGGACTGGGGCTGGATATGGGGATGACAGGCCGTAGACTATAAGAAAAGGGATGAGGAGAGGAGAAGCCCATGGAAGCATTCCCTAGCACTAAAATAATTTTTTATCCATAATCAAGCTGTGTCTTTTAAACTGGGACATGTGCATGCCTGGGGCAAGTGGCAAGATGCCAAGAGGCATGAGGCATCTTCCTGGAGAGTCCTCTTTTTACCACAAGTAATTTGAAACTTTCTTTTACATTAAAATCATCGACGTTATGTTATCATGTAGAATGAAAAAAATGTGCATAACATTTTAAGACAAACCACGAGACGTTAAAGAAATGTCGTGCTTAATTGCCTGCTAAAACAATACTGTGTGTGCCTGTCCATTTTCTTCTGTCATAAATCATAACAGGAGACCTGACTTTTAATCACATCTCTGTCACCAAATTGGTGTGAAGAATAACTGAAGTGATTGAGCCTTTAGTTGGAAGCGCCTAACTAAAACATCTGAAATTAACTTCCCCTCTAAGAATTTATCATTCTGCTTGATTTCACTTTTCTCTGATGCTCTTGGGATCTTGCTGGCTCCTGCTTCCTGTGTCAAAAGGCTTCCCCAGTGGAGTAAGACAGGAATGAGGGCAGGTGCTCAGCACTCATGGGCCAGGGCACTTCGCCCAAATGGAGCTTAGAGACTTCTCCTTTAAAATTCAGCATTATGTTGGGAGGCCGAGGTGGGAGGATCATGAGGTCAGGAGATCAAGCCCAGCCTGGCCAATATAGTGAAACCCCATCTCTACTAAAAATACAAAACTTAGCCAGGTGTGGTGGTAGGTGCCTGTAATCTCAGCTACTCAGGAGGCTGAAGCAGGAGAATCACTTGAACCCGGGAGGCGGAGGTTTCAGTGAGCCGAGATCGCGCCACTGAACTTCAGCCTGGGCGACAGAGCGAGACTCCATCTCAAAAAAAAAGAAAAGAAAATTCAGCATTATGGTCCCACTTAGGAAAACTCTCAGGATTGAGAGATTTAACATAGGTCCTCCTCTCTTGTATACCCCCGAATAAGGCAGAGGTCGCTTCGTGTGTGGTTGGGATAGGTGACAGTTTCGTGTATTGCTAAGAGTAATGCTAGCTATTATATCTAAAGGACATTTCTTTCTTGCTCAAATAAGTTCCAAAACAGGTACCTGAGCAGTGATTCAAGAACTAAGACTCCTTCTGTCTTGAAGGTTCACCACTTTAAAGCATGGCTTCTAAAGTCACAATGCTCATCAGTATTAACATAAAATGGAGACAAGCACGGATAATTTCCCAGGAGGTTTTATGGTCCAGATGTGAAAATGGTCACTTCATTTTCACTCATATTCTATCGTCTAGAACTCAGCAAGGTCATGCTTTCTTGCAAAGAAGGATGGGAAATAAGGCCCATGAGCCCAAGAAAAAGAGGAAATCAGTGTGTCGATAATAGCAGTCTCAGCCACAATGTACTCCTCTAGTCAGTCAATCCATGTTATCTTTTTTTTCCCCACCTATAGAACATGTTTACTGCCTCCTAAGTGAGGCAACTCAAAATCCCACTTACCAACTGCTGCATATGTAGTTCCAGGCTAGGTTCTCCAATGGGTGTGCATTCTGTCCCTCAGGCCTGAATGCAACACATTATGGTCGGATCAGGATAACTGCCAAAAACAGCTACCATTTTATAAAAGGAGGAAGAGGAAATACTGCTGTCATATCATTAATGAACATGTTGACCCAGGATGTGAGGAGTCCTCCTAGATTTGACCTTGATTTGTCTCTCTGAGAGAAATACCCTTGTCTATTGTTCTCTTTGACCTCTAGCTCTGCCCTCCTAGCTGTCTTGCTTGTCCATTATCCTCCATAGCCACGTTGAAGACATGTCTTCCTTGAAGGCTGTATAGCTTTTGCAGACTGTGTCCTGTTTATGAAAATTTGGTGGCTCTGGGACTGTTTTAAGGTTTATGCCATGCAAAAGCTTTTGGAAGTTCCTGGTTTCTTTGAAAATACGACCCTTTCAAAAACTCAATAGGTTTATGATCTATGTAGATTAGACAAATCCATGTGTTACTAACCACACTCAAAGTTCTTTCCTAGATATAGTTTTCAATCCTGATTCATTCATTTGCCTTTTTGTCTCCGTTTAATGATAGTTATCTTGGGAGGTTATCTGAAACTGTAAATTTGGGTGTGGAGTCCAAGATGCATGTTGTAATTTGTAGTGTAATTGTTAGAAAGTTTTGCAGTGGAGTGTATAGCTAACAAGCTCATGAAGGGTGGATAAAATAATAAAATATAATCAATCTAAAAGGAGAAAAGAAAGTAGAGAAAAAGAATACAGAAAAAGAACAACTGTCTCCACAAGAAACTATAGGTTAAAAAAAAAAGAAAGAAAAAGAATAATAAGAAAATAGTAGGATGGTAGATTTAAGCTCAAATATATAAATAACTACATTAAATGTAAATAGACTAAATACTCCAATTAAAAGACAAAGATGGTCAAACTCAATTTTTTTAAAAAGGCTACATGCTGTTTACAAGAGACACACCTTAAAAATAACGATATAGGTTTGTCATGGTAGCTCATGCCTGTAATTCTAGCACTTTTGGAGGCTGAGGTAGGATGATTGCTTGAGGCCCCGAGTTTCAGACAAGACTAGGCAATATAGTGAGGCCCTGTCTCTACAAACTTTTTTTTTTTTTTTTTTTTTTTTTTTGAGACGGAGTCTCGCTCAGTCGCCAGGCTGGAGTGCAGTGGCGTGATCTTGGCTCACTGCAACCTCTGCCTCCAGGGTTCAAGTGAGTTTCCTGCCTCAGCCTCCAGAGTAGCTGGGACTACAGGTGCAAGCTACCCCACCCAGCTAATTTTTGTATTTTTAGTAGAGACGGGGTTTCACCATGTTGGTCAGCATTGTCTCGATCTCTTGACCTTGTGATCCCTCTGCCTCAGCTCTCAAAGTGCTGGGATTACAGATGTGAGCCACCACGCCCGGCCCAAACTTTTTTTAAGAAATTAGCCAGGCAAGGTTTCACATGCCTGTAGCCTCAGCTACTCAGGAAGCTGAGGCAACAGGATTGCTTGAGCCCAGGAATTCAAGGCTGCAGTGAGCTATGACCATGCCACTGCATTCCAGCCTGGGTGTGAAAGTGAGGCCCTGTCTCAAAAAATAAAATAAGGATATACAAAAGTTAACAAAGAATAAAAAATTTATACTACACTGTTTCAGTTACTACTGCTCATAACTTCAAATTTTAGTGGCATAAAATACCATTTTATTATGTTCATAATCAGGAGCCTGGATGAGGCACAGTGGGGTTAGCCTGTCTTTGCTCCATGATGTCCAAGGTCTCAGCTAGAGAGATTTGAAGACTGGAGATGCCTTAAGGCTGAGGGTGACTCACAGAGGCATCTTCACGTTTGGCAGTTTATGTTGAAATTTACCTGGGCTTTTGGCCGGAATACCTAAGATAGTCCCTCTATGTGGGTTACTTTGGGCTTTCTCTAAGCATGGTAGCTAAATTCCAAGAGTTGCATCCAAGAGAATAAGATAGATGTGTATTAATTTTCATGAGCTAGCCTCAGGAGTTACATAGCACCACTTCTGCTGTACTCTGCTGACACAAATGTCCATGAAGTTTCAAGGGGAGGCAACATAAACTTCATCACTCCATCAGAGAAGTACCAAGGTGATATTGTAAAGTAAGCAAAAGCAAGCCAGTGAAGCAGATTTTAAAGTAATCATTACTAGATACAAAGAGACAAAAAGAGACACTTCATAATGATCAAAGGTTCAATTCACCAAAAAGATAAAATAATTTTCAATTTCTATGTTTAATAACACAGCCTCAAAATATATAAGGCAAAAAACTGACAGAACTGAATGAAAAATTAAAAGCCACAATCTCCCTCAACTGTATGTATATTTTTTAAAACTATCTCAGCAACTGATAAAATAAAAAAAATCAAAAGAATCATTTTTAATAAGAATATCAAAAATTATCAAGAATATTTGGATAAAACAATAAATAAAATTAACCTAATGAGCATTTATAGAACATGCACCCAACAAGTACAGGATACACATTCTTACCATGTACACATGGAGCATTTGTCAAAATAGATCATATACTGGGCCATACATATATCAACCAATGTTTAGTGATTGAAATAATACAGAACATGTTATCTGAACATAGAAGAATAAAGGTAGAGATCAATTAAAAAATTTAAAATCAGGGATTCAAATTAAAATCACAATTCAATACTACTACATACTCACCAGAATATCTCAAACTAAATACCAACAATAGCAAATATTAATGAAGATGTGAAGCAATCAAAACTCCTATTCATTGCTGGTGAGAGTGTAAATTAGTACAACCATTTGGAACTATTTTGCAGTATCTACTAAAGCTAAACATATGGTTGTCCTCTGACCCAGCAGGCTCACTCTTCATAAATACTTAACAAAAACAACTACATATGTGCACCAGAAGATAAATACTATAATGTTTAGCAACTAATAGTCATTAAGGATATAGGATGTATAAACAACATGATGAACTGTCCAATTAGCAGTAGGCTAGATAAATAGAGTCTGGCATATATATTTATTTTAAAAACTGCCTGTCTTGGTCTCTTTTCTGTTGCTATAACAGAATACCTGAGACTGGGTAATGTACAAAGAATAGAGGTTTATTTGGCTCATAGCTCTGGAGGCTGGAAAGTCCGAGATCAAGTGGCCACATTTGGCAAGGGCCTCATGCTGCCTCATAACATGGCAGATGGCATCACATAGCATGAGTGCATGTGAAAGAGGAGAGCAGGCATGTGCAAAAGAGACCAAATGCAAGAGGCAGCCTCACTTTATAACAACCCCCTCTCATGGTAACTAATCCAGTCCCCCAAGAGCAAGAACTCATTCCCATGAGAAAAGCATTCCTCTCTCTTAACAACCTAATCACCTCTTAAGACACTACCTTCCAATGCCACCCCATTGGAGACCAAGCCTCAACATGAGTTTTGGTGAGGACAAACCATAGAATTGCCCTAGGAAATACGTATTTTATTAACTGCCTATCACTTTGGGGTGATTGAGCTTCTCAGATTGTTGATTGAGGAAGGCAAATAACAAATATGACACAAAGGGGCAGGGGTGAAGGGAATCACCGAAAGGGGAAACAGGACGCAGGGAAGATTAATTCTGCTGGTTTCACAATTTTACATCACCTTAGCCTACCACAAGACAAAAGCACTGAAGCAAAGGCATTCAGTCCTTAGCCTTTTCAGCAGCCATTCTCCCTTCCTAGGCAAAAACAGGCTCAACCTGAAAGACCCACTTTACTGTACAATGGGCTGAACTTCCTTAAAACATGGCCCCACATCCAGAGCAAATGTTCTCTGGATTTGCAGTGACTGCTGCTGAATCCTGTTGGTTTTAATGCGCTTCTTGGTTTGTGTATACTACTCAGCAATTGATTTCTAGAAACTTATCCCAAATCATCTAGCCCTTTTCAGAAATTCTCAAGGAAGGCAAACATGTGGTGGCACTTCATAGGCTATCTCTTCCCACAATGGCCTCATAAAATCTGAACTCTAAACTATTACATTTGCACAGGCTTTGGAGCTATCATCCAATCGATCCCACTTTACTTCACAGAACCACACCTAAACCAGTTCAGATGAATGAGTCTACAGTGCTTTTTAAAAAATGAAAACAGAACCTATAGACTTGGAGAAAATATTTTCAAATTACATATCTGATAAAGAACTTCTGTCTAGAATATATTTTTTAAAACTCCCACAACCTACTAATAAGGAAACAAACAACTCAATTAAAAAGCGGACAAATGATTTGAATACATATTCACCAAAAATGATATGTGGATGGCAAATAAGCACATGAAAAGATGCTCAAAATCCTTAATCATTAGGGACACACAAATCAAAACCACAGTGAGTTACCGTTACATTACTATTAAAATATCTGAAATTAAAAAGATTGACGATACCAAATGTTGGTGGAAAATGTAGAGTACTTGGGACAATCTTATATACTGCTGGTGGGAATGTAAAATAGTCCATTTTACAGTTTTTCAGTTTCTTACAAAATTAAACATACATCTACCTAAACATGCACACCTATATCTACATGATCCCATCATTCTACTCCTAGGTATATACTCAAGAGAAATGAAGGCCTATGTCTGCAGGGCACAGTGGCTCATGTCTATAATCCCAGCACTTTGGGAGGCTGAAGCAAGTGGATCACCTGAGGTCAGGAGTTTGAGACCAGCCTGTCCAACAGAGTGAAACCCCATCTTAACTAAAAATACAAAAATTAGCTGGGTGTGGTGGTGGGCACCTGTAAGCCCAGCTACTTAGGCTGAGGCAAAAGAATCACTTGAACCAGAGAGGTGGAGGTTGCAGTGAACCAAGATTGCACCACTGCACTTCAGCCTAGGCAACAGAGTGACAGTCCATCTCAAAAAAGAAAAAAAAAAGCCTATGTCTATGCAAAGACTGGGACATGAATGTTCATAGCAGGTTTATTTGTAATAGCCAAAAACCTAAAAACATCCTAGATGTCCAATGACGAGTGAATGGATAAACACATTGTGTCACATTTACACATAGGAATACTATACAGCAACGAAAAGAAATGAACTATTGATTCATACAACAACATGGATGAATCTCAAAATAATTACACTGCTTGAAAGTCAGACAAAAAAGGGTACATACTATATTATTCCATTTATATAAAATTCTAGAAAATGCAAACCCATCTCTACAGTGGCAGAAAGCAGTTTAATGGTTGCCTGGGGGGCATAGGGCAGGGAGGGGGTGAGAGGGAGGGCTTAAAAAGGGGCACACGGGATGATGTGACCTTGGTTGCAGTGATGGCTTCACGGATGTATACATATGTCAAATCTTGTATATTTTAAATTTGTGCAGTTTGTATATCAATAATAAAGCTGTTTTTTAAAAATATATATATATATAAAAGATAAATAAAACCCTCTTTTAGGAGGCAGTATGATACTGTGGAAAGAAATTAAGTGGTGCAGTGGAGACCAAAATTGAGGTCAGACCTGCCCTCCTACTTATAAACCCTTGAAAGCTTGCTTAAATTACTTAATCAAAAAAATCAGAATACCAGTTTTACCCAGGAGTAGAGAATAAATAATACAACATATATAAAGGTATACTAGGTATTTGATAAATGCTGGTTCTCATACCTTTTCCTTCCAGAAAAAGATATCTGACAACAAAATTTTTTCAGTAACTCATCATGTCAAGAAATTTTTATTTAGCCAGAGTCCCACACACACTGATTAAGACATCATGCTTCTCTAATTCTGCCATGAGCAAATCCTGTATTCTAAGAAGCAGAGTATCACTTACTGATATTTGTCCCCATCCTGAACAGTCCTCCTTGTACTTGATAAGTGCCTGAAATTCCATCCTTCTGGTTTTATGACTTCAGGTAAAGGTTTGAGTCTTTAAGTTAAATTTTAAGTCTTCTTTAAGTTAAATTACGCACCAAGTCAGCAAATACCTCACCACCGGACTCTTAGTCCTTGTACTAGTTTCCTAGGGCTGCCACAGCAAATTACTACAAACTAGGCAGCTTAAAAACAAGAGAAATTTATTTTCTCACATATTGGAAGCCAGAAGTCTGAAATCAAGCTGGTGACAGAGCCACACAGCCTCCAAAGACTCTAGGGAAGACTCCTTCCTTGTCTCTTGCTCGTTTCTGTTGGCTACGGGCGTTTCTTGCATTGTGGCAGCATAATTCCAATCTCTGCCACTCCTTCAAAAGGCCGTCTGCTCTGTCTTCTCTTCTCTTATAAGGACACTTGCCACTGGCTTTAGAGTCCATCCTAATTTAGGGTTATCTCATCTCAAAAGCTTTAACTTAATTACTCCTGCAATGATCCTTTTTCCAAAAAAGATTACATTCCCAGGTTTTGGAAGACATACCATTTTGGAGGGCACCGTTCAACTCACTACAGCCCTATATCCAGCCCCTAGGAAACAGAATTTTACTCTTTCCTGTGGAACTAGAACAGAGCCTTGCAAAACTTCACCCAGTGATCCAAACAGCCACTAGCAGCCAGCCAAAATTAGCAGGGATGTACCCTGCTTGCTGTCCTGGCAGGGAGTCTTAACATTTCAAGTCTCATCTGTAAATCTCATCCTAGGGTGAATTAAGAATCTGAGAAAGGGGTGTAGAAAATGGATGGGGTATCAAATCTTCATTTTTGCCTGAGTTAGGCACTAACTTCAAACACCTTAAATTCAAACCTAGCCACTATGAGTCACTCTCTGGAAGAAAATGGGCGGTTAGAGATTCATCCATCTCACAGCTAGGCAAATTTCCCTAAGTGATTCATGAGTTGACACTGAAATTTAAAACCCCCTGTCAGTGGGGGAGCTTGGTGGGGACTTCTCCCTTACCTATAGTCTCCGTCAGGCCTTCCCAGTCACCTAAACAAATACAGCCTAAGAAGTAAGTGCACAGCCGGGCGCGGTGGCTCACGCCTGTAACCCCAGCCCTTTGGGAGGCCGAGGTAGGCGGATCACAAGGTCAGGAGATCGAGACCATCCTGGCTAACACGGTGAAACCCCGTCTCTACTAAAAATAGAAAAATTAGCCTGGTGTGGTGGTGGGCGCCTGTAATCCCAGCTGCTCAGGAGGCTGAGACAGGTGAATGGCATGAATCGGGAGGCGGAGCTTGCAGTGAGCCGAGATTGGGCCACTGCACTCCAGCCTGGGGGACAGAGCCAGACTCTGTCTTGAAAAAAAAGAAGTAAGTGCGCTTGTAATGCAAACCAACCTCTGCCCGTCCCCCCACCCCCCGTCTCTTCCTTCTTAGCTATTATCATCAGTTTTCTCTTCTTTCCAACTAAAGGAGCAAAGGCATTTTTATCATTCTCTTGTTCCTGATTTGAAGAATGGTTTCTACTTGACTTTATATCTTTCCAAGTCAAAATCCGTTCCTTGCTTTGGCTTTTAGATCTGAACTTTTCAAGACTTCGCAGTTTTGTAGAACTGCTTGGTAAGGCTCGATCAGGCTTCCTGTCACGGTGACACTGTTTCCCTTGACCTTCAGTGAATTTCTTTAACTGTGCTCTCCTTTCCCTTCCTGTGGCGAGCAAGCATCTGTGGTGGGTGTGGTAGGAGACAGGGGCATGAAGTGTAATTTCTCTGTGTTTTCGTTATGTTTCTTTGGGAAATGGCTCCTCCTGTCCATCCTTTCTCCTTTACATTTCTTTTTTGGTGAAAATTTCTCCACCTCAGCTCTTTCACTAAGCCTGTTGGAAGCAGCTTGCTAAAAATCTATTTTCTTCCGTTTACTGACTTCTCTTCTTCCTTAGAGCCTGAACTTTGCCTGTGTGTAGTCATTTTCTCTGAAGTCACTGAAAACTTAGAGCTCAGAAACCTTGTCCTTTTTTGCAAAAGCCCAATCAAGAAAGACACCTCCTCCTGGGCCTCTACCTCCATTTCACTTCCAAGGGACTCCTTGACAGGAAGTGATCAGCTATAGGAAAGTCTGGGCTGAAGGACCCCAATTCCACTACATTCCGTGTCTGGACAGCAGGCAACTAGTTTAAAGCAACGGCTTTCAAACTTTGCTGACTATAATCTGCACTATGACAATGCCATTTGCATCTCAACTCAGAGATATATACACATATACATAAATTTTTAAAAGTTCACAAAACTACACTTATCCTTACAATGGGTGGTGCTATTCCCTTTCTTTCCCCTCCTCCTTCCCTCCCTTTCTTCCTCTTTGCCTTCCTTCCCTCCCTCCCTTCCTTCCTTCTTTCCTTCCTTCCTTCCTTTTTTTCTGTTTCCTTTTTTCCTTTCTGTCCCAGATGCTGAACACAACCCACTGAATTGATTTTATGATACATGGATTGGTCAGTCTGCAATTTTGAAAAACGCAGGTCTAAAGCAAGCTGCACCACTCTCCGGCTTTTGGTTAGGAAGTCCATCAAACTCCCCTTTATTGTTCCTCTTTCAATTCAGCCTCAAGGCTTTTTAGCAGCTGCTTCCTGATCCTATGATGAGGTATGTATCGATCCTAGGTCCTTTTTTTCCCTGCCTGTCTTTCTTGAACAGCCAGCCCTCACTGCTTTCTAATCAGGGTGTGAGTGTCATCTCACTCCATCTCAGGTATGCCAGTTGGGACACAGACATAGTCATAAATCAAAACCTCTAGGGCTGCCATCTCACTGACCTTGCAAATATAAACAGGGCCAGTTGTTCAGGTCTCTCCCTCCTTCCTCTTTTCTATTTCTGCAGTCCTCCTTCTCTGTGGAAAACAAGCGTCCGTTTTAGGTCTTGCCCCCACACCTTTCTTTATTAGACTTAATAAACCGTGTCTGTGGCAAACAGTTTTATGACTATTAGGTTTACATCTCCCCCTCATGGCGGCTGACTCGTAAAAGCATTTGTAATCTACATTGTACATTCCACACTGGGTAATACGGAGCAGAGTTTAATGTTGCTCACATTTTAGCATCAGCAGCCAAAGACAGAAACATCGTGGGGCTGAGGAGGAAATCTGTTCTTCATCCCCCCTCTTTTCTCATTTACAAAGCTGCCAGCTTCTCAAGAGTATACCGGGTAGGCTCTTCACGTATGATTTCTCAGGTTTGCTGACTCATTAGCCGAACTTCAATCTTTACCACCCATTAGAAGGAAAGATGTTTCACAGAGATTTCTCTTTTCAAATTCTCCCCTATCAAACCCACAGCCTCAGAGTGTAGGTATATTTAGGACAGATTCTTGATTCTCAGTATTTGTTATTTAAAACCAAATCCTCACAATTTAAAGTCAACGTTATTTAGGGAAAGTGGCAGGATGGAGTGCTCCCGGATGGATAATCCCAGGCCAGGATCCTGGCAGTCCCACCTGCTGAGTTCCTTGCAAGGCCTTTCTGCACACCTGACAGGTAAGGGCGCCTCCTGTGTCTATTTTCAGTCTGTATCAGTTGCTTGGAATACTGATTAGAGATGTGAGAAAGCCTCTTTGGGACACAAAGGAACAAAGAAAACGGACCAAGTAGGAGAAATGTGGTGCTGTGCAAGGAAGAAGGCCTTGTAATCCCTACAGTAATACAATAATTCTCAACATGGATCTGTTTGGTTTGGTTTTGCCCCAAACCTCATTTTACATAATACTGACCCTTAATAAATAAAATGATTAATGTTTTGTTAATAGGAGTATAAATAGTATTAATTACTGAAAAATAAAATAATAAAACTCCCTTAATAAATATTGTTGAAATGGAAAATATGACTGCTCACATTTATATAAAATCTGGGGCTTTGATTCTAGTTTTATGAAATATTGTCATATGAAAACTAGCTGTCCTGAACCCTTGGAGCTCAGAATGTCCACCAGGTCTGTTATAGAGGCAAGGTTTGCTCTACCATATTGGCATTATTTTGTTGTTGCTTCCCATCTGTAACATATTTGCCTCAGTCACTGATATTTATAGGTTGTGTATCACTACTGAGGAGAAGAGTGCCTAAGCATTTGCTTAAAACTTGCTTCCTAGCCCTTGGAATAGCACTATTCCTGTTATCTATTGGTGCTTAACAAATTACCCCAAAACTTAATGACTAAGGACAATAATTTCATTTTGCTCCCCTTTTTGTGGGTCAGGAATTTGGACAGGACTTGACCGGGCAGTTTTTCTGTTTCATATGGCATCAGCTGGAGTGGCCTGATGGGCTGCAAGGTCCATTTCTAAGAGGATCATTCACATGGTTGGCTGTTGGCTGGGAGCTCAGCAGGGACTGTTGACCAGTGGCCTTTCTAGCTTGGTGTTCTGGGGGTAGTCGGACTTCTTATATGGCAGCTCAGGAGTTCCCAGAAAAAGAGTGTCAAGACCCAAAGAAGGAAAGCTTCCCTCAAGACGTGGGTTCAAAAACTGATCAATTATCACTTCCACCATGTTGTATTCTATTGGTCAGAGTAGTCACAGAGACTACCCAGATTCTAGGGCAGTAGACATAGACCCCACCTCTCTAGGCAAAGAGTATCACAGATCTGGGGTGACCATTACTCTACCATAAGAAAAAATTACTAATTGCTAACATAGGCCTCAGATATTGTATACCTCTTGGCCTCTGAAGGGCAGAGAGTAGGCATGGAGAGGACACAGCCAAGATCCTGCTTTTGCTTTGAGACTTACTACTGGTGTCCCAGTAAAATGATGAGCATGCAGCAAACACTTGATAGATCTTATTGCTGATTGTTGTAACTGCCACATTCCCTTAAGTATAGTTCTATTGAAGACATATTCAGTCAGTGAGTCAGAAATTATCTATGAAACATTTACTGTGTGCCAGACATTCTCCTAGGTGCTAGGAACACAATGGTCAACAAAATACCCAGTCATGGTCCTTGCCTTCATAGAGGGTATGATCTAGTGTAGGAGACCAATATTTATCAAATGATTTCATAAATAAGTGTAAAATCACATCTGATAGAAGTGCCATAAAAACAGGTGTATGGTGCAAGATCAAGGAAGACTTCCCTAAAGAAGGGACGATTGAACTAAAATCTGAAAAATGAGGGAAGCAGGAGAGGACTAACCATCAGGCTGCAGAAATGGACTTCTACAAAGTCCCTAGGCAGAGAGGAACTTGGTGAGAATGACAGCCAAAAGAAGACCAGTGTACTGGAAAGGAGTGAGCCAAAGAGAACCCAGTGCAAGTTGAGGCTGGGGAGGAGGAAGGGCCAGAGACTACAGGCCCTTGGAAATCATCAGGTTTGATCCCCTAGGTTGTATGTGGACACCTGGCCCAGCCTTACCATGGTCCATCCATTCATCCAGACATCCAGCTCTTCATCCATCTACCCATCTGTCTGTACATCCACTCACTCAGTCATCAAACCCTGACTGATCACCCTCCATCTGCTAGAGACACAGGTAAATAAGACCACCTAATCCACCTAATCTGTACCTTTATAGAGCTCACTGCCACCCCCACTAGGTGTTTAAGTCTTTACTGTCTTCACCAAGTAATGAGATTCCAAAGATCTCTCTAGTTTTAACACCAAAAGATAATATCCCATGAACTTTACCCTTAATCCACCCCCACTCCCCAATAACGTTTGTTTGAAAATGCATCTTTTCGTCACAGAAAATGCTTGGTGCTAGAATGGAAATGAGCCAACACAACCGCTATCGTAAAACTCTATTATCTTCACCAAACAATGAGATCTCTAAAGGCCTCTCTAGTTTTAACATCCAAAATAATTTGGAAATGAATTAAATTGAGTTGATTAGAGTTATGGGGGGGAAAAATGGCAGATAGGAGGGAGGACTAACTTGCAGCTCCCACTTGGATGAACAGAACAGCATATAGAGACTCACATCATGAACCTTTGCTCCAAGAACTACCACAGGAACATACCAGGAAAACTGAAACAATTCACAGACCCTTTCAAAGAAGCAGCTTGCTTCTGCAAACATCATGAGATAGCCAAAAAACTGTGAATGCCCAAAGTGTGAGAGGGGGAAAGTCTGCCTCCAAACACACATCCTCACTGGGGAACCTGAAAATCCAGATCACAGGAGAAGGATTTAACCTTTCCTAGAGGTAAAATGAATTTAGAGAGCTGAGAAACATATAAAAGTAGAAGAAGCAGCAGGAAGAGCCCTGTAAGCACTCTCAGTCCCCAGGGAAGCCATTTCTGACTTTATCTCACAGGGGTCCTTGGGGAGGGCAGCCAGGGGTATTGGGGAAGGACCACAGGGAGAAGGAAACTTCCAGCTGAACTTTGTAATAATTTCAACCAAGTGTAAATTGTCCAGGGCAGAATGGGGATGGGGGAATGGCAAACAGGAAGTGCAAACAAGAGCACAGAAGCCACCACAGTGGGGTAGTGGCAGGGCCTGAAAGCTCTGCTTGCTTTCTCCTCAGGGAGGCTTATAGCCTGGGGCAAGATCTCATCCCTGCTTACCGGCTGCCTAAATATAAACTCAGTGCTGTTGGTGGGGCACAGTGAAAGTGAGACTGGCCTTGCTGGCTGTGTGGGAGCTGGGTGAGGCACCCACTGCCAGCTTTACCCCCACTTCCCTGGCAACCTGTATGATGCAGCAGAGGCAACCACAATCCCTCTGGGAACATAACTCCTTTGGCCTGAGAACCACACCCTCCATCCCCGACAGCAAGCCCCATCCGAGGAGAGTCTGAGCTCAGACACACCTAACCCTGCCCCCACCTTATGGTCTTTCTCTACATGCCCTGGTAGCCAAAGACAAAAGACATAATCTCTTGGAAGCTCTAAGGCCTCACCCATCACCTGAGAAACCTGAATATTTATCCAGAAGACCTTAGGACAAGTTTGTTTCCCCCCTATACTACCGCAGCTGATGCATTCCTGAAGGTGCCACCTCCTGGCTGGAGGTCAACCAGCTCAAGCCATTACAACAACTCATAAAAGAACAATGCTGCTCTAAGAAAGGAGAAAACAACAGCTAATTCTATCATCTGTAACATCCTGGCTAACCAGAGGTCCTGAGTCTGTCCACATGACAACTTCACTGCTACCATAACCAGCATTTGAGAAAACGAGTGCAGTAAACAAACCTATAACCAAGGACCCTCACAGAGTCCATTTCACTCCCCTACTACCTCCACTGGAGCAGTTACTGGTATCCATGGCTGAGAGACCTGAAGGTCGATCACATCACAGGATTCTTTGTAGACACTCCCCAGTACAAGCCTGAAGCCCTGGTGGCTCCACTGGGTGGCTGGACCCAGAAGAGCAATAATAGTCACTGCAGTCCAGCTCTCAGGAAGCCCCATCTCTAGTGGAAGGAGGAGAGCACCACATCAAGAGAACACCACATGAGACAAAAGAATCTGAACAGTAGCCCTTGAGCCCCAGATCCTTCCTCCAACATAGTCTAGCCAAATGAGAAGGAACCAGAAAAACAATTCTGGCAACATGACAAAGCAAGGTTCTTTAACACCCCCAAAAGATCACATTAGTTCACCAGCAATGAATCCAAACCAAGAAGAAATCTCTGAATTGCCAGAAAAAGAATTCAGAAGATCAATTATTAAGCAACTCAAGGAAGCACCAGAGAAAGGTGAAAATCAACTTAAAGAAATTTGAGAAATAATACAGGATATGAACAAAACAAACTCCAGAAAAATAGATAGCATCAACAACAAAAAAATCACAACTTCTGGAAATGAAAGACACACTTAGGGAAATACAAAATACACTGGAAAGTTTCAACAAAATCAAACAAGTAGAAGAAAGAACTTAAGAGCTCAAAGACAAGGTGTGAGAATTAACAATAGTAATGCCATTTTTCCACCTTGGTGATTGTGTTTTCTACCTTGGTGACAGTGTTTCCAGAAACAAAGCAAATGTCAACCTCACCGGTACCTTTAACGGAGCATAACAATCCTGACCACAACAAAGACTGACTGGCCCTTACCACATCCTTTCCCAGCCCCTTACAGTTCCAACCTTCCAGCACTTCCCCAACCCCTCTCTTGTAGAAACTTTATTATAAAAACCTCAGCTTTAAGCTATCAGGGTCTCCACCAGATTCCTGACGGAAACCCCTTGCAGGCTTATTCCTGTGAATAAACCTGTTTGGCCATTGAGATGCTTTCTCTCCATTGCTCTCTTGTTTTTATTTTCCTAACACCAGGTTTTCAAATTAACCCAATCCAACAAAGACAAAGAAAAAAAGAATTTTTGAAAGATGAACAAAGCCTCCAAGAAATTTAGAATTATGTTAAATGACCAAACCTGAGAATAATCGGTGTTCCTGAGAAAGAAGAGAAATCTAAAAGTTTGGAAAACTTTTAGATGTGGGCATGGATGTGGTGCGAAGGGAACACTTTTACACTGCTTGTGGGAATGTAAACTAGTACAACCACTATTGAAAACAGTAGGGAGATTCCTTAAAGAACTAAAAGTAGATCTACCATTTGATCCAGCAATCCCACTCCTGAGTATCTACCCAGAGGAAAAGAAGTCATTATGTGAAAAATACTTGCACGCATATGTTTATAGCAGCACAGTTCACAATTGTGAAAACATGGAACCAGCCCAAATGCCCATCAGTCAACAAGTGGATAAGGAAAATATGGTACATATATATATATATATATATATATATATATATATATATATATATACACACACACACACACAAATATATATATATACTATGGAATAATACTTAGCCATAAAACGGTCTAAAATAATGGCATTTGCAGCAACCTGGATGGAATTGGAAACCATTATTGTAAGTGAAGTAACTCAGGAATGGAAAACCAAACATTGTATGTTTTCACTTATAAGTAGGAGCTAAGGTACGAGGAGGCAAAGGCATAAGAATGATACAATGGACTTTGGGGACTTGAGGGGAAGGATGGGAGGGGGTGAGGGATAGAAAATTACACATTGGATACAGTGTACACTGCTCTGGTGATGGGTACACCAAACTCTCAGAAATCACCACTAAAGAACATGTCCATGTAACCAAACCTGTTCCCCAAAAACCTACTGAAATATAAAAAAATGAGTTGATTAGCAGAACAATTATTTTGTAGTAACCATCCACAAATTGTTGTCCAACTTCAGGAGAATGCTGTGCCCAGTGTCAGCCAGGCCATGGAGAAGGAAATAACCTTGCCAGGAGAAAGGAGTAGCCTGTGAATCTACTCAGGATATGGCCAGACCCGCCCATGCAGCCTCTAGTGAACAAAGCTCACCCTTAATCCACCCCACTCCGCAGTCATACATATTTGAAAATGCATTTTTGGTCACAGGAGTACTTGGTGCTAGAATAGGAATGAGCCAGCACAACTGCTATCAGAAAACTCTCAGATACTATGGATGATGATGCCACATCATGCTGTCCCTGAGGTTGCCTAGGCAGGTCTGGCCATGTCCTGGGTAGAGTCCCAGGCTACTTCTTTCTCCTGGCAAGAGCACTGGGCTTGCTGACACTGAGCACACCATTCTCCCTAGGGTGGACTCTGATGTTGTGGATGCACGAGAGAATTGTTCTACTAATCAATTCAACTTAATTCAATCTCAACTTGTCTCAGCTCAAGTTAGCTTTGTTCAGCTCATCGGGATTCTGCTCAACTCAACTTTACTCAGCATAATTCATCTGATGCATGCATCTAGGCTTCCCATAAAGCATTTCTTAAGTACTTACCTGTCAAAGTCTGCATTGAGTCTGGGAATCCAGCTGGGGTTGCTTCCACCAACCAATCCACCTCCCTGTTCTAATCTAAATGGTATCTGTGTATTGTGGAGAGAACACTGGACCTACAGCAGGACTGCCCTATGTTCTCAACTTAGCCCTGCCATTTACTTACTGCCTTAGGCAATTTTCTTAACCTTTCTGAGCCACAATTTTCTCATCGGTAATGCAGGAATAAAAATAATACCTAATTTGTGGAGGGTTTGTCAGAATTAAATTCATAGAAGGCACTCACAAATGGTATCCATTAAATCCTCCCTCTATGGACCTATAGGAAAGACTAAGCAGAAAAAAGAAAATGACCCAAAGCTCATCTGAACACCTGGAGAACAGGACAACTCACTAGAAAGTTGTTTACTAGTGAACTATGGTGTGGTCCCATCCCCACCGCCATAGTGCAGTCCCAGGTCTTGTGTCTGCTGTAGATTCTCCATGTTCCTAAAGGTCTTTTTTGACAACTGCACCGAATTATTTTTGGGAAATTGCCATGACATTTACCCAAGTTACTTTCTTTGCATCCCTGGGCTCAACCTGACTCTCGATTTCATGTGCTCAGAATCAGTACCCGTGCATTTGAGTTCATCTTTAGCATTGCACTTGGTGCTATGCCAGTTCTTCATCATTAGCCCATTCCCTTACAAACAGGGAGAAGGAATGGAGAACAAAGGGAACAGAAAGAGTGGTGGCAACCTATTCAGCCCAGCAGTCCAGCAGAAGACTGGCAGAGGCAAAATTAAGGACACCCTGTAGATTGATAGCAGAGGAAAAGGAGACAAAATTTTTAAAATGAGCAGCGGGACATCCAAGAAAGTGAAGCCACATCAGGGTGGGTTCCCCCAAGCGTAGATGTACGCTCTTGCCTCCACAACATAGACCACCATGTCATTAAACATCACACACCATCAGTGCCAACTGTGATCTGAAAATGGGTGGGCATCTGAGTCACATGATACCCAGTGTTCTGTATTCTTGGGTCCTTAAACTTAGGAAGGCTTTGCCTTGATCACTCGTTGTTCCCCACTTGTTGCTAAAATCAAAGCCAGGTTTCTCATCTAAAAGAATGCCTTCAGTTCAGATGCTACAGGCTTATCTCACGTGAATATCCTCTTCCCTTAGGTATTCGATGGTCTCAGATGCAGAAACAGAAAGCATTTTCATGGAACCCATTCACCTCTCCTCAGCCATTGCAGCCAAACAGATCATCAATGAAGGTAATGCAATCAAAAGCTGGGTGGAAGCAAAGTCCAGTGGTCATCTGGAGACCCTTAGAGGGGGGCCATTGGAAGACGTCAATGTGCCTCTCAGGTGCTGCCCATCACGTTAGGAAGAGCAGATCTGCAGAAGGCAGTTCTGCCAACCCTACCTCCTCAACTTTGATAGGATGGAAGTGGAAATAATTATGCATCAGTGTGAACAGGGACAACCAGAGAGGCAGCACCAATCTGTCCCTAGGGCCTCCTGCTCAATTTTTGGTTACCTCAGGGGTCCTGAGGTGGCTTATGGCAGAGGCACAGACCTGAGAGCCCGAGAAATGGCCAGAAGCATCCAGAGGGTTCTCTTCCAAGGGAGTCTAGACTTAGACCTGCACTTCCACCAGTGCTTAAAGATGCTTCAAACTGAAGGATGCATGGGGAGGAGGGAAAGGCTTGGGTGGGGAGCACCCAATATTCAATATGTTAATATTTACACAGTAAAATTTTGAAGCAGACAACATATAGTTATTTTTCACTCAAAGATACTTATCTGGATTAGATGAATTTTTTTCTAATCAATTTTAAGGAAATAATCTTTTGCAATTTCTTTCTTCCCCTTTCTTCTCCCTTCTCCCTGGGTAGCCTCACAACTCTGGTGAGATGGGGTGGAGTGGGATAAAGTGCACACTGATGAAGCAGGGCCCAGCTGGCCTTTGGGCTTAATCTCTCAACCACCGCTGGTGGCCACAATCCTTTCCTTGGTCTTTCATTATTAGAATCACATGCTACTCTTTGTCCATTCTAACTCTGGTACTGGTCCCCTGACCCATTTGGGTCTCCACCAGGGTCTCTAGAGGACATTTGGACCTCTTGCACACTTCACATAGAACCAGAAATTTGACTTGCTGTTGCTCACTGTTCTGGGCACTCTAGGAGGCCCCATCTTCTCAAAGACCCATCTGCTTTGGGGGATTTTTTTTCTTTTTCTTCCATACCTGGGGTCTCTGTTGTCTTGCTCCAAGATATCTTGTCCCAAGATATCTTGCCCACTAACCCAGGCAGTGTCTTCACCCTGGTCCAGTTCTCTCTGAATTGCTCCCAGCACCACTATAGCTCTAGAAAGTCTTTTCTTCCTCTTTTGTGGTTGGAAATTTCCCTAACCTTCCACTCTGCATCATCTCTGCTTTGTGCTTCATTCTGTGGACCATTCTCCATGTTTTGGTTCTTGATAAGTAAAAGTCCAGCTTTAGGAATTGAGGGGAGAAAAAAAATAAAAAACATTTTCTCTCTTTGAAAGCTTCACTTTCAAGTCTATAGAATGCTATGGACATTCAGTCTAGTTTGAAGCCAAAAGATGTGCAATGCCTTGTTTTATCCTGGCTCTTTTCTATTCTTCCCTTCTCTGGGGGCATCAAACCTAAGTTTCATTAGCCTTAGTGGCTGAAGGGCTATAGGGAGAGAAAAAACAATATATGCTCACTAGTGATTACAGGGGTAAAAATGTGTGCTGAAAACCTTCCGTTTTAATGAAAGTCTGCATATGCCACACATCCGAGAGTGTAGGGGAGAAATGTGTGGGCTTTACTTTCTGCTGAAGAAATGTCAGGTAATAGAAAGAAATTGATGCAGGGAGAGAGGCAAGCTCTACAGAGGCTGAAGTGTGAACCAGAGACCTAGTGAAAGCAGGAGTTGCCATCAGGGGTGAAGGGCTGGGACATTTGTTTTTAAATTGAAAAGAAAAGAAATGGAAACAACAACCTGCTAGATAAATAGCCGAGGAAGACAACACCGTGTATTTTAATGAGGTGTCAGGAGTCCCACTTTTTATATGTAGTAAGGGAAAGACATCTAAGTAGACACGGGAAGGGGAGCGGACTGAATTTGCTATGAAAGACCCCAGGAGAGCCAGGGGAGAAAACTGGGTAGTGGAGAAAATAGGAACACTTCATCTATTTTTAAACAAAATAGAGCTCTGGGATTGCAGGAGTTTTCTTCTTTCTGCGTTTGAAACGGAGATCAGAGAACGTTTAGAGCTGAGCCCTGATGCAGGGATGTGGGGGTCCCTCAGGGGGGTTAGAGGAGGGAAGAGAGAAGGGAAATGAAATCCTGAGCCCTAGGCAGAACCCAAGGCTCCCTGGATTTGCAGTCCATGAGCAACAAGCCCTGCTTACAGACCCCTGGGAGGAGCAGATTCCACGAGGGGCTGGACCAAGTCTACCTTCCAAATGTGGCTGGACTCTCTGCAGCCCCCACCCAGAGACTGCCCATCAGGGAAGAGATGGTGCCATCAAGAGGCTATGGGGAACACAGAGGAAACATCTTTCCAGCTTCTTTTCTCTCTCTCTCTCTATTCAGTATTTTGGCTACCATGTGAGAGGAACGATTTTGTTCTTTGTTATTTTTGTCTAACTTAAAGAAAGAAAGCATCTTACATTTCCCCAAATTTGATAAACTGTGAGCAAATATATTATTAGAAGATAAAGATTCACCCCAGATGTGAGTGAATTGGGGTTTGAGTTCATCTGGAGTTTGAGCTTTTCTGACCTGTTGTCAGAAAGGCCCTGAGTCACGTTTTGA
This sequence comes from Homo sapiens, assembly GCF_000001405.40. Taxonomy (NCBI): domain Eukaryota; kingdom Metazoa; phylum Chordata; class Mammalia; order Primates; family Hominidae; genus Homo; species Homo sapiens. The sequence continues at coordinate 167,116,364 of NC_000001.11, forward strand.
GATTAGAATGAGAGCTCATGGCCAACCTTTGCCACCTGTCTGTGGGCTGGGAGGCTGAGAATCATAGGTCCTTACATTCTAGTAGGGGGAAGAAGACAATACAAGAAATAAATCAGTAAATTAGGTGTATATTAGAAGGCAATATTGCATAAATTACTGCTGAAAGTTTTACTTTTCCCAGGGTTATTTGCAATCCATATGTAAAAGAGTCAAACTAACAGAGTGAATTATACTATGAATGAATGCCATTCACTCATTTGGTAAATACTTCTACTTTTTTTTTTTTGGTTTTTTTTTTTTTTTTTGAGACAGAGTTTCGTTCTTTTTGCCCAGGCTGGAATGCAATGGCATGCTCTCAGCTCACTGCAACCTCCATTTCCCAGGTTCAAGTGATTCTCCTGCCTCAGCCTCCCAAGTAGCTGGGATTACAGGCACTCTCCACCACGCTTGGCTAATTTTGTATTTTTGTAGGGACAGTGTTTCACCATGTTGGTCAGATTGGTCTTGAACTGCTGACCTCAGGTCATCTGCCCACCTTGGCCTCCCAAAGTGCTGGGGTTACAGACGTGAGCCACTACGCCTGGCTGGTAAACACTTCTGAGCATCCACTTTGTACTGGGCACTGTGGGAGTTATTAAGTATGAATCAAAGTACACCTAATACTTAAGGAACTTGGTCTAAAAAATTATCGACCAGCTTCAGAGAAGCATGGGAGGGAGTAAAAGAAATTGGATCCCCTTTACCCACATCTATACAGTCTTCTTGCTGACCCTGATTACAAGTGTTTGGGCCAGTGCAGCAGGTACCCTGGGCCCAATTAAAGTCCTTCCTGGGAGATCCTGCTGGCATTCAGTCCATGCCCAGAATCCTGGCAGCAAACTGGCCAAGAGCATGTTCTCCCCAGGAACAAGGAAGGCCATGATGTTCCTAACTCTCTGATGAGAATGCTGCCTGTCTCCTCTAGAACTCAAGCCACCGGGGGTCAGAGCAGACGCAGAGTGTCCAGGCATGCTGGAGTCTGCTGAACAGCTGCTGGTGGAGGACCTGTACAACCGCGTCAGGGAGAAGATGGATGACACCAGCCTCTATAATACGCCCTGTGTCCTGGACCTACAGCGGGCCCTGGTTCAGGATCGCCAAGAGGCGCCCTGGAATGAGGTGGATGAGGTCTGGCCCAATGTCTTCATAGCTGAGAAGTGAGTCTGACTGCTCTTCATGACCCTTTGTCCTAACCCTCTGGTTAGTGCCTGAGACAGACGAAACTCCCCCAACTTTCACCAAAGGCGCCCATAGGTCCATCCAGCACAATGAGGCTGCCTAGCCACTTACCCTGCCCCAGCCCAGAGAAAGGCCCCTCCATCCACCTGCATTCGGAGGTCTCCAGGCAAGATGCCGCCATGACTGCTTATCCTTTGCCCTCTTGCCAGGACTCTCTTGTCCCTCAAGAAGGCCTCTGGGCCTCCTTTCCTGCCACAGAGTCTTGCCGACTTCACCATCTCATGACATCTGTAGCTACCACAGAACCGGACACTAGGAGCCATTGACAATAATACTGACATGCATATGTAATTACCAACATTGGAAAATGTTCACAATACAGTAAGAAAGAATTAGATTACAAGAGAAGACATGTACAGTGTGCTGCTAATTGAGCAACAGATGTATGTGTATGTGTGTGCATGTTTTTGCATAGACAACAGTTAGGAAATGTGAGAAAATGTGAACAATGTTTCTCTCTGGGAGGTGTTTTTACAAGCAGTTTTTATTTTCTTCTTTAGATTTCCTTTAACTTGTACAGGTTTCCTAAGGTAGACATTGTTTTTATAATCCAAAAACTATTATTTTCTAAAAGTTTATCAGCGGTTTCCAGAACAAAAACAACTCACTCACATCCTATTTCTTTAGGATGCCAGTGCATAATTGCGACCACTTGGTTAATTAGTGAAACAAATTTTTGCTGACTCATCGAATACTTAATGAGATGTTTTCCCAGTGTAATTATCCAGATATCCAGAAGCAAAGGAGGAAATTTGGCCTCAGGGGAGGGAATAGGGAAAACAGCTTTGAACAGTGGGTCTTATCTTCACCAAGGAGTAATCAGTTGCCTAGAACTTGATCCTCAGAGCTGGGCACCAAGTCTTAAGTGATCTTTAAATAGATCTTCAGATACAGAAGCATTCATCTTACGGTCACTAAGAACCCAGGCATCGCCAGGTATCCTCAGCTAAAAGCTTTTGTTCCTTCTCGGACAACCTGTCCTCAGGGCCTCTTCAAACTAAGCTGCACTTATTCAGCTACAGCAAAAAGAGCTCTGAACTAGAAATCTAAAACACTAGTTCTTGTTGTCTTTTTCTCCTTTCACAATCTTGGGAAGTTATAAGAGCTCTCAGATTGAGTTTTATAATCTTCAAATGGGAATAAAACTAGAGTTCCTGTCTACTTCTTAAGTTTATTGTTAGGATAACATAAAATAATGCATGTGAAAGGATTTTGACAATTATAGCATGCCATATTAATGTGGAATACACTTAATTTTATTATTTGTGCCTACCACTTTTGTGCCTTGATGAATGTCCATTCCCAAGGCATGGGGTTTTAAACTAGAAGTCTCTGGATCATTCAAATGTTTCCTTACACATCATTTTGTTGGCCTCTTCATCTCGCCCTTCCTTGCCTAACTGCATGTCTTTTCTCCCTTTTGCTGAGGCCAAGTCATCAACTCTTTCTATAATGGTATTTGCAGTGATCCCCAGACAACCAGGGGCAGAAAAGGAGGCACTTGCCCAGCTGTGGCCCTAGACTGGCTGAGGCAGGCTCACCGTCACAGTGGTGACACACCTTTCTAGTTCCGACTCTTGCAAACAGGTCCCTGCCTCTTCCCGCAGGAGTGTGGCTGTGAACAAGGGGAGGCTGAAGAGGCTGGGAATCACCCACATTCTGAATGCTGCGCATGGCACCGGCGTTTACACTGGCCCCGAATTCTACACTGGCCTGGAGATCCAGTACCTGGGTGTAGAGGTGGATGACTTTCCTGAGGTGGACATTTCCCAGCATTTCCGGAAGGCGTCTGAGTTCCTGGATGAGGCGCTGCTGACTTACAGAGGTGAGAGGGATCTGCCGCTCCAGGCTGCTGGAATTCCACGGGGGAAAAGTAATGTGGGGAATGTTATGAAAACCTGATTAGTTGGCGTGTGTGAGGGGTATCTGTCTTAAGAAGGCTGTTTTCTCTAAGAAAAGGAGAAAAGACAGGATAATCATTCATCCAGTAAGTAATTACTGAGTGCCTAGCAAGTGCCAACTACTATTCTAGGCACTGTGGTGAAAGACACAGGCAACGCTTCCAGCCTTTGACTGTTACACTGTAAGAGGGGACAGAAAATGAAAAAAAGAGAAAAAAATGTCAGATGGTGATAAGTGTGAGGCAGAGACTAACTAGAACAATGTGCTAGAGTGACTGACTAGCTCCTTGGAGAGCATGGGGGAGGAGGCCTTCTGACAATGGGACATTTAAGCCAAGTGACAAAGGGCTAGCCATGGGAGAACTGGAAGAAGAGCATTCCTGCAGAAGAGAACTAGTAGTGCAAAGATCCAAAGGTGGAAAGCTTGGTGTGTTCAGGAATCAAAGGCCAGTGTCGATGAGCATGGTGGATGAAGGTTGAAGTGGCAGAGGTTCCCCATCAAACAGGAAGCTAAAAGCCAGGGTAAGAAGTTGGAGCGGCACCTTGATCTGATTTATGTTTTGGAAAACTCCCTCCCTCCACCTTGGAGAACAGACCGAGTTGGGAAGGTAGAGAGTAGTGCTTTGGGGTTGCTATTGCTATATCCAAGTGAAAGGTGACATGAGACTAGTCTGCAGAGGTCACAGGCCTCAGGGAGGAGAGGTGGAGCCCAGGCAATGGGGCCGACAGCCTGGCTGGGAAGAGTTGAGGATATGGTGTCCAGAAACCTGGGTTTGAGTCCAGGATTTGCTACACTGTATATACAATGTGACCTTGGGCCATTTCCTTTAGCCCTAGGAACTGCAGAGAACAAAGACAAAAATATCAAATCCTAAAGTTGCTGTGAGGAATAACGTTTTAAAAATGCATATAAAATAACTCCCTTGGGACAACACCTGGCACAATAAATGCTTTAAAAATTATAGCCATTGCTATAATAATATTGTTAATGATTTCCTGGAAAGGGCATTGCCTGTCACCACCAATGGCCAGGTTGGGTAACTTCTAAGGGAAAATACAAGCACACATATTTTCTTTTTTTTAATTATTTTTACTTTTTATTTTTAGAGACAGGATGCAGCTCTGTTGCCCAGGCTGCTGGAGTGCTCACTATAGCCTTGACCTCCTGGGCTCAAGCGATCCTCCCACCTCGGCCTCCCAAAGTGCTGAGATTACAGGCGTGAACCACCATGCCTGGCCAAATACACATATTTTAAATATGTATATGTATGTGTGCGTGTAAATTACATATATATATATATATATATATATATATATATATATATATATATATATATATATATACAGAGAGAGAGAGAGGTATGTATGTGTATATATACAGACATGTATACACATATACATATATACACACATACACACACTCACATATATATACAGTTTTCAGTTTTCTCCTTTTTTCAATGCTTAAAAACTCCTTTTTTTTTTTTAGGCGGAGTCTCGCTCTTGTCGCCCAGTCTAGAGTGCAATGGTGCCATCTACGGCTCACTGCAACCTCTGTCTCCTGGGTTCAAGCGATTCTTCTGCCTCAGCGTCCCGAGTAGCTGGGATTACAGACTCCCACTACCACGCCCAGCTAATTTTTGTATTTTTAGTAGAGAGGGGATTTCGCCATATTGGCCAGAGTGGTCTCGAACTCCTAACCTCAGGTGATCCGCCCGCCTCGGCCTCCAAAAGTGCTGGAATTACAATAAGCCACCGCGACCGGCCAAAAAACTCCTTCTTTTTAAAATGTAGGACGTTTGACCAACGTGGGATTGAATGGGTCTGTCGGTCGCCTGCGGCGTAAGGAGTGTGTCCCACCTCGCTCGCAGGTCCTGGAGCGCACCGGCAGACCTCGAGGCGGAGCGGGTACGCTCGCAATAGCTCCAGGCGTGTGGACACGGCCACGAGCCGGCGGTCCCCCGCAGCATCCCAGGGCGGATGAGGCAGATCCCAGAATGTGGAACGCATCCCAGAAGCGATAGCCAGCCTTGGAGGGTGGAGGGAGGAAGAACGAGCCCAAACGCGGAGGCGGAGTCGGTGCCAGGAGCCGCGAGGGCTCAGCAGGAAGTTTCCTGTCGCGGGTGTAACCCAGGCGCTGCCTTCCCTGCAGCATACCCAAGGCGGGCTGGGTCATGCTGGCCAGGAGCCAGCGCGTCAGCTACCCCGGCCGGAGACCGTAGGTCGGAGCGCTGAGTGTCCAGATCCCTTGCAGGGTCCAGTGCGCCCTGCGGGCATCTCCTCCCGATTCAGCCTCACTCTCCCTGCCAGGCAGCGAAAGGCCCTTATTGTTGCTGTGCTTGTTGCTTTTGTGGGTCCTTCCTACTCCACTACAGAGAGTTCGTGGCATCCCTAGAATTACTCCCTGAGCCTTAGGTCCTGTGGTTTTCTCTGCTTTAGGAGACTTGGGAGTCAGTTCTTGACCAGAACAGGGAAAGAAACACCTGGCGCCGGCGTTTTACATGATAATCACAAAGAGCCTATGAGGGGGTGTTGTTATTTACATTGTACACACTGGGAAGTTGAGACCTATGGAAGATTAAGTGGTGACTTTGTATGGTGCACGGTGTAATAATCAAGACTCTCTTGGTTGCTAGTGGGTGGAAACCATCTCAAACTCCTTCACAAGCAGCAAAGGCATTAATTCTGAAGATGCAGGAAAGAAGCCAAAGACAGGAGCCTGGCACGCCGGGCAGGCCTGGAACAAGGACTGGACGATCTCAGGACTCTTGGTTTCCCTCTTCTTTCTCTCTCTACTTCAGATAGCAAATGGCCATCCACAGGCCTGACATTAAACTAGCTAATTTCCTGCCTCAGTCCCATTTCCAAATTTCCTGGCGAATTTGTCAGATACTGGTCTTTTTGTGTACCCTGAGTTCCATCAGCAGTGGCAAGTGGGGTGGCTTCTGGGCAAATACAGGTGTGGAGGGGGATACCTTCTGAAGAAAGGGGGAATTATGAATTGGGAGGGTATAGCACAATTGCCTGCCATATAAAGACATACTGAGAGTGTAGAGAATTCAAATCCAGGCTTGCTCAAATCTGATGCTCTCCCCAGTAGCTGTACTCTTAAAAAAAAAATTTTTTTTTGAAGGTCCTTTTTTTGAGACAGAGTCTCACTCTGTCACCCAGGATGGAATGCAGTAATGTGACCTCAGCTCACTACCTCCGCCTCCCAGATTCAAGCGATTCTCAGGCCTCAGCCTCCTGAGTAGCTGCAATTCCAGGCACGCACCACTACTGCTCAGCTAATTTTTGTATTTTCAGTATTGACAAGGTTTTACCATGTTGGCCAGGCCAGTCTCAAACTCCTGATCTCAAGTGATCCACCACCTCGGCCTCCCAGGGTACTGAGATTACAGGTGTGAGCCACTGCACCCAGCCTGTACTTTCCAAATTTTAAAAACAGGGACCCTCTTCACAATCAGCCCTGCTGGTAATCAAAATGGTAACTCTGCTAATTAGAAAAACACTACCTTCCTCAAACCATTTTACTGTTGGAAAAATTTTCACCATAACCCAAGTGTATTTTGATATTTTGATTTTGATGTGAAGAGGCCCCCTAGAGTTGTGCAGAGAAGAATCTATACAGCATCAGCCTGCCTCTAACAGAGAAGACAGAAAATCCTGTTGCTGCTTTGGATGAAGTGGGTAAACATCCCTGAGTCTCACCCACCCAGCCTCTCTCTTGTCCCTCTGGCTGCCCTTTAGGCTCCTCAGAGGAGTCCCAGTGTGCTAGGAACACAGCAGGAAAAATGTGGCACCCCAACCTGGTCTCCGCCAGACTGAGTCTAAGTAGTATTTGATGCTCCTATGAAGAAGACTGGCTGGTCATGTCCTGAAGTGTCCTGAAGTGAGTTGGTCTCGTGATTCCACCTCCAAAGAAAACCAGTGAGACTTAGAGACTAGCCACAGTATATGGTAGCCTGGTCAGAGGGTGGAGGGGAGGTCCTTGTAAGGGACAGCTAAGCCCTGACTGAGGACGAGAGGAGAAAAAAGACAAGTGCTTCTATAGATGCTCCTTATAAGGCTTTTACTTGTTTTTCTTTTTCTTTTTTAAGAAACAGAATCTCACTCTGTTGCCCAGGTTGGAGTGCACTGGTATGATCTCAGCTCACTGTAGCCTTTGCCTCCTGGGTTTAAGTGATTCTCCTGCCTCAGCCTCCCGAATAGCTGGAATTACAGGTGCTCTCCACCACGCCCAGCTAATTTTTGTATTTTTAGTAGAGACAGGGTTTTGCCATGTTGGCCAGGCTGGTCTTGAATTCCTGGCCTCAAGTGATCCACCCACCTCGGCCTCCCAAAGTGCTGGGATTACAGATGTAAGCCACCACACCCTTGTTTGTTTATTTTTGAGACAGGGTCTCATTCTGTTGCCTGAGCTGGAATGCAATGGGACAATCACCACTCACTGCAGCCTCAACCTCCTGGGCTCAAGTGATCCTCCCACCTCAGCCTCCCAAGTAGCTGAGACTACAGGCGCTTGCCATGGTTTTTTGTTTTTGTTTTTTTTAGAGACGAGGTTTCGCTATGTTGCCAGGCCGGTCTCAAACTCCTGGCCTCAAGCGATCCTCTAACTTGTCCTCCCAAAGTGCTGGGATTACAGGTATGAGCCACCACACCCTGGCCTGTGGCTTTGACTCTGCTGATTTACCTCCCTCTAGTGGCTGCTGGCTCTTGGCAATAACACCTTTCATCATTACTGGGCCTCAAGTCCCCTGAATTTTCTGTCTCTGACCTCCTGTGTGACCAAGACATGACCTTAACTGCTGCAAAGATATAATACTGAAAGAGTCACCTCCCATCTCATATTGTTAGAGAGGATTTTTAACTGAATTAGCAAACATCCCCAAAGACTGTTGGCAAGTAGATTGATGAGAGCAGGGAGGAAGGTCTCCAGTGGTCCCAGTCTGCATTTTAAACAGCTATTACAATGAAGGCATAGGAGGCATATTTGTCACATTCATGAAGGATGCAAAGCCGAAAAGGAGGCCAGGAGCAGGTAACTGATCTGTTGAATGGTAGAGTCAAGACTCGCAAAAGCTCCTGTAGGCTATAAAAACAGACATCCACCAAAAGATGTTAGTAGGAATTTGTGAAATTATCCTTAAGTTTAAAAATGACTGCACATTAAAAGGAACACGACTTAATTGCAGTTTTTAAAAAACGTTTTACAGGTTTCAGTTGACGGATGTAAAAGATAACTTGAGTTCATTGTGTGACATATCCTCCCATATTGCAAGTTTATATGGTATCAGTAAAGCCCCAGTGACCCAAACAAGGGTGGGGAAGGGCCCATTCTACTCTATGTGAGTGAGTCAGTCCAAACCTGAAATATCTTGCTCCATCCTGAGTACAAACTCCTAAAAAAAAAAAAAAAAAAACCCTGATAAATTCAAGTTTTGACCTAGAGGAAAGTAGCTAGAATAGTAAGGGAACATGAGAAGATGTTCAAATAATGTTTGAAGGACTCAAAATAGCCAGGAAAAGAAAAATATATATATTTCGGGAAGAATATGATAGCAATCTTGTTAAGGATTTTTGTATAAAAGCCCTGTTTCATACAATGTATCCATAGTTGACTTTATAATGTCAGAGCAGGAGTACTGGATGCTTGTTACAGAAATTTATACTTTTCCCTAACATATGAAAAAAATTTTGAAGCACTAGAGTGATCCAAAAATGGAGTGAATTGTGTCTATGTGTCCATGTGAGCTAATGAGCTCCCTGTCACTGGAAGCATTCAGCAGTGGCTGGATAACAGGTGTGACAGGTGATCCAGCATCAGGGATGTTGTAAAGGGAATTCTCAAGTTTAGGATGTGACTTATGATGCTTCCCAACACCAAGATTCTATTTCTCTGTGATTCATTTATCTTAGCTTCTCATTCCTTTTCTGCTTTATCACCCTTCCCCCTGTTCTTGTATTTCTCCTCCCTCTGTTGCTCGGTTTGTGAGGAGAAAGTAGAAATGCACTCCAGTGTTTCAAATACAGGGCCAGTGGGGATTGTGATGTCTCCCATCTGTAATATGGGGTCAGTGATGCTCAGCCCTCCTGTGTCTTGAGCCCGGATGAACTTCAGAGGCAAAGTAAACACCTTAAGTGCAGCATATTAAAACAGCACTTACCAAAGAAAACAAACAAACAAGAACACTACAAGGAAGCCACTGTCATTACATCATTTTCTCTTGTGTTTTCATTTCAGGGAAAGTCCTGGTCAGCAGCGAAATGGGCATCAGCCGGTCAGCAGTGCTGGTGGTCGCCTACCTGATGATCTTCCACAACATGGCCATCCTGGAGGCTTTGATGACCGTGCGTAAGAAGCGGGCCATCTACCCCAATGAGGGCTTCCTGAAGCAGCTGCGGGAGCTCAATGAGAAGTTGATGGAGGAGAGAGAAGAGGACTATGGCCGGGAGGGGGGATCAGCTGAGGCTGAGGAGGGCGAGGGCACTGGGAGCATGCTCGGGGCCAGAGTGCACGCCCTGACGGTGGAAGAGGAGGACGACAGCGCCAGCCACCTGAGTGGCTCCTCCCTGGGGAAGGCCACCCAGGCCTCCAAGCCCCTCACCCTCATAGACGAGGAGGAGGAGGAGAAACTGTACGAGCAGTGGAAGAAGGGGCAGGGCCTCCTCTCAGACAAGGTCCCCCAGGATGGAGGTGGCTGGCGCTCAGCCTCCTCTGGCCAGGGTGGGGAGGAGCTCGAGGACGAGGACGTGGAGAGGATCATCCAGGAGTGGCAGAGCCGAAACGAGAGGTACCAAGCAGAAGGGTACCGGAGGTGGGGAAGGGAGGAGGAGAAGGAGGAGGAGAGCGACGCTGGCTCCTCGGTGGGGAGGCGGCGGCGCACCCTGAGCGAGAGCAGCGCCTGGGAGAGCGTGAGCAGCCACGACATCTGGGTCCTGAAGCAGCAGCTGGAGCTGAACCGCCCGGACCACGGCAGGAGGCGCCGCGCAGACTCGATGTCCTCGGAGAGCACCTGGGACGCATGGAACGAGAGGCTGCTGGAGATTGAGAAGGAGGCTTCCCGGAGGTACCACGCCAAGAGCAAGAGAGAGGAGGCGGCAGACAGGAGCTCAGAAGCAGGGAGCAGGGTGCGGGAGGATGATGAGGACAGCGTGGGCTCTGAGGCCAGTTCCTTCTACAACTTCTGCAGCAGGAACAAGGACAAGCTCACTGCCCTGGAAAGATGGAAGATCAAGAGAATCCAATTTGGATTTCACAAGAAAGACTTGGGAGCGGGAGACAGCAGCGGTGAGCCCGGTGCAGAGGAGGCAGTAGGGGAGAAGAACCCCTCCGACGTCAGCCTGACAGCCTACCAGGCCTGGAAGCTGAAACACCAGAAGAAGGTGGGCAGTGAGAACAAGGAGGAGGTGGTGGAGCTCAGCAAGGGGGAGGACTCGGCCTTGGCTAAGAAGAGACAACGGAGGCTGGAGCTGCTGGAGAGAAGCCGGCAGACGCTGGAGGAGAGCCAGTCTATGGCAAGCTGGGAGGCGGACAGCTCCACGGCCAGCGGGAGCATTCCCCTGTCTGCGTTCTGGTCTGCAGACCCCTCAGTCAGCGCTGATGGGGACACGACGTCAGTACTGAGCACCCAGAGCCACCGCTCCCACCTGTCTCAGGCTGCAAGCAACATAGCGGGGTGTTCAACCTCCAACCCCACCACACCCCTGCCTAACCTGCCAGTGGGGCCTGGAGACACCATTTCCATTGCCAGTATCCAGAACTGGATTGCCAATGTAGTCAGTGAGACCCTTGCTCAGAAGCAAAATGAAATGCTGCTGTTGTCCCGCTCACCGTCTGTTGCAAGCATGAAGGCAGTACCAGCGGCTAGCTGCCTGGGGGATGACCAAGTCTCCATGCTTAGTGGACACAGCAGCTCCTCCTTGGGTGGCTGCCTGTTGCCTCAGAGCCAGGCAAGACCCAGCTCTGACATGCAGTCTGTGCTGTCCTGCAACACCACACTGAGCTCACCCGCGGAAAGTTGCAGAAGCAAAGTGAGGGGGACCAGCAAGCCCATCTTCAGCCTCTTTGCTGACAATGTGGACCTAAAGGAACTTGGCCGGAAGGAGAAGGAGATGCAGATGGAGCTTAGGGAGAAGATGTCTGAGTACAAAATGGAAAAGCTGGCCTCAGACAACAAACGCAGCTCCCTCTTCAAGAAGAAGAAGGTCAAGGAAGATGAGGATGATGGTGTGGGTGATGGGGATGAGGACACTGACAGTGCCATAGGGAGCTTCCGATATTCTTCCCGCAGTAATTCCCAGAAACCTGAAACAGACACATGCTCCTCCCTGGCTGTCTGTGATCACTATGCAAGTGGCAGCAGAGTTGGCAAAGAGATGGATAGCAGTATTAATAAGTGGCTCAGTGGCCTCAGGACGGAGGAAAAACCTCCTTTCCAAAGTGACTGGTCTGGAAGTTCCAGAGGGAAGTACACCAGATCGTCCCTGCTCAGGGAGACAGAGTCTAAATCCTCCAGTTACAAGTTTTCCAAATCCCAGTCAGAGGAACAGGACACCTCCTCCTACCACGAGGCAAATGGCAACTCTGTAAGAAGCACTTCACGGTTCTCATCTTCCTCCACCAGGGAGGGCAGAGAGATGCACAAGTTCTCCAGGTCCACGTACAACGAGACCTCAAGTTCCCGAGAGGAGAGCCCAGAGCCCTACTTCTTCCGCCGGACCCCAGAGTCCTCAGAAAGGGAAGAGTCCCCAGAACCACAGCGCCCAAATTGGGCCAGGTCCAGGGACTGGGAAGATGTGGAAGAGTCATCCAAGTCAGACTTCTCTGAATTTGGAGCCAAGAGGAAGTTCACCCAGAGCTTTATGAGGTCTGAAGAAGAGGGAGAGAAAGAGAGGACAGAAAACAGAGAAGAAGGGAGGTTTGCATCTGGACGGCGGTCCCAGTATCGGAGAAGCACTGACAGGGAGGAAGAGGAAGAAATGGACGATGAAGCCATCATTGCTGCTTGGAGACGCCGGCAAGAAGAAACCAGGACCAAGCTGCAGAAAAGGAGGGAGGACTGAGCTGGGGAAAATCTGAGAACACTGAAAGAAACCACTCACGTTAGCATAGGGCTCAGGGCACACGTTGCCACCACTCATCGCAGGATGAGGATACAGAGAGGATCTTCCAGAGGGGCAGAGCCAAAATGAGAGGTACCAAGCATAAGGGCAGCAGAGGTGGAGTAGGGAGGAGGCAAGGAGGGGGAGAACCATCAATACGAATACGAGGTCCGAATGCGGACCAACTGATACCATTTTCTGTTGCTCAGCGCCCTCTAAGCTTTGGTGTTTCACTTAATGTATTTGGCAGTGTTCATCACAGGCTAGAGAGGTGAGCTTGGAAAAGCACTGTAGTTTGTCAGAGACTCCAGTTTACATCCAGAAAGGCCATGAACATAGGACACGCTTCTGTCTGTAGAGGCTTCATATGAGACCCAGAAAGTCTATCCTATGGCAAGTCTGACCTCTCCTGGCAATGCTCAGTTCTGATTTTTTTTTTTTTAATGTTTTGAGTCTCCATTAAAAATGGTATGTTGGCAAATAGTTCTTCTTTATTCTGGTCATGTTTAACTTTTTGGATATTAGAAGAAAACCACTTTAAAAGACACAAATGTATTATCCTGAGCCAGTCTCACCTTGTTTCACAAAAGCTGTGCCTCCAGACAATGCCATCATAGTCTCATTATAAAAAATAACAAACAAGTATTTGGCCTATGATACAATACAGCAGGAGATTACACTTGGAAAACCCTTGAGAGTAACAAAGGGAACTAGAGAAAGAGAGAATGAGTTTTATTGTGGTGAGAATGGCAAGATGTAAAGTAGAGAGAAGGCCTCTCTGGAAGGCAGAAAAACAAAAACAGAGCATGGTGAGAGAAGAAAATAAACCCAGTACAAGGAGATGGAGACATGTTTTTATAAAATCTAGTGGTCACCTTCGCTTCTTATTCCTAGGAGGATCACTGGGTAATGCAGTGGATAGTACACTTGATTCTTCTCTGTGCTCTGAGTGGGCTAAGTTGGTGAGAATGTTTTACCTTTGTTCCCAAGGCATTTCTTCCCCTAAAACGCAGGTTGAGTTGCCAAATCAGAGAGACACTTTGAGCACTTTACAACAGTGATTGACGGACTGGTTTCTACAGTTCCTTTCAAGCTGCGGCACCTTGAAGGATTTGAAAACAACTTTGTGCTATGCAGGGGTCTGAGATGTCTTGATCAATCAAAAAATCCAATTCAGGTGACACAAATGGTGGTGAAATGATTAATGAGAGGGAAAAAGAGTAAGAAGTAATCCACCAATGAGACAAATAGTACGTGTTAATTGTGTGATCATTTTTTCCAAAAATGGAGTTTCATGGGACGTGGAGATTATGTAACCTTCCTATGTAGATTAGTTCAGCATCACATATTTCAAAGAACACAAAGATAAATATATCAAGGCAAACAGGAGCTGACTTGAACACAAACTCACAATGCCACATAGCTGCTGTTAAAGCAACTGAATTAATTTGCTTGCCTTCCCTCTATCACTTTAGCCCACCATTCAGTTGCTGATGGTACTCATCTCTCCTTCACTGATTGAGCGGGGGAGAAGAGGACTTGGGAAAAAAAAATACTGCTCAGTCTTTGTCCCATTTACCCCTTTTTCTTCATTTGTTCATCTTTAGTCAGTCTCAGCCCCTAGTTTCCAATGCTCGACGGGTCATTCCCACCACAGAAAATGGTGTTATTAGCCTGGCATGGTGCTGCGTGCCTATAGTCCCAGCTACTTGGGAGGCTGAGATAGGAGTATCACTTGAGCCCAGGAGTTTGATTCCAGCCTGGGCAACATAGCAGGACCCCCATCTCTTTTTTAAAAAGTGTTGTTCTAATACACCCCACAGCAAGAAGGCTGATTGTGGTCCATTTTACCTTCTGGATGAGCTCTCATTTCACTCCTATAGAGAAGTTTCTGATATAGGCACAATTAATTGGGCATCTACTCTAGAAGGCTGACCTTCTGGAGAGAAGAATCGGAATATTCTTTGATGGGTCCCCTGTGCCCACCCATAAGGAGCCAATTAGCTCAGATCTCTATACATGTCTTTTTGTTTTTTCACTATAACTAACAAAATATATAAATTGATCTCACTCATGTCAAAGTAGACAAGAAATTAAAAAAAAAAACTATTCTTAGTAACTCTCAACCCATACCCCACTGAATAAGTGTTGAACGAACATTTCAAGCATATTGGTTTAAAGAGTCACCCCAGTTTTTCTCCATCCCTGGATGTGAGTCTGGGGAAACAGACCATGGAGACTGCCTAGTTTGCTTTTAGTTGAGCTCTTAGGCTAGAGGGGCAATAATGACCCCCATGGCCCACATATAGACCAGTTTGGCTCACCAGAGGAAACCAGATGTCTCACAGTAAAGCTCTCAAGAAATGCCTTTGCTTTCTGTGTCTCTAAAGATAGCTGCCTCGAGATCCTGTACTCAGGGAGGTGTCTGCCAGAGAATTCAGAATTCTTAATTTAACTTATTCCTGGAGTTTAGAGTGTATTTTGGGAAATCACATCAATAGAAAGTGTATTGGATTTATCATGAACTTGAAGAAATATCTGAGATTTGAAGTGTTAGAATCCCAAGGGTGACTTCTGAATTCTACCTAACCTAGCGTGTTAAGTTGCAAGCCAGTCTTCCAGCCTCCGAATGGCAATTAAAGATATCTCAGTAAAAGTCCCCACAGGAAACAGATGGCACACCCAAAGTGGTGACTGATAAGAATTTAATGCAGGGACCATTTACAGAGGCATAGGAAGGAACAAGGGAGCCAAAAAGAAATAGTAAAGCACCCGTGTACTAGCAACATTGATACCACCCTAGCACTGAAGGGACAAAGGGACAAAGCTGTTTCCAGAGCCCAGCAAGAGTCATCACCATGGAGAATGCCACCTGACAACCTGGCAGAGGAGTAGGGGGAATAAATACCCCAGTTTTTGCTCCTGGTTTTCTGTTCAATGCTAGTAACTTCCATGGACTAAACCTAACTGGAAGCAAGTGGGTAGGAGAGCAGAGTAGTCTGGAGAAGGACAATAAGTAGATCTGGAGGCAAACAGAAAACTACCAGCACAGAGGTCAATATGTTTAAATGGAGAGGCCATCTCTGTAGGAGTTTTTCCATTGATGTCTGTCTTAAATGACCAGGAACACTATACAATGAACACAAAATCAACTCTCTCTTAAGAATTCATCAACAGGCCAGTTGCGGTGGCTCACACCTATAATCCCAGCACTTTGGGAGGCCAAGGTGGGCAGATCACCTGAGGTCGGGAGTTTGAGACCAGCCTGACCAACATGGAGAAACCCCATCTCTACTAAAAATACAAAATTAGCTGGGCATGGTGGCATATGCCTGTAATCCCAGCTACTAGTGAGGCAAGAGAATCATGAACCCAGGAGGCGGAGGTTGCGGTGAGCCGAGATCATGCCATTGCACTCCAGCCTGGGCAACAAGAGTGAAACCCCATCTCAAAAAAAAAAAAAAAAAGAATTCATTAAGAATTCAAATAGAGTTTCAGCTACATAAAACCAACTGTCAGAGTCAATGATTTTGTTTTACAGAAAATAAAAAGAGGAAACTGACCTGAATTACTTGAGCCCACTCCCGAGTCACAGAAACAGTTCACTAGGAGAAATCTCCCACGTTATTCAGCACAGAGAATCATGCACTGAAAGGGGCCCTACAAGATGAAAATCCCGCTCTGACTCCTGAAGTGAGGGCTGGGTAAGAGAGGGGCAGAGAGAGGGAAAACAGATTTTTTTCTTCATCCAAAGTTAAGGCCCTGGAGGAAATGAGATATGTGGGGGCTGTGAAGAAATAAGAAATAAGGTATCAGGCAGCATCCCAGCAGGAAGCAGAAGGCATGCCCAAATTAGGGTGATTCAAAGGGGGCGTTTTCTAAAGGAGCTGTTTACAAAGGAGTGGACATGGTACAACGTACAGGGTACAGGGACAGGGAAACCACCAGGCACAGTGCACACTCCAAGGCCAGGGGCCTCTCCTAGGTCTGGAGAGACAAGGGAGGAGCTGTTACTGGGCCCCTAGAGACACAGAGGGCTATGTGGAGGGGCTGTCTTAAGAGCTGAGACCTTGCGTCTAGGGAGCCAGCCTGATGCGACCCCATAGGAAAGGAGGCAGAGGACTTTAGCCCCTCTTACTCTGACCTCCATCAACCTCCCCACAGGCCAAACCCAACCAAAACCCATAGGGAAGAGAGTTGGTGTGTGCGGTCCATTCTGTCAGCCCCATGGGGCCCCAGGGAGAGTGGGGAGAAGGGTGGATGTAGATCCGAAAGAGCAAACAGAAGATATACAACAAGGGCGAAATTTCAGGCTGGTGACATGTTGTTGGTGCTGAGTTATGAAGACCCTGCTTTTAGTATCTTGAATATTGCCAGAAGAGGAAATACTGATTTTTCTGGACTCTTAAAACTTATTTCTTGTGTCGTTTGGGAGAATTATCAACCAACGACAACTGAATAACTAGTAACCTGCCTTAAAGCATGCTACATAGAATTGCCTTTGTGTGAAGAATCTTGAATACAAATCTATACCTGTTCTTAGGAACATCTACACTTCGGAGTTCTGATCCAAGGCTCTTGCTTTAAAGCATCACCTATTTTGTGAACCCTGCAATAAGTCTTTCCTCAGCTCCACTTGCTCTGCAAGATGCCTGCCATCTGTCCCAGGTGCCACACAGAAACCACCTGCCCACCACCCTCCCACACACATACATGCACGAGTGAATTTCATGTAAAACCTGTATTTTAAGTCACACCATCCCCCAAAATACCTGCCAGATGTAGTGTAAACCCATCCAGCCATTTTGCCTCATAGAGGTAATTAACAATATTCTATAATTTTAATCTCATAGGTTCCAAACACTTCAGCAATCATTTTCAGACACTGTGATCCTTACAGTGTCTGTAAGCAAGCTGTGCATATAGATCAGCCGATGCAGTAGCCAGGCCACACCACTGCCCGCCATTCAGTCCCCTGGATCCTGAGTGGAAGTCCCTCAGAGCAGGGAGAAGACCCACTTGGATTAGCTTCATCTGTCTCTAGGTTCCTGAAGACAGAAGTTGGATTCACCTTTGGTGGCAACCAAGAAAGTTGCCTCAAACCAATCATTCGATTCCATTTAGCTCAGCTTGATAAATGTTTCTTGAATGCCAACCTTGCACTAGCACTGCACCAGGGTACTGTGCTATCAAGAGCGCATGCTACATGAAGTCATGGAAGGTGGAGACAATCTCAAGTTAGAGAAAGGCCCACTCCCTCATGAGAAAGAATTTTTGAAAAATTGTCTGAGTTAAAGAACCCTCAAGCTATCTGGGTCTGAATTTAATAGTGTGCCAAGTATATCAGAAGAGCATCAACCACTCACGCTTGAAACCTCACAGTCGGGTTCGACACCTTCCTTTGCCTCTTGCCTGCACCTGGGCCAGGTAATTCTGCCCATTGCATTTGCTCTCTCCATTCTGTTATCACTACCACCTCCCCAAACCAGGTATCAGAGTGAAGCCCTCAAGAAATGCCTTTGCTTTCTGTGTCTCCAAAGATAGCTGCGTTGAAGCTCTTGGTGTAGCGCCTGGCACGTGGTAAACATTTAATATAAGTGTTGGTTGTTTTTCAATTGGATTACAAAGTTGTGTTCTCAACTACTTTACCACATTATGTCCAAAATAACTGACAAATATTATAGAATTATATATAACAATGTACAATTACTGAATTCTGCTTAATGCTATGAACTGTCTAGGCACATTAAAATCATGTCTTATTTCTTTATAACCCCACAATAATCCTGAGGGGTAGACATTCTTATCCTTATGCACCAAATTCCTATAATAAGAAGCAGACTGTGGCAAGCATGGATAGACATAAACAAAGTGCTGTGCGATATCAGAGGAGGGAGAGCCTCATGTGGCCAAGGTGGCTGGAAGAGGTTTATCAGAGGAGAAGCTCCTAGAAGAACCTTGGAGGGTAGGGGGATCTCAGCAGGGAGATAGTAGGTTGGGGTGGGGAAGCTGAGCCGGGGGAAAAGCCTGAGCAAGGGCACAGAAGGGTGTTCCAAATGTGGTGCGGTTCACACATGGCCGGAAGGTGAGGTGCTCGAAGGGAGTAATGCGGTAGGGCTGGAAAGGGAGGGGAAAGTGGTCCTTGAATGCCAAGCGAAGAAGTTTAAGATTCATTTCATAGGTAATAGGAAACTGTTAGAGTTTTTAGGCAGAGGGAAAAAGAACCAGAATTGGGAACTTGGGAAATTAATTTGGTCCTAGAGTAGATGCAAAGGAGGTGAAGCTGGAACTGGCTAACAAGGTTACTGCAGTAGCCAGGTGGTATATAAAGGAGACCTTGTTTCCCACATAGCCCTCTGTGTCTTTACTATATCTTTTTGGCTCCCTTGACCCTTCCTATGCCTCTGTAAATGATCCCTGCACTAAATTCTTATCAGTCACCACTTTGGGTGTGCTGTTTCCTTTTAAGCAGGAAAAAAAAAATCCTTTTTAAGCATAAATTCCTTTTTAAGCATAAGATGTGCTAAACACTGGGCTAGGCTCTGGGCATTCAACAGAAATCAAAACAAATCAAACTTTCCCTTAAGGAGCTAACACTTTTATTAAGGCAGATGGGCAGTAAACAAGTAATTTAGAATATTTGGAATATTATTTATTTGTTTTCGCCCTGACTGTCTACTTCTCTGCCTCTCCCTACTAGAATGTAAGCTCCATGGGAGGAGTTGGTATTCATTGCTGTATCCCCTGCAACTAGAAACCAGGCCTGGTCTAAGCAGGACTTGCAGCAAACATGTGCTCTTGTTCAAGACAATAAGTGCTCAGAAGGAGATTATCGGGTTAATCTGATAGATAACAATGGCAGATGGGGTGTGGCGTTATTTAAGATAGGACAATCAGGAAGACATCTCTAGGAGGAGGTAATATTTAAGCTAAAACCTGGAGAAGGAGAAGGAGCCAGCCAAGCAAGGACCCAGAGCCAACACTGGGAAACTGACAAGGACACTGAGGCTTAGGGAGGTGAAATCACAAATTAGCCAAGGCCATATGGCTACTCCATGTCAAAGCCAAAATTCAAACTGAGAGTCTGATTTCAGAGCCCATACACCTTACAGGGTAGGTAACATCTGGAAAGTGCTTAGGACAATGCCTGGCACGTAATAATTGCCCAGGAAGCTATCTTTTACATCCTCTACTGCATTTTAAGTTTTAAAATTATTCTTATTTTGAAAGCATGGAAGTATTGATTAGCTAATTAATCCAGCATGAATCATATTTAGGACCCAAAGAAGCCAGTTCATTTCTGTCTAGTTTCAGAGTAATCTTTTTCCTTTTTAAAAAATTTCTCATGAGTGAGCAAGATGGTTAGGGTGTGATGGAATCGAGAGTGGCACAGGATACTGGAGGTTGGAGGGAATTCCAAGCATCTTTGGGAGGTGCAAGAGTTTAGCCAGCTGCTTGGAAGAATAGCCCCTACTACACCTACACTGACTGCTGGGCCAGAGTTACTGAAAGTGTCTCTCTCCAAGCCACAGGAATGCTGCGAGTGCTTCAGTACAGCCATTGTTGACAAATGTCCATGCTCTGAAAGGCAAAGAAGAGGCTGGGGTGGGGCAGAAGGGAGGGAAAAAAAAGCAGCTCCAAAGGCCATCATGGTAATAATTGGTCCTAGCCCTGCCCTGTGCCATGCCAGCTGCAACCAGCCTGCTGTGACCTCATTCACACGAAATGGCTAAGAGCTGTTCTGGGGGAACCAGACATTCCTCAAAGGAACACAGAGTAACTAAAACCCCTGTGGCAAGCAAAAGGGCAGACAGCATGCATGACTCACTGCCTTTGCAGGACACTGAGAACATGTGGCTTAAATGGATCTTTCTCTAATTAACGTTTCTCAAACAAGAATGCAATGCAAATGAGCCCTTAAACAGGAAGACAAGGCAAGTGATTTCCTGCTCCCAGCCCTGGTGGTCCCTGAGAGGGGCGGAGCAAAAGGGGCCCCAGAATTCGACCACTTTTCTTGTTGGAATTCCATTTAGAAAGCTGATTGACCACCTCTGCTGAACAATACAGCAACTCTGCAAAGCATGTATTAATACCACCTTGTTACAGATGGGAAAACTCAGAGGGGTGCTATGGCTTGAATGTTTCTGTCCCCCCAGAATTCATATATCAAAACCTAATCCCTAATGCCGTACTAAGAGGCGGGGTCTTTAGGAGAAAATTAGGTCCTGAGGGCTCCATCTTCATGAATGGATTAGTGCCCTTAGGAAAGAGACCCCAGGGATCTTGCTTTCTCTTCCTGCCATGTGAGGACACAGCAAGAAGGCACTATCTAAAAAGCAGAGAGCAAGCCCTTACCAGACACCAAATCTACTAGTGCCTTGATCTTGGACTTCCCAGCCTCTAGAACTGTGAGCAATACATTTCTATTGTTTATAAATTACACAGTCTATGGTAGTTTGTTATACAGCATGAATAGGCTAAGACAAGGGGTTAAGTAATATGCCCAGAATCACATAATAAGTAGGCAAGCAAGGATTTGAACCTAGCTATATCTGATTTTAAAGCCACTTTTTCTACCACACCATTTTGCCTTAAAAAGATCTATGCCCAGGGAGAGATTAAAACTGCAATTGCAGAGAAATCTGGAATCAGAGTGCAGGGCTGCTGATGGATTGGCCATTCAGAAGATACAGTCCCTGAACAAAGCCTGTGCTCCAGTTGGTCTTCCTCCATCGTCTGTGTTAGCCGTCTCACTAATAAACAGTCCTGTGTGAAAGAGTGTCAGGAAGATGACAAGCAGGGAGCCCCCAGGGACTGCTCTTAAATAGGAGCTTTACTTAAAGGACGGGATGTTCAAAGAGGTTAAGATTTCTGTGTGCTCTCTCCTCCTGACTCCCAGGAGAGAAGCTTTCATTCCAGGGAGTCACAATATTTGTGCGTCTTTCAGACAGTGTTCTCTTTTTAAAGCTGCACAGTGCAGGTAGTTATGTAGCTCTCGATTTATTACAAAGGCTGCTGGTGTGGGGAGCAGGGAGGGGAATGGCAAAGAGCTGGAGGAGGGGAGTTTCAGCAGGCTTTTTCTGGGTCGAGGCAGGATCTGTTCCCAGATCTATTTTGGTGTGTGTGTGAGAGAGAGAGATATTAGGCAAATTACTTATCCCAACAGTGTCTCTCAAACAGAAGCAAAATTGCTGCCTATTAGAGAGCAATGGGGTCAGGATGAAAGAGGACTTCAGGCAAGGGCAAAATTTAGACAATTAGGTCTAAAAGTATACCTATTAATTACTGTTATTAATATATTTTAACTGGTATCTTCTAATACCTACTATTAATATATTTTAATAGGTGTTTTCTAATAGATATTAGAAAATTTTAATAGGTATTAAGAAATACTTATTAAAATACATTAATGACAATAA
Organism: Homo sapiens; assembly: GCF_000001405.40. Lineage (NCBI taxonomy): Eukaryota > Metazoa > Chordata > Mammalia > Primates > Hominidae > Homo > Homo sapiens. Next base: position 167,138,067 of record NC_000001.11, read on the forward strand.
TTTGAGATCTGCCATAAAAGATCTCCCTCATCAGCTTCATTTTTACTCTTTCTTTCATTCAACAAGTATTCATGGGGTACTTAATCATGGGACAAGAATTGTTCTAGTTGATGGAAATGCAATGTCTTCCCCTGAAGAGTTCCAACACAAGTCTAGTGAGTTTGCTAACAAAGAGAGACACTCGAAGCCCAGGGGCTACTTCGGCTTTAAATCCCAGTGTTACACTCAATCCTTTGAGTTAAAGCCTCAGCTGCGGTTAAAAAGTCTGTGAATTAGGGGTAACTCAGTGGCATGGATTAGCCAGGATCTCTTTGAAAAGAGGACACCCAGACAGTAAGTTTTGATGGAGGAATATCAAAAGGTCCAGGAGCCTGCAAGTTGTGTCAGAAGAATAACAAGGGCAAATATGGGGCTATTTGCAAATCAACACACAGACCTCCTTTCCTCCCTATTCAGTGCAGAGATGCAGTGAATTCCAAGACATAGCACAGCTCACTTGCCACGTACTGGCCCTCCACTACAAAAAAATTTTCTTTTTCTTAAATCCCAAGTGCCAGCAGTTCAGTCAAGCTCATCAATGCTTTTTATTTAAAATGGTAGAGTTTCGGTAATAATGTTTACTGGACACAAAATATATTGGTTCTGATATTATTATAAACTGGATGATTTTTCAAAATTGCAACTACTATAATAAAATATTTTCACCCTCTCATAATAAACAATATGATCTAAGTACTCAAAACTCTGGCTTTGCAGGCCTGACCCTCAGTGAAATCTCAGCTTTAAGAACAAACTCTGTTCGAAATCATGCTAGATGAATGTGAATGGGTTGGCCATCAGATCCTTACAGCACCTGCATTGTCTCAGATACACCTAGCCAAGCAAGTGGGATTTACTATGGAAGGCAAACAAACAGGACAGTTCAGTTCCATGGAGATCATTCAAAAGTTCTTTCCCTTTAGCCCCAAAATACTATTTCATTAACCTCTGCATCTGTCTGTGTAAGATGCCTGTCATGGTATGTTTGTTTCAGTGTGATAAAGTTAAGAAATAATCAAGAAAATCTTTACAATAAAATGGTATCACACATTATACTTTCATCTTTTTTGTTTTTAAGTATAATTATGTGCCTCTAAGTCTAAAGTTTTCAGAAATTCCTCTCTGACTTACTCTAGGACTCAGCTGCTTTGGTTGTAGCGCCAGCTTTCCCCGCTCTTTCTCCACAAACATCTCCCAGCTCATCTCCAACAGCCTGTGTTGGAAACACCCTGTGTTGGAAACACCCTGTGTCTCCAGGACTCTCCATGGTCTTTAAGTCAGCTGATGCCAATACATCTCAGCTTTTGTGACTCTGCATAATCTCAGTGGTCACACAATAACGAAAGCTAAGTGTTTGTAATCATCATTTTAGAGACGCAAAAACAGATTCAAAGTTAAATTACTTGCCCGAGGTCAATCAACTAAGGAAAGGCAGAGTAGGGAATCCATGCTATACCGTCTACCCCAGCTGCCACGATGTTTCCACCATGTTACCCTTATTGATTTGAGCTCTAGATCCTAAGCAATATTTAAAGACATTTAAATTTTTTAATTAAAAATAATTAATTAATAATTTAAGTGTGTCTATTACAACAATGTAGGTATTTTCTAATTTAATGTTATGGATTAGGAAAATGATTTTACACATTTTTCACACCTACCTCCATCCTCCAGTCGTTAGGAACTTTCCAGAATATTATCAGTTTCCTTGAGGTGAGTCTGTTGTTGTTTTTAATTTCCTTTTAAAATGAAATTGTGGGTTTCCGCAAGAGTATCTTTAAAATTTCTAGACAACACTTTTTTTTCTTCCAGACTTCTTCTGGTATGGTATCTATTTGCCATATTTTAGTGTGGACTTTAATGTGGAAGAGTTGGACTCAAGATTCTCATAAACAAATGAATGTTGGTTACATTAGATATGGTTATAGCCCATGGTTACTCAGTGGTCTAACCTCATGATTAGTCTTAAACAAAAGTTTTCTGCCATTTTCTCCAATAAATAACTAGATACCTCCTTAAAGCACCCAATCATTTGTGTGTATTTCTTTGTTTATCCAAGTCTGTTTTGCATCTCTATAGGATATTGTGCACTGTCCCTGCATGCTGCCAGTAATGCTAAGTGCCAGCATTTGTGGACTGCCTGTGGGCACTATCCCAGATACTTCTTGTACATTCTTTTATTTCATATTCACAACAACCCTATGAGACAGATGTGTCTATATCCATTTTACAGATGAGAAAATAGGTTCAGATAAATTCAATTACTTACTCAAAGTCACATGTCTAGATTATCAGAGCTAACCTTAAAATACATTTCTGCCTGACCCTCTCTCCTACCTATGTGGCTTCCCAGTTACAAAGTGCTCCAACAGGTACAACATGGAATTCTGGAAGTTCAGAGACTTCTATGATACTCCTAATTTATTTTATCTGCCATTCCCAGGTCCCCAAATTAAGGACTAATATCATAAATAAATCCTGGGCACATAACTTTTAATTGAGTGGTCTATAATATTGATGTTTCCTCAGTTGGATGTCCTTATCATGTCTGGGGTTATTTTCTGTTTGTTTCGTCTTCCTCTGGGGAAATAAATTTGATCTGAGAGCATCTGTTATTTTCTGGAACAATTTTCTCATTTTGCTTTAAGCTTACTGTAGATATCAGAGTTGCTGGTGCATACCACAAACATTATTACTACCTATGGCTTCAGAATATTCGTGGAAAGGGAGAATGGCCTTTGTTAGTAATGCCACTATCAGCTTTCCTAAGTTGCTGGTACTTTATGTTCTAGGTATTTTGAAGAAGACAGAAGAAAAATGGATCCCGTGTTAATGGTGTTCTGCAGCTGAGGTGCCCTCTTCACAGTGCCAAGAAAAAAGATCTGTACCTATTGCAGACGATTGATAATTCTATTAGTGTATTACAAGGGCTGCAGTGCAAGGATGTTGGCGAGATCAGTAACTTGTGCAGACTTCTGCCACCATTCAGAGTAGAGCCACTGTTTAAAGAGGGTTTAATTGCTCTGGTCTGAAAGACACATTGAGAATAACAGAAAACTCTTCATGTCAAAAGAGTTTCTTATAAGATGTACAGTTTCCAGATTGGAAAAGATGAAACTAACACCCAAGGATCAATTACAGAATCAATTAAAGAATATTAAAAGAGTAGATAATGAAGTGTGAACTGGGGTGCTACAGACCATTATACTTTTTTTCAATAACATTATTGACTTTCCCCCCTCCATTAACAAAAAGAAGAAAAAAGTAAACACAGAACATACAGAAGAACATAAAAAAGAAATTAGATTTAAAACCATCTGTAATCATACCATTGGGAGAGAATCACCATTGATATTTTTCTAAGTATATAACATTTCACTCTTTATATATTTGAAATAATATGATACAGATGATTTTTAAAGTTAATTTTCACTTAGCATTTTCCCATGGAAGACATTTTTCTGTAACATGAGTTTTAATAACTTTATAATGCTCTATCTTTTGGCTGGGACTACCGTACTTTACCAATCTTTATTACTGAACAAATTATGTTTTCTAGTTTTTCATGTTGTAAACAACACTAAAGCTGAGCATGGTGGCACATGCCTGTAGTCTCAGCTTCTTGGAGGCCCAGGAGGGGGAGGCTCATTTGAGCCCAGGAGTTTGATACCAGCCTCCTGGCAACATAGTGAGACCCCATCCCTAAAAAACAAACAAACAAACAAACAAAAACAACACAGAGATGAATCATTTGGTTATAAACAACACTGGCATGAATCACATGGTTGTGTATCTGTCCAGTTATTTCTTCAGAATAATTTCTATGAAGTCACTACCTCAATGCATACATACTTAAAAAACAAAAACTCCTTTGTAACGTGTTGCCAAATTGCCTTCTAGAAGGTATGTATAAATTCAGCATCAGCAATAATACCTAGTTCTCCATACTCCCACTTGTGCTTGGCATTATCAAATACATTCACCTTGGCCAATAATAATGTGAGTAACGGCTAAGGTTACTAAAGGCTTGCTGTGTGCCAGGCACTGTGCTAATGCTAACAGCATGTGCAAGTCAGCCATTTTTAGATCCTCCATCAGCTCGGCCAAGTGAGGCAAACCTTGTTGTCCCAGGCCATTGTATGCTGCTCTCAAAGAGATTGAAAATTAAAACCCCAATGTCTTTAATCCTTTTTTATCTGATAATGTCAGCCACCCTGGCCATCCAAATTGACATACATGTAAAACAATGTAGATGTATTATTTGGATAAAAATTAAAATTAAATTTTATTCCTAGTGTGCTAAGCGTTTTTTTAATGGAGTTTTCTTGTGATATCTTTGTCTGGTTTTAGTATTAGGGTAATATTGACCTCATAGAATAAATTGGGAAGTGTTCCTTCCTCTTCTGTTTTTAGGAAGAGTTTGTGAGGGATTGGTATTAATTCTTCTCTAAACTTTGGTTCAACAGTGAAACCATGTGGCCTGGGATTTTTGTGTGGGGGGGAGTTTTTAAATTACTACTTCCATCTTTAGTTTTTATAGATTTATTCAGGATTTCTATTTCTTCTTGAGTCAGTAGTTTGTGTCTTTCTAGGAATTTGTCCGTTTCATATATGATATCAATTTTTTTTTTTTGAGATGGAGTCTTGCTCTGTCACCCAGGCTGGAGTGCAGTGGCGCCATCTTGGCTCACTGCAACCTCTGCCTCCCGGGTTCTAACGATTCTCCTGCCTCAGGCTCCTGAGTAGCTGGGATTACAGGCGCATGCCACCATACCCGGCTAATTTTTGTAGTTTTAGTAGAGACGGGGTTTCACCATCGAACTCCTTTTTTTTTGGAGACGGAGTCTCTCTCTGTTGACCAGGCTGGAGTGCAGTGGTGCAATCTTGGCTCACTGCAAGCTCCGCCTCCTGGCTTCACGCCATTCCCCTGCCTCAGCCTCCCGAGTAGCTGGGACTACAGGTGCCCGCCACCACGCCCGGCTAATTTTTGTATTTTTAGTAGAGACGGGTTTCACCTTGTTAGTCAGGATTCTCTCAATCTCCTGACCTTGTGATCCGCCCGCCTCAGCCTCCCAAAGTGCTGGGATTACAGCCCTGAGCCACCGCACCCGGCCATGATATCAAATTTGTTGGCATGCAGTTATTTGTAATATACTTTTATGATCCTTTTAATTTTTGCAAGGTTGGTAATGATGTTTTTGTTTTCTTTCTTTTTTTTTTTTTTTTTTTTTTTTTTGAGACAGAGTCTCACTCTTTCACCTAGACTAGAGTGCAATGGCACAATCTCAGCTCACTGCAACTTCTGTCTCCCGGGTTCAAGAGATTCTCCTGCCTCAGCCTCCCGAGTAGCTGGGATTACAGGTGTACGCCACCATGCCCAGCTAATTTTTTGTATTTTTAGTAGAGACGGGCTTCACCGTATTGGCCAGGCCAGTCTCTAACTCCTGACCTCAAGTGATCCGCCCGCCTAGGCCTCCCAAAGTGCTGGGATTACAGCTACCACGCCCGGCCTCTTTTTTTTTTCATTCCTGATTTTAGTAATTTCTGTCTTCTCTCTTTTTTTTTCTTGGTAAGTTCAATTAAAGATTTGTCACCTTTGTTGAACATTTCCAAGAACCAACTTTTTACTGATATTCTCGATTGCTTTTCCATTCCATTTCATTTATATCTACTCTAATCTTTATTTCTTCCCTTCTTGCTTTGTATTTATTTCGTACTTTTTTTCCGTTTCTTTTACTTTTATGTGGTTGTTTTTTTTAGAGAGAAGGTCTGTCTCTGTCACTCAGGCTGGACTGCATTGGCACGATCATGGCTCACTGCAGCCTCAAACTCTTAGGCTTAAGTGATCCTCCCACCTCAGCCTCCCAAGTAGCTAAAGCTACAGGCACACACCACCACACCTGGCTAATTTTTTAATTTTTTATAGAGATGAGGTCTCACTACATTGCCCATCTAGGAGATGTCCGATGTGCCCTTGAGAAGAATGTGCATTGTGCTTTTGTAGGGTGTAGTGTCCATTAGGTCTAATGGGTTTATAATGTTGTTCATTTCTTTTTTTGTTTTGTTCTTGTTTTTGAGAAAGGGTCTCACTCTGTCATCTGGGCTGAAGTGCAGTGGCACAGTCGCGGCTTACTGCAGCTTCAACCTTCCAGGCTCAAGCGATTCTCCTGCCTCAGCCCCCTCTTCCCCTCACCTGGTAGCTGGGTCTATAGGCACACGCCACCATGCCTAGCTGATTTTTGTATTTTTTGTAGAGACAGGTTTTCACCATGTTGCCATATTTCATTATATATAAATAATATTTTTATTATCAGCAGCACTTTCAAATGGCCATTTTTTATTTTGGTCTACTTTTAGACCTACAGAAAAGTTGCAAAAAAAGTAATAAAGACTTCCTTTATGTCCCCCACTCTTATTCTAACATGTTTTATGGCCATAGTGCAATTATCAAAATAGTCAAATAGCCTTTTTTCCTCCTTCAATTTTTTTGTTGTGGTAAAATATACATGACATAGTCTGGGAGCATTGTCTAATGTCTATAATCCCAGCACTTTGGGAGGCTTAGGTGAGAGGATCACTTGAGCCGAGGAGTTCAAGACCAGCCTGGGAGATATAGTGAGACCTCATCTCTACAAAAAAGTAAACAAATTTAGCCAGGTGTGGTGGCACGCTCCTGAACTCCCAGCTATTTGGGAGACTGAGGTGGAAGAATCGCTTGAGCCCAGGAGGTGGAGGCTGGAGTAATGAGCCAAGATCACGCAACTGCACTCCAGCCTAGGCAATAGAATGAAACTCTGTCTCAAAAAAAAAAAAAAAAAAAAAAGAAAAAGAAAAAGAAAGAAAGAAAGAAAGAGAAAACACAGCATAGAATCTATAATCGTGACCATTTTAAGTGTACAGTTAAGTGATGTTAAATATATTCATAAAGTTGTACAATCATCACCACTACCCATCCCTGGAACTTTTTCATCTTGTAAAAGTCAAGCTCTATACCCCTTAAACAGTGACTCTTTCTTATCCCTTCTTTCCTGCCCCTGGAAACCACCATTCTGCTTTCTGTCTCTTTGATTTTTACTACTCTATGTGCCTCATATAAGTGGAATTATATAATATTTGTTTTCTTGTGACTGGCTTATTTCACTGAGCAAAACGTCCTCAAAGTTCATCCATGTGTTGTAGCATATGTCAGAATTCCCTTCCTTTTTAAGGCTAAATAATACTCTGCTTCATGTATATACCACATTTTGACCTAATTTATGACCTAACCTACGGTTTATCCTGGAAAATGCCCCATGTGCAACTGAGAATGATGTGTATGCTGCTGTTGTTGGGTAGAGTGCTCTAGATATGTCTGTTTGATCTAGTTGATTTATTGTGTTGTTTAAGGTACTTATTGCCTTTGTTGTCTTCTCTCTGTTCTATCCATTGCTGAGAATGGTGTACTGCAGTCTCCAACTGTTCTGTTAGAACTGTCTATTTCTCTCTTTAATTCTGTCAGTTTTTGCTTCACATAGTTTAGTGGTCCGTTATTAGGTAGGTATGTAAATGTTTATAATGGGTGTATCTTCTTGCTATATTAAACCTCTTATTAATATACAATGCCCTTTTTGCCTCTTGTAAACTTTTTTGATTTAAAGTCTTTTTTGTCTGATATAGTCACCTTTGCTCTCTGTTGGTCACTATTTGCATGGAATATCTTTTTTCATTTTTTCACTTTCAATGTATTTGTGTCTTTGGATCTAAAGTAAGTCACTTGTAGACAGACTATATAGTCATATGCAGCATAATGACCTTTTAGTCAATGATGGACCACATATAGGATGGTTGTCTCATAAGATTATAACACCGTATTTTTACTGTACCTTCTCTAGATATGTTTAGGTACACAAATATTTACAATTGTGTTATAATCACCTACAGTATTCAGTACAGTAACATGACGTACAGGATTGTAACCTAGGAGCAATAGGCTATATATTAGGTACCCCAGGTATGTAGTAGACTATTCTGTGTAGGTTTGTGTAAGTCCACTGTATGACGTTCACACAATGATGAAATCACTTAATGACACATGTCTCAGAATGTATCTGACATTAAGCAACACATGACTGTAACTATATTTGGATCCTGTGGGTTTTTTTATTCCATTCTGCCAATCTTTGTCTTTTGATTGGAGAGTTTAATCATTTAGACTTAAATTAACTGTTGGTAAGGAGGGGCTTACTTCTGTCTTTCTACTATTTGTTTTCTATATGCCTTATAACTTTTTGTTTCTCATTTCCAACATTGCTATCTTCTTTTTGTATTTGGTTGATTTTATGTAGTGAAGTGTTCAAATTCCTTTTTAAATTTCCTTTTGCATGTATTGATAGCTCTTTTCTTTATAGTTATGATGGTGATTACACTTAACATCCTAAAATTATAACACTCTAATTTGAATTTATACCAGCTTAACTTCAGTAAGATGTAAAAACTCTGTTCCTTTACAGCTCCATCCCCACCCCTTTTGGTTGATGATGTCAAAAAATTACATCTTCATACATTTTGTGCCCCAAACCATAAACTAATAAATCTATTATAGTCTCTTAAATTATATAGAAAACAAAATGTGAAGTTACAAACCAAAGTATAATAATACTAGTTTTTCGACTAATAATTTTTAAAAGTACATTAATCTCTCAAATCATGTAGAAAACAAACAGTAGAGTTACAAACTATTGCTATAATAATATCAACTTTTATAATTCCCTAGGTATTGACCTTTATCAAGATCTTTATTTCTTCAGATGGTTTCAAGTCACTGTCTAGTGTGTCTCCACTTTAACCTGAAGGATTCCCTTTGGCATTTCTTGCAGAGCAAGTCTAATGGTCTGAAACTCCCTCTGCTTTTATCTGGGAATGCCTTAATTTCTCCCTCACTTTTTAGGGATAGTTTTGCTGGATGTAGGATTTTTGGTTGACAATGTTTTCTTTTAGCACTTTGAACATATTAGCCCACTGCCTTCTAGCCTCCAAAGTTTCTGATGAGAAATACACTGATAATCTTTATTGAGGATCCCTTGTGTATGATGAGTCATTTCTCCCTTGAAGCTTTCAAGATTATCTCGGTCTTTATCTTTCCAAGATTTGAATATAATGTGCCTTGGTGTGGATTTCTTTGAGTTAATCTTACTTAGCGTTTGTTAAGCTTCTTGGATGTTTATTTTCATGTCTTTCATCCAGTTTGAGAAGTTTTCAGCCATTATTTATTCAAATATTCTCTCCTCCCCTTTCTCTCTCTCTTCTCCTTCTGGGACTTCATATGTTTGTTTACTCATTTGTGTCTCACAGGTCCCTTAGGCTCTCTTCACTTTACTTCAGATGTTTTTCTTTCTCTTCCTCAGATTTTATAATTGTCATTGTCCTGTCTTCATGTTTGTTGATTCTTTCTTCTAACTGCTCAAATCTGCCCCTAAATCCCTCTAGTGAATTTTTTATTTCAGTTATTACGCTTTCCATCTCCTGAATATCTTGTTTCTTTTATAGTTTTCAATATCTTTATTGATATTTCCATTTTGTTCATACACTATTTCTTTGACTTTTCCCATATCTTCCATTAGTAATTTGAGTGTCTTTAAAACAGTTGTTTTAGGGCCAGGCACGATGCCTCACATCTGAAATCCTAGCACTTTTGGAGGCCAAGGGGGGCAGATCACCTGAGCTCAGGAGTTCGAGACCAGCCTGGCCAACATGGTGAAACCCCTCCTCTACTAAAAATACAAAACTTAGCTGATCGTGGTGGTGTGTGCCTTTAATCCTAGCTACTTGGGAGGCTGTGGCAGAAGAATCACTTGAACCCAGGAGGCGGAGGTTGCTAGTGAGCTGACATAGTGCCATTGCACTCCAGCCTGGGCAACAAGAGTGAAACTGTGTCTCAAAATAAAATAAAATGGTTGTTTTAAAATTTTTTGCCTAGTAGGTCTACCATTAGGTTTTTTTCATCAAGTTTCTGTTTATTTTGTTTCCTTTAAATGCACCATAGTTTTTTTTTTTTCATTGCATGCCTATGATTTTCTGTTGAAAACATTGGAAGCTAATAATGTGGTAACCCTGAAAATCAGATTCTCCCCCTTCTTCAGGGTTTTCTGGGTTTTGTTAACTTATTCATTGTTTTGGGGGTTAAAAAATTTTTTTAGGCTCTCTCTGTGCCAAGGATCAGCCTGAGGTATAAACTTGAGGTTTTCTCAGGTCTTTGCTGAGCTTACACCTTTCCCTGAATATGTGCAGTCACTTTCTAATTATACCATACATGCAGTTACTTTTAAATGTCCTAGTTTAGCTCTCAAAAAGACAAAATGAAAAAAAATGAATGTGGAAAAGGACACTGGCCCTTTAAGTCTCCTGAAAATCACTCTAGCCAGAGGTGGAGGGGCATGCAACAATGAGGAGAGGTGCAACAACAATGGCTGTGATCAGAATCAGTAATCCGTGATTGGAGTACAGATCCCTGATGTTAGAAGACAAGGAATTTTTTTTTTTTTTTCTCACTCTGGCTCCCACAGGCTGCAAGCCAGCTGCTCCAGCTGCCTACCAGGGGGCTAGGGATGGGGGATGGTAGTTTCTACTGTGCTTAAAAGCTGAAATTGGCCAAAAGTCACTGCAATTTACCATCCTATTCTTCCCCTGGAAGTTGCAAGCCTTTAATAGACTCCAGAGTTCCAAAATAGGAAGATACTGGCATACAGCTGTCTTTAGGTGGGGAGACAGATTCCTGGTGCTTCTTAATCTGCCACCTTCCCAGAATTCTTTCCCCATTGCCTGTTACTATACATAAAATTATATTAAAATCTACCCACACCCAGCTCATTTATTCATTGTTGATAGCTGCTGTCACACTACAATGCCAGAAGTGAATAGTTTTGACACAGACTGTATAGCCTGCAAAGCCAAAAATGTTCACTATTTGGCTCTTCATGGAAAAAGTTTGCCAATCACTATGGGGGAATAGAGAATGTAGGGTATGAAAACTAACAAGATAGCCTACAAATAGGACATCTATTTTCTAAATAAATGTAAATTATACTATAAAATATAATTTAATAAATACATAAAACACTATGAAAGCATTTACCACCACCAAAATTGTGCTGCTGCAAGTAATCTTGGGAAGTGTCCAACTTCAATCAAAGTGACCATTACTCAATACTAGAAGGTAACCAAAGAAAGCTCAAATTGGATAATGCATACCCTGAAGTACTCAAAAAATTCGGAAAGTCAGACTTTTCAACTTTCTGGAATATCAGTATTTCCAGAATATAGTTGAGTTTAAAATATGAATGTAAACACAGCTATACCAAGGAGTAAAATGTAAAATCTGTATACATTTTTAAGATAAAACAAATTACTACATGATGTTCCTCTTGATTGCAATGGGTTGATTAAGCTACCCCCAAAACTCCTAGCAATTTACCTTTATTCACTCTACCTAAGCAAGTTGCTGTGGAATTGTGGCATATGAGTGGGATATTCTTTGTAATAATCTTATGTGGGTGTGGGAAGTTCTCAATTCATTGCTATTCAGTTCCTAAGAAGTTGACCCAGAAAGCAACAGCTGAAACATTCTGGTAGCTGTCTACCCAATGTTCTTTCTCTCTCCTGCTTCTTTAGTAGCATAATTCTGATTTTGAGAGAAGAGGGAGTGATGATATGTCTGGCTGAAGAATTGAATTTCTCAGCTTCTCTTTACACCGATTGGGTAACTCTACGACTAAATTCTAGCTTCTAATACATAGGGCTTTTCAGGGAAAAGCCCTTGAAAAGGGAGTGTTGAATCAGCTGGGCGTCCTTTTTGGCCTCTTCCTTCCTTTTTCTTCCTGCCAGAATGATGGATTCAATGGCTGGAGAGGCAATGTCTAACATGTGAACTTGAAGTGACTTTGTGAATGGAAGCCACACAATAAGGATGGCTTATTGAAGGAGGCAGGAGCATTGATGATTCCACAGAGCCAGCATATCAGCTTTTAATTGTCCACATCTAAATTTCATTTACATGAGAGAAACAGAAACTTTAATAACTTCAATATTCTGCAAGCCACCATTACTGATGAGTACAATTACTAACACCCCATGTGCCAGGCAGGATGCCCTAGAAGTCACTGGTCATTGCAGAGGAAAAATTGCGATACAGATTTGTACACCAATCTCCTGCAAGTTTGGTTAGTAGGAAACAAGCCCCTGGAGACATCTGCACCCAGTAAACTACAAAATTAAATTTCTGAGTCTTGCAGTGTGTGGAGTCTGAGATAAGAAGCTTCTACTTAGGAGAGCAATAAAGGAAATGGGTCCTTAACTATGATCAGCTTTCAGTTAAGAGAAAGTGGTAGAGAGAAAGTTCTGTGAGAAGTCTGAAGATGAAACAGAAGGAATTCAAAAGGCAGGAGAGTTCTGAATGATGAAGGTAGGAGTTATTTCAGCATTTTCCATGTGAATCTCAGCTGCCTATCTCACCCCACATCCCATCACTCCCACGCTCACACATCCCTGTAAGCCTAGAATTCACGCATGTTCCCTAGTCTCAGGACTTGGTAGCACAGCCTCCACTGACTTGCCCAATAGGAAGCAAGTTTCCCTTCTTGCCATCTGAATTCCACATTTGGTGTGCCTGAAGTAAACCCTAAGAGCCCATACTGGTTCAGTTCTAGAACTTTACTGTCATCCAGTGCATAACCCATGCTCAGTAAATATTAGTTAAATTTAACAGAGGACAAAAAAATGTATAATCCCCAAAGTAAAATAGTCTGAAAATTTCAGGTGAAAAAGTTGAGGGGAAAGGTATTTAAAAATAAATGCAGCTGGACGGGCACGGTGACTCACGTCTGTAATTCTGGCACTTTGGGAGGCCGACGTGGGCGGATCACCTGAAGTCAGGAGTTCGAGACCAGCCTGGCCAACATGGGGAAACCCTGTCTCTACTAAAAATACAAAAATTAGCCAGGGGTGGTGGTGGGTGCCTGTAATCCCAGCTACTTGAGAGGCTGAGGCAGGAGAATTGCTTGAACCCAGAGGGCGGAGGTTGCAGTGAGCCGATATCACACCACTTCACTCCAGCCTGGGTGAAAGAGCAAAACTCTGCCTAAAAAAATAAAAAAATAAATAAATAAATAAAGTAAAATAAAAAAAAATGCACCAACTTATAGCTAGGATTTGTGTTGATAGTTATTGGAAGGTAAAGAGAAAAATCCCATATAAAAATATTCTGTTACTCTGGCCCATAAAATCATCATTTTAAAAGAAACAAGGTGGAAGGTAGGGCTGAAAGGGATATTGAGAGGACACTGATGACCAACTTCTTTGAGCCACAAGTTTGCCCAAGGCCTGCTCTGGTACCAAAGTGGCCATTTCTCTCCTCAGTGACCCCTCTCCAGACTGGCTGCCCATTCTATCCTGCTTTGCTTCTGCCACCCACTTCCTGGGCTTCTAGTGCTGGGCTGGTACCATTTATTTGTTTATTCAGGGCAGGAAAGTACTTGACCAGGTGTCTGTAGCACCAAATGCCTGTGGCTCCCTAGAGTAGGAGAGTCAGGCCCAAGATGATACACACAGTGACCACTTTGAAGGTTCCACTCGAGGCATGGCTCAGCCAGAACATTCCCAGAGAAACTCACTCCCTCAAAGTTAAGGTCACCGTAGTCATTTTAGCTATTGAAGACCACAGTGCTCTATATGTGTTGGCTCATTTGTGCTCCAATCTCCTCTATGACATCAGTTCTATTATTATCTCCATTTTGCAGTGGAGGAAACAACTTATACAGGTTTAGTATTTTGTCCAAGATCACAGTTCCTAAGTGGTAGCTCTGGGATTCACACCCAAGCAGTGTGACCGTAGAGCCAGACTCCAGCCAGTGTATGTATTATTTACTCCCGGTTGTCTGTGAAATGTAGAAAAGAAAAGGAAAAGAATAAAAATCCCCTCTGACTCCAGCAACAGAGATAACTATTTGCTTTTTCCCCACCTGCTATCCTTATGCAAACCCCACCTTAATGTGGTGGTAACATCAGCTTCCCAGGCATATTCCTGTGGGAAACAGTCTGTCTCCCTCCCTGGCAGTGGCATGTCTCAGAAGTAGCCTTTGGCAACCTCTTGGTGAAGTCTGTGTCTCCCTCCCACACCCCGCCATGCTACCCTCTCAGGTGACCTCTGCAGGGCCCACACCAGCAAGATTTCTTGACTAGTCCCCAGGCCAGCCCTTCTCCCTTCCCACCGCAGAGACAGTTTCTGCAGAGGCTTGCCCTCTCTTGCCCACAGCCTGGCTAGCCTAATCATCTCAGGTCATAAATGCTGAAGCTTTAGCAGGTTACTCCTCCCAGGTTGACATGCTTATACAGGCATTTTTGAGAGATATTGTACTTTTTAGCCAAAAGCCCCAAAGTAGAGACACACTGGGCTTGGCCAGGGTTTTGGTGTTCTCTTAAAGCACACCATCCCTTTGCTGCTTCACCAGTGGGAGTGAAATGTTTTCACAGGGAAACGTCCTTCTGGCTGCCAGGCTGTGATGGGGAGGTGTCAGTGGGTGGGTGCCGGAGGGGAAGATGTTTTATGTTACAACACAGGAAGTCAATGACCTTGAGGCCTCTGAGCACTCTGCCAGGTCAATTCATCTCGGAGGTTGTTCTTTCCTGCCCCAAAGCCTAGGCTGACTACAAAGCTCCTTCCGCCCCTCAGAGCAATTAGAGAAACAGAAAGAAGCAGAGTACCAGGATCTGAAAATGGAGCAGTGCAGAGAGAAAGCTAGTGTAAGACCGTGCTTCTCAACCCTTTCACACATAATACTTAACTTTTGTAAGAAATATTTCATAATATTCATTTTGCTATCTAGAAATGAAGTTCTTAGATATATAACCTACCTACACATATAATTTTTAAAATAAATATAATGTCCTACCTACAATGTAAAGAAAAATAAAAGGAGAGTAGTGGATAATAAAATATATTTAAATATGTGAATTCTAGTACACAGCTGCCCTAGAAGACATAGCAAAGGGCCAGGTGCCTGCACCTTTACTTAAAATCATTGTGAACACAAGGGATATAGCTGCAGTTAAATTGGCGATTCAATATTATGAGAAGGGTTGCTGTCAGAAACATGCATTTCCAAAATTCTTGGTAAAGTTCTTTTTTTTTTTTTTTTTGAGACAGGGTCTCACTCTGTTACCCAAGCTGGAGTGCAGTGGCACAAACATGGCTCACTGCAGCCTCAACCTCTTGGGCTCAAGTGATTCTTCTGCCTCTGCCTCTTGTGCATTTGGTACCACAGGTGCATGCCACCACACCGGGCTAATTTTTTTAATTTTTTGTAGAGATGGGGTCTCTCCATGTTGCCCAGGCTGGCCTCAAACTCCCGGGCTCAAGCAATCCTCCTACCTTGGCTTCCCAAAACTCTGGGATTATGGACGTGAGCGACTGAGCCCAGCTTAAAGTTCTAAACAAAACAAAATATCATCTTGCCTTGATTCCCACAATAGTTATGATCCTAAAAATTTCAGTATATATTCAACCATGCAAAAAACACATGACGTTTATATGTAAAACAGAGTTACATTCCAGGCACAGGTAGTCTGTAAGATTTTCATCAACACAAATGTCTACTGTGATTTTCCAAAGGCATATGGGACACAGAACAGTTGCGTTTCAGGAAGTCCAGCATCCTTGGCCCCCACTTCCTAAAATGCTAGTTGACCCACAATTTTGTCATTGTGACAAAAATGCTTCCATAAATGTCCAAACTACGCACCCCCCAGAAGTATGGCCCCCATGGAAAATCAATGTCTGAGGCGACCCCAGGAACTGATTAGCGGTAAGATCGCATACCTTAACTCTGTATGGCATGAATTGCTCAGTAGCATCAAGGAAATGGAGGGCGAAATACTGATAAACAATATAGGCAAGTGTTAGTGACGTGTTTCTCAAGAAGTTAAAAATACTTGCCCTCAGGAAGATCAGTGTAGTAGGATCCATTCAGAGTTTGCTAAATCATCTTAAAGAACTAGGAATGCCCAAGGCTAGAGAAGATTTAACGTTAACTTAACTGAGGATAATAAATCCAAGGAAGAACTAAAATTAAATTTGATGAAAGCCAATTTGTCAAAGATCAATTATCCAAAAGTCAAGTCACTAAATGACCAATTCACCAAAAGCCAATGTGTCAAATATTAACTTGCTGAAAGATTAATTCACCCCAAACTGCCAAATTTAGTACTTTAAGCCATGTCTAGTACTGCAGCAATTTCACCATAAGCCAATTTGCTACCATTGAGTCACTGTGGCTGGCCAAATCCTAGTGTGTTTGGCACTTTTGGTCTATATCATTAAGTAATGAGAAGATCCTGGGTATTTCAAATGTTGTGCATTTTGCACATCTCAAATGTCAAGGAATTTATGAAAAATAAGGTAGATTTCTCTTTGCCAATGCATTACATGCCTTCCCTATTACTCTTAATCATGGCTTTGTGAATAAGCTCAATCAAATAAATACTTTGTGCATGTTTCAAATTTCAAACTCTTTCATTTGATATCATATACATGAAAGAAGAGTTTGCCCTTTAAACAGTTTTATATCAATTTGCCTTTCCCTATTTGTGCTGACTTTGTCAGTCTTTTGAACAAAGTTTTTGTCTGCATGTCAATTTTTATGTATCCATAAAATATGTGGAAACTAGCAAAAATTCTTTCCATGAAATGGGGTCTATATACAAATTTAGGAATGTGGCTAAAATCCAAGTTAGGCATAAGGCCTCAAAACTAGAGAAGGTCATAATCTATGTTGAAGGGCAAGCTCACCCATTCACATATAAAATGCTATACAAGCCGTGCAAGGCCCTAAAAGGTGAAAAACATGAAATGAACATTCAAATAAGCCCTGATAAATTCTTAGGGAGAGAGCTGAGGTGAAGCAGCTCCTGTGAGCCACACCAAACAAAAATGGAAAATAAATCTTCAAAGACTATTAAAGCAATTTCATACAAACAATCTGTTATAAGCTCCATAGGCAGTTAATAGAATCAAGGTTTTGGTGAATCAGTAATTTGGTAAATTGGTTATTTGGTGAATTGATGAGTTGCTACATTTTATTTTAGTGACTGGGATAGCACCGTCTTTTGGAACATTAGCTTGCCTTCCTCGAGAAGTAATGTGGTAGGCAGGCAGGGAGTTGGAAATAAAAGAGCAACAGAAGCAAGCATGGGGTGTGCCCAACTTAGCACGGCCTGTTAGAGATGGTGTCCGTTCTCCATTCTGACCTGCATACATGTCCCCACTGTGGAGACAGATGCCTCAGGCTAGCTCAGCCAGCTGCCAGTAACAGGTGAATCCCATAACCAATTCTTGTTCTGATTTTACACTCACCTGGAATGCTTCTGATTATAAATGAGCTTCCTCAGTTGTTTTCCATCAGAGAAATTGTAGTCCAAGGGTCATGCATACCTGGTCACCTTGGTGGATATAAATCTCAATGTGCATTAATAAATGAGCATCTTTGTTTTTACATCTGTATTTTATGAACTTCGTAAGTGTGGATCAGCGCCACTGAGTCTGATCACCCCTAAGACCCTGGTAAGATTAATTTTTCACAGCATCTGTGAGTAATGGCCAGACCCAGGTCTGTTCTGAATTCATCCCCATTGGCTCCGCACCTTTACTTTATGTTTCTACAATCTATAAAACATAGTGAAGGAAGACTCTGCATGTAAATGGTGGGCCTAAAATAATTGCAAACAGGGAGAATTGAATATTTTTCTTACATATTTTATATAAAAGCCCTGAAGTGATAGCCTGTGTATCCAAAGCCCCCTCGGCCTGGAGTGCTAAGGCAGGTCAGGTGAACAGACATAAGCAGTATTTCTCTGGCTCCAGCTTGAACCAGCTATTGCGGGCCTTCCATCTTTCCATGCTTCACCCCCCACCCCCACAGCCACCCCCACCCCACCAGTTATTTAGGGGAGGTGCCAAGGAGTTCTTATGTGCTGATGAGGAGGTCCTCTCAGCTGTTCCTGCCATTGTCCTCCCTGTTTCACTCCTGTCTTAGTCTGTCTGTGCTGCTATAATGAAATACCTGAGACTCAGTAATTTATAAAGAACAGAAGTCTATTTCTCACAGTTCTGGAGGCTGGGAAACCCAAGATCAAGGTGCCAGCAGATTCAGTGTCTGGTGGGAGGTGCTTTTTGTTTCCAAGATTTTGGAATCTTAGAATCTTGCTGCTGTGTCTTCACATAGCAGAAAAGATGGAAGGACAAGGGCGCTAGGGCTTTCCCTTCAACTGCTTTTATGAGAGTACTAACCCATGAGGGCAGAGTCCTCAGAACTTAATCACTCTCGGAAAGCCCCCACTTCTTAATACTATCACATTGGGTATTAGGTTCCAGCATATGAATTCTGGAGGTACACATATGTTCAAACCACAACTTCCTTCAATTCTATCTATGCTTCCCTGTGAAGCAAGGAAGGGCTGGCACTGAAGGTGGTCCTGTCCATGCCAAGGGCAGCCTTCTGCTGCTGGGCCTCTTCCCGCTGCTTCTCCAGCTGGAGCCAGAGCTTTGGGCACAACCCCAGGCCCTCTAGATGCCCTGGATCTCCAAGTGCCAATGCAGGGCCTCGCTTGCCGTCACCCCTGACTTGACATGTTCTGCACAAAAAGGCATGTGAGGAGCATCTCTCCCTTCTCCTTTGCATCACAGTAGACACAGGGCCCTGTAGTGCTGCCTCGTGTTTCCCAAGAGTTCTTGCATCGGTCTACAGTCAATTAAGTCTCTAGATGAGGGAGTGATCATTGCTATGCAGAACCGGAACATAAATAAGCTCAGGGTGCTGCAGTGAATCAGAAAGTGAGGCAGAAACACCTAACCAAAAAAGAGAGGCCATGTACACAAGGTTAGCGATGGGCTCTTATCTACCCCTGGCCTGTCCTGCTCACCCTGAGGGAGATGAAAGTGAGTATTACCATTAAGCCATGCTGAAGAATATAGGTTAATTTTGTAGTCAGAAAAAAAATGGTGACATTTCAAACCATCATTGTAATAAAACAATACATTTATTTATTTAATTCAATGCTTATAGTCACATTATACAAATTGCCATCAGGTCACAGGTCTCAATAGTGTGGGTACAGTCACTCTCAATGAATCATTTTGCTGTCTCCATAAAGTCACAGGTGAACAAAGGCCTTTAGATAGTGTAGGGAGAGACACCAGATCCAACCGGACACAACTAAATGACATGCAACATTTCATTACCCTGAGTGGGCAGGTCAGAAAATTAGCTTTCTATACACAACTCCCTCTTCCCATACCTTCAGAACAGGGCCTCAGTGGGAAGAGGGGGCAGTTAGCTTTACCCGAGCCTGCCCCAGGTTCCATTTCTGGTATCAAGGACTTTTCAACCCCTCCCTAACTTTCATGTATCTATGAATAATCACATGCATGTGCACGTGCACACACACACACACACACACACACACAATTTCACCCTGGCCCAGACAATTTCCAAGGCTGCTGGTCAACCCTGGTGCTGGTTTCCTGATTAACAGTTGCTCACTCCGGGCTTTACCTTGTAAACCTAAGGAATTGTCCCTGGTTCTGCTCTGCTGCTTTAGGAAGCAGAGAACCTCTGTGCAGGCTGGAATCTCACCTTTCCAACATCATTTCCAGACAGGATTCACCAAGGACATCTGTGTCCTGTGGGAAGTCCAAACTCCCATTCTGCAGGTATGTCTAATTTATTTCAGCATGCAGCTGTCCCTTTTCTGTGAAATTTTTCTTTTATTCCATGTGTCTTTCTCTGCCTTGCCCTCTCAGTCTCACCCTTCCTTCAAACTAAGTTAGGAGAGGGACTCTGCTATTTATGGTTGACCTTACCCTGTGCTTTGTAAGGTATGCTAAAGGATTTTCTCCCCACCCTTGCCAGTGAATTTTAAAATTAATTTTAAAAGAGAATGCAATTTCTGAGGCTGTCCTTCCTTGAAGGACACTTTTTATTCCCTCGGCAGAATGTGTACTGGGGATTGGGCTATAGAAAAAAATCTTCTGTGCCTCTGTTTTATTTTATTCCTGGGGTGGTTTGGAGGATGGGTGATCTGATGACACAACTGACTTCACAAAGTGTCCTCCTTCTCTGTCGGAGTTCAATTTACAACATAATCGGGCTTGGCAAGGGATATCCTGAAACAGCAGTAACCCTCTCTATACAAAACATCACTTTGCCTCAGGCCAAGCCTATTCACCTTCATGGTTACTTTTAGACAGTGTCTCGTATCTTGTGTACAACTATAGTACTTGGTCCCCAGTGATTAAAAAGAACTCAGGGTTTGTCTACACACACACACACACACACACACACACACACACTCAGACTCTGGCTGAGAGAAGTGTGCCTTCCAGAAGTGCTCCTTTCATTGCTGCCCAAATCCAAACCTCTTCTTTGAGAAGGGAAGGGCACAAGAAAGGAGGTACCTGAACCCTTCTCTGAGTCAGGTGCCCGTGGTTTCCTCCACCTTCCTGGTGGAGGCCTAGAGTCGGAGTGGGAGAGGGAAGTGGTCAGAGAAGAGGAGAGAGCTATGTTGAAAGACAGCTGGGGAGAAAGCAAGCCCTCCACTCCCCTCTGCCCCTTAGTCCATGCTAAAACCCCAGAGTACACCAGCAGGAAGTGGAAATGGGCAGTCCTGCTGTTTCCAGGTTCTGGTGGGCACCTTTCCACATCCTAAACCAAAATATGTGACATGGACTGTCTGGATTTGTTCTGAAGAGGTGGTAGGTCCATTTGTTCATGGAAATCCTGACAGGGTCAGCTGTGAATCACACTGATGCTGGTGTAGGGTTAACACCATGGAGGTTGCAGGGGCCTGTGCTCTTGCTATACTTCCCTCATAGCCCTCTCTGTTATTTACTTAATTTCACATTTGTTAGTCGTGGGTTTGGGTAGGGCAGGAGAAGCAATCATTTCCATTTACTACCAACCACATAGCACACAAAACCAAATGTAGACCACTCCTTAGTCACCGCCCACTGTTTCTGATGGCACAGGGACATTCTAGGATGGGGGATGAGATATCCATCATTCAAAATGAGCCCAGAGGGCCACCGCTGGAAATACATGTGGTTGGCTGAATATAAGTGTCTGACTGTATATTTTTTAAGATAAACTTTTTGTTTGTTTTGTTTTGTTTTGTTTTGAGACAGAGTCTTGCTCTGTCACCCAGGAGGGAGTGCAGTGGCACAGTCTTGGCTCACTGCAACTTCCACCTCCCAGGTTCAAGCAATTCTCCTGCCTCAGCCTCCTGAGTAGCTGGGATTACAGGTGTGCACCACCATACCCAACTAATTTTTGTATTTTTAGTAGAGACATGTTGGCCAGGCTGGTCTTGAACTCCTGACCTCAAGTGATCCGCCCACCTCGGCCTCCCAAAGTGCTGGGATTAGAGGCATGAGCCACCGCGCACGGCCAAGATAAACTTTAAAAAGAAAAAAAGACTTTAATTAGCTGGAAATCCACTAACCAGCACTCTGACTTAATTAGGACTATAAACTATCAGGAAAAGAAACAAATGATAACAAAAAAAGATAAAAATAATAGCTATTTATTGTGTCACTTCCATATGCCAGGAAGTTATTGCGTATACTTTTTACACCAACCCTGGGGAAACTCTAAATGTCAAAGAGGTTAAGTAAGCTAGCTAAGAGCATACCTCCATTTACAAGTGAGTCAAAACTCAACCTCAGGTTCTATGCTCTACAGAGCTATTCTATACGCCTAAGTTTTGTCGTGTATTGCCATAACAAAATACCTGAGAATGTGTAATTTAAAAAGAAGAGAGGTTTATTTGGCTCACATTTCTGATGGCTGGAAAGTCCAAGAGCATGGCACTGGCATCTGCTCTGCTTTTGGTGAGGGCCACGTGCTGTGTCCCAACAGGGCAGAGAAGCAGAAAGGCAAGTGGGTGTGTTCAAAGAGGGCAAAACCTGAGAGTCAACCCTGCTTTGTAACAAACCGCGCTAGTGGGAACTAATCCATTCCCAGTAGAACTAACCCAGTCTTGGAAGAAAGACATTAACCTATCTTAACGACCTAATCACCTTTTAAAGGTGCCATCTCCCAGCACTGCTACATTGGCAATTAGATTTCAGCATGAGTTTTGTCAGAGACAAACCACATCCAAACCACAGCACTTTATATATCTTGCTTTTTTTGTTGTTTGTTTTGTTTTTTGTCCTGAAGCCCTAAATGTGAAATGGGTAAGACTTTTACAGCTACTAGGGTAGTCATTAGCGCTGTTTATCAAATATTTTTGGATTGCCACCTTCTGAACATAGAGAAGGACAATATTTTCCAGCCCCCTCGTGAGTGGGACACTGTGGCTGATACAGGTCAATATGCTCTGAGTGGAAATAATAGAAGTGATGTGTGTCACTTCTGAACTGGGGCATTTAATCATTAACAGGAGACTCTCCAGAGCTGTCTTTCCTTCTGCAAAAAGGCAAGTTCCAGCTCCATCAGCATAGGTCTTGAAGTGAGGATGATTTTGAACCAAGCCTCAGCTGCCCCATGTATGCTATGTGCCTGAGAGTTGGGGATTATCTGATACTGCAGCATAATCTAGCCTATCCTAACTGATAGGATCACAACCTAAAGAGTGCAGAAATATATTTTTATTTCCTCGTAACTAACTTAACTCACAAGCCCCCAATTCCACCAATAGTAGAAAATTCAGTGTTGCCCATTCAACTCACTTTGAGTATAGTTCTCCCCCATTTTTTGAGGAGAGAATACTTAGTCAATTCCAAGTTCCACCCCTTGGAACAAGGCTGGCAGAGTACATCTAAGTTTCAGGTAATGAAGGAGGTAAAAATAGTAGTTAAGGTTTTTTTGGTTGTTTTTGTTTTGAGATGAAGTCTCACTCTGTCACCCGGGCTGGAGAGTGCAATGGCAAGATCTCAGATCACTGCAACCTCCACCTCCCAGGTTCAAGCAATTCTCCCACCTCAGCCTACCGAGTAGCTGGGAATACAGGCATGCGCCACCACGCACGGCTAATTTTTTGTATTTTTAATGGAGATGGGGTTTCACCATGTTGGCCAGGCTGGTCTCGAACTCCTGACCTCAAATGATCCGACCACCTCAGCCTCCCAAATGCTGGGATTACAGGCGTGAGCCACAGTGCCTGGCCAAGAGCAGTTAAGTGCCCCATAACAAAGAGAGGCACTGGAGGTTACCTTTGTCCCAGGGCTGTCTTCTCATCTGCAAGCCATCACAGCTACGTGGCTCTTTCCTCTCTACCTTTGTGGTGGATGTGTCAGAGGCATGTGAACCAGAGTGACTCCATCTTGAATAGGGGCTGGGTAAAATAAGGCTTAGACCTGCCGGGCTGCATTCCTAGGAGGTTAGGCATTCTTAGTCACAGGATGAGATAAGAGGTTAGCACAAGGTACAGGTCACAAAGACGTTGCTGATAGAAGGATGCAGTAGAGAAGGCGGCCAGAAGCTACCAAAACCAAGATGATGATGAAAGTGACCTCTGGTCATCCTCACTGCTCATTATATGCTAGTTATAATGCATTAGCATGCTAAAAGACACTCCCACCAGCACCTTGACAGTTAATAAATGCCATGCCAATGCCCAGAAGTTACCCTATATGGTCTAAAAAGGGATGGAACCCTCAGTTCCAGGAATTGCCCACCCCTTCCCGGAAACCTCATGAAAAATCCACCCCGTTTAGCATATAATCAAGAAATAGCCAACCAGCAGCCCTCAGGGCTGCTCTGCCTATGAATTAGCCATTCTTTTATTCCTTTACTTTCTTAATAAATTTGCTTTCACTTTATGGATTCCCCTCTAATTCTTTCTTGCGCAAGATCCAAGAACCCTCTCTTGGGGCCTGGATAGAGAGACCCCTTTCCAGTAACAGATATCTGCAACACTGCCAAGGCCTCTGAACATGAGGCACGCTACTCTGCTCCCTCCTCATCTTAACCCAAGGCCTCTAAAGTTTCTAGCCCTCTCACAATATTTCTCCCTCCCCCACACCAGATCTCTGGACCTCAAGGCTGCTAGGACACTGTGAGGTAGTCCTCGAGTAACTCACTCAAGCAGCTACAGTGACTATTGTTCTGGCATCATGTGTGCCTCTCTAAGGGCCTGTCTGCCTAGGCTACACCTTGGGGAGCAAGGCATGAGTGCCCTCTTGCCTCAGGCCCCACTCCCATCAAACCTATCAGAGGTTTATTTTTGTTTGTTTGTTTGTTTTGTGCCTTTGTCCCAGGTTTATTGAAAATATTACAGTATTGCAGAAAGATTCAAACAGGTCCCCTAGGCGTTTTGAAAGTCATCCGAACTGTAGGCTGACTGACCTGCAGGTTGGACAGACTGCCAAATGCTGAAGTCCAAAAGCATTTTCTTAGCGTTAGGATGTACTTCAATGATCTCCTGATCCAGGGCTGAGACCTCGGGAACATAATTGTCTCTTTTTTCTCTCTCTTCCTCCTGCAGCTTGATGGAGATACCTCTTACTGGTATCTTACCCCTCTGAATCCACTTCACCAGATGCATGACATAGCCTGCTATCTTGTTGTGGAGCTTCTCGCTGGGGATAATGGCGATCTCCTCGCACACGCGCTTATCCGTGTGGAAGTCATTGCCCAGGCGCGTGTAGTACTTTTCTGTGACGACCTGGGCCGCCTTCTTCACGGTTTGGGTGTGAACGCGGCCCATGTTGGCTGGTCCTTGGTAAAAGAGGCCCTATCAGAGGTTTCTAACACACATTTTCTACACCCCACTGCTGGCATGAAGCCAACAGGGGTAGGGGGAGAGGGATTAGGACTCTGAACATTCTCACAGGGAAGCTCAAGGTATCTTGCTCTCCTGCTTTCCTTTCCCAACTCTCAGGTCCCTCCCCTTTTGGAATGTAAAACTATCTCTTACAACAGAGCTACTCAAAGTGCTGGTTGGCAACAAGCTAAGTCTGGTTGGTGTCAGCACATAAATCACCGTATTGCTTCCTTCATCAAGAAAGTCTTGCTACCAAAAACACACACACACACACACACACACACACACACACACACACACAAATCAACAACAGTGCCAACTGAACTAAACAGTGTTCATAGTGATAAAGTTGATTTACATTCTGGAATAGGCTTCTTATCTCAGTAATAAACAGGTCTCAGGAGGCAGCTGAGTCTTGTACATTCCTACCTATTCTGTGGTTTGTGGATAAATTTTATGCCCAGCTTCCTTCCGGTTTCAGCTTTTGATGTTCAAAGCCAGCTTTTGGAATTTAAAAAACCTTTCCACTCTCTGGTACCTTGTCTTTCAAGACTATTGTTTCAGCTATGAGTTTCAAACAACCCCATTCAACAATTCAATTGACTCCTTTGTTCCAGCCTGTATCTGCCCTTGTCCTGAGAATATTTTTTTTAAATCATTGCTGTGAGACTGGTAAGGAAAAGATAATAATTCTGCCTCTGCGCTGTTCAGCTTTTTAATGTATTTCCTGTCTCCCTGGCTAGAACATCGCATGCTTTTTAAGGTTGAGTTTTATTTTATAAAGAAGAATTAATTCTCTCAGCATTCAGATTAATCAAAGTTTGCCTAGCTCTTTGTAAAAATGACTTTTTAATTACTAGTCATTTTGAATCTGCTCCCCTCTAACAGCACACATAATCAAAAAGTCACTCAATTAATGTGATGTTTATTAAGAATGTGTAATGATATGAGTAAATGCTTCTTATAATATGAACTGAAAAAAGTGGGTTACAATGTTGGGTTGCAGTGTGCATATAAGTTTTAAAATAACAACAAAAGGTCTAGGATTAGGAAAAAAACAATAGAAATAAATGCATCTGTTTATATTTTTAATTTATATAATATCCTTTAATAGAAAAATAATTTTAATTTTTTAAAAAAGTGACTGCACTTCCCTATTGACTTATAACTTGGGAAACACATTAGTCTTGATTACATTTTGCCTTACATTATTCTTTTGTTGGTTTATCTCCCCAGCCTCTGCTTTAAGAATCTTCTCTGCAGTATTTTAACCTTCAAAAGCAATTGAACTCCTCAGTTGTGGTGCTTTTTTTTTTCAGACGGAGTCTGTCTGTGTTCCCCAGGCTGGAGTGCAGTGGCACGATCTTGGCTCACTAAAACCTCCGCCTCCTGAGTTCAAGTGATTCTCCTGCCTCAGCCTCCTGAGTAGCTGGGATTACAGGCGCCCACCACCACACCTGGCTGATTTTTGTATTTTTAGCAGAGATAAGGTTTCACCATGTTGGCCAAGGCTGGTCTCAAACTCCTGACCTCAGGTGATCCACCTGCCTCTGTCTCCCAAAGTGCTGGGATTACAGGTGTGAGCCACCGTGCCCAGCCATGGTGCATTATTATTTTATCAACCCAGTGAAGAGCCCCTCTCTACATTCCTGATCCTCATTTCTACCCAACCTCCAGGTCCCCATATGCATTACTTGTCTGGCAATACATGTGCACCCTCCCTCACTGCATATGTATTGCTGATCCATGTGCAAACATGCTTCCAGTGTGCATGAAGGCTCAGTGCCATCCTATGCCAACCATCTCCTACTTTGCTCATCCAATGCCTTATTTTCAGGATTTTTCCCATCACCAAACCCTTGTTGTTTCCTATCTCAAAGAATAGTGAGGCATCTCAAACCCCTTACACAGACTGTGAAGTATTTGGAATGAAATTTATGAGTGACCTCCACCCTGAGATTACACACTGCTACCAGGCCTGTAGAATGTTTTCTAAAGCTTTATTGCAATATATTTTACATAGTACAAAATTCACCTATTTAAATGGTGCAATTCAGTGGTTATGTGCACACTGCAACCCCACATTATAACCCACTTTTTAAAGTTCATGTTATAAGAAGCATTTATTCATGTTATTACACATTCTTAATAAACATCACATTAATCTGATGACTTTTTGATTATATGTGTTGTTAGAGGGGAACAGATTCAAAATGGTAATAAAGAGTCATCTTCACAAAGAGCTGGGCACACTTTGATTAATATACTCCAAGGTTGTACAACTATCACCATTAGGTAATTCCAGAATATTTTCATCACCCCCAAAAGGAACTCTAAACCCATCAGCTGTTATTCCCCATTTATCTCTCCTCCCAAACCTTGGCAACCACTTTTACTCCCTGTCTCACTGAATTTGCATACTTTGGACATTTCACATACGTGGAATCATACAATATGTTGTCATTTATAACTAGCTTCTTTCACTTAGCATAAGGTTTTCAAATTTCACCCACAATGTAGTATTTCATTTAGTATTTTATTCCTCTTCCTGTCAGAATAATCTTCCATTACATGAATATACCATATTTTGTTTATCCACTGGGCTTGTAGAATTTAAAACAGCATCACTTTTAGTACCTAAAGCATAGTCAATTTCTGTCACGTAATTAAGATAATTATGTCTTTTTAAAAATAATAATAATTTAGGTATCTTAGCAAATGAAGAGAAAAAGGAAGAGAAGATATTTAGGAAAAACATAGGAAATTTCTATATTTTTCTATTCTTTCAGAAAAACAGAATTCTATGCAAGCTAGAAATGTTTTCTCACTTTTTCCCTGTGCCTACACATCTCTATACACCTTCCTAATCCTGAAAACCCAGAACACAGCTTTATGCTGGCTTGGTACTGAATACCCAGTAAGTGTTGAATAGGAAGGAAGAAAAGAAGGAAGGAAGGAGATTTTAAAAAGAATGGATATTATTTAAAAAAGGAAACACTTGGAAAAAATTATTTCCACCTTGCTCTTTCTTCTCCCCGAAGCCTCCCCCAATCTCCACCTTGCTAGTCTTCCTTTTTGCGATGCAAATGGTTGAGCAGACAGTAGTGGGGAGAGCTGCAGGAGAGGTCAGCGGTTAAGCTTAATTACAAGTAAATACAATTTCTCTGGGGTTGCTGTGGAAAGGAGAGCAGATAAGATCAGCGAAAAGTACTTGGAGGGCCTTGGAAGACAGCCCCTCTGCAAATATAGGATTGGCTTTTATTGTTGTTGCTGCTAATAAAACAGATGTTCTCAAAGCATTCCTCCAACCAGTGAGAGGGCTGGGGAAATCGCTATGTCTTTACTGGTTGCTGAAACCAAATAAAAATCAAATTAAAGTTTAATTCACCTCATAATTTTCTTCATGGCAGGTCTGCTCAGCAGCCTTGAGGCAGCGCCAATGTCCTCCTCCACTGTGGCGTACATCACCCTCAGCCCGGGGACCCCAGAGGTCAGCTGCACATTTCCCTCGTGGGTGTTTGCAGCTGAAGAAAAGGCCCAGGCTAAGACGAAAGGGTGTTGGGAGCTGCTGGAAGATACCAGAAAGGCCTTCCCTCCTCTTCCCGTCTCCAGGGTCTCCATGGCAACGGGGGGAAAGCTGCTAGGTATTCCAGCTATGTGACCCGGGCCATGTATATTACCCAGCCTCCTGAGGGGTGCCAGACCATAAACACTGAGCCGCCTGCAACCACAGATGTCATGCTCCCTCCTATGCTCCTCATACCCAGGACAGTGTCTGTGATAAGGAGGGCTCGAGTAACATTTCATGCACCCATGCAATAAAGTTTCCTATTCAGTTAATATGAGTGAGGGAATGAACAAATGAAATAATTTTTTCCAAGTGTTTCCTTTTTAAATAATATCCATTCTTTTTAAAATCTCCTTCCTTCCTTCTTTTCTTCCTTCCTATTCTTTGACACACAAATAATGTAAAACTTCCCAGGGCACTGTTCCAACTCTAACAGATGATTCCCCACGTGCTAGGAGTTAACAGCTTGCTACTGACTGTAAACTCAGAGTTGGGTTTTGCAGTTTTTAGATATATTGAGTGCTCTACAGATGCAAAGCAGTGACCTCCTCATCTAAATCAGACAAATGCAAAGATAAGGAGAAGATCATGAGGAAGCCAAGAGGTGGACAAACACAAACGCCCAGAAGAGTCTTCCAGGTCAAGAACTGTCTGGAGAAAAGCCATTGCAGTGACATGAGAATGTCAGAAGTAAAACCGAGGTAGGACCACACATTCTCTTTTGAAATTAGCCCCTGCTCATCCATTCATTTAACATTTCAGTGCCTACGAAGTGGACAAGACCATGTGGAGATGAATGAGACCACAAGCCCCTCATGAGACTGTGAGGGGCCTGCAGACTAGTAGGGGAGGCTGATGTGGAAATGAATTGTTACCTTACAAAGTGGCAAAGGCTGCAGGACTTAACGTCCAGGTGGTGCTGGGAGATGCTCCCCAGAGGAAGCAATGGGGAGATTCCTAGCAGGAATGACCTGACTCAGTCTGGGTCTTATAGAGTAGAGTCAACATCAGAAGGGGAAGTTCAGGATATAAGAATGTAGCCACCCAATGTAACCTTGCCTGCTGCCTAGGCAGAGCCAATTTATCAAGACAGGGGAATTGCAATAGAGAAAAAGTAATTCATACAGAGCCAGCTGTGCAGGAGACCTGAGTTTTGTTATTACTCAAATCAGTCTCCCCCAGCATTCTAGGATCAGAGTTTTTAAGGACAACTTGGTGGGCAGGGGGAAGCCATTGAGCCAGGAATGCTGATTGGTCAGGTCAGAGATGAAATCTTAGGAAGTTGAAGCTGTCTTCTTGCACTGAGTCAGCTCCTGGGTGGGGCCACAGGATCAGATGAGCCAGTTTATTGATCTGGGTGGTATCAGCTGATCCATCCAGTGCAGCATCTGCAAAATATCTCAAGCACTGATCTTAGGAGCAGTTTAGGTTGGGTCAGAATCTTGTAGTGTCCAGCTGCATGACTCCTAAACCATAATTTCTAATCTTGTGGCTAATGTTAGTCCTACAAAGGCGTCTTGTTTGGGGAAAGGGCTGTTATCGTCTTTGTTTTAAACTATAAACTAAGTTCCTCCTACGCCCAGGAATGAATAAGGACAGCTTGGAGGTTAAAAGCAAAATGGAGTCAGTTACGTTAGATCTCTTTCACTGTCTCAGTCATAATTTTGCAAAGGCAGTTTCAATCATAGAGAAGAGATAACACATTTGAGAGAAATGTGTTTCTTAATCCATCTTCAGTCTCTATTGTGAGGCAGACACTACCTCCACCAGGCATTTCCCTCTTTAAGAGTGTGTTTGAAGACACCCTAAACTTTAATATTTGTGGCAGACCTGATCTTTGCACAAATGATTGGGAGTTATTTTTTAAAGGGCCAGGGACTTCATCACTGCATATCTTTTGGCATGAGGCTAAAGAGAAGAAGGTGTAGAAATCCTGACATTGTTAGGAGATATTTTTCACGTTGTTTTATAAAATGTAATGTACTTTCCAAAACTGTATATAAGCTAACCAGCTTCTATCTCCTCTATCACAGACGGAGCTGAGCAGAGTTAAGCATTCTGATTTCAATTCATGAAGCAGGAAATCTTTCTGGCAGGTCCTGGTGAGTTTCCAGTTTGGCTGCTGACAGATAGAGAAATGTGCTTTCTATAGCCTCTTCCTCTCCATCCCACGTCCACTGTGCACATTCTTCAGAGCTGGCAAGAGTCACTGACAGGACATGGCACCCATGGTTTGAAGCGCCGACTTTTCTCTGCAGGTGGCCCAGAGCCAGTGAAGGACTTTCTTGAAGCACATAGCACGCCATGGTCATACAACGGCGATATGTAGCCTGGGTGTCACTCACTGAGACACATTTCCTCCCTCCACCCCCACCCATCTTTCTTAAAATTTAGCATTTTCTGGACAAGATCAGGCTTACTATAAGACAGTGCTTAGAAAAACTGATGTTAAGATGGAAAAAATAAGGGAAGGAGAGGGAAGAAAAGGTGGGAAAGAGATTAGAAAAAGAGGAGGAAGATGATGGGGAAACTGGAAACAAAGAGTTAAAAAAAGTGGGGAGGAATAATGCTGTGAGGTTGAAGACTTCTACCTCAATGCCTTTGCATTTGCTGCCTCCACTAGTAACTCTCTCTCCTCAGTGATCTCACTCCCTCAATTCACTTCACACATCACTTTACAGTGACGCCATCCTTGGACTCCCTAGCAAAATCCACCCCCTTCCGTCACTCGCTAATTGCTTAACCAGTTCTACTTTCCTTCATAGCAGTGATCACCACCTAGAATATCACACATTTATTGGTTTGTCTTTCCTCAAGGGAATGTAAACTTCACCAGTACAGGGACTTTTTCAATTTCATTCCCTGCTATATTTTAAGCATCTAGTACAATGCCTGGCACAGAGCAGGTATATTAGTCAGAGTTCTCCAGAGAGACAGAATGAATAGGCTATGGACAGACACATAGAAAGATATAAGAGGAGATTGATTAGGGGAATTGGCTCATGTGATTATGGAGGCTGAGAAGTACCATGACAGGCTACCTCTACGTTAGAGACCTCAGGAAGCTGGTAGCATGACCTAGTCCAAGTCTAAAGACCTCTGAACCAGAGAAGCCGATAGTGTAACTCTCAATCCAAGGCCAAAAGCCCAAGAAAACCAGGGAGAGGCCACTGGTGCAGGTCCTGACCTGACCTAAAGGCCAGTAAGTCTGGAGTTCTGATGTCCAAGGGTAGGAGAAGAAGGGTGTGCCAGCTCCAGAAGGGAGGGGAAAGAATTTGCCTTTCTTCTACCTTTTTGCTCTCTTCAGGCCCCCCTTGATTGGACAGTGCCTATGTACATTGAGGGCAGACTTCCTCCCTCAGTCCACTGACTCACACGCCGGTCTCCTCTGGAAGCACCCTCATGGACACACCCAGAAACAATGCTGTACCAGTTCTCTAGGTGTTCCTTAATCTTGTCAAGTTTGGCACCTAAAATTAACCATTACAGTAGGTGTTCAGTAAACATTTGTTGAATACATAAATGGGAGGTCCTGGGGCTCCTTAAGAAAAAACAACAACAACAACAAAAAACCTCCTCCTTCCCCACCCAATCTCACAATGTCCCTGGAAAGAATGATCATTTTTATTTCATAACTTTATTTCATGGAGATAAATTGTTTTTATTCACATATAGTTTGAACCTTCCCCTCCTTTTCATAATTTTTTCCTACCAACACCCTAACCTCCTATAGAGTGAGAGAGAAAGAGAGCGGGAGGACACGTGCCAGTTCGTGTGCCATCAAAGGAATCGGCCTTTCTTTCATGGCAATGCCTTTGGAGCAAACCTGAAGCCTGTAAGGCAACAACAATGACAGTCTCTTTCCCACCTCCCAGAAGAGGATGAGAATAAATCCAGCGATAATGGGAAGAGTGTGATGTGAGGCAGAGCTAACATCACAGAGATCCCAGGGAACATTATTTTTCCCTCTCCTTTCTAAAGACACCATAAAAAGCTCCAGATTTTTCTTTCTGAGTGGTGACTGCTTTAAAGAATATAAAATCTGAGATACTGTGAACCCCCACATGATTTCACCTCTGGCAACTGATGTGAGACACAGTGATGGGACTTCATGGTTGTTATATTTGACTTGCAGCCTTGGGAGGAGGGCAGTTAGAAAGGAGGACTGTCCTGAAGTAATGGTAGCCCCATTGGGGTTTGGGGCTTTGTGTCATAGTTTAAGCAATTCAGGGAGGAGAGATTGAAGGAATGGATGAAAAGGAACCACAAGAAAGAGAGGTGGGGGGAGATGCAAAAGTGAGGAAGCGGGAGAGAAGAGATAAAGGAGCCAAGCTCACTTGTTGCCCTGTCTATGGGGACCAAGAAATCTCCAGCTTGGGTTTGATCAGTTTAGGGCAATGACCCTCAAATCTTCACTTCCAGCAATCCTTAATCATTTGATGGAATTTTCTATCCAGCATACTTTATGTCATATAATAAAGGACTTGTGTGGTCTTTTTCCCAGGTTCCTGGGACTCTCTCAGCCCTCACCCCATGTGTCTCTTCATGTGGCTGGTCCTGACCTATATCCTTTCTCGTAAGTGTCTGTAATTGGAAGTAGAGCACTTTCCTGAGTTCTGTGAGTCGTTCCAGTGAATTATCTAACCTGACCAGGTCATGAGAATCCCTGAGTATCTAGTTAGTCCGAAGTGTAGGTGGCCTGGAGACCCCCTGAACTTGTGGCTGGTGTCTGAAGTTGAGACCCTCGTGAGGGGGACTGTGCCCTTCATTTGTGGGGTGTATTACTCAGGGTCCTCCAGAGAGACAGAATCAGTGGGATATATGAAAGGTGATTTATTAGGGGGAGTTGGCTCACACAATCATGGAAGTGGAGAAGTCCCACAATAGTTGTCTGTGAGCTGGAAAACCGGAGAAGCCGGTAGCACAGTTCAAAGCTGGTAGCATGAATGGTTCAGTCCAAGTCTAGAAGCCTCAGAACAGGGAAGCAGACAGTGCAGGCCCCCGTCATCTGAGGCTACAGACCTGACTGTCCCCAGAAGGCCACTGGCACAAGTCCCAGAGTCCAAAAGCAGAAGGGCCTGAGTCTTATGTCCAAAGTCAGGAGGAAAAAAAGCATTCCATCCCAGAAGGGAGAGAGAGAAAAAGGGGGAGAGAGAGAGAACAAGCCCCCTTCTTCTGCCTGCTTGTGCCAGCCAGGGCCACTGACGATTGGATGGTGACTGCCCCCTTAAGGGTGAATCTTCTGCTCTCTCTCAGTCCACTGACTCACACCCTCACAGGCATGCCCAGAAACAATGCTTCATCAGCCGTATAGGCAGCCCTGAATCCAGTTAAACTGACACGTAAAATTAACCGTCACATGAGATCTGCCCTAACTCTGGGTGGTTAATGCCAGAATTCAATTGCAGAACACCAGTGGGTGTTAGAATATCCTACTTATTCAATTTAGCAAAAATATTAATTCCTTGGTGAAGCCTTCCTTGACTTCCCCAGAATTAGTTGCTCCCTTTCTCTCCTTTTATTCTATTAATATATCTATAATAGCACACACCATATTTTTGCACACATATAGTTTTTCTATTGAAAGGTCTGTTTCCCCTATTATCTGGGCCCTCTTCAGGCAGGGCTCCCCTACTGTGTGCAGTCTAGGGACTTGGTGCCCTGTGACCCAGCCGCTGTAGCGGTGGCTAAAAGGGGCCAAGGTACAACTCAGGCCACTGCTTCAGGGGTGCAAACCCCAAGCTCTGGCAGCTTCCACATGGTGTTGGGCCTGTGGGTACACAGAAGTCAAGAACTGAGGTTTGGGAACTTCTGCCTAGATTTCAGAGGATGTATGAAAACACCTGAATATCTGGGCAGAAGCTTGCTACAGGGGCAGAACCCTCATGGGGAACCTCTGCTAGGGCAGTGCAGAAGGGAAATGTGGGGTCAGAGCCCCCACACAGAGTCCCCACTGGGGCACTTCCTAGTGGAGCTGTGAGAAGAAGACCACCATCCTGCAGACCCCAGAATGGTAGATCCACAACGGCTTGCACCATGTGCCTGGAAAAGCCACAGACACTCAATGCCAGCCCATGAAAGCAGCCAGGAGTGGGACTGTACCCTGCAAAGCCACAGGAGTGGAGCTGCCCAAAGCCATGGGAGCCCAACTCTTGCATCAGTGTGACCTGGATGTGAGACATGGAGTCAAAGGAGATTATTTCAGAGATTTAAGATTCAGTCACTGCCTTACTGGATTTTGGGCTTGTATGGGGCCTGTAGCCGCTTTGTTTTGGCCAATTTCTCCCATTTGGGACAACTGTATTTACCCAATGCCTGTACCCCCATTGTATCTAGGAAGTAACTAACTTGCTTGTGATTTTACAGGCTCATAGGTGGAAGGGACTTGCCTTGTCTCAGATATGACTTTGGACTTGGACTTTCAAGTTAATGCTGAAATGAGTTAAGACCTTGGGGGACTGTTGGGAAGGCATGATTGGTTTTGAAATGTGAGGATATGATATTTGGGAGGGGCTGGGGTGGAATGATATGGTTTGGCCATGTCCCCATCCATATCTCATCTTGAATTGTAGCTCCCATAATTCCCACGTTTTGTGGAAGGGACCTAGTAGGGGGTAATTGAGTCATGGGGCAGGTTTTTCCTGTGCTGTTCTCATGATAGTGAATAAGTCTCATGAGATCTGATGGTTTTATAAAAGGGCAATTCCCCTGCACTTGCTCTTTCTTGCCTGCCACCATGTAAGGTATGCCTTTGCTCCTCCTTTGCCTTCAGCCATGATTGTGAGGCCTCCCCAGCCATATGAAACTGTGAGTCCATTAAACATCTTTTTCTTTATAAATTCCCCAGTCTTGGGTATGTCTTTATTAGCAGCATGAGTGCAGACTAATACAAAATACAACAAGGAAGTCCAATGAGAGGGAAACTCCCCAGGGAGAGATGGTGGCTTCTTCATGTATCTCAATGTGTATTTGGGGGCTGGAGCCAGGTGGGAAGATATGATGAATGGTCCTAGGGAAATTGTCCAGGCCCTGCCCACAAAAGAGAAAACTAGGGCTACCCTGGAGAAAATGTCAAATTTGTAAGGAAAATCGACAAACTTTTATTCCATTTGTAATAATCAGCACTGCAATTCAGTTTGGTTGTGCCCAATTTCACATCCAGCCCACACTTTCCTAAATCCCGTGGCACATTCTATCCCATCTTAGCCCATGCCCTGGCCCCTTTCTCAGCAGGGCTCCCCCAGTGCTCTCTGACTCATTTTCCTTACAGCAGCAGCAGTAGCAACTAGCTTTCTGTGTCCTTCAATGGCTGCAAGATGTGACAAGGAGAAAAGTTATGTTCTAGAAGCCTTTGCAGCTTCGGTTAAGATTAGAATAGCTAGTTTCTGGGAAGAGACAAGTTCCAGAGAGGGTACAGATTGAGAATTTAGGGATGGGGACTTTTATAAACTGTGCCCCAACTCCATGAAAGAATGAGGGAGAGAGAGCTCAAGGGCTCGCTCCACAGGGAAGGCTGGAGTGGGGGATGACTAATGCAATTACCCATTTGGAATTTAGCTTAGAAGATGAAAAGAAATAGACCAGAGGTGACAGGCTTAAAAATTCCTTTTTTTTTTTTTTTTGGTTTGTTCCCAATCCTCTCCTAGTCCAGTGTTGGGAGAGGAGCTGCGGTAAGGAGAGTGGAGAGAGACAGAAAGGAAGGATAAATAAAAAGAGATTTTAAAAAGAAAGGGAGTCTTAATGTGGAGAGGATCAGTAAAAAGTAAATAAATAAATACAATTTAAAAAGAAAGAGAGTATGTGAGGACACCAAGGAGTGTGGCTAATGTGGTTAACCCTGACCCGAGGACAAGATAGGTTATTAATTTTGATCTCCCAGACTTAGGATTGCCACGAAAATACATAGTTGAGAGGCAGGGGCTAGACAGTGGGGAATGGAAAGCAAGTGTCTGATTCCAGAGGAAAGCAGAGAGTTGCCACGGTAGGAGGAGAAAAACTCTCACCTGAGAGATCATAGTCCCTGGCTTGGGAAGACCTAATGCAAGAACCGGGAGAAGAAACCACCAAAAAATTTGCCTAACCAGCTGACAAGTCACTGCCGTGGGGTGGCTCTGAGCTGTGCTGTGTCTCCCTCCTTCCTTGGCCATGGCCCCATCTTCCCCATGTGGTTGGACATTCTCACCACTGGGACGTCAGGAGGTATAGAGTTTAATTCAGGTTCTTCCACCAACTAGTTCTGTGGCTCCTGTTTAATCTCCAGAAGCTTCATCTGAATATTCCTTTCAGGGAAAGCACACCAGCTAGAGCCGTGGTGGGGAGAATGGCTTGATCTACATAACCCACTAGGTATTTTTTCAGATCTTAAAAGACTGAGAAACTGTCACAGCCAAGAGGAGCCTAAGCAGACATGACAACTAAGTAGAGTGTGGTAAACTGAATGGGATTCTGGGACAGAAAAGAGGCACTGGGGGAAACAGAAAATCTGAATGAAGTGCAGAACTCTGTTAATAAAAATTTCTCAAAATTGGTTCATTGATTGTGACAAATGTACCATACTAATGTTAGATGCCAATAATAGGGGACGCTTGATGTGGGGTATATGGGAACTCTCTGTGCTATCTTTACTATGTTTCTGTTAATCTAAAATACCCTTAAAAAAAAGTTTATTTAAAAACTGTGAGTTATCTTATAGTGTGGACTCAAAGATGAGGACATGGCCTCTGGAAGGGCCACATTTAAGATACCGCTGTGTGTGTGTGTGTGCATGCACATATATAAACAGATAAGTTTTCTATGATGAACATGTAATACTTTTGTAATGAAACAGTAATTTAAAATAAGTTGCATATTATACACTATTTGGAAGAAGAAAGGAGGTAAAGCAGCCATTTCAATTAATATGTTTATGAATTCGTTTATTGAATCTTTTATTTAACAACATGTACTAAGCTTGCATATAATTGGACAAGGCATTCTATGGCAAGAATGAGACAAACGAAGCCTGATTTTTTACAGGTGAGAAGCAGCTGTGGAGAGCTGATGCACAAGCCCACAGTAGGGTGAGCAAGCCTGGAGTAGGGTGACAACATGGAGGAGGGAGCGCCTGGCTCTGCCAGGAATCGGCCAAGGCTCAACAGTGTTTATGCCTTAAGACAAGAAAACAGCACGGAGTTGAGAGCTTAAGCTCTGGAACTGGGCAAGTTCTCTCAAAGCCTCATCGGGCTACTCTAAGAATTAAATTAAAACACTAACAAGCACAGAATAAGCTAGTTCCTGATATAGTAAGAGCTTATTATGTGCCAGGAACTGTTGTAAGTACTTTACATCTGTTAAACTCATCTAATCCTCACATCCAATCTATGAGGGAGACACTGTCATTACCCCTCATTCTAGAAAAGAGGGAGCTGAGGCACCGAGAAGATACCAATTTGTCCATGGATACCAGCTAGTTAATGGTGGAACCAGGGCAGAACCCAGGCAGTCCAGCTGCAGAGTCTGTAAACTGAACTCTCATCCCAGCCACATCTTTCAATGACTAACACAATTATCATTTTGAAGGGTGAGTAAAGGCCAGTAGGGAAGTGAGGTGATGAAAGCTTTTATAGATCTTACAACTTAATAGCCTAGACCTCAGGGGAGGTCTCACTGTGATGTAGATTTGAGGTCTTCAGCATATGGTGGAAGGTGAGGCCTCTGAGCTGATGAAATGGCCCAGGAGAGCACCCTGCCCAGTGCCAGCACAGGACATCTGGAGCTCTGAACAGAGTTCAATAGCAACTGTTTTAGCTCAGGTTGCTACAACAAAATGCCACAGACTGGGTGCTTTAAAAAACATATATGTATTTCTCACAGTTCTGGAGGCTGTGAAGTCCAGGATCAAGGTGCTGGCAGATCCAGTGTCTGATGAGGGCTCTCTTCCTGGTTTGCAGATGGCCATCTTCTTGTTCTATCTTCACATAGTGGAGAGCAGAGAGAGGAAGCAAGCTCTTGTGTTTCTTCTTATAAGGGCACTAATCCTTTACATGAGGTCTCCACCCTCATAACCTAATTACCTCCCAAAGTTCCCACCACATAATACCATCACATTGGGGATTAGAATTTCAACATATGTATTCTGGGGAGACAAAATCATGCAATCCATAATATTCTGCCCATGGCCCCCCCACACTTCATGTTCTTCTCACATGCAAAATACATTCATTCCATTCCGACAATCCCAAAAGCCTTAACTGGTTGCAGCATCAACTGTAAAGTCTGAAGTCCGAAGTCTCATTGAAATATTATCTAAATCAGGTTTGGGTGAGACTGAAGATGCAATTCATCCTGAGGCAAAATTCCTCTGCATCTGTGAACCTGTGAAACAAAACAAGTAATGTGCTTCAAAAGTGCAATATGGTTGGATAGTCAGAGGATAGACAGTCCCATTCCAGAAGGGAGAAGTTGGAGAGAAGGAAAAGGTGATGGGGCCTCACTAAGGCAAATCCCATGAGGTCTTAAGGCTTGAGAATAATCCTCTTTGGCTTGATGATCTGTCCTCCATGCCCACTGGGGTGGCAATATCACCTGCAAAGCTCTGGGAGGCACATTGTCATGGCTTCTTTTGAAGGCCCTCTACCCTGTTGAAACCTAGGGAATTGCCCGATGTTCTGTGAATCACCTTCGGGGGGCCTTCTTCCCATGTCCTTCCTTCCTTCCCTCCCTCCACGCCCTCCCTCCCTTCTTTCCTTCTTTCCTTCTTTCCTTCTTTCCTTCCTTCCTTCCTTTCCTTCCTTCCTTCCTTCTTTCCTTCCCTCCCTCCCTTGTCCCTTCCTGTTTTCTCTGTTTCTGTTAGTCCCAGCTGGCAGTGTTTCTGCTGGTATAATCTCATCTCTATTCTTGATGTTTTTTTGAGATGGCTGATTAAGTCCATGATTCACATCTGCACTAATCTCCTTATTAAAATGTCAGTTTGCCACCTCCTTAGTGTTTTCTTCTGAACATACTTTCTCACTTTTGTGTTATGAAAAGGCTGAGAATTTTCCAAATCTTTAAGTTCTGGTTCCTGTTTGCTTAACAATTCTGTCCTTAAGTCATTTCTTTCCTCTTGCATTTTACCACAAGAAGTCAGGACACACCATGCCTCTCCTTCAACATTTTACTTAAAAATCTGCTCAGCTAAATATCCAGGATCATTGCTTGCAAGTTCTACATTCCACAAAACAATAGAATTTGAACACAATTCAGCCAAGCTCTTTGCTACTCTATAACAAAGATGGGCTTTTCTTCATTGTCCTATGTGCTCCTCATTTCCATCTGAGACCTCATCAGAATGGCCTTTACCATACATATTTCAACCAATATTGTGCTCATGATAACTTACATATTCTCCAAAAAATACGTTTTCTCTACAGGTCTCCCCTCTCCTTGTGAACCTCCAACAGACCTCCCTTTAGCCGTCCCTTTGCAGCAATATTGGGTTTTTCTAGCATGTACCTCAAAAGTCTTCCAGCATCTACCCATTACCCAGTTCCACAGCTACTTCCACATGTTCAGGTGTTTGTTACAGCAGCACCCCACTTCTCAGTACCAATTTCTGTCTTAATCAGTTTGGGCTACTATAACAATTTGCTATAGAATGGATGGCTTAAACAATAAACATCTATGTCTCACAGTTCTGGAGGCTGAGAAGTCCAAGATCAAGGTGCTGGCAGATCCAGTGTCTGGGGAGGGCCCAAGAAGTGCTTGGGTTGTAGATGGCCACCCTCCCTTGTATCCTCAGATGGTGGAGAGCAGAGTGAGATCAAGCTCTCTCATGTCTCTTCTTAGAAGAGGGCTCCACCTTCATGACCTAATTACCGCCTAAAGACTCCACATTCTAATACCATCACATTGGAGGTTAAGATTTTGACACACGAATTTGGGCAGGGACACACATGTGCAGTCTATAACAGGAACCATCTACTATAATTTGTTTCCGAGGGAAGGAGCAGAAACCTATCACTTTTGAGCGACTATGATGTGCCAGGCCTTGTTCAAAAACTCAATGGCAGGTAAGATGATACTCGATTTCCTGATAAGTAACCTGCAGCTCTGAGAGTTGAAGTAAGTTTCCCAGTTGCAAGCTGGTCAATGTAAGATCAGGAAATCCCAGGGCTGTGTGTGCTCTTTCTTCCACACTGCACCCATCACAGGTGAGCCAGGCCGTTGGAGCAGCCCTCTGAGGGTAGCACCTGAGAGGAGACGTGGTCCTGGTGAACACACATGCGAGGCCCTTCCAGCAAGGGCCTAGCTGCTGGAACTGTAAAGCACAGTGGGCCCTGGCCCCTTCCTGACCATCAGGCCCCATCATTTGTATTGCCCTCCATGGTGTTGGCCCAGGCTCCAGCCATAGGATGATGGTCTCTGGGTAATTTCTGAGATTTCAGGTCATTTTTTTTTCTTTTTTTCGTTCTTATTGGTATTCTGGGTTTTCTTCAGTGAATATAATAGAAATAATAAGTAAAGAAAGATCCTGCTCCTCTAGAAAGCAGATGAACATGTAAACAGGTAACTATTGCACAAGATGGAGCCAAACACAGAAAGCAGAGGACTGTGTCAGTTCAAAGAGAAAAGTGATTCATTCTGCCTGTAGAAATCAAAGATTCAAGGAGGAGGTGACTGTTCTGGGCATTAAAAAATGAATAGGATTTTGATGTATAAAAAGTCTCCTGGACTGTGGGAATAGACTTGAACTAAGGCCCAGAGTCATGCTAGGGTATGACAGGTCAGAAAGCAAAAGTTGTAGAGGGAGACTGAGCTAGCCAGCCCATAATATGGCCTTAGGAACTCCTACCTCCTGGTATTCGCACGTTTCTATAGTCCTCTCCCACACGGTATCAGGGTTGGTCTGTGCAACCAGTGGAACACAGTAGAAGGGATGGTGTGCCACTTCTGAAATAAGTTATAGAAGACACTCCAGCTTCCATCTTGGTCACTGTCTCCTATGCCTTATTTGTCTTGGATCACTCACCCTATGAAGAGACCCACGTATTGAGGGACTGAAGTTTCAGCAGCACATGAGTGACCTTCGAAATGGATCCTCCATCACCTTCAGATGACTGCAGCCCTGGATCACAACTTCACCACAACCTTGAGAGTGACCCTCACCTTGAACCTCCCAGCCAAGCTGTTCTCAGGTACCCAGAAACCATGTGAAATGATAAATGTTTATTGTTTTAAGCTGCTAAATTTGGGGGTAATAGGTTATGCAGCAAGAGATAACTAAGATAGATGTAGTGGAAGCTAAAGCTGAAGAGAAATTTGAAGCCAAATCATAATCAGCCTTGAATGCCCTGTCAAGAAATGTGGACTGACCTGTCAGCAATAGGGACCTGTTAGAGATGATCAAGGACCAAAGCACTGAAATATGCGTTAGACAGGATCTCTGAAGGCTGTGTGAGGGAGGAACTGGAGACACGTCAGGATGCTCATACAGCAGGCTAGATGAGAAAAAACAAGGGCCTGGCCGGGCATGGTGGCTCAGACCTGTAATCCCAGCACTCTGGGAGGCCGAGGCAGCCAGAGGCAGATTGCTTGAGCTCATGAGTTTGAGACCAACCTGGGCAAGATGGCAAAACCCTGTCTTTGCAAAACATACAAAAAGTAGGCTGGTGTGGTGGTGTGCACCTGTAGTCCCAGGTACTTGGGAGGCTGTGGTGGGAGGATGGCTTGAGCCTGGGAGGTGGAGGTTTCAGTCAGCCAAGATTGTGGCACTGCACTCCA
Organism: Homo sapiens; assembly: GCF_000001405.40. Lineage (NCBI taxonomy): Eukaryota > Metazoa > Chordata > Mammalia > Primates > Hominidae > Homo > Homo sapiens. The sequence goes on from NC_000001.11 coordinate 167,180,203, forward strand.
GCCTGGGTGACAGAGCCAGACCTTGTCTCAAAACAAAAAACAGAACAAACAAACAAAAAAATCCACAAAAAGCGAGGGCCTGGACTGAGCAGTGCCAAAGGGAAGAGAGAGGAGGTGGCAGTTAGTAGATACATTGGAGTTAGAATTTCTGGGACTTGTTTACTGATTGAATTGGGGGTCTGAGAGGGTGGGGGAGGTGTTAGACTCTGAAATGTGCAAAACAGACTCTCACTCAAATGCACCAAACAAGGGGAACGATGACAGAGGAGAAGCCATAAACCAGGCCCTCCGCAAGCGCTATTCAGGCACTGGAAGAAGTGCTATTAGGAGGTTGCCTTGCCACCCGTCAGCAGCAGCACGCCATTGGTCTTCTATCTGCTATTGCTCTGTAGCTTGCTACTAAGGACTTCTCTTGTCTCACAACTTGCTTCCCCTTTGCTTTTGCAGACTTGTGGCACGTGATTTTATATCTGCCTCTCATCTTTCCTCTATGTGTCTTTTAACTTCTACTCCCCACTGGCTAATCGACTTGCTCTCTGCATCTCTAGTTGGAACTTTGAGAGGGAAGGTCTTGACAATTCAGTTTATATCCATTGTCTCTGTGAGGCAACAGTCTCAGTAATTTGGCTGCCAGTGCTTCGAGTCCAGTCAGCTGTGGACAGGGAGGCAAGGTCACTTTGTCTAAGCAGGGCACCCTGGCTAGAAGAAATGTTTTGGGGAAGGGCTGCAGGCATGATAGGCTTTTTGAGGCTGAGCCTACATGGAAGCTGTCAGAAAGGACTGCAAAGTTTCTAGCCTGGGTCCCTATAAGAGAGGTTAAAGGAAATTGGCAATGAAGGATGAGAAGCCAGTTGGCTTGGTGGATGGAGAGGTTTGAGGTACATGTAGGAGAGAAAGACATACATGGAGGGAGATACCCAGAGGAAGCTTCAAATTCAGGTCTGGAATTCAACTGAGGTCAGACCTGGGGAAGAAGATTTAGAGAAGAGCACCAGAATGATCACAGAAGTTATAAGAATGAGGTGCCCTGGACACGGGGAGATAAAATTCAGTCCCCTCTGGGGATAGGAGGGCAAAGGAATAACTGGACTGATTCTTTGTCTTTCTCCACAGAAGGCCAGCTAACTTCCAAAATTACCCCAGGATTCATCATATCAAGGGGCAAATGGCTTCCTGTTTCTCTCTGTGTCCTCTCAGGGCATTAGTGTCTGGCCCTCTCTCAAGGTACCTGAATGCTGGGAGCCTGAATCTGACAATGCCCATTGCACCTCACAAATCAGCTTGAGACAATGCTCACATATGTTCCCCCTGCTTCATATGTCTCGGTTATACTTGAGTAACGCTCATATACTTTTACCCCATTTTGTATCTCTCAGTTATACTTGAATAACGCTCATATACTTTTCCCATTTCGTATCTCTCAGTTGTACTTGAGTAACACTCATACATTTTTCCCATTTCGTATCTCTCAGTTGTTACTCAGTTGAGTAACACTCATATACTTTTCCCCTGTTTTGTATCTCTCTGTTATACCTTGAGTAATGCTCATATACTTTTCCCCTACCTTGCATCTCTTAATTAGAAAAATGCCACACATGGTGTTCCAGGCTACTCTCTCAAGAGATTATGTAAGTAATGACTCCTAAACTGGGAAAAGACATACAACTCTGCAGATGAGTTTGAACTCTTTTCTCCTCCCTTCCTCCAGGTGGTTCCTTTCCAAAGATGATATAATTAGCAATAAAGTCAATAAAATCTGGATTTTTTTCTAACTCATCCAAAAACTGTTACCCAGCATGTAGAATAGCTATTAGCAGTCATTGAGCAATGCCCACTCACCCTTTGGAAGGCACTTTTATTTTCTGGTCTCAGCAGCCCAGGAAGAATGACTGTTGGTAGTCATGGGCCTAGTTTAAGAGCAGAGCCACTGGATGCACACCACGTGTGCTCATCAGATCACAGAAGCAGTCATTCTCAGACACAAGGGCCTGCTGAAAGAGAGGACAGGGCAGGATGCTCAGGACAGGACTGTCGAATCTCTAGTTCCCTCTTCCCTGCAGTTACTATCCACATATACATCAGATATCTCTTCTACCTCCAGTAATCCCCCCATTAATGCATATCTTTAAAAAAAAGATACAATTTGAATTTAACTTGGAATATGGATGATCTGTAGCTATATTAGCCAAAATAGGCTAGGTTATGCTGTGGTAGTAGACCACCCCAAAATCTCAAGGACTTACAACCACAAAAACTTATTTCTTGCTCATGCGCCACATTCATCTAGGATCAGCTATGGTTGCACTCCATGTTGCCTTTATTCTAGGACCCAAATTCATAAAGCAATCTCTGCGTGGAGCATAACAGGTATCATTTTAGAAGTGAAAGAGAACTTGGGAAAACACAAGTTGGCTCTTAATGTTTTCACATTGTGGGAAGCAACACATATTACTTATACTCATGGTATTAGCTACCTATTGCTGTATAACAAATCACTTCAAAATGTAGTCATTTATTATCTCACAGTTTCTGTGGGTCAGGAATTCAGGCTGCATGGCTCTGGTTCAAGATCTCTCATGAGATTGTAGCTGAGGCTGCCTCATCTGAAGGCTTGTCTAGGGCTGGAATATCTACTTTCAAAGTAGCTCATTCATAAGGCTGGCAAGTTGTTGCTGGTTACTGGCTGGGGCTTCAGTTGCTCTCCATGTTTGTCTTTTCATGGAGTTGTTTTAGTGTCCTCATACTATAGTTCATGACTTTCCCAGACCAATGATCCTAAATGGGAAGTCAGAAGCTTTGTATAACTTTATCTTTGAAATCACATATTGTCACTCCTGCCATACTCTATTGACCACAGGGCCATCCCTGACTCAGTGTAGAAGGGGGTTACACTAGGGCATGAATGCCTGAAGAAGAGGATCCCTAGGGGCCATTTGGTGACCTCACTCACATTTCTTTGGCCAAAGTAAGTCCTGTGACCAAACCTGACTTCAGTGAAATGGCAATGCACAACCCTCCTATGGAAAGGAAACTGAAGTATTTAGCCAGCTGAAATACCATCTATCATAATGGCTTATAGATGAAGACTCTTTAACACATCACTAGCCCAAAGAGCTTTCTTTTTCCTGTTACTTCTTCTCAAAGTTCTTGCCTCCACCAATAGCACAGCCCAATTATGCTCAATTTTCTTCAATGGGCTCAGGGACCACTTCAATGAAATGAAGGAGATTAAAGATCACTGGTATGATGACACTTAAGTCTCTTCCAGTAAGTCAAGGTTTTGAGAAAGTGTGCTAAGATCAGCTATGTCTGTGTAGAACAGTTGCACACTTTTAGCAGAGCCTCAAGGTAGAGCCTCGGGAGCTAGAAATAGACCCAAGTCAGACTTCAGGCAATGTGTTGGTCAGAAGCTGGTCAAGAGCAGTGAGGCAGAGACCTCAGGGTACAGAGCAGGAAAAAGCAGCAAATCAAACACCAGGAGAACAAAAAGGTGGAACCAGGAGGACATAAGCCTTGAAGGCCAAGCCAAGTCCAATGTTCTTGTGTCATATCAGGAAGTCAAGAGTCAAGGAGGCCAAGAACCAGAGATTCACAGCACCACAGAGACCTCGGTTCTGAGATAAATTCCCATCTCAGTTCTTAGAACCATATTGTCCTTGACCTTATCTTCTAGATGTGTCCCATTCACATTCAGTATAGCCCAAGTATATTTACTGAAACCAAGATTGTGATTTCTACAATTGTTACTACAAAATTGATTTCTATAATTGTTATCACAATACAAAGTTCCGTCTACCATGAGTGCTCAATAAATGTTTATTGATAGTTAACTATTGCCATCCATTCCCATATAATAAAATATATGGGAAAATGTAGCTGTTCAGCATTATCAGGTATCTAGGTCCCGAGAGTTTTGAGTTTCCCTCAGTAACCAAAACAGATGACCTCATTAATGAAAGGAAACTTGAAGAGGCAGGTTAAAGATGGCTAATAATTTTTTGACATTCCTTCTGTAAAGAGATGGGGTTTATTTCTCTTCTCCTTAAATCAGGGAAAGCCTGGCTGTTTTGATCAACAGAGCATGGTGGAAGTCATGCTCGGCCAGTTCAGGTCTTGCCTGCATATACAATAACAGCTTCAAAAAAGTAACCAGATCTACAACTAAGTGACCCCTGCTCTGGCTGAGCAACAGCTCACACACTCCAGAAGTGCATATTAGAAGATACAATGCTTATTTAAGTATTGGAAATCACATTACCATCTAAAGCTCCTGCCTTTATGAGGTATTTGGAGTGTTTTAAGTTAAGAGGGCTGTGATTACAACTGTCTTTAATGTTATTAGCCCCAAGATCTGAGGGTCCACTCACTCATCTGGGCACTTCTGTCATATTACAAAGAAGCTTCATAGACAGCTCTTTCAGCAGTAATGTTCCTTCACCACCATGTAATAAAAGGAAATTAGACAATTGTAATTCCCACATGGAATTTAACCAAGAGGCTCCAGAGTCTCTTACTCCCAACCTACTACCTCAATTCCAGAGAGGATATGGGGGCATGGTGGGAAACTTTTGGACTATAACATAGGATAATCTAATTTGGAAGTTGGTATCTGTTTGAGATCATTTTTTTCTTCCCCTTTTCTTTTTCAACTTCTTGGTAAAGAAGAGATACTTTTTCAACAGCCAAGCAACTGATTCTACCTGACACTGCCAACCCCAACTCAGGCATGGCCCATCCCTGATGGTGGTCTCTCATGGTGGTTCCCAAACTCTGATTCTCAGACAGGTGCTGGGCTGGCTGCATCAGAATCCCCTGGGGAGCTTGTAATGTGGTCTCCAGGCTGCACCTGAGAAGTCTCTGATTGTCCAGGTCTGGGGTCATCCAGAGGATGTATATTTTCCCCCAAGGCTCTCCAGATGATTCTGATGCACAGCCAGGTCTGGAAACCACTGGTTTAGGTGAACATTGGTTCATTTCAATAAATCAAAACCACATGCCAAGACCATATGTTGCTACTGATATATATCAAACCCACTGACACACAGAAGAGTCAATAGTAGTTATGCTAATGCTTAGTAACAATGCTACCCTTTGACTAGGAAGAAGACAACAAACACCCACAACCTTTATTAGTGACTGTGTGTATGTAACAGAAGTTTAAGCAAAAAAAAAAAAGGTGATTTATTATAAGGAAACAAGAGGCTGGGCGCAGTGGCTCATGGCTATAATCTCGGTACTTTGGGAGGCCAAGGTGGGCGGATCATGAGGTCAGGAGTTTGAGGCCAACATGGTGAAACCCCGTCTCTACTAAAATTACCAAAATTAGCTGGGTGTGGTGGCAGGCACGTGTAATCCCAGCTACTCGGGAGGCGGAGGCAGGAGAATTGCTTGAACCTGGGAGGTGGAGGTTGCAGTGAACCGAGATCGCACCACTGCACTCCAGCCTGGGCGACAAGAGCAAGTCTCCATCTCGGGGGGAAAAAGAAAAATTAGCCAGGCATGGTGGCGGGCACCTGTAGTCCCAGCTACCCGGGAGGCCGAGGCAGGAGAATTGCTTGAACCTGGGAGGCGGAGGTTGCAGTGAGCCGAGACCACACCACTGCACTCCAGCCTGGTGACAGAGTGAGACTCCATCTCAAAAAGCAAATAAATAAATAAATAAATAAATAAATAATAAGAAAACATGGCTATCTTACAGAAACCAAGGTCCAGAGCTACATACCAGAAGAAAAAACTAGAATAAAAACTATGCTGTCAGGACCCAGGTCTCTCTTTCTACCACTTTTTAGTTTGTTTTTTGTTGGTTGGTTGTTTTTTAATCTCTGCTTTTGTCATCACCACTCTTTTATTTTATATCTGCAATGTGGCTGTCTCCGCTTCCCTGGACACGTGTACCAAACACAGCGTCCTCAGCCCCTGGTTTGCCATACTTTCTTGTCCTTGTTTCCAACAAGGACAGTCTAGAGACTGGCTGGAGCAGCCAGAGAATGCAAACTGGTGTGCTACAGCAGACATGGCCTGCAACTGTGTTTGCTTTGGACGACACGAATTTTTTTCAAATATAAAATAATTATTTTGAGATTTCATATGAAAACATGAATTCTGGACTTCTGTAAATATCAGAAAAACTGGCAAACTGGGATTACATGTGACAGCAATCGGCTGGAGTTGAATGATGGCCACCTCCTTGGCACAGAGCCTGTGCTCTCCAGTTTGCCACTATCTCTATTGTATCTATCTTGGCTCAGGCTGCTCTAACAAGAATACTGCAGACTGGGTGGTGCAAACAAGAAACATTTATTTCTCACAGTTCTGGAGGCTGGGATGTCTGAGACCAGGGTGCCAGCATGGTTGGTTTCTGGTGAGGGCTGTCTTTCTGGTTCTCTCACATGGCAAAGAATAGAGAGAGGAAGGAATTTCTTTCATGTCTTTTCTTACAAGGTCACTAATTCTATCATGAGGTCTCTACCCTCGTGAGCTAATTACCTCCTAAAGGTCCCATCTCCAGAAACCATCACATTATGGGTTAGGATTTCAACATATGAATTTTGGGGAGTGCTATGGTCTCAAAAACTCATGTGGAAATTTAATTGCCAGAGTAACGGTATTAAGAAGTGATTAGGAATGGATTAATGTCATTATCACAGGAGCAGTTAGTTATTGTGGGAATGGGTTCCTGATAAAAGGATACATTCTGGCCCCCATCCTTTCTTTGTCTTACACGCTTGTTTGCCCTTCTGCCTTCTGCCCTTCACCATGGGATTATGCAGCACAAAGGCCCTCACCAGATGCCAGCACCATCTGGACTTCCCAGCCTCCAGAACCATGAGCCAAATAAGCTTCTATTTTTTATAAATCACCTAGTCTGTGGTATTCTGTTATAGCAGCACAAAATGAACTAAGCCAGGGAAACACAAACATCCAGTTCATAGCAGGATCCCAGACCCCAAGATCATGGATCAGATGCTGTCTACCATAGCAGTTGTGCTATTGGTTTCCTTATACCTGTATCAGTCATTATGTTACACTCTAGACCCTTGCAAGCATTTTAATTAGCAACTCCACTGAATTTTCTAAGTGTACATTCTAAACTTCCAGAAGAAAATTAGATTGACCCAGCTTGATCATGTATCTGCCCCTGGTCCAAGCAGCTCAGCCATGATAGGATGCATGTAGCTCAGGACCCACTCAGTAGAAACTATGGGAGCAGAAATTCTGAGATGGGAGTGAGGGCAAGTTCTCCAAGAAGACAGTATGGGGAGGGAGGAAATCATTGACGATGGCTCTTGTATACCTGCCATTGGTTTCACTTTTAGGATTCATGCTCTTATCCTTCCATATTTTATCTAGGCATAGATAAGCCTTCTATGACCAAGCCACAAACATTTTGTGCAAGATAGGCAACAGAGTTTATGGGTGTAATCTGAGTTGGTGGACGGTGCAGAGGTCTGAATGGGTTTTTTATTTTGTTTTGTTTTGTTTTAAGAGATGCTATGGTGTAAGCTCTGCAAAGGCAAGAATTTTTGTAAGCTTGGTTTTCTGATTGATCTCAAGCACCAAGAATAGTGTCTAATCCACAGATGTGCCCTATACACATTGAGTGAGCAAGTGAATCAATGAACTGAATCTCTGTCATATGCTGAAGAGCCACGGTTTTCAGCTGGGAGTCCCTCTTTGAATTACTTGGAATGTTTTGTTTTGTTTTGTTTTGTTTTTTTGAGACGGAGTTTCACTCTTGTTGCCCGGGCTAGAGTGCAATGGTGAGATCTCAGCTCACCAAAACCTCCACCTCCTGGATTCAAGCAATTCTCCTGCCTCAGCCTCCCAAGTAGCTGGGATTACAGGCACACGCCACCACGCCTGGCTAATTTTGTATTTTTAGTAGAGATGGGGTTTCTCCATGTTGGTCAGGTTGGTCTCGAACTCCCGACCTCAGGTGATCTGCTGGCCTCGGCCTCCCAAAGTGCTGGGATTACAGGCGTGAGCCACCGCACCCAGTTGAAAGTTTTTAAAAGTACAGACTTGCCGGGTACAGTGGCTCACGCCTGTAATCCTAGAACTTGAGGACTTTGGGAGGCCGAAATGGGTGGATTGCCTGAGTTTAGGAGCTAGAGACCAGCCTGGGCAACGTGGTGAAACTCTATCTATACTAACATACAAAAAATTAATTGGGTGTGGTGGCATGCACCCGTAGTCCCAGTTACTTGGGAGGCTGAGCCGCAAGAATTGCTTGAACCTGGGAGGCAAAGGTTGTTGAGAGCCAAGATTGTACCACTGCACTCTAGCCTGGGGAACAGAGTGAGACTCTGTCTCAAAAAAAAAAAAAAAAAAAGAAGTACAGACTCCTTTCCATAGGTAGGGCCAAGGAGTCTACATTTTTGGAAAAGCATACTAGGAGATTTTGATGAACAGGGATTGTTTTTAAAAACAAATAAACAAACAACAAAAATACTAAGATCTTCGCATGGTCTCAGATTCTTTAACAAAATTCTCTGAAATAATTAAAGAACAAGGGGAAGGGAGAAAGGCAGAGGAAAAATGGATAAATGGAAAAATTGAAAACAAAGGAAATAGAGGAAAACATTTTGAAACTTTTCAAATATGTTAAAAGCATTTCTAGCTAATGTTACTTACTTAGCACAAGCTGAATTAGCACAAATTGGATTTAAAATACCTTTGAAAACAATTTGTACAATTTTCATTGTGAAAAATCAAGCAGCCACTTTATAATTTGGAAAAATTTCATTTTCAGGTAGTCATCATGTTATAATAATTGTCTAAGAATGGCTACCAAGATTATGTATTGACTTTTCTCTTGAACATTTGTATAGGGGGTATTAAACTTTAAATAAGTATGAATTGATACTCAGGCTAAAAAAATTAATCTGCCCTAAGTTAGTCTCCTGCTGTTTGTACAAAGGCAAAAAACTGCCTGCTCCCGCATGGGTGTCATCATGGCAGAGCACATTTTCAAATGATGCTGGTGAATCCACAATGTAGTACATACTGATCACATGAGCCTCAGAGCATGGCCTCTCAACGGTCATTGGCATTCTCAGGCAGTGATCAAAATCAAGTTATACAATACACTATGCAGTTTATTCTGAGCACAGCCAATGGTTAGGTTTCAATTTCATTAAAATAAATACGTAAGGACAACCAGTGCTGGAAGTTGGTAGTGTTTTACCTCACTTTCAGTAAACTTTACCCCACATCCACGAGGGTGGGTGAACTAGTGCTTAGACAGAACAGAAAGTTAACAAGATGCTGAGAAGTGGAGTCTGTACCACAAGACCCCAAAATGAAATCCAAAGGTGGTGAGCAGGCAACTGATAGCAGCAACAAGCTGGAGAGATGGCAGTGATTACAGGACTTTCTAAGGGTCAAAAGCAATGACCCAGCACCTCAGGAATTACCTTACTATCTGCCCCATTTCTCATATTATTTGTAAGTGCCAGCCAGCTAGAACCCTATACCCAGAAACATATCCCAAAAGGAAGCCAGGAAGGTCTTTTTTTTTTTTTTTTTTTTTTTTTTTGAGACACAGTCTTGCTCTGTCACCCAGGCTGGAGTGCAGTGGTGCGCTCTTGACTCACTGCAAACTCCGGCTCACTGCAACCTCCACCTTCCGAGTTCAAGTGATTCTCCTGCTCAGCCTCCCAAGTACCTGGAATTACAGGTGCACGCCACCACACCCAGCTAATTTTTGTATTTTTAGTAGAGACAGGGTTTTAGCATGTTGGCCAGGCTGGTCTTGAACTCCTGACCTCGCGTGATCTGCCCACCTTGGCCTCCCAAAGTGCTGGGATTACAGGTGTGATCTACCACGCCCAGCCAGGAAGGTCTCTTGAAGCTTCTCTGGCTCTATGGGCTGCTCAGTGGGCTTTCTGCCTTAGCCACCCCCATCCTACCATGCTTCTTTCTAGGGGACTCATCTTACATTCCATGGGGTGAGGGTGGGGTCTGCTTTTTTGCATTCTTTATTTTCTAGTTGAATTCTTTGCTTTCCTTTCCTTAGACCTGGGTTTTTCTCTAGCTGTATTCTCCCAGGTCAGGTCAGATATGGAGCTTGGACAACATATAAGGGTGCTTCTAGATTACTAGGAGGAACACTGTAAACATGGGAAGTCCTAAAATCCTCTCCCCAGAGATGTGGTTTGGAAGAAAGCTCAACAATCTGTGCATGTCATAAGTGCTGCAAGAAATTCTAGTGCCGGTGGTCCATGGGCCACCTGTGAGACCCCCCAGAGCACCTCTCACTGCTGAACTCCCAGAAAATCCCCCTGGCCCTCTTTTGCATCATTTCTCCCAACATGGGACAGCAGCTTGGCAGGATCTAGGTTACATGACAAACATTTAGTGAACAGCCCCACTTGGGCCAGGCAGTCACTCCTCTGGGACCCTATGACTCCTGCCTTTCCCCTCTCCTTCCTTTTACCATTCCCCCATTTTTGCTTCTCACTTCTGGCTCCTTTGCTCTCGCTGCCTACCTGAACTCTCTGAAGCCGCTGAACTTCTGAGGCTGGGAGTCCTCTTCTCTAAACTTCCCTTTCCTTAGCTGAGTGGGGACCTAGCCCCAGTAAATGGGATCCTGGCTCTGATACGTTTTGGCTGTGTCCCCACCCAAATCTCATCTTGAACTGCAACTCCCACAATTCCCACGTGTCATGGGAGGAACCCAGTGAGAGGTGATTTAGTTATGCGGGTGGGTCTTTCCTGAACTGTTCTCATGAGAGTGAATGAATCTCACGAGAGCTGATGGTTTAAGAAAATGGAAGTTTGCCAGCACAAGCTCTCTGTTTTTGCCGCCACCATCCATGTAAGACACGACTTGCCCCTCCCTGCCTTTTACCTTCCACCATGATTGTGAGGCCTCCCTAGCCACGTGGAACTGTAAGTCCAATAAATCTCCTTCTTCTGTAAATTGCCCAGTCTTGGGAATGTCTTTACCAGCAGCGTGAAAACGGACTAATATAGGCTCCAAAGCTTCAATCAAAAAGAAGGGAAGGTATGTGATTTGGCAGCCCAAGTAACTTCGGAGAATTAAAACGAATCTGACCCAAGAAGGAGTTTTGTATTTCCTAATTTAAAACAAAAATTTCTCCTTAAGTCTTACACTTTCTGAAAGTAATTCATTTGGGACATTGCTAGCATAGGACTGATACCTTGTACTAGAGAAAGAAAGATGAATTCAAGTCAGAAAGTTAGCATGCAAAGTCCAGTATGTGTGCAACCAGATCAGAAAGGGATATTTGATGGGATACATATGAAAGCAATGGTTAGAGAAAAATAAACCACTTCATGTTCATAGGGTTAATATTACTCAATAAACAAGTTAAAATTGGTGAGAGATTTCCTATATATTTAAGTGCAACAGCAAACTGCAGAACCATACGTACATCTATATTTATATAGAGAGTCAGCATTTGTGTATTAATAAAAAAGCCTATGCCCCTATGTATGTACATATTTGCTTCCTTTTGTATAAAGTGTCTCTGGAAAGACATACAAAACAGGTAGTAACAGTTGCTTCTGAAGAAGGTAACTGGGTAGCTGGGAAACTTACTTTCAAAATATCATTTTGTAGCTTTTGCATGTTGTATCATATGACTATTTTATCTATTCAGCAAATTTAAAATTAAAAAATCACCCTCTGCAAGTCCCTTCAGATTTTATTTTTCTAAGTCCAGATACAGCATTTTAAACATATTCCTGGATTTGAACACTAAAGACAAAAATGGAATTATGATAGTGAGGCCACAAAGGAGACTCAGGAACAACCTGTGGGTGTTAGGTTTAAAAATCTGGACAGAGTCTTTCTTTCCTGTGTGGATGATAGTTTTTTGTGATAGCTGAACACACCCCCTCAGGGAGAATGTAAGAGATGTTGACTGGTACTCAGAGAGAATGCCAGTTGCTGAGCATTCCACATTCCAACAAAAGTTCCCAACACTTCTCTCAGGCTCACCAGACTGGCTCTGCTATCCCCGAACCTAATGCCAACATCCTTCTTCCTAAGGCTGATAGGCAGTAGAGAGAGTTGGATGCACTGGGAGTGCAAACCAGAAGTCATCCTGTCCCACTGGTGATAGTTACCTGGTCAGCTCTACAGTCCAGGTGGTCTCTTGGTCCCCACCTTGACTTCTCTCCTCTCACTGTCAGGCCACAGGTACCACATCACATAACCTGTGACATCTCTGTTCTAGAAAGCAGAAACTGTGCCCTGTTCACTTTATCCCTAGCCCCCAGCATAGTGCCTGGCCCACTGTGGTACCGACTGTAATGATTGTTGGATGAATGAATGCCCCAACAAGTGAATAAACAAATGAATAAATGGCATTAAGCTCTTTACTGTCCAAAGTTCCAAGCCAAAAGAGATGTTTTCCTCTAAGGTGATAAGTGTCTCTATATCCAGCATATCCAGTGTTTGTTGACAGGGCCTCTCAGCCTTCACAGCACCTTGTGCAAATTAGGAAAGCACATGCCTCCAGGCAGATGTACCCATAAGCCATAGCTTGGTGGCAGAAGGAGCCTCTGAGAGAAGGTAAAAGTGCCTTTCTCTGGGAAGACGGCCTGGATTGCTGCATTCAGGTTAGATTTCCAGACTCATTCACCCCTAGGCTGGGCATCTCTATGCAGAACCCCAACCACACAACCTTGAGCAGCTACAGAATTCCTTCCCTTTACCTCACTTCTGTTATGCCATCTCCATCTCCTCCTCCACTGGTATTTACTCCCCCACATCTCTTCCCCATCCCCTTTACCCAAGGGGCCCCTCCCAGGCTATCTCTACTCCATGTCTCTTACTCTCTTCCCTTCTCAATCTCTCATCGAGATTTTTTTCTTTCCATATTTCCTGGCTGCTCATCCTTTCTTTCATCAGCACATACTGTGATTCACACGTTTTCTCATTCTTCTCTTGTGGTACCATATTGAAAAAGAGTTTGTTTATCCCATTTAACAGAAAATAAACTAAGACTCAAGCAGTTTATATAACTTGATGAGATCACACAAGCTTTAAGGAACAAAGTTAGTAATTTAATCCAAATTGAGGTGACATCAAACACAAAGTTCTGACTTCTGCTTCTGGCTATAATTGAATAACAGGAACCAGATTTTATCCTGCTGCCTAAAACAGTAACAAAAAGAGGGATGAGATATATGAAACAGTAGTTTCAGGACACTGGGTATCAGGTAACAAAGGATAGTGATCCTGCAGAGACAGAAAATAAAATTAATGAGCCCTACAATTACCCTAGTTTACTGCCTTGACACATTTTCCAAGCTATGGCTCAGGGAAGGGAAACTGAGGCAGAGACTGGTGATCTCATTGAGTTGAGGACACAAAACTAAGAGTCTGGGGAGACCAAAGCAGTCTAAGTTGAGAGGACAGAATATGAGACAGGAGAGAGGTGCACAGAAAGAGAATCTCAGAGCTCTGCAGAGAAAATACTGATCCAAATGCTGAATATGGGGAAGGAACCAACTTTAAGAGGAGGTTTTAAAGGACACAGTGCCTGGTTTAACACAGGGCCAGAAATTGTGCCTGAATTGTGTTTTTTCAGTCAGATTTTAAAAACTTAATTCATTTGACATTGGGTGGAGTATTCAGGAAGAAGGTCTTGCCTCAGTAGTGGAGAGTATTTAGCCCTAGGCTGAGCACTGCCCTGTTTCCACCTAACAAATCATAAAAGCAAGACCAAAAGGATGAAACTATTTCCAAGTAACTGCATTCCTTCCATTCCTTCTTCTGCTTCTTCTTTGTCTTTTCTTTTTCTTGGTTTTTTTTTTTTTTTTTTTTTTTGAGACAGGGTGTCACTCTGGTCTCCCAGGCTGAGGGCAGTAGCTCAATCACAGCTCACTGCAACCTCTGCCTCCCAGGCTCAAGCTATCCTCCCACCTCAGCCTCCTGAGTAGCTGGGACCACAGGTGCACACTACCACACCTGGCATGTATATAAATTTTTTTGGCGGGGGAGAGATGGGGTTTCACCATATTGCCCAGGCTGGTCTCAAACTCTTGGGCTTAAGTGATCCACCTACCTCAGCCTCCCAAAGCACTAGGATTACAGCGGGGAGCCACCATGCCTGGCCTGCATCTCTTCTTGAGAAACAAAGCTTAAGAAGATTTATTGTAATATAAAAATATCTATCACCCAACGATATGTAATTCACAATGTCTGGCATCCAGTCAAAGATAACTAGGCAGGCAAAAAAGCAAGAAATCATGACTCAGATTAAAGAGAATAATTAATCAATTAAAGTTGACTTTCCCAACTCAGAACACACACAGATGTTAAAACTAGCAGAAAAGGACATGGAAACACATGTTGTAAGTGCTCGGTAAATGTTAGCTTTCATTATTATTTCATTTTTTCCCTCAAAAATGTTTACCTCAAAGAAGAGATTATCATCCACACTGACAAAAAGTAAAACTGTGTTGGCCAGGTGCAGTGACTCACGCCTGTAATCCCAGCACTTTGGAAGGCCGAGGTGGGTGGATCACGAGGTCAAGAGATCAAGACCATCCTGGCCAACATGGTAAAACCCCGTCTCTACTAAAAATACAAAAATTAGCTGGGCGTGGTGGCCCGTGCCTGTAGTCCCAGCTACTCAGGAGGCTGAGGCAGGAGAATCACCTGAACCCGGGAGGTGGAGGCTGCAGTGAGCCAAGATGGTGTACACTGCACTCCAGCCTGGTGATAAAGCGAGACTCTGTCTCAAAAACAAAACAAAACAAAACACAACAAAACTGTGTCTCAGAGTGGTGGAGTGGCCTAACCAAGTTCCCAAAGGAAGCTACCTGCAGAAGAGCGACTAGAATTAGTTTCTTCATTTACATATTGTGTCACTTACCTATGAGCTCTAGTTGAAAGGTCTTTACATCCCTGGGTACTGCTAGCATCCAGGAAGTTGAGCAGAAGCAGCAATTCAGAGCCAGTTACTATAATCAGGCTGAAGGGGAAAAACAAAACAGAAACACAAAGAGAAAGAGAATATTTAGCTTAAAATATTGATTTGTATGATTAGAAGGGTGGAATAAGAACAAATTACTTTAACCCATTACAATAAGACCCATAACTGAAAGCATTATACATATGGAAATATATAAAATCATTAGAGTTAATTTATTTTGACCATGTATTTTGGGGGGGAAGAGTCAGGTATAGATGTAAAAATTCATGCCCACTAGCCCCTGTTGGGTCACTGGAAATATGCTAGATGGATTACACCTTAGTCTTTTTTTTTTTTTTTTTTTTTTTTTTTTTTTTTGAGACGGAGTCTCGCTCTGTCGCCCAGGCTGGAGTGCAGTGGCGGGATCTCGGCTCACTGCAAGCTCCGCCTCCCGGGTTCACGCCATTCTCCTGCCTCAGCCTCCCGAGTAGCTGGGACTACAGGCGCCCGCCACTACGCCCGGCTAATTTTTTGTATTTTTAGTAGAGACGGGATTTCACCGTTTTAGCTGGGATGGTCTCGATCTCCTGACCTCGTGATCCGCCCGCCTCGGCCTCCCAAAGTGCAGGGTGATCCAATTTTGCTAAGCAAGAAGTCAGGACACATTCAGGCTCTTCCGTTGCCTGGAATGCCAAGATCTATTTCTGGTGCACATAATGAACTCCTGCTCATCCTTTAAAACCCAGCCCAGGTGTCACTCCTTCTTGGAAGCCTTTCTGGCCACGGTCCCACCTCCAGACTAAATGAAGTTAATCACTGTCCCTTATGATTCCCTGTGGTTGGAACATATTTTGATTGTTACACATGAATCACTAAATTGTAATTATTGTTTAATTTGTAAGATCCTTGAGGGCAGGGATTATGACATATTCATCTCCAGGTCCCTTTGGCCTAATTTAGGGACTGACGTGTCATAGCCAGTAAATGTTGGTTGGATTGGATTGAATGGTAATAAAGAGCATTTTCTTACTTGTGAATTCAATTCTATGAAGTCTTGCAGATACATAAAATGACTTCCCATTTGTTATACATTTAACAAATTGCCTTTATTAAAAACATTAAAATTACATGAAATCAGGGTGCCCTGGAACATCCTAGACATATGGCCATATGGCTTCCAAACAGCATAATACCAGCAGCTTGGATTTATCTAATTTGACAAAGTGAGGTACTCATTGGCATTTGAAAGAAATGTCAAACAAAACCACAGGGGGTTGGAGGGGAGTTGTTTAAATTAATTTCAGTTGCCAAAGGGAAGTGATTCACTTCCAAGTGATTTGTTTTGACTCTGATATTATTCTCCTAGCACAGATCTCATCTTATATCTTCTAGTAATTGGTTTAATACCTTTGGGTGTTATTTGGCCCTTTTTCACATTTTGCACTGAACAACTCACTTTTAAAAGATAACAAAACACTTATAAGCACTTGCTAATTAAAGAACTAGATTCTCCTAGTGTTTACATTAGGTTCTTAGGAAAATTAGGAGAACTATTAGAAGAGCATTACTTCATGAAAGGTAAAAAATTATAGGAGTTAAACCAATGTGGATGATGAGAGGACAGGGGATGGTGGTGAGAATTTAATCTTTCTAAGCTGGAGAAATAACAACTGCAGCATTAGAGCATTTCATTGATTTATTTGTTCATTCCACAAACATATACTGAGGCTCACCAAAAATATTACAATGTTATGGTGCACCACAGAGCCCCCCAGAAAGGGCTTGAAAGGATGTCTCAACAGCTTGGAAAATTAAATGTCCTTCTTTAAAAACTCAGCTGAATGCTGTCACTCCTTTTGGTGGCTGAGGCATAAAACAAATTATACGAGGGGTCTTACAAGTTTGGCTAATACAAAATTTAATCCCAGGTGAATTGGATTAACCCTGACATTATTTCCCTAATTGAGTATATCACAGCAGACAGAACTCAACAAGAAGCCCAGATATTATCAAGATTTGTGTGTGCAGCATTCAAACCTAAGTTTGTTTTGTTTTGCTTTGTGTTGTTTTTTAACCAGCTGTACGCTTTAGTACGACAAAAATAGGCATGTAAAGGTTTAGAATCTGGCTCCTTCTGGATTTCACCCTTTGTTTTCAAAAACCTCAGAAGCAGATAATTGACCGTGGGTGTTCATCTGAACCAACAAGCTATCAGTATTAAACAACATTAATTTTGTGTCTTTTATGTCTATGAGGCAATAGGATGCCAAAATGTATAAGTTATGGTTCCTATTTCACTGGGCATGTAGACTCTCAAAGAATGAAGTATGTGCATAAGAAAATAAATGACATCAGAGGTGCAGGCAAGATGCAAAATACAATACAGACTGTAAGTTCATGGATGGGGATCCTGGTTGGAGAAAGAGGGGAAGGAGAACTTGACAAAGGCCTTGAATTTAGGAGACTTATGGAGAAAAGTGGGAGGATGGGAGGGTACAGTATGGGTAACAGCAGGAAGGAGGAAATATAAGTAGTGTTGGAGAACAATGAATACACTGGTTTTGTGAGAGTGGTAGGTTAGCATAGAACAGAGGTTAGAAACTAGAGCCTAATGCCCACTTTTGGGCGGTATAACATGTATTATTTGGCCTGAACTTAGTGTGAACATTAAAACACTGGTAGCATTCACATGAAAATCTGGATCCCTGATAATATCTTAAAAATGAGGATGTTGGTAGCAATGGGCCTACGTGCCCAGGAGGAGGCAATAATCACTTGAAGCTGAGTCACTACTATACCCTTTAGATGACAGTGAGTGTTCCATGCTGATGTGGTCCCCAGCTGGCCCCTTCACTCTTGTACCTCCCCTGTCCCATGCTTACAAGTATTTATTGGTCAGCTTTTGCTAGGTTACGCTGTCGTGACAAACACTCCTAAAATTTCAGTTGCTTCCTACTCACTACAAAGTTCTATTTCTACCTCTTATGTATCAGCTGCAGTTGGCTGTGCCTGTGCTCTGTATGTCTTCTCCACTCTGGCATCCAGGCCGCAGGGGCAGCCCCTGCCTAGGATGGACCATTCTCATGACCAAAGGGGAAAGAATAATGGCAGAACTGTGAGAATGACTCTTAAAACCTTTGTCAGACATGGCACATGTTACTTCCACTGACAGCACATCTGGCCAAAGCATGTTATATGCCAAACCTGATGTCAGTGGCCTGGGAAAACATAATCACAGAGAGATTCAGTGACTAATTGGAAATACATAATACAATCTTCAACAGTATTTGAATTTATTCCTCTCCTGATGAGAAAACATTTTGGAGTGAGGTAGGAGTAAAAACCAGAGGGCCTTGAATGCCAGCCACAAGGCTCTGTGACCGACAGCAAAGTTCCACATGCACATAAAACAAACAAAAAAACCCAAGGCAGGTGTGAATCTGGGAAACGGGGCTTTCACTGTATACAGCCTTACAAGAAGCATGCAACTGAACGTGACAGAGGCTGATAGAGGAGGAGGAAAGGGTTAGATCCCTCTGCTCCTGTCTTTATTTACAGCAAAGGGTAGAACACTTTGTCACCTTGGAAACAACCAACAAAGGCAGTGTGTAAAGCTGTAAGAAATCCCTGTCTGCTCTCTCAGAGGTGACTCGGGCTAAGTAGTGGGGTGGGGTATCCTGCCACCAGACTGCCCTGGGTCCTGGGTATTGTGTAGTCAGGCAGATGGCTCCAGCTGGAAGAAAAAGCTGTTTGGCCTTTGATGGTCACAGCTGACTACATAATATGTACCTTCTTGTCTTTTGTATTCAAAGATAACACTGCTGACCAAGGAGAGTGTGACCATAGTATCTGAACCCGTGACCTACACTGGGGACAGTACAGTCTCTCCGCTGCATAGCTATTCTTTATAAGTCTCACTGCAAAGATTTTATAGTCTGTAAAATTCTTTGCAATGGTTTTTACTCTGAATAAGCCTTAACAATCTGGTGGATTTTACTATCATTCCCAAAAGCATCTATATGTCACTGCTTGCATTTGCATAGTTACTAATTTTCTCTTACCATTTTATACTAAGTTGCATAGACTCTGCACTAGGAAAATTCTTCAAGAAGCTGATGTGCTTCTATCTTAGACTGTGGACTCTAAATTAACTACAAGATTAGTCACAATCATTGCTGTATCAGCCTGAAGCCTTGGTGTGATATCTCATGTCATATTGATGCCACGCTGGCACTATTCAAAAAGTTCTTGGCCTTTGAAATAGAGTTTTGAGCTTCTTAGACCTTCCAGATATTATTATCAGTTAGCACACAGGTGAAGATAGCCCAGCATATCTTTAGCCCTATCTGTGTAACATATACATTCCATAATGCCTGCATGGCTGAGCCATTCCTACATGACTATTCAAATAAAATGTAAACTTTATTTGCATTTTACTATAGAAAACATCTCATTTTGTTTCAGATTAAACATTATCGAGCTCAAAACTTTATAGTCAATTCCAATCCATTTGAATACTAAACTTCAGAGTATTAACATGTCTCCATATATAACATGGTTTAATAGGAACGACAATAGATTAAAGGAAACCTGAGTTTGGGGCTCAGCTTAGCCATTTATTATGTGACCATACACAAGTCATTTACTCACTTGTATAAAGAATGGACTAGAAGAGATAAGAGACAGCAAATATTTGACAGATGTACCATCAGTCCTAACTCCTCTGACATGGCAGACGTGACTAATCATTCATGGCCCTGATTCTTACTGATCTTAGAATGATCTTCAAAACCCTCTTCAGTACAGAATTCCAGGCAGCCACTACCAGTCATTGGAGTTGGCACTCAAGTTGAAATTCACATATGAGTCCAGGTCAAAATAATCTACAATATATGGAGATAACATGTGAAAGCACTTTGCCAATTGTTCTATGTCATACAAATTTAAGATGTTATTGTTACTACTATTACATTAGCTATTGTTACAGAAAATTTGTGCAGATTATGTTTATTTATTTATTTATTTTTTATTTTTGAGACGGAGTCTTGCTCTGTCTACCAGGCTGCACTCCCCTCCTGGGTTCAGACAATTCTCCTGTCTCAGCCTCCTGAGCAGCTGGTATTATATTATGTTTAGACTATATGAAGTGCTGATGGTGACTTGTATCTTGCTATTTTGCCACCTATAATTGTTATTCTAACAGCATGTGTGAAGAGATTTGGCTCCCAGCCTTTTCTTAGGTGAGCATGCACTATGAAAGCAATTTCACAGTACTGAAAAGGACTATCTTGGACTGCCTAGGAAACTGTCAGGGAGACATACTGCCTTGAATTTGAAGCCTGGCCTCACCTTTTAATGTGTGAATGTTGGCCTGTCACTCAACCTCTCTGAGCCTGTTTCGTCGCCCATGAAGTGGACAGTATAACCAACCTCCTCTTGGGGTTGTTAAAAAAATTGAAATGTAGGCTGGGTGCAGTGGCTCTTGCCTGTAATCCCAGCACTTTGGGAGGCCAAGGTGAGTGGATCACGAAGTCAGGAGTTCAAGACCAGCCTGGCCAAGATGGTGAAACCCCGTCTCTACTAAAAATACAAAAAAAAAAAAAAAAAAATTAGCCAGGTGTGGTGGTGGGTGCCTGTAATCCCAGCTACTCAGGAGGCTGAAGCAGAGAATTGCTTGAACCTGGGAAGCAGAAGTTGCAGTGAGCCAAGACCGCACTACTGCACTCCAGCCTGGGCGACAGAGTGAGACTGTCTCAAAAAAAAAAAAAAAAAAAAAGAAATGTGTAAAATAAGAAGCAAAAACCATGATTCATAAGCTGTACTCTATAAATGTGAGTTCCTGATACTGAAAAACTGGTTTATGGTGAGTACTCTAGGAATTTTGACTCACTTTCTATTTAACCTTAAGAGACAGAAAACACTTTCAGTCAGAAACAATATTTCTTTAGTGCAAGAAATAAGGACCTGCACTTAACTTAAATCACTATCTTCTTTCAAAACAAAGGTAAGAGCTGGAGCCCAAGTCCTCTCTGTGAGATTTGCCGCCAGGGCCGGGTGCTGTTGCTCATGCCTATAGTTCCAGCACTTTGGGAGACAGGGGAGGGTGGATCGCTTAAGTCCTGGAGTTTGAAACCAGCCTGGGCAACATGGTGAGACCCTGTCTCTACAAAAGAATTCTAAAAATTAACTTGACGTGGTGGCATGAGCCTGTAGTCCCAGCTACTCGGGAGACTGAAGTGGGAGGATCCACTGAGCTGGGAAGGCAGAGGAAGTTGCAGTGAGTCGTGATCCCTCCACTGCACTCCAGACTGGGTTACAGAGTGAGACCCTGTCTCGGCTCGGGAGCGGTAGCTCACGCCTGTAATCCCAGCACTTTTGGAGGCCGAGGCGGGCGGATTGCCTGAGGTCAGGAGTTAGAGATTAGGCTGACCAACATGGTGAAACCCTGCCTCTACTAAAAATGCAAAAATTAGCTGGGTGTGGTGGCCGGCGCCTGTAATCTCAGCGAGTTGGGAGACTGGGACAAGAGAATCGCTTGAACCCTGGAGGCAGAGGTTTCCCTGAGCTGAGACCAGGTCATTGCACTCCAGCCTGGGCAACAAGAGTAAAACTCCATCTAAAAAAAATGGGGGCCGGGCACAGTGGTGGCTCATGCCTGTAATCCCAGCAGTTTGGGAGGCCGAGGTGAGCAGATCACCTGAGGTCAGTAGTTTGAGACCAGCCTGGCCAACATGGTGAAACCCCGTCTCTACTAAAAATACCAAAAATCAGCCGGGAGTAGTGCAGTCGCCTGTAATCCCAGCTACTCAGGAGGCTGAGACAGAAGAATCGCTTGAACCCGGGAGGTGGAGGTTACAGTGAGCCAAGATCATACCATTGCACTCCAGCCTGGGTAACAAGAGCGAAACTCCGTCTCAAAAAAAAAAAAAAAAAAAAGATTTGCCTCCTTTACCAAATGAGTTGTTGCGACTTTTATCTAAAACAATTAGAAAATTTGAAGGGAGCAATAACTCAAAAGCTGCTAATGCTGTGTGGATGACATTCAGTAAGGGAACAATGCTATGACTTAAAATAACATACTTCAATCTTTGTGCTAAGATCAGACATTGTCATATTATGCGTGCACGTGCTTGATCATGTAGATGAGATTTATGCAAATCCCTCTGGGAATGTATATGTGACACTTTTCAGAGTGTTCTGTGTCAGGGTTCTGAGTATCTCAATTAGAAGACTTTCAATGCTCAGTCTGGATACTTCTGCTGTTTCCACCTCAAAGATTAGAACTTCTTTTGAAACTATAACCTTGGCAGCTTTAATCTGCCCCCATCCCTATTCCTCATCCATCCACCTCCCCTCTGTCAAGTTTATTATCAGTACATACTTTTTAAAATCTTTGGAATGCAAAGCCATTTAATTAAGAAAAATTTGAGGGCACAACTATATAAAGGAGGTAAAAATCGCTAATATTAGTTAGTTAAAAATCTGCTAGGGGGCAGCTAGATTGAGAAATCTTGCTTTTGGGGTAGCCATTTTTGTAGCAAAATTTTTTACCTTCTCCAAGAGCAATGGTCTGTTGTGACTGTAGCAACTGATAGGAAATCCTAAGGCCCAGAAGCATCTTTTCAATATGTGGGGGTTCTTAAACATTAAGGGAAGATATTCTTAAGCATTTTCTTGAGCAGATGTGTTTTTAAAAATGCAAATGGATATAATCTCTGAATACTAAACCAGTGGTGAGCAATCTTTTTATATAAAAGCCAATGTAAAAACATAAAATAAAAAGTTTATAGCCTCCCACCCTCTCATTTTTTTCTAAATAAAAATGTCTTCATATTTTCTCTCATCATAAAAATGGTATAAATTCAGAAGAAAATTGACGCTGCTTTGTAGCCAATAAATATGAATATCTAGACCCGTTATGGAAGTAGCAAAGTGGAGTTTTTTTTCTAATCTTTTTATGAACTTAGATCAAAATGCAAGATGGGGAGCACGCAGCCCTCAAAGCCACAAAGTTTTTATCACCTTTGAGAAAGAATATAGTTTTTCCTTTAAATGTTGTCTCTTCTAAATTACTGTTGTAGGAAAATAACATGATTATATACTTGAAAATCATAAAAGAATCACATTTAAAATGACCCTAACTGAATTCAGTATGGGAATTAGTTTAAAAATAAATAAATAAATAAATAAATAAATTTTTTATTTTTGAGACAGAGTCTTGCTCTGACACCCAGGCTTGAATGCAGTGGTACGATCTCGGCTCACTGTCACTGCAACCTCTACCTCCTGGGTTCAAGTGATTCTCCTGTCTCAGCCTCCCGAGTAGCTGGGCTTACAGGCGCACATCATCATGCTGAGCCAATTTTTGTATTTTTAGTAAAGACAGGGTTTTATCATGTTGGCCAGGCTGGTCTTGAACTCCTGACCTCAGGTGATCCACCTGCCTCAGCCTCCCAAAGTGCTGGGATTACAGGCATGAGCCACAGCGCCTTGCCTAAAAATAAATTTAGAAGTGTGTCTCTCACACACGCACACACACACACTTATACACATATATGCACATACATACATATACACCCACGTATACACACACACACACACACACACACACAAGAGGACTTCAAAAAGCTCATGGAATAATAGAATTAAAAGAAAAAGATAAAAATATAAATATAAGCTTTACTTCTCAACATAAGCTCCATCAAGTTCAAGACACTTTTTTTAAATGATGATACCTGCCATTTAGTCAATCCATAAAGAACTGCACGTCCTGGGAATTTAACCATCAAAGCAGTCTTTTAAAATATAATTTAATGAAGAAAAATGGATGCCCTTTAAAGACTTTTTTTTTTTTTGAGACGGAGTTTCATTCTTGTTGCGCAGGCTGGAATGCAATGGTGCGATTTTGGCTCACTGCAAACTCTGCCTCCCAGGTTCAACCGATTCTCCTGCCTCACCCTCCCAAGTAGCTGGGATTACAGGTGCATGCCACCATGCCCACCTAATTTTTGTATTTTTAGTAGAAATGGGGTTTCATCATATTGGTCAGGCTGGTCTCGAACTCCTGACCTTAGGTGATCCGCCCACCTCGGCCTCCCAAAGTGCTGGGATTACAGGCGTGAGCCACTGCACCGGGCTTGAAGATTTTTTTAAGATTAAGAAACAAAAATAAGTCAGAAGCAGCCACATCAGGATGGTATGGTGGATGCCTAATGATTTCCCATTGAACCTCTTGCAAAATTGCCCTTGTTTGATGAGAGAAATGAGCAGGAGCATTGGTTGTGGTGGAGAAGGACTCCCTGGAGAAGCTTTCCTGGGTGTTTTTCTGCTAAAGCTTTGGATAACTTTCTCCAAACACTGCCATAATAAGCAGATGTTATTGTTCTGTGGTCATCCAGGAAGTCAACAAGCAAAATGCCTTGAGCATCCCAAAAAGCTATGGCCATGACCTTTGCTCTTGACTGGTCTGCCTTTGCTTTGTTCTTTTTTTTCAAGATGGAGTCTTGCCCTGTTGCCCAGGCTGGAGTGCAGTGGTGCAATCTCAGCTCACTGCAACCTCAGCCTCCCAGGCTCAAGCGATTCTCCTGCCTCACCCTCCTGAGTAGCTGGGACTACAGGCTTGGGCCACCATGCCCAGCTAATTTTTGTATTTTTAGTAGAGATGGGGTTTCACCGTATTGGCCAGGATGGTCTCAAACTCCTGACATCAAGTGATCCCCCTGCCTCAGCCTCCCAAAGTGCTGGGATTACAGGTGTGATCCACCACGCCTGGCCTCTGCTTTTGCTTTGAGTGAACCACTTCAACCTCTTGGTAGCTCTTGGTAGCCATTGCTTTGATTGTGCTTTGTCTTCAGGATAG
Source organism: Homo sapiens (assembly GCF_000001405.40). NCBI lineage: Eukaryota > Metazoa > Chordata > Mammalia > Primates > Hominidae > Homo > Homo sapiens. Next base: position 167,204,956 of record NC_000001.11, read on the forward strand.
TACTGGTAAAGCCATGTTTCATTTCCTGTTATAATTCTTCAAAGAAATACTTCAGGATCTTAATCCCACTTGTTTAAAATTCCATTGATTTGTAGGCCTAGACCTGAAAAGAAATAAAATAAAATAATAAAATTTCCATTGAAAGCTCTGCTCTTGTCTGCAGCCAAGTTGGGTGCAATGGTTCTGGCACCCATTCAGTAGAAAGTTTGTTCAACTTTAATTTTTTTTTTTTTTTATTGAGACAGTTTTTCACTCTTGTTGCCCAGGCTGGAGTGCAGTGGCACGATCTCAGCTGACCGCAACATTGTCTCTCAGGTTCAAGCGATTCTCCTGCCTCAGCCTTCTGACTAGCTGGGATTACAGGCACGTGCCACCATGCCTGGCTGATTTTGTATTTTTAGTAGAGACAGGGTTTCACCATGTTGGTCAGGCTGGTCTCAAACTCCCGACCTCAGGTGATCCGCCTGCCTTGGCCTCCCAATCAACTTTTAATTTTTCAGTCAGAATTGTGTAAGCTGAACCAGTTGAGATGTCTGTGGTGTTGGATATTGTTTGTGCTGTGAGTCATTGGTCCTGTTCAGTTAGAGAACAAACAAAATGAATATTTTCCTGACAAACTGATGTAGATGATCTGCCACTGCATTCATTTTCAACATGCTCTCACCCCTTACTAAAATGAGTTACCCATTTGTAAACTACTGGTTTCTTTCAGGCATGTCCCCCCTAAACTTTTCATAAAGCATCAGTGATTTCACCATTCTTCCACCCAAGCTTCACCATAAATTTGATGTTTGTTCTTGCTTCAATTTTAGCAGAATATGTTGCTCTGATAGGGGCTAATTTCATACTGATGTCTTATCTTTCTAGTGCCTCAAACTTATCCCATTTAGACATGTTATAACAAGTTAGTATGAGTTTATTTTGGTACAAACATTTTTTGAAATCCATGCATAGTTTTTTCATAATACATACATTTCGTGAATTTTAAAAGACCCTGCATGTATATGTGTTTGTGTGTGTGTGTGTGTGTGTGTGAGTTCAAGACCACCCTGGCCAACACGGTGAAATCCCGTCTCTACCAAAAAACACAAAAATTAGCCGGGCGTGGTGGTATCCACCTGTAATCCGAGCTACTCAGGTGGCTGAGGCAGGAGAATTGCTTGAACCCAGGAGGCAGAGGTTGCAGTGAGCCAAGATTGTGCCACTGCACTCCAGCGTGAGTGACAGAGTGAGAACCTGTCTCAAAAAAAAACAAAAACAAAAAACAACAACAACAACAAAACCTTAAGTATGTCAAAATACACATTATGGGTCTTGATGCTCTAGCCGAATGCCAGACCCAGATTCTAGTTGAGTGTGTCTGTTGACCAGCTAGCAGCTCGAGGAATCTGTTCATTGTCATGCATGTTGGGGAGGAGCAGTTGAGAAGGTGTGTGAGGTGGGTACCTGGAAAAGAGAGAGCAAACAGTTAAGAATGGTGTCTGTTCTCCAACTGACCTCAAGGGAAGGAAGGGACAATTCAAAGTTGAAAGAGTAGTTTCCTTAAGGTTGTTGGTGGGACTTGAGGCACAAGCAGTGATGTCTCTGGGCCAGGAGACAGATTTCAACACAGTGACAGAGTGAAATGCTCTCTCCCCAGCTCAGCTGAATACTCAGTACAAGAAGATCACCAGGGGCCCAGAAACTGTTTGGTATGCCCAGGGGTTTGTGGCTGTGACAGCCCTAGGAGGCAGCCTTCTTCTGGCTGAGAAGAATGGCAGGTGACTCTGTGCAGAGTGAAACATGAAAGGACAGCTTTGAATGAGGTGTGCTTATGTCCTGCAATGATGAGGATAGGTGCTGGGAATAGGAACTTTTGGACTATTGAAGAAAATTTGAACCCATTTGTATTCAGAGGCTAGTGAGGTCTTGAGACATCTGGAATATCTGATACAATGTGGTTTATATGGATTATTTTTTAACAGAAGAAAGAGGATTAAATTATAATACATAATGACACCTCACTTATTTCACATTATGAGGAAATGTGATATTCCAGTAAGTCAATTTTCCAAATAATTGAAACAGCTCTTTAAGATTTAAAACATTTTAATGTTTTTAATGGAAAGTCTGCCAAAGTATACTGTACACTTTGCTTGCTTCTCAGAGGGGAAAATGAATTTAATGATTCCAAGTCATTGTGAGCACTGATGACTTTTTGTATTCTAGTATGGCAAGGCCCTGAGGATCTGATGACATACCTAGGGCTATTTTCTCTTAAGATAAATAGTCCCTAGCCTGCCATGCTCTCTGAACTCTTGTATCCACTTTTGGTAGGTTTGCTCTCTCCATTGTTATTAGACTGTCAAGAGACACTTGCTTTTCTCAGGGAGACAGTTTCTAGGCATCCACTTTACCCTCATTAACCTTTTAATTTCATCTTTAATCTGCTTTGGATATAGAAATTGCATGACTCATGTGAAAATCCTGGCTTAAAAAAGATGGAGTTCTAACTTCTGACAAAGGGTTGGAAGGGTTTGCCTAGGAATGAAGTGCGAGTTTTTAAAGCAGTTATTTTGTCTATTTGGAAGTATTTTAAATTTACTTTTGGTCTTGGCTGTGTTCCTCCACATTGCAGTTATTGGACTGGGGACTTTCAGAGAAGTGGTTTTTAATATATGTACACAATTGGGATGCTGGGGAGAGGGGAAAAGATTATTGTAGCCCTCTATCTCACCCAGATCAACATTATCTTATTCATTTTATGGAAATTGTAGTTAATATTCTGAATTAATTAGATTGTACAATCAGTTTCAAAAGCATAATGCAGTGGTGTATAAAATTTAATAATGTATAAAACTTGTTATGGAAATTTAAAATTTTAGGGCCAAGATGGAATTCAAACATGAATTTTGTATGAAGAAATGAAACAAAATAGTTGTGTTAGAGTAATTTTCTTTATTATTAGGGAAAAACATCCACAGCATCATTTAAATACTATACCATTCATCACATGTAATGCTTCCCAGCAAACTAATTTAAGGTGGACTCTAGACTCGATAAATATCAAAAGAGTATATCACAGTCCTCGCCTCTGCCTGTTTTCCTTTTGAAGATCAGCAGGCTTAGTAAAAACAGATTTCCTAAAATAAGCATTATCATATACAGAGAAGACTGGAAATCGTAAATGATGTGAGCAACTTCCCTTGATTATGACAGGAAGCCTGCATATATAATCTTTGTAGTGAATAAACATCTCCAATTTCTAGTATTATATCATCCAATTCCAGGAAAACATTATCATAATATGAAATAGATGAGAAAGTAAGTAGCAATCAGAACTATCTGGCAATGAGAAACACTAGGTTTTCTTTCTCTTGAGTCAGAGCAGCTTTCCTTAGTGAGAAAAGCTGATGTAAGGTGGTTCCACATTCAAATTTCAGTGCCTGAGCAACTTCGGGTAAGTTACTAAATTTCTCTGAACCTCAGCCCTTCTGACCATTATGCATTGGAAATAATGCTTCCTTCCTGTCTTAATCTGTTTTGCATTGCTATAACAGAATACCCGGGGCTGGGTAATTTATAAAGGAAAAAGGTTTATTTAGCTCGTGGTTTTTTTTTTTTTTTTTGGCTCCAGACTGTCCTCTGGTGGAGCTTTTGTGCTGCATTGAAACATGGAGGAGAAGGTCAAAGGGGAAGCAAGCATGAAGAGGGACCAGACCAGAGGGGCATCCTGGATTTATAGAAACCTACTCTTGGGGGAACTAATCCATTCCTGTGAGAACTAAACCAGTCTCACCAGAGCAAGAAATCACTCACTGCCACAAGGACAGCACCAAGATATTCAGGAAGGACCTGTCCCCATGACCCAAACACCTCCCACCACACCCTACTTCTCAACACAGACACACGGGGGAATCAAATTTCAACATGAGATTTGGTGAAGACAAACAAACCATATCCTAACCATAGCACTTCCCAAGAATGGCATAAGATTTAACTGAGGTAATGTTACTGAAATGCCAGGGGTTCACTCTAGGTCCTTCTGCTTGCCACACAGAAAGCCAATCACTGAGACAATGAGTATGACTAGGGAAGAAGTCTTTAATTAGGTGCTGCAGCCAAGGCAATGGGTGATTGGTCTCAAATCTATCTCCCTGACTAACTAAAATTAGAAGTTTATATAGCAGGGAAGAACTATAACCACGTATGGGAAAACAAGAATTAGTGAGGGGTAAGGAAGAGGAGTTGGTCAACAGGAAGCAGGTGGCTGGCTAGGCACTCATGACAGGTGAGGGGTCTGGTGTTTCACTGTCCAGATGCAGTGATCTGGTAAGTTTCAGTTCCTTGATACTATCTGGGAGGGCTGATGTTTGGTTTTCTGAGAAAGGAACTCAGATAAAATAAATGTTTAGTGCTTCAGTGGAAGTTTATATATATGTAACTTTCCCAAGTTTCAAGACTGGGAGGATGAATTTCTATGTTTATTCAAAAGAAACCATAAACATCAGTTCTAGGGACAATTGGGCTGGCTTCAGTCATGCACATTTAGCCCTTTCCTGTACCCTACATCCCCTCTATTTGAAAGCAGTGGTCCTACACTCAAACAGTCTTCAGGTCCTCACCTCCAACCATGACCTCCCTCTTGTATGTCTTGTCTTTCTAAGGGATCCCCAGTCACCCACCCAAAAAGCTAGTGGCTGTCCAAGGCTCCTCCTTTGCCTTCATCCTCCCGGCTCTGAACAACTCCTGGCCACTGATTCCTGTCTGAGTTAGGAGTTAGATGCATCTGCTCTGAGCTCCCCTGATCTACACGTACTTCACAATGTGCACTTTACCCACACTGGTGAATGCTCAGTAGACTCAGATTGTCTTGCAGGAAGGACTTAGGGTTTTTATCTCTGAATAATGATATTTGTGGAACTAAAGTGAAATAAAAGAATAATAGCTCAATAAACCTCAGTTTGCATTCTCCCTATTATTTCTTTTGCTCAAGATGCTGACTTGTGTGGCTTTTGTGTCTGGCTCTTGCCCTGCCTACATGTAGGACTGGTTTCTGTGGGTATTTCTGGTGAGATCTCAGAAGTATCTCACAAAATCCTATCAGTACACACAATACAGGGAGCACTAAGAAAGCACTGCAATCCCCATCTTACAGGGGAGGACCCTAGTGTACAGGGGCTTTCAAGATCTTCGTGTGAGGTTAAACAGTCAGTGAGAGGCAAGCCTGGGATCAATCCTGGGTGTGGCTGATGCCAGTACCCACACATAACCATTATCATAACTCTATTCCCTCCTCAATAGGTGTGATCAGTTACCCATGGCATCCTCATTTTACACTCCTTCGTCTACTTAAGCTTCCCTTTCCAAGCACTGCTAGTGCTTTTGATTGGTGCTTCTGATGCCTCTCACAAAGCACTGCAGTCCTCAATTTGCCAGAATGGGGCAGATTGTTCTCTCTTGCTCTTTTGTTCATTCAACTTTGTCAGAGGATTATTAAAGCTCCTTGTACCCCTATGTCCCCTAGAAAATTTCATGAAGTGGGCAGAAATTCAGCGGATATGCTCTGGCCTTGGGCACAGCTGGCAGATGCCCTGATGGATTAGGTGCCAAATTGGATAAATTACTGGGTGTGGTGGCTCATGCTTGTACTCCCAGCACTTCGAGAGGCTGAGGCAGGAGGACTGCTGGAGTCCAGGAGATTGAGACCAGCCTGGGCAACATAGTGAGACTTCATCTCTACAAAATAAAATAATTGTCTGGGTATGGTGGCATGTGCCTCCATAAAGGATAAATTGTCTTAATATAAGTTAAACATAACTTAAACATAAATTAAATACAAATGTAATTCCCCATTTATTTAATATTTAAATTAAATATAACATATTAATATATAAACACATGTATTTCGTTTTTGAAATATATATTTATATCCATCCAATGTATATATTTGTTTTGAAGCCTCTTTCTCTTATTTGTTGTTTACTAGTTTTGTTTTGTTTTTTGGTTTTTTTTTTTGAGATGGAGTCTCGCTTTGCCGCCCAGGCTAGAGTGCCGTGGTGCAATCTCAGCTCAGTGCAACCTCCGCCTCCTGGGTTCAAGCAATTCTCCTGCCTCGGCCTCCCAAGTAGCTGGAATTACAGGTGCATGCCACCATGCCCAGCTACTTTTTGTATTTTTAGTAGAAATGGGGTTTCGCCATGTCAGCCACGCTGGTCTCCTGACCACTCCTGGCGCTCCTGATATCAGGTGGTCCGCCCGCCTCGGCCTCCCAAAGTGCTGGAATTTCAGGTGTGAGCCACTGCACCCGGCCTGTTTACTAGTTTTACATTTACTTCCACCCTACTTCTCAAGCTTCTAATCTATAACTAGATCTTAGGAGAATGATCCAGCGGGTGGTTTTACTGACTTCCTGGTTGTAAGACTGTGTCTTTGTCTTCCTACTTGGCTAAATCTTCAACATCCTATAAAGCTGTAGCCCCAGGCAGAAGTTAGGCCACAATTTTACTCAGCCTCCATTTACAAAACTGTGTGGGAGTGTGAAATGACATAGGTACAAGGCTGTTCATTGTGATATTGAGAGTAACAGAGAACATTTATCTGTAAATAGCATGTGTACAGCAAGAGAGGACTCGAGTAAACCACGGTTCACGCACACAATGAACTACACAGAGCTATAAAAAAGAAAGTAAAATCTCCATGTCCTGATATGGAACAATCTTCTGTACATACAGTTAAGCGACAAAAGCAAGGTATAGAACAGTGCATATGGTGTGCTATCTTTTGTGTAAAAGGGTATGCTATCCTTTTAAGAAAGCGAGAGACACCACATGCCTGTGGTCCCAGCTACTTGGGAGGCTGAGGTAGGAGAATCACTTGAGCCCAGGAGTTTGGGCTGCAGTGAGCTATGATTGCGCCTGTGAATGTGAATAGCCACTGCACTCCAGCTTGGGCAACATCATAGAGAGATCCTGTCTCAAAAAAAAAAAAAAGGAAGAGAAATAAGAATATATATAGTTGCGAGAAGAGCCATTGGAAGAATACACAACAAACCAATAAAAATGATTTCCTAAAGAAGAGGGAAAGTGAGACTGGAGTAAACATGAGATTTCTCTGTATCATAAAATGCTATAGTTTGAGTTTTGAATTTTGATTTATGTAATATGTAGATATTAAAATATCTACCAATTACCAAAATAAAAAAAAAAAGAGTGTGTGTACCTGTGTGTAGAGGGCAGGATGCTTCCAAGCCCAGAGCCTAGTTCCAAGCCCATTTTAGCACCTCTTTGTGGTGCTAAAATTCCAAGTACCACTGCCTGCCTCAAGGCAGCTAACCTACTCCTGGTCTGCATTTATGTGCTCTTCCTGGTTTGTGGAAATGATTATTGCTTTTGAGTCTGTTTCTTTTTGGTTTTCTCTTTTTCTATTTCATCTGTCTTGCTGAATATTTGGAGCAGAGGAAATGTTTAGATTTGTGAAACTATTGTGCCATTGTAAGTCCTTTTCCTTTAGTTTTAACCCTTATTATTGAAAATCCTTTAAAAATATTTTTTTCTTACCTTACAAAGTCCAGCACACTCAGAATTACTAAACATTTCTCAGATAACAAAACATAATAGAATGAACTTTATAACCCTTAATTATCAGTATAAAATCATTACATTTCATAGAGTTTAAAATGTCATTGTAAGATGCACCATTATTTTATGTACCATTAGAAAATGCTGCCAAGGCCCAGCGTGGTGGCTCACGCCTGAAACCCCAACACTTTGGGAAGCCGAGGCAGGAGGATTGCTTGAGTCTAAGAGTCTGAGAGCAGCCTAGGCAACATAGCAAGACCCTGAGTTTACAAAAAATAAAAAATTAACTGGGTGTGGTAGTGCACACCCCTGTAGTCCCAGCTATTTGGGAAGCTGAGGTGGGAGGATCACTTGAACCCGGCAGGTCGAGGCTGCAGTGAGCCATGATCACACCACTGCACTTGGCCTGGGGGACAGAATGAGACCTTGTCTCAAAAACAAAAAAATGCTGCCAATTAAACTATGATACAGTGCTTTCTTATCAAACCTTTGTAAGGTGCATCTTGATGTCAAAGATATTAAAATGTGAAGAATTGTGCATCTGAATGAGTAAAATAAAGAATTATAGTTGTAGACTTGGAAAATAAAAAGGTTGAACTAAATGTGACTGATCCTAGGATGTTCCAGAAATCCAAAGGAAATATTTTGCCTAGAGTAATGTCAAGTATATGGTAGGTACTTGATGAATGTTTATGAATAAATAAAGGCTTTTTACAAGACATTGGATGGTCATTAAAACACAGCGAGAAGTAGGCAAGAAAATTTGTTTTAAAAATGTTGGCCAGGCGCGGTGGCTCACACCTGTAATCCCAGCACTTTGGGAAGCCAAGGCGGGTGGATCATGAGGTCAGGAGTTCAAGACCAGTCAGGCCAACATGATGAAACCCCATCTCTACTAAAACTACAAAAAAATTAGCCGGGTGTGGTGGCAGGCGCCTTTAGTCCCAGCTACTCGGGAGGCTGAGGCAGAGAATTGCTTGAACCTGGGAGGTGGAGGTTGCAGTGAGCCGAGATCGTGCCACTGCACTCCAGCCTGGGCGACAAGAGTGAGACTCCGTCTCAAAAACAAAAAAAAAAAAAGAAAAAATGTTAAGCATCGACTCTGTCTAGGCCTGTACTGTAACATTAAGAATAAGAAGATAAAAAAAAAGAAGATATAGTCTAGTCTTTGATAGTTTATACTCTAGTGAAGGAGACAAATGTAACACAGTCTGACAATCAGAGGAGAGATGGGGACTGAAGGAGTAGGTTGTCTTCAGAGGGATATTAATAGTTGAAATTGGGACAGATAATGACACCAAACAGGCTTGCAACATGAGAGGGACACAAGCAGAACCTCGGAGAGTACCTATATTTAATGGGAAGAAAAAGAGGATCCAGTGAGGAAAATCAAGACAGAGTTAGAGAGATCAGAGGAGAAATTGAAGAGCAATTTGTCATTGAGACCAGAAGCAGAGATGGCTTTGAGAAGGAAGGAACGATCAACATTGTCAAATTGCCGAGAGATGGGGCAAGATGAAGAGTGAAGATGTCATCAGATTTGGCAGTTAGGAGTTCATCAGTGGTTTCCAATAAAGTAATTTCAGTAAAATCATTGGAGCAGATGTCAGACTGTAATGGGTTGTTGAGTAAATGCAGGGAGAGTTTATCTAGAGAATGCTTATGAGGAAGAATAAAAAGAGGCAGGAAAAACCAGGAAGGGCAGAAACGTAGTCAATAAATGCAGGGGGAAAAATAGGCATCTCATTGCATGGAAACGAAGTGAAGGATTGAATGTCTAGATGCGAGGGGAAGGCAGGTTGGGGCAGAAGCTGGCAGCTAAGGCGGCGAACAAATCTGGGGGCTCAGAGAAGAAAGGAACAGAGGATATGCAATCAGGCAATCTTTGGTTCAATTCCTAGTTCTGTCCCTTACTGTGTAAACTTGGGCAAGTTACTTAATCTCTGCCCTTCAGATGCTAAAAAATAATCCTCAGAAAAAGGACAGATACTCCAACAACACTCCTACAGTAAATATGATAACTTCTAAGAGTTTTTTCTTCTTATGATTTTAATGTAGGCTGATGACATAAGTCCAAAGTACGATTCTAGGAAAGAATCTTACAGGGGACAAAATGATGTATTTCAAGTGCATGGCTTTCTGACAGTTTGGCTTTTAAGAGTATCTAGAGGTGAAATAGCAAATGGATTTTATATTGCATGCCAATGCTAGGAGATGCCAATGGCTGCTCAAAGCACTGGTTGGGTAGAATCATGTTTGAGCAAGAGTCTAGGCTCAGCATAAGAAAGGGTTATGGATTAAAGAAGTTGCCCAGGGGCGTGGAAAGGATAGTAAGTAGCAAGAGCAGTGCCATATACAGTATTTGCTGACACTGAATTAGAAGAGAAAATGGCTATGTATCCATCAGATAGTTCTCCATAAGTGATATTGAGCTTTTTGATAAGTAATGAATTGTAAAGATTTCCGAGAAGTAGAAATATTCTATGCTGTACATTAAGGGTAAGAACATAAATTACAGTAGTCAGCTACAGTCAGAAAGTGTGACATCCTTTTATGAATGTTAAGGCATGTGACCAGTTTACATTCATTAATTTAGCAGAAGGTCTCTCCACCTGCTCAAGGGGGAAAGACCATGGAAATATCTGAGGCAGGATCAAAATCTTCCTTGGAAAAACAGGATACTCTATAAGACATGGACAAAAAGGAGATGAGGGTTCCAGTGCTTCATATCCAATGATCATCATCATTTTATCTTGAAAACTTTTTTTGTTTTTTTTTTTTTAAGAGACAGTCTCTTTCCATGTTGCCTAAGTTAGTCTCAAACTCCTGGACTCAAGCAAAGCTCCCTCCTCAGCCTCCCAAGTAACTGGGCTTCCAGGCATGTGCCACCATGCCTGGCTTGAAAACTTTTAAAAGTTTCTTTTGCCAAGCTTGCTTAATAGTATTTATAGTATATGCACCTTTAAGCTTGATGTACTTACAGTCTATGCACTTTGGTTGAATCTTCCAAGACAGTGTATTTCATTATATATATATATATATATATATATATATATATATATATATATATGAAATTATTTGTGTGTGTGTATAAACTATTTTATCTATGCTAACGATTCAATTGATTTTCTTGTATTTTCTACATAGACAATAACTTACACATAAAAATGATAATTTCTATGACTCCCCAATATTTGTACCAATTATTTAATTTCATTTACTTTTTACCCTTGCCAAAGTGTCAATAGAATGCTAAAGAGTAATGGCATCCTTTTTTTTCTTGATTTTATATACTTCTAGATATGTATATATGTACACACACCCACACACACACACACACATATATATATATACCATGTTTTTAAACAAAATCTCATCTTGAACTCCAATACAGGTGAAGCAGAACCATTCTGGCTGAAGGGGACGTAGAGGGCTTGTTTTTCATCAAGGCTGGCACTGACGACTTCACAGAACATAGTTTGAAAGCCTCTGCTGTAAGATTAGTTACGAAATGCATCCCTAGGCCACAAAACAAATTAATTTGCTAGATTAGAATGTTCATCTTTATGAACAGGTGAAATGTTGGGGATGTTTATAAAAAGTAATAATTTTTTATTTAGTCACTTAAGGCAATTATAATCATTAAAATACATCTCCCAGTGTCTGGATTCCCCAGTCTTTAACAAAACCATGTGGTAGCACCAAGAGTTAACTCCAGTACAAGGAAGGCTGTGCCAGTCCCAGTCCTGTGCTTCCCTCTGCCTGTGGAGAAGGTCTGATCTGCTAATTGCTCCTAACAGGGTGTGGTCTTTTGAGAAAAATGGCACTTCAAGGCCCAAGAACACTGCAGGTATTTCAGTCTTCACATCTGCATTCTGGGCAGCAGGAAGACAAAAAAAGGAGGAAGAATAAACTTGCTTGTTTTATTTTTTTGAGACAGAGTCTTGCTCTGTCGCCCAGGTTGGACTGCAGTGGTGAGATTAAGGCTCACTGCAGTCTTAACCTTCCAGGCTCAAGTGATCCTCCCACCTAAGCCTCTCAAGTAGCTGGGACTACAGGCATGTGCCACCACATCCAGCTAATTTTTATATTTTCTGTAGAGTCACAGTCTCATATGTTGTCAGGGCTGGCCCTGAACTCCTGGCCTCAAGCAATCCTCCCGCCTCGGCCTCCCAAAACTTGCTTCTTGAAAAAGCATTCCCAGAAATCCCACCAAATTAACTCTTTATAATTCAATAGTCAAAATTTTGTCACACATGGCCACACCTAGCTGCAAGGGAGCCTGTGTGTTGCACTTTAGCAAGACAGATGGAACACATTCCTGTTGACACTTTAGGGCTGTTACTAAGGAACATTCATCCAGTAATGGTAACAGCTAGGCAGAAGTAACCACCACTCCCCTGCACTACTGTGCCATGTGTGTATTTTACTATATGTACAGATTTGTGTTACCACTACCATACTCAGGATACAGAACAACTCCATTAACCACCCCCCTCCTCCAAACTTCCCTTGTGCCTATCCCTTATAATCACATCTTCCCCTGTAACTATCTCCTGGCAAACACTGATCTGTTTTCCATCACTATAGTTTTGTTATCTCATTAATGTCATACAGATGGAACCATATAGTACATGGTATATAACCTTTTGAGACTGGCCTCTTTCAGTCAGCATAATGCCTTTGAGATTCATTGAAGTTGTTGTATATGATAGTAGTTCATTCTTTTCAATTGCTGAGTAGTATTCCATGGTATGAATGTTTTATTCATTCATATGAAAAACATTTGAATTGTTTCTACTTTTTGGCAATTATAATAGTTGCTATTTGTTTCTAAGTGAAGTTAAGTTCTCATCCACATATACCTTTTTATTTGTATTTATTTATTAAAATCATTTTTTTGAGACAGAGTCTCACTCTGTCACCCAGGTAGGAGTGCAGTGGCACCATCATAGCTCACTGCAGCCTCGAACTCCTGCCCTCAAGCAGTCCTCATCCCTCACCTCAGCCTCCCAAGGAGCTAAGGAGCTGGGACCATAGGTGTGTGCCACCACACCCACCTTAACTTTTGGCTTTTTGTAGAGACAGGGACTGTGTTGCCCAGGTTGGTCTTGAACTCCTGGTGTCAAGCAATCCTCCTGCCTCAGTCTTCCAAAGTGGTAGGATTTTAGGTGCAACTACTGCACCTGGCCTACATTTTTATTATGACATTATATACAAGGACATTGTTTGTTAATGTGTTGTTCCCTTCCTATACTGAACTATATGTACCCATATGGTTTAATCTGTGACCCCACCAAATCTCATGTCAAATTATAATCCCCAATTTTGGTTGTGGGGCCTGGAGGGAGGTGATTGGATCATGGGGGTGGATTTCCCCCTTGCTGTTCTGGTGACAGTGAGTTCTCATGAGATCTGGTTAAGTGTGTATCTCACAGCTTGTGGAACTGTGAGCTAATTACACCTCTTTGTAAATTACCCCATCTCAGGTATTTCTTTATAGCAGTGGAAGAACAGACTAATACAGAGGTGTCTGGATCATTGGGGTAGATTTCTCATGAATGGTTTAGCACCATCGCCTTGGTGCTGTCCTCATGACAGTGAGTTCTTGTAAAAGTGTGTGGCACCTGCCCCCCTACCCTTTCTCTTGCTCCTGTTCTCCTGTGTGATGTACAAGCTCCTGCTTGGCCTTCACCACGACTGTAAGCTTCCAGAGTCTTCCCCAGAAACATAGTCCTTCCCAGTGCTATGCTTCCTGTATAGCCTACAGACCCATGAGTCAATTAAACCTCTTTTCTTGTAAGTTACCAAGTGTCAGGTATTTCTTTATAGCAATGCACGAACAGTCTAATACATGTACCTCCAAGATTTTGCCTGACCCAAAGCAAATAACTTAGTGTAGTGGTTAAGAGTACGGTCCCTTGCCTGTGTTTGAATTTTAGCTCTAACACTTAATAGTGGTGTGACACTGGGCAAGTTACTTGACATCTCTATGCCTCAATCTTCCCATCCTAGATAACTGGGATAAAGAGTTTCTACCTCCCAGGGTATTGTAAGGGTTTTTTTTTTTCTTTTTTAAAGTGATATATGTGAGTTTGCTGAGGTTAAAGTAGTGTCTTACACATTTTCCTATCTTTAGCACCTAGTAAGTTCATGAGAATGCAGATGTTTACAATTTTTTATTGAATAAATGACATTAATTTTACAAATAATCCTAACATACATAACTGTATATTCACTATTTTTCTTCAACAAATATGAACACCTACTATGCCCAGGCATTGTGCTAGGCACTGGGGACAGCTGGAAACATAAATAACTCATTAGGAGGAAAATGAAACTTTGATACAGTCTATTTTAAGCTATTTTTGTTCTCACAGAACTATCCTTCCTTAAATAAAAATCCTTTCCATGAAAATTTCCTTTTATAGAAGTGAAACAGTAAAGAATGCATAACACATACACTAGCTTCAATGACTTTCCGAAGGTCATATTAATATACTTTTTGAACCAAAGAGCAAAACTAGGATTAAATAGAAGACAGGAAATTAAATGAGGGTATTTGAGCTCTTTTTCTTAATGGAGATGATTTCAAATTTGTGGTCCCCAGAGCAGGGGCATGTACTTAACTATTTCCAATAAGGTTGTCAATTCTGAGACTTCCCTTACAGTAATGCTGGTGAAAATAACTTAGGCCATATTTCCAGATTAACTAGTTAAATATTTCATTTCCTTAAGTGTGCTGGTTGGCGTGGCTCTAAATAATTAGATTACAGGGCGGTCTAATTATTTGGTTCAAACAGTCATGCACACACCCTAAGGCTTAATTACCACGAACAAATCAATCCCACCCCCAAATCGTTGCCTGTCACTGACAATAGCTTTAACTGTACTTGCACAGTTAAAGGAGTCCAACGAGCATTCTAGGACTGATGATTAAAACTTTACCCATTAAAATAATTGCACTCACTTGGAAATCAGTTTTGTTTTTAATTGTAGAACCAGCAGTTCTACCCAATTTAAACTTCAGTCATATCTCTCAAGACAGATTAACTAGAGCTGATTTTTTTTAAACTTTGCTTACCATGAAATACACCTTTCTATTCTTAAAAAACAAACAAACAAACAAAAATAGGGCTTTAAAAATTCGTAAAATAATTAGACCTGGGACTTTGTCCAGGGAATTTCGCCATTTAAGATAAAGAAAACTCAGCAACATTATGTCTAGTTACCAAGAAAGATATGTGCAACGCGAAACCTTTCCCCAATACCATATTTACTCTGAGAAACACAGCAAAATAAAATTCACGATGAAGTTACGATTTCGACATTTTTATTAGTCATCAGCTTACTGCTAGGTTTTAAAAGGTGTTCCAAGGCGGGAAGAAGGCGCGGGGGGAAGCCTCAGAATATGGGGTCTGTTTCGATTGGGGGGAGCGGCGTTAGAGGGGCGTGAAGGCAGAAAGGAAGGGTAGGGCGGAAATTAGCGACTTAATAAGACGCCTAGCTCCCGAGGAAGCCAGCCTGGCGTTAGAAGCAAGTAGAGCAGAAGAGATTTAGGGCTAATTAAAACAATCACACGACACTCCCCCTCGCGTTTGCCGGGGCCGGGTCTCCTGCACTAGCAGAGCCGGGGGCGGGGATTAGCTCGGATTCAAATTTAAAGCGGGAGGCCCGCGTGTGGCTCAGCAGGTGCCTCATGCCCGGCTCCCGTGGCGGTCGTTTCCGCCCCTACCTGCCCAGAGGGCCGGAAATTACCTAGCGAGGAGCGGCTTATCCATTGTTGCCAATGTTTCAACTGCGCGGAAACCCTGAAGAAAGTGCGGAGCACAGGGCACGCGGGCCGCTCACTGCCCTTCCACGCGCCCCCACGTTTCTGGCCGCTGCGCTCCTTGCCGTGCTTTTACAATGCCACAGGCCACTGGGGGAGACCGGAGCGAAGCCAGGAGGGAAGCAAGGCGGGAGGAAAAGGGAGAAGTGTAAGAAGACACAGGCGCCCGGGATACTATATAATCTGGTTCTGAGCTAGAGGGAGCGCATGCGCCGGCGACACTTCTGGCGGCAGGAGAAAGGCGCGCATGCGCAGAGCCGAGACGAAAAATGAAGCCACAGGGTGCCTGGCTGATTGAGGGCGCTGCTTTAGCTACCGAAGGGCCACAGCGCCCCGAAGGCGCGTGCGCAGAGCGCGGGAAGGGGGTGGAGCTCTTCTGAGGGGGCCGGGGCGAACAGAGCCGGCCTCGCGCGCCCCCTGGCGCGCGCCCGGGGAGAGGAAGGAGCGGGAGGGGGCGGAGAGGAGGGAGGAGGCAAGCAGGGCGGGAGGGGGGAGGGGAGCCAGAGCGAGGGAGGGTTTATCGACCGGGCGATTTTGGTTAAAATATTCAAAATGGCGGACGGAGGAGCAGCGAGTCAAGATGAGAGTTCAGCCGCGGCGGCAGCAGCAGCAGGTAATCATTACAGCATTTTACATATTCATATTCATACTCAACCCCGGCTCCCGCTGCCCCCCCCCGCGACTTAGCATAATTTATTAGTACTCAGGATTATTATAATTAACGGCGGGGAGATGGGGGGCCGGGGAGCATTGAGCCCCCGCCGGGCGCTGAGCGGAGGGGGAAAGAGGCTCGGAGCGGCCAGGCGGAGGGGGAAGACAAGGGGCAAAGGGGGCTGCGATCCACTGCCCTCCTCCTGCACCCGGCCCACCCCGCCGCCGCTCGCCGTCTGCCCGTCGGCACCGGCCCTCCTCCTCTGCCGGCCGCCGCTGCCGCCTCCTCGCCGCCGTGCCCGAACCCGAGCGGGTCCGCGGCGGGGCGGCGGGGCCGGGGCAGAGGGAGAGGACAATAAAGACATTTTACATATTCATAGCTGCTGGGCCGGCGGGGCGCAGTAGGGCGCGGGCGGGCGGCCGGGGCCGGGCGGGCGCGGGGTGGGGGGCGTGAAGGGGGATGGAGGCGGCGGCGAGCACAATGCCGGGGAGGCGGCGGGGCCGGAGCGGACCCCGGCGGCCGGACACCCGCACGCGTCTTCCCCCGGGAGCGGGCCCGGGCGGGGGGGCGCTGCCCGCCTTGGGGGGCGGCCCTCAGGGCAACCGGGGGTGCGCGCGGGGAGAGCTCCCTGCCCGCGCCCCGCGCGGGGCTGAGCCCGGGGGTCACGGCCCCAGGCACTTCGGCCTCGCCCCACTGGTCCCCAATGTGGTGGCCTGACCCAAGCCAGGCCTGCTCTCTAGGTGGGTAGGGGTGAGCGGTCGTGGGCGCTGCGAGGTGGCCTGGGGCGGCGGGGGTGGGGAACCCGCGCAGGGGTCTGCGTGCCCCCCCTGGGGGGTGGACTGGATTGGAAGGAGTCCTTGGGGCAAGTTCCTTCCGAGGGGATGTCCTCTGGGGCGGCCCGCGCGCCCCCGGCCGGCGGTCGGCAGCCCCTTTGCGTTGTCGGCCGGGGCTTCGCGGGCGAGTTGGGCTGGAGGTGCCTGGCGTGGTCTGACCTCCGTCTCCCTTTGCCCCTCCCCGCTGCCCCCCCTCCGTTCCCCCCACCCCCTGCGCCTGACCGGGACGCACGGGGCGGGTGGCCCTCCGGGGCCTCTCGCTCCGAGGCCCCAGAAGCGCCCAGAGGCCTCCCGAGAACTTGGATGTAAAGGGCTGCCCTCCTGCCCCAGAATGGGCTGGCCTGACAAGTTGATCGTATTCTCGATTTCCTCTCTCCTGTTGGGAGTCGGTGGGGAGGGACGGGGATCCCCCTCCCTTCTTCTGTGGCGGTGTTTTCTCGCTGTGTGCTGGGTCGTCTTTACTCTCTGCTTAGCTGAACCTCTTCTCATTTGAATAATGTCTAATTCGGGGAGGTTTATATTATTGAAATGGCCGCCTGGCTTTCCCCGCCTCTCATGTTTAGTAATTCAGACCTTTAATAACAGCCACTCACAGCCCAACGCCGTGTTTATATTTTACATTCGCCCCATGTGCTTTTGTGGTTCGATATGATTTTTTTTTTCCTTGGCAATCCGCAGGGCTCTGAGATCAAACCCAGGCCGTGCTGGGAAGAGAGGGGGGAAGCTGGGCCTTGGCTTCTCTAGCAGTTGCCTAGGCCTCATGTTCTCTGCTGCTTGATTTATTTACTAATAACCAAAATGACTACCTCCACCAACTTCCACACACTTTCCCCTCCTCTGCGGGCAAAACAAACTCTCTTGGGGCTTTACTAGCATTAAAACAGGTCCTAGCTAAGTATCAACTCTGTGATGGTTTGTTTTCTCTTAAAAAGACTTTCTTATACTTTGCAGTAGTATTGGGCCTAGGGGGAAAAATCTGTCCTGTATTTTATTTTCAGAGCCTATGAAATCTATTTTGGTTTAATCCAAATCACTTTGTTTTGGGGATGGGTACCCCGGTTGCTCCCCACCCCCATGTTAAATACTTTAAGGCTTTGTAAAGGTCTGTAGTATTTGTAAAACTGACACTTTTTTTTTCCTCTAGGAGTTGTGGAGTAGCTAAATATTAGAAATTCCAATTAACAACAGTTTCATAATTTCTTGGTGTGGTGCTACCTTTCTGACATCTTCATTCTAATTTAAAATGGAGCTGACGTTAATTTTGTGCTATCATTGTCATAGACTTGCTTATTTTAATTGTAGCACTACTGAAAACAAAAAAATGGGGTTATGTTTTCTTTGAGTATTTGTGTCATGATTAAATGAGTGAAAAGAGAAGAATAAACATAGGCATTGCGTTTACCCTGATCTTGGAACTTATTCTCCTCCCAGCACACCCGCCCCTCCTCTTTAAGTTGTCAGAATTGATGTTATGTTTTATCTAGACTTAGGACAGTTGGCTTGTGAGAGGCAGATTAACTTTTACTGTTTAGAGGAAACAGTAATTTTGATTTTTGGTCTTTCCTGTGGTAAAATTTTCTTTTAACATTTTTATTTTGTGTAGGGGTGTGTGTGAGTGTGAGTGTGACTAGTGTTGCCTGTCACTGGTGGATGTTTACCGCTGCGTAGTCGAGGGAAGTATTAGAGGAGTGGGGTTTAACACTAATGTGTTAAACCTTTGAAATTATGTTAAGACATTTTGGTGAGTGGCTAGCTATGTATTTTGTGGGACTTTGGTCTTCAGTTTAATTTGTAACAAAATTCTAGGTTTGATGGATTAAACGCAAGCTAATTTCAGATAACCAGTTCTCACCATTTTTCTTCTTTCACTCACAGTAGGCAGGCCCTGAATGCAGCAGGAAAAAAAAAAATCTGTAGCTTTTAAGAGAACCTTCAGGTGAATGACTGCTTCAGAGACCTGAAGTATGAGGTCAGATGGACAAAAAGCAGCAATATAATTTCATGCCTTAAATAGCATATGTTTTTGCACCCGATTCCCAAGATGTGGTCAAACTGATGATGTCATTGGACAGAGGACAAGGTGCAGTTAATTTGATTTATTGTCCTGAGGTGAAGTGTAGCAGTGAAGCCTTCTCATAGGGAAACCATTTATTTCGGGTCAATTTCCTTTATAGCTGCAATTTAATCACTACTGAGGCCGTAGATATTTTATACAAAATGATAAAATGTACATTGGATTTTACAAGCAAAATTTCGCTGTTACAGTTTTTGTAATACAGAAAAGGATGGATGTTGTTAACTGGCCTTATATTTTGGTTCACTTTTAATGCTATTGTAAAAATTCATTTCCTCAAAATTCTCAAATGGAGTATTTGGGTTTTAGATAGATAGTCATAGAAGTGACCCATATAAATGTTTGTTGTGATCCCCCAGACTTTTATAAGAAACTGTGTTTCTTAATCAGAGCATGGCTTAGGCTAATGGAGAGACCATTTGCCTTAGAATCCATTTCAGTGAATAAAGCAGAGTTGAGAATGAGGGCTGTGTATTCTTTAAGGTGGAAATGATAATGTTGAAAATAAGGTAGAATACTCACAGGAAAGCATGTGCTTTTAAAACAGATTTTTTAAAAAAAATTCAGAATTCTTTTTGGATTTATCTTAGTCTGGACAAGTTTGTTCATTTTGTTTTGATTAGTGATTTTAAAATTGTTCCATTGCAACAGTGATTGCACTTAGAATTTTTGACATATTAATAGATTTTCTTGTAAGACATTTCTCATATTTTTAATTATTAGTTTATTTTAAGGTGATGATTAAAATTCCCTGAGAATGTGATAAAATTGCTTTATTTCTAACCTGAATTTGTGATCCAATTTTGATAGAGTATTTTAGGTTACTTTTGAACCCACATGAGTTTATAACCTGCCTGTCTCCTTTTGCATCTGTCAAGTAGTTTCCTGCGTATTTCTAGGAAATCCATTGTCACTGTCTTCTTTTTTTTTTTTTTTTTTTTCCAGACAGAGTCTTGCTCTGTCTCCCAGGCTGGAGTGCGTTGGTGCGATCTCGGCTCACTGCAACCTCTGCCTCGTGGGTTCCAGTGATTCTCCTGCCTCAGCCTCCTTAGTAGCTGGGACTACAGGCATGCGCCATGACGCCCGGCTAATTTTTGTATTTTTTGTAGAGGCGGGGTTTCACCGTGTTGGCCAGGCTGGTCTCGAACTCCTGACCTCAAGGGATCCACCCGCCTCGGCTTTCCAAAGTGCTGGATTACAGGCGTGAGCCACCATGCCCAGCCCGTTGTCACTTTCTTAACTCTCCCACCTATTAATTACAATGATACTTTTGAATCAAGGTCTTGAAAATTCATGTGACAGCTGACCAACTGTTTTTGATTTCTAAAGGACTGTTCTGCTTCCAAACCATTACCGTAAAAGCAATTTTTAACCTCTTCCCTCAAATTAGTTTGTAATTCCTTTCATTTTGTCATTGTCAAAAATCCCAGTAGACAAGGAAAAAACAAACCGTAGCTATTATTCAGGTTCAAATGAATTCAGGTGTAGTGTTCTGCCATATTTTAAATTTACTATTCTCTACATCAATAGGTAGTATAAAGCAGTGTAAATAAAATATGTTTCATTGCTGCCTAGTTTGAAGTAATTGTCAATCTGCCATTCATCTGGTTAGTGGATTTTGCAATAAGTTCAGGGCTCAAAATGTTACGTTGCTCTTCTCAAGCCACCAAAGATGTTTAATAGACCCTTGAATATCTTAGGCAGGTGGTTCTGAAATAACAGAAGTGGAAATTTGAATGTTATCTTTAAGTATTTTCTATTAAAAATTGAAATATTTGACCTGCTTCTTGAATCTGTATTGCTTCATCTTGAATTTATTTGTGTTTTTTAAGTTGGTCACTCATTTTCATGAATGTTTCCTTTGTACTTGGAAGACTGTAATATTATGTAGTAGTGATTGCCTTGTTGTTATCGGTTATTTTTGTTTTGTTTTTTAATTTTGAAACCCCATAGTTGTAATCTTTGCATATTAGTCTTTCAAGCACCATTAAAAATAATGTTGTGTGACTCATTAATTTGCCTTTATATAATTGTGTTAATTACACAGTTTTTGTGATTAGTAAAGACTTGCTATGAAGCCTGATTTTAAGCAGGAATGTGTTTTTCCTAATGAAAGTGATTGCATTTGAATTTAGAACTATTCAGGTAATTTGCGTTTAGGGAACAGACCAAGTCACAAACAAAACATGCCCCCTTTTGGTTATCCATGTTCTTGTTTCTGATCCCTCCTTAAATGCTAAATGCCTGAGCAAATGTACTTACTATTTCTTGGGCGTTAGAGTTGAAAGTTGTTGATTTGATTCAGTGACATATCTGCTTTGAATTTCTGTACCCTTTCTGCATGAATTTTTTCCTTTTCCTTTTTTTGGGGTAACTTTGAGTCACCATTTTGCTTACTTCTTACTGTGTTGCTTAAAGGATGTAAATATCCTTTTGAGTGGTTGAAAGGGATAATAATTAAGGTTCACAGAGAATAGCAGTTTCCTTATGCATCTTTCGCTGGACATTTTTGTGCATTATTGACATTTCATAAGTAAAGAGAATTGAATAACTGTAGATTTTAATTCTTCTTAGGAATAAATTGGTTTGTTTTGTACCGAAGTATTTCTGTGTTCTAAACAGGTGATGAGCTCTTATAAACTGTTTCAGCAGTAATAACAATGGAAACAAAAATAGCCTGAGTAGAGCTATTGCCTGACTTACTTGATCCGTTTACAGTATGTTTAGAATTTGGAATATGAGAATTGTCTTGAGTTTCAGAAGTTCTGATTTGAAGATGCT
Source organism: Homo sapiens (assembly GCF_000001405.40). Taxonomy (NCBI): domain Eukaryota; kingdom Metazoa; phylum Chordata; class Mammalia; order Primates; family Hominidae; genus Homo; species Homo sapiens. The sequence goes on from NC_000001.11 coordinate 167,226,686, forward strand.
CCTTGCATACAGTGCATGTGGTTATGGGGTTCTGTGTGTTTTTACTATGGGGTGTGAATTTTTTGAGCATTGGTATCTTTGTATACTCAGTGACTAATAGAGCTCTTTTGTTTTTGGGTTTTATTTATTTATTTATTTATTTCCAATTAAGCAAGCACTCAAGATTTCAGTGTTGCCTACATTTGCTGACAGGACTAGTAATTGAGCAAAAGAAGAATCAGCAAACCTCTAGATTTATCAGATTATCTTTTATTCATTTATTTTCTCTTATTTTTAATTTTTTTTAAGAGATGGGGTCTTGCTATGTTGCCTAGGCTAGTCTAAAACTCCTGGGCTTAAGCAGTCCTACTGTGGCCTCCCCAAGTGCTGGGACTACAGGCATGAGCTACCACACCTGGCCCAGATTTCTTTTAAACTGCTGGAACTCCTGGACATTTATCCGGAGAGGATACATTATACTAACTTTTTTTTAACAGCCAATGTTCACATTCCACAAAGCTAAGTGTTTGTAGTAGCTTTACTAAGTCTTCAATATTGAAAGTCATAGCAAGTGCAGTTTATCACATTATTTATTTCATAATTCTTTGTAACTTTATGCTTTTTATGTTGGAATATAGAAATGGTATATGAAATTAAATCAATAATAATAATTATTATGGCAGGTTTCCCCCCCTCTGTTGAACTTTCTCTTTGCAATAGAAGATATAAACAGGAATGGCTGGAAAATGAACAATATGCTGTGTGTTAAACGACTCATTTGTGCTTAAACATATGATTACCTTAATGGAGTTGCACTGATACCTTAAAGGGAATATATTTTTATATGGAAAAGTGACTTAGGTGTTTTCTTGTTTTAGTACACTTATTTTAGTGGTCTGCTTAATGAAAAATACAGCCTTTTTTGGCTGATTCATACTGCAGCAAGCAATATTATAATTAATGTTTTAAAGTAGTTACCATCCTAGTCTATAAAAGGTATCTGCTATGTACCTGGTCCTATGCCTGTAGTCTTTGGGAATAACAAGGAAATATGACTGCTGCGGAGGAGTTGGTATGTTTACTTAAGCAGGAAAAATTGAAAAACAGTGTATATAATTACATATTAAAATATGTAACAGATAATGAAGATTGGAGAATAGATCAGAGTGTGTCCAAGTTTGAAAGAGCCAGAGCATCCTAGAATATATTATAGCTGGAAGGTAATTTAGATATAATCTTTGCTAAAGGTTTTGCTTCACAGATGAGGAAATATTTTCACAATGGTTTAGTGACTTGCTCACAGTCACTTAACTATTCAGTAACAGATAAGAACACAAGACTTCTAACTTTCTCCCACCTCCCAGTCTCTCCTCCTGCCCCATTGCTGTCAGTCAGAGAAGGCTTTATGTAGAAGGCGAGACTTTTAAACCGAGCTTTAAAGGGCAAAAAGAATTTAGAGGAATGGGAATACAGAGAAGGCCATTGAAGGGGAGATTGTGTTCAACATTGTGATGTATAGGTAAAGAATGAGGAAGCATTTGTTCTATCTGCAGGAAAGCTGTTGGAGGATTTTGAAATAGGGACTGATGTGATAAAAATGGTGTGTTAGGAGTAATGTGGTGTGCAGGATGGTTTGAAATAGGAAGGGAGAGATTAGATCCATAGAAACCAGTGTATAGAGGTATTTGGTTTATTAACTAATTACTGTAGGTGCTACTAGAGATACAAACATAATTTAAAAATTACTTGACCTCAAGAGACTTCCAGTCTAATTTATGAAATAGATAAGTCGTGATAAAGGTGTTGAGGATATTGTCCAATTACATTACATGGAATAAGGACGTTTGGGAGAAATTCTTACCTGGCCTTTACAGTAGAAACTATTTGTTTTTAGTCTTATGGACACTGAATTGTCTAATTGACTTAGTTTCCTTTTCAAATCAAACTACAGTTTGATTTGGTCAAATTTAGGTCAGATTATTAACCTGAGAAGCACATGCATAGGCAATTACGTTTGCATTTCTTAGCCTGATTAGTAGATCAATTTTTTGTCCATGCATTTGTTTTGTATTTCTTGTATTGCTTCCATCTTTAAACTCTTTTTATCTTGTTTTATGTGGGCCACCTTACATCCTTTCTGGAGCAAGGCAGGTATAAATAATATTACCATAACCATGGCACAGTGATAATGTCTGTATTTTTATAGTACTTTAAAATTTATAGCCACATTCTCATTTTCATTACCTCAGTTAGTCCTTTCAGGCAAGCGTTACTATACCCATTTTATAGTCGAGTAAAATAAAACTTAGATTAAGTGACTTTCTCAAGGTCCTGTGTTTTTATAAGCATTAAGTGTGGGTAATAGCAAGACTTCCAGCTTAGTTGTTATTTAGGCTGTGTATTAAGGCACTTTGGGGCTCTATTGTGGAGAGCTCTGAATCCTTTGTGTTGGTGTAAGAGTTTGGATTTTATTTGCTAGGCAGTAGGAAGTCACTGAATTTTTTTTTTTTAATTTTTTTTTGTTATGGACAGTGCCATGATCAGAGCCCTTAAAGTTTAGCAGCTAATTAGATGCAAAGAGATTATCAAGGTTTTGAGTTTAGGTTATCCAGAAAAGAGCATTACCATAAGCAGATGTAGGGATGTTGGGAAAAGGAGCCATTTGGGGAGTAAGTCAGTGAATTCACTTTGACATGTCATTTGAGACATGTTTGGGTGGGTCTTATTGGGTTGTAGATTCCTTGTGAAAATTGAAAATTTTTTAGTGAATTAAATGTTTGATAAACATTAATACTAGGGTTGAAATTTATGCTCATGCCACTGTGCGTGTGGACTGAGTATTGAATCTGAACGTTGTAAATTCTAGATATCTCATTTTGGCTTTGGCACTGTCTTCTAAGGTTATTTCCTTCAACAATACGATGGTGATAATACCAGTGTTAGAGGGATGCTGTGGGGAGTATCAAATTGATAGCAGAAGCATTTTTAAAGTAACTCTGTAATAGTTTTTCTTACATGAGCACAGGAGTAAAATCAGGAATTTTATTACTTGTGCTGCTGTAGAGAAGCAGAAGCTTTAGCAGCCGATGGATTCTGTGGGGCACCTGACTGTAGGTTGTTCATTTTTTGGTGCAGCCAGCATCTTAGGAGGAATGGACACTCCTAATACTCTTCTGAAAACTTTATACAGTGGAGGTGTTGCATTGTAGCAAATACAACTTACCTTGATTTCAGGGCATTCTGTTATCTAGCCCCTACCCTTGCCTATGCATTATTATCTTTACTACTTCCTTAAATAGCATGACTCAACAATTCCATCAAGGAAGTTCCCTTATTGTCCATTTCTACCACAAATACAGCATATTATCAGATTTTAATTTTTAAAGAAATTTCCCTAAAATTTGAAGATCTATCTTGGGAGGATGGCTATAATTTATCCTGAGACTTACCTGAGCCTTTCTCCCATTACCATCCTTGCAACACCAATCCCAGTTTGAGACACATGACCTGAATGTGTACCCAGTGTTTTGGTCAAGCCAGTGTGTTTGGGACGTTGTGTGAGAACCTTTACTCACACTTTTTCCTCCATTGGAAGGCCATGGTGTATGGTATGGTAGAGTGAAAAAAGGTACTGGGGGGTTCAGAGACCTGGCTTCTCTGTCACTAATTAGCTTAGTAACTTTAGGACAAGTTACTTCACCATGGATTTTTTTTTTAATTGCATTTGTAAAATAAGGGATTTCAAACTTTTAAAAGCCTTTGGTGTTCTTTTTTAAAGGCAAAAGTGGAGCTGTTCTGATTAAAATTGGATATTGGAGCAAGAAAAGCATTTTCCTCCTCCTTTCCACAGTAGCTTTTGAGGCACTTTCACAGGGTCCTTAGGACTTCTGCTGGTCATGACTTGAAAACTTTTGTCCTTATTTATCTTAAGGGACCTGTCTGTCCATTTCTTTATCTCCACAAATAGCCATCTGTCAAATCTGAGCTCCTGTCATACTTTCTCTGAAATTAGCACTTAATTTGTGTTCAGTTACCCAATTCAGCACTTCATTATACACAGTCCTATTTTCTTCTCTAATTGATTATGTAAGTAAATCTTGTCCTAAGAGCCTTGAGTGCAGGAACATACTGGTAGGGACAGAGTAGGCCTAGACATTTAACAAATAATGAATGCTTGGTTGATGGACTTAGTGGTTCTCAATCTTTGTCACCATGGGGTGACCCATGGAACTTTTTCAACATAAGAAGGCCCAACTTCTAATACAGTAGAGGTCTGAAAATCCATACTTTAAAAAAGCTCTACAGGTGATTTGATAACATTAAATGATTACTTGTTGCACTTCAAGATTATTTATTGCTTAGCATACCTTGAATAATGGTTTTCAGTTAATGCACCAGAAAGGCCCTATACTGGAAAGACAGACTGAGAATTAGGAGACTTGGATCCTTATTCTGCTTTTAGCATTAACGATAATAGCTTTCTGATCCTGAATAAATCACTAAATTTTTCCAACCCATAGGATTCTTATTGATAAAATTATGGGCTGAGCTAGGTGAATAGTTTTCATACTTTTTTTTTCCTTTTTAAACTGGAATTATTCAGAAACATCTTTTGGGTGAAGACCAGTAAATATAACATATATTTTTATCAGTTCGGCTTTCATCTGGGTACCTGAATATTTATTAAAAATATAGAACATGGTAAGCTTGGTCCTGTCCTAGTAGGAGAGCTAAATTGTATGCAGTAGGTAGTACTGAAGATGGGATTTAGACTTTAAACTTGAAACATCCTATTAGAATGCGAATGAACAAAGGTAGTAAGCTTATCAATAATTGTGGTACTCAGTGTGAATAAAAACTAGATTATGATGAACCAATATGGCCAGTCTTTCTGCATTCATTTAATTCAACAAATATTTATAGAGCTTCTGCTCCTTGTAATGTACTGAGCACTGGTGGTAGAGTAATGAATAAGATAACATCTCTGCCCTCTCAAAATGTATATTGGTCAGTTGGGGAAATCATATGTTAAATAATACTGGTTGTAGTTTAATGAGTAGAATACGAGAGATTTGAAGTACCCCAGGAGCATAAGGTGGGGACTGCTAATCTGGACAAGAGGATTTGGGAAGGGGCTCTCTGAGGATATCATGTTTACAATGAGATGTGAAAGATGAATAGGAATTAATCAGTTCAAGAACTGGGAGTGAGAAGTGGAATTGAAAATGTTCTGAGCAAAGGGAACACTATGCAGACATCTCAGACATCCCTCATTATACACAGGGGCATACCACAAGGGGATTGGTTCCAGGATTCCCTACTCGTGTGCCCTCCTCCCCCAACACACACACACCAATATCAAAATCTGCACATGCCTCAGTCCTGCAGCAGGCCCTGTGGAACCCGAGTATGTGAAAAGTGTGCCTGGCCCCTGGGCCTCAGAGCCCCTGTGACTATGAGCTGTTTGCATCCCGTGAATTCTGTATTTTTAATTTGCATGTGATTGAAAAAACCTGATTTAAGTGGACCCACACAGTTCATACCCATTTTGTTCGAGGGTCAGCTGTACAATCACGTACCGCATAATGACTTCTCAGTCTATGGACCAGTATACAATGGCAGTCCCATAAGATTATAACAGAACTGAAACATTCCTATCTCCTAGTGACATTGTAATGATCCTGACCCTGTGTGGGCCTAGGCTGATGTCTGTGTTTGTGTCTTAGTTGTTAACAAAAACATTTAAAAGGTAAAAATTTAAAAAATTTAAATAGATAAGAGCTTATAGAATAAGGATATAAAGAAAAATTTTTTGTATAGCTGTACAGTGTGTTTGAAACTGTTATTACAAGAGTCAAAAAGTTTTTAACATTTTAAAGCTTATAAAGTTACAGTAGGCCCAGCGTGATGGCTCATGCCTGTAATCCCAGCACTTTGGGAAGCCGAGGTGGGCAGATCACCTGAGGTCAGGAGTTCGAGACCAGCCTGGCCAATAGGGTGAAACCCCATCTCTACTAAAGATACAAAAATTAGCTGGGTGTGGTGGCACACGCCCATAATCCCAGCTACTCGGGAGGCTGAGGCAGGAGAATCACTTGAACCCGTGAAGTGGAGGTTGCAGTGAGCTGAGATTGCGCCACTGCACTCCAGCCTGGGTGACAGAGTGTGAGACTCCATCTCAAAAAAAAAAAAAAAAGTTACAGTAAGCTAGTTAATTTATTATTGAACACAGACTTTTTCTCTTATAAATTTAGTGTAGCCTAAGTATATGGTGTTTTTAAAGTGTATAGTAGTGTACAGTAATGCTGTAGGCCTTCATATTCGCTCACTCGTCATTCATTGACTCACCCAAAGCAACTTCCAGTCTTGCAAGCCCATTCAGGTAAGTGCCCTCTACAGGTATACCATTTTTAAATCTTTTATACCATGTTTTTAACTATACTTTTTCTGTGTTTAAATATTTTTATTTTTTAATTTTTTTTTTTTTTTTAAGTAGGGTCTAGCTCTGTCACCCAGACTGGAGTGCAGTGGTGCAGTCACAGCTGACTGCAGCTTCTACCTTCCAGGGCTCAGATGAGCCTCCTACCTCAGCCTCCTGAGGAGCTGGTACCACAGGCGCACGCACCCATGCCCAGCTAATTTTTTTTTTTTTTTGTAGAGACGGGGCTTCGCCTTGTTGCCCCGGCTGGTCTTCAACTCCTGGACTCAAGCAGTCCTCTTGGCTTGGCCTCCCAAAGTGCTGGGATTACAGATGTGAGCTCCTGTGCCTGGCCTAGGTATTTTTAAATACACAAATACTTACCATTGTGTTAGGATGCCTGCAGTACAACAGTAGAATAACATGCTGTACAGGTTTGTAGTCTAGGAGCAACAGGCTATACCATATAGCTTAGGTATGTAGTAGGCTATACCATTTGGGTTTGTGTAAATATGCTCTGTGATCACACAATGACAAAATCATCTAATGACATAGCATCGTTAAGTGATGCATAACTGCACATACAATTCTTGAAACTAATGAAAACACAGCACTTTCAAGGAACAAAAGTTCAGCATAGCTGGTTCAGGAAGCATGAGATTTAGCTGAAGAGCCAAAGATGATTTTCATGTTATGAGGCTATTTGCATGATCTTTGTACTTTTTAGTGACAAGTCCACAGTTGGAAATTGTGGACGAGATTCCATACTTTTCAATAAATACATTGATTCCTAGTAACAACAGCAATAACATTTATCAAGTCTTTGTGCCAGTTGTTGTACTAAATGCTTTACATGCATTTATGTTAATTACAGTGACCCCCATGGGGTGTGTATTGTTATCCTATCTTTCAGGTTAGGAAACCGAGGCTTAAAGAGGCTAAGTGGCACACCTAGGTCTCTGTTTTGATTATAGCAGTAAGCAGTTAAGATCATTATCAGGCTCTTACCCGTTAATTTCTGCTTCAGGCCAGTGGAATGATGAAGCATATATCAAATGGAATTGGGGGATTGCAGAATTTCCACTGTTAAGATCTATAGATTTAACAGCTGTTATTCTGAGTTTAACCTCAGTGTTTGTACAGTTCCCAGGTCCAGATTGTGTGCTCTAGAATCAATTGTGCATTCTTATCTCTGTATTGCATTTTGGAGACACAGACAATTGATTATCAGATCTAATGTTAACTTAGCTTTCAGGATTTCTAGATGCTGACTATAAACGTTTTTGAAGTTGGTTGTATGCAAACTGCTGATCCTGGTAACCCATACATTCTCAACATTTTGGGTTTTTGTTAAGAATTGTATTTTAGGGTAGGTTTGGTGGCTTATGCTTGTAATCCCAGCACTTTGGGAGGCTGAGGTGGGAGGATTGCTTGAGACCATGAGTTTGAAACTGGCCTGGGCAACATAGCGAGACCTTCTCTCTGCAAAAAAATTTAAAATAATAGCCAAGCATGTTGGTACTTGCCTATAGTCCTAACTATTCTGGATGCCGAAGCAGGAGGACCTCTTGAGCCCAGCAGTTCCAGGCTGTGATGGACTGTGATTGTGCCACTGTTCTCCAGCCAGGATGACAGAGCAATACCATGTCTGTTAAAACAAATATATATGAAACTGAAGCTAATTACACATGTTAACCTTGGGATAATTTTCATCTGGAGCAGCATTTATATTTTTTTGTGACCCAGTTGGTGAAATAGAAAATTAGGATTTACCCTGTTTACATGTTATTTTGATAAAAACATAATTTAAACTATTTCAGTGTTGTCAAATGAGTTGTGACTTAAAATTAATATGCAAGCAAATTATGCAAAAAGGTGGATTTGTTTACCACTTTTTACCAACCACTTCCTTTCTCCCATACCAAGCTGTTACTAAACTAGGGCTGTAGCTTTCAGTTGAGGAAACATGACGGTTGATTATTGTTTCTAATAATAGCTATTATTAGAAGTCAGCTATTTCATGGCATTGGTTTCCAGTCATTCACACCTCATTTAATCATGCCCTGCATCACCTTGTTGAGTTGTTAATGCTGTTTATTTCTCAATTTTTCTTTTACACTACATTGCTAAGTCCCCCCATCTTCCTCTTCATAGTGCTTTCCCTACCCTCTGAGTACTTGCTTCTTCATGCTCTGGCCAAGGAGAGTGGTGTTTTGGCAGACTGTTTTATACATGTACACTTATATGCCAATCATCATTAGTTAGAAAGGAATTGGTGAAAATGCTCTTATGTTATGAGAGACATGTTCAACATCACAATAGTCTGAGAAGATGAATTAACAATTTATGAGTGTTGCTGGAAAGTATGATTTCAGGCGATTAGACTATAGGGGCAAAGCCATTGCCGGCTTATGCTGTTGGAATCACATCTTAGTAGTTACATAATGCCATCAGGACCAGTACGAGACTGGTTTGGTGATTGAGCCCATTTCCTGGGATTTGTTCCTATGTATTGCAGACAGATGTCCACGCTTAGGTGTGCATGCTCCTGTCATGCATGTACACATAATTTTTAAAAAAGGAGTCATAGTGCATATCCTATTATATACTTGCTGTTTTTCCCCCATTGCTCTCTATTCTTTAGTTCACTCATTTAAATAAGATAAACATTTTAATGAAATCATATTCTTTGCAGTAACTTGGATGGAGCCAGAAGCCATAATCCTAAGTGAATTAATGCAGGAACAGAAAACCAAAGACTGGTTTGGTCTGTTCTGCTGAGACCTAGTGGAGGAGGCTAGTCCAAAATAGTAGTCTCCCATAAACTTTCTTTAACAGAATATACACACTTAAAAATTTTGTACATGTCGTCAGGTTGCTTTTAGTACCACTCTATATTTTTTATCTACAGTATTTAATAGTGTCAGTTTCTCCTGCACTGTTAACTATTAGTCTTTTAAATTTTTCCTAGGTTGATGAAAAACACTTCATTGCTTTAATTTTAATGTTTTTACTCTAATTTGGACATCTTTTTTTTTTTAGACAGACGATTGCTCTGTCTCCCAGGCTGGAGTGCAGTGGTGTGATCTCGGCTCCCTGCAGCCTCCACCTCCCAGGTTCAAGCAATTCTCTGCCTCAGCCTCCTGAGGAGCTGGGATTACAGGCGCCTGCCACCATGCCTGGCCAATTTTTGTATTTTTAGTAGAGATGGAGTTTCACCATCTTGGCCAGGCAGGTGTTGAACTCCTGACCTCATGATCCACCTGCCTTGGCCTCCCAAAGTGCTGGGATTACAGACATGAGCCACCGCGCCCGGCCGACATCTTCTTATTAAATTTTTATTAAATTAAATCTTACTAAATTTTATTAAATATAAAATCTTTTATCATTAGTTTTCAAATGTACAACAATGATTTATTTTTCCTGTTTTGGCCGTTTCAGAATACTTGTAGTTTTCCTGAAAATTTATGACTTCTTAAATATTCTCTTTCGACGTGTGCCTGCCCCACCTCCTTCCCCGCAGCTAATTCCTATACCTCTTTGGAGAAGTAGCTTAGGGATGCAGGTGGAGCTTGGATCAGTCTACCTGTTAGTCACATGCTTTACTTGCATCCCACTATTAGCTGTTCATTTATAGAAAGGGGATGGTTGCAGAGTCTGGGCAGGGATGGGTCAGCTGTGGCACTGTGGTCCTGGAGAGTCATACCCTACTCTTGGACAAAAATGTTTCTCTTAGCAGAGAACTGGAGTGAGCATATTTTTTTTACTCTGCTTTCTCTAAAGGCAATTTTAATTTTTAAGTCAAATATATGGGAGGTAGGGATAAAGGAGAAATGGAAAGATAATAGAGTTTTAGCAGTCTAGGGGTCTATTTCCTACACAAGGGCTTGGAAATGATAAGACTAATCCTGAAATATTTTCAGTGCTGGATTTCACCTAACCTCCTAGCAAGCTTGGAGTTCTCTGGGACTTGGGGAGCAAGAAATTTAAGGAAGCTGACAATAAGGAGGAAGGTATCTAACTTCTGAGTAGAGATGGCTTGATGGTGATGATACTTGTGAACTAGGGTTAACATACAGCAGTGACAGCATTGTAAAGTCTGTCAGTGGTGAGAAAAGATGACAGTGACCTTGAAGGAGAGAGGCTATCTAACGAGAACATACTTATGCGTGTTGGGGAGTGTAAACGCCTACCTAGACTTTCTGCTGGGTTATTTAGAATGTTGAGAAGTTAATAGATTCATATTGTTGCATGCATAAGTTTTTGTCCTACTATTTGGGATGGATGAGGAAAGAGCTCAGAAAAGAAACAGGTTACAGTAACAGCCCTGTTGGTCTTGTTTGTTGTTTTTCCGGTACCCTTTGGCCATTTTTATCAAGTAATTTTTGTATTTTCTTTTTCATCTGCCGGTATGTTATTTTTACCATTTTGAGTGATGTCTGTGGAATAAGAAATGTTTGTAAATATTTTGTGACTTACATGGTAAGCTTGACTAGGTTTACACAAAGTCATTTTGTACTACCATTTGTCTGATTTCTACAAATACATTATTTGGGGGTATTCTTTAATTTTTCTTTCCCCTTTTGTCCTTAATTCCTCTTCCCCTGTTCCTCCAGTTAATTGAGTTACTGGTTTTATTTTTTAAATCCATATATGTGTGTGTGTATATATATATATATATATATATATATTTTTTTTTTTTTTTTTTTTTTTTTTTGGCAGAGTGTTGCTCTGTCGCCCAGGCAGGAGTGCAGTGGCGTGATCTCGGCTCACTTCAGCTTCCACCTCCAGGGTTCAAGCGATTCTCCTGCTTCAGCCTCCCGAGTAGCTGGGATTACAAGTGCGTGCCACCGCACCCGGCTAATTTTTTTGTATTCTTAGTACAGATGGGGTTTCACTGTGTTGGCCAGGCTGGTCTCTAACTCCTGACCTGAAGTGATCTGCCCGCCTTGGTCTCCCAAAGTGCCGGGATTACAGGTGTGAGCCACCATGCCCAGCCCATATATTCTTAATTTCTTGAGTAAGCCCTTGATTTCTCATGTGACCTTTTTTCTGATCCCTTAAATTAAAAAATTTTTTTGAGATGCATTAATGTAAATTTTATCCATTTATTTATTTGTTTCATTTTGTCTCTCAAGTTGGTTTATAGAGATTTATCAACTGTATGGCAAGAAATGCAAAATAAAAATATAAAAGACCTAATATAAAAATCTAATATTTATTTCCGGTGGGGCCCAAATACTCTGTAAACTTCTTAGTAGATGATGCAAACAAGGAAAACTTGGTCAATTTATGCCCATAAAATTTGAAAACAAACAAACTTTTAAGAAAAGCACAACAATTCCTGGTACTAAGATCAGAAGGAAACTTCTCTTCAGAGGCCTTATAAACAGGACCCTATGTAATGTAATAAACAGTGCCCTCAACAGTCTTCCTACTGTGGACACACCAACAAATTTCAGAATGCCCCTGTATAGGCCAAATGCATCATACCAGAGCACCTTCATTAAGGCAGTTAATTGGTGGGAGATGAGGATATTGAGTGAGGACTATTCAAAATGGTCTGACTTAAAAAGGGAAAAGATTTTGGAATAATTAGAAGAATGGAGATACTGCATATTCTTTAGGCAATCTTCCATAAATACCTGTTTTGTTCACAGTTAGTACAAGGTTACTGGCATAGGGTAGGTTATCAAGAAATGTTTTCAGAGTAAATACTGGGTTGCATTGGGTTTGAAATTACATTTGTTGGTGCACATCATTGAAGGTAGAGTGATAAGATTTTCATGTTGTTCAGGGAGACTAGTTGGCTACTCAGATGGGTGGCTAGAGTGTACTTTGCCCTAAACAGTGCAGGGCACATCCTGAAAAGTTTTGTTCTCTAGGCTCCCCTTTCCTATTCTGAATCCAGGCACACACTCTAAAAATCTTTAACCTTTAATCTTTTCTCCACCATTCTTTTTTGTGTATGGTGTAAGGTGTAACCCTGACAAACTTTTTTTCCCCCCCAAATGGACAGCCAACTGTCCTAACACTACCTATCCCTTCTACCAAAAATGTCAGTTTCAGTCATTCAGTCATTTAACCTAGTGTTCTTTTTCTGACATACGTAGTGTTCTTTTTGTGACATACCATTTGTCAACTGACAGAAAAAGAACACTAGATTAAATAGTCTACTTTAAAAGTATTTTTAAATAAGGAGATATAGTTTAAATTTCGAATATCTGTGAATCTTCACTCCCCATATCTTTTTTGCCATGCTATCAAGACATAGTTAACTCCTAGTTATAATAAATACAGTGCTTATCTGGTATAGATGCCACTGCTTTACAAGAGTAAAAGAACATATGTAAAAGTGCTGTCCATGGGCAGCAGTTCAAGGGGTAATTTTAATTCGTACCACAGGTATACATACACATTGTAAACTGCTTTAGTGGCTTAATGGTTGTATTTTGACATTGTAGTCAAATTTGATACTCCCACCCCAACCCTCACTTTTATGCTCATTCTAGCAAGTGCTGGGAATGCTAAAAGCAGAATACATAGCCCCTTGAAGAACAATATACTTAAAAAGTGATCACCTTAATACAGACATGAAAGTTTCCTCTCAGCATTAAGCTAGAGTTTAGGTGCTTGGAATGATTGAAATTGATTTTTTAGGTAGAAGGGCCAGATGGTGTTGGGACAGTTGGCCGGCCATCCATTTGAAAAACACAAAAAATGTATGTCGTCAGGGTTATACTTTACACCGTACACAAAAAAGAATGGTGGAGAGATTAAAGATTAGACTGTTCAAAGAAAAACTCAGAAAAATACTAAGACAAAAATACAAATAATTTTTATTTAGTTTTGGGGATGGAAAGGCTTTTTTTTTTTTCTTTAAGCTATGAATAGGACTTTATGGAAAGGCTTTTTTGACATGACACACAACTCAAATGCCATAAAAGGAAAAGATGGATAGATTTAACTATATAAAATATTTATGGTTCTGCCTTCTGAAAGACTCTACAAATAAAATTAACATAATATATGGTAGAAAAGTATTAGCCTGTATGGAACATAGAGGGATAATTTTTCTTACTATATCAAGTTCTCTTAGACATTAGTAGTACATAACAAATACCCCAGTAGTCGAAGTGTATGAATAGTCAATTCATGTAGAATAAGGGCTGTGAAGATATGAACCCTGACTAGAAGCCTCTGCTGTAAAGACAGAACCTTCTTTAAGTCCGATATAAAACAAAAGGATGAAGAATTACAAAATGTATGCTTTGGTAGGGCAGTGAAGAAATTAAAATATTAGAAAAAAGAGTAAGAGTTGAATACTGGCCATTGTTTTAGAGGTAATTGAGGAAGCGTATTTTATATACTCGTGGGTAATTTTACTACTTTAAAGGTGGAAAAAATATTTAAAATAATGAAATAAATAGAGAAGGGATTCCTGCTGTTCCTGATTTAACACACAGGACAACAGATAAATGATTATGAGCTTATACTTAGCCTAAGTTTGTGTGGAAACTGTTAGTTTCTTCCAAGATAAGTGTTTCCTAGATAACTGAAAATCTACTATTGTTTTAATTCACTTTTTCTTGTGCTTCTGCATAAACATATTTAATATATGCCTTTGGTGTCCCAATGAAGTTCACCTTTTACAGTTGGTTTGAAGCCCTTCCCTAGAGGTTTGCCAACGTTATTTCTATGTGGAAATCCATTCAGAACCCAGCTTCTGAAACCTTTGCTTTGGGGACACCTTGTTCTGTAATGAAATTATCTGAAAAGGCCGGGCGCGGTGGCTCATGCCTGTAATCCCAGCACATTGGGAGGCCTAGGTGGGCGGATTACCTGAGGTTGGGAGTTCGAGACTAGCCTGACCAACATGGAGAGACCCCGTCTCTGCTAAAAATACAAAATTAGCCTGATGTGGTGGTGCGTGCCTGTAATCCCAGCTACTCGGGAGGCTGAGGCGGGAGAATCACTTGAACCCGGGAGGCGGAGGTTGCCGTGAGCCAAGATCGCACCATTGCACTCCAGCCTGGGCAACAAGAGTGAAACGCCATCTAAAAATAAATAAATAAATAAATAAATAGTCTGAAAAAGTTCTCACCCAGGAGATAACTCTCCTCTCCTATTTTACACATCTCCCTTTGATTTGCCAGTGTAAAGCAATAACCTTAGCAGAATGATGTCTTCTGTCATAATCTATTTGTCTTCATAAGGGCATGACTCAAAGAGGTCTGTAGAATCTGTTTTTTAGTGCCGGGTGAAATAACTAAATATTTCGTTTTAAAAGGAAGGAATTAATCAGGAACCTTTTATGATTCTAGCTACTACTGGGCTGTAAACAGTGATGCCAGCAAAATGTTACTTCAGCTGATGAAGTGATGCTGTTTCGAGAATTTGAAAGCAATTTTTCAGTGGATAAAGAAGTTGACAGCACGATTTGTTGGATGTGATGAAGGATTAATGAGCATACACCTTCACTTGTATTAGCTTAAGATGGAATGGTTCTGGGCAATATAAAATAACAGGTTTTCCAGTTTATTTTTATTACTGTACTTGCTTGTTTATAATATTAGGCATATTAATTAACACCTATGAAGCCCATTTGGTATGCTAAGCACTGTTCTAATGTTTTACATGAATTGTCTCGTTTAATCTTCATGTCAACACTTATGTAGGCATCATTGTTATGTGTTTTATAGGTGTAGAAAACTGAGGTACAACGAAGTTAGGTAATTTCAAAAAGTTAACATAACTGGAAAGTGGTAGTGTTAAAAATAATTTGAGGGTTTTGATTCCAGTTTTCATGCTAACTTTAGTTGACTAAAGGAAGGATACATTGTCTAATTTAATCACAAACGCAGCTATGTGAGGAAGGATTTTTAGAGTTCTCAGAGCCTAAGTTTTCTTAAGTGCCTAAAAAAATGCCTTGGTTAAGGAAGATATTTATGGTAGAAATGCTTTGTTATTGCCAATTGCTTTTATCAGGATTTTGGACCTAAGTTACCTGTTAGGTGCTAAAATATTTTTAAAGATGATGAAGCATCCAAGTGCTGCTTGTTCATTTACACTTTTATTAAGTAATTGTGAACATTAATTATGGTTTAACTAAGAAGCACCAATATTAATACTTTTGGTTTTCAGAGTTTCAAAGCCGCAATTTTGAGTTGTTCGGCCTGTTTAGTGACAGTCAAAAAATAAATGCCATGCACGAGAATTTCAGCACTATGAGCAGTGATAGAAGAGAACCAAGAAGAAGTGTATACCTTTGGAAAATGTGTTTCCTGTTATAGACACATAGAAGGACCTGTTGCCCTTGATGATTCTGCAAAGCTATAAAAGCTGGTACTTGAAAAACATGGTGTAAGAAACCCAAATCACAGAAAGACTCTAAGACCAGCTTTCTTACCATGGTGACGCATTGAAGCACTAAGTGTTTGAGCACATCTCACAGGATGATCTAGCTATAGAATTGACAAGATTTTGCCCTAAGATAGTTGAGAGAAGCAAATGTATGCTTTCTTCCATGGCATAATTTTACCTATTTACCTTTTATGTGAAATTAGCCCGAATCAGGAGTCACAGCTTAACCTGTTTATATGGGTGAAACTTTCCATATTGTGAGATGTTGTTTTTACTAGCAAAGTAACAAGAAATGAAGAACCTTCCAGAGTTTGTAACTTACTGCCTTGCTATGAAAATGATACTTCAGATACAGTGATGTGTTTATAATGTCTCCTTTTGCGTAGGATAAATGCTGTATCTGTATATGTATGGGCAAAATTCAGAAAACTATTAATCATACACAATGTATACAGACATACGTATATTCTCATTCTCCCTCTCTCCCTCCCCCTCCTTCCACCTGCCTCTCTCCCCCGCTTTCTTTCTTATTTCCTTTGTTTCCCAAAATGAATTCTACCTTTATTAACTCAGTTGAATTTTCAGCAAGTGTCTACTAATTGAGACAGAATCTACTGTTCTTCAGTGCCGCTACTTAACTATATGCTCATCTCTTTCTACTCATATCTCTGTTTTATATTTTTACTTGGGACGTTATTGCATGGTAATTAAGAATACTGGCCTAGGAATCTGACCGGTTAATGTTTCAATAACTGACCAGTAGCTTGATTCCTTCAACAAATATTTCAGTGCTTATTGTATTAGGCATTGTTTTAGGCACTTAAGAAAATCTAGGCTCTGAGAAGTTAACTGTAAAAGCCCTTCCTCATGTAGCTGTGTTTAGGATTAAGTGAGATAATGTATATAATTGCTGAGCACGTTGGAATCTGTCGATTTATGTAAACTATTTCTTATTATCTTCAAACCTTTTAATGACTTGGAACTCTCAAAGTGAAAAAGTAAGTATGAACAGGTATAAATTTATTTTTTTAATTTTTATTTTTTTTTGAGACGGAGTCTCGCTCTTGTCGCCCAGTCTGGAGTGCAGTGGCGTGATCTTGGCTCACTGCAACCTCTGCCTCCCAGGTTCAAGAGATTCTTCTGCCTCAGCCTCCCGAGTAGCTGGGATTACAGGCTTGCGCCACCATGCCTGGCTAATTTTTGTATTTTTATTAGAGATGGGGTTTTGCCATGTTGGCTAGGCTGGTCTCGAACTCCCAACCCCAGATGATCCACCCGCCTCGGCCTCCCAAAGTGCTGGGATTACAGGCTTGAGCCATCACACCCGGCCTAAACTCTTTTCTTGAATTAAGTTTCAGGATTGACAGCCTTCATTATAACATGTCCCATGTAATTAGCATCATGACCACTATCACAAACATACTGATAAATATAGTACAGGACCCAGATTTCAGCACCTGTTACATAGAGCCATTTGTTTTTTTCCCCTCTTATCCGTAGCTGCCCTCCACAAATATGGATAATGGACCGAGAGTAGACTGTGCTGTGTCTGCCCATACTCTGAATCATATTGCCAATCTCCTACTCATCCTGCCTCTTGAGAATCCTGAGCACAGGACACCTGAGATAGCAAAAGGTCCTTCCTGTAGTAAAAGGCTTACAGAGTCAAATGGCTGGAGCGGTGTGAGAATATGGACTCAGGAACTTTGGAATTGGGAGTACATTTTAGATTAGAAGATAGCATGTAAAGGAAGAAGGAGAGAATTTTTGTGGGTCAGGCATCTGGGCATGGCTCAGGTGGGTCCTCACAAGGTTGCAATTAAGATATTGGTCAGAGCTACAGCCTCATCTGAAGGTTCAACTGGGGAAGCATATGCTGCCAAGCTCACTCACACAGTTGTTGACTGGACTCAGTTCCTTACTGGTGGTCGAACCGAGGACCCTGGTTTCTTCCTGGCAGTTGGCCAGAGGCTGTTCTCCATTCCTTGCCATGTGGACTTCTCTGGCTTGCTTCAGAGCAAGCACATGAGAAGAGCCAGATAGTGTTCCAGCTGGAAAGGAGTATTAGCAAGACAGAGTCACAGCTTTTGTAACCTAATTGCAGAAGTGACATCTCATCCCTTTTTCAGTATTCTGTTTATTAGAAGCAAGTCACTTGGTCCACCCCACACTCAAGGGGAAGGGGCTACACAAGGGTACAAATAGCAGGAGTTCATGAATCATTGGATGGCCATCTTACAAATCCACCTATCACCTACCTACTGAAAGCCTTCAGTAAGCTTTAAGAGCATACAGGAGCCCTGACACCCAAAAATTAGAGAACTGCTGATCTAAATGTATGTTACATTGGTGGAACATGTATGGGAGATATAATACCTTCCTTAAAAAGTTCTTCTCTAGGATAAGATCTTGGGCCTTGGAAGCCTGTATATGGGGAGTGCAGGTAAAATCAGGAAAGCCTCCCCTTTTTGTCAACTTCAGTTTCTGGAGAGAGGGATCTTAATACTACATAGCTGTCTTCTAACATCTTTTAGGAAGTAACACAACTATGACAGGAACAGTAGTGAATGTTAGAAAAAATAAAAGGTCTGAGAGAGGAGAATAGGAGCATATTCTTGCAAAGCAGAAATAAAACTTTTTAAAAAAATCCGTGCCCTTCAGTGAAACTTTTTTTTAAAGGATCTTTGTATGTTACCTTATGGGAAACTCTAGAAATCAACTCTAAAAATGAAATTTTGAGTAACAATTTTTAGAATGGTTGTTAAAATGGCTAAAAGCTATTATGTGACTCAAATTTCTTTTTTTTTTTTTGTTTGAGACAGGGTCTCATTCTGTCACCCAGCTGGAATGCAAGTGGCATGATCGTGGCTCAGTGCAGCCTTTACCTCCTTGGGCTCAAGTGATCCTCCCAACTCAACCTCCCGAGTAGCTGGGACCACAGGTGCACCACCACCATGCCTGGCTAATTTTTTTTTTTTTTTTTTTGAGATGGAGTTTTGCTCTTGTTCCCCAGGCTGGAGTGCAATGGTGTGATCTCAGCTCACTGCAACCTCCACCTACCCGGTTCAAGTGATTCTCCTGCCTCAGGCTCCCGAGTAGCTGGGATTATAGGCATGCGCCACCACACCCAGCTAGTTTTGTGTTTTTAGTAGAGACGGGGTTTCTCCACATTGGTCAGGCTGGTCTCGAACTCCTGACCTCAGGTGATCCGCCCACCTCAGCCTCCCAAAGTGCTGGAATTACAGGCATGAGCCACCACACCTGGCCCAGCTAATTAAAAAAAAAACTTTTTTTGTAGAGATGGTTTCACTGTATTGCCCAGGCTAGTCTCAAACTCCTGGGCTTAAGCAGTCCTCTTGCTTTGGCCTCCCAAAGTGTTGGAATTACAGGCGTGAGCCACTGTCCGTGGCTCAACTCAAATAATTTCTGAAAATTGTGATAGGATTTTATTGTTTATGGTAGTCATTCAGTCTGAACAAGAAGCTATGTTTTTCATACTCAGTCCTTACTAAATGGACAGACAAAAAAATACTTTCTGAAAATCTAAGTTTATTTCTGCTTACAAATCTAAAAATAAGCAAGGTTATTGAGAAGAATTTGATGTCAGTTAAACTGTATTGTAATATCTAAGATTCATGTACAAAAATAGAAGTAATGATAATAATGATAGAACATTAAACAACAAATGAGCCCTTCTATCAGATTTATTGTTGTTGAGAAGGTTGTCCTTAAGTCACTTTGAATTTTTTTTTCATGAAGACCCACCTAGGAGATTTCTTTCAAATCCTAAATACCTGAAAAAAGTTTTGCTTTTCTTGAGAAATCAAATGCTGCTGTTCCCCCTTTCCTCCTAAAGCAAAGTTTAGAACATTTTCTTCTTTGCTTTAGCCACCAGGAGTCTTAGTGCCAAGTTTATGCCTCAGTTGAATAACTTTACATATTTACATTCGAAATATATGCTCATTTAATCTTCTATATTGTTCCTTGTTTCTGATTTCTGTGTGTTTTACTTTTCTCTTTAGGTCTTTGCTTAAAAAATATTGAATGAAATTATTATTATAAAATTTTTTAGTGAACTTAGAAAATTGTTAGCTTCACAAATAATCTAAGAAGTATAAATTAACACTGAGAAACATTTAAAATCAGATTGTAAGAAATGAAAATAATGATGATTTTCAGTGCTGACTGACAAATGCAGTAAATTGGACACTCATATCTGTTAATGGAAGTGTAAACCTGTGCAGTCTTTTTGTAGTGACTTAAAACATATACCTTAAGGAAATTCCTTAAGTTTGGAAAAAGCTATGAACAAAGGTGCTTATCTGTCCTTCATTTTAAAAAGGTGAAATTTGGAAATAACCTAAATGGAACTGTTAAATGAGCTATTATATACCTATGTACTTTATGGAAGGAGTAATACTGTATTTTTAAAAATCATCAAAATGAAACTGACCCAGTAATCCCATAGACAGTAAATCGATTAGTTTATACTTTTAGATGCTTTAGGATATAAATAAATTGGTAACTATGAACCACGTGCTATAGAGTTTAATGCTAAATGTAATTTTACAAGTAAATCAGGTTATATATATATGTGTGTGTGTGTGTGTGTGTGTGTGTGTGATTGAATTTTTTTTTTTTCCTTAAAGAAACAGGGTCTCACTCTGTCGCCCAGGATGAAGTGCAGAGGTGAGATCAGGGCTCACTGCACTCTCAACCTTCTGGGCTTAAGTGATGTAACTGCCTCAGCTTCTCAAGTAACTGAGACCATAGGCGTGTGCCACCATGCCTGGATAATTTTGTTTTATTTTTTGTAGAGACGGTTGCCCAGGCTAGTCTCAAACTCCTGGCCTTGAGTGATCCTTCTGCCTCGACCTCCCAAAGTTCTGTGGGATTACAAGTGTGACCTGCCACACCCAGCCTGTGATACAATTTTTATATCTCCGAATTTTAAAATGTTTGGATTTGTAAAGGATTCTTCTAAAATGGCATATATTCTAATCTTTACCTAAATTTCCTCGTTACCCAACTTTTTCCTCATCCAAAGCTTCTTTTTGTTGTTGTTTCAAACCTGAAAATATCCATCCCCACTTGAGTTTCAGTTTTGAGCTATATAGTACTTACTAGGCTTCTATCAATTGGAACATTGACCTGTTTATAGTTTTTTTTTAAAATTCTGTCTATAATACAATGATCCAGTATACATACTATTCCATACTGTTAACTTTGGTGTAGGAATTCTGTTGTTGGTCAGTAAGGTAAGTGGAATATGTCTTTATGACTTATTGGAAAAGACAAACCTAGCTTGGCTTTTCTACGTGTTTTACATATGTACCTTTGAAAAGGTATGCTTAAATATTAAACAAAAAGTACAAGTAGAATATTTATACCATGCAATCAAACTGTGCAGATTTTGAATGTTTAAATTTTGCCATGTTTAACTTTTTTAAGGTTGCATGCAGAGAGATAAAACAACAATGGACACTAGTCAGATTCTCATAACCAGTGAGGGGGAAGTATCTTTTTCTAATAATAGAATGATCTTTGGTTTGTGAAAAGAGGTGTGTAGTTGGAAGTTAATGTATTTTTCTTTACAGAGTATACAGCAGTTTACTCCTTTTAACCTGTTATCAGATTTATTTTGGAAAGAATTGTGTGAGTAATGTTCTGAATTTAAAAAAGCATTGCAGGAAATTGATGTGTGATTATTCTTTTGAGTACAGTGCCCTTTAAGAACTCAGTGGGTAGTTATGTTTACTTGTTTAACTGCATCACATTTATTCATGATAGACAAGACAGCAAGTTAGTAGATGAACTTAATGGATGAATTTGTTTTGCTTTGTTATACCTTGCAAGAAAGCACAAAACAATCATCTAAGGCTTTATCGTCTAATTTCCATCAGGTACTGTGTTACACTGATTTGCATACATTGCTGGACTTATTTTTAACAGCCCCCTGAACTTTAAATAGAAAAGGTAGCTCCTATCCTGGAAGAACTCACAGTTCGGTAGGGAAAGGGAGGCAAGGAGCAGGAACAGATGAGTCAACTGAAATTATAATACCCTGTGATAAATGCTGTGAAGGATATAAATCCTGTATGCTATGGAAGTAATGGAATAGGTTCACTTAACCCAGTAGTTTGTGGGGAGGAGGGAGAGGAAGAGTCAAGAAAGACTTCTCAAAGAAGATCCCCAGAGCTGAGGGATAATAGGAATTAGGTTGGGATAAGGCGGTTGAGGGGAGTATGTTCCTTGTAGTACTGAACAAACACAAGAGCATCTAAGAGCATTTCAGTCTTTTAACTACAATAATAGGTAACATTTAATATACAGTGCTTATTATGTGCCAATTGCTATTCCAAGTGCTTTGTATTTTCCATGTATTAACTCCTTTAATTTTCATAACAACTTTATTATGTAGGTATTATAATTATCCCCATTTTACAGATGAGGAAACTGAGGTACAGAAAGAGAAAATAACTTGTCTAGGATCACATGATGAGAAAGTAGAAGAACTAGGATTTAAACCCATGTTGTCTCATTTCGGAGTTTTGGCTTTTATTATGAGAAAAGTTAAACTCTGGATTGCACCGGAGATAAGTACCTGGGGTGAGAAAACCTTTTCAATTAATTCTTCTTACTGAAACACATATATTATTTTCTTAAAATCTGAAGCAGTGGATCCTATCCATTTTTTTCTGCCTCTGTAAGAATGTTTGGCATCCTTTATCTTCTCATCTCCAAGCTTTCCCTAGTAACCAGCCCTCTTAAACTTCAGCATTCTCGAACTTCTCCCTTCTGTTTTCTCTAGATACCAGCCTTTTGCTTCCCCTTATCTCCAGACTTCTTTGTAAACTCCTCTAAACTCCCTGCCTCTGCTATATAACTTTCATTCCCTCCTCATCCCATTGAAATCTGGGTTCTAAAGAGAGATTTATGAGGAAACTTGCTAGGCAGTGTAGGGTTATGCCTTCTTTTTGTTTTTCTAATAGTGCTTGACAGGTCAAGGTGTAGAAGTAGGAGTGGAGATGGCAGCCCTCCAGGATTGGGGTCTTTGTTAGGATGTGGAACAGAAGGACAGGGGAGCAAGGGAGTGGAAAGTCTTGACAGGAATGTCATTCATGGACCCTGTGGTCTCAGTAGAATTTAGAAGGAAGTGAAGACGGGAGTGAATTGATGGTCTAGGGGAAAATGGAAGAGCAGGAGGTCAGGTGAATTGCAGAAAAGCTCTTTAATGGGAGTAAAAGAGCCAGAGGTCTGGGAGTATTGAGGTAGTATTGGGAGAGTTTAAAGTTTTAGAGGAGGAACTGTCCTGAGTGATACATTTCAAGATCTGGTGGTCATTGGTGTGAATGACTGAAGTGACAGTCGTGAGAGTTCATGCTGACTCACCTACAGTGAGGATGGGCCTTGTGTGTGCAGTGGAGCACTGTGATGAGCAATGAAATAATGAAAGCATCATTTGCAAGATGGTGTTACCTTTGCCCACTTCTTGCTGTCAGATGGTAGATACTTATTTCATTAACAGGAGTTATGTTTATTTTTGTAATTGACATTTTATTCTTGTTTGCATAGAATAATGCAAAATCTTCATTGAAAAGGAGCAGTATCTGTAGTATCAAATTCTTTTGTGTGTCATTTTTTTTTTCAGTATATTTTCTAACATAACACTTAACATTAGCAGTATTTTGACCTTTTCTGTCATTCTGGACAATCTGTTCTGGCATTTTCCTTCCGGAAAATAGAGAAGAGAAAAAAATATGAGATGAAGAACAAATGGTTGGGCACTCATCTTTAATTTTGATTGTTAGAATTGTTTAGGTTGTTAGAATTCTGGTTGTTAGAATTGTTGTAGATGTTTGGGGAACATCCATCATGGATCAGATAGAAAAGAAAACAGTGTTTTTGGCTTATTATTACTTTGCTTTTTGTTTTAATTTTATATAGTTATAATGTTACAAATATTTCTCAATTTAAATTATAGTGTTTAAATTTTAGGTAAGAATGGAAAATGATGCCTGTTAACATTTTTATTCTTGAGAATGTTGCCACAGGAACATTAGAGAAAAAAAGTAATCTTGTGTTTTGAGAGAATTCATTTGTTGTTGACATTCCCCTCAGAGGATACTACTTTGATATGTACAAATAACAAAGGTAGCAATATGGTTTGTTGGTTTTCTTTAAACTTTGGCATAGCCAAACCTTTAGTGGACCCTGGAGGCATTTTCTTATCAACAAAGTGGATCAAACTGACTCTAAAAGTGGTTTCTAGTAATCTGGTAAACAGAAGAAACATATAAGGGCCCAGCATATCCTAAACATTTCAATTTTCTGATATACTAGAGCACTGTTTTTAAAAATGGATTTTAATAACATTGTCTTCTTAGTTATAAGTTATTTTATTTCTCCAAATTTTGTTACCTTCCCTAATTATGCTCAGTTTAGGAGCATAAATGAACACATATACACAGACTTTATTTTGCTGGAATTCTAAAAGCAAATTAAGACATTATTTTAGTAGTTTCAGAATTGTGTTCCTCAAGAGAACAGTAAAGATTTAAGTAACAACAGTTTTGGTTAATAACAGTGAAATTTTCTTTTTGTGAGGTGTATTATAAGAACATCTCATATGAGTAGAACATGAGGTATTTTAGCTTTAAAGCTAATCTTGGGCCAAGTGTGGTGGCTCATGCCTGTAATCCCAGCACTTTGGGAGACAGAAGCAGGTGAATCACTTGAGCCCAGGAGTGTGAGACCAGCCTGCCCAACATGTGAAACCCCCATCTCTACAAAAAAATCCAGAAATTAGCCGGTGTGGTAGCAAGCGCCTGTGGTCCCAGCTATTCAGGAGGCTGAGGTGGGAGGATTGATTGAGCCCAGTAAGTCAAGGCTGCAGTGAGCTGAGATCATGCCACTGCACTCCAGCCTGGGTGACAGAGGGAGACCTTGTCATAAACAAACAAACAAATAAATAAATAAATAAAATTAAGCTAATCTTGAATTCATTTGTACTTAACTAATTAGGCCTAGTATTTGTCAAATTCATATATTATTTGGTAGAGTATGGAGGGAAATATACTTAAGTGTTAGTTTGGAGAGGTAGTTTTAGTATGTTATTGGGGAATTTTTACTTTTGACTTTCCCTCATGGTCTCTGTATATCAAGTACTAGGAAAACAGCATTTTTCCATTAAAGGGCTCATACTTCTTGGAACTTCTGGTCTGACAGGCTGATCTTGTTTGTGTGACTACATAGGCTATGTTTAGGTTTCTTTACGTATTAGGCTTTACAAAGAAGATGAAAACACCATATCACTTTTGTCATCACGGAACATATTACAGGTTTCATAATGGATAACGTAAAATAATTCAGCTCACTGTATTTTTTGTTTCTTCGTTATATCTTTTTTTTTTTTTTTAAACAGAGCCTCACTGTGTCGCCCAGGCTGGAGTGCAGTGGCACTATCTTGGCTCACTGCAACCTCTGCCTCCCAGGTTCAAGCAATTCTCCTGCCTCAGCCTCCCGAGTAGCTGGGATTACAGGTGCATGCCACCATGCTTGGCTAATTTTGTATATATATATATATATATAGTTTTAGTAGAGACCGGGTTTCACCATTTTGGCCAGGCTGGTCTGGAATGCCTGACCTCAAGTAATCCACCTGCCTCGGCCTCCCAAAGTGCTAGGATTACAGGTGTGAGCCACCGCTGCAAGTCTCTTCTTCATATCCTGATTATTTAAATCAAATGTATTTCTTTTCTGAGGTCTTGGAGTTTTCCCCATGTTTTAAAATGTGTTTCCTTACCTTTTAACTTATAACAGAATCCCTTTAAGACGCTTTTACAAATGAAGGCCATGCTATTTGCTATTAGGATTATCTGAACAGACCAACAGAGAGTATATTTGACCAACAGTCCAGGTTTCATGTGAAGAAGGAGAAGCACGTATGTTTGTAGTTCTTTGTAGTTTGTGCCTACAAAACAGCAGTCACCACTAAAATACTTATTTGAAATATTTTAAAGTGCTGAGATTACATGCGTGAGCCACCGCGCCCGGCCTGAATCTGTTTTTAATGTTAATTTTTTATTTTTCTCACTGAAGGGGAACCAGCGCCCTATTAAACTCCATTGTTGGTAATTTGAGAACACAAACCAATTAATATCTATATTCTGAATAATTATATAGTTAAGGTGCAGCTTTTATTATATCTGGCTTTTTACTTTGTTGCAAACTCCAAACCAAAGAATGTTCATAACTGTCCTACAGCAGTGAAATGAATTAAAGTAATTCTGGTCATTAGAAAATCTTTAAATTATTTTAAGAATACGTAACTGACTGTGATAACTTCTTGTTTATAACAGGTTAACATGGATGACTAGTTTATAGCTTTTGATCTTATGTGTAATGACACTGGGAAGAAAACATGTATCCCTCTAAGGTAGCATTTCTGTTATTTCTATGCCCAAAGACTGTGCTGACCGCCATTTTGCCAGAAGCTTTGAACACTGTTGACTGATTGATGTGTACATCTAATTCAGATTTACATAATCTAATTGGACCCTTGGGTTCTTAAAAAATGGCCTTCTTTTATCACCATATGTGTTCATTACAATGCATATTTTAAAATGAGATGGCCCAAAGAGCATGCTATGATGAATTTACTGTTGAAATACTTGTGAAACTTGGATAAACCTAATTATCAAGGGACAGTTTCACTTAAGAGGGCAAAAGTTTCACTTCAAAGAAAAGCCTACTGCTCTTGCTTTTAATGGTTTGAATTATGTTTTTATCTTTCATCAGCCCAAGAGTTTGTACTTCAGGGTCAGAAACAAAACTTGGAGCCTCTGTGAATCCTGTAATCATTTACTAACTCTCTTGTAGAACAAGATGTCATTTTTTCCTACTATTCTGTTTCATTCTTTATTTTTCTGCCCCCCCCCCCCCAAACACACAGGAGAGTGGAACTTGGGATTATAATTGGTTAATGGGTTTTTTGGGTTTTTTTGGTCTTACTCTGTCACCCGGGCTGGAGTGCAGTGGTGCTATCTTGGCTCACTGCAACCTGTGCCTCTCAGGCTCAGGCGATCTTCCCACCTCAGCCTCCTGAATAGCTGGGACCACAGGTGCCTGCCACCACGCCTGGTTAATTTTTTGTATTTTTGGTAGAGACAGGGTTTCACCATGTTGCCCAGGCTGGTCTCAAATTCTTGAGCTCAAGTGATCCGCCGGCCTTGACCTCCCAAAGTGCTGGGATTATAAGCCTGAGCCACCACGTCCAGCCAGAATTTTTTATTTTTTAAGAAAGAAAGTTTATCTTAGGTCCTCCTTCCCCCATACCCCATTTTAATTTGGTGCCAGGTTTGCCTGTCTCTGTGGAGAAAAGAATAGAAATGTTGGCTGAGGGAAAGTTTTTATGTCTCCTCTAATACGTATTTCATTTTTTTCTATTTGCTCCTTGCTTTTCTAATACAGGTAGGATAAAGAGGCAACTTCAGGAATACCCAGACTTTAGCTCCATCTAGGAATTTTTATTGGTTTGTTTTTTGACTAGAGTGTAGAATGGAAGCTCTTTTGGCTGGGTTGGGTCCTTGGGCAAAATATTTCAGACTCCTGTATTATATGGTGAATTAAATTGCTTCACTGGCACTTTTTCTTTTTTAAAGCCTGTTCACACTTTATACAGTTTTTGAAGAGGAAAACTTTGGATAGTGCTCTTTCAAACCAGGCAAATGCCTCGGTTTCTTTTAAAAAATCTTTGTAAAATAATAATATTAGTCTGACTTAAAGGTTATGATGGAATACATATAAAACATTTGGGAGTCTCAATTCTATTTAATGTAGGTTCGATCAATGTTACTAATGTGCTTTAGCTGCAATATATTAATATTTGTTTCTTAGCATCCTGAGGCTAGCCACTTGCCTCTTGTTCACCTTACTAGTACAACTAAACTAGTGTCTGGCCCTGAAGGTGGGCAGAAAATATTCATTAAATTGAATTTTGATGTAGGGATAATTCTGTTTCTTTGTGTCTTGCCTAAGTTTAATTCATGTCATAGTCATGTTTCACATGTATCTTAATTCTTACTGCATAAAATGTTCATGCAAAAGGCAGTATTAATTTTACTCATTGTTAACAATCAGCAAGTACTATTCAGAGTCTGACTCATAACCATAGAGTATCTTGATGCTATAATCAGAAACATTTATTATCCCTGGCTTTAGCAGTTGAACTTACAGGATAATGTTTAGTTCTCATTATCAGAGAAAAAGGTGATTCAGGTAATTTCTTCATTTGTTCGTTTCTCTATCCCTCTACCCCAGTGTCTTGAAAAAATATTTAGCTAGAATGCTCAAAAATGGTGTGTTAGCATTCATTTTCTTCCATTAGGTGATTTTTGTTGACTATCATTAATAGCAATATGTAAGACTTACTATTCATTTGCCTATTTATTCATTCTACAACATTTATTGTTTTTCTACTGCCAGGAACAATTTGAAGTGCTGGATATATTTAGTGGGAATTGGTTTTCTTAGGCAGATTATCATCTGTTTGTGAAGCTTTTTCACAGTGTACGTGCCTGGCCCCAAATCTAGGAGATTCTTGTTTGGTATATTTGGTGTGGTGTAAGTTCAGGCATCTGTATTTTTACAGAGCTTTTCAAATGACTCTAATGCACGTTTGCTTTTGAGTACCATAGGAATAAAACAAGTCTCATTCAATAGGTACTCAAAATAGGTAAATGCAGTAAAGTTTCATAGATGCTGTAAGAGAAACTGTTGGTATAGTGTGGGCACAAAGCAAGAAGTCCTACTAGGTACCTCAGGAAAGGTTTCCTAAGAATAGAAATGCCTAGCTGAATCTTGTTCTCCTAAGTGTTTTAGAGTAGGTGGAACCCATGAATCTATAGATTAGCCTAAGTAAATTCCAGTATGCAGGGCAATGTGAACAAAAAGAGAGAGGTGTGAAACAGCTTACAGCATTTTGGAAATTGCAAGTAGTTGGCATGATTGAATTACTAGATGAGGATGGTTAAAAATAAGATAGTTTTTATGGTGCTGAAAACAAGCATACATTAAAGAATATGAAGAAAGGAGAATAAGAGTAGACTTGAACTTTAGAAAGATGACAGTGATGGTATGAAGCATAGATTGGAGTGGTATGAGAATGGAGGTAGGGAAATGGGTTGACATAGCCACAAGAATCCATACAAGAGCAATTCAGAGGCCTCAACTAAAGGAGTCGCAGTTGGAGAGGAAGAGGATTGGAAAAAAGAACCATAAGGAGGTGGAATCTTTGAGAATCGGTGACTGACTGGATTTAGGAGACAAGAAAGACGAAGTAATTTCTCACCTATATGAAGAATATGGTTGATGTGCCAAACATCAAGGTGAGGGTTTTAAGGGGATGATTAGGTTTTAAAAGAAGATAATGCAGATGGGAGGAGGAAATGGGAACAGGGAGGCATTTACCTTGGATAAGAGAAGGTGTAGAGAACATCTGTGTTTTTGCTTGGAGGGACTCACTCCTTTCCTACTTTTAGTCCGTGCTTACGGGGTGGTGTTTACTTTGCTTCAGGATTCAGGATTGTGTTCCCCTAGTTACATGGTTGGTTCAAGGTGGGCACATTACTCTAGTGAAGCCAGTCACAGCTTTTGCTTTTGTTTGAGCTGTAGGAGAAAGATTCTTTGTGCTTAAACCTAGGGGCTGATGAAGGATGAGAGTGGTTCTACAACTTATCTGGCCATCAACGGGAAGCCTGAGAATAAGAAAATACAAAGAGAGGCAAGCTGAGTGTGTTGGGGGTAGAAGAGAAGAGAGAGGGAAAAGGGAGAAGTATCAGGTTGTGAAGGCATTGCCTGAGTGTCAGAAATGAACTCTACTTCTGGCTATTCTAGTTCCTTGAGACAATAAATTTCTTCTTTTTTTTTTTTTTTTGCTGAGTTTGTGTTGGGTTTTCTGTTCTTTGAGATTGATAGGGTCCTAACTGGTATAGAAATGATAATAATTGTTGTTGAAGCAGGAGACTAGATGATGGAGATAACATAACTTTTTAGATGAAGAATTGTTGAGGATATTCACACCAAATAACTTTGAATTTCAACTTGAGAATAACTGAGGTTAAGTGAGTAACTGAAAGTCATGCAGCTGAGAGTAGAATTCAGATCTCAGAATCTTCAGCTTAGTGAGTTTATACCATATCATCTCACTTACGCCACCCGAAAAGTTACGAAATGATAGTCTTTGGATGTGTTGCCTTTGAATAAGGGAGAGTAATTTATTTATTTATTTTTTCCCCTTGGTGGTTGTATTTGGAAAACTTTGGGATGTAGCAGTACAATGACTTTCCTGCTCTGAAGAGCCTGAGTGAATGCCTATTGATATATTAGAGTCTGGGTGCACTGGTTATAACTACACAAATCTTTATTTTGAGGCAGTCATAATTTTGAGTTGCTTCAGGGAGAGAGATACTTATAAAGCAGTAAAAACCTGTCCGAATGTGACTGTACCTTTTCACTGTCTGGATGTGCTTGTGGAAAATGTCTCCCTAGGACCTTTAATTTTGTTCCTAAATTTACAACAGAGCCACTTCTTGATGCTATCTATTGCTCAAGGTACTGTTGGCGATAAGATTGTTATTAAGTTGGGTAGGTGAGCTGTAGACTGTGTCCTGCAGGGAACCATTTATTGTTTTGTACAAGAATAGGTAGTGGTGAGGAATCAGGTCTCATTTTGGGCATCAAATGGTCTCTCACTTTAAAATCTGACATTGGCACTACTTTTTCTTTGATTTAAACAGAAAGACCAGCAGATGTTCATGTGAGCATGAGGATAACTTAAAAACAACCATTTTTTTTTAAGGCATTGGCTCTATTTTATTTGCTCTATGAAAAGTAAAAACAAGGAAGAGCACTACAGTAACACATACACCTATGTCCAAATGATGAGAGGTGGATGGCATTTTGGCCTGATGTCAGTTACTATAATTCTTTCCCCAGAAATGTCTTTCTTTTGAGCCCTGACGTCGATTTTCAGTTGAAAATGTTGGAACCGTATAGGGCTGAACATACATAGTAGCTTCAAATCTAAAGAAATTTGCTGAGAAGTGAAATAAACTTTTATTAAAACTATTTGAGGCAAAAGGGTATTGAAGAAAATGGGAAATGTAAACTGTAAGTGATTGCATTGTAGGAAATATTAAGGGATCTATTTAGACAAGACTTTGGCAACTAGAGGTAATAATAATGGCCAACATTTAATGAACACTGATGATGTGCCTGACACTGCTAAACTGTGTTATCTTATTTAATACTCAAGTCTTGGAAGCAGGTTTTTTTTTTTTTTTTTAAAGGCAAGGTCTTGCTCTGTCTCCCAGGCTGGAGTGCAGTGGTGTAATTATGGCTCAGTTCACCCTCAACCTCCTGAGGTCAAGTGATTCTTCCTCCTCAGCCTCCTGAGTAGCTGGGACTACAGGTGCGTGCCATCATGCCTGGATAATTTTTTTTTTTTAATTTATTTTCTGTAGAGACAGGGTCTCACTATGTTTCCAGGCTAGAGGTAGATGTTTTTAACTTCCATTTTACAAAAGAGGAGTCTTGAGATTTAGGTAAAATAATTTGCCCAAGGTTCCAAAGCTAAGCTGTGATTGTCATGTGTGTCACCGCTGAGATGTAAACATAGGCAAGCTGATTCTCATGCCCCCACTTTAAACAATATGTTATAGCTCCAGATGAATGAATATGCTCTTACCTCTAGTTATATTGTGACTCCAGAAGTGACTGCGGGTAACATTTTGCTTCATTTTCTACTGTTTCTTATAGCTTGTGAGCATCTCCATATTTTGGAGGGAGTGACTGAAAGACACAAGAATTAGCAACTTTCTTCATATTTCTTCCCCTTCTGAATGTGCCACACTGTATGCGATCCTTAGCAATTGTTTGACAACCAGTTATTATCAAACTTGATCCTTTATTTCCTTCATAGCACTTACAAATTGCAAAAAAATTATAATTGCATTAATTTGTTTTGCTTTCTTCTTTACTAATAATATCCAGCACATACCTAATGGCCAGGTCTATTTGTCTATCAGTCAGTGAGATTATATAGATATATGTGTGTGTCTGTATACACATGTGTACACAGGAGGACCTGTGTAAGCTGTTAATCAGAGGTTGGCAAATCTTTTCTTTGAAGGGTCAGATAGTAAATATTTCAGGCTTTGTAGGCCAAGAGGCAAAATCATGGATACTATGTAGATACTTATATAACAAGAGAGAGAACAAATTACCATGTACTTTAAATTCAGAAAATTCAAAATATAAACGAATAGAATAGTAATTGAGTTAAAAACTCTTGCAATACAGGTCTACTAATGAGAAGAATAGAATTATTTGGGGAGGACAACATTTTGCCTAATTGGGGTCCAAGTTTAGTGTTTCTTATCAAAACTTTTGCAAATGTTCTTCTGCAAAAACTATTCTTGGCTTGTGGACCATATAAAAAGAGGCATCATACCAGATTTTGCGTACAGGCTGTAGTTTGCTAACCCCTGTTTTTATTGCTCATGTGACTGTTGGGTCAGCTAGGTGATTCTGCTGATCTTAACCAGGCTTACTCGTGTATCTATGACCAGCTGCTGTGTTGGCCGAAGTTTGTGTAGGCTAAGATGCTTCAGCAGAGACAGCTTGTTTCTGCTTCACATGGTTTTATCCCGAAGGAGGCTGGCCTTATCTTGTTCACCTGGCAGCTGAGCAGTGTTATAAACGAGGGAGTGGAAGTATATAAGGCCTTTTGAGACTTAGGCTAGTAACATCATTTTTATTGCATTCTATTGGGAGACCATCCCAGATTTGAGGGATGCAGCTCTTGATGGGAGGAGCAGCAAAGGCACACTGCAAAATGGCATGGATACAGGGAAGGGAGTAACTGCAACCAGTTTAGTAAACCATCTACCGCAATTCAGTTTCATGACCGTGTGGTATTTTGTTGAATAAATATGCCACAGTTGATTTAGTCGTTTTTCTTTTGATGGACATTTTGACTGTTTCCAGTTCTTGGCACTTATAAGCAATGCTGCTCAGAATAATCCAGTATATATCTCCCTGTGCGTACATGTTAAGAGTTTTATTAAGGGGGGGTGTGTTTGTGTGTGTAAGATAGAGTGCATGGACAAAATGTACAGTACATATGTAAGCCTAGAAGTGGAATTGTATGTAGGGTGTGCACATCTTTAGCTTTATCAGATACTGCGAGAGTGACTATATCAATTTATATTCTTACTACTAGTGTAGTTCTTATTGCACCACATCTTTGCCAAGATAGTGTAATTTTGCCAGCCTCATTGCACATGAAATGGCATCTCATAAAGGGTATAATTTGTATTTTCTTTATTGTTAATGATATTAAGTATCTTTTCATATGCTTATTGATCATTGCGTTTCTTTTTTTTTTTTGAGACAGAGTCTCGCTCTGTCGCCCAGGCTGGAGTGCAGTGGCGCGATCTCAGCTCACTGCAAGCTTCGCCTTCTGGGTTCACGCGATTCTCCTGCCTCAGCCTCCCGAGTAGCTGGGACTACAGGCACCCGCCACCACGCCCGGCAAATTTTTTGTATTTTTGATAGAGATGGGGTTTCACTGTGTTAGCCAGGATGGTCTCGATCTCCTGACCTCGTGATCCGCCCGCCTCAGCTTCCCAAAGTGCTGGGGTTACAGGCGTAAGCCACTGCACCCGGCTAATTGTGTTTCTTCTATGAATTGCCAGTTAATATATTTTGCTTGTTAAAAAAATCGTTACATCTTTCATTGATTTTTAGGAATTTTTAAATTCTAATTCTTTTTTGCTCGGTTATGTATGTTCTAATATCTTTCCCAGTCTGTGATTCATCTTTGTATTTTTTAATGGACTCCTAATGAAAACAAGTTTTTAATTTTAATACTATTGTATTTATCAGCCTTTTCCTTTATGGTTTGTACTTTTTATGTGTTATTAAAGAAAGCTGTCTCTTCCAGATCTTCAGATTCTCGTATGTTTTCTTAACGTTTGCTTTTTTACCTTTTGATCCTTAGTCTACCTGGAGTTGATTTTTGTGTATGGTATGAGATGAGGATCTAATTGTTTAAGTATATGGATTTCTAATTCTCTCAACATGATTTGTTGAATTTTTCCCTCTTTCCTCAGCTTTCCTGCATTGCCAAAGCTCTGTCATACAGAGTTTCCACATATACACATGTTCTACATTTCTTTTGACGCTAATTTCCTGTATAGGAAAGTTGTTCGGTTTTCACTTTTGAAGCTGGCACTTTTTGTTTACTACTATGTTATTGCCTGAGTAGTCTTGACTGAACTGTGCCCTTAATTACTTTGGATAAGAGTAGGTAGCAGTTTTTGGGTTGCTCACTATATGCTAGATTAGTATACTTAAAATTTTAGTGCATTTAATGCACTAAAATTTTAATGCATTAGCTCTTCATGACAGTAGTATGAATTAACTATATTTTTTTGTTCCTTTTAGAAATTAGTAAACTGAAGCCCAGAGGAAACTTAATACTTAGCTAGGATTATGAACCCATGCCAGCTAGCTTCAGGGTCTCAACTTTAAACCACTATTTTATAGTATTTCTCATTTGATTTATAAATGTCTTGTCTGATTTGAAACATTTGAATAGGAGAGTGGTTCCCAGTCAACCATAACATATCTAAAATTTGTCTGATTACTGATGTTTAAAGAGGTAATTGTTAAAATGAGTCAAGCAAGCGCTATAAGGACTAGTTACAGTTTATTTTTAGAATTTTATTAGGTTTTTTTAAATGGTCACCTTTGAGATCTGCCCCTCTCCCCTGCCACTCATGAAAGGAAAGATGCAGAAAATGATTCTTTATTTTGGAAAACTATTTTTGTGTTTTTAGATGTCTGGATTTTTCATGTGTGCACTAGCAGAGGATTCTTGCATAAGATAATGGGGCCAGTGAGCATGAACGGTTGTAGGTTGGAGATGTGGTCCTCTGCATGGGTTATTTTTCTTTTTAAGAGCAAGATATAGGGATAGATATAGCTGTTGGCACAGTCTAGGGGAACACATTGTTTTAGATAATCTTGCCTCTTCCTGCCCTCTAGCCAAGCTTCTGATAAGCATTTTGCATTGAGGATGACCAACTTTGATCTCTCCACTCAATTTCCCATGGCACTTGTTATCTGTACCAGCTCTTTGGAAATTCATATTCAATTTAGGATTTGATTTTGTTTTTTGTTTTTTAAGACAGAGTCTTGCTCTGTTGCCCAGGCTGGAGTGCAGTGGCACAATCTTGGCTTGGCTCACTGTAACCTTCGCTTCCCAGGTTCAAACGATTCTCATACCTCAGCCTCTTGAGTAGCTGGGATTACAGGCACGTGCCATCATGCCTGGCTAATTTTTGTATTTTCAGTAGAGATGAGGTTTCACCATGTTGCCCAGGCCAGTCTGGAACTCCTGACTTCAAGTGATCCGCCTGCCTCAGCCTCCCAAAGTGCTGGGATTACAGGCATGAGCCACTGTGCCCAGCCTTGATTATGTTTGATAACACTTTTGTATTTTTCTGATTGCTTTGAAAATATGTTTCGTGTACCTAAGAATAGAACCTTAGGAACCTTCTTGGGACAGGGATGGTGTTTTATACTTATTTTTAATCATCTCTACAGTCTTAGCACAGCAGCTAATTACAGTGCAGGTGTTCAATAAATGTTGCTTTTTTTGAGATGGGGTCTCACTATATTGTCCAGGCTGAGGTGCCATGGCTACTCACAGGTGCAGTCATGGCATATTGCAGCCTCAGGCTCCTAAGCTTAAGTGATCCTCCCACCTCAGCCTCCCAAGTAGCTGGACTAGGGGTGCCCACCACTGTGTCTGGTGCTTCTTTCTTTTAGTGTGGCTTAACTAATGAGACCCCAGAGATAAGGGCAAATTTTATATTTGATTTAAAATTGTTGAGTGTTTTATTCAACACTAATTTATTCAGTGTACTTTGTTCAGCGAATTGCGGGAAACACAAGATGAATCAGAAACCGTATCTGCCCTCAAAGGGACTAAGTTCTTAAACAGTTTAAGTTATAAATATAGTTGCTTGCTTCTGTGTACATACGTACCCTCTTAGTTTCACAGAGGGAGCTAGAAGTTGTTTATAATTTAATTGAGGAGATCAAACATATGAAGAAAAATCATTCAATGTAGAATGTGGTGAGTCACAAAGCCCCTGGGGATGGATTTTGTACTTGAGGTGGGTTGAAGAAAGATGCTTAGAGTGGCAGTAACAAGGGAGCTGGGCCCTCAATAAAGAAGGTAGGATTTTGACAGGTGGGTTAAGGATGGAGGGTGGGGTTGCATTTAAGAAAGAAAAAAACAGTGTGAAGCAAGGTCTGGTAGAGGCAGAAAAAGCTGGCCATGTTTGGAGCAAAAGTAGTTCAATTTGGCTAGAATATAGGAGAGAAAAGTACATAAATTGGGGCCAGTTTATGTAGAGTCTTAAATATCAGGCTAAGGTGTTTGGACTTAATTCAGTAGACAGTGGGGAGCCACTGAAGTGTTTTGAGTAATATGATCTGAGCCATACTTTTGGAAGATTAATCTGGTTGCATTGTCAGTAATGAATGAGAAAATGAAAGTGTTTTCCATTGTTGGAACACTTTTTTGTTTTCTTTATAAACATAACTAAAACAAATGTAAGCTTAGTGTAGCTATCAAATAACACTAAAAACCTTTATTAATGAAAATGTAAGAAAAGATATGTTTTTGTATATCCAGCTATTTTAAAAAACATGTCGGCCGAGTGTGGTGGCTCATGCCTGTAATCCCAGCACTTTGGGAGGCCGAGGCGAGTGGATCACCTGAGGTCAGGAGTTTGAGATCAGCCTGACCAATATGATGAAACCCTGTTTCTACTAAAAATGCAAAAATTAGCCGGGCGTGGTAGCATATGCCTGTAATCCCAGCTACTCAGGGGGTTGAGACAGAATTGCTTGAACCCGGGAGGCAGAGGTTGCAGTGCGCCAAGATCGGGCCATTGCACTCCAGCCTGGGCAACAAGAGCGAAACTCCGACTCAAAAAAAAAAAAGGCCCTATTCACCTGTTGGCTTCTAATTCAGATTTTTGCATTTAGCCTCTTCAGTGAGTTATGTACCACAGATAGATATAAACTTCCAAAAACACAGTTCCGATTGGTATATTTTACTACTCAAAGCCTTCAGTATCTCTCCATTTGGCTGCTGAATAAAGTCCAGATTTCATACCCCAACAGTCAAGGCCCTCCCTCATTCATCTCTCCTACTACTCTACTCTCTGGCTGTTTCAGACAAACTATTCTTAAGACTCCTTGTGATTTCCTACTTCTTTGTCTCATTTACTCTAGTTCTTGTGACCTTCATAGAGTCTTAAGAATAAAAGGGAGGGAAGATATGTTGAAATCTTGAGAACACCTGTGAGTAGGTCATATGTGGCAGAGCTGGGATGAAAGCTCTTCTATTACTTGTTATTTTTTGTAATTGCTATGTGCCAGGTATTGTGGCCAATCCTGGGTTATGATGGTAAGTGAAACAAAAGTGATCTCTGCTCTTTATACCTTATGGTCTATAGAGACAAATATTAACCACTATATATAGTAAACCAATGTTGCAATTACAAACTTGGATGGGTCCTATCAAGGAAAAGTACTTTGAGGTACTTTAAGAGAAGATAATGGGCAAAGGGAGTACAGCTAATTTATAGTGGTATGTCAGGAAAGGTCTCTTTAAGGAAGTGTTTTTTTTTTTCTTTTTTCATGCTGCCCCATGTGATTAAGAGGAAATGAATTTTAAGCTGAGAACTGACATATGAGAGCATGTAGGTAGGGCAAAGAGTGGAGAAGGGCATTCTAAGCAGAGTGAGCAGTATGCACCAAGGCCCCCAAGTGGAAAGGAATTTGGGGTATTAGATGACCTCAAAGGTCAGTGTGGCCAGAACATATTTTGATTACTGAGGAGTAAGATGAACCTGGAGAGTTAAGGAGGAACCAGATCATATAGAGCCTTTTAGACCATATTGGATTTTGTATTTTATATAAAGTACATTGAAAAGAAAATGGCAATTGAAGGGCTTTTGAAGAGTGACACAGTCCAGTTTGTGTTTTTAAAATATCACTGTGATTAATAATATATCCAAAATTCAGCCACTTCTTATCTCCACAGTCTCCACCCTGGTATAAATCTCATTTGAATTAGCTAGTCTCAGCTTCCACCCTTCCAGCCCTACAGCTATTCTTTTTTTATCTTTTTTCTTAAGAAATTTTTTTAAAAAAATTTATCATGGCCCAGGCACTCACACCAACAGCCTATTCTAGACAGTTACCAGTTTTTTTCCTTTAAAATGTTAGAGCATGTCTCTCCTGCTCCAGATCTTCCCACGGTTTCCCATTTTACTCGGAGTAAATCTCCGAGACATGCTCCCACCTCAGGGCCTTTACACTTGCTGTCTCGTTTGCCTAGGATGCTTTTCTCACAGATACCCATGTAGTTCACTTCCTAACCTCCTTCAGGTCTTTATACAACTGGTGAATCCATACCAGACCCCATCCCTGCCAGTCCTTCCCTACTTTATTTTTCTCTGACTTTCATACTAGAATGTAAATTTCACTGGATAAAGAATTTTGTAAGAGAGTCCTGTACTGATCTATTCTCAGGATGTGTAATGCTGTATATAACAGGCATTCAGTAAGTATTAGTTGAATGAGTAGCTTGGTGGAGTCTAGAGTAGCAGCTGAGAGAACAGTTTAAAGGGTCTGAGTCTAGATGAGAGATGGTGGCTGAGACAAAGATTGTGGAAGATGCAGAGAAGCAGGGGATTCAAGATACATTTTAGAGATAGAATTAACAGGACAGTTCACAATGATAAGATAACTTAAGTTTTTGCCTCACAAGTTTAGCGTTTCTTCTATTAAACCATTATGAAATGTCATTGTTAGCTAGTAATTTAAGTTAGTAATTAGGTTATTCAGAGTCATTGATTTAGCCTGTGTCTAAAACCAAGCAATGTAGATGGCTGCCAAATTCACTAATGGCAGCAGCATGTGGTGAAGGTTAAAGAAGATTTGATAACTCTTTTAGGTATTTAAAATATTTGTATATTTTTAAAAATCAAACTTATGAGACAGTGCATGCAGTAGTGAAATGTATATATATAGCTCATTTGAGGAGTACTCTTAGGGTTGTGGTTCTCAAATAGGGACAGTCTCTTGCCGTACCCTCCCCCACCCCCCAACATTTGGCAATGACTGGAGACATTTTTGATTGTCACAACCTGAAGAATGGTGCTCATGGCATCTAGTGATTAGAGGCCAGTTATGCTGCTAAACATCCTGCAATGCACAAAGTCAGTCTCCTCCCCTCTCTGCAAAGAATTATCTGGTCCAAAATGTCAGTAGTACTTAGGTTGAGAAACCCTACCTTAGGTATTAAAACTCAAGCTTCAATTTATGTCAATGCTAAGCCTGCAGCTACACTGTTAAATCCACAGACCTGTATACTTCTACAACTTGTTGTGTATACAAGGTGTGATTAGAATGGTTGCACTTTTAAACAAATATAACTGACACACTTGCATGCTTATGCACAGAAATCCAGTTGAAAGCTCCACCTTCACAATAGTTCTCTTGGGAAGAGTTTGCATTTATATGATTCTGCCATTTTTTTAAATTTATTTTAAGTTTCAGGATACATGTGCAGGACCTGCAGGTTTGTTACATAGATGAACACATGCCATAGGTTCTGCCTTTTTTATAGTTGCCTTTGAAACCTGGAGCATACCCTTTAAATCTCCTTAATGGTACCAAATTATCTTCCGAAGGTGGATTTGGAAATATCCAGTGCTTTCTGAATGCATTGTGATGGGTGTAATCAGGTTGGGTAGTAATTCTATTGTAAGGTGAAATTGAGATATGGCTATAAAATAATAATTGGTGGTTTAAAAGTAGTGCTTTTACAAAATCTTTTCATCGGTAATTAAGTGTGTCATAATCTCAATTTGAAGAGGTATGTGCAGATGTTCTAGAATTATTAAAACAAAATCAGTATCAGAATGTCAAATATTTAAAAGATTGTTGTCTGGGATCAAGGGAAACAGCCACTGTCACATAATATTGGGAAGGTACTTTGGCACAATTTGGTAATACTATTAATTTTTTTTTTTTTTTTTTTTGAGATGGAGTCTCGCTCTGTTGCCAGGCTGGGGTGCAGTAGCATGATCTTGGCTCACTGCAATCTCCACCTGCTGGGTTCAAGCGGTTCTTCTGCCTCAGCCTCCCAAGTAGCTGGGATTACAGGCACGTGCCACCACACCCAGCTAATGTTTGTATTTTTAGTAGAGATGGGGTTATATCGTGTTGGCCAGGATGGTCTTGATCTCCTGACCTCATGATCTGCCTGTCTTGGTCTCCCAAAGTACTGGGATTACCGGCGTGAGACACCGCAAAATGTTCATATTATTTCACTTAGGAATTCTGTCTCTAGCCATTTGTTTACAGACATTTTTACACCAGTAAGGAAAGATATGAAAAGTGCTGTTTCTTGGAGGTTTGTTTGTAAAGTGGAAAAATTAGAAACAACCCAATACCTGTATTAATAGTATTAGTATTGTGATCAGTATTATTGATCACAAATCATTAGTATATCCTTGAAGTAAAATACTATACACCACCAAAAAATGAAGGTATAATGTGTACTGATATAAAAAGAGCTATCAAATATATTAAATGGGGTGGGGGGAAGGAAGCTGTAAAAAGGAAAAAAAAAACCCACAAAAGTAGTAGGTATGGCATGTGATACCAAACTATATATGCAAGACATGCATAGAAGAGAGACCTGGAGGAATAAATACTAAATGTAATGGGAATAGGATAGTTTCCTATATTTCAGACTTGTTTGATTGTATTGTAATGTTTTACAATCAGGAAAAAAAAACTAAAACCGTGAGACAGTGATCTTACTTATAACTAGCTCTTTTAAGATTTTGAAGCAGTCCTTTGTATTAGTACATAGCTACCGATCTTTCTGCAGTTCTGTTTTTATATTAATAAATACCTAAAATTGGCCAGAGATTCCTAGGGCATTGTTCTTCATCTGAAGTTATTTACTGCTTTAAAACATTTTAAAATTCTTCATTGTGAAAGTATCACAGTTACTGTGTCTTTTTTTTTTTTTTTTTTTTTTTTTGAGATGGAGTGTTTGTTGCTCTGTTGCCCAGGCTGGAGTGCAGTGGTGCGATCTTGACTCACTGCAAGCTCCGCCTCCCAGGTTCATGCCATTCTCCTGCTTCAGCCTCCCTAGTAGCTGGGACTACAGGTGCCTGCCACCAGGCCTGGCTAATTTTTGGTATTTTTAGTAGAGATGGGTTTTACTGTGTTAGCCAGGATGGTCTTGATCTCCTGACCTCATGATCTGCCTGCCTCGAGCCTCCCAAAGTGCTGGGATTACAGGTGTGAGCCACCGTGCCCGGCCTACTGTGTCTTTTTTAAAATCTTGGGCTTTGAAATACCAGTGTGGTAAACTGCTAATCTGTGTTTACCCTGCAGGTGGCGCTGGTGGTTTTGTGGTGTTCTTCAGCGTGACTCAAGTAAAATTCCCTTCAGCTGGGAAATCACTTAGATATTGGTTCTGCTTGTAGAATGTTATCTTTCATGTAATCTGTTGAATATCAGACATTTTCTTACTATTATTTCAAGAAATACATGTAGCAGGAAAAAATCTACTAACAAATTATTAGGATATAATTATATTTTATACCTTATTTATCTACTTTATTATTCATTACAATTTCTGGGAAAATTAAATTTATTTCAGCAGTTCATTACTTTCCAACTCCCTTAAAATTCCAAAACTTCATCAAAAAACTGGCAGTAGAACTAATTTTTTCAAATTAATTCTCTTTGAAGTCTTTCATTTTCCTTTCTGTTTGTGTGTCTGACTCCCCCTTTCTTTCTCTCAGTCTGTCAAGTTCAAGAGCAGCTCAGATGCCATGAATTAAGTGGAGCACAAAAGGGGGAAAGGAGACCCTTTTGAAGAACAAAGGCCTCCCATTAGGCTGCCATGTTCTTTTTTGACCAAAAGTGCACCCTACATGGTTTCTATTGTTGTCCACATGCCCTGCACATAAGGTAAATACAGCAGATCCTCATTACCTCACGTTTTCCTCCTCTTCCTCCTATGCCACACACAACCAGTGAAGCTTTGGGTCTTTGATGTCTTTAGGCATTCTTATACAGTTGCTTTATCTCCTTTTAAAAACCTACAGGGGTAGAAGTGGAAGTGGAGAGCAATGCACACCGAGTAGTAAAACCTCACAAGAAGGGAAAATGAGCTGTTAGAGAAGCTGCAACCCAGGAATCCAGGGCAAGTGGAAAGATCCAGAGATTTTACTGTTGTTGTTCTCTATTCTCTGTCTTTTAATCCTATAGCTTAAAAATCCTGTATTTTTAAAGTAATAACTTTGATTTACATTCACTATAGTTTTTCCTCCCTTTGTCCGTGTAACAAGACAGGCAGGTGGGAATAAATTTAATTGCTGAGAGCAGTTCATGTAATGATCAGAAATTCTTGCTAATCTGCTCCTACTTATTGGATGTTGGCTCTTTGGTGTCATGGAGATGGCTTTACTGTAGGTTTGTTGTGTTGCATTACTTTTCATTGGGATTGAACTGAGAAATAACAAACAAGCTTTAAGTGGGAAATTAAAAAAAAGAAGTAACCTATGTAGATCCAAACTTAAAATGTGAGAAATTATTGAAATTTCATTTTCTACAAACTTGAAATTAGCCTGCTAATTGTAAAGTTGTTTTAATAATGCTGACAAATGTCAGTTACGTTTGCAAAGGAGTGTATGGTTCTAGGTATTTGCCTACTGTTAACCGTTGAGAAAAACATTGTCAGGTTAGCAAGTCTATTGAAATAGAGACCTCCTTAGTTTACAGCAAAGAATAAATAGCTGATGACTGGAGATTGGGACTAAGGTTTTATTTATTTATATTCTTTGAAAGAAATCGGACAGTTAATAAGTGGTTTGTGGTAGAGTTGAAGGATGTCTGAGAGATGGAAAGAGAGTGACAAAGGAGGAGAAGGAATAGTATTTCTTTTTTAGTATTGTTTTGAAATTAAAACTCTGTTATTTTAATATGGTAAAGAGCAAGAGTTGGGTTGGGCGCGGTGACTCACGCCTATAATCCCAGCACTTTGGGAGGCCGTGGTGGGCAGATCACCTGAGATTAGGAGTTTGAGACCAGCCTGGCCAACATGGCGAAACCTTGTCTCTACTAAAAATACAAAAATTAGCCAGGTGTGGTGGCACATGCCTATAAATCCCAGCTATTTGGGAGGCTGAGACAGGAGAAGCACTTGAACCTGGGTGACAGAGGTTGCAGTGAGCCGAGATCCCGCCACTGCACTCCAACCTGGACAACAGTGTGAGTCTCTGTCTCAAAAAAAAAAAAAAAAGAGTAAGAGTCGAACTTAGGACAACGTATGTTTTCTTTTTTTTCTGACGTTGAGCTAATGGTGGGCAATTTGTGACTTAACATTTAGTGACCACCTTGAACTCTCCCTGAGTTTGTGGGTCTGCCCTTTTAGGATTATAGAGGTGATTCAGTGGTGTTAAAAACAACATTAAAGGGATTAAAGAAGTAATTCCTTTGTAGGAACAGTAGTAACATTTTATTTTGAAAATTTCATGAGGAAATTTTTAGTATTCCTATTTTTTTCCCCATATGTTCTTCAAATAAATATACATAGCACATTCAACATTTTTGGTCCTAAGAATTTCTTATATTAAAATCTGACTAGCATAGCTGAAGTTAAAAAAAAAAGGCCTGTTAACTACTTGAGGAAATGTTTTGACTCTTTATGGACCCTGAATATTGCTTTTCAGGAAGTATTCCTTGTTTTGTTTTTTTGGGTACAGCAGTCTGCAAGAAGCCTTTGGTTTATGTACTTGGCAGCAAAATAAAAGGCAAAGAGCTTCTTGCTGTGTGTTATGTAGGAAATTACCATTCCTGTTGTCTGTGTAGGATGTTCTAAAGATGTAGCCAGGAATCTCAGAGGAGAGAGAGAAGAGACAGAGAGAGAGAGACAGACAGAGAGTCAGACTTGTAGTTCTAATATTTTCTTGCTTTTGCCTCTGCCTCTGGTCATACATTGGATTGTTTTTCTGCTTTTGTTCCTTGGGGTGGCATCTGTCTTCAGGAGAAATCACTCCATAGTCAAACACAGATTGCTGAACTGTGGCATTTTTGCTGTTACTGTTATCCTGAATTTACTGGGAACAGTTTTAATATGGGTGCATTTAAACACTTGTTTGTGGATAGGGAGAGATGGAGAGTGAAATTTCA
Source organism: Homo sapiens (assembly GCF_000001405.40). NCBI lineage: Eukaryota > Metazoa > Chordata > Mammalia > Primates > Hominidae > Homo > Homo sapiens. The sequence goes on from NC_000001.11 coordinate 167,270,820, forward strand.
TTCTCTGTTGAATGCTCCGTCTCCTGCCCAGCACATTTCTGCCCCTTCCACATGGTTTTTCACTAACTCCTGAATGTTTCTCTATGCTAATCTGAAAGCTCTACAGCAGAGACTACACATTTATACAGTTCCCCACATACAGGGTCACTTTATGAAATGAATTATTTCTTGACATTTTTCAGGTTTGTGATTGTACCTTTCCAAGCCAGTGTTAACACATTTCAAATATTGTGAAAAGTTGAATTTATGCTAGCATTGTTTTAATTATTTAAATAACTTAACATTTTAGAACCTTGTGGCTTTAGATTTAAAGAGGTATCAAGTCCTTAAAACATTTTCGGTTATTATCCTAATATTAATACAATAATAGTCATTAGACAAATAGTAAATTTTAAAAAGAATAAAAATTAAAAAGAACACCTAACTGGGAAAGTGGGAGAGAAGCCATTTAAAACAATAAACTGAAACTCTTTTCCTGAGTTTCCTTAGAAGCCATTTGGACAATTAATGGAGAGATTTTAAACATTAAATGTATTTGTGACTAAAACTTGCCTTTTCAACAAGACACCCGAACTGCCAAGACTTCACAGGGGTCTCATTGTAGAGAATTAAAATTCAATGATGGTTGAAAGAGAAAAGGCATAATAAGATTGGTCAGACTTCTATATTTATTCAAAGATTGAGCATGAAAAGATTTGGAGCTTTACAGTATTTCAAGGAAGTAGGATGTGTAAAAAGTTGAGATGGGTGGCTTATTTTCTGACATGAGTAGATTTTGATTTAAAACATTCAAGCTGTGCCCTGGGGAGAGGGATGTGTAAGGAGGGAAGGAATCTGATGAAATGAGGACCTCAGAGAGTTTCTGTGGAAGGCTTAGAACTGGAAGTGGTGAATTAGTGAACCATCAAGAAAGAGAATATTTTTATAGACATTTATAAATTTTTATTTCCACAAACATTGGAAATAATGTAGGAATAGGCAAACAATGGTCCTCAGGTCAAATTCGTGTTTTCTGTTTTTGTATGGCCCTTGAGCTAAGAATGATTTCTACATTTTTTTGTGGGGGAAAATAAAAAGCATAATATTTCATGACATTATAATTATATGAAATTGAAACATCAATATTCATAAACTTTTATTGGGATATAACCATACCCATTTGTTTATGCATTGTCTCTGTAATATCTATAGCTGCTTTTATGCTGCAACAGCAGAGTTGAATAGTTGTGGCAGAGACCATGTGTCCCATAAACACTAAAATGTTTACTTTCTGACTTTTTACACGACAGGTTTGCTGTCCACAGAAATAAAAGAATGTCCGCAGTATGTTAGAATGAACAGTATACAGTTTTTTGTAAGACTAGGAATACTTGCCATTAATAAATTCATTTTCTGTATTCTTATATTTGCTTATCAGGAATAAATGCTTTTTTTGGTGAATGGTTTTCATTCTGAAAAATGTCAAAATAGTAAATATTACCTTTTTTTTTTTTTTTTGACAATGCCCCCTTTTTTGGCTGGGAATGTTCTTACTCTGGTTTTGTAAGTATGTTCCCACACATTAGGATTTCAAAAAAAAAAAAAAACCATATTCAGAACTGTATTAGTCAGTTCTTGCATTGCTGTAAAGAACTTCCTGAGACTGGGTAATTTATAAAGAAAAGAGGTTTAATTGGCTCACAGTTCCACAGGCTGTACAAGCGTGGTGGGGGAAGGCCTCAAGAAACTTAGAATCATGGCAGAAACTGAAGGGGAAGCAAGCAGGTCTTTTATGACCAGAGCAGGAGGAAGAGAGAGAAGTAGGAGGGGCTACACACTTTTAAACAACCAGATCTTGTGAGAACTCACTATTACAAGAACAGCAAGGGGGAAGACTACCCCCATGATCTAGTCACCTCCTTCCAGGCCCCTCATCCAACATCGAGGATTACAATTTGACATGAGATTTGGGTGGGGACACAAATCCAAACCGTATCATTCTGCCCTGGCCCCTCCCCAATCTCTCATGTCCTTCTCACATTGCAAAATACAGTCATCCCTTCTCAGTAGTCCCCCAGAATCTTATTTCAGCATTAACTCAAAAGTCCACAATCCAAAGTCTTATCTGAGACAAGGCAAGTCTCTTCCACTTATGAGCCTGTGAAATCAAAAACAAGTTAGTTACTTCCAAGATAACAACACGGGTACAGGCATTGAGTAAACACACCCATTCCAAAAGGGAGAAATCAACCAAAAGACAGGGGCTACAGGCCCTGTGCAAGTCCGAAACCCAGCAGGGCAGTCATTAAATCTTAAAGCTCCAAAATAATCTTTGACTCTATGTCTCATATCCGGGCAGCACTGATGCAAGGGGTGGTCTCCCAGGTCCTGAGGCATCTCTGCCCCTGTGGCTCTACAGGGTACAGCCCCTCGGCTGTCTTTACAGGCTGTCGTTGAGTGCATGTGGCTTTTCCAGGTACACAGAACAAGCCGTCAGTAGATCTACCATTCTGGGGTCTGGAGGACGGTGGCCCTCTTGTCACAGCTCCAGTAGGCACTGCCTCTGTGGCGACTGTGTGTGGGGGCTCCAACCCCACTCCCCTCTACACTGCCCTCGTAGAGGTTTTGCATGAGGCCTCTGCTCCTGCAGCAGAGTCCTGCCTGGAGTTTCCATACATCCTCTGAAATCTAGGCAGGAGCTCCCAAGCCTCAACTCTTGCCCTCTGTGCACCCGCAGGCTTACCACCACGTGGAAGCTGCCAAGGCTTACAACTTGCCCCATCTGGAGCAGCAGCCTGAGACGTATCTGGGCCCCTTTTAGCCACAAAGAATTTTCTTTCTCTTGGCCTCAGGCCAGTACCTTTTATGCCTTGCCTATTATGTCTGGCAGAAGTGTGGCAGTTGTTGGGAAAGTAACTGGGAGCTCTCATAGGCTTCTGTATGAAAAGCTAGGATAACCACGTTATGAGTAGTGTATGGACAAGAACTTGAACTTGTGGTCTTTCCCCTCTCATCAGCTTCATATTGCTTAAGATAGAAAAATAAGGGATTTCAAAATGTAAGAGTGAAAGAAATTAGAGTTTGACAAAGATATAAAAGCCATAGTTTAAAATAAATGTGTTTTATTTTCTTCCTGAATAATTGAGCCTGAACCAGGAGCATACTGTTCATGTTTAATCTCTATGTGAAAAAACAAGGGTAGTAATTGTAGAGCAAACTCTTGATTTATTCTGAATGACCACCAGTTACTAACTAAAAATACGATTTTCCCCAACTAGGTTTTCTTATTCCTTATAATAGTTGAAGAGTAATAAGGTTGAGATTTTCTTTTTGTGTGTTTCTTTGCTCACATTAAGAAGGTTACTCTATGCAGAACTTTTTGACTACTTTTATTAGTTACGTACCCCTCCTTTCCCTTAATTATTAAAGCTCTAATCTCTAGCATGTAATGTTTTGCTTTTAATCTGTTGCTTCTCACCCTGTTGCTTTAGGTAAAGTTTAAGGGGTTTTATTTTAATAGGCCTGAGTAGAGAATGAAACTATGAAGAATCTGACTATAAAACTAGTAACAGAAATTCACTTGGTTATTTCAGATAATTCCTTTATCTAATATCTTCCTTTCCTCTTCTTTCCTTCTAGGTCTTTTGAGTATTGCCTGGAATTTACTATTTCTGACAAATTTCTATAGAACATGTGGGTCTATGAGGAAGGTTTCATTTTAAATAGGTAGTTACCTATTTCTGTTATTTTATTGTCCTTGTTTTTAGATGAATTTTGCTATGTATTGGGTCTATATTTTGCCCTAGTAAATATAGACCAAAATTACTCTGAATTTTAACACAGTTAAAATTCAGTCTTTGCTGATTAGTAGACTTACTTCTTTGTAGACTCACTGTGTTTCCGAAAGGGTTGGGAGTTAAAATAGTTTGGTTGTCATTTGTTCATATATTCAGTTTTCTGGACAAACCATGAATTATAGTAAAGTTACGCTTTCTTGTAAATCCAGTTCTTGCGAAAATGCTTGTTGCCTTTCATTAATGACAGCATTTCCATCTAAAAATAATGACAACCCTCTCATTTTCCTTTACAGCTCCTTCTTGTTTTCCACCTTTTTTGTTGTCTTTTAGAAAGATACTCTTCTGAAACATACTACTTTTAGTCCTGAGATTTGCAGTGAATGAATTGCAACTGATGAACTCTGGGGCTGCTAATCTTACTTAGTCAAATAAATGTATTTTTTTTTTTTTTTTTTTTTGAGACAGGCTCTCACTCCAGGTTGGAGTGCACGATCACAGCTCACGGCACCTTTGAGCTCCCAGGCTCAAGCAGTCCTTCCACCTCAGCCTTCCCCCAGTAGCTGAGACTACAGGCTTGCACCATCATGCCTGGATTTGGTTTTTGTTTTCTTTGTAGTGATGGAGTCCCAGTATGTTGCCCAGAGTGATCTTGAACTCCTGGGTCAAGTGATCCCCCCACCTTGCCCTCCCAAAGTGTTGGGATTACAGGTGTGAGCCACTGTGCCCGGCTGTAATAATTATTGATAATAGAACTATGATGAGAACAATAGTGTTTTCTTACAGAAGACTTTTTTTTTTTGGCTTATTTAAAAACTGTATTAAAACTTTAAATGTACATCATTCTTCAGTATGACTACAGAAGGCCGCAATGGCCCTGATATCTCTACTTGTTCTTTCTGAAATTGAAGATGGGGCCAAATACTGTGTCTAATTCAACAGTTCAGATTTTTCATTCCCACTTTTTAAAGTGTTAGTGTTCGCTTGAGCACACAGGCGAGATTATGGGATCTTAACATTTGAATCACCTGGCAGAACTCTGAAGGTTTAGGGCAAGGAAAAAAAAGACATCCCAAAATTCTATGCTTACTATCACCCTGTCTTAGTAATGGTAAATTTTAAATTCTACCACCCCCTGCCCAAAAAGATGGGGTAAGAATAATGATTGGTTAAGTGATACATGGAAGACTGCTACATCCTAAAAAAGACTGATGGATGGTTCTGTGAAACACTGCTTATGTCTTAGCTATTTTCCATTCTGAGGTTTCTGTATAAGAATATCTTGTGCCCTGGAAATATTCAAGAAAAAGTACTTTAGATGAGTCTTATTTAATAACTTAAGATTTTATAACAGAGATGGTGGTTTGTGCCACATTATATCCAGCAGTTAGCGATCTAAGAACAAAATATTTAGCTTATACTAGAAGACAACAGTAGTCCCCCTTTATCTGCTGTTTCTTTTTCTGTGGTTTCAGCTTCCCACAGTCAACTGCTGTCCAAAAATATTAAACGGAAAATCCAAGACATAATTTATAAGTTTTAAGTTGCATGCTGTTCTGAGTAGTGAGATGAAATCTCACGGCATCCCACTCTGTTCTGCCGAGGACGTGAATCTTTCCTTTGTTCAGTATATCCCATGCTGTATACACTACCTGCCTGTCAGTCATTCAGTAGCGGCCTATGTTATCAGATTGGCTGATCATTGTATTGCAGTGCTATGTTCAGGTAACACTTATTTTACTTATAGTGGTCCCAAGGTGCAAGAGTAGTGATGCTGACATATTATTATAACTTCTATTTTATTATTCTTATTGTTAATCTTACTATGCCTAATTTATAAATTAAACTTAATCATAGGTATATATATATAGGAAAAACATAGTGTTATATAGGGTTCAATACTAGCCCCAGTTTCAGTTGGGGGTCTTGGAATGTGCCCCCCACAGATAAGAGGGGACTATATTCTTATAGAAGAAGAGTTTGATTTTTTAGGACGTTATTTCCTGTTCAAACCATTGACCCACTCTTTGAGATAAGTTATTCTGAAGCTTTCATATAAGTAAAAGCAATTAAATTTTGCCACCAGCACCATCCTCAACCATTCTGAATTATAAAGTGTTAAAATTAAGAACAGGAAGAATGGAAGTATTCAATAAAAAATGAAGTATTTTCAGTTCCATATTGTCATCAAATAAGGGTGGGAAAGGCAAAGGAGAAAATCAATAAGTATGGAGAAGAAAGAAATGAGTAGATAGAACAAAAAAGATGAGAAAGGAAGCCATATTGAAGTCAGGAGAGAGTGCAGAGCAAGAAAGGATGGGCAGAAAAAAAGAAAACAAGAAAGGAGTTTAATGAGTGAGTAGAATGTGCTCTTGTTGCATTCTACTGCCAGTCTAAGCCATGGAATAGTTCACTATTCTGGGAAGTATTCTTAAGATCATCAGTGACCTTCAGGTCATGAAATCTAATAAGCATTCTTTCAGACCTGTTCTTATTTGACCTCTCAGTGGTGTTTGACACTCTCAACCACCAACTCTTTGTGAAACCTTTTTTTCCCTGAAAGCTGTGAGGTCGTGCTTTCTCGGTTCTCTTCTCATGTCTCTGGTAACTCCTGCTTTGTCTACTTTGGGTTTTTTGTTTTGTTTTGTTTTTTGTTTTTTAAGAGTTGGGATCTTGCTCTGCTGCCTAGGCTGGAGTGCAGTGGCGCAATCATAGCTCACTGCAACCTCACACTCCTGGGCTTAAGTGATCTACCTGCCTTGGCCTCCTAAGTAACTGTGTTCATTTGACACAGTTTAGGAACTAAAGATCAGGTAAAACCAGCCAGTTCCTGAGCTGGAATTGAATCTGTTCAGAATGTCTGGGAACTAACTCCATTTTTACGTGTCAACCATACCTGGCTAATTAAAAAAAAAAAAAAAAAATTGCCTAGGCCAGTCTTGAACTCCTGACCTCAAACGATCCTACCTCAGCCTTCCAAAGCCTCGGATTACAGGCATGAGCCACCTCACCCCAGCCACCTTTGTTGTCCAGAGATGTCAGATTTTGTGAAAGCTCAGTCCTAGGCTTCCATTTCTTTTCATTCTACGACCCAGCAATTATATCTATCCCAATGGCCTCAGTTACTACTCGCTGATGCCGCATGCCATCCTCTGGTGTCCCACATGTCAGTGAATAGCATCACCTTTTTTATTCCAGTTTTCCAAGTTAAAGACTTAGGAGTAATTCCTAATACCCCCTCTCCCTCACTTCCCAAATTCTTACTGTACTAAGGCCTGTCTATTTGACATCCTTTAATAATTTTCAAATCCATATTCTCTGCTGTCTTAGTCTGAGTAGGATTATCTCCCCCTTGCAGCACAATAGTAGCCCTCCATATCCTTGTTAAATTTGTTCTGTACACTGAAGCTAGGGTACTGTATCCTATGAAAACACAAATCCAGTCATGTCATTCTCCTCCATAGCATTATTTCCTGCTACTCTTAGGATAAAGACTAACATTCCCCAGGCCTACTTCTCCACCTCCCCTCTTATTTTTCAAACCCTCTGCACTTGAGCCACTGAGACTTTTGTTCAGATTCTCACAGGTACCATGCTCTGACCTTTTACTTCTCTGCTTAGTCAATTTCCATTTCATTCTTCACGTCTCAACACAAAGACTGTTTCTATAGAAAAAGTGATTATTGATATATGGTCTTGTAAGATTCTGTTCTTTTGCTTATAGCATTTATCATAATTTGTTATTATGTATCTCTGAGACTGAAAACTCCCAAGAGGGATGGGACCTTGTCTGCTTTACTCACTGCTGTATCTCCAGCACCTGGCACATGGTAGGGATTTCATAGATAATGGTTAAATGACTTGAGTTTGTCCTTTCTCTAGATCTAGGGTATTTGTCATTTGTCCATAAATTTTGCTTCAGGAAATTTTAGGGCTCAGCATAATCTGATTAGGCTTCAACGATGAAGATAATGTTACATTTATCATTCGACACAGTTTAGGAACTAAAGGTCAGGTAAAATCAGCTAATTCCTGAGCTGTGGAATTGAATCTGTTCAGATTGTCTGGGAACTTTATTTTTACCTGTCCTGACAAGTCTTCTAAAAAAAGATACGTTGACTTAGCTCACTTTTCAGCAAGCGTTTCAGTGCTTACAATACGCCAGACATTTTGCAAACTTTAATTGGCTATCCCCTTCATTTGTTTTTCTATTTTAATAGAATTTAATAAAATTCTATTTTAATAGAATTTATTTTAAATTTGGTTTTCAAGACCTATTTCACATGGGTACATATTTGTGTCTTTGAGTATGATTCTTTAAGTAAAACACTTTGCAAATAAAATGATCATCTGAAAGATATTTTTTCATTTGATTGTAATTAGTTAGGTAAATTAAGGGGAATACATAATTACACAGCTTAAAGATATTCAAATGCTATTGGAACAGGATTGGTGTCTCCATGTTCTTCCATTTCCTTCTATTCCCCCCTGATTATAATGGTACACAGTGCTTACAGCATACGCCTGATAATGTTAAATGAACACACATTATGTGTAGAATATGCAGAATCATGGGTAGTGGTATGTAACAAATGTTGTTAACTGATGAGATATAGCAAACGTGAATAAAAAAGGTTTAATTAACATGGATAAAGAAATTCAGTCTTTTGTTTTATAATGTAATGCAACTGACCTCTGCCCTGTGATGCAGACAAGAGCTGTTACAAGTTATCAAAAGTAAGTTTATGAAAAAGATCATTTTTCTTATTGATGTTGTGTCCCCCCATGACAGAACATGTAACAGAGTTAAGAGAATAATGTGTGACCTACCCTCGCAATCCAGATAAATATAGAAATTCTTGATAATTTAGTTATATGAGCTTGAGTAATATTTTAAAGGTGAGAAGAGTTATGACTTAGAACAGAGGAAAAATGTGATTCTTGGTAGAGGGAACTGCAGCTTAAATGTTCCAGAGGGGGCCGTGCATGGTGGCTCACACCTGTAATCCCAACTACTTGGGAGGCTGAGGTAGGAGAATTGCTTGAACCCTGGAGGCGGAGATTGCGGTGAGCTGAGATTGCACCACTGCACTCCAGCCTGGGCCTCAGAGCGAGACTCCATCTCAAAAAAAACCATATGTTCCAGAGGGAATAAATATTGATGGGAGTTGGGTGGGGACAGATGATGGATGGAACTTAAGTTCTGGAAGGGTTAGCAAGCAGGTTTACTTGTCTAGATTGAGAAAAAAGTGATTCATGGAAACTATGTTTGGAAACATAGGATAAGCACTCTGACTTGACAAAATGATTTGTATTTAAAACCATATTGTTGGCAGGGCATAGTGGCTCACTCCTGTAATCTCAGCACTTTGGGAGGTCGAGGTGGGCAGATCACCTGAGGTCGGGAGTTTGAGACCAGCCTGACCAACATGGTGAAACCCCGTTTTTACTGAAAATACAAAAATTAGCCAGGCGCCTGTAATCTCAGCTAGTCTGGAGGTTGAGGCAGGAGAATCGCTCGAACCCAGCAGGTGGAGGTTGCAGTGAGCTGAGATTGTGCACTCCAGCCTGGGCGACAGAGTGATACTCTGTCTCGGGGAAAAAAAAAAAAAACTTATTGTAAATGTGTGATATCAGAAATAATAAAGCTTTCCTCTCCAGATCTTATGAAAATAAAAGTGGACATGATATGTAGCAAATATGCTTGGTGTTTGAGCTTGATTTTTTTTTTTAAAGAGAGATTTTATTGCCATTACTGTTATGTAGGGTTTTTTTTTTTTTCAGACTTTTAGTTTTTATAGCTAGTCTATTCATTTGGAGAATGTGGAAAAATAACTCTGAACACTTCCCACTAGTGAACATGTTAGGCTCTCAATAAAACAGTTTCTATAGTCAGTCATCCTGTATCAGTGTCAGCCAGAATTACCTAAAGGTATGAACAGTATTATGACAGTTACCTTTAAAACGATAGGCAACACTGGGCTTTTACATGGCCCTTTGTGTCAAGATGTGTTACAGATCAGTTTTGCTTCCTTTGTTTTGAAATGATTTTGATTTAGCCTTTTGTGAACCTTTGACTTTTCTTCCCATTTCACTAAGATAACTTCTTTTGCATGGTCTTTGAATAGTCTCATTTTTTAAAAAGTCCTAAGCATAAAAAGTAAGATTTTCCTTCTTTCCAACCCTTTCTGTGAAATTATAATTGTGCTAAAGTATCAGCTTAGATTTCAAGCAGTCCTCATGCCAAAGGCGTTTATTAAGTGTTTATATGTTTGTTACTATGCTGTATTGTATCAATAAAGTAGGAACACACAGGAGTCACATCTATTAAGTGCTTTTAAAGTGCCTGGTAACACTAATGTAAATCATATTTTCAATGTCATTCATATAAATAGTGTCAAGTCCTGCCTGCCCCCTCTCCACCAAAGCTAAGTATCTTAAATGCTAAGTATCTTACAAGATTACATCCCCATAGGAAGAGGGTGGAGTGTTTAGTCTTCATTTGTGACTGGTTTAAATGAATAGATACAGTTCTCCAAAGGTCCATTTATAGACCGGTCTTAACTTAAAATGTACATAATGTATTTGGGTATTGACGAAAGAGTCAAACTCTGTAAAATATTTAAAGCGTCTTATTCTGAGCCAAATATGAGTAACCAAGACCTGTGATACAGCTCTAGGTGTGATAGAGTTAACTGGGTGACAACTGAAAAGTGAAATGAGGGTTGCCTGACATCTGAGAATCATTCTGGAGTGAGACAGTCTGTTAAGGAGTATTTGATCAGGAAGAAGGTAGTGATAAAAGAAAAACCTCGGCTGAATTAAATTTAAAAGAATTTAATTCAGCAACTGACGGTTTGCCAATCGGGCAGGCCTCCCAGCCATAGTAGGCTCAGAGACTCCAGTGCAGCCACATGATGGAAGAAGATTTATGGACAAAAAAAGGAAAGTGATGTATAGAAAATGGGAGTGAGGTACAGAAACAGCTGGATTGGTTACAGCTCAGCATTTGCCTCATTTGAACATGGTTCAAACAGTTGACTACATTTGATTGGCCAAAACTCGGTGATTGGCGTAGGTGTAGGCTACGGTCTGGTTACACCTCCACTTGTTATAGTTCACCATGTACAGAAAAACCTTTAGCCAAACTTAAAATACGTAATGAGGCAGCTTTAGGCTAAACTTGGTTTAACAGTAGAGACTTTTCCTTTTTGTTCCAGACTTGTAAATTCTGCTGTCTGTTGAACTTCTCTCAACGGTGCATCACATTAAACATATCCAAACTCATTCTTCTCCCTTTCAGGCCACACTTTTTCCTCTACTCATATTTTCCTGCTCATCTCCTTCACTCAGTTGCACATGTTACTTAGTACCAAGGCTTCCTTCTTTATATTGTTCATACCTAGTTCTTTTCCATTCTCATGGCTACTACTTTAATTCTAGCTCCTACTCTTGCCTAGGGTTCATGGACTGGCTCCCTCACTATTTTCATACTTACTCCCTCAAATCTATATTCATACTGTTACTTAAGTAAACAAAAGAATTTTTTTTCTTATTTTTTTTTTTTCTGAGACGAGTCTCGCTCTGTCGCCCAGGCTGGAATGCAGTGGCGCGATCCCGGCTCACTGCAAGCTCCACCTCCCCAGGTTCACGCCATTCTCCTGCCTCAGCCTCCCGAATAGCTGGGATTACAGGCGCCCGCCACCACGCCCAGCTAATTTTTTGTATTTTTTAGTAGAGATGGGGTTTCACCGTGTTAGCCAGGATGGTCTCGATTTCCTGACCTCGTAATCCGCCCGCCTCGGCCTCCCGAAGTGCTGGGATTACAGGCGTGACCTACCGCGCCTGGCCAAAAATTTTTAAATTTCTATTACATCCCTCTTGCTTAAAACTCCTAAAACCACTCAGCTTTAAGGACTAACTTTAAGAAGTTGAAACTTAAATATGAGGACCTTCATAATGTGGTCCTTGTCTATCTTTCCAGCCTCTTCTCCTGTCACTTTTTTGCCTCTTCTTTTCACTCTGTCTTACTGGTGTTTCCTGAATTTATCATCCCTGTCACACCTCATTTTCTTCCCATGTTCTACTTTTTCTGTACTTTTCCACCCTCATAATACTGCTTTCCCTTGTTTCTACTTCTCAGGGAAGCCTGCTCTAACTTTCCTATAGGGTTTAGATATTGCACCTCTTCTCTGCCCCATTAGCTTCCTAGCAAATGGGGTTAAATGCAGAGCTTGCTCCAGAGGCCTACTGTCCAGGTTAAAACTTTAGCTTCACTCTGCTGATTATGTCTTCTTGGGCAATTTACTAAATATCTCTGTCTCTGTTTTCTCATATGTAAAATGGGAGTTACAAAAGAACTTCATAGGGTTGTTCTTGTGGGAGTAAATTGATGTATGTTAAACACTTAGAATAATTGTGCTTGGCACATGTTAACACTTACTGAACATTAACCTATTACTATCTTGTGTATACCTCATTCATAGGACAGATTATTTGATATTGAACTTCTGTTTTACTTGTTTCTTCCTCTAGTACATTGTGACCCTTTTTTGAGGGCAGGAACTAAATCTTATCAACTTAAAGTTTATTTAAAAATATTTGAGCATCCATTAAATCATTGATACTTGGCTAAGTCCAAATTACGGCCTGTTTTGTGAGACCCCTTTTTACATTTTTGTAAAATGTAAAAAGCCATTACCAACAAAAAGGAGGAAAAAAAAAAGAGGAAGAAGAGTATGGACAGAGAACATGGGCCAACAAAGCCTGAAATATTTACTACCTATAATTTTCTTAACAGAAAACATTTGCTGATCTCTGAGCTAGACCTCTTGATGTTGATGTTACACATAACATGATTAGAATCCAGTAAATGTTTGCTGGAATGAATGGATGGTTGGGTAGATAGATAAATGACTAGGATAAGAAGATCAGAATTGTGTGTATTGGTGATTATTTCTTAAGACGTGACAGCAATATGAAAGTCAGTGAAGAGTCTGAAATAGTTGCTTTCTCATTTGGTGACATGAGACTAGACTATTTGCACTTTGTGGGTAGGAATGTTTTAGGGTCCTGTGTCTTTCTGTTGTGTTTGAGAAGTTGGACACAAGAATGGTGTTCAAATTCCTGGTATTAACATGTGAAGAAGACAAGAATTTGCTATTTTCTATAGTTTGTACAGATGGAAAGTGTCAAGCGGTCTTCTGTGTTTTCCATTAAGCATTCCTTGCTGTTATTGCTAGGAATATCATAAAGGAGAGGATCCTCACTGTCATTTAATAAATAATAATAACAGCCTAAGTGGTTAATTTTGTTCCTTATCCCTACAGTAAACAAATAATAAATACTTTGAATTTAACTAGCTTAATATTCTGTTGGTGTAGAATTGTGGAGATAGATAAGGCTGAGTAAATTCAGGCCAGATTCTTTAATATTTATTTTTGACCGCTCTTAGGGATTTTGACCAAAGCAATTTACCCTCTAACTGTCCTATTTTGTATTTGTGGTATCAGAACAATTTTTCTTCCTTCATTTTTATTTCCTTAATGATTCAACTTTCTGTCTGCTCTAAACAGTATATGTGTTAAAGCTAATGTCCAAATGGTAATAAATTTTTTTTGTTATTAATTGATAATTGTTTGGATGTTGCTATTCTGAAAAGGACCATAAAGAGTATTTACACCAAGTCTTTAGTTTTACAGATAGGTCAGTTATTTAAAAATCACAAAGGTTCTTGATAGTAGAATGACAGCGAAAAGCTGGTGCTCTGATAGACCATGCTGCATCTCCTACTGTCCTGGTTTTTTATATAATAAGAGCTTACCATCTTCAGTTACATTGTTTTGCTGAACTTAAGCTGTGTATTGCACTCTTTCCATTGCTACCTGACAGAATAATAATGATCAAGACTTAAAATCTATTTCTAGTTTATTTTTTAGGTATTCGAAAATATTCTACTGTATTCACTTTGCCTTTCCCATTGTGAATGGTCCAAGAAACTTTAAAAAATATAGATACTGGTATAACTATGATTTGATACATTTTAATATAGGCAGTGTCAACATTTTGTGAATTTTATGTCAATATTAGATTATATTTTTCCTCTTCAAAGGGGCTTTTTAATGAAAATTGGGGAATAACTTGTTTCTAGTCTTGTAAAATCTTCCTTCATGGCACCATGAACTCTCATACATACAGTGGTAGACTTTCTACTTTTATATTATCCTTAGCTGTTTTAGTTTAGAATTCTGTTAGTGCCTTTCACAATAAATGTTTGTTGAATTGAATTGAACCTTGTGAGTAGAACTGTTTTGCTTTGCTGTTTTGTTGCAAGTATAACAGAATAACTTGTCATTATTTGCTATCTATACTCGATTCATTTGTGTTCATAGTATTTTCAACATATTTTTCTTTGTTTACTTAAATGTGGAAATTATATTCTAAATCACTTGGCAGCTGTGATATGCAAGAGCAATAGGCTTATTAAGTTAAAAGATGAAGTTTATGCCTTCATTCTGCCACTTGTATAGCATTTGTATTAGGACAATCAGCCTGAATCTTCTTTCCTCATCTGTAAAATAATGACTGCTTTATAGAGTTTTGTTAGGATTAAAAGGGAATCACATTTAAGCCTACCTAGCATGGTATCTGGTACATGGAGGGTGTTGAGTAAATGTTTACCCGGTAAAAAATGGCGATATGTACTTTAGATGTATCTTAAGACTATTTTTGGCCGGGTGCGGTGGCTCACGCCTGTAATCCCAGCATTTTGGGAGGCCAAGGCGAGTGGATCACGAGGTCAGGAGATCGAGACCATGGTGAAACCCAGTCTCTACTGAAAATACAAAAAATTAGCCAGGCGCAGCAGCAGGCGCCTGTAGTCCCAGCTACTTGGGAGGCTGAAGCAGGAGAATGGCGTGAACCCCGGGAGGCAAAGCTTGCGGTGAGCTGAGATCGCGCCACTGCACTCCAGCCTGGGTGACAGACAGAGACTCCGTCTCAAAAAAAAAAAAAAGTATTTTTAATAAAGGTTTTATAGAATCACAAAACCTTAGATTTTAAAGGGATATCAGAGTTCAAGCCCAGTTTCCCTTTTAAGAATTAAATTTCTTCTCTGCCGTATCCTGGGCTAGTGCTCATTTATCAGTTGCTATTTAATTTCTTTGTGCAAGGCGCTGTGGTAGGTTTTTGGGAAGCTGCAGAGTTGATTTAGGACAGATACTCTTCTCAAGAAGGTTGTTCCGAGTAAGCTTCATGGAAGAAGTGGCAGTTGAGCTAGAACTTGAAGGATAGGGTAGAATCTGAATCTTTATAGGGGTTGCCAACTGCAAGAACACAAGGAACAAAGGAGAGAAGAGTTTGGGCAGTTGCAGAAAATCATTAATAAATGAGTAATTTTATTTGACTGGATTAGGGAAGGTGAAGAAATAATGAAAGGTATGGCTGGAAAAGAAGATTATGGCCAAATAATAGAGATCCTGGATATATTGCAACAATTGGATTTCCTGGTACTCATCAGATGAAGTAAAATGAAACATTTTTAACTGGGGGTGATATAGTCAGTTTCATTCAGCTTTTTAATATATATGCCAAGTTTTAAATAGTTCTTTATTAATATTAACTTCTTGTAACTTTGATCTCTTTGCTGTAGTTCATTCTCTTTAGCCTTAGAGTCAGTCCCTCTTTCATCCTTCATGTCAAATCAGATACCTGTCAGTTTTGCCCCTAAAACACATGTAAAGTCTATCCTCATTGCTCCTGAGTTACTGTCTCATGTGGCACAGGATCAACCAGTAAGTTTCCATTCCTACTCTCCTGTTTAGAGCATTCATCAAAACCTCTGGTAGCCTTTATTGTCTTAAAAATATAGAGAGCATAGTGAAAACCATGTCACTGCCCTTGATTCTTATCTTCAAAATTATAGCGAAGTTAAGCAGTCTGCTAATTCTTATTTTCCTGTTGTAGCTAAAGCAGGAATCACTGAGGTAATAAGTTATTGTTTATGCATTACCTTATATTGTTGAGCACTAGAGATGTCTGTTAAAATCAGGGCAGAGAAATAGACAAGTAAACCACAGTGACAAGGTGGAGTAAAATAAGTACATACTTATTTTGTGTAGTGCTATGGAAACACAGAAGGGGCAAACAATACTGTTTTAAATCTTGCTTTTGAAGATGGAAATTATTGTCTTAAAGCTTATTCTCAGAGACTTGTGGCAATATAATGGATTAGATAACCTGAAAAATTCTGTGAAATGTCTACAAATGTCCATAACATTCGTTTACATGTTTTCCCTGCAAGCTCAAGGATGTGAAGGATTTCCCCAGGGCAATCGAAGAGAAAAATTAATGGTTATCAAGCTAATGCAGGCGCTGCCCTAAGTAAGGGCCTTTGTTCAAACCACACTCCAGAGCTTTGTGTTGTACTGGATCTTCTCGAGAAAAGGCTGGATTTTTCAGGGCAGGGAAATGGAGCTGAGGATCCCTGTATAGAGCTGTAACTCTTAAAGACTTTATACTCTTAGTAAAAGGGTAGGCTGGGGCGAACAACCACCCACCAGCAAAGTATACTGATGAAGGCTTGTCTTTCTTAGCCTTAGATCCAAATAGAAGTCTTCCCTGAAAATTTAAACCATAACTCTTTTAAAATACAGGTTTGCTATTTGAATTTGTTCACCTGTGTGGTCTGGGAAACCCAGAGATAAGAAACTAAAATGATCCTGAGCTAGAAGTGCCTCAACTGGAGCAGAGGCAAATATATGGCCTTTCTGAAGGAATGTGCTTTCAACACAAGCTTCTCATATTCCTCCAGATTAAAGTTTTCCAATATTAGCCTGTAACCCAAAATGACAGAACCTAGGAAAAAAGACAACATCAGAAAGTTGCAGCAAAACAACCAACAAAGGAAAAAAATAGTCATTGAAATTTAGAAACTTAATGGACAAGTTCAGCAAATAGATATGTTTTGAAGAATGGTTTAGGAAATTAACATATGTAGTACTGCTTTGTTTTCTCTGAGTCTCTTTTCTCTGAGATGAAAAATGCAAAAGAGAAGTTCAAAGTTATGGAAAATAGAATGAGGTTCAAAATGAATCTAATTGGAGTTACACAGAAAGAATAGGGATAGTTCTCAGCTGCTATCAGTTTAAATACATACTGGCTGAGATTTGATACAAGGCATGAATTCTCAGCTTTAGGAAGCACAATGAAACTCCAAGCGAGATAGGTAAAAATTCTGCACCTAGACACATTATCGTGAAAATGCAGAAAATCAAATATAAAGAGAATATCTTAATAGAGAGTAGAAAAAAATAGATGATTGATCATAAAAGAGCCACATTTAACTACTCAGTAGCGATGATGGAAGCCTAAAGACGATCAAGTTATAAAATACTGAGAAAAGATAACTGCCAACCTTAAATTTTTACCCAGGTGAACTTTAAGAGTAAAGATGAAATGACTTTTTGGACAAATAAAAACTGAGTTGGCTACCATCATACATTCTTTTAAAAGATGTACTTAAGAGAGAAGGAAATTGAACTCAGAAGGAAAGACTGAAATGCAAGAGGGAATAATGAGCAGATATATTGGTAGCCTGTGGGTAAATCTAAGTAAACTACGCTTATTTTATGACCTTGGTACATAGTAAATGCTTGGCTAACAGATATATTATTCACCAGTTTTCCTGAAATAACGTGTTTTCTTATTCCATTGTGACAGACAGTGGAATTGACTTCATATTCAGAAATTAAGAGAAGCTGGAATCTCAACAGGATTCCTAACATGGTTAGTCTTATTTTTCAAAGTTAACAGATACAGTGTCTTTAGGAGCTGACTTGGAGTGGCTAGGTTTCTTAAAAGTTTATGTTGGCCAGGTGTGTGAGCTCAGGAGTTCGAGTCTAGCCCAGGCAACATAATGAGGCCCCATCTCTACAAAAACAGTTAAAAATTAGCCAGGTGCTGTGGCCTGTGCCTGTAGTTCCAGCTACTCAGGAGGCTGAGGCAGGAGTGTTTGTGCCCAGGAGTTTGAGGTTACAGTGAATTGTTATCAGGCCACTGCACTCCAGCCTGGGTGACAGAATGAGACCCTGTCTAAACAACAGCAACAACAAAAAAACAAAGATTTATGTCTACTTATAGGCTGCTGAACAAATTTTAATTTAGATATTAACTGACCTTGCCCCCTCCTTACCAAGATCCTAATTTTTTGTGTTTGATTTATAGTTTGGATCTAGAATTTCCGTTCAAAATGTTCTCAGATTTCACAATCATTAAATAGAAGACAGTTCTAAATTTATTATTTGAGAACCTGTGCTAATCTTGGGGGAAACATTATAACAATAAGTAAAATGGAACTCAGTGCTCTTTAAATGGCCAAGAACATCACAAACCGGAAGCTTGGTCACTTGTGGTCCTGACTTGTAAAAAGAAGTATTTGCTAACCATGTTTTTATTTTTATTTTTTTAAACTATTGAATTTCAGGTAGTCTATGAGGGGAGTATACTTGTAGTAGCATTTTGCTAGATGAGCTGCCTTTATTCCAAATCAATAAATGAGTGGTCTGAGCACATGTTTCTTTTTTTGAAATAGTTTCTTTGAAGTTTTATTGTGGACTTAAATCTAATATCCCTGACGTAATATTTATTGACTTTCTAGGCATCATTCATTCATTCAACAAATGTTTCTGAGTGCTTGTCAGATTCTACCACTAAGGTTGCTGTACTGAACATGACTTATAAGGTGCCTGTGCTCAGCAAGCTTACCTTCTAGTGAGGACTAAACAGAAACCAGACAAGTGAACAGGGTTTAAATTTAGGAGAAGTACATACAGAAAATAAAATCAGGTGATGTGATAGTGACTTCAAAGGGTCTCTCTGAGGAGGTGACATTCAGACAAAGACAGAGGCCTGGGCAGAAGCATCTTCAGTGGAAGGAACAGAAATTCCAAAGGCTGTAAGGTGCTTGTGAGTGAGTTTGGTGTACATTTACATGGTGCTGTAAGTGCTGAGAGGGTATATTAATGTGATGGTTTAATGTGACTAACATATTTTGTGGAAATTAATTTTGATTTTATGATCAATCACACCAGATTGCCATAACTTAAAATTTCTATCTCAGGTCTTAGGAGTTACACTAACTTTTACTCTGTTCTATATTTGGCCAGTGGAACTCAAACCCATTTGAAAACGTTTGGTCTGAGATGTTCATTTATTTGCTGGCTTGTGTTCTGTTCTCTTTTAGACAGTTTTTTTGTGACCCCATTGTAATGTAAAAACATTTAAATATTTGCCAAATTAGTTGAATTATAAATCTACATTTTTACATAGGGAGACAAAATATAATGAAAAATAATTATAGTAACTTGGAAGAGACTTCAAAAGCAGTATCCAAAACTGCAAATTATGTTATACAGTTTAAGCACTTAGTTCATTTTCTTTGTAATAAAACTTATTCCACAAATACGTAATTATTTACAGGATTCCTACATAAATAAGGAACTACTAAGATTGCATGAAGGCTGGGTGCGGTGGTTCATGCCTGTAATCCCAGCAGTTTGGCAGGCAGAGGCGGGTGGATCACTTGAGCTCTGGAGTTTGAGACTAGCCAGGGCAACATGGCAAAACCCTGTCTCTACAAAAAATACAAAAATCAGCCCAGTGTGGTGGTGGTGGTGTGCGCCTATAGTCCCATGTACTTGGGAGGCTGAGGTGAGAGGATTGATTGAACCCAGGAGTTTGAGCCTGCAGTGGGCAGTGATCGTGCCATTGCACTTCAGCCTGGGCGACAGAGCAAGGCCCTGTCTCAAAAAAAAGTGTAGCACGAAAACCACATGTTCTCTTTTGTGTTGAGATATGCATATGATTATACCCTTTTATCAAAATTTAGTAAAAGCATTTCTTAGCTTTTGCTCAAATTACAGATTCTATATGTCTGTCCTAACTTGTCATCCATCCAGCTGAAGCGTCTCAAGGTCAGAATCATGTCTGTTTCATCTTTCTGACCCCATGGAGCAGAGTACAGTGCCTATGCATAGTAATCTCTCAAAATTGTTTGTTGAGTGAGTGAATGTGTGAACATTTTATGAAATTATCTTTAAGAGTAGTTACTCATGATCAGTATACTTTAAAAGATCGGCAAAACATTGATGACTTTTTAAAAAGTAATTTTGGCCAGGAGCAGGGGCTCATGCCTGTAATCCCAACACTGGGAAGTGAAGGGGGGAGGATCACTTGAGGCCAAGAGTTCAAAACTAGGCTAGTGAACGTAGCCAGACCACATCGCTACAAAAGAAAAATTTTAAAACCAGCTGGATGTGGTTGGCATGTGCCTATAATCCCAGCTACTGGGGAGGCTAAGGCAGGAGGATTGCTTGAACCCAGGAGTGCAAGGCTGCAGTGAGTTACAATTGCACCACTGCACCCGGCCTGGGTTAAAGAGTGAGACCCTGTCAGAAAAAAAAAAAAAAAAAAAAGTCATTTCATAAAATTGTTGGAAAATATGCATTTCTGAAGGAGAGGCGTCAGTGTGAAGAACACTCATCTGAACTAAGAATCAGAAAATGGATCTGAATTTCAGCTTTGCTATTCATTCAGTGTCCTTAAATAAATCATGCAACCTTGCACATCATTTTCTTATTTATACAATGAAAGCATTGGATTGATCATTGCTAACATTTCTCTCTGCTCTAAAACTGTGATTTTTATCCTTTGCTATTTGCAAGAACCAGAAGAGATAAAGGTTGCCTTTTATGTTAGATTTGATTCTAAATCTAATGATATAGGACAGCGGTGCTTAAGCTATTTTTGTGAAGTGATAAGGAAAAACCCTGGGAAAGGTTCAGTGGTGGTTTGCACAGCTGATTATTTGTTATGATTAATTGTTCCACTTTTATTTTCTTTTGTGGCCTGTAACCTAATTTTTCACTTAGTATTGGGATTATTTTAGTACAAACAAGTGATATATTTGTAAGAAGGGATCCAGAGAGTATGGTAAAATGTCTGGATGCTGATGTTCTCTAAGTTAAAGGAGATTCTAGGGGGTAGTCTATAATAAAGGAAAAACACATTTTTTAAGGTTTTAATTTTTCAGAGTGCAGGGAGGTGCTAGGTGCTTTCCTCACATTAAGTATAACATTTCCTTTTACAGTATGTCAGCATATTGTTGAAGTTTTCCAATATGAAAATAATATCTATTTACTAGCATATTAAAGCTTAGCAAGAGAATTTTAATAGCCTCATTTAGCCTCCTAAACAGTCAGAGGCAGGGAAATATTATTAGAGTAACAACACTGTAGGTGCTCTCTTTTGTCTCTAGTAGCAAAATGAATTCTGGCTACCATGTACTGTAGGAGTGCTGCTGGCTTGAGGCTCCTGAGATCTGGCATGGCTGTTATACTGACTTGTTTTCTTTCAAATTCATGTTAGAAAAATCTGTGCGTGTGTGTGTGTGTGTGTCTGTGTACACAAATATTTATATTACCGTGTCTCAGTGCTTTGAGACTGTGTGAGGCGGGGGAAGAGCTGTTGAGGCTTTTTATAGATAAAGTTGATAATGCTTTTTTGACTTGGTTTTCTGTTACCATCTTTTTTGTCTCTATTATGATATCTATTATATAAGTCAGAAGGAGAAATGACACAAATGCCAGTATACCAGTTCAAGATAGGATCTTGGTTTGATTTAGCTAAAATTTACCCTACTTATTGGTGCAATTTTTAATAATAGAAAACCATTCCTCATTGCTTGGAATTTTTATCTGCACTTTCCATTTTGAATATTATTGTTAGTTGTTGAACACCAGGTTTACTCTGCAGGACACCAAGCAAAGCTTTAGAAATTTCTGCCATCATTAAACCCTGAACAGACTGATAAGCAGCAAAATTGAATCAGTTTAAAAAAAAAAAAAAACTTGCCAACAAAAAAAGTCCAGGACCAGATGGATTCACAGCTGAATTCTACCAAACATTAAAGAAGAATTGGTACCAATTCCAAAAGATTGAGAAAGAGGGAATCCTCCCTAAATCATTCTATGAAGCCAGTATCACTCTGATACCAAAACCAGGAAAGAACATTTAAAAAAAAACTACAAGAAATAATAAATAAATAAAAATTAAAAAGAAAACTACAGACCAATATCCCTGATGAACATAGATTCAGAAAACCTCAAGGAAACACTAGCTAACTGAATCCAGCAGGACATAAAAAAGACAATCCACCATGATCAAGTAGGTCTCATCCCAGGGATCCAGGGATGATTTAACATACACAAGTCAATAAATGTGATACATCACATAAACAGAATTACAAACAAAAACCATACGACCGTCTCAATAGACAAAGAAAAAGCATTTGATAAAATCCAGTATTCCTTTATGATAAAAACCCTCAACAAACTAGGCATGGAAGGGACTTTTACCTTAAATTAGTAAAGCCATATCTGACAAACCCACAGCAAACATCATACTCTATGGGAAAAAGTTGAAAACATTCCCCCTGAGAACTATAACAAGACGACAATGCCCACTTTTACCCCTTCTATTTAACATAGTCCTAGAAGTCCTAGCCAGAGCAGTCACGCAAGAGAAAAGAAATAAACAGCATCCAAATTGGAAAAGAGGAAGTCAGACTATCGTGATTGTATGCCTAGAAAACCCTAAAGACTCTTAGATTCGAGAAACAAATTCAGTAAAGTCTGAGGTTACAAAATCAGTGTTTACAAATCAGTAGCACTGCTGTACACCAATGACCAAGCCAAGAATCAAATCAAGAACCCAATCCCCTTTACAACAGCTGCAATAAAATATAAAATACCTAGGAATATACTTAACCAAGGAGGTGAAAGATCTCTATAAGGAGAACTAAAAAACACTGCTGAAAGAAGTCATAGATAACACAGACAAATAGAAGCACAACTCATGCTCATGGACTGGAAGAATCAATATTGTGCCAGTTGACAGATTCAATGCAGTCCCTATCAAAATACCAACATCATTTTTCATGGAATTAGAAAAATATCCTAAAATTCATATGGAACCAAAAAAGAGCTCAGGTAGCCAAAGGTAATTGTAAACAAAAAGAACAAATCTGGAGGCATCACCCACTACGGGATTTCCAGTTATACTACAAGGCTGTAGTTACCAAAGCAACATGGTACTGGTATAAAAGTCGGCATGTAGACCAATGGAACAGGACAGAGAACTCAGAAATAAAGCCAAATATGTATAACCAACCTGATCTTCAATAAAGCATACAAAAAAGTAAATTAGGAAAGGACACCCTATTTAATAAATGGTGCTGGGAGAACTGGTTAGCCACATGAAGAAGAATGAAACTGGATTCCTATCTCTCACCTTATACAAAAGTCAATTCAAGATGGATCAAAGACTTAAATCTAAGACTCAAAACTGGAACTAGAAGATAACCTTGGAAAACCTCTTCTGACATTGGCCTAGGCAAAGAATTCATGACTATGGTGGCTCACGCCTGTAATCCCAGCACTTTGGGAGGCCGAGGCGGGCGGATCACAAGGTCAGGAGATCAAGACCATCCTGATCTCAGTGAAACCCCGTCTCTACTAAAATACAAAAAAAAAAAAAAAAAAAAAAAAAAATTAGCCAGGTGTGGTGGCGGGCACCTGTGGTCCCAGCTACTCAGGAGGCTGAGGTAGGAGAATGATGTGAACCCGGGAGGCGGATCTTGCAGTGAGCCGACATCATGCCACTGCACTCCAGCCTGGGCGACAGAGTGAGACTCCATCTAAAAAATAATAATAAAAAAAGAATCATGACTAAAACCCCAGAAGCAAATGCAACAAAAACATAAATAAATGGGACCTAACGGAATCAAAAAACTTCTGCACAGCAAAAGAAATAATCATCCGAGTACACAGACAACCCACAAAGTGGGAGAAAATATTTGCAAACTATACATCTGACAAAGGACTAGTATCCAGAATCTACAAGGAACTCAAACAAATAAGCAGGAGAAAAACACAAATAATTCCATCAAAAAGTGAGTAGATGACAGGAGTAGACATTTCTCAAAATAAGATATACAAGTGGTCGACAAACATGAAGAAGTGCTTGGAATCATTAGTCATCAGGGAAATGCAAATTAAAACCACAATGAGATACCACTTTATTACTGCAAGAATGGCCAGATCTGGTGAAAGGGGAATGCTTATACACTGCTGGTGGTAATGTAAATTAGTACAAGCTCTATGAAAAGTAGTGTGGAGATTCCTTAAAGAAGTAACAGTAGAAGGCTGGGCACGGTGGCTCACACCTGTAATCCCAGCACTTTGGAAGGCTGAGGTGGGCAGATCACTTGAGGTCAGGAGTTTGAGACCAGCCTTGCCAACATGATGAAACCCCATCTCTACTAAAAATACAAAAATTAGCCGGGTGTGGTAGAGGGTGCCTAATCCCAGCTACTCAGGAGGCTGAGACCTTGAACCTGGGAGGCGGAGGTTGCAGTGAGCCGAGATCACGCCACTGCACTCCAGCCTCGGTGATAGAGCAAGACTCCATCTCAAAAAAAAAAAACCTAACAGTAGAAATACCATTCTATCCAGCACTCCCACTACAGGGTATCTACCCAGAGGAAAAGAAATCATTATATGAAAAAGACGCCTACACATGCATGTTTATTGCAGCCCAATTCACAGTTGCAAAGATATGGAACCAACCTGAGTGTCCATTGACTAATGAGTGGATAAAGAAAATGTGATATGTATACACCGTGGAATACTACTCAGCCATAAAAAGGAACAAAATAATGTCTTTTGCAGCAACTTGGTTGGAGCTGCAGGCCATTATTCTAAGTGAAGTAACTCAGGAATGGAAAACCAAATACTATATGTTCTCACTTATAAGTGGGAACTAAGCTATGAATATGCAAGTGCATACAGTGATATAATAGACATAGGAGACAGACGTGGGAAGAGAGTGCCAGATAAAAAAACTACATAATGGTTACAACATCACTATTCAGATGACAGGTGCATTAAAATCTCAGAATTCACCACTATATAATCCATCCATGTAACCAAAGCTATTGAAATTTTAAAAGACATTTTAGCCGTTATTTTTGTGGAGCCATGAACATGATTCAGAGGCTAAATTGTAATAAAAGATTTCTCTTAATGTTCTACTAAGTTGGTTGCTTGGTGTTATCATAACCAGTGTAAAGTGAATGGGCCATAGAAGGCCTTCTTCTATACCAGGGAGAATAGGGAACCTCTTAAGGGTCGTTGTAAATTTTTTGTTGTAATTGCAGGATGAGTGACTTTGAACATGAAAAAAGTAAGAGTCTGTGAATAGATGTGTTATGGAGCTGCTGTTTTTAATTCAGAAAGGGAGGGTGTATAGTAACTGCTTTAATATGTAAAAATCTTTAAAATTTTTATTTGGTCTAAAAAGCATTACAAGTAGAAAACTTTTTTTTTTTTAGTTTCTGTACAGTTAAGTCGTGAGTTGGACAAAGAATTTTTACTGAAGGAAATAGATTATTGGTGGAGACTCAAAGTAGTAAGGGCAGCATTTTGGAGTTCATCCATTGAGCCTTTTTGCATTCAGGTAAAATGAGAGCTAAACTCAGGCCAAATGGAGAGATGGTCAGAAAGAATCCAGTTTTATGTTACTTCTAAGCAACCTGAGCTTAGTATTTGAAAAATCTTCATTCATATTTGTCTATTTCATCTTCATCACAACTTAGAACTTTCTCATATTGTAACACATCTTTATATTTAATATCAATATTGTAATTCCTGCCACAGTGGTTCTTACTTGTTTTTAATCTTTATCATTTTCTCTGTTGGACCTATTTTTAGGACTCTGGTTCATCTTAGCTCCTCATTGTCTGAAGCAGAAAAACTTCTTTCAAGAGGTTCTTTGTGATAAAATAATAAAAACTGATTACACAGCGTTGCACTCCATTATTTACACAGATTTGGGTAATAAAGGAAAAGTGTTTGGTCAGATTCTGGGGACCTAACCAAATATATTAGGAAAGTAAAGAATTCAGCTAAAATTCTTTTAATAAAAATAAATTTACAAAAACTCGGTGTCCATTAAAAAGATTGAAACAAAAAATAGAAATGTATATGGTAAATGTTAACCATTTAGTGTGAAACTACAAGTCCTTTTTCCTGTGTTCATATATATGTCCATAGGTATATGTAAAAGTCAGATCATATCTGTAACTATCCAGCATATTTCCAATTATATGCAAAGCACTGTAGTGTGAAATACGGGGACTGTTTGCACTTTAAAAACTTGTATCATGAAGGCTGATTTTTAAAAATTATAGGCTGGAAATGGTGCAAATATGCTATATATGTTTATATGCTGTATGGGAAGACTGATTTTTTTAAAATTATAGGCTAGAAATGGTGCAGGTATGCTTATATAACTAAGATAACTAAGTTGATGTGCAAGACAGGAAAGAATGGTTGAAATTAAAAACCATAATTTAATATTGATTTTGCACTAATAACCAGACCCAATTTTGGAAATTCCAACTTGTTCATAATGTGCATATACAACAGGAGTTTTGCAGAGTTTTGGCAAAGTATGTGGCAGCCACATGTCTTCACAGAACACTGAAATAATCCTTAGTAAACTCTGGTAACTCTAACTTGTGAACACCAAATTAATAACTCTTAATAATTTAACGTATTTGTTATTGGTAGTTTGCTTTCAGCTTCAGACAATTGGAACTGGCTGAAATACAAAGGAGTTTGCGTGGCTAATCTGATTGAGAAACCAGAAGCTTCAAGGACAATAGGGCAGGGCTGTGTTTGGACTCTGCACTTCTGTGTTTTGCTTTACCCTCATGGTTGCAAAATAACTGCCAGCAGCAGCCAGGGAAATATGCTTCCTTGTTAATAATGTCCAGAGAAAAGAGAGTAGTCTCAGTATTCTCTATTAAAAGTAAGACTATATCAGAAAGGTTCAGGAGCTCTGTCCTTGATTTCACTGCCCAGAATTGAATAAAAATTTGAAATGCAGTTCACTTCTGAGCAAGCCATTAGCTAGGGGGATGGGATTAATCATTCAGGCCCTTTCCTTGTCCTTGCTCTTATTCAGCTAGAGAGAGTTGGAATGGCAACCAGCATGTACTACTACTATGTAAGCCCTCAGTCAAATGTCACAACCAACAGAAGCAACAATTTTGAATCAGCTCTATCCCACTAGTGGCAGGAAGAAAATACTTTGGCAATCACTAGTGTAATGAGAATTGGGCTGAGGATGGACCCTAAGGAACACTAACTTTTAACCAGTAGAGCAAGAGGCCAAGGTGGGTGGATCACTTGAGGTCAGGAGTTCAAGACCAGCCTTACCAATGTGGTGAAACCCCGTCTCTACTAAAAAAAAAAAATACAAAATTAGCTGGGTGTGGTGGTGCAAGCCTGTAATCCCAACTACTTGGGAGGCTGAGGCAGGAGAATTGCTTGAACCTGGGAGGCAGAGGTTGCAGTGAGCTGAGATCAAACCATCACATTCCAGCCTGGGCAACAAGAGTGAAACTCCATCTCCAAAAACAACAACAACAACAACAACAAAAACAAACAAATAGAGCAAGAACGAGGAGCCTGTGAATCCATTTCCTGTTTTAGTCCATATTGCTTCTTTGATATGGAATAAGACAGTAATGATGACTCCAGGATTTTTTTCTTTTGCATTTCTTTTTCCAAGACTAGAGTAAATGCTGGAAACACATTAAAGTTAGAAATAGAGACTTGAATTTATTCTTTAATAAAAAATGTTCCTTGAACATTTAAGTAAAAATGTATCTATGATACAAGCATTTTCTAATTTAAGATAATAGCAAGCAGAAGAAAACAAGTTAAATGTAAATTTTTTTTCTGTTTCCTGCTCTGTATGTAAAGTCAAGAATCTGACCTTTGAGTAAATTTCATCATATTTCTTATCGTAAAATAGATTACAAAATAAATCCTGAGAATAAGTAAACAAACACTTCCCTTTGAATTTCCTGGGGTGGTTTGTATTTCGTTTTTTTTAATTGTGGCTGGTCTTCAGATTCATTCAAAATATAATTTTAAGAGTCCATTTTTTGGGAGTATAATACTGACGGCATTTAGCAATTTATTTTTAATTATGAGCTTCAAAAAACTATTCAGTTTGCTTGAATTCATTAATTTTAACAGCATATGCCATGTTCAGTTTACCCAGTGGCTTTTCTTCATTAAATCTGTGTGTCTCTGGTCACTTTAATGTCAGTAGCTCATCAGTTTCTTCGAAGTGCTGCCCATTAGAATTATGGAAGGAAGGCTGGGCACGGTGGCTCATGCCTGTAATCCCAGCACTTTGGGAGGCCAAGGCGGGCGGATCACCTGAGGTCGGGAGTTCGAGACCAGCCTGACCAACATGAGCAAACTCCGTCTCTACTAAAAATACAAAATTAGCTGGGCATGGTGGCAGGTGCCTGTAATCCCAGCTTCTCGGGAAGCTGAGGCAGGAGAATCACTTGAACCTGGGAGGCGGAGGTTATGGTGAGCCGATATCGCACCATTGCACTCCAGCCTGGACAACAAGAGTGAAACGCCATCTCAAAAAAAAAAAAAAAAAAAAAGAATTATGGAAAGAAAAGAAATATGGAAGGAGTTGTGATTGGATATACTGAGGTTAAAGGATAAAATGAAAAGTGTATCTTGTAGTATATATGAAGGCAGTGTGGTTAGTTACTAGGAAGAACTGCATCCTTGTATGTTTTTTAAAAAAATCTTACAAGTAGTGTTGTTAAAATGTATGACTCAAACTTCATACTCATCTTTACATACATATTTAATATGTTGAAAAAATTATTCTTCTAAAAGGAATAAATGGTTAGGTTTGCTGCCCTGTGTGGGAAGACATCAGTGATTGGAGATTGATTGTGATTAGTAATACATTATGAATGGTAGTGGATTGAATGTTCTACGTGCAAGGACCCTCCTGTCCTTGAGTGATTATAAACAAACACTTGATTTTCGCTTGGTGCTTTACATGTGTAGGAATGACAGACACACTGAACTACTGTTTATCTCTGCATATCTTTTAGACGGTGAGATATTAGCCAACAGACTCAATTCAGGAGACCAGAGTTTTTTTTTTTTCATTTTATTTTGCTGCTGTTCCTCACCTAGTTCCAAAGAGTGGGATAAAGCATTGCATTTTCTATTTCATATTTGCCTCCTCTGAAGTTTGACACTGTAAGTCAGTGGTTCAGGGTCTTCTAGGGGTTTGTTAAAACCCAGATTGTTGGGCCCCCACCTCCAGAGGTTCTGATACAGTAGGTGTGAGGTAGGGGCCAAAAAAGTGCATTTCTAATAAGTTTCCAGGTGATGCTATGATACTGATCCGGGTACTGCCCTTTAAGAGTAGCTACTGTGCACTGTTCACAATAGCAAAGCCATGGTATTAACCAAGGTGCCCATTAATGATGAATAAAGAAAGTGTGGTACACAGATACCACGGAATACTACACAACCATAAAAAGAACAAAACCATGTCCTTTGCAGCAACATGGATACAGCTGGAGGCTATTACCCTAAGCGAGTTATTGCAGAAACAGAAACCAAAATACCACATTTTCTCACTTGTAAGTGGGAGCTAAACATGGGGTAGGTACCACATGGATATAAAGATGGGAACAGCAGACACTGGGGACTCCAAAACGGTCAGGAGGAAGGAGAGCAAGGGTTAAAAAATTAGAGATCAGGTACCGTATTCACTGTTTGGGTTATGGGTTCAATAGAAGCCAAAACTTCAGTATCATGCAATATATCCAGGTAGCAAACCTACATATGTACCCTCTGAATCTAAAATAAAAATTAAAAATTTACAAAAAGAATTACCATTGTGAAAACTCTTATTTTTTATTTATTTTTTTGAGACGGAGTCTTGCTCTGTCGCCAGGCCAGAGTGTAGTGGCGCGATCTCAGCTTACTGCAACCTCCGCCTCCCAGGTTCAAGCGATTCTCCTGCCTCAGCCTCCCGAGTAGCTGGGACTACAGGTGCACGCCACCATGCCCACCTAATTTTTGTATTTTTAGTGGAGACGAGTTTTCACCACGTTGGCCAGGATGGTCTCGATCTCTTGACCTCGTGATCCGCCCACCTCGGCCTCCCAAAGTGCTGGGATTACAGGCATGAGCCACTGCACCCAGCCTCTTATTTTTATTTTTTATTTTTTTGGAGACGGAGTCTACCTCTGTTGCCCAGGCTGGAGTGCAGTGGAGTGATCTCGGCTCACTGCAACCTCCAACCCCCTGGTTCAGGCAGTTCTCCTACCTCAGCCTCCTGAGTGGCTGGGATTACAGGCGCATGCCACCACGCGCAGCTAATTTTTGTATTTTAGTAGAGGTGAGGTTTCACCATGTTGGCCAGGCTGGTCTTGAACTCCTAACCTCAGGTGATCCGCCTGCCTTGGCCTCCCAAAGTGCTGAGATTATAGGTGTGACCCACCGTGCCCAGCTGTAAAAACTCTTAACAGTTTTAATTAAACCAAGGAACTGTCATATTAAATTTATTTAAGGAAAAGATGCATAGTATTTACTACTGTTTAGATTAGACTTTATATTGGTTCTCTCTCTCTCTCTCTCTGAATGTTACCTATTACATTAGGTGACCCACAGGGAATACTCACTTAAAATTTTATGTTTCTTTAGTCAAAGAATGGTTATCACTTGGTGATGGGCATTTTGTAACTTTTCACAGACACGTTAGTTACTGCTGTTGGGCTGAAAGCCACTTTTGGACTAGCAGAAAATACCTTGCGTTATTTTGTTTAACATTTCAAGCAAAGATAAAATTTTTTAAAAATTGTTCTTAACTGAGATAACATAATTATTATTTCACTAAATGAATATTGAAACTTTTAAAACCAATCTGAAGCCAGTACAGCCTCTTTGCCATTGCCAGCTGTGCATGTTGCTATGGAAACTCAGTAGGGACTAGCAGGATTACTGTTGTGAGGACCACACCTGGTTTATTTGCATCCAGTTTAAGTTGGGGGAACATTTCAAAAGAATAAAAGGTCTCAAGATGTGCCAATGGACAGCAAGAAAGAGCTTGTTAGTTTGTAACCATCATATTGGAAGGGTGGGTAGGTTTTTCTTACTCCTTACAGTTCCTGGTTGGGAGGGTTTGGTGGATGTGTTAAAAATTTGTTTTGTGTATTCATTTCTCTCAATTTTTCGCTATTCCTTACGGTGTTTTTTTGTTCTGTGTGCTTTTTGTTTTAGGTATTTCTTCTTGTAATTTAAATGTTTTTTTCATTCTCTTAAAGTATGGACAGATCAAAATTTTTTAAGAGGAAAGAATTTAATTTCTTTTCAGTTGTATTATGTAATAAAATATCTTAATAAGGTTTTCATCACTGTTAGCTATGGTAGAATTTTATGTTGATCTCTGATTTTAAGTAGTATGAGCCTCTATGCTCCCCTTCACTCACAAAAACAAAAACAACTCCTTTTATTTATCCCCCGCCCCCGAGACGGAGTCTTGCTCTGTCACCCAGGCAGGCCGGAGGGCAGTGGCACCATCTCGGCTTACTGCAACCTCCACCTCCTGGGTTCAAGCGATTCTCCTGCCTCAGCCTCAGCCTCAGCCTCCTGAGTAGGTGGGATTACAGGCACACGCCACCACACCCGGCTAATTTTTTTTTTCTTTTCTTTTTTTTTTTTTGAGACAGCATCTCACTGTGTCACCAGGTTGGAGTGCAGTGGCGTGATCTCTGCTCACTGCAAGCTCTGACTCCCTAGTTCAAGCGATTATCCTGCCTTAGCCTCCCGAGTAGCTGGGATTACAGGCATGCATCACCATGCCTGGCTAATTTTTGTATCTTTTAGAGACGGGGTTTCACCATGTTGGCTAAGAGGGTCTCCTTCTCCTGACCTCGTGATTCGCCTGCCTTGGCCTCCCAAGGTACTAGGATTACAGGCGTGAGCCACCGCGCCTGGCCAACAACTCCTTTTTAAGAAGACACTTTGAACTGCATTTGATTTTGTTTGTACCATTGCATCTCAGCTGTTCAGATTCATGAAATAGGAACAAAACTGAATGTACAGAAAAAAGTTATGTGGGCCAGTTATATGAGCACTGAGTATGGATCTATAAAATTTACATAGTTTTCATTAATTAGCTATACTACTCAATCAGTTACACTGACTTATACCAGTTATACTAATTATGCTAAATCAAAAATAGCTATAATAGTACAAGTATATGTTAAATAAGAGTCATAGCATGTACCATTTCTTTATTGGTTTATGTTGTTTGAATTCTATCGATGAGGATTCTGAGGCCTCATGACAAAGAGGGGGATGGTCAACCAGTGATAGTAAATTTTCACACCTGTGTGTACCAAGTATTGGTCTTTCTCATTTTCTAAATACAAAATATAATCTTATATCTTTTTTCAGAATACATCCATAGCAACCTGTATGGATCTATTGCTATCTATATCGTCTATCTATGTATATATATAAAGCCAGTAGATACTTGTATTGTATATTAGGGGGAGGTTAATGTCAAATGTGGAGATCAGGTTTTTTTTTTTATGTTAGTGAAATGCACCCTTTAAAAAAAACCTGAGTAGGCTGTTTTATCCAGCTTCATGAAAGAATAGCACCATACGACACATATTCAAAGAACTTTCTGATTTATCTCCATGGTCCTTTAGTAAGGGCAGGTACTAGTTATTTCTGTTTTGTAGGTGAGGAAATAGGTACAAGAGGTGCCTGCCTAAGGCAGCTAATCTAAATGTGTCCTGATGGATAGTCTGGTGTCCCCCACTGTGTGTAATTGTTCTCTCTTTAAGTGTTAGGTTATTTTATACAGCTTACTCAGTTTTGCCTTTTTCTCTTTTTGTGTTCATAGACTGGAAAAGTAAGAAGAGCTTTCCTGCCTTTTTAATTACCAAACTACTCTCAGTTTTCAATGAATCAGTTCAAAGAAAGAATGCAGTCTTTCTATACCTGGTAAATATTTTCTGCTAAATAAAGCTATTAATTTAGTAGCATCTGATAAATCCAGGTGTTATGATGATTACCTTTAATTTTGTGGAATGACTATTAAAATGACTTATCAAATATATATTTTTCTATTTTTAACTCTGAAATTTGTTTGATATTTATTGATATGATGGAGTGATGCTTGGGATGCCTGCGACCCAGCCAGCAATGGAAAATAGTTTAGGATTGGCCCTAGTTCTTAGATTAGACTCTGGTCTCTTTTGAAAAGGTTGTGAAATCAGTGGAAATAGGGTATATAAATATATTTTTATATCATCTTTATTCTGTGATGATATATCATTAGCATTAATCCCTGTATGATAGTTTAATAGAAGCACTTTGTAAATAATGGTTTTATAAAATTAATGTAGTAATGAGAATATTACATTTTACCATTTTACAAATTACCTACATGAAGATTAAAGAAGTAACTTGCGAAAGAAATTCAGCTAGCTAGTGTAGAACAGAGATCCGACTCCAGTTCAGAATCTACATCTGACTCCTAGTCTAGTGCCTTTTTTATATTTTTATTTTTAAGTACTTTAAATATAAATGTACGTGTCTAAGAGAATAAACAAACCATAGTGATGTTTCACATGGATTTTTCTTTTGATATAGCTTATAATGTTACAGTGTTACTGTTAACAGTATTAACCATTAATTAACTGGTATGTGCCTTTGAAACTTTTGTATGTATTATTTTATTTAAGCCTACGAAGAACTCTTGAGAGTATTACTGTCCATTTTACAGATGAAAAAACTGAGGCTCAGAAAGGCAGTCATATAGCTCAATATGCTAGAACTGGAGTTTAAACCTAGTTCTGTGTTCTTTCAAAGCACGTTACTAAACTGTTTAGCCTGCTTATTTTTTTAAACGAAAATTTATGTGATCACAAATTCAACCCATCTCATGTTAACTAACACTGATTATGGAATCATTTCCTCTCCTAATTCACCTATCCAAAAATCTCAGCATTTTAGAGAGAGGTGAGGTAGTGTTGAGAAACCATATATTCCTCCGTAATGATTTTAACTAAGGGAATCATACTATTTTTATAATGTAATTCAAAGATATGAATCTTATCCCCCTTTAAAAATGTTTATGAAATATTTGTATATCGTAAACTATGTTGAAGTTCAAGTAAACTAATTTGGGCAAGTCCAAAGGGATATTTTCTGTGACTGAACATTTATCTCATGTTTTCACTTTTTATAGTTGATAAGCAATAATTTATTTTCATAAGACATTTTAAAAACGCTTTTCAAAATTAGCTGACACCTTTAATGAAAAAAAATGATGTTATAGAAAGAGTATTATTCAGAAATTAATATAACATTTCACATCTGACTGGCCTGGGGGTAAATAAGGCTTATTATCATGAATGAAACTGTAATGATGAAAAGTGTAGAGAAAATCTCTTCTTAGTAAAATAGCCAGAATGTCTGAGTTTGCCAAAACCAGGAGAATCTTTGCTTTAAAACCTGTCTCATTCCCTGAAGTTCACCTTTCCTCAGGAATCTCATTAAATTACTACCACCACCTGGCTGGCCAAAAGAGGGTGGGGACACAGAGAATGTAGGCAATTTTTTTTTTTTTTTAAACAGGATCTCTCTCTGTTGCCCAGGCTGGAGTGCAGTGGCGAGATCTCCACTCACTGCAGCCTCCACCTCCCAGACTCACGTGATCATCCCACCTCGGCCTCCTTAGTAGCTGGTATTACAGGCATACACCACCACACCCAGCTAATTTTTGTTTTTTTGTTTGTTTGTTTTGTAGAGATGGGTTTTTGCCACGTTGCCCAGGCTGGTCTTGAACTCCTGAGCTCAGGCAATCTGCCCGCCTTGGCCTCCCAAATTGCGGGGATTACAGGCATGAGCCACTGCACCCAGCTGAATGTGATATTTAAAATACCTCTTTTAATAGCTCATATCATGTAACCGTTTATTCCTGGTACGGTGTGGAGATCTTATAGCGAATAATTTTTAGTTACATGAATTTTAGCCTATGCTATTCTAAATGAGAAGGTACATTTGATTGCCTAATGCCTTTCTATTTTGGGCAGTCATATTTAGGACTTTATACAAGGTGAGAAGCATTAACAGATAGTACTTTGATTTTACTTTTTAGTAAAACTCTTTCACCTAAAGCTTATAAAGATAATGTGAAATTTATTGAGATAATCTGTCATTATGGAAAGATTACAAAGTTGATTACCCTAAGTACACTTCTACCACTCATCCTCTGAGTAGAAGGGCAGGAGGGTGGGGCAGGGCTGGAACAACTAACATTTCCTGGAATTCCTACTCTGCT
The DNA here is from genome assembly GCF_000001405.40 of Homo sapiens. Taxonomy (NCBI): domain Eukaryota; kingdom Metazoa; phylum Chordata; class Mammalia; order Primates; family Hominidae; genus Homo; species Homo sapiens. The sequence goes on from NC_000001.11 coordinate 167,305,919, forward strand.
GGGCATATGGTAGACATGTTCACATGTATTCTTTTATTTTTAGTATACATAGAAATGTAGAAGTATAGGAAGTAGGGCAAAGAGAAGAAAAGCGTTGTGCATGGAATTATTCCTTCCTTTTTGTTTGTTTGAACGGTCAACTTGTTAACCCTCCACATTCTTTCTTCATCTGCTTTTGGCAGCAGCAAATACAGTTGATTGTTTCCAGTCTCTGAATCATAACTACCTGGGACTGCTGTATAGTGTTCACCTGGCCAGAGGTGCTTCTTTTTTAAGTTTTCAGAAGACAACATTTGTACTTCTTAAAAAATGTTATTTGAGGATTAAAACATGAAGACAAAAGAAGAAAAAGAAAACCACTAGTACTTTAGACATGTTCAGATAGTCCTAACACTATTAAGACTCTATTCCTGTGTACAATAAAGATGATTTTCTGGCCTGTGGATTAAAAAGCATGGAAATACTCAAGAGCATCGCTTAAAATTTTTTCTTGTACTAGGAGAAAATGTTTGACAGTTGTATTTATTAAATATTTATCAAGATATAATACCTTTATTTTTATAATTCCTGATTACTTTCAAAATAACATATTAATTTTAAGGATAACCTTGGGAGACAGCATAATTCTCATTTTTCAAATGAGAAAATTAAGGTTCAGATGTTAGATTAGTTTTTTAGTAATGCCGTAACACGGTACTACAAACAACAGAAATTTATTGTCTCTCAGTTCTGGAGGCTAGAAGTCCAGAATAAGGTATTAGTAGGTTTGGTTCTTTCTGAGGGCTGTGAAGCAGAATCTGTTCCATCCCTCTCTTCTTGTCTTCATCTGTTCTATGTCTGTCTTTGTTCAAATTTCCCCTTTATATAAGGATAGCAATCATATTGGATTAGGCCCAGTCCTAATGACCAGATCTTAACATTTGCAAAGGCCCTATTTCTCACTAAGGTCGTATTTACAGGTATAAAGGGTGTAGACTTTAACATCTTTTTGGGGAAGACACAGTTCAATCCGTAACAGATGTTAAGTCCTTTCCTCTCCTAAATAGTGTCTCGTAAGTAGGAAAGTTTGACATAGCACATTGTAGTGCCACTAAAATGGTAGTTTTAAAAGAACATGACAATATATTTATAATACCACATTTAAAATTCATTTTCTAATACTGGCTTATGTCTGGGGAGATTTTATTTTAAATTAACTAAGTTTCTAAAATATTAATAGAATTTTGGGTTGTAATGGTTTCAAACTTTTTCTTCAAATAATAAGTAAGTGATGACACCAACTGTGTAAAGTTATTCAAAACCCAGTGCTTAGATCTGGCTTTATGTCTGAACTTCCATTAATAAAATGTAGACTTGTAAAATGTGGACTCCTCTATAAGATCTTGAAATGTCCATCAGAATACTGTTTAAATTGTTGCAAGAGCAATCTGACAGTGGAATATCTGTACATTTCATATTTATGTAAAAATTGTGGTTTTACCAGTGTTAATACACATCTTGTGACTAGGGATTTCTGAGTGTTGGAGAGGTCAAAGCCATACTAGGATAACCAAAAAAAAAAAAAAAACTGTATAGTGGTTTGTTCATCTGTTTCCTTTTTCTTTCTTTGCTGTTTTTTTAAATTTCAAAATAATTTGAGAGTTACAGAAAAAATGAAAGAATAGTGCAAACAACTCATCCTGGAACCTTTTGAGAGTAAGTTACTGACTTGATGCTCTGTCACCCCCAACTACTTTACTGTCCCTACAAATAAGGACATTCTTCTTCATAGCCACAATACAAACATAAAACTCAGAAAATTAACATTGACAGGTTACTATCGACTAATCCGTAGACCCTATTCAAATTTTGCCACTTGTCCCCAAAATGTCCCTTACACCAAAATAATCCAATCCAAGACTGCACATTGGATTTAGTTGTCATATCTCTTTACTGTTGTTCAATCTGGAATAGTTCCATAAGTCTTTTTGATTTCTAGGGTCATGGCACTTTGGAAGAATACATTTTGTGGAATGTTTTTGAATTTGGGTTTACCTCATGGTTCCGCATGATTAGATTCAAGTCATGCCATGCATCTTTGACAGGAGTGTCATAGAGTGATGCTGTATTCTTATTGCATCCTTTCAGGTGGTGCAAAATTTTTATTTGTTTCTTTTTTTTTTTTTTTAGACGGAGCCTTGCTCTGTCACCCAGGCTGGAGTGCAGTGATGCAATCTCGGCTCACTGCAGCCTCTGCCGCCCGGGTTCAAGCAATTCTCCTGTCTCAGCCTTCCGAGTAGCTGGAACTACAGGTGCACACCACCACGCCTGGCTAATTTTTCTATTTTTAATAGAGACGGGGTTTCATGATATTGGCAATTCTGGTCTCGAACTCCCAATCGCAGGTGATCCGCCTGCCTCGGCCTCCCAAAGTGCTGGGATTACAGGCCTGAGCCACCACGCCCAGCCTGTTTCTTGACTGATTACGTTACCTTTGATCGCTTAAGGTGATGTTTGTCAGTCTTGTCTTCTGTAAAGTTGTGCTTCTCTTTGTAATTAATAATTATTTTATGGGGAAACTGTAAATTTTCATCACCAAGTTTTCATTTACTAGATTTAATAGTGGTCCTCTCTCCCTCCCTTCCTCCTTCCCTGGTCTCACTCTGTCCCCAAGCTGGAGTACAGTGGCATAATCATAGCTCACTGAAGCTTCAAACTCCTAGGCTTAAGAGATCCTCCCACCTCAGCTTCCTGAGCAGCTGGCACTATAGGTGCATGCCACAACACCTGGCTGACTTTTTTGTAGAGACAGGATCTCACTATGTTGTTCAGGCTGATCTCAAACTCCTGAACTCAAGTGATCCATCTGCCTAGGCCTCCTAAAGTGCTGGGATTACAGGCATGAGCCACCGTGCCTGGCCTTTTGTTATTTCTTGACTGAACTTATTACTGTGATGGTTTTCAAATATTGATTTCCCAATTATATTATTCTACATTATTTGGAATCCTACTATAAGGGAAAGCTTTCTCTTCTCTATATTTATATCTGTATGGACTCATGAATTCCTTTAAGCAATAGTTATAATTCATTCATTTTTTTTTCCTTATCCAGATTGTCTAAAATTTGGCTAATGGGAATGCCTTCAAACTGGTCTTGTATCTTTTTCACATATTCCCATAATTTTTTAAAGTGCTTCCACTAGTGGTTTTTTTTTTTTTTCTTTGAGAATCCCTGTTTTATTAATAGTAGAAAGTAGCATTTAGAAGTCAAGATGTGGGTGCCAAGTATGGTTATTGCTGTAGGGGTACTATTGCCCCCAGGCACTCCATGGACAGAACTAGAGAATAGAATATATGTATATGTGTGTGTATTTCACTTAAAGCTGTGTTTATTTTTGCATTTATATATTTTGAAAACCATTGACTTTATACCAAAACTTCTAATTCCAATTTAGTATTAGAGAGTTGATTCTAGTTTTTTTCTCTGTTTAAGGTTTTAGTTCCTTTCCCCAACAGTGGTACACTTCACTCTCATTATCCTTAAAATAATTACTTACTACAGTTTCTCTCTCCATATAACCAGTCTCCTCATTGCTTCTCCCCACTCACTTTCCTAAGCTTGGATGCCTGCCTTACTCAGCCCCATCTAATGACTTTTGGACTGAATTATGAAAAAAAGTTCATTTTTTAATGACAAATATTAAAGTAAATTGGACAAATTTGCTTCTACTACACCACCTTTGGTTAATTTGCTTCCTCTATTCTTATTTATTTTTAATTTGGAACCCTATTAGTTCCATGTTGATGGAAATTCTTTGAGATTTTTAAAATTAAGCTTAATTAGGCATTTTATATTATCTTAATCCTACTCTTAGGAGCTGTTACATTTAAGGTGTTAAAGATAATTAGCTGGCTAACTAGAGATGCTCTGAACATTGATTATTTTTAATTTCAACGCATATAATCAGTTTAAAATGAATTGCTTTCGTTATATGAAAACATTCCATCATTTATGAAGAACAATAAGGACTTTTTACTGTTTTTAAGTCAATTCTGGTCTCATTTACCTCAGCTCTAAATTCTTTTCATAGAACATTATTTATGAACAAATAATGCCAGAAAATAAGATGAATTCCAAAAAAATCAAGGAGTTACTATATGTGCGAAGATGATTTATGTGCAGATTTTTTCTTATTAGAATGGTCTAGGGATATTGATTAACTTTGGAAGTTGTTAGCAAAATATAAATAGCAAATATAAAAAGAATATTTAACTCCTGGACTGTTAGAGAGGGGAAGAAAGGGGAATAAAGAAATTGCATTTAATATTAAAAACCAGGAAAGGGGGGAAGGGAGATCCACAACAAAGAACAACTAAAGTAAATAAAAACTGTAAAATGACATGATGGGAAAAGGCCAAATATATCAGTAATCACAAAGGAAGTAGTAAATGGGTTAAACAAACCTCTACTCAGATTGGATTTTTAAAAAATGAAATGAAAATCCTATCTATTTCTTTTCATAAGTGACATACCTAAAACCAAATGACACAGAAAAGATAATTAATGAATCTATGGAGCTATGCCAGTCAAATAGTATAAAAACAAAAGAGCTGTTATAACAGTAAATTCTGAGGCCAAAAAAAGGAGGGAGGTAGATAAAGGAGAATAATTTTAAAGTGATAAAGGAACAGTTTACCAAGCAGAAATGTCCATGTACGTAAAAATGTTTAATATAAAATGCCTAATAATCAATAGACATAATTACCACGATGACAGAGATGTTAGGATTATCTGACAAGGATTTTAAAGCAGCTGTCATAAAAATGCTTCAGTGAGTAATTATGGACACACTTGAAACAAATGAAAAAAATGTGGAGTCTGAGCAAAGAAATAGGCCTCAGTAGATAGAAAATACAAAGAAAAACTAAATAGAAATTTTAGAACAGACAGCTACAATATCTGGATTAAAACTCACTGTGTAGGCTTACAACAGAATGGAGGAGACAGAGTGAACTGGAAGGTGGAACAATAGAAATTACCCAATCTGAACAAGAAAGAGAAAAGAGAACAAATAATCAGTGGACCCTCAGGGACCTTTAGGACTACAACAAAAATTCATCTGAATGCTGGGAAGAGAGGAGAAAGAGGGTAGGGCTGAAAAGTACTTTCAGAACACTGACTGAAAACTCCCCAAATTTAGTAGAAGGCATATACCTATATAGATTTAAGAAACTGAGCAAATTTCAAACAGAAAAATTTCACAAAACAAAAAAATCTCCAAGATACATTATAATAAAACTTTATATAAACTGGAGACAAAGGAAAAATCTTGAAAACAGAGAGAAATGACACCTTACCTATGGGAAAAACAATTCCAGGGATAGTGGATTTCTTAGCAGAAACCATGCAAGCCAGGAGGCCAAGGCATATTTTTCAGGTAGAGAGAGAGCTCAGACTCCCCCAAATCTGTATCTAGCAAAAAATATCCTTCAGGAATGAAGGGAAAATCAAGACATTGTTAGGTGAAGGAAAAGAAAGAAAATTTACCTCCAGCAGACCTACCCTAAAAGAATGACTAAAAACAAAAGAGAAATGTAATCATGTTCCATATAACAATGTTTCAGTCAATGATGGACAGTGTATATAACCGAGATCCCATAGGTTATAATGGAACTGAAAAATTCCTATTGCTTGGTGATGTCTTGATGATTCTGGCCCTGTGTAGGCCTAGTCTAATTTGAGTCTTAGTTTTTAACAAAAAAAAATTTCAAATAGAAAAAGCTCATAGAAAGGATGTAAAGAAAGAAAATATTTTTTGTGCAGCTATACAATGTCTTTGTATTTTAAGCTACTATGGGTTATTACAAAAAATCATTTATTTATTTATTTATTTATTTATTTATTTATTTATTTTTTCTTTTGGAGACAGAGTCTTGCTCTGTCGCCTAGGCTGGAGTGCATTGGTGCAATCTTGGCTCACTGCAGCCTCCACCTCCTTGGTTCAAGCAATTCCCCTGCACACCAAGCGTGGCTAATTTTTTTTTTTGTTTGTGTGTCTTTTTTGGAGATGGAGTCTTACTCTGTTTCCCAGGCTGGCGCACTCTCGGCTCACTGCAACCTCTGCCTCCTGGGTTCAAGCAATTCTCCTGCCTCAGCCTCCTGAGTAACTGGAATTACAGGCATGCGCCACCACGCTCGGCTAATTTTTGTAATTTTTTAAATAGAGATGGGGTTTCACCATTTTGGTCAGGCTGGTCTTGAACTCCTCACCTTATGATCCACCCCCCTTGGCCTCCCAAAGTGCTGGGATTACAGGCGTGAGCCACCGTGCCCAGCCAATTTTTTTTTTTTTGTGAGACAGAGTCTTGCTCTGTCGCCTAGGCTGGAGTACAGTGGCACGATCTCAGCTCACCGCAACCTCCACCTCCCGGTCTCCTGCCTCAGCATCCCAAGTAGTGGAATTACAAGCATGTGCCACCACGCCCAGCTAATTTTTGTATTTTTAGTAGAAATGAGGTTTCATCTCGTTTGTTGTTGGCCAGGCGGGTCTCGAACTCCTGACTTCAAGTGATCTGCCTGCCTCAGCTTCCCAAAGTGCTTGGATTACAGGCATGAGCCACCACACCTGGCTAAAAGTCAAATTTTTTTTTTAATGAAAAGTTTATAAATTAAATAAGTTACAGTGAGCTAAGGTTAACTTATTATTCAAGAAAGAAAAATATATTTTTATAAATTGAGTGTAGCCTAAGTGTACAGGCTTTCTCTAGTTGACACTAGTGTACAGTAATGTCTTAGGCCTTCATTCACATTCACTCACAACTCCTTCACTGGCTCACCCATAGCAATTTTAGTCCTGCAAGTCCCATTCATGGTAAGTGCCCTATACAGGTATACTATTTTTAATCTTTTATACTGTATTTTTACGGTATCTTTTCTATGTTTATGTATGTTTAGATATTCAAATACCGTTTTAGAAATACTTGTTAGAAATGCAAATACCATTGTGTTACAGTTGCCTACAGTATTCACACTAACATGCTGTATAGATTTGTAGCCTAGGAGCAATAGGCTATGCCATATAGCCTAGGTGTATAGTAGCCTGTACCATCTAGTTTTTTGTAAGTATGTTCACACAGTGATGAAACCACCAAATGACACATTTCTTAGAATATAGCCCCATTGTTAAACAAAGTATGACTATATACTTGGTTGTAAATCCAACAAAACATGTACAGGAAGTGCGTGCTGAGAACCACAAAATGCTGATGAGAGAAATCAAGGAAGATACAGAGTAAGGGAGAGATATATACTATATTCAGGGATTAGAAGATAACATAGGAAACATCAGTTCTCCCCAAATTGATATACAGGTTTAATGCAATTTCTATCAAAATTCTCACAGACTTTTTTTCTAGACATGAACAAGAATAGTCCAAAATTAATAGGAAATGCAAAGGAATTGAAATAGCTGAAAAAATTTTGAAGAAAAATAAAATAAGAAGAGTCAGTTACCCCAATTTCAAGACTTATTATATAGCCACAGGAATCAAGCCTGAGAGTATTGGTGGAGGGATAAACACAGATCAGTGGAACGGAATATTGAACCCAGAAATTGACCCAGAGATGTATAGCCAACTTATTTGTGACTAAGGTACAAAAACAATTCAATGGAGTAAGGACAGTGTTTTTGACAAATGACTGAAGAAAAAAACAAAACAGAAACTCAACCTAAACCTCACATAAAAAAACAAAACAGAAGAACATCTTCAGGATGCAGGATTTGATGAACAGTTTTTAAACGTGACACCAAACATACAATCCATAAAAAATTGATGAATTGGCTTATCAAAATTAAAATATTTTGCTATGTGCAAACCTCTGTTAAGAGGATGAAAAGACATGGTCCACAGTGGGAGAAAATATTTGCAAAGAACATATCTAATAAAGGACTCCTGTCTACAATGTATAAAGAACTTTCAAAATTCAACCCTAAGGAAACGATTCATTAGAAAATGAAATTTTTGGATTTTTTTAGAACACCTGTAATCCCAGAACTTTGGGAGGCTGAGGCAGGTGGATCACAAGGTCAGGAGTTCAAGACCAGCCTGGCCAAGATGGTGAAACCTCGTCTCTACTGAAAATACAAAAATATTAGCTGGGCATGGTGGCATGCACCTGTAATCCCAGCTACTTGGGAGACTGAGGCAGAGAATTGCTTGAGCCCAGGAGGCAGAGGTTGCAGTGAGCTGAGATTGCGCCACTGCACTCCAGCCTGGGCAACAGAGCAAGACTCTGTCTCAGAAAAAAAAAAAAAACAAAACTTCAAAAGAAAGAAATAGACATGTCACTGAAGAGGCTGTATGGATGGCAAATAAGCACATAAAAGGGTGTTCAGTATTACTAGCCACTAGGGAAATGCAAATTAAGATCACCATGAGCTATCACTGCACACCTACTAGAACAGCTAAAATAAAAAATAGTGACAATACCAAATGCTAGTAGATTTGGAGAAGCAGATCTCTCACATTGTTTGTGGGAATGTAAAGTGTTACAGGTATTCTGAAAAATATCTGACAATTTCTTAAAAAATGAAACAGTTCAGGCATGGTGGTTGTCGCCTGTAATCCCAATACTTAGGAAGGCTGAGGTGGGAGGATGGCTTGAGCCCAGGAGATCCATACCATCCTGGGCCACACAGGGACACCCTGTCTCTACAAAAATAAAAATAAGCCGGGCATTGTGGTGTGCACCTGTGGTCCCAGCTCCCTAGGAGGCTGAGGTGGGAGGATTGCTTGAGCTCAGGAGGTTGAGGCTGTAGTGAGCTGTGATCACACCACTGAACTCCAGCCTGGGTGACAAAAGTGAGACCTTATCTCCAAAAAACAACAGCGAAATCCCTAAACCTAATACACATAGAGTTTGGATATTTGTCCCCACCCAGATCTCATGTCAAATTGTAATCCCCAGTGTCGGAGGTGGGGCCTGGTGGAAAGTGTTTAGATTATGAGGGTGGATCCCTCATAGCTTGGTGCGGTCTTCTTGATAGTGAGTTCTCATGGGATCTGGTTATTTTAAAGTGTATGGCAACCCCACTCCCCAGTCTCTGTCTCTCTTGCTCCTGCTTTTGCCATATGGCATGCCTGCTCCTGCCTTCACTTTCTACCATGATTGTAAGCCTCCTGAGATCTCCCCAAAAGCAGATGCTGCTATGTTGCCTATACAGCCTGCGGAACCTGAGCCAATTAAACCTCTTTTCTTATGCATTACCCAGCCTCAGGCATTTCTTTATAGCAATGTAAGAATGGCCTAATACATACATATGCCCTATGAGCTGGCAGTCTCACTTCTGTGCATTTATCCCAGAGAAATAAAAAATTATGTTCACATAAAAATATGTATACAGATGTGCTTTACATATTATATATGAGTCCTGTATCAGAAATGTGCTTTGCCAATATTTTTCCCCAGTGTTGACTTGTCATCCTCTTTACCTCCTATGTACGAATGTTTACAGCAGGTTTATTTTAATAACCTAAAACTTAGAAACAGCCAAAAAGTCCCTCAATAAGTAAATGCCTAACAAACAGTGGGACATTGCTGAGCATGGTGGCTCATGCCTGTAATCCCGGCTACTTGGGAGACAGAAGTGGAATGATGGCGCTTGACCAGGAGTTCAAGACCAGCTTGAGCAACATAGTGAGGACTTGTCTCTAAAAAAAATTGTTTTTTGTTTGTTTGTTTGTTTGTTTGTTTTTTAATTAGCCAGGTGTGGTGACATGCTGGTAGTCCCAGCTACTTGGGAGGCTGAGGCGAGATGATCGATTGAGCCCAGGAGTTCAAGGCTGCAGTGAGCTATGATTATACTACAGCACTCCAGTCTGGGCAACAGAGAGATACCCCATCTCTTTAAAAAAAAAAAAAACCCTGAAATTAAAAAACAAGCAAACTGTGGTACATCCATACCATGGAATACTTAATATTCAACGAGAAAAAGGAATAACTATTGATACACACCAAAGCTTTGTTGGATCTCAAAGGCATACATAATGCCAAGTAAAAAATGCCAATCTCAAATGGTCACGTTACTGTATGTTTCCATTTATATAACATTACCAAAATAACCAGTTATGAAGGTGGATAGCAGATTAGTGGTTGTTAGGGATTAGAAATAGCCAGAGGGATAGGAGTTGGTGTGACTGTCATGGGGTAGCAGGACGGAATTCTTTGTGATGAAATAGTTCTGTATCTTGATTGCAATGATAGTTACATGAACCTGCACATGTGACATTAAAATGACATAGAAGCATACTTTATATCAAGAGCAATTGTTTGGATTTAATATAATGGTGTAGTTACATAAGACGTAACCAGTGGAGAAATTAATGAATGGTACATGGGACCCATCTTTGAAGATTCCTTTGCATTTCTAGTAATTTCAAAATAAAAAGTCAAAAACAAAAGAGAGGGATATCATAGTTGCTATAGGATTTCAGAAGAAGAAATAGTTCCTTGATAACTAGGAGAATGAGGGAAGACCTGAGGCCATAGCTTTTGAATAGTTTTTATAGGATAGGTAGACTTTTCACGAAACAATACAGGGAAAAGAAGGGTATTTTAGACAGATCGAGGTTAATGTTTATGGAATGACTGCCACTGTATTATTATTAAGAAATGTTAGTAACATCTGATTAGTCTGAAGAATAATTAACTTAATGAGGAGGAATGTATCTTTAGATTTTATATCTGATATAGAACTCTGAGATATTTGTTACCCTTGTGGTGTCACACAGATTCTGGAAGCCTGAGTGTAACAGATAAAGAGAGAAAACATAAATTACCAGTATCAGAAATGAAATGGAACAGTTCAAAAAATGGATGGGAATAATCAAAGCTGCCTGGGTTTTAAACAAAACAAGGCTTATTTTTTCATGGATTTAAGAAATTGAATCAGAGAAGAACTCACATTTTATTTGTTGAAATAGGATAACTCTAATATTATTTTTATTTTTTTGAGATGGAGTCTCACTCTGTCACCCAGGCTGGAGTGCAGTGGTGCAGTCTAGGCTCACTGCAACTTCTGCCTCCTGGGTTCAAGCAATTCTCGTGCCTCAGCCTCCTCAGTAGCTGGGACTATAGGCGTGCACCACCACACCTGACTAAATTCTTGTATTTTTAGTAGAGATGGGGTTTCACCATGTTGGCCAGGCTGGTCTTGAACTACTGACCTCAGGTGATCCTCCTGCCTTTGCCTCTCAAAGTGCTGGGATTAGAGGCATGAGCCACCGTGCCTGGCTAGAACTCTAATACTAGACAACAATGTCAAGACAAATTACTATATGGTCCTGTGTTAAAACTCTGTAGTGACCTATTCTTTTTCTCCCTGGAATGTTCACAGTTTGTCATTACACCTTTTGGTGATTGCTTAATATTTCTATTATTCAGTTACAAGCCTTCTGAAACTTGTCCTTGTCGAGACCAGCTCAGTCGTGGAGACCCTAACCCAGTGGCGCTAGAGGAATTAAAGACACACACACACAAATATAGAGTGCAGAGTGGGAATCAGGGGGCTGACAGCCTTCAGAGCTGAGAGCCACGAACAGAGCTTTACCCACATATTTATTGACAGCAAGCCAGTAATAAGCCTTGTTTCTATAGATTATAGATTAACTAAAACAGGAAACAAAGAGATGGACTCTGGCTAGTTATCTGCAGCAGGAACATGTCCTTAAGGCACAGATTGCTCATGCTATTATTTGTGGTTCGGGAATGCCTTAAGCAGTTTTCCATCCTGGGTGGGCCAGGTGTTCCTTGCCCTCCTTCCGGTAAACCAACAACCTTCAGCATTGGCATCATAGCCATCACAAGCATGTCACAGTGCTGCAGAGATTTTGTTGATGGCCATTTTGGGAGCCTGTCTATGGCCAGATTTGGGGGCCTCTTCCCAACATGTCTCCCCTTTTTGTTTTTGCAAGATGATAAAAGCAAAGGTGGCTTTATCACAGTGAGCTACTTCTCGCAGGAGTCGGGATCTGCATCTGCAGACTATACACAGACAACACAGATTAAAAGCACGATCATCATTGAAATCACAGAGTCTCCAAGAGTTTTTATCCATTTTAATGGGTTAATAGCTGCTAATCATTTGCAGCTCCTTCAAGCACTCCAGTTCCTGGCATTAAGGTCACGTGTGCCTGGGATGCTTTAAGTATTTGTTCTTTTAATTTTGCAATATCCAAAGACAAGTTTGTAGAGTGTCCTTCTAGATGCTTTTTTATTCTTTCCCAAATTTTGATCTTATTAAGAGCCATTAATAGTTTCCACAAATCCTTATGTTTAGCTCCTACAGTGGGCCATATCATTTGAGGTTGAGGTGCCACTAGACCGCCATGTTTTCAGATAATAGGAACTCTTGCCATACTTCTTACCATTTCTACCATTTGACCGTTTTGTTTAGAGGAGCTGAACATAGTGTGGCCATGGCACGCAGACTGAGAGGTGCAGTTCAAGCTAAACATCCCCTTAGGGGACCAATCAATAATGATGCCATAGGAATCATTGCTCAGCACCTCTGCCTGTTCTGCAATGCAATCTTCCCAAACAAGTATGTTCATTTTTTCTGACCAGGTCCAATCCTGTTTACAAATTTGTTTTTGAGGGCCGTATGCCTCAATTATAAGAGCAGATTTATTATGGTAAATACTGAGACCAGAAAGCATGTGTAACTGTGTCATAAAGTGATTATGTCCAGGCATTATTTGCCAGCCAAGATTGATAGCGAGGGGGTAGGCAACTAGTGGCCTTTCTCAAACAGATAGGCGGACATTCAAATCCTAAACAAATATTCATAACAGTTCTTTTCTCATGTGAGTGAGATGGGCCTCTAACATCTGTAGCACTGAGCATCCAAGAGCTATCATTAGTGTATACCTCCACTGGGGGGGTCCAGCCAAGTTACAGGCCATAGAAGTGGTAGAAAAGGTAAATATGCCCAATAAGTATAATTGTTCTCTGTGTCAGCCTTTGCTAAGGGAATACTCACGGTATTGGTGATCACCGCTATCATAGCTATCATTAGATTGATTACTCATTGTGACTGGTTGTCCTGCTTTCCTCAGGTTTTCTTCCATCATCTGTGACAGCTTCTTGATCTGTCCCCAGGTAGGTGGCTGTATTTGACGGGTGTTGCTCATGACAGTTGAGGTCCTCCTCAGTGTCATTCTTGACATGGCTGCAACCAGGGGGTTTTTGGGATCCTCCCAAAACCTCTTCCTGGGTATCTGGCTCATAGTAAGGTTTCAGGTGTCTTGATGGTATCCAGATAGGCTGCTGGTTTTGGCCTGGAGAAACACAAGCATAACCTCTACCCCAACTTATTATTTTACCTGTTTCCCAACTTTTTGTTGTCGGATCTCTCCACCAAACCAGTTGTTTTGCTTCTGTCTTTGCAGCTGGTTTCTGTAGATGCTGTTTAGCTGCTGATAACATCTGGGCTTTAGGCAGGCTCAAAAAATTTAAAGTCAGTAATGCTAGATTCAGTTGCATATGTGGTGTCCCGTAGTTCCTGTTTCCCCCCTTTTGCTTTTGCAACTGCTGTTTCAGTTAGAGATTCATTCTTTCCACTATGGCTTGTCCTTGAGAATTACATGGGATACCAGTAATGTGTTTAATATTCCATAGAGAGAAAAATGTAGCTAGAGCTTGGCTAGTATAGCCTGGGGCATTGTCCCTTTTAATAGAAACTGGAATGCCCATCACTGCAAAACACTGCAAAAGGTGACATTTAACACAAGCAGAAGACTCTCCTGATTGGCATGTAGCCCAGACAAAGTGAGAAAATGTATCTACACATACGTGCACATAAGCTAGTCTCCCAAACGAGGGAATATGGGTGGTGACATCCATTTGCCAAAGAGAATTAGGTTCCAATCCTCGAGGATTAACTCCTCCTGTAAAAGATGAGGAATGCACCATTTGGCAAGTTGGGCATCACTTGGTAATAGCTTTAGCTTCTTTCCAGGTAATGCTGTATCTGCATTTGAGACCAGAGGCATTAACATGGGTTAAATTGTAAAAGTGTCTGGCATTAGATATTGCAGTAGCAACTAGGCAATCAGCCATTTGATTCCCTGCAGTCAAAGGTCCTGGAAGAGGTATATGAGCCCTAATGTGAGTTGATGTAAATAGGGTGCATTCTACTCCTAACTGCTGTTTGCAATTGGGTAAGTAAAGTCGTCAGCTGCTCATCTGTTTGGAATCGTAGCTGAGCATTTTCAACTAACTGTGTAGAATGAACCACATATGAAGAATCAGAAATCACATTAATAGGCATATCAAAAGCAGTCAATACCTCAATTACAGCTACAAGTTTTGCTTTTTGAGCTGAAGTATAGGGCGTCTGGAAAACTTTACCTTTCAAGCCAGAATAAGAAGCTTTACCATTACTAGACCCATCTGTGAAGACATTTTCAGCACCTTCAATTGGTTTAAATTTAGTTGTTTTAGGGAGAATCTAATTAGTTATTTTCAAAAATTGAAACAGTTTTCGTTTTAGGAAAATGGTTATAGAGAATACCTACAAAGTCAGCTAAGTGAGTTTGCCAAGTAAGACTATTTGTAAAAGCCTGTTGTATTTCTGCCTTTGTAAGAGGGACAATAATTTTTCCAGGATCATATCCATGTAATTTAACAATCTTAGTTCTCCCATTTCCTAGCATAGTAGCAATTTGATCCAAATAAGCAGTCAAAGTCCGTGAATTAGTTTGTGGAAGAAAAAGCCACTTTACAAGATGTTGCTCTTGAACAATAACACCAGTAGGTGAATGCTGAGTTGAAAAAATTAGCAAATCTAGAGTCTTCTCTGGATCTATTCTATTTATTTGAGCCTTATACGCTTGCTTCTCAATTAGCTGTAACTCTGCCTCAGCCTCCTTTGTTAATTGCTGAGGGTTAGTGAGACTAGGATCTCCTCAAAGGATAGAAAATAGATTACTCATGGCATAGGTAGGAATGCCTAGAGCAGGTCATGTCCAATTAATGTCCCCTAGTAATTTTTGAAAGTCATTTAATGTTTTCAATTGATCGCTATGTATGGTTACTTTCTGTGGCACAATGGTAGTGTCATTTACTAAGGTCCCCAAGTAGGGGTAAAGAGTAGTAGTCTGAATTTTGTCAGGAGCTATAATTAAACCAGCATGAAAAATCGAATTTTGCAAGTGATCATAACATTGAAGTAATATTTCTCGAGTGGGGGCAGCACAAAGTATATCATCCATATAATGAATAATGTAACACTGGGAAAATTTTTTACGAGTAGGTTCAATTGCTTGCCTTACATAAGTCTGGCAAATTGTTGGACTGTTTAACATGCCTTGTGGCAACACTTTCCTATAAAAACACTTAGCAGGCTACAGGTTGTTTACCGCAGGAATTGTAAATGCAAACTGTTCACAGTCCTGCTCAGCTGAGGGGATAGTAAAGAAACAGTCTTTTAAATCTATGACTATTAAAGGTGAATTTTTTGGAATCATAGCAGGAGAAGGCAATCCTGGCTGTAATGCCCCCATAGGTTGTATAACTGAATTAATGGCCCTAAGATCTGTCAACATTCTCCATTTACCTCATTTTTTCTTAATAACAAAGACTGGAGAATTCTGGAGGAAAATGTTGGAGCTATGTGTCCTTTTTCTAATTGTTCAGTTACTAAGTCCTCTAAAGCCTCCAGTTTCTCTTTACTTAGCAGCCATTGTTCTATCCAAATTGGCTTATCTGTTAACCATTTTAAACATATAGGTTCTGGAAGCTTAACAATGGCCACCATCAAAAATGATACCCTAAACCTTGGCAGGAACTTTGTCTTTCTACTTGAAGTGGTTCCTTCAAACCTTGCAGATTTTTTCCTAGTCCCATACCAGGGACATACCCCATTTCCTGCATCATATGTTGACTTTGAGGGCTATATAATTGTTCTGGAATTAGAACTTGTGCTCCCCATTGCTGTAATAAATCTCTCCCCAATAAATTTATAGGTACAGAAGTTATAACTGGTTGGATAGTCCCAGGTTGTCCATTGGGCCCTTCACAATGCAAAATATAACTACTTTGATATACTTCAGAGGCTTTACCAACTCCAACTATGTTAAATTGAGCAGATTGAATTGGCCACGTGGACGGCCAGTGCTGTAGAGAAATGATTGAAATGTCCATTCCTGTATCTACCAAACCTTTAAATTCTTTACCCTGAATAGTTATTTCACAGGTAGGACATTTATCAGTAATTTGATTCACCCAATAAGTTGCTTTGCCTTATTTGTGCTTCCAAATCCTCCTGTTCGTGTAGTTTCACTTTTCCCCATCTCCATATATGACACAATCAGGAGCTATGCTATATGCTCTCCTGGCTCTGCTTTCCAGGGAACAGAAGTAGATATAACAATTTGAATTTCCCCATTGTAATCTGAATCTATGACTTCTGTACGTACTTGCACTCCTTTTAAATTTAAACTAGACATACCTAGAAGTAATCCTACCATCCTCACTGGCAAGGGTTGACAGATTCCTGTTGGCACTTTTTGTGGGGGTTCCCCAGGCAGAAGGCTCACAGCTTTTGGGCAGCATAAATCTACTGCAGCACTACCGGCTGTGGCGGGGGACAGGCATTGTACAGGGGTGAGGGAATGGCCTGAGCCAGAAATGCCCCGGTTTGGGCGCTACTTGCCGAGACCAGGTCGGTCATGGAGACCCTAACCCAGTGGCGCTAGAGGAATTAAAGACACACAGAAATATAGAGTGCAGAGTGGGAATCAGGGCTGACAGCCTTCAGAGCTGAGAGCCACAAACAAAGCTTTACCCACATATTTATTGACAGTAAGCCAGTCATAAGCATTGTTTTTATAGATTTAGATTAAAACGGGAAACAAAGAGATGGGCTCTGGCTGGTTATCTGCAGCAGGAACATGTCCTTAAGGCACAGATCACTCATACTATTGTTTGTGGTTCAGGAACACCTTAAGCGGTTTTCCACACTGGGTGAGCCAAGTGTTCCTTGCCGTCATTCCGGTAAACCAACAACCTTCAGCATGGGCGTCGTAGCCATCATGAGCATGTCACAGTGCTGCAGAGATTTTGTTTATGGCCATTTTGGGGGCCTGTCTATGGCCAGATTTGGGGGCCTATCCTCAACACGTTCTTGTCTTCCCAATTCCTATGCCTGTGCCTGAAAGCACTTAGTAAATACTTGTGGAATCCATTAATGATTGAAATCAGTGACTTGGCAAAACACTTTAAACTAGAATGAAAGAAAGACAGTTATAGAAGTAAAGAAACAGTATGGTAAGATAGGATCATGTAGGATAGGCTAGACAGATAAGTTTAGTGAAATGGTAAAACTTTAATAGAGCTACACAAAGATTTAAGCTTTTACAACCAAGAAATTCAGGATTGGATTTTGTAATAGATTTAGTTTTAAAGAATGCCAGATTGTTAGAGTGAACAGTAGATGAGCTATGTATATAGCTGTAAAAATGTAATATAGCACAGGTTAAAAGAGACCAGAAACATGTCATTTCAAACCGCTTTCTGGTGGAGTAGCTTTCTCAGTGAGCCACCACTTAAATGACTTGATGAGATTAACTGACAGCCCATTCCTGTTTGATGCACTATCTGATTCCCTATAGCATGCTGAAGACTTATTCCATGGTATGTCTACCAGTTGAGTTGTAAAGTTATTAAGAACCATTTACTTGTTTGTGCTCCCAATACTGTTCATGCTAGTTGTACTAATTTTAATCACACTATTTATTTATTTATTTATTTACAGATGGAGTTTCTCTCTGTCACCCAGGCAGGAGTGCAGTCACGCGATCTCGGCTCAATGCAACCTCCGCCTCCTGGGTTCAAGCAATTCTCATGCCTCAGCCTACTGAGTAGTTGGGACTATAGGCGCATGCCATCACGCCTAGCTAATTTTTGCATTTTTAGTAGAGATAGGGTTTCACCATGTTGGCCAGGCTAATCTCGAACTCCAGAGCTCAGGTGATCCACCTACCTAGGACTCCCAAAGTGTTGGGATTACAGGCATTAGTCACCGCACCCAGCCTAATTACACAATTTAAATAACTATATAAACCAAGGAAAAGAATAGAAAAAGAAAGATGATGTTTCTGTGAAAATTAAGTTAAATGCTTTGGAAAGATTTGATAAAGGGTAATTACTAAAAAATACTGAATTAGATGTGTGCAAGAGAGCTATAAAATAGTAGGGATAAATTATTCTAAAAAAATAGAAAAGCATTATGGACTCAGATTGCCTCATGTGTCATATAATTCTTGCCCCACTTTTAAAGCAGTGTTTTTTAATCTATGAGACATGAAGTCAATTTAATAGGTTGAAGTCTAGAACACATCGCAATACATTTATACCTGGAAAGAAGCATTGTTCTATGGAACTTTTCTTGAGTTTTTAGTATTTAGTCTATACATATATGTACAATGTAAAATGTGACTTTCAGTGAAAAACGTAAAAATCTTTTGAGTTTTTTATCCAAACTCAAAAGGCTTTGGCCCAAAAAAATTGGTGAATGAATGTGTATTTATATGCTTTGGGTTAAAATACAATCATTATGTACTTGTGTTTATGATACTTAGGTTGACCATTTTGTTCAGCCAACCAACTACTGATCTCAGTCTCATGGGATAAGAATTTTTACATATTTTATTTTACTTGTCTTCCTCTCATGCCCTCCATATTGTGCCTGAGTCCCCAACCCCCACCATACCTCGGCTCTCTGTTTAGTAGCTATGTGACCCTAAGGGTCATTAACTAGGCCTCAGTTTACTTTTTATGAAGTAAGATTATCCTTCAGATTGCTTGTTATTTGGCAGTGCTTAATAGCCACGTTGATAAAGTACATGTCTTTCATGGTATCTGCCCATCTAGATTTTTAGTAAATGATAGACATTCCGTTAAGTTATTCTAAAAGATTTTTGGTGGGGGGAGGGGACACTGAGAGCCCCATAATGCAACCTTAGAGGGTATCATTTACATAGTCTGTGATGTAGTTGACAAGAATGGTGGCAGTGCCAATACCTATCACTTGATTCTGAGTCTCAAATTTTCAAGTCCTGGAATGTTGTTTCATATTTGGTGGGCATTAGTAAAATTATTTTAGTTTGTATGTGTGTGATGGGTTTGTTGGACTTTTTTTGTAAATAATTATTGATAATGCTTGAGGTACTAAGTATTTTTATTACAGAGAATTGAAATATCATTAAGTGTTTTCTGTAAGTAAGTTAATAGGACACTAAATTATTGGTAGATTGGAAAAGAGATGAAGGTTGGAAAGGATATTGGTGTACTGTTGAGATTGGCTGGGGTGAAACCAGTGGTGCTAAAAGATGCAGACACCCCCCATGATATAGAAAGGAGGTAACAGGCAATAATTGTTGAGTCAGACATTTCTGCTTGTTCAACTAGTTATATGGTCAGTACAGAATAGAGGGTACAAATGGCTATTCATATAGAACATGACCAGGCTGGATGTTAATGATTTAGTAAGGTAGAATATAGGCCGATCTCAGTTCACTCTCACATAAAAGGTGTGTTTTAAAACACTAGTTTGTGATTTAGTTGTCATTGCCCTCAATTTCATTTCTAATGATACCTACACTGGCCCATAAGATCATGAATATAAAAATATTTTAATACTAGTAGTGTCGGCTGGGCATGGTGGCTCATGCCTGTAATCCCAGCACTTTGGGAGGCCAAGGTGGGCGAATCACGAGGTCAGGAGTTCGAGACCAGCCTGGCCAACATGGTGAAACCCGTCTCTACTAAAAATACAAAAATTAGCCTGACTTGGTGGCAGGCGCCTGTAATCCCAGCTACTTGGGAGGCTGAGGCAGGAGAATCGCTTGAAACTAGAAGGCAGAGGTTGTAGCAAGCTGAGATTGTGCCACTGCACTCCAGCATGGGCAAAAGAGCAAACTCCATCTCAAAAAAAAAAAAAAAACTAGTAGTGTTAACCGTGAATTCTGGGTCCTGGAAGAGCGTTTGTCCCCTCTTTTAGAAAATAAAAAAAGGCTACATTTTAGGCGTAATTGTGAAATACATGAGTTTGAATTTGCCCTTTCAGCTCCTTTTTATACTTCCATATGTTACTACTATTTCCTATTATTACTACCTTCTATGAACCCTTTGCCCACATTACCCCACCCCCAATCCAGGTCCTCTAAACATCAGTTATTTTATCATTTATTGGCCTCTTCTCTAGTAGAAACAACCATTGCCTTACAATCAACTCCTCAACTAGGTGTTAAATGAAAGCAGTGGGATTGGATTAATTCATGCTCAAGTGTGAATGACTGACAATCCCACAAACCTCTCAAAAATGATTTTCCTTTGTACAACGGGTGTTCTTTCTAGGTTAAGTTTTAGTCTAATTGATTCTTTGCTATTATTTCAGACAGATGACCAAGTGAAATGGACATTTGAACTTTGTGGGAAAAGCTGTCATTTTCTTCTTTTGGACATAAATGTGCCATGGTTGGGGAGTACAGGCAAGAGACGGTGACAGTCCCTCTCCCAATCCATCTGTAGAGGCTTGGACAAACTCCTGGTATTTAAACTTCCCCTCTAAAATTAGTAGGGTACCTAGGTCAAGGGTGGTAGAAAGGGACTTTTCTTGCCTTTCCTTCCCACTGTAGCAATGTGAGCTTTTTTTTCTGGGTGAGCTTTGCAGTAGAGGGGAAGCGGGGGGTCCCACTCTAGATAGTAGCCTGTGTGGGCTGGTAAACTATAGCCTCCCTGCTACAGGTCTTGTGGGACTCCCTTAGCCTGAGGAGGAGGCTCTTTCACTAGGAAGGTGCTGCTCCTGTTGGGTACAGACACACTCCTTTGTTAGCAATGATTGTCTGGCTGCAAGTCATCCTTAGCTAATATATGAAAGACCACACTCACAGTAGAAAGGTAGTTTAGAGATGTTATTACATAAAGTAGAAAAGGGCAGATGGTAAGTTGCAGAAATATCCCATAATAAATGCAAATAATAAATTTTAAATTTCGTAAAGGCGGAAGAGGAGGGAAATAAACATTTATTGATATCTACTGTAATCTAGTCACATTCATCATTGCTTTTCATCTTTTCTCACCAAGGAGAATTTGTATAATCCAACATATTCTACCTTAAAAACTCATTTGAAATTTGTGTTCTCTTCTATAATGTATTCTTATTTTAATACAAAGTGGTGTGAAATATTAAATAAGATTGATGCTTTCAAAAGATGGACATGTTTATCCAGTGACTTGATGTCTGCCCTGGCACAACTGCATCACATTCCTCCAGTCCACGCTCTTGTCTGAGAAGCATGAAAGCATTTATCTCACAATAACCTCATGAAAGGGATATCATCATTTTATAGGTGATAAAATTAAGGCTCGAAGAAGGAAGGAACTTAAACAGGTATTACAGGTATTAAATGGCTGTGTTAAGTTTCTCCCCCAAAGTCTCTCCTCATAAGCATTTTGTGATTCAGTAAAACAGAAAAACTGGTAATGCAGAGTGCTGATCCAAAAGTTTAAGGTTTTTGGTCCTCTACTGACTTGCAAGGGAATCTTTTTAAAGGCCCCTTGTTAAAATCTGTCTTTCATTTCCTGAAGACTAGTTCTAAATAAAAACAGTTATTAATGGGCTGACACCTTTCAGAACTCTCCTCAAATCTAGTGCACTCTTCTGTGTATCTGTACACACCTGACTTTTAAACACAATGTCTTTGCTGCCGTTTACTGGTTTCTTCACTACACGGAAAACAAACCATTCAGTCTGCTGCTTTACCACCTCTCAGCAATTCCCTACGTGTTTAACTCATCCATAATGCATAGGAATAGCCAAGAGCACAGATTCTGATATCAGAAAATTCTAGTTTTAAATCCTGATTCCGAATTACTAGTGTGACATTGGATAAAGTGTTTTAGTTCTCTGTGCCTCAGTTTCCTTACTTTAATAATATATAAGGAAAGAAAGGGGTAATAATGCTTATTACTCCATGGAGATTTTATAAATCTCCTGAATTGTCTGTGATGATTAGGCTGTTGTCATTGTAATGCCTAAAAAATTTTGGGTTGATGACTTACCTTGTAAATATACTTTAAATTGAATAAACATATAGTTTAGTAAGGATTATATATATGTATGTATGTTCATTAAGTGAAATATACTTGAGAATACCAAGTAATTCCACAATTTACATGGCCCACCCTTTGACAATAGAGATTCTAAGTAACAAACTGTCTTCTTTCTACTTGAGATTTATTTTCATGGGGGAAGGATACTGCATAATATGTAGCATTCAACTAATCTATTCTGTTAATTTGGTAATATAAAAAGATTTGTAGATAATGAATTTCTATACTCTTTAAGATACTTTATACACCTTGCACTGCTTCTGGGTTTACTGTTGCCTCGTTTTAAAGTGGGACTTTCTCTTGACGGAAGTGTGTTAAGAATTGGAAAATTCCCTATCAGTAGACTAGCACCATCTTGACAGCCTTGTGTTCTGCTTCTACCTTGCTAATTGTTTCCTTGGGATTATTTGGATTGTGTAGAAAGCTTTTTGCAAATCCTCTTATTACTGAAGTCATTGTTGCCAGCAGGAATAAGATTAAAGGTGCTTAAGTCTGTAGGGTTGTTTCTAATTTGTACGTGTCATTTCAGTGGCATTTTAACAGAACTCTGTCTCCTGTACCTCCCTTCTCCCTTGGTACTATCTCCAGTTAGGTCCAAGAAGCCAGGCCATTGGAAGAAGTCTCATTTTATCCTCCTAATTATTATGCTGGCACTCAGGAGATAATTTTTCCCTTCATGCACTGCCAATTAATATGCAAATAGCCTGATAAATATTTATGCAACGATTTAAATTATGCAGGGAGTGCTTTCAGTATATTCTGTAAATGAATTGTTCATGGACTTCAAAGTGCTGGCTGCTGTGCTAACGAGGAGAGATTTGCATAAGGCCCTAATCACGCGCATACTGATTAAGCTTCATTATGGAAACTGCCAGCTGCAATCTTTGTTTCTATTTTATTACAAAAAGAGGAACTTTTTCATGCTTCAGTTGCCTTGACAATGTCAGTCCTAGCTGGTAGGAGAGACTAAAACTCCTCTGAGCAACTGAAGTTTCCTTATTCAGTTGAAGATTGCTATGGTGTAACAGAAGTTGTATTTTGCTTTTCCCCTTAATCCACTTTCCACCCTACGCAACCCCCCTCTTTTCGCTTAAGAACATACTGTAGATTTGTTAGAAATAGTAGTACCTTCTTTCCCCACCCCAAACTGCTACCTGTTTCTTCCTTGTTTGGACTCTCTGCTCCTCTAGAAGATTTCACAGCAATGCTGGACTGCAGTGACTATGTTCTAGGTGGGTACCAGCACAGTTCTTTTCTTAGAAGCTTTAATATGGAAATAGAGTGTGTCGGGTTGACTATGCATAAATGCTTAATCGCATATGCAGCCTGTGGCGGGGGAGGGGGAGAGTTGGACTGAGCAGGGAAGGAGGAAAGCATTTGCAAAGCACAAGCTTACTTGAATTTGCAGTAGGTCCCTCCCTGTGACTAGCTCTTCTGATTCAGAGGGTATCGTTAGTAAATACAGTTAATTTAGAGTTCAGCTCGAATGAATATTTTTGCTTTTTGGAAATTCCTATTGAGAACATTTCATGTAGTTATAAAAACATCTTAAATCTGAAACAAGGCATAGAACTGTACATATATAATATATACATATTAATAAAAATGTTTTTCATACCTAATGAGAACGTCTTATACAAAAACCAAAATGCTCAGTGAAAAATAAGGTTGAGTCACAATGCAGAATAGTTTTTATAAATGTTAATAAAGAGGGTAATTGTACTGGTTGCTGCAACAGATCTGTTGATCGATTTCCAGATTTTAGAAACTATTAACTTTTCAAATTTTTGCTAGGATTAGTCCTCTTTTTAATTTTTTTAAAATCAACTATATACTCTAGATAACTACAACTTTAAATGTTGGAAAACCTTTTTAGAGTTTTCTCTGTAGAACAGCAAGCCTTTTGGAGTGGAAGATGTCCAGCTTAAATTTGTTAAAACCATCTTTGGTGATGAAGATTTCAAATAAATCAAGGCACTTTGATTTTTAGATATATGGTGGCTAATGGTGGTCATATTTTGTGTGGAGTTATGTCTGTTTATATGCAGAATTATTGAGACTTTTTTAGTTACTCTAGTCACCTGGAAAGTTAAATGATATGAACTCCGGGACTTGGATATCTTACATTTAAAACTTTTGCAAATGACTTTTTTCCTATATTGTCATTTTCTGCACTTGAAAATTAAAGCTGCTCCTGTCACCTTCATAGTTGCCAAAGATAAAGTAAAATGATACTTCTGAAAACGTTTGAATTCTTATGCATAAGGCATGGCCTAAACCCAGGGTAGCAGTATCTGCCCAGCACAGTAAAAGCCACTATGTAAAGAGTGAATGACAGAAACAACAAATTTATGTCAGGAATTCAATCTTGTATTTACTCTTTGACATTTACTTAGTTAACAATTCAAAAAAAGGAAAGAAAAATACCTTTTTGGAATATTTTTAACACATCATTTTAGAAGTAGAAATTACATCTCTTACTTTCAGTTAATAGTAAGTATTATTTAAACAGTCTTCCCATTGTGCAATTTTATTTTTGTGTGTATGTGAAGTAATGTTTTATTTTTGTGTGTATGTGAGATAATTTTGTTAAATGCTTTTGAAGCTCTTGACAGTTCAGTAGAAGAATCTGAGATGATTCACTTAAAATACCTGTGACATAGTCTTTATAGATGGGAAAATTAGAATATGAATTGTACAAAGTCAGGCTCATGACTTGTTAAGAATTATGCTTATTTCTGCGGTGCCCACATATGTGAGAAAACTGTTACTCTTTTTATGAATGTTAACTGATTGATCATTTTTTCCACTTTCCTTTAAAATTCATTTAAAGGAAGCATGGAGCAGTATGTATGCTAATGGTATATTCTATTACATTTGTTGTGATCTCTGTTGACTTTCATGAGATTTTGGTTGTCATTCAGAAAGCTGATTTTTCACTAAGTTGTACACCTGTTCCTTTCAAACCTTAGTATGCTTTCAGATGATATTTAAATTTCTCTGGACAGTGAGAAGAAGGAAGTTGTAGAACTGCCCTCATTTATGACCACAAACATATGAATTTTAACCCTTTGAACATTAGAAGACCAAACCAAAGTTATGACAGAACTGCCTAAGCCCATAAGACAAGCATCAGTTACAGAAACTTTTACTGTATTGGAAAAGCTATTACACATCTTCTTGTTGGAAATGAAACTTATAAAAGAAAGACTCCTGATTTTTTTTCTCATCTGTTATGCATGGGGATAATTCGACTGTAAAGAACATGGTTGAGAATTCTGTCTAGTGATTGTTTTGATTTTCTAGTTAGATGTTTAAGCAGATGAAAAAATGTGCTCTTTGGTCAAAAACAGTATAGTTTAAATATTTGTTCTCTGTTAATAACTAAAGTTAAATGGTTCTTAACTTATTTAACCACTAAATAAGTTAATGTGGGTAAAGGCAGAACTTATTTGACAGTAAACTTGTTTGATCATAAATATTCTAAGTTTGAGTTTACAGTAGTAGAATAAGAGATATATTTATGTATATTCCGTTTCTTACCCTTTCAAAGACTTAGAAGAAAAGCAGAGTTCTTGTCTCTTCTCTTAATGTATTTTCTGGGATACCTAATATTGCTTGATGAAAACATTTTACTGTGGAAATAAACCTTCATTAAGTAGATAACCCAGAAATGATAAACTCAAATTAGCAGTTTCATTTAGGATATTGAGGTAGTATTACTTTAAGTGGGTGTGGTTGTAATGCAGTTTTGAAATTATTAGCTATATCTGTTATGCCTTACGGTACAACTTCTTGTGCTGGTTTATAGTTGAGGTATGAATTTAATATGTTCTCACTTTGACTTGTTTAGTTTGGTTGGGGAGGGGAGTAAATTTAGAGATAATTTACCTTAGACGTGTTTTCTTTTAGTTCATAGGTTGAGTTACTGTCCCATCTTTTATCAAGATTACCAGTGGGTTGTTTTGGTTATAATGAATGAATATCATTGCATATAGAAAAAGATACTTTATTTGGGAATAACATTTTATTATGTGAGGTGCTTCCCCCCTTTCCAGTTTTACTTCATGTTAAAAGCATTTATTCCTTTTACATATCAGGCTTTCTAATTTTCTTCAGGTTACAGTTCTGCTGTCTTTCTTTAAAGAATCTTAAAATTATTTAAAAAGACAGTTTATTTGTGAATCCCTTCAGGGTCTGGGGAATTTTGAATTTCTTCCAGATAACCTTTTATTATAATTTCTAGTATTTTAGCCAGACATGTATACACTGGGTCTTCTTAAACTATATGACTATAACATTAGTTAACCCTTTTCTCTGCCACAGTTTTGCCTCCTCAATCCCATCTCCATCCCCAGTTTTTTAAAAACCTTATTCTCCTCTGATTTATTGCAGACTCAAGAATGAACAATCCGTCAGAAACCAGTAAACCATCTATGGAGAGTGGAGATGGCAACACAGGTAAGAGTTTTCTGATCTAGCTTTTTAATTAACTCTAGTAGAGCACAAAGAAGAAAGTTTCCATGTAACTAGGACTTGTATTTGGCAAATACAGACCAATTTGAGTATTGAGTTGTCAAATATGATTCAGTCCTTTAGGAACTGGGAGGGATTATGTTTGTTTAAGATTACTTAACTTTCTTCTGCAGGCAGCTTCGTTGTTTTGCTTCTGTCTATCAGACAAACTATGCAGAAGTTAGGAAAACTGTCCTTTGGGTCAGATAGTTTTGGATATGAAATATGGGTTTACCACTTACTAGCTTGTGACTTTAGGCAATTTCCCCAATCTTTTTGAGACTTAATTTATTCAATTACAAAATGAGGATAATATATTTCAGGTTATTGTGAGTATTAAAGGAGATGATATATGTGGCATGTTAAGCAAAATGCCAGCTACACAGTAACTATTCAGTAAAATGTTTTTTCTTACAGATGTTAATCAAAATAGTAAATTTTATCTGCCCTACCTTTGCTATAAATTATATTAAAAGTTATGATAGTAAGTAGTTATAGACACATACCCATTTCTAATACATTCTTTTATTTGGTAATTTAAAAAAATTATACTTCATTAAACCTTTTATCAAGAGAAAATTATCATATAAATGAGAATACTGAGGCCCCATGAGAGAAAGGTAAATCTGTAAAGGATGGTTTGTCTCCACGGCTCATACTCTTGAGTCAGTATATTGCTTAGAGGATGTAAGACTATGTATCTTTATCATCTGCCAGAGAGGATACAGGGACTTCCCTGGTTTCTGGTAAAGGTATAAATCAAAATATGAAACCAAATAAGAAGACAGTTATGGGCAAGGATGAACAGAAAGTACTTGCTTCTAAAAACTAGGTTTTTCGCTTGCAGAGAGGGATCCCTTTTGACTTATCATTTTAAAAATGCTTAACCATGGGCAATGGTAAGAGTGAGAGGCACTCTTAATTTGTGGTAAATGGCTGAGTTGGACTAATGTAGCAGTTTTCCTGCCTGTATGTCTTTTGCTGTAAACTCTCCTATACCTGGAGATGCTTATGTTAATCTCTAAACTGTACATACCTCTTTATGTGAAACTGAGCTGTGGGGCTTCCATGTTCACCCCTGTTGTATTTAACACACTTCATAGTACTCTTACTGAGGCTAGCCAAGTAGACTTCTGTAGTATCTCTTAAGAAGGGAAAGGGCAGCATTGTATTCTGTCTGAATTGTCAGCCAGTCTCCTTTTTGTTACTTCTCTGTCCCCTGTTTGGACTCCATCTTTCTTTCTTGTTCAGCACTGGTTCCTATGCCAGTGCCGGTGCTTCAGCCACCTAGCTTAGGTGTGGGAAATGTTTGCAGAGAGAAATAGGGCAGCTGATCCCCTTAAGAGACTAGAGGGTGGGGCAGTGGGCAGGACACCTGTGCCTAAAGAACAGCTTCAAAGAAGAAACATACTTTTTTTTTCCCTAAGGGAAGATAAGCAAATGATTGGAAAACACTGAAAATAGCCATTACATCAGACTACATGGAAATCCCTGTATCTACTTTAATGCTACTACTGTAATAGCAGTTTCAGCAGTTACCATTTATTGAGCAACTACAACACTTTTTTTTTTTTTTTTTTTTTTTTTTGAGATGGAATTTTGCTCTTGTTTCCCAGGCGGGAGTGCAATGGTGCGACCTCGGCTCACTGCAACCTCTGCCTCCTGGGTTCAAGCGATTCTCCTGCCTCAGCCTCCGGAATAGCTGGGATTGCAGGTGCCAGCCACCATGCCCAGCTAATTTTTTGTATTTTTAGTAGAGACAGGGTTTCACCATGTTGGCCGGCTGGTCTTGAACTCTGTGGGCATTACCTGATTTCGAGTTAAGTTATTTTGACAAGTTAGATACCATTATTTCAAATTATAGGAAATTGAGGCACAAAACCAGCCAGGAAATAAAGTCAGGTTTAGGATTCGCAGCCCACATGTAAGTTTCCCCATGAAGTGCAATAAAATAAAACTGAAAATTTAAGCAACACATTGTGTATGTCCAGACCTGTATAAGGTAAGTTCTGACTGGAGCACTTGTTGTAACCGTCTTGTGAATTTCTTGCCTCGTTTTAATATAGAATGTGTGGCAGACTGGTTCCTATCAGACTTGCATATTTACTTACCATGTTTGATATATTAGATATAAAATTACAGTTTATTTAGATAATTGTATGCTTACAAATTGATTTTTATTTAAGCATATAACAAATGAGCCTTCAGACTCTTGAGTTGTTAGTTAACTATTCTTTTTTTGGTAGTTTATGAAAGCAAGTAAAATGTTTAAGGGGAAGAACGCTTAACATTATAGTAAAACTGAAGCCTCACAATTTCTGGATTCAGAATATGTTTGTGTAGATCATTTTTTCCTGAAATGTTTACAATTGTAATAATTTTGATTTGTGACACTTTAAGGAGAATGATATTGTAAAATTATTTTAAGATTGTGTTGATACGTTAATTCTATACCTTCTGTCATTGATTCGAGAGGCAAAATCAAATGATGCACTTTTTGTCAAATAGTCCTTTTATGTTTGCAGAAAATTTATAGTTTAGGTTTTTAAAAAATGTATTCAGTAAGTGCCCGTTCTATGTGTAAAGTACTATAATCAGTGTTATTAGGATGTACAATGCAAATAGATGAAATAACCCTCAGTCTTTAAGGAGTTAACAATTCATTAAGAGATAAGACAGATAAATAACTGATTCTGGATAGATTATGGTAAATAATTCAAGAGGAGGTACAGAAAAGTGCCATAGTGGTGTTAATTAGGTGTTTCTTTGAAGAAATTTGTGTATGTTTATAGGTCAGGTGGAAGGACCCATCAGGGAGCAAGAGAGTGGAGAAAGAAATACAATTAATTGAACCAAGGTAGGGGTGAAGGTCTAGGATCAGAAGTGCAGAATGAAGGGTTGACTCTGAACATGAAAAAGACTACCCCATGTCTCTAAAACTGGGGAGAAGAAGCAAATATTATACAGTAACAGAGAATTGAAATGGAAGGGAGAAGCAAAACTGAGCAATCATTCACATCAGATTGCTTCATTTTTCTCATTAAAGTAGTTGAGGTGGTCATCTGAGAGGAAGGCAGGGATAATAGTAATAATAATGGCAGCAGCTACTGTTCTTTGAATTCTTACTGTAGGTGTCTGGCTAGCCACTTTATT
Organism: Homo sapiens; assembly: GCF_000001405.40. Classification (NCBI taxonomy): domain Eukaryota; kingdom Metazoa; phylum Chordata; class Mammalia; order Primates; family Hominidae; genus Homo; species Homo sapiens. The sequence goes on from NC_000001.11 coordinate 167,335,743, forward strand.
ATATATACTTTATGTCGTAATTTTTAAAATACTCTTACAAGGTTAAGTAGATTTATAAAAAGGATTGATGAGCCTTTTGAGGGTCAGTCTCAAAGAAAATAAATGTGTTAGCTTATCCAGCCAACCTAGTTATACAGCTGATCATTGAATAACATGGATTTGAGCTGCATGGCTCCACTTATATGCAAATATTTTTCATTAAATATGTTGGAATTTTTTTGAGATTTGCAACAATTTGGAAAAACTCACAAATGAACTGTGAAATATTGAGAAATATTGAAAAAAATTAAAAGATATGTAATGAATGCATAAACTATATGTAGATACTATTTTATCATCTATTACCATGAAATATCACAAATGTATTAAAATTATAAAACCTTAAAATGTATCAGAACTTACGCACACACTCGATCACATACATGGCACCATTCACAGTCTAGATAAATAGAAACAAATGTAAACAATACAGTATAAATCGTAATTGGATAAAATTAACTGCATTACCTACTATACTACTGTAATAATTTTGTAACCACCTCTTGTTGCTATTGCAATGATCTCAAGTATTGTGAGTATCCATTTAAAATGCCATGTGACCCTAATCATGTCACAGTGAACAGTTCATCCAGTAAATTGTGTATTGCAGTAAAAAGTGATCTCTCTATGTCCTTGAGTATTTTGCATCCTGTTTAGTGCAATAACCTAAACCTTAAATAATGCCATAAGACCTATACGAAGTACCACTGGTGGTGCCAGAAGTGTTCCCCAAAGCAGAGGCAAGTCATAATGTTATAGGAAAAATTTGAATTGCTTGATGTATACTATAGATTGAGGTCTGCAGTTATAGTTGCCATCCATTTCAAGATAAATAAATTAAGTGTAAGGACGATTATTTAAAAAAAAAGAAAAGGAAATTCATGAAGCCTTCACTGCAGCTACACCAGCAGACATGAAAAACTTGAACTTTTTGCTAAATACCTTTTTATTTCATTGAAAATACCGGCCTGGTGCAGTGGCTCATGCCTGTAATCCCAGCACTTTGGGAGGTTGAGGTGGGCAGATTGCTTAAGCCCAGGAGTTCGAGACCAGCATGGGCAACATGGTGAAACCCTGCCTCTACTAAAAATATAAAAAACTAAGCCAGGCGCCATGGCTCATGCTTGTAATCCCAGCACTTTGGGAGGCCAAGGTGGGCGGATCACCTGAGGTCAGGAGTTTGAGACCAGCCTGACCAACATGGTGAAACCCCATCTCTACTAAAAATACAAAAAAATTAGCCGGGCATGGTATAGCTGTAATCCCAGCTACTCTGGAAGCTGAGGTAGGAGAATTGCTTGACCTCAGGAGGTGGAGGTTGCAGTGAGCCGAGATTGGGCCATTGCACTCCAGCCTGGGCAACAAGAGCGAAACTCCATCTCAAAAGAAAAAAAAAAAAGCTAGGTGTAGTGGTGCACACCTGTACTCCCAGCTGCTTGGGGGAAGAGGTGGAAGAATCACCTGAGCTTGGGCAGTCGAGGCTACAGTGAGCTGAGATCACGCCACTGCACTCCAGCCTGGGTGACAGTGAGACCTTGTCTCAAAAAAAAAAGAAAGAAAAAAGAGAATGCAGCTTTTATGTGGGTGCAGGATTGCTATAAGAAAGACATACCTTTGGACTCTAATGTGATTTGAGAGGAAGCACAGTTGTTATACGACAGCTTAAAAGGCAGGTGAAGGATCTAAAGCTGGAGAATTTAATGCCAGCAAAGGATGGTTTGATAATTTTAGAAAGATGTTTGGCTTTAAAAATGTCAGGATAACGGAAGAAGCAGCTTCTGCCAACGAAGAGGCAGCAGACCTCAAGTTCTCAGATGCCATGGAGAAAATCAGTGAAGGCCGTCTGTGGTGGCTCACACCTGTAACCGCACCATAGCTGGACCCCATCTCTACCCTCACCCCACCCCCTGCAAAAAAAAAAAAAAGATAAGACAAAAGAAGGAAAATCATTGAAGAGAAAGGATATCTGCCTGAACAGGTTTTTAATGCAGACAAAAGCGCCCTATTCTGAGAGGGAAAAAATGCCACAAAGGACATTGATTAGTAAGGAAAGACATGAAAGCACACCAAGATTTAAGGCAGGAAGGAATAGGCTAACAGTACTGTTTTGTGCAGATGCAATCGGGTTTATGATCAGGACAGCCCTATCTATATCCTATTAAAGACTGCTTTTTGCCTTCTTTTACAGCATGGACCCTTTTATGATATGGGCACTGAAACTAAAGCACATGGTGGAAGAAGGATTGGTAGCATATAGAAACATTTTTAGACAAATGAAAAAGCAAAAAAGTCAGAAATTACAGTGTATTTCCATAAAGTTACACCAAGTGTGCCTGCCTCTCCTGCCTCCCCTTCCAGCTTTTTGTCTTCTGCCATTTCTGAGTCAGCAAGACCCCTCCTGTTCCTCCTTCTCAGCCTACTCAGCATGAAGACAAGGATGAAGATCTTTGTGATGATCCACTTCCACTTAATGAATAGTAAATATATTTTCTCTCACTTAGGATTTTCTTTAGCTTACTTTACTGTAAGAATACAGTATATAATACATATACAAATATGTTTTAGTCAACTGTTTATGTTATCAGCAATGCTTCTGGTCAACAGTAGGCTATTAGTATTTGAGTTTTGTGGGAGTCAGATGTTACATGCAGATTTTCAACTGTTTGTGGGGTCGACACCCTTGACTCCGTTGTTCAGGGTTCGACTGTATGACCTTTCTGTAGCCTAGATCAGCAGTCCAAACTCAGGAATGAAGAAAATGGAACATTGGATTATTGTGCCAAAATAGTATACTATCACCAAAAAAGAAAGAGATAGAAGGGAGTGGTAATATTTTTTATAACATAGTTGTTTGCACAAGGATGCTTCCCTTTGGAAAGATGGTATTTCCCCATTCTTCCCTCTCCTCCACCTTTGGTAAAGTCTATTCTATGTTCTCAAGATTATTCCGTATTGTAGCATGTATCAGAACTTTATTTTTTATAAGATATTCCATTGTATGTATATACTACATTTTGTTTATGCATTCATTTGTTAATGGGCAGCTGGATTGTTTTTACTGTTTGGCTATTATGAGTAATGTTGCAGTGAACTTTGGTGTACAAGTATCTGTTTGAGTTCCGTTTTTCAATTCTTTGGTTTATATACCTAGGAGTAGAATTGCTGGGTAAAACAGAATACAAACTTATTATCTTACAGTTTGGGAGGTCAGAGTCCTAAAATGAGAGTGTTGTAAGTGCTTTATTTCTTCTGGAGGTACTATGGAAAGTCCATTTCCTTCTCTTTTCCAGCTTCTAGAGACCACCTGCACTCCTTGGCTTATGGCCCCTTCCTCCATCTTCAAAGCCAGATGTATAGCATTGTCAAATCTGTTTCCTTCCCTCCCTTTCCTGTCCCCCTCCTCCCCTCAACCCTGCTTCCATCATCATATTTCCTTCTCTAACTCTCCTGTCCCCATCTTTTCTTTAAACACTTACTATCCTGAACTTCATTGGATTTGCAAAATACCTTTTGCCGTGTCAGGTAACAAATTCACAGCTTCCAGGAATTAGGATGATTATTAGGCCCATCTTTGATGGGCTGTTGTTCTGCTTTCCCACAAGATTTTCTCCTAAATTAAAGCTGATCATCTCTATTTTAGATGATAGTTGGAAAAGTAAAGAAGTTGTTTGAAGTTTTACAAGGTTTGGTAGGAAAAAACTAAATCAACTATTTTGATGTAAAGAAATATTGAGGGAAAAAGGAATATTGGACAAACATTAAAGTTTTGCTCACTTTTAACTCAAAGGGCAGACCTCTTTCATCAGTACTCCTGACAGATGGTTATCTGCCCTGTGCCTGGGTTCATGCACTGACACAGAACACAGTACTTTCTAGTGTTATCTGTTCTCTGGTATTACAACTCTGTTTTCTACATTCTTTTGAATTTTGTCCTTAGGAGTTTGTCATCTTTTAAGAAATTAAAGCTCTTCTGAAAGTCATTGTCACATTTTAACTCTTTTCCATTCATTTGACAATTTATTACAAATTAATTTACTATAAAGTAGTAATTTATTATAAAACAATTTGTTATAATCATTTGTACTAGAATATGATGATAGTGGCTAGCATTGATTAAGTATTTACTGGGTGATTTAAACATTTTACATAGATTATCTCATTTAATCCTTATAAAAACCTCATGAAACATTATTTTTCTCTTTTTATAAATAAGGGTCTCTTTTTATAAATAAGGAAGTTGAGGCTCAGAGAGGTTCAGTCACTTGATGAAGGTCACACAGATAGCTATAAAGGGGAGCAGAACCATTCTTTTTTTAAGATGGAATTTCACTGTCGTTGCCCAGGCTGGAGTGCAATGGCACGATCCTGGCTCACTGCAACCTCCACCTCCCGAGGTCAAGCAATTCTCCTGCCTCAGCCTCCCAAGTAGCTGGGATTACAGGCATGCAACCACCATGCCTGACTAATTTTGTATTTTCAGTAGAGATGGGGTTTCTTCATGTTGGTCAGGCTGGTCTCGAACTCCTGACCTCAGGTGATCCGCCCACCTTGGCTTCCCAAAGTGCTGGGATTAGAGGTGTGAGCAACTGCACCCAGCCCAGAACCATTCTTTTACCCTTTGAGCTATGTTGTTTCTTTTTTCTTTTTTTCTTTTTTTTTTTTTTTTTGGAGACAGAGTCTCACTCTGTTGCCCAGGCTGGAGTGTAGTGGCACGATCTCGGCTCACTGCAACCTCCACCTCCTGCATTCATGAAGTTCTCCCGCCTCAGCCTCTCAAGTAGCCGGGATTACAGGTGTGCGCCCCCACGCCCAGCTAATTTTTGTGTTTTTAATAGAAACTGGGTTTCACCATGTTGCCCATGCTGATCTTGAACTCCTGGCATCAAGCGATCCACCTGCCTCAGCCTCCTGCTGGGATTATAGGCATGAGCCACCATGCCTGCCCTGTTGTTTCTTTTTGTCTCCGATGCGCAAGATAACAGTACTAAGTAACATCAGTGAAGTTGAATAAAAGACTGATTTTGTTCTCAATAAATTTATCTTATAGAGAAAACATATATGAAAATGTAATATAACAGAAATTGAGACGATTCATGAGAAGTATATGTGAACCCATGAGAATTCAGTGTAGGGGAAAAGTGTTTCTAGCTGGGAGGATCAGAGAAGGCTTTGGAGAAGGTGGAATTGAAACTGTATCTTACAGGCTGGGTAGGGTTTAAATCATGATGATGCTAGGCAATTTATGTTCAGCATGAAGAAACAGTCAAAGCTGAGATGGGGGAAGAAATCTGTCCTAAATGTCTCTAATTCCTTCAAAAGATTTCCATTATGTCATCTGATTTCTAGATCTTTTATCTTTTAGTCATTCACAGAATTAGACAGTATTCCAATTCTTCAGACTTCATTGCAGCCATTACCATTACCTTTTGCTTATTATTATCTTTGAAAACTTACCATTGGCTTATTATAATTATTTTTATAATGCAGGTAAAAAGGATATTTAAATATATTTTAATATAAATGTTAATATATTTAATCAGATTTTCTGATACTTGTTTTGTAATGTGAAAAGTTGTTTTAAAGCAGCTGACTCATCTGTTGTAATGAATTTACAGTCAATTAACTGTCTTTTTTTCATCTGAATTATGATAGATAGATCCAAGGCTTCCCTATCCTGTCCTTTTTCACTTGCTTTTTTCATTTGAATTGAAAGGGGAGAGTTCCCTGACCCCCCTTGCAGGACATGCGACAGGGAGTGGCTCATATGTTTGGCTGCCCACACTCAAACCTCTTAGAGGAAGGGAAGCACACAGACTGGCAGGTGCAGGAGTTATGGTAAGCACTTTCTGGGCTCTGGCCACATGATAGTGTCTAGGGGTGGGTGTCTGCAACTCCCAAAGCCCAAGTGGGCACATGTTTCAGTGCACTCTTTTAGCCTTGCCATCTACAGACAGCTTAAGTGTTAGCTCAGTGATCCTCTTGGTACCCAAGTCCTTGTGCGGCGTCCAGGAAGAATCAGGTCACACATGGACTTGAAGGATGAATTCAGGGGTTTTGTTGAGCGGTGGAGGTGGCTCTTAGCGGGATGGATGGGGAGCTGGAAAGGGAATGGAATGGGAAGATGATCTTCCCCTAGAGTTTGGCCATCCAGCAGCTGATTTCCTCTTTGACCACCCCCAGTCGAATTCCTCTCAACATTCAGACATTCCTTCTCTTCTCTCTGCCACACCATTCTGCTGTTCTTCTGCTCTACTGTTCATGTCTTCTGGAGCCTGGGGTCTGGGGGTTATATGGAGCCACGATAGTGGGGTATGGCAGGCCAAAAGGCAACTTTTGGGCGCAAAAACAGAAATACCTGTTCCCATTTAGGACCATGGGTTTCCAGGCTTGAGGGTGGGGCCTTTGCTGGGGAACCACCCTCTTCTACCCAGTATTTCCCTGTCTCCTGTTCATATCAAAATGATTTTTCCCCAGGATAGTATCACTATATTTCAGGCAAATGAAAAGTCAAAAGAAATTTGTTAATGTAACCTAATATACATAAATACAATAGTATTTTTGGAATAATATTTATGGGCTTGTATTCCAAAAATACTGTCATCCAAAGTTCCTAGTAACCAGTGATGTTATTAATTCTTTGGGATTTACTAGTGCTATGGCTGGTATTAGGACATTATATGCTCATTTATATTCATAAAAGAGCATGATCAGATATCATTTTCTCCAAGATGAAGAGAAAGAATCCTGAAAGACCAGGGTACCAGTGAATAGACTTGCTATTCTTCATAGTAATTTAACAACTTGATGCCTTGAACCAGCACTAGTTTTGGAAATAATTTCCAGATAAAATACCAGTGTTTTCCAGAAAAGCCTCAAAATAGACCTCAATATAGTTCTTGTTAAACCAGAATGGAGCATTTGCAAATTTCAGACACTTAAGGATTATTTTCCTTTTGAACTTACGTTTATCCAGAGGCCATTTTTAATATTCTTACTGCTTTTATTATTATTTTAAAATTTATTACATATTTTATTGTGTAGACTACATTCTGCCCTGGCCAAGCTGCTCTTATAAGCCTGAGAGTAGAAATACTAATTTTGTTTGGAGTACCTTTATAGCTAATTTTTAATTAGTGGGTCATTGAAAGTGGCTGAAGCATTTCCAGAGAGCCTCAGGAGCTCAGTGAAGGATCTTGGTGGTTTAGAAGCAAATACCAAACACCTGTAGGAAAGATAGACCTCCCTCTAGTGTTTGATTTAATAGATGTCAGTTACAGGATATGGCTTCTACAAGATTCTGATCAGTACGTATTGAGAAACTTGCCCTGGCTCTGCCCACTGGTGCACATGGGGATTTTAAAACTTTAGGTCAGGGGTGGGGGTCAAGGGGGAGAAGGGCGCTATAATTACTGAAGCTGTGCGAATAGGAAGTGACATCTGAATTAAGATTATACTTTTGTTAAATGACTGAATAAGCAATTGATCTTTTTGCCATGAGGTAACCCAGTAACAAATTTAGAATTTTAAAGGTAGTATCCATTTTTGTTCATTACTAATAGAAATTGAGAACATTAAAGAGAGGGTTTGTTTCTAAAATGCTGTTTTCAGTACAGATTATTAGAGATTGTCTATAATTTTCTCCCTTAGAGAGCAGCTTAGTTTTATTTCATGTTACTTTTTTCATTTTTTTTCCTAACAGATATTAAAGAATTTTTGGTATAAAAGAATTTTCCAGCCATGTTATACTTTACATCTTGCTTGAAGCCAAAAACTAGACTACATTATTCTTTCAATTAGATCCATTATATAACATCCTGGCATAGAGCAATGGCAATAGAAGCCAGGGGTCAATTTTTTTTTTTTTTTTTTTTTTTTTTTTTTTTTTTTTTTTTTTTTTTTTTTTTTGAAGGAAGGAAAGGGAGTAATTTAAAATGAATACTTGTATTTGCCTCGGGGCTGGGAGAGATGTGGTAGCATTCTCTGAGTAGGAACTGTACTGTTGGGGAGTAGACTTGACAATGAGATGATGAAACATTTCAGCACTGAAAATGTTGTACTTGGGGTGCCTTGTGGTGCTTGCAGGTGAAGATGTGGGCAATTGAAGATAGAGATAGGTTCCTGAGGAGAGGTGTAAGAGTCTTTAACAGGGAAATGCTACGGGGAGGAGAGTGGAATCAGCCAAGAGGACCAAGGACGGAGCTCTTCTAAGGTGTTGAAAGGGCTGGTAGAGGAAGAGGAGCCCATGCCTTTGTTGTCGAATAGGATGGACACTGACTGCATGTGGCTCTTTAAATTTAAATTAAATTAAATTAAATTAAAAATTCAATTCCTCAATCATACTAACCACATTTCTAGTGTTCAGTAGCCACGTGTAGTTAGTGACTACCATATTGGCCAGTACATATAATAGAACATTTCCATTATCACAGAAAGTTCTATTGGACAGTGCTTAAGTAGACTAAGAAATAACAACCATGGAGATCAGATGTGAATCAGACCAGTGAGCTCATGGAGTTAGCATTTAGTGTGGTCAAGTCCTGCCATAGGAGCCTTAAAATGTGACCCTTGAATTTGACAATTAGTTACTGTGGGCCTTTTAAAGATTTTAGTTAAGTGGTTTGGAAAGAAATTGCTGTGGTTAAGAAAGTGAATGGTTGTGTAAAGGGAATGATAAATGTAAGCAACTCTTTTCATGGAAGCTCTATATGGGGCTATATATATGTATCATAGTGGTTAAGAGCTCAGACCCTGAAATCAAACCCCATGGATTCATATCTTGCTCCTTTCACTTGCTAGTTGTGTTACCTTAGGCAAGTTACTTTTTTCATGTTAGAGTTTTTCTTAGCTGTAAGATGGAGATAAATAATAATCCATCTCATAGTCTTGTTGTATACACGGAAAGCAAGTAGGTATGTGGCACAGTCCATTCACTATCAGTGTTAGCTATCTATTAGGAGGAAGGGGAGGATGATAGAGAAGGAAAGAATGGGAGGGGACGTTAGAAGGGCCTCCTAGTGAAGCAATTTGAATATGTTTAGATGCTAAGGGAAAAGAGCCAGTGTAGGAGGGGAGTGGCAAAGAAAGAACAGATGATGCAGCCATAAAAAGGAATGAGATCGTGTCCTTTGCAGGGACATTGATGAAGTTGGAAGCCGTCATCCTCAGCAAACTAACACAGAAACAGAAAACGAAACACCACATTTTCTCACTCATAAGTGGGAGTTGAACAGTGGGAACACATGGACACAGGGAGGGGAACATCACATACCAGGGGTGAGGGTGAGGGGAGGGAACTTAGAGGACGGGTCAATAGGTGCAGCAAACCACCGTGGTACACGTGTACTTATGTAACAAGCCTGCATGTTCTATGTATCCCGGAACTTAAAGTAAAATAAATAAATAAGAAAGAACAGATGAGTCAGGGATCCATTTTTGAGGAGAGGGGAGGTGTTGGGTTTCAGAGCACGTGGTGGCTGAAGTAGCCTAAAGTAGAAGATTCCTTTTTTTGTTGTTTTTTAGGTGAGAAATGGGAGAGTAAAGGAGATAAAGACAGATTCAGATAGTAAGTTTTCAGGTAGAAGGGAATGTAAGAAAGCAGTCTAGAGAGGATTAGGAACAGTCAATTAGGGATTTCCTTGTGATACAGGGAAAACAAAACTGGGAATAGAATGCAATAAACAAGTCTAGGATTAAAATAAACACTATCAGCAGGATTTGTAGCAAAGTGTCATAATCCAAGTTAGGAAGGCTGACATCAGATAAACTCAGAAGGTAAAGAGCATTCATTGTGTTTCTGAGGAAGGCAGGAAGCTGCTACCGTTTAACTGGCTCACATCCTACAGGGAAAGATGAGCAAGGGAGCCTCTGACTAGGTTGAGAGGCAGAACAGAGATGGAGCAAGGTCAATGTTTGGTAATTTTCTCCACCAACAAAAATATTAATAAGATTTTAGGATATTAAAATAAGGTCTGTCTTTCTGGTTTTCTTGGTCTTCAAATATATTTCATTTATGTTCAATATTTAAGTTATTTGAAAAGTCTCAACAGCTGGTAAGTCATAAGACACTTATTTTTCTACAATTAAGAATAAAGTTAAGAGCCTGGAATAAGTGGCTCACACCTGTAATCCCAACACTTTGGGACATCAAGGCATGAGGATTCCTGGAGCCCAGGAGTTGAAGACTAGCCTGGGCAACATAGTGAGACCCGCATGTCTACAAAAAAAAAAAAAAAAACTTAAAAAAATTAACTGGGCATGGTGGCACATGCCTGTGGTCCCAGCTACTTGGGAGGCTAAGGGAGGAAGATCGCTTGAGTCTAGGAGGTCAAGGCTGCAGTGAACCATGATTGCGCCACTGCACTCCAGCCTGGGTGACAGAGTGAGACCCTGGATTTTTTTTTAAAAAAAGAATAATGTTAATGAAAACCTGTTTTAACTGAGTCTTTCATCCAGATAGACTTAACAATTTAGCAAACAGCCACCTATAGAAATCTTGTCATGCATCACTGATAATGCATTCATCTCTAAGGTGATGTATAAAAGTAATTTTAAAAATACACATACTATTATTACTTAGGAAGTAAAGGATATACAATCCAATCATTACAATCAAGTACAATCACTGTGGAGATTTTTAGCAGATAAGTAATACCTATCCATTCTATAGATCAGCAGCCCCCAACCTTTTTGGCCCCAGTGACTGGTTTCATGGAAGACAGTTTTTCCACAGACAGCGAGTAGGGGATGGTTTGGGGGATAAAACTGTTTTTTACCTCACATCATCAGTCATTAGTTAGATTCTCATAAGGAATGCACCACCTAGATCCCTCGCATACACTGTTCACATTACGGTTCACGCGCCTATGAGAATCTAGTGCCACTGCTGCTCTGACAGGAGGCAGCGCTCAGGCAATAACGCTATCTTGCCCACCACTCACCTCCTGCTGTGCAGCCTGTTCCTAGCAGGCCACAGATTGGCACCAGTCTTCAACCCAGGAGTTGGGGACCCCTGCTATAGATATTCTGTGTCATGAATTTTGATTATGCTTCTTACTTTTGTAGTGGCTTAGAATCTTTCTGTGGTTTTGTTTCTGTGATAAGTGATTCTCTTTCAGGATTTCCATTATCCCAGATTCTTCCCATTTTATGGCAGCTCAGATGGAAGAAACGCTCTCCACACAAACAATCTAAAAAATGAGCAGTAGCTAAGTTTTCCTAAAAGATCTTTTAGCTATTATTTATGTCCTGTGGTTGCTTGACTTTCTGTGAACTTCATTTGGAATTTGTCCTTGCTTATCAAGGTGATGTAGTGATGGGCACAGATATTGTCATTATTTCCTATAGGGTGTCGGAAATTTAGTCTATTGGTAATTTTGCCTTGACTGCCTTAAATTTACTTATAAATAGAAATATGTGAATAATGTATTTTTCCTCTTTATTATGTAGGTTTAATTGAAGTAGTATATTATTTTCATTACACATTAACATGTAGTATAGTACTATCTCAAATATAACTGCTGGGTGATGAAAAATAGCCTTCACAAACTCATGTTCCAAAATTTCTCAGGCCCTTATTCAAGAAATTGTTAATCTTATTTTCATGTGCACTTCTAACAGGGGTGCATTTCATAACAGATCATAAGCAGCCATTTATACAGACGAGGCTGGCTGCTCTAGGAAAGTAAGCCAGTAGAGCAGAAACTGTCAGATTTATACCAGAACTGCAGTCTTTTATTTTCTTTTTTAGATTGAGGTGAAATGCGTAACATAAAATTAACTATTTTAAAATGAACAATTCAGTGGCATTTAGTGTATTCACAGTGTTGTGCAGCTACCAATCTATCCAGGTCCAAAACATTTTCATCACCCCCAAAGGAAACCCTATACCCCTTAAGTAGTTGCTCTCCATTTTCCCCTCTCCCCAGCCCCTGACAACCACCAACCTATAGTTTGTCTCTATAAATTTACCTATTCTAGGTATTTCATGTAAATGAAATCATATGGTATGTGACCTTTTGTGTATGGCTTCTTTAACTTAGTATAATGTTTTCAAGGTTCATTCATGTAATAGCATATTATCAGTACTCATTCCTTTTATGGCTGAATGGTATTCCATTATATGGATATACCACAATTTGTTGGTGTCCCTTTGTCTCTTGATGGACATTTGGGTTGTTTCCACTCTCTTTGGCTCTTGTGAATAATGCTGCTGTGAACATTTATATACACGGATTTGTTTGAGTACTTGTTTTCATTTATTTTGGGTATATAGTCATGCATAACGTCAGGGATACATTCTGAGAAATGCACCATTGTATGAACATCATAGAGTATGTTTCACAAACGAAGATGGTATAGCCTATGACATACCTAAACTATATGATATAGCCTGTTTCTCCTAGGCTACAAATCTGTACAGTTAGTATACTGAATACTGTATGCAATTGTAACACAGTGGTATTTGTGTATCTAAACATAGAAAAGGTACAGTAAAAATAGGGTATTATAATCATGGTTCTATTGTTGCTGATGGAAATGTCTTTATATGGTACGTGACTGTATGTCTAGCAGTGAAGTTGCTGGGTCCACTTTTTGATGGTCCTTCAAATAGTTAAACATAGAATTACCGCCAAACTTTTTTCCATAGCAGCTGAACCATTTTATATTTCCACAATCAATGTACAAGGATTCCAATTTCTCTGCATCCCTGCCAACACTTATTTCTTCTTTAAAAAAATTACAGCCATTTTAATGGGATTAAATAATGTACTTTAAAAAGTGGCAACTCTTCATTCATTTTCCCCAGGAAATAATAATAACTGAAACCTCCTCCTTTTTTCCAATGTTTTTGTGTATTTTCCTCTATCTTATAGTCAAAATATCTTGTAATAATGAGATGAGAATGGGCAATAATAAATTGTGTTTACATCTAAGGCAGTTAGATGTTTGACTTGTCACCTTGGTTGTTTGTGCCTTGCTCTCTTACCCTGAACTACCTGTATCACCTCATCTCTCCTACATCTTAGCCACACTAAACCTCTCAAAACTCTTTGTACCTTTCTAAGAGCAAGTAAGTGCTCTGCTTTGCATGGCTTGAGGACAGTGACAGTACCTTATTCTTTTTTGTGTTCTACCTTCCACTTTTTTTAGATACCACTTTTCATAGATATCTTATTTTTTTTAATAGTGCTTGTCTTTTGTATTACTTATTTACTTGTCTGCCACCCAAACCTAACTGTGAGCTCCTTGTAGTATGGGAATATGACTTTGTAACCCTAGGACCTAACAGGGTATTTAAAATTGTTAAAATTCTTAGATTTTATTTTTTAACGTGGCCACGGTGTCTTCTACTTTTGGTATAGAAATGCTTGGTATTTTCTTCCCTCACTCAACCTTTTCCAATTAATTCCATCTCATCCTCTTAAGATTCATCTGAAATGTTGTCTCCAGGAAGCTTCCCTGACCTTGCCTTCTCCCTTTCCCCTTAAAGTCTTCTTTTAATGTTCTTGTCAGTAGCCTATGTGGTATCTGTTTTATACTTTCCACATTGTATATATATTTTTATGAATATGGAATTCATAAATGCATTACTTGTGCACCCCGGCCAGACTCGCTATCCCTTTTCCTCTTTATTTTTCCATAGCATTTATTTGTATCTGATATTCAATATTTTTTCATTTTTATTATCTATTTCCCAACTAGAATGTAAGCTCCACGAAGGACATTATTTTTGTCTCTCCACTGCTGCATCTCTGACACCTGGAACAGTGCTTGCTATACAGTATATGCTCAATACGTATTTTTTGAATGAATTAATCAGTTAATGAATAGGCCTGAGAACTACTTAAGAGCAGTGACTGTGGTGTATTCATTTTTATAACCTCAGCATCTGGAATATCAATTCTCAATAAATATTTATTGAATACAGCATTTATTTTTACAGCAGGATCTTTTGCTATGTGATATTCCTGGTTCTCATTTGTTGTTGTTTTTGTTTGTTCCTAAATAATTATATAAAAATAGAAAATGCACATAAGCAAAAATAATTGTTTCATTCAAAATAGGAGATGATTCAGTCATAGTCTTGTGTATATGGGCGTAATAATTTTATCTAAAGCCATTTCTTATAAAGGTAAAACTGTTCATTCAAGGGAAGAGAAATTTCTACTGAACTGTAAACATGAACACATCAGTTGGCTAAGATTTAAGAAAACAGCTGAATATTTTTATATTCATATTTCAAAGTAATCATTGCTTTGGAGTAGATTAAAAATAAAGGTTGTATAGGGTTTCAGGTGAGTTTTGATTAATAAGAAAAGATTACATACACATCAAGTTAGATTAAGTTCCCAATAAGCCAATGATACTAAGTATTATTGGGAGGCAAAGTCATTTCAGAACAGGTGTACTATACTTAATGTAGTTTCCCTTGCCCCCTGCAAGTAGGATCATATCAGATGAGAGAATAAAAAGAGTACCTTGCCTTTTTACATATTCAGGATTTTGGTCTCCGTTGAGAATGAATCTTTTTTGTTCTTTTGTTGGAAATGGGCTATTTACAAATATTTTCCAGGGTTCCAGAAAACTCAGTTCTCTGCAACCAACTTTCTTACTCTGATTTAATTCTATTTTGTCGTCTGTGTGATTCTGATACTTAGTCTGAGACCTATAGTAACAAATGTATTTCCATGCATTTAGCTAAAGAACATGGGGAACTGACATTGCAAAAGACAGATTTTTTTTCTCTTTAAAGTGTCATGATTTCCTTCAGATGTAGCTAGGTCCTGAACAGATGAGGCAGGAGAATTGCTTGAACCTGAGAGGTGGAGGTTGCAGTGAGCCAAGATCTTGCCACTGCACTTCAGCCTGGGCGACAGAGCAAGACTCCATCTCAAAAAAAAAAAAAAAAAGAAAAGAAAATGTATTATCTGTGTTAGGCTGGGCACGGTGGCTCATGCCTATAATCCCAGCACTTCAGGAGGCTGAGGCGGGCAGATCACCTGAGGTCGGGAGTTCGAGACCAGCCTGACCAACATGGAGAAACCCCATCTCTACTAAAAATACAAAATTAGCCAGGCGTGGTGGCGCATGCCTGTAATCCCAGCTACTAGGGAGGCTGAGACAGGAGAATCGCTTGAACCCGGGAGGCCAAGGTTGCAGTCAGCCGAGATCATGCCATTGCACTCCAGCCTGGGCAACAAAAGCGAAACTCCATCTCAAAAAAAAAAGTATTATCTGTGTTTTAATTTCTGGGCTCAAAAGGTTGATCTGTTTTGAAACTATTAATGTTGGCCAGTCATGGTGGCTCACACCTGTAATCCAAGCACTTTGGGAGGCTGAGGTGGGTGGATCACCTAAGGTCAGGAGTTCTAGACCAGCCTGGCCGACATGGTGAAACCCCATCCCTACTAAAAATACAAAAAATTAGCTGGGTGTGGTGGCACGTGCCTGTAATCTCAGCTCCTCAGGAAGCTGAGACAGGAGAATCGCTTGAACCAGGGAGACGGAAGTTGCAGTGAGCTGAAACTGTGCCACTTGCATTCCAACTTGGGCAACAAGAGCGAAACTCTGTCTCAAAACAAACAAAATTAGCTGGGTATGGTGGCACATGCCTGTAATCCCAACTACTTGGGAGGCTGAGGCAGGAGAATCACTTGAACCTGGGAGGCGCAGGGTTGCAGTGAGCCGAGATCGCGCCACTGCACTCCAGCCTGGTCAGGAAGAATGAAGCACCATCTCAAAAAAAAAAAAAAAAAAAAAAAAGAAAGAAAGAAAAAAAAGAAAAGAAACTATTAATGTTATATCTTAAGTAATGATTAAACGTCCTAAGGAAAACTAGATTTTATAGGAGTTAAGATTTTGGAAATATTATTTATAATTAGGCTGGCCCTTAAAGTCTTCTTGAAGGAAGTAGATTCCAGGCTGGATATTTCATAATGACTAGGATTTTCAGAGCTAGAGAGGAGGGTGAAGGATATCTGCATTTTCATCCTATTTGAGGGTTTCACCTTAGCTTTCTCCCTGACTCTCCTCTCCTCCCTCCCACCTCTTCTTTTCTCCTTCTTTCCCTAATGTGTAATGTTTCCTCTCTCATTTATACATTTTAAAATTAATGTTCATAGGATATAGATTTCCATTCTCATTTGTGGAAAAATGACAACAGGAATAGGATAAAGGAGAGGACTGTCCTCCCACCGCAAAAATAGATGCACACCTGGGCAGAATTCAAACAGCAGAAGTGTGTCTCTTTTAAGAGACTGGAGACTGATTGCTTTGGAGATGACATTGAAGGATAAATTGAAAGGATGCCCATTTTAGGAAAATTTTAGCAATAAAAATTAAAGCTGTTATCACAACTTAATGGTAATACTCATCATGGTAGAGAATTTGAAAAATACAGAATAATGTATTCACTATTAACATTTTGATGCATTTCCTATTTGAAGACGTTTTTTGACAAAGTTGTCCTTTATAAAATGTAATATTTCTTGTGGGCTATAAAATTTGATTTGATTCCTTTTTAAAAACTTTATTTTAATGTAAAAGAAATGTAGTTGAAGTAGCTAGCTGTGAGATAGATAGCAAAGGCCAGAATTCTACTACTTTGTCATCTTATGTCCCCTTATGAGCCTGATCATGGCCTCAATTACTGATTTGTCACTTAGCTAATATTTGTGAATGAGCATTGAATTGGAGTCCTTCGTCATTGGATGGTTTAGTAGAAAGGGCAATTGGGAGAGAGTTGAGGCAGGGGTGCTAGACAAATCGGTGGAAGGCTCGGAATTTCAGTCTGAGCTCAATTACTATCCAGCTTGGTTATTTCAGTGGAAGTATTTCTGTATATTAGAAAAAATTTCTTATTTGTAAAACAAGGAGCTTGATTAGTTCTTTTTAATGTCCCTTTCAGCTTTACCATTTCCAAAATATGAAATAAATAGAATCATGTGGATGTACCCTTTGAATCTGGCTGCTTTTACTTAGTATAGCGGGCTTGAGATTCATATTCATCTGTGTCATATGTACTTTAGCTCAATTTTATTTCTTCCCTCACTCCCACAAAATGTTGAGGAAGTACCAAATGTGTTTTCGTAGTAAGAAGGTATAGATTATTGCTTTTGGGTTAGAGAGATGGGAAACATGAAAGAAAATAGCATTTGAGCTGAGCGCTGAAAGACATTTAAATGCCTGAATCCTGTGCAAAGCTGAGTAATATGAACTGTTCATGAAGGGAAGAAACCTTTGCCTATTTGATCCTTGACTGCTGGCTATGAAGAGAAAAACAGAACTTTCTGGGAGATGAGGACTCTCCAGTGCTTGAACTTAATATAAATCCAACTGTCTCTCAGCTGGGTCTTCACTGTCACTGGTGCTAACCTTGGATTCACCTCTAATTTATTCCCTGTCACATTTTTCATTGCATATTTCCAGTCTTCTCTATTTCTGTTTTGCTCTTTCGTTTTCTGAAAATATCTGCCTTTTGATTACTGAAAAAATTGTAGCTGTCTGATTTGAGCCTCACCACCTCCCTCTTCAATACTTTACATTTTTCTGTTTTTACCTACCTTCTCCTTTTTTTTTTTTTTGCATCTGACAAAGAAATATCTCTCTTTACCCCCACCGCCTCCATTATTTGAATTGTCTTCTCGTACCCTTCAGGTTTCTGCCCTATCTTTCAACCGCTATTGTTCTTACCTTTTCAGCATATCCCTTCCACAGACTCTTTCAGTCTTTTAAGTTTGCTCAGGTTTTATCAACCTCAAGTCTTTCCTTCCACCCTATCTGCCCCTTTGAATTATCATCCTCACGCTGTCCCGCCAGTACCTGACTTATGAAAGAAACGATCATCACTCACCACCTTGGCTTCATTATTACCTGCTTTTGCCTTTATTCCTTGCAATCTGGATGTGTACCCAGAATTTTGTTGCACTTTTTTTTATTGTTGATTCTTTTACGATTTTATGCAAAAGTAATTGTAAAAACTTGTATGTAAACATGAATGTAGCGTTTAAGTACTCATATCTACCACTGTGGCCATAAAGTAGAATGTTACCATTCCTCAGAAGGCTTCTGTAGGCCCACCCTGAACATATTCCATTTTTCTACCACAAAAATAACCACTATCCCGAAGTTAGCGTTAATGGTGACATTGCTTTTCACTCAAAATATTTTTCCATCTACATATTTATCCTCAAATAACACATTACTTAGATTTGCCTGTTTCCATAATGAAATTGAATTATACTGTACCATGGATATTTTATTACTGATTTCTTTTGCTCAACATTATGTGTTTGAGATTCATCCATGTTAGTACATATACCTATAATTCATTTTCACTGGATATAATATCCCATTGTATGACTACATTAGAATGTTTGTTTATTCCATTATTGATGGACATTTGGGTTATTTCTAGGCTTTTGCTATTACAAATAATATGGCTATAAATGACTTTGTACTTATCTCTTGATACATATTGTGAAAAAGTCCCCAGAGTATTTTCTTTATTTTTATTTATTTATTTATTTTTTGACAGAGTCTCACTCTGTCACCCAGGCTGGAGTGCAGTGGCACAATCTCAGCTCACTGCAACCTCGGCCTCCCGGGTTCAAGCAATTCTCCTGCCTCAGCCTCCCTAGTGGCTGGGATTACAAGCACCCTCCACCACGCTCAGCTGATTTTTATATTTTTAGTAAAGACGGGGTTTCACCATGTTGGCCAGGCTGGTCTCAGACTCCTGACCTCAGGTGATCTGCCCGTCTCGGCCTCCTGAAGTGCTGGGATTACAGGTGTGAGTACCCAGAGTATTTTCTTAATAGTGTTATTGCTGAACTTGTTCTAATGTTACTTAGTACTGCCAGCCAGTTTTCCAGAGCATTTGTACTGGTTTATACTGCTACTAATAGCAACTGGGATTAACCGACTTTGCAATTTTAGCCAATTTATCAGGTGTAAAATGGTATCTCATTGGGGTTTTAATTTGCATTTCCATAGTTTCCAAGCAGATTGAACATCTTTTCCTGTGTTTATGGGCCATCTGTGTTTCTTCCTTTGTTAAATTCCTGTTCATTTATCTTGCCTATTTTTTCTGTTGGGTTGACTTTTTCTTATTGACTCATAGGAGTTCTTTGTGTATTCTGAATACTAATCCTTTGTTGTTTGTATGGATTGTAAATATTTTCTTTTTTCAATTCACTTTATGTAGCCCTTTGATGAGCTTTTAATTTTAAAGTAGTTAAATTTATGTGTTTTCATCTTTTGGTTCTTGATAAAGAAATTCTTCACTTTCCCAAGGTTAGAATGATATTCTTTTATGTTATCTTCTAAGAATGTTATAGTTTTGCATTTCACATTTTGGCTTTTAATCCTTCTGAAATTTTCATTTTTCTTTCTTTTTTTTTTTTTAGTATAGTGTAATGTGTCTAGTTTTTTGTTTTTTGTTTTTTAAATAGATACCCAGCTACCCCTTTATTAAAAACTCCACCCTTTCCTCATTGATCTGTCATCTTTCATCCCTTCCTCACCTCTGTCATGTTTCAAGTGTTCATAGGTGTGTGTACCTCTGTCTCTAGACTCTGCACTGGTATATGTGTTGATCCCTATGCTAATACCACACTGCCTCAATTATTATTGCTCTCTAAATGTTAATATCTTGATAATCCACGTCTCCATGTTTTAAAGAACATCTTGGCCCCATGCCATTCTATGTAAATTTTAGAATCAACTTGTTAAGTTCTACCCCTCTGCTCCAAAAAAAAGACAGAGAGAAAATAATTTATTGAGATTTTCATATGAATTTACTTTGAATCCATAGGTCAGTTTGGGGAGAACTGACATTTTTACAATATTGAGCTGGCATCTGTCTATACAACTGGCATACTATAATAACTGCACATTTTTAATTACTATTTTTTTTCACTATGTTGCTCAAGCTGGTGTCAAACTCCTGGCCTTAAGCGATCCTCCCACCTCTCAAATCTCTGGGATTATAAGTGCGAGCCTCCATGCCCAGCCATGTCTTTGTTTTTAAATAAAGTTTTATAATTTTCTGCCTATGGAACTTGCTGTATTTTGATAGATTTATTTTCAGGACTTTGTATCTTTTAAGTGTTTATAAATAAAATCTTTAAAAATTGTTTTCATTTGGAATATACAAAGACAATTTTATTATTATTATTATTTTTTGAGACAGGGTCTCACTTTGTTGCCCACACTGGAGTGCAGTGGCAGGATCATGGCTCACTGCAGCCTCGACTTCCCTCAGATCAGGTGATCCTCCCACCTCAGCCTCCTAAGTATGTTACTTAGTACTGGGACTATACTGTTACTAAGTAGCTGGGACTATAGGCACGTCCCACCACGCCTAGCTAATTTTTCTTTTTCTTTTTTTTTTTTTTTTTTCTTGTAGAGGCGGGGTTTCACCATGTTGCCCAGGCTGGTCTCTACTCCTGGGCTCAAGGGATCTGCCCGCCCTGGCTCACGCCTGCTAGGATTACAGGCGTGAGCCACCCTGCCTGGCCACAAAGGCAGTTTTAAAGTAGATTTTGTGTGCTGCATCCTCATTAAACTCTCTTATTCTAATAATAAATTATTAGATTCCTTAGAACATTCTGTACACACAAATCACCTGCAAAGGGTTTTATTTTGTTTTTTCCAACTCAGATGTTTTCTTTTTTGTCTTGTTTTGCTGGATAGGCCTTGGAGTATGATAGAAGTAGTAGTAGTGTTACCAGTGGCAAATATCCAAGTTTCACAGCATCAAATGTGTTACCGGTAGAAGGTATTTGAGTCACTGGCGGCAAATATATACGGGTCTGCAGCAACTTCAATTCTTGCCTCCTCAGAAGAAAGAATTCGACTGAGGGGCATAAGGCAGCAGAAGAGACCAAGGCAAGTTTCAGAGCATGGGTGGAAGTTTACTTACAAAGGCTTTAGAACAGGAAAGAAAGGAAAGTACACTTAGAAGAGTCCCAAGCAGGCACCGAGGTCAAGTGCAGTGTTTAACCTTGATCCTGGGACTTTATAGGCTGGCCCCTTTCCCATGATTCTTCCCTTGAGGTGGGCTGCCCACATGTGTAGTGCCCTCCTTACCCTTGGGAGGTGAGCAGGCGCAGTGTGTTTAGGAAGTTGTAGACATGCCCATCTGAGGTTTTCTTCCCTTTTCTGGTGGTGTGCCCCCAGAAGGTCATATTCCGCCATTTTGTCTCTTAATGCACATGCTCAAGAAATTACTTCTCCCTGGTCCCTGCCTTCAATTAACACTTTAGCACAACAGGTGTGGACCATTAGGAAATGGCCTTTCCCTGAAGCCGGCTGCCAATTTATCACTTAGGCAATATGAAAACTGCCAGACCATCACCCGACATTCCTAGTGGGCAAGGGAAGAGCCCTCTGCCCTGCTCATGCCTGTCTACCTATTGTAACAGTAACTGGCCCCCTTATCTTCTTCTTAATCTTAAAGGAAATGCTTTTAATTTTTCACCATAAACTATGATGTTTATTTATTTTAATGCTTATTCTTTATCAAGTTAAAGAAACTTGTATTCCTATGCCAAGATTGCCCCCCCTCCCCCACGCCTCCCCCCCCACCCCCCCCCCACCCCCCCCCGCTTCTTTGTGAGACGGGGTCTCACTTTGTTCCCCAGGCAGGAGTGTAGTGGTGTGACGTGGGCTCACTGCGGCCTCAACCTTCTGGGTTCAAGCAGTCCTTCCCCTCTCAGCCCAAGTTGCTGGGACTACAGGTGTGCACCATCACGCCTGGCTGATTTTGGTATTTTTGGTAGAGATGGGGTTTCATCATGTTGCCCAGGCTCATCTCAAACTCCAGAGCTCAAATAATCCACCTGCCTCAGCCTCCCAAAATGCTAGGATTACAGGTGTGAGCCAGCACACCCAGTCCTTATGCCAAGAATTTTTATCATAAGTGGATATTGTATTTGTCTAAGAGTTTTATGCATCTTTTGAGATTTCTATATGATTCCACCCCGCCCTTTATTGAACTTGGTGAATCTTATTAATTGATTTTTTTTTTTTTTTTTTTTTGAGACAGAGTCTCACTCTGTCTTCAGGCTGGAGTGCAATGGCGCTATCTCGGCTCATTGCAACCTCCGCTTCCTGGGTTCAAGCAATCCCCCTGCCTCAGCCTCCTGAATAGCTGGGACTACAGGCGCACATCACTACACCCAGCTAATTTTTGTATTTTTAGTAGAGATGGGGTTTCACCGTGTTGGCCAGGATGGTCTCGATCTCTTGACCTCGTGATCTGCCTGTCTCGACCTTCCAAAGTGCTGGGATTACAGGCATGAGCCACCGCATCTGGCCTAATTGATCTTTTTTCTTTTCTTTTTTTTTTTTTTTTTTTTTTTGAGACGGTGTTTCGCTCTTGTTGCCCAGGCAGGAGTGCAGTGGCGCGATCTCGGCTCACTGCAACCTCTGCTTCCCAGGTTCAAGTGATTCTCCTGCCTCAGACTCCCTAGATCTACCTTAGCCATAATATTTTATATTAGTAGATTAGGTTTGCTATTATTATTTAGTATTTTTTCATATATGTTTATGAATGAAACTGGCTTGTATTTATATTTTTCACACTTTATCAGGTTATGGTATCGAGGTTATGCTGGTCTCATAAAATGAGTTAGAAGTGTTTCTGGTTTTGTTGTTCTCTGGAAACGTTTGTGGAGGATTAGAATTATTTGTTCCTTGAATTTTTGGAAGCACTTGGGTAAAATCAACAAGGCTTTTTATTCTCTTGGGAAGATTTTTACTTACCTACTAATTCAGTTTCCTTAAATGCTGTGGGACTCTATGGATTTTCTATTTCTTCTTGAGTCAGTCTTGATAAATTATATTTTCTATAGAGTTATTCATTTTTAAGTTTTAATTGTATTGACATGAAACGCTTCACAATATATTCTTAATCTTTTTATTATCTGCAGCTTTTTTTTTTTTTTTTTTTTTGAGACAGGTTCTGACTGTGCTGCTCAGGCTGGTCTTGAACTCCTGGCCTCAAGTAATTCTTCTGCTTCAGCCTGTCTAGAGTGCTGGGATACAGGCTTGAGCTACTGCACCTGACCTGCAGCAGTTTTTGATAGGCCTTTTTGTTACACTTAAATTGTTTGTTTGCTCCTTCTCTCTTATTTTCTTGTTCCATCTTACCAGAAGTTTATACGTTACAAAGTGACAAGATTCTTTTGAAAGAACCAAGTTGGTGTTTCTATTATGTGGAAGTTTTTTTTAATGGTATTCATTATTGGTCTTACCTTTATTATTACCTTTCCCTCTATTTTCTTTGGATTTATTTATTTCTCAGTGCTCTTATCCTTATCTTCTCTGTACCATTTAATAGTATTAAACCACTCCATCCTTGTAGCTTTCTCATCCCTGGCTCCTGAAACACACTAGACTTTTTTTAAAAAAAAAAAAACTATTTTTGTTTTAGATGTAGGGGGTAAATGCACAGGTTTGTTACATGGGTATATCGCCTGATGCTGAGGTTTGGGATTCTAATGATTCTGTCACCCAAGTAGCAAACCTAGTACCGTAGGTAGTTTTTCAGCCCTTGCCTTCTCCTTCCCTTCCCCCTTTTGGAATCCCTAGTTTCTGTTTCTGTCTTTGTGTCTTATGTGTTTAACTCCCACTTAAATGTGAGAATATGTGGTATTTGGTTTTCTGTTCCTGTGTTAATTCACTTAGGAAAATGGCCTCCAGCTGCATCCGTATTACTGCATGGATTTTGTTCTGTTTATGGCTGCATAGTATTCCACGGTGCATATGTACCATATTTTCTTTATCTAATCCACTGTTTTGGGCACTTGGGTTGATTCCATGTCTCTGCTGTTGTGAATAGTGCTGTGATAAACATGCAAATGCAGGTGTCTTTTGGGTAGAACGATTTATTTTTCTTTGGGTATATATCCAGTAATGGGATTGCTAGGTTGAATGGTAATTCTGTTTTTAGTTCTTTGAGAAATTGCCAAACTGCTTTCCACAGGGACTGAACTAATTTGCATTCCTACCAACAGTGTGTACGTGGTTTTTTTTTTTTCAGCTTTGTCAACATTTGTGGGTTTGTTTTTTTTTTTTTTACTTTTTAATAATAGTCTGCCTAGTGTGAGATGGTATCTCATTGTTATTTTGATTTGTATTTCTGATGATTAGTGATGTTGAGCATTTTTTCATGTTTGTTGACTTGCTTGTATGTCTTCTTTTGAGACGTGTCTGTCTTTGCCTGCTTTTTAATGAAGTTTTTTTTCTTGTTGATTTAAGTTCCTTATAGATTTTGGATATTAGTCCTTTTTTGGATGCACAGTTTGCTAATATTTTCTCCTATTCTGTAGGTTGTTTATTCTGTTGATAGTTTCTTTTGATAGTTGGTTTTGGCCCTCAGTGTACCTATCTCCTCAGTCCTGTCTCTTTAGTTTAATTAAATCCAAGTTGTCTGTTTTTATTTTTGTTGCGTTTGCTTTTGAGTAGTTAGTCATAAATTCTTTGCTTAGGCCAATGTTTACAAGAGTATCTCCTAGGTTTTCTTCTGGGGTTTTTACAGTTTGTGGTCTTACATGGAAGTATTTAATCCATCTTGAGTTAATTTTTGTATATAGTGAGACGTAGCGGTCCAGTTTCATTCTTCTGCATATGGTCAGCCAGTTTTCCCAGCACCGTTATAGGGTGCCTGTTCCCCATTGTTTATTTTTCTTGACTGTGTCAAAGATCAGTTGGGTGTAGGTGTGGGGCTTTATTTTAGAGGTCTCTACTCTGTTATATTGGTCTGTGTATCTATTTTTGTACCAGTACCATGCTGTTTCATTAAGTAGCCTTGTAGTATAGCTTGAAGTCAGGTAATGTGATGCTTCTGGCTTTATTCTTTTTTGTTTAGGATTGCCTTGGCTATTCAGGCTCTTTTTGGTTCTATATGAATTTTAGAATAGTTTTTTTCTAATTATGTAAAAAAAATGATGTTGGTAATTTGATAAGACTAGTGTTGAATCTGTAGATTGCTTTGGGCAGTATAGACATTTTAAAGGTATTGATTTTTCCAACCCTCGCTCATGGAATTATTTTCTATTTGTTTGTGTCGTCTGTGATTTCTTTTAACAGTGTTTTATAGTACTCATAGATATCTTTCACCTCCTTGATTAGATGTATTCCTAGCTGGTTTTATTTTATTTTATTTTATTTTTTATTTTTTTCAATTTTGTGGCTACCGTAAATGGGATTGTATTCTTGATTTGGTTTTCAACTTGAACGTTATTCATGTATAGGAATGCTACTGATTTTTGTACATTGATTTCGTATCCTGAGTCTGCTGAAGTGGTTTATCAGGTCTAGGAGTCTTTGAGCAGAATCTTTATATAATTTTACTTCTGCTTTTCCTATTTAGATGCTGTTTATTTGTTTCTCTTGCCTGATTGCTCTGGCAAGGACTTTCAGTACTATGTTGAATAGCAGTGGTGAGAGTGGACATCCTTGCCTTGTTCTTAGGGGAAATGCTTTCAACTTTTGACTGTTCCATATGATATTGGCTATGAGTTTATCATAGATGGCTCTTATTATTTTGAGGTATGTTCCTTCAATGCCTAGTTTATTAGGAGTTTTTATTATAAAGGGATGTTAGATTTTATTGAATGCTTTTTTCTGGTTCTATTGTGATGATCATATGGTTTTTGTTTTAATTCTGTTTGTGTAGTTAATCACGTACTGATTTGTATATGTTGAACCACCCTTACATCCCAGAAATAAAGCCCACTTGATCATGGGGAATTGACTTTTTGATGTGCTGCTGGATTTGGATTACTAATATTTTTTGAGGATTTTCGCATCTATGTTCATCTGGATGTTGGCCTGTAGTTTCCTTTTTTTGTTGTATCATTGCCAGATTTAGGTATCAAGATGATGCTGCTTTCATAGAAGAAGTTAGGGAGGAGTTCCTCCTACTTGATTTTTGGGGGATAGTTTCAGTAGAATTGGTACGAGCTCTTCCTTGTACGGCTGGTAAAATTTGGCTGTGAATCTATCTGGTCCAGGGATTTTTTGGTTAAGTTTTTCATTACTGATTTCGTTTAATTACTCATTATTGATCTGTTCAGGATTTCTGTAAACACACTAATCTTGAATGGTTTTTTTTCTACTTTTCCAACTGCTCCTTCTGTTTCTCTGTGTCTTCATGTCTCCTAATGTAGGTGCTCCTATTATGTCTCCTAATGTAGGGTGCTCCTTTTCTCCCAGGCACACAAAACCAAGTGCTATTTGGTTTTGGCCCGCAATGTACCTACCTCCACATTTCTAGCTCATACTTAACTTCCAGTTGGGGTATGTGTGTGTGTATCTGTTTCTCTCTCCTTTCCTTGTAGTCCAATTTAGGTCTTTATGTTTTACAAGAATGATTTCCATGTAATAACTACTTTCTTCTACTTCTCACCTCCCAGTGGAGCCTCAGTTGCCACAGTAAAAGAGGTTAACCTACCTTAGCACCTTAAATTCCTCTATTTATCTGAGTAGTTGTCTAAGAGTATTCTTTTTACCTTACTACCTTTGAATACTGTTTTGTATTCTGTTATGAGGTGGTTAGTCCAGTGTGGCCACAATAGGTGACATAAGAAAAGCTCAGGAAAACAAAGTTTATTATACTCACAGGTCCTAGAGACAGGAGGCACAGCACACCATGCAGGGTCACATGGGGAAGACACCAGAGTGGTGAGGAGGCAGAATATAGGAGTGAGTGGAAGGTTTAGGCCACTACCTTTGCTGGAGTTTCTAAAGGGGAATAGTTAGGCCATCACCTTTTTGCAGTGGCATGATCGTAGCTGGTTGCAGCCTCGAGCTCCTAGGCTCAAAGGATCCTTCCTGCCTCAGCCTCTGAGTAGCTGGAATTAGAGGGGAAAGCTACCCACTGGCTCTAGGCCACTACTTTTGTTGGGGTTTCTGTGGGAAAGTCAGGACAGAGTAAACAGTTTAGGATTGGCTAATTTGAATAATTTTAGAGGGCTTTGGGACCACCTAGGGGTCGTCTCTAGTTGCCCAGTACCTGGCCCTAGGATGAAGGCAGAATATTGCCTGTAGAGTCTGATTGAGGAAGTATAGCTCTAGATTGGTTAGTTTGTGTATCAAAGACATGCTCCTGACTGGGCCCTTTGCTGTCTCCAAGAATTGACTAAACCTGGGAGGGGCAGTCTCTCCCCAGCCAGAAAGGTTTTTATGATGTCAAAATATCATAATACATTAAAAATGTAAGAACATTTTACAATACAGAGACCATGCCTTCAGCTCCTCCTCCCCCCCAAGGCAGAACCAGGGCACTTAAATACTATTACCAGTAGACCATTGTACCAGGGATACTAGACATCAATGTCTCTGTTACTTAGTGCTTTGTGACTTATAAGAAGCTTTGATAGCATTTTTATGGCAACTTGAAAGTGGAACCAGTATATAGAATTTTCACAAACTCCATGAGAGTGGAATATTTGGTTCTGGAAGACCTCCTATTAGTAGTGTGTTAATCTTTTAAGTGCTTGTCTCGGTTTTTCAAAATCTCATATTCTTTTAGTCTTGTTGATTTATTTAATATATCTTGAGCATGTTTCTCTAATGGTGAACAGTCTCTTTTTCCTCCAGTTTTATTGAGGTATGATTGACAAAATAATATAATGCTGTACTATCTTAAAATCTCCACAAAGGGACTGATATCCTGCATAGAGATAGAGATAACAACTAATGACAAAACGCATGACTTTAAAATAGTGAAACTTCTACATGTGGCTTATGGAAGTGACTACTTACTTGACTAGAATGTCTCGTTGTGGAAAAAAATAAAAAATAAAGGAGGTGATTCTAATTACATTTTATTTTCACGCAAGTTTTCAATTACTTGACACAAGCATGCATTCTTAATTTTACTAACTGTATATGTCTAAGTAGTTCTGTAGTTTTCTATTTGTGGAAGACTTTAGGAAAAAATAGAAGCGATTTTATGATTTTTAGAAAGTGAAATATTCATACATATCTTTTATAATTATCTCAAGGAAACAAATAGGGCTCTGCTTCATGTTCTATACCTAATTATTCATTCTTATTTAAGTAATACATCTGCCAGAAATTAGGATGTGTATATTGGCAGACGTTAGCACTGTCTTACAAACACTGCTGTAAGGTTCTAACTTTGTGCTCTTCTGACTGGTTTGCTCTGGATGTGTGTGCACATGTAAGTGTAAGGATGGGAAGAATGGGATGTTTGAGTGGTAGGAAATGGAAGTGTAGAACCATATCCATGGTCTAGACAATTCTTAGAGATTCCTGTGGCCTATTATATTTTATTCAGTACATAATGTTCTGGCTTTTTAAAATAATAACTGGATATAGTAATTTGAAAACAATGTATTATAATCCCTTAGAAAATATTTCTGGGTGTTAGGGTGGCATGTCTTTCCATAAATTAGCCCTATTCTAATATCAGATCACAGCAGAAGTGGTTAAAAAGCTCTTGCATGGCTCACGCCTGTAATCCCAGCACTTTGGGAGGCCGAGGCGGGCGGATCACGAGGTCAGGAGATCGAGACCATCCCGGCTATAACGGTGAAACCCCGTCTCTACTAAAAATACAAAAAATTAGCCGGGCGTAGTGGCGGGCGCCTGTAGTCCCAGCTACTTGGGAGGCTGAGGCAGGAGAATGGCGTGAACCCGGGAGGCGGAGCTTGCAGTGAGCCGAGATCCCGCCACTGCACTCCAGCCTGGGCGACAGAGCGAGCTCCGTCTCAAAAAAAAAAAAAAAAAGCTCTTGCATAACATTTTTTTTTCTTTCTTTCTTTCTTTTTTTTTTTTTTGAGACAAGTTTTAGCTCTATTACCCAGGCTGGAGTGCAGTGGCGTGATCTCGGCTCACTGCAACCTCCACCTCCTGGGCTCAAGCCATTCTCCCTCAGCCTCTGGAGTAGCTGGGACTTCAGGCGCACACCACCACACACCTGGCCGATTTTTTATAGAGACAGGGTTTCACCATGCTGCCCAAGCTGACCTCGAACTCATGAGCTCAAGCCATCTACCCACCTTGGCCTCCCAAAGTGCTGGGTTTACAGGCATAAGCCATTACACCCAGCCTCGCATAACATTTTGAAAAATATAATTACAGCAGGGCCCTTGCTAATGAGATACATGCAGCAATCTGTTGTTTAGGATTAAAGGAATTAGTACAGCTATTGTTTTCTTTATGCTTATCATGGAGAAGGTTGCTTTTTGCCATCAGATTGCTATTCATTAAAGTGTTCAGAGTTAATAATAAGTCTTTCTTGCTCTTGGCAAAGTCGCCAGTGAATTTCTTCTGTCTAAGCCACATATCAAGTAGGCTGAAAAATAGAAGAGAGCCTCAGGGTGTCTTTGAACTCTGTTCCTGTGCTAGCTGCTCCAGTTGCTGCATTCACATCTGAATTTTCACATACCATCTTATGATTGTAATTTATTATTTATATTTTTGTTTCTGTTTCTTAAGCTTTATCAGTGTTTGTGTACTTGTCATGCAGTCCTGCTTTTAGAAGATAAACCAGTTTACTGTTTCCTTTCTTTTGAATCCCTTCTCCTTGGAGGTACTTAGAAAAGTACTTATGCAAAATAGGTGCCTGATGAATGTTGGTAACTGAAATCTAGTGCTTTATTTCATTTATTTCTTTTAATAGTTGAAATTATTTTGCTTGCTTTCTAGGCACACAAACCAATGGTCTGGACTTTCAGAAGCAGCCTGTGCCTGTAGGAGGAGCAATCTCAACAGCCCAGGCGCAGGCTTTCCTTGGACATCTCCATCAGGTAGGAATGTTCTGCTCAACCATCAGTGAGAGTGAAAGATAGAGGCGTAAAGTACTGGGGCCTGAGGAAGTTATTTCAGAATGTGGGACCTTTTAAATTATTTAAAGCCTAGTGCTAATTGTGTAATTGTGTCATTCTATTTGGTTAGTATGAAATCCTATGGTTTAGTTGAGTGTATAGTCATTGACCCCACAGGTGTGTGGGAAACAAAAGAATTCCTTGTTGTGAATGGAATGTGTATAACAACTGGTTTATTGTTTTTATAAGTGGGTATCTGTGGTGGCTATCTGATGGTAGCAAATTATCAAAATCATCCAGAAAGATGTAGCTACCATTGCCTGAGACCTGCTGTGTAAGGCTCTGAGCTCCAAGCTCATTTCTGTCCTCTAAAACAGTTCCAGACCATGACAGTTGATTTGGGCAACTACTCAGAGGCTTTTGCTTGACTGTGACCCCCGCACCCTAGTTTGAGGTTCAAAAGACTCTGCCTCAACTTTATTACCCTATGTCACAACATTTTTTTCCCTGGGTCTAAAACAGACCATGAATTCTGTTCATTCATGCTTTAGCTATAATGTAGAGGGAATGGGAATAAAAAAACAAACACTGGCTACTCAATAGTTTTGGAATATGGAAGCTGGTTGAAAATGGAAAACAGTGAAAACAGTTGGGAGCTAGATTATCAGAGTGTCTCAACCTCTTGACTTATGTTCACAATTATATATTAGACCAATATTTTGGTGGTCTATATGTGTTGATAGTAATGGTGCTAGTGATGGTGCCTAATGATGGTAGTGGTAGTGATTCAGTGAAAAACCCATATGTACATAAGACAGGTTACATATTAATATACTGAGTTACTGAGCACTGAATATATACATCTTACTAAAGTCTTTTCATCAAAATATGTCATCAGACCACCTAAACTATAAAAGAAATTCTTCTACTTGAAAACAGGTAAAATCCTGGAAGCTGTTCTAAAGCCCATTTATTTGTTCACAGACTCAAATGGATATCATGTAGGCAGCAGTTATTATCTGTTACAGTGAGGCCTAATGGAACACTTTTGCTCAGGCACATAGCTTCGTTTATATCTTTGAAATGGAAAAACTTTGACATTAACTTCCAGATAAAATATTAAAATGAATTAACATCTAAAATGAATTTTAAAATATATTTTAAATATATCCTAGAAGAAAAAAATGTTTTCATGTTGATTTTTTTTCTAAGAACATATTCAAGCCTCCAGTAATTTTTCTGGGTTCCTAAGAGGAATAGCATTTTTGACAGAATTTAGTCAATTATTTGTCACCTAGTAAGCATCTTTATCTGGCTTAAATATGTGATGGTCCAAATGTATTAAAAAATCACTGAGGGTGCACAGATGATGTGCAGTTTTCTCTGCAGGATCCTTCTGGATCCAAATTCCAAGATGATTGCAACTCTCCCTGTACCAGCTCCAAGACCTCTAGATCTAGCCACTGATTACCAAAATCACAGACCCTTCAATACCACCCAGACCAAAGGACTGCAAACAAAAGAATTTTATTTGAAATTGCGACACCATTGAATCTCCCATCAAGACACAAGTCCTTGCATCTGATTAGCTACATAATTAACAGTGTGACACTTGCCTTCTATTTCCAAGCCCCTTATTGACAGAATTAGCACCTTGAACCTTTCCTTACCATAATTATAATATACATACACAAAATCGATGGCTTTAGGTCTGTTGCCCCATTAACTATAAGTTCCATGAAAATGGAAACCTTTTGTTGTTTACCTGTGTCCCAGCATTTACCAAAGAACCCCATAATACAATAGGTGTTCAGTAATTATTTGTTGAATAAAGTCATAGATGACTAAATGGTCAAGTATGAGACTACTGAGGAAGAAATGATTAGCTTACCCTGTACAATCTAAGACATTTCTCTCAGGGTGATTTTTGAGCTGAGTCTTGAGGGGTGTTGGAAACTAGCTAAATGGAGTTGGTAAAGGAATGCTCTCTTCTTTTTATTTTTAACTTCCTATTTTAAAAAAACTTTCAAATTTGTAAGAGTTACAACAATAGAACAGTGTTCATCTGAAAGCCCTTCACCTAGAATCACCAGTTGTTACTATTTTACCATATTTGCTTTATACCATATGTGTATATGTATGTATGTACACATACAAAATACATTTTGCTTTTACCATATGTGTATATGTATGTATGTACACGTACAAATTTTTTTTTTTTGAAATGAGGTCTTATTATGTTGCCCAGGTTGATCTGCAACTCCTGAGCTCAAGGGATCTTCTTGCCTTGCATCTAACTGTGATTATAGGCGTACACCATGGCACCGAGCCAAAAAAAATTGTTTTTTGCTAACCCCTTTGAAAGTTGCAGACATTATAACCATTTACTTCTAAATACTTCAGCATGTTTTTCCTAAAAACAGCATTCTCTTATAAAACTGCAGTGCAAATTTCAAATTCCAGAAATTTAACATTGATACGATATCATTTTCCAATATTGGCCCATATTTATATACTTCCTGCCCACAATCCAGTCCATACTTTGCGTTTAGCTGTCATGTCTGTTAAGTCTTCTTCAATCCAGAACAATTCCTCAGCATGTCTTTGTCTTTCATGATATTGGCATTTTTGAAGAATAGAGGCCAGCTGTTTGATAGAATGCCCATTTAACTTGAATATGATTGTTCCCTCAACGGCTGAACCCAAGTTATGCATTTTTGAAAGGAATACAGCAGAAATGATGCTGAGTCCCTCTCGGTGCATTCAGAAGCCGTATCATATTGCTTTGTCCCATTATTGTGATATTAAGTTTGATTATTTTATTAAGGTAGTGTTTATTAGATTTGTCCACTGTAAATATGTCTTTTTGCCTCCTGGTAAGTAATACTCTGTGAGGCAGTACTTTAAAGACTGTGTAAATATCCCATTCCTCAACAGACTTTTACCCTGAAACGTAATAAGTAAAAATCACATAAAATTTTTATCTTCTTCAAATCTTTGTACCTGAAGTTCTTTCCTTGGGCTCTTTGACTTCTTAGCCTTTAGGCCTTAAACATATTATCTGTTCAGATAGGCCTCTCCTGATTACACTGTATTTTAAATGTGTTCTACATATGTCTTCAGATTTTGGTTTTTTGTTTTTGTGTTTGAGGGTTCTCATCTACTAACAGGACTAGCAGTTTCAAATAAAGGACATAGTAGTCAATTCATTTTAGCTCTTAACTCTTCACTGAGCTCCATACCAACATTTATATTTAATCTCAGGACATCTTGATGCTATCTGGTGTATACAAAATGGAACTCATTATCTTCTCTGTCCCTGTTAGTGGTACTACCATTTTCCAGTTGCCCAGATTTGAACCCTGGAATAATGCATGACTCTCTTTTTTTAATCTAAATCCAGTCAGGATCCTTATGTAGTGCATTGCAGAGACTTTCATGTTTCCTACTTTTTATTCCCACTGCCACCATTCTAGTTTAGTTTTCCATTTATTCTAGCCTAGTTTATAGTCTCTTTCTCCCTCCTCAGTCTTTCTTTGTTTCAGGACATTGACTGTTTTGAACAGTGTACACTGGTTATTTTGTAGTGTTTCTCAGTTTGGGTTTGTCTGATTTTCATCATGATTAGATTCAGATTCTACACTTTTGTTAGGGATGCAGCATAAGCAATGCTGTATTCCTCTCAGTGCATCTTAGCAGAAGGCCTGTGTCTCCTTCCTGGTGACTCTTGTTTGTGCTCACTTGATTATTTGTCTGCCAGGTTTCTCCACTGAAAAGATACTATTTTACCCTTTGTGAGTATCAAGTATCATTGGAGACATAGCTGAGAATATGTAAATATCCTGTTACTCCTCAGATTTCTCACCCATTAGTTATCCATTGATGACTCTGCCTAAATCATAGTTATTATCATAGTTGCCAAATGATGGTCTTAATTCCATGTGTATCCTTATTTTCACATAACCATGATTTGAACTTTCTGAATGTATGAAATGTATTAAATGTTTTGACAGACTTTTATGTGTGGTTTATAGGGTAGATTTTCTATTTCAGCTAAGAGTTTTAAGTTATGATTATAAATGTTTTAAGGACTTGGCTGTGTGGGTGTGTAAATATATTTCTACTCTGGTGTATACATGGAACATTCAAAATTAAAATAAGTAGATGGTTCTGATTGTTTCTAATAATAAAGAATGTATATAGATAGCTTATATGTTCTTTAACACAATGTGGAAGGTTAATTAAATTTTTAGAATCTTAAGCATTCTGTGAATACAAACAATGTTATGTAAGGAGCATTCAATACAAGTGTGGCATGGCTGATAATGTTCATTTAGTGTGGGAAAACATCTTCAAAAAAAGATTAACAGCATTTTTCTGTGGGACCCGTTGGGGTGGGGTAGGGTGGGTTGAGAAGGGACTGAGCTTGTTCATAAAGTTTTAACTCCGTAAGACAAACTTCTTTGTCTTCTCAGTTCTAGCTCGGTGACACATAGTAGACTTTATTTAGTGATGACAACCCCTTGTGATGAATGTCAACAGTATTAAACTAGAACTTCCCCTGATTACTTATAGGTCCAACTCGCTGGAACAAGTTTACAGGCTGCTGCTCAGTCTTTAAATGTACAGGTAAGCTGGGACCTGGGATTATGGGTCAATCTTTTATTTATTTTTTCTTATATTTTTCTGTAGTGAGCATATATTTTATAATAGGAAATGCTTAGAAGTATTACCTTTTCAAAATTAGTGAATCTCGTGAAGATTCAAATAATGATAATTATTACCATTAATGAAAATCAGTTTTATATTATGCTACTGTGCATGAACCAAAAATGGACAGGAAAAGTCTACTTTCAAAGTTGTATGTGTAAGTTCAGTAAAAATGTTTCTAAGTTATACTGCTATAACACATACCTAAACACACAGCCTGAAAGTTCTCTTAAATGCCAGTTTGTTTCCAAAAGACTTGTTATTTATCATTTTTGATGTCTTAGGGAGACCTTATAGGGAAGAGGAAAGAACACTGGACTGAGACACAAGGGTCTTAGGTTTGCATTCTCATTCTGCCACTGACTAGCTGTGTGACCTTTGGCAAGTCACATAACCTCCTTGGGTTCAGTTTTTCTCATCTGTACTTAAGTGGGGACATTTATAAGATTGCCAGGGTTCCTCTCCATCCTAAAATGTTAGGCTTCTAATAATTGTAATTAAACCTGTTTGTAGATGTTGGTGGATAGACAATCAAAATCTTAAAACTTAAATCTGGCCACTTTCCTTCTTTGAACCATATGGCACAACATGCAAAGTTCAAGTGTTAGACATTGCCCTCTTAATATTTCTATCAACCTGCTGGTTCCTTTCATTATAGTGTTTAGGTAACTAGCAGTCAAGAGGGAAAGACAGTATTATGGAAGATTGATTTCAGTGTTGCTAATGACTAAAGACCTTGGGTTGAGCATTTCATGAAACCCAGTTGAATATGGACCTAGTAACACGTAGGAACAAGGAGAGAAAAGAAAAAGAGATAATGTGACCTTACTTTCTGAGGGAGAGGAGGCGGAAAATTGCCTTGGTTGCCATGGTAAACTTTCATCCCTTAGAGAGATGTTGGCAAACAGGCTGTATCTCCAGTGCAGAATGTTTACAGTCCTGCACTGTAATTATCTCTCAATGACTGGCAGAATTAATCAGAGCATTTATGTTAATTAGCCTTGCTGCAGTCCCCAAAACAGGTGGTGAGAAATATGCAAATCTATGCAGAATTTTAATGCTTTGCATAACCAGTTTTAATTACCGTAAAATTTTCTCTTCGTGCCCCTCTCTCTTGACTGCAGCATTTTCTCTCTGAGCTTGTGTGTTAGTTGATGGGAGTTGCTAGATTTACCGTTCTGTAAAATATTAGGTGGAAAGTTCTGTGGATCAAGTGATCATTCTCTGAGATGGTATATGGAGAAGTTTCAGACTGACCACCAGGTGTATGTTAAAATATTGGTTTGGAAGGTCTAATGTAGAGGTGAATTGAAAATATATTCTTCCCTTTACCCCCTATTTCTAGAGTTGAGGAATTGGGGGCTATGAAAAAAATCTATAAATTTGTGGGGGATGACTTTATTTTTAAAAATTGTAATAGCAGCTTTGCTGGCATTAGAATTAACAAGTTTAAAAACTTGGTATGTGAAACTAGGAAA
Organism: Homo sapiens; assembly: GCF_000001405.40. NCBI lineage: Eukaryota > Metazoa > Chordata > Mammalia > Primates > Hominidae > Homo > Homo sapiens. The sequence goes on from NC_000001.11 coordinate 167,371,774, forward strand.
ATACAAATAAAAGAAAGGAGGTAAACCAGAACTCATGACTGAATAAGCTCATGTTTTAAATGATTCCTAAAAGATGGGGTTTTAAGTACATTTCTTTTAATCAACCATTTGCAATCTTTTATTTCCTACCCACCCCACCTCAGTCTAAATCTAATGAAGAATCGGGGGATTCGCAGCAGCCAAGCCAGCCTTCCCAGCAGCCTTCAGTGCAGGCAGCCATTCCCCAGACCCAGCTTATGCTAGCTGGAGGACAGATAACTGGGGTAAGTGTTCACTGAGAGAATTATAACAAACTTTTTCTGTGTCAGAACTGCCATTGGCCAATAGCTGATTAGAATTGTTCACCATAGCTGGTAGTAACATGGCTATGCCTGGCACTATTGTGTCTTTAAGGAACTTCCTACACTGTAGGTAGTAAGTTGCTCTGAAAAAGGAATTATCTTTGTCGTAAGTTTTCAGGATATCTTTTATTAGAATTGTGGATGCTCTGGATAAATTAAAAACCTTATTAAACCCCTGTTTCAGGTGTTGCTTCATCATGCAATGGAGTAATTATCATATGGTTGAGATCATTACACTGAAAATGGCAGTTATCCATTTGGCATTAAGACATCACTGCAGGGTAGAAGTTAAAGAATGGATTAGTACCTGCAAAAGAAAAACATTTTTCTTTAAGTTACTGTGTAATGATCTAAAATAAAGCATGTGGCTTCATATCCTAGCTCTGCAACTTACCGTATGGCCTAATTACTTCATTTCCCTCTACCTGTTTTCCTTCTGTTAAATGGAGATACTAATAATACCTATCTCACATTACTGTTGTAAAGATTGGAGATAATACATGTAAAACTTATAGAACGGTGCTTGGCATGTAGCATTCAACAAATATTGTTTATTTTTGTACTTGATCTTAGCCAAAAGGCTGAGACGTTCTGTCATTTATTTTTTATGGTTAATAAATTGGCCTGTTTGGCTATATTAAGCTTTTAAGTTTTCAGCTGTCTTTTCTCTAAGGCACCATTCAAAATATTTTTCCAATGTTGAAAATTTGTGTATTAAATTATCTTTGTGGGGGTTGGTTTAGGGCAATGGTAAGGAATAGTTTTTATTCAATTCACATCACATTAACTCCCAAGAATTTCCTAGGGTTTTTTGTTTTCTTTCTTTCTTTCTTTCTTTTTTTCCCAGTTAAGTGTGTTTTGTCAGTGGACAACTGTTTTAAGAACTGTTGCAAAATTGTTCACAAAATCCCATGAGTAGAGATGTATGTATATATATATTATGTAAAAATTAAAAATATATCTATACTTTATATACACACATATCCCTTGAAGGGTATTGAGTTTTTGAATGGTTTGGTTTTGAGCCTTATGTTTCTAATGCACAAATTGTGTTTGATTCTTTTAGAGGAGGTTGTGGCACTAAGTGACTGTACATATACTTCAGAAAATTATGGTTCCATCTTGTTTGATCAATCAGAACTTGTCACCAAAAGAAAAGTAGAACACATTTACTACTTTAAGTGTGTTTGAAATAAGTTGCATTATGAAAACAACTTTAAATATGCTCTAAATACATTTCCTACTTTACTATTTGGGTCTTGTTTTTGGTGACTAGTGTCTACAATAGTAAGAGGGAGTTGGGATTCTAGGTTCCTTTGGCTGGAGCTTCTGTTAAACCTGGGCATTAGGGTTCATTTGCATGTAAAGAGAACGGCTATCACCACCTGTTTCATAGAGATAATGTGTTGGAAAGGAGATGTAAAGTTGCAGAGACTCAGTGCTTTCAATAACAGAAAAGATTGTGTTAGGGAGGGGCCTGTAGGGAGACTTGGAAAAGAAACAAATGGAGCTCATATTCTTTAGTCATATCTTTGGACTTAATGGAAATGATGGAATATGGCAGGGATTCATGCTAATGGGAAGCAGCTGGGCCTTATCAGTTCTTTCCTTGGTTATATCCAGCATCCTTGTTCCTCATTCATCTGACTAATCACTTGCTGTTTGGTTGTGTGTAAATGTATTTTCATATCTTGTCAGTGGTGATTCTTTTTTTTTTTTCTTGCTTACTAGTTAATTACTTTTTTGCCCAAACCCTAGGGCCCTGGACAAGCTTGAATGATTAAGTCCATAGTGGGGACCACCATTTTAATTTAAATGTTCTGCTAGTAATGGTAGTTTGATCACTGATGAACATTTTAGCTGTCTGCTAAGCAAGTGAAGTTGGGTAGCTGGGGACTGATATCATTTGAGTTACCTATTTTAAAGCAGTTGGCTTGCATTAGGAGACTTTCTCCTTCAACACTTTCCCATAATGTGTTCTGGTTTTGTTTAGCTTACTTTGACGCCTGCCCAGCAACAGTTACTACTCCAGCAGGCACAGGCACAGGCACAGCTGCTGGCTGCTGCAGTGCAGCAGCACTCCGCCAGCCAGCAGCACAGTGCTGCTGGAGCCACCATCTCCGCCTCTGCTGCCACGCCCATGACGCAGATCCCCCTGTCTCAGCCCATACAGATCGCACAGGTGAGTGAGGAACTCCAATAGCTGGGGCAGCAAGTGAGGAATAAAGTGGCAGGTTTTATTTAATGTTAGATTAACTTTTTGATTGTTAGTGTGGGGCCTTAACTGCCTGAGGAGCTCTAGATCAGTGAGGTAAGCGGTACCCTTCCTTACCACTGAATTAGAAATAATGTTTGTTTGCTTATTGTAGTTGATATTGTAAACATATAGCTGATTATTTGAATAACTGACTTTATATTAAGTGACAATTCTTGAATAATTAGCTGGCATATTTTTGAAGCAGGGGATTACTGTATTTATTTTAATTAGCTAATTACAGCAGACATGGATTTTTTTTCATGTGCTCTGCGGTGAATGTTGCCACCCATGTGTGAGACAGTGAGTCATCTCTGCTATGGAGTGATTAACATTATTGCATTAGAATGTTGTTTGGTTTCAATTTTCACATTTTAGGGCAAAGTATCTAGAGATAATAAAAATTTATTTAAGAAGCGCCAGGCGCGGTGGCTCACGCCTGTAATCCCAGCACTTTGGGAGGCCGAGGCGGGCGGATCACTAGGTCAGGAGTTCGAGACCATACTGGCTAACACGGTGAAACCCCATCTCTACTAAAAATACAAAAAATTAGCCAGGTGTGGTGGCAGGTGCCTGTAATCCCAGCTACGCGGGAGGTTGAGGCAGGAGAATAGCGTGAACCCAGGAGGTGGAGCTTGCAGTGAGCCGAGATCGCGCCACTAAAAAAAAAAAAAATTAAGAAGCATACACAATAGTACCAAGGAGGAAAATAAATAAAATCTTTAATCTCAAGAAGAGGAAAAAGGTATAAGTAGATATATCAGTAAAATATATGAAGAGTTATTATGAGTCTAATTGTTAGACAGCTGTCTTTATCCGTCTCAGAAAAGACTCAGAAATGGACTTAACTTGTAGCAAGAGTTTGACTAACCATTTAAAAAGAACTAATTAACTGTAAGAGTAGAGAATAAATATCAGACTAGTCTTTATACAATCTTTATCAAGATAATGTTTTGATTTTGGCCACTTTCTCATCACCAAATAAATGTTTTTAGTGCCTAAGCTGTGAGACCCTATATTAACATTAGTCTAAATAAGATAACGTTCATGAAAACACTTTGAAAATTATAAAACAGTAGGCCAATGTAAGGTGCTATTGTTGTTAGGGATTAAATTTTTATATGGATAGCTATTTTTGGTTTTAAAAAATTGAATACTTTAGAACATGTGGAAAAGGGCAAAAAAATTGAATACTGATTTTTCAGTTGAGTTAGATAAGCTGTTGTCAAATGTCATAAGTCATTATAGGCCCTTTATTGATGGAAATTCAGACATAACACGATCAATTTTTATTTAAGAGAAAGATCAATCAAATATTTAAAAACTGTTTTCTCACTTGATTTTTAAAACCCATATTGGTCTTTACATGATAAAAAACAGAAGTATATTTGTTCTGAGGGAATTTTAAAGAAACATTGAAAATTAGGCTTATCATAACAATATATGTCAGTCCACAAAAATAGTCAGTTGCAGAGGCTCCAGGTTGCTTCACGTGCTTTGTCAAGCACACACAGAGCATACCCTGTTTGGAATATGAAAGCATGCGAAGTATTTACTCTTCTTTATTTGGATGTGACAGAAGTCATCAGCTGGAAGCCTTATAATTAAGCGAACTTTTATTTCAGAATCTCCAATCCATGTTTTAATTCCAATTTTTCAGGATCTTCAACAACTGCAACAGCTTCAACAGCAGAATCTCAACCTGCAACAGTTTGTGTTGGTGCATCCAACCACCAATTTGCAGCCAGCGCAGTTTATCATCTCACAGACGCCCCAGGGCCAGCAGGGTGAGCTCCTCCTTAGAGCTTATTAGTGGTATACCAAGGCTGTTCGCTGAATGTTACACATGCATGAACTACTATCATTTTGGCCCTGAAACTATTAGACCAATGTTTTTATTAAATTTTATTTGATTATAAACTTTCGTTTAAAAAAAGTTTTGTTTTGTTTTTTGTCATAAATACCACATTATTGAAGGTTGCCCTGAACTGCCATTCATCTGCTTAATCACTAAGGAAGAACCAAGAGTTTGGCCAAAAGTCTAAGTGAAATTATTCAACATGCCAAACATAAATTGGATAAGTTGCTGCTAGTGTTTTGATTGTTTTTCATGGAAGTGTATTCAAAGAATATAGACTGAGTGTTGAAAGTATGTGCTTCTAACCATTGTTTTTTTAATTTAAGGAGGGAAGACTGCTATAATAGAAACTACAAATTTCGTGAGTTATAAAAAACATCTTTGAGTCATTTGAGTGGTAAATGTTATATAATTAATATATCAAACAACCACTCGTCTGTAAGGTCAGTTAATGTAATCAGGGTGAAGAATGTCAGAGTATCAAGGCTTCAACCCAAGGAACATTAGTGCATCACTAATGATTCTTTATTATTTCTGAGTGGGTTTTTTTGCCTTTTTTCTTCTTGATCATTCATTCCAAAATCTTTTGTCATGAAATAATTATTCTAGCATATATTCAAGATTCAGAGATAAGTAATTCAGTATTTACTTGCAGAGGGCTCACAATTTAGTGGCAGGGAAACAGACCTAAATTATGTTAGATTTGATATGCACACAATGCTATGGGAACCAAGCAAAGAGACCCCTGTAACTTTGTGCTCAGATAAGTCTTCACAGTGAATTTGGGAAAATACATTCATAGGCTTACAAAAGAGAGAATGTCAGTCTTGGAAAATGAACAGCATTTGCAAACCTTAGAAACATGGAAGAAAAATCAATAAGCTGTGTTTGAGAACTATAAGTAGTGCCTTACAACTGCAGAATAAGTTTGCATATGCAGGTAATAGTGAAATTTGAACCCAGAAAGATTAGCAGAGACCAGATCATTAAAGAACCTTAGATTAAGTTTCCAGGAGTTTGACCTTAAATCCTATAGCTTAGTGCTTCCTAAGATTTGATTTATTTAAGAGTCATTAATGGCCAGGCGTGGTGGCTGACGCCTGTAATCCCAGCACTTTGTGAGGCCGAGGCAGGCAGATCACGAGGTCAGGAGATCGAGACCATCCTAGCTAACACAGTGAAACCCCATCTCTACTAAAAATACAAAAAAAATAGCCAGGCGTGGTGGCAGGCGCCTGTAGTCCCAGCTACTCAGGAGGCTGAGGCAGGAGAATGGTGTGAACTGGGAAGGCAGAGCTTGCAGTGAGCCAAGATTGAACCACTGCACTCCAGCCTGGGTGACAGAGTGAGACTCCGTCTAAAAAATAAAAAAATTAAAAAATCACTTGAGGAATTAGAAAAGTTTCCTGAGCCCTAACCCCAACCTCCCAATTACTTTTTTTCTTATTTTTAAACTATTAGGTTCAGGGTTACACTCAGGTTTGTTATGTAGATAAACTACATGTCATAGGGATTTGATGTACAGATAATTTCATCACCCAGGTAATAGGCATAATACCTGATAGGTAGTTTTTTCGATTCTCATCCTCCTCCCACCCTCTACCCTCAAGTAGGCCCTGGTGGCTGTTGTTCCCTTCTTTGTGTACATATGTACTGAAAGTTTTATGGCTGTATAGTATTCCGTTGTGTATATGCACCACATTTTTTTTAATCCAGTCTAGTGTTGATGGATATTTAGGTTGATTCCATGTCTTTGCTATTGTGAATAGTGCTGCAATTAACATACGCATGGGTATGTGTCTTTATGGCAGAAAAATTTATATTCTTTTGGGTATATACCCAATAATGGGATTGCTGTATCAAATGGCAATTCTAAGTTCTTTGAGAAATCGCCAAACTGCTTTCCGCAATGGCTTAACTAATTTACATTCCCACCAGCAGTGTATAAGTGTTCCCTTTTCTCCACAACCTCGCCAGCATCTGTTATTTTTTGAGTTTTTTTGTTCTTTGTTTTTTGGGATTTTAAGAGATGGAGTTTCACTCTTGTTGCCCAGGCTGGAGTGCAATGGCACGATCTCGGCCCACCGCAACCTCCGCCTCCCAGGTTCAAGCAATTCTCCTGCCTCGGCCTCCCAAGTAGCTGGGATTACAGGCATGCGCCACCATGCCCAGCTAATTTTTTTTTTTTTTTTTTTTTGAGACATAGTTTCACTCTTGTTGCCCAGGCTGGAGTGCAGCAGCACAATTTCAGCTCACTGCAACCTCTACCTCCTGTGTTCAAGCGATTCTCCTGTCTCAGCCTCCTGAGTAGCTGGGATTATAGGCGCCCGCCACTATGCTGGGCTAATTTTTGGTTTTTAGTAGAGATGAGGTTTCACTATGTTGGCCAGGCTGGTCTCAAACTCCTGATCTCGGGTGATCCGCCCACCTCGGCCTCCCAGAGTGCTGGGATTACAGGCGTTAGCCACTGCATCAGGCCTTTTTGTTTTTTTGTGTTTTTTTGAGATGGAATAAATAGGAAATGGATTCACAGGCTCCTCGTTCTTGCTCTATTTGTTTGTTTGTTTTTGAGATGGAGTTAAATGGCATGATCTTGGCTCACTGCAACCTCTGCCTCGCGAGTTCAAGCGATTATCCTGACTCAGCCTCCCAAGGAGCTGGGATTACAGGCATGCGCCACCACACCCAGCTAATTTTGACTTTTTTTTTTTTTTTGAGACAGAGTCTTGCTCTGTCACCCAGGCTGGAGTGCAGTGGCACAATCATGGCTCACTGCAGTCCCAGCCTCTTGGGATCAAGCAGTCCTCCCACCTTAGCCTTCAAAGCAGCTGGGAGTACAGTGTGTACTACCTCACCTGGCTAATTGAGAAAAAAAAAAAAGTTTTTTATAGAGACATGTCTTGCTGTGGTTGCGCAGGCTGGTCTTGAACTCCTGGGTTCAAGCGATCCTCTTGCATCAGCCTCCCAAAGTGCTGGGATTATAGGCATGAGCCACTGTATCTGGACTCACTTAGAGGAGTCTAATGTGAATGGCCCAATATCTTCCAATAAGAAAGTCTTCTGTCAACTCTACTAAACCACAGATTTAATCAGAAAAGTGGCATTTCCAAGTTTTTATTTAATAAAGTTCATGTTGAAACTTGGGTAGGGAAAATTGGTAAATAAGTAGGTAGATGGACAGGACCTGGTGGCCAGTTATATTTGATTAATGATAGGAAAGAAGTATCTAGGTATAATGCCTGGGTTTTTAGGAAACTACGAGGGTTGATAGGGTCAGAGAAAATATATATGTAGTGTTAGAAGAACCTTGGTGAAACCAACCTTTTAGGTGTAAAGGATTAAGTAGATTCAAAAGATACTGCATTTTCAGAAGTCAAAAACTAGTGGAGAGTGGTAATCGCAATGGAAGAAAATGCCAAGAGGGAAGGAGAAAGTGACCTAGATCAGAAAGACTTAGGAAGGTCAATGCAAAGTGTGTTTATTAGATTTGTTAATTGCCAAAGCCTTAAGATAGAATGAGATTGCCTTCATTCACTTTCAGCAAAGCCAAGGGCGTTGTCTTTCCCTTTTCATATCTGGGACCTCATTTTATTTCAATTTTATTTGTCTCAAATCAAGATAGTAGGAATAATGAATTACTGTTCATTCTGATTTTTTGGTACTTGCAAAAGTATGTGTATGTTTTTAAACACTCCCCCAACTTCCAGACTTTTATAAGATTGGGAAAATAGCACAGATAATGTAATACTGATTGGCCTTAGAGCCAGTGACCCTGGACAACTCACCTAACCTTTCTGAGTTTCCCATATTTCCCTTTTTATCTTCCCCTTCACTTACATGGGTGAATTACAAAAAAAGTTTTACTACCCTAACATCAGGAAGGTCATTATAATGTAGTAGCAAAGAGCATAGACTCTAAAGCCAAACTGTCTCTTTGTGAATCTTGGCTCTGCCACTTACCTGTGTGTCCTGGGGAAAGTTAACTTTATGGGCCCCTGTTTCCTCAACTGTGATATTAGGATACTTTCAGTGTTCACCTCTAAGAGTTGTAGGGAGTCAACGAGTAAACACATGTAAGGCACCTTTTAGAAAGCTGCCTCCTACATAGTAACCTTTCTAAATCTTTGCTGCTGTTACCATTATGACATTATCATGATACCAGTATCATCCTCAGTCAACAAACGATAGATAACTCAGAGAATGAAAAGGTTGTTCCTTTATATAGTTTCCCTAGAATCACCTTGTACCACTGCTGCTGAGTTGCAATCATTCGTTAGTCGTATGTGACCTAGATTCCATTTTCTAAGATTATTCAACAATGTAGAGGATCAGCGTAGTGGAAATACGTCTATAAACATTTCTAAGAATTGAATTCATTGTAATTAATAGCATCAGAGAAGCTGAAAATCCAAAGAGCTAATCTCTTAACTTCATGATGGAGGACAAAGATTTTATCTTTTGGAATTTTAATAATGTTTCCAGCATGAGATTAGCCTTCAATATTGATTTCTGGAATTCTGTTTTCCCTTGTTTTTCATTGATTAACCTAAAACTTTTGAGATGTAGTTCATATTTTTGGTAATATTGCTATGATTATATAACTGTAACTGTCTAGAATTTAATTTCTAGCAAGGGAAATTTAAGCCTTTTCCTCAGAATTATTTTTCATGGGAAAATTCTTACTGATAGATTACTGGACTTGAGTCATAATTTATTGGTTATCTTATTCTGCCCTATCTACTCTCAGCACTAATTATAAAAATAATCAAAGAAATGTTTTTGGTTAGAAAACTGTTGTTCATTTGAGTTTTGTTTGGGTTTTCATTGTTTAGGTAAGGGAAAGTGGCAAGCGTTTTTTTTTTGTTGTTGTTTTTGAGATGGAGTCTTGCTCTGTCGCCCAGGCTGGAGTGCAGTGGTGTGATCTTGGCTCACTGCAACCTCCGTCTCCCAGGTTAGAAGGATTCTTCTGCCTCAGCCTCCTGAGTAGCTGGGACTACAGGCGCATGCCACCACGCCTGGCTAATTTTTTTGTATTTTTAGTAGAGACTGGGTTTCACCGTGTTAGCCAGGATGGTCTCGATTTCCTGACCTCATGATCCACATGCCTCGGCCTCCCAAAGTGCTGGGATTACAGGCGTGAGCCATGGCGCCTGGCCAAGCATTGGTTTTTTAAAAAGTTCTAAACCTCTATGGGCCCTTTCAGCCTTTTCAGCTGACCTTGTTTGGGGGTAAAACCTAAGGTTTGAATTTGTTTACTTATCTGCTTTTGTCTCTTACAGATTAAACTAACTTTCATTGTTAAACTTTAAAGAAACTCCTATGTTGAAATAGCCTATGTTTAATGGAACTTCATTTCTGACCTTTGTGCTCTCTTCTCTTTTTTTTTTTTTTTTTTTTTTTTTGAGACAGAGTCTTGTTTTTTCACCCAGGCTGGAGTACAGTGGCGCAGTCTTGTCTTAACACAACCTCTGCCTCCTGGGTTCAAGCAATTCTCTTGCCTCGCCTCCCGAGTAGCTGGGATTATAGGTGTGTGCCACCACACCCGGTTAATTTTTGTATTTTTAGTAGAGATGGGGTTTCACCATGTTGGCCAGGCTGGTCTTGAACTCCTGACCTCAAGTGATCTGCCTGCCTCGGCCTCCCAAAGTGCTGGGATTACACACATGAGCCACCGCGCCTGGCCCTCTCTTTTTTTATTATTGTTTTTGAATATTCTTTAGTCTTTTCAAAACAATTTTATTTAATTAGTTTTAATAGTTAACATAGTTTTGTTCCTCTAGACTACCCTTCAGTATTTTTCAAACCAGTAAAGTTTGATATTTTAATTAATTCACTCAAAAATTAGTTGAGTGCCTGCTGTGTCATATAGTGCTCTGATAGTTAGGGATGTATTTTGAACAAGATGCAGGCCCTGCCCTCATTAAGAGACGTCAAATAGTAAACATGTAAACAAATGGTTTAGATACCAATAAGTACTAGTCAGGTAGCGGATCATAGTAATCTGGTAATGGTTAACCTAAAGAAGAATGGGCCCATGGTCTGGAAAAGTCTCTCTGGAGAAGCAATATTTGAATTGGGAACTGGTGAGGAAGGATGAGGGAGAGGTTACCACACCTAGAATCTGAAGACAAGAGTCTTGTAGGCAAAGGAATGTGAAACACCTGAGATGGGAACAGCTTGACCTGATCCAGGAAAAGAAAAGCCAAAGTAGCTGGAGTTCAGTGAGTCAAAGGAAGTGGTAGAAGTTGAGATACGATAGCTAGACAGGGCCAGATACCTAGGGCTGCATAGATTTTGTTCTAATTCTAATATAAGGCCATGACAGCATTTTAATTGGGAAATAATAAGATTATAAAGATCACCCTAACTATTATATGGAGATTGAACTATAGGGAGACACTTGGGGAAGGAGGATGGTCATTTAAACTTCCATAAACCTGCCTTTTAAGAAATGTTTGTAGTAATATATGCTGAATTTTATTTAATCATATTTGCTTCAATATATATTTCACTTGTCCCAGATCAGCAAAAGTCAGGGTTCTTTAGAAAAATTCAAATCTATTTAATATATTTATCTTATTTGTGACCTACATTATGAAATAAATATTAGTATCTTTTGATAGCTTAAATTTAGGCAGTGCTTAGTTACTTATAAATAAGTGATAAATTCTATGGCTAATCTCTGGCAGGCTTAAGTGTTCTGGCTGTTGTCCTACATATTACAACATTTAATATATCCAAATTTAGTAACCTAATGAAATCATAATTAGGAAGCTATTGCCTCAGATAATCTTATCACATATTCAAAAGAAAATGGTAAAATCCCTTTTGTTTGGTGTGCTTTGTCGAATACTTTCTACCATTGCTCTTATCACAGCAAACATAATCTTGTATTTAGTATTTTAGCAACAGCATTTTATCTGAAACTCTTTACTTAAACTCTTTACTCTGTATTTAAGATTAAATCCTTAAATACAGACATTCTGGGTTGGTCCTGTCTATCAGTTTCTGAAAATAAAAAGCCATGTATTCAAGTAATTGAGCATCTTCTACAAACAAAGAGTTTGTATTTCTACTTTGAATGTCAGTTTGTCATCATGAAGCATTGGTGGCATTACATTATCAATTATTTGAAACTAAGACAGTTCAGTGTTCATGCAGATATTAATAGAATATTTTACATTTCAACTTTATTATCACCAACAGGCAAATGTTTGATAAAGAGAACTTGAAAATGCTTCTTTTCCTCTGGTCCAACATACGCTGGCAGTTTCTAATGGATTCTAGGTTAAGAAGTTGAGCTCTTTTTGGAATTTCCAGCTGTTTCTATTTAGAATAGTTTTTTAACTTTCATCCCATTCTTTCCTAAAATAAAGGATTGACCTATCACAGAGCTTATTCAGATTATGCCAAAGACATATCAGTTTTAATTTAATGTTGTATATCTTCTCTTCCAAGTTGTAAAACAAGATTGAATGTAAGGCAAATAAGATAAATAAGAGTTTTGATACCAGTAAGACTACCAGAGATCAACTGGAAATTTTCAGCTCATTTTCTGATTCTTTCTTTCTTTTGCCATGTGTTCGAAGAAATCTTTAATGTTTCTGGATAACATGTTTTTCTTCTACAGGTCTCCTGCAAGCGCAAAATCTTCTAACGCAACTACCTCAGCAAAGCCAAGCCAACCTCCTACAGTCGCAGCCAAGCATCACCCTCACCTCCCAGGTCAGTTTTCTTCTATGGGGGCTGCTTTCTCTTATCATATTGTTTGGGGAGACTTTTGGACTTTATTTAATTTTTTTTTTAAATCTAATAAAAATAATTCGGTCTTCGAAAACTGACCAGAAAATCAAAGCTAGGCTTATCAGCTCAATGCTACCAAATCAATATAGTCTTTGAAAATCTTCAGAGTTCCTGTTTCTTATATGTTCTTAAAGAATAACTGCATTAGCAGTAAATGAGTAATGAGTTCTAGCTATGTGACATCTCCCCTCACCATACTTGGCGGTAGATATTACCACTTAAACTGGAAACCTAGTGAGCCTCAGTTAAAAATCCATTGTTACCCTTTACCCTTTCTCAGAAACTGCTAAGAGATTTTGATCTCTATATTTTCTTTTTTCTCAATGCTTTTATGGTGCTTTAGCTCATTTCTACTAGACCATATAAACACTATAATTATATTAAAAAAATTTAGACATATAAAGGTTTAAATTATAGACCTGATTCCACTTCTTATCTAGCTGTTGCTTTGAACATGTCATTTTATCTCTCTGGACCTCAGTCTTCTCATCTATAAATTAGGTGACTGAACTGGCTGATCCTGAATCTCCTTCCAGCTCTGACTTTCTTTGTCTGCAGTATGGAAGTTATCACTTAATACTAACACATTACCAGATTTGACAGAATTCAGCATCCATTTATGATAAGAACTCTTGCAAACTAGATATAGAAGGTAACTTTCTTAACCTGGTAAAGAGCATGTATTAAGAAAAAAAAAAGAAAAGAAAAAAACCAACATCATACTTCACGAAAAACTGAATACTTTCCCCCTAAGATCAGAAACAAGGCAAAGTGACCAGTTGCCACTTTTATTCCACATTATACTCAAGGTGCCAGTAATGCAATAAGACAATAAAATAAAATATTAATAAATGACATACAGATTAGAAAGGAAGAAGTAAAACTATCTTAGTTGCTAGATGACATGATTGTCTATGTAGAAAATCTTAAGGAATCTACCAAAAAAAGCTACTGGAATAAGTGAGCTTAGCAAGTATGATACAAACTCAATATATAAAAATCATTTACATTTCTATACACTAGCAGTGAGCATTTGGAAATTGAAATTAAGAAAAAGAAATTTACAGTACTTAGGGGTAAACAACAAAATATTTGTAAGGCCTATACAAATAGTTCTATAGTTGAAAACTATAGAACATTGCTGCATAAAATTAAAGACCTATAAAATAGAAAGAAGTAATATGTTCATGAATCAGAAGACTTAAGTTAAATGTTAAAATGTCAGTTTTTCCCAAATTGACCTCTAGATTCAACAGTCTCAACCAATACCTAGCAGGCTTTTTTGTAGAAATTTGCATACTGTTTCTAACATTTATATAGAACTGTAGAAAACACAGAATAACCAAACGATTTTGAGAAGAAAATTGAAGGACTACTGATGTCAAGAATAATTATAAAACTCAAGTAATGAAGACAGTGTAATACTGGCATATGGATAGAAATAGAGATCAGTGGAACAGAATAGAAGGTCCAGTAGATCCACATGTATATGGCCAACTGATTTGCCAAAGGTGCCAAAGGATTTCAATGGGAAAAAAAAAGTCATTCAAAAAATGCAGCTGAAACAATAGGGAAAAAAAATAAAAAACCTTGACTATTATTTCACACCATGTACAAAGATTTGTTTGATGGGTCATAGACCTAAACTTAGAGAAAAAAGCTTGGAAAAAAATCTTTGTGTCCTTGGGTTAGGCAAGGATTTCTTAAATAGGACACAAAAAGCACCATAAAATAATGGATAAATTTAATTTCATAAAAATCAAAAGCTTCTCTCAAGTGAATGAAAAGAAAACCACAGATGGGGAGAAAATATTTATGAAACATATCTGATAAAACATTTGTGTTCAGAATGTCTAAAGAACTCATTCAAGTTAATAATAAGACAATCTGATTTAAAGGAATGGGCAGCAAAAAAATTGGAGATACGTCACCAAAGATGATATGTAAATGTCCAGCAGGCATATGAAAAGATGCTCAAAAACCGTTAGTGATCAGGAAAATTTAAATGAAATATCACTACACAGTCACTAGAATAAGCAAAATTTAAAAGGCTATGACAAAACCAAGTGTTGGCAAGAAGGTAAAGCGACTAGAGTTCTCATACATTGCTTAGTGGTGTTGCAAAATGGTATACACACTTTGGAAATTATTTTGGCAGTTTCTTTTTGGGGGGGTGAGGGGGAGGCAAGGTCTTGCTCTGTCACCCAGGCTGGAGTGCAGTGGCACAATCACAGCCCACTCTAGCAGCCTGACCTCCCAAGCTCAAGCAATCCTCCCGCATCAGCCTCCTGAGTAGCTGGGACTACAGGCGTGCATCACCATGCCCAGCTATTTTTTGTAGAGATGGGGTTTCGCCATGTTGCCTAGGCTGGTCTTGAACCCCTGGGCTCAAGCAATCTGCGTGTCTTGGCCTCCCAAAGTGTTGAGATGACAGGCGTGAGCCACCGCACCAGGCTGGCAGTTTCTTATAAAATTAAATGTGCATGTACCTTGTGACCCAGCAGTTCTGTCCCTAGAAATGAAAGCATACGTCCACACAAAGACTTGTATGTGAATGTTTCTAGCAGCTTTATTCACCTCAAACTGGAAACAACCTAAATATACATCAGCTGGTGACTAGGTAACATAAGCTTTAGCATATCCATATGATGGAATGCTACTTTGCAGTAAAAAGAAACGTGCTTCTGATACATGCATCTCCTGTGAATCTCAAAAGCATTATACTACATGAAAGAAGACATAAAAGACTGCATACAGTATGATTCAATGCACATGGCATTTTAGAAAAGACAAAACTAAGGTACATAAAACATATTAGTGGTTGCCAGGGACGGGGGGCTAATGGTGGGGATTAACTGCAAAGGGAACAAGGGAACTTTTGGGAGTGATGAGAATGTTCTGTATCTACTACTATCTGTAGTAACTGCTACTGCAATTAGTAGCAGTTGTATGACTGTAGTTGCTGAAACATATACTTTGCCCTTTTAAATGGTGAATTTGTGAATATGCTGAATGCAAGAGTGAGGTTGGGATTTTGAAAAAAGCCTATACCAGAGACTTCTTCCTGGCCTCCGTTCTCTGCATATGGTGGCAGGGCCGTTGTGGCTTCATCCTGACTCCTGCTCACTGAATTCTACTCTGCCATTTCTAGATCTGGCCCAGTCCAGCCTGAGGTTTCTGGAGCTGGGGTAACTTATCTGTAACCACCCCATCTAAAGGTACCCAAGCGATTTTTAGTCCTTTATTATTTGAGAATGGGGCTACTTCAGGCCCGGAGATGAAGTAACAATGTGATAGTTAAGACTCACCTGTAACTGTCAACCAGTTTCGCTGTGAGAAATGTACAGCTACATAGGGGTCTGCTATGGTTGGTGCTCGTTTTGGCTCCTCCAAAATGGTCAGGTTGAAAATTACGCAGTGTCAGCATGACATAGAAATGAACTTTGTTATTGTCATTGAAACAGGATAAGAGAGGAACTTAACTCCAGTTGTCGCCTGTGTAATGCTTATTCTGTAGTTTTCTGGGACAGTTAGTTCCTTTGGAGGAAGCCTTGACTCATAAGGTAAAGGTCAGGCTTATATAACTCATCTAAATTTGAAGAAGAAAAATTCACAGCCACAGACTTTATCTGTAATTCTGGTTTATAATCGCTCACCTGGGCTACTCTTCACAGGAGGAGTCAACTGAGCAACTAAGATGCAGTCAGGCAGTGCCTCCCACTAGTGAGGTGTGTTCCACTCAGGGCTTGTGAATAGAACAGAATAACCTTAAGTTTGTGTGATAAGAAAGTAGAGTATTTTATTTTTAAAAAGAGACTATACCCTCATGTCCCAAAATAAACTATACATGGATTTAAATAATCAAATATTCAACAAAGAAGAAGCTAGCAGATTAAAAGGAATTTTATCAATGTTAGAAATAAGTGAAGCTTTCTCAGATTTGAAGTAACAGGATATATTAGAAAGGAAAATTAAAAGCTCACCCAAATGACAATTTAAAGGTTTATGTACCCTGAAAAATAAAAGGAAGAAAGCAAATTGGAAAAGCATTTGCATTAATATGACAAAGCTTCCTTTATAAAATTTGAGGATCTCTCTAAGGATAAGGATGAGAATAAATATCATTAATATATAAATTGGTTAAGGACGTAAATCCAATTCACATTCAAAGAAATACAGATAATAATTGACACATGGGAAAATTTTGACATTGAGTAGTAAGAGAAATACAAATTAAAGCAGCAGGGAACTACCATTTACTTCTTGAATTAGCAAAACATTTTTTAAAACTGCTAACGTAAGTCATGTGGAAGAGTGTTGCATAGTGGGAACCAACGTTATGATATGTATCAAAAACCATGAAATTGTTTATCTAGTTACCAGAAAAGCCCTTGAGAATTTATCTCAAAAGAACTAATTACACACATAGGTGGAAAAAATAACTAATATGCATAAAGTTTTTCATTGTGTTATCTATGTTAGTGAAAACATAAAAACTGTCTAGCAATTAAGAACTGGTTAAGTAAATTATGAGAATATTGCCTTAGTTTTTAAAAAGGATAACTATGAAAACTGAAATACTCCTGATTTCAGTAGTCCAAGCTATCAAAGAGTAAGTCAGTGGTAGTGCTTAAAACAAATAAAAATGCTATATATCCAGACAACTATTTAAACCATTAAATATATTCACTCTTCTTTAAAAGTCCTCGGTTAGCTGACAAATTCCAGAAAATTAATTTGGATTTTGGTTAATTTGGGGTTTTCATCTTCTATAGATTCTTGCTCGATTAACTGGTGTTAGCATAGGCTTAGAGAGTATGTGTGCCTGTGCTTGCATGCCTGTCTCCATCACCCTCTCTCTTCCAAAAAGTTATTTTTATTTTTAATTTTTATTAATTTTTATTTTTTAGAGACAGTGTCTTGCTCTGTTAAAACAACGTTAAATAAGAAAAGCAGAGAGTAAAATTTTGTATACCATAATTACAGTGAAGGTTTAAAGATATAGGTCCTTGGGGAAAAAACTGGAACAGATATACAAAAGCGAAACCTGTTATAAGCTATTTAAACTGCAGGTGGTTTACTTTTCCCCCTTAATGATTTTGAATTATGATCTTGAATACTGTTTTTATAATACTGTGTCACAGGTTGGAGATGTAATAGTGGTAAACAAGACAGATATGCTGTCTACTGTTTTGACAGTTGAAGTGCTAGACTTATGAAATAGATTTTTTGAAATAAAGAGTAATTTATTAAAAGACATAAGATATATGTATTCAGACCATTTGAAAACCCAGTTATAATAGGTTTCATTTTTGTGTATTCATTTCATTTTTGTGTATTCATGTTTTTTCTATAGAATTACATAATTACTTGTAATTACAGTATACATAATTTCACTGTCTGCTTTGCTCACTGAACATTATGTTGTACATTCTGTAGTGTTACATGGTCTTCATCGTTATCCATAAATGTGGCTCTTTCCTTCAGTTGTTTACTTGGAGTAAACCTAAATATCTCTTCACGTGTTTTTCCTCATTGTTTTATTCTTTCTCCAACAGCCAGCAACCCCAACACGCACAATAGCAGCAACCCCAATTCAGACACTTCCACAGAGCCAGTCAACACCAAAGCGAATTGATACTCCCAGCTTGGAGGAGCCCAGTGACCTTGAGGAGCTTGAGCAGTTTGCCAAGACCTTCAAACAAAGACGAATCAAACTTGGATTCACTCAGGTAGGGTGAATTGGCCTTACATTGATTCCCCTCCTTGGCTGGGTCCAAATACAGTTGGCTCTCTGTATTCATGGATTCCACATCTGTGGATTCAACTAGTCCAAAATATTTGGGACGGGGGACGAAAAAGGATGGTCATGTCTGTACTGAACATGTATAGACTTTTTTCTTGCCATTATTTCCTAAACAATACAACAATTTACATAGCATTTACATTATATTAAGTATTATAAGTAACGTAGAGATGATTTAGAGTATATGGGAGGATACACGTATGTTATATACAAATATACATTTTATAATTTGGAGGACTTGAGCATCAGTGGATTTTGGTATCCAAGGGAGGTCCCGAAACCAATCCCCTGTGCATACTGAGGGACAACTGTATTTGCTTTACATGTCCAAAGAGGCTTCTAAGATACAATATGTTCCTCAGCCATGTTGTTTTTTGGTTTTAAACTGCACCTTTTTGTTAGCCTTTTCCTGCATTTTTAATGTATGGTTTAATGTTAGTCTAGAAGCTTTATGATTTCTTTCAGAACACAGGCCTCTGAAATCATAATTATATCACTAAATTGTGAAGACTTTAAAAGATTGTATGGAGGATTTTGTTATTTGAAGAATATCTGGTGGTAGACCTCAGTACTTCATATGTAAGATTGAGAGAGTAAAGATTACGGGGTGTATTATATTAGCTAAAAGGGGAAAAGTTTAGAAGGCTTATTTAAAAACAGTTTTTTGTAGTGGGGGCAGTAGCTCTAATCTGTAATCCCAGCACTTTGGGAGACTGAGGTGGGAGGATTGCTTGAGCCCAGGAGATGGAGACCAGCCTGATCTCTGGTGGGACCCTGTCTCTCCAAAAAGTAAATAAATAAAAAATTTAACTGGGTGTGGTGACGCATGCCTGTAGTCCAAGCTATCAGGAGGCTGAGGTGGGAGGATTGCTTGAGCCCGGGAGGTCGAGGCTGCAGTGAGCCATGATTGCTCCATTGCACTCCAGCCTGGGTGACAGAGCAAGACACTGTCTCTAAAAAGTAAAAATTAATAAAAATTAAAAATAAAAATAACTTTTTGGAAGAGAGAGGGTGATGGAGACAGGCATGCAAGCACAGGCACGCATACTCTCTAAGCCTATGCTAAAACCAGTTAATCGAGCAAGAATCTATAGAAGATGAAAACCCCAAATTAACCAAAATCCAAATTAATTTCCTGGAATTTGTCAGCTAACCGAGGACTTTTAAAGAAGGGTGAATATATTTAATGGTTTAAACAGTTGTCTGGATATGTAGCATTTTTGTTTGTTTTAAGCACTACCACTGACTTACTCTTTGATTAACCTGTCATAAATAATATATTTTTTTAGAGACAGGGTCTCGCTATGTTGGCCAGGTTGGTCTTGAACTCTTGGCCTCAATCAACCCTCCCGCCTTGGCCTCCCAAAGTGCTAGGATTACAGGTGTGAGCCACTGCGCCCAGCCTGCAAATAATACTTTTAAAGCAGGCAAGGAATTAAACTGAATGAAATTTATGTAAAATGGTATAAGATCATTAGGTAAAAAAAAACTGAAGTATGGATTAGACTGGGTGCCTTTATGGAATCAGGAGAAATCTGTTATTTTCTTTCCAGGGAATATAATTTAAAGTTTTTAAGCCACTAGTTAAATATTACTCAAATTATTTTGTGTTGAAAGTACGGTAATGCTCCACCTGGCCTGGTAGGTCAAAATCCAAGGGTAGCATCCCCAAATGTACTATGGGTGTTTTTAAGAACACATTTATATATATCTTTATATATATCTTTTTTTTTTTTTTTTTTTTTTTTTTTTGAGACAGGGCCTTGGTCTGTCACCCAGGCTGGAGTACAGTGGCATGATCACGGCTCACTGCAGCCTTGACCTCCAGGGGTCAAGGGATTCTCCCACTTCTGTCTCCTGAGTAGCTGGGACTCAGGCACACCACCACACCCGGCTAATTTTTGTAGAGACAAGGTCTTGTCATGTTGCCCAAGCTGGTCTCGAACTCCTGGGCTCAACCAAATCCACCCACGTCAGCTTCCCAAAGTGCTAAGATTACAGGTGTGAGCCACCAGGCCCAGCCCAGGCTTATATTTCTTTGGGAATTCATTTTTGCTCAAAGAAATCAATTGTGTTGGGGAATATGTAATGATTTTTTAAATAGGCATGATTTTAGAGGAAATACAGTTACATTTGTGAGGAGTTTGACTTGTGAAGAAGCAAATTATCCAGAAACATTTTAATACTTTCAAAGCATCTTAAATGATCTGACCTGTTTTAAAAAGAAAGCTAGGCCGGGCACAGTGGCTCACACCTGTAATCCCAGCACTTTGGGAGGCCGAGGCAGGTGGATCACCTGAGGTCAGGAGTTCAAGACCAGCCTGGCCAACATGGCGAAACCCCGTCTCTACTAAAAAATACAAAAATTAGCCGGGCGTGCTGGCGGGCGCCTGTAATCCCAGCTAATCAGGAGGCTGAGGCAGGGACAGTGGCTTCAACCTGGGAGGTGGAGGTTGCAGTGAGCCAAGATCACGCCACTGCACACCAGCTTTGGGGGTGACAGAGCCAGACTCTGTCTCAAAAAAAAAAAAAAAGAAAGAAAGAAAGCTAAACATAGAACTAGATTGATATGAGTAAGTTACAAAGCTGAAATAAGTATAAGGTTAGCATATTTAGCAGTGCCTCAAGTTTTAAACTATTAGCACAGCATACTCTGGGGTTCCCTGAGAGATTGTTGCGTAAGTGATATGCCAAAGATGTTAAGGCTTTTAAAAATCCTTATCTTTTACTCAAATAGTGGTTTGCCTTTCTGCATTTGACCCAACATATTGCCAGTGTTATGTTTTTCTCTCCCTCCGCACATCTCTCCAGGTAAAGGAGCTTCCCTATGGTCTGGTGTTTTGTTTTGTGGTTTTATCCTATTTTTTGGCATGACCATTCCTTATTTTTCGAAATGACTTTGAGACAGCAGTGGCAATGGTTCACAAACTTGGACTATGTGGGTTAAAGTACATACTACTGCTGCAGAATGGAAAATCAGTCTATCAACCTCTGTTTTTAAGTCAGATACTTCAATTTTAGTTATTCAAAGGTTGCTCTGTGTCCAATTTATTTATATACACACACAAAGTTTTAGCCATTAAAGTTATTTGCTGAAACAAAAAAAGCTCTATTCTCTGTGTAAATATACACATTATTAGATGTTTTAAAGTTATTTTCTAATTTCATAATTGCTTATTAAAGGATTACCATGGCTGTCTTTGCATAATTAGAAAACATGTCATAGCATAATACATTTATCACATGTGGTACATTCATTATTTCCCAGTCTCAGTTTTTGTTCCTTTTTTGTTATGTTCTTTTTAAAAATATCAAAGGGATATAATATAGTTAAGATTATATATGAATCGACTACTTAAAACATTTACTTTTGTGAGTGATAACCCAAGATGGTTGTGAGTTGGATTATCACGAAAGAGCATTAAACCAAGCCTGTACCGAATTAATGAAAATTAGTATGTTAACTGAGGAGTCTGTTGCTTTTTATTCAATTAAGCAATTTAAATGTGAAATAAAACATATTAATAAATGATAAAGTGAGTTTATTATTTATTATCATGGTTCTAGTTAGTGAATGGCATAGCTTTATTTCCAGCCACCACCTTAAAGTATCATTTCTTATAATTACTGTCATGATTTTTTAATATATATTTTATTTACTTATTTATTTATTTTTTTTAGAGAGAGGGTCTCACTCTCTTGGCTCTGGCTGGAGTGCAGTGGCACAATTATAGCTCACTGCAGCCTCAAACTTCTGGGGTCAAGTGATCCTCCCACCTCAGCCTTCCAAGTATCTGGGACTACAGGCACATGCACCACACACAGCTAATTTTTTTGTGTTTGGTAGAGATGGGGCCTTCTGTTTCCAAGGCTGTTGACTTATTTTTTGCTTGTTAAATTGTTACTTTTATAATAAGACAGAAGTTTGTGAAAATTTGTAGCTTATTGTGCAGTTACTATGCCAGAAAACACTTATTGCCATCTAACTGCTACATAAGTTTATATACTCAAAGAATTGCAAGGTTTAGTTGGCACCAGCTGTAATCTAAACAAGCTGACCATGACATGAATATATGTGATACACAATGCATAAGTTCAATGCTTGACATATAGTAGGCACTTAGTGAATATTTGATTGAATGAAGTAACATTTTATTTTATTTTATTTTATTTTATTTTATTTTATTTTATTTATTTTTTTGAGACAGAGTCTCACTTTGTCACCCAGGCTGGAGTGCAGTGGCATGATCTCGGCTCACTGCAACCTCTGCCTCCCAGGTTTCAAGCAGTTCTCGTGCCTCAGCCTTCTGAGTAGCTGGGATTACAGGGGTGTGCCACCACACCCAACTAATTTTTGTATTTTTAACAGAGACGGGGGTTTTGCCATGTTGGCCAGGCTGGTCTCGAACTCCTGACCTCAAATAATCCACCCGCCTGGGCCTCTTAAAGTGCTGGGATTACAGTTGTGAGCCACCGTGCCCTGCCTGAATGAAGTAACATTTTAATAAATATATAGAGATACAGGTATAGATAAACATAATCATCTGTGTCTTTAGACATATTTGTATACAGTATAATGGATAGCATTTATGCCCTGCTCACCACTGATTCTGATTCTTGCAGTTTTATGGTAATTGGAATGAAATCAATAAACAGTCTACTTCAGTATATTCAGAACTGTCATTAAAACTTTCTGTGATGATGGGGTGTTCTGTACATTGGACATGGGATGTCCAATACAATAGCCACTGTCTACTTATGGCTATTGAGCACTTGGAAGGGCTAGTGATGCTGAAGAACTGAATTTTTAATTTATTGGGTTTTAATTAATTTAAATAGCCACTTGTGGCTGGTGGCTATATGGGAAGGCAGAGGATATCAATCACTTGAAGTTCAGGTATTCTGGGTGCCTCATTTTGTCTTACATTTCAATATTTCTCATCTGTTAAACTTTTTATCAGAAGTTGCTCACCAAAAAGAAAATGGGGTTTTAAAAATATGTTACTTTTTTAACCCAACTACCACCTAATAAAAAATGTAGTATTCAATGTGCTAATAAAAAATGTAGTGTTCAAAAGATGGATTTAGGGGTAGGGGGGAATCAAAAGACTGGGATAATCCCAGTTCAAACAAGTGTTGCCAGGATAGTTGAGAGTTGGCTGTCTCATAGTAGGATTAGTTGTATAGTACTTTGGACCAGAAATGATGTTGCCTTTCTGCCCTGTCACTAAACTAATTGAAATGAATGGGTGAATCATTTAAACTCCGTGAGCCTCTGTTTCCTGTATATAAAGCAACTATCTTACGCTTTTTTCCCAGTTTGATCAAGAGAGATTCAGCAAGAAGAAAAGCTCTGTATACATTTCAAAGGTTATAGGCTTATAGAGAAAGACATCTTTTGTAATATATTCAGGGCATCATTGTTCTATTGCTATAAGGTTACTAAGTTTCCATTGCCCATGAAGGTTTGACTAAATGGGTCAAACCTCTCTACTGTGAATTTCTATTTCTATGATGGTTACAAAAGTAGTCTTTTAGAATACCTGTTTTTTGTAACTAACTTTGAAATCCAAACTAGGAGTGAAAATAGATTTTTTTTTCACTGCGTCCAGAAATACTTGATAGGGAAAAGAAGAAAAGAGATGATTTCTAATTTTTAAAGTGATTTTTGGGAAGTTTGATTAGTTCGTAAATATCTTGGGTTATCTAGAGAGTTATACATAATATCTGTAGGTGATACAGATAAATTTATTTTTATTTTTCTTTTTTAAATTTTTTTCTTTTTTTGAGACAGGATCTCGCTCTGTCACCCAGACTGGAGTGCGGTGCCATGATCACGGCTTGCTACCGCCTTGACCTCCTGGGCTCAAGCGATCCTTCCACCTCAGCCTCCCAAATGGCTAGGACTACAGGCACACGCCACCATACCTGCCTAATATTTGTATTTTTTGTAGATGTTTTGCCATGTTCTCCAGGCTGGTCTGGAAATCCTGGGCTCAAGCATTCCACCCATGTAGGCCTAGGCTTCCCAAAATGCTGGGATTAAAGGTGTGAGCCACTGTGCCCAGACCAGATAAATACATTTTTAAAAATTACTTAAATCACTTTGGTTGTATCAATTAAGGGGCTTGTTAGAATATTAGCACTATTTTTGATACCTAGTTGAAATTTTGGTATCTCCATGATTACATAAGGTGGCAAGAAGAGATTCAAAATGGGAAAGTATGTGGGACAGTATTGAACATTGTAACGATCAGGCCTAAAAGAGTCCTCACAGTAACACTGTGACTGGCTTAGGGATGGAGTTTATGTGGGACCCCGTAAGTGGAATAATTACTGACTCCTTGTCTAAAGCAGTTATTGGAGCAACACCCCAGAGTGAAGGCTTTAAGCACTGGTGAGATAACTCTGTCTTTCCTCTCCTCTTCTCCTGCTCTGTATTGTGTGTAGGGTGATGTTGGGCTCGCTATGGGGAAACTATATGGAAATGACTTCAGCCAAACTACCATCTCTCGATTTGAAGCCTTGAACCTCAGCTTTAAGAACATGTGCAAGTTGAAGCCACTTTTAGAGAAGTGGCTAAATGATGCAGGTAAGTGACTGTATAAGACATTTCTTTGTCATTCATTGGAATTTTACATGGGGATTGTTATATAAATTGGGGTTTATATTTCTTACTCTATTTTTGTTGTTACAGAACCTTGAAGCTTACTAATCCTGGGAGGATCATTATAAATTATGGTGATATAAATCAGAAAGCTGATTCATTTAAATATTCTAGTAATTACAGTATAAATAATTAGCCGTAATTTTTAGCCTGAAATACTCTTGTATTTGAGCCAGGATTAGGAACACACACACACACACACACACAGTTGAAGGAATAGGATAAGTAAGGCTTTTGTATTTAGATAAGCTTGAAGTAGAAGCTTATTGTTTCTTCCTTGATGAATTATCATAGAACTTGTTCTTGCAATAGTTCTGCTTTTGTTATTTCAAATGACCACACATTTCATTCAGAAAAGTTGGACTACTAGCTTTGTCTTACGTTTTTTTGTGCTGAGAGTTCCTTTTGGAAGATTGGAATTTTGAGTCACAGGATCATAGACTATGAAAGCTGTAGGAGTCATGTAGATCCCTTAAACTATGGTTCTTATTGTAGATATGAACAAAAATTAGGCCTTTGGAAAAGACAAACCTGAAACACGCATCCTTGGACAGTTTTATTCAGTAGCTATGGGTGAGGCCTAGGCATCTGTTTCCCAAGTCCACAGATAAGAACCACTGGTTTACTGTTTCCATCTTATTTTACGTGTAGCAGAAACAAACTCAGATGTGTATGACATGCCCAAGGTTATTAAACTGTGAAATTATAGAACCCTGTGATTTAACTTCAGAGAATTTATAAATATTTCATTTGTTTCTTTTCTTTTTACCCTAGATTATACCAATAAAATGAGAGGCCATTTACAAGATAAATATTAAACGTTCAGTAATTTCTAAGAAACTTTCTTCCTTTTATCCCCAGAACTTATAAACAAACAGAACTGGAGACATAGAGCTGAGTTTAAGGATAGGAATAGTAAACCTCTTCTGTCTCAGAAACAGAAATCCAAACATAGTGGTAATATTGTCAACCATCCTAGCAGAAAGAATGCCAATAAGGGCAGCAGAAATATCCATGGTAGTAAATATATATATATTGGGGGGATGGGTGGTGGGTAGGGGGAGACATGGTCTCACTCTGTTGTCCAGGCTGGAGTGCAGTGGCACCATCTCAGGTCACTGCAGCCTCCACCTCCCAGGTTCAAGTGATTCTCCTGCCTCAGCCTCCCAAGTAACTGGGACCACAGGCGCACGCCACTGTGCCCAGCTAATTTTTGTATTTTTGGTAGAGATGGGGTTTCACCATTTAGCCAGGCTGGTCTTGAACTCCTGACCTCAAGTGATCCTCCCGCCTCAGCCTCCCAAAGTGCTGGGATTACAGGTGTGAACCACCATGCCCGGCCAATAAGCAATATTGTAATGTAGGTTATGTGAAAACCTTTTCATACTTGGATGTAGCTTATTTTGTCAGTTTTGTTGTTAATATGCATATTATGCACATGAATCACTGTGCTCAGCTAATTTTATTTCTGTATTTTCTTCATTCTTACAGAGAACCTCTCATCTGATTCGTCCCTCTCCAGCCCAAGTGCCCTGAATTCTCCAGGAATTGAGGGCTTGAGCCGTAGGAGGAAGAAACGCACCAGCATAGAGACCAACATCCGTGTGGCCTTAGAGAAGAGTTTCTTGGAGGTCAGTGAGGATTTTACTTTTCTGTACATGGGATTGTCTGTGTAGTACTTAACATTAGTACTTAGTAGAAACTGTAGGTGGTAAAAGATGACATGTCAGCCTCTGCTCTTATGGATGATTATAAATAGGTGAAGTAAGTAAGTTACTAACATAGGAGACAGAACCAGAGTTCTGCAGGGTTCAGGAGAGACTAGAATCACATCCATGCAAGCACTCAGTATGAGAGAGGTGGCAGCTTACCATAGGATACATAGGAATTAATTCCACAGACTAGAAAAGGTGGGGGGAAAGTACTTTAAGCAGAGGAAATGCATGAGCGTTTCCCCCTCAGAGTGGGGGAGAAACACTGGAGTGAGGGAAACCATAGGGTGTATGAGGAGACACTCTAGTAGATTGGTTGGTTAAATTGTAGTGTCTGTATGCCTGGAATAGTAGTTTGGGACTGGAACACTAGAGACCTTGAGTGTTAGGCTATGGAGCTTAAGTTAATGCAAGAGATATTTGGCAATTATTTTTTTGTACCAGGTAATATCATAACAAAGCTTTTAAGAAAATTTTGACTTCTCTAATTCAGAAAAGACTTGAGCACATTGGGAGGACTCTGAATTAGGAGTTTTTGTCAGCTCTGCCACTTAAACTGTGTGATTGGGCAAATCATGTGATTTCTTTAAGCTAAAGGTCCTTCATTGTGAAATACCTGCCTTTCTTACTGTGAGATCCAAATTAGATAGCATGAAGCATGGAGAAAGGTTAAATTCCTACTAATACATGTGGTTGTACTGGTATTTTGTTAATTTCATTCACAATTAATAGATCTTAAAAATGAAAAACTATAGATATTTAAGGATAACTTATCCTAAGTTAATATGAATAAGTTTAATAGGTGTATGTTCATTAGAACTTCTATCTACACAATCTCTTTGTTGAAAGTGGCCTAATGTGGATGGTCATATGTATCCCAGCTTCATTTTCTAACCTGACGTGATTATGCCAGTAGTTCAAAAAGTTATTGCAAAGGATAGCTTTTGGAATTACATCTTTTCACCCTGCAGAATCAAAAGCCTACCTCGGAAGAGATCACTATGATTGCTGATCAGCTCAATATGGAAAAAGAGGTGATTCGTGTTTGGTTCTGTAACCGCCGCCAGAAAGAAAAAAGAATCAACCCACCAAGCAGTGGTGGGACCAGCAGCTCACCTATTAAAGCAATTTTCCCCAGCCCAACTTCACTGGTAAGAATAAAAAATAGGGAGTGCAAGCTCAAGGGCTAATTTTTGCAATTTTACAAATGACCTGTTAAATCAGTTTATTTCATAATAGTAATTTAATGAATAAATACATCAAATAAATGCATGTAAATTTGTATTTTAGACATTACCAAGGTAATGAAATTCTCATTCTCTCTTTCCTTGTCTCTCGTGCTCTCTCTCTCTCTCTGCTGAGGTCACTGGTCTTGAGGTGCCCCTGCATGGAGGGTGAAATCTCGTGTTGTTATTAACCCAAGAACTTATTGGTCTTGCTTATTTTTTATTTATTTTTCTATTTATTTTATTTTTTTGAGACAGAGTCTCATTCCATCACCCAGGCTGGAGTGCATTGGTGCGATCTTGGCTCACTGCAACCTCCGCCTCCTGGGTTCAAGCGATTCTTGTGCCTTGGCCTCCCGAGTAGCTGGGATTATAGACGTGTACCACCATTCCCGGCTAATTTTTTGTACTCTTAGCAGAAGCAGGGTTTCACTATGTTGGCCAGGCTGGTCTTGAACTCCTGACCTCAAGTGATCCCTTGGCCTCCCAAAGTGCTGGGATTACGGGTGTGAGCCACCATTCCCAGTCTTTTTTTTTTTTTTTTTTTTTTTTTTTTTGTTGAGACAGAGTTTCACTCTTGTTGCCCAGGCTGGAGTGCAATGGTACGATTTCAGCTCACTGCAACCTCCGCCTCCTGGGTTCAAGCGATTCTCCTGCCTCAGCCTCCCAAAGTAGCTGGGATTACAGGCGCCCGCCACCAGACCCAGCTAATTTTTTTGTATTTTTAGTTGAGACCAGGGTTTCATCATGTTCTCCAGGCTGGTCTTGAACTCCTGACCTCAGGTGATCCACCTGCCTCAGCCTCCCAAAGTCCCAACGTGCTGGGATTACAGGTGTGAGCCACTGCGCCCAGCCCACCTATCTTATTTTTTAAAGTGAACAATTTTAATTCTTTCATCACATTTCCATCATACTCTTCTCTGGTATAGTTCATTAGATTACTCTGTAACCATGGGAGTAAATTTGCTGCTGATCCCAGTTATCTCAGAAAATCTTGTTACTTTTTATTCATGTTGAGTCCTAAAGCCCAGTTTATTAAACTTACACTCACGTGATTAAGTGACAATAAGTTACCAGATAACCTTCAGTTCTGAACTTGTATTAAAACAATCATCTCAGGTCTTTTACTTTGAAACAACATATGATCCTTTCCTGTGAAGCCTCATTGAGTAACTTCTGCTGTTTGCATTATTCCTAGACTGAAGAGACATACAGTGGTCGTATGACTCCCTTGGTTTTTAGGATGATTATGAATTTGACTTCTACATTGTCAGGATTCAAAAGATGGGAATATTGTTGAGTTTGCATTTCTGTTCTTTTTAAATTTGGTTTTATTTTATTTGAATGTCATTCCATACTGGCAGGCTTTTTAAACTAAGGTCAGCATTAAAAGCACATGTTAGTTTATGTGAAGGTTGTAGTTGTTAAATGGTGGGCCTGTAGTCATAAAGTTATGAGATAGTTATGAAAAAGATAATTATTAATCAACAATTTTGTTTTGTAAAGGTGATGTTTGTGTTTTAGATTTGTACTAAAAGAAAGACAGTATTTCTTGCAAAACTAGAATTTTTTGTTATTTCAAAACTAATCCGTTTTTTTTAAAAGTTTGCTTCACATTATTTTCATAATTTTATTTTATTAAAACCAAACCTAAGGCAATACTGCCCCCCTACAGAGTCAAAAGTAAAAGTAATACATGTACCCCAGATTCCCTGATCCTGTCAAATAGTTTTCTTATTTAGGTAAAGTTGATAATTAGTATAATGTTTCTTACCGACTTAGAGTATATCTGTCTCAACGCTATTGAAATTTACGAACTTTTTATTATTTATTTTTAAAACCCAGGCAAAGCTATCTGTGATATCAGTGAACAACCATCTTCGAATAGCAGCTTTCCAACATAGGATGTCAGGTGTCTCAATTCCAAGATCAAAGAAAGACTGTAAAATCATTTCCTCTTTAAGTTTTGATTTTAAGTGCTTTGTCCATGTTTTCATTTCTGACCTCAAGGTGGCGACCACACCAAGCCTTGTGACTAGCAGTGCAGCAACTACCCTCACAGTCAGCCCTGTCCTCCCTCTGACCAGTGCTGCTGTGACGAATCTTTCAGTTACAGGTAAGCAGCTGCCAGGCCATGCACCTGCTGAGCACATGGGAGGCCCGTTTTGGGTTATTATAAGAGTCTACCATTAAATTGTGAATTAAGGCCCTAACTAAAGATAGGTGTTGCTCATAAATATCAATTTTCTTTAAAGTAACTCCTTTCCTTAAAAGCCTTCAATAGCCGTGGCTTTTTGCATTCAGAAAAACCTCCAAGTTTGTCAATTCGTGAAGGTTATTTCCGGTCTGAACCTGATCTCCCACTAGTCTTTTGCCTACGCACCCTCAACACACAGGAGGCCTCCATCCATACCTTTGTAAACATCCCTACAATGGAAATGTCCATCTTAGCCTGCAGTTCTTGATCTGTTACTGATAAAACTATACCAGCTTGTATGTCAATTTTCTTGGAAATATTCTTTAGCTTTCCCAGGAAACTATTCATTTCCATGTACCTGTATTATAAATGATTTTATTTTTACACACCTGTCTTTCCCAATAGACTGCACTTCTCAAAAGATTTGATTATTCTTTTTGAACTCTTGATGCCTAGCTCAGTGCATGACATACTCACTATAAAATGAATGTTTTTTTTTCCTTTGGCCTCTTTTAAATAGCAAATTTTCCAGATAAATTTAAAATCACTTAGCATTGTCATCAGATGTTTTTTAGTGATACATAGTGCATAAGACATGCTGTAATTATTCACCAGGTTGGTTATTTGCTAGTACATCATTGGGTAGATTAATGATATTTCATAATGAAGCTTGATTTAACCTAGAGGTAGGGACTTTTATTTTTCTCACCCATGTTTTAAGTTTACAATGCCTCCTTGGCTCTATGACCTACCCATGATGTAAAAATTGAATAAATGGCTTTATATTATATTAAATTTCTACATTATTAGAACATTTTGTTTATTGTTTTCTGCATCCAATCATCCATTAATTTTTGCTTATGTTAAACAGTACTTCTTGACCTCTTCTGGATGTTGGACCTTTTTAAGAATTTGAAAGCTACAGACTTTTCCTCACACAAAATAGACATATACACAATTTTTAGTAAAATTTAAGGAGATTTATAAATGACAGCTCCCATCAACCTCCCACTCCAAGGCTATTTGTGGATACCTACAGGTTCCAGTTTTAATAACCTTGGTTCAAGAATATACTTAAGAACCTTGGTTAAGAATATATATAATATTGAGCACTTCCACTTAATAAGCAAACTGTTAGTGATTGATTGGCATTGTGTTGGGCACCAAGAATGTGAAGAACCATCTCTGAGGACCTTGTTGTCCAAATTGACTGCCAGTCACCTGGTAAATTATGAACTGAATCCTACCTTCCCAACAAATTATATTGCTTTAGGTCTAAAAATACCTGTCTCTTACAGAAATTTTGTTAATAGTTTACACATTAAGAACAAATAGCTTTGCAGTTTTCTTAAAATATGGGGAAAATCAAAGTAATTTTAGAGAGATTTTAATACTCAAAACTAGCTAAAAATTTGCATCAGTTTTTGATACTTCTTACCACTCACATTTTCTTGAACTCTTACTCAGCCTATTTATGTGGATCTATTTGTGATTTTTTTCTGACACGTTGATAATTTTTCCTGGAGTGAATTTTTTTTAATTATTAAAAACATTATTAGGAAATTCAAACAGGAAAAACAATCACAAGTACCATTTTTATTTTCTCTTTAAATCCTTTTTATATGTACATGTATGTACAGTTTCAGTAGTATTTGTGCAGTACAGTATTTGATTGCAGCCTTGTGATACTCTAAGCAGAGGACTCAGGCTCTGCCTGGACACCTGACCCACAAAAACTATGAGATAATAAATTGTGATGATTTAAGCTGCCGAATTTGTGTCATTGCTCCTTGAAAGAGAAGAAGAGTCAGTGTCAAGTGGGTTTTCTTTTCTTACTCTTTTATCAGCCGTTGCTCAAAACCATGCCCCTTTTTAATTTGTTTTTCCTCTTTGGACTGTAACTTTCTTGTACAGCCTCTTTTCCTCTGATATTTTTATACTGCCTTCTTTTTTTCTCTGTTGAGAAAAGTAGCATGTTTCTTTATCATGTTATTTATTAAAGACGGCCATTGTCTTAATCATACAACTTATGTAATGCAATCTGCTTTCTTCCTGAAGACTTTCTTCTTGGGATTTCTATGATTGCTTATTTTAAATTGTTTTCCTTGTTTTCCTGAGTTAGATCCAATGTTTCTCAGATGCCCTGTCATCCTCTTTGATTCCTTTTTGTCTGGAGCACGTTCTCAAGTAATTTTATTTAGAAAGGTTACATGGGAGGTAAAACTTCTAAATACATGTATAACTGAGAAGTATTTATTTTGCCTTCACAGTATTTTTTGGAGTTTGTCCAGTTACAAAAGTATTTTTCCTTTGAATTTTGTTGTGTTTTAGCATCTAGTGTTGCTAGTGAAAAGTCTGATTTCAATCTCTTTTTCCTTGTTTTTTCTCTCTGTAAACCTTAAGGGTTTTTTAAAATCTTATACTGTTCTAAAATTTCACTACAAGGTTTCAAAGAAGGGGCCTTTTAAAACTTGCCCTCATTGGCCTTCAGCAAGCATTTTCAATGTGAATTAATGTATTTCTTGCACTCTGGTAATTTATCTTTTTTTTTTTTTAAGTTAGGATTTTTTGGCATTCACTCTGTTTATTCATTTTGTGTCATTTGTAATGTGCTGTTGGCTTTTTTCATTGTCTGGTGATTTTTGTAGTGATGAATGCAAGATTACATTACTTATTATCAGTAGCCTGTAAGGGTTTTTCCTGACATTGTGTAGCTTCTGTTACTCAAGAGTCCCCTCCCCTGAATGGAAGGGCTCGCGGTGAGCTGTGAATGTGAATAAAGAACTGCCAAACTTTATTTCAGCCTATGAACAGGAAGCAGGCAGGCAAGCGAGGCTTTCTGTCATACTTTTCCAAAATGAGGGGTATCTTTCCTCATGCATGCAAGTACCTACACTAGAATCCTTAGCGTTCCATAGTCAGATTTTATTTTCTTTCAAGAGTAGGTGACTTTGGTTCTGTTCATTTGAGAGGTCTGGTAGAAGGAGGGAAAGGCCCACTGTGAGAGCTATTATGTGAATAGCCCTTGAATCACCCTGTTCTCTGACCCTATTTCCATCTACCTCAGTATCTGACAAATAACTCTGAGCTGGGACTCTCTGTGAGGCTCCATCAGAGTGAATAATTTCCTCCTCTATCATAGTCTTCTCCTGTGCCCTTCTGGATTATGGTTGATTTCTCCACCATCCAGTTTTATCCTTTTTCTCATTTCTGCAAATCTGTCTAAATCTCAAAACCTCTGATACCTGTCACCAGAGCTCTTTTTCCCTTTTGTATCTCTTTACTATTATTTGGAATAGGATTTTAGAAATGAAGGGAAAAACCATATCCTTAGCACTATCTTCTAAGAAAAATCATGTTTGATTGATGTGGTCATCTTATTTTCCCATAGGTACGTTTGACACATAATAGGTCCTTGGTAAACATTCTAAAATAGATGCAAGTGAGCATTGCCATACTCCTCCAGAAAGACGAGTGTTCCATTGTGTCTCAAAAACTTGTAAAAATTCCACAGCCCTTAATAATCTCAACCAAACATGCCCCGCCCCCAATTCATTTTCCAAAATATTTTTCATAGTGACAAAATTGTTGATTCCTCAGGAAGATATAGCAACTATAATTATATAGCCACCTTAACAACAAAGGCCCAAGATACAGGAAACAAAAAGGAATAAAATTCAAAGAAGAAATAGACAATTCAACAATAACAGTTGCAGACATAGTATTTATTTGAGCCACGTTAAAAAAAAAAAAATTCAGGCCATGTGCAGTGGCTTATGCCTATAATCCCAGCACTTTGGTAGGCCAAGGTGAAAGGATCGCTTGGGTCCAGGAGTTCAAAACCTGCCTGGGCAACATAGTAAGACCTTGTCTCTACAAAAAAAAAAAAAAATGAGCAAAATTAGCCAGGCGTGGTGGCACGTGCCTATAGTCCTAGCTGCTCGGGAGGCTGAGGTGGGAGGGTCACTTGAGCCTGGAAAGTTGAGGCTGCAATAAGCTGAGATTGTACCACTGAACTCCAGCTTGAGAACAGAGCGAGACCCTGTTTGGGGGAAAATAAAAAAAAGCCGTGAAGGATATACAACATTTGAGCACTATCAACCAACTTGTTCTAACTGCCATCTGCAGAACACTTGGTCCAGCAACAGCAGAAAACACATC
The DNA here is from genome assembly GCF_000001405.40 of Homo sapiens. Lineage (NCBI taxonomy): Eukaryota > Metazoa > Chordata > Mammalia > Primates > Hominidae > Homo > Homo sapiens. The sequence goes on from NC_000001.11 coordinate 167,405,799, forward strand.
CTTTTTATGTACACATGGAACATCCATCTCCCAGGATACTTTTAGCCATAAAACAAGTTTCAGTAAATTAAAAAGGATTAAAATCATACAAAGTGTGTTGTCTGATGACAACTGAGATAAACTAGAAATTAACAATAGAAAGAAATTTGGGAAGTCCCCATGTATTTGAAAATTAAAACATGCATCAAAGAAGAAATAACATTTCTCCTCTATTTTCCTATCAGGCCGGTATTACCCAGATACCTAAGCTTAGATAAATAGCACAAGAAAAAAAAATTACAAACTCATATTCCTCGAGAAAATATAAACCAAAACTCTCAAAAGAATCTTAGCAAGTCAAATCCAGCAACATACTGAAAAAATCGAACGATTATATACATCATGGCCAAGGAGGATTTATCTCCCAGGAATGTATGGTTAGTACAATAACTGAACATCAATTAATGTAACACATTATAATAGTAGAAGAAAGGACAAAAACCACATAATCATCTCAGTGGATACAGAAAAGATATTTGTAAAAATCCAAAACCCATTCATGATGAAAGCTGAAATACAAAGGAACTGCCTCACCTGATAAAGAGCACTTACTAAAACTCTCCAGCAAATAGAATACTTAATGGCAAAAGACTGAATACTTTCCCCACTAAGATTGAGAATTAGGTAAGAGTGTTTGTTTGCTCTTGTGGACTTCTGATTAACATCGTCCTGGAGGTTATAGCCTCCAGTAAGGGGGAGAAAAAAAACGGAAGACAATTTGGAAAGGAAGAAGTTAAACTGCTTGTATTTGCATTATTCTATATGTATAAAAATACTAAGGAATTCACCAAAAAAAGGTATCTAGGACTAATCAATAAATTCAGTATTGTTGCAGAATACAAGATTGATATATAAAAAATAAATTACATTTGTATGTACTATCAATGGACAGTTCAAAAATGAAATTTAGGAAATAACTTGTATGTAACAGTATCAAAAGAATAAAATACTTAGGAATAAACTTAAAAGAAGTGTAAGACTTGAACAATGAAAACTACAATTTGCTGAAAGAAGTTAAAAGAAGTCTAAATAAAGAGACATTTCATATTCCATGTTCATGTTTTGGAAGACTAAGCATTCTTAAGATGACAGTTTTTCTCCAGCTTGAGATATATGTGCATCTCTCTTTCTCTCTGATTTCAAGGTTTATCCACATTATAGCATAAATATATATTTTTTTATTTTATTTATTTTATATATTTTATTATTATTATTATTTGTTTTCGAGACAGGGTATTGCCCTATCACAGTGGCGCAATCACATTTCACTGCAGCCTCAACTTCCCAGGCTCAAGCAGTCCTCCCACTTCAGCCTCCCCGGTAGCTGGGACTATAGCCACATGCCACCCGCCCAGCTAATATTTGTATTTTTTGTAGAGACGAGGTTTTGCCATATTGCCCAGGCTGGTCTCGAACTCCTGGGCTCAAGCAATTCACCCACCTTGGCCTCCCAAAGTGCTGGGATTACAGGCATGAGCCACCATGCTCAGTCTTCCAGCTTGATTTATAGATTCAACAAAATCATAGTAAAAATTCCAACAGGTTTTTTCTTTGTTTTGTTTTAAAGAAATCGATAAACTCTTGGAAGGGACCAAGAATAGCCAAAACAATTTTGAGAAAGAGTGAAATCAGAGGATTTTCATGTCCTAATTTCAAAGTTTACTGTAAAGCAACAATAATCAAAGCAGTGTATTACTGGTATACATATAGATATATAGATTAAATGGAACAAAATTAAGAGTCCAGAAGCAAAACTTTAAATTTATGCTTTATTGATTTTTGACAGAGGTGCCAAGGCAATTCAATAGGGAAAGGACAGTCTTCAACAAATGGTTCTAGGACAACTGGATATCCATATGCAGAAAGAGGAATAGAGGAATTTAGATCCTTACCTTACACCGTGCATAAAAATTAACTGAAATGGATCAAAGGCCTAAATATAAGAGCTGAAACTATAAAGTTGCTAGTAAATAAAGTAGGACAAAATCTTTGTGACCTTGGGTTAAGCACAGAGTTCATATACACAGCACCAAGAGAACGATCCATAAAAGAAAAAAAAATTAGTAAATTCAGCTTCATCAAAAGTAAAATCTTTTGTGCTTCAAAAGCCACAGACTGAGAGAAAACATTTGCAGATCACATATCCAATAAAGAAATTGTGTCTAGAATGTATAAACAACTCTTACAACTCAATAGTAAGAATATAAACAACTCAGATTTTTAAATGGACAAATGTTAGTAGACATTTTACCAAGGAAGATATAGGAGTGACTAGTAAGCACATGGAGAGATATGTGACATTAGCATTACTCATTAGGGAAGTGCAGATTAAAACTGTAATGAGATACTACTTTGTACTCACTAGAATGGCTATAATCAAAAAGACCCAAGATGATAAATGTTGGGAAGGATGTGGAGAAACTGGAACTTTCATGCATTGCTTGTAGGAATGTAGAATGATACAGCTTCGGAAAACATCTTGGCAGTTCTTTTAAACATAAATTTACCGTCCTACCCAGCAATTTCCCCAAGAGAAATGAAGACATTTCTACACAAAAACTTCAATGTGAATGTTTATATAGCAGCCTTATTTATAATATCCAAGAACTGGAAACAAACCAGTGCTCATCAACTGGTGAATGAATAAACAAAATGTGTTATATCTACACAGTGGAATATTATTCAGCCATAAAAATTAATGAGGTGTTGATTCGTGCTACAATGTGGATGAACCTTGAAAACAGAATGTTAAGTAAAAGAAGCCAGATGCAAGAGACTACATATTGTATGATTCCATTTGTGTGAAATGTCCACAAAAATCTAGAGACAAAAAGCAGATAACTAGGTAGGAGTGTGACATGATTACAAACAGGCACAAGGGATCTTTTTTGGGAGTGGAAATGTCATAATCTGGATTGTGATGATGGTTGTATAACTGTAAGTTGATTAAAAGTCATCAAATTTTAAAGCTGGATGAATTTTCATGTGCTTACTAGTCACTCCTATATCTTCCTTGTTAAAATGTCTACTAACATTTGTCCATTTAAAAATCTAAGTTGTTTATATTCTTACTATTGAGTTGTAAGAATTGTTTATACATTCTGACACAATTCCAGTTCCTTTATTGGATATGTGATCTGCAAATGTTTTCTCTCAGTCTGTGGCTTTTGAAGCGCAAAAGATTTTACTTTTGATGAAGTTGAGTTCACTGATTTTTCTTTTCTTTTATGGATCATTCTCTTGGTGCTGTGTCTGTGAACTCTTTGCTTAACCCAGGGTCACAAAGATTTTGTCCTACTTTATTTACTAGAAGCTTTATAGTTTCAGCTCTTATATTTAGGCCTTTGATCTGTTTTAGTTAATTTTTATGCACAGTGTAAGGTAAAGATCTAAATTCCTCTTTCTGCATATGGATATCCAGTTTATAAGTTGTATCTCAATAAAAGCTGTTTGAGAAAAGACAAGACAGGGCGGGAAGCACAGGGAAGTGCCAGGTACTATATACACACCTTGACTATAGCTTCCTACTGCCCCTGTGAGGTGGTTGGTGGTATCTTATTTTGCTGTTGAGGACATTGAGGCTCAGCAACAATAAGTTCACTAGTCAAAGTTACCCAAGTAATTAAATTGCCAAGTTGCCAAGAATTTACAGTCATGAAATACATATATTGATGAAAACATGACTCACTGACTGGGATAATTAATTTGAAGATAATTTTAAGTTGTTATACCATAATGCTTATTTATATAACATTTATATTGGAGACGCCTAGAACAATTTTGAATGCTTCTGGAGTCATCATCTTCTGGCCTAGGTTAAATTCACTGATAAAATTTGACTGGGATTTTCTTTGTAAACTTAAGGGATTTAAGAAAACAGTTGGTGAATGATTTGAAGGTGGCTGGAGAGTAAAGAAATAACTATTTTAAGCCTTTTGAGCTCAAGATATTAGGACTTATAAAAATAGGCAATTCAATTTCAGAACTTTGAAAGGGAAGTAGTACCCATAGGTAAAATCAGGTTAGATAAGGTGAGAAATTGGTCAAAAAAAGATTGAAAGTACATTGAAATTGCTTAGCATGGAAGAGAAATAAAAGATGTTCACCTTACTATGTGACAGGGGGCATGTCTTAAGAGAAGATTAAAGCGAAAAAGGGTATATGAATCTGCCTAACACAGGACCCTACACAGCATCCAGTGTTCAGTGGTTGATTGTTCTGAGAGATTTAGAACCAAAGAAGTAATGAACGAAAATAGGATTCATAGTATCTACAAAGATGTAATGATATTTAGGGGCAGTGGCAATAAAAATAAATCACTTATATTTTTCAGAAGGGTAGACAGAGGAAGAAAGCCTTCCTTTTTATTTAACAATAAGAACATTATGTTTACCTCATTCATTTGGCAGCCACTTTTGCACAGCTTTATAGGAGGTGAAGAAAGTAGTCAGTGCTGAAATAAATGATGTCTGAGTCTCTCCCAACCCTGTGACATGTGATAAAAACTGAAGAGTGGAAGTGAGAGTTCAATTCTAGATGTTCTTAGTACAGACCAGAAGAAGGTTTTAAAACAGATTTTTGGAAGGACAAAATTGCCTGAATTTGTAACAAGATTGTTATGAAAGAAGAGCATGTTCTGAAGCTTGGTAAAAGATTTCATCACCAAAAAATGTTATTATTATTATTATTATTATTTTTAACGGAGTCTTACTTCGTCACCCAGACTGGAGTGTAATGGCGTCATCTCGGCTCACTGCAACCTCCACCTCTTGGGCTCAAGCAGTTCTCCTGCCTCAGCCTCCTGAGTAGCTGGGATTACAGGCGCCCACCACCATGCCTGGCTAATTTTTGTATTTTTAATAGAGACGGGGTTTCACCACATTGGCCAGGCTGGTTTCGAGCTCCTGACCTCAAATGATCCACTCACCTCAGCCTCCCAAAGTGCTGGGATCACAAGCGTGAGCCACCACACCTGGCCTTGTCTTACCATTTTCAGTGGGGCTACTAGAAATTTTTAAATTACATATGTCTTGTATTTCTGTTAGACAACACTGATCTCAAACATTAAATAATCCCAGCAAATGTGTTTTAGTGTTTAGTAATGATATATTTAATGTCAGTTAGTCATTTATATCCAAATGTTCATTCTCCTTAAACCAAAAGCATATTCAGGCACTTTTTTCTAAGACCTCACAAATAATTTCTTTTTTTTTTTTTTCTTGAGATGGAGTCTTGCTCTGTCGCCAGGCTGGAGTGCAGTGGCGCAATCTTGGCTCACTGCAACCTCCGCCTCCCAGGTTCAAGCGATTCTCCTGCCTTAGCCTCCCGAGTAGCTGGAACTACAGGCGCGTGCCACCACGCCCAGCTAATTTTTGTATTTTTATTAGAGGCAGGGTTTCACCATGTTGGCCAGGATGGTCTCAATCTCTTGACCTCTTGATCTGCCCACCTCAGCCTCCCAAAGTGCTGAGATTACAGGTGTGAGCCACCATACCCGGCCTACAAATAATAATTTCTTAGATCTTAATTTTTATGCTTTTATGAGATTCATAGTATCATTGTATGTTGTTTTTTTTTTTACCACAATGGACTTTTTGAGAGCTAATTTTTATTACAGAATAGTTGTTTGAATGTAGAGAAGGCATGTAGTCATTTTTATACTATGTTGTTGTTGATACTGAATTCTTAGAAAAGCATATAACTTTCTGTTTTTCTTCTCCTTGTTTTGATTTTTCTGAGGAGACCCCTAAGGAGATTTCTGAATGAAAAGAGCTTTACAGAAGTTTTTCTTCTTTTGCTTTCTTTTTCTTCCCCAGAGCAGTTGTATTCCATAATTAGAGCTTCTATGATTCTTTTGTTTCTTGAATAGGAAACAGGCAATGGAAAACTTCTCTGTTTCTTTCATTGCTCATATCTCTTAAAGTAGGGTTCCTAGCTGTGATCCTAAAATGTTTGGTTTTGTAGTTAATTTCCATAAAAGCACTAAACTAGGTTATTAAAGGACAGCTTTACTAGGTGGTAGGTTAATTATTCCATTGATTATAGAGTTTGGCTGAGTAAAGCCACCATTCTTCCAAAACCATTTACAAAAGGTCATCTTCTAATCTGTTTGTCTTTTCAGGCACTTCAGACACCACCTCCAACAACACAGCAACCGTGATTTCCACAGCGCCTCCAGCTTCCTCAGCAGTCACGTCCCCCTCTCTGAGTCCCTCCCCTTCTGCCTCAGCCTCCACCTCCGAGGCATCCAGTGCCAGTGAGACCAGCACAACACAGACCACCTCCACTCCTTTGTCCTCCCCTCTTGGGACCAGCCAGGTGATGGTGACAGCATCAGGTTTGCAAACAGCAGCAGCTGCTGCCCTTCAAGGAGCTGCACAGTTGCCAGCAAATGCCAGTCTTGCTGCCATGGCAGCTGCTGCAGGACTAAACCCAAGCCTGATGGCACCCTCACAGTTTGCGGCTGGGTAAGGCGCTTTCTCATCTCATTCACGTCTGAGGTGGAGGTCATCCCTGGAATTACTCACAGGGGAGACTTTACATCACTGACTTAGATGGGGAAAAAAATGTCTTTAAAGCAGTAATCTCTTTGAAGTGGGCTGTTTTGTGATCATACAAGGACTTTGATTATAGTTGAGTTTATGTTTCTTAACACCCTGGGAAGGGCAGTAGTCATACCTTTGTTTCCAGATGAAGACCCAAAATACCAGGTCACTAATTACCTTAGTGACGGGGCCAGGAAGAAAGCCTAGAATTCTTGACTCTTATTTTCCCCATTAAACTCTCTCAACTGCCTACTTCCTAATTCTCAAGCATAGATAAGAGATGTAATAGGAGTCTCAATTTTATACTGTTATTGTCACACATTATAAGAATTATCTTGTAAATATATCTTTTTCTCTAGAATGTTTCTTTCATTTTGGAAAGAAAGAGAAATAAGTCTTTCAAAGAAGGGTCAAAATGACTATAAAAGTTTTACATTTTGTGCTGATCATAACCTCGTTTGTATGAGTAAGCATCCAGGAAAGCAGTAACTGAGAAGCACAAACCATAGAAGAGTAAAGAAAAATAAATATTTCCACCTATTTCCCCAGCTGGATTTTCGTTTTGTAAGTTCCTTTTGGTGTGTTGTCAAAATGAGACCTGCGTCTGCATGGTAATAAAGTGACTCCTCTTTTGGACTTGCAGAGGTGCCTTACTCAGTCTGAATCCAGGGACCCTGAGCGGTGCTCTCAGCCCAGCTCTAATGAGCAACAGTACACTGGCAACTATTCAAGGTCAGTAGAAGCCTTTTTCTTAATTTGGTGGCATGCACGTGTGTGTGAGTGTGTGTGTGTGTGTGTGTGTGTGTGCTTGAGACAGAGATAGAGGAAGTCTGCTTTGCTAGAGGTAAAAGTGATGGGAAAGAGTCAAATGCTGACTAACTTGTTCTTGAGAACTAAGAAAATGTCCTCGTAAAAAAGCTTTGTAAGAAAAGTATAGGTGTTAGTATGTGAGTAAAAGCAGGAAATATACTTAGTTTGGTATATGGTAAAAAACCAGAACTTTCATGCTAATATTGATCTTATGTGAGTAGACTTGAAGCCAGATTTTTTTCCCCTGATAAGTTTATCCCAAGTATTAATCTAAAACCCGTCTCTAGGCAAACTTGACCAAGTAAGACTCTCCAGTTCCCAGCTGCACTCCTGAGAAAGCTGTGCATGGGAAAGTCCTGTAATGAACAAACATTGGAACACATCAGGTGGACCTCAGGAGTGCTTTTAATTCTCATTAAGTTCTGCTCTTTTTATATCGCCGTTAGTGTAGAACATATATTCTCTTGGATTATAATGTCTCTTTTCCAAGCTCAGCTGGGTTCCTTTTGCCTTTTAGCATGTTACCCAGGGCAATATTCATTCCATATACTGAAGGGTTCCACTTGTTTAGTACCTAAGCTTTCTGTCTAAAAATGTTTACTGTTATGTGATTCAGGGAGACAATTTGAGAGACATCACTAATTAATTAGAATTTTTTTCTTAAAATAGTTTTGCTAAGAGGCTGAGGCAGGAGGATCACTTGAGGCCATGAGTTCAAGACTGCAGTGTGCTATGATCATGCCTGTGAATAACCATTGCACCCCAGCGTGGGTAACACAGTAAGACCCTGTTTCTAAAAAAAAAAAAAAAAAATTAAAGTGTTTTGTGCATAAATGAGAATTCTCAGGGCCAAAAATAACTATTAGCCAACCTAAATTAAGATTAATATTTCACAGGTAATATCTCTAACAGTGTACTAGAGAATGTTAATTACAGACAAAACCAAACCATGGCCTAGATTACCTTACATTATATTGACTTTCTGATTGACTAAATCATACCTGAATTGGTTAGCTCTAAAGCTTTTGTTATATAATAATTTTTTTTTGCAATAGAATTTGTGATAAATCACTTTTTCTTCTGCTTTATTGAATGTTTCTGTGCTGTGTTGATACTACAAAGGCAAAATGTCTTCCCTAGGGCATGATTGACACTCTGAAAAGATACTAAGTTTGGAATCTCAGAAAAACTTCAAGCTGCACTGTCTCACTGTTCTGTACTATTTGTATGAGCAAGGCCAAAGTCAGAGGCATTCCCTTCAGCTATATTTTATGTAAGAAATCAAATGTGTAATGCCGTTAGAAAATCCCTCAAATCTACATGTAGGAGTGAGGTTATATGGCTAGAGAGATTTAGGAATGTTGCCAGACAACAGGTTGAGATACTAAATGAGAGTCTCGATTATTTTAAATAAAATGTTGATGATGCCTTCTTTGGGGAAGCAACAGCATCATAGAAAATTTCTCACCCATTAAAGCACATCCTAGACTTAGATCACCCACCTACATCATTATGTCTAATTTCCTGCTACAATAGATTCATCATTCTCCTTTGCACAAGTCATAGAAATCAAGTATTTAGCCTCAGGAAGTGAGAAATTAATTATACCTTTTAACTTTATTTGGTGATACATAATTTATTTTAGAACTAAAGCCTTTTTGCAAGATGATTTTCATCTTGTATATCATAATATAAAGCAGTGGTCCCCAACCTTTTTGGCACCAGGGACTGGTTTTCTGGAAGACAGTTTTTCCATAGCCACATTGTGGTGGCGTGGTTTCTGGATGACACTGTTTCCACCTCAGATCGTGCTCTATGAGAATCTAATGCCGCCACTGATCTAACAGGAGGCAGGCCTCAGGCTGTAATGCCCACCACTCACCTCCTGTTGTTAATGCTTTAATCACTTCAGCTAGTTTGTCCTTTGAACAGAGGTAGTTTAAAATCAGCAGTCTTCATTAAAGACAAAATTATTGGATTTATCAAATATGTCTAGGTAAATGAAATAAACTGGTGATTTCAAGACACGAACATGACTCTAATTCATTAGACAGTTATTAGCTGTCTTCTACCCCTGCTTGTGCCCATTAAATTAGACATTTCAGTCTTTTAGGCTCTTCAAAATTAAAAATAAACTACAATTGGTATCAATATAGCACTGTGTTTGAGGAAAAAAATTCAGTGAAGGGCTATACTTTTTCCTGGTGGGTTGTAGGAAAATGATAGACTTTTGATGTGTTATTTGGCTTCTCCAGGATGATGTTAATGTTTTCATTCCTGCCTGTTTTGGGGGGTTTTTGTCTGTAGCTCTTGCTTCTGGTGGCTCTCTTCCAATAACATCACTTGATGCAACTGGGAACCTGGTATTTGCCAATGCGGGAGGAGCCCCCAACATCGTGACTGCCCCTCTGTTCCTGAACCCTCAGAACCTCTCTCTGCTCACCAGCAACCCTGTTAGCTTGGTCTCTGCCGCCGCAGCATCTGCAGGGAACTCTGCACCTGTAGCCAGCCTTCACGCCACCTCCACCTCTGCTGAGTCCATCCAGAACTCTCTCTTCACAGTGGCCTCTGCCAGCGGGGCTGCGTCCACCACCACCACCGCCTCCAAGGCACAGTGAGCTGGGCAGAGCTGGGCTGCCAGAAGCCTTTTTCACTCTGCAGTGTGATTGGACTGCCAGCCAGGTTAATAAACTGAAAAATGTGATTGGCTTCCTCTCGCCGTGTTGTGAGGGCAAAGGAGAGAAGGGAGAAAAAAAAAAAAAAACCACACACACCCATACACACATACCAGAAAAAGAAAGAAAGGATGGAGACGGAACATTTGCCTAATTTTGTAATAAAACACTGTCTTTTCAGGATTGCTTCATGGATTGGAGAACTTTCTAACCAAAAATTAAAAAAAAAAAAAAAAAAAGAAACAAAAAAATCAAAAACAAACAAAAATAAGTGAAAGGACTACTTATCATTTCCAGCAGTCATGATGACAAGTTAAGGTGGGTTACCAATTCCAATATAGGAAGGGGATTTCTTGTTTGTCTAAATTTCTTTTTTTCTTAAAAAAAAAAAATCATTTTTATGGGTCTGTTGTACAGGCCATTAAGTCATAACAAGGTGTTTATAATCGTATCAATTGTGTTGGGGGTTCCTTTCTTAACTGGTACAATTTAGGCAGGCCTGTATTACTGTATTATTATTGTTGTTGTTGTTATTGTTTTATATATATAGTTTGGACATGTTTATTATCTCTTGCTCCTGGATCCTATTTCAGTGAGCTCCCACACTGTGGGGAGGGAGGGTTTTGGGGTAAGGGGAGACTTCTGTTCTTAACTGTGGGGAATGTTCTTGCTGGTTTCCTTATCCTTGATGACTCTTACAGAGGTGCTAGAAAATTATTTTCTTTTGCCACTTATGCAAGAGGCTTGGTGCAGAAGCTGAAGGCAGTGTGTGCAAACACTCCCATTCCACACACGCCCCTTCCCCTCCCCACATCAGGTGGTGCCTTTGGAGCACTTTTGTGTAGGAAGGAATTCCTGCTGAACTGTAGCTCTCACTCACCCCCAAATCATTGAATGACCCTGAGGCCCAGTTCCTGTGGTGCAACAGTGCTGCTTTCTGCTACTTTCAATGGGAACAGCTGTACATGTTGCAGGGCAGGATTTGGTTCCCAAGAGCAAAGACTACTGCAGACACCTGACTTGGTGGTTCTCCTGATTTCTTATCTCCTGAAAAATGCTCCTGCTGTTGGTGTGTTTGTTTGTTTGTTCCATTTTGTGGAAGTTTTTCATCCAAACTTTAACTAACTTGGCAAAGAAAAAAAACTGACTTACTGAAATTGGGAAACTTTTCCCTTCTTTTATTTTCTAAAGGAATTCTACTAGACTATTTTCCATTGATAATATATACAAAAGAGGTGTGATGAGAAGGGTATAAGGTTACCACCTTTTCCTCTAGAGAGCCACAGACTTCCTTTCCACTGGATGGTTTATAAATTCCTCTAACCCTGAGATTCTTCTTGGTTCTCTGACTAAAGGAGGCACTTATTAGCCGGGCTGGGATCTGTAGAACCTTTGAAGAAGGACTTTGAGCAGGAACTTTGCACACACCTTAAGTGTCTCCTTGGTTTGTTCATGATGCTCCTGCTAGGTAGGTCTAAATGGCAATACACATCTCTTTATTCAATGTAGAAAGTAATTAGCTCTGTAATTATTTTCAGGGTGTTTGTAGACTATATAAATGAGCCCATTGAAAAGGAAGAGTTTGTGAAAGTGGATGAAGAGGAATAAGGGTAACTTGGAGATTAAATTCCTTTTTTTGTCAGTGTACTGTTGTTATGCCATCTGTACCAAAAAATTTTCCAAAAGACTGGATCACTGCAGTGCAGCTCATCTAAGTTCCCCTTCTTATTGGAGTTAAAGGTTCCCATTTGGTGGCTGTGGGTGCTTGCTTAAATCTCTGGTGGTCCCAAGACTGCACTTTTTCTCCCTTTCGAGCTGGGGATGTAGAGAGAACTTACAGGTGATTTTTATTCTGATTGCTTTTGTTTGTGTCCACAAGGGAGCTTGGATTCTGTGTACTTGTCTCTTTCCCATTGTCCAGTAAGGCAGTAAATACAGACACAATGTGTACTTTTGTGTGTGATTCAAGTGGGAGACAGTCTGTTAAAAGGTCAGAAACATTTTAGTCCCCTTTAAAATATTTCTTTTAGTTTATTTCTATCGTGTTTTATTTCACAGATATTTAATTACCACCCCTAAATTTCCTCCTCTTACCCTTCACCTTCCCTAAAATCCTTCCAAAATCAGTGAACTGCAAGCAGGGAAACTAACAAATGTCCATTCACCCTTTTTGTGTGGTGTGTTTTTTTATGTTTTGTTTTGTTTTTTAACTAAGCTTGAACCAAAGTCAATTTTTAGCAAGCTGCTGTACTAATGGACTAGTTGATAACGTGCAGTTCAGACACATCGAGGAGATAGATGCTACTGACAATTTCTTTTTCATTTGTCTTTATTAATTTTATATGAAAGTTGCTGCTTGTTTTTAATCTTTTATGTTGGTAAATTGTGATATCCTCTGGGCAGACATTAACTTGATGTTTAACTAGTTTATTAGGTTGGTGTGTAAATAGAATGACAATGTCAATTACTAATTTCTCTCCTCTCCATTCACTTTTTCTCTGTTGTAGTTAAATTTAATCTTCTATCCTGACTTGACATCTCTACCTTTAGTCTGTGGAAATGATTTTAGGGCTATCAGTAATGCTGTAGCTGCCCATAATAATGAGTCCCTCCCTTGGGAGTGGTGAAACTTAGAAGGAAGGATTCAGGGAGGGAAATGCTGGTACCCAGTATACTGGATTAGAAGTTATAGCATTAATTTCTCAAAATTGCTACCAAAGGAAGTGTGGAGTCCCAAGGGACTCAAGCTCAGTGAGGTAAGACAAAGGGCAAGGAAAGGCTGTTTGGGTGGTTTTTTTTTCCCCACATATGGTTTAGAAAATGATCCCTTTCCCAAACAAAACTCACCAACAGACTTTAATATTAGAAAAGATACTAAGCTTTAAATGTCAATACAGTGGTCTTTTATTCCCTGCCCTGTCTATATTTTCTACTCAATTTGGGATAAGGGGATTTTATGTGAAGCACTTGATGAGGGTAGACCAGCATAAAAAATCTGTTTAAAAGAAGAAATAATCTTTAGGAAAAGATAAATCTTTAGATAAAAATAAATTTTTTTCTCTTTTTTTACTTATTTAAAAATAAGTTGTGAAATGAAAGGTACATTTACACATGTACACACGAAACACTAATATAGCTTTTTGGTGGTTGTTTAGTTTAAAATCAACTCCCTATCCATCATCCCTAGATATTCTACTTATCGTATTGCTTCATGAACACCTTAGTCATTTTTTACTTTACGTATATATTTTTTTATCATCTCAAGAAATGCATTTTGAATTGAATGAACTATCTTCTAAGCTAAGATACTCAAATTTAACTTTTAGCCACCTTATATGGGAGAGCCTGGAAACTAAAGGGGACCAGGGACCATTTGACCAAAAGAGGTGTTTGGTGGAGTTTCTGCATTTCAAAGAAGAAAGGCCAGATAGGTCATCACAATTCATTGTATTATTCTTTTTTTTTCCCCTTAATGTTTATGCAAATTTTATTTTATATTTCTGAATTTGGTTAGCACATACTAAGCCAAAGACTATTCTAAATGCATTTATAGTGAATACTATGTATGCCCATGGTAATGGGTCCTCCCTAAGGAGTGGTGAATGTAATTGTGTGAATCCTGCTTATCACAAGTGGTGCAATTTGGTCATAAACTTTATTTATACCCTGTATACATCTGAATAACAGAGCAGAAAGACCTAAAAAAGGGCTTCTCACAGGAACAATATTACTATGTTGTTCTAAGAAAAAATAAGTTGAGTGCTGTATTAGTTTAAGTGTTTCTAAAGTTCTATAGGCAGCATTTTAGAATTAAGAATTGTGTATATCCATTAACTGATATAATTCACATGTCCTTTTATTTGTTATCAGAAAGATCAATACTATCCCAATTTATTCAACTTGTTACCCAAGAAATGGAACCAAAGGAATCCAACTTTCATTTTGTGTAGAATCATACCTACTTATACTTAATGCTAGCACTGTAAGAAATAAGTCTTTTTTGTTTAAAAAAGGGAAGATAAGATTAAAGATTCTTAGTGAGATCATCTTGCCAATTTGTTGTACATCTCTCATTCATTGTTGGGGGAAAAAAAAGCACAACTATACCTCTTTAATGTTATTTTCTTCCATTATCCCTCATTTATTTGGAAAGATAAGGGAAACCTTGTCTGTATTATCCAGAAGCACAGATATTTGCTTGACACAATATTTAAATTCAGCCCAATCTTTAACATTAAAAAATTTTCTTTTTAACTTGCTGGAAAAGTTGGATACATTGGCAAATATAGGGAATTCATGTCTTTTTTTTTTTTTTTTTTCTGGTCTTGCTCTGTTGCCTAGGCTAGAGTGCAACGGCATGATCTCGGCTCACTGCAACCTCTGCCTCCCGGGTTCAAGCAATTCTCCTGCTTCAGCCTCCCAAGTAGCTGGGATTACAGGCGCCCACCACCGCACCCGGCTAATTTTTGTATTTTTAGTAGGGACGGGATTTCTCCGTGTTGGCCAGGCTTTTTGAACTCCTGACCTTAGGTGATCTGCCTGCCTTGGCCTCCCAAAGTGCTGGGATTACAGGTATGAGCCACTGTGCCCATCCTCATGTCAATTTTTAAAGTGATAAATCCTGATATTATACATTGCAATTAGTGTAGAATAAACGCTTGGCTTATAGAACTCTCTGTTCTTAGTCTAAAGCTGTTCCCAAACCAGGTCATCCTCACGAAACATTCTTGACCAAGAAAAAAGATAAGGTCATTGAGATAGGAAGACAGAGGAAAAGCCTCTTGCTGTTGTTTCTTCCCAAGAAAGGAGAAGCCCTGCCAGGGAGAAGTCAGTAGTATTGCTGACTCACTGTATCACTGAGTGTAGGGTGTGGTAGCAAGGAGGAGGCAGGGGATTCACGCTGACAGGTGGCTCTGGCCTGGCTCTTGGGGGGCCTTCTGAAGACCAGTCTGCAGTTTGAGGAAGGGCCCCAACAATTCATTTGGAGAGCTTGGCCAAATACTTTCTCATTAAATCAGCACCTAAACTTGATGAACTTAAAGTTTGTTTATTAGAGTTGAAAACATTAAAAGATGACTGATACTAATGGGAGAAAAATACTAAAGACCCAAAATTTAAAATTTTCCAAAATGGACAAGAATTGATGGGTTAATTTGCTCATAACTGATATGAGTTTGCTTTTATGTGTGTGTGGAAAGCATTTAATGTGTGATGCTGTTCATAGTCCTGGCTATTTGATGTCATTTTCAGTTTTACAACATTTTGAGGATGACACTTTATAAAATGGTAAATCTTTCTCAGCGTTTACAAACTTGGCTTTTGAGAAGGGAAAAATCCTCTTTGCTATTTCTGTAAGAAGAATAACTGAGATCAGCTATTATATAGGTTTGCATGGATGGTGTCCACAATACAAATGTAAACTTGGACAGGAATAGGATAAATAAATTGCTTTCATCATAAAGGCCAATCATCCATTTCTTAGTCCAAGGAGATTAAATATAAATAGGACACCCCTGAGATTTCCAGTAAGGTATTTGAAAGGATTCCACTGGGAGGGCAGGGAATATATTTTTTCTCAGAGCATCCAGTTTGTACCCAGTTTTCTATATGGTTTGTGAACTGTAGCTTTTAAAAAAAAATTTTGTAGTTTTCTTCTAACCTTATTCATTAAGTAGTTCCTTGTTTTGGCCCTTCTACTCTTGGCCTTAGCTAAAAGCAGTAAATGTGAGTGAATTTTATGTTGATTATGTCACCTGGATCTCCTTTCCTTCCCTTCTTTTTCTCATTGAATGGTGGTACCTTAATTTGGGTAACAGCTAGCTTCTGGCACCTTCATAAAATACCTCAGAATAGCTTAGCATTGTTGCAAAACTGGTTTTAAACTAAAAACCAAATAAATAAGTGAAAAAATTTTATAAATAGTGGAAATAATTCTAGCTGTAGCATTTAGTTGAACTAATGTTTATTATGATCGATAAACAAGATTGATGCTGTATGTATTTGGGATCCTGTTTATAGGTTACAATTTATAGGGTTAGGGAGGGTTGGGTGGGGGAAGAGGAGATGTTGATTATGTTAGAAGGAAAACATTGCTCGTGTGTGTGTTTGTTTTTTCTTATATCTGTCTTGCCAAAGGAAACTTGATTTTCCCTGTGATTGGCTTTGGCCTCTGTGGTCTGGTCTGCAGCAGTGTGTGGTGGCATGCAGGTAACATATGGGGTGTCCAGTAGGTTCAGGGACCCTGAGGGTGCATTTACATCCCTTCCTATGGTTGCCCATGCCCCCCAGACCCTGCCAACCTCTCCTAATGATTCATTACCTCTGTACATAGCAAAAGCATAGGCAAAGGATGAATGCGTGAATGCCTGGATGTGCAGTTGAGAAACAGAGGCAGACATAGACATGCACCAATTAATTTGGAGCCAAGAGGTGAGTGATTGATGTATCTTAAATCTAGGAAAGTTAAAGTGAAACAGGTTCTTTGTGTTGCCCTCTGTCAAGTTACTGAATGTTGTGCTAATAACACAACACTTTAAAACCTTACTTACTTTTCTCATACCAAGGCTAGTTCTTTCTAGACCAAAAACACAAACAGGATAAAAAGCAAACCAAGAAGTTGAAAGCTAACCTGCCCACCTCACCCCTGTGATACAAAGTGTGAACCTTAAGGATTAGTTGGTGGGATTGAGGAGAGAATTATTCTTGGTGGGAACATGAATGAGAAATGATGCTGGCTTAGGAAAAATCACAAGCCCTTTCTGCCCATACTCTGGGACAAACTTTCTTGGCTCCCTGAGTTCGGATATAGACTGTATCTCTAGAAAGGCTATTTTTTTAAATAAATGATCCCACAGAACTTAAGTGGGATTTGGTTTAGATACCAAAGACACTGCTAATGTCATTGCTTATCCTTAAGTTTTCAAAACAGGCAGAGGGAATAGGAGCAAAAAGCCAAAATTTGGAAAAGCTTTACTTTATCTCTTTCCTTCCCTTTTCCCCTTTTCCCAGTCCCCTGCTTTTTGAAGGAAGTCTTCTTGGTTATCCTGGCTTTGGAAAAGAGATTTATTTTGTTTTGCTCTGCTGGCTCTTTAAAGATGGATAGTTGCTCAATCTAGCAGTGATGTTCTTGGAATTGCTGAGAAATTTGGGGAGGGCAAAAGATAGGGGTAGAATTTTTTCATTATTTCCCTTTATCTAATACTTTTAAATAGAACCAACACAGCCTATATGAGTTCAGACAATATTTAGATGTGGTATCTCCATCTGTCTCCTGTAAAAGATAAGAATTTTCAAGAACAGGATTACGTGGAAAACCAAAAGATCTTCCCTTACTCTCCTATAAATGTTTTGTTCCAAATGTTTTTATATATGGGCTCTAGGGAGTCAGGTAGTTCATTGTTTCGGTGTACTATTGATAGGACACAGAAAGGGAGAGAGGGTAAAGAAATGTATCACTCTCTGAATATTGCATCAAAAATGATTAGGTTGCAGAACTTCATGAAAGCTTTACTAATAATCTTATTGTTCTGACATTATGTAAAGGTGGTATTAATATTGTATGACTTGTCAAAGTGCTAGATAGGTTTATAAGTAGGTAATAGGGATGTTGAAGATTAGAGCACTTGAAACAGAAGTTCTGGGAAAACAAGGTGTGTGTAATGGAACACCACTTTGAGCACAGAAACAAAGGTCCCTTGGACCTGGTAGGGAAGATGTGATTTATGATTGTTTCTGTGTCCCTGTATCTGCCCACCCTGCACAGGGCTCCACCACCCAGGGCCACCTTCTGGTTTAAACCCAGGACACTGTCAAAAAGTTAAGACCCCAAAACTAATTTACTGTAAAAAACATTGAGGACTGCTGCAAAGTTTTCCCTTGTTTTCTTTGTGTACTTGTTCATCATTGTATAAGTTAGCCACAGCTTCACAAGAGCAGCTTAAGGCTTCTTTCATAAATTGGCAGTGGCATTGAGTTCTCAAACATTATATCCCAAAGTCTGCAGGCAGACAGCTGGATACAGCGCTGTGTATAAATGAGACGTCCAAACACTTGAGTTTCTTAAGATTGGGATCTCTTTCAAATGAAAAAGGACAGAGCCAAGTAGAGAAAAGACTTTGTGCTCCCACCCAGCCTTAATGAGTCTCATGGTCTAAAAGTATAGGAAGAAATGAAATGCACTTTCAGAAGCTAAAATGACAGTGTCTGCTACAAAAGGCTGTAGTTGTAGGCAGTCGGGGATGCCATGTCCTTGGTTCCATTCCTGCGTGAGTCTGCAGAAGGCACACACTTTGTAAGAGTAGAGTGGACTAGTGCCAGCCTGAATAGGTTTAAAACTGCAAACAGTTGGAGAACATGGAACAGGTTGGTGCAGGAAGCCTAAGATTTTGCAATCATATTATAACATTGGCTTTTGACAACATAAATGTTGTATCTTCCCTAAGGTCAGGTCGGGGAAAGAAAGACTTCCAGCTTCTTACCTCTGCGTGCATGGGCACGTGTGCATTGCTCAGTCCGCAGGAGGTCTCACTCCGCAGGAAACGCTCTCCTCCCGCATAAGTCTGTACTTCCATCCCCTCATCTGTGGTAGTAGTGAAGGCTAGGTGAGTAAGCGTGGGCTGTTCTACCCACCAGAAGTCCAGGAGCTGTTGTATACCTCATTTCTAACTCGTGACCGAGTGACTTGCTTTAACTTTCTCGAAATCCTACAGAGTTGCCAAGTCTGCCCTCCCTCCTCAGTCATGTTAAACTCTGGCCTATAGCATCATGGGACCTGTAGCCTAGGGTGGGACCCCCTAAAGCCTCTGAATGTCGCTGCTTAAAAGCTACTGCAAACTGAGGGCAAATTGCAATCTTCTATTCCTTTTTGTTGCAAGGGGTCTTCACAGGTCTCTTAACATCTGCTTTCCCTGCCACCCTGCCTTTAGGGGCTGGCCAGCTATCCACACCCCTAACCCACCCTGTGTTTCTGACAGCTGGCCACACGTCAACTTCTGTACTTGCCTTTTCCTTGGTGGGGTAGAGGCCAACCCCTTCTCCTCTGAGGCCTCAGGGTTCTGTTTCTTTTCAGGACTTTGGGTAGAAGGGAAGACACCAAAGGCTCCTTTAAGCTGACTGCTGCATACACATTTCACTTTTTTTCCTTTGACATGACCAAAAATATCCAAATATTTAAGTTTATTATTATTATTATTATTATTTGACAATCTTATATCCAATGGGCTCTCTAGAAGCTGCATCCCCAGCCCTTTCACCTTTTCTTTGAATGTAGTTCCCAACCTTCAATTCCCACCCCTAATGCTGACAAAAAGCTTAGCCAGGTCATGATACTGCTGCTATAAGCCAGGGGAGGGTGGTTTCTTTGTTTTGTTTTGTTTTGTTTTGTTTTTCAAATTTCCAGCCAAAACCAAAGATTTCTTAATGATTGTATAAACTCAAAACAAACAAAAGAACCAAAGAAAAGGGAAGTCTTCAGCATCAGTCCAGTCTGTGGTGTCCTGGCACTTAGAAGAGTGAGGCCAGGGAAGGTGGGGCGGGGGGACCCTCTGACTGGATCAGAAAGGGCAGGCAAGCTGCTTACCACCTTCCAGGGTCCAGCACAGGTGCATGCCCCTAGCTTTGGCCCTCACAAACTTGTGAGCATGCCCTGAAACAAATTGGCATTTCAGATTTTCCAAAACAAAAGTCAAAAAACCCCATCACCACCATCATCCACCCTACACCAACCAGGGTCACTATGGGGACTTAGCACAGGGCCTAGGGAGGGTGGGAGCTGCTGCTGGACTGGCCCGAGGACTCCACAGAGTGGGGGACGTTGAAGACACTGGCGCACGATTGGCTGCTCTGCTGGGTGCTTTAACCTCTGGGGCTGGGCGAATGCACGCCACGGTGCCCTTCTGAGCCTTTTTTTCTTTTCCTGTACTGGAACTGCTTGGAAGTGGCTGTCCTGTTTGTGAGAAAACATGCAGAAAGATTATCAAGCTTTTCATTTCTCTTTATTGTAGTTTTCTTTCCTTTTTGCAGCACCACTGTGCAACTATGCATTGTACTTCACAACCTTTTGTGCTAGGTAGATGCCTGTGACTTTTTAACTTGGGGGGTGGGGGGATTGCAAATGAAGGAACTTTTTACATGGATCTTTTTAATCTCAGTTGGTTGGGGGAGGGGGGTACTTGGTTCTTGGGTCACACAAGCTCTATCCCAAAGCAAAATCCAAATGTTAATAATATTAGCCTGATGCAGATACCAAAGATAATTTCTTTCCTGCAGAACCTTAGACTCGTGTATTAAGTACGATTACCCAGCACTTGCATTAGTCTAACCTCAGTAATTCCAAAGCTTAGATGTATATTTTGGTATATTTCTGGGATATTAAAAAAAAAATGTCGTTTAACTTCTTGTTTGTTTCAGTGTAATGCTCTTAAAGTCATAGCATGAAAATAATTGAACTGTCCTATTCTTAGTAGTTTGAAATAATAGTATTTTTGTATGTTTTGGGTGTGTCTATGTATGTATTAACATAACAGTTTTCACTGCCTAGGTGTTCATAATAAAAAAGAAAATGAAAAAAGTTCTGAGTGTACATAATATTCAATAATAATCTCCCACCAGGTGTCAATTTAGATTGCATATTCCTCATTACTGTTCCCAACTGGGATTTTGTTTTCTTTTAAAGAGACAGTGATCGTGTTTTTCTAAAGATGTTTTCTTTCTCTCTTTCAATATCTTAACTCACTTTTTTTTTCTTCCTTTTTTGTCTTAATTATTAATTCAGGGGTGTTTGTCCACTGTTGTCAAAGGAGGGGCACAAGGGGAATTGGCCCCCGGCCTCCTAGAACTTTTTGTTTTATGTACTTTAAAATGTGAGTTTGAGTTCTTCTTTGTGGAAACTTAAGATGTGGTGTAAATGATTCTTTCCAAAATTGTCCAGCAGCTTGAATGAGGCAGTGACAATTCTGAGGTGGTTTATTGGGAGTCCTTCTACATTTCTCTTAGATAACTCTGCACTCTGGGTGGCTATTGTGTAGCCTTACTGCCCCAGAGTGCCTGTTAGCCAAATATTTCCCCTCTGATAGGAATATTTTCTAAGAATCAGCTGATAACTTGCGTGCTGGACCTTGTTATCTGTGCCCCTGGGAGACACACGTTTTCTTGGTTTTGAAAACCTGAAACACAGGCAACTTTACATTTTGGGGAATTAGCTGATGCCTCCTGAAGCCTGAGGAGGTGGCGGGGAATATGAGCGGTGCTGTCTCTCTCAAAAGTGCCCTTTAGATGATTCCCCCTCCTAGGGCTGCCTGCAGGGGCTGTAGGCTTGGGAAAGATTGTGTAGGTGACAGTGAATCAGAATGAAGTGGTAGATTTTGTGTAGATGCATTTGTCTGCTGTAATTTTTTATATATATATTAAACTTACTGTAACTGTACAGTTCATTTCTGTTGTAAAACATCATTAAACCATCTTCCAAGTGTTTTCACATTGTTGGAGTTTCTTTGAAATTGCTGTGTTGGTATTCTGGATGCTTCACATACAGATTCTCAGACTTCGCATAATTCAGCTTCCAAATTGTTTTTTCCAAGTGCTCTCAGGAACCCCAGAATCACCATAAGCACCCTGGTTCCTGCCCCACTCCACCCTTCCTCCTGCACTCCAGGAGGAGCTATGGCCACTGCATTTCTCCCTCCCAGACCCTCAGTGTGGTTTCGTGGGACCCTGAGTAGCAGTAGTCTCCCTCAGGCCCAAGTACTTTGTGTGATCAAACACGCAGGCCCATGATTGATCCTGCAAGGGAGCTCTTCAAAGCTCCATCTCACTGTGTATTTGACTGCAGAACTGGGACCGAACTCAACTTTTTCCAAATGTATTGTTTAAACTGCACTGCCCCTCTAGCATTTCTTGCCAAGTCCTGAACATTCACTGGGTGGGGGCCGGGTGGGGGGTCCTCCGAAGGAAGGTAACCCTGAACTTGGCATCTGGTCCTCCTCCTGTTCGAGGCTGCACAACTTAGCTTCTTCAGACTTATAAATACCACTTAGCATTTAGTGTCTTACTACAATTCATTCATTTCATGAAAAGTAAAGTTTGAATTTTAAAATGAATTCCCCACAGAGAGAAGGCTTCAGCTTACTGAAGAACCTGGGGAAGTTGTCTATCACGTGCTGGCCATCTGGCAGGCATTCTTGAATTAGATGATGTGGAGAGCCGTTGTCGCAAGATGTGCTCGCTCTCCTGGAAAGGGACCAAAATGGGAAGGCAAATGGTGGGTCCCTTTCTCCCTGCTCCTTTATCATAGAATTTATATTTTTCCATTCCATTCCTTAGATATATGGCTTATGTCTCAGTTTGTAGTTATTTTCTTAAAATAATGTCAAGTTTTTAACAGAAATCCTGTTTTTGAGATAGTGTCGTGCTCACAGACTTAGCAAGCAAAACTCGTTTGTCATATCCTAAGGAATGAGGATAAACAACTGATGAGATTCTGTTACCCTGTAGTCCTTTGTGAAAAAGTTGTTAAATTCTAACCCATTTCCAGGTTTGTATACAAAGCTGAATTACCTATGGCAGGATGTGAATAATATATGCCCTTACTCTTTTGTTTTTGGAGGGACTTACATCTCTCCAAAGACCCAGGTTGAAGTTAACAGGAAATCCGGTGTTAGGACTCAGTCATGGGTTCACAAAAGTAGTTGTTGATCAACAACTGAAATGTCCAGCACCAAGCAACCAAAACACATCACAAGTTATTCATGGACAGTTTGAGGCCTGTGGCTAAACAGTTGGCCAAATGACAAGGCTTTAAATCACCCCGGAAGTTGTCCTCTTAGCCTAAGTAGGTCATCTGCCATTTTTTCTCTGCCAAGCCAGGCTTTGCAGTTTTGAGTATTTCTCTGCTTATAGGAACATTTTAAACTAGAAACCTTGGATCTTATTCCAAGAATGACCTCAAATTATACTCTAAGAAGAAAAGCGATCAGAAATATTCATATCTTATCTCTGAGTTTAGTGACATTTGAATAAACGTTTGAAAAATATTGAAAGCTTCCATCTTTATATATAATGTGTTTCCTCAATACAAGTAAAATTCCATGTTTCCTTGATTCTAAGCATATCTTCACATTTTAACCCATGAAACAGATCTACATCTTACAATGGATATTTAGTGTTTTTGCCCTTGAAATAAGTTGATACATCAGTAACCAACAGTGTCTTAGGATGGAGGGAGTGCAGTTGTGCTGTGGAGAAGGCATTGCCAGACCTCAGGAAAGACAGGAACCCTGGCAGTTCCAGGGCTAGCCGCTCTCCCCTCGGATTCAGGGCTTTGCTCTCTCAGAAACTGGTTTCTCAGCCCTGCTTCTGTGAGCATATCTCAGTTCTCCCCCAGCTTGCTGTCTGTGTGGTTACCTTGCACGTAGCCTGATGTGGCCCACACCTCAGTTTAGCTCTAGCACCATAGCTCACTGCCCACTGCCAGCTTTTCTTTTTGCCTCTTTAGACATGTTATAAAAAAATTATATATATATATATATATTTTGAGATAGGGTCTCCTTCTGTTACCCAGGCTGGATTTCGGCTCACTGCAGCCTTGACCTCCTGTGCTCAAGCGATCCTCTAGCTTCAGCATCCCAAGTAGCGAGGAACACAGGCACATGCCGCCATGCCCAGCTGTATTTTTTTGTAGAGACGGGGTCCTCCTGTGTTGCCCAGGCTGGTCTCAAACTCCTGGGCTCAAAGGATTCTCCTGCCTCAGCCTCACAAAATGCTGGGATTACAGGCATGAGCCACCATGCCCAGAATGACATATTCTTGACAGAATTGGATCAACTCACTTTTCAAACCAGCCATCCAGGTCACACAGCCTGTATATATGTCAGCTGACCTTGAAACTTGGTCTAGCACAAGCCCTCGATGTGAGAGGCACTCTCTTTCACTAATAGATGAACCAGATTTCAGTTTTAAAAGCCCAGTGAGTAGCAGAATTCCCCTGAGGCTGAGTTACAAATCAAATGCCTTCTCCTTATGAGTTGCCTGTGAATTGTTAAATATGCCTAGTGATGATGTGCGTGGCTCCTGTTGGAATCCCAAATTTTCAGGGGCTTTAACAGTCATGGTCTTGGATTTCCTTTTTGAAAATGTCAAGGTATAGATTTCAGTCTTTACACAATATTAGTTGGTGGGCTTGTTGAATTGGGGCCCTATATATAGCCACTGCAGTTAGAGGAAACACTGCTAGGGACAGGGCCACCTTTTGTGAGAGAAACGCCTAAAAGACTTGTTCTCCATCCCTCCCTCAAACCCTATGCACTGAGACATTTTGCACTGTGGCGTCAGCTGCTGTGCATAACTTCCGGACACCTTCTGCTCACACGCTGTCTATTCTGATGCCTGGGTGCCAGGCCAGCCTTTCGCGCTTGTTTTCCTGCACCTGACAAGCTGGTGCCGTGCTGCAGGGCTCCTTTCCCATAGCCCTCTCTGTTTCTGGCATAAGACTGGGCCCATCCTGACACATTGTATTGCACCAAGCCCCACTCTCTCTGTCTAAGGCACAGCCACCCAGCCGGGATGCCCGGCCCACTTGCCGTGTGTGACACCACCCATATTGCCGCATTCCGGGCCGCAGGATGCACCTGTGCTCATGTGCTCGTTCCCAGGAACTGTCCTGTTCTCTCCTGAGAATCAGCAGTTTTGCTCCCCTCCTCCCCCAAGGGCAACCTGCTGATTTACTGATGACTAAATTGCCATTACAAGCTTGACTGCTGAAATAAAGCTTAGTAAAGCTGCATTTTCACTGAAGCATTTATTATGCAAAATAGGAAGGCTTTAGCATGCCAGTATAAATTAAAACAGTAGAAAAAAAGCAGAGTAGAGAGCGTTTTCCATCCATGGCCTGTGCCCTGTAATGACGCAGCAGTATCCTAGTACATTGACGGGTTTTTCCTGTCCTGCCACTGTCCGCTGGGCAGTTATAGGTCCCATGTGTTGGGTCTTCCTGCGAGGCCTTCACAAAGATGATTTTGTCATTCGCTGAAAGCGTGAAGTGAATCAACGGCCTCCTCTTGCTCCGCAGCACTTTATTCACACTGTGTAACCACATGTTTTTTATGCCACTTTGTGCACAGCTCATCAAGGTCAGTCTGTTCATCTTCTGGCCCCTGTAGCACATGGTACAGTTCAATGGTGCGGCACAGAGGCCTGAGGCAGGGAGGCTCCCGCTGCCCTCGCAGGCCCTGGCTGACCCTCCCCTGCCCGCCCACCTTCCCATGCCCCTGCAGCTCCCTGGTTGCACCTGGCCTAGGCTCCTTTCCATCTGCCCCTCTGCCCGGCCCTCTCACCAGGGAGGCACAACATGGCCCAGTACAGTTACCTTGAAAGGAGGTGAAGGTGACAACAGAAGCCAAATTTACAGCAGGAGTGAAGCCACTCAGACACAGAGTGATACAGACATTAGGGCATGTGCTAGCATCTGCGCTTTCTCTGGGGACTTTACAAAACAGACTCAACAACTCAGCTGTGAGAGGCAGTGCGCCCGCCTCCCAGGGAGAACGAGGAACCGCCAGGAGACAGGTCTACCTGCACCACCGGCAAACCAGAGGGCCCAAGGCCAGGGCCGTAAGCCCTGGGAGTACACTCCCTTAAAGAGTGCAGGGACAACAGTCTGTGTGTGAAGGTTTGGAGCTAAATATAACCAAAGCATCCTGTACATAAAGGGGAATACTTCAGTGGCTGAGAAGAGTGAACCGGGTTGTAAATGCTTCATCCTGTGTCTCATAATCTGGGCGTCTGCAGGTCTGGCCTTTGAGTGGTGAAATCCCCTGGCTGTTAGCGAGGGGGCAGGGCCTGCATGTGAAGGGCGTCGTAGGTGTCCTTGGTGGCTGTACTGAGACCCTGGCGTGAAAGCAAATCAGAAAACAAAGAGTGGGTCAGTAGCCTGTGTGGGCAGGAGCCAACCCAGAGGCCAACAGGTGTCTCTGCAGCACAGCCCTGTGACCACCCACCCAGCCTCCAGAGGCCCAGGAATAATCCCCCTGGCCCCACGGGCAGGAGCCTTGGCTGCAACAGCTTCGTTGGTAGATGGGTGCTGTGCCCTGCCGGGAATGGCCTTGCAGCAACTCCTTTCCAGCTAAATTCTCACCCCTCTTCTCAGCTCCTCAAATGCTGTGCCTTACAGTGCTTGGGCCCCGCCAACTTCCTGCTGGACCTAAGAGAAAGGAGTCTCCCACCTCCCATATTGGGCAGGAATCAGGGGGGAGGGCCCAGACCTGCTCCAGAGAATCTGCTGTCCCTGACACCTGGGCCCAAAGGAAGCCTGGACTTGTCACAGGGAGAAGAGGGGCTCCTTGGCCTCAGCCCTCTGTGAGCCTCCTTCCCTTCCCAGGCCCGGTGATTCTAGTGTTTTCTTGGTCACGAACAGGCCCACAAGGCTGGCCCCAAACCTGCTGGAATGCCTGTCCCCCTGGTCCAGGGGCCAGGAAGGAGAAGGATCAACAGCAGCCACACACAGGTAAGTTTCTGGGGCCCTTTTGATATCACTCAACTCAGGCAAGCTGGGCATCCTGACACTAGAGTCAGAAGAACGAGCTATGAACAGCCCATGGGAGCCAGAAGGAGGGAAATGACAACCCGCTGGGGATCATGTTTTAGAGAAGTAGTTTGACCGTGCTTAGTTTGCATAATTGCCTGCACTGATTTGCAAAAACCAGGCACCTAACTACATAACATTTTCTTTCTGAAGCTGCCATTTTTCTTAGCTTTTTTTCCTTCAGTCTTCCCAGCCAACCTCTCATCTTACTAGGCCTAAGGAAATGATGCAGAGTGAGGGTTCTACAAGAACCCAAAGAGGCAGGATAATCACTTGTGTGGTCCTTTGCCTCCATCTGCATCGGCGGGGAGGCTGCGTACCCTCTGGACAGCTGCTGCTCTGTCTGCCATGGCCAAGCAAGGCATGGTTGGAGCCAAGTAATTCGCTTGAATGGCCAAGTCCCAGCTGTGCTCCAGGGACTTATTGGCAGTGGCGTTGCCACTGGCCTAAATGGGTGCCTTGGGCTTGCCCTGCCCAGCTGTTGGCAAGAGCTGGTGCCACCAGCAGGCAAAATGTGGGGGCCTTGATCTTGCCCCTTGTCAGGTGGTGCCCCTTCCACTGAAGGGACGCCGGCAGCTCCTACCTGGTAAAGGCCATCGTGCCCCTTGCCCCTCCGGCGCTGGTTGTTTGGGAGTGAAATGAGAAAAGGATTAGAAAGTCAGGCAGTCAGTAGTGGCATTTCTGCTCAAGGGCCCCTCCCAAGGTACCCAGGAAGTCAGAGGTAACTGTCTCCCAGCAGCACCCCTGCCCCTGGGAGAGAAGGATCCTCAGGCCCCTGGTCAGACCTTCATCTCTGCAGAGTAAGGTGAGGCCTGGCCATGATGGGGCTTGGGTTTGCTCCACCCCACTCAGATCCTCACAGACATCAGATTCCTAAGGTCTAGGGCCCGCAGGACCTATATTGCCTACTGCTTAGATAAATGGGCTTCCCTTCAGCTCTTAAAGTTCTTGGCTAGTCATTTTTGCTCACTGACAACCAGCTGTTTTGAGCAGTTACGAGCTCTGGCATAGTCAGTTCAATCACGTGCCCGTTTACCAGCTAGAAGACCTTGGGTAAGTCACTCAACCTCCTTGTGCCTTGCAGGGCACATGTTTCTCATTGGGTTGTTGTGGGAATTAAATAAAACTACAGAGAACCCCTGCTTGGAAGGGGTCAATGCTTCACTCTCACCATTTTGAAATTCTTAATTGTTGATGAACAATTAATTGTTGATGAACAATTCTTAATTGTTGATGAATTGTTTTCATGTTGTCCTGGGACCTGTGGTCCTGAGCACTGAACACGGCAGCACATATTAAGCACTCGATGCTTCCTGTTATTAAAACGGACCTGCTTTTGCAAAGCTTAGGCTGTCATAGAATCTAGATGTGGTTTTCTGTACTGAAAGAGCATCAGCCCTTCCTTAGTTTCTTATGTTCTGCCCGGCTGGGTGACAGCCAGGTTCGCCTTCACCTCTGATGGCCACCACATGGGCATTTGCAGCTGGGATGAGAAGTGGATGGGAAAGGAGGCCTGCAGCAGGCGTGTCTGGAGGACCAAGAGGAACTCCCTCGGAAATTAAGAAACAGCAACACTCACCTCGCCTTTCATCCCAATCTCACTGTAGGCCTCCGCCATCTTATCTTTCTGCAGTTCCTGCAGAAGAGGGCGTGGAACACTGATTTTTACCAACTAATGCAGAAAGCAGCAGGTTCCCCTACAACAGGAAGCTTCTTGATCCCCAAGTTGGCAGCAGTGGCAGACAGGGAGGGCTCCCACAATCAAGGCTCCAAACCTTATGCACACAAACTTCTCTGCCCACAACCAGCTCCAGCCCACCCCCCTCATCCTCAGCCCTTTGGAGTCTCCTCCGAGCTGCCAGCTCTTTGCACTGAGCTGAGGGGCTCAAGTTAGGCTCAAAAAGATAGGAGGTGGAGTTCTAGACAAAGACACGGAGACTGGGCAAAACAAGGGCTCACCTGGAGCCCCAGAATCATTTATCTGAGCAAGTTGTCTCTTTACACAGCCAAACGGGCTGTAGATCAACCCTCCCTCCCCACAGGAGGGGCGGGGAGGCATCTCCTTCACAGAAGGCTGCCACCTGCAAGGGTCTCCTGCATGGCAACCCAGATCGACAATCAGGGTTCAGGGTCACACCCAGGAGGGTGAGGTTGACCTTCCTATAGGGGGGTACACTCAGAAGACTTCAGCACCCAGGACAGGAGCCCCTCGAAGGGGCCAGCCACCTCGTCCTTGCCTAGCTTGACCTTGCTGTGTCCCCCTACACCCCAGGCTGATCAACCTGGGAACTCCAGCAGCAGGGTTTGGGGAGGGAAGGGAGATTACTCGGCACTTTTCAGCTAAGGAGACTTTCTAGAAGCAGGTGCTGCTGCAGGCCGCAAGCAGGTGAGACATTACTCGATCCAAGAAGGGAAGGTCTGGACAGACAAAGACCACAGAGTGAGGAGCAACCGCCTTCCTCTGGAGCCCTCCTCCAGCCCTTCCTCCAGCCCTTCCTCCGGAGCCCTCCTCCAGCCCTTCCTCCGGAGCCCTCCTCCAGCCCTTCCTCCAGCCCTTCCTCCGGAGCCCTCCTCCAGCCCTTCCTCCAGCCCTTCCTCCGGAGCCCTCCTCCAGCCCTTCCTCCAGCCCTTCCTCCGGAGCCCTCCTCCAGCCCTACCTCCAGCCCTTCCTCCGGAGCCCTCCTCCAGCCCTTCCTCCAGCCCTTCCTCCGGAGCCCTCCTCCAGCCCTTCCTCCAGCCCTTCCTCCGGAGCCCTCCTCCAGCCCTTCCTCCAGCCCTTCCTCCGGAGCCCTCCTCCAGCCCTTCCTCCAGCCCTTCCTCCGGAGCCCTCCTCCAGCCCTTCCTCCAGCCCTTCCTCTGGAGCCCTCCTCCAGCCCTTCCTCCAGCCCTTCCTCTGGAGCCCTCCTCCAGCCCTTCCTCCAACTTTCCAAGGTCAAATGTGAGGTCTCCTCTACTCACATTGTACAGGCCTTCCTGAGGGTTCTTCCTTCTCTGCTAGGAAAGACAACGGGAAGACGTTAGAGGGAGAGAAACACAAACCCAAGCCATGAAAGTACAGCAAACCCCATCCTGCCCCCTGACTGCAGTTTCCTGGGGCTCTGCCGTCTGCCTCTCTCCTCCCTGTGCTACCCCAGCCTTGCCTAGGCCACTGTTGGGGCCCTCATGGCACTACATGGCTCATACTTGGTTACCTGCAACTGGATACACACTTCGCTCTTCCAGAGGGGCCCACCCAAGCCCAGCATTGCCCAGGGCAGGCCATCGGGACGCCCACACACATCACAAGCTGACAAGTGGGACTTTTGGCTGAAGACAAAAGGAGTCACATACCATCATTTGGAGCAGGGCCA
The DNA here is from genome assembly GCF_000001405.40 of Homo sapiens. Lineage (NCBI taxonomy): Eukaryota > Metazoa > Chordata > Mammalia > Primates > Hominidae > Homo > Homo sapiens. The sequence goes on from NC_000001.11 coordinate 167,435,791, forward strand.
GCCACTGGTAGTGAGTGCCTACTGAAAGGTGCCCTCCCCACACCCTCCTAGTCCTGACAAGAGGAGAGGAGGCAAGATAAACTTGGATGGTGGGGGTGAGGAGTGGTCAATGAAATCGACAGCCTCTCTACTGCCCATTCACTCTAGCAACAACACAACCAGCACAGGGATCAGCCTGGACAGGGGCTGGATGGACAGGCGTGACCACTGGCAGCATCTGGCAGCACTGCCCTTACACCAGGACAGCCCTGGCCTTTGTCCTGAGCCCTGTGCTTAAAAGGACCCTAACAAGTCAAATTTAACAACACATTAAAAGGATCATTCAGTGTGATCAAGTGGGATTAATCCCTGGGATGCAAGGATGGTTCAACAAACGAAATCAATAAACATGATACACCACATTAACAGAATGAAGAACAAAAATCATGATCATCTCACTAGATGCAGGAAAAGCATTTGACAAAATTTAACATCCTTTCATGCTAAAAACTCTCAACAAATTAGGTATAGAAGGAATGTGCCTCCACACAATAAAGGCCACATATGACCAATCCACAGCTAACACCACACTCAGCAGGGAAAAGCTGAAGCCTTTCCTCCCTTTCTTCTAAGATCTGAAACAAGACAAAGATGCCCACACTCACTACTTCTATTCAATATAGTAACATAGGTCCCAGCCGAGCAATTAGCAAAAGGTGCCAAGAATATACAATGGGAAATGAATGGTCTCTTCAATAAACGGTGTTGGAAAACCTGGATATCCACAAGCAAAATAATGAAATTGGACCTTATCTCACACCGTATACAAAAATCAACTGAAAATGGATTAAAGACTTAAACATAAGGCCTGAAACTGTAAAACTTCCATAATAAATCATAGATGAATAGATATTTCTCAAAAGAAGACATATAAATGGCTAAGAGACATATGAAAAAATGCTTAACATCACTAACCATTAGGGAGATAAAAAGTAAAACCACAATGAGATCACCTCACACTTGTTAGGGTGCGCATTACCAAAAAGACAAAAGACAACAATAGTTGGCAAGGATGGAGAGAAAAGGAAACCCTTGAACACTCTTGGTGGGAATGTAAATTAATACAACCATTATGGAAAACAGTATTGAGGCTCCACAAAAAACTAAAAATAGAACTACCATATGACCCAACAATCCCGCTTCTGGGTATTTACCCAAAAGATTTGAAGTCTGCTTGTTGAAGAAATGTCTATACTCCCATGTTGATTGTAGCACTATTAACAATAACCACGGCTGGGCGCGGGGGCTTACACCTGTGATTCCAGATTGTAGTCCTATTAACAATAACCAAGGCTGGGTGTGGTGGCTCACGCCTGGAATCGCAGCACTTTGGTTGGCTGAGGCGGGCAGATCACTTGAGGTCGAAAGTTCGAGACCAGCCTGATCAACATGGAGAAACCCCGTCTCTACTAAAAAAACTACAAAATTAGCCAAGCGTGGTGGCGCATGCCTGTAATCCCAGCTACTCGGGAGGCTGAGGCAGGAGAATTGCTTGAACCCTAGAGGCAGAGGTTGTGGTGAGCCGAGACTGTGCCGTTGCACCCCAGCCTGGGCAACAAAAGCTAAACGCTGTCTCAAAAAAAAAAAGAAAACAAAACAAAAGAAACCAATAACCAAGTTATGGAATCAACCTAAGTGTCCATCAAAGAATGAACAGATAAAGAGACTGTGGAACATACACACAATAGAATACTATTCAGCTTTTAAAAAGGAAGAAATTCTGTTATTCACTCTAACATGGATGGAACTAGAGACCATTATGCCAAGTGAAATCAGCCAGGCACAGAAAGACAAACACTCCATGTTCTCACCTATATGTGGAATCTAAAACAGTTTAACTCACTGAAGCATGGACAGGTAGCATGATGTTTACCAGAGGCTGGGGAATGGGGGGAATGGGGAGATGATAGTCACAGGGTACAAAGCCTCAATTAGATAGGAAGAGTAATTTATTTTTAGATCAACAGCACAACATGCTGAATATAGTTAATATGTGAGTACTATACATTTTAATATCTCTAAGAGTAAGTTGCTAATGTTCTCATCACAAAAAAGTTAAAGATTTGAAGTGATAAATATGTTAATTAGCTTAATTTAATCATTTCATATTATATTCAAAAATCATAACAATACTTTGTACCCCATAAATATGTAGAACTATAATTTGTCAATATAAAATAAATAAAGACAGAGGAAGGAAGGAAGGAAGGAAGGAAGGAAGGAAATCAGAATGAAGGGGAAAAAACAAAGAGGACCCTACCCTACTGTGGTGTCATCCAGCTGCTCCCCTACCCACAGGTATACCCACAGGTATAGTGTCTACAAAGCCAAGAGGTCAAACCCCCCAGGGACCATACCCCGACCATATGTGGGTTATCCAGGGGTCTTGGGCCCTTCCTGTATGGACCTCTTCACCAGGTCTGTCCTCTTGGGGCAGATGGCGTCACCGTATGTGCATCTCAGGATGGCCAAGGAGCAGTTTGAGGGGAAGTGGGTAGAGCTTAGACATGAGCAGTGGGGTGCCACGTCCGGGGGTGAGGCCCCTTGAGATGCAGAATGGAGCCAAGGAGGAAGGAAGAGGGTGCGGCAGCAAGTGGGTCTCCATCTCTTCTCTTGTCCTGGGCCCACACATGTGAGGGTCGAGTCTGGTTGCAGAGTGAGCTGAGGAGCCCTCCCCCACAGCCTGGGCTGAGCCCCACCACACATGCAGGAACACACAGGAAGGTAGAGGAACCCCTACCGGCTTTCCCCCCATCTCAGGGTCCCGGCCACGTCTCTTGTCCAAAACATCGTACTCCTCTCTTCGTCCTAGATTGAGCTCCTATAACAGATAAGAAAGTGTCAGACACAGGACGGAGGAACCTCAGAAGGATGGAGCCAGCTGGACTGGGGAGTGTGGTTTCCCTCTCTGGGGTGGCTCATAAAAAGAGGGGCAGGGGCTGGGGAGGGGATGGTAACTGGTCCATCTGGAGACCATCATCCCAGAGGACATCTCAGAGAACACGCCTTAACATGACAGTGGATGGGATCCCCAAAGGTCACCAAGTACTATAGGCTGATCAGTCCAACGGGATAAGGATCAACATTCTCATGAGCAAATAGAGAAGTGGGGGCTCAGAGGTGGTAGTCAATTTCACCACAGTCCCATTGCACAGGGAGTGTGAAATCGCTTTCCCCTCCTCTGGGAAGATTCTAATACATTCCTTCTCCACCCCCCTCTAGCCTTTGCAAATTGCTGATGGCTTGGGGGCTCACTAGTGGCAGGCACTAGACTAAGCTCGTTCCATGCATCAAGACATTAAAGCATGTAATCTTTATGGCGCCCTTTGAGACAGGTACAATTACTACACCTGTTTTGTGGGTTAGAAAACTGAGGTTAAACAAGTTGCAGCCGGGTCGCAGAGGTGATAGCTAGGGACCAAACCTAAACCCAAGACTCTGGCGGGCGCGTTCCCTAGGTCCGAGGAGGAGGCTGCCCTTCCTTTCCGGAGGGTCTACGGCGAGGCTGACTTACGTTATAGAGCTGGTTCTGGCCCTGCTGGTACGCGGGGGCGTCTGCGCTCCTGCTGAACTGCAACACAGAAAGCAAAGCGCGTTACTGCTCCGCGAGGGCGCGCAGGGGAGCCGGGGTGCCAGGGCGCGCGGCGACCCGAGGGACAGCCCTACTCCGCTCCTTGGCAACTAACAATGCTGCCCTGCCTCCTGGGGCTGAGCCCTTGCAGGGGCCGGGGCGTGGCAGCCCCTTTTTCTGAGCCCAGTTGTCCTTTTTCCTCCCGCCTGTGACACGTGCATTCATCACGCTGGCCCAGGACCCGCTGGAGTTTATTCTTCCCGGGCTAGCGCCCTCGCGCGTGCGCAGAGGTATAAGGTTCTTGGTCTGCGCCCCCGGGGACATGAGTATTCTCTAGGATCCCTTCCTCCGGGGACTCTGAGGACAATCCAGGGTGGATGGCGGCTGGTCAAGATCCCGCCTCCTATCTTGACCCCCGGAGCAGTGTACTGTACGTGCATCACTCGCCCAGCCCTCAGCCATCGCCCGGCTGCCCCGGTGCCCAGGAAGCCTCGCGTTCGCTTAGTGTCCTGAGCATCTGTGGGAAGCTGACACAGCCTCACTCCTGCTTCACTTCATGCCGCTTCAGGCGGGAGAAACTGCAATGTCTTACAGATCTAGAGCATTGGAAACAACCTTAGAAATCATCTAGGGCAGCATTTTCAAACTTAAAACAAGAAACTCAGTAAGATTTGGTTTTTCAAATAAAATATTATGCCAAAGTCCAAAATTCAAACAAGAAATGGGTTGAGAAGCACTGAAGTGATGACTGGGACTGGATTCTCCCCTTTACTCCTAAATTCTTCCAATCTCTGCCCACACCATGACCAGCCCCACGAAGAAATCCAGGGTCTGCAAGGCACCAAGTGAAAAACCCACGCTCTGGTCAGCTCCCCAGTTACAGATGAGGAAAGGGCCTTTTCAAGAGAAAGGCTAACATGGCCTTCATTCACACTTGGAAAGAAGGACCTCTGCCTGAGTGTAAGCCCCTTTGTCACCAGTAGCATCGCCTTCCCTGGGACACTCTGATGTGCACACATTTGTACGGCTTGTCATGGAGGTGCCTAGCACCAGGCTCTCCCTCCTACCCTGTCCATCTCAGCCAGACACTGCCACCTCCTCCTCAGCCCACTCAAGGCACACACTTGGCTGGTCCTTGCTTTGCTCCTGGATACCAAGCCCCAGGCACCACCCGAGCTTGAGACCTTCCAAGACCAAGGCCCCTCTGAACATCCATCAAGTGGGGGACCCCGTGCCCTCCTCCCAAAGCCCAGTGGTACCCACCTTCACTCTCAGGAACAAGGCAGTGAGAATGACACCATAGATGAAGAGGATTCCATCCAGCAGGTAGCAGAGTTTGGGATCCAGCAGGCCAAAGCTCTGTGCCTCTGTGCCAAGAGATAAAGCTGGTCAGCCAGGCCCAAGGTGACGAGAACACATCCCCATTACCCCAGGGTGGCACTAGGACTGACTGACCAAATAAATCATGACACGGAGACTATATCCAATCCCCATGCCTCAGCCTGATCACAACCCTCTCCCTCCCTCCCACCTCAACCAGCTCCTGGAAAACCTATTGGCACCAACGGCAGATGTGGCCGCTGTGGGGCCAAAGAACCTGGGGCAATGGGAGGGGAGGTGGAAACAAGGCGAGCAGATGAGGCTGTTCTCTGTGCACAGAGCTCCTGCCACTGCAGCAGAAGCCCAGCCATGTTAGCCCCGGTGTGAACCAAGAACTCTGGAAGCCTCGGGAAGATGTTCACGTCTGGATGAATGGTACTCCTGGCCTGAGGTGTGTGGCTCTGAGGCCTACCCACAGGGAGACAATAGGTCAAATGATGGTCAAATGAGATCATTTCAATATCTGACAGTTAACTAGGACAGGGAGAATCTGGGTTAACTCTCCCCCAACTCCCTGCCTCCTCAGTGCCAAGCACTCTCCCGCCTAGGACAGTGGGATCTGGTGCTCGGCTTCCCTTCCCTGTTCCCTGAAGGGTTTCATGGCCAACAGACAGAGGTACCTTTGGTGCCCCTCCCCACCTAGGCCCAGCATCTCCCTGTCCCCTAGTCCCAGCTCCATGGCCTCAGCCTTCTCTGTCTCCCCTCCTCCCACTACACACACCCCATTCCCAGGACACGCCTTGCTCTTCCAGACTATTTGCCCTGTGCCTTGCACTCTCTGTTCCCTCTTCATGTTCCCTCCATTTCTCTCCCTGAAACCCTACTATTTGGTAACATTTGATGCATCCTACAAAATGCAGCTCAAAGATCCCTTCTGTGTTAGCTTCTCCCACTGCAAATTTCCCAGGGGCCCCTAACTCCTAGTGCCATATTAACCTTTGTCAAGCTGTAGTTAATGCACGTTTAGTTGGCACTGCCATTGGAGTACAATGGGCTGAAGAATGCAGATACACTAAATACTCTGGTTAAATAAAAGTTTGCATTTTTGGGCTGGGGGCGGTGGCTCACGCCTGTAATCCCAGCACTTTGGGAGGCTGACATGGGTGTATCACTTGAGGTCAGGAGTTCAAGTCCAGCCTGGCCAACGTGGTGAAACCCCATCTCTACTAAAAATACGAAAATTAGCTGGGCGTGGTGGCTGGCAGCTTTGATCACAGCCACTCTGGAGGCTGAGGCAGGAGAATCGCTGGAACCTGGGAGGCAGAGGTTGCAGTGAGCCGAGATCACGCCACTGCACTTCAGCCTGGCACACAGAGTGAGGCTCCGTCTCAAAAAAAAATTTAAAAAGTTAGTGTTTTTATTTGGAACATCATTGCACTGTGAATGAGGAGACTCAGATTTTAGTCTGACCATACTTCCTACTAGGTAAACGTGCAGCAACTCAACCTGTAAAACAGGGTGTGGTACCCATCTCACTCCACCCCTGCCTGGTAACTAGAGCAGAGGTCCCAGGCCAGCCCCGCTAGTGTCTGTCTCCCAAGGCCTGGGCGCCCTCTGGTGGCCTTTGGACCCAGATGAGGGCAGAGGGAGTGGAGGCCATATGTGGGAGTGCTGTCATTCTTTCTGGCTGTGTGATTTGGGGCAGGTTATGTATGCTCTGTCAGCTGCCTCTTCTGTTGAACAGGGTGAAAACTAACATTTCTTCAGACACTGCCTTAAATGTAATCATCGTCAGATCCTCCTGCCACCCACACTCGGACACTGAGGCACCGAGTATTCGGGTTCAGAGCACACGGTCACAGGCAGCCCAGGACTGATCCCTAGCAGTTCTCGCCCCCTTCCTGCCCCTGGGCCAGCCCTGCCTACCCCTCCATGCCAGCAACGTTTTGGCCTCCCTGACGAACTATGGAAGCAGATGATTCAAAGGCAGCCGCCAGTGTCCCCACCCCCACCACCCTGAATCCCTCTGTCCCCTGGCTTTTGACTCCAACCCTAATTCAGGACCCCTCTTGCCCCCAGGCAGCTGATCTCTACAAACCTCCCACAGACCCTGCCCAGAGACCATTGATGACCCAGCCACTCGGACGAGAGTCCAAGCTCTTTGTCCAGCCATGTTAGGGCTCTGCCATAACCAGTCCAGGCCTGAAAAGACCACAGCTTTGTGCCACCCTGTCCCTCTGCTCTTGTCTTTTCCCCCCATTCTTCCTTGAACACCCATATTTTTCTACCCCCTGGCCTGCTGAGCTAGATCTTTTTCTAGGCTTGCGTTCTACCCCTCCACTCAACACCTGTTGAAATCAGACTGTCCCACCACCTGAGCCCCTGAGGAAAAAGTGAGAGGATGTCGGTTCAAGAGCCTATATCCCCCAAAGCGCTCTACAAACCCAACTCCTCAGGACTCAGATGCCCCTCCATCTAGGCTGTCAGCACCTGAGACCAATGGCTGCATCTTCATTATTGCCTCTTCCTCCAGCCCCAGCATCAGAGTGCAGGGCACAGGGTAGACAATCACTCGATATCATGGAATTTTTCAGGGCTGAACTTCAGTGATGAGGAAGATGCTGGGCCCAGCCCCAGGTGTGCCTGCCCTCTGGCCCCAAGGTATTGCTGGAAGTCCTCACTGACCTAGGGACGATCTAAAGGCCTCTGGGGGACAAGCCAGCCCCCATGAAGGCCACCAAAGCTGGGGTGACTTTTTGCTGTGAGGACTGCAGAGGAGATAACCGTGGCGATTTATGGGACTGGTTGAGACTCAGAAGAAAATCCAGGAGAAAATCACTCAGCTGCTTGTCACAGAAAATTAGAACAGAAAAATTACTGGACAGTAAATTTAGCACAAATAAGAAATATTTCTTTGTGTTGTGCAGACTCAGCACAACACAAAGGGGCAGGGGGATTGGGCATGTCCCTGAGATAAATAATATGAACAAGTTTCCTTCCTTTCTTCCTTCCCTCCTTCCTTCTTCCTTTCTTTCTGCATAGTTTTATGACTGATGACAAGTGTGCTGTGTGTGGTTGGGTGGAGGAGAGGATATTAACCCCAACATAATTCCCTGTGTAGGACCCTCCTCTCCTCGGTCCCACTATACCTGTGCTGGGAGAGATGGGCCTGAGGAAGACAGTCATGGCCCAGAAAGCTCCATGCAGGGATGCAGGACCTGATTCAGTTACGCAATTAATTAAATATTCATTGGGCATCTGCTCTGTGCCGGGAACTATTGAAATGGAATGAACTCTGGATTGCGTGCAGGTGGGTTCGAGTACTTCTCTTGCCACTTACTAGCTGTGTGGTTTTGGACAAGTCACTTCCCTCTCTGGGCCTCAGTTACCTCATCTATTAAATGGAGGGTAATCATATCTACCTTAAGGGTTGTGATGAGAATCAAAAGACAATGATGTCTGATATTTGGGTCGAGTCTTCTGAGTCCCTGCCCTCATGGGGCTTAAGTCTTAGCTCTTGAGGCCGCACACAAGGTGTAGGAGCTTCCCTGGACAACAGACAGTTTTGCAGGATGCCAGCTCAAAGGCACCGCATCGCCACTCTCTACTTGGTCCTGGCTTCTTCCCTGTGCGCGCTCCTGTGGCTTCTTCGTATTTCTACCAATTCCATCCCAAAGGGACCAGCAGCTGCTTCCTAGGAGGTTTCAGGGTATTACATGGTAGCTACTTTTCTGTAAAAGTGGAGAAGCTGTTTTATTTAATGTTCCTGATCCCTACCCAAGAGTACAGCACCCAGGAGAACCTCAGCATCTGAAAGGAGCCCCAGAGACTAATAGAGCATTCTCACACAGACTCTCAATCCACCGCCCTCTCCCCTGAGGCTCTGACTTAAGTGGCCTGGAGTGGAACCTGGGCATGGGGACTTCACTGCATGGCCATGAATGGATTGAGATTCAGACCTGCATCATTACAGGGGCCACAGCATGTGAGAGGGAAGCCCTGCCTTCTGTAGAGATGCAGCCATACCCTACAACAAATGTAAATTTCTGTCAAACAGATGCAATAAAATTAAAGCTTTGGTCCTTCTTATACACTGTACTTCTGAACTGTGTATTATGGAACTTCTCTAAGCCTTCGTTTTCTCATCTGTAAAATGGGGATAACAACACTACCTGTCTCATTAGATGGTGGTGAGGGTTAAATACGATACTTTTTTTTTTTTTTAAGTGGAGTCTCACTCTGTTGCCCAGGCTGGAGTGCAATGGCATGACCTCAGCTCACTGCAACCTCTGCCTCCCAGGTTCAAGTGATTCTCCTGCCTCAGCCTCCCAAGTGGCTGGGATTACAGGTGCACACCACGATGCCCTGCTAATTTTTGTAATTTTAGTAGAGATGGGGTTTTGCCATGTTGGTCAGGCTGGTCTCAAACTCCTGACCTCAAGTGATCTGCCCGCCTCGGCCTCCCAAAGTGCTCGGATTACAGGCATGAGCCACCGTGCCTGGCCAAATATGATACTTCTTATGGGGTGAGGATAAAATAAAATAATTCTTATGGGGTGAAGGACCCCATAAGGGTATGTGTTCCATTTTGCCACCTATTGTTACTGCCATGATTTCTACTTTAAGCCCATGCACGATAAGTTGGAACCTTCCTGCCCTGTAGCAAGATCCCAGGAATAGGCCATGTGAGATGCTCAGAGGAGGCTGGGGGCAGCCAAAGATGATCACAGAGTATCTAGGCATACGGGTCATTGTATCTAAGTGTTGTGAGTCTAATTAGTGACAGTGAGCCTCGCCATCCCTTTGTAGCCTTTTGTCATCTTCATTAAAAAAAAAGCCCTGAATTCAGGAAGTCTCATGGTACTGACCACTAACAGGAAGATTCTGGAGCCCCAGAGTGCACCCTGGGGGAGACGCACCTATCCTTACAGAATCTGGTTTCTCTGGGTGAGATTTACTTGAATTGCGTTGTTTGTCTGTCTGTCTCTGAGCCAGACTATGAACTTCTGCTAACAGGGATCAGGCCTTAATCAACCTGGTCCTGCCATACCCTGAGGCTGAAAATACACGCTGGTGCCCTTTCCCCTGCAGTCAACCTCCTTCTCCAGCAAATCCTGTTTCGGAGCTGGGCATCTGCGGGACTTACTCACATCCAACTAATAAGGATTCTTCTCATTTGAACTCTAATTTCTACTTTTAAAGTGACTTCCTGTGTCTGATGGAGTTAGATTCTTATGAGTGCCAGGAGACAAACAGGGGGCTACTTTTGGGCCCAATTCACAGGTGGATAAACTGAGATCAGAGGAATGAAGCAACTTCACCAAGGACACCTGCAGGTTAGTGGCAAAGCTGGAAGGGAATTCCTGGGTCTCCTGACTCCAGGTACTTCTCTTAGCCTTATGGCTTCGATGCAGCTGACCTATGGGCTCAGGATCCGGAGTTTCCACCTACCTCTGATTTCACAGCCCTTGCCATTTTGCCCACTTTTGACACTTAGTCACAACGGCTTGTAAACGTTCCACTTCAAGTCCGCCCCCCACCACTGGCTCTGGCAAGCACAGATGGTGCCTTATAGTTTCATTTGCACCTTTCCCTCCTCACCCGCACATCACAGGCTTAGAGAAGAGCAAAGAACATAATAAGTCTTTGAGTCAGAAAGACTCTAAGACTCAAATGTGGAATCTGCCCCATTATTGGCTTGTTTTGGAACAGTTTTCTTAACCTCTCTGAGCGTCAATTCTCCTATCTGCAGAAGGGCTTTGACAAGACCGATTTCACGGGTGCAGAGAAATGAGGTAAAGTTTGTGGGGTGCCCTGCACAGTGGCGCATGCTAAGAGGCTCTGCAGGTACAAGGAGTGACAGCAGGGGATGGCCCTCTGACCTCCCACACCATCATGCCACGGTTGGGGACAGAACCTGGCCAGGTTTCCCAGCCCAGGATGGGGATACCCACTCTTCAGGGGTGTTTGAAGATAAAAACAGATAATGGGGGCCAGGCGCGGTGGCTCACGCCTATAATCCCAGCACTTTGGGAGGCCGAGGCGGGCGGATCATGAGGTCAGGAGATCGAGACCATCCTGGCTAACATGGTGAAACCCCGTCTCTACTAAAAAATACAAAAAAATTAGCCGGGCGTGGTGGCAGGCACCTGTGGTCCCAGCTGCTCAGGAGGCTGAGGCAGGAGAATGGTGTGAACCCAGGAGGTGGAGCTTGCAGTAAGCGGAGATTACGCCACTACACTCCAGCCTGGACAACAGAGTGGGACTCCGTCTCAAAAAAAATAAAAAGAGATAATGGGTGTGTACAAAGTGCCTGGCACACAGTGGGAGCTCAGTAGTGTGTAGACTTTCTGAGAACTCCTCACTTCACAAAATGATAATGATGTAACACATGCATGAAGCATACAGTTTAGAGAGCTCTTTGCACTTGCATGATCTGGCTTAATCCTCAGAACAACCTTGCACAATACGGGCAGAATTATTACCAATTCTATTTTGCAGATAATGACGTTGCAGCTCCAATAGGTCACATGGCTAGAGATTTTCTGAGTGCATCTGATGCAAAGTCCCTTCTCAATCTACCTTATCCCAGTGCCTCTGGGGTTCCTGTCATATAGAGAGCTTCCCACCTCTTTCAGGAGTTTCTTCTTTGGTAGGCACTTCTGGCCTCTGCTTGAATATCTCTGGTGACAGGAAGCTCAGCACCCAGCAATCACTGGTGGAGAGCTCTAATTTTCAGAGTTAAAAAAAAAACTTTGAACCTAGTTCTGCCTTCAGAAGCACAAATCACACAGATCCTCCAATTTCTATAGGGCAGCCTTTCAAACCTCACCCCCGTCCAGCTTGTTTCCACTTTGATAGGAAGCACGGCAGGTAAGAATGAATCCTACGAAGGCGACAACTGCAATCCAAGTCCTGGTGTTGCTACTGTGTAATCACTGAGTAATCACAGCGACCTCCCAGGGTGTGTGACACTCAAATGGGAAGGGCTTGGTACCTGGTAAGCGCTCAGTTTGTAGGCACTGATGGAATCAATATGAATCACAGTAGCTCATGATCCAGGTAGGAGTGGCCAGCTTTCTACTCGCCAACCTTCCTTCCTTTGAGTCCCCAACTTTGAGCCCTGAGTCCTGCTGCTGCCAGCTCCACCCCCAGGCTCAGGCACAACTGGTGATGACATTGCAGGGTAAAAACTTAGAAAACAGGAAGTCACTGTTCTTAGGAAGGCAGTGGCAGCAGCTATGGGTGGGGGGGTGGGGGCGGTGTCTGTGTTGGGCAGGGTGCTGGGTGTGATGCCGACCCATTGACCACAGCATCCAGGCACCCAGACCATCCCCCTCAGTGGGTTGCTCCCTTTCATCGAATAACTAACTTTCACTGCAGCAGAAAAGATATAGGCTAGACACACAGAGTAATAGTTATAACCACTGGTTGAAGATTTGTTCTGGGCCAGGAACCACACGTGTGAGTTTTCTCATTCAGTCTTCACAGTGACTCTGATTTCACAGCTAGGGAAACTGAGGCTCAGAGAAGTTAATAACATGCCTAATGTCTACAGCCAGGGTTGAATCCAGGCACATCTGGATCCACAGTCCAGGTCTTAACCACCACTTGGTACTGACCTTCAAAGACTTGCTGATCCTCAGAGGTGGTGAGAGGGGTCCTCACCAGGCTGTGGAGTCCCTTCTCCCAGGATCGAACCATTATAGCAGGTCATATTCTTGACTCTACAATTAGCTTTCTTTCATTGAGGGCTGAGAGGCCGGCCTGGGGGGTTGACAGATACAGAAGGCCTGCTACCAAATGTGAGGCCAGGACTCACACTGCCCAGTGCTTATAGCAATGACCCACTGGAGATACCTCAATCACCCTGAACTGCAGAACGACTCCAGCTAATTTACTGGCAACATATAATGTTTTACTACTCTCTTTAATTTGCTACCAGCCTGGCCAACAGGGTGAAACCACATCTCTACTAAAAATACAAAAAATTAGCTAGGTGTGGTGGCGGGCGCCTGTAATACCAGCTACTCAAGACGCTGAGGCAAAAGAATCGCTTGAACCCAGGAGGTGGAGGTTGCAGTGAGTTGAGATAGCACCACTGCACTCCAGCCTGGGCCATAGAGTGAGACTCTGTCTAAAAAAATAAATAAACAAAAATTTTTTTAAAAAGTACCACAGCCTCCTTAATTCTCTCCTCAGTGTCAGATTTCAAATATTCATGTTTCATTGTAAAATTGGATCATTTGTTCAAAACTACCTACAAATTATGTATTCCCATAGATAAGGGTTCCAAGGGAAGAGGGAAGAACAGGGCTGTATGATTTCTTAGGGGTAGCGCTTTATGAGCAAATGTTTCTCTTCTTGTATTTTTATTTCCATTAAAGTTGTTATGTTTTGAGCGATACTTTGTGATCATTTTTCTTTTCTTTTTTTTTTTTTTTTTTTTTGAGACAGAGTCTCGCTTTGTTGCCCAGGCTGGAGTGCAGTGGCATGATCTTGGCTGACTGCAACCTCCGCCTCCCAGGTTCAAGCGATTCTCCTGCCTCAGCCTCCCAGGCAGCCATGATTACAGGCACCTGCCACCACACCTGGCTAATTTTTTGTATTTTTAGCAGAGACGGGGTTTCACCATGTTGGCCAGGCTGTTCTCAAACTCCTGACCTCAGGTAATCCACCCGCCTCAGCCTCCCAAAGTGCTGGGATTACAGGTGTGAGCCACCGAGCCCAGCCTTTGTGATCATTTTTCTTTTCATTTTCAAGTAAATCAACTTAATATAAAAGTGCAGAAAAGTAGGAAAAAATCAGAATTGCCCATAATACCACTTTCAAACACAGCCATTATTAATATGATGGCAGATGGCTGACCAAAGTCTTTGTTATTTATAAACTGTAATCATTTTACATAACAACTTTCCACGGGCAGGTGCAGTGGCTCACGCCTGTAATCCCAGTACGTTGGGAGGCCGAGGTGGGCAGATCGCCTGAGGTCAGGAGTTTGAGACCAGCCTGGCCAACATGGTGAAACCCTCTCTCTACTAAAAGTATGAAAATTAGCCGGGCATGGTGGCACGTGCCTATAATCCCAGCTACTTGGGAGGCTGAGGCAGGAGAATCACTTGAACTTGGGACGTGGAGGCTGCAGTGAGCCAAGATTGCGTCATTGCATGTCAGCCTGGGTGACAAAGTGAGACTCTGTCTCAAAAAAAAAAAAATTTCCTGAAGAATTGTTTTTTTCATTTAGTATTATGTTATAATCTAAGACTTCATGTTATTTCATATATTCATATTTCATGTTACTTTGTCATTTTACTATTAATAAATATCCTTTTTAAAGGTTGCCTAATAAGCTTTCCACTATCTACATAACCATTCCCCATTGGTGCTCATTTGTTTCCAATTTTTCACCATTATAAATAATTCTAAGATGAACAGCTTCATTCCTAAAGCTTTTTACAGGATTGGAATTCCATCAATAATAGCTTGAAAAATGGGCCAGGTGCGGTGGCTCAGGCCTGTAATCCCAACACTTGGCGAGGCCAAGCTAGCAGGACTGCTTGAGCCCAGGAGTTAGAGACCAGCCTGGGCAACATGGCAAGACCCTCCCTCTACAAAAAATAAAAAATTAGCTGGGCATGATGGTGCATGCCTTAGTCACAGCTACTCAGGAGGCTGAGGTGCGAGGATCACTTGAGCCCAGGAGGTCAAAACTGCAGTGAGCCCTGACCGTGTCACTGCACTCCAGCCTGGTTGACAGAGTGAGACCCTGTCTCAAAAAAAAATAAGTGAATAAATAATAATACTTTGAAAAATGAAAGCTAAGACTAATAGTCCAAGAGATAAATCAGCAAAAGATATAAATAGGCAATTCGCAGAGACAGGAAAACAGATTACTTACAAACATATAAAAAGACATACTGGGAGCAGTGGCTCATGCCAATCCCAGCACTTTGGAAGGCCGAGGCAGGCAGATCACTAGGTCAGGAGCTCGAGACCAGTCTAGCCAATATGGTAAAACCCCATCTCTACTAAAAATACAAAAATTAGTCAGGCATGGTGGCATGTGCCTGTAGTCCCAGCTACTCGGGAGGCTGAGGGAGGAGAATCGCTTGAACCCAGGAGGCACAGGTTGCAGTGAGCTGAGATCGAGCCACTGCAATCCCACCTGGTGACAGAGCAAGCATCTGTCTCAAAAAAAAAAAAAAAAGAAAAGAAAAGAAAAGACAGTCTCAGTGCTAGCCAAGGAAATGAAAGTATGAAGTGACAAAGAGATGTCTCCTGTTTTTCACAGGTGGTCAGAGCGGGCTTCAGCTGTGCAGATCTGTCAGGGAAGGGCACTCCGGGCAGAGGAGCAGAGGTGGAAAGGCTGTGTGGTGGACCTGTGCCCAGTGTCTCTGAACTGCAAGCAGGGGTAGGTAGCATGAATGAGGGGAAGTTCTAGGAGACTAGGAAAGAGGGCGACAAGCGTGTGGGGTTGTTAGGTAGAACTTCCTTGGCCAGTGGCTTTTACTCTGAATGAGATGGGGAACAGCTGCAGGGTTTTCTCTTTTGACAAGGACACATTATGTTTTTATTTAAAATATGGTAATAACATTTCAAAGAAAAAATTAAAGCCAACTGGAACAAGGCAAGGTTCACAGTTGCCTTGGGCCCCTGGGCTAACTGGAGATGCCCCGGCAAGCCCCAGGACAGGCTTCAAATCAGCCCTAAAATCCAGGCTATACTGCCAGCCTCCATTACCTGTCTGCATTCAGCCAAACATAGTCATTGTCATCTCTTCTTCCCCTGGTCCTCAAAACCAAGCTCTTCCTACTCTTGCCCCATAAACCACCCAGAAAGTGGTTGTTTGTCCTGAAAGGGTGAAACCCATTCACTCTTTTGCTCCTTCCTCATCCATTAACACTAATAATCCCTAAGCCTCCATTTCTGTTATGGGCTGAATTTTGCCCCCTGAAATTCTTATGTTGAAATCCTAACTCCCAACACCTCAGAATGTGACCGTACTTGAAGAAAAGGTCTTGAAAGAGGTCACTAAGTTAAAATGAGGTCATTAGTGGGGGCCCTGATCCAATATGACTCGTGTCCTTGTAAGAAGACAAGATTAGGTCGGGCGAGGTGGCTCACGCCTGTAATCCCAGCACTTTGGGAGGCTGAGGTGGGTAGATAACCTGAGGTCAGGAGTTTGAGACCAGCCTGACCAACATGGTAAAACCCCAACTCGGCCGGGTGCGGTGGCTCATGCCTGTATTCCCAGCACTTTGGGAGGTGGAGGCGGGTGGATCACCTGAGGCCAGGAGTTTGAGACTAGCCTGGCCAACATGGCTAAACCCCGTCTCTACCGAAAATACAGAAAAATTAGCCAGGTGTGGTGGTAGGCACTTGTAAACCCAGCTACTCAGAAGGCTAAGGCAGGAGAATTGCTTGAACTTGGGAGGCAGAGGTTGCAGTGAGCCGAGATCACGCCATTGCACTCCAGCCTGGGCAACAAGAGCGAAACTCCATCTCAAACAAAACAAAACAAAACAAAAACCATCTCTAATAAAATACAAAAAATTAGCTGGGCATGGTGGTACACCATGAGGCTTCAGGAGGCTGAGGCAGGAGAATCCCTTGAACCCGGGAGGCGGAGGCTGCAGTGAGCCGAGATTGTGCCACTGCACTCCAGCCTGGGCGAGGGAGCAAGACTCTATCAAAAAAAAAAAAAAAAAAGATGAGATTAGGACACAGACATGTACAGAGGGAAGATGCCGTGAAGATGATGTAAAGACACAGGGAGAGATGGCCACCTACAAGCCAAGGAGTGGCACCTCACGAGTGGTCATGTGGTGGCCATCCTTACTAGGAGAAAATGTCACGCACTGTGCTGGGCAGTGAGGGTGGAGGTGACAGACACAGATGTAGCCTCCCAGCCGAGCAGAGAGGTGGGCAAGGAAACAAATCATCCCACGAGAGAGGGGCACAGGGTGCTAAGGAAACATGAGGGAGGGACGATGCCTGCAGTCACGCTCTGGGAGTAAACAATGACAGGCAAGTGATCTCCTTTGGTGAGCAGGTTGCATGTTTCAGTTCCCTCCGCTCATTCCACCAAGAGCCCCCCAACGCCAGTGGACAAGTCTCTCAGGTTAGCAGACAACACTTGCTATATGCCAGGCACATAGAGTGTAAGATACACACACACACTTGCATACATATGTGTATATACACACACATAAATAGAACAATACAAACATATATGTATGCATGTACATATATACATAGAGAGCAATATGTGTGTGTATGTGTGTGTGTGCATATATATATATTATAGATATATATTATATATATATATATTATAGATATACAGAGAGAAAGACACTTATTCTTACCTCTTGTTGCCAACTTGGACATGTAGCTTTCTCTGGCTGACTCCAGGGACTGATGCTGTAACAATCATTGTCATACCAAACATTTGCTCTACACTTTCAGTTTACAAAACCCTTTTATATTTTTTATTTCATTTGATCCTAACAACAATTGAGTGAGGTAAGCCGGGTAGATCTTATTTGCTCCACTTTGCAGATAAAGAGACTGAAGGTCAGGGAGGTGAAGTGACTCTCCCGCAGTCAAACAGCTCATGTGTCAGAGCCTGGACGAGAAGCCAGGTCTTGCCGGGCCTTTGTTCTTTCTCACGCAGCACACTGCCCTCAAGTTTTGCTCTTGAAAATTAGCACCATTTCAAAAAAATCTACTTTCGAGCAAACCCCTTATGTCAAAATTCCAGGCAGTATTTTGCCATTTCTCTGAGAATTTAATTTTTTCTGAGGATAAACTCTCACAGTATACAGAGAAAATAATGTAAATGTCCATCAACTAGGAACCTGATAAATTTTGGTGTATTCATATATAACCGTTAAAAAAAACACAACAGATAATTCTACATGTGCTACCATGAAAGATCTTCAAGATAATTAGGTTTTAAAAAAGGTGGCCAGGTGCAGTGGCTCATGCCTGTAATCCTAGCACTTTGGGAGGCTGAAGCTGGAGGATTTCTTGAGCTCAGGAGTTTGAGACATAGCAAGACCCGTCTCTGCAAATAATGACAATAACAAAATTAGCTGGGTGTGGTGGCACACACCTGTAGCCCCAGCCCCCTCCTCCGGAGGCTTAGGTCGGAGGATCACCTGAGCCCAAGAGGTGGAGGCTGCTGTGAGCTGTGATCATGCCACTACCCTCCATCCTGGGCAACAGAGTTAGACCCTGCCTCAAAAACAAAAACAAAAACAAAAAAAGCTCTAGATACTTGTGTATGAAAAAAACACTATGTAAGCTGCATATATATGTATATATACATAAAAATATATCTAGATGGAGTTTCTGTTTGGGATGGTGAAAATGTTCTGGAAATGGATAGTGCTGATGATTGTACAATAATGTAAATGTACTTACTTCATGTCACTGAATTACACTTAAAAATGAAAATAGTAATGTTATATTATTTTACAAGAAAAAACACGTTAAAAATATATGTATATCTGGAGGGCCGCACACACAAAAATGTCATCCACGGTTACTTCTGCAGAGGAGCCACGGGAGGGGGAGGCTGGGTGAATTTCACTTATTTTCCACCTTACACCTTTTTGTGGTGTTTGGAACTCTAACTATGATAGTATATAATATTTATAATACTAAACAACCAAAACAAAAACAAATAACATGAACCCTTACATCAAAGAAGGTGTGTGCGGCAAGATTCTGGCAGGGCAGAAAGTGGAGGAACAGGGGCTGGCCCATTTAGCGAAGCGCTTTGCGCCCAGCCCTGGCTCAGTACATTTCTGGTGATGACTTGCCGGGGTTTGGAAGGACCTCAGCTATACAGAACTTTCACGATAATGGTATTTGGTGAATATGGTTACATTTATATATGAACACAGAAAACCAACTACTGCTGGTAAATAGCATGATCACTATTGTTATTATCCAGTGCTGTAAGGACGAGATGCTTTCACCAGCAGCCGAGTGAGATGAAAGCGCTTTTCCGATCCACCGAATCAGTCCCACTGCAACTGTAAGCTGGAGACCCTCTGGGCCTTGGGAGCTCAGGCTGCCTGGGCAACGCAAGGGAGGACAGGGGCGGAGGGGGAGCCAGGAGGGCCGCACCTGCCTCGCTCGCTGGTCGCCCTCGCTCTGGGATCCGTCCTGCCGGTCCCAGGCTGTTGAGGGCGCCTCCTCAGAGTCCCTGTGGCCCCCGCAGCTTCCCCGGAAGAAACCCGTGCATCCATCGGCTAGCCCAAGCCCAAGCTCCTCCCGGAGCTCCCCGAGCCGGGGCCAGGCCTCCGCCCCTCGGTGCCCGCGCCTGGGCTCCTCCCGCTGCGGGCCGCCCGCCCGGACGCAAGGCACAGGGGGACGCCCCGCCGAGCCGCTGCCCACTGCACCGAGTTTTTCGGAGGCTGGGAGAGGAAATGCCACTTGGATTTTAAAACCGTCACCGATACGCTATAGGTGAATATTTCGCTGGGATTTTAAAGAGACGAGCTTCAGCCTGCTAAGCCGCGCTCACGCCGCCTCTCCGCCCTGGCCTCCCCGCGTCCGGCTTGGGGCCGGGTCCCTCCCGGGTCAAAGCTACGCCGGGTGCACTGCGGGCTGGGCAGCTCTCCCACTACGCCCAAAGCCCAGGCGGCCGGGACCGCCGTCCCAAAGTCACAAACCACACCCGTGAAGGACGCCCTCCGCAAGACAGAGAGGAGGCTGGGCCTGGGAAGGAACCTCCGGCCCTTCCTCACCATGCAGCCAAGGTGGGCTCCCAGCCCCGTGTTGCCGCCAGCCGCGGCTCCCGTGCGGTTACGGGAGCAGCAGCCCCGCCCCGCCGGCCCCCAGCTGGCTCCTCGCTCGAGGTTTCCTGTCGAGCGCTGCCATCCAGGGCCCGGGTTATCGCGCGTGATCTCCCATCTGAGCTGCTCACACGCTGCCGCCCGCCCCCACTTGCGGTCCCTTGTCCCCGAACCGCACCCGCCCCCAGGCCCCCGCGCTGAGAGACCAGGGCGTGGATCTGCGCCGGGCTCCGGCGCTGGGGGCCGAGGGTCTGGTTTTTAGATATCAAAGGAGCCCGACACCAGGGTCCCCCAGACAGGCAAGGAGAGGGACCCGGCCTGGGGCCTGCCTTCGGTGGTGGGCACAGTGGCCAGGATCGGGCCTGGCTCCGGCTGGCCCGGCACACGAGCACGGCGACAGTGGCAAGACTGGGAGGGCCGGCGCTGCCTCCTTGGGAAGCCCCGGAGAGACGCAACCCTGAGAGGCTGGGCCTTCCCACCCCCCGCCCCCTCCCCCTTCCTCAGATAGCAGGGAGGAAGCGCCAGGGGTCTCTCCGTTCTCACATAGGGGGACTCCAAATGTCGTCAAACCTGCCACTCTCGGAATCAACAGCTGCTTTCATTTTGAGCCCTGTGAGCAAAAGTTTCAGGGCTTTCCTGGCACACATACCCAGTGCATGGAGAGCGCTAAATTTTATCTTCCCTTCTAGAGTGGGACATTCCTGTGTGGAGCTCCGAGAATACATGCCGGCACTGCCTGTGCCTGGGGCTGTGCTGGCTCCCACCCAGCTGCAGGAATGAGGGACCACGGTACGGAGGGAAGTGGCTGAGTTGACAGCCACTGATAGAGCTTTTTCCTGATTGTCTCTGGCTTGAGCTAACCAGGTGGCATGACAAAGTACTTAACAAAAACTACAGATGCAGAGAATTTTGGAAATTTTTAAAAGACAGGAAAAAAGGTGGTTGAGGCAGAAAAAGGTAGTTCTAGAGTGAGAGGGGTTTCTTTCCTCCTCTTGGCTCACAGCAGAGGCCAAGTCCTTAGCAGTGTTTCCAGAGCAGGTGAATGAGACTCTCTGAAGGCCGGCCCAGGGGTCTGCCTTGTAACACGTTCCCCCAGCTTCTCATGTACACCACCACTCTTCGGGGACCACCACCTTCTGGGTTGGATGGGTCTGGAAGATTCTACGAATATATCCAGCCCTACCTGAGCATTTGCAGAAAGCCTGCTCTGTGAGGGAGGGCAGCCCCAAAGCTCTCTGTTGTAGACACAGAACCCAACAGGGACTACTGGTGCCACACTCTATCTCTTCTGTCAGAGAAGCACCCAAGTGAGCCATGACTTTGACATTGCATGGCCATCTTATGTTCATTCCTCAAACTTTGTCATGTTAATGTGTACTCTCTCGGGGACATCATACCTAACACGGCTGCCTGAAGATCTGCTTCGTTTAGAATATGCTAGTGAGGACAGTCCTGGAATTTCTTTGTCTCTTTCCAGCCCTGCTTTCTCTACCTCCAGTCGTTTTCTGAGGACCGGCTTGGTGGGTGCTGATGCCTGCCTGGAAGACCTCACACCCACAGTGTCTTAGAAGATTCTGAAAGCAGTGTGAGGTACCAGCCTGCTTTAGCGCTAGGAGCTGGCATGGTGGGGGTCTCAGGCTGCATCCGCACATTCTCAGCGGTGCTTTTGCTCCTGGAATGGAGCCACAAGCTGCTCTGGGCCATTTAGAGACTCTAAGTGGTTTGCTCAGGGCTATATGGAAGTGGGAGGTGGGGGACCTGGGCGCTCTGTAGCATGCTTAGTCCCCCTGGCAGGGTTAGAGGTTAGTTGACCAGAGACAACGAGTCCAATTCCCAAACAGACCAGAATGACCAGCAAAGGAGAAAAGAACAAGGACACATTGCAGCCAAAATGGAGCTAGAATCTTGCCTCTGTCCATCCTTCACTGGAGTTATCCTGGATGGAGAAGGAACCATATCACCTGCAAAGCCTGGAAGGGGAGCCCTGCTGTGAGGTGAGCCAGTAAGTCTGTGAGTTCAGGAGGGAGCACACGCTTGTCTGTCCATCTGTTCATGAGCAGGCGCTCTTGAGTCTTCCTAAATATTGCCCAGAGCTCTCCATCCAGATACTGTCCTTTCCCTTCCTCTCCATTGATGGTCTCCAAGCCTTTCTTAGCTTTCATCTTCCCCTAAGGATTCCTTCTCCCAAAGCTCCAGCCCATTCCAATGTCAACTGCATTCGTTGTTTTTGTTACTCTCATTGTGTCAAATGGGTTCTTTCCTATGCAACTAGATTGTAGGTTGCTCCAAGGTAAACACCGTGATTTCTAGTTCCTTTGTTTCTACCACTGCAGGACTGTAGGAAGCCCAGTTGTAGGCATCACTAGGACTCAGTAATTACATAATTGCTCAGATAATTGAGAGAATGATTGATTGATTAGTGGTCATTAATGCCATAAAATGAAGGAATTTCGCCCCTCACATTTTCAAGAACCTATGAGTTCGAAGAGACCTGAAAGAACATTTTTATGGGAGCCTACACCAGTGCTATCACCTAAAGTGCGTGACCTTAGGGAAGTTGCTTCACCCCTTGTTTCTGTGCCTCCAAAATACTGGTGTTAATACAGTAATTTCTGATTCCTTCCACCTGTGCCCTGCTCAGCGATCCAGTGTTCAAGCTGGTCATCAGGAGAAAGCTACTTATGATTTCCTAACAAGCCACCACAGAACATCACATTCCCAAACATGCTCTTCACCGTCCCTGCTGTCCCCACGTGCCTAGCCCTGGTGTGGGCAGGAATGAGTGGGATTGGGATGTTTTCTCACAGGTCTTTCTCAGGTGAGGCCCCAGGCTGTGACCAGGCCCCTGCCCTGCATGTGACTCAGGCCTAGCCCCTGCTGGGGCAGGAATGCCACCCAGCACAGCATCCTACTGGTGCCTGAATAAAGAATGGACTGGAGGTTCACCTGAAAGGGGCTGCCAGGTTTCTGCGGGGGCCAGCCAACGGCTCACAATGACCCTGTGTTCGACTCATCTTACGATGAAATTTTTCAGCTTGACGAACTTTTACTCATCTTTCAAGGCTCGGCTCAAATGTTATTTCCCTGGGAAAACTGCGCTACTTTCAGCAAAATGCATTTCCTTTTGATGGGCATCTGTTTTTTTCTTTCTTTCTTTCTTTCTTTTTTTTTTTTTTTTTTTTTTTTTTGAGACAGGGTCTTGCTCTCTTGTCCAGGCTGGAGTGCAGTGGTGCAATCTTGGCTCACTGAACCTTCACAATGGGCATCTGTTTCTGTTCTATGGAGTGACCTAAAAGTCAAGAATCATGGAGAAATTGGGAGCAATGGCTCACGCCTGTAAATCCCAGCACTTTGGGAGGCTGAGGCAGGCGGATCACTTGAGGCCAGGAGTTCGAGACCAGCCTGGCCAACATGGTGAAACCCCGTCTCTACTAAAAATACAAAAAAAAAAAAATCTGTTAGCTGAGCACTGTGGCGTGCGCCTGTTATCCCAGCTACTCGGGAGGTTGAGGCACAAGAATTGCTTGAAGCTGGGAGGGGGAGGTTGCGGTGAGCCGAGATCAAGCCACTGCACTCCAGCCTTGGTGACAGAGTGAAACTGTGTCTCAAAAATTTTAAAAAAAAAAAAATCATGGGGAGAATTTATTGTTAAACAGAATATTAGTTACATTTTCAAATAATACAGTCAATATGTTTTTCTGTAACCTTTAGATATGTTTTCAGGTGAAGTACCTCTAAATGTAAAGAAATGGGTCCAATTGTTAATTTTTTTTAAAGGTTCAAGAAATACACTACTTTCTCTGGCTTTTTCCTTACAACTCTTTTTTTTTTTTTTTTTTTTTTGAGATGAA
The DNA here is from genome assembly GCF_000001405.40 of Homo sapiens. Classification (NCBI taxonomy): domain Eukaryota; kingdom Metazoa; phylum Chordata; class Mammalia; order Primates; family Hominidae; genus Homo; species Homo sapiens. The sequence goes on from NC_000001.11 coordinate 167,459,379, forward strand.
GTCTTGCTCTGTCACCCAGGCTGGAGTGCAGTGGCATGATCTCAGCCCACTGCAACCTCCACCTCCCGGGTTCAAGCGATTTTCCTGCCTCAGCCTCCTGAGTAGCTGGGATTACAGGCACACGTCACCACACCCGGCTAATTTTTGTATTTTTAGTAGAGACAGGATTTTGCCATGTTGGCCAGGCTTGTCTCAAACTCCTGACTTCAGGTCATCCGCCTGCCTTAGCCTCTCAAAGTGCTGGGATTATAGGCTTGAGCCACTGTGCCCTGGCCTCTTGTACCTTTTTTACATTAACAACTGGACTCGCTTTAAATGTAGAGATACTTCCTGAAATGGTGTGTGAAGGTTGAAGAAAAACATGAGCATATTATTTGAAAATGTGGCTAAAGTTCTGTTTTAAAGTAAGTTTATGGTAATATTTCTAACTTTTCAGATGCTCTGTAGTTCTTGGCACATTTTTCACTAATATTTGGTGACAGGTCTGTCCCCGTTAAAAATTGAGAATTCCACAAAGCCTGGGATATGTTTTATTCTTCTTTGACTCTTCACTCCCCAGCTAACCACCATGCAGTGGGCAATCATAAGGGTTTAATGAATGAATAAATGATCAAGTCAGGTAGGTTTTCCCCGAATTCTTGTCTTTGGGGCTGAACCCAGGGTAGGTTTCCTGGCATCATTCCTGTGTTTTCTACTCTCCCTCCCTAATCCTCTGAAAGTTTGAACAAAAATAAGATTATGGGCCAGGTGTGGTGGCTCACGCCTGTAATCCCAGCACTTTGGGAGGCTGAGGTGGGAGGATGGCTTGAGCCCAGGGGTTTGAGACTAGCCTGGGCAACATGGCGAAATCCCGTCTCTACAAAAAATAGAAAAATTATCTGGGTGTGGTGGTGCGCACCTGTAGTCCCAGCTACTCGGGAAGCTGAGGTGGGAGGATCACCTGAGCCCGAGGAGGTCCAGGCTGCAGTGAACCAAGATCACATCACTACACTCCAGCCTGAGTGACAGAGTGAGACCCTGTCTCAAAAAATAAAAATAAAAATAAAGAAATAAGATTATGACCAAGAGCCGTATGTCTCAGATGTTGAAGGGCAATATACCTGTGCTTCAGAAAAATCTGCCCTGTGTGCCAAAATGTGCAGAAAGGAGAGCCAGCTTCTCAGCTGGCCCCATGCCCCACTACTAACTACTCCCACGGCCTCGGCGAGTTATTTCTTCTTTTTTTAAAAATTATACTTTAAGTTCTAGATGTGAACAACGTGCAGGTTTGTTACATAGGTATACATGTGCCATGTTGGTTTGCTGCACCTATCAAGTCGTCATTTACATTAGATATTCTCCTAATGCTATCCCTCCTCCAGCCCCCTGACCCCCCGACAGGCCCTGGTGTGTGATGTTCCCCGCCCTGTGTCCATGTGTTCTCATTGTTCAACTCTCGGGGAGTTATCTCTGAGTTACTCCTGAGTCTGGGCTGGGAGACACCAGGGGGACAGGGCACACACATTTGCAAGTTTCCTATTCAGGCCATGCTGTCCAGGCAGCCAGAATGAAGCCCAGCCAGAGCCAAAAGGCTTTCCTGGAGGTGTGTTTGTCAGTTTGGCAACCCTTGGTGTGCCCAGCCCACGCGCTGTGAGCATTCGCCTATGACGTACTTTGCGTGGATCAAAGGCCCCACAAAGCCTGCCGTGCCTGCAGCTGCCACGCTGGGGACATGCTGGGGACGTGGGCGATCGTGGGCTGAGAGGCAGACTGCTGGGCTGCCGCCTCCCATGGCAGCTTTCTCCCATGGGAGGGAGTTCACCTTGCGGCTTCCAAACTCAGCCGGGCCGCCCCTAGGCATGTCACCTCTTCTCTTTTTCTCTCTGTTGTCCCATGATTTGGGTCCTCAGGACCTCTCACCTGGACCCAGGGATAAATGAGATCCACTATCAGAGCCAATGGCAGCATCGGCAGCACTCTAGAGCTATTTCTACTTGATTCTAAACCTAGATTTATACTATGTGTAGCCAGCTAGAAATACAGATCTCACTGTAGAAAAGAGACTGGAAGAAATTACAGCAACTGTTAGCAGTGGTTTCATCTCTGGTTTGTGAAATTATGGGTGATTTAAATTTTCTTTATGCTTTCCCTTATTTTCCAAGTTCCATAGTGTATAAGAATATGTAATTTTGAAATAAGAGAAAATAGTCGGCCGGGCGTGGTGGCTCACGCCTGTAATCCCAGCACTTTAGGAGGCCCAGGCGGGCGGATCACAAGATCAGGAGTTCGAGACCACCCTGGCCAATATGGTGAAACCCCATCTTTACCAGAAATACAAAAATTAGCCGGCTGTGGTGGTGGGCGCCTGTAGTCCCAGCTACTCAGGAGGCTGAGGCAGGAGAATCGCTTGAACCTGGGAGGCAGAGGTTGCAGTGAGCCGAGATCACGCCACTGCACTCCAGCCTGGGCGACAGGCTCAAAAAAAAAAGGAGAAAATAGTCAAAGTACATTTTTGATGCCTTGTATTAACCTCCCTTTTGTGTCCCCCACCCTCAAACCTTAGTTGCACTTTAGGTCAATGAATATCTAAATCACTCTGCATTCTTCAGGCACACAGCAGCAGGAGGGAGGTGTGCCTGATAGGATGCTGGATTAAAGATTGGTTCTGACCAATTCACAGAGTATAGGATGCCCACAGGAGGAAAGCTGAATATTTAGCATGGTGTAAGTCTCATGGGACTTGGCCACTGTCACAGGCTAACTGATGCCCAACCTGCATGGAGCCCAGGCCCTCTCCCCACCTGGCTCTCTTCAAGCTTAGGAGGCTCCTCATCCCACTCAGGGTTTAAGATTCTCCTTTGATATTCTAGGACATGGACCAAGTTGGGATTTAGGGTTGCTCTTGGGTTACCAGCCAGCGTCCCTGAAGCCCCTCCCAAAATGTCACTGGGGCCCTGTGACCATAGAAGAGGCCTCTGTGGGCCACACAGTGAGTCCAGCGATGAAGCCAGACCAGTGTGGTTTAGGGAACAGGCCGCAGCAATGGGCAGGAACTCTGGCAAAGCTGTGCCTCCTATGGCTCTCCTCGACACAGAAGTCACAACCCAGGTTGGGGACCTAGGCGTCTCTGCATGTGCCTGTGTAGGAGCCTGTGTGTGTAAACAAGTGTATCTACATACACGAGAACCCAAGGGAGAGAGCTGCACAGGGGGCCTGCCCTGGTCTAAGCCAGAAAAGGAGGAGAACTGTTCCTTTTGGGGGCCGATCCCTGCTGGGAGAGGTGTGCCAGGGTTCCCGCCGCTGGGCCATTTCCCCCACCTGAGTTCTCTCTACAATGTCCAAAGAATGGGACCAGTAAAAGGGGGCCAGGGCAATTCTCCCACCCCCTGGAAAAGTCTGCCCTCCCTCCCTGCAGGCCTGAAGCCCTTCCGGCCCTCATCCTCCCCTTCTCCTGTGTCATCCTGTCTTCAGACTGATACACTCCTTCCCTCTGGTTTTCCTCTCAGTTGTCTCTTCCTTGCATTTCCCTCCTTAATTCCCTCCCACCAGCCTTATTTTTTTCTCCATCATCTGTGCTTGCTCTTCCATCTTTACTCTTGATAGCCTCATTGCCTGTCTCCTCAGATAGCCTTGGGTGCCAGGTTACCTGGCATCCCTGGCCCTAAGAATTTGGGGACTGCTTCTTTTGCTTGATCCAGCTCTCTCTGGAGGATGGGCAGTCGCCGGGCCATCCCAGGAACCCTTCCTGGGTTCTGTTTGTGGCTTTTCTGCGTTGCCACTGAGCATGGGTTGCTCTCGGCTGGTTAGCATAGGAGGTCACACTATCTGTTCTGGTGCAGGAATTGTCCAGGGAATTACAGTCAAGGCTGCAATGTGACCTATGGCCTGGGGCCAGCAAGCCTTTCTTAGTCTCCAGGCAGGCCAGGTACAGACAGCAAACTCAGAAACCCACGATTACATTGGCTGTCCTTTATATTAGCACACCAGGATGCACCCAATTAGCAGTGCTCATTCCTGCCTCCCTTCTGACTTCAAATACCTAAAGCCCCTCATATCTGGAAGCAGAGACCTGAAAAAGTCATCATTTCTTTTTTTAAAAGGAGAAAGGGAGAGGGAGGCTAACACACATACACTTATTCACAAAAAATAAAAGATGGTTTCATGGAGTTAGTCTGCTGGGATATTTAGAATCTAGGTTTGTAACTTGCATCTCCTTTCTCTTGATCCTACATTTCAGCCTCCAATTTAGTGGGAACTTGAACTGAACTGTGCTAATTTATTACTTGGACACCAAAGAGTTATTATTTTGTGGAGGAAAATCAACTTTGAACATTCAAGAAAAAAGACCCCATTGTAATGATTGGTTAGAATTTGATCTGGATCTACATAGATTCATTTTCTAAAACTATTCAATTAAGGATAATGTCAACCTATTGCCTGAATTTAAATCAGCGATTCATTTGGCTAATGAATTTTCCTTTTTCTGTGAGTACCGTGTCCTACGAATTTACAGGGGATGGTCAGAGAAATGGTGACAAAGAAAAGGAGGTTTGTTTGTTTTTAATGTTTTGTTTGCTGACTTAAAAAGCACACAGCCCTGGAAATGGCCTTCTCATTACTCGAGACAATAAAACATCCCAGAAATCCTGACACTGGCTAATAAGACACATGCCTTTAATGACAGCCTCAAAAAGAAGCCCCTACGGTGGAAAGTGTTGTGTGTTTGATTGCGCTAGTTTTACCATGGAATGTGCCAGTTGTGGCTGGAAGTAATTGTCTTTTCAGTGGACAACAATAAAACTGTTTTTAAGTTCTCTTCCTTAGTAAAGCCTAATTTATAAATGGAAATAAGAAGTTTCTAATTTCCCCCAAGCAGATGCCACTCTCCTTGAACTAAAATCACCTTGGGATTGCAGTGGAGTCCAGCATGAAGATGCGGTTTTCCTGCGTTTCCAACTCAGGCTGATTGAAGGCAGCTTATTTGTTTCCCCAAACACTTGGCTCCAAACACAGAGGGCTCCCTGCTGAGTGATGGGTTCCTAAAAACCTGTTTTTCTTCAGGGGAAGATGGGTTTAGTTCCAGTTCTGAACATCTCTAGGGGTTGCTTCCTCCAAGAACGGCTCAGAAATAGTCCCCTAAGGAAACTCCATGGGGAGAAGCTTCCCTCAAACTCAGGACTGGCTGCTTTCTGCTTTGGACAAGGATGCTGGCTCCCAAAACAGGGGCCCAAATAACTTGAATTCTCAAAAGCTATTTTTATCTTTCTCAGCCCCCACTCCTATTCTAAAAGTAGAAAGCTGGGGAAACAGGGTGAGTAGAAGAAGAGGGGTACAAAAAGGATCTACAGAGAATTTTGCCTGTAGTTTTTCTAGCTCTGAAATGCCTGGGGACAGAAGATGACAACACTAACTTGAAACTTCAATTGTCTCTGTTTTAAAGGCAGACACTTTTAATTAGACAAAAGCAAAGGGAAAGAAGAATAGAAGTACAGTTACCGAAAAGGCCCCAAGATCGCACTATTTATCTGCAGTGTGTGCTCTGTAAAAAACAAAAACAAAAACAAAAAACAAATAACAACAAAAAAAAACTGCAGCAACTTTTAGAGAGCCACATAGTATTATTCCAGCTCTTTCTTCCCCTCTGTCTCCATTTTACGTTTATTTCCTTTTTATTGGTTTCACTATCTCTTGCTTTTTCTCTTCTCCCTCCAATACTCAATCTTCCTGTCCATATATTTATTTCTTTCCTTCCTTCCCCACCTCCTTTCTTCTCCTTCAGAGACCTATCCAGACAGAGAATCATGTGTTTACAAGCCTCATACACAGAGTTGTTGGAGAAGGCGCCAGCCCCCTCCCCACCACCCTGCTAGGCCAACCTGCCTCCAGTGGCCAGTCCCTTATAAACTGGAGATCAGTGAGATAGAAAGTCACTCATAGATGCCTTCCACCTTCCTTTTTTTTTTCTTTTTCTTTTTTTTTTTTTTTTTTGAGATGGAGTCCCGTTCAGTTGCCCAGGCTGCTGGAGTGCAGTGGTGATCTCAGCTCACTGCAACCTCCACCTCCCAGGTTCAAGCGATTCTCCTGCCTCAGCCTCCCGAGTAGCTGGATTACAGGCTCCCGGCATCATGCCTGGCTAATTTTTTTTGTATTTTTAGTAGAGACGGGGTTTCACCATGTTGGCCAGGCTGGTCTTGAACTCCTGACCTCAGGTGATCCATCTGCCTAGGCCTCCAAAAGTTCTGGTATTACAGGCGTGAGCCACCGCACCCAGCCCCTTTCTTTCTTCTTCACCTGTAGTGTTGCTCTAGTTTCTTGTAGCTCAGCAACTGGGCAGTGAAAGAATTGGTTTCCCTGAATTATTTGGGGGAATTTATTTATTTCACAGCAGCAGGAATTATTTATCTAGCCTAGGCTGCCAGACACTTCTGAGCATCTAGTCATTTGGAGGTCATTGATGACTGGCCATGCCCCCTCCATATTTCTCTGGCTACAGTTAAAGCAGTTCTTTGAGCAGTCAGCTGGGTGATATTAACTCACTATCTTTTTCCTCTGCTAATTTGAGTGTTCAGATGATGCATGGCCAGGCACATGCACACACTCCTGACAGCAATTGCCAGGGAATATTGCTTTTCTGGACTTTGACACCAGCTCCAACTTTGAGAGGAATTTAAGTGATATTTACTGCATAGAAATTCCTCTTTGGAGCTTTGCTCTTCTGGTTCAGTCTGCTGACAACACGTTAGATTTATTCTGGCATCAACTAGCTGCAGAGCCCAAGACTCAGACTTAATTAACTTTATCAGGGATTTGAGTTGCAACTTTGGAGTTCGAGGCTCAGCACAGATCTCAGTATTACTACCAATCACAGCACTTAGAAGTACCTAAAATCAAACAAATGCACAAACAGAAGAATTCCTCCCCCTTGCACAGTTTTCTGACTATTTGCCAATTAACTCTGATAGCCTTTAGAAAAAAAATCAGTTTGTACTGATCCAAGCTGCTAGATGTTCTGTGTATTAAATGTAAGTCCATTTTAATACTGTACCACATTCGTCTTTTTTTTTTTAAATATTAGAATTTAGAACTAATGTTGTTGGGGAAATTTCCATTTTGAGATAAGCTACAGGATAATTATTGCCTTGTCCTGCTTTTTATCCCCAATTTTTCCCCTCAGTTTTAAGAGTCACCTGAATATTGGAAATAAAATTTAATCCAGTTTCATTTATGAGGAAAAACGTGTGTATGTGTGTATATACATATGGATAGGTACCTATGCAAATGTATTTTCATATGCACATATATACATACGTGTGTGTAATGAATGCCATGCAGCAATTTCAGTTTTCAAGAGCGAGGCCTGTGGAAAGTCAAGTGAGTAAAGACCAGGCAATGTGAGCCCAACAGGCTGGAGCCCCTTGATTAGTTAGTTAACATGCAAAGGCTTCGGGAGGCCTAGCTCCTGTTCTAGAAGTACTTTATCCTCTTCTTTTTTTTTTTTTTGAGACGAAGTCTCGCTCTGTCGCCCAGGCTGGAGTGCAGTGGCGCAATCTCAGCTCACTGCAAGCTCTGCCTCCCAGGTTCACGCCATTCTCATGCCTCAGCCTCCCGAGTAGCTGGGACTACAGGCGCCCGCCACCGCGCCCTGCTAATTTTTTGTATTTTTAGTAGAGACGGGATTTCACGTGTTAGCCAGGATGGTCTCGATTTCCTGACCTCGTGATCCGCCCGCCTTGGCCTCCCAAAGTGCTGGGATTACAGGCGTGAGCCACCGCGCCCGGCCCCTTTATCCTTTTCAGTCCCAGACCTGAACCAGGAGGCAACGGAAGATTTATTACAGATGCTCATTGCGGTGCACTTTTAAAATTTATCGTGGACTCCAAGCTTGTTAACAAAGATTTGCCATTCGCTCCTGGCTAATTTCAAGGTTAACATAATCTGCTTTTCTGCGGCCCTTCATGCAAACGCAGAGTCACCCTGACTCATGAAACCATGCCTTGCTTTCCCACCTGAAAACTCTCATTTTCCATTTGGAACGTTCCAAGGACACAAATTCCAAAGGGGATTTTCTGTTCAACAGATAATTCTGTTGGATTGGATTATTACTACTTTCCAGCCTGCTTCTTTGCCTCGGTGACTCAGAAGATGAGCACTTTGCAGTTAAATAGAAAGCGCTGAACTGTTTACGTTCCCTCCCCAGGACACTAGGGCAGGTTGGTGCAGAGCACAGCCCTAAGCGTTGGGGGCTGGCTGTTAAGAGCAGCCTCTCCTTGGGCTGCTGGCTTTCAGTCATCATTTTGGACAGTTCTGAGCTTCTGCTTTATTATCGGATTTATTTGTCTGTCTGCACATCCCCTGTCATGCTCTCCCCAGCCTCCTAACCCACCCACATGAACCCCAGCACAGTTTGCTCGTATCCCAGTGACCTAGGGCCTCCGTCTGGTCGGTTTAATAACGGTATGGTACTTCTGTGGGCTATTTCCCATCATGGACACTTTCTCATTCCAGACATTTGGTAACAAATAGAAGCATGAGAGGCGTATTACATGCCAGAGTTCTCCAATCCCCTTAGCCAATTCATAATTGACTTTTAAATCATTTAGGCGCAAAAGCAAATAATAATAGCTTCAGTGTTCAGTGGCGAATAAATTCTAGCTCATGAAAACTGAGGGAGAAGGCTTAGACAGTAAAAATTAAATATTTATGAAGATACTACGCTCACACCGACATATAAATGCACATACACATACATTTTAGGCATAGCTATTTATTTTTAATTCTTTATGTGATACCCAATGAGAAAAGATTTCCAGTAAAAAAAAAATGAGGGGAAGATTTATTGCCTCCAAATTAATATAAGAAAACGTCCCTGTAATAGCTGTCCTCCTCCCCCAGTAAAAGGAAAGAAAAAAGATACACAAATATTGAATTGACAAAATTATCTTTTCTCTATTGTGAGAAAGGCAAGTTAATACCCATAAAGAACTTCGCACTCCCTCAGTTGAAGGATGCTCTATAAATACAAAGCATCGTTATAATTTATTATTGAACAGAGTCAATTTTTTCTTCTGAATCATTTTTCAAACCTCTCATAGCTCAGGCCTCTCTGATGGGAGCTCTGACATGAAGCCAAAACACCTCTTCCAGACACAGAGAGACCATCAATCAGTTTAATTCGAAGACTCCTCAAAGTGAGCCTCCTGGTAGCCCAGCAGGAACTGTTTTAGAGTCTTCTTCCTTCAGTTACAGTCAGTGACTTGCATAGAGAGCTCAGGTCACCTGGCTCATCTCAGGCACTCACCAGACACCTGGGAAGGGCTGGTATTTCTACCCTTGATACTTTGCTCCCAGTAAAGGGAAACCAAGGCTGAGAACCCTCACTTTTCTTTACCCACCTTTGTTCTTAGCCCTGCCTTCTGCTAAATTGTAACCAACAAATCCACAGTGGCTAAAATTCCCAGTCATGCAGTCGCTCCTAGACTGAGATGCTCCACCCGGCTGATTTGTTGTGAATTAAGGGAACCAAAAAATAAAGTGCTCTCTTTCCTTCCAAGCAGGGAAAGGAAGCTACATTCCCAAACATAGAGAAGAGCAAACTGCAATAAAAAAAAAAAAAACAGGAGTTCCTACCACTAAAAAATACGTGATCTGTTTTGCTTTGTTTTGTCTTTTTCCTGGAGTGCAGTGGCACAATCTCAGCTCTCTGCAACCTCCACCTCCTGGGTTCAAGTGATTCTCATGCCTCAGCCACCCGAGTAGCTAGCACTACAGGTGTGTGCCACAGTGCCCGGCTAATTTTTGTATTTTTAGTAGAGACAGGGTTTCACCATGTTGGCCAGGCTGGTCTTGAACTCCTGACCTCAAGTGATCTGCCCCCCCTCAGCCTCCCAAAAAGTGCAGCCTCCCAAAGTTTGGCAAGAAGCATTTATACATTTGTGGGACTGAGTCCATTTAAATCGTCCAAATGTCCAGATCCAAACCATGGGCCCACAGAGCTAAGGAGTTGTCTTGGAAGATGGAGACGTATTTGATTTTCAGTTGTAAGATCCAGTTAAACAAGGGAATTCACTGGAGAAGGAAATCGAGTCTTTCCCTGTCCTCTGGCATTGGATTACTTCCCAGTATGCTTAAGTGGTTCTTGTTGATGTTGGGACACTTAACTACACTCATTAAGACAGTCACGGGCATTGACTCTGCATTTTTTAATCTGACATTTTCTGTTTTCCAAGCGATTTTATTTTCAAGAACAATGCAGATCTCCCCTCCTCACCCCTTTTTTTTTCTTCCAATAATTAGGCCTGAAAGCAGAGTGAGAGATAAAGGAAAGTGTTCAAGCAAATGATCTGAGGTTCTAGAATAAATATGTCCTAGTCATTACAGAGCTGTTTGAAAGCCTGTGATTGGCCTCCTATGGTCACTGGGGCACAGCCTCCTTGGATGGCATCTCTGCCTCTCCTAGATGTCTTGGAGAGAATCAAGACTCAGGCCTTGGACCTCTTCTCTAATCTTACACACTTCTTTTGTGATTTCATCTATTCATTCTCGGTACTTTATTTTATTTTATTTTATTTTTTTTGAGATGGAGTCTCACTCTCGTCACCCAGGCTGGAGTGCAATGGTGCGATCTCGGCACACGGCAACCTCCGCCTCCCAGGCTCAAGTGATTCTCTTGCCTCAGCCTCCTAAGTAGCTGGGATTACAGGCTCATGCCATCATGCCCAGCTAATTTTTGTATTTTTAGTAGAGATGGGGTTTCACCATGTTGGCCAGGTTGGTCTTGAACTCCTGACCTCAGGTGATCCACCCATCTCAGCTTCCCAAAGTGGTGGGATTACAGGCATGAGCCACCATGCCTGGCCTTTTCTCAGTACTTTAAAATATCATCCGTATACTGTTGACCCCACCATTTAGATCTACAGCCCCAGTTCTCTCCTGAAATCCAGACTCGAACATCCATTCAATATCTAACGGACAACTCAGCTCTACTTGTCCTAAGCAGAACTCCTTATTTCTCCCCCAGCAAACCTGCCTTTTCCAGGGTCATTGGGTAACATGAGGAAGAATTTGATTTCTCAATCCAAAACTGGGGGAAATATTTTTTTTATTTCCTATATGACTTTTGGGCTTACAGAAGTAAAAATGTTAATTGTAAAAAAAAAAAAAAAAAAAAAAAGAAACAAGGAAAATACAGAAAAGCGTGGAAAAGAAAATAAAAATTAGCCAAAAACCAACCACTCAAACATAATCTTTAACATTTTGCTATATTTTCTTCTAATGTTTTTTTCTACTGCTTTCCTTTTTTTCAAAATTAGGATCATATGTTAGGGTTTGTGTTTGTTTGATTTTTCTTAGTATTACCTATTTTTTGACTATTTTGAGGTATTGCTATGTATAATAATTTACTCAGCTATGCCCTTATTGTTAGAAATGCAGGTTATCGTTGATTTTTAGTATTATAGTGCTGCAGTCAACATCCTTGAACACAAATATTTTATTCCACTGATTATTTCTTTCTTTCTTTTTTTTTTTTTTTTTGAGATGGAGTCTCACTCTGTCACCCAGGCTGGAGTGCAATGGCACAATCTCGGCTCACTGCAACCTCCACCTCCTGGGTTCAAGCAACTCTCCTGCCTCAGCTTCCCGAGTAGCTGGGACTACAGGCGCCCATCACCACGCCCGGCTAATTTTTTATATTTTTAGTACAGGTGGGTTTTCACCGTGCTAGCTAGGATGGTCTTGATTTTCTAACCTCGTGATCTGCCTGCCTCGGCTTCCCAAAGTGCTGGGATTATAGGTATGAGCCACTGCGCTCAGCGTGATTATTTCTTCAGAATAAATTAAGACACATGGAAACATGTACCCTAAAAGACAAATATATTTTTCTGGAAAGTAACTCACCCTTAAATTTAAAGAAAATTGGCTCTATCTTTCTGGAAAGTAATTCAGCTCTAAATTTTCTGGGCTATTTAAACTTAGGGCTGACTTACTTTCCAGAAAGACAAAACCAATTTACATTCAGCAGTTTTTGAGAGACTCTAATTCATTGTGTTCTCACCACACTGGGTATTATCATTAAACAGACACACAGCAAACAAAACAACTCAACCTACCCAGTAAGCAAAAATAGTCTAATTTTAAAATTTGCATTTTTTTGAATAGTAGCAATGTTGAACATTTTTTTCATGTGTTTTCTTCACCCTGTGTATTTCCTATTTTATGAATTGTGTGGTGATGACTTTTGCTTATATTTTGTTTATGTGTTTTAGAGATGGGGGTCTCATTCTGTCTCTCACGCTGGAGTCCAGTGGTATGTTCCTAGCTCACTGCAGCCTTGAACTCCTGGGCTCAAACGATCTTCCAGCCTCAGCCTCCAGGGTAGCTGGAGCTACAGGCATGAGCCACTACACTCGGCTTTATTTTTCTTTTGATGTACCCTCTTACAAAGTGATTTCTTTTTTTTTTCTTTCTGTTTCTTTCTTTTTTTTTTTTTTTTTTTGAGACTGAGTCTTGCTCTGTCACCCAGTCTGAAGTGCAGTAGTGCGATCTCGGCTCACTGCAACTTCTGCCTCCTGGATTCAAGCAATTCTCCTGCCTCAGCCTCCTGAGTAGCTGGGACTACAGGTGACCACCACCACACCCAACTAATTTTTTGTATTTTTAGTAGAGATGGGGTTTCATCAAGTTGGCCAGGCTGGTCTCAAACTCCTGACCTCAGGTGATCCACTCGCCTCAGCCTCCGAAAGTGCTAGGATTACAGGCATGAGCCACTGTGTCCAGCCCTAAATGATTTCTAAGAGCGTGTTACATATTAAGGATTCATCCTTTTCCTATGGTATATACTGTGAATATTTTCCCTCTTTACCATCTACCTTTTATTTGGTGTCTTTGGCACATAGAAGTTGAAATTTAAGTCATCAGATTTTTGCTTAGAAAATCTTTCCTCATTTTGAGATCAAAGATCATTCACTTATATTTTCTTGGGGGTACTATTTTCAATGTCCTGATAAAACGCTCACAATAAAAAAATTAGGAAGTGTTTTAGGCTGCAGTTCAGGTTGGCAGAATTATGCCTATGGCCAAATGTGTTTGTATGCACTCACACACAGTGTGTGCACATGCGGGAAAGCAAGTCTAGCAAAATTTATTTTATCTATTTAAATGCATTACAATTAAGAAAGCAAAATGTGGACTTTTTTTTTCAAGGGGACAGTAACAACGAAGCGAAGAATTCTGTTTCATAGCTGGGTGAGGGAGGGTATTGTTGCACATCTATTAGGATTTTGCTGGCTGTTGAAGTCAGGTCCTACTGCAGATTGTGTATTTATCACAGTTTTCTTTAAAGAAGTAAAATCAAAGTGGGCAAAGGCATCTGTTGGAAGCGCTCTAAATATGCAGATATTCTTGAGGGAGACACAACATTACTAATCTTGTGTCTGACCCTCTTGTGTCTGATCCTGCCACTCCCACACACTGTGAGGGCCTGTTCGGCTTGGTGTCCTCATGGCCTAGTGACCCCCATGGCCTAGAGAGGATTCTTTGTGTGTCCACACCTGTGTTGCCTGCATGAAAGATCAGTGAACATTTGCTAGTGTGTGGAATTCCTTGGCCTTCCCGGCAGCCCCTGCCCACCTGCTCCTCTGGCCTGACCACCTTTGCCCTCCAGCCCACACAAGTATTCTACAGCTGGGGCCTTGAAGGATATCAGATGTCTACTCCTTAGGCGTCTTCTTCAAGTTTTACACACACACACACACACACACACACACACACACCCATCTGTAGTCTTACAGGGAGATCTATTCTGAGGCCTTTCCTTGAAGAGCTGTGGTTCTGTGTTCACACTCCCTCTTACACCCTCTGGGTGGTTCTCTGACCTGAGATAGCCAGCTGTCCCGAGCTGCCCTCCACCGCCCAGGGGGCAAGTGTGGTTTCTCCTGCTCCCTGCTTGCCATCTCCTTCTCTCTGGGCCTTTCTCTCCTCCAAGGCCCATCTGAGGGCAGCTGCAACCTGCATATTGTTTCGAAAATAAGGTTGCTTCCTGCCTACCTGCAGACCACCCACGCCCACAGGCTACTAGGAGAAATGTCATTTAGCCGCGCTCACAGCCAGTGATTCACAGAGCTTCTCGCCAACTCCTTCAACCCCAACTGCAGCTTGAGAATGAGGCGCTGTTATTATTCCCATTAGAAAAAAAAATGGGAAGGAACAGCCCAGACCAAGTTCACACAGCTGGGGAGTTCGTGCAGAACTGGGAGTCCTAGGTCTTTTCTGCTCTGCCACAGGCAAGTCCACGTTCTCTCTTTCAGCCAAGGGTCACTGTGCTCTGCAAGATTATGATGTGTGTCTGGTCAGGGTATAGAAACCCCTCACCTAAGCATTCCTGACTGGAGACCCCCCAGACTTTGAGGAGCTCTCACTGTGAAGGGGAACCCCTTCTTGCACATTGCAGCCCCTCACTCCTTTGCTGGGGGGTTTTACTGGTCACCAGCCTCCTTGTCACACTGACTCACGGATCTGCTAGCTCTGGCCTTGGAAATTAACCACTACACTCTCATCTTCTACTTGGTTGCACCTTGCATATCTGATGGCTGCTCCTGGCCTGTGCCCTTTTGGTCTTCTATGCCGTTTTCATCTTGTACTTGTCTCTGGAGGGCTCTGCCTGCTCTGCACACCCTCTCCCTTCACCACCCCCGGAAGACTAGATAAAGCCGTGTGAACCAGAGATACCCCACTTCCTTCTTCCTAAATATTTCTCTCTGATTTCATTCGCAAGAGAAATCTGCCTAATTATAGATGGATAGAGATACTGAATAGTCTCACTGCCCTCTTTTTCTTCTCCCTGGCTCTGAGTCTGGGGGTGGGGCTGGGAAGGGGGAGCCAGCCTCAGGCAAAGTTACTGCCTGAGACTTTAAAGTCAGATTTTAATCTCCTTAATCTCCTTTCCCTTCCACCCACCCACCAGCACAGTCAACGCATCACTGAGACACCTGCTTGGGTAGGGGTGGGAGGGTAGCGGTAGTGGGGTTAGAGGGTGGCAGAGGCACACTTGTTTGGGGTGTGGGGAGAAAAATTCTGCTTCTGGCCACAGAACCTAACTGGAGGCTCAAAGAGATCTTTTTAGATAACAGTGGCCAGGCAGGAATGATGAGAGTCATGCCACAGAAAAGATCTTTAGTGAAAGACAAGAGCCCTACTTCAGAAAACTGGCTGAGCCCCCGGTCTGGGAAGGAAATGCACACAAATGGGACACCTTGGCCCGCTGAAAGCACAGACACCAGCGAAGACTACTGGACTCAGTTCAAAAAGTATTTGGGAGCCAGCTTGAAGAGGCTCCCACTGGCCAACGATGGAACAACTTGAGCATATAAGAAAAACGACTGCCATGGGTTAAAACTGTCTTTTTTTTTTTTTTTTTTTTTGACGGAGTCTTGCTCTGTCCCCAGGCTGGAGTGCAGTGGTACGATCTCCACTCACTGCAACCTCTGCCTCCCGAGTTCAAGCGATTCTCCTGCCTCAGCCTCCCGAGTAGCTGGGATTACAGGCGCCCACCACCATGCCCGGGTAATTTTTGTATTTATAGTAGAGACAGGTTTCACCAAGTTGGCCAGGCTGGTCTCCAACTCCTGACCTCAGGTGATCCACCCGCCTCAGCCTCCCGAAGTGCTAGGATTACAGGTGTGAGCCACCGCACCCGGCAAAACTGTCAAATATTTTTATGTTCCTACATTTATCACAACCCTAAAACCAACCAACCAACATACTTATTGCTCACCCTTGGAGGATGCTAAGGAACCAAATTATTACTTAACTTTTTACTGGGAAAAAACCCCACCATTTTTATTATAAAATTATCAAACACACATAAGAGTGGAATAGTAGAATGAGCCTCTGTGCACCTGTCGCACAACATCAACGATGATCAGCTCACGGCTCTTCCTGTTTTTCTATATCCCTACCCAGTCCCCTCTCCCCTGGATTATTTTGAATCAAATCACAGGCATCATGTCATTTTATCTATAAATAATAAATCATTATAAATAAAGGGAAGAAATCGAACACTTATCCTGGGCATTTATCAGGGTAACCAAATAGTTAACAAGGGTAAGTTTCTCTCTATAGAAATATTCCAGCAAACAAATGAAAAAGGAAAGATAATCCCTAATGAAATAGAGGCTCTAGGCAATGATTATCAGTGGCTTTTGGTGTCACCAAAAGAAAGAGCAGGACACATCACAAGCCTCCTGAGGAAAGTACAATAACCACCTTGAAATGTTCTTGCTACATTAAACCTGAATCCCATCAACCTCCAGATTCAACAGCCAGTTTAGAAAAAACACAGGAGGCAGAGGAACACGTTAAATGACACCACAGGGATGCAATCAGCAAAAATTCACACTGTGGGAGATTCTGTGGCACAAATAACCTAGCTTCGTACAGTTCAAAGAAATAAAGAGAGGGGTCGGGCTGTGGGGGAAGGAATTCTAGATATGCAAGAGACAGAGAAACTGTCTTTGTTGGATAAAATGAACTGTGAAGTAAAAAACATGAGACAGAGAAATTATTTCAACACCAACTTGATATTTGATGATATTAAGGAATTACTGTAAATTTTGTAGGAGGGATAATGGTAGTATAGTATATATTTTTTTTCTTTAAAGGGTGCTTATCTTTTGGAAATACACACTAACGTATGTATATGTAGTTTATTATATTATTTTCTTTACTTTTCTACATGTTGAAACAGGAAGAGTTGTCCTGGAAAATAGTCCTGGGGTCCCCCTTCAGAAGAAAAGCAGTTGGTGAGAAGTGAAGCGCTATAACATTATGGGTTGAAATGGCGCCTTTCTTGGGCTGCTGACACCTTCTCAGATTCTGCTGAGCTTCCTGAGGGTGGACTCTGAATCTTGGCTTCTCTTATACCCTCTGGTACACCAGGCCCAGGGATGGCCCACTGTGCACTCTCCCCAAGCCCTACCAAGCAAATAGAATGAGCCTTTCAGAGAGCTCTTGGCTCTGTGTCATGTCTTACTTAGCTGCATACTTAATCTCTTAATTTTCTTTCTTTATCTATAAAATAGGACCAATGATTCTTAATTCACAGGATTTTTGTGAGGATAAAATAGTATAATATATAGGATTCTTCTCTGTGATTAAAATAACAATTCATAGTGATAATAATAGCTAGCAGCCAGGTATGGTGGCTCACGCCTGTAATCCCAGCACTTTGGGAGGCCTAGGCGGGCAGATCTCTTGAGCTGAGAAGTTTGAGACCAGCCTGTGCAACATAGTGAAACCCCATCTCTACAAAAAAATAGAAAAATTAGCCAGGCGTGGTGGCACATGCCTGTAGTCCCAGCTACTTGGGAGGCTGAGGTGGCAAAGCTGCAGTGAGTTATGATTGTGCCACTGCACTCCAGCCTGGGCAAGAGTGAGACTGTGTCTCAAAATAATAATAATAATAACATCTAACACATATAGAAGGTTTATTATGTTTCAGGTTCATTCTAAGGGCTTTCTATGCATTATCTCATTTGATTCTCATAAAACCCTATGCCGTATGTTTTATGATTATCCTCATCTCACACGTGTGGAAGTTAAGGGGCAAAGATGTAAAGGTTACAGTGCCAAATTTGTAGTATTTGTTCTTATCATACATAGATGGAAGAGGCTATTGGCCCCACTGTTGTAATTTGAGGGATAGCTGAAAGCTCTCCTCCTGCTGAAAATATTTTTAGATAGAAGCATTTTGGAATCCAAGAGATTACTGTTAAAAGGATATTACTCTGAGAGGGGTGACAAATTAAACCTCTGCCTACCTGGAATGCCTTAATATGAAATTATCAGGTTACTCTCCCTCCTCTATCAGGACCCTTAGAGAAAATAGGAGCGGCTGGGCCAGGAGAAAGCAAAAGGGAGGAAGACGTTAAGAACAAAGCCCATGACCTTGACAATTTTACCTGGAGCCTGCCTTGAGCCCAAATTCCAGTGGTCAGTGCCAGAAGAAAGACAAACAAAGCTGCTTTTCTTTTTTTCCAAACAGACCCAGAGATGGAAGATGGTCCTGACTTGAAAGTGCCATTTGTGTAGTTCCAGTGCCCAGAGCTTCCTTCCTCACTGATCCCTCCTGTGGGCTTGGACTCTGGCACACTGGCTGTGAAGTGTTTTTTGTTTTTTCCTTGAGACAGGGTCTTACTCTGTCACCCAGGAGGCTGGAGTGCAGTGGCGCTCCAGCACAGCAGATCGTAGCTCACTGCAGCCTTGACCTCCTGGGCTCAAGTGATCCTCCCACCTCAGCCTCCCGAGTAGCTAGAACTACAGGTGTGCACCACCACTTTTGGCTAATGTTTTATTTTTTGTGTATATGGAGTTTTACTATGTTGGCCAGGCTGGTCTCAGACTCCTGGCTTCAAGCAATTCCCCCGCCTTGGCCTCCCAAAGTGCTGAGATGACAGGTGTGAGCCACTGTGCCTGGCCTGGCTCTGAAGTCTTGATAATTTCTTGGGATATCTTAGTGCAAAACTTGGAAGCCATATGGAGAAATGCTGGTGCTGATGGGGCAGTTGCTGGCCCTGCTGCCAATCCTGTGACCAGCCCTGGGTCTCCCCTTCTGTCCTGATGACTATTTTGGTCCCCACCAGGATGTCATGAAAGTTCTCAGCCCAGCTGAGCTAAAGCCCTTGGCAACTCTTCCTTTCTTCTGGGCTGTGCTCTGCAGGACCAGGCAAAGAATCAAAAGGCCAGACGAGCCAGACCATAGAGCTGTGAGGGGCTGAAGAATGTGGAGAAGCACTGTGTTTACTGCAGCACAGCTGCTATATGGAAAAGCCAGTGCAGCTCCGGCTACACTGACAGCTGTCTGATGTCTCTCACACACAGATGGAGAGGCTGACCCCAGACTTCCTTGGGCAGGTTACACCACAGCCGTGCATTTGTTTCTAGCTACGCAGTTAATGGGACATGGAAGAACCAGACCTGCCTGAGTACCTAACATGGCAAAGGGCCTTCGGAACATGAAGAATAGCAGAGATAAGAATGTTAAGCTTAGAAAAGACTTGAGGACTTTAAAGCTGCTTTCCTATTTGAAAGGCTGTCTCATGGAAAAGAGATTGGACTTGTGTATGTGTGTGTGTTTGGTGGGGGGCTTCGAGGGTTTGAACAAGGACCAGTGGAACACGGGTCAGATTGGTAGAAGGAAGTTTCACTAAAAACCAATTGGAGAGGCAGTAGTGTGGACAGGAACGCAGAGTCTGGAGTCAGACTATTTGTCTCCAAATCCTACTTTCTGTGCCTCTTACCTTGTCTGTGAAGGCGAGATTAAAAAGTTGTACTTATCTCAAAAAGTTGTTGTGAGGAATAAGTAAATTAATATGGGTAAAATGCTTTAAATAGCTTGGTTCATGCTAAGTACTCAATAAATGTGAGGTGGAAATGGAAACATCTATGATTTGATAAATAAAGGCAGCAAGATTCAAATTGTATATGGTGTAATTCCAATTTTGTTTTTAAAATGCATATTATTTTGGAAGAATACTCGAAGAAAATACCCCAAAATATTCACAGTGGTAATTTCTGAACAGTTGGATTATGAGTGATTTAAAGTATTACAGTTTTTAATATTGCATATTTTCTAGATAAGCATATATTACTTCATAATGGAAAAACATTTTTATTTTGCTCTCTATTTAAAAAGGCATGGCATACCTAAAAATGTAGTGAGATCCTAGTTACCAAAAAAGATAAACCATCCTGTTACTAAAAGTATTCAAACTCACATAGCTAATGGACAGTTGGGTTATTCATACTGTTTAATCCCAACCATGTAAAGAAAGTAGCACGTGAAAATGCAGACTGGAGGGAAACAGGTGGCACTGGTTATGGTTACTCTGGGGATGTGGATGAGAAATTGTTTGTTTCTGTATTCTTTTCTGTACTTTCAGAGTTTTCTAAATTACATGTGCATTACTTTGAAAACGGGGAGGAGTGGGATTAATTGGAAATGAAAATTAAACTAAAAAGACATTTTTAAAAAAGGAGTTCAGTCCAGATTAGCTTGAAGGGCCCCATAGACCTGCTGATCTAGTTTCCCCGACCATGATTCTGTGACCACACAATGGTGGCGATTACATGATGTGACATATCCGCCTCCATCTGCCACACACTACGGCCCAGCGGTGGCCATGCCTCCCCCTGTTCAAAAATCACCCCAGGAGTTCAGGTTTGTTTTTGCATCACATCACAGACCTCCCCGCTCCCCATCATGTGGCTTTTAGGGCCTCATATTCTGGTCACCTCACTTTCCACCTGTGTCCCCAGTCCACATCTCTTCCATCCAGCCAGGTCCACACCTTTGGGAACTCACCAACACCTACCCTCTCCCTGTCTGGACTGCCGCTGATCCCTGACTTGGAATGCCCCTTCCTCCTGCCAGTCCACATTCTACCCATTGGTTGAGGTTGCTCCAGGGGCACTGGGCTTCTGCAAACGCCAGTTCTTTGCCTGCACCAAATAATTTAGCACAACTGCATTCTTTACTGCTTCGTGCCTCTCCCCTTTGGCATGAGCTTCGTGACTGCAGAGCCACATTTTCTACTTCTCTTTTGCCTCATATGCCCCAGACCAAAACATCTAGCTTGCTGCTGAGAGCGGACTCAGAATCCAAAACAGCACGGGCTGGATCACTGTTACTCAATGGCCACTGCATATGGTCTGATGCCCCGTTCCAAAATAGGCCAAGAACCGATTAGGCCGACGTTCTTTAGATCTGGAAGGATAGTAGACCTGTGAGTTAAAGGTGATTTGTCAGGGCAGCCCCACAGTTAAGACACAATCCTGCCCTGGAGAGAAAGAAACAGTTTTCTCACTTTGAGCATTTCAGTGTTTGGTTTAGAGAGCTGCTGAGGTCTTGGCAGGGCGATGAAAATGGGAAACCGTTTAGAAAGTGGAATAAAAATAAAAAGAATAGGGTTAATTTAGTTGGAGAAGGAGTGGAGATGAGGCCACACAAGTCTTTAATACACCAAGAAAAACTGAGGCAGCATGCACGCTACTGGTACTACTTCTGCTCTTAAGAACGTCTCCTGTCCCCAACCTGCCCCTGACACCCCCAGAGCTCTCCTCCTGCTCAACCAGCCTAGGAGCCTTCCAGCTAACAAGATCTCTTCCAGCTCTAAAAGGTTGTTTTGCAATGTCTTAAACCTGAAACTTCAGGCTGTGGAGCATGTAAACAAGAGTGACTGTGGGATATCCTGCTCAGGTGATTTTAAAGAAAATAGGGACATAGTTTGGAGGATGGTTTAAGCAAGACCTTTTAAACCCTTTTAACTCTTCAGCTCACCCTGCATTAAATCAAATGTGAAGATAAATGCTCATTAAACATTAAATATATATTTATTTTTCTATGAAAACAGTTGAAAGCATTTTTATAATTTTGCTTTTGAAATTATTTGGTTACAAGTAATTCATTTAATTCATGACAAGCTACAATTTCTTGACTTTTATTGTGTATTCTTGGGAACATTTGTGACGTGATAAAACTCTAAGATTTACATGTGAAACAACAAGGCTGACATATAGCACAATTATAACATTGTCTTAGATTCGCTTTCTAGTACATATATTGATTCTCAACCATTATCCACTAAGAGGTGTTGAGCTGGGTGTGGTGGCTCTTGCCTGTAATCCCAGCACTTTGGGAGGCTGAGGTGGGTAGATTGCTGGAGCCTAGGAATTTGAGGTCAGCCTGGGCAACATGGTGAAACCCCATCTCTACAAAAAATACAGAAATTACCTGTGTGTGGTGGCATGTTCATGTGGTCTCAGCTACTTAGGAGGCTGAGGTGGGAGGATCACTTAAGCCTGAGAGGCAGAAGTTGCAGTGAGCTGAGATCACGCCACTGCACCCCAGGCTGGGCAACAGAGAGAGACTCCCTCTCAAAAACAAACAAACAAAAAGAGGCACTGAAAGGAAACTGTCATTTATAGTAGTTAGAATACTAAAACTTGGAAATAGCTTACTTCTATTAAAACAGGTAGAGTCAAACTTATACCTATATTAAAATCATTTTTACTCATTTGCTTTCCAAAAGATTTCATGACGCAGGGGAGAAAGTTGGGAGCAGAGGGAGGATGGGTTCATACAAGCCCATGAGAAACATACATTTTGGTGCCGTCTATAATGTGGGTGGGGGCGGAAAGAGAAACTCAGAATGACTGCTCTGATCATTTTGTGTGAAATGTCTTACTTCTTTTCTAAACCATACATTTCTTGAGGACAGATGCAGTAAGTTCATCGCACAATCCAGCAGTGAGCACAAGGGTCTCATTGAATTGATTGGTGCACGTGATACTCCAGATGGAGCCACATTGCAAATGGCACCACTGTCCCCATTTCCTCCAGGAAAAGCAGTGGTGGGGTGGGGCGGTCACAGGACCATACCTGTCACTGCATTCAGTTCTGTGAGGGTGGCCAGGGACTCCTGTCTGCCCCATTTCAAAGGGGACACACTGAGGCCCAGGGCAGGCAGCGATGGAACCCAAGGTTGGGTGCTGAGTAGGACTCTAGGCCTCTGACCAAGTTGATCTGGGGCCTTCTGCAGCAGGACCTGCCTGTATCTTTTACTGTGTGTGATCCCTGCCTAAGAACCTGCCCACTCCCTCTTCTGCCTCTCAACCAAGACTTCTGGGGACCTTTCTTTTTACCCTCTGGACAACTCTTAGAAGGAGGCTCAACCTCTGAACTGTCTCAGCATGAATGAGAGGTCTTCTAGGTCCTGTGAAAAGTTCTCTGGCCTGAGGATGACCATGAACCCACAGTAGGTTCAGCCCCCAACACCACCCGACTGGAGACAACGCCATCCCTGGGTGCTCTGGAATGAAGGGATCAAGCTGGCATCTCCTTTCTCAGTGACCTTTCTGAACCTAAAGCTACCAGGCCCATAAATTCCCCCCTGGTGCTCACAAGACTCTGATGATCAAGAAAGAAGGCGGGTCTTCCCTCACCAACAGCCAAGAGGCTGCTTGAGAGTCAAGGCAGCTTCTTCAGGGCTTTGCCTGGGTTTGTTCTGAATCTGCCCTGGCCTCTGTGGGGGTGGGGTGGAGTGAACGTCTTTCCTCTCTGGGTGTCTTCCAAACACACTTCTGCACTAAGAGTTGCCACTCCCTTCCTTTCTCCCCTCAGCCTCTCCAGAAGCAAAGCCCATGCTGGCTGGGGCCAAGGGCTGACTTCTAAGAGTGGAGAATCGTGACTCCACAGCAGGGGAGACCTAGCTGCTATGAAAGCAACAACTTCTAGGGAGGCTGGGACCTCGGGCCTCCAGCACCATGGAGGACCATGGAGTGACCTTAAGGAATCCTTCTGGACAAATATCCAAAGGGCTGTGTGCCTATTCACCTGGGAGAGAGGCCTTGGGCTGCCCGTACCCTGGGAAGGGAAGATGAGGTGAGGGTAGTTTATCCGGCCCAGGCTACCACAGCCTGTTAGGACAGAGCCCAGGTCTATTCAAGGATGGGTGAAAAACTAAAATGTGGGGAGGGGGAAGGTCTGGGTAAGCCCTTGTTTGGCTCATGGTTTTGGCCCTCTCTGAGGTGCCTAATCTGATCCAGTAACCACACAAACTGGGCTGCAAAGGAACTAACCAATATTCTTTCTTTCTTTCTTTCTTTTTTTTTTTTTGAGACTGAGTTTCGCTGTTGTTGCTCAGGCTGGAGTGCAATGGCATGATCTCGGCTCACAGCAACCTCCGCCTCCTGGGTTCAAGCAATTCTCCTGCCTCAGCCTCCCGAGTAGCTGGAGTTATAGGCATGCGCCACCATGCCCGGCTAATTTTGTATTTTTAGTAGAGATGGGGTTTCTCCATGTTGTTCAGGCTGGTCTCAAACTCCCGACCTCGGGTGATCCACCTGCCTCAGCCTCCCAAAATGTTAGGATTACAGGCGTGAACCACCGCACCCAGTGAGCTAACCAATATGCTAATGACTTCAGTTGATCAACCACAGTGTCCAGTGAAGAAAATCAGGGCTCTTCTCAGGGTGGTGGTATCTAGACCCTAAAAATAGCCTCCCTCCCCCTCCCTACCCTGCTTTCCCACCAACCTTGAAGATTCTGATATTTTGTTAAAAATTCATGCTAGTTTTTCCCACAAGGGAGCTGGAATTTATTATCATCTCCTATGTTCCTAACACTGGTTATAAATGTTTATTTCATTTAATCCTCAGAACTGGCTCAGAAAATAGGCCACACTCTCCCCATCTCATAGAGGAGTCAGAGGCTCAGAGAGATTAACTTACTTGCCTGAGGTCACACAGCTAGTTGGTAGAGGAGCTCTTCCATAAGATAGCAAGGCCACATCACCTGCAGGGCAGTGCCTGCTCTGGGAGGTGGCACAATGTGCCCAGTGATGACGATGACAATAACTATGAAAGGATTTTATATTTGCACAGCATTTTGCAGCAGTGCCCCTCAGCTTTGAACCCAGGGCATGCACTGAGTCCAAGAAGGGGTTCCCCTCCCCACTCCCTCCCCAGCACACATCACCTTAGCCACTTCCGGAGGAACAGGAGAAATGGCTTGCCCACTTGGCTGGCTGCAGTGGTAGCAGGAGGCTTCCTGAACAGAGGCTGCCCAGACTGCCCACAGCAAGTGTCCCACTGCTCTGCCACCGCTGGTGCCGTGTGGGAGTCAAGGCTGGGGAGCCTGAATGGTGGGCCAGGCCGGGGGCCGTGGGGTTCAGAGGCAGAGTGGAGAATACAAAATCGCAGGTGAGATCACAGCTCTCTCAAGCCTCATTCCTCGTGCCCCACACAGGCAGAGTCTTGAGTCCTCCCTTTGTTCCTTTCTTGTTTCTCTGGGGGTAATTTGGCCTTTTAGAGACCACTTCCTTTACCCCCAATCAGCAGACACCACCAGCTCCCTGCCCATCTTCCTTCCCTCTGTTTCCTCCTCTTCCCTATAGGCTGACTGTGTTGTGGGGGCTCCTTAAAGCTCCATCTCAGTCACAAGGACAGCAGGGGCTTCTCCAGCTCCCTGAAGTCCCCTCTGTACACCCTTCCCCTTTGGGAGCCCAGAGGCCAAGGTCAAGTTTCTGGAGGAGGAGGAGGCACTGTCTGGATTGCTCTGGCAGGAGCATTTTAAGAGCCCTGTTCAGCCAGGCGCGGTGGCTCACGCCTGTGATCCCAGCACTTTGGGAGGCCAAGGCGGGCGGATCACCTGAGGTCAGGAGTTCGAGACCAGCCTGGCCAACATGATGAAACCCCGTCTCTACTAAAAATACAAAAATTAGCCAGGCGTCATGGCACGTGCCTGTAGTCCCAGCTACTCAGGAGGCTGAGGTAGGAGAATCACTTGAACCCGGGAGGCAGAGGTTGCAGTGAGCCGAGATCGCGCCACCGCAGTCCAGCCCGGCGACAGAGCGAGACTCTGTCTCAAAAACAAAACAAAACAAAAAAGAGAAGGGCTTTTAGAGGTTCACTTGTCTCTCACAACCTCAGAAGAAAAACCAGGCGGGATGACTCTCCAGCTGAGGAGACTGAGGCTGAGGGACTGCCTGGTCCTTGGCTGTCCAGGGAGGGGCTCATTCCCTGCTGCTCTGCTGCCAGACTGTTCAGAGGTGAAAGCCTCACATTGGCAGAACCCAGGTATTTGGTATCTAGGGAACCCAGGAAATAACAATCAGGCCAAACACTGGCCCTGTCCTGAATCCTTTAGTCCCCATCCTTCAGCACCCCCTTGTGAGGGACAACCAGGCACATCACACCCTCATGGATGCAGATGGCATGGACTCCTTCACTTGGTTACAACCCACACTCACCTGGGGTCTTTTCTGCCTTCTGTGGACCTATTGGAAGATCTAAGGGGGGCATTTGAAAATGAAAAGGGAGCTTGCAGGGAGAGCAGCCAACTCAGCCCATCCAAGAGCAGACAGACCCCTGCACGCCCTGCTCACAGCTCTGTCCCTGTGCCGCTGTGGCCTGGCGCTGCGTCTGGGGAGCTCAGTAAATATTTGTTGAGTGAATGAATGAATGGGATGGCCTGACCGCTTGACATTGCAGAAGGAGAAGGACAAAGTGGAGAGGCTGAGGTTTGTTTTTGGGTGGGGAAGCTCCCATCTTGGATTGTAGTGGGGGTGGAAGCAGAAGCAAAAACCTAGTCTAGGGTGTGGATTGAGGGAGACCCAGGAAAACGACCCACTCACACACCTGCCTTTCCTGAAACACTGAGAGCTGCCTGAGATTAGGGAGCTGCCTTACTCCTCCTTTTGTCAGCATGCTGGCTGGCGTGCTAGGCTCCCGTGGGGAGGGTATCCCGGCATGGCTTACTAGGTGGTTAACGCCAGGGCAGTTGGGAGGTAAATTAAGGGGCACAAGCTCAGGAATCCCTCCTTTCAGTCCTGTCACCAGCCCCAAATCCAACCCACCAAGAATGGTGGGTATAATTCATCTTAACTATTTCCCACCAAAACAATATGACTTTTACTCTCTGCCTCCTTCTGGCTGAGCTCTGAGACCAAGAGGGCTGTGGATGTTGGGGGTGGGGAAAGAAACTATGGAGCTGCCAAGAAGGTTGAACAACCAGGTAATTAACTGAAAGAAAACGACTGGAGGCTGGGGAGGGGAGGGTTAAGAGTCATTGTGGGCCGCCTTCCAGAAGCCTCCTTCCACGGCCCCCACTGCCATCCACACACCACTCTGACCCCTGCAAGGACACACCACCATGCTCCGAGGGGCAGGTGGCCTCAGCTCTGCTGCTCTCAAGACAGCAAGAGAACAGGCATTGTCAGGCCAAAGAAATTAGCAACATGGAAAAGTGAGTGGAAAGAAAACATGTTTTCATCACAAGATCAAGAAACTGGTTTGGTTCTTGCACCAGCCCCCTCGGTTGTCAAATGAGAAGTCAAATTCAGAAGGGACACAGGACCTGCCCGAATCACCACAGCCAGAGAGAGGCAACTCTGGGGAAAGTGCCCTGGCCTCGGAGGGAGAGGAAGTGCTGCGGGACATGAGCAGGTCACTTAACCTCTCAGAGCACTGGAGCAAAATCGAGGGACTGGACAATTTCGGAGTGTTGTTGTGAAGATCAGCTGAGACTGTTTATGTGAAAATACTTTGTAAACTGAAAAAAATAAAACCAAAGAGTGTCAGCAGCAGAACTAGCACTAAAGCCCAGATGACCTCAGGCCCAGCCGCCGGTCCAGGGCCCGCCTCGAGTTTGCGGATAGCATGATTTGGCAGGCATGCCACTGACGGCAAGCAGATCTGTTTCCCACGCTTCAGAGGCCAGTTTCTGCTACCACATCCTTTCACTCTGGCTTATGGGGCTTGCTGCCTGCTGAGGGGTCAGCAGAGAAACCCCCTGCAACCCCCAGGAAAGAGCTCTGGCCACTTATGCGGGCCACTGCAAGCTGCTCTGATACCTCTGTGTGAGTTAGAAATGGCAGCTCTGGGTGGGCATGGTGGCTCGTGCCTATGTAATCCCAGCACTTTGGAAGACCGAGGTGGGTGGATCACCTGAGGTCAGGAGTTCAAGACCAGTCTGGCCAAGATGGTGCAACCCCGTCTCTACTAAAAACACAAAAATTAGCCAGGCGTGGTGGAGGGTGCCTGTAATCCCAGCTACTTGGGAGGCTGAGGCAGGAGAATCACTTGAACCCCAGAGATGGAGGTTGCAGTGAGTCGAGATCATGCCACTGCACTCCAGCCTGGGTGACAGAGCAAGACTCCATTTCAAAAAAAAAAAAAGGAAGAAAACGGCCGGGTGTGATGGTTCACATCTATAATTCCAGCACTTTGGGAGGCCGAGGTGTGTGGATCACGGGGTCAGGAGTTCAAGACCAGCCTGGCCAAGATGGTGCAACCCCATCTCTACTAAAAATACAAAAATTAGCCAGGCATGGTGGTGGGCGCCTGTAATCCCAGCTACTTGGGAGGTTCAGGCAGAGAATCGCTTGAATTCGGGAGGTGGAGGTTGCAGTGAGCCGAGATCGTGCCACTGCACTCCAGCCTGAGAGATAGAGTGAGATTCCATCTAAAACAAACAAAAGAAAAAACGAAGAAAGAAAAGGCAGCTCCATGGCAGGCAGGTTCAGGCCAGCTGATGCCCCTTCCTCCAGGTGGGCATCCCTGGACCCACACTGCCAGGGAGCAGGTACAGGCAAGTCCCAGGACCCACTGGCAGCCTCAGCCTGGCACCTCCATCCAATGCTTAAACCGCATAACCTTACTGGAGGCACTGACCAAAGTAGGCTCCGATCTCAGTCTATGAGGCAGGCACAACCCACCATTCCAACAACACTAATTGAGTGCCATTTCATGACACAACAGCATTATCAAAAAGAATGAGTACCAGGCTAGCAGTGAGAAGTGTGGGTCCTACTCCCACCACACTACCTTGTTTTTTTCGAGACAGGGTCTCACTGTGTTGTCCAGGCTGGAGTGCAGTGGCACACGATCACTGTGCACTGTGGCCTCAAATTCCTGGGCTCAATCAATCCTTCTGCCTCAGCCTCCTGAGTAGCTGGGATTACAAGTATCTACCACCACATCTGACTAATTTATTTTTAGAATTTTTTTTGTAGAGATGGGGGTCTCACTATGTTGCCCAGGTCAGTATTGAACTCATGGCCTCAAGCAGTCTTCCCCACTCGGCCCCCAAAGGGCTGGGATTGCAAGCATGAGCCACTGTGTGCCAGCCCCACAATACTACTTTCTAGCTGTGTTCCCCTGAGGAACTCATTCAAACTCAGTTTCTCCAGCTATCACATGGAAATAACAATTGTTACCCCAAAAGGTTTGTTAAAGGCACAAATGAGATGATAATATGAGCACTCTATTGTAAAGTGGAAATCAGGATACAGCTATAAGAGATGATGATCATACATTCTAAGAAAATTTTGAAGATAATTTTACTGCTAAGATGTGTTAAAGAAAAATAATTCAATGATACCTGTTAAAGCACAGTAAGGCAGACTTCATTCAAAACTGTCATGATAGGTAGAAGGATGATTGCAATGGGGTCTTGCAGTGGGACAGAAAGATTGGGCTCAACTCCAAGTACAGCAAGTGGGCATTTATGCCAAGGAGCAGAGTAGGGGGTCAATGGATAGAAAATTCCCAAAAAGAGTGAGAGGGATTCTGGCTAAACCAACCTAACAGGACTCTAGCTGAACACAGGCCAGGGGGATCAGACCTCACCTGGGGGATGGAGTGGGATGAGGACCCTGATCAGACACTGAGGGGAACCGGATATTGAAGGTTGATGGTTGTGCTCAACTAACTGGGCAGAGTTCTTTGCTAAACCTGGATTTTGCAAGAAAGTACACAGATGGGCCTAGGAGAAAGTTTGGAAGCCTGATTAAGTTTTTGTCAAGCAGGGAATCTTTAGCAGTTGACATAATGACAATATTGAGAGATTTTTGAAAAATATTCTCTCTGATGGAGCCCAACAAGTATTTCCCTTTCTGCATGTGCGTGCGTGTTTTTATGTCACGTACGTGAGTATGTTCTTGTAGCTCAGACAGCTCCGAATAAAAACCCAGGGAAGCGAGGGTGTGCTGAGCCCAGGGAGGGCCTGCCAGGAGGGTTTTCTGAAGGATGGCTGTGGGCCGGGCCTCTTCTGAGAGGGCTGAGGGCAGCTGCTTCCCTTGCCGTTTGATTCATTAGTCCACACCTCGTGGAGAGGTAACTTGAAAGGCAGCGCCGAGAAGCACGTAATGGATTTGTGAGGTTTTAACACCGGACAGCAGACAAAAGACTAATAAAAATCCGGGGCAGGAATTTCCCAAGAGGGAAGTGTCACAGTGGAATAAAAATGAAAGAGATAAAGGAGAGTTCCTAGAAGGATCCAACCCCCCTTCCCCACCCCAAACTCTGCTTATAGGTTCTTATATGATAATTTAAACTATATATGATATTAAATTAGCACTCCAATAGCAAAAATAAAAGTGTTCCCACATCACCTTCTTTGAAAATATTTATTTAAATAGGATGAAATGTTATTGAGGGCTTTTGTGTCTAGAAACAGGGTTAATTAAAGATTTCCTGCCTGCTTTGTGGGTAGGTGACACTCTCATTGAGATAGCAGCAATGCCCTATTTAGTGGTCTCTCAGCTTTCTTTCTATTCATCTGGTTTGGTAGTGGAATTCCATGGGAAGTTTGACCCTATTCAGTGATGAGAGAAGCAAAATACTGTTGTTCACCTAGAGGCTGTTTGCTCAGAAAAACAGGGTGTCAGAGACATGGGACGCAAACCCAGAGTGACATAGCGCAGGGACTTGGCTCACTTTTCTGAGATCTGTAAAATGTGATGTGACTGGCTCTCAGAAAGGAGGCTGAAGGGTTCCTGCCCGATTGGTTTTCAAAGGGCAAGAGCCCCGCTGCTGAGGAGCTGCGGCTTTGTTAGACAAAAGCCCAGGGCAGCCCCCTCCTGGGCTCAGCGTTTTCCCCACCTCCCCCTTTCTCACAGGCGGTTTCCCTGAAATGAAAGAACTGTGATGCATTTGCGCCTTCAAAAGCAGTTTTTAAAATGCATTAAACCCAAGATTGAATACCACCCAGTTCGGCCTCTGACCTGTGCCCGCGCCGAGGTTTCTGGGCAGCCAGGCCCAGGGAGGAAGCTGGCCTTTTGGCCCCAGGAGGCAGAGCCAGTTTAGCTGCCTGTGCCCCCCCACCACCCCACCCCTTTTTTTGACCTTCTGGCCCAAATAGGGAACTGTGGAGCGCTCATCTTTGTGTCCTTGCTAGTACACAGCCTCCCTGTGAAAGCAAGCAATGTCCCCAAGCAAATCCATATATCCGGGACCTACGGCGGCGGAAAGATCGGGTGCATTTGGAAGGCACGGGGCCTGGCCTCACATTTCCAAAAGCAGTATTCCAGACTCTGCCTGCAAAGCTTCTCCACCTTCCCCGTCATCTGACCTCATCTTTCTTAATTTTTCTTCTCTCATTCTTTCTATCTTCCCCTCTCTATCTCTTTCTTCCTTTAGAAATTATATTTGAGGCCGGGCGCGGTGGCTCACGCCTGTAAGCCCAGCACTTTGGGAGGCCGAGTTGGGTGGATCACGAGGTCAGGAGTTTGAGACCATCCTGGCCAACATGGTGAAACCCCATCTCTACTAAAAATACAAAAATTAGCTGGGCTTGGTGGCGCACGCCTGTAGTCCCAGCTACTCCGGAGGCTGAGGCAGGAGAATCCCTTGAACCTGCGAGGCGGAGGTTGCAGCGAGCCGAGATCGCGCCACTGCACTCCAGCCTGGGCAACAAGAGCGAGTCTCCGTCTCAAAAAAGAAAAAAAAATTATTTTTGAAGGTCGGGTACAGTGACTCACGCCTGTAATCCCAGCCCTTTGGGAGGCTGAGACGGGCAGATCACTTGAGGTCAGGAATTCGAGACCAGCCTTCGTCTCTACTAAAAATACAAAAATTAGCCTGGTGGGGTGGTGGGTGCCTATAATTCCAGCTACTCAGGACGCTGAAGCAGGAGAATCGTTTGAACATGGGCAGGAGAACTGTTTGAACATGGGAGGCCGAGATTGCAGTGAGCTGAGATCACACCACTACATTCCAGTCTGGGTTGACAGAGCAAGACTCTGTCTCAAAATAATAATAAATAATAATAATAATAATAAATAAAAAGAAATTATCTTTGAAAGAACTCATATAAGCAGGCTAAAATTAATTTGTTAATTTGTCACATTTAAAATAGTCTATTTTATTCTATATTTACAATTTTTGAAATCCTAGTTTTGGCACGTCTTGCCTCTTAAAAAATTTATATCACCCTTTACTCGTTGGAATGGCTACTTGTTTAAAAAACAGAAAATCACAAGTGTTGGTGAGGATGTGGAGAAGGAATGCCGTGCACTGTGGGCGGAAAGGTAAAATGGTACAGCTGTTGTGGAAAACGGTTTGGTGGTTCCTCAGAAAGTTAAAAATAGAACTACTGGCCGGGCGCAGTGGCTCATGCCTGTAATCCCAGCACTTTGGGAGGCCAAGGCGAGTGGATCACCTGAGGTCGGGAGTTCGAGACCAGCCTGACCAACATGGAGAAACCCTGTCTCTACTAAAAATACAAAATTAGCCGGACATGGTGGCCCATGCCTGTAATCCCAGCTACTCGGGAGGCTGAGGCAAGAGAATTGCTTGAAGCCAGGAAGGGAGGTTGCAGTGAGCCAAGATCATGCCATTGCACTCCAGCCTGGGCAACAAGAGCGAAACTCCATCTCAAAAAAAAAAAAAATAGAACTATCATATGGTCTAGCAATTCTACTTCTGGTTCTATACCCAAAAGAATTGAAAGCAGGGTCTTTAAGAGATATTTGTGCACCCATGTTTATAGCAGCACTGTTCACAATCACTAAAAGGTGGACGCAACCAAGCACTCATTGACAGATGGATGGATGAGCAAAATGCGGCAGATGCATACAGTGGAATATTATTTGGCCTTGAAAAGGAAGGAAATTCAGACACATGCTACCACATGGATGAAAGTTGAGGGCATTAGGCTAAGTGAAATAAGCCAGACACAGAAAGACAAATATGGTATGATTTCACTTATATGAGTTACTTAAAGTAGTTAAAATCATAGAGACAAAAAGTAGAATAGTGGTTGTCAGGGGCTGGGAGGAGGCGGGAATGGGGAGTTATGGTTTCATGGGTACAGAGTTTCAGTTTCGCAAAATGAAAAGAATTCTAGAGACGGATGGTGGTGATGGTTGCGCAACAATATGAATGTACTTGACATCACTCAACTGTGCGCTTAAACATGGCTAAGAGGGTAAATTTTATGTTATGTGTATTTTACCAGGCAAAAAAACAAACAAACAAAAAACCTGGAGGAAAAATTAGCAGCCTGTGCTATGAAAATTGCCTCAGGTGTAAGACAGTCTTGTCAGTATTGGAGCGTGCTCACAGTTGACATGTGTGAAGGACCAGGAGAGCCGGAAGAGGTCAGCAGGCTCAGGGGGTGCTGTTAGCCTGTTTCACCGACAGAAAGGCTTAACCCCTGCGGCGCCAACTAGACCAGGAGACCTTGCCTCTCTATTATTCTCCCACTGGCTGTTGCTTATTTTTGTTAGTCCAATATTTTCCACTGCTCTCAGAGACAAAGGTAGGCAACAGTTTGCAAAATTTAGACGCTTATGTGTGCACAAAGGAAAAAAAGAAGAAAGAAAGAAAACAACAGTCTGGTGAGCTTCTGTGAAGCTTCTTAACTAGCAGGGAGGGGAATTTTCCTTTCTGGTCACGTAGGCTGCTGTCTTCGGCTTCGATTCGTAAGCCACCTCCCAAGCCCCCATTAGCCCCAGGTAGGGGACATCCCATCCCCCTAAACCTCCTTCTTGAACTGACAGTTCACCCCTAGAAGGAGGTGGGAAACCACTCAGATCCATCTCAAAGGGATGCCTACCAGGGTAGGTGTGTGGGAGGAAGGCTGAGCCCATGCTGTGTTCAGGGGCCCCCCCAGAAGGTGTCAGCCTGGAGGAACATGCCCCACAGTTATAAAAGGCATCATTCCAGGAGCTATCATGGCGTCTGCTAGGGGCAGAGAGGAAGGGGAGGCAGGAAAGGGGCTGAGTATTTTGGGGCTGTATGCTTATTGTTCTACTTTTCTGTTGAAGTTATTGCAGTTGCTGCCCTCAAATTTTTCCTGCCTTTCTCCACCCCCAATTTTGCCCTATTTTCCCTAATTTTTCTCCTTTTTTTTTTTTTTTTTTTTTTTGAGATGGAGTGTCACTCTGTCGCCCAGGCTGGAGTGCAGTGGTGCGATCTCGGCTCACTGCAACTGCCACCTCCTGGGTTCAAGCTATTCTCCTGCCTCAGCCTCCTGAGTAGTTGGGATTACAGGTGTCCACCACTATGCCCAGCTAAGTTTTGCATTTTTAGTAGAGACAGGGCTTCACCATATTACCCAGGCTGGTCTCGAACTCCTGACTTCAGGCAATCCGCCAGCCTCGGCCTCCCAAAGTGCTAGGATTACAGGTGTGAGCCACCGCACCTGGCCAGTTTTTCTCCTTTTGTCCCATCTTCCTTTTTCCTTCTCCATCTGTTCCTTTCTGCTTCTCAGAATAAGCATCTCTATCCTTAGCTTCAAATCATAAACAACTTAGAAACAGTTACTTAGCTGAGTACTGTCTCTGTGCCAGGCCCTGTGCTGAGGGCTGACATTCATTGTATCTTTGGGTCCTCACAACAGCCATATGAGATAGGTGCTATTGTGCCCATTTTATAGTTGGGGATACTGAGGCTTAGGAAAGATAAAGTAACTTGTCCAAGATCACACAGCTGGAATGTGGCAGAGCTAGGATTTGAACCTTGACAGTCTGGCTAGAAGGGACCTTACTGATCATCTCTGTCCAAATCCTCCATAATGTACAGAAGAAAACAGGACCAGAGGCATCAAGTGACGTGTCCGAGGCCCCACAGCTAGTTAGGGGCAGTGCTGAGAACAAGAAGCTGGCCTCCTAATTCTGAGATTCTTCTTGTTTAAGAAGCATTTTCCATAGGTGGGCATCTGCTAGGCTTCTTTATCTAGAATTATTAATTCCAGGAAGCATGTGCCCTGGTCAGGCACAGAATCAGCAAAAACCCCACTGGAGACCCAAAATACCCTATATGCTCTCACCATTGCAGAATCTGTTGTGTCTGCAGGTGCAGCCTCCGGGACCCAGGACTTTCTTCTCAGGGCTCTGCTGAGTTGGGTGGGGGAGGCTGGAGGCTGCAAAATGATGACAGAGCTTGGGGCTATGATCTGGACTGGGTACCCAGAGCTAATAGGAGAAGAGGACAAGCAGGGGGACAGAACTGAGTCAGGAGACACTTTAGACGATGGAGGGTTGGGGGATGGAGGTGGCTAGTGAATAAAACACTTCTGAAGGGTCTTTGCTGCCTGTGTTGATGGCCATGATCAATTCGGATCCCCAGGGCCAGTTCAGCAAAACCTCTGTCAACAAATAGAGGATTTGTTTAATCTTTTCTGAAAGAGTCCGATGTTATCTAAGTGAGGACTGGCCAGGTAATTGGAACGTTCTAGAGACTGTTGGGTTGACTTGGATTTGGGGTCAATAAACATAGCGGCTCCACTACACTAGTGTGAGGAGGACCTCGGGAGAAATCGCATAGCTCCCTGGGCTGCAGTTTTCCCATCTGTGATATGGGGATAATGTCCTCACCCTGTCGACCTCATGGGGCTGCTGTGAGGGTCAGATGAGAAAATGGGTGGGGAGGTAATAATTAGTGAACAGCACCATTCAAAGCTACAGTGGTCTTATTGCTGTGTTTTCCTAATTGTATTTTGCACTGTGGCTTTACACAGCCCATGTCTCTGGATTGTTAAAAGGATCAAAAAAGATCATGAGTAGTGCATTCCTCGGCATTTTGTATCTCCTATAATTCCTGGATACAGATAAATGTTTATTAAAGAATGTGAAGGTCTCATCAAAAACCAAGCATGAGAGGCAAGACAATTATTACCTCAGATCACATACGCCTTGGATTTCAGAGCTGGAAAGAGGGTTAGAGACCTATTCCAGGACTTTACTCTACAGCAAAGCAGTCCGGGTTCCAGAGAGCCCAGGTGACTTGCCTTGGCTGGGCTGGACTCTGTTCTCTCCCCACCTGGACCTTGTGTCCGAGGAGCAGTGTTGGACCCTCAATTCAGACAAAGTGGGAAGGCAGATCCCAAGGAGGGGAGGGCTGGTGGCCCAGGTGGCTGCCTGGAAGATACCATCACTTCTCATGCTGTCTTAGGTGAACTTTCAAAGTCCAGCGTAAGAAAAAGTTTCCAGCAACAGCATTGTGGTTAGTATTGCAGGCTTTGGAGTGAGACAGTCCTGGGTTTAAATCTTGGCTGTCTACCTAGTATCTATGTGGTCTACGATATGTTACATAACCTCTCTAAGCCTCAGTTTCTTCAACTGTAAAATGAGGATATCCTGAGGTTGTTACCTTACAGTTTGCTGAGAGGAATAAATGCAATAATGGACGGGTGTGCTCACCCCAGAGCTTGGGACTGGGTAAATACTCATAAATGACAGAGGTGGGAGTAGTTGTTACAGTAACCTACCAGAGGGAAGAAGAGTGTGCTCCCGTTTAATCCTTATCACCTACGCAGTGCTTGGCATATAGGAGCGCAACAGATGTTTCTTGAACAAACATCACTAAGTAATGCCTACTTCTGCCCTTATTCCCCCTCAGCATGTTCCTTGCCCAGCTGCTAGAATGATCCTGCCAAAACATATAATCATGTATCTTTTCTGCTCCAAGTCCTTGACCTCCATCTCACTTAGAGCAAAATGTCCTTCAAGCTTGTTTGCAACTGTCACTCTCTCCCCAAACCCCCAGAACTCAATACGTCTGACCTCACCTCCTACTGGCCTTCCCCTCACTCATACCACCTCTTTGCAGTTCCAGGAACATGCCAGTCTGCACTGCCACCTCCGTCTTCTCCAGGTTCCCACTTGGCTTGCTCGCTCACTTCCTTCTGGGTTTGACTAGAATGCCACCATCTTAGCAAGGACATCCCTGCATACCCTACCCAAAACTGTATCCCCACACCACCAGCCTGACACTTCCTATGCACCTTCTCTGTGTTATTTTTCTTCTCAGCATGTATCACAACTATCTACATATTTTTCAGTTTACCTCGTTTATTGCCTGTCTCCGTCTTTAATTGTTAGTTCTATATGGGATCTGGGATTTTGTTGCTGCTGTGGTTCAGTTTGTTCATGATTGTTTCAAAAGCACCTAGACTGTTCCTGCTACATAGTAAATAATAAATATTGGTTGAATAAATAAATGAATGAATAGCATTAGTAGTGGTGTTTGTGTGTTTGTTCATTTTGTATGGCAAGAATTGTGAAATAAAGCAGAAGGAAGGAAGGTAGGTAGGTAGGCAGGTAGTGAGTTGCTCATCACAGTAGTGTTCCCAGAAGTCTGGATTTCCATTCATCAAAGAAGCTATCGAGTGTGAGTTCTGTTGGAAGAGAGGTTGGACTAGATGATTTTGTAGGTATCACCAAATGTCTGACTGCTGCAACAGCTTGAGTCTGCTGGGGTCACACAAGAATCACTAGAGCCCTGCAACCCCCCTGCTCTTTGGGTCAGTACTTGAACCTGCCTGAGAGGGGATCTGCTTAAAAGCAGCAGCTTGTCTCCGGATCCTGAAGCAAGGAGGTTTTGCATCTCTCTGGCCTTGAAGATCTCCATCCCGTGGAGAGTCTGACTCTACAGAGCGGGCAGAGAGTAGGAAGAAGGAACCTAGACGATCTCTGGCTGGGCCAAGAGAGAAATTAGCAAGGCCAGCTGACAAACTGGGCCTCCTGCATGGGGCTGAGAAGTGGGTAAGGGTTGGGAGGGAGAAGGGACATAACCAGGGATAAGGCAAGACAAGAAGTCTAATCAGGGACTGAGTCGGTTAGAAGTTTAAGGATTGTTCCTAAATGGTTATCAGCTCCATCTGTTGGACAGCAGGCTGGTGGCAGGGGTGTGGGTGACGTGTACCACATCACCCAGGAGATCTCCATCAGAAGGAGATAGCCCTGGAACTTAGGAATCTTTACGGGGAGGCGGGTGATGAAAAAAGCAGGCCCCGGAGAGCGGGGACACTGACAGTGAGGGGAGACCTAGCAACCCTACTGCCAGGAGTGCATTCCAAAGAAATAGCCACAAATGTGAGCACAGATGTATGCACAGGAATGTCCACAGTGACACTATTCATAATGCGTCCAAACATGAAGCCATCTAAATGTCTGACAAAAGACAGTGGTAAAATAAATTACGGCATTTTACAGGCACTAAAGTTGATGTAGAGACATAGTTCATGACAGGGAGAGATGACCATGATTTATTGCTAAGTAAAAAGAACAGTTACGAAATAAAATGCACATATCCAAGCCTAGAAGGACAGTCACCAACATACTAATCAGTCTTGGGGGTAACATTTTTTAAAATGATTTTTATTTTCTCTTTGTTCTTTTCTACCTTTTCCAAGTTTTCCCCAATAAGTATGCTTTGACCTTGTAAGATATGATAAATATCATCTTTTAAAGTGTGGTGTTTTAGGTTCTCAAAGCAGAAAATAAAGTCCATTTCATTTTAAATAGGATACAGTGAAATCGCTGACTACAGGTCCTCTTTCGCTTAGTTCTCGTTTTCTTTAGTATTCTAGGGCAGGGGAGGCTTTCTTAGTGGCAAATTACTACTTTCAGGGGGAGCATTAAATAAATAAGAAAGTAAAGGTTGTAAATGTTGTTGGTATTTGATTTGGAAACAGTATGAGTTAAAATAAGATATAGGATGAGGATGCATCCTGGCACAACAGAAAAAGCACTGGGCTGAGAGTCAGTCCTGGGTTACAGAGCTAGAACCGCAAACTCTCCAAGGAACAAACTCAGTACTCCCTCTTCAAGGGGAACCTAACCCTATCCATAACCTGAATTCCACCTACAATATCTTTCTGGCTCAGCCACCAGCTTTGTGATTCTGCCATCTCCTTTCTGAGGGCCAGTGAAACAAAGGAGTCAAGGCAAAGGGGATCTCCAAGGTTCTTTACCCAGCACAGATTCCATGATGCCCAAGGGAGAAGAAAAAAGATGCCAAAAAAGCCTCCTTTACGGCTTGACCTCGGACTGTCCTGGCCGCATAGTTTACTGAGGGTCTAGACTTTTCTCCCTGGTTCCTGCTACAGATCTTGCTGTAGATGGGTGATGGTGCCATAGCTTGATCTTGGGGACCCTGGGATGTGGCATCTTCTGCCAGTCCTGTTCTGTTGTGTCTCCCCCAGTCCTGGCCAAAGGCAGTGGCTTCTGTTGCTGCTCCCGTCAAGAAGTGCCTTCCTATCCTGCCCATCTGCTCACATTTCTATCACTGCAGCTCACAGACTTCGGTTGTCTTTCACACCCCAGGTAAGATCAACTGCTAAAACCAACAATGCCTTGACATCCTTCTACATGAATCCACATCTTCCTAACATCTATTTTGGAATGCTCAGGTCCCTCAGGAGTCAGAAGAGCAGGGACACTGGGTGAGGCCAGGTGAAGAGGGCCTCAAGGGAGCTGAAGATGAGCACAGGCTTCAGGGACTGTCAAAAGAGTCTTGCGATCAGCCACAGACAGACATGGCCACTGGCACCCTCCTCCATGGAGATGCCTCAGACACTCTATTTGGCCTTTCTACCTTTCCATTCAGTCATTCATTTTTGTAAAATGTACAGTAATCGAAAACATTTATTACAGTGCTGCTATGGGCCTAGCTCCATCTGGGCCCATTACACACATTTTCTTTAATTATCCCAATGACCCTGCAAGGTAGGTAATCTTCATTTTATAAAGAAGAGGACAGTTTCAGAGAGGTCAAGAAACCTGCCCAAGATCACGTTGCTGGGTAGTGATAAAGCCAAAACTTTAATTTAGGTCTGATTGCCTCATGAATCTATGCTCTTTGCACTTTCTGCTGAAACTGACCTCCCTCAACCTTACCATCTAGACAGAAATGCAGATGGCGGACACAAGAGGCACTTGCAAACCAGGGACACCCAGAGTCAAGTGGTTGCTTTCTATGGTTTACGGCTGTCCTCCTTGGGAAGAACCATCCCAAAAGCCATGCGCACACGGGGCTCCTGAGGACATCATTTCAGCTTGTGTCAGGAAAGTGCTTAGCAGTGGATCAATTGCCAGTCTTCTGGTCAACCTAATGAGCAAAATAAAGTCAGCCTGAATTGTCCATCATGGCCTAATCATCACGGAGTGATTGATCAACACAAATGATGACTCCAATCCACTGGTTCTCAACCAGGGGCAGATTTTGCCCCCAGGAAACATTTGGCAACGTCTAAAGATATTTTGAGTTGTCACAACTTGGGGAGTGCTACTGTCATCTAGTGGGTAGAGGTCAGGGATGCTGCTCAACATTCTACAATGCACAGAACAGCCTCCCTGGTGCCCACAGCCACAGAGAATTATCTGGCCCCAGGTGTTTTAGTGCAGAGGTCGAGAAACCCTGCTCCAAGCATTCGATCAAGAGGGACTTGACCCAGCTGGAGACTAACCAAATACCAGAAAGAGCAGCTGTTTTATTTCTGGGAAATTGTTGCTAGGGTTAAACTGTATAGATTTAGCCACGACTGAAGGTGTCCACATCCTGTTAAGCTAGATGGTGGGCATTGTGTATTTTTTTCCAGCTGCCCTTATTCAAGAGTGGCCCCTGGAATTTACTTAGCCTTTCTTTGGGTTAAAATCAGGAATGGAAAATTTAACCTCTAAGAGGAAAACAAACAGAAAATGAAAAGTAGGCGTAATAATGGAAGCTTAGGTGCAAATTTTAGTGCAGGGTATTCCTTCCTGTAAGGTTACTCACCCCACTCCTCCAGGCCACAGATATGCATGCACAGCCTGCCCACATGTAACTGTGCAGAGGGAGAGCTTAGATTTGAATCCAGAAGAATGGAATTCAAACCCCAACTCTACTGATAACCAATCTTGAGCAAATCACTTGCCTTCTTGAAGTTTCAGTTCCTCTGTCAGTAACAGAGGCCATACCCACACATCCCCGAGGGCTGTGGATTTTGCATACAGTAATTTACATAAAAGCACTGGCAAAACTACAAAGTGTGCCATAACTGCTCACCTGACGACAATCACACACACAGAGGGCTTCTCCTCCCTGGGGCACGTGGGTTCTCTTTATTAGATTTTTCCACATTATCACTGCCTATGTAAAGCTTCTCCTGGGTGATATTCTATTTCTTATGCTGCACTGGAGAAATATTCTCTATATCTTGAAATGGAAACGCTGAACCCAACTTATTTTACTCATGACCTAAATGAGATTATTGCTTCCAAGAGGACAATATATCGCACTAAAATGAGAATGCTCAGGATGATTAGGTGGAGAGCATTTATGATGCAGCTTTCCATTCTCCATGTGATGAAAACTTGACATGACCCAATGCTTTATTGTCCTACAGTAATTCCTGTCACTTTTATCCAGACTCATATTGCTCTTTAATTCTAGCCTATTTTCATCTTTCCTTAACAGGACATCAGATCTTGGCTTTCACAATCAACACAGTTTCAAAGGTTATTTATAAAATAGTTTAAAATAAAATATGCCATGCTTTGATTACAACCAGCGCTTCTGGTATGAATTAGAGAGGTGGCCTGTACACATATGTGTTGTTTATTAGCTTTTATCTGATGATCTCAAAGCACTGACATCAATTCTAACACACATGGTTTCTTATAATTACCACCCCCCTACACACACACCCATTTATGCAGGGCAGAATTATTTTGAGGACAAATGAGCTACGTATTGTGATGTGCTGTGAGTTTCTGAGAATAGAAACTCCTATGACTAAACTCTCCATGAACAGAGCAAATCAGAGAATAACAGCAAATGCTTTTATCGCTCAGGCAGCTCAATCACATTTGGTTTTCCATTTCACTCTAGTAAGAGGGTTATCGGCCTTGAGGATACCCCCCAAGAAATGTTTGTGATTTTTGTTTTAAGCTCAGCCCCTGTACCATCTGCTCACTGAGGCCAACTTCCCATCCCAGCTGTGTGGCTGCCTAAGTCAGCCTGGTGCTATGGGATGGGAACAGGCAGAGGTGGGGAGAGGCTTACAGACTCATTTTCAAACAGAGATGGAAAACTGGGAGTCAGAAGAGGTGGAGGTATATATGGACCCAGCCATCCGACTTCTGATCCTATTGTTCTTTTTTTTTTTTTTTTTTTTGACCGAGTTTTGCACTTGTTGCCCAGGCTGGAGTGCAATGGCGCGATCTCGGCTCACCACAACCTCCGCCTCCCGGGTTCAAGCCATTCTCCTGCCTCAGCCTCCCGAGTAGCTGGGATTACAGGCATGCCACCACACCTGGCTAATTTTGTATTTTTTTTTTTCAGTAGAGACGGGGTTTCTCCATGTTGGCCAGGCTGATCTCAAACTCCCGACCTCGGGTGATCCACCCGCCTCGGCCTCCCAAAGTGTTGGGATTACAGGCGTAAGCCACTGCGCCCGGCCTCCTATTGTTCTTAACCAGGGGTCATACATACCCCACCTTCCTGCAATGACAAAAGAAAGTCAAGGTCATCCCTGTACATCTGTCTGGCCTATACATCTGTTTTGTAAACAAGCAGGTCTCACTAGAATTAACTTTTTTCTTAACTAAAACACACTCACACAGTTTTCCCTTGCAATTCAGGGCTGAACCCTTCTCCAGTTCCTCAAATGCTTATTGGCTACAGAAAGCTGCAGAAAGAAATGGTCAATTCCTAGTGTCTCTTTCAAGGAGAACGTATTTGCAGCATTTCTTAACTCAGAACAGAACTGGAGCCACCCACCCCACAGGTGGAGCCCTGGCAGCTGTGACCTGGAAACACAACTGTGTTTGTTCTTCCCTCACCAGCCAAGGAGACCAGAAGGCAGGAGGGGCCAGCCACAGCTGCCACCTTTGCCTCTCCTCTTCTCAGGGTCCGTATGCCACTTCAGACCACTGTATGTGGAGCCGAGATGTCAGAGCTGGAGCAGAGAAGAGGAGCACGCAGGTAGAACTGTCTAAAATCCAAAACAAGCTCTGCCCGCTTGAATTGCCACTCAGATTCATTTCAAGACTACAAAATGTGCAGGCAATGTTTTTCTGAAGGGCAACCCCGGTGCTCCCGAGATGGGAGGCACCCTCCCTTCTGACACGCATTTATTCCATCTTCCGGAGATAAGGAGGGGACAGGGCTGGCTCAGCAACCCCACAATCTCCGTCTGGGCCAGTCATCTCAGCAGGTGCTTGACAGGCAACCAGGCTGGAAGAGAATGCCTCTGCAGTATGCTGGAAGTGTCCTTCCCCTAATGCCACCTAATGGCAAAGCCCTGTGCATTTATTGCATGTGAACGTGTCCTCAACACCCATTGAGCCACGGTGTGGTGCACGGCCATCAGCGTTCAAAACGAATAAATTGAGCCACCCTAGAAACAACTCCCCCAGATAGTCTTGGAAGAAGCTGGGAGGCATATTCTTAGATTTAAGCAAGAAATTACAATGTTGACTCAAATCAGGATTTTTGCAAGGGACTTGTTACACTGTGCTAGGGAAGGTTCACAATCTGTCTGTACCTCTGAGGTACCATCTTTAAAAGGGTGTCTTACATTGAGTTCTGCTAGAAGCTGACCCTGAAACAAAGATTAGAGTTTAGATAGTTTATTTTGAGAGATGATTCCAGAAACCGTTGGTAGGTGTTATGGGTTGAACTGTGTCCCCTCAAAAGATATTGAAGTCCTAACACCCTCTGAATGTCACCTTATTTGGAAATAGGGTGCTTTCAGATTATCAAGTTAAGATGAGGTCATTAGGGTGGGCTCTAATCCAATATGACTGGTGTCCTTATAAAAAGGGAAAAATTGGACACAGAGACAGCCATGCACACACAGGGAGAATGCAGCATGAAAATGAAGGCAGAGATTGGGATGATGCATCTACAAGCCAAGGAACACCAAAGATTGCCAGCAACCACCAGAAGCTGGGGAGAGGCTTGGGACAGATTCTCCTG
The DNA here is from genome assembly GCF_000001405.40 of Homo sapiens. Taxonomy (NCBI): domain Eukaryota; kingdom Metazoa; phylum Chordata; class Mammalia; order Primates; family Hominidae; genus Homo; species Homo sapiens. Next base: position 167,502,879 of record NC_000001.11, read on the forward strand.
CACAGCCCTCAGAAGGAACCAACCCTGCAGACACCTTGACTTTGGACTTTTAGCCTTCCGAACTGTGAGCCAATAAGGTTTTGCTCCTTAAACCACTCAGTTTGTGGCACTTTGTTAAGGCAGCCCTAGGAAATGAATACAGTAAGAACATGGGAAGTGAGGCAGGTGAAGGAAGGAATCATTATGAGGTTAGCTACTGTGGTTAACAACTGGAACTTCATCCTGCTGGCAAGTCCCAGGAAACTGTGGAACAGCTACCTCAGCCTTACACAGGAGGGGTGGCAGCTTGCGTCTGCTCCTGCCGGTATTCAAAATGAACCGACTTTAGGAGGTCCCCCTGGGGCATTTGTCATCAGGCTGAGGCCATGCCCTGAATTGCAAAGTTTCCTCCTCCTCCTTTTTGCATTAAATCCTACCCATTCATATCCTACCTCCCAGGATGCTTTCCTTTAATCCTCTAGCCCAGCTTTCTCATAACTTCCTCTTAGAGCCCTCACTCTGTATTCTGCAGGTCACTTAATAGGTGTTCCCTGAAAAACCAGATGCCAAGAGGGGTGAAATTAATTTCCATTGCATTGCATAACTCTATCTTCCTCCCTTCCCCCTGGGAACGTGTAATGCACATTTGCAGACAGAAGTTTTGGAAAAGTCCTGCACTTAAACAACAACAAACAAAACCCTTCTTCAGTGCACTTAAACTACTGTTTCCAAAATGTACATTCCTTCTTTTTTGTAGTATAGTATTAACATCTTGCTGAACATAGATTGGGGAAGAGTGCCTTTGTTATAAACGTCACTGAACACATTGTTTAGGAGCCAGGTCCTTGGGACAAGGAAGGGTGACACATCTGAGCAGGTGGCAACAGGGTCTGCCTGGGACCAGGAACCATGGGGCCAGGTGAGGACTTGGCCTGGAGGAGGGGTAGGCTACCGGTTAGGGTGCCAAAGGCCATGCCCCCCTACCCCCGCCTCTTCATCTAGCCTGAGGGTGGGAAGTGAGTTTCAGGGATGGGGTAGGGATTAGAGTCACGGCTGGTGTTTCCTGGTTTTCTGGGGCAGAAAATCCTATTCCTACCACCAGATCTTCCCTTTGCTAATTCCCTTCTCCATGTGGCAGACAAACCTCAACTCCTCCCTCCAAGTCCGTGACAAGCAAATATGAGGGAGACCCTTACCTCTGGGCTCCCGGGGTGCTGTGTATAGGCAATGCGGTTCATGGCGGGGGGAGCGAGGGCAGGCTGCCTGGGGCCAAAGGCTGGCTGTGCTCCTGCTAGCCATGGACCCCCAGGGCTGAATTCCCCACCTATCAAGTGGGGACATCAATAAAAGTGCCACAGGATTAGTTGACCTAATGCATGCAAACAGCACATAAAACAAGCCCCGGCATCACAAGTGTTCACAGTTACCACCCCTCTATCACTTTACCAGCCAGGCATATCCCTCTCCTCTAGAAATGTGAGTACTTTGAGAGCAGCAACTGTAATGCAGCCGCTGACATACAATCGCTTGCTCAGAAAATACACTGAAAGTGAATTAATGCGCAGCTATGTTCTGCATTTTATTTCTATCTCTGATAATATTTCTGACGATGAAATGTATGATTAAAACAGGCACTCTTCACTAACAGGAAAATTACTTGTTTTTCTCTCATTGGTTTTAGTCTTCTCTCCCCAGCTGGCATAGCCTAACAGGACACACCATCACTAGTAAAGGCTAGTTTGCCTGCCAAGGCCTAAGATCAGTGGGTCACTGTCCTTATGGTTACCATGGTCCTGGACAGTCCCAGCAGAGAAGCAGAGATGCCATTGATTTATTGGCACAAAGAGGCATTTATCTGCCTCTCCTTGTCATTAACGGGACGCTAGGGCAGTGGGGCAGTGGGAATCTCAGTTAGAATGGGCTTCATTAAAAAGCCCTTAAAAGGAAACCCTTCTAAAACCTAGCGATCAATCTTGCCTACCTTTTGGGATCTCATCCGTTGGTGAACAACTGACAGGAAAATCTGGGCACGTCTCTATTTTTGAAAAGTTAATATATCTGTCGATTCTACAAAAATCCAATAAATGAAAATTCATACTCATGAAAACAAGTAGATTAGAAGAAGAGTCCTCACAATACCAAATAACTCACGACAGCTTTTCTTTAAATATTCTACCTATATTTACATATTATTATAATATTCTCTTGCACAAAACCTTCCAAGGGCTTCCTCTGGTGAGTGAAGATTCCCTTGTACATAGCTGACATTTTCTTTTCTTTTTCTTTTTTTAGAGACAGGGTCTTGCTCTGTCTCCCAGCCTAGACTGCAGTGGTACGATCATAGCTCACTGCAGCCTGGAACTCCTGGGCTCAAGCAATCCTCCTGCCTCAGCCTCCTGAGTAGCTTTTTTTGTTGTTGTTGTTGTTGAGATACGGTTTACATACCATAAGACATTGTCTGAGCCTAGATATACTAATAATACATGGTATTTTTGTCACTTCTTCACTCATTAAACTTTTACTGAACATCTTTATAGACTAAAAGCACTCTGGCTAAATTTACTTGTATGTGTTTGCATGTATGTGTGTGTCTATAGCTTTCTTGCTGCCTGCCTGCCTGCCTGCTTCGTTTCTGAAAGGATTCAGGTGGAAGGCTAAATTCATCTTCTCTGGAAGGCAGCATGAGTGCAGCTCATGTGGGGCAAGGCACAAGGGCTGCCCCTCGCCCTCCGGCAGCCTGTTGCCCAGCAGGTAGGCAGGTCAGGGCCTATGGCACAACAGGGCAAAAAATCTAACAACAATGGCCACTTGGCCTGCAGAAGCTGGAGTGGAGGGAGACCAAGGTAGGCTTCTCAGCAGCACTGACAGCTATCTGGTAGGGGGAGTGGGGAGGGGTTTCCTCACTGTGGGGATGATCCAATGCCTTTTTGTACCCCCTGAAACAGTTGAAAGCCATCCCCTTCATGGACAGGATGAGCTAAGGTGGCCCAGCCACCTGCAGCTCTTTTGTGGCTGTCATTCTAGTGTAGGGTCTCATCACACACACCTGAGACCCAAGTGGCTGGCTCCAGAAGTGCCATTTACTTATAACAGGGCAGCTTGTCAGCCCAGAGGACAGGCAGCTAGAGCAAGAATCAAAAGTCCTGGGTTTAAGGGCTGAATTTGCCATTTGCTTATGACATGGCAATTTCTTGATCTGTATTATTTTTCTCTAGGGCCATCATTTCTCCCCTGGTAAAATCCAGAAGTGGAACTTGAAGGTATCTATAATACTTTCCAGGTCAAATATTCCGAGATTCTGACATACCAGCCCAGTCCCACTCTGGTCACAGAAAATCTTCCCAGAGAGACGCCATCTTTCTTTTTTCTTTTCTTTTCTTTTCTTTTCCTTTTCTTTTCTTTTCTTTTCTTTTCCTTTTCTTTTCTTTTCTTTTTTCTTTTCTTTTCCTTTCCTTTCTTTTCTTTTCTTTTTTCTTTCTCCTCTCCCTCCCCTCCCCTCCCCTTCCCTTTCTTTTTCTCTCACTCTGTTGTCCAGGCTAAAGTGCAGTAGTATTATCACGGCTCACTGCAACCTCCGCCTCCCAGGCTCAAGCATTTCTCCCACCTCAACCTCCCAAATAGCTGAGACTACAGGGGGGTGTCACCGTGCCCAGCGAATATTTTCTCTCTCTCTCTTTTTTATTTTTTTTGTATTTTAGAAGAGACAGGTTTTTGCTATGTTGCCAAGGCTTGCTGTCTACTCTTCTTATCACTGAAGGTAGAACTAAGTGGCAGCAACCCTAACCCCTACCCCAGCCTAATCACGATATTGCCACAGGCCACTTCTGACTACAAAGTAGCTACACTTTACATGAGAGATGCATTCCTAAAGACTTTGCAAAATTCTGATTAATTTATCATAGGAATAAATGTAAAATCTTACATTATCTTGAATACTACAAATAGTGAGACCTTATGAATTTTTAGATTGCATTTTTTTCAAATTTACATAATTCAGAACTCCATTAAATATGGCTTATTGTATGTTCCCTCTGATTTTTTTTTTTTTTTTTTTTTTGAGATGGAGTCTTGCTCTGTCGCCCAGGCTGGAGTGCAATGGTGTGATCTTGGCTCACGGCAACCCCTGCATCCCAGGTTCAAGTGATTCTCCTGCCTCAGCCTCCTGAGTAGCTGGGACTACAGGAGCACACCACCATGCCCAGCTAATTTTGTTGTTTGTTTGTTTTTGTTTTTGTATTTTTAGTAGAGATGTGGTTTTGCCATGTTGGCCAGGTTGATCTCAAACTCCGGACCCTGGGTGATCCACCTGCCTTGGCCTCCCAAAGTTCTGAGATTACAGGTGTAAGCCACCACGCCTGGCCTGAATTTTTTTTTTTTTTAACCTTCAAAGAGAAGGAATGGTGATTGGAGAGAGAGATGATGACCCAGGGTCAAAGTTGGTAGAGAAAGACCATGGGTTTGAAGGACTCTACAGGGAAAACATGGAGAGCCAGGTGAACCAGGCCTCTTTTCTGACCCCGTAGAGAGGACCCAGCAACTCAATACTGTCTTCCTTTGTTGATCATTCCACATAGAATTTTAGATGGTTGGCCAATTAGAAGGTTAGATTTCTATTCTTTTCTTTCTTAACTGAAATTATTCCAGACTTGAATGCTGCTATTAAATGTTCAACTCCAAATTTAAAAATCTCTAAATAGGCAGCGTGGTGGCTTATTCCTGTAATCCCAGCACTTTGGGAGGCCAAGGCTGGTGGATTATATGAGCCCAGGAGTTTCCAAGGCCAGCCAGGGCAACGTAGTGAGAACCTGTATCTACAAAAAAAGAAAAAATTAGTCAGGCATGATGGTGCACCCCTATGGTTCCAATGGCTCAGGAGGCTGAAGTGGTAGGATTGCTTGAGCCCAGGATTTTGAGGCTGCAGTGAGCTGTGATCACACCCCTGCACTCCAGCCTGAGTGAAGAAGGGAGACCCTATCTTAAAAAAAAAAAAATCCCTAAATAGCAAATTCTCTCTATCTCTTGGCATATAGGAGCCATTTTGTGCTCTTCAAAATGGCTGACAGGAATTTTCTGAGGAAGCTATGGTCTGAAACCAAACGAGGAATTAGGTCAGCTTCAAGTCTGAGACTTTGTGTTTACAGCCATAGCTAAAAACTAACAGATGTGTCTTCCAAACCGACAAAATCAAGAAATTGTCATGAAGATCAAAAATGGCTTCCAAAATCTTACCCTCCGTGTCCTCCCCACCAGCCCCTTTGGACTGCAAGAGCTTGTGGCTATAACTCTATTCACAGCCCATTTCTGGTTTCCAAGTAGCTCCCTTTCCAACAAGAGATTACAAAGCTTTGAAAATTAGAGGCACCCCACCACTCCCACCCCAAAGAGCTATTGCGCGACGAGATGCTCCGTTGAAATGGAAGGAGTTTGCTTTATAGCAGCCTCCCTCATGGAATTATAGATGGGAACATTTAACAATACAGCATTTGCAATGGGCAGGTGAGAGCTGGCTAAGTTTTTAAAGGGGATTTCACAGGCCAGGTCAGCAGGGAGATGGATGGGTGAGCGATGGTGGATACAATTATTTGACTTTCTGAGCTGTTCTTTTGAAGCCTCTATGTTTAATAGAAAGAAAAAGGATAATCCTCTTTGCCAACCTTTTGTAGCTCAATCTTTATTGTTCCCAATGAAACCCAAAGAAAACGGACAAGATTCATTTTGTCCAGAAAGCATTTGTGTATTTTATGTAGGTCTGGGCTTTGAAGTGTTGATAGTTAAGTGGGAGAAAAGACAAAGATTTCTCTCGACTCTGTGGAAATCAAAGGAGGAATTTCTGAAGCTCTCTTGGCTGACTCAAAAGTCCTGGGTGGTATCCTCCATATATGCTTCCTTTGCTACTAAACTCAGCATGGAAATTAGCACAGGCCCCACACAATGATGAAAATTAGATGAGACCATAAAGAAGTGAGCCTGAAGACAAATTTAGACTTTTTTGCAAAAATTGAGAACATGGTTTCCGGGACCAGGGACACTTTCTTGTGCTTATGGGCTCTCAATCATTTAACCTTCATCTTCAAAACACTGGCCTGGCCAGTGGGCTGGTTGAGCCAACCATCTACAGGACTGTTGGTTTGATTTGGGGCACATGAGAGGTGCTTGGTAAATATTTACTCAATTGGTAAGTCAAGTGGCCTGTCAGATGGTTTAAATAATCAGATATTAAAAATCATGGCTGGGCGCGGTGGCTCATGCCTATAATCCCAGCACTTTGGGAGGCCGAGGCAGGTGGATCACTTGAGGTCGGGAGTTTGAGACCAGCCTGACCAACATGGAGAAACCCTGTCTCTACTAAAAATACAAAATTAGCCGGGTGTGTTGGCACATGCCTGTAATCCCAGCTACACAGGAGGCTGAGGCAGGAGAATCACTTGAACCCAGGATGGGGGTTGTGGTGAGCCGAGATCGCGCCATTGCACTCCAGCCTAGTCAACAAGAGCGAAGCGAAACTCTGTCTCAAAAAAAAAAAAAAAAAAAAAGAAAAGAAAAGAAATCATTATCCATCTGGTTATCTTGATGGGCAAAGTAGGTCATTGGGAACCACCTTATTGGATTGTTTGCCAACCTATTCCGAGGGTGAAAAAAAAAGAAGATTAAATGCGTGTTTGCCTATTTTAGCCAAAATACATAGGATGGACACTGTGGGAAGAACTGGTGAGAATTTGGGGAGCTGTTGACATTTTCCGCTGACAGATAAATGTTCCTGAAACTATCTGGGTGCCGAGTCTCTTCTCTGGGAACGCCTCACTCTAGGGAACTATTTCTGTTGGGTTTTTGACCCTGAATTCTGAGAACAACAATTTTCCACCTGCTTGTGTCACTTTAACGCTGGTAACAATGTCAACAGTGGGTCTGGGAGATCCCCATACATCTGGGCTTAGAATTAAGGGGTGAACAGGGTTTCCGCAGGTGGGGGATGGAGTGGCGTCTGCATTCTAAGTCGGGAGAATTGAGAGGAAGGAAGCTACAAAAAAGGAAAGACCCCAGGCTTACTTGGAAGATGAGAGACCTCTGACGGGAGTCAGGCCAGACCAACCTGAAAAGTCTATGCAGCTATGAAGAAGCCACTCACACCTCTCCATGATCCGACAGAGGTTTTCTTGTCTCCCTTCTCCACAGAATCCCTGGAACATGATCTGTGACATCTCTGACTTTCTGCTCACCTACTCAGAACCCAGACTGCCAGCCCTGAGTTGAAGTAATGTTTGCCCTTCCTTCTATGGAGCTGTCCTGCTGCCACCAAACTCCTCCTAAACACACACACCATACATACAAAATCACTCACTGCTGCACATAAAAACACATCCCTGCAGATGCAGGCACACATCCATCAGCATACAGGTGAGCATACAGTGCACCACACACACCAACACATGCACACCTGCACATGCATGTCAGGACACACCTACAAACACACAGCACCACATGCGCCAGCATATGCCCACAGGGGGCACAGACACCTGCAACCACCAGAGCCTATGGGTAAATACATGCTGGCGTGCACATTGCCAACACCCACACTGACCTGCAACCCCTGGGGCTTGGGCTCAGGCTTTTCACGTGATGGGTCACCTGGCTCAGCTGCCTTCTCCCTGCAGCAGGCAGCTCAGGCCAGTAAACCCAGGGGAACAGGTTGCAACCTCTACCCCCTCCCCCAGCCTGTCTTTTCTACTCTTTCCCCTATCATACTTCTCTCCCATCATGCCCAGCCCAGATGATGAAAGGGCAGGTCTAACTGAGGGCTGTCATTCACATTCTGTCTTGGAGCCAGTACAATTTTGCATGGTGGGGAATTAGCAAAATACAAGAAGACACAGTAGACTCTAGTATCTACAGCAAAAGAGGGGGGTAGGGGTTTGTTAATCTTAAATGGTGATGTTGGTTTCCATTCTGAGCCCTCCTCCCCACCTGCCATGGCTTGGCAAAGGCAACAGCACCTACAGCCCATCACAGACATCCTGCTGCAGCACTTGAATACTTCCCCTCTTCCCAACCCTCCTCTCAGCCAGCTTTGGGGGTGGCCCACTAAGAGTCTCAGATATTCACATCTCCAGCTGTTTAATGCTTCATGCATTTGTTCTGAGCACCAGAAAACCATCTTTTGCTTTGCTCCAGTCAACAGCACAAGGATTTGCACTACCTGCACCGAGCCTGCAGGTGAACCCCAGGCTAAAATATGACGTAAATAATTGTGAATAGATTATAGACATTTGTCATTCAAAGATAACTCTCCCAGTCCTGGAGGAGTTAGTGAAAAAACAAATCTCAATTCAGAGTCTGTGCGTGACGGTGTGCTGTTCTTTTAGAGAATCTCATACACATAAAACCTTTCACACCATATGGAGATCCACTCTTACCAAGCAGATTAATTACAGGCAATTTATTCAGGGCAAAACCTCTCAAATATGATTTAATTTACATTTTACTTATAACCTCTGCATACAGTGGGGTGGTGAGCGGTGTGCATACCTGCACACACAGGAGTGGGTTGAACTGCAAATTGAGGCGCATCCCTCTAAGGAAGTTCCAGAATAGATGCATTTTCTGAGAGTAAAATGGAAACTATGGATTTATCAGCTTTGGAGAAAATGTAAGTTCTCCATTTAGAACCATCATAATACGTTCTAGAAAAACATATAGTTCTATATTAATAACCTAATATTCATACTCAGCAGAAAATGTATATTAAATGAGAATATTCAGCATCAAAATAATTATTTTTTACTGTAAAAATTGAGAGGAAAAGAGTAAGTGCTTAGTAAGGGGAATACCTTTAGAAGTAGGCTTCAGAATCCAGTCTTTGGGTATATGATGGTGTACGGACCTGGGCGAGCGGCTGCACACTGTTCAAGGTGCAGACCCTGTACGAGGGCCCCGAGAAACCATGTTTGAGGCCTGGTTCTACTCGTAGGCAAGTCACCAGACCTACGAGCCTCACTTTCTTCATTTACGAGAAGAGATAGATCCTGCTGCTTTTTCTGCTATTTGCCATAGGATGGTTATGAGGATCCAGTAAACAAAGGCATGGAAACTCATTTTGCAACTGTAAAGGGATGGCTGCACTCAGAGAACGGCGGTCTGGACTGGCAAGGGTCCTGCTTGTCTTTGTTCTAATGCTTTCTATTTATTTTTTTCTCCTTGAGCCTGAAAATTAGTTGCTGAGTAGCACAAATCAAAACAGGCAAGCAAAGTGGACAGTGCAAACGCCTAACATTTTCACCACTGCAATTTGGCTGCTTCGGGCAGTAATTTGCTTTCTCTTCAAGTCTGTTCTCACCAACCGAAGTCCTTGCACGGCCCCCAATAAATCTGCAGCCGACGCACAAGCAGAAGGGATGGACTTTGTCCTTGGATTTTTCACAGCAGAGGCTCCCACTTAGAATGTTAAAAATATTGTGGTAAGGTGAGAGCCCAGATTTAAAAAGTATTTGGAGAGGCAAGGAAGAAGGAAGTTCAGGCTCTGAATTCTGAGAGCCAATACCTGTGGGGTGGGGTAAGGATCGGGGGCTGAGTCATTAAATGTTCTTTAAAACTTTGTAATTTCAAGACCACACACAACTCATTTTGTAGCTAAAAGGGATGTTCAATCCTCTCATAATTTATCTCACAGATGCTAAAACTAAAGCCTAGAGAGAAATTTCTGCCCAAGTATACACTGCAATGTAATGACAGAGGAAGAAAAAAAGCATGTCAGTCCAGTGTTCCCCCATTATTGCATTGGGAAAATGATATTCTATTTTGCAGATTGGGAAACTGAGGCACACATGCTAATGGTTCTGGCTTTCCAAGTGCCTTTTGTGTTTAGGCACTTCCGAATCAGATCTCCACTCCACAGTCCCCTGCGTGAAGAGGCACCATTGCCGCCATCTCACAGAGGAAGAACAGGGCTCTGAGGTCGGGAGGGGAAGGCGGCTCAGGACTTCTGGCTCCAGAGCCTCCTCTCCTTCCACCATAGTGCCTGCTCCAGAGGAGACACAAAGGCTTGGAGATGGTAACAGAGAGTTAGAGAAACATTTTCTTTCCTTGATGGGATTGTTTTCAACAGAAGTCTAGAGCATCCTGCAAAATGCTGTTTTACTTTAACCTATTCTTTCAAATGTCATTCCTGGATTTGCCCAAGAAAGTAACAAAAGCTACATATGTAAAGATTTTCTTGTAGGATTAGCTAAAATAACAAAAATCAGAAATAGTCCAAATGTACAACAATAAGGAAATAGTGAAGAAAATACGATGCATGGATGCTATGGAAGCTTACATAGCAATTAAAAACAATCACAAAGGCTAAACATGAAAACAATGCTTACAATAAAATATTAAGAAAAAAAGCACTTGAAACTTTTTAATGATATGTTTTATGTTTTGATTATGATATGACTTATGTTTTTATGTTAACTATAAAAAGATAGTAAAATTTTTTACACTTGTAAAAAATGTTGGATTGGAATATAAAGAAGTGAGAATGCAATATTATTGGGCTGGCTTGGTAGGAATTTTGAAAAAAATTTAATTAAATTTTAACTTCCGTCAGTGATTTTTATATCTTTACTAAAATATCTCAAACTAAGAGAACAGAAAAATGTTGGCTACCTGAAATATTTATTTAGTAACCTGGATCAAACCAGACTAATAGTAAGTATCTTGCTTTTTTTTCTTTCTATATTTTGAGGAAACTGGGTGATTGGATACTGTGGTTTATACTATAATCCAGTCTTTTGCTACCTGATGCCTTTCATTAGTTTATTTTTAGTTCATTAGTTAACAATCTCCAACAGTGTTAGCCTTGCTTATTTTCCGCTTTCCTCCGGTGTTAAAGCCTAATCAGAAAAAATGAGCATATTTCTTTATTTTTAGTTATAATGTTAGTTGAATCATATGAAATTATCCTTTTTGTAGATCTGAAATAAACAAATAGTGGAAATTTCATATGGTCCAACCAGAAAACTTTAATAATGGCAGGGTTTTATCTTAAACCATCCTTACAACTCATTTCAAATAATTCTAATCACTCAAACTGCCCTGTCCCCTCCACTGGTTTAATTTCTGGTTTTTGTTTTGTTTTTAAAATAACATTGTTTAATACTACGTTCTCTAGAGGAAAGGTCCAAACAATGCCAATTCAATATACCCACCAAATAAACCATTAAAGTTAATTTAATCGTATGAAAACATCTAGATTTCCTTCATTCACTCACCTTTTAATTCATTCAACAATTCTTATTTTATTTTATTTTATTTATTTTTTTGAGATGGAATCTTGCTCTGTCGCCCAGGCTGGAGTGCAGTGGTACGATCTCAGCTCACTGCAACCTCCGCCTCCCGGGTTCAAGGGATTCTCCTGCCTCAGCCTCCCAAGTAGTTGGGACTACAGGCACGTGCCACCATGCCCAGTTAATTTTTTGCATTTTTTAGTGGAGATGGGGTTTCACCACATTGGCCAGGCTGGTCTCAAATTCCTGACCTCAGGTGATCCACCCGTCTCGGCCTCCCAGAGTGCATTCAACAATTCTTATTGATAATTATTGCACATTGACTCTGCTCCAGGTACCATGCTAAGTGCTGGGTAGAGCTGTGAGCGTGACAGGGGCGTCTTTGTTTTCAGGGAACTTAAAGTTGTTTTTTAGACCGGAAGACATACTATGTACATGCGCTGACTAAAGCGATCATTTTGTTTTGATTAACAGGTCTAATGACCGGTTTAATTTTTTTTTTTAACCATATTGAATGTTTGTTCAAAGTGACGAACACCATCACTTTAGTGTTAATAAAAATTAGCCTTGGCCGAAGCAGAGCTAAGAAATTTATTTTGAACTATTTCCGGTATTTATTAAATCAATTATCTGACCTATATAAGGTCCTAAGCCTTAGATAAATAAGGCTTGGGAGAAACGATTCCCAAAGTGCGTGTTTGGACAACTCTAATCTAAGAGAGTTCCCTCAGGGCAACTGGACCCTTCTAAGTAAAGCACAAGACACAATGCTGGGTAACTTTTGACTGGAAAAGTATATATCCAACAATAATTACATGTATTTTTTTAAAGAACAAAAGCAAAAATACAAAGAATTTAAAATTAAATACAGCAGTGGTTATTCACCTAAGCCAGAGCTCCCCAGGACCGTTTCTGGGGGATGCTTAGCAGAAGCAGATGTGATCTCTAGGCTAGTAAGCCTGAGAAACGCTAAAATTGAAAAATGAAATAGCTCATTTGGATGAGCAGAGCTAGGCGATTGGAGGGCGAAACAATCTGATGGTGAAAATGCCATTGATGAAAAATTTGTACTGGTATCACTTAAAAGCTTGCCTCACATTCACCTCCCAGCAATTTTAGCAAAGATTTAGTGTTCAAGAAGTTTGCATTTAGATACTCAGTCGCTGTGCACCCACAATAGCCCTTTGGCTTCAGAATCTAGGTGGCCACCCGGACCAGTGATGACTGGGTGGATTTTGTTTCTGATTCCTTTCAAAGTAATACTTTGAAAAACTTTTGTCTATGAGCCTTATCTAAGATAGCTAAAATGTCAGTCTCCACAGAGGCAAAGTAAGTGGCACTGAGAAGTAAAAAAATCCAGCCAATCCCCCTGCCCCCTATTTGTGGAAATGGGGCACAGCCCCCATCTTGCATATATTTTTTCAGACATGTTTTTACTTCGGGAGAATATTCCCCTACAGAGTAAGTATCTTTAAAAAATGAAAATGGTGGATGTAACAGTCATCCTATGACCAGCCAGAGCTTTGCTGCTTTTTCACTATCGGGCCTACCTCTGCAATCATTGTTATGTTTCTGTGCTGGTATGGGTGTGCCCAGAAATCAGAAGAGGGATGAGTTGGATTGCAACAGATGGAGAAAATGCCCACTGCTGCTTTATAACATATTGAAAGCAAATGAAGAATCCCAGCCATGGGTTTCCATCTCCTGTTTTGAGAACAAGAAGACAGTCCGAGATGTAATAATAGTAATAGTAAATACAATGTTTACTTATTGGCTGTCTACTATGTATTGGACACATTACATTACTTCTCATTGTCACATCTCTGCAAAGAAGGTATTACAAGTCTTTCTTTAGAGGTGAGAAAACTGAGGCCCAGAGAGGTTAAGTAACTTGCCTAAGGTTGCACAGCTAGGAAGCGGCAGCACTGGGACACCACCTGAAATTAGCCTGGCTCTTTCTACCACGTCCAGCCACCTTCCTAAAAGCAGAGCCACTCACAAGCCTGGAAGCTTTGCATTCCCCAAGGCTGCATGTCAGAGCTCCATCTCCTCACTGATAAAAGACAAACACCACACTGACCGCTGGGTGCATTCTTGGCTACTGCAGAGTAGGGAGTTAGAGGCACTGAGGGCTCTGCAGGCACAAGTGTGCCCATGCCACTAGGCACGCCATCTTAGGATCTTCTGGCCTCAAGCCCTGGTGACTGTCTTGGTAGATTCTCTCTCAGGGAGGCCTCCTCATGTGGACAGACCAGGTCATCATTTGCTTTGATCCTAATAATCTGGGCATTTCCAAAGAAATGCAAATGCAACAGCTTAGTAAAAAGTAGACATTTTAAAAGGGATGTATGCAATGGGTCACTTAACTGAGCAAGAAAAGAGAGAAGACCTGACTGAAATTCTATGTGCGGCCTTTCCTCCGGGGAGACTGTGGAGGTGTCCCCTCAGGCAGCAAAAGCACCATCGCAGCCCTCGGTGTCAAGGCCTCTCTGAGTCGCGCTTTGCCTTACCGTACCTCGTTTCTGGGCTAGGATATTTTGAAACACTTTTGTCTATTAGCTTTATCTAAAATAGCTAAAATATCAGTCTCCATAGAGGCAAAGTAAGTGGCACTGAGAAGCAAAAAATCCAGCCAATGTGCAGTTTTCTCCTCCTGCCCCCTATTTGTGGAAATGAGGCACGGCCCCCATCTTGTCTGCTGGGTGGGGTTCTGTTTACCACGCTTGGCAGCCACCGCCACCCAACAATCTTTCATTTTTCTTTCTAACTTCACTTTGCCCCTACCTTGGTCTCTCCAAGCCGAACACAAATGGACCAGTGAGGAAACTGCAGGTAAAGACCCTGAAAGGTTATATGAGCTCCCTGGTGTGGTGTCTCAAGCCTGAAGCTCAGAGGCTGGAGCTATTGCCCCTGGCTGTCTCCCCTGAAGTCACTAAATTCCAGCGTTCTGGGTCCCCTTGTCCCCAGCACACAAGGATGGGCTGCTCTGAGCAAGCTCAGGCACCCTCACTCTGCCACACTGTGTGTGTGACTTAGACCCCACAAGGCTTTTCTGAGAAAACAGCTGTGACCTGACAGAAACCCCTGCAGCTGCACGGGCCTCAGAATCCCCCGAGGCGCTGGCCCGGGCTGTGCCTGGCTCCCTGGTGGGAGCAGAAGTGCCCATGGCCTCTCCTGCCCTCCCAACAGGGCCCCTAAACAAATTCCCACACCCAGGTGAGTTACCAGGAGCGATCAGGTGGGCCGAGGACATTTGCTTGCTTCACCTTCCCTGTTTCTTTAGATTGAAATTCAGCCTGCCCCACTTCTCAGGAAGATGCCACGAGGCTGATCCCCCTGAGCAGTTTGTCCTGTCCTCTTTTCACTGGTTTTCTTCCTCATTACCTGGGCTAGAAAACATGGTGGAAGCTAAAGGCTTGCAGCAAAGCTGGGCTCCCACGATCGGGAATGAGGTGAGGAGCAAGCACTCTTGTTGGCTGGGCGCTGCTCGTGGTGGTGACTTAACCAGGCACATCGTCTCATCTGCCCCGTGTTCTGTCAATGCCGGGCCCTCTGGCTGGGCTAGATGGCCGCCTAAGGGGCAGGCTGGGGTGAGTCACGGAGCCTGGGATGGTGCGTCACCCGGCAGTCCCAGGCGTGGGTGTGGGGACAGCCATGACAAGGCTGAGCCTAGACACGGACGCTTGGCCATGAGGTGGCGAAGGCGCTGTGGAGGCTGCCACCCGGTGCTTCCTGCCTGTGCCCCTCTCCTCCTTGGTTACCCCACTTACTCCCGGGCCCATTGGAGTGTTTCAGGCCATGACCTTGACTGACCAACAAAATCTTCTTTGTTGGCAAAGGAAGAAAGAAAGGGGCTGAGTGACGGAGCCAGCCAGAGGGTGAAAGAAGCTGAAGGGACTAGAACGTCGCAGCACGAAACATGGCCTGGCTGACATTTTCCGATCCTGTCCAGCTTCTGTGAAACACTCCCTCTCCGTTTCTCTACCCTGGGCCTGCCTCGGTTGCTCTCTTGCTTCCTTCTTCCTTCCTCTCTTATCACTCGAAAAATCTGTACCTGGAGGAGCTGTGTATTCTAGCAGCTGGCTCTGAACTGATGCCCAACTCGGCTGTGACGGAGCAGATGCCAGCACCGGGCCGGACCCCTCACTGCTCACTTGCCCATTGATTTGAGGAGGGCAGGATTTGAAGGAGACCCCAGCCCCTCACCACCCTCCACTACCCACACCCACTCCCCTACACATACACAAAGAGTTTCTAGAAGTTCCCTGCCGTCGACACGTCGGCCCTACCTGTAATCGGCAACTGTGCCTGCAGGATGGCCGCGGTGAAAAGCGCCTTCCACTTCATCTTGTCCTTTCCCTCAGAAAGAGGCTGGGAGGCAGAGGCTGAGGCAGCGGTGGCCGGGACGGTTAGGAGAAAAGGAGTCTCTGCTGGTTTTATTCTGCAGCTACCTCCCCAGGAAGTGGAGGACTGTGGGGCCTTTGAGAAAGCACCTGCCGACAGGGCCAAGAAATTCGCACTCCCCCTTTCGGTTCACAGGCAGGAAGCCCTGGAGGTTTGAGGGTTTGGGGTGTGTGTATGTATCTGTCTGTCTGAATTTTGCTTTTTCTCTCATTTGACCATTGTTTTAATGCTCCTTTTTTTAAAAAAAATAATTCTTATCTAATTCCTATCTTGATTGGTAAAGTCCATCTCTAGGCAAATACAAGTTCTCGATGGATGTAAGAACATTTGCTGTTTTCCTAGACTGTCAAATATTTTATGGTGGCTGGCAAAATGACAGAACCCTGGATTAGAGTCCAGGACAAATGTAGAGACAGATTCCTTGGGCTTTAGTGACATCTCTGCCTACCACCTACTTGCTGTGTGGCGTTGAGTCAGTCACTCAACATCTCTAGACTTCAGCTTCCTTATCTATAAAGCAAAGAGCTGGAGTAGATCTGAGGTTGCAGATCTGAACTTGGCCTGAATTTGGATCATTGTGTGAAATACTGTAGCTCACATAGTATTTTAAACACTTGTGTTAGTTGTCAACATTTAAACACCAGAGTAATTTACAATAATAAAACATTAAAACCTAGACATAAACTTCGTCTAAAAATTGTAATATATCTATATGAAACAAACTTTAAAACATTGCTGAAGAACGCCGAAAGGACTTGGGTAAATGGAAAGGCATACCCTTCTTTGATAGGAAGCTCTCTTTTAAGGAGACCACCATTCTCTCTTAATTAATCAATCTATTTCATTGAAAATACCAACAAAAAGTTTTAGAACAAGTTAAGCTGATTCCAAAATTGATATGAAAAAAATTAATGTACAAGAATAGCCAATAATCCAAAGTCACAGCAATCCAACATAAAATTGATAAATTGGACTTCATCACAATTAAAAGTTTTTGTGCATCAAAGGACACTATGAAGAAAGTGAGTCCTGCAAATCACCGCATACCTCTAAGTGATGGAAACAGCATTCCCATCATCAGACTTGGTACCTACTCAGAGCCTAAATTGACCCCTAAGGGGGCCGATGACTTACTCAAGGCCACACAGCAAGTAGGTGGTAGGTAGAGATGTCACTACAGCCCAAGTAGTCTGTCTCTACATTTAGTCTGAGTCTTCATCAGTGAAGGTTGTCATTGGTCTGGGGTGCTGACACACTGATGAAGCCTACATATACCAAAATGAAGACACAGCTGGGGAGGCCATCAGGGGGAAAATAGCAGAAGGAAAGGTGCAGAGGAAGGATATCTTCTACTGTGGAAAACTGTGGGCTACAAATCACAACCCAGAGCTGGTCTGCCCGAGCCTAGAGAGGATGCTCAAGGTCCTCCAGCTAGATTGTGTGGATCTTTACATCACTGAAATACCCATGGCCGCTAAGCCAGAAGACAAAATCTACCCTATAGGTGAGAATGGCAAATGGTTATATCACAAGTCAAATCTGTGTGCCACTTGGGAGACTTCGGAAGCTTGTAAAGATGCTGGCTTGGTGAAATCCCTCGGAGTATCCAGTTTTAACAGCAGGCCAGCTGGAGCTCATCCAGAACAACCCAGGACTCAAACCCAAGCCAGTCAGCAACGAGGTTGAGTGCCACCCATATTACACCCAACCAAAACTTTTGAAATTTCGCCAACAACATGACATTGTCATGATTGCATATAGCCCTTTGGGGACCACTAGGAATCCAACCTGGACAAATATGTCTTCTCTGCCTTCGTTAAAGGATGCACTTCTAAAAAGGTGCAATAAGATCACAGCTCAAGTTATTTTGCGTTTCAACATCCAGCAAGGGGTGGTTGTCATTCCTAAAAGCTTTAATCCTGAAAAGATCAAGGAAAACCTTCAGGCCTTTGACTTTTCTCTCACTGAATCAAGGACATTGAAGCCTGGAGTGAAAATGTCCGCTTCATAGAAATGCTCATGTGGTGTGATCATCCCAAATACCCATTTCTTGATGAATACTGACTTCAGAGAGTTCCTGAACAGATTCTCCCCTCCCACGTGTGGAGGACCTTAGGGTGCATAGTTCCCCATGGACACGGAAATGAAAGAGGTTTTATTATCTGAAAAGTGGTGATGGAAACATGCTTAACTTTTGTATAGTGTAAGTGATTTTAACTCACCCATGTTAAAGACAAAATGTTTAAATCTGTTGAAATTCTTAGGAAATTATCACCTAATATTTTATTAGATAAATGTCTTCTGGGTTCCAGACCAAAAACAAAACAAAACAAACAAACAAACAAAAAACAATTAGATTCCAGAAAAGACTTGAAAGGCAACAGATGACAACCAGCAACAAGTAACTCATGAATGTGGGTAGTAACATTGTTAGCCTGAGTTCTTTAGCAGTCAACAGGACAACAAAGACAGCAGAGGGCCCCCATGTGCCAGGGTGCTGGCAGTGGCCTTGAGGACTTGAACCATTGACTGCAATACAGACACAGCCAAGATAAGATCCAGACATGCATTATTAACAAAAAAGTGATTTGCTGCACCTTGAGTAGGGAGAGAGGGCTAAGTGTAGAAAAGTCTTAAAATAGAGTCAATTAAACACCACAGTGATCAACAAAGCCATAAGGATTTTATTGTTGTTTGTTTCTATCCGATGTATGTTTGTTTAGCTTTTACTCAGCTTGAAGGATGCATACTTGCTGGTTCTCTTTTGCATCCTCAGAGGGTCTGAGTTTCAACATAACTAGTGGTCCATACTTACATTGTCTTATATTCACTCTTGCCACATTGATCATCGAATCACCATTACGTGAAGTGGCTTGAAACAACCAACATACATAAATAAAACTCTGCATCATAAAGTATTCCAAAGACGGCTATTTTAAAACAAGACATTTTATAAGGGGACTTTAGGAGACATATTGAAAGAAGAGGCTTTATAAAAGTACTATGCTTAAGTCTTTAAGAGTGTTATTGGGATAGCTATGTGAATTTTGAGAAAATAGCACGTTCAAAAGAACACTGGTAATTGTACTCTATGTAAATTTTTAAAGAGAATAAAATTATTAGAATTCAACAACAGAGATGTACCTATTTTCAGTTCAACTACAGAAATATATTTTATTCATTCATATTAGATCACTCTCACAGGGCAAGAGAGTTCTTCAAAAATTATGCTTTTCCAAGACCAATTGCTTATAGATAATCTTCAATGACCTGTACACATACATTTCTGAGAAAGTATCACTTAAAAACTTGATCTATACTGATTGTTTTCACTGATTCCGATGTTAATACTTACAATGCTTGTCCTCTAGACAATACTTTGTTCACAAGAAATCATGAAATATGATGACAAAGAAAGACAAAAGAAAGAACGAAGAAAGTGAAAAGACAACCCAACCCACAGAATGAAAGAAAACATTTGTAAATATACTGATAAGGGTCTAGGATTCAGAATATATAAATAACCCCTATGACTCAACAATAAAAAACATAACCCAATTAAAAATTGGCCAAAGATGTAAATAGACATTTCTCCAAAGAAGACATACAAATGGCCAATTAGCACATGAAAAGATGTACAACATCATTAGTCATTAGGGAAATACAAATCAAAACGACAGTGAGATACCACTTCTCACCCACTAGGATAGCTAAAATAAGAAAACAGACAATACAAGTGTTGATAAGGATGTGGAGAAACTGGAATTCTCATACATTTTTGTGGGTTATATAAATGGTGAAGCCCTTGTGAAAAATAATTTGGCAGTTCCTCAAAAAGTTAAACATAGTATCATGTGACCCAGCAATTCTATTCCTAGATATATACCCAAGAGAATCGGAAACCTAGGCTCACACAAAAACTTGTAAAGGAATGTTCATAGCAGCATTATTCACAGTGGCCCTAAACTGGAAACAATTCGAATGGCCACAACTAGGAATGGATAAGCAAATGCGCCGTATCCAAACAATGAAATATGACTCAGCCATCAAAAAGAATGAAGCACTGTTACATGCTGCAACTGGGATGACCCTTGAAAACATTATGCTAAGCGGAAGAAGCCAGGCACAAAAGGTTACATAGTGTATGATTCCATTTATATAAAATGTCCAGAATAAACAAATTCATAGAGATAGAAAGCAGGTTAGTAGTTGCCAGGGGATGGGGAGAGTGGGGAATTGGGACTGTCAATAGCTATGAGGGTTCCTTTGAGATGATGAACATGTTCTAGAATTGGACAGTGGTGATGGTGTGCAACAGAGTGAATATACTAAAAACCATTGAAGTATGCACTTTAAAATGACACATTTTATGTTATATGAATTATATCTCAATACAAAAATAATGCTAAAACAAACACAAGAATAGTTAGGAAAATTCTTGCAAAGAAGAGTAAAGAGAGTGAAATAACCCTGCCAGATATCAAACAATAAAAGGGGTGTAATTATCATACAGTACTTAGGGTACTATAGACTTAAACATATATGGTCAATTGGTTTTCAATAAAGGTACAAGAAAAATTCAGCAGGAAATGGTAGTCTTTTCAACAAATGGTGGTAGAACAACTGGATATCCACATGGAAAAAAAATTGACCCTCGGTTCATACCATACACAAAAATTATCTAAAATGGTTCATAGACCTAAATGTAAAACCCAAAACTATAAAATTTCTGGAATAAAACATAGGAGAAAAATATTTGTGATAGAACACAAAAAGTAAAAACCATAAAAGAAAAAATTGGTAAACTGGACTTTATCAAAATTAAAAGTTTTTGCTTTGTTCATTGAAAGACAGCAGTAGGAAAATGAAAAAGAAGCCATAGACTAGGAGAAATTATGTCCAAACACATACATCAGACAGAGGACTTATATCCAGAATATGTAAAGAACTATTTTAACTCAATAGTAAAGTAATCAACTCAATAAGAAAATGGGCACAAAGTTTGAATAGACAATTCCCAAAAGAAGATAAATGAATGGCCAATAAGCAAGTGAAAAGATGCTAAACATCATTAGTAATTAAAGAAAAACAAATTAAAACCACAATGAGATACTACTACATACCTGTTAGTATGGCTAAAATTAAATAACTGGTCGTTATCAAGTGTTGCCCAGGATATGAAAGAACTGAAACTCTCATACGCGGATGGGGGAAATGTAAAATGGTACAACAATTTCTGAAAGATCTGGCGGTTTCTTTAGAAAGTTAAACATACACTCACCATATGATCCAGCCATTGCACTCATGTATCTAACCAAGAGAAAAAAAAAAATATATATATATATATATATGTCCATATAAAGATTTGTACATCAACACTCATGGCAGCTTTATTTGTAATAAACTACTGGAAAACTACCCAAATATTTATCAACAAATGAATGGATAAACTAATTATGGTATATCCATTCAATGAAATAATACTGAACAATAAAAAGAAATAAACTGCTAGTGCACACAACATGGCTGAATCTCAAAATCAATATACTGAGTGAAAGAGGCCAGGCAAAAAGAGTACATATTGAAAGATTCTACTTACAGGAAATTCTACAAAATCTGAATTAATCTGTTGTAACAGATTTCAAACCACAAACTAAGAAAGGTACTTGCAGCACTGTGACAAAGGGCTTAGTTCCTTAATACATAAAGAGCACCTAAACATTATTCAGTTTTAGCAAATAATTTTCAAGTGTCCACCAGGTGCCAAGCATGGTACTATACACTGAAGATATAACTGGGAGTTAAATAGACAAAATCCTTGCCCTCGTGAAATGTTCAAGCTGACGGGAGTCTAAAACAACGTTAAAAAAATGAGAAAAGGACTTGAACAGAGAGTTCATGGGAAAAAAAAGTAACACATAGCTGTCAAATGAATGAAAGATTACCAAAATCACTCATAGTAGGAAAAAATCGAAATTAAAATTACAATGAATACATATCAGATTGCTATCAGCTTCTCCACTGGGTTCCGTCTTCCTTTGCTTCCCAAGGAAATTGCCCCAGATATTCTCTTTTTTCTCTCCTGCATGTCAGTATTTTCCTCTAAATTGGATCATTCCTATCTGTATACAAGCATGTTATTTCTCTCATCTTAAAAAACTCAAAGACTTATATAGCATTTGCACATTGGAACTTGCCATATTTCTTATCGCTTTGGGAATCCAGTCTCCACACTAAGAAGCCTGTATTAACCCGCTGGAGACACGTGGCACAGCTGACAGCCAGCGCTGACTTCCAGACAAGTAAGGCTCTCTTACATCATCCAGACCCAGCTGAACCAACAGAGGACTGCAGCCACGTGGGTGACACCAGATGAGACCGGACAAAGCACTGCCTGAGTCCAGCCTAAGTTGCTGGCCGACAGAATCATGAACTAAAACGGTTGTCGTTCTAAGCCACTGAGTTTGGGAGGATTGTGACATACCAAATGATAACAAAATACTCAATATCCCCATATCAATCTCAGGAATTGCCCTAATTGGCCCACCTTGGGCCATATGCCCACTTTTTGGATAAACCAGTGCTTCCAGGGGGTCAAGACGAGATTGGAGCTGGAAAACTCTGGTTTACAGCCTTAGCAGAATCATTCGTAATAGAAGAAATGAGGGGAAAGGATTCTGGGCATATATAGAACAATGACTGTCCACGACAGCCAGCCTTGCCCTGGTGTGTGCAGTGGGATGGGGTTGGCAACTAGAACGAGGCTCACGCTTTGCAGAGGGGCACACAGGCAAGGCCCAGAGCTGGAGCTGAGAGGAAGCTGGATAGAACATGATGACCTGCAGCTGTGAGTTTCTCATGGTGGAAGCTCTGGCTCTTCCTCATGATTGAATCCCTGCTTCCTGATATATTTTGGTGGGTGGGTAGATGGATAGATGGATAGATGCATGCATGCATGGTTGGATGGATGGATGGTTGGGCGACTCAGTGAGTGAGTGGCTAGATGGATGAATGAGTAGGAGGGTGGCTGGTAACATTCAGGATGGCAGGAAGTCCAATACTATGTAGGAGGATGCCCCAACTTCCTCTCAGGAAGAGCACAGTAAGGGAAACCCAGAAGCTGGTGAATGGAGATTTTAGCTGGAAAAGTTGTCATTGTCATTACAGAGAAGGGCCCCTGCCATTGAGGGGCTGACTGGAAAATTGGGTAGCGTAAAGAAAATGTAAAGACAAGGTATGGGGGAAGGGACTGGGGCTCAGGACTGGGACTGAACTGATGGAAGCCAAATGGCTACAGCTACAAGCAGGAACAATTTAAAGTGTAGGGCCAAGCAGAATATAAGCAGCCATGTGGTAAGAGGAAGATGCTGGTGCTAAATAAATTCTCATAATTCTCCAAATAAGTAATGCTGGTGAAGTAATTATTTTAACTTGTCCAGCATCTTTCCCCTCCCTTTTTTGGAAGCAACCTCGTTTCCCTTGGAGGGGAGCGCATATTCCCTCAACGGAGTGGGATGTATGCCGCTGGCTGGCTCCCGGTGTGGGCATGGACCCTGTGACAGCCAATCAGGCATCATATCCTTCTGTCTACAAAGACCGGCTCAGGGAGGGCCCATGAGAGCCATTTTCAAGATTCTTGCTGGAACTCCAGGGAAAGGGGCACCATTTTCCCGTAGAGAATGGTGACCGTGGGGTAGTGCAGCCTGCAGCAGTGGAGGCCGTCTATTTCCCACCGGGAGAGAGCCTGACGGGATGAGGCCAACAAGAGGGAAGCAGAGCCCAGAGACAGGAAGAGAAGGATGGTTCCCATTTTGCCCCCTTGTCAGTCACAGGAGCCAATAAATACCCCTTTTTGCTCTTTGGGTCGATTCATCAGAATTTAGTGGGAAAGCTTTGTCTGCACCTAGAGGAGAGGTTGTTCTGAGGCGCCAACGTGCTTCAGGTGAGCTGGGTCTCTTCCCACAACCACTTGCTCCCAAGGGGCCCTCCCAGGATTCAGATTTCCCTGGGGTTCTTTCTCTACAACAGCTCCTTCTAGGCAACAGGGACTCGGCACTGAGCCTCGCAATTCCCTGGCTCCTGATCATCAGAGAAAACAGCACAAAAAAGAGGATTGGTCTCTGTCCCTTGGGGTGTCCAGAGACAGCCTCTCCCAAGACCCCTGTGAGGGGAAGCACTTCCCTAGCCCTTGAGACCCCAGCATGTTGACCCAGGCCCTGTGCCTCCCTTCAGCTGACTGGTCCAGGGCTGGCAAGCAGCTGGAGGCCCACACAGGCTATTCCCTCACAAAGTGCATTTCTGCTGGCAGGATCCCAGCCAAACACCTCGGTGGAGCCTTGTCTCTTCAGCCTCAACCCGAGGTTTCCCCAGTCATAGCCTGTGTATGAGCCCCTCCTTTTGTGACCGCAAGCCTTGGCTCACAGGAATCCTTTTGCCTGAAGGCCCTTCTCTCCTTTCCCCAACCCAGGAGCTTGGTCTCGGACAAGGTGTAAATATCCCTTCACTGTGAAGCCTGGCTCACACCTACTAAACCTATTAGCTATGTCCATCGCATATTGTTTAGTGCTGTGTTAAAAAACACTTGTCACTTTTTGCCTTGGTTATTTGTTTACACAGATGTTCACACAATGATAATCCAAGCTCTTCAAGAGCATGGACGGAGTTTTATTCATTTTGTAATCTTTAGTGTCCAGTACATAGTTGGTATTTAATTTGAGAGAGAGAGAGAGAGAAAGAAAGAGAGAGAGAGAGAGACCAGACCATTCCTGACCCGAAAACCAGATGGGGTAGAGAGCAGCAGGAAACAAAATTTAAATGCTCTCTGGGAAGTTCAGTCCCCGGGGTTAGAGACCATGTCTTAGGCAATTTGAATGGCCAGAACTGAATGCAGTGCCTGGAACATAAAAGGTGCTCCGTTAAAATTTACTGAAGGAATGAGGGGGCATGACCCCAACTACTGTTATCGAGAGGGGAATGAGGGGAATGGGTTTGCAGAAAGGGCCAAGCATCCCTTTAGTGACAATCCCAGGTAGAATCTGCCTTCTAAGATGCTACATTTGGGCCAAGCATGGCCCCCTCCCACCACCACCTGCACACAGATCCACATCTTATGGCTCTGATGGACTCCTTGGGCTCCATGACTCTTTCATGTCTGACCAAAGCTGGAGGAGAGGGCAGAGCCTAAAGAGCCTAAAGGAGCCCCCACCGGCTGGGAGTAGAGGCTGAGGAAACTGACATATCAGTAACTGCTGGTCCTTTTTTTTTTTTTTTTTTTTTTTTTTTTTGAGACAGGGTCTTACTCTGTCACCCCAGGCTGGAGTGCAGTGGCATGATCACAGCTCACTGCAGCCTCGACCTCCTGGGCTCAAACGATCCTTCCACCTCAGCTTCCTGAGTAGCTAGGATCACAGGTGTGTACTGCAACACCCAGCTAACTTTTTCTGCTGTATTTTTTGTAAAGACATGGTTTCACCATGTTGCCTGGGCTGGTCTTGAACTCTTGAGCTCCAGTGATCGACCTGCCTCAGCCTTCCAAAGCGCTGGGATTACAGGTGTGAGCCACCACGCCCAGCACCAGTCTTTATCTGAGCTGAATTTGGCTGACTTTGAGTGTGGCCCAGGATATGACTGCATATAGAATGTAATTTCAGTGGATTTCTGATCCCTAAAACACACCCTCTCCACTCACCTACTAATATCCACCCAAAAATACATGCTTAGAGAGTCACTCTTTTGGCTAAAATTATAATAATGGTGTGTGGGAGCTGGCTGATATCAGCACATGAGAGCCAACTGTTAAATTTTCAGGAATTTTCCCAGTTGGTTGTTAAATCATTGGTAACTTGAAATTGGCTGTGGTGGGGGCAGACATTATACATGAAAGTTCATTCTGTATGCCCCAGCACACCACTGACTAAACACTTTTCTTCCATTCAGAAGCAAATGCCCTTGAGAGATATATAAAGCCTTATCAGTTATTTATACCTTTGTGTTAAATACTGAGTCACAGACCATTGTCCCAGTTAGATGGGGACTGGAAATCATTAATCTAACCTTTATTTAGTAAATGAGAGAATTGAGACCCAGAAAGGTAACATGACTTACTGAAGATATAGAATTAGCTAGTTTCAGAGTCCAGACTGCAACTGAAGTGCTCTGATTCTCAGTAAACGGGATGCCATAATAGACATTATATGCTTATATTTACACCCAGCATCCCTTCCTCCCCCCAACCCCCATATTAACCCTGGCCAGACCATGCAGTACAAGTGGAGCTAACCCCTAGCCTGTCTGCGCTCAGGGATGGTCACATGACTAAACCTGCTCCATTAGAGTATTCTGTCTTCCTCGCCATTGTAACTGATTAGGGGAAGAACATATTAATGCAGGGATGTTTTTGTAGGCCTGGCATCAAGACCCCCATCTTCTAGCAATAGTATCAATTTTGCTTTGAAGAGTCAACTATTCTCCACGATTATAATCTCTTTTTTTTTTTTTTTAATGGAATCTCTCTCTGTCGCCCAGGCTGGAGTGCAGTGGTGCAATCTCGGCTCACTGCAATCTCCACCTCCCAGGTTCAAGCAATTCTCTGCCTCAGCCTCCTGAGTAGCTGGGATTACAGGTGCCTGCCACCACTCCCAGCTAATTTTTATATTTTTAGTAGAGACGGGGTTTCATCATATTGGTCAGGCTGGTCTCGAACTCCTGACTTCAGGTGATCTGCCTGCCTTGGCCTCCCAAAGTGCTGGGATTACAGGCGTGAGCCACCGTGCCGGCCGATTATAATCGCTTGATGAGGCTATCAGGTAATGTCAATCAGCTGCTTTCTCCCCGGACTTTAAATCTTAACAGAATGAAACAAGACCTGGACATAACCCTTGTTTGTTTCTCCTTCTTGGATCCATCCCAGAAGTTGCTCATATTCTGTGGCTACACGAACACTGTTCCAGCCAATTTCCTTTTTTGCTTAAGCTATCCAGAGCTGATTTTTGTTGCTTGCAACCAAAGGATCCTGACTTACACAGTAGAATTTTTGGAAGTTGTATTAGCTTTCTATTGCTGCATAACAAACTATCACAAATGTAGTGGCTTAAAACAACACATTTATGATCTTACAGTAATGTAGGTCAGAAGTCCTGATATAGCATGGCTGAGTTCTCTGCTCAGGTACTTACAAGGCTGAAATCAGTGTTGGCTGGGGCTGCAGTTCTCATTTGAGGCTCAGGGTCTTCTTCCAGGCTCATTGGTTGTTGGTAAATTTTATTTCCTCTCAGTTATAGGAGTGAGTTCCTGTTTTCCTGCTAATGATTGGCCAGGGAATGCTCTCAGGTCCCAGAAAACACCTGCAGTTCCTTGCCAGGTGGCCCCCATAGGCAGTTCACAATGTGGATGTTTGCTTGCTTCTGGCCCAAACACAGAGCATCTCTCTGACTTAGTCTTCTGGAACCAGCTGGAGAAAACTCTGATTTTAGAGGATATGCCTGATCAGGTCAGGCCCACCCAGAACACTCTCCCTTTGCCACATAAAACCGCAAAAGCACAGGAGTGATAGCTCATCGTATTCACAGGTTCTTCTTACGATCACGAAGATTGTACCATGGCGTGTCAATCTTGGAGGCCACCTTAGGATCCCATTTCTCACAGAAATGCTGTTCAAAAAGATGCTCCCTTCTTCCTCTGGGAAGATCAGACACGCCTGGTGTTCATCTTTTTCACCAGATGGAAGAAGCTTGCCTGGGAATGAAGCCAACACAGAGAACAGCTGAGCAAGAGACATAAAGACAGGCAGAGCATTTGCTGCATTGTTGAGAACCTGGATCGTGCCATGCCTAGCTGCCTGTCCCAGGGGCTTTTCCATCTCACGAGCCAATAGCTTTTTTCTTAAGTTATTTGACTTTGATTCTGCAACTTGGAATTGAAATGGTCTTGAGTATT
Source organism: Homo sapiens (assembly GCF_000001405.40). NCBI lineage: Eukaryota > Metazoa > Chordata > Mammalia > Primates > Hominidae > Homo > Homo sapiens. The sequence goes on from NC_000001.11 coordinate 167,530,457, forward strand.
ACAGATGCTGAAATTGCATGGCTATTAAAGACATGTTTGCAAACTTCACAGCTGGCACAAATCCACTTTGATGGGAGATTTACCTAGTGCGCCCTACCCCTCAAAAGACTAATTGCCCTTTAAAAAATTAACCGCACAATTTTGGGGCTTTTTTTTAGTGAGACACTAAGGAGGAAAAACACACCTAATGTCCAAACACTCCAGAAAAAAAAAAATGAAAGTAAAAGGCTGCACAAAGATTTTCTATCAAAAGCCACTGTGAAAGATGGCAAAAAAAATAAGCTGGGGACATGGGTAAGATTAGAGAGATACTATGAATGGATAAGATGAATTGCAGTTGACCCTTGAATGACTCAGGAGTTAGGGCTGCTGAACCCCATGAAGTAAAAAAAATCTGCGTATAACTTTTGATTCTCCAAAAACTTAACTACTAATAGCCTACTGTTGACCAGAAGCCTTACTAACAACATAGTCAACTAACACCTATTTTGTATGCTGTATGTATTATATACTGTGTTCTAACAGGAGAGTAAGCTAAAGCAAGGAGAATGTTATTAAGAATATCATAAGTACGAGAAAATGCATTTACTATTTATTAAGTGGAAGTGGATCATCATGAAGGTCTTTCTCTTTTTTTTTTTTTTTTTTTTGAGACATAGTCTCACTCTGTTGCCCAGGCTGGAATGCAGTGGAGTGATCTCAGTTCACTGCAACCTCCTCCTCCCTGGTTCAAGCAATTCTCCTGCCTCAGCCTCCTGAGTAGCTGGGATTACAGGTGCCCACGACCATGCCCCGCTAATTTTTTGTATTTGTAGTAGAGACGGAGGTTTCACCATGTTGGCCAGGTTGGTCTCAAACTCCTGAATTCAGGTCATCCTCCTGCCTCAGCCTCCCAAAGTGCTGGGATTATAGGCATGAGCCACTGTGCCTGGCCATCACAAAGGTCTTCATCCTCATTGTCTTCACATTGAGTAGGCTGAGGAGAAGGAAGAGGAGGGTTGCTCTTGCCATCTCAGGGGTGGCACAGGTAGAAGAAAATCCATGCATAAGTGGACCCATGCAGTTCAAACTCATGTTGCTCAAGGGTCAACTATAGTTATATATAACCTACTAAATATTGCTATTGATAGCCAAGCCCCTTTAATTGGAAAAAGAACCTTTTTTGCTTTAATGGGGGTGTCTTACATTTGTGTGTCATTTTCACATATTAATATATTGTATTTTTTAAATTTATTTTTGAGACAGGGTTTTACTGTCACTCAGGCTAGAGTGCAGTGGTGCAGTCATAGCTCACTGCAGCCTTAAATTCCTGGGGCCAAGCTACCCTGTCGTCTCAGCCACTTGAGTAGCTGGGACTACGGGTGCACACACCACAATGCCCGGCCAATGTTTTAATTTTTTTTTAGTAGAGATAGGGGTCTCCCTGTGTTGCCCAGGCTGGTCTTGAACTCCTGGCCTTCACGGATCCTCCCACCTCGGCCTTCCAAAGTGCTGAGATTACAGATATGAGCCACCATGCCCAGCCATATTGTCTTTTTAATCTTGATGACTCAGTAAGGTTGTCAATATTGGTGTACCGTTTCCATTTTATTTATTTATTTATTTAAATTAAAAAAAAAAAATTTTTGAGATGGAGTTTTGCTCTTGTTGCCCAGGCTGGAGTGCAATGCCGCGATCTCGGCTCACTGCAACCTCCGCCTCCCAGGTCCAAGCGATTCTCCTGCCTCAGCCTCCTAAGTAGCCGGAATTACAGGCCCCCCACACCACAACCGGCTAATTTTTTGTATTTTTAGTAGAGATGGGGTTTCACCATGTTGGCCAGGCTGGTCTCAAACTCCGGCTGCCCCAGCTTCCCAAAGTGCTGGGATTACAAGAGTTAGCCACCATGCCCAGCCAGTTTCCATTTTGTAGTTTAGGAAACTTAAAATTAAGTTATTTTTCTAAGGTCACAAAGCTGGTAGAATCAAAACTAAAACTCAAGTTTTCTGGGTGCTGGTTCACAGTAGTGGAAGAACATGAGCTTTAGAACAGGTTAGACCTAGGTTCAAATTCCAAATTCCATCTACTAGCTGGCTGTATGTTTTGAACAAGTTAATAAATATCTGAAATCTTTTGTCCCACATTGGCTAACAATGCCTACTGTACTGTCTTGTTGGAGGAATGAGTAAGATGATGTAGGTTATGTGCCTAGTATATAGAAGGTGTTGGGAAATGTTACATCACAGAGAGGAGGAGAGGACTGTAAAATGTTTGCTGGCAACTGCTCTGGGAAAAATCCTTCCAGGAATGATTGGAACCCAGCATGGGGAATGGGGTCACTGTCTTGGTGGAAAGGGTGGGAGATGAAGAGGAGGAAAGAGGAGGTGGTGTGGACAAGCCCTCCTATGGGGAGGTGAGGGAGGCCCCACATTCCCAGAATAGGGACCTGTGTGCTTCCTCTTTTTATCCCTCCAAAGTTCTTGAGCACTAGGTCAGAATTTAATGCACCTGCCTCTCATTCGTTATGAATAGACAGTTGCAATTCCTGGGACTGTTGGAGGTGATGGGTTTATTCTCAGAAATCTTAAAAAGGCATTTTCTGGGCACCTGAGCAAACACAAAATTATCCTGTGGAATGAGCAAGCTTCGAACGCTGAGACCCTGGGGCATCTGAAGGACCAGCTAATAACCATGTGCTAAGCAGTGTGTATTCCTAAGTTCCTCAGCTCTGCTTTTTAAAACCCCCCACCCCCCGTGCTCTGACTTGACCAAATGGTCTTCCCTCAGTGGGGTGTGTGGAAAGCAGCTGCTATGGGAATGCACAAACCTGGGATCTGCTCTCAGCTTTGTCCTTTACTTGCTGTGTGACTTTGACCAAATCACTTCCCCTCTCTGGGCCTGGGTGTCCTCAGCTATACAATGAAGAAGCTGAACTAGATGGTCTCCACAAGATGTCTTCCAGCTGGAAATTAAATTTTCGTATAATGATTCCTGCTTCTCCAGTGCCCCTTTCTCTTTCAGCTCCACTAGCTGTTACCTCCCCACAGGGTTGTGCTGTGTGCTGCCTCTGGGCCACATCCCAGGCATGCAGTGATGGCCCATGTCCAGGGTTCCTTCCCTATGAGGGTCTGGCTCCTGGCCTGCAGGGTCTGCCAAGACACCCTGACTTCATGCAGATTACATTTTTGTCTTTTCTAAAAGTGAAAGACGAAAAGGTTGCCTGAGTTTGCCCAGGGTGGAGACAGCCTGACCTGGAGTCCTCACAGAGCCCATCCTGGCCCCTGGGAATCCACTGGAACAGGCCTGCAACCCCTCGCCTCAGGATTAAACCTGAGGGCCCACTTCTGGGGACTGAAGGTCAGGAACCTGTGAGTCTCAGCATTAGCCCTTGACAGCCCCTTAGAAGGGTCACCAGCTTTAAGGGAAGGAAGAGTGCTTATCAGGACAAAGAGGGGCCCTCAGTTCCAGCAGGGCCAGCTGGTCTGGCCCAAGACAGGAGGATTAAACAGAATTCTTGGATGTTCAATGCGGCTCCATGGGGACCTCTAGCGGCTGTTTTGTCGAACTGCGGTCTCCAGCCTTCCCAGCCTCAGGACATTCCACACCTGGATGGATACTAAGTAATACCAATAACCAACATCTATCCTAGGCAGCGTCCCTGATTCACAGAGGGGAACCTCTTGAGGAGCACTTGCCTAAGGCCACCTGGCTAAGTGGTTGAGCAGGAATTTGAACGCTGCCGCTTGACTTCAGAGTTCATACTGCCTGCCCTCAAAGATGTGAGTGTGCTCCTCATGAAAACCTGGTGTTTTCCAGCACATGGCACTTGCCAATTCTATACGATGCACCTCTAAAACAAGTGAGAAGACATCTCTTCAAAGGACCCATGTGCCACCAGCAGTTGAGGGGTCACCGGATTCTTGGAGACAGAGCTAGGTTGAAGGGATGGGTCTGACACGTGTAAACTTGCCCAAGGTAACCATTTGCGAATCCAACCTCCTCCACGAAATAAAAATAAAGAGTGTCCTGCCTATCTCTAGGGCTTGTTGCAAGAGTTAGCTGAAACGCCACGATTGAACATATTTTATAAAATTAAGTAATTTGACGATTATAACTTTTATTTTTGTGAAAACAACCTGTAGTTACCAACCGATATTTGAAGCTAAAGAAAAAAAATGCAACCAGTATTTATGGAATGTTTGATATATTGGATAGTGTTCTGTGTACTTTTTACGTATTAGCTCGAACTTTTTCCTACAAACCAGGGAGGCAGGTCCTATTTTTATTCTCCATTTTACTGATGAAAACCCTGCAGCCCACACAGGGGAGGCACCTTGTCCATGATGAAATAGTGATGGAACGAGGATGTGTTCCTATGCAGCCCCACTGCAGAGCCACTGTGCTTGATTTTGACACTTACTCTGCTGTTCTTCAAGGATACATTCCAGTCTCCCAGAGAGGATGCAATGAGGACCCCCAGAGCTTGAGGATGCCTCTTCTACTGGCCCTAACAAGGATCACTGCTGTGTCAGGCACTGTGCTAAGTGATTTGTGGACATTTTTGCTAATCTGTACTCCCACCTGTGAAGTATTGCCCTTGCTTTACAGATGGGGTCTAAGGCTCTGAGAAGTAGAATGATTTGCCCAGGGCCACGTGCAGCAAGTGCACAACTAGCTCAGAACCCAGTGCTCTCGCAGCCGAACCGCTCCTAACCTCCGCTATACTGCTCCTGCTTGGCTGCTCCCCCCATCCATCCACCGGTGGGGCCCCCCACAGCCCAGGGCTCCCTTGGGCTCTGTTCACACTCTTTTTGCCCTCTCTGGGATTCCATGCATAGGAAGCAAAAACTTCTAAAGTAAGAAATGGCCCGAAAGCCAGGTGCCACCAACCCATAAAGTGTCATTTTTAGGAAAGATGCCCTTTGGGGTGATGCTGCTCACACCAGGACAAAGGCATGAGCTCAGGCTGGGTTTCAGCCCCTGCTTCCCTGTCAGCTGGGGCCTTTGTGCAGGATACAACCTGCAAAAGCGTGTCGTAAAACCACAGTCCAGAGCAGGAATGGACTAGAAACCATTGAGGATAAATCTTCTTGCGTGGGTGGGCCTGGGAGTTATCAAAGGAGGAAAGGTTTGGGATGAACAAAGCAGCCTTATCATTTATTCTCTTCCAAACACAATTACTATAAGCTGAATTGTTTTCCCCCAAATTCATATGTTGAAGCCATAACCCACCCTATGATTGTATCGGGAGGTAGAGTCTTTAGGAGGTAGTTAAGGTTAGGTGAGGTTGGAAGGTTGGGGCCCTGATCTGACAGGACTGTGGTCTTAGAAGAAGAGGAAGAGAGAGGCCAGGCGTGGTGGCTCACGCCTGTAATCTCAGCACCTTGGGAGGCCGAGGCAGGTGGATCAAGAGGTCAGGAGATCGAGACCATCCTGGCAAACACAGTGAAACCTCATCTCTACTAAAAATACAAAAAATTAGCCAGGCGTGGTGGCGGGCGCCTGTAGTCCCAGCTACTTGGGAGGCTGAAGCAGGAGAATGGCGTGAACCCGGGAGACGGAGCTTGCAGTGAGCCGAGATAGCACCACTGCACTCCAGTCTGGGCGACAGAGCGAGACTCCGTCTCAAAAAAAAAAAAAAAAAAAAAAAAAGAGGAAGACAGAAAGAGATCTCTCTCTGCCATGTGAGGAAACAGCAAGAAGGCGGCCGTCTGCAAGCCAGGAAGAAAGCCCTCCCCAGAACCCACTCTTGCTGACACCCTGATCGCAGATGTCCAGCCTCTAGAACTGCGGGAAATAAATACCTGCAGTTTAAGCCACCCAGTCTATGGTATTTTGTTCTGGCAGCCTGGGCAAACTAAGACAAAGATAAATCCCAGGGTCACAGATGACTCTTGGCAACCAAATAGGAGAGTTTGTGTTGACCGACTCTGGGCATGCATATAATGTGCTGAATTCCCCTTCTCAGAGCAGCCGTAAAGAGAGAGAGGAGACTGTGTCTTGGTTAAGCTGCTCTGCCCTCATTCCATGCTCAAAAGCGTATTTGAGCAGCGTCTATACATCAGGCTTTGGGAACAGAACAATGAGACATAGTCCGCCAAATCTGAAAAATCAAAGACATGATAATTAACTCACTTCGAAATCCCTTGCTTCCTCATGGAACGTTTGTGGCAGAGTTGCTCAGCGTGCCCACAAGACAGATGTCTCCATCCAAGCCTGTAATGTGGAATGCCATTCCTTAATGGAGGCTGATGTCTGGGGTGCCAAGCAAAGTCTCCTTGAGATTTGCCAAGTGCTTGGGATTAAATGTGCCTTCACTGAAACAAATCACTTCATTCTAAGTCACACAGCAAGTTGGAGGTCCAACCTCCATCTTCCACTATATTCACTAAAGTACAAAGTCTGTAAGCAAAACGTTTGTTAAAATTTCATTGAGGGGTTACTCCACGTAATGGAATATTGACACTTGGTGTTTTGGGGCTACAGTGATAAATATATCAGATGCAGACTCGGCCTTCAAAGGACTACCTACTCCTGAAAAGTGAGGGAGATGAGGAGGTAGGAGATGCCTGGCTAAGGGAGGAGCATGTGGAAAAGTCCAAAGGGAAAAGTTTGGGGTATAACCAGATCAGATTGGCTGGTCATGGCATAGGATACACTGAGGAATGGCAGATAATGTTGGGAGAGCCAGCTGAAGTTTTATTGTGGTGGGACTTGAGAATCTAGCTAAGGAGTGTGTGTGTGTGTGTTAGACAACCTCCAAAGGTTATGAGAATATTATCAGAACCATGCTTCTTTGCCAATTCCAATCCCTCAAGTTCAAGCTAAGGGATACAGAGTGTCTCTCAGACAGACTGTCCAGCAGGCTAGGCCGATGGCCCTAACTCACTTACATCCTCACTTCTGAGAAAGCTATGCTTAGATTTGGGTTCACATCTAGACTACAAAAGCTAAGCATAATTTGGGTTTGTCATCCAAAAAAGTGAAGAATATTATACACAAAATGCATTCTAAAGGATTAAAAAGTATAAAAATTAAACATAACAATTTGAAAATCTGAATTGACATTTATCAAATTTCTCAAAGGAAACAAACATACCAAGTTTAAAGGAAATTAAACTTAAAGAAGTCAAGGGAAAAATATTATGTTAATTTCTTCTATAGAAATGGAAAATCTATAGGTTTTAAACAAAATAACTTAAAAGGAAAACTGAGTATTAGCAACAAATTTACTAACTAAATGATTTCATAGACTGAATATACAGAATTCAGCAAGATCAATTTTTTAAAATGATCCCCCAAACATAAGTGGACAAAGAATATAAATTGACAGTTTTCAATGAGGAAAAATAAACCAAAATAAATTTTAATGTTCAATGTTATTAGTAACCTTAAGAATTGCCAATTAAAATAACACACTATTTTAACCCATCGCAGAGTAAGCACTTTCATACACTGCTTGCAGGGCTGTTCATTGATATAAATTCTCTCCCCTCCCCCATTATTATGTATTTTCCAAAATTTTACTGAAAACATCCTTTCAAGAAATCTCTATTGAACTCCTGAATCACCAAGCCAAACTTGTTATCTAGCTCCCTAGCACCCACTACTCATGCCCCCTCCCCACCCACAAACATAGATTAGCTCTGCATTCCTGCCTTGGTGTGTTGCGGGGTGAAGAAGAGTCAGGAAGCCTTACGCTGGCATAATCTGTGTCTCAGACAATATGACCACATGCCAATTTAGTGTGGAGTAGAAGAAATGGCCAGGATTTAAAGCCTGGAGACCAGAACTGGGTGGGCTTGGGAAAGTCACTTAACCTCTCTAGATCCTCAATTCTTTATTTTTTTTCAATTCAATTTAGAAATCTTTGTAATTTTCAGACATACACAAAAGAGAATAATAGCAAAATGAATCTCCAGGCACCTCACCTAGCTTCAACTGTTACCATTTTGCCAGTTTCTCCTCATCTAATCCCCTATACTTTTTTCTTTGCTAGAATGTTTTAAAGCAAACACTGGACATTATAATTGATACACATTCTTAAAAGCAATTTATAACATGTACCAAAAGCTTTTGGCTTGGAAATTCCACTGCTGGGAATCTAAGGAAATAAACAGAAATGTAGAAAATATTTTATGTGTAAGACTTTTCTAAGAGGAAAAAACTGAAAGTAACCTAAATATGCAAAAACTGGAGAAAATGCTAATAGCCTTTGGTTTTTGCCTGCTCAGTGTTCCTTCAGTTCGCATAAGCACTCTTTTCATTGCAGGAGTCCCCCTTCTACATTCTCCCAGTCTCTGTGATTCTGATGGTGCTGAGTGAACCCGCAACTCCAGGAGAAGCCACACTACTCAAGTTCGGCCAAAGAGGGCACCCCATTCCCAGACACAGTGATTATTCGGGAATGGCTAGGGCCCAGCTAGGAAGGACACATCCTCTTGGTGGTAAGATTGCTGGCTGCAATGAAAACTAACACGGCAGAAAGAGGAGCCAGGAAATGAAAGCCAAGTTCTGAATAATATAAGATCAATGAACTCTTTTTGTTTAAACAACTTTGACTTAGGTTTCTTGTCACTAGCAACAGAGTCCCAATGCAGACCATTATTTGGTGGCCTGCTTATATTGATCTGATGAAATATTCTGCAGCCATTCTCAGCCATCCTCGTGAATGGCTTCTAGGAACACGGTTGTTTATGATAAAGTGAAAGAAGCATGATACACATTCATTAAACAGCAAGATCTTGACTATGTTTAAACATCACTCCCAAGAAAACACACCCAAAATATTAGCAACCATGCTGGTTGGTGAGGTTATAAATGTCAAACTTTTTATTCTCCACATTTCCTATACAAATGTCTTACAATAAATCTTAAAGAAAAAACTGAAAAATTTACATTTTACTGATTTGTACCCCCCTTAATTCCAAAAGGAATTATAATTAAATTATAATTATCTTCTCTAATAATATTTATAGAACACTTGGTTTTGAAGTGACAGTTTGGAATTCCCCTAGGAAACACTGACCAACCAGCATTACACAAATTAGAGCATTATTTCCTCAGTACTAAAACTGAAAAACATGCTCCCTTAAAAGAAAGTAGTCTCCTTTTCAATTACTTTGTGATCTTCAGTCTAAATACTACTAAGAAGGGAACATCACACTAGCAACCTCCTCAGAATATCTGATGCATTTATTTCATTGAACTTCGTCACATTTCATAAAGATTTTTCTCCACTCCCCCACATACCTGTCAAGGACTTTGAACCTGGACTAGAACACAGAATAAACTATGATTATTGGCCATGGTTGGTAAAGACAAATGGCCTTGACCAGCTGAGTGCAGAAGGATGGTCAAGATAGCATCTGCCAAACGCAGCTGTCTGGACTCTGTAGCTTCAGGATCCTGAGCTACTCCCTCTTTCCACTTTTTTTTTTTTTTTTTTTTTTTTTTTTGAGACGGAGTCTCGCTCCATCGCCCAGGCTGGAGTGCAGTGGCGCGGTCTCAGCTCACTGCAAGCTCCGCCTCCCGGGTTCACGCCATTCTCCTGCCTCAGCCTTCCGAGTAGCTGGGACTATAGGCGCCTGCCACCACGCCCGGCTAATTTTTTGTATTTTTAGTAGAGATGGGGTTTCACCGTGTTAGCCAGGATGGTCTCGATCTCCTAATCTCGTGATCCACCTGCCTCAGCCTCCCAAGGTGCTGGGATTACAGGTGTGAGCCACCGCGCCCGGCCCCTCTTTACACTTTTATCTTTCTCTATCAGGGCCTGTCCTGCTCTCTGCACCAAGGCTGACTCCCCCTCCCCACCCCAGTCTAAGATACTCATCTCCTAGCTGTTTGAGCCCAGGGATCTGTTCTCCTTCTGCAGCAGGTGGGGTGCAAGGAGACCAGAAGCCTGATGTAGAAGCACATGGTGTGGAGGGAATGATAAACCCAGGAAAACCTAGCAGCAGCAGCAGCAGCAGCAGCAGCAGCAGCAGCAAATCAGGCCTCTGCTTCTCCTCTTGCCCCTGCTGAGCTGCATTTACTCCAGCTCCTAACCCAGAGCATTATTCCTAGGGGCTTGATTTGGCTGTGTAAGAAACCCAAACTTGCACAAAGAGTAGTCCAGTGCCCCCTAGTGGCTAACTGGAATATTAACAGTGACATATTCTGGCACATTCAATTATAAAAGAATCTGCCTGCTGTGAAACACTGGTTGACTTTACTCTGTATGATAACTAGATCTTACCTGAATGTCGATATGTATTTATGTGGTTCCAAATGCTGGAGAAAAAACTCACTAAGTGGGTAAAGGGAGAAAACCAAATAGCTGCCCTCAACCTAATTCTATCACAAGGTACACTGGCAACCAAATCCCTGAGGCAGAACCTGTGACAAAGGCTAGATCTGGCCATGCCCAGAATTTTAGGACACAATGAGCTTTTTGCCAATTAGAAAGAGTGGTATTATTCACTTCAAGTTTTGAAACAGCCAGTGACTGATTTAGGAACATGCTATTTCGACAGTAGACAATAAAACAAAGTGTAATAAATATTAATGTCTATGTTTAAGAAAACGAATCCAACACATTTCATTAAAATAATTCTTTTAATTATTGATGCTTTGAATAAGAAGTCCATTTTACTAAATTTAGTATAAATTATTTTTCTTAAACAGAACCTGTTTGCTGGATCTCAGTTAAGTTCACTTTGCAGTTTTCAGACACAATGACTCATATTCAACTTTTCTCTTTAAGGATTCAGTGGCTTGATTCCTGACATTTCCTCTTTAAGAGGAATCTTATGTCATCTTCTGAAATCATGTATATGGGTAATAATATTAGTGTCTTCTCTTCTGAAGATGTGATTCTTTTAATGCCATGTTCTCTTCCCTCTGGTGACCTGACTTAGATTGTAGCAGCACTAGAAGCTATTAAGAGATTTGGGGCAGTTGAGGAAGCCTTAGGTAATTGTTAAGAGTAGAAGTATTTTTAAAAAGCTGTGGAGAGTGGTTTGGGAGGGGATTTTGTCCCTGGCTGAAGCTGGTCCATGCCTGGGTAAACTTTACTTATAAAAGAATACCAGGAACACACAAAATATTCTTCTCCTCTTTCTTTTGCAATCCAGTTTTGGAGCCAAAAAATAATCTGTGTGCACATGTGTTTTGATAATACTGTTTCGACTTAGGTGGGGAAATTAAATTCAGGAGTTTTATGACTTTCTTTTGTTCTGAGTATCACTTTAGAGTATAAAAAGTTTTTCAAAAGTTCTTTATCAGAAATAGTTTCACCCTATGTTGAATTAACAATACCCAGGATTGTGAGACATAAATCAACGTGAGTAGGAAGCTCCATCTGAGTTTCATCATTGTTTGTCTATCTTGGCAAGATTTATTCAGAAGCACCATAATGGGGGCCAATCCTTTTGCACCAGGCTCAGGCAGCTCAGGAGGCAGCTGTGGTGAGTGATGCACTCTACCAAGCACAGTGGCTTCTAGGAATAAAGAACACATACTCAACTACCTTCAAATGCCAATGGGCAATTTAAAACTGGTACTCATTCCTCTTCAAGAGCACCACTGGAAACATCTTTGGAATTGATGGGACAAAACTTATTTGATTATAGTGAAGGATATTTCTCTACGAAAATGGCTTCAAAATAGGAAAAAAGTAGCTACCACATCTTCCAGGAAATCCAATAACAGGTCAACTCTATTGGTAAACAAGCAAGTAAACAAGCAAGCAAACAAACCAGCATGTGACAGAAAACTGGCTAATATTCTGGGACGCTTTCCAGAGAAACATTAAGCCTTTTAAGTGTGTATGAGCCACTTTAAGAAACTTCATAAGTGTTGCTAAATTCACCACAGTCTGCTTCACCTAGAAAGGGGAACAGAGAAGAATTATTTTGTTAAACTGGGTTAACAAATCTTAAAAATTAATTCATTCTAGGGAAGGACTAGATAAAATTTCTGATCTAAATTAAGATTTTCAGTTCATTTCAACCACTAGAATATACTAAATAACCACTTGGGTTTGTTAAAATGCAGACTCCTGAGTTTCGGTTTCAATAGGTTGAGGGTGGGGCCTAGGAATCCTCATTTTAGCAATAACCCTCCTCTCCAAGTATGATTCTGACACACTGATAAACGCTACTAGGATGTAGCAAGAAGCAGGCCACTGCCGTGGCTGCTGTTGTTATCTCATTTAAGAGTATCTGAAGGCTTAAAAGACAAAAATAGTTGAGAACAGAAGGGGTCCTGAACATCAGGGCAGAAGAGCAGTGATTAGCCATTGCCCAGTGATAGTGACCACAGCTGGGAGGTGAACTTTCCCCCTTTCTGCTGCCACCAACCAGGGAATCCATCTCTAGGTATCAAGACTGGGCAAGTCTGTAATCCATGACCTTTTGTTACCTGTGTGTTTGCTAGGAAATATCCGGATGTGCGCCAGAGGAGATAAAATGAGGCTTAGCACAAACATGCTGCTGCCCAGACTTAACAGTGGTCAAAAGCAATGCTTATGCTTATAAGAACTGCTTGTTGGGCGGGCGCGGTGGCTCACACCTATAATCCCAGCATTTTGGGAGGCCGAGGCGGGCAGATCACGAGGTCAGGAGATTGAGACCATCCTGGCTGACATGATGAAACCCTGCCTCTACTAAAAATACAAAAAATTAGCCAGGCGTGGTGGCAGGTGCCTGTGGTCCCAGCTGCTCAGGAGGCTGAGGCAGGAGAATGGCATGAACCCAGGAGGCAGAGCTTACAGTGAGCTGAGATCGCACCACCACACTCCAGCCTGAGCAACAGAGTGAGACTCCATCTCAAAAAAAAAAAAAAGAACTGCTTATTCCAGGGTGCCAGCAAATGCTTCGTGTAGACATTTAAGCCTTCCACTGATCATGCAAACATGCTCATGGGGGCTTCACCCAACAGTCCAATGAGGCAAACCACATTCAGTTAAGCTCCGTATCAGCTCTCACAAGTGGCAGTCTCCATCTGTGTGAAACAGATTTCAGATGCAGAGGGCTTCGTGGTATTTGGAGGAATAATACCTTCCAAAACCGATCTGGGCAAGCCAAGCAAGGTGGCTGCCAATGTGGGGAAGCTCCAGAACGCCTGTGAGGCCCCTGTGGGTGGTTCTCCAAGAAGATGGGGGCCCTGGTCCTCACAGATATCACTGTACACTCCCCGGACTATTAAACAGCTCTGGTGGCAAACCTGGCGGGTGGGATTAGTGGGGGCACTCCTAGACTCGGAGATGGACAATTCCTAGCCAGAGGCACCCGGTCAGAGCGGGCAGCTTTCAGGCCCTGCCCATCCCTCGGGTTCTGGTGCACTGCCTCAGAAGAGTCACATCTGCTCTAGCCTTTGGGCCGCCTCTCAGGACAAGGGAAAAATGTTCTATCTCTGTGCTGCAGAGAAGTGCTCCTTTGTCAGCATAATAAAGTGGGAACCTCAAAAGTATCTGTTTTACTCACTTATTCAGTGTGGAGACTTATGGGAAAACAGTTTTATTTTGTTATTAAACCAGGCACTGCCTTTGGGCATGTTATTTATATAAAGATAACTGCGCTTTAGAGATTATGTCCTGTGAAAGTAAACTTTAACTTCGAAGAGCAGGCCCTTCTTAACAGTCATCCTGATAATTTGTTGCCAGGGAATAAAGTTGTAATTGCTACCTCTATATTCCTATGAAGTCAGATGGCTTTGCCAGCCCAGAAGACGACCAGTGGCCCGTGCCTCTCCTGCATGCACAGCAGCAAAACAAGCGCCAGGACTGTGGGATTCTTTATTCCAACAGAGTGTGAGAGTGTTTGTCTCAAGTAATGAGCCAGACAATCATTCCTAAACACCTGCTCTATGACACACACTGTCCTAGGCCCTGCTTGGAATTAAAAAAAATTAGAAACAAAACAAAACTGAGATTTCCAATCATGGTAGGGAGTCAATAGTTCAACACGGAATTGTTCTACAATTGAAAAAGACAGAGATTAAATAAATGCTAAGAATTTAAGCCCTCAAATGACCTACAACCTACAAGTCTACCTTAGTTATCATCACCGTAATCTCCTGAAACAGCAGTCAATCATTACAAGCAGAAAGTGCATTATAAATTACACTGAGCTAGGAGCCTGGCCAGCTACCAGTGAGGCAGCCAGAGGAGAAGTACAGCATCATGGATAGAAGTCAGGTGATGGCTCTGGAGCAAGAATGCCTGGGTTTGAGTCCCAGCACCACCACTTCCTGGCTGCAAGAACAAACAGTTTAGGCCAGTTTGTTCTCTGTGCATCAGCTTTCCATTTCACACATGTGGAAAAACAGCACCTACCTGTTGCGGTGGAAGGTTGCGCAAGAAAGGGATGTGGTGAGAACTGAATGAGTTAATACATGAAAAGTAGCCAGTATAGCACCCAGCCAGTAATAAACAATGGACACTAGCTGTTATTGTTACTGTTCTTATCACCTCCCCAGATATGCCAGAATTCCCTGTGTCACCTGGGAGAAGCACCAGTCCCTTGTATTCCCTCATTTGAACCCTTAGCTAACTCCAAAGACTCCAGTTACACTCTTCTTTCCTTTCCCTTTCTGTCTTCAGGTCCTGGGCTTTATTTTCTCCCATGGCCTCTTTTATCTCAGCCTCCTCCCTTCCATGCACTTCTTAGTGGGATAAACCACACATCCCCATAGGCATTTGTAGTACTGGGGCTGATGGGATGGGGTTACTTGCTCAGACTCAGATGAAGGGCATTCACAGTCCAGGAGCACCTGAGTCTAAGCCTCATGAGAAAATGCCATCGTGGGTCATAACTGGGCTCTGTTCAGGGCCCAATAAGCACAGCCTTAAAATGGAGTCTCAACCTGGTGTCCAGGCCTGTAGACAGAGTTCAGGGGTCTGCGAACTTGGCTCAAAAAAATTTTTTTTTCATTTTCATTAGGCTCTAACTGAATGTATCATTTCCTTCAATAATGAATGTAGGGAATAAACCACAGGGTGACAGCCTATCTGTGACTGTCTCCAACAGAAATAGAGAAATCACAGATACGTTCATATCATGTCACAGGTGTTGCAGATGTCTTAAAATATTGTCTTCAATCCTCACTACTTTAAAAGCACAGAAAAGGCCAGGCATGGTCGCTCATGCCTGTAATCCTAGCACTTTGGGAGGCTGAGGCAGGCAGACTGCCTGAGCTCAGGAGTTCGACACCACCCTCTTTATGAAAATACAAAAAATCAGCTGGGTGTGGTGGTCTATGCCTGTATTCCCAGCTGCTTGGGAGGCTTGAGGCATAAGAATCGTTTGAACCCAGTAGGTGGAGGCTGCAATGAGCTGAGATGGTGCCACTGCACTCAGCCTGGGTGACAGAGTAAGACTCTGTCTTGAAAAAAAAAGAAAAAGTAATAGACTTATTACTAGATCTTATATTTAATATATTAATAAAACGATTATACCACACATTTACAAATATTTTCATAAATGTATTTCATTATAGTTGATTTTCTTCTTAATCCTCTGTATTTTATGTGTTTAAAACATTATTCTGAGAAGGGGTCAGCGGCTTTACCAGACTGCCCAGGGTGTCCAGGGCACATGAAACGGTTAAACCCCCCTTGCCTTAGAAGGCTGAGGATGGCTGTAAGGGCGGCAATCTTAGGTGAAAGATGTGTAAGTACTTACTGAACTGTGACATTATAATATTCTTCTGGTGTCACGATTTTTGGTCCACCAAAGTAGTCCAGGACCCAGATATTGGTTATATTCAACTTAGCAAAGAACCAATTATGGCTGGAAGGCCAGGTTTTCATCTCAGGGTGTCGAATGAATAACGAATGCTTTGCAATATCCATTTCTGTTTCATTCACCTAAAGGACATATATGAAATAAACATTCTTATGGCAGTAACACTTTATCTTCTCATTTGTTAAGAATGTGTGATTAGGCCGGGTGCAGTGGTTCACGCCTGTAATCCCAGCACTTTGGAAGGCCAAGGCGGGCGGATCACGAGGTCAGGAGACTCAGACCATCTTGGCTAACACGGTGAAACCCCATCTCTACTAAAAAAAAAAAAATTAGCCAGATGTGGTGGTGGGCACCTGTAGTCCCAGCTACTCAGGAGGCTGAGGCAGGAAAATGGCATGAACCCGGGAGGCGGAGCTTGCGGTGAGCCGAGATCGTGCCACTGCACTCCAGCCTGCATGACAGAGCAAGACTCCATCTCAAAAAAAAAAAAGAATGTGTGACTCTAGCATTCTATAAATCCTAAGAGTTTACTTACTTGTAAATCTTGATCTTAACCTTAAGGAATCAAGAGAAAATAAAGGAAATGTAAAGAATGCAGAGAATAAAGATTTCAATTGTTGGTAATAACAGATACCACGAAGTGGGAAACCACTGTAAGTATAATACCAACTTTCATTGGTAAAAAGGCATTTTGAGCTATTAGAATAACTAGCACTAAGTACTGTAACATTACTGGTGCCTAAGACATGTAATGTTTAGCATATTTATCCCATAACATGGACATGTTAAACATACAGATGAATGTACTGAAGGATAAAAATGTTTAGAAACCACATAACAGAACTCAAAAGCATGTGCTGCTCCTCCATCTTTTTCCTGCCAGTGAAGGACACTCAACTACAGAGATGCATCCACAAAGAATTTACAGACCATAAATAACACTTGTCTGAGGCATTAATGATTGACACGGTCAAAAAGCAAATCTGCTGGCTGGGTAATCAGATCAGCACTCCTGACACCATGCCCACTGCTCTTCCTGAGATTGTATTTGACCTCTTCCCTTCAGCAGGTGATCCAAACTAAATTCACTTCCAGTTTTCAGTAATGGATAGTCCTCTGGTTGGCCTACTTAATATGTTTTCTCTGCTTTAAGCCACTGTTAAAATATGGAGACAAGGAGCCCAGACATGGAAAAACATTATACCAATGTAAAATGTAATGGAGAGTAGAGGGCTTTGGTCAACCAGATGCTCTTTAGTAAGAATAACTTTATATACAGGAGCTTCATAGTTGTTACATCTGCTTGGCTTCAGAAAATCATTCATTTTTGTCATATCTTATTTAACACCTATATGAAAGCAACTTATTAAAACGTTTGGTTTTCATGGAATTACTTCACCTATTAGAATAGAACATGTTCTGACTGGGCATGGCAATCACAAATCAACTGCATTTCATTCTGAAAAGATCTATTCTGCCAGGCATAGTGGCTCACGCCTGTAATCTCAGCACTTTGGGAGGTCGAGGTGGGTGGATCACTTGAGGTCAGGAGTTCAAGACCAGCCTGGCCAACATGGTGAAACCCCATCTCTACTAAAAATACAAAAATTAGCTGGGTGTGGTGGTGCGTGCCTGTAATCCCAGCTACTAGGGAGGCTGAGGCACAAGACTCGCTTGAACCCAGGAGGCAGAGGTTGCAGTAAGCCGAGATCACACCACTGCACTCCAGCCTGGGAGACAGAGTGAGACTCTGTCTCAAAAGAAAAATGATCTATTCTTTCATTGTGAATACGATGGTGTTCTGAAACCATCTCCCTTCCTGTAGGATAACTACTTACCTTGGTCACAGTTCCTGACAGCATTATGTGAACACAAAGGGGACTTTGTGGATCAAATCCATGTTTCTTGCAGAAGTTGGTCTGTGCCAAAGTCATGGTCAGTGTAGCATATGGATTCTCCTATAGAGAGAAAATGAAGATCCTCTCATGTGAAATATGGTTTCTGGAGAGGTAATAAATTTCAAAAGTTGCATACATGATGTCCCTAGAGCTTGACTGGTCTTCCACGAAACAATGAATCATAAAACATCACCTTCCACTCAGGGGAAAATAATACTTGGAAAGTATCCTGACCACTCCCCAAAGGGGGTGCGGGGGTTCATATTTAAAATGAACTGACTTGGTAAAAATTATTTCAATATTCTTTTTCTGAAACCCTGAATTTATTCCATATTCATCAGAAGAATTATAATTATAGTGACACCCAAATTCAAGGCTGTTCTATAGGCTTCACTGAAAGATTTAAAGGGTTAAACTCTATACAAAACCATTGCTAAAAACACCACAGTTGCTCAATTGGCTAACTACGCGATTTAAGCAAGAAAGTAGCTGAATCATGCTACTTGGTTATCTTACATTAGCAGAAACTGTCATGTGATTTCAAAACTGGAGAAGTTGTTCATTCCTGCTTTAGTAACAATGAGTTTTATCCCACATTCAAAAAGTAACACAAGTAAAATTCTTAATGCTTTCTTATTCAGAAATCAACTTCATAAAAGGCACTGTTGACAGATTATAGCAAAATTCACACATCGCATTTTAGACTATTTAGCTCTTTAAGCTCTAAGTGCCTTGTGTGGAGAATTTTGCCATTTCACACTGACCCATCAAAACAAAGAGTCATAAAGAGATTTCTTTGAAATCATTTAGCCAAATAGTCACTGTCTAGAAACTATTAGGCAAGGCACCACAGGAGACCAAAGAAGGGGAGGGGGACACTCAGGTAAACTCTCTCCCTCCGTGAGTTTATAATCTGGTTGAAAAGGCAGACATAAACAAATGTGTATGTCCAGCATAGACCAGAGTGATAGAGGAACTGTAAGGAGCTTTATAATATATTCAAAACCAGGATAGAAGGTGGGAGGACATATTAAAGGGAGAGGAGACACTGACTGCAAAAAACACAGAACTGGGTGAGCCTAAGACTTGATGAACAGTACCAAGAAACCTGATTTGCTGGAAAGAAGGGCTTTCCTACGGGAGGAGCCTGGGGTTGGGAGTGGAGAGGGCTCCAACCTAAGTTAAGGAGTCTAGATTGTAATTTGTGGGCCAACCTTAGGCACTGTTTTCTAAGAACCACCTGCCTGGAGAGCTTGATAAAATGCTGATTTGGGTTAAAATGTTGAAACAGGCTTCACTCCCAACCCAAATAACTGCAATTTTTTTTTGTTTTTTTTTTTTGAGACGGAGTCTTGCTCTGTCACCCAGGCTGGAGTGCAGTGGTGCGATCTCAGCTCACTGCAACCTCCAACTCCCAAGTTCAAGCGATTCTCTTGCCTCAGCCTCCCGAGTAGCTGGGATTACTGGTGTGTGCCACCACGCCCAGCTGATTTTTGTATTTTTAGTAGAGACTGGGTTTCATCATGTTGGCCAAGCTGGTCTTGAACTCCTGACCTTGTGATCCACCCACCTCGGCCTCCCAAAGTGCTGGGATTACAGGCGTGAGACACCGCACCTGGCCTGCAATATTTTTTTTAAGACAGTGTCTCACTCTGTCACCCAGGCAGCCACCCAGTGCAGTGGCACAATCATGGCTCATTGTGGCCTCAACCTCCAGGGCTCATGTGATCCTCCCATCTCATCCTCCTGAGTAGCTGGAACTATAGATGTGCATCACCACACCCGGCTAATATTTTTTTATTTTTTGTAGACATGGAGTTTCACTGTGTTGCCCTGGCTGGTCTCAAAATCCTAGACTCAAGTGATCCTCCCACCTCGGCCTTCCAAAGTGTTGGGATTACAGGCATGAGCCACCAAGCTGTCCTCTATCTGCATTTTATTATTTAGAAACAGAATCAAGCTCTGTCACCCAGGCTGGAGTGCAATGGCGTGATCTCAGCTCACTGCAACCTCTGCCTCCCAGGCTCAACTGATGCTCTCAACTCAGCCTCCCAAATAGCTGGGACTACGGTCGTACACCACCATACCCAGTTAATTTTTGTATTTTTAGTAGAGGTGGGTTTCACCATATTGGCCAGGCTGGTCTCAAACTCCTGACCTCAGGTGATCCGCTCACCTCGACCTCCCAAAGTGCTGGGATTACAGGCTGGAGCCTCCGCACCCGCCTCTATATGCATTTTAAACAAACATCCCAGGTAGCTCTTACGCAGCTATAGGCAGCTGGGTATTGTTAAAGGTTTCTGGCCAGAGGGCAATGCTGTGACAGGTATTTTTGTTAATCTATTTGGGTAGGCAAGGTGGATGGGGCAGACAGGAAGACTATGTAAGAGCTGTTCTAGTACTTTTAGGCATGAGATGATAAGCTTAAGGATGAGGTGGCAGGAATGAAGAGGAAGGGGCAAGGACAGAGGTAAAGAAGGCAACAAAAAACTGTCAGGACTTGGGAACTGAGGGATTTGGGGAGGCAGTGAGAACCAACTGGGTTTACTGAGAAAACAATAATTCCACTAACAGAAATGCAGAAGATCAAAAGCAGCTTGTTTCAGGAGGAAGAAGGACTGGATTTAAACATGTTGAATTTGAAGTGGTGGCAAAGTAACGAAGCAAAAATGAACAGCAAGCAGAAATATAGAGAACTTTGAAGAGGTCAGAAATGGACACACATCTGGAAGTGAGTCCTAGTAAGGACTAGAAGAGAATGTATACAAC
Organism: Homo sapiens; assembly: GCF_000001405.40. Taxonomy (NCBI): domain Eukaryota; kingdom Metazoa; phylum Chordata; class Mammalia; order Primates; family Hominidae; genus Homo; species Homo sapiens. The sequence continues at coordinate 167,550,831 of NC_000001.11, forward strand.
GAGAGTGTATACAATCTTCTGAGGATCGCTGCAGGGAACAAAAGAGTAGGAAACTGACTTTGAGGGATACTTATTTTAGTGGGTCAGAGAAAAAAAACCAAGAGTGACCAGAACAGAAAGGGGCACATCACAAGAAAAGAATGCCAAAATGGAAGGGAGGCTAATAGTAAGAGGTCTTGGTGCAAATAATCAAACCCCAAGATTTCCCTTCAGACTCACTGGCTCTGCAGCCAAACACGGTCCCACTATAAGCTAACATCAGCAACACTGTCCTACAGACATTTACTATACAAAAATGCCACAAAGAAAGAGACATACAAAAGAAACAGCCCAGTGGTAAGTACGTTTGAAGCTCACAACATATCTCTAAGTTACAGAGGACAGGTATTTTACACATGAGAAATGGTCCCAAACCTAGGTCTTTTTGTTCCTTCTGAACGATTTCACCCCCTGTCAATGAGAAGAAATGCAGAGCACCCTGGAGGTCAGGAGGAGGAAAAGAAAAAAGCAGAAACTTTGACCTGCTAATTGATGGAATCAAGTCAGACAAATTCTAATGTGGCCACTTCTTTTCACTGCCATCATGGAAACCTAAAGCCCTGGGTAGGTTCCTTGCCACTGCCCTGTCTATTTCTAGAAACATGAAAGACCTGGGCTAATGTCCTACCTGACAGCCATTAGCTGACTGGTCACAGGGTAAGTCCCTGCACCTCTGAGTCTGTGTTTCCTCACTTCCTAAATGGGGACAATAATACCAGCAACTCCCTAGTCACCTCACAAATTTAAATATGATTATGTATTGGTCAATCTCCCTCCTCCCCCATTAGAATCATCAGGGAGTGGTTTGTGGGGAGGCGGGAAGGGGTGTTGTCTTAAAATAAAATGTGCTTTCAATAAAATACCTTGGCATCCCATTTTTAAAGCCTTCTTAGGTGACTATGATTTGCAGTCAAAGTTGAGCACCACTGATGGAGTGGAGTGAGTTTGTTTTGAGCAAACGCCTAAAGGTGTGGAATGGGCTGGGAATAAGAAAATGGTGAACTGGGGTGTATCTGCCTTAGCTAAAAGAGGGCACTGCTTCTGTTTTTGCTCAAAGAGTGCAGGCCCACAGTGTCACTGGATCTTCCCATTTTTCAAGAAAAGTTAGAGATTTACATTTTAAAGTAAAATCTAAATTTTAAAATGTTGGTAACAAATTCAAATTTATTAAAAACAAAACAGAACTTTGTGTAGGCCAAACCGGTCTGTGGGACATATTCAGCTGATGGGCCACCAGCCTGTGATAGGTGGTTTGAAGAAAGATGAACCTGAGATGAAACTAGGGGTTTGCCCGCTGGCTTTAAACAAGTTACTTAACCTAGGTAGGCCTCAAGTTCTTCATCTGCAGAATGGGGTATATAATACCTACTTCAAAGAATTAATAGAAGAGACAACGAATGGAAGGCAAATGGAAAAGTGATTAATCAAGCATCAGTTTCTTGCATCCTGTCTTTATCAACAATGTTGTACTTTCAGAGTTGAACTCAAATGTGAGAGCTTTGTCAAAAAGACCCTCCATCAAATCAGGCTCCATTCCTGGACTCTGTGTGTCTCCGGCCTCCCAAGCTGGGTGTCTGTGACCCCATCCCTGAGACAGCAGAGATCCATCAGAGTTGTAAGTGTGGCCCTGCACCAGAAGGTGGGCAAAGGGCGAGGAAGAGATACACCTTCAATCAGCTCTGCATCTTACTGAGGAGCCACTATGCCTGTGGAGGCCTAAAGACTGCAGTAATCATTGTAATCGTCCATGATATTGTACGTTAGCGTCTTGCTGCAGGAGGGAAAAGCTTAATTCAGGAAGGGTAAGAGAGTGAGAAACCCTGAAGTCACATATTAAAGTGCTTAAGTACCTAACAATCTCTATGCCCTGTAAAACCTTTAAGAATAGGAGCCCAGGCAGGGCGCGGTGGTTCACGCCTGTAATCCCAGCACTTTGGGAGGCTGAGATGGGTGGATCACGTGAGGTCAGGAGTTTGAGACCAGCCTGGCCAACATGGTGAAACCCCGCCTCTACTAAAAATACAAAAATTAGCCGGGTGTGGTGGCACGCACCTGTAATCCCAGCTACTCGGTAGGCTGAGGCACGAGAATCGCTTGAACCTGGGAGGCAGAGGTTGCAGTAAGCTGAGATAGCGCCACTGCACTCCAGCCTGGGCCACAAAGTGAGATTCTGTCTCAAAGGGAAAAAAAAAAAAAAAGAGAATAGGAGCACAGTTAATAGAGACACTGGGCCCCAAGACGACTGAGAACCACTCACGGATGAGAAGTCCTCGGGCTGCTGGCAGAGAATTTACCCCAGGTGCGTGGCCCAGTGGCGGAGGCTTGTGGGAAATTCCTGGTACCCAGCTGCCCAACATCTGGGACGCTGCAACGCCCACCTACCTGCCTGCGCGGCAGAGAAGCAACAGCCGTTCGAGCCACGCTCCACTTCCCGGGAAGAATTCTGGGGAGAGTGAAGGCTCGCTCTGTGGCCGCCCCGCCCACAGCCCGCCTGGGGAAGCCGCGGGCCCCAGCTCACCTGCAGGTTGCTCACGGAGAGCTGCAGCGGGCTCAGGTAGAAATAGGGCACGCCGCTGCCCGCGCCCGGGGGCCCGTCGCTGAGCGAGAGGACGTCGGCGAAGGGCCGGCCGCGCACCGCCTCCAGCGTGGAGATGGTGGCCAGAGCGCCCCAGTCGGAGACGTGCGTCACGAAGCGGGCCACGCGCGCCGCGTCCTCGCGGGGTGGTAGCGGCGGCAGCCGGGAGGCCTCGTCCCAGTCCCCGTGGTCCCGGCCGCCGCGACCCCGCGCGGGCGACACGAGCAGCGCCAACAGCGTCGACGCCAGCAGGGCGGCGAGCAGTGCGCGCGCGGACCCGCGGGATAGCCCGGCCATGGCGGTGTCTCCAGGAAGAGTCCCGGGCCCCAAGACCTGCAGGGACCCAGCCGGAGCTCGGCGCGCCCAGGCCCCGCCCCCTCCGCGAGGCGCCAATCAGAGCTAAGCACAATGCAGGGGGCGGGGTCCCTCTGCAGCTCCGCAACCTGCAGGAGAAGGGATTGGTTCATCTGCATTCCAATCGCTCTGCCTGCCCTCTTTAAGGATTGTGAATTTGTCCTAAACGGGATATTTGTTTTGTTTTGTTTGACAGGCGGAAAAAGAAAGGCTTGAAGAAATCAAGCAACTTGCCCAAATCGTACTGCTAGGAAAAGACCAGCCTCTTTACACAGGCACACACCCCCTCCTTTTAATACCTTTGGAGATGAATATCTGGCATCTGAGAGGAAATGCTGCATTTTCTACCCATGCGCCTCTTTTCTGTTGAATTTACCATCAGCTCCAAAGAACAGCGAGGGTCCCAGCGTTGTAGAAGCCCAGACTCAGGCTCGTGTACCCCATGTGTAGCTGATGCCAAACACTGACATATAGGTGCTTGGAGATAAAAGTTTATTCGATTTGGCCAAAGCGAGAAGGCGGGAGGGCAAGATCTCTCAAATCCGCCCTAACAAAAAGAAGAAGCAGAGAGTGTTTATGCGGCCAGCGAGTCAGGGAGGGGGAGTTTCAGGGAATCGAGGGAAAAAGTCTGTGTTTCTTCAGTCTCAGATAATTCCTTGAACAATCAGACTTCTGGGCGACAGAAGCTGGCCTCAAAGTACTTCAAAGGACTTATTCCTCCTGCAAACTTTTTCGTAACCCTGAAGTTATTATCTCCTCCTGCTTGATAAAGAAACAGTACATCAGCAGTTTATGATTATGTTGTAGGAACAAGGGATATTGGGCAAAAAGAGAGTTGTCAACATGTGCAAGCAAGGGCCTGATCAGAATTTTCATTATTTCAGTCACTAACAAATGCTGGGGTGCTGAAATCTCAAGGGGCCCACTTACACTAGTAGTAAAGTTAGGCAGAAGCCCGAAAGTTCAAGACCTTTAAAAAACTTTTTATTTACTTATTTTAAAATTTTTAATTTTTGTGGGTACATAGTAGGTGTATACATTTATGGGGTACATGAGATATTTTGCTACAGGCATACAATGCATAATAGTCATATCAGGGTAAATGGGGTATCCATTGCCTCAAGCATTTATCCTTTGTGTTACAAACAATCCAATTATACTTTTAGTTATTTTAAATGTACACTTAAATTATTATTGGCTATAGTCACCCTGTTGTGCTATGAAATACTAGGTCTTATTCTAACTATTTTTTGTACCCATTAACCATCCCCACTCCTCCCCTGCAAGTCCCCCCACTACCCTTCCTGGCCTCTGGTAACCATCCCTCTACTCTCTGTCTCCATGAGTTCAATTGTTTCCATTTAGGCTCCCACAAATAAGTGAGGATGTGTGAAGTTTGTCTTTCTGTGCCTGGCTTATTTCACTTCACGTAATAACCTCCAGTTCCAACTATGTTGTTGCAAAGACAGACAGGATCCCATTCATTTTTTATGGCTGAATAGTACTCCATTGTGTATATATACCACATTTTCTTTATCCATTCATCTGATGATGGACACTTAGGTTGCTTCCAAATCTTAGCTGTTGTGAATAGTGCTGCAGTAAACACAGGAGTGCAGACATCTCTCAATATACTGATTTTCTTTCTTTTAGGGATATACCTAGCTGTGGGATTGCTGGATCATATGGTACCTCTATTTTTAATTTTTTGAGGAACTCCAAATTTTTTTCCAAAGCGGTTATTCTAATTTACATTCCCACCAACAGTGTACAAGGGTTTCCTTTTCCCCACATCCTCACCAACATTTGTTATTGCCCGTCAAGACCTTTTAAACTACTGGCCCAGGAGTCCCTCATATAGACGCACAAAGGGATTGTTAGTCTACTATCAATATCCCATGTACAAATTTGAACTTACCAGTTCAGGACCTGTTAAGACATTAAGCTTGGGGTCGGCGGTTTCATGAATTTATTGCCCCCGCTGCCCTTCCCTGCTCCATGTAAGGGACATTCCTTTTGCTTCTTCTAAGATGGCCTGTCTCATTCTCTCACGGGTGCTCCTGATTCTGCTATTCTGGAAACTGGTCAATAAGCTCATAGCACCTGGCCTCCATTCTTTATGACTTTAAGCTTTGGTCACGTCTTTTTGGAGCAAGTCTTAATCTTTTTGGCCTGGCCTCAAATTTCCACTGTAATTGTTGTTATAAAGACTGTATGGTGGTGTTAGTGCAAGAGTTTGTCATCTTGTAAAGCTGGCTCTGGCAGACACCTGGCCCTGTGAGGCTGAGTTGTGTAACAGAGGTGAGGTAATTTCACTCAGCTGCTGTTGGCCAGTCATGTGAGCAGCCGTGGGCAACAGGTGTGTGAGCCAAAGTCCCACCGCTACTTCCCTTCTCAAAACCAGCCTCCTAATATTCAGCCAACTTCTCAGGCTACACAGTAGGAATTGTGTATCAGAAGAAGCAAGATCATCTACTCTGAACAGGAGACTTCAGTGCCCTCTGGTGGCCAAATGATGTCACACACCCTGATTTCGACATTGGGGTAAGAAGGATCCTTAATCAAAGTTGGTTTGCTTTATAACAACTGAATTTGGAAGAACTTCAAAATAGATGGAAAACTAAGTGGGAGAAATTCAAAAGGAGGAAAATTGGGTTCATCATTTTAAAAACAAATGATTAATACAAATAGTTTGAGTACCTGCCGGTTATAAACATTTCATCCCTTACCTGTTAAGGAAAGAATACTCTCACATTTGGAGTTCTAATCTCAGGTCTGCCACTATCGTGCCATGTGACCATGGGATTTTATCTTACCTTTGGGCCTCAATTTTCTCATCTAAAATGAGGAGTTGGATTAGATGATATTAATATCTGATGCCTCTTCCAGCCCTATATCTTCTTTTTCTTTGTGGTTGTTTGTTTTTCTTTTTCTCTTTTTTTTTTTTTGAAACAAGGTCTTGCTCTGTCATCCAGGCTACACTGCAGTGGTGGCTCACGAGCTGTGAGCCTCAAAATCCTGGGCTCAAGTGATCCTCCCTCAAGTGATCCTCCCACCTCAGACTCCCATGTAGCTGGGACTAAAGGTGTATGCCACCACACCTGGCTAATTTTTAATTTTTTGTAGAGATGGGGTCTCATATGCTGCCCAGGCTGGTCTTGAACTTCTGGCCTCAATTGGTCCTCCCACCTCATTCTCCCAAAGTGCTGGGATTATAGGCATGAGCCACTGTGCCTGGCCTTATTTTTCTATTAACATGCAAAGTATGAGCCTTTTGTAAGTTTCACAATGTGAATTTTTTTGCAAAAAGATGAAAAAAATTTATTTATTGCTACATCATTTATTGCTGGCATACAAAATAGCAATAGACCCTATTACAGCTCCATTACAAAACAGGTGCCTAGAGCTTGGTCTCAGGCATCAGAGCAGGAGAATGAGGTCTACAAACCCTCTGGCTTTAAGCACGCCACCTCAGTATCTATCTTTGTGTTTGCTGTTCCCTATGCTCAAAATGCTCTTCCCTCAGCTGCTGGCATGGCTACCTCACTCCCATTGGGACCTCCACTTAGATGTCACTCCTCAGCAGTGACTCCTAGAGCACTCTTTCCGAGAGGCCTTCCCCAGTTACTCTCCCTCAGCCAACTCTATTTCTTTCATAGCAATCATTAATTCATCACAACAAAAATAAATACTATAATAACAGTATTTATTTTTTTAGCTACGTGTTTATTGTCTCCACTGGTAGAACGCGAGCTCCGGGAGAGCAGGAATGTTGTCTATCCTGTCCGCCTTCGTATTCCCAATGCTCAGAGTGGGCACTACATAAATATTTATTGAAAGACTACCTGACAGTGAATAATATCTGGCAAAATTCTTTGCACATAGAGCTGTATAAAATGATTAAAAAGTGAGGATGAGTAAATCAGCATAAGCTAACAACCAGGCGCTCCAGCTTTTGTTTAGCAAATCCTCCTCATTGGGATATTAGGGGAAGCCCTTAGCCAGGAGTGGCTGAAATAATCATCCCAGATCCTGCTGCTTCTCATCCTGACTTTATGTTTTTATGTGAACAACCTACACTGGTCCCCATCCCCACAGGCCCACTGTGGAATAGTTATCTTTTCCTTATGTCTAGGTTTGATCCTTATGAAGAACCCACCCTGCAAACTCCTTCTTTTACATGGTGTTGCCCTTGCTTATTTGTCTAGGTCACCACCGGTTCCTTCTAGGTTAGAAGCAGTGGCTTTGTCCTTTCCGTCTCCCAGCACCGAGCACAGATCCAGGCATCTAGCAGGTACCCATTACATGTTATTGACAAAAGAATTGTATCAGAACAGTCACACCAAGGGCAGAGGGTTCTCAGGCTGTCTGCCATAGCTCAGGCTTTAGTCTTTAAAGAATAGAAAACTTCTCTTTTGTGGTATGCATGCTTCAAATAGTAGATAGCTAGTGAAACAGTGAAGAGAGTTAGCTCTGGAGTTAGCCACTTAAGCATGAGCTTACATAGGATGATACTGAACCACAATTTCCCTGTCATTAAAATCATAGCTCCTCCTTCACTGGATTTTTATGGGGATTAAATGAGAGAATGCATTTAAAATATCCATTATAGTGCCTGGAACAGAATAGATGCTCAGTAGTTGTTAGCTATGTGTTAGTAATTGTTAGCTTTTTTCTCACTATTTCTTTTTTTTTTTTTTGAGACGGAGCCTTGCTTTGTCACCCAGGCTGGAGTGCAGTGGTGCAATCTTGGCTCACTGCAACCTCCACCTCCTGGGTTCAAGTGATTCTCCTGCCTCAGCCTCCCAAGTAGCTGGGATTACAGGCATGCCACCACGCCCAGCTGATTTTTGTATTTTCAGTAGAGATGGGGTTTCACTATATTGGCCAGGCTGGTCTCGAACTCGAACTCAGGTGATCCGCCCGTCTCGGCCTCCTGAACTGCTGGGATTACAGGTGTGAGCCACCATACCAGGCCTTTTCCCACTATTTCTGTTCCCACTTTCTACTCTAAAAATCTGTAGATTGCTTCATTTAATTTCTCTATAGATTTTTCACACTTTTCACTGTGGCCTCTGCAGGAAAAAAAAAAAGCCTCTTGAAAAAAATAACTTTATAAAATGTCTTGAAAGTCCCCAGGCAGCTATTGAGGAAGTACTTTCATAGCCCACCCCAGCTTTGAGGGAGAAAATGCCGATGCCTATTATTTTTCATTAAGCAGATAGCCTTTCCCCATGGTTCTTCTCACATCCCTTCACTTTAGTCAAATGTTCCGAATTTAAAAGGTAGCAATGAAAACCTGCCCTTTTGCTGACTGCCTTGAGTTTTACATGTTTCTCTTTCATGCACGTTTACATTTGGATAACAATTATTTTCCAGACATTTGGGGAACAATTCTTGACTCCTTTCAATCTAGAGGACATGTTTTCCAAATGCCTAATAGTGCTTGCTACATAGAAAGACATGTTAATATGTATCTTTTGGATTGCATTTGTTTAATCAAAAACACATTAACTAAGCTTTAGAAGAGTAGTCATCCCAGTATTTCAATATATCTGTAAAATTTATTTTTTTAATTTTACTTTAAGTTCCGGGATACATATGCCGAATGTGCAGGTTTGTTACATAGGTATACATGGGCCATGGTGGTTTGCTGCACCTATCAACCTGCCATCTAGGTTTTAAGCTCCACATGCATTAGGTATTTGTTTTACGCTCTCCCTCCCCTTTACCCCCAACCCGCAACAGACTTTGGTGTGTGATGTTCCCCTCCCTGTGTCCATGTGTTCTCATTGTTCAACTCCTACTTACGAGTGATAACATGCAGTGTTTGGTTTTCTGTCCTGTGTTAGTTTGCTGAGAATGATGGCTTCCTGCTGCAAAGGACGTGAACTCATTCTTTTTTATGGCTACATATTATTCCATGGTGTATCAATATATCAGCAATATTAAACAGGAGAAGAAAGTTACCTGCGAGTCAGAAGAAAATAATTAGATTAGAATTTGCACTAAAATAAGGCCAGCCTTTCACATCATCATCATAGTAATTTTAAAAGCACAAATGAAAGAGTGCCTGTAACAAAATATCTGTCCTCTTTGCCTGCCAGATGCCCATAATTCCACTACTTATGCATTTGTACATTAGATGTATGCATTTAACAAGTATGCATTGAGTGCCAAACAAGCCCTGGGTGCTGTGATGGGTGATGAGAATTAAAATTATTAATAGACATTGTCCTTAATTTTAAGAAAAATTTCTGCTTAATTAATTCACAAATAAGCAAAGAGACAAAGTATAATTCGATGTCATTAGTGCAACGTGGAGGGCTATCCACAGGCAAAGGCGCCAGGGAAGAAGGAGCATAGGCCTGTCTCGAGGGAAGGTTCATATCAGAGGTAATTCTTGAGTTGAAACTTGAAGAACAAATAGAAGCGTGGCAGACAGTGAGAAGGTGGGACTAGAGAGAAGGAGAGGAAGAGTTTTACACAGAGGAAATAGTAGGTACAGAGGCAAGAAGACATGATGTGTCAGAAAAAGCCATTTTAAGTTGAAAAGAATGTGAAGAACCAATGCAGGCAGATGAGCATGTTCAGCTGGGTAGGGGAAATATATCATGCCAAGAAGAGATTTTGATTTTGGGAAGCCATAGAAAATTCATATGTTAGAAAGATCAATTCAGGCATGATGGCTCATGCCTGTAATCCCAGCACTGGGAGGCCAAGGCAGGTGTATCACTTGAGCTCAGGGGTTCAAGACCAGCCTAGACAAAATGGTGAAATCCCGTCTCTACCAAAAAATACAAAAAAAAATTAGCTGGGCATGGTGGTGCATGCCTGTAGTATCAGCTACTGGGGAGGCTGAGGTGGGAGGATCCCTTGAGCTCAGAAGGCGGAGGTTGCAGTGAGCCAAGATTGTACCACTGTACTCCAGCCTAGGTGACAGAGTTAGACCTTGTCTCAACAAAAAAGAAAAAGAAAGGAAGAAAGAAAGAAAAAGAAACAAAGAAAGAAAGAAAGAAAGAAAGACAGAAAAAGAGAAAGAAAGAGAAAGGAAGGAAGGAAGGAAGAAAGAAAGAAAGAAAGAAAGAAAGAAAGAAAGAAAGAAAGAAAGAAAAAGAAAGAAAGAAAGAAATATAATTTTATGAAGATATCTGTTCTCCCCAAGTTATCCTATTAATTCAGTGACTTCCAACCAAAATCTCCACAGAATTTTTTAAGGGAAACTGATGAACTCATTTTGGAATTTATTTGGAATTGTAATCCATGTGGGTAACTAAGATATTTTTGCAAAAGAAAAGCAGTAAGGGGGAAATTGCCCTATAAATATCAATCATACTGTAATCTCTCCAAGAAATGTGTATGTAACAGTATAACTTAAAGCTTTAAAGCATAATTTTAACAAACATATAACAATACCATTTATAGGATTTAGATTGATTTTTGCTACCTTACAGTGTCATGAAAAACAAATATATATGTGTTCATTGACAAAAGCTCATAGGTTAAAACACACTGTACATGACAGTAATTGAGGCAGCTGTAGGAACTATGGTAGGAATAGGCAAATTGTTACAGATTGGATTCCTCAGAAGCAGACACTGACAGAGTTTGGCCTGCAGAGCACAGATGGTCCCTGACTTAACAATACTTCGACTTAATGATTGCTTGACTTTAAGATGATGCAAAAGTGATGGGCATTCAGTAGAAACCATACTTTGATCACCCACACAACAATTCTGTTTTCACTTTCAGTACAGTATTCAATAAATTACATGAGATATTCAATCCTTTATTATAGTATTGGCTTTGTGTTAGATGGTTTTGCCCGACTGTAGACTAATGTAAGTGTTCTGAGCACGTTTAAGGTAGGCAAGTTTAAGTTAAATGCATTTTGACTTATAGTATTTCAAGCTTACGATGGTCTTGTTGGGACATAGCCCCCTCGTAAGTTGAGGAGCATCTGTACTTATTAAGGATCAATATCTGTGGGGGAAAAAAAGGGTGGCAGCAGGATTGGGCAGAGAGAGAAGCGAACCTGCAGTGCAGGCCTGACAAAGCCCCTCTTCCTAAGGAGTTCTGGAGTGTATATGGTCCATCGGAAGTGGGGCAATGGCATAATGACTCATGAGATGCAGATTAAAATCGCAATGTGATGTGACTACATACCCACCGGAATAGCTAAAATCCAAGTGTTGGTGAGAATGTGAAACAGTGGGGACTTTCACATACCGCTGGTGGAAATGTGAACTGCTGCAGCCAGGTTGGAAACTGATTGGCAGTATCTATTTTTTTTGAGATGGAGTCTCACTCTGTCACCAGGCTGGAGTGCAGTGGCGTGATCTCAGCTCACTGCAACCTCCGACTCCCTGGTTCAAGCAATTCTCCTGCCTCAGCCTCCCGAGTAGCTGGGATTACAGGCACACACCACCACATCCAGCTAATTTTTTATATTTTTAGTAGAGATGGGGTTTCACCATGTTGGCCAAGATGGTCTCAATCTCCTGACCTCATGATCCCCCCGCCTCAGCTTCCCAAAGTGCTGGGATTACAGGTATGAGCCACCGTGCCCGGCCAGCAGTGTCTATTAAACATATGGCCCAGAAATTCCACTCCCCAGTATATACCCAGCTGAAATACTTGTATATATTTTTTGTTTTGTTTTGTTTGTTTTTGAGACAGGGTCTCACTCTGGTTGCCCAGGCTGGAGCGCAGTGGCACGATCTCAGCTCACTGCAGCCTCGACTTCCCTGGCTCAGGTGATTCTTCCACCTCAGCCTCCCAGGTAGCTGGGACTACAGATGCACACCATCCTTCCTGGCTAATTTTCTGTATTTTTTGGTAGATACAAGGTTTCGCCATGTTGCCCAGGTGGTCTTGAACTCCTAGACTCAAGTGATCCACCCACCTTGGCCTCCCAAAGTGCTGGGATTACAGGCCTGAGCCACCATAGCCAGCCTGAAATACTGACATATGTTGACCAAAAGATGTGTACAAGAATGTTCATAGCAGCATTACTTGTAATAGCCCCCAAATGTCCATTGACAGTGGGATGGAAAATAAACTGTGGTTTATTCCCACAGTGGAATAGTTCAGCAATGAGTGCTGCTACATGAAGCAACATGGATGAATCACATAAAGATGATCTTGAGCAAGAGAAGCCAGCCACAAAACACATGTATGATTCTGCTTATATAAAATTCAAAAGTAGACAAATAATTCTAAGGTCTAAATATGAAAACAACAGTTCCTTTTGGGAGATAATGACTGGAAGAGAGCATGAGGGGAGCTTCGAGGCTGTTGGCAATGTTCGTTTCTGGAGCTGGGCAGTGCTTACAGAGGTGTGCTCACCTTATGAAACAATCATTGAGCTCTACACTTGATTTTTATACTTTTATGTGTCTATGTTTGTGTTGCTCCTTAACAAATTATCCCTAAACTTAGTGACTTAAATAATGAATATGTATTATTCCATTATTTCTTTGGGTCAGGAATTGAGGTGTGGGTTGACTAAGTAGTTCTGGCTTAAGGTCTGTCATGACAGTCGCAGTCAAGCTGTTGACAGGAGCCGCAGTCATCTCAGGGCTCCACTGGAGTCTTACAATTTTTTCATAATCTCAGAATGACATTCCGTCATTCAAGGAGAGGAGATTAACACAGGACATGATACCAGGGGGTGAGGAAGGCAAGCATATGGGATTGGTGCTGTTATACTACTCCAGTATTCAGAGAGGAGGGGGTAACAAAGAAGATGGAAGAACACCTACAACTTATATTTATCCTCCAGTCCAGCTTTATAACCTCCCCTGGTCTCATGCCTTAGTCTAGAAGTGGAACATGATGGATAGGGGAAGGAGGGGCTAAAAAAAACCTCAACAACATGAACTGAAAGTGCATATGTTGGCAGTAATGTTTGGCAATAGTGGAGGTCCAGTTTCGATGATGCCCGGTGGTTGTAGGCCAGTGCAGAGCTGCAGTATCCGGTGCAACAGTTCCCCATGAAAGTGGCTCATCTGAAGGCTGTGACAACAGAAGAAGGGCCCTGATGCAGCTGTGCAGGCAGAGGTGGCCCGAGCAGGCAAAGGAGGTTGAGCTCATAAGTGAGACGCCTCTGGTGATAGGAGCGACTTGGAGGAGAAGTAGAGGCCCCACCATCATGAGTGGAGACAAGGGTCATCAATATAAAGAGCTACTGTGAATGTGACTCACTTTGTCTCCCAGGCAAACAGAAGCCACTTAAAGCTTTCATTGAAAGGAAGGAGAAATCATCAGCTAGATAGATAGTGACTATGCTGGAGGTGAGTGAGAAGTTGGCTTTGGTCCAGGTCTCAACTGGGCAGCTGCTGGACTGAATCCAGACTGGCTGGCCCTTACATTCTCCTTGTTGCTTGTCTACAACCTCCGAGAGTCTTGAGCTGGGTGTGAAAGTCTCCTTCTACCTAAAATGTGGATGTGTGATGCAGGGAGGCGTCAGGAGATAGGGAATGCTGGGGCTGTTTTTCCTAAAAGCAAGAAGGAAAATGAAAGCTTAATAATGACAGGTAAGGTTGAATTGTCACGATAATATGTGGCTTGTATATTGGGAGCTTATGCCATTTACTTCTTGTTCCACATGCATCATTCCTTAAACAAGTGTTTGCTAAATATTTAATGTGCATTTATATTTAATGGAAGGGGTTTTTTGTACAGTAGAAAAAGTCACACAACATCATATGCATTAAGACTGATAGTCACAGGTTTTTACATGTGGGGATGGCTTAATTTTGGAGGTGGTGACCCAAGGCACTGTTAGTGACCTAGATGACCACTAGAATACCAGATACAGTCACAAGAATGAATTCAGAGCCCTTTAAAAGCTATGCCTAGCAAATTCCATGAAGGGTGTGTGAAAAATAAAAGACCAGAAGGCACTATAGAAAACAATTCTCCTGCTCCTCAAGCAATGATAAACGAGATTGCATCATGTCTTTGCTTAAACCCTCCAGTGGCTACTCCTTACACTTACTAGCTACACTGCTTGGCATGGCCTGCAGGGTCTGACCTGGTAGAGCGGGCCTCTGCATACCTCTCCAACCACACCTCCTGTTCTCAGTCCCCAGCTCCAGCCACATGCCTCTCCTGGCTGCTCCCCAAACATCTCCAATCCCTTCTGCCTCAGGGGCTTTACACTTGTTCCTCTTTCTGCTAAGAACTTTCTTCTCTGAGCTCTTCATGAGCCAGCTTCTTTCCAAACCCCTTCTCAACTGTTGAAGATAATTTCATAGAGACCTTCCCTGACTTACCCCATCCAAAATACCCACTTCCAGACACTCCCAGCTCCATTACCCAGTTTTGTTTTTTTCCTAGCACCCACCACGATTAATCATTATATTACTTAGTTATTTGTCCACCGTCTTCACTAGGATGGAAACTCCATGGGAGGAGAAACTTGTCTGTTTTGTTCAGCTCGGAATCCCCTGGGCATAGAACAGTGCCTGGGCCACACAGGTGCACAGGCACTGATTGTTAAATGAATTAATATGTGGATGATTAAATTATGAGCCATGTTTTAAATCGGGGTGTCCACTTTTTTGGCTTCCCTAGGCTGCATTGGAAGAAAAATTGTCTTGGGCCGCTTGTAAAATACACTAATACTAATGATAGCTGATGAGCTAAAAAAAAAAATCGCAAAAAATTCTCATAATGTTTTAAGAAAGTTTACGAATTTGTGTTGGGCTGCATGCAGCCCACAGGCCACAGGTTGCACAAGCTTGTTTTAAATGTTTTTAGCTATGTTTCCTTCCATAGTTTCTATAACTTGAAGTACAATTTAAGATGATATCACTCTACATTCTTTTACTTCTATCAAAAGAATATATTCTTTCTATCTATGTGCCCCAGTAAGAAGCCCAAGAATTCTGGGCTGCTCTTCAAGCCATGGGGTCAGTTACGATTGCCTTGTACAAAAATAAATCATTTGATAACTGGGAAACTGGAGTCTTCTGCAGAGAGGCTGCATTCAGAGCCTGTATGTGGAGCTGTTGAGGATGCACAGGATCTCTTCCAGAAACAGGCAGCCTAGAGCCAGATGCAGGTATGGCTGGAAACTTGCCATTGCAAAGTTTTTCAGGGTGCAGGGATGAGAGGATACCCTCTCCCATGGTGTTGTCCTAAGCTGTGGTCCCTCTGTGCACCTGTGAGTCTGAACCCCAATGTGACAGCTCCTTGGTTACATAAAACTCTCAGCATAATCACCATGGCAAATATTTATCAAGCTCTGTGTGCCCAGTACTATTCCAAATACTTTCATGTACTATCTCACTTCATTTTCACATCAACTCTACGACATAATACCACAGGTCCTCAATTTCACATCCTCATTTCCAAAATTCAAAAAGCTCTGAAAACAGTCATTTGCCAGCACACCTTCCCTCGGTGAGACTCTTCATGTTTTTTATCCATCCTGTGCTCCGCAGGTGTTCCTATGTTTCACTGCAGAACTATGAATGTTGTGGAGGAAAAGCAACCGGAACACCATGACCGTAGACTTTAATCCAGACTGCCAGGCAGAAGCAGTCCCTGAAAGGAGTGTTCTCAAATACCTTGGGGGAGGAGGGAGGGTTTTTGGGTTTGTTGTTTGTTGTTGTTGTTTTTATTGCTGTTATAGGGCCTTAGCAGGGGGGTCAGCCTTAATTCAGGAAGTTCAGGAATAGTAGGTGAGGGATGGATTTTAGAAGAGAGAGGAATTCTTGCACATCAGCCACCATTGTTCAGGCAATTTGGATTTCATTAAGAGGGATGAGGAGGAGCAGTTAGGGGCTAAGGTCACGTGTTAGAGTGGGTGGAAGAACAGCTGTGGAGGACGAGGACATGCCACAGCCTCAGTGGAAACTTCTTGGTCCTTCGGTGTCTCTCAGTGTATTCGATTGCAGGTACTGCTCCAGACACCACTTTCTCTATTCTAGGAAGTTTCCCAGGCTGCCTCAAGAAATGTGAAATTCTTTTCTTTTCTGTGTAGTACATAAAATAGATACTTCTGGGCAGCTTCTTACCTTTCTCAGATCTGAAAATCCTGAATTCTGAGACACGTTTGGCCCAAGGGTCTTGGGTAAGGGATTACGAGCTCTTTTTCTCAGCCCCATCTTACAGCTGAGGAAACTGAAGCCCCTGGGGGTTACAGACCTTGCTCAAGATCTAGCATTTAGTGAGTAGACTAACAGACATCCTGTTTTCCACAAGTCACTCCCAGGTGCCAGAGAGGCTGGGTCAGAAGGAATGCATAGCCCCAGGTAGGTGCTGTGCCCAGAGGTGCCCTCCTCACGACCACAGCATCCTGTCCTGGGTGGGAGGTAGAGTCACTGCCCCTCTCCAGACAGAGGTCAAGGATGAGTAAAAATTCGCCCTGATGTTGCCATGTTTCCTGCTTCTCCAAGAGTTGGTGAAAGAGCCTGTGGTTGTTTTTCTCTCCACTTTATTTCCTTCCTGATAGACTTTCTTGGCCATTCACAATAATTTGTTTTTATTTTTTCCTTAAGGATGACATAGAATGTTTTTAAAAGCCTGACCCCTTATTGAAAGTAAAAAGAAAAATGCCTAAAGAGGGTAACATGCTCTGGCCAGGCCTTCAAGATCTGACAGGAAGACAAGGGCAGCCCCTTCCCACTGCAGGGCTTCTCTGGCCATGCAGCCATGAGGTCAACTCCCACTAATAAGCACTTTAACCCTCAATAAGCGCTCTCAATACTTCATGGGTAAAGATGGGCAAATGTTTTTAAAAGCAGACATGTTACAGAAATTTTTAGTAGGCCCCACCTCCAAAAAGCAAACAAAAAAAAAAACACTGCAGGAAGGGCTCCATAAAATGTTTATTTCACTGCAACCTCTTCGCAGAGCCTAGTTTTGTTCTACAAACAACGCAAACCACCTACATTCTTCACACATAAGCTTATTATGACCCTAAGTTTCATGTGGATTTCAAAAATGTGATTTTCTCTTTGGGAGGAGGCAGGTAGAGGTAAATTAACCTCCTTTCTTATTGCTGGCTTAGCTGCCCTGGAGGGCTGTGGGTTACGGAGTGACTTCATCAGGAGAACAGAGGGATGCTCGGGAAGAAAGGCTGGAGCAGCTCCTGTCTCAGCCGCACAGGGAAATGGATGCCTGACTTGCTGTATTATAATAGCAACGTCTCTGCAGGGAACTCATTTCAATACTTTATATACTGAACTTGCTTAATAAGAGGCTAGCATTTCTCAAAGAAATCAGTTTCAACTATGATTTTTTAAATGCTAACCAACTACAAAGTAACCCACAAATATCGGAGGGCTATACTAGTTATTTAAAACTTAGCAGCCTAGAGAGCCCCGTTTCCTTTAGTTTAGTTGTGTCACTTTTTCCTTTAACATTTAAATGGAAATATTTCATATGCTGGGCTTGGAAACTCAGCATTTCCCCACAGAATAACTGAGGATTCCCAGGGGTATATGCTGTTCACAATAGTTTTCTGCAAGATTTTTTATCTTGCTGGAAGCTTTCTCTGCTTCTTGTCCTGAATTAACCCAACAAACACTACTTTGCCTTAATTTCCCTGCAACAAACACTGCTCACCCAAAGCATAGCAGGTTTTTGTTGAAGATTTAGGGGAGGCGTTACATTGCCATGTACCACGGCAGATTATTTAAAATTGAATGTTTCAGTCTCTATTCTAGAAAGCTTCCCAGGCTGCCTTAAGAAACTTGAAATTCTTTTCCCTTTAATATGTACAATAATTTTGCTCAATGTCTTCTCTTAGCACAGCCAACGAGGCATGGCAGTATTTTTCCACAATAAAATGGCTTTCTGAGCATTTTGTTAAATGAAATATATTTCTTCTTTTAAATAAATTCTAGGGCCCATTTTAAAACTCCCTCTTTCACATTTACAAAATTTCAAAGGGAAACTTTAAGTAGTTACTCAGTATATGCTGATCAAATAAATTTCAAGCATACTGCTTAAATTCATCTTATTCCTCCATAGAAAGGGAGGAAAGCCTGGGGACAGTGGCTCACGCCTGTAATCCCAGCACTTTGGGAGGCCAAGGTAGGTGGGTCACTTGAGCCCGGGAGTTTGAGACCAGCCTGGGCAACAAGGAGAAACCCCATCTCTACAACAAATACAAAAAAAAAAAAAATTAGCTGGACATGGTGGCACACACCTGTAGTCCCAGTTACTAGGGAGACTGAGGTGGGAGGATCACTTGAGCCCAGAAGATCAAGGCTGCAGGGAGCTGTGAGCATGCCACTGCTCTCCAGCCTGGGTGACAGTATGAGACTGTTTCAAAAAAAAAAAAAAAAGGGTGTGTGTGTGTGTGTGTGTGTGTGTGTGTGTGTGTGTATAACATTTGTGTTTGTGTGTGTGGGAGGAACATCTGAGTGGGCATTTTGTGCCAAAGGTAATCATGTGTGCTATCTGTGGTAGGCATTATACTGTCCACCCAATATTTCTGGCTCTCTGCCTTCTGGGCACAAGGGGGGCCAACTTAGGGTTAGTGGGGCCATATGACTAGTTCTGGCCACTGAGATCTAAATGGAAATGACATGTATCACTTCCATTCAGACCCTCCAGAAGGCTCTTTCCCTTACCCTAGGTTGCTGTGTTCCAGATTGTGGGTGCTCTGTCCACTTGTATCTTGGATCAGTGTAGAGTAGATCCCTCTCCCACCAAAGCTGGTCTGCAGGGACCACAGTAAACACGTATTATGAGTGGGAAATAAACAATAAACCTGTTATTTGAAGTCACTGAGATTTAAGGACTATTCGTTACCATAGTATAGCCTAGCCTACTTTGATATACTATCTAATTGTAATTCTTGCAATCACCCTCTGAAACAGGTATTATTATCTCCATGTTATTGATGTGATTTTCTCAGGCCACAGAGCAAATACATGGTGGAGACTATTTTCAAATCCACCTCCATCTGACCCAGTGCCTGTGCTCACTACGCTGAATTTATACTTACATTTATGAACTTTACTTTTTGATGAATATTCTTACAAACAGGTTCATAGCTTTTTTGAATTTCCAATTTTGCTGAATTGGAACTTCCAGTTTTGAAATTCCAATCCAATTCCAGTGATCCCAATAAAACAGCACCATAGAATTTTTACTCAGTGTAATTTCATGTGATCCCCACAACACTCCTGTTATGTCAGGCACATTCTTTTTTATTTGTTTGTTTTGGTTTTAATTGTTTATTTTACTTTAAGTTCCAGGATACATGTACAAAACATGCAGGTTTGTTACATAGGTATACATGTGCCATGATGGTTTGCTGCACCCATCAACCCGTTATCTAGGTTTTAAGCCCTGCGTGCATTATGTATTCGTCCTAATGCCCTCCCTCACCTTGCCCCCCATCCCCCCACAGGACCCAGTGTGTGATGTTCCCCTCTCTATGTCCATATGTTCTCACTGTTCAACTCCCACTTTGAGTGATAACATGCGGTGTTTGGTTTTCTGTTCCTGTGTTAGTTTGCTGAGAATGATGGCTTCATCTATGTCCCTGCAAAGGACATGATCTCATTCTTTTTTATAGCTGCATAGTATTCCATGATGTATATGTGCCACATTTTCTTTATTGAGTCCCTCATTGATGGGCATTTGGCTTGGTTCCAAGTCTTTGCTGTTGTAAAAAGTGCTGCAATAAACATACGTGTGCATGTGTCTTTATAGTAGAATGATTTATAATTCTTTGGGTATATACCCAGTAATGGGAATGCTGGGTCAAATGGTATTTCTGGTTCTAGATCCTTGTAGCTTTTTTTTTTTATTTTGTATTTTACTTTAAGTTCTGGGATACATGTGCTGAACGTGCAGGTTTGTTACATAGGTGTACATGTGCCACGGTGGTTTGCTGCACCTATCACTCGTCATCTAGGTTTTAAGCTCTGCATGCATTAGGTATTTGTCCTAATGCT
The DNA here is from genome assembly GCF_000001405.40 of Homo sapiens. Classification (NCBI taxonomy): domain Eukaryota; kingdom Metazoa; phylum Chordata; class Mammalia; order Primates; family Hominidae; genus Homo; species Homo sapiens. The sequence goes on from NC_000001.11 coordinate 167,570,727, forward strand.
CTCCCTCCCCTTGCCTCCCATCCCCCGACAGGCCCCAGTGTGTGTTGTTCCCCTCCCTGTGTCCATGTGTTCCCATTGTTTAGCTCTCACTTATGAGGAAGAACATGCAGTGTTTGGTTTTCTGTTCCTGTGTTAGTTTGCTGAGGATGATGGTTTCCAGCTTCATCGATGTCCCGGCAAAGAACATGAACTCATTCTTTTTTATGGCTGCATAGTATTCCATGGTGTATATGTGCCACATTTTCTTTATACAGTCTATCATTGATGGGCATTTGGGTTGGTTCCAAGTCTTTGCTATCGTAAAAAGTGCTGCAATAAACATACGTTTGCACGTGTCTTTACAACAGAATGATTTATAGTCCTTTGGGTATATACCCCAGTCATGGGATTGCTGGGTCAAATGGTATTTCTGGTTCTATATCCTTGAGGAATCACCATGCTGTCTTCCACAATGGTTGAACTAATTTACACTCCCACCAACAGTGTAAAAGTGTTCCTATTTCTCTGCACCCTCTGATTGCTGCCTGCTACTTCCTCTGGAATCTTTGTCCCAGAGGGCCACTGGCCTGATGCCTGCTGGAGCTCTCCTGTATAAGGTGTCTGTCAACCCCTGTTGGGATGTCTCTCCCAGTCAGGAGTCACGGGGATCAGGGACCCTCTTGAGGTGGCAGCCTGCCTCTTAGCAGAGCTCAAGCTCTACTGCGCTGGTAGAACCCTCTTTGTCAGGATCCGCTGCTCTTTTCAGAGCTGGCAGGCAGAAACATTTAAATCTGCTGAAGCTACGCCCACAGCCGCCCCTTCCTCCAGATGCTCTGTCCCAGTGAGATGGGAGTTTTATCTATAAGCCCCTGACTAGGGCTGCTGCCTTTTTTTCAGAGATGCCCTGCCCAGGCAAGAGGAATCTAGGGAGGCAGTCTGGCCACAGCCAATTTGCCGCTCTGTGTTGAGTTCTGCCCGTTCCAAACCTCCAGGCTTTTTTAGCACGGTCAGGGGAAAACCGCCTACTCAAGCCTCAGTAATGGCTGATGCCTTCCCCCCACCAAGCTCAATCATCCCAGATTGGCTTCAGACTGCTGTGCTGACAGCGAGAATTTCAAGCCAGTAGTTCTTAGCTTGCTGGACTGCGTGGGAGTGGGAACTGCTGAGCGAGACCACTTGGATCCCCGGTTTCAGCCCCTTTTCCAGGGGAGTGAATGGTTCTGTCTCACTGGGGTTCCAGGCGCCACTGGGGTATGAAAAGAAAAACTCCTGCAGCTAGCTCAGTGTCTGCCCAAACAGCCACCCAGTTTTGTCCTTGAAACCCAGGGCCCTGGTGGTGTAGGCACCTGAGGGAATCTCCTGGTCTGTGGGTTGCAAAAACTGTGGGAGAAGCATAGTATCTGGGCCAGATAGCACAGTCCCTTATGGCTTCCCTTGGCTGGGAAGAAGAGGCTCTCCCACTCCTTGCACTTCTTGGGTGAGGTGACACCCCACCCTGCTTCTGCTCACCCTCCGTGGGCTGCACCCACTGCCTAACCAGTCCCAGTGAGATGAACAGGGTACCTCAGTTGGAAATGCAGAAATCACCCGCCTTCTGTGCTGGTCTTGCTGGGAGCTGCAGACCGGAGCTGTTCCATTCGGCCATCTTGCCAGCAGCCTCTGGCAGATTCCTAGTAGCCTCATTTTACAGACAATCCAAATAAAGTCCAGAGCCATTAACAGACATACCCTAAGTGAGATTCATAATGTGTGACAGAGCTAGGTCTTAAACCTAAGTTTTCTGACTTCAAGTTCAGGGCACTTTCTATGTCCAGGGTGTCTTTCAAATAAACTATATTTTCTTCAATGAGTACCATTCGGCTCATGCTATATACACACAGTTGGTAGAGCATGAAACGATTTCATACATTCCTTCAGTCTTTCAACAAATACAATTTAATAGCTCCTATGTGTCAAGTATGCTTCTTAAGCCAAATCTGTTGATACATTCTGGAGGAAGTAGATTTGAAGAAAAAAGTACAAGTGGTTTCCAGACAGAAGTTTGAAGGTAGGTGCAGAGGCAGCCGTGTGCTGGAGCCAGCATGTACCAGCTCTAAGTAGCCGATTCCACATGTAGCTTCCTATCTCCAAGTTCAGTTACCTTACAGTGGCTTGAAATTGGCCATGTTGACAGCATTTACACCACAGATATTGGCAAATGCTGAAAATTAGGGCCCTTTTTTTTCTACCTGGAGAGCTGGCTGTTAAACACTTACTAGCACACCATTGATTACTAGGGCTTTGTGTGAATGGTGGCCCTTGCCCTAGTACTAGAAAGTGGAAAATAATATTGAATGTGCTTCCTAGGCCACCATGCCCTTGCACCAGAGACAAATTTGCCTCAAACTTCTATGCACAATCTGGGAGGAGGGTCTGTTACCTGTTAAGAAGAGGGAGAGACATAGAGAAAGCCATCCAGGTGATAGAGGCAGGAGACAGCCAAATGCTGTCCAGGTCATTGTGCACAGGGAGCTTGCCTAAACATGCCTACAGTAGGAAATTCCGTTCCTTAACACATGCACAGTAAGGGAAATAAATCAATGTGGAGTGGCTCAGAGTAAGGGCCCACATGTGCACTGGAAGAATGGGGTGGAGGCACCAGGAATTCACACCTTATGGAGGGCAGGAGGGGGCCTCTTCAGCTCGTGTGTGGTGGCCTGGTATTCAATTTTGTGAGGTGGAAAACCTGTGTGCAGGACCCCTCTTTTTGTTGACAGTTTTTCTTTTCACTTAATAAATTACAACCTCCTCACTTTTCAATGAGTCCACAGGCCTAATTTTTCTTGGTTGTGAGACAAGATTTTAGCTGGATTTTAGCTGAACTAAGGAGCAAAATATCCTGCATTATTTTGGTGCCTGTATGGGGACCTGAAAAAGGGTGAGTAAAATGCAGACTCAAAAATCTCTTTCCCTTTTGTTTCTGAGCCTTCTTGTCCTCAGACTTAAGGGAGAGGAAACTGCACCCTATCCCCCAACCCTGACACTCTCAGGGGTCAGGAATGTCAGCCCTGGTCACCCAGGCTGGAGTGCAGTGGCCCAATCTCAGCTCACTGCAACCTCCGCCTCCCAGGTTCAAGCAAGTCTCCTGTCTCAGCCTCCTGAGTAGCTGGGACTACAGGCACGCACCATCACACCTGACTAATTTTTGTATATATATTTATTTATTTTATTTATTTTTTGAGATGGAGTCTCACTCTGTGGCCCAGGCTGGAGTACAGTGGTGCGATCTCAGCTCACTGCAACCTCCACCTCCCAGGTTCGAGCAATTCTCCTGCCTCAGCCTCCCGAGTAGCTGGGACTACAGGTGCATGCCACCACGTCCAGCTAATTTTTGTATTTTTAGTAGAGACAAGGTTTCACCATATTAGTCAAACTGGCCTTGAACTCCTGACCTCAGGTGATCCAGCCATCTTGGCCTCCCAAAGTGCTGGGATTACAGGTGTGAGCCACCATGCCCAGCCTAATTTTTATATTTTTAGTAGAGACAGGCTTTCACCATGTTGGCCAGGCTGGTCTTGAGTTCCTGACCTCAAGTGATCCACCTGCCTTCACCTCCCAAAGTGCTGGGATTACAGGTTTGAGCCACCATGCCCAGCCAGGACTTTCTTAAAGAGCACTCAGCTTAATTAAAAGTGGATATCCAAGTTATAGGTGTATTTAAAAGGACTTTATGTTTTTCTCTTCTTGGATCTTGTTTTGCTAGAAAAAGTCAACTGAATTACTTTTCTCCATTTTGCGTTGCCACTCTTAATGCATGCATGAGAGACCCTAAGATAATTTCTGATGGCCTAGGACTCCTTGGGAAAAACAGAAAAGGTGCCACAGATTCCATTTGGGGAGAAACCTCTGTTTTCCTCATGGAACCCCAGGAATTAAAAACAGATAGGTCCCTCTCAAAATTTGTTTTTGTCTTCCAGCTATACCTGTTTGTCGGGCCCTGGAAACAGCATGCTTTCCTAGCCTTGCTCTTAAAGGGCCCCACCTGGAGGGCAATAATCCAATTAGGAGATTGGCAAATAAAAAATCTTATAGCTATCAGATCTTCTTTCTCTGTTTAGTTATATATGTGTTGTGTGTGATGTCTATAAGAAAGCTCTAATTAATTGGCTTAAAGAAGGATAAGTGCTTGGATCAATATTCTAGTTCTGGGCAACTATCCTACAAATCCTTCCAGTTGATAAGAGTAAATAGGGTGCCCATCACCCGAAGGTTTCCTTTTTTGAGAAAATAAGAGCAAGGGAGCTAACCAAAGCCAAGCCCTGTGCATCCAAATCTTAGCAAGCATAACTGTAGCCACCAGTTATCTGGGCATGTCAGCAGCCTCAGGATTTTTGAGCCATCCTTGCCCTCTTGTTTTGTTTTGATACATGTCTTCTAATAACCTGGTTTATCTCTTCTCACCTTCAGGCCATTAAACTCCAAGTGGTCATGCAACTGGAGACTCGGATGATGGCCCCTTTTACCAGGACCCTTAGATAGGTCTCCAAGGGAGATCTGACTACCATTTTCCCAAAACAGCATATCCTGTCAGCAGGAAGCAGTTAAGATTAGTCTTCATCCTTATATTTATCCTTATTCTAATAGCAGTTAGATGTACTTCTTTAGGTGGGGAATGATAGAGGCAGGAGACAGCCAAATGCCATCCAGGTCATTGTGCACAGGGGGCTTGCCTAACATGCCCACAGTGGGCCAGGTGCAGTGGCTCACACCTGTAATTCTAGCACTTTGGGAGGCCGAGGCAGGTGGATTGCCTGAGTTCAGGAGTTTGAGACCAGCCTGGGCAACATGGTGAAACCCTGTCTCTACTAAAATACAAAAACTTAGCCAGTCGTGGTGGTGTGCACCTGTAATCCCAGCTATTCAGGAGGCTGAGGCAGGAGAATTGCTTGAATCTGGAGGTGGAGGTTGCAGTGAGCCGAGATCGTGCCATTGCACTCCAGCCCGGGTGGCAGAGTAAGACTCTGTCTCAAAAAAATAAAATAGAATAAAAAAAAAAAAAAAACATGCCCACAGTGGAAAATTTCATCCCTTAACACACGCGCAGTAAGGAAACTAAATCAACGTGGAGTGGCTCAGACTAAGAGCCTGTATGCGCACTGAAAGAATGGGGTGGAGCCACCAGGAATTCGTGCCTTATGCAGGCGGGAGCCGGGTCTCTTCAACTCGTGCGTGGTGGCCTGGTATTCAATTTTTGAGGTGGAAAACCTGAGTGCAGGACCCCTCTTGTTGAGAGTTTTCCTTTCCACCCTCCTCACTTTTCAATGTGTCTGCATGCCTAATTTTTCTCGGTCATGAGATAAGGACCTGGATTTTAGCTGAACTAAGGAGCAAAAAATTGTGCATCACAGAGGAAAAATGAAGAATGAGGAATGAGCAGTGAGAAGTCAGAGGACAGAATCTAAGACAACCCTGCAGTGACCTGGAAGTCAAGAGGGTGAAGAAATAACAGTTCCCACTCTTTGACTTAATGACTCTGGCTTTCCTCCCCATCCTTCCATACAAAGGTGACAATTACTCCCATGTTACTAACGCCAGTGGACACTTCACTTCTCAGAAGCATTCAACATAACTGCCAACTTCATTCTTCTCAAAACATTCTCTTCCTTTGACCCCCTGATTTTCTTCTCCTGTTCTTCTGCTATTTTTTGGCACATCTTAATCTCCTCTGCCTCCTCCTCATTTTCTACTTAGCCATAAAATTTGCAGCTCCTTGAGGCTCTGTTGTAAGCCGTCTTTCCTTCTTATTCTACACTCTTTCCCTAAGCACTCTCATCCTCTCCTGTGGCTTCATTAGCCATCAGAAGGATAACAGCTCTTGACTCTGTATTTCCAGCTTCCTAATTAGCAGCTCCACTTGAATGTGTCACAGGACTCTCAACCTTAAGTCTAAAAATGAACTTCCCACCCAATCTTATTCTTGTATTTTTTAACTGAATAAAAGGGTACACTGCTGGTTTGTCACCTGAAAACCTGAGACATCTTTGACTCCTCCTTCATCTAACCCTTAACCGTGTTGATTCTTCCTCCCATGCCTTCTCCCTATCCCCTTCTTGGCACCCTTTTCTCACTTGGATGGTTGTAGTAGCCTCCTGAGTGCCTCCTTGTCCCTAGTCTTTCCACCCTTGCCAAGAGTCCATTCTCCACAAAGGAGCTAAATGACTTTACAAATACAAGAACTTGGGGCATTCTCCTGCTTTTAAACCTTTTTACTATGTCCCATTGCTTGTAGAATAAAGTTTTTTCTCAATGGAGGTGAAATTCACATAACATAAATCATTTAAAACAGAACAATTCAGTTGTACAATCACATCTATCTAATCCCAAGACCTTTTAATCACTGCCAAATAAAACCCTGTACCCATTAAGCGGTTGTGCCCATTCCCTTTACTTTCATCCCCAGGAGACCACTCACCTGCTTTCTGTTTCCATGGATTTTCCTATTCTAAATACTTCATATAAATGAAACCATACAATATATATGTGCTGTTCTGTGATGGGCTTCTTTCATTGAGCATAAAGTTTTTGTGATTTATCTATGTCACAGCATGTGTCAGTACTTCATTCCTTTTTATCACTGAATAATATTCCATTGTATATCTATATAGATATATATAGATATATGGATAGATAGATATAGATATATAGATATATATAGATATATATATAATCACCATTTGTTCATCCACTCATCCAGTGATGCAGATTTGGGTTGTTTCCACCTTTTGGCTATTCTGAATAGTGCTACTGTGAACATTCATGTACAAGGATTTCAGTACCTGTATTCAATTCTTTTGAGTATACACCTAGGACTGGAATTGCTGGGTCAAATGAAAGTTCTATGTTTAACTCTTTGAGGTACTACCAAACTCTTTTGTACAGTGGATTCACCATTTTATGTTTCCATCAGCCACGAACAACGGTTCCAATTTCTCCACATCCTCGCCAGCACTTGTAATTGACTATTTTTTTGATTATTGCCATCCTAGTGGGTGTTAAGTGGTAGCTGGTTGAGGTTTTGCTTTGCATTTCCCTAATGACTAATGATGTTGAGTGCCTTTTCAGGTGCTTGATGGCTATTTGTGTATCTTTGGGAAAATGTCTATTCAGGTCCTTTGCCCATTTTTAAAATTGGGTAGTCCTCTTCATGTTAGGCTAGGCTACAAGAGTTCTTTATATATTCTGGATATTAGACCCTTATCAGGTATATGATTTGCAAATATTTTCTTCCATTCTACACGTCTCCTTTTCACTTTCTTGATAATGTCCTTTGATGCACAAAAGTTTTTAACTTTGAGGAAGTCCAGTTTATCTAATTTTTTCTTTTGTTGTTCATGCTGCCACTTCCTAACTGTGTAATCTCTCTGTACCTCAATCTCCTAATTTACCAAATGGCAATAATAGAATTGTTGTGAGGATTAAATACACAGATAAAGTTCTTAGAAAAGTACCTGGTGCAAAATCAGCACTTGATAAATGTTAGTATACTATACTACATTTACTTCTAGGCCAGTGTGCCCTGGATAACATTCTGTGACAAAAATGGATGTCAAAGGAAGAGCACAGATAAAAATTCTAGTGAACGTTAAGCAGGTTACATTCTTCTGGATTAGACCAGCATTGAAATCAAATACGTTATTTCCACAAGCCCAGATACGGTGCCAGCGTTTGGTACTTACTTAGAGAATAATGTCTTCTGAAAATGTGATTTTTTATCAGATGTCTTGTAATCATCCAACAACTCTACTGGCTAATTTGTATTTAATAACATATTTGAGCTCTTCTTTTTTTTTTTTTGAGATGGAGTCTCGCTCTGTCACCCAGGCTGGAGTGCAGTGGTGCAAACTCAGCTCACTGCAACCTCTGTCTCCTGGGCTCAAGCAATTCTCCTACCTCAGCCTCCCGAGTAGCTGGGATTACAGGCACGCGCTACCACGCCCAGCTAATTTTTGTATTTTTAGTAGAGACAGGGTTTCACCACACTGCCCAGGCTGGTCTTGAACTCCTGACCCCAGGTGATCTACCCACCTCGGCCTCCCAAAGTGCTGGGATTACAGGTGTGAGCCACCGCGCCCAGCTGAGCTCTTCTTTTTCACTGACTCCCAATCAACTACCACCCAGGAGTGCCTGAAAGAGCTTGAGATTTCCAATCATTCTGACCCTTCATTTCATCCCAAGCACAATTTCTTTCTTTTCTTTTTACCAGGGGTTCAGAGAAAGGGTGGCAATGCAATCCCCACTGAGTATTATGGGTTGAATTGTGTGCTCTCCAAATTCATATTCTAAAGTTCTAACCTCCAGTACCTCAGAATGTGACCTCATTTGGAAATAGGGCTCTTGCAGATGCAATTAGTTAAGATGAGGTCATGCTGGACTAGAGTGGGCCCCTAATCTGTCTGATGTCCTTTAAGATGGCCATGAGAACATGGCCTCCTTGTTCTCCCTCACCATGTGACAATGAGGGTAGAGTGGAGTCACACAGATGCAAGCCAAAAATCAAATCATCACAGATTGCCAGCAAATCAGCAGAAGCTAGCAGTGAGGCTAGAAAGGATCCCCACAGCTTTCCGAGGCAGGTTGGCCCTGCCCACAGCTTGACTGCAGACATCTAGCCTCCAGCACTGTGGAATGAGACATTTCTGTTAAGTACCCAGTTTGTGGTGCTTTGTTACAGCAGCCCTAGGAAACTGAGACACCGAGAAAGAGAAAAAAAAAATGCCTCTCAGGTGGGGTTTTCTTCCTCTGAGTCCTGTAGAAAGTGGAAATTAAAAATTGTTTTAATTCTTCCATGTCTGGGCACTTTCAGAGCAAAAATATGCTTTCCAGGTGCATTTAAAGCTCAAAATATAGACCTCTCCAGTCAGCTCATGACAGTTTTACAGCTAAGAATCTTCTCAACTTAGATGGGGGTGGAGGAAAAGGGAGGCATCAGGGCTGGACCATGTTGTAGTCTCACGCCTGTAATCCCAGCACTTTGGGCAGGTGGATCACCTGAGGCTGGGAGTTCGAGACCAGCCTGACCAAAATGGAGAAACCCTGTCTCTACTAAAAATACAAAAATTAGCAGGGTGTGGTGGCACATGCATGTAATCTCAGCTACTCAGGAGGCTAAGGCAGGAGAATGACTTTAACCCAGGAGGGGGAGGTTGCGGTGAGCCGAGATTGCACCATTGCACTCCAGCCTGGGCAACAAGAGCAAAATTCCATCTCAAAAAAAAAAAAAAAAGAAAGAGAGAGAGAGAGAGAACAAAGTGGTGTAATTAAGGTGTCTAAGGTGTCACTCTGGGACTGGACATAAACCCTGATTCTCATTTCAAAGAACTGGAAAGGAAGAGAAAAGGAATAGAAGACTAAATGCCTTGAGGCTGACGACCCCACGGTCCTCCCTTCTGTGCCCAAAATAGCGGTGACAGGTCAGAATAGTTGGGACGTCCTGTCCACAAGACTGACAGCCATTCAGCACCCCCTGCCTGGCCAGCTGGTAGATCTGCCCACTGCTTGGCTTAGGTAGTTGATGAAAGGCTGTGGCTTGCTTCTTTTCATTCCTAGAAATCTCTCTCTCTCAGGTATATGATTCAAGCCCCAAACTTATGGAAACTTTGTATTTATACATCTTTCAGATTGTGTAGTTTCCTTCCTCCCAGGTTCCCCCACTTCCCTTCCTCATAGGATTTTCAGTGACTCCTTCCTGGGCAGTGTTTCAGTGAAACCTCTGAGGCTCTGGGTATTAACTTTTGATTAGAGGTGCTCCCAAGGTCCAGGGAAAAGCCCATGGGCAGGCCAGTTCAAAGGCAGAGCATCTTCTGGTAGTGAATGTTGTGGATTCATTCTGTCCTGTCAGATTTCCCAGGAAGCAGATTCTAAAATATATATTCACATGCAATAAGGTTATTGGGAGAGACTCTTGGGAATCAACACCTGTCGGGGGTGGAGAAAGCCAGACTGGGCAGAAGGGGAATTGGGGTGTGACACGGTCGCACCAGTGGTCTCAGTCAATCTCATGGAAGACTCCAGATGAAGGATGGCCTTTCAGAATTGTCCTGATCCTCAAGGATTGGCCTGCCACTGGATGTGGGAACATGACCACGGAGGAGGCAGATGTTTTCAGCTGCTGTTTTCCCCCAGGATATGATATTGGTTTTGATTTACTTATCTTTGTTATCAAACTGAACTGGGGTCCACTTGCCTGGGGCAGCAAAGCCACATGCTGACATTGGCATAGCATCAAGAGAAAGTGAGGCATTTATTGCAGGGCACCAAGCAAGAAGAATCGGGCAGCTCATGCTTAAGACCGGAACTCCCAGATGACTTACGGGTAACAGTTTCTAAAGGTGAAGAGGCAGAGGTTACAGGCAAAGTCATAAAGCAAAACACGGAGGCTATACATTGGTTTGACCTAAAAAAGTGGGCTATCTCAAAGCAGGAGCCCATAGGTTGGTGGCAGACTCAAAGATTTTCTCATTTGCAATTGGTTAAGGAGGCAAAGTTTTGTCTCTAAAAAAGAACGTCAGCTCTGGCTCGTGGGTGTGACCTCCTCCAGGCCCCTTAGGAAGAAATTTAGAACAAAGAACAGCGGTCAGGGTTCAGTCCTCATTTCCTCCTTATCTGGGCCTAAGTGCCAATGGATCCATTTGGTGGGGATCCGGGTTTTTGAAAAACAACTCAGTGACATATGTTAGGATGTTACCTTTAGTTTCTATAGGAAACAAATTATCTGCTGACTCTAACTTCCTTGGCTATTGTTTTAAGTTACTATTACCTTCTTGCTTATTAAGTTGTTCCCTTATTTAGGCTAGCTAGTTGCCTCAAATTTCCTTTGAAGGAAGATTTTCCTTTATTTTCATGCTCAGGGGAAGAAGGGTACAGGCTCCTAAAAGGGGTTCCTGTTCTGCCTTATCTTGCATGGGCTAGAGGGATAGTTCAAGGTTTGCACTGAGCCTTCTCTACTGTGATACTTCTCATTCTGCAGGCCAATGAACCAATGTAAGGTTTCTGCCAACCCTCAAGTATGTCCATTTCAAATTACACATTTGGGGATTAGGACCATGATCACTGGGTGAGTCTGTGGACCCCAGGGGACCAAGTGTGAGCTCGACCTAGGCCTCGACCATTTATTACCTGGTGCCCATTCACCCCTCCTCTAATAGATGGCTCTCCTAATGTCTTAGGTTTCCAGGTACCAATATTAACTTGGGCTCTGTGTCCTCAAACTATATGGGTACCACGCTTTCCCAGTACATAATTACCTAAGTAAATAGTTCTTAGTATTTTGGGGGGAAGACTAGGGGAATCATTGCCATTTATACTTGCTATGGTTTTATAAGGCCTTCCCAGGGATTTAGATTCTCCTTCAATCAATGGGTGCTAGGTCAGAAAACTGGCTCAGGTCTGGAAACTAAAAAAGAGATTTTAAGTTTTTACTGTGGTGGCTACTTTTAGTCTCCTAATCATCTACTCTTGATTTCTTTTGCTTGTATAGATTGGGCAAGACCCTGTTGACTGTCTGTTTGTCTTACCTCCAGGGACATCACGTTCTAGTTGCTGCTTCAATAGCTCTCAGGTCAGGCCTCCTGGGCTTCCACTTCAGCTTTGCTTTTCATGACAATAATTGCACCCACTTTTCTTCTGGTATTTAAGTGTCACCTGACTCTATTATTTTGGAATTCTGTCATTTCCTTCTACTATCAGAGAGCCCAGTTCTGCAACAGGATCTCCCACCTTGCAGAAGACTATCACCAACCACTAAGCTTCTCAGAGATTCTGGTGCCTTCTTGTCAGTGCATTTCTTATTGATTTTATCAACAGTGTGTCCTCCAGGGCTTCCCACCAAACATAGTCATAGAGTGAGTTTCCCAGTTTTGCTAATTATATCCACTGTAGTAGGCCTACTGCTCAAGGTTTCTATCCCTCTTCCACCATCTGCCACAGCAATTCTGGCACTTCTACTTCACTTTGTCCAAGCTTCTAAGGGCCATCCTAGAAATATGTTAGCTTCACCTCCTTAAATAGGGTATTAAATCTGTATTGCAGAAGAGTGCTGCCATATTGATAAACTGTCCCCTAACCAACTTTATGTCCCATGCCCCTTGATCCAGTACCCTTAGAATCTAGTCATTTATGTATTCTCCCAGCTCCTGCCAGCGCATATTGGAATGTATGCATATGCATATATGTCCGGTGGCTCCTGCTGGCTGTAATCCCTTTCCTCTCTTAGCAGGCCCAGCACAGTTGGGTTACGTTGTGACATATTTCTGATTATTGGTCAGGAGGGGAGTTGAGAACATATCCTTGAGGAGTGTGCATGCTGTCTCGCAAGGCAAAGGACTTTGCATTGGCTTAAACCAAGGGGTGTTCCTTGGGGGTGGTGGTGCACATCAGAGTACCATCTTTTAACAGGAAGGAGTGGGTTGCTTCTGCAGACCCAGAGGATACAGGAGAATCTGGGGATTCAAGAGTTTCTAATACATTAACACAGTTTTGATAGCGATAGGAGTCAGCCAAATGCTGAGGCAGATAGGGGTGGGTCCCTGGTGAAACCCCACCTTCAAGTCAAAAACAGCTTGAAGGCTGAAAAACTAGATTGCTGGTCCCAGATGAAACCGGTGACCCAGAATGAGAACTTCTGTTCCTGTTTGCTCACCCTTTCCCTATTGATTCTTTCTGAATAATACTTTTTAACCAATTGAGTGTTGCCTTTTCCAATACTACCTATGGCCTGCCCCTCCCCATTCTGAGTCCATAAAAATCCCCAGACCCACCTACGCAAGGAGGAGAGAACCACCTGACTGTGGGGGTGAGGGACCATCCCCTGTGTCCCCTCTCCACTGAGAGCTGTTCGGTCGCTCAGTAAAATTCTTCTCTGCCCTCCTCACCCTTCAATGTGCAGCATATCCTCAATCTTCTTGGGTGTGGTACAAGAGCTTGAGAATCACCAAATGTGGGTACAAGCTATAACACAGACAAGCTGAGGCACACCAGCATAGCCAAGCAAGCCCTGGGCGGACATCACTGGCTGGAGGTCCCAGGCTTGCAAAGTGACCAAGAAGAAAAAATCCTACATCAGTTGTCCACATCCCATGTATTGCAGTTCCATTCCTTCATAATTAGGGCTCTGACCTTGGCAGAGCTGGTCTGTGGAACTCAGAACTCAACCTTCTCTGAAACTCTGTGCTTCCATAATTAAATCCTAAATTCATTCCTCAGGTTTTTCTGCACTCCAATGATAGGAGATGAGGGTATCTTTTTATGCTTCTGAGGATGTCCTCTGGAATTCTGACTTAGCCTGTAAGAGGTGATTAATTACCCTCAGCCTTTTACGGTCTTGCCCCAAAGAATAGATTATTTCCTAACAACAACTATCTAGTTCTATTGTCTTTATAATGACTATTGCCCTGTATCTCTCAAATGCCTGATACACTACTTGCCAGTAAGTCCTATTCTACCAGCCATCCTTCCATGTACACCATGGTGGAGTTTTAATAGTTGCAGCAGTACAGCGGGCCTGAGGCCATTTGTGCACCCCCAACCACCAGCGGCTGGTCCTCACAGCTGGCTGGCCAGTGGATGATTCCACCCTCAAATCTCAATTTACAAACAGTCTTCATTCTTGGATGAATCCCCACACTGCCACAGATCAGATTTCCTGGGCATCAGACTCTGAGAAGGAGACCGGGTGCAAGAGGTGCATGGTGACACATGCCTGTAATCCCAGCTTGGGAGGCTGAGGCAGAAGAATTGCTTGAATCTGGGAGGCGGAGGTTGCAGTGAGCTGAGATCATGCCATTACACTCCAGCCTGGGCATCAAGAGCGAAATTCTGTCTCAAAAAAAAAACAACAACAACAACAACAACAAAAAAGAGGTTTATCGGGGAGTGCTTTTAAAATTAACTCCCAGGGGAAGGGAAGGGAGCATGATGGGGCAACAGGAGAAGTTAAGCTGTGATGTAGTCACATCAAAAGCCTGAACCAATCCCACTGGTCCTGTGGAGCTGAGATGGCTCATAGCCATCCCACACTGGGGCAAGGGGGCTAGATATTTATACACCCTGTCTTTACTAGTTGTGTTCAACAGCTGAGGGCAATCTCCAGAGAGGGCCTCAGCTACCAGCTGTGAGTTGTCAACACTCTGAGCGAATGAGGAAATAAGTGACCCAGTCCCGAAAGGGGTTGGAAGTGGGTATCTGAGGGGCACACCACAGCATCCTCTCTGAGAGAGTCATTCTTGACCTAAAGCAGGATCCAAGTGCAGACCCAAAGCAGAACTCATACCTTGAGTGTGTGGTTCAAATGCCACTCAGTAAACATGTAGGATTCTTTCAAAACTCATGTATTGTTGGAGTTGGAAAGCCCTTAGAGGATATTCCGTTTCAGACCCCACTCGTCATGGATGAGAAATTTAGACACAGTTTGACCCAAACAGAGCTTTTGACTTCCAGTATTGCTCTTTCTGCTATGGCTTTCTGGTTTTGACTTTATAAAATTCTGAAAATCTTTCTCTTTCTATCTGCTGAAGGAGTCTAAATGGTGATACTTAATTTGGCAAAAAACCAATTACATCTTTGTTATTATCTCAGGATGCAAGAGATGGAATGGCGATTGAACAGTGATCACCTCCACAAAAGAAAGTTATCAGTGATGGTCTGGGCAGGGTGGCTCACGCCTGTAATCCCAGCACTTTGGGAGGCCAAGGCGGGAGGATTGCCTGAGCTCAGGAGTTCGCGACCAGCCTGGGCAACACAGTGGAAACCCGTCTCTACTAAAATAAAAAAAATTAGCTGGGCATGGCGGCATGTGCCTGTAGTCTCAGCTACTTGAGAGACTGAGGCAGGATAATTGCTTGAACTCAGGAGGCGGAGGTTGCAGTGAGCCGAGATTGTGCCACTGCTCTCCAGCCTGGGTGACAGAGCAAGATGCCGTCTGAAAAAAAAGAAAGTTATCAGTGATGGATATAAAGTATCATTTTATGTAATAGTCATAAAGCATTAAATTATTTATCCTCAATTGTTAAGCTGGGTGATATGTACATGGGACTTTAGGGCTTATTGTGTTATTTTACATGCAATTTTATATGTTTAAATTTTTCCTTAATAAAAACTTGACAAAATTATTTAGCCCTTGTTTGTTTGTTTTAAAGAGATAGGGTCTCACTATGTTGCCCAGGCGGATCGTGAACTCCCGGGCTCAAGCAATCTCCTGCCTTGGCCTCCCAAAGTGTTGGGATTAGAGGCATGGGCCACTGTGCCCGGTCTCCCTTGTTTTCCTATAAATACATGATGCCTAGTCTATACATTGAAAGAAATTTATTTCCTCTAAATATAAATGATTTAACAGTCATTTATGTAGCACTTACTCTGGGCTTAAACACTGTGCTAAGTTCCAAAGAAAGAAACAAAGATGAATTCGACAGGTTAATCAATTTTTTGCAAGTGAAATAAAACCTGACATTTGTAGTCCTAAATAATTGGGGTTTCATTTTCTTAAACTCTAAGAAGTCTGGAGAAATATAGTCCAGAGATAGTGTAGTGCCTTAATGACATCATCAAAGACCTAGGTCCTCCTTTTCCCCCAGGTATTTCTGGGAGTCATTGGGAGTCATCAGATAAGGTTGCCAGATAAAATACAGGACACACAGTTAAAATAAAATACAGGACACGCAGTTAAATTTGAGTTTCAGGTAAATAACAAATAATTCCTCTTAGCATGACTATATCCCATGCAATATTTGGGATATATGTATACTAAACATTTTTTTTATATTCATCTGGAATTCAATATTAACTAAGTGTCCTGGGTTGTTTTGTTTTGTTTTGTTTTTTTGCTTTGTTTCTTTTTTTGAGATGGAATCTCACTCTGTTGCCTAGGCTGGAGTGCAGTAGTGGATCTCGACTCACTGAAACTTCTGCCTACTGGGTTCAAGCGGTACCCTTTCCTCACCCTCCCAAGTAGCTGGGACTACAGGTGTGCGCCACCATGCCCAGCTAATTTTTTTATATTTTCAGTAGAAATGGGGTTTCACCATGTTAGCCAGGCTGGTCTTGAACTCCTGACGTCAGGTGATCCGCTCACCTCAACCTCCCAATGTGCTGGGATTACAGGCCTGAGCCACCGTGCCTGGCCCTCTGTTTTTATTTGTTAAATCTTGCAATGCTCCCTTTAGGGAGCAGCTCACATGTGTTCATGACAAATACTATCAGTTACTCCCTCAGCCCATGTTTTCTAGAAAAACAGAGCAGAGGCAAGCCTCACATGCTACAGCTCAATGTAAATCCCAGGGCGGGGGCAAGGCAGGGAAGGAAGGAAAGCAAATGCAAGGTGGCACTTGGATTAGCAGCCCACAGCTTCCAAGGAAAGAGAGCAGCTGCTCAGCTGTGCAGAATGTTGTCTAGACAGGCCCTGTAGAAACCCATGCCCTGGAAATGTCCCTCTTAGTGAAAAAGGAGAGGGCTATATCTGCCAGGTCTTTCACCTTCTGTCATTGTTAAGATTCACTATACAGGGTGTTGGTTCCCCTACTCTTCTGGTTGAGTTATGTGGCTACTCTATGCAGTTAATAGGGAGGCCAGATCCCATGTCCTCCAATGTGGTCTTCACCTGAGCCCAGAAGTGTGAGAGGAGCCACAGCAGCTGTGGGTCTAGTCAGGAAAAATTTGGACACCTGTGCTGTCCCCATAAGCATTATAGAAGCCATGTAGAAGCAGGCTGTCTCCAGGGGGAGGCTGAAGCTGCTGGCAGTATGAGGAGATGAAGTGATGATGACCACAGCAGCAAGCACACTGGCAGCCACAGCCCTGGGGCGAGGAGACTGGTGTACGCATCACATGGACCATGTTCTCACCTCCTCCTGCTAGAGCTTCCTCTGCTGGGGATCTCCTGCAGACACTACTGCCCTTGCAAGATATCACTACTTCTTCTGGCCTCTTCACATGCATCTGAAGGGGCCACTGTGGCAGACCCCACAATTCCTGGCAGGGGGCTTCTGCCACCTTCTGTGCCACTGGAGCCCCTAAATGCTATGGTAGAAAAGGAAGATGGCCTCTCTTTTCCTGAATTTGTTTCATACTATTTTAGGTGGTTACCTTTGGGGACATTTTCCGAATCAAGTGTCAGCAAAATCACACTCAAACCGACCATGGCAAAAAATAAGTAAGCAACCAAAAGGAAGATACTATTTATGTTACTGAAGACATTTCTTAGAAGATGACATACAAATGGCCAATGGGTATTTGAGAAATGCTCAACATCACTAATCATCAGGAAAATGCAAATCAAAACCACAATGAGATATCATATGACCCCGGTTAGAATAGCTATTATCAAAAAGTAAAAAAAAAAAAATGCTGCTGAGAATATGGAGAAAGGGGAACACACACTGTTGGTGGGAATGTAAATTAGTACATCTATTACAGGAAACAATATGGAGGTTCCTTAAAAAGCTAAAAATAGAATTACCATATGATCCAGCAATCCCCCTGCTGGGTATATCTTTGAAAGAAAGGAAATTAATATATCAAAGAGACATCTGCACTCCCATGTTTATTGGAGCACTATTCATAATATCAAAGATGTAGAATCAACCTAATTGTCCATCAGCGGGAGAATGGATAAAGCAAATATGGCATATATACACAGTGGAATACTATTTGGCCATGGAAAATAATGAAATCCTGTCATTTACAGCAACATGGATGGAACCGGAGATCATTATGTTAAGTAAAATAAGCCAGGCACAGAAAGACAAATATCACATGTTCTCATGCATATGTGGGAACTAAAAAAGTGAACCTCATGGACATGGAAAGTAGAATGGTGGCTACCAGAAGCTGGGAAAGGAAGTGGGAGGAAGATCAAGAGAAGTTGGTTAATGGGTACAGAGATACAGTTAGATAGAAGGAATAAGTTCTAGTATTTTATAGTGTAATGGGAAGTTATAGTTAAAATTTTTTTTTTTTTGAGACAGAGTCTTGCTTTGTCACCCAGGCTGGAGTGCAGTGGCGTGATCTCAGCTCACTGCAACCTCTGCCTCCTGGGTTCAAGTGATTCTCCCACCTCAGCCTCCCAAGTAGCTGGGACTACTAATTTTTGTATTTTTAGTAGAAAGGGGGTTTCACCATGTTGGCCAGGCTGGTCTCGAACTCCTGACCTCAGGTGATCTGCCCTCCTTGGCCTCCCAAAGGGCTGGGATTACAGACATGAGCCACCATGCCTGGCCTATAGTTAATAACTTATTGTGTATTTCAAAATAGCTAGAAGAGAAGAATTTTAATGTTCCCAACACAAAGAAAAGAAAAATGTTTGATGTGATGGATATCCAGTTACCCTGATTTGATCCTTACACATTGTATACATGTATCAAAATATCTTATGTACCCCAAAATATGTACAACTAATATAATTAAAAATAAAAAAGTATAGTGTTCAAAAAAAAAATCCCAAGAGGAGCTTTACGTTCAGATGTGGCTGGGCTCAGAGCTCGAGTGTTGTCTTCTGGGTTCTTTCTAACTCTTTGCTCTGCCCTTCCCTGTGTTGCCAGCATTCTTAGGCTCTAGGCAGGGGCAAACCATCATAACCTAACGGCCTCCAAGGCAGTACAAGGAAAGCCTCTCTTCTGGGAGTTCTGCAGAGGAGTCTTGGGTTTCTTCTCATCAGACCAGCTCAGGCAAGGAGCCCACTCCTAAGCCAGGGAATGAACTATGCCCACTGCCCAAGGCTGAGTCATGTGTTGCACCCCAACAACATGACTAGGAGAGGGCGGGGAAGTCAGGGAGTGTTGCTGCACCAAGGGAGAGGATGCTGGGAGATAAACAAAGAAATATTGGCCGCAGATTGGCCACAAACAAAGAAGGACTGCTTGTGCCTCCACTCCTCAAAGAGTTTTAATGTACACCCCCCTTCTCTATAGGACCAAGCTGT
This sequence comes from Homo sapiens, assembly GCF_000001405.40. Taxonomy (NCBI): domain Eukaryota; kingdom Metazoa; phylum Chordata; class Mammalia; order Primates; family Hominidae; genus Homo; species Homo sapiens. Next base: position 167,589,652 of record NC_000001.11, read on the forward strand.
AAGTTCCTGGGGACTGTTCCTGGGGCAGACTAACAGAAGAAAGCAATCTTAGTCAAAATCTTCCCTCTCCAACAACTAAGCCTGCTTACTGAGTCAGGCTCATGAGCTCCCCGCTACCAACCAAGCTGTCGACGTAGAATCAAGCAATGTACTTTCGGGTGCATTTGCTCCCAAAAGGTGTGGTCAGTATCTCACGCAGAAAGATTGTTTGGCCTTGTGATCCAGGAGAAACCACTCTGATCTTTGCTGATCCCAGGCCCCTCTGTGATCAGGTACAGGAGATCAGAACCCTCAAATAACAGGCTTGATACAGTTTGGCTGTGTCCCCATCCAAATCTCATCTTGAATTGTAGCTCCCACAATTCCCTTGTGTCTTGGGAAGAACCTGGTGGGAGGTGATTGAATTATGGGGGCAGGTCTTTCCTGCACTGTTCTCATGATAGTGAATGAGTCTCACAAGATCTGATAGTTTTAAAAATGGGGAGTTTCACTGCACAAGCTCTCTCTTTATCTGCTACCATCCATGTAAGATGTAACTTGCTCCTCCTTGCCTTCCACCATGATTATGAGGCCTCTGCAGCCATGTAGAACTGTAAGTACATTAAACCTCTTTTGTTTTGTAAATTGCCCAGTCTCGGGTATTTTTTTTTTTTTCTTTGAGACAGAGGCTTGCTCTGTCACCCTGGCTGGAGTGCAGTGGTGCCATCTCCGCTCACTGCAAGCTCCGCCTCTTGGGTTCACACCTTTCTCCTGCCTCAGCCTCCCAAGTAGCTGGGACTACAGGTGCCCTCCACCACACCCGGCTAATTTTTTGTATTTTTAGTAGAGATGGAGTTTCACTGTGTTAGCCAGGATGGTCTTGATCTCCTGACCTCATGATCCGCCCGCCTCAGCCTCCCAAAGCACTGGGATTACAGGTGTGAGCCACCGCACCCTGCCCAGTCTCGGGTATGTTTTTATCAGCAGCATGAAAACGGACTAATATAAGGCTAAAGGTTTTCTACAATCAGATTTATCTTAAGTCTATCCTAAATATAAAGCTGATTCATAGTTAGGAGGACAATTCTCTATTCCCATAAATAATAGGTCAGTTTATATAATAAACAGTTTATAAACTCCAGGTTGCTTTCATACGTGACAGATCTGGTTTTTTGGATCAATATTCCCTACCAGAAGCATGTGGGTTTTGAACCCAGCCCCAGTTCATGACTTATATGTGAAACACCTTGTGGGGAAGTCTGTAAGAATCAACATAAGAATGTGTCCTTGTCCGGGTGGAGTGGCTCATGCCTGTAATCCCAGCACTTTGGGAGGCCAAGACAGGCAGATTACCTGAGGTCAGGAATTCAAGACCAGGCTGGCCAACATGCTGAAACCCCATCTCTACTAAAAATACAAAAATTAGCCAGGTGTGGTGGCAGGTGCTGTAATAATCACTACTCAGGAGGCTGAGGTAGGAAAATTGCTTGAACCCGGGAAGCAGAGGTTGCAGTGAGCCGAGGTTGCGCCACTGCATTCCAGCCTGAGCAACAGAGTGAGTGTCCATCTCAAAAAAAAAAAAAAAAAAAAAGATGTGTCCTTTATTTAAAAATATTTTTTCCTCAGCCTTTGCCTTTGAGCCTGTAGATAGGACAGGTTATCAGTCGGAGCTGTGCAGACTTAATCTTGATGCTTGGTCATTCAAAGCGCTGACAAAGCTCTTCCACAGGAGGCCTGCGCACTGCCACTCATGCTGCCACCGTGTCTTGAGTGATCACTGAGAAGTTCAAGCCATGTTTTGTGAGTACTCAACCCCAACATCAATGTGTAGCAGAAAATAGCCCTTGCCATCACTGCCATTAAGGGTGTGAGCTGAACTTATGCTCGTGTGGAGTTGAAAAAGCAGACATCGGCTTCCCCAAGAGGGCAGGAGAATTCACTGAGGATGAGGTGGAATGCCCTGAGGATCACCATGATGCAGAATCCACGCCAGTACAAGAACCCAGACTAGTTCCTGAACAGACAGAAGGATGTAAAGGATGGAAACTATAGCTAGGTCCTGGTCTGGAAAACAAGCTCTGTGAAGACCTGGAGCGACTGAAGAAGATTCAGGTCGATAGAAGGCTATGCCACTTCTGGGACCTTTGTGTCTGAGGCCAGCATGCCAAGACCACTGGCTGCCATGGCTGTACTGTGAGTGGATTCAGGAAAAAGTAAGTTTGTAGGCCTTGTCTGTATATATACTTAAAAAAATAAAAATAAAATAAAATCCTGGTATCACCTTAAAGTTTAGGATAAGGTCACTATGAAAAGATCCCAAGCCACACTATGAATTATACAAATGACAGCACTATTTATATACAGTAGATGGACAGAAATGACAAAGTCTGGCTAAACCAAATGTCAATAACGTATTATACATGACTGTGGGAATGTAAATTGGTTTAGCCACTGTGAAAAACAATTTGTCGGGCCGGGCTCAGTGGCTCACGCCTGTAATCCCAGCACTTTGGAAGGCCGAGGAGGGCGGATCACTTGAGGTCAGGAGTTCAAGACCAGCCTGGCCAACATGCTGAAGCCCTCTCTCTACTAAAAATACAAAAAATTAGCCGGGTGTGGTGGCAGGTGCCTGTAATCCCAGCTACTCAGAAGGTTGAGGCAGGAGAATCACTTGGACCCCGGAGGTGGAGGTTGCAGTGAGCCGAGATTGTGCCACTGCACTTCAGCCCGGGCAACAGTGTGAGACTCTGTCTCAAGAAAAACAAAAAGAAAAGAAAAAAAAGAAAAACAATTTGTCATTGTCTTCTATAGTTAGACACATATCCTCCACCCGCCTCTCCATTCATCATGGACATAATACCCTAGAGAAACTGTTGCTCATGTATGCCCACCAAGAAACATGTTGAGGGCAGTAATTTTTATATGACCAAAACAAAACAGAACAGAACCTACCCAAATTCCATCAACAGGAGAATAGATAAATAACTTGTGAAATGCTTACCCAGTGGAATATTATACAACAATGAAAAACTATCTCTCTAGCTGGGCACAGTTGCATGTGCCTGTAGTCTCAGCAACTCAGGAGGCTGAGGTGGGAGGATCACTTGAGTCCAGGAGTTTGAGGCTGCAGTGAGCTGTGATCACACCACTGGACTCCAACCTGGGTGACAGAGCAAGACCCTGTCTCAAAAAAATAAAAAGAAAAGGAAAGAAAAAAAAAATGTCTTCACCAGCTACCTGTATCAACATGAATGCATCTTGGAAATATAATGTAGTGGGAAAAAGAAAGTCAAGTTGCAGAAGGCAATCCACCATATAATCCCTTTTTTGAAGCTCAAAAAAGAAGTAAGATTAATATATAGTTTGTACACATATACATCTGTAGTAAAACTATTTTTTAAAAGGCCAAATTAATTAAAATGTAAAAGTAGGATAGTATGACTTCTCATGGGGAGGTGGAGGGCTGAAAGGAGAAGCACGCAGGTGGTTTAGATGGTACTGGACATAAATTGGTTTATAAACTGGGCGGTGGGTGCACAGATTTGATTATGTTATTATGCTTCATAAACATATAAGCTACACATTTGCTTTGCATCCATCAAACATTACAACATGAAGAAAATTCCTTAAGTCATGTGGGAAAAAAGCAAGTGTAGTCATATTTACATTCCAACATAAACCAAGGAATTATTTGTGAGAATGCTTTGTGATATCTCAAGCCCCTTTCACTTTTTAACGTTTGTAATCTTTGACCCCCACTGCATCCCTTCTTGCAATGACTGTAAAATGCCACACTAATATGGAACAAAGCAGAATAGAAGTCAGGATAAGCATGGAGTCCTGATAGATTAGGTAACAATTTGGAGTAGGAGACATAAATCTTGTTTGGAAAGAAACACTCAAAATGTTAACCAAGGCAGCACTTGAGGTAGGATTGGAGGAAGGAGGCGTTTCAACAGGAGGACGCTTCACTTTTTACTCTTCTGTGCTGCTTGGGTTTGTTACAATAAGGGTACGTTACACATGTAAAAATTTCATAACAGTAGAAATGGAAAAAAGCAGAGGGATTTTGACCCCACACCTTTTCAGTGTGTATCTCATGAATTGCTTTTGCTTTCAGGTAAGGAGGAAGCATGTGCATTTGTTATTGAAATCAGAAAGACTTTTTCTAAGAAAGGTGACATGGCTTTGACATTGCCAACTAAGTTTTATCATAGTATCATGTCTAGCTTCAACAGACAATTGCTTTTGTCTCCTAATCTATGTCCACAAATGGCTATGGCAGAGACTGGTAGACCCATTTCCCCCCTTTTTCTTTTGTAATCAACCTCCATATTTAGCTGGGCATGTGGCCATCCAAAATAAAGATTACATTTCCCAACACCCTCTTACCCCTGACTCCTCAGAGCTAGGTATGGCCATGAGACGAAGTCCTGGTCAATGACATGTATGCACACATCCTGACTACAAAACCGGAAAATGTCCTTAAAGGGAGGGAGTACATCCACCTTTGCCCTTCTTATTTCCTGCAATCTGCAATGTGGAACCGTAGCAGGAGCTCCAGCAGCCGTCTTGGGTGTGATGTCTTCAGCATGTAGAAGCCACACGCTGAAGATCAGAGCAATGGAGGGAGCCTAGGTCCCTTCCATTGGAGAGCATGATACCTGCTCAGCACTCAGCGCTGCCAGCCTCTGAAACCCATTTATTTTCTTTTTTTTTCTTTTTTTTTTTGAGACAGGGTCTTGCTCTGTCACCCAGGCTGGAGTGCAGTGGTATTATCTTGGCTTACTGCAACCCCTGCCTCCCGGGCTCAAGCAATCCTCCCACCTCACCCTCCCAAGTAGCTGAGACTACAGGTTTGTGCCACCATGCCTGGCTAATTTTTGTATTTTTTGTAGAGATGCAGTTTCACCAAGTTGCCTGGGGTGGTCTCAAACTCCCAGGCTCAAGTGATCCGCCTGACTCAGCCTCCCAAAGTGCTGGAATTACAGGATGAAATAAGAAACCCATTTCTATGAGAAAGAACATCTATGATGTTTAGGCCACTGTATTTTTTCTGTCATATGCAGCCAAACCTAATCCAAATTGATCTAATGGCTTTAGTTTACCTACTCTAAAGTCAAAAAATTTGGCAGACATCCTTTAACATAAATTAGCTTTAGCAGCAATTCTATACAGCAGGTCAAAACATTCATTTACTCAGGGACCGCAATTCCAAACTAATTTGTCCTAGAGGGTTTACCAGGAAACTACTGTTAAAATAAAATCCTTAGGCAAATTAAATTTAACAGAGTTTAATTCAGCAAAGAACGATTTGTGAATCGGGCAGCCTCCCAAGCCAGAGTAGGCTCCGAGACTCCAGCACTGACATGTGATGGAAGATTTATAGACAGAAAAAGGAAAGTGCTCTATAAAAAACTGAAGTGAGGGACAAAACAGCCAGATGGGTTACAGCTCAGTGTTCGCCTTATTTGAACACGGTTGGAACTGTTGGCCACCTTTGACTGGCTAAAACTTGGTGATTGGCACAAGAGTAAGCTACAGTCTGTTTACAAGTCCATTTAGGTTATAGTTCATGATATATAGAGAAACCTTTAGGTCGAACTTAAGATATTTATATGTAAGGAGGCAGCTTTAGGCTAAACTCATTTTAACTCTATATTTTAAAATTAAGTTAAGGTGTTTTACTGAGAGATGTTTGTCCAAGTGAGCAATCTTGAGCATCTGCTTTGAATTTTTTCCCCAGCTAGAGTTATCATAGACCTGCTTAAGGTAGTGTCCTGTCCCAGTTGTTTCTTGAGTAATTGTTTAAAATGCAGATTCATTGGCCTACTCTAGAACACTAGAATCAAAAATCCATAGAGAGATTCCTGGGACTCTGCATTTTTAACAAATATCCTAGTACAGCCTATGCACTATAACATTCGAGAATTTTTAGATGCCTCTCTCTTTCTCTCATAAGCTAAAGGAGCCAAACTGTTCTTCGAAAGAGACTTTGGCTTCTGTTTTTGGGGTACCCACTTAATCTACCTTCTGCTGCTTCTTTTGAGATGTTACAACTTCACACTCTGCCATGTTCAGTTTTATCAAATGCCCAGTTAGGAGAAATAATATCTGTGGTGGATTTCCTAAGAACATGCAGTCCATTCATATTGGGGTTTTTTTTTAAGCTATTCTAAATTGTACCCTTGAAATGCATCTGAGTATCAAAGAATTGCCTACTGGAATTGTACTATTTGTCCTTTTGTTTGGTTTTGTTTTTATTGAATTGTACCCCAGAGTTACAATATCAGCTTACTTCAAACACAGTTATAAGAAAGAACAGGAGGAAATGTGTTACTATCGCTCTTGTAGGGCTATGTTGAGATGTCTCCCTCTATAAAACAGTACTTTCCTTATGAGCACCCATAAGAGAATGTGTCAAGTCTCAATATCAGAAAGCATAATACTTCCAAAGAGCAACTGGTTTCTTTTAATCTAATGGAGATGATAAAAACAATTATTAATTATTTTTCCCTTTCGCTTTGGTTTCTGAGAGTTTTCACAATGAAATGTCTTGTGACCTACCTTGAGCAAATATACAGGACTCTATGTTATACATTACTTTTTATTATTTTCCTTCATCATATCCCTTAAGAGTATATTGTATGATTATTTACTGTATGTGTTTTAATGAATGATTGCTAATTCTTTGTGGAGAGAGCAGGGAGGGGAGGATAGATGGAGAGGAACCTAGATCTTTTAAATCCAAGTCTGGTTTTCTCTTGGTTATATCATAGCGCTTCAATCTCTGCACATCTACACTCACCCCAACACACACTCAAAAAAGAAGAGGCAAAATTTTAAAACCACATAAATGAGCAAAATAAAAATGCCATGATTTCTAAGTAAACATAACTATTTTTTTTTTTTTTTTTTTTTTTGAGACGGAGTCTCACTCTGTCGCCCGGGCTGGAGTGTAGTGGCGCAATCTTGGCTCACTGCAAGCTCCACCTCCTGAGTTCACGCCATTCTCCTGCCTCAGCCTCCCAAGTAGCTGGGACTACAGGCGCCCACCACCACGCCTGGCTAATTTTTTTTGTATTTTTTTAGTAGAGACGGAGTCCATGTTAGCCAGGATGGTCTCAATCTCCCGACGTCATGATCCGCCCCCCTCGGCCTCCCAAAGTATTGGGATTACAAGCGTGAGCCACCGTGCCCGGCCAACATAACTATTTCTAAAAGTTGATAGGAAGCGTAGAGAGAGGAAGGGAAAAAAGCAAATGAAGGGAAAATAATAAAAGACATGGAAAAGAAAGTATAAAAGAAAAAACAAACATGGTAAAGAAGTAAGGACCATTTTCTGATTATTATTGTTATTACATATATTTTCCTCATCATATCCCTTGAAACAAAATTTCTAGACTTTCCAGGCTAGCACAGGACATCAGCTCCCCTCAGCATGCATGAGAGTATAGTCATCCCTGGGTATCCATGGGGGATTGATTCCAGGATTCCCAGCAGATACCAAAATCCATGGATGCCTGTATTAGTCCGATTCCACTCTGCTGATAAAGACATACTTGAGACTGGGAAGAAAAAGATGTTTAATTGGACTTACAGTTCCACATGGCTGGGAGGTTGAAATCATGGCGGAGGGTGAAAGACATTTCTTACATGATGGCGGCAAGAGAGGAGAGGAAGAAGCAAAAGCAGAAACCGCTGATAAACCCATCAGATCCATGAGACTTATTCACTATCACGAGAACAGCAAGGGAAAGACCAGCCTCCACGATTCAATTACCTCCCCCTGGTTCCCTCCCACAACATGGGGGAATTCTGGGAGACACAATTCAAATTGAGATTTGGGTGGGGACACAGCCAAACCATATCATTCTGCACCTGGCCCCTCCAAATCTCATGTCCTCACATTTCAAAACCAATCATGCCTTCCCAACAGTCTCCGAAAGTCTTAACTCCTTTCAGCATTAACCCAAAATTCCACAGTCGAAAGTATCATTTGAGACAAGGCAAGTCCCTTCCACCTATGAGCCTGTAAAATCAAAAGCAAGCTAGTTACTTCCTAGATACAATCGGGGTACAGGTATTAGGTAAATACAGCCATTCCAAATGGGAGAAATTGGGCAAAACAAAGGGGTTACAGGGCCCATGCAAGTCTGAAACCCAGTGGGGCAGTCAAATTCTAAAGCTCCAAAATGCTCTGCTTTGACTCCACGTCTCACAACCAGGTCATGCTGATGCAAGAGGTGGGTTCCCATGGTCTTGGGCAGCTTTGCCTCTGTAACAGCCTCCCTTCTGGCTGCTTTCACAGGCTGGCGTTGAGTATCTGCAGTTTTTCCACACACATGGTGCAAGCTGTCAGTGATCTACCATTCTGGGGTCTGGAGGACAGTGGCCCTCTTCTCACAGCTCCACTAAGCAGTGCCCCAGTAGGGACTCTATTTGGGGGCTCCAGCCCCACATTTCCCTTCTGCGCTGCTCTAGCAGAGGCTCTCCATGAGGGCCCTGCCCCTGCAGCAAACTTTTTCCTGGGCATCCAGGCATTTCCGTACATCTTCTGAAATCTAGGCGAAGGTTCCCAAACCTCAATTCTTGACTTCTGTGTACCTGCAAACTCAATACCACATGGAAGCTGCCAAGGCTTAGGGCTTTCACCCTCTGAAGCCACAGCCTGAACTCTATGTTGGTCCCTTTCAGCCATGGCTGGAGCAGCTGGGACACAGGGAACCAAGTCCCTAGGCTGCACACAGCACGGGGACCCTGGGCTTGGCCCACAAAACCACTTTCTCTCCTGGGCCTCCGGACCTGTGATGGGAGGGGCTGCAGTGAAGACCTCTGACATGCCTTGGAGACATTTTCCCCATGGTCGTGGGGATTAACGTTAGGCTCTTGCTACTTATGCAAATTTCTGCAGCTGGCTTAAATTTCTCCTCAGAAAATGGGTTTTTCTTTTCTATTCCATAGTCAGGCTCCAAATTTTCTGAACTTTTATGCTCTGTTTCCCTTTTAAAACTGAATGCCTTTAACAGCACCCAAGTCACCTCTTAAATGCTTTGCTGCTTAGAAATTTCTTCCACCAGATACCCTAAATCATCTCTCTCAAGTTCAAAGTTCCACAAATCTCTAGGGCAGAGGCAAAATGCCACCAGTCTGTTTGCTAAGACATACAAGAGTCACCTTTGCTCCAGTTCCCAAAAAGTTCCTCATCTCCATCTGAGGCCACCTCAGCCTGGATTTTATTTTTCATATTGCTATCAGTATTTTGGGCAAAGCCATTCAACAAGTCTCCAGGAAGTTTCAAGCCTTCCCACATTTTCCTGGCTTCTTCTGAGCCCTCCAAACTGTTTCAACCTCTGCCTGTTACCCAGTTCCAAAGTTGCTTCCACATTTTCCACATTTGCTGAGTATCTTTTCAGCAACGCCCCACTCTACTGGTACCAATTTACTGTATTAGTCCATTTTCATGCTGCTGATGAAGACATACCCAAAACTAGGAAGAAAAAGAGGTTTAATGGATTTACAGTTCCACATGGCTGGGGAGGCCTCAGAATCATGGCAGAGGGCAAAAGTCGCCTTTTACATGGCGGCAGCAAGAGAGAAGAAGAAGAAGCAAAAGCAGAAACCCCTAATAAACCCATCAGATCTTGTGAAACTTATTCACTATCACGAGAATAGCATGAGAAAGACCAGCCCCCATGATTCAATTACCTCCTCCTGGTTCCCTCCCACAACATGTAGGAATTCTGGGAGATAGAATTCAAGTTGAGATTTGGGTGGGGACACAGCCAAACCGTATCAATGCCCAAGTCCCTTATATAAAATGGCATCGGCCGGGCACGGTGGCTCACGCCTGTAATCCCAGCACTTTGGGAGGCCGAGACGGGCGGATCACGAGGTCAGGAGATCGAGACCATCCTGGCTAACACGGTGAAACCCCGTCTCTACTAAAAATACAAAAATTAGCCGGGCATGGTGGCGTGTGCCTGTAGTCCCAGCTACACGGGAGGCTGAGGCAGGAGAATGGCGTGAACCCGGGAGGCGGAGCTTGCAGTGAGTCGAGATCGCGCCACTGCACTCCAGCCTGTGCGACAGAGCGAAACTCCGTCTCAAAAAAAAAAAAAAAAAAAAATGGCATCGTATTTGCATATAATGTACACATATCCTCCCAAATACTTTAAATCACATCTGGACTACCTAATGCAATGCTTACACATCACTTCATTTGCCTGGATTCAATGTAGTACTCAGTGCATGCAAATTCAAGTTTTGCTTTTTGAAACTTTGTGGAATTTTTTTCTCACACAATTTTGATCCGCAGTTGGTTGAATCCACAGATGCACAATTCATAGAATACCAACTATTCCAAGATTACTTCCCTTTAGTTTCTCCTGCAGGTCCTGGTACTTAGTAATTTGCCTCTGGGTGGAGTTCTGCAGATTTAGCAATTTTTCATCATTTCTTCCCAGCATGCTTCAAAGACATAGAAAGCAAAAGCGAAAACAAACAAAAGAAGCAAAAACAAAAGTGTTTCATAGTTTTAAGATTGTTTAAAATGTGCCTTTCTCCAGAGTTCAAAGGTGCGTTGTGCTCCTGACACATGAGGGCACTATTTCTGTAGTTTGTAATATTCATGGTACAGAAAGAATATTCATGTGGGAAGCTAGGTCTGCAGAACCGTGGCTAGGAACATGCAGAGAAAAATGGTTTGCTATGTGTTCTAGGCTCGCCAGGTTTTCCAAGTGTGACATGTCCTAATGTACCCTATGAACAATGCCAGGACTCTCGGGGCTGCAACCTGGCCTTCTGACCACAGGGTTGCTAGCTGGAACTTCCTTGAAATGAGGATGACCTCATCTCATTTAGCTCTGCAGGGATAGAACTAGTGTATTAAAACACCAGCTTTGGAGACTGACTGAGAATGAAAGATGAATGACCTAGAGCAAGCTGCTTAACCTTTTCTTGCTCTAATGATGGAGGTATTGCTGAGCACAGTGGCTCACGCCTGTAATCCCAGCACTTTGAGAGGCCAAGGTGGGCAGACTGCTTGAGCTCAGGAGTTGAGACCAACCTGGGTAACATGGTGAAACACCATCTCTACAAAAAAATATAAAAATTAGCTGGGCATGGTGGCACATACCTGTACTCCCAGCTACTTGGGAGGCTGAGACGGGAGGGTCAACTGAGCCTGGGAGGTCAAGGCTGCAGTGAGCTATGACTGCATTACTGTACTCTAGTCTGGGTGACAGAGTAAAGCCCTGTCTCAAAAAAGAAAAGTAAATAAATAAAAATGGAGGTATTGCCTCACAGATCTGTGAGGAAGATTAAGTGGGGGTAATCTATCTAAAGCGCCTGACACTTAGTTGGAACTCAATAAGGAGACACTAATAGTGTTTGTTACTTAGCAGTGCTGATGTATAGTGATGCTCAGGACAAGTTTAAGCAAGCGAATGAATGAATAGGATGTGTAGAATCACACAGATTTTACCAAACTGAAGAAAACTAACACTTTCGAGCTTTTTTAGTGTTGAATCACTTCAGGGCAAAGTGATCAGCCAGTGTGCGGTAAGCCCTCTAAACTTCTGTTAGCCTTCTTGATTCCTTAACTGAACCGGTGAGAATGCTGAGGTCAGAGGAAAAAAGTGATGTGCCCCAGGCTTCAGAGCTGTTTAGGGGATCGGGATGAGACCCAAGGTCTCCTGAGGCCTAGCACAAAGCTTAACCCATAGGGACCTGCCTGGCTGGGCTGGGAGTTGAGGGGTTAACAGACTGATCCTAGAAAACAAATAGGCTTTTGGCTTGGTTTACCTGTGCTTGCTAGGCATATTGTTACCCAGCAGTGACCCCGTCTGAGTGTGGAAAGAGCTGAACCACAAGAGCATCCCAGCTTGCCCCAGGGCAGCCACCCAGGGTTGACCTCTAATCTGAAGACATCTTTGGGGAGAGCTCTCACACACTTCCCCAAATATACTTCTATGTGCTTCTGTGTGTGTCACAAGAGGCCTTGGGTCACCTCCTTCCTTTGCGCAATGAGATCAAAAGAGCAGTTTCTGCTTCTGCTGTTGCTTCTTTCCTGTTACCACTTTCTTGGACTTTTCGGGGACTGTTGAATTCTTAGGACACAGCCCTGCTCTGGCCCTGGTGGGCTTCCTCTATTAGAAGGCTCCCCAGGGCTTCCTGACTGGAGCAGATGGCCCTCCCTTTCCCGGGTGAAACAGGCTGACCTGGGCAGGCCGGCCCCTCTGCCTTTGATCTGCAGGTGGGAGGCAATAAAAGGCACTTTCCACGTGCCTGCTATAACCATATTTTCCAAATTCAAAAGCAGGACTCAGGAGTCTCTCTGAGCCTACTCTGGTTTGAGAGGCTGCCTGTAAAAATAAATAAATTAAATAACTAAGAGCAGGACTTTACCCACCCCATACATATGTCCTTCTAAGGACTTTGAGACAAAAGATGGGAAATTGGACCATGCCAGGAAACCCAGGATGGCTGGCTGCCATACACAGGCCTCATGGAAAATTCTCTCCTCTGGGGGATGTCTGCCGGAAGTGCCATCTGCTTTTGCCACAGATTCATGGCTGTGAGTGTGGCTCAGGCAATAACCACAGTAGACCCTTGGTTAACTCCTGCTGTGGTTCCGCCAGGAAGCCTGGCATGAACAGTTGTGTCCAGGAAATCTTTTCCCTGATTTCACTAGCTTGTTTTATCTGCCTGACAACCTTACTCCCAGGAAGGCTTTGCAAGGCACTTTCACCTTCAGCTCTTGGAATGAATAAATACAGCTATGATTTTTTAAAAAATATCAGTCCAACAATTTCGGTATGTCCAATAAATATCATAATGACCTGTTTCACGTATCAGGAACTGTGCTGTGCACTGTCAGAGATAAAATGGTGAAAAATGCCATTCTCTTTAATCCTTTTGAGGCCCTGCTGGCATGAAATCGTGTTAGTGCTCAAGGGAAGGTACAATGGCTGAACACATAGTTTCCACCTTTTCACACTCAACTACAGTACAGATTAATCACGGTGTCATAGGAGGGAGCCAGACTTGGCATCAGATCCTGGATTCAAATCTTGCCACCTTCACTTGATGACTGTCTGGTACTGAACAAGGTACTCTTTCAACCTCTTACTCCTCATCTACCAAGAAGGAGGTCATAATTCCTCCTGGCAGTGAGGTTGGGTGAGGAATAAATGCTGGCACATTGTTTATGAGCCTAAGGCATAATAGATGCTGAGAAAAGGTTTATTTCCTTCTTTCCTTAAGGAGCTTAGAGGCTAATAGATAACAACTGGTCCTGCTGTAACTAACACACACTGCTGACTGTCATACAATCTCAACTAGGGGTGTGAAAGCATGCCGAGGTGGCCTTTTGAGGTTTGTTGCATATGCTTGGGGAAAAACGCTCAGATTAGCATTGCCGGGGGCCGTTTCCTGGGCTCCTTCCTGCAGGGCCTGTTTCGGGGCCCTCCACCCAAATCCACTCCGGGAGGAGTAAGTTTCGGGGCCTTTATTACCCACTTGTGATTAGGGATCAGAAGTGGCCAGTCGGGGTGGGTTGGCAGTGACTTGCACCCAAGGGAAGGATGGGAGCCCACAAGAGTGGCAGGGCTCTGGGGAGAGAGGCAGGCTAACCAGTAGAAGTGAATAGGATGTGCTAAAGTATTCCCTTGAGAGTGGAAATACCATACAGAAGACTTGGATATGTGGTTTTCACCCTAAACCAAGCTGAGGAACCAGCACCAAATGCTTAACAAACACACAAACAAAAACAAAAACCCCCCTCTGGGTGGCCCAATGCTGTAGCACTTCACTTTTCATGGGACCTTGCAGCTTACATGCAGCATTCAAAGACATGAGTTTATTTGGGCCTTCCAATATCCGAGCTTGGTAGGTAGGCTAATTTCATCACTTCATTGTACAGAGGAAAAATCTGAGATTCAGAGAAGTTACACAACTTGCCAAGATCACATCTAAGTAGCAGAGTTGTGGCTCTAAGCCACATAATCCAGACTTTTTTTTTTTTTTTTTTTTTTTTGAGATGAAGTCTCGCTCTGTCGCCCAGGCTTTAGTGCAGTGGTACAATCTCAGCTCACTGCAAGCTCCGCCTCCCGGGTTCAAGCAATTCTCCCATCTCAGCCTCCCAAGTAGCTGGGATTACAGGCACCTGCCATCATGCCCGGCTAATTTTTGTAGTTTTAGTAGAGACAAGGTTTCACCATGTTGGCCAGGCTGGTCTTGAACTCCTGACCTCAGGTGATCCGCCTGCCTTGGCCTCCCAAAGTGCTGGGATTACAGGTATGAGCCACCACGCCTGGCCCAGACTTCTTAAAGAAAACATAAATGGCCTATCAATTCATGTAAGAGTGTTCCAAAATTATTATAGTAGTGGCTCCTCTATGTTCTCCCCAATTTTTTTCTCTTTTCTATAGCAACAGAAGTTTTTTTACTGTGTACATGGAAACTCAGATAAAGACTCTATTTCCCAACTTCCCTTGCAGCTACAATTGTTCATGTCATTGTTTGGGACAACATGAGATATAAGTAGAGGTGATATGTGCAATCCTCAAGGCCAGACTCTTAAAAAGAAGTTGCATGTTCTCCTCCATCTTGATGGTAGGGATGCAAGATGTGATGATAGGAGCTGAGCAAGACATTTTGTGGTGTACCAGCTCTGAACCACTCACCTGGAATTTTATGTGAGAGAGATAAACTTAAGTTTAAGCCATTATATTTTGGGTTTATTTGTTACAGAAGCCTAACATTTACTCTAACTAACATGGGTATATGGATCTGATAATAGTCCTTAGGAAAGAAGACTGTGGAACAATCATGAAAAAAGAATAGGAGTTAAAGCCTGCAGGACATGTTACCAGTATGTTCTGCCCTTGCAGAGTCTCCTGAATTCTGTTCCCTGTGTTGGGCCTCATCCTTAGGCACACAGAGGGTGTCCCCTCAAATTCTTATTTCATCAAAATTGAGCCAACAATTGCCCTTTCTCTCAAATTGATTTCAGGTGGCATGACTCAAAGAGCACCAGACTTAAGGTCAGAAGATCTGAAGTCTAATTCCGGCTCGGTTTTTTCTGCCGTTCACAGTTATTTAATCTCTCTGAGCTTAGCTTTCCTCATCTATAAACTGAAGATGATGGTATCTGCCTCCAGGATTATTGTGACAATTGGCTTAGCTCAATGCTTGGCACAAAACAGACACTTCATACTCTCCCTCCTTCCCAGCCCCTCTGCCTTGCCGCATGCAGAACAGCCATGTGTCACATGAGTACAGTAAAGACCCCCATCGTCTCTTGTCTCACCGGCCCACCAAGGAAAAACACACTGGGAAATGTATCCAAGGACTTATCGGCCCTAAGGCCACAGGGCTTAGGCTTTGGTGAGCAGAGAGTGGAGGCCTAGAGTAATGTTGGCAGAATCCAAGAGTCTTTTTAAAAGGAGGGGCGGATCAGTGAAACCCGGAGCAAAAGAGCCTTGCAGCATTTGGGAAACACAACAGTGGGCTCCTTTATGTGGATGAAGTGCTGAGATCATGATCAGAGCCTCTGGGCTCTTGGCATGACCTTTCGGGTCAGAGGTACCTGACAAGACTGGCTGGTTGGTTCAAGTTCAGGGTGTCACAGTTCTGGTGGCTCCAGTCTCCACTGAGAAACCTGGGAAAATCTTTCTGCTGGACAGCCCAGGGGCTGACATCAACCTGAACTGCTACCAAGTATCAGGAGAAGCTTTCTTAACAAGTCAGGAACAATGAGACATTGTGCAGGCAGGTAGATCACAGTCTGTGTCCAAATCCCACAAGAAGAATTCTTAAGTATCTGCTTTCAGCCCCTGGAGACAGGAGTTTTTCATCTGGGGTCCTAAACTCCTCAACCACAACCTCTGGCCACGTTCTTGGCCCTCACCGGTCCCCATGTATCTCCTCTCTGGTAGTGGGACCCCAAATACATATATGGCTCCACTACCAGGGGGCCTGCAGGATTCCTGGAGGCTGAACTCCAATTCCCACTTTTCCATCCTTATCAGAAGCCTGACTGTCCTGTCCCTCTCATCCTAATCTAATCCAGTCAAGTTCAGGGTTTGCCAGCACACCAGGGCCTTCTCCTCTCCAACCAGACAGTGATTGAGGCTCCGGGATGGTAGAGTATGAGTCAGATCAGACCAGCGCCAGCACAGCTCTCCTTCCTCTATTGGTATTTCCCAGAGTGTACGTGCAAGTTTTAGATAACATAGGAATAAAAATTTATTGTAGCCCTGTGTTTATTGTAATAGGTATAAAAAATCAGTAGCTCATTGGAGTGGTGATTTCATGGATATCATTACTTAGTGTAATGCAAAATTTAAAAAGTAAATTAATTTAATATAGATCTCAAACTTACTGAAAAAAGTCATGGTATGGATGGCCCATGACACCAAAAAAAAAATGGTGCTGGGAAAATGCTCTTCACTATGCTGATTCTCTGGTCAAAAATGAGAAATATGATTTTTCAATTGACCCAAATACTCCTTCCAGCTGATAAATACAGTCTCTTTTGAGGAAGATTATTTACCTGTGAAGTCACATTAAGATAGCAATAGATTAAACAGATCAGATTTGCATTTTAGAGAGGTGATTCTGAAATAGAGTTGCCAGATAAAATACAGAATACCCAATTCAATTTGAACTTCAGATTGATTATTGCATGGTGATATGGTTTGAATCTGTCCCCACTCAAATCTCATGTTGAATTGTAATCCCCAGTGTTGAAAGTGGGGCCTGGCCGGGCGCGGTGGCTCACGCCTGTAATCCCAGCACTTTGGAAGGCTGAGGCAAGGTCAGGAGATCGAGACCATCCTGGCCAACACGGTGAAACCCTGTCTCTACTAAAGATACAAAAAAAAAAAAAAAAAAAAATTAGCCAGGCATGGTGGCAGGTGCCTGTAGTCCCAGCTACTTGGGAGGCTGAGGCAGGAGAATGGTGTGAACCCAGGAGGTGGAGCTTGCAGTGAGCCGAGATCGACACTGCACTCCAGCCTGGGTGACAGAGCAAGACTCCGTCTCAAAAAAAAAAAAAGAAAGAAAGAAAGTGGGGCCTGATAGGAGGTGATTGGATCATGGGGTCAGGGTTTTCATGAATGGTTTAGCGCCATCCACTTGGTGCTGTCCTCATGCTAGTGATTGAGTTCTCACAAGATCTTGTTGCTTACATGTGTTTGGCACCAGCCACTGCCCTTGGTCCTGTTCCTGCCATGTAAGATGTCTGCTCTGGCTTTGCCTTTTGCCATGAGTAAAAGCTCCCTGAGGCGTCCCCAGAAGCAGATGCTGTTATGCTTCCTGGACAGCCTGTGGAACTGTGAGCAAATTAAACCTCTTTTCCTTATAAATGACCCAGTCTCAGGTATTTATTTACAGCAATACCAGAATGAACTAATACAGAAAATTGGTACTGAGAAGTAGGGCATTGCTATAAGAATACCTGAAAATGGAAGTGACTTTGGAATTGGGTAGCAGGCAGAGGTTGGAGGAGTATGGAGGGCTCAGAAGATTGGAAGATGGGGGAAAATTTGGAACTTCCTAGAGACTGCTTGAATTGTGACCAAAACGCTGATGGTGATATGAACAATGAAGGCCAGGCTGAGGAGGTCTCAGATGGAGATGGGGAACTTACTGGGAACTGGAGCAAAGGTCACTTTTGTCATGCATTAGCAAAGAACTCATAGGCATTATGCCCCTGCCCTAAGTATCTGTGGAACTTTGAACTTGAGAATGATGATTTTAGGGTACCTGGTGAAAGAAATTTCTAAGCAGTAAAGCATTCAAGATGTGACCTGGCTGCTTCTAGTAACCTATGCTCATATGATGAGCAAAGAAATGATCTGAAACTGTAACTTATATTTAAAAGGGAAGCAGAGCATAAAAGCTTGGAAAATTTGAAGGCTGGCCATGTGGGAGAAAAGAAAAGCCCATTTTCAGGGGAGCAACTCAAGCCAACTACAGAAATTTGCATAACTAAAAGGAAAGCAAGTGCTGATAGCCAAGATAATGGGGAAAAGGCTGAACCTTTGTGGCACTCCTCTCATCAGAGGCCTGGAGGCCTAGGAGGGAAGAGTAGTTTCATGGGCCAGGCCTAGGGCCCCCCTGCCCTTTGCAGCCTGGGGACACTCCTCCCTGCATCCTAAGCCACTCTGGCTCCAGTTGTGGCCCAAAGAGGCCCAGGTACAACTCAGGACACTGCTTCAGAGGGTACAAACCATGAACCTTGGCAGCTTACACATTGTGTTAAGCCGGCTAATGTGCAGAGTGCAAGAGTTGAAGCTTGGGAGCCTCCACCTAAATTTCAGAGAATGAAAAGCCTGGACGTCCAAGCAGAAGTGTGCTACAGAAGTGTGGGGCCCTCATGAAGAACCTTTACTAGGGAAGTCCAAAGAGGAAATGTGGGGTTGGAACTTCCATACAGAGTCCCCCCTGGAGCACTGCCTAAAGGAGCTATGAGAAGGGGGTTACCATCTTCCAGATCCCAAAATTGTAGATCCACCAACAGCTTGCACCCTGCACCTGGAAAAGCTGCAGACACTCAATGCCAGCTCTTGAGGGGGCTGAATCCTGGAAAGCCACTGGGTGGAGCTGCTCAAGGCTTTGGGAGCCTACCCCTCATACTAGTGTGCCCTGGATGTGAGAC
Source organism: Homo sapiens (assembly GCF_000001405.40). Lineage (NCBI taxonomy): Eukaryota > Metazoa > Chordata > Mammalia > Primates > Hominidae > Homo > Homo sapiens. The sequence continues at coordinate 167,608,298 of NC_000001.11, forward strand.
ATGGAAGCAAAGGAGATTGTTTTGGAGCTGTAAGATTTAGACTGTCCTGTTGGGTTTCAGACTTGCATGGGGCCTGTAGTCCCTTCCTTTTGGCTGATTTCTCCCTTTTGGAAAGGGGGTTTTTACCCAATCCCTATGCCTCCATTGTATCTTGGGAGTAACTAACTTGATTTTGATTTTACAGGCTCTGGACTTTTGAGTTAATGCCAAAATGAGTTAAGATTTGGGGGATTATTGGGATGTCACGATTGTACTTTTGCAACATGAGAAGGACATGAAATTTGGAGGGGCCAAGGGTGGAATGATATGGTTTGGATCCCCACCCAAATCTTATGTTAAATTGTAATTCCCAGTGTTGGAGGTGGGGCCTGATGGGAGGTGATTGGATCATGAGGGCAGAGTTCTCACGAATGATTTAGCACTATCCCCTCAGTGCTATTGTCATGAGAGTGATGGAGTTCTCACAAAATCTGGTTGTTTAAAAGTCCATGGCACCTCCTCCTGTCTGTCAGTCCTGTTCCTGCCATGTAAGACACCTGCTCCTGTTTTGCTTTCCACCATAAGTAAAAGCTCCCCAAGGACTCCCCAGAAGCAGATGTCATTATGCTTCCTATACAGCCTGCAGAACTGTGAGCCAATTAAACCTCTTTTCCTTATAAATTACTCAGTCTCAGTTATTTCTTTATAGCAATGTGAGAACAGACTAATACACATGGGAGATATTTATACTAAAAATTACTTATCAATAGTTTGATGTTCAAATTTAACCGGATGGCTTGTATTTTTATTTGATAAACCTGACAGCCTTACTCTGAAAGTTTAAGTTAATCTCGGCTCCTCCTACTTACTCCCACATCCTAATATGTACTTAATCCCTGGAAAATCAAACTTGTAGTGTCTTTCAACCCTCTTTTTTCCTCTCCAGCTTAGGTCTTCAACTCTCCTGACTTGTTTTCCTGTCTGCAAAATTGCCTCTGATTCCTTCTGCTGTCGGAATCATCTTCCTAAAATGTAAATCTGACCCCTGCAAAACAGCTCTTAAGATGTTGCCCTTTCTCCTACTGACAAAGTCCAAATTCCTTTGCATGTCCAATTCCAGCCCCTGTTCCTCTCTGTCATCCCCGCCACAATGGACTTTGCTTTTCCCTCTGTACAGTGCACCCCTTTGTGTATCCTCCAGTTTGCTCCTGATAGCTTCACAGCCTTGAAAAATCTGACTTGGGTCTTCGTTATTAACCCCAGTGCTCAGTCCTCAGTGACACCTCCTCAGCACCTTAGCTCTCACTGCTGTCGCATCTCTGCCCCAGGCTAAGAGCACTGGCTACATCTAAGACTCTATCTCAGGTTTGTAGTGGAGTACTTGAGGTGAGGTGCCAGAGTGCGGTATTGACCATAGCAGGAGGGCCTGAGGTCCTTTGAGGCACCAGGAGGTAAGAGGAAAAGAAAAGGAACTAGTACAAAGATGAAAAGAAAAAACTGGAAAATGTTGGTTCCTCCTACTTCTTTTCTATTTAAGTCTCTGTTGATTGTGCGACTGTGTGCACATGATCTGATTTAATCCTCACGATATCCCTGCAATTTCATCACCCTGAATTTTTATAGGAAGAACTGATGACAAGAGAAGTTGGCATGATTTGCCCCCAAACACATTCAAGAAATAGCTATATTTAGAACCCAAGTCTTTTAGTAGGAAGACCAGCCTAGTACCATTTACTGAACTCCACCACCCTACCCCACCTCATCCTACCCCATATCCCCTTCTGCCTCAGACCTTGTACCCCAGGAAGAGGTCCTGGGAAACAAACCATTTCTTCTTTGCAGGCTGCATGCTCATTATTCTGTACATGACAACTTCCTTTGGCTTAATGTGTTGAACTGGTGATTATTAGGATTTTCTCATGAATGTTTTCAGAAAAAAAAACAAAATATAAAAAAAGACTGGATTCTTTCATTGCTACTGGGGCAAAGAGCTGACTAAACAGGGCTGATGCATTTTGCAAAAGGGAAAAGGCAGGATAGAAGTCTGGAATAGAACTGGAACCCTTTCCCTGACCCCTGGATTATAGAACATTCCAGACAACATTTTCCTAGCATAAGACTTTAGCTTTCTGAGTCAGGAACTCAATTTTCTTTAGACCCTAAAAATATTGTCTTAAATTTTTCTACCATTAGATTTCTTTTGGAAATTCAAAACATTTCCAGGTTTTTTTTCTTTTCCTTTTTTATTGTTTATTCATTATGATTACTATTTTTGAGTTATAATACAAATAGCATAGAGTGCACAAGGGCACTGATCTTAAATGTCCTGCTTAATGAGTTCTTGCATTTGTATACACCAGCACCTGGACCAAGATGTAAAACATTTCCATCACCTCAGAAGGGTCCCTCATGCACCTTCCCAGTCAATATCCCAGCTCAGGGGTAGCTATTATTCTAACATCTATCACCCTGAATTAGTTGTGCCTATTCTTGAGCGTCATAGCACATACTCTTCTGTGTCTGTCTTCTGCTCAGCATTATGTTTTTGAAATTCACCTCTGTCACGTGTGTCAGTATTTTGTTTCTTTTTATTGCCGAGTGTGGTAATATTTTATTGCATTAATATTCCACAATTTGTTGATCTGTTCTTGGACATTTGGATTGTTCGTAGTTTTGTACTATCATGGATAAAACTGATTTGTACCAATATGATAGGCTTGTATGTGTCTTTTGATAGGTATATCTACCTATTTCTCTTGGGAGCATGCCTAAGTTTGAAATTCCTGGTTCATGGAGCAGAGTCACAAATTTTTCAGGAAATGAATAAACTAAACTTTTCCAACAGCCATATGAAGAATGCTGCCCTTAAGCAAACCTTTAAAGTAGATAAAGATGTATTTACTGATCTCAAAGTTTTCAGTGACCTTTCTCTCTCCATCACCAAGAGCCTATCCTGGGTATCCGATCACCCTGAGTCTACTCACTGTTTTTGTTCTTGTTGTTGTTATTATTTTTGTTGTTATTTTGGAAATTTATGAGGGTATACAAGTCCAGAGAGAATAGTGCTATGAATTCCCACATGCGTGCACCCAGTTTCAACAACTATCAATGCATTCCCAATTCTGCCTCATCTATCTCTTTAACGATTTTTCACCCCTGGAAGATTTTAAAGAAAATCTCACACCTCATGTAACTTTAGCCATGGTACTTCAGTATGTATCTCTGGCAGATAAAATCTTTTATTTTTAACACAATCACTATATCACATTCACACCTAGGAAAAGTAACATGGATTTCTTGACATCATCTAATACCATCTGTGTTCAAATTTTCCCAATTGTCTCAAAATTATTGGTGTGTTTGAATCAGGACCCAATGAAGGTACACACATTGCATTTTGCTGATACTTCTCTTAAGTCTCTTTAAATATATAACAATTCTTTCTCCCTCTTTCTTTTTTTAAAATGTTGTTTATTTGTTAAAGAAACCAGTTCATTTGATCTATAGAAATTTCCCACATTCTAGTTTTTGCTGATTAAATCCTCATGGGATGTACATGGGCCATCTGCCATGTTTCCTGTAAACTGAAAGTTAGAGCTGGAGGCTTGATTAGTCTCTGGTTTCATTTTATATTTTTTTACTTTTGCAAATATCCCATCATCATAGGTGGCACTTACTGCATCATATCAGGATGGGCATAATGTCTTCTTGCCTCATTTTGAAAGATGCTGCCCACCTTTCACCTGCCCTCCTCCCTTTCACTCCCCCAGGGCTTTGCTTGTTTTCTGCTCTATTCCTGCCCATCTCTCAATGCCCACATACCATATTGCCACCCCCGGCCAATCCACCAGACACACATTGTCATAGCTGTCCTACATTTCATCCACTCAAGTGTGATGTTAGTTTGTGGCTTCAACAGTTAATATCATGACTAATCACAGAAAGAGAGATAATGCACAAAGCCAAAGGGCCTTCTACCTGTCCTATCACCACTTCTCAGCCCAAATGTATGGTTTCCAACCTCAGAATCCCCACATTGGAAACTACTTTGAAAGTCAAGTCATTAGACTCTATCAGAACATGGACATAACAAACCAAAAGTGATTGTCTGAGATTGGTTTGTGATGTTCAGTGCTGGAGAACACACATCTTTAGAAAAGAGACCACAGCTAGAAGGCTTATAAAAGTGTTGTCTTTATTGATGCCAAATCTGCTTTCTTAGAATTTTTACCCAGTTAGTCATATACCTGGACTTAGAAGTTAACCCAGAGGAGTGACACTGATGGTGGCAATTTATGGTCAGGCATATTCAGGTGTTTATTGTTTTATTCTTAAAAATTTTTTAATTGTGGTAAAAAAATCACATATTATAAAATTTACCCTCTCAATCATTTTTTACAGTTCAGTAATGTACAGTGTACAGTTCAGTAATGTTAACCGTATTTACATTGTTGTGTAACAGATCTCTAGAACTTCTTCATCTTGCAAAACTGAAACTTTATATCTATCAAGCAATTCCTCTTTTCCTCCTTCCCCAAGTCTCTGACAACCAGTATTCTTTTGTTTCCCATGATTTTGACTACTCTAGACATATCACATAAGTAGAACCATGCAGTCCTTTGTGCCTGGCTTATTTCATTCAGCATAATGTCATCCACAAGGTTTATTCATGTTATAGCATGTGACAAAATTCTCTTTTTTTAAAGGCTGCATAATATCCCATTGAATGCATATAACACATTTTCTTTTTTGTTCTTTTTCTTTTCTTTTTTTCTGAGACAGGGTCTTGTTTGTCACCCAGACTGGAGTGCAGTGGTGCAATCATGGGCTGGCTAATTTTTGTATTTTTTTGTAAAGATGGGGTCTCACTATATTGCCCAGGCTGGTCTCAAACTCCTAGGCTCAAGCAGTCTGCCCAACTTGGCCTCCCAGAGGGCTGGGATTACAGGCATAAGCCACCGCACCCAGCCAAACACATTTTCTTTATCCATTCATCTGTCAATGGACATGTAAGTTGCTTCCACCTCCAGGCTATTGTGAATAATGCTTCCATGAACATGGGTGTGCAAATAATCTCTTCAAGATCTTGCTTTCAATTCTTTTGAATATATACCCTAAAGTGAGATTACAGGATCATATGGTAATTCTATTTTTAGTTTGTTTTTTTGTTGTTGTTGTTTTTGTTTTTTTATTTTTTATTTTTATTTTTATTTATTTTTTTTTTTTTTGAGACGGAGTCTCTCTCTGTCGCCCGGGCTGGAGTGCAGTGGCGGGATCTCGGCTCACTGCAAGCTCCGCCTCCCGGGTTCACGCCATTCTCCTGCCTCAGCCTCCCAAGTAGCTGGGACTACAGGCGCCCGCCACTACGCCCGGCTAATTTTTTGTATTTTTAGTAGAGACGGGGTTTCACCGTTTTAGCCGGGATGGTCTCGATCTCCTGTCCTCGTGATCCACCTGCCTCAGCCTCCCAAAGTGCTGGGATTACAGGTGTGAGCCACCATGCCCAACCCTATTTTTGTTTTTAAAGGAAACTTCATACTGTTTTTCACTGGGACTGCACCATTTTATATTCCTACCAGCAGTGCACAGTGTTCTAATTTCTCCATAAAAAATTAGAGAATTCTGGGTTTTTTTTCAGATAGTGGCCACCCTAATGAGTATGGGGTACACTCAACTATCTCATTGTGGTTTTGATTTGCATTTCTCCAGTGATTAGTGATGTTGAGCATCCTTTCATATGCTTGTTGGTTATTCATGTAACTTCTTTGCAGAAATGTCCTTTGAAGTCCTTTGCCTATTTTTTGTTATTTTTTTAACGGACCTTCCTTCCTTCCTTCCTCCCTTCCTTCCTCCCTTCTTCCTTCCTTCTTCCCTCCTTCTTCCCTCTCTCCCGCCCTCCTTCCCTCCTTCCTTCCTTTGTTGTTTTTTTTTTGTGGTTTGTTGTTGTTGTTGTTGTTGTTGAGATGGGGTCTTGCTCTGTTACTCAGGTTGGAGTGCAGTGGTGCAATCATAGTTCACTGCAGCCTCAACCTCTTGGGCTCAAGTGATCCTCCCACCTCAGCCTCCTGAGTAGCTAGGACTACAGGTACATGCCACCATGCCTGGCTAATTTTTTTATTTTTATTTTTTTTAGAGACAGGGTCCTGCTATGCTGCCCAGGCTGATCTCGAACTCCTAGGCTCAAGCTGTTCTCCTGCCTTGGCCTCCCAAAGTGTTGGGATAACAGGCATGAGCCACCATGCCTGGCCAGTTACTTGTTTTTCTACTGTTGAATTGTAGGAGTTCTTTATATTCTAGATATTAACCCCTTATGAGATATGTGATTTGCAATTATTTTCTCCTATTACATAGATTGTATTTTCACTGTTGGTTCCTTTAATGTGGAGGAATTTTTAAGTTTGATATAGTCTCATTTGTCCATTTTTGCTTTTGTTTCCTACACTGTCAGTGTCATATTCAAGAAATTATTGTCAAATCCAATGTCATAAAGCTTTCCTCCTATGTTTTCTTCTAGGAGTTTTATAGTTTCAGGTCTTAGGTTTAGGTCTTTAATCCGTTTTGTGTTAATTTTTGTATATAGTGTAAGGTAAGGGTCCAACTTCATTCTTTCACATGTGGATATCCCAGCTTTCCCAACACCATTTGTTGAAGAGATTGTCCTTTCCCCATCATGTGGTCTTGGTAACCTTTTTGAAGATCATTTGTCCATATGCATGAGGGTTTATTTCTGGGCTCTCTATTCTGTTTCATTGGTCTATATGTCTGTCATTATGCTCATGCCACATTGTTTTGATTATTGTAGCTTTATATTATGTTTTGAATTCAGGAAGTGTGAAGCCTCCAATTTTGTTCTTTTTCAAGATTGTTTTGGAAATTTGGGGTCCCTTGAGATTCCATACGAATTTTGAATTTTTTTTCTATTTCTGCAAAAAAAAAGCTATTGAAATTTTGATAGGTATTACATTGAATTTGTAGATAGCTTTGGGGGTATGGCCATTTTAACAACATTAAGTCTTCTGATCCATGAACATAGAGTGTGTTTTTGTTTATTTGTGTCTTTAATTTCTTTCAGGAATGATTTGTAGTTTTCAGTGTATAGGTGTAGTTTTCAGCTTACCTCCTTGATTAAGTTTACTCCTAAGTATTTTACTATTTTTGTTGCTATTGTAAATGGGATTGTTTTCTTAATTTTTTCTTGGATTGTTCATTGTTAGTACATAAAAGCACAACTTTTTTCATGCTAATTTTGTATCATATAACTTTGCTGAATTCATGTAATAACTCTAACTGTGTTTTGGTGTACAATTTTCAGGGCTTTCTACATATAAGATCATGTCATTTGTGAACAGAGATCATTTTACTTCTTCCTTTCTGATTTGTATGCCTTTTATTTCTTTTTCCTGCCTAATTGCTCTGGCTAGGACTTCCAGTACCAAGTTGAATAGAAGTGGTAAGAGGAAGCAAGCTTGCCTTCTTCCTGGTCTTAGAAAGCTTTCAGTTGGCTGGGTGCAGTGGCTCACGCCTATAATCCCAACACTCTGGGAGGCCGAAGTGGGTGGATCATTAGAGGTCAGGAGTTTGAGACCAGCCTGGCCAACATGGTGAAACCCCACCTCTACTAAAAATACAAAAATTAGCCAGGTATGGTGGTGCACACCTGTAATCCCAGCTACTTGGGAGGCTGAGGCAAGAGAATCACTTGAACCCGGGAGGTGGATGTTGCAGTGAGCCAAGATCGTGCCACTGCATTCTGGCCTGGGTGACAGAGTGAGACTATATCTCAAAAAAAGAAAGAAAAAAAAAAAAAAGAAAGCTTTCAGTTTTTCACTGTTGAGTATAATGTTAATTGTGGGCTTTATACAGTTTTGTTTTGTTTTGTTTTGTTTTGTTTTTGTTTTTTGAGATGGAATCTCACTCTGTTGCCCAGGCTGGAGTGCAATGGCATGATATCGGCTCATTGCAACCTCTGCCTCCCGGGTTCGAGTGATTCTCCTGCCTCAGCCTCCCGAGCAACTGGGACTACAGGTGCGTGCCACCACGCCCGGCTTATTTTTGTATTTTTAGTAGAGATGGGGTTTCACAATATTAATCAGGCTGGTCTTGAACTCCTGATCTTGTGATCTGCCCTCCTCAACCTCCCAAAGTGCTGGGATTACAGGCGTGAGCCACCATGCCAGGCCCACTTATAGTTTTACTTTTTAAAATATAGGGCTTTGAGACTGGTTTTAAAATATTAAATTTGGTTGAAACTAGTCACACATTAGAAATGATAGCTCAGGATGACCAACTGGCAACAGAAAAATCTGCATACGTATTTTCTAGATGTGGGCTTATGGAGACATATGGGGCCATACCTGTCTTGTGAGCTACGTTCTCTCATGCTTAGGTTTCAAGCGGGGTGGTTGACAAAACATACCCAGCTCACGTAACTAACGATAAGTCATTTGCCCGGGTGGTCCTTTAAGGCCAACCTTGACGTTTCACACATGTGAGCCTGATTGACCAGTGAATGGAGAACACTCTTCGTGGGTCTGCTGAGGAAGAAGAACTTGGAGAGACTAATCACCATTTTCCTACTAGGTTCTTAATGGCTTTAGAAACTGAGTTTCTCTCTAGACTTTGATGAGAAGCAGAAGAAAAAGCAACCAGGAAAGAACAATATAGTGCTCTGATATGTCTCAGAGCCAACTACCATGAATACCAAAACAGACATTGGCAAGCAAGGATACAGACCTGTGAATTGCAGCTATAAGAAATTAAGAAATACCACCCTGAGCAGGACCAAGTTGAATTTGGAAGCTATGGCTTGTTTTTGTTTTTGTTTTTAAGTGATAAGCTGACTTGAGATAAAAGGAAGGCGAGAAGGCTCATTCCTTCAATTACCAACTGCTTCCTGAACATGAATAAGCATGAATAAGGCATGTAAGTAGGCACTATAGAATACTGAGGAGAAAAGACACACCTATTCATCACTATGATGTGATGTAGAGATAAATACCATGAGAGGGTGAGGAAAGAGAGCTATCGGCAACGCACACTGTTAATGATTTAGGAATTCCTCCTCCTTGAGCAAGCAATCAGATCATCATCCTTAGCTCATCAACAGCTAATATTACAGTCCCTAATGCCCTTTCTTACCATCCCACTTCCTTCTTACCAACCCTAGTTCCAGTTCTGCTCTACCAGCCTTAGGGTAATCATGACCTGGTGCAGGGAAGTGGGAGAAGAGGCACTAGGCAGACAAACAGACCGTGCTGGACAGATAATTCATGAAGCCTTAAACACAGCTGCAGAATTAAAACAGAAATGTCAAGGGAACAAAGTGTTCCAGCTGACTTAACTTCCTGCTGATATGTCTCTGGGGAGGAGGGGTGAGGTCTGGAGTTCTAGTATTGGGGTAGAGGGAGGGCAGGGGGTCTGGTGCCGGTGGGAGCAGGACTTACGTCTTTTCAGGCATGGGTACCCAGGAGTTGAGTTCCCATCTGCAAGGCTGTTGACACTCACTTCCTGAGGCTGGCCATGGTCAGAGGAGTCTCTCAGCTACTGATGTGCCCAACCTACAGAAAAACAGGATGTTAGGTTTCAGATCTGATTGAGCCATGAGATGCAAATTCCTTTTCCACCCCACCCCCACCCCTCTCCCCAACGGCTGCCACCCACACCATTCCCCTTTCTGCGGCAAAGCATTCATCTCCCTGTGTGACTTCCATCAGGGGCTGTCTGCTTCCTTTGCTTCATTGCCGCCTGGCTGTAAGGGGTCAGATTAGTGCTTAACCCATTTCATTATGGTTTCAGATTTATGGTCATTTTGATTAGGAGTTCCTTACCACATTCCTGGGTGACTGATGAGAACTCTCATCAAATTAGAAAAGGAGAACGGTAAAGTCACTTTGCTCTCTGCAAATCACCTATCTGGTAGGATCTTCGAATCCCCAGGCCTCACTTTGGCCCCTTTGCCTACAGGTTATCTATAGGTAATTGGTTGTCAAATCTTTCTTTCCCTTGGTTAGTCTCATCCCATCTCTTTCTCTTTGTTGCCACCTAAAAGCCCTTCCACGTGCAATGAAGGAAACAGAAGCAGAAAATACAAATCAGAAGCCACTGCTCAAGTTCAATTATCTTCAAAATACAGATATCACCCATTTTCGCAGATGCAAACACCAAGCGCAAAACTCTCCCAGAACAACATTCTGAGTGCAGCAGGATCTCCATAAGGAGGCTGAAATGGATTCCAAACTTTGTGCCCACTCAAAGGACGGATGTGCACCCTGTTGGAGCGGGCCCCGCAAACCTGAGGACTGAAGCTGGCTCTGGCAATAGCTCACGTTCTCTTCTACCCCCTCCGCGGGCTCCTGGGGCTGTTTGCTCACAGGATCCTTCCACATAAAGCTCTGCCATCAGCCCCTGCACCGAGCACACCTAAGTCAACGTCTTCTTCCTCTTGCCCCCGAGGCCTTCCTTGACGCTCCATCCTAGTCCTTCCGGCCTTCCTCAGTACCCAGCAACATCCAGTCTTACACTGCTTTAGCACATTTAGTATTTAGCTTGTATTCTGATTCGAAGACTCAAGGATCTATTACTGCCTTTTCAGATAAATGACACTCACAAGGTATGAACTCTATGTTTGCCTCATGGGTCCTAGAGTGGTATTAGGTACACCAAGATGAGAAAAGTCTTTAAAAGTCTCAAAGATTATCACACAGCAGGAAGCAGGCAGTGTAATTATAACATACTCCCAAACCATAAAAATACGGAAGAGACTTCAGCACCAGGAGTTGTGACTTTATACAAGGAGATGATAGTATGTAAACTAGTTGATATGTGGTAATTAGGAAAAAAGGTCAGGTCTTTAACTGCGCTATGGTATACTGTATATTACAACTCCCTATGTTATTACTGCATTTTTAAGTGGGCATGTGAGAAGTGGATGACAAAATGAATTATCTACTTTTTTGCACGGGGCTAGTGTGCACTCATTCATCCAACATGTATTGATTCACCAGATTTGAAGGTGGCACTGATCATAGAACTTTGACTGAGATAGGGTGGAATGTGCCTTAATTAAGCTTAAAGTTTCATAAGAATATAAAGAAAGTAGATGGGGCCGGGCATGGTGGCTCACGCCTGTAATCCTAGCAATTTGGGAGGCTGAGGTGGATGGACCACTTGAGGTCAGGAGTTCGAGACCAGCCTAACCAACATGGTGAAACGCCGTCTCTACTAAAAATACAAAAGTTAGCCAGGCGTGGAGGTGGGTGCCTGTAATCCCAGCTACTGGGGAGGCTGAAGCAGGAGAATCGCTTGAACCTGGGAGGCAGAGGTTGCAGTGAGCCGAGATCATACCATTGCAGTCCAGCCTTGGTAACAGAGCAAGACTCCGTCTCAAAAAACAAAAAAATAGAAAGTAAATGGGCAATTATATAATAATTCTTTCAATGGCAGTAATAGTACAGGTGTTGAATGGCACATAGGAAATATCTCTCTCCCAGGTGGTGGGAGAGTGGGGAAAGGGGTGGTGGTGGTCAGGACCATTTTCCTAGAGAAAGCCTGAACCAAGAACTCTTACTCAAAAATGAATAAAATTCACTTTGCGCAAATCAGGAAATGTATTCCAGGCAGAGGGAAGAGCCAATTCAGGGACCTGAAAGCAGCTCAGGATGCCTGGAGTCTGGAATACTGGCTGTTCTCTGTTGAGAAGAGGCCAGACAGATAAGTGCAGCCATGTCAGGAAGGGATGTGAGTGAGCCATCTAAGAAGTTAGCCTTTATCCTGAATGCTTCTGGGAGCCAGTTACATGTTCTTGAAAGATTATTGCCTGTGGAGCGGAAAATAGATGGGATGGGGGGAGTATGAGTCAAGGCTGGAGGTAAGGAGAACAACTAGAAGATGCAGAGATTAACTAGGACACTGTTTTCATAATCCTGACGTTAAGAGGGCAGTGACAGTGATGGAGGGAGGGGGGATGATGTCAGGGAGCTTCAGAGCTAGAACGGCAGCACCTGATTGCTAAAGATGAAGGATAAATCGAGAGTGACTCCCAGGTTTCTGTCATGAGCAAATGGATGGATACTGAGGCCACTGCAAGAGGGAAAGAGAAACTATCAGGCGGGGACACAGGTTTTCAGTATGTTTTTGCAAATGAGCACTTTGCCAAAGTCAAAAACAAGAACACGTTGTGCAGAAAACTTTTGACATACTTCTCTGCCTGTTATCCATGTAAAAAGACAAAGGGAGATGAGTCATAGGTGGGATTTGGATACTATTATTTCTTATAATCTGTTTAACTTTATTTGTATAGAATTGTTGGAGATAATTGTTTTAAGACCAAGCGGGTAACCTCGAGCTTGGGCAAGCTCCTGCCCACTTCAAGATACTGATTTGAATTAGTGAATGCCCTTAGAGGTAAAACTGCAACATCACTTAACCTTATCAACAATATCCTAAAGAAATTATATCAAAAAAAACCTTCATTTCAGTAAACATCACCGCATTTTCTCGGAGAAATTAGTTCTTTGTTAAGAATGAGAAAAAGGATTATCAATACCAACTGCTCTTTAAAATTCAGATAGGAATTAAAACACTTTAAATTCTGACAATGGTTACTCTTATTTTTTTCAATTTACAATTGTTTTTCCTCCACGAATGATGTTAGGCTTCTCACTCCCTTTTTCTGCATCGCATTGTCCCATCTTTCTGTTTCTCTCTCTTTCTCTCTCTGTGTGTGTGTGTGTGTGTGTGTGTGTGTGTGTGTGTATGTGTGCATATGTTTCTCTCTCTGCCCTTCCCTGCCAGTCTCTTTCTCTCCATCTCTGCTCCACATTTTTCTGAGGGTCAACCTCTTTCTTTGTACTGATATATGTGTCTGATTTTGTCTTCTTATAAGTTTGTATCTATCTGAATCAGTTGAATACCTTCAGCTATAACAAAAAATCATAACTCAGCCAGGCACAGTGGCTCATGCCTGTAATCCCAGCACTTTGAGAGGCCAAGGCAGGAGGATCACTTGAGGTAAGGAATTCGAGACCAGTCTGGCTAACATAGTGAAACCCCGTCTCTACTAAAAATACAAAAATTAGCCAGGCATGGTAGTGGGCGCCTGTAATCCCAGCTACTCGGAGGCTGGGGCAAGAGAATCACTTGGACCCGGGAGGTGGAGGTTGCAGTGAGCCAAGATCGCGACACTGCACTCCAGCCTGGGTGACAGAGCGAGACTCCATCTCAGGGGGCGGGGAGAGGGAAGATCATAACTTGAATGGCTTAAGCCATAAGGAAATGTATTGCTCTGCTGGGAGCAGTGGCTCATGCCTGTAATCCCACCACTTTGGGAGGCTGAGGCAGGCAGATCACAAGGTCAGGAGTTTGAGACCAGCCTGGCCAACATGGTGAAACCCTGTCTCTACTAAAAATACACTAAAAATAGCCAGGCGTGGTGGCTTGCGCCTGTAATCCCAGCCACTCGGGAGGCTGAGGCAGGAGAATTGCTTGAACCCAGGAGGTAGAGATTGCATTGAGCCAAGATCAAGACATTGCACTCCAGCCTGGGCAACAGAGCAAGACTCTGTCTCAGGAAAAAGAGAAAGAAAGAAGGGAAGGGAAGGGGAGGGGAGGGGAGGGGAGAAAGAAAGAAAGGAAAGAAAGAAAGAGAGAGAAAGCAAGCAAGCAAGCAAGCAAGCAAGAAAGAAAGAAAGAAAGAAAGAAAAGAAAGAAAGAAAGAAATGTATTGCTTCACCTAACAAGAAGTCCAGAGGGGGAAGTCATCTCAGGGTTGCTTGATTCAGCACCTCAACAGAGTTATCGGGTTTTTTATTCAATGAACATTCACTAAGCGCCTATTTGCGCCTGGCCTTGATTTGGGCACACAGGAAACACACTGAAAAAAAAGAAACAAAGATATCTGTGTTCATGGAGTTTACATTCTGGCTTTTCGCAGCTTTGCCTCATGGTAGCAAAATAGCTGTTGCAGTTCCAGGCATCATTATAAGGTAAGATAACATCCAATATTTACAGGGCATCTCTTCCTGTGTGCTTCTTTATCAGAAAGGGTAATGCTTTCCCCCTTTTGTCTCATTAGTCAAAATTTCCTCACTTATCCCTCCCTAAAAAATAAAACAATTTCTGGCAAGGGGAATGATATTTCTAAAACTGGCTTAGACGATGCAGGAAATATCTTTTTATTGAACCTTAAAAAACCCACTAACACCAGGCCCCACTCCCTATTGTTCTAGCATGGGGCCCAGGCCCAGATTTTTTCTTTTAAACAGGGTCTCACTCTGTTGCCCACACTGGAGTGCAGTGGCATGATCGTATCTCACTGCAGCCTTGAATTCCTGGCTCAAGAGATCCTCCCACCTCATCCTCCTGAGTAGCTAGGACAGATTTTTTTTTTTTTTTTTAAGAGATGGGGTCTCACTACACTACCCAGACCGGTCTCTACCTCAAGTGATCTTCCTGCCTCAGCCTCCCAAAGTGTTGGAATTACAGGCATGAGCCACTGAATCCAGCCAAGAAAGATTTTTTCCAAAGCTCCCTGGGTCATTCTAATTTACAGCCTGACTTGAAACTGTTGTGCAGGCGCCCTGCATGATATACTTCTTAGGTTTAAGAAGGTTCGAGCTTCCTTGGTAGATTTACCTAATGTCATTCCTAAAACCTGGGATAATGTGTTAGAAGGAGAAGGTTGTGATCTTTTGGGACCTCTCAGTCATCCCCTTGGGTTTTCCATCAACACTGTTTTTTAGCCTCAGTTATTAGACCAGTGTCTTCTCCTAGCCCCATCCCTCATTGGCCCTTCTCTCAGCTGGAGACCACCCAGCCCTTTTCTTAGAGTACCTGAGCTGAGTGCAGTCTCTATCCTCACAGCCACCCTTTCCTCAGTCCAGTCTGTAACTCTTTTGTTTTCTTCTTTTTTAAAAATTAGATCTCTCCCCCCAAATTACGAAAATACATGTGTTTACTATAACCATTGAAACAGCACAAAGTTATTTCTACCAAGAAATATTTGAATAATCTTCCTCTTCCCGTATCCATTCTCTATTACTCGAGAAGATGAGGCTCTCTCTGGGCCTGTCTCTCTCCATGGCCAGTGCCCTCAGGCCCCAGCTTGTCTGTGGATCTCTGTGGTGGGGGTAAGGAGGAGGGGGTGACAAAAAGCTGGCACAGGAGTCAGTCCAGAATCAAAGCAGTGTGAGGGCTCAATTCTTCCCCCTAACTACCTTTTTTCTTAATTTTTAAAATTGAAACAATTTTATTTATTTATTTATTGAGACAGGGTCTCACTCTGTCACCCAGGCTGGAGTGCAGTGGCACGATCACAGTTCACTGCAGCCTTGACCTCCCAGGCTCAAGCAATCCTCCCACCTCAGCCTCCCAAGTTGCTGGGACTACAATTTATAGTATACCACCGTGCCCAGCCAATTTTTTTATTTTTTATAGAGACAGGGTCTTGCCATGTTGCCCAGGCTGGTCTCAAACTCCTGAGCTCAGGCAATCCTCCCACCTTGGCCTCCCAAAGTGCTGAGATTACAGGCATGAGCCACTGTGCCCAGCCTGAAATAATTTTAAACTTTGAGAAAAGTTATAAAGTTAACACAAAGAACTCCCATATAGCCTCCCACCCAGAATTCCTTTCAGTTTTGCCAATTATCCTAATAATTCCTTTAATATGCTTGGCTCAAACAAGCCAACCCAAACCACTCATTTAACCCAGTTATCATGTCTCTCTAGCCTCCTTTAACCAGAACCCTTCCTCAGCCTTTCCTTGACTTTCCTGACATTGACACTTATAAAAACTACAGACCAGTCATTTTGAGGAATGTCTTCCTATTTGGTTTCTCCGGTGTTTCCTCATGATTAGATTCAAGTTATGTCCTTTTGGCCAGAATATTACAGAAGTGATGGTGCATTCTTATTGCATCTCATCATGTGACGTCAATTTGTTTCATTACTGGTGATGTCGACTTTGGTCACTTGATTAATATGATGTCTATTAAAGCTTCTTCTCTGTAAGGTTGCTTTTCTCCTTATTGTAATTAATCAGTGACTTGAGGGAGCTAGTTTAAATTATGTAAAACCTCATTCCTTACCCCACTTCTACCCAATAGATTTAGCACACAACTTTGTTTCTTTCCTAAAATTAATTTAACTATGATGGTTGTTAGATGGAAATTTTCTAACTTTTTTTACACGTTAGTTGGCATTTTCTATGTTTTCTTTTTCTTTTTTTTTTTTTTTTTTTTGAGATGGAGTCTTAGTCTGTCTCCCAGGCTGAATGAAGTACAGTGGGGTGATCTTGGCTCACTGAAACCCCCACCTCCCAGGTTCAAGCTATTTTTCTGCCTCAGACTCCCGAGTAGGTGGGATAATAGGCACACACCACCACACCTGGCTAGCTTTTGTATTTTTAGTAGAGACAGGGTTTCACCATGTTGGTCAGGCTGGTCTGCAACCCACCTGCCTCAACCTCCCAAAATGCTGGGATTACAGGTGTAAGCCACCGCACCCATCCCATTTTCTATGTCTTGAATGTGTCCTCCAAAGTTTATTTGTTGGGAACTTAATTCCCAATGCAACAATATTTTGAGATAGGACCTTTAAGAGATGATTATGAGGGCTCTCCTCTCATGAATGAATTAATGCTGTTGTCTCAGGAGTGAGTTAGTTATCAAAAGAGTGGGTTCCTGATAAAAGGATGAGTTCAGCTCCTTTCCTCCCCTCCTCCCTCTCCCTCTCTCTCTCTCTCTCTCTCTCTCTCATGCTCCCTCACACCAATGCATGCCTTTCTTTCTTTCTTTCTTTCTTTAATGTAGAGACAGAGTCTCAAGATATTTACCAGGCTGGTCATGAACTTCTAGGCTCAAGTGATCCTCCAACCTCAGCCTCCCAAAATTCTGAGATTACAGGCGCCACCATACCCAGCCCATGCAACACTTTTCAACATGATGTAGCAAGAAGGCCCCCACCAGATGTTAATGCTATGCTCTTGGACTTCACAGCCTCCAGGACTATTTGCCAAATAAAAATTTCATTATAAATTACCCAGTCAGTGGTATTCTGTTACAGCAGCATAAAATGGACTAAGACAGCATTATACTGTAAGAAAGAACTTTCTCTTCTACTTATTCACTTAGTTATTTATATCATTGTAGATTCATGAGCTCCCATTTTATTTGAAGAGTTCTAATCCATTGCTTTCATTATTTATTTTGATTTTTACACAATCTCAATATTACTGGCAGGAGCACCTGTAAACTGATTTTTGTATCATTTTAACATCTCCCTCATCACTCTTTGAGTACTTCCTTATTTTCTGCTACAATAAGATGTTCCAGGCTTATCTTGTCCTACCTGCCCTGGCCCTGTAATTAGCCATTTACTCCAAGAAGTCCTGGTTCTATTAATGAAGCACAGTAGTTAGAAACCAAGATCTGGGCTTTATGTGCACCTATTGTTACTGGAGTGTCATCGCTCCCAGGCTTTCTCAGTGCATCAAACCAGGAAATATATGTATGCATGTACACACATTTATATCTACATTTACTTCCATATCTATCTATGTATACTGAAAACCATGACCTCACACCAATACCTCCTATTCCAATGCAACATCCCAGGGTTCATTCTAGCCCTTTTCCTTTGCATATTTGTACATCCCTTCCCCATCAGTGAGGAATCTGGCTCCCGTTGTCCTCAAGGTATCTAAATATCTATTTGCTCAATTTCTCTGTGTAGCCAATTTCCTGATCTCTGCAGGGCTGCTACCCCACAGGCCTAGTCAAAAGCTCTCCTCATGAAGTCCCCAGCCTATGCTGACTGCCTTCTCCACCACTCCAATATCCTCCCGCTGCAGTCCCACTGCTGCTGTGCTGTCTTTCTCCTCAATTTCCTCATCTGCCTTTGGGAAACTTTCCATTGCAGGTTCTTAAAGACATAAAAACACTTCAGACTTTGTGCTTTCATTTCAATGTAATTCAAATTTATTCCTCAATGACAGTTACGGCAAAATGAATTGGGATTTGTGTGTGTGTGTGTGTGTGTTTCATTATATTTTGTTTTGCCAGATTCCCAGAATTTAGGAATGAATGGTATTATGTAAAATGTTATATATATTATGTTTATATTATTTTATATATTTATATTGTATATATTTATATATTATATTAATATAACTATATTATATAGATGATATTTCATGTAATACCATATGAGGTAATTTTTACCTATATATGCATTTACCTATACCATAGTAGGTAGTATTTGTAGTCGTAAAAGAATATTTGCTTCTTGCTCTTCATTTTTAAAATAGATGATCAGCAGTACAGTGTGTCCACTATAAACAGCTGATTGATTAGACCTCTTTGCAATTCTGCTTGAAAGCTAATTAAGTTACTACTTATTGTGGCCTTTCATGATCTTTTCTCCCACTGGGTCCTTATTTCCATGGGAGACCCATCTCTGAAAGACTCTGTCTCTGACTTAAAGGGAAAGATCCTAATTTGCTTCACTTGTTCATTCATTCACGCACATATTCGCCAAATTATTTTTATTTTACTTTATTTTTTTAGAGACAAGGTCTTGTTCTGTTGCCAAGGATAGAGTGCTCACTGCAGCCTTGAACTCCTGGGCTCAAACCATCCTCCACCTCCCAAAGCACTGGGATTACAGGTGTGAGCTACCACCTGGCCTCATTCACTAAATATTTATTGAGGGCCTTCTATATGCCTGGCTCCTCCCCATACCTCCCCATACGCCCCTCCCTTGGCTGAGCTGTATCTCTGGTGTTCTTGTTTTTTTATTTTTTGTTTTTTTTTTTTTTTTTAGATGGAGTCTCACTCTGTTGCCCAGGCTGGAGTGCAGCTGCACGATCTCGGCTCACTGCAACCTCTGCCTTGTGGGTTCAAGCAATTCACTTGCCTGAGCCTCCTAAGTAGCTGGGATTACAGGCACATGCCACCACGCCCAGCTAATTTTTGTATTTTTAGTAGAGACGGGGTTTTGCCATGTTGGCCAGGCTGGTCTCAAACTCCTGACCTCGTGATCCGCCTGCCTCGGCCTCCCAAAGTGCTGGGATTATAGGCGTGAGCTACTGCACCTGGCCTTTTTTTTTTTTTTTGTCGGAGTCTTGGCTCTGTCACCCAGGCTGGAGTGCAGTGGCAAGAATTTGGCTCACTGCAACCTCTGCCCCCCAGGTTCAAGCAATTCTTCTGCCTCAGCCTCCCGCGTAGCTGAGATTACAGGCACACGCCACCATGCCCAGCTAATTTTTGTATTTTTTTAGTAGAGATGGGGTTTCACTATGTTGGCCAGGCTGGTCCCTAACTCCTGACCTTGTGATCCACCTGCCTCACCTCCCAAAGTTCTGGGATTACAGGCATGAGCCCAGCCTGGTGTTTTTATTGTTAGTTACCTGATGACCTCTACTTATTGCGTGGCTGGTTCTGGCTATCAGGATATATGAAGGGGAAGGCCCAGGGTAGACTGAAGGAAGTGGTTCCGTGTTAGCCAGCCAGACCTCCAGAGAGAGAGGGGAACCAACTCCTCGGAAAGTCACTTTCCCTTCCCCTTGGGCTGTTGTTTCCTCCCAGCCCCCAGAGCAGCCAGTTACAATCCCAGATAACCCAGCAAACCTGGGTGTTTATCAGCAGAGTTACTGCTATTCTGGCTCCTGGAGATCTTCTGTAGGGACAGAAGAAGAAGATAAGGGGAGTACACACACCACACCTACTCATGGCTGCCTAAACACAGCTCGGGGCTACCTCTTGGTCCCTCCCTCCCCGTTTTCCACCCCCTCCCTCAGGAGAAGTCCCAGTCTGGGGCCCAAATAGCTCTGGAGCAGCATTAAACTCTGCACTGGGGACCCAGGAGCATGGTGGAGGCCAAGCTTGTTTGCTTTGTGGTCATCTGTTCTCAGCCAAGAGAGGCCTAAGCAGGGCGTGGGGAGCAGCTGCAAGTCACCTTGGGTGACTGATGTTATCTAGGCCTAACGGTTTCCTCTGGGTAAGCACTTCCGCCCTCCTGTTTGTGAAGCCAGAAACCTGTGCTGGGGCAGCCCCATTCTGAGCACAAAGGAGGACTAGGTAGAGGGAGAAAGGAAAAGGCCCTGTGGAGCAGAGTTAGAAGACCTGATAGTAGACTATGCAGTCATCACTACGTCCTGCACCTTTAAAAAGAAAGGAAAGAAGCACGAGCAAAAGTGTGCCTTGCAGGTTACCAGTAAATACCCTTCCTTACTGCCGACTCTGCTCTCGAGTCTTCACCTGAGCAGCCATGTGGCTGGACTGGGAGGGGCCTCACTATTAATTCCTGGGAGTGAGGGCTCTTTTCACTGGGTCCCCGAGTGCCTGTCTCTAAATAAAAGAAATATCAGGCTCTTATTCATCTGAAGCTTGTACATGGGGCTAAGCATGATAAAAACAGCCACTTTTTGCAGAGTGCCTACTACATTGTATAGGTGAGGAAAATGAGAATCAGAGCAGTTAAGTGACTTGTCTAAAAAATACAACTAGAAAGTAGCAGAGCTGGAATTCAGCCCTCAATCTGTCTGTTCCTAAAACCAGGCGTCTTCCTCTATGCTTAGCTAAGCTAAAGAACTAGAAGCCACTCTGGCATTAGGGCTGCCAGTGTTTTAGAAAGTTGGGCCTTAGAAAGTTCTAGGACAGGAAGGAGGCCATATTTCTAAGACTGGTACCCAAAGCAGCAATCTAAGTGCCTGAAAGTGCAAAGATGGTGCCGGGATAACCAGAATCAGGGTAGTCTTTGTAGCAGGAGCAGACTCTCAGCCTTTTTTCTCTACTGTTTCTCCACATGTCTCTTCACAGTGCTCACCATCACCTGTCCCATTGCCCACCTCTGATGGGGCTCCCCTCCCCTGGTTGAGCTGGGGTTGGGCGGGTGAGAATGCTGTGGGATAACCCAGAGGCGTCATATACCCAGCCAATACCCTGGCACTCACAGGTCTCTCAAGGCATTTTCCTGTTTCTCTCTGCCGAAGGGTCTGAAGGGGGCCGGGATCCGGGTAGCAGGGAGTGACCCTGGTGCAGATTCCAGTCCCCGAATCCCTCCCATGCGGTCTCTGCTGCCCAGCCGGGATGGCCCTAAAGGAAGGTTGCTATGCTGGGCCCTATGGGAATCAGATGTTGAGCATCTTGCCCTTTGCTATATTTAACAGGAATGGAGACGAGGCCCTTTAGCAAGCAGCTTGTGGGAGCCAAAATTCCCACAAAACCGAATGCATCAGTCAAAGCAAGGTTTGAAGAAAAGATTTACCACTTCAGGGAGCTTGGAAAACTTTGCGTGGATTCCTGATTTTCCTCCTCCTCCTCCTCCTTCTACTCGTATACAGAAGATAGATGGATAGATGGATAGATAGTGGTTTCCTGGAAGGTGGAGAGGAAAAGAGGTGAGAAGGGAAAGGTGGTCCCGTCGGCGCCACGCTGAGCTCTGAAGCCTCGGTCAGAAGGGCTCCTCTTTTGGTAGAACACAAACGCCTTCCACCAGGGAGGGTCCTCGAACTCCACCCAAGAACTGCAGGGAAACCAGGTATGACAGTAATGCAATTTTAAAAAGAGGGAGAGGAAGAAGGAAAGCAGGAAGGATGGACACAAAAGAAGGAAATCGAAAAGAGAGGAAACAAAAAGAATTAAAGGACCACTCTAATTCTTGAAGGGACAGGAAAAAGAAAGAAGGCGCATTAAGGGAGGGAGACGTTGAGAAGGACTGAGACCGTGGCAAAGCCCAGGGTCCTGAGAAACTTCGCGAGACAGAGGGGCCCGGTGGCTGCCCATCCCCATGTTTGGGCACATGGAGTCGTGGCTCCCGCTCTTGAGTCCTGCCCTGGGAGGGACAGTATCTGTTTAGATTTGCGTCTAAATTTAAACCCTGATCGTCGGCCTCCCTCCCCGCTCCCCACCCTCCCCTCCCCTCCCCTTCCTCCCTCCCTCCCTCCTCCTCCTTCCTCGTTCTCTCGCGCAGGGCCCCCGCGGCCGGGGCAGTCCCGCAGCCGAGCGCAGCCGGGCGCGCGCCACCGCCCACTCGCCCTGTGCCCGCCGCAGCCCGAAACTGGCCACGGCCGGGAGCGGAGGGGACAGCGGGGATCGTGAGCTCCGGCCCGGGCGAGCGGGTGCGTCTGCCGCAGAGTCGGCACCTGAAGGACATGGAGGTAAAGGACCCCGGAGGGAGACGCGGGGCTGAGCGGTGAGCGGTGTATCGGGCGCCCCTTCCCCGGGCGGCTGCCCCTGCCCTGAGCATGGAGCACGCGGCTCATCGCTGCTGCCAACTAGAAGGGCAAATGCCTGCTGTTCCGACGCCTCCTTGACCAACTCCGAAGGATCGTCCCTGGTCCCACCTAGGACACCCGGGTTGGGAGGCTGGGGTTGGTAAGGAAAGATCTCAGAGGGAGAGAAAAGGGCTTTCCTAGAGGCCCGGGTATTTTGGCTAGGAACTTAAATGCTAAAAAAAAAAAAAAAAAAAAAAAAAAAAAAAAGTTAGGTGCAGCCAAGGTTTGTAAATGGGTAAACGTGTCAGCAAAAACTGCAAGAAGGCAGAAGCCCTTCAATCTGAAGAGATGGGTATTGAAAGAGAAACAGAACTGGCAACACGAGGCCAGCACGTCTTCGTGGGTCTGTGGGCTTCCCTTTTCGCTTTCGGAGTGGCATTTTAGAGAGTCCAGTTGTCTTCTTGCTTCTGAAGTCCTTCCTGTGTCTGTCGCATCTTCTTCCATAACTTTCTGAAAGCTCCCCTTACTGGTCAGTCGAATGACATTATTTCTGATAAAACTTAAGACTCCCTTGGACACCCTTGCCTCTGAAGCTGTGTGTATGGAGGTATGCTGGCCACATCTGCAGGCTTTGCCAGAGGGAGGCCCCGCACTTCTCTGCCTGCTGAGAGGAGGTCCGGGGACTTTCCTTGTTCTGTTCCAACCTCAGCAGAGGAGTGGTTGGGTGTATTCCCCACATCCCTCTCTTCTGCACATCTTGAGGCTTCCCTGTGTTTCCTCCTTGAAAATGAGACCTGATATGTAGCCCTAAGTCAATCTTAGTAGGACCTGGGGCTTTTGAGAAGATGCAAATGTTATATAGTTTTAAAGGTGATTCCCACTCATATTCAAAAGGAAACATGTGTTGCTCACTAGACTGTGGTCAGTGCAATCAGGATTCACAGTTAACTCCGCTATCTCTTCCCCGCTCCAGGCTCTGTGCCTGGGCCCTGGTGGTCTTTTTATTTTTTTCTTTTGAGACAGGGTCTCATTCTGTTACCCAGGCTGGAGTGCAGTGGCACAATCTCAGCTCACTGCAACCTCTGCCTCCCAGGCTCAAAGGATCCTCCCACCTCAGCCTCCCAAGTGGCTGGGACTACCAGTGTGTACCACCATGCCTGGCTAGTTTTAAAATTTTTTGTAGAGACAAGTTCTCACTATATTACCCATGCTGGTCTTGAACTCCTGGGCTCAAGTGATCCTCTAAGCCTTGGCCTCCCAAAGTGCTGGATTTGCAGGCATGAGCCACACCACTCCTGGCCCTGGTTGTGTTTTCTAAGCTAGACTCTGTGCTTGCCGGCAAAGCTTCATGACTTCTCTAAAGGGGCAATAAGTTTGTCCTTTAGAGAAGTCAGGGAGCTATATTCAGGCATCCAGCCCAGCCAGTTGTCTTCAAGGAACAGGGAATCACCTTCAAGGAGACTTTATAGACTGCAAGAACCACTGGAGTCTAATATGGACCCTCCACAGAAACATTTGCAAGGCCAGGAAGCTCTGGCAGATTAGGGCTGGCGGTGAGGCACGCACACAGCGAAGCTCAGCAGGTGGTGTGCACACATCCACCCAAAGATCACACAAACACAAAACAACAGGGTTCTCTCTGAGCTGGCCACTGCTTCAGGGCAGAGGAGGGAAATGGCCCAGGCAACACCCAGCTTCTTGGGTTGGGTGAAGTCTCCTTAAGAAATTGTTTTAGAAGTGGCTTCCCT
Organism: Homo sapiens; assembly: GCF_000001405.40. Classification (NCBI taxonomy): domain Eukaryota; kingdom Metazoa; phylum Chordata; class Mammalia; order Primates; family Hominidae; genus Homo; species Homo sapiens. The sequence continues at coordinate 167,632,235 of NC_000001.11, forward strand.
CTTCTGGAAGTGTACAAACTGCCTTAGGCCCCAGGCTGCAGATTCACTATGATGTATGGCCTGTCTAACCTCTTGAAGAAAAGGATTGGAGATAAGAGAAAAGCAACTCTTAGACTTCAAGCAGGTTGCTGCTGGAGGGCCAAATGCAAGTGTCAACTTTGTTCTAGGAAAACAAGGAGGGTCTCCTTCCACAGAGGCAGTTTCTCCCCCCTCAGATGAGGAAGGAATAGTGTATGGCAGAGGCCCTGAAACTATCAGCTGAGCAACTTCCTGTGTGGCTTGGGGGGTGGAGGGGATTGCAGTAAAAGAGAAGGCCCTCCCTTATTGAGATGTGTAGTAACTTATGCAGGATTCCACCAAGATACCAAAATCACTCCCGTGCTAGGGTTTGGGAGGGACGCAGGGAGGGAATAGCTCAGCCAGCCAGAAGCCTGACAAATCACCCTGCGTCTCACATCCAGTAGGTCACTAAGCCTAGTCCATCAATTTGCTGGTTGGACAGTGGCTGCTTTTGAAGTTTCTTTGTCCAAATGCCTGGAAAACAAAAAACAACAAAAATGAAACAAACAAACAAAAAAACAACATGCAACTGCTAGTGAAGAAAGTAAAGAGGAAATCTAGGGGCCAGGGAAGTGACCATTCTTAGCCAGGAAGTAAACTTTTCATGGTGAAGCATGATATGCAGGAGTTGGATTTGGGGGTTTCTGAAAATCTCAGAGTAAAACCCTCTTTTGAGAGGTGAAACTCAGTTTTGGGACATGAAAGGGCTACTGTATCTGGAAAGAAATTAAGTTATATTACTTCTCAGTACTAGGAATCCAAACCAGACCAAAGAGGGTTACTCAATATTCATTCTCTAAAGCTCACGTATTATTGGAAGTCTTTGAGAGATCTTTTTTTAAAGTCACTGTTACCATTATCAACAACATCAATCTTCATCCCTCATAAAGCCCTGTGGAATAAACAAAGTATAGATGCCATCTGATCCCTGCCTTTTAAAAGCTCACAACCCAATAAAGGGACTATATCCTGTCACATATATAATCTTCAAATGCATAAATGCCAGTTGAATACTGCTGCAGATCATGAGTTCTGCAGGAGTTCAGACTAGATTAGGTTCAGAAGAAGCCTTGGAAGAAAGATGTGGGTAAGGTGGAGAAGGTATAAGGGATGGGCACAGGGAGAACATGCCAGCTTTGTCCAGCTGGCTGGGAAGGAAGGTAGGAAAGCAGTAACAGAAAAAAATGAAAGTAATAAGATAAATCCAAGGTCACTGAGTATAGTAGATGCCCAGCTAAGTGGGTGAGTGGGAGCTGAAATCCAAGTCACTTGGAGGAAAAGGTTACTTTTTGTTCATACAAAATCTCCTTGCCTAGTTGAGCCTCAAACGGGTGGCTTTTTCTAATTCATGCAGAGGCCATCTGCAACTCTTGAAGGCCAGAGTTGTATGGCCCTGGATTCTGCTCCATGGACAGTAGGAAACTCTGAGAGGTGTTGAGGCAGCTGGCAGCAGTGATGTAGCCGGGATGATACAGCAAAAATGCCACTTCATGGAGTGAGCAAGGGAACCAGGTGAGAAAGCATCTTTTCCAGTACAGGTATATTCTGACTTCAGGATACAATAAGAATGGAGAAGATGGAAAAGAGTAAAGACCATGCGCTGGAAGGGAAGTCAGAAATCACCAAGCTGCCCAGAAGAGTGAAGTTCTCTATGGTGCCAGGGAAAATGGCAGTACCAACTTTTACAGCTCCATACAAAGCCTTTTGCAGGCAGATTTTCTCATTGGTCTTTGAGTCTCCAGAATGAGCACGGTGCCTGGCATATAGTCATATAATTTCTCAATAAAAGTTTGCTTGATAAATGATTAGCATAAATAGGGAACTCCTTCCCCTCTCGGTCTGTAGCTCAAACGTCTCCACCTCTGGAAGGCTTCTGTGAAGCCCCCAGACTCTACAGCACTCTCAGAGCACTTTGTTCAAGCCACTATTAGAACACTAGGCAGAACTGGAACTGTCAGCCTCCCTAACTGTCACCCCGGAAGGCTCCTTGAGGGCAGGGGCCATGTCTTATATATTTAGAGCCTAATGGGCACCAAGAAAGGCTTGTTGCATGAGCAAATATTGAAGAGGGAAGGAAGATCAGGGTTTTTTTTTTTAACAAGCAGTGTTTAGATATGTTGGTTTTGATTGTTCTAAGCAGAATGTCCACCACTCCCTAAGAAATACAAACCTGTTATGATACAAATGTGATTCTCCTCTAGAAGAGATAATAGGTAATGCTATTGTGGATAGGAACCCAGAGGACAGAGGTGTGTAAAGAAGGAGCTGGAGGCGTATGATGTCACATTTAAGTTAATACTGTTAGTCACTTAAATATAAATTGTGTGCACTGCCAATAGCCTGAGGGCACTTGAAAAAAAGTATAATTTTCGCTGACTAAATCCTTTGTTTGTTCAACTAAATTGTAGGCACATCATGGCACTGAAAAAAAGTCATAAATTTCTAACTTAGGTGGAGACAATAAATGAATCCTTTTCTCTGGGGTAACTGCAAATCATTCCCAGATATTATTTGTCATTCATGGACCTACTCAGTATTTATTGGGCCCTTATTACATACCAGATCTTGTATTTTAAATGTTACTTAAAAATTATGGAGCTCTCATGTCTTTACATTCTCACAGACTGTCAGTATTACTATGATGAGAGTGTGTGTGTGTGTGTGTGTGTGTGTGTGTACATATTGGTGTATATAATGTGTTTGTTTTGTGACCTACTTTTTCATCCATATCTTTTTACTTCAGTAAACATTTTCTACCACATTTTTTAAAATTATGGGACTAGGAGATAGAAGAGAAACATGTAACGAATCCAAATCTTAAAAAGATTATTTTGATATTTCACCGTGAAACACTAGGAGAAACACCCACAGCCTCGCTGTTTTTTGACCCACCCACCCTCTCACTGAGCCATATGTTGGCTGCTGGTTGGAGCTGATGGGCCGTAATTAGGAATTGCACAGCCTCTGAAGCTAGAGTTTGGCTCGGTGGACTTGTGGCATGCCCAAATACCCCACATTCCTCTCTGGCTCCCGCGTGTTCTGTGGGACCCTCACCCTCACACTGGCCCCCACTCAGCAGACATCTTCCATTTGTTGGACTGCGACGACAGGGGGAATTTGGGGAGTGAGACTCTAAGGGCCCAGCCCAGGCCCTATCACAGGAGGGGGTGAATGTGCATTCCTGGAAAGGAGTCGGGTTTCAGAGCCTGATCCGCAGCGTGGCTCCTCACAGCACTGCGAGCCAGAGCTTGGCGCGCGCGGTTCCGTGGGAAATCTGAACACTGGCGGCTCAGCAGCCCGGTAATCTTATCAGGGCCGCAAGAGAAAGCATTTTGGTTCCAGAGAAATCTGAAGGCAGCTCCGCTTTTCTCCAGTAATAATATTTAAGTCTGTGGAGCCAGCCTGACCAACCCTATTCAACTCATTAGAATCTAAAAATCTCAGAGCTCTGGGTGAAATAAAACAATCTTTAACTGCCCTCTGCCATATGGTAAAGGGATAAACCAACTCACCAAGAGGTATCTTGAGGATTTAGGCACTATTGGACTTTTGGAAAGCCAACAGCTTGCAATTTTTCTCTTACCTGGGGAGTAGTTCAACCCAAGCCTTCAGAAGTAAGACAGAAGGATGGTTCTTGTAGCAGCAAAGTTTCAGTAATGCTTCGGACACAGGATGAACACTGAGTTGCCACTATCAACAGGATTGCCCTAGGAATCTCCTGAAGCTCATCACCAGAGCCAGACCCGAATGAACACTGTCCTGGTTCTTTGGTCTTCTGGGCAGTCAGCCTCCCGTTTTTTTCCTTTGGAGCTTCCTGAATACCCATCTCCTGGGAATTGTGGAAACAGCTGGCTAAGCCCATGAGGCTCACCCTGTAGAGCCATTTATTTGAATGGATCAAATCCTATTCCATGGGAAGGGCCTCCAGCCAGTGCAATTCCAAATCCCAATGAGTCCCTAAGAGAGGTGCAGGGCCCTTACCTCTGTAAGAGACCCCTCTGAGATGCCATTAGAGCCTATCCTTAATGAATAGTATTAGAAGCCTCCAAGCTAGAGCAGTCAGGTGGGGGCACTGAGAAATTCTGGACATTGGAACAGACATTATCTCCAGCCAAAAATTTGAGTCAGCATCATAGATGTCTCCAGCCCTTTGTTTTGAACCTGTTTGTACCATGTCAGGGCCAACCTCCTGGCCTCGAGGTAGCAATCACTACTCTTTCCCAGGCTGAATCTTTTATAATTAATCATTAATGATTCACGGCATGCCATGCACTAGCTTCTTTTTGTTTTTTTTTGTTTGTTTGTTTGTTTTTAGACGGAGTTTTGCTCTTGTTGCCCAGGCTAGAGTACAATGGCACTATCTCAGCTCACTGCAACCTCCTCCCGGGTTCAGGCAATTCTCCTGCCTCAGCCTCCCAAGTAGCTGGGATTACAGGCATGCACCACCACACTCGGCTAATTTTGTGTTTTTAGTAGAGATGAGGTTTCACCATGTTGGTCAGGCTGGTCTTGAACTCCTGACCTCAGGTAATCCACCCACCTCAGCCTCCCAAAGTGCTGGGATTACAGGCCACCACGCCTGGCCCATGCACTAGGTTTTTAGTTAGATTCAGTAAGCACACACTGAGCCCTTACTGCCTGCCAGGCACTGCGGATCTAAAGGGGTACGTATCTACCAGCTTGCTGACCCTTGAAGAACTTGCAGTCTAAGAGGGGAGACAAACACCTAAACAGATTATTGCAGAGCAGGGATGAGAGCTTACACCCACAGAGGAGGAGCATCAGCCTGGGGCTCAGGGAGGGCTTCCTGCTAAAAATAATTTCTGAGTTGAATCTTGAGGGGTGAGTAAGAGTTAACCAAGGGCAGAAAATTGGGAAGAGCATTCCAATCAGAAAGAGTGACAAGAGCAAAGCTACTGGTGCAAGAAACAGCACGGTGTGCATGGGAAATAATAAGTAGTTCATTCCTGGAGGATAAAGCAAGATAAAGATATTTGAGGACTAGATGGGGAGTACAGGAAATGTAAGTTGCAGTTCCTGCCCTAAAAGGAACTCATTCTATTTGGGGAAACAAGATATACCCAAATGACATGACATAAAAACATGCAAGATAGAATCTTGATAAGTTCTAAGGTATGTGGGCGTTCAAAAGCTCCTCTAATACAAGGTAGAGAAAACTAGCTTCCTGTGCTGGGGATTCCTCCACAAGTGCTGCTCTTCCCCCACCTCCTGGCAGCCCTAGGGTGCAGAACACACAGGAGACCTCAATCTAATGGCAGCACATGCCTGCCTGGGGCCTGCCCCAAAGGCTCCTGCTAGAGAAGTTGATTTGAAATAGGCTCCAGGTCCCGAGGGAATGCCTTTGTTCAAGCTCACCAAAAAGCCACCCCAAGTCCTCCTACCTTCTCTGACAGAAAGAGGGCTCTAGGAATAGACCACACACACACACACACACACACACACACACACACCCCTTCTGTTCCCACTCACACTTCCACCTGCAGCCCCGCTCATTCCTTCCACTATGGCCACACTTCCTGTACACTCCCTGAAAAGTCAGCGTTTCTCCTGCTTGCCCAGAGGCAGACAAGGGATGCACCAGGGTGGACTGTAGAGCAGCAGCCAACCACATGCATCAGCCCAAACCCAGTAAGCAGTGCCGCTGGGCCTTGTGGCTGCTATTGCACAATCCAGCACCCACGCCACAGGTCACAGAGAATTTGCATCTCACAATGTGCCGCAGCAGGCTTTGGGCCTCCTCTGAGCCTCCCCGCTAGACCCTCCACCTTCAATAGTTCATTCCCAATGCGTGAGCTAAATGTACGCTTTTCCCACCCTGCTGGGCTGCCCACCACGACCTCCATCTCTGAAGCACATTCCCAGGATTCAGGTTCCTGGCTTGTCATCCTTTACAGATATGTTTTGATGAATAATGGGAAATTCATTTCTGAGCAGCCACACCGATGTCAGTGTGGGAGAGACCTAAAGCTTGTTGTCATGGTAATTACTACCACTTGTTGAATGCCTACTATATATAGATGCTGTGCACAGATTTATTTCTTTTAATCTTCATAAAGTCATATTATGTCTTCTAGGAAAGGATGCTGAGGCTTTGAGATGCTTAAATGATGTGCCCAGGGTCTAGAAGGTAATTACCAACCTTCTAACATTTGAACCTACCCTATCCGGTGGGATCCTGTCCCTGTTCTTCCTCTTGCTCTGGAGAAACTCTGGCTTCCCCCACAGCACCTGTGTGGGCTCTCGGGGAGACAACAGGCTCCTCAGCCTGGCCAGTCTTCCTCCAGCTCAGGCCAGGCTGTGGTGGAGGCCAGCCAGCTCAAGGCTTGGTGCTTGTAAGGCCTGGCACAGGTTTACTCCGAGCCCTCCTCTGCACAGCTAAAAGACTTCTGAAAGGCCCCAGTTGTGTCTCTGGGTGAAACTGGTGCCCACACCTAAAGCAAAACAGGAAGACTTTTCCAAATTCATTTTTAGGGCTTTGGAGTTTTGAGAGCAAGAAAGAACCATAGCAATTTCTTCCATCCCCTTCATTTTAAAGATGACGAAATTGAACATAAGCAATTTACCAATGGTCGTACTTAAAGTCAGTTAGTAGCCAAGTCAAGAGTTAAAACCAAGGTCCTGGTCGGGGGCGGTGGCTTATGCCTGTAATCCCAGCTCTTTGGGAGGGCAAGGAGGGCGGATCACGAGGTCAGGAGATTGAGACCATCCTGGCTAACACGATAAAACCCCATCTCTACTAAAAATACAAAAAATTAGCCAGGCATGGTGGCAGGCACCTGTAGTCCCAGCTACTTGGGAGGCTGAGGCAGGAGAATGGCGTGAACCCGGGAAGCGGAGGTTGCAGTGAGCAGAGATCACGCCACTGCACTCCAGCCTGGGTGACACAGGGAGACTCCGTCTCAAAACAAACAAACAAACAAAAAGCAAAAACAAAAACAAACAAACAAAAAGGTCCTCTGACTCCCAGCACACTAGGACGCCTTTGACCCGCATGTTCAAATGAACTCATATATAATGACTTTATTGATTTTGCATTTTTGTGTATTGTCTTCTTGGCTCTCTGAAGTCCTCCACACAGTGGTGCTCAGCTCTCTAGGTCTTCCCTAGCAAGCACTACTATCTGTGGGGATAGGGTGGGTAGGGAGAAGAACCATTTTCATTCTCATTGTTTTTTTTTTCTTTGTTTGTTTGTTTTGAGGTGGAGTCTTGCTCTGTCTCCCAGGCTGGAGCGCAATGGTGCAATCTCGGCTCACTGCAACCTCCACCTCCCTGGTTCAAACGATTCTCCTGCCTCAGCCTCCCAAGTAGCTGGTATTACAGGCGCCTGCCACTGTGCTCAGCTAATTTTTGTATTTTTTAATAGAGACGGGGTTTCACCATGTTGGCCAGGCTGGTCTTGAACTCCTGACCTCAGGTGATCCACCTGCCTTGGCCTCCCAAAGTGCTGGGATTACAGGCATGAGCCATGATGCCCGGCCCATTCTCATTGTTTTAACAAATGCCAAGAGACCCAGAGCTGAGGCTAGGAGGGCCCAGCTACCCTAGCTGCAGCGCCACGCCTTGTTCTACTAGGCTTACTTTCTCCGATGCCCTCAAGGGGTCTTTCTGGGGGAGCCCCTTGGCCCCTGTTGTCCAGTCATGCCTGAATCCCCTCACAAAGGCCTGAATTTAAGTACTGGAGAGGAGAAGAACAAGGATGATTCCAAATGCTTGTTTTCCTTGGGGAAACAAATGGGAGACTCAAAGAGATGCCTGGCACTCCAGGCTGCTATACAGTGCGGAAGTGCTGCCCAGGTGGAGAATCTGATGCCAGTGGAGTTGGCAGGTGTATGAGTTTGCGAGGGCTGCTGCCGTAACAGATTACCACAAACTGGGTGGCTCAAAACAACAGAAACGTCTCCTTTCATGGTTCTGGAGGCCGGATGTCTAAAAGCAGAGTGTCAGCAGGACCTCATTCCCCACTAAGGCTCGAGGGGCGGCTCCATTCCATGTTTCTTTTGGCTCCTGGTGGTTGCCAGCTTCCTTGACTTGTGGCCACATCACTCCAGTCTGCCTCATCTTTGCCACACCTTCTCCTCTGTGTGTCTCTTATAAGGACCTGTGTCATTGGATCAGGACCTACGTTGATAATCCAGGATGATCTCTTCATCTCAAAATTGGTAACTACCTCTGCTAAGACTGTTTTTGCACATAAGGTAACATTCACAGGTTCCAGGGATTAGGAAGTGAGCATATCTTTTTTTTTCCTCCTCAAGACAGGGTCTTGCTCTGTTGCCCAGGCTGGAATGCAGTGGCACAATCATGGCTCACTGCAGCCTCAACCTTCCAGGGCTTAAGTGATCCTCTCACCTCATCCTCCTGAGTAGCTGGACTATAGGCGTGCACCACCACACCCAGGTAATGTTTGTATTTTTAGTAGAGACGAGGTCTCACTATGTTGCCCAGACTGGTCTTGAACTCTTGGGCTCAAGTGATCCTCCCACCACAGCCTCCTGAAGCGCTGGGATTACAGGCATTAAACACTGTGCCTGTCTAGGAAGTTATCATAACTTTTAGGGGGTCACCATTCACCCCACTATCGCAGTCAACCTGCTATCCATATAAAGGTAAAGAACTTGGGGATTGGAGGAGTGAATCCTGGGTTATTGTTAAGCTATATTATAACCACCCCCCGAGCCCCCACTAGTGCCTTGGGTGCAAATTACCAAGGAATATTTATTGACACCTGTTGTGTGACTAATTTCCTGCCTCTTAGGTAGCCCGTATATACAGCTGTGTCATCCATACCCCTAGTGCCTGGGTCTCAGCTATAATTCTCTGTTCAGAGAGCTGCAGTTGGGAGGGGAAGTCTGTCTCCAGGCCGCTATGGAGCATTTCCATGAAGCCATGAGGATCACCCCCAACTCATCTGGTCACTTTTCAGGGAGATAACTATGGTGTAAGCAGGCTGGGAAGAGCCACTCGAGATTATCTAGGATCACCACCACCATTGTAAAGGATCATGCCTAGCAAGATTATAAAATCCTATTCTTAAATATCTTATTCTTTCATTAATCCCTTCATTCATTTATTTAGAGATGCACCAAGACGCTACCAAATGCAAATTAATAAGACCAATCCTGGCTGGGTGCAATGGCTCACTCCTGTAATCTCAGCACTTTGGGAGGCCGAGGCAGGTGGATCACAGAAGGTCGGGAGTTTGAGACCACCCTGACCAACATGAAGAAACCCCGTCTCTACTAAAAATACAAAATTAGCCGGGCATGGTGGTGCATGCCTGTAATCCCAGATACTCAGGAGGCTGAGGCAGGAGAATCGCTTGAACCTGGGAGGTGAAGTTTGCGGTGAGCCGAGATCGCGCCATTGCACTCCAGCCTGGTCAACAAGAGTGAAACTCTGTCTCAAAAAAATAAGAATAAGACACAATCCTTGCCCTCAAGATTCATACAGTCTGAAGGTAAAGAGGGGACATAAATGAAAGAAGTGATTACAAAACAGTGTGATTGGTTCTGAAAAGGCAGTGAGTAAACAGTCCTGTTGCATAAATAACAGGACAGGCTAGTGTTGCTGTAACCATGCCACAATCTTAGTGGCTGAAAACAACAAAGGTTTACTTTTCACCCCTGCTGCAAGTCCATTGAGGGTTGGCTGGGGGCTCTGCTCTGGCTCATTTCTTGTCCTCCCTCTGAGACCTAAGCTGTGGGAGCAGCTACCCCTTTGCTTGTTGTCATGGCAGAAGGAAGGAAAGTTCTGGAAGACTCACGCTGGCCATTAAATGCTCTCTTTTGGAAGGTTCCTAACTATCCACATGGCTCCAATTAACCATAGGGGCAGGAAGTACCATCCTCTCATGGCCTCCAAATGATGAGAGCTAGAAGTACTTCACAAACATTGTTAGTGGCCTGATAGAGTCTTAGAAGCCTTCACAAAGCAGACGATCTTTGAGCTGTGTCTGGAAGTAAGACTGTGTCTTTCAGGCTGACAAGAGGGGGAAAGCCGAGGGAGAAAGTGTTTATCTGCACCACTCAGGGCTCATTCGCTTGAGTCTTACACGGCTTTTGTGGTCGGAGATGTTCTTGCAGATTGAAATGAAAACTGCTTCATAAGCACAAATAATGTTTTCAATGATGTCAGCTGTTCTTCATGCTTTGGGGGTGATTGAGAGAGGCAAGTAGGTTTGAACGAGAAGCTAGGGGTGCAGATATGCAGGAAAATATATCAGAGAAATATAAACATAAGCGTTAAGGGCATCTGTTTAGACTGTTTCTCAAGTTTCTTAGTCCTGGAACAGCCAATTCCATGGAGCATGCCACCAGGAGTTGCAACTTATAGCCTAGGTGGCTCTTGGGAGGTGAACGTCTTTGTGGCTATGTGAGCAGCATGGAATTGTCTACGCCTTTTGATTGGAATGCACTCCCCCTTGGTGAAAGGGAATCTATGTCTTTTTTCTACATGCAGTTATATAACACTTAGAATCACCATTCTTTCCCATAAGGCTTGTACATAAGCCCTACCTTTTGTCCCTAAGGAAGGAGTTGGTGAAAGTCGGCCTGTGAGTAACATTGGAATTAGGCAGTAGAATTTGAAGAAATGGTAGCAACAGACAGCCCTCTGCTCCCTTAAGGCTTTCTTTGCCTGATTATTGATTTTGTAGTAGATCAAGGGGGATGCCATGCAGAGAAAGACCATCAATCCTGGGTTTTAGGTTCAGGGTCAGTTACCAGCCTCAGGATCCCGGTCAGTTCCGTGCTCTGTAAAACCGATACCTGCTTTACCTACCTTCCAAGGTTATTTTGAAAAGGAAGTAAGATTATGCATGTAATAAATATCTTATGAAAGTACCTTGAAGCGTTCAATTATTTCACAAATGCATGGTGGTGGTGTTATTAGTATTTATTAAACTGATATTGTGAAAAATTGTAACAACCCTGAGCGTGTCTTCTGTAAGAAAGCACTGGCGCTCTCTGTGCCTAGTGGAAGGTGGCAGAAGGGAAGGCAAAGAGGGTGACATTGGTGCACATGAGCAAAGTGAACCTTTCCAATATAGGACAAAGAGGCTTTTTATAGCATAAAGGAGGTTTTAAGCTGTGCAACAGTAATAGGAAAAATACTTTACACTTCTACCACACTTTATTGTCAAAGTACTTTCCCGTATCTGTTCAGCTAAACTGTAAGCTCTGCAAATCCCCATCATAGGTTCTAACATCCAATGATGAGCATAATGTATATTCAACACATCCTGTGAGTAGATGCAGGAATGCAGGCTTCATATGCCTCATGGGGAGGCAGTGCAATGGCTTAAGGGCTAAGAGCACACACAGAGAGCCATATGGCTGGGTTTGAGTTTGACTTTGCCATTTACTAGCTTGTGACCTCTCCATGGCTTGGTTTTTCCATTTGTAAAATGGAAATAATGATAACACCTACCTGCTAGGGTTGTTGTGAGGTGTAAATGAGTCGGTGGTTGTGTAAAGTGCTTAGTGCGTTGCACATATTAGGTGTGATGTAATTGTTTATTGATTAAGGAAAGAGGCTTTTATAATCATTTAGAAGAGAACAGCCTCCTGCGCTTTTGGTGCAGCTCTGACTGGGACACGGGATGGACAAGAGGACATCTGAAGTTCTCCTCCAGCCTGAGAGTTTGACAGAGGGGTGGTTATTGCATCCTGCCTGCAAAACTGCCGGTAAATCTCTCTGGGCTTCTGTAGGAGGCTGGGTCTTGGGGGCAATGCTGGAACAGTATCCCACATAAATCCATACTAGAACCTGGGAGACTAGGGGAGGCTTGGGCATAGAATAGCAAATCCAAGTGTCAGGCTCATGGGCAGCCAAAACCTGCAAGAAAAAGGGAGTCAGTCTCCTTGGCTCAAGAAATATGTTTTGGCTGGGCACGGTGGCTCACGTCTGTAATTTCAGCACTTTGGGAGGCCGAGGCAGGCCGATCACCTGAGATCAGGAGTTTGAGACCAGCCTGACCAACATGGAGAAACCCTTTCTCTACTGAAAATACAAAATTAGCTGGGTGTGGTGGTGTGCGCCTATAATCCCACCTACTCAGGAGGCTGAGACAGGAGAATTGCTTGAACCCAGGAGGCAGAAGTTGCAGTAAGCCAAGATCGCACCATTGCACTCCAGCCTGGGCAACAAGAGTGAAACTCTGTCTCAAAAAATAAATACATACATACATACATACATACATACATACATACATACATACATACATTTCAAAGAAAGGGAGGGAAGGAGAGCAGATGGCAAGTGTATTTTTTGAGTTCACCCAGGTAGATCAATGAAACGAGGAGGTAGGAAATGGGAAGGAGAGCAGTCTGGAGTAGAGCTCCCCTTCCACTTCCTCCCCCCACATACCTGGGTTGCCTGTACCCTGACAATTCCTTACCTTTCACACCTCTGTGGGGAGGCCCCTGCCTAGGGAGCTGAACAGGGTGGGATTCGGAGACTGCTAAAACAGCTGCGGGGATTGGACAGTAAGAGGCTAAGCATTCAGACCAGAGCCCCTCTCCCTGTCTAAGCTGACATCAGTCCTGATCTTTCCAACTGAGTGCTTTCCTATGCCAATAAGGGTATTCTGATTTCTCACGTGGTCACATTACTTGTATTACAAAGGATTTTTTGACAAGATGTATTCAGTGCAGGTTGAACTACCTTGCCCAAAGTATTTTGATTAAGGACCCCAGGTCTTTCCTGAAGAAAGTCTCCAGTGGCAGGCCACGGGGCTCTATCCTTGGCCCTGATTATTAAACATTTTTGTTAATGACTTGGATGAAAAATAGAAAGAATCCAGATGACCCACAGCTGGGATAGTTAATATGCTACGTGACATATTCAAGTTCAAAATGATTTATATAGGATGGGATGCTGGGCCAAAACCAACATAATAAAATTAAACAGGGATGAATGTAAAATCCTCTGCTTAACTTTAGGAAAATTTCATGCACTAGCATAGGACAGACCTGGCTTGGAAATACGCATGCATTTGTTCCACAAATATTTATTGGGCCTACTGTATGACAGATGCTGTCTGGATTCCTGGAGGGAGTAAAATATAAAGACAGTATCTCAATAAGCTGGAGGTTTAGTGGTGGTGGTGCCAAGAGATAAGATATGTCCCCAGATAAAGCAGGACACAGGATATGCTAAAGTGTTATATAAGCAACAAGACCACGAGGCTGGGGAATTTCACAGAGAAAGAACATTCTCAACTTATTCAACTGAAGAAGGCTTATTGGGAGAGGGTGACATCAGAGTGGCCACCAAAAACTAGGAAGAATTTTTTTTAAACAGATGGTAATAATGAAGGGGCAAAGAAGGGGATGGTGGTGAGAAGCTAGTGTGATGAGAAGAAATGAAGGATGCCCACGGGGAACTGTGAGTGCCCTAAGCGACTAGAGTGGAAGACCTCTTAACCCACATGTGTGGGTGTGGGTGCACATGTGTGTGCACAGCAGATGGGGAGAGGGTGGGTAAACACTGTTGGAAGGACTGGATGCAGTGAGGTGGTGCACACGTTAGGGAGACAGCACTGATGCTGCCTGCTTCCCTCAGTCTGTCATGAGGGTCCTTGCAGAGTGGGGCTCACGGGATGGAAGGGATGGAAGGAGCACTGGAGGGCCATTAATTAATCTAGAAGCCGAAATACCAGTTGAGAGGCCAAGGCACCGGTGAGAGGTGGCCTTGAGAATGGAAAGGCAATGAAGCTGCGAAACCAACTGCGGGAAGAATCCACAGTGCAGATTTGGTATTTGGTTGGAGACTGTCACAGGGGCAGAGTTAGAGAGAAAGTGATCAGAATGACTGTGTTTTCCATCTAGGAGCATGGAGAATTTTACTCGTTGGGGGTGCGGAAGAGGCTGAGTTTTGGTTGAGGCATTGACAGGACACCCTGTTGGAAATTCAGAAGTGGAGTTTGGAGGGCTTTGGGCCAAGGCGCAGCTGGGTGGTCATTCGCGCAGCAGTGGTTCACCACAGGCCTGGGTGGTGAGCAGCGGCTATAAGGAGAGAAGCAGGCCAAAGACAGCTCGGGACAGCCCTCACATTTGAGGAATGCCAGGAAGACTAAGGACAGTGAAAGAGGGCTTGGGAGTTATAGCCGACCATAAGCTAACACTTTTCTAAAAAAAAAAAAAAAAAAAAGAAGTAGAAAGACTCAATTTTGTGTGAGACTTAGAGTTTTTTTTCTTTTTCTTTTTCTTTTTCTTTTTATATTACTTTAAGTTCCGGGATACATGCGTGCAGGTTTGTTACATAGATATACATGTGCCATGGTGGTTTGCTGCATCTATCAACCCATCATCTAGGTTTTAAGCCCCACATGCATTAGCTATTGTCCTGATGCTCGAGTTTCTAATCCTGCCTAGGCGTCATCCCCAGGACTCTCCTTTGTGTGACCCCCTCCTTTCCAGAGCTCTTTCTCAAGCTCAGGGAGTAGATGCCTCAAGAGAAATAGGATCCTCGGAACTTCTGGGGCATCGCCCAAAACCTGGGGTAGTGTTAGCCAGGTAGAGAAGCAGGTAGAGGCCACTGCGGTGGCTCATGCCTGTAATCCCAGCACTTTGGGAGGACAAGGAGGGTGGATCACCTGAGGCCAGGAGTTCAAGGCCAGCCTGACCAACATGGTGAAACCCCATCTCTACTAAAAATACAAAAGTTAGCCTGGCATGGTGGTGCATGCCTGTAATCCCAGCTACTTGGGAGGCTGTGGCAGGAGAATCGCTTGAACCTGGGAGGCAGAGGTTGCAGTGAGCCGAGATCATACCATTGCATTCCAGCCTGGGCAAAAAGAGTGAAACTCCATCTCAAAAAAAAAGAGAGAGAGAAGGGGGTAGAGGCAACAGAATTACTTGTCCATTAGGCACATGTCTTTAAGTGCTTTTAGTGTTAATCAGGCTGCAGGTTCCACAGCAAGCAATTTATAACCCACAGCCATGCATTGGGAAGGCCTGCATGAGGCATGTTCTTATTTTTAAAACAAGGGGCCAAGCACAGTGGCTCACACCTGTAATCTCAGCACTTTGAAGGCTGAGGCAGGGTGGACTACTTGAGCCCAGGAGTTCAAGATCAGCCCGGGCAACATAGTGAGACCCCATCGCTACAAAAAAAAAAAAAATAGCAGTGCATGGTGGTCTACCTGTAGTCCCAGTTATTCAGGAGGCTAAGGCAGGAGAATTGCTTGAGCCTAGAAGTTCAAGACCAGCCTGGGCAACATAGTGAGACCTCATCTCTAAAATAACTAACTAAATTAATTAAATAAATAAAATAAAAGCAGTGCATGGTGGTGCACCTGTAGTCCCAGCTATTCAGGAGGCTGAGGCAGGAGGATTGCTTGAGCCTGGGAGATGGAGGCTGCAGTGAGCTGTGATCATACCACTGCACTCCAGCCTGGGTGACAGAGTAAGACCCTATATCAAAAATAAAACAAAACAACGATAAGACCACAACCAATAAAAATTCTTTCTAGAAAACCCTAGGACTGTTCAGGACATTTTCTCTAGTTTCTAGTCACTTTGTTTTAAAATACTAATTTGCTAAAATTAAGCTAATCTTAAATATTTTAAGATTTGAAATTCATCATCTTAACACAACTATTTTCTTTTTCTTTTTTTTGTTCCTTGAAATCCTCAATTATATCCCTTTTATTATTTTTTAAAGTTGGAATAAAAAGACAATCCTGTATAATATAACTACTTCGAATTTTCCACATCTTTATTAGTTTTAGCCAAATGCATAATTCTTACATAATTTTAATCAGTGTATATACAACTCTGTACTCTATCTTTTCTCTTAACATTATTTCCAGGTCAGTATTCTTGTTCCTCATAGTCATATTTTCATTGTAAATGTCTTCACGACACTCTGTTATACAAATATATCATAATTATTTAATCATTTTTCTATTTTGGAACACAGCATTTGCTTTTACTTTCTCCTTATTACAAATAACATAGCTATAAACAGTACATGTATCTTTTTCCTTCTTTTGAATTATTTCTCTGGAAGCAATTCCCAGGAGTGGAATTATTAGGTCAAAGGATATGAGTGTCTCTTGACAAGCATTGCCAAATCAGCCCTGGCCTTCCTTCCTTTTGCAAAGACTCACTGTATGTACCTGGTGTGTACAATTGCAGGCTCAGCGAGATGTGCCAGGTAGGAGACATGAGGTGAGAGCCCTCCACTAAGCCGGTTTAGCAAAGAGCCCTTTCCTCCCAGGGTCTTCCAGCAAGTCCTGTGGTTCCCCCTCCACCAGCAGGGAGTGGATAGGAGGGGAGCACAGGAAAGGGGTGTGGACCCCCTGGAAATGAAGCAATCATATGGTAGTTCCCGCTGGAGCAGCTGCAGATAGGGGGAAGTTACATACCAGTGATGGGGTGCGGGCAACAGTGAGCCCGGGGACACCAGGACACCAAGAATCTCACCCACCAGTCAGGGATGGAGGCAGAACACCAGAGGGTTTGGGCTGAACTCTAGAGAATGATGGGCTGGTCCTCTAGGAAATCCCTTGAAGTCCTGAGCAAGAGTGGCCTGAGTTTGGGAGGAGAAGCAATCAGTCACTCGCTTGCTTAATAAATATTTAATAAGTGCCCACTGTGTCAGATTCTGTGCTGGGAATTCTGGACACAAAAGGTAATAAAACTTGGATCCTGCCCTCAGGGAGGTTGCAGTCTGGTAAGACAGTCAGAATGATAACAAGTGATTGAAACAGTTTGGTTAAGTATTCTAAGAGATCTGTGCTCAGAACACAGATCTGAGTATGACCTAGGTATCTTGCCCAGAGTGGGGAGGGGCTGGGGGAAAGAAAGACTTCTTAAAGGCAGTGAAACCTGAGCTCAATCCAGGAGGACAAAGAGGGAATGGATAGTTGAAGGGTGAGGAGGAGGGTGTTCTAGCTGGAGGAAGTAGCGTGAAAGAGGACAGTGTGCAGGATCCAACCAGATTGAGTTGGTAAGCCAGGCAAGACCTCGAGAACCTCTTCAGGGCTTGATCCGGGAGGTGCCGGGATTTCTACACAGAAGGCGCTTGGGGCTACAGTCTAATTGCAAGGGGAGAGTCCAAGGGGCTAGCCTTGACACTGTTATTTGTATAACAAGCATACTTTTCGCCTAAAACGGAATATGTATTTGGTGTGGCTGATGATATTATGGGGTGTTACAGCTCTCAAAAACCACAGCTTGGCCTCACCACTTGTTTTATTCCCAGAGTGATGGGGGGGCAGAAAGTTACATAACCAGACTTGAATTTCAGGAAGTTGGCTCTGGCCGTGGTTCAAGGAATGGATTGGAGAGAGCATGGTATGAGGCCTTTAGGAGGCTGGTCATTCATATGGACTAAAGACCAGGAAAGCTGGGCTTCAGAAGGGACTGTGAGGGCAGAGAAAGAGAAAAGGAGTTTGAGAGGAGGATCCTTCCTCACAGGGACAAGAATTTTCTATCTAAGGCCTAGCTGACGACTAAGGGAGAGGACAGCATTGTTCCAAGGGACCTGTGTGTTAATGGGGATGCCTGGGTGTAGGCATAACATTTAAAGGACAGACAGACCAGGGCCTGGGTGTCTTGTGTCCATAATAATAAACAGCTCACCTGTGCCTCTGGGGCAGCTGTAAAGATGCACTGTGTGTGTCCATGTGTGTGCCAGAGGGGAACCAAGCAAGTGTTAACACGTTGCAGGAGGAAGCTAGGCAGAGTGGCCAACAGGAGTTCAAGGCTCTGGACCAAATCCCATCACTAAATTGCTGTGGGATCTTGAATCAGTGGCACAAGATTTGGGGGCCTCACCGGAATGATCATCTCATCCCTGCCTGGCTTATTGGGAGGATTAAATGAGATAATGAATTCAGAGTTAAGGATTTGGAAAGAATATAAAAGACTCCACAGATGCAAGGTGTTGTCTCCACTGTGTTTTGGAAAACACGGGGAAATGTCTGCAAACAGCTTGGTCCCTCAAAGAGAAGCAGGTGCTCTGGAGCCTGGATGTGTGTGTGTTGGGGTGGGGGCAGGGTCAAGCTGTGAGGCGTTCACCTCCCCTCTGGCCTCTGCTTCCTCCTCTTCTTGTGGCTTCCCTTTGAAGCTCTGAGCAGCTGTTACAGATGAGAGGCCAGGCTGGGCCAGGCCCAGACCACTCACTCAGAAGCAGAGGCTGTGTTTGAAGCCACCAGCCAGGGGGTAGGCAGGATTTCCTGACTCTCGAGTGTTTGGGTCCAGCTCTGGCCTGGTACCCCAGAGGCCTACCAGGAGGCCTGTGCTCTCTAACCAGAAGGACCGCCGCCCATCCCTTCAGCCAAGATCTCTGTTCCAGCCACAGCCAAAGCCAAAGTCCAGGAGCTGTAGGGACTGCCCTCTCTCTGGTTAAGCATTTTGAGTTTTAGAAACAAAAGCACCAATTAAGCACAAAGCAGGGAGTGGAGCCAATGGCTCTGCTCGTGTGAGGTTAGCAATGGAGTAGGGAGAGGGGTGAGCGGAGTGTGCGTGGTACGATGGGGTAAGGAGGGGATAAGGAGGGGGGCAGCCCCAGAAGCAGCTTCCCCGAGGCCAAGTTCAATGCCTTTATTAGTTCGGTAGCGCTGCTGTAACAAAGTGCCATGGACTGGATGGCTTAGACAGCAAAACTTTATTTCCTTGCAATTCGAGAGGCTAGAAATGTGAGACGGAGGTGTCAGCAGTGCTGGCTCCCTCTGATGCCTCTCTCCATCTTCTCCCTGTGTCTTCACGTGGTCTTCTCTCTGTGCGTGTCTGTGTCCTCATCTCTTCTCATAAGGACACCAGCCAGGTGGGACCAAGGGCCATCGTAATGACCTTGTTTTAACTTAATTTCCTCTGTGAAGACCCTACCTCCAAATACAGTCTCATTCTGTGGTACTAGGGGTTAGGGCTTCAACATGGGAATTTCAGGAGACAGTTCAGCCCAGGACAATGCCACCAGCCTGGAGCCTCACTTCCAGCTGTGGGTGAGAATGGAAAAGTCACAGCAGAAGTCACCACACCTAACCACAGAATGCCACAGGCTCTGAACACCCGATCTGTACTGGAGTTCTGGGTCCCACCTTTCCCTTCATGCCTGGCTCCTTCTGTCATGCCTGCCCTGGGCCACATCCTAGAAAGAGTGTCCCAGGCACCAGGGCACACTGCATTCTGCGCTGGCACTGTTGCTATGCAACTCTCCTCGCACGCCGACCTGGGCCCAGCTTCCCTTATGTCACCTCCTTCTGGGTCGATAAACTCATGTCACGCCTTTCTAACACAGAGTGCAATGCTGTGGACTGTGACCAGGTGTCTTCCTGCCCTTCTATCTTCTTGGCCTGTTGCTCCTGCTGGTCCCTCTACCTGCAACACCTCCCTGCCTGTTCCCTGCCATCCTGCAAGTAATTTTGTTCCTGTTGAGCTCTTACCCTCCCAGGATTATTCCATTTGGGGTGCTAGGTCTTCCCAGCCAAGACAGAGGAGAAGAGGGTATAGATACAGGGAAAGCATGGCAGGGAACAGGGTGGGATGAGCCTCTGATAGGCCTTCTCCCCGCTGTTCTTGAGGGGGGCTGCGTTCCTCCCTGACCTCCACTCTTATCTGGGGGTTGGGTCCAGGTGTTTTTTCTCACCCAAACAGTTAACAGTGCCTTTTCCCACAGAAGGGCAGAAGCCCTATTTCCAGGCCTGAGATGGGAGGAGGTTCCCCCAGCCCAGGCTCCTGCCTCTGTTCATCTTTTTTTTTTTTTTTTTTTTTGAGATAGAGTCTTGCTCTGTCACCCAGGCTGGAGTGCAGTGGCACGATCTCAGCTCACTGCAATCTCTGCCACCCGGGTTCAAGCGATTCTCCTGCCTCAGCCTCCTGAGTAGCTGGGATTACAGGCATGCACCACCATGCCCGGCTAATTTTTGTATTTTTAGTAGAGACGGGGTTTCACCATGTTGGCCAGAGTGGTCTCAAACTCCTGGCCTCAGGTGATCTGCCAGGCTCAGCCTCCCAAAGTGCTGGGATTACAGGCGTGAGCCACCACGCTTGGCCTCTGTTCACTTTTCATTCCTCCTGGAGCCATGATTCCCCTCTTAGCATCTAGCCTGGAGAGGATTTAAGTTTAAAAGGAACTGGGCCCTTTAAAGATGAAACCTCACCGGGCCCAGATACTTGAGTGTATTTTCAGCCAGAGGCCTAGGTAAAGATACAAGCAGTTGTCAGGCTGGAAACAGGCCTGCTGCTCCCTCGAGACAGACCAACAGTTGCTGCCCCAGCAGAGGACACACATTTTCTAAATATTATTTTCTAATTACAAGAAAGTCAAACAACTTTAAAGCTAATGAACAGTACCTTTTTTGCCCATCGAATGCACCTCCAGTCTTTGTGAATTTGTATTGATTTGCTGTTATGTGACTCATCGCAGGGCACAAAGCATGGGGGATTTTTTTTTAGCCTTTTTCTTGTTTCATACACATCTCCATGTGTGAGAAATGTTGGATATTCGTCATTTGTAATGGTAGCATAGTGTTTTATTATGCTCCAGAATTTACTTTGTGATCCATAATTTACTTCAACTAGTCTTCAAAATTCAGTATTTAGATGGCTTCTAATTTTTCACTTTTATGTCATGCCACTGCTACAGGCAATTTTGAATAAACTGCATTCTTCTTTATTTTCTTATAGTATATTCTAAAAATAGAACAAAGACTTCTCGAGCTTTGGTTACACAGTTGCAGATTATTGTCTCAAAACAGAGTAGAATTAATCAAAGTGTAATGCTAACAGCAGTTTTTAAGGGAACAATTTTCGCCATAATCCTGGCAGCCTTTTATCATTATTACATATTTCTGCCCATCTCACAGTTGTGCAACGATACCTTAGAGTTACTTTGCATTTTATTAATGACTGTCAATGTCATGTGTCTTCCTAAACTATAACTTTGGGTTGGTATTTTCTCCCATGCTTTGGAAGTTTATCTCCTTTAGTTGCTTTCTGGTGTTTATTTTACACAGATTTCGCAGGTATAAACATGTTGTGTAATTTTCCTTAGCAAGCTTCTACCCTGGCAGCCCTTGCCTCCACAAAATCTGCTTTTATGAAAGCAGTGGTTCTCAACTCTGGATTCCTGTTAGAGTCCTGGGGGGAGAGTTTCTAAAATTTCAACACCTGAGGAACTGGGCAGACTGCTAATCTGATTTAACAGATGGAGATCTGCCTAGGCATTGTAGCCCAGTTACTTGATCCGGAAGACAGAGCCTCAGTCTTTATCCAGCGGCTGATGTCTTTAAACCCACAAATATTGCACACCTATTACGTGTTGGCCACTCTGCTAGGAATATGGGGATGTCAAGGTAAAGGCTAGGGTACCTACCTTCAAGGCGGGCTCACACTCTGTTAGAGAGACAGACAGTTCAATGTAGCAAGATAAGTGCTATGAGAGAGAATTGCATGGAGTGGCTATGATGGCATAACCCAGGGGAGAGGTCCATGAAGGCTTCTTAAAGAAGGCAGGAAGGAGCTGGATCTTGGATGATGAAGAAGAACTGTCCAGGTGAAGAGAATAAGGATCAAGGCATTTGAGGTAGAAGAACAGCATCTGCAGACACAGAGGCAGGAAAATGCGTAATAGGTTCAGAAGGCTGCAGGAAGTCCCTGGTGGGAAGAGCAGGGGCCTGGAATTGGACTGCCAGGGTTGAAACCCCAGCTCTGCTGCAGCTTTGTCACCTTTGTCATTTTGCTTCTCTGAGCTCCAATTCCACCTTCTACAGCATACGGATCATAATGCTTGGCTGGTTCAAAAGGTAGTTTTCAGGATCAAATGAGATCATCTTCGTTAAGCACTAAGCATGGTATTGGGCACATGGTAAATGTTTAATAAGTGTTGGCCATTATTGAGGAAGTGTTACTGTTTGGTGAAAGGGCCATGTACACAAAGTGGCTCCCAAATGCAGAAGGAGCTGAGCGACAAAGAAGTCCAGTGTGCCATTGGAGGGTGATTTTACTGGGGAACTTATGGACAGAAGTATGGTCTTGGGTGGCTGCACCATTACCCCTCAGACCAGGGATTATATACCATAGGGAAAGGGTACACGTGCTTCAGAGGGAATGGGTAGGAATTTGATCTAAGGGCAGGATTTAAGTCAGTACAAGTTTATCAAGGATGATTTTATGTAAGGGCAGGATTTACAGTAAGTTTGTGCTCTTACACAAGGAACAATACTTAAACTGGAAATTTCAGAGGCATTCCTGTAGCCAGGGTTAAGCAGAAGTCAACATAGTGCTGTGTTAGCCTCCATAGTTACCTTTCTGGAAGGAGAGATTGACAGGGGCCTTATATTCTCTACTAAGATGTTTTGATTATTTAGTAGGTAGTATATAAACCAAGAAAAGTCATGATGAGACTTATATTTGAGAAAGGTTATGTGGGCAGGAGAGGGCAGAATAGACAAGAGGAAGGAGAGCAGAAAGAAATCAGTTAGGTAACCATAATCTCTTCCCACAGTCGAGAGAGAGGTGATGGCAGCCTGAAGTTCAGTAACTACAGTGAGGATGAAGAGTCTAGACCAGAAATATATATATAGAAGACAGGACTAGGCTTAGTGACCTACTGGATGTGAGAAGGCAGGGGAGACAGAATCCGACATTACCTGATTGCCATCCCCAAATCTGCTCCTGAGTTCAGCTGGGTCCTGCAGACCCAGCCGTCATGTCTTCTCCAGATGGGCCTGTCATTGCTGCACTTCATGGCTCCCAGGGACTGACTTCCTGAGGTTGAGAAGGCTGTGGAGGAAGAGTACAAGGGCCTCTTGTTTCCGAAGCTGGATGGAGGCTGCACCTCTCCCGAAGGAAATGAGCTCAGCTTCCCCAAACCTCCCTCCTGCAAAAGAAATCTTAAGTTTAGACACTTGGAACCTGCCCCAAGACCCTCACTGACATCACCCTTAGGCATCCGGATAGCTTGTTAAAGCGTCTGGTCCAGGCCCATCTCTGCCTGGGGAGGGTTGGCCCACAGGAGAGAGGTGCTTTGCAGAGAGGAAATGGCTCAAACCAGATATCGCTTTGTTTGTTTTCCCTGTGAAGAAAAGAGACCATTTTTTTCTCTCCTCTTTTATTTTTTAGGGATCAGGGAGATATTTTTAATTCCTCTAGTTTCCTGCTGTCTACAGGTGTTTCCTATGGTGTTGCTGTCAGAAAGGACAGAGCTCGTCACATAATCAGCTTTGTTCCTGAGATTATCAAAAAGTCTCCCTGCTATGACCTGCGTGTGCCATCCCAAACCCCCTCTGGGCAAGGTGAAGGGAACACACCACTGCTGCATAACCTGCTCTGTGCCCTCCACCAGTCACCCTGGGGGGCAAGGCAGGGCTCTCTCTTAATACCAGCTGATAAGAGGTACAAAAGTGGAGATTAGGAGAGCAGGAAGCCCTTGGTCTCCAACAATACTCTGTGGTTGTTGAGTTCCTAGCTACTGCTAGGCAGCTCCAATAGAATCTTTGCTTCTCATACATAAGACAACTCTCCCATCCCAACCAGAGATGACAGCCCTGTAGAACCCGTGAGGATGCCTTCGCTATTGAAAAGGCAGAATACTTGTTCATTTAGGCAAGAAAAAATGTTATACATAAACTAAAACTTTGGGAAAAACACCATGTTCTACTTGCACCAGAGAAGCCCATTATGGGAAATCCTCTTACAAAGTGAAGAAACTATTAGTTAAACAACATAATCTCTCTAAATGTATCTGTTTACAATATACATGGATTTATGGAGCCTCACATCTGTCTTTTAGAAGCAACAGAACAAATATTTATTGAATATTTTAATTATACAGCCTATCTTTTAAAACCCTCACAGACATTCTGTGAGGTGGGTATTGTGGACTCATTTAAGAAACTACGGCTCAGGATGGTTAAGGGGTTGAGTAGCTGCTGAGGCGCAAGCGGAGGACTTGAACCCAGGTCTTTTCAACCTGTCTCGAGTTCTATGACATAATCCTCCCTAGAATTCAGTGAGGAGGTAATGATACCTTTGATATTATTTCATAGTAAGAACAATGGTATAATGATATGCATATAATAATTAAAAAGAAATTAATATATTAAACCAAGAGACACCTCCTTGTCGGGCAAATGGAATGCTTTTACTGGAATAAAATGCAGCAGGCAAACATTTTCTCCACTATTGAGGTTCTTCTTTGTTTTCCTTTTTTAATTGAGCAAATTTTTAAAATCAATAGATTGCATTTTATCTGAATTTTAATCTTGTTTTGAAAAATCAGATCATTTGGTGACACTGGGCCTTGAATGATCTTTTGAAAAATGACCCAATGTAACACAGGTAGACAGTGGGCTAGAGCTGAGGAACAGCAGCTCCATTCATTTGGATGGGGACAGGACAGGACGCCTTCCACATAGTCATTTACATTGCCTGCCCACCATCTAAAGGCACTGGAGTTAGCAACGCCTCCTCTAAATGATGGGAGAGGGAGGCATGGAAACAAGCTACAAAGCTGGGCCTGGATGAAAATGGGTCTTGCACATTGGGAAGCTCTCCCTTTTCCATCTGCTCTAAAGGGGGTCATTGCTCCCAAGAGTCAAGCTGCAGTCTCAAAATAGGAGCTGCTGTTCAGAATTTACATCACTGACACAGAGTAGAAAGAGAGTTCATAGAAGGGAGGATAGCTGTGTCTTGGTAAGAGTCAGACTGGGACACATTTTGAACCCACCTTCACTATGCCAGCATGTGACCCTGGTTGGGAAAGCCACTTTATCTCTATGCTTCCCTGTTAGATGGGACTGATAATACAATAATATCTACTTCATAGGGCAAGTAAGAGGATTAAGTGAGCCAGTGTCCATGATGTGCCTTGCACATAGTAAGCACTCAATCTATAGATGTTGATTCCTGTCCTGCTGGTTTTTTTCGAAACTGGTGAATACATGACTCCTTTGGAGATACAATCTGTTTATCACCAGGGATATAGATGGATCTATGCTTGTTTGTCCAAGACCTACAGAAAATCAGGGGTGTGGGGCCTAAAGAAAATCACCTATGTTCCCATTCTCTTTCTTTTGTCCTGTGATTTGGATTTTTAAGAGTATATGCTGAGATGACAGGGCCCATTTTGGCTTCAGATTGATCATTTGCTTGAGCAGAAAGCAGTTGCCAATAGCAAAGGGACAGCATTTTTAAAAATATGTTTAGGGCTGGCTGCAAATGGGGCAAATTGACCTAAATTTTGGTAAGCCTCATACTTCCTAAAAACAGCTTCAAGGTGCATACATTTAAATTTAGTAATGAAATATCCTTATGGGATTATTAGTAATTTCACCTCCTTCCTCCCCTCCCCTCTGGGCATCTGTGCCCAGTCCCCAGACACCCAGGACTTGGTTTTGATATGCTGAGCAGATGGACTGCTCACTGCAGCGTTGTTTTCCAGGTATTTGTTCCCCTGCTCAAATCAGACGTCCTGGAGAGCAGAGCTTAAAATTCTCATTTCAGCATTAAAATTTTTTTTCTTTATTTGATGTTTTCCATATTATATATCTTGACAACTTGCTTCCTTTTCCTTGAAAATATATCGTGGACAGCCCTACAAAATCAGTTCTAGTTTACTCATGCACACACACACACACACACACACATGCACGTTTTATTTTTGTTTTAATTTTTTAGAGACAGGGTCTCACTCTGTCACCCAGGCTGGAGTGCAGTGGTGCGATCCTAGCTCACTGCAGCCTCAAGCTCCTGAGCTCAAGTGATCCTCCTGCCTCAGTCTCTCGAGTAACTGGGACTACAGGTGTGCACCACCACACCTGGCTACACACACTTTTACATAACTGAGATGGTATGAGACACACTGGGTTTATGCAGCAGTGCTTTTCTTTTGGTTTGCTTCCACCAGATCAGCCCCCCTCCCTGTGTCCAGCCTCCAGAAACTTCACATATACCTTTCTGTAGGATACTTTACATTCACATAACTATATAAAAAATTACATATACATTGTGAGCATATGTGTACATAGAGATACACACACAAGGGGTAAGTTTTCTGGTTGTTGATTTATAAAACTAGTGTTATATAAACTTATCTGCATCTTACAATTCTCACTTTACAATTTTTCCTGGAAGTTGGAGTTTTTTTGTTGTTGTTGTTTGTTTGTTTGTTTTTTGAGATGAAGTCTCGCTCTGTTGCCCAGACTGGAGTGCAATGGTGCAATCTTGGCTCTCTGCAACCTCCGCCTCCTGGGTTCAAGCAATTCTCCTGCCTCAGCCTCCTGAGTAACTGGGATTACAGGCACGTGCCACCACGCCTGGTTAATTTTTTTTTTCTTTTTTTTGGAGAGACGGAGTTCCACCATATTGGCCAGGCTGGCCTAGAACTCCTGACCTCAAATGATCCACCCTCCTCGGCCTCCCAAAGTGCTGGGATTACAAGCATGAGTCACCATGCCTGGCCTAGTTCATTCTTTTTAATGGTTTCCTAATAACCTGTTATGTGGATGGGCCATAAACCATTTCCCTTTTTATGGTATTTTTTTTTTGTCTCTAGTGTTTTGCTGCTGTAAACAGTACTGCAGTTAGCCCCCATGGCTGTGTACGCTAGCATTTATGTCTATGGGGTAGATTCTCAGGAGTGTAGGGTGAGCTGAAGGGTTTGTGTAATCTAATTTAATCGATGTTGCCAGATTACTTTCCCAAAAGGCTGTAACAAGTCACATTTACTCCAGCAATATATCAATATATGAGGGTTCCTTATCTCCATTTCCCCAACCGCAATTGCTATTTTCCCTCCTCTCTCTCTCCCTCTCCTTCCCACCGCCCATCATCTGATAAGCATAAAAAGAAATCTTAGTGTTAATTTAACTTGCATTTCCCTGACAAGTACTATCGTAAGTTTGAGCATCTTTTTATGTTGATTGGCGTTTTGAATTTGCTTTTCTATGAATTGCCTATTTATATCCTTTGTTATGTATTGTTCCTGTCATTATGCGAGAGTGCTTTATATAACAGACATTACCTCATTTTCATCTGTGTTAGAATACTTTTCCAGGTCTCTAGTTTTCTCTTTACTTCTTTGATAGTATTTCTATATGTAAATAAGTTTTACATTTTCCTTTATAGTCAGGAGGTTTTGTTTCCTGGGGTTTTAAAATTTTAATAGTTTCTGGGAGTTTTCCCTTAGTTAAAAAAGGGAAACATTTATTTTAACACCTTTTTGGGCACACTCTACACTCTGCCACTGCATCCTATGTTTCAACTAAGTAATCTCAATTTGCCTTCAGAATGCCATGAACTGCAGAGCCAGGCGTGGGAATCCAGCAAAGCATGCTGGGAACTGTGATCACAGGCTCCCCTTGGACCACGTGTCCATTCCCTGGCCAGATCTTACAGCTGATACCAGTCTGGAATTTTTCTAGCTCCAGCTTTTAGCTTCTGTCATCTCTTTCCTCCCTTGTCAGCCCCCTCCCCCATTTGCTCCTTAAATGGAAGTTTTCCTTCCATTTTCTCAGCTCTCTTCTATATTTTGCCCTTCTCTCTGGTGGGATAGATGTGGAATGTCCCTGAACTCGCCATGCCTCTGCTCCAGGGCCTCCCAGGGTTACAGGGTCTTTTCCTGCCATCTTAGCCAGGTCACTCACCCTTCCCTGGACATTGAACGCTCTCTCCAAAAGGATGTCTGCATCACTGTGAGGGCTGCCCACGTGCCTCTTTTTTGCAATCTTGGTTTGCACGTAAGAATTCAGGACAAGTGTTTTCTCTTAAACTCCTCGTCATATTTACCCCTTCAGGATAGATTCCAAATACCTTGGCTCCATGCTTAATAGCTTGCATTTGTTGAACACTTGTCTGTGTGCCAAGCTCTGTGTTAAGCATTTTACATGTGCTCTCTTGTTTGACGCCTATGATGTTAAGCGTTCCTATCCTCACTTTTAGATGAGGCCCCTGATGCTTACAGAGGTTGTTACTTGCCCAGGGTCACATAAGGAACAGAGTGGAGATGTCAGTCAGACACTCCATCTCCAGAACACTGTCTATAATCACGTTTTGATCACATCTGATCCCCATCCTTACCCCATCACTTCTCCTTCCTGGGCCCATAGCCACAGCCACACTTAACAACCTGTGCTGCTCCTTGGGCTGTGAATCATGCCCCCTAGAGTTACAACCTCTATACCATTGGCTCCTTAATTCACTGTTTTGTTTTTTTTTTTTTAGAAACAGGGTCTTACTCTGTTGCAGGCTGGAGTGCAGTCATAGCTCTCTGAAGCCTTGAAGTCTTGGGCTCAAGTGATCTTCCCACCTCAGCCTCTTGAATACCTCTTGAATATGTAGGACTATAGGTGCATGCCAGCATGCTGGGCTAATTTCTCTATTTTTGTGTAGCAATGGAGTCTCATTTTGTTGTCCAGGGTGTTCTTGAAGTCCTGGCTTCAAGCAATCCTTCTGACTTGGCCTCCCAAAGTGCTGGGATTTCAGGTGTGAGCCGCCGTGCCCAGCTTTAATTCACTCTTGCATTTGATATACCCTGGTTTCATATTTCCCTAACTGGTCTGTCAACTTCAATACAGAGGAACTTAATTTCTCTATAAACTCCTCCCCACCACCAAATTGTTGGTTGATTGTTTTTTATTTTTCAGGAACTTCCTTTGGCCTCCACCAAAATGAGGTTTAGCTAAGAATTCTGTAGGGACACTGAATCTTCTTAAATCTCATTGCTTTCAACTAGGGGCCTAAAGAAGTCCCTGCTTGATCTTGACTATCAAGCATGTTCTATCCCCAACATGGGCCTGCCCCTAACCACATTAAGTAAAATCAGTTGAAAATAGGAATAATACATATTGGGATTTCCTTATTTTTAAATAAACATTGGTTTATAAGGCACTTACCATACACATTGTGACTTATCTTCATTATAATCCTATGTAGTAGATATCATCCCCATTTTACAGAGGAAGAAAATGAAGTCGAGAAAAGATAGGTAGCTTGTCCAGGGTCCCTGCCGTGAAGTGCAGGTCTGGGACTAGACCCTGCACTTCTAACTCCACATCCTCCCCTGGTGGAGTCCCTGGTTGAGGGCCTAGTTCTGGATCTTCCATGCCAGCCTGTGCTTGGACGTTAGGCTGATCGCAGACAGACAAGCATGGGCCAGTCTGGCCTCACTGCCAGCACTGTGCTGACCCTGGGGTGGAAATGAACACCATTTCTGCTCTCTGCTTTCTGTAGGGATCTAGAAGGTCCTTTTGCAATCCTGGATCCTCTCTGGGTGTAGTGGCTGGAAGCCACTAAGAGTGGAGCCACCTCTCCTGCAAAAGCCACAGCAGCCACCATCCTGGGCTCCTGGAGGCCACTAGGAAGTGGATGTGGATGTGCTGAGGTGGTGGGATAAAGTACTGCCTGGGCTGTCCACAGTTCCGCTGTCGATTAATATATATAAAATCTTGTGAGTCATCTGCCCAAATAACTACACAAGGAGCAGATTGGCCAGTATCCAAAAAGAGATTCCTCATGCCTTTGGTGGAGGATAGTACAGATGCTGATGGGAGTGTAGCAAGAGAAGATTGGCTTATTTGTATCTTAGATCTTGCATTCATTGCTTCTTGGGCTGAGGGGCCATTATATTTCTGTGCTCACTATAAGGAGGACCCTTCTTGGGTTTCCCATGAGGAATATAATGCACAGATTGATCTGTGCAGCAACCTTGTATGTTAACCTCTGCTTAGAGTCTGGGAGCCCCCTGAGGGAGTGAGGAGTGCCCCAGTCACTCACCCTAGGGGATTAGTGAAAAGCCCTGTCTGTATCTATTCCAAAAGCTTCCCTAGATGACCCATTCTATTCTTAGAGCCCCTGCTTCCTGCCTTGACCCTTCCTGCTTCAGAACCATGAGGCTTTCAAGCTGGCCAAGGGGCTGGGCCTGTGCCCTTGCTGTAGCAGATGGCAAAAAAGTAACAGGAAAGAAAACAAAATCTTCATTCCATCTTTTATGACTTTTCTGATGAAACCAAAGTGAAGGTTATTTTTTCCCTAGCTGGGTAGCAGCAATCCCCTGGGGTGCTGGGGGATTGGGGTGTGCAGGCAGCACACTCGTGTGTGTATGTGGTATATGCAGGCTGTCTTGATCTTGCTGTCTCTCTCTTTCTCTCTTTCTCTTTCTGCCTCCTCATTTCTTTTTTTCTTCTCCCCGTTCACAATTATACTTCTTCTGGCCTTGTGTCCCTTGATCATCTTGGTCACTGTTCTTCATTACCAGTTTTTCATCCACTTTCCTCTATAATTGCTTGTGGACACCTCCTAGGCTATTTGAGCCATGCCATCTGCTTTCCAGAAACTCTCCTTTTCGAAAGAACGGCTGGCCTCAGCTTGCTAATTTGGAATAAAAGGACCGTATCATATTGGGCATTTTATTCCTGATTTAAGAAAGGCAGGGAGTTCCACTCCTAAAATCTTCTTAGGAAGGAAGAGGAGGAGGAGGGATGGGATTCTTTACTTGGAAGAGCTGAGTGTGAAGATGTTGGGGCTGTAGCAAGCGCTGGGTTTGCTTGGCATCCCTGAGTTCCCTGGCCGAGTTTCTTGCGATTCTGCCTGAACTTATTTAGGTTATCCATTATCCACCTCTATTTTCATCTACATAAGAAAGATAACCCAAGTTTTCCCAATTTTCTTCTTACGTTATGTTAAAAATGAAGAGCAAGCCAGCAGCGTGGGTCTTAGGAAGCGTCCTTTGCAAGCCCCTCATCTCACAGATGAAGCAGAAGGTCATCAGGGCCAGTGAGTTCACGCCGCTCCTCTGACTGCTGGGTCAGTGGCCTCGCCTGCCTCCCAGCTGCTCAGCTCTTGAAATGACTCATCTGGATCTTCCCTTCTAACTTTGCAGGACAGGGCTTGTCTGCTCAGAGACTTAACCCCGTAGTCCCACTCCCTAGACCATTGTGTTCCCTGGAGAACTACTCAGGCCATTCACCCACAGAAGCCTTTGAGAGCCCCTGCCCTCACTTGAGAAATTATCCCCATCAGGCCTAGACCTGCAGGGGCAGGCACAGCCCTCAAACTGTGGCCACACCCCTGAGGCCAGCTGCACTAGCCAGCTGCACTGGACTTGCCCTTTATGGCCCCTTCATACCATACGCCTGGGTAACGGCAAGACCCTCCCCAACCTGCAGAAGCCACAAGCAGTCTTCCCTCTGAAGGCTGATCCTGACCCATTACCCTACCCCACAGCCTGGAGACATCCAAATGACCCCAGCACACAAATGGCCCTTCTCTGAGAGAGTGTCCTCATGGCTGGAGGCCAGAATCACACTCCAGCTTGCTCTTGTGGTTCCAAAGACTCCCATTTGTAAATTCCTCCGACATGAAGATGCAATGCCAGCCCATCTGCTCTGCCAACCTATTCTGCAAGATGGGAATGAAAATGACTTGGCAACAGCAGATCCCTGCCACCCCCTTAGAATTCTTCAGGGCCAAACTGGCAACAGCCTGGTATCTCTACGAAGAGTGCAAGGGAGCCCACATTTTGACTAACACCTACTGTGTGCCAGTTGGTATCTTAGGTGACAACAACAATAGCTAAAATGAGGGGAGAGCTTATTATGTGCCAGGCACTGTGCTGGGGCTTTATATGCAATATCTCATTTGGGCTTTATCACAATTCTAAAAAATAAGTGCTATTATAAATGTTTATTTTACAAGTGGGGAAACTAAGGCTCAATAAGGTCAAGTGTCTTGCCTAAGATCACACATCTAGTAAAAGGCAAGGTCTGGATGTGAACCCAAACTGTCTAATCAAACACCATCTCCTAGTATCCCCATGACCTTGTAGGGGGTGTTATTATCCTCATTTTACAGATGAGAGTCTGAACAGTTAAGTCAATTGCCTAGGATCCCACAACCCGTCAATTACAGAGTGGGATCCAAACCTGGTCTTGCCAAGCTCCAAATTCTGTGCTGTCTCCACTATCTTGCTGCATGAGTCCTGGCAGCTGCCCTGGGCTGGACAGGAGTGGCTGGATGTGGCCTACTCCCAGCAGCTACCAGAGGCTGCCAGCCTCCTGCAGCCACAGCGCATTCCTGCTCACGCCCTGAGGCACACAGAGCTGGCATCCTGAGACCAAGCCAGGTTCCTAGCCCTAGGGCAAATGAAAGACCTCCTGCAGCCTGAGTGCACCTCAACTTTTGTATTTGAACTATCATGAGCACTTTAAAATGTTTTAATCACCTTTTTGAGGTAAAATATATCTACAATAAAATTCACCCCTTTTAAGTGTATACATTGATGAGTGTTGACAAATGTATACAGTCATATAGCCACCACCACGAGATGTAGACCATGATCAAGGTATAGAGCATTTCTGGCTGGCTGTTATGGCTCACGCCTGTAATCCTTGTGCTTTGGGAGGCTGAGGCTGGCAGATCACTTGAGGTCAGGAGTTTGAGACCAGCCTGGCCAACATGGCAAAACCCTGTCTCTACTACAAATACAAAAATTGGCCCAGTGCAGTGGCTCGCGCCTAGAATCCCAGCACTTTGGGAGGCCAAGGCGGGTGGATCAACTGAGGTCAAGAGTTCAAGACCAGCCGGACCAACCTGGAGAAACCTTGTCTCTACTAAAAATACAAATTAGCCAGGCGTGGTGGCGCATGCCTGTAATCCGAGCTACTCAGAAGACTGAGGCACGAGAATCTCTTGAACTCAGGAGGTGAAGGTTGCAGTGAGCCGAGATCGTGCCACTGCACTCCAGCGTGGGTGATGAAGTGAGACTCTGTGTCACCAAAAAAAAAAAAAAAAAGAAGAAGAAGATATAGAGCATTTCTATCACCCCAAAAGACCCTTCACACTCTTTACAGTCAATTCCCTGCCCCCACCACTGGTCCCACGCAATCAGTGATCTTCTTTCTGTTATTATAGTTTTGCCTTTTAAAGAATGTTATGTAAATAGAACCATACGGGAAGTCATTTCTGTCTGACCTCTTTCACTTAACACAATGCTTTTCAGATTCATGCATGTTGCTGTGTGTATCAGTAGTTTGTTCCTTTTTATTGCTGAATAGTATTCCATAATGTACGTATAACACAATTTGTCTGTCTACTTACCCATTGATGGACATTTGAGTTATTTCTAGGTCTCAGATATTAATAATAAAATTTCTTTGAAGATTTGTATACAAGTATTTATGTGAACATAAGCTTTCATTTCTCTTGGGCAAATACAAGTAAGATTGTTGGTAGGTGTAGTGTAGGTGTATGCTTAACTTCACGAGCAGCTACCAAAATATTTTTCAAAGTGACTATACTGTTTCACATTCCCACCAACAATATAGGAGTGATCCAGTTGTTCTGCAGCTTCACCGTCATTTGGTATTGTCAGTTCATTTTAATTTAGCCATTCTTGTGGGTGTGTAGTGGTATCTCTTTACAGTCTTAATTTGTGTTTACCTAATGACTAATGTGCTTATTAGTGATTCATATGTATTTTTTGGTGAAGTGTCTGTTTAAATCCTTTGCCCATTTTTACTATTGTCTCATTATTAATAAATTTGATGAGCACCTTTTTTTTTTTTGAGACAGAGTCTCACTCCGTTGCCCAGTCTGGAGTGCGGTGGCATGATCTCCACTCACTGCAACCTCTGCCTCCCAGGTTCCAGAGATTCTCGTGCCTCAGCCTCCTGAGTAGCTGAGATTACAGGCGTGTGCCACCACACCCGGCTAATTTTTGTATTTTTAGTCGAGACGGGGTTTGGCCATGTTTGCCAGGCTGTTCTCAAACTCCTGGCCTTAAGTGATAGGCCTGCCTCAGCCTCCCAAAGTGCTGGGATTACAGGCGTAAGCCACCATGCCTAGCCAAATGAGCACTTTTTAATCCCAAAACGTAAACTCTCTATGCTTTTCCTGCTGGAGGCAGTGTGGAGTTGTGGTTGGGAGCACAGGCTTTAATAAACCAACTGAGCATGGGTTCCAGATCTCCCATCAGTAGCTCCACAACCCATAATTCAGTTACTTGGGCTCCTGAGTCTCAATTCTCTCATCAGTAAAAAGGAGATAATTATGAATCCATGTCACAGAGGTGTCATGGGGATTCAATGAGATCATCTTAGCACAGTACCTGGCACAATAATCATTCAGTAAATTAGCTGTTTTATTACTGTTGAAAAATACATTATGAAAGCCTACTACTACTCATTCAAAACCAGTTTCTAAAGAGAGACAGTGAGCAGGAAGGAAGTGTAGAGAGAATTCCTGAGTATGCGGATGATGCTAGTTACAGAGGGGACTTGCCACTCCCCACACACAGGTCTGAATTCTCATGGGACCATGACGGAAAGCCCTGGAATGCTTTCCGTCAGCCCTGGGAGGGGACAGTAACTGTGAATCAGCCCAAGGCCCAAAGGGAGCATCCAGAGGAAAGGGTGGGTGGAAGAGAGAGGGCTGGCCATCAGCAAACCTCTGCAGGCTGAACACCCAACAGTCTTCCCTGCCATGCCAGGAGCCTAGCTGCTTTGCTCTGTAAAACCTAATAGAACAAGCTTGTCCAACCCACGGCCCATTGGCCACATGTGGCCAAGGGGGACGGCTTTGAATGTGGCCTAACACAAATTCATAAACTTTCTTTAAACATCATGAGTTTTTTAAGTGTATTTTATGTGTGCCCTAAGACAATTCTTCCACTGTGGCCCAGGGAAACCAAAAGATTGGAGACCCCTGCAATAGAACTTTCAAGTGAAGCAATTCAACTCAGCTGGATGGCTTTTGTTTCTTTTCCCTTTTTGTAGCAGGCTGGTGAGAGGAGATGGAAAAGTTTATTTTAAAAACTCAGCTCCAAGACTCCTTTTGGTCCCATTGTAGCTGAGTAGGCTTCAAGGGAGGGGGCCGCCTCATTGTAGCTGAGTAGGCTTCAAGGGAGGGGGCGCCTATCCCGTACTTTGGATGGAGCCCTCTTGATATACTAGAGACTGTGGAATCCTGCCTTGAGCATCCCTGGGCTGCAGAGGAGCCCTTGGAAGGGGCTTGGAGGCATGGAGCCTCTCCCTTGGTGACTGAAGGCAGATACTGAGACCGGACCAGAGATGTGGACTTCAGAACTGGGGCAGACACCATTCTACTATATTCATAATATATTAATTCTACCTTCTGCATTATAACTTTCTTTTCTTCAAATTTTCTCCTTGCTGAAATGGATCTGAAAATATCAAGCAGCAAACAGATATATTCAACCACTCTAGATAAAGAAACAAATTTTAAGTATTTTTGATGTGTCATGTTCTAGGATAGGTTGGGTTGTTAAAACTGGAGAAGACAGATACCCATGGATAGAGATATGGAATTATAATAGATTTCATAGCTCCAGTTAGAGACAGGAGGCTCAGATTGTTAAGTAATGGCTTGGGCAGGAGAAAGTCTCATTCTTTGCCCTTTGGTTACTATTTTAGGGAGCTTGGACAAGTCACTGAACCTTAATGAAAATATTCAAGCCTGGTATGCTCAGAGCCTCCCTGGATGACAATTTGTTTCCATTTTTGCTTCAAGGTCCTGATCTATATTTATCAATCCCTCACAATGTTGCCCCAGTGGTATTGGTTTACGGAGGCATCATTCATTTATTTGTTCATTCATTTACCGGCATTTACTGAGTACCTACTATGGGCTAGGGGATGGAGCCATGAATAACACATGGTCTGTGTGCTCAGCAATTACAGTAGAAAGAGAAAAACATGAAAAATGTGGGTATTTTAAAAGCTCTCGGGCCAGGTGTGATGGCTCACACCTGTAATCCCGACACTTTAGGAGGCCAAGGCGGATGGATCACCTGAGGTCAGGAGTTCAAAACCAGCCTGGCCAACATAGTGAAACCCCCGTCTCTACTAAAAATTAGCAAATTAGCTGAGTGTGGCACCTGTAATCCCAGCTACTCGGGAGGCTGCGGCAGGAGAATCGCTTGAACCTGGCAGGCGGAGGTTGCAGTAAGCTGAGATTGCACCAATGCACTCCAGCCTGGGCAACAGAGCAAGACTCCGTCTCCAGAAAAAAAAAAAACTCTGTGAGTTCCAGCCACATCTTCTTTCAGTTCCTCAAACACCTCCTGTCTCTCCTCCAGGAGGTTTTTGTGTAAACTCTACTCAAATGCCCTTGGCTACCTCTGGCCACCCTCTGACTAACCCTCCTTACCCCTCAAACCTCACACTTTGCCTGGATCACTTCTACTGACCTCAGTTTAAATGTCACATCTTTGGGTCAGATTTTCTTGTCACCTGCTCTCCTAAAACCCTTTTCCTCTTCAGCATTTATCACCCTAATAAATAATAAGCTGGAGCTAAGATAATAATGGCTATGGAATATATGTCTCCCCTACTAGACTGTAACCTCCATTATGAAAGGACTCTTTTGATTTGGTTCATTCCTAAACCCTGAGCACCAACTGCAGGGCCTGGAATACAGAAATAATGAATGAATGAATATGTCCAAGATGTACTAAAAAAAAAAAAAAAAAGAGGGAGCTGCCAATTCTGCCTGAATGGGGGAAGGTGCATGGTGGGGAAGGGGAGCTTCACAGGGGGTTTTCTGGAAGTGCCCAGGGTGAAACTGTGCTTGAAGGAAGCTCAGATGTCAGTTTTTCAGATTGTGCTGTCTGTATATCTAGGCATTCATAAATACTTTCTAGAACTTTGTGTAGTGTTTTGCAAATGTAGTTAAACAGATTTGTGAATTCAGTAATTTATAAAAACTTAAGCTTGTGTTCTTCTGAATCCCTTTATTTTTCTTCTGCCTCCGAATTAGACACTTCCCCTATGCATTAATTCCAAGTACAGTCAAAGATTAAGTAAGGAAATGATGTGCATGAAAAAAGTTCTGCATGTTTGCTAATAATCTAATGACTGTGACATCTAAACACTGGAAACACCTTGATTTATGGATAATAGGGCTATCTAGAATTTTCAAGGGATCATGGACAAATAATTATAGGCAATTTGATCAAGTGACCATGTAAGACCATTGGTGCAGATACAGACTGATTAAAGTGGAAAAAGTTCTTTTTTCTTCCTAGCTTCCTGCTCTGCCATTACCTTGATAATGTGAGCCAAGGCCTATTGGCCTCCACAGGACAAGCCCTAGGCTGTAGTCTGGGCTTGCTTGAACCTGCCTGACCTGTCACTTCAAGGCCAGCCCTGATCCTCTGAGAATGGGCCTGGGAACCATCAGAAATTATGTCTATTTGCAGCAGGCAGGGCCTCTTTTGGTCTCCAGCATAGCCCTTGCCCCATCTGCTCTTTTC
Source organism: Homo sapiens (assembly GCF_000001405.40). NCBI lineage: Eukaryota > Metazoa > Chordata > Mammalia > Primates > Hominidae > Homo > Homo sapiens. Next base: position 167,669,537 of record NC_000001.11, read on the forward strand.
ACTTTACATGGAGTACTAGGCAAAGTGGCTTCCTCTTTGGGTTTTGTTACATACTTTAACCAAGACTGTGCATGCAAATGGCCTGGCATGTACTCGGTGCTCAGGATGTTGCAGCTACTGAATTATTATCATTGATTTCTTCTGCGTGTGACCTGGATCCACAAGTCAAATGCAAAAATTTGTCTTGACTGATGGTCCTCTCCTGTCTCCCTCCAGTACCCCCTCTTGAGGCTTGCAGGGGCAGGGACCAGAGGGCCCAGCACCATGTCCTGCTAATGCTCACTCCTGACTGCAAGGGAGTCAGGGTTGGGAGACGCTGTAACAGGAGAGGCTACAGCTGACTGGGATGCAGACCGGGGGCTGGGTCCTTAGGAAATTTGTTCTAATCTTAGAAGGTATGCCCTGGCTTCCTGCTGCAGCCTGAAGGACAAGTGTCCCAGACCTCAGGACACACACGCACACGCACACTCACACTGTCACTTGACTCCTGCCTGGGAGGCAGGAATGGCCCCTAGTGAAGGGTACTTGTGTGGGCCTCCAGGTGGCTGTAACATACCCCAGGACTCCAGGCAATCCTGGAAAGGTGGCTCCTGGAGACCAACCACCCTTCAGACTCAGAGGAGCTCTCTGTGAAGTCAATTTTATTATTGAACTAACCAACAGTAGAGAGTCAGAGTAGTGCATAACAGGGAGATTCTGAACTTACCTTGGAGAGTAACAAATCGTACATTTACTTGTTGGCTTAGGTGAGTAAATCCATCTAAATCACCCATGCCAGCTATGAAGAGACACTTCTTTCCCACTCTTTCCCTTTGCAAAAGAAAAAAAAAAAAAAAACCACTCGAGCTGTTCAGAGGCTGCCAGACTGACAAGGTTGAGTTTGATCGGCAGCTCTGCCCCTGCATGCCTGCTGGTGGGAAAAGGAAAGAGAAGACAAAAATGGTTGTGTGTAACCCCCTGAGGCATTGCTGCCTTCTGCCTCTTCATCCCAGCACCCTCTCCATCTCCTCTGCAGCCTTTGCTCACCCTCCCTGTCTTCAGCCTCTGCCATCACCTTGTAATTTGAGCCAAGATTCACCCTCAGGTTTGTCTGACTCCACAAATCCCAAGCAGGTGCTTCAGGGTCTGCCGTGGGCCCTCCACTCTGGCAACTCACCCTTTCTGAGCACTCCTCCAGTCCTGCTCCTCCCCTCGGCTCCCCCTCTCTGTAAATGACACTCCTCTCCACCCAGAAGCCAGAGCCAGAAATCTGGGCATCATCTTGACTCCACCCTGCCCCACCCATCAGTCCCCAATTCTGGTCAGTCCTTCCTCCTAAATTGCTTTTGAGTCCTATCAACAATCTCCCCTCCACTAACCATACCCCCATCCAGGCCATCATCCTCTCTAGTTTTAAAGACTCCTGAAATCAACAGAATATTGACTCCAACCCTGTGGATCCAAGCCATCCTTAAGATCTCTACTTATTTTCAGATGGACTTATCTGCTCATGGTCACCACTGGGCCCAGTTTTCTGCCTCTGCTGAATCCCTATTCTCCGTTTTCTTATAAAGAGGGAGCCTCATCTGCTCTGCTCTGATGAATCCCTAGCGCCTGGCCTAGGGTCTGGCATGTTGTAGGGTCTCATTAATAGCCACTGAGTAGTTCATTCAATAAACTCCACATCTTGAAGCCATTCCTTTACTCCTCTAAATGTGGGCTATGCTCTTGATTCTCACTCTACATGTCTAAAAAGCACCCACAAATAGAAGGCTTCTGCACACAGTTCAACTTTTACTGAAGGTCTGCTGATACCACACAGCTAACAATTCTAAATCAAGGATTTGAGATCCTGATCCTCACAGTCCTTTCAGCCATCCCATTGCCAGAGGTTCTTTCTTTCTTGCCATTTCACCCCGGAAGGGGCCAGCCCTTATCCATTTCTCAGCTCTCCTTACTCCTGCTCTCCTCCACACTCACTCTTCCCAAATGCAGCTCCCAATTCCCTTGGCAGATCCAGACCCCACAAGAAGCTGAACCCAGTGAAAAGATCTTCTGCCACCTTCTGCAGGAGACAGCATAGTTGTCAACTTGCTCATTTTTTACCTTCCATGATAGTTGCAATGGCCTCTAGACTGGGCTCTCCACCTCCTGAAGACCACTCCTGAACCCCAGGCCACACATGTCTTACCCTGCAGCCATAGGCATCTTGCAAAAATAAATCTGTGGTTTTGCTTTTTGCTTAGAACCCTCCAGTGACCTCAGATGGCCCTCAGGCCAGAGTCCCAACTTAGGCAGCCTTTCATGCTCTGGCCTCATCTTGCACGCATGCTTACATGACAGAACTTGTCATTCCCTGAGGCTCCCCTGGCCTTGAACTCCTCAACTGTGCAGCTCCCTCGTGAGAATGACCAGCTCTGCTTACCCTTCAGGCTTGGCCAGTTTGTTACTTCCTCCTGGAAGTCTTCCCGGGTGCCTCTGGCCAGGTTGTGTGCTCCTGCTGTGCATTTCACCATGTCCTTCTGCAATCATAGCACCCACAACTCAATGTCAACTCCTCCTCCTCCTCCTCCACCTCCTGCTCAGAAGGCCTCTTGTGACCTCCCTTGCAGAGGTGGAGGCTGACACTCTCCATATTAGCACCACTCACATACTATACATTCACTTGCTTATTTGTTTACTGCCTAGCTCTCTCCACTGGAATGTGAGCTCCAGTGATAAGCAGTGACTTTCTCTTCTTCCCCACTATGTTCTCAGAACTCAGAACACATCGTGGGTGCTTGCAAATACTTGACCGACTGACTGTATTAGTTTCCTATGGCTGCTGTGACAAATGTCCACCAACTTAGTGGCTTGCACTATATGAACTTATTATCTTAGAGTTCTGGAGGTCAAAAGCTCAAGATGGACTAAAATCAAGTTTTTGGCAGGGCTGCATTTCTTCTGAAGGGTCTAGGGAAGAAACCATTTTCTTGCCTTTTTCAGCTTCTAGAGGCTGCCTGCATTTTTGCTGGTTTGTGGCTCCTTCCTCCATCTTCAAAGACAGCAATGGTGGGTAGAGTCTTTCTTGCCTCCCATCACTCTGACTCTCACTCTTCTGCCATCCTCTTCCACTTTAAGGGCTCTTGTGATAATATGGGAGCCACTGAATAATCCAGTCAGCTGACTGGCAGCCTTAATTCCATCTGTAACCTTAATTCCTCATTGCCATTTAATCTAACATATTCACAGGTTCCAGGGACTAGGATGAGGACATCTTTGAGGGCCATTATTCTGCTACCATACTGACTGACCTATCATACTTTACATACTTGCTTAATTGTCCCTGTTCCACAGTAGGCCATAGACTCCAGAGGTATAGACCATGCTCATCCTGTCCTTCTCTGTGTATGTCTCATCCAGGGTGCTTTCATTCATTGTGTCTTTAGAGCCTCACAACTATCCCGTGATAGTTGGGATAGGTAAGGCAGGTATTTTGATCCCATTTTACAGATGAGGAGGCTGAGACTGCAAGAGCTCATGTGATCTGACACTCAGGAAAGAGGCAGATCCAAGACGATGCTCGGGACTGACCTTGCGTTCTTACCAGCAAGCCTCTGAGAGCTCCCTGCATTAGGCAATGGGAGAGCATATGAAAGATAGCAATAAGCATAATTATAAGAAGAAGAGAAGAAGAACAAAGAAGAGAGGAGGAGGAAGACATGACAATGATTCCTTTTTAACAGCACTGCCTTAAAAGAGTAGCAGCAGATTCCCTCCATTTGCCCAAGGTTTTCAGAATGGATTGAAACATAGATTGATAACTATCTGCTTCCGCGTAATCCTTCTAAACAGCAAATCAGATAACTTCCCTCATCATCTCGGCTTAAGAAATGAAGTCCACATGTTGCAGCACAGCCTCAGTATAACAGCTTTCACCAAGCACTTCCCATGTGCTCAGTGGGCACTTGAGGTATGAGCTGGCACCGAGGAAGCTCACAGTGAGTGTTGGCTATGATGGCTGTTATCATCTTAGATACTCATCACCACACAATGACACAGGTATTGCCCACCTCATTTTACAGATGTTGAAACTGAGACTCAAGAAATCAAGTGACTTACTCAAGGTCACCTATATAGCTAATGAGTTCTGGAGCCTGAATTATAACTTGCATATGCCTTACTCTGGACAAGCCACATCTTTCAATTTCTCTACCTTTCTTTTTGCTTAGACCATATTGAACTAAAGTTTCCCATAGACATCATGCCCTTCCATGCTTTTGACACTTTGCGTGTACCAGCCAGCCCCTGTGCCTACAACATGCCTTCCTCCTTCTCCCCTCATGCCCACCTTCTCTCCTAGCAAGCTGTTATCTGTCCTTCAAGACTCTGCGTAAACATCACTTCCTCTGTGAAGCGTTCCCTGATTCACCTAAGCAGGTTAACTACCCCTTCTCCTGAGCTTCCATTGCAGTGTTATGCATTTCCCAATTGCAGCAATGGCCTGTTTTCATTCTGATAGTTTTATTACAAGTCTGCCTTTCAACTAGAGTAGAAGCTCATTGAGCTCTAGGACCATGAAACTTCATCTTTACATCCCCACATCTGACAAGTGTCAGGCCCATAAGGTGTTCAATAAATATTAACTGAATGAATGAATAAGTGAACAGCCATGGACTGAGTGCCCCCTCAAGCCAGACCCTTCACAGGTACTTGACATGAAACTCACCCTGTCTTCCTCACAGACCTATAAGCCCTCCCAGTGGTGGGTTGGAAGAGACTGCTCAGATGTGTCTGCAGCTGCAAGGCATGCTGGAGGCAGGGAAGGGCTGAGCCTGTGGGTGGAGGGTGCTGAGCATGAGGGAAGGAAAGTCACGAACATGGAAGTAAAGCCAATTTCCCTCCATTGGCCCCTCCTACCCACAATCCAACAGACTGGCTGTAAGGACCTGACAATTTTTAAAAATAACAGTTTTATTGAGATATCGTTTACATACATGTCACCTATTTAAAGTGTACAATGAAATACTTTTTGGTATGTTCACAGACTGTGCAACCACCACCACAGTCAATTTTAGAACATTTTCATCACTGAAAAAGAAGAAAGCCTGTAGGCTTTAGCTATCACCCCACCTCCTGTCTTCCTATCTCCTCTAGGCAACTATTAACCTACTTTCTTTCTCTCTGAATTTGCCTATTCTGGACATGTCATAACAATGAAATCACATAATATGTGGTCTTTTGTGATGGGCTTCTTTCACTTAGCGTAATGTTTTCAAGGTTTATCACATTTACTATGTATTAGAGCTTCATTCCTTTTTATAGGTGAAAAATATTCCACTGTATGGCTGTGTCACATTTTGTTTCTCCATTTGTCAGTGAATGGACATTGTATTAGTCTGTTCTCATGCTGCTAATAAAGACATATCCAGCCGGGTGCGGTGGCTCACACCTGTAATCCCAGCACTTTGGGAGGCTGAGGTGGGTGAATCACAAAGTCAGGAGATCAAGACCATCCTGGCTAACACAGTGAAACCCCATCTCTACTAAAAATACAAAAAATTAGCTGGGCCTGGTGGCACGTGCCTGTAGTCCCAGCTACTTCGGAGGCTGAGGCAGGAGAGCTGCTTGAACCCAGGAGGTGGAGGTTGCAGTGAGCCGAGATCTCACCACTGCACTTCAGCCAGGGTGACAGAATGAGACTCCATCTCGGAAAAAAAAAAAAAAAAAAAAAAAAAGCATACCCAAGACTGGGTAATTTATAAAGGAATGAGGTTTAATGGACTCACAGTTCCACATGGCTGGGTGGGCCTCACAAGCATGGCGGAAGGCAAAAGAGAAGCAAAGACACGGCCTACATGGCGGCAGGCAAGAGAGCTTTTGCAGGGGAACTCCCCTTTATAAAACCATCAGATTTCATGAGACTTATTCACTACCATGAGAACAGCATGGGAAACAACTGCTCCCATAATTCAATTACCTCCCACCTGGTCCCTCCTATTAAACATGAGAATTATTAGAGCTAGAATTCAAGATGAGATTTGGGCGGGGACACAGCCAAACCATGTCAGACATGGACTTGATATTTTGGTTCAGCTGTTTGACTTGACCCAGAGCTCTGGACAGCTGGGATGTGTGAGTATTCAAAACCCTTGTCGTGACCCTAAAAGCCATAAAACGAAACTCAGCTGTATTTATTTTTTAATTGCTAGATACCACGCACATCCATCTCTCAGGGATGATATGAGCTCAGGGTTGGGGTGAGAGTGTCTGTTAAGCTCTTGCCTTAGTAATAAAATAGCCCACCAAAATCGCTGAGTCCAGATGGTCCATTCTTGAGCAAAGAATGGCTGCAAGCAGCAAGGAGCACATCTTAGCTAGCTGGGGCTCTATCTGGGACTTCTGTATCCAAGATGGGATGGAAGGACAGGAGAAGATTAGACATCTAGGATGCAAGCCTAGGCATCCCTCAGAGTATTCAGGAATGCTGCTAGCCCCATAGCCAACATCCAGTAATAGCTAACAATTATCAAACACTTCCTACATGCTAGGCCCTGTTCTAAGCATTTCACCTACAAAAACTCATTAAATCCTTCCAATGAGCCTGTAACATAACTACTATCATCATCATTCCGTTTTACAGATAGGCAATCTGAGGCACGGACAAGTTAGGTAACTTGTCCAAGGCCATAGAACTAGTAAATGTAGAGCTGGGATTTGAACCCAGACAGTCTGGCTCAAAGCCTGAGCTCTGTGCTTCCCTTCATAGAGCAGTGTAAAGCATAGTGCACCCTCCAGGGCAGACAGTGCATCAGCCTCCTTCCTGCCATCCATGGAAGAAGGGCGGTGCCACTGCCAGAAAACAAGATGAGTGTTTGCATATTGGGTTGAACCAAAGGATGATAGATGTTAATGGCCTCATTTACAAACAAGGAAACTGAGACTCAGAGAGGTTCACACCCAACATATATCAGAAGCAAGACTGAAACCCAGATCTGACTCTGAATTTGTTGTTCTTTGTGCTTTCCCACCCCCACCAGACTCAAAATAATTTCTTTTCTTTCTTTATGCTTGTACAACAGTTGGCACATTTTAGAGACAAATTTCCCACCATCATCTCCCAAATTACACTGATAAAATCCTGTCACTGCAATGGCATTCTGGATGAACATCTCCCTCTTCTCTATGGTCCCCTGCTGGCACCTGGGAATTTGCCCAGACACTAGCCATCACTACTAAACCCACAGACCCCCACCTGGAGGACCCTCCCAGGCACCAGAGGCTGTGAACTATGCTGATTTTAAAACCACTGAAGCAGCCAGGACTGTTTCCCACAGTGTGAGAACAGCTAAACCCTGTCCGTAATATTGGGTGACAATGCCAAGTCCTGGGAGCAAATGGGAAGCCCTGGAGGTTCCAAACAGGGACACACTCCCAGGCTCAATGCCTGCGTGTGGGTCCTTTGTGTGAGTGGAGCACCTCCTGGGATTCTCCCTGGGAGCCAGTTGCAGAGACCAAGGACCTGCCATTTTCAGATCCTTAAAGCCTACAAGTGGTTAGGTAGGGGACATCTGGGACTTTTTTGGTTCTGTGTGAGATATCTGATTACATGTATTTGTTAATATATGCTTGTTTCAATTCCTCTACCTTATCTATTTCTTGCAGTTCTTCTTTACCTCTCTGTATTCTCCTCACCCCTGAAAAAGGCTGTTCACTCCTTGAGGGCCGTCACGGTTACCCCAATGCATTCTACAGTGTCTACAGATGCTCAGGAAGGGGTGATTAAATGACCCGACAATGTGGATGGGGCACGCAACATTCATGAGTGACATTCAGGATTTCTTACCCTCTATCACTTTAGCCAAAGAAATCTTCTGGCCCTAAGCCATGTGAACCAAAATTATCTGAGACAGGTCTTTATTCAGAAAGTTTATTTTGCCAAAGTTAAGCATGTGCCCCCAGGAGGCAGGTCTGTGCCTTTCGCCAAAGATGATGTTGAAGCCTTTAATATTTAAAGAGGAAAGGATGAATATTGGGGAAACAGGAAGAAATTTTTAAAAGGTGTGGGTAGATAAGAGACAAATGGTTTCACTCTTTTCAGACTTTGATCAGCCTTTCACCAGATACACAATTTACATGTGAGAGATGAGTAGAGGAAACAGTCCACCTATTGCCTCCATAGCTCAGTGAATCTGCATTTTTATATCAGAGGAAGCAATCTGATATGCATTTGTCTCAGGTGAGCAGGAGACTGACTTAGAGTTCTGTCCTTTGTCCCGCACCTGTGAAGATAAGCTATCAATTTACATTGTCAGGGTAAAATTCAACAAAACTGTTTAGGGAAAAGATCTTGAGGCCCACAAGGAATTTTCTAGTGGGAAAAATTATGAGGGGGGTATGTCGCTTTTTAATCTTTGTTTATCTTATTCAGGAATAAAGTGGGAGGCAGATTTGCCTGATGCGTTTCACAGCTTGACTTTTCCCTTTGGATTAGTGATTTTGCAGTCTGAGGTTTATTTTCCTTTCAAGCCCATCCCATCTGCATTCTACACCAAAATGCCCTCCAGGCTCCCACTGGAATAACAGGACCAGTCCCCTCACATTGAGAATGAAAGGCAGCTTAGGGTGACTAAGGAGACATCCCAGACCTCAGTCTTTGGGCCTCTTCTCTTCCCTATTCTCTGTTTCCTCTGACTTTATGCAGTCTCGTAACATCAACTACCATTTCTAGCTAGTGACTCTCCAAGTTTTGTTTCTGGCCTGAAACACTTCTCTGAACTCCAGACTTGGGTATATATTCAACCTCCTGCATTGCATCTCCACTTAGACGTCTAATAGACATGTCAGACTTTCATGACCAAGGAAGAACTATTCATTGCCCAACTAGCCCCACCCACCCCTCTCTCCCCAACATGGCTTTCAACCCAGAAGCAAATACCCCATGCATCCCGTTATCCAAGTCAAACCTTCAGGAGTCATCCATGATTCTTCTCTTTCCCTTGCTCACACCCATGCATCAGTAATTCCCAGCAGCCTGACCTTCAAATCCCATCCCCCTGCACAAGCCCTGTTCACTCCCGCACCCAATCTCAGCTGGACCGCTGCCAGCACCTGCCTCTGCTCACCCTCTTCCACTCCTGTCCCTCCTCCACAGACAGCTCCTTGATGCGCGACTCAGGTCACGTCCCTCCTTGAAACCCTCCAAATGACATCCTGCTGGTTCAAGATAAAACACAAACTGCGCGCTCTGGTCCATGAGGCCCAATGTAGCTGGCCTCACACTACCACTCGCATCTTCCCGCCCCCTCTTGTTGTCCCTGCCACCCTTCTCTTTTCTCTGCCCCTCAACCTTTGTTTCTGTCTGTGCTTCTGCTCAGAACAATTTTCCTTTTCTCTTTTCCCCAACTGGGATTCAACTCATGTGCTCTCTCTTCAGAGATGTCTTCCCACATTCCCATAAAATAAGTGCCCTGTTTTATTTTCTTCACAGCGTTTAACAAAGCGTCTTATGGTTTCGCTGTGTACCTGTTTATTGCTGAAGTAGCAACTTCTGAAGGGCAAGGACTGTCTTGTTCACTGATGTATCTCAGGGCCTAGACCAGTAAATGCCTATTAACAAGAGACTAAGTTAACTCTTCCAGTAAAGGCATAGAGTTAGTACAGCATGTTGGTGTGGAAAGAGCTTTGGAATCCAGAAAATTCTCATGCCTGCACTTACTGACTTGAATAGTAACTTACTTAGCAACTCTAGGCCCCAGTTTCCTCTTTTAGAGAGGTAAGAATTACAGAAAATATATCAAAGGCTGTAAGGACAGTGCCTCCCACATAGGAGGTACTCTGGTAGATGAGCAGGTCAAATGGACCTACCTGGTTCCCAGTCCAGAACCCTTTCCATCCTCCTAGGATAGTAATGGTCAAACATTGGGATACATTGAAGAACTAGGGATAACTAAGGACATAAAGGAAGATTCTAGAGTCATTGCAGTATTTCAGAGAGATTCTATGGTGGTCTTTTTGAAGTGATGATTTAAGCGTGGTCACACTGGAAGGGGTGATCCCCTTCAGTTCTGGAGGAGTGAAGAAGCAAACATACCTCAGACCTTTGAGGCTCTGGGCTCTGGCCTATTTCTGGTGAGAGAGAGAAACTTCCTTTTGGCCAAGAGCATAGTTCTTCCAGCCCCACACTGGGCTCTCTCACTGCATCTTCTCTTAAGCTGCAGATGATGAGGCCTTCCCTGGGGCCTTGTTTCCCTAAACCATAGCCCAAAGGCTGGGAGATACTGAGACCTTGGATGAGCGCAGAAGGTGGAGAGACAGGGCAGAGCCTAGGAAGCAGGTAGAGCCTAGTCTGGCCTGTACATAAAGGTCTCATTATGTGGATGGTCAGCAGTATCCAAACTGTGTTTACGCAACATGGCAACAGCGGAGGGGAAGTTCCATGCTGTCCAGACACAGGGGCTCCTCAGTTCTCGGAAGAAAGTCCCATAGAAATAGAAAGTAAACACCAGAGGTGATTTTCTCCTAGCCTTGGCAAAGTCAGGCCAGACAGTAACCACAGGCATGGTTTCCGAGTTACCTGGCATGGCCCAGCTGGAAGGTAGCAGGGAGGGCTTCGTAAGCAAGACCTGGGCCCAGGAAGATGGAGTACAGGCCTGCGATCTGTAAAGACAAGTGTGAGCTAAAGCAGGGCACAAAGGGAGATGAGTGCAGAAAACAGATCTAAGACATGGAAAATGGCCCAAGAAGAAAGGACAAGCTGAAGTCAAGGCAATGACCAGGACCTGGAGGGTAGATGCTGGCAGGGGAGGGACTTACATACATCTGGGTATGGTCCATGGGGGTGAGTTGAGGGTGTCAGTGACTTTGTGAGCAGGTACCCAGGCCCTGACACCAGCAGACCAGGTCGGATGGGAGGAGGAGGAGGAGGAGGAAGAAACCAACCTTAGATGAGCCCTGTTTTTGTTTTTGTTTTTGTTTTTGTTTTTGTTTTTGTTTTTTTCAGGCAGAGTCTCTGTTGCCCCAGGCAGGAGTGCAGTGGTGCAGTGATGTGAGCAGGGCTTACTGCAGCCTCGACCAACTGGGCCCGAGTGATCCTCTCTCCTCAGCCTCCTGAGTAGCTGGGACCATAGGCACACGCCACCACACTAGGCTAATATTGTATACAGATGGGGTCTCTCTTTATTGCCCAGTCTGGTCTCGAACTCCTGAGCTCAAGAGATCCTCCTGCCTTGGACTCCCAAAATGCTGGGATTCCAGGCTTGAGCTACTGTGCCCAGCCAAGTACATGCTATGTTTCAGGCTCTGTGCTAAGTACTTTATGGACATCACAGGAACAGAGAAAGAACATTTAATCCAGAGAGGCTAAGGGTGTCTCAGGAAAGTCTGGGAATAGGTAGAGAAACTGAAGTTCTCAGACCTAACAGTCAAGGTGAGGGTATGGCCTTAGCGGGACTGCCGTGAAGAGCTCCTGGCCCATGGCTGAGGTGGTATGGTGCTGAGCACACTGGAGAGGGGTTAGCAGCTGTACCTGCCAGAACTGCAAGGCAGAAATCCAGGCAAGGCATCAAACAGGCTGAGCCACCAGCCCCGATTCATCCCCAAGACCACACTTCTTCCATTGCAGCTATGCAAATCAGAGGCTAATAATAATGTTGAGATTTGTATAGCACTTTAGAGTTGCCAAGGCACTTTCACAAATGATGCTACTTAACTGATGTCCATTACTGGAGTCTCAGGAGTTGGAGTCAGATGTTTCACAGATTACCTTGTTTGGCCTGTTCTGTGTGACTCTGGCTGTCACTTGCCTTCTCTGGGTTTAATGTGCCTGGAGGGCAGACGGTAATAATCAATCAGTCTTCTGCAACAGAGGATGGGAAGTGTCTGGAGAGGGGCTGATGGTGACAGGATCTGCCAAGCTTCGACAAGCTCTGGAGTCCTTAGTCTAAAGAAAAGCCATTCACTAGGCTCCAGGAAAACAAACTCAGAGGTAATAGAATCTTTCCTTCAACCCAGCTTTTAAGCCCTAAGTGCTTCCAGAAGCCTCAGAGTTCTCTCACTTCTGAGCCCCTTGCCAAGGCTAGTTTTGGGACAGGGAAGTAAGGGAGGAGCTTTTGATTCCTATACAGCTCTATTTTTAACTGGAATTTATCTTCCTGCTCCACCAGTGATTGGCGCCTTTGAAACTGAGGTAAAGCACACTGTCAGCAGGACCCAAGCATAAATAGCAGGGGACAGAGAGACTGATCTGTGATGTGGGCAAGAAGTTAGACAGATGGACAAACCAATCAGCCAGCATCTTTGCCAAGAACAGCTCAATTAATCACACACTGTCCCCAAGCCTCTCTCTCGTTGTTCCATTCTCTGACTTCCTTATGTGGCAAGTGTGAGGGTAAAACGTGTCAAGTCTAGGAGCCCCTCCCAGTGGGGAACTCATCAGGGTGGGGCCTCGCACTCCTCGGCTTTCCCCCAGCATCATGGGGAAATCTGGCATCTTGAATAGAGGTGAATCCTTTTATATCTTTATGTGAAATCAGCATTTGGTGTTTAGGCTGGTATGGAGATGAGCTTGAATTATAGCAACCCACAGTAAAGGGGTACCTGTCTTTTCCTCCAGAACAGCTGTTCGCAGATCGGAAAGTCCATGGCCCCAGCAGTTCCTTCAAATCCCTAAACGAAGCCTTTTTTTTTTTTTTTGAGATGGAGTCTCATTCTGTCACCCAGTCTGGAGTGCAGTGGTGTGATCTTGGCTCACTGCAACTTCTGCCTCCCAGGTTCAAGCAATTCTCCTGCCTCAGCCTCCCAAGTAACTGAGATTACAGGTGCACACCACCACACCCGGCTAATTTTGTATTTTTAGTAGAGATGGGGTTTCACCACGTTGGCTAGACTGGTCTCGAACTTCTGACCTCAAGTGATCAACTGCCTCGGCCTCCCAAAGTGCTGGGATTACAGGCGTGAGCCACCATGTCCGGCCTGTCAAAGCCTTCTTCTCAAAACTTTGCCCCATTAACTTAACTTCCCTGCTGGAAGTGGCTGGGAGGTGAGGAGATCTGCCCCTCCCTTGCTCCAAGGGGACAGCATCTTAGAATGACTAAAGTTATTTACTTTGGAGGGAGCACCCAAATAAGAAAGCTCAGAGACACCACTTTTAGCACAAAAGGAGGGCCATGGAAGAGTGTGTGTGTGTGTGTGTGTGTGTGTGTGTGTGTGTGTGTGTACAAGGGAGTAAGCTCGCTGCTGGAGGGAAGCATCCTTTGTTTTTGTAGACCACAAGAGCCAGGGAAAGGCAGGATGGACTTTCTCAGACAAACTGCTGCCCAAATCCTCCCATTTTCAGACTAGACGTGAGGAGGGGAAGTGCAGGGGGAGTTCGAAGTCTGTGTAAGAAATGCTGCCACCATGGTGACAAAAGACAAAAACCTAATGTCTCCGGGACTGGACATGTAAAAAATCTTATTCAAACCAAGTGGTTATGTAGGCCTCCTGTAACAAGGCAGAAACGAACTGGCCATTTCCAGCATCACTGACTTACTCTGTGTGTCTTGGTGACAAATGGTACATGAGAATAAATGGTGTCCTGGGGTGCATCTTGGCCTCTTCAGGGAACCTGGGGGCACCTCAATGGAGGGACAGCCACGGTAAACTGATGACCACACTGGAGGCAAGACTCACCGCCAGTAACAATAACAACCACCCTTCCAAAGCATTTGCAATGAGCCAGGCCTTGTCCCAGCCCTCTGGGTATATAGCAAATCATTTAATCCACAAAACAACTGATGAGGGATGTGCTACAGCCATCCTTGTCAAGGCACAGAAAGGCTAAGCCATTTGCCCCAGGTCCCCAGGCTGGTAAGAGATGGAGCAAGTCAGTGCTTGAATCCAGGCAGTTTGGCTCCCATCCACTGTGCTATCTGCTCTCGTGTCACTTACTTATTAATTCCACAAATATTTACTGAGCGCTTCTTTACCCATGGCACTCAAGTAGGGAACAAAAGACACATATATATGTGTTTCAAGTTCAATAAAGGGCATTTGCTCACCCTTGTTCAGGAGGTAAGGAGACTCGTACACTGTCGCAGACGTTGCCCTTTGCCGGTGGGGTCCTTGAGGAATGAGAAAATTGGACCTGTACTGCCTCTGACATCCCAGGGCACCCCTCCAGGACAGAACCAGGTTTTGTTTGTCTCCAGGTCCCCAAAGCCACACCCCGGGCCAAGAGCATTGTAGATATTCACTAAATGTGATTGACCGAATTTTTTAAGTCCTTGAATGCAGGAGCCAGTTGGATAATGCTGTTAAAATACCTCACTGTCACAGCATTCCTGCTTGCAGCCACAAAACAGGTGCCTTGCATGGCATCTGGTACCCATTTGCTGATTAACTGTTTCTTCTTCTCCATTTGCCAGGAAAGACCGGCAGAGACCAATGCCAATGTGGACAACTCGGCGTCCCCCTCGGTGGCCCAGCTGGCCGGGCGGTTTAGGGAGCAGGCGGCTGCAGCCAAGGAGGTGAGTCAGGCCGCTTCAGAGCAGCCTCTTCAGCAGCGGGCAGGAGGAAAGGGAAATCTGGTCAGGCCCAGCGGAGAGGGAGGGAGGAGGCTTGGTAGTTACCAAATTAGGAAGAGAAGCCAGGGGCTGGAGGGGTTTCTCTGAATGTGAGGAATGTCTCACTGCTGCTGTGCCTGGACAGAATCTGTCCCCACCAGGGTGAGGCTTGCACTCTGGCCAGGAGGAATCAGACACAGGGCAGAGATGGGCATCTGTATCCATTTCCATCTTGATCATCCACCTATACAGACTTAGATCTCACACAGCTGTGCCAGGCCTGGACTGTGTCAGAATAAAGAAGTTCCTACAGCCAGCTCCTGCCCTGTAGCCAGAGCAAGGCAAGGCTGGGGCAGACTCCAAATCGAGAATTGAGAAAGAAGAGAGGGCTTGAAGGAAAGCACATTCAGATAGGAAACCAGGGATCAGGAAGGAAGAGCGTCCGGTGACCAGTAGAGGAAAGTGTGACAAGGGAGGGTCTTAACTTTGGAGAGATTTGGGCTAGATTTTCTTGAGTCAAGCAGTGTGAGAAGCTCATTAGAAGTGAGATGAGGGGGCCGGGCACGGTGGCTCACGCCTGTAATTTCAGCACTTTGGGAGGCCGAGGCAGGCAGATCACTTAAGGTTGGGAGTTCGCGACCAGCCTGACCAACATGGAGAAACCCCGTCTCCACTAAAAATACAAAATTGGCCGGGCGTGGTGGCACATGCCTGTAAGCCCAGCTACTCAGGAGGCTGAGGCAGGAGAATCGCTTGAACCCAGGAGGTGGAGGTTTCAGTGAGCCGAGATGGTAACATTGCACTCCAGCCCGGGCAACAAGAGCGAAACTCAGTCTCAAAATAAATAAATACAAACAAGTGAGATGAGGGAAGGGTGCCCCAAGGTGGAGAGAAATCTATCGTGGCCCCTTGGGGCAAGTGAGTACTTATTTGCCTTGCATTTTTAGGTGCACTATTTCGGGGTTTTGTTTTCCCATCTGAAAGATCAGGTTCATAATTTCTAGACAGTACAGGCATGTCATAAAGGATAAAGAAGATAGCATTGATCTCAGGTGCTGGCACTGCCTGAAAACTGAATGTGATTCAGGTCGGTGAATCTCAAGTAAAAGTGGATATTCTAGCAGGAAAGGAAATGGAGTGGAGAGGGTGAAAGTCAAAATGGGTAGATGGTAAATAGAATTAATTTAAATAGTAAGCAGGCTGTCCCAAAGACACGCAGTTCCCTTCCTCCATTCTTAAATATTCCTACACTTCCCTAACATCCTAACATTCCTAAATCCCTAAACCTTCCTGAAACCAGTTTCCATTTCCTTGCTCTTCCTCCCTGTTGCCTGATCAGTGCTCTCTTTTTCTCTGTGTGTCTGTCTGTCGCCCTCCCTCCAGACACCAGCCAGTAAACCAACCCGAAGGAAACCGCCCTGTTCCCTCCCCCTGTTCCCCCCCAAGGTAGACCTGGGCCAGAATGGTGAGGAGGTAAGTGCTGCTGTTGGGGCTCAGAGGATGCTGTGATGGGTTTTCTTTCCTCTTCTTGAGGAAAGTTTGGAGGAGGGGGCACCAAACTCATACTTTAAAGCTCAGACTCTGTGCAGGGAATTTCTCCATTTCAGAGTGAATCTCCTCTTAAATGTTTCCTGAATCGTTTACTTTGGAAACTAGGCTCCTCCCTGCTCCCTTTTACTGAGGCTCCTTTATGATTTGTCAAGGACACGAACACTATTTTCCAAGCCTGAGAATTTTAGCAAAGAGAATGGGTCATATATTATTAACAGACCCAATTCAGGAGCCAGGAAAGTTCTGTTTTATTCCCAGATCTGACTTAGGTGATCTTGGAATAAGGTGTGGAGAAGGTACCTGGAAAGGGGGCTACACTTACATAGGGCAGGACGGAAGCATGAGAAAACCCCGTGATTCTGCAGTATCCTTGTAAAGCCTGGCTATTGTTCAAGATCACTGGAAGAAAACCAGAGCGCACAGGAGGCCTCGTTGCCCTCAGATATAAATAGCCAACGTTACCAACATAATAAAGGCTCTGGTATCATAGATCATAGCCAGTAATAGGTTCTTAGCCTGCATATTCTCCTATCTTTATTTATCTAATTGTAGCTGCAGGAGTGCCTTCTCCACACCTTATGCCAGCAACCCATGAACCTTCACTGTGGTCATAGTCTGTGCCAGAAATGGATTTGTATGTTCTGTCATCTCACCTGGGAGGCCAACCCCAAAATACAGCAAGCAAGCCAAAGACAATGTCATTCCCAAATTCCACTTCAACAACCTCTTTATTCTCCCCTTCTTTTTTGGGGACCAGCATCCTGACAATAGCCATTAGGTGCCCTATGTGAACTTGGGCAAGCATCTTAATGCCTACATTTTCTCATCTATAAAGTGAAACAGCTGAAATAGATCAATGGTTTTCAAGCCTTTTTGTCAACCTAAGGCTTATAAACAGAAGCCCACAAGATAAAGCAGAAACTCATCGCTGCCCCAGGCCAAGTGAGATGGGGGAGGGGAGGCCTGGAGCCCCAAATGCTCTCAGAATACTCTCTCCCCACTGACCAAGGGTCTTATTCTTGGATGAGAACCCCAAGGAGCACAGTTTAAAAACACTGAGGTTTTCCTTGGGTCTCTTCAAGTGCCAACAATATGATTCTGTGGCTTTATGGGGTCATCAGCCAGTGCTGTGACCAAACACATACCAACAACCTCTCTTTCCAGAGAATCAACTTCTCCTTGTAACCTTCAACCTCTGGGCTCAGTGTCTCCACTGCTATGCAATGGGTTGAGGTTATGGCCACTCAGAGCTTAATGTGAGACTGCCCCCTGATAGCCTGGGCTTGGCCCAGGAGAAGTCACCACACCATACCGAATCATTTTTCTTATTTGTGAAATTGAGGACAAAATCACTAACCAGATAGATCAGGGAGGCTGGCTAGGGAAGTTTTATCCCCTAGAGTAAAAGCAGAGGGAGTTAGGCTAGTGATTGGGTTAAACAGCTCCATCCTGGCAGCTCTGTGGAAATGCATTCACAGGTTTCACCCCATGGGGCACATCACCCAGAAGTTAAATGGCTTATAATGGCCAAGGGCTGGTTAAGTCCAAGGGCGGATTTTAGAAAATCCTGCCTGGAGTGACAGGCTGCTCGCACATTGAAAGGACACTACCTCCAGGGATCAATGACTTTTCGTGGCCTTGAAATTCACATAGAAGCAGGGCGTAGTGGCTCACGCCTGTAATCCCAGCACTTTGAGAGGCCGAGGTGGGCGGATCACGAGGTCAGGAGATTGAGACCATCCTGGCTAACACGGTGAAACCCCGTCTCTACTAAAAATACAAAAAATTAGCAGGCGTGGTGGCAGGCGCCTGTAGTCCCAGCTACTCGAGAGGCTTAGGCAGGAGAATGGCGTGAACCCCGGAGGCGGAGCTTGCAGTGAGCCTAGATCGCGCCACCGCACTCCAGCCTGGGTGACACAGCAAGACTCCGTCTCAAAAAAAAAAAAAAAAGAAAAGAAATTCACATAGAAATAAAATGAGCAGCCTGCTTTGTCTGGCAGGGCTAATTGGAGGCTGCTGTCCACATTTCTCCTTCCATACTCCTGTAGCTCAGCCTGCAGAGGCTCTAATGCTGGAAACCTTGGGGGCCTGCAGGGAGGGACCCGGTCAGGCTACCCCTCGGTTCCCAATGCACAGTGCCAGGAAGGGTCATTTCATCCCTGCCCCGCTATGCTTGCTCAGGTCTGAGACAGTGGGGTCAGCCCCCTGACAGCACCTGCTGACTGCAGGGCCCCTCCTGATGGCAGGGTGACCAAGAGTTACCCCTCTCTGGAAGAACCAGCTGAAGTTGGGTGTTTAATGCAGCCACAGATCCTGCCTCCTATACTCAGAAAAGGCTGAAAAGCATTCCCATCTGGAAATTAGTCCGTAGTTTCTAGACGTGGTAATAATGTCATGTAAATACAGCTATATATATACATATACAGGGATGGAAGGCTGGTTTTTCTCCACCGGATTGTTAGTCTCAGCCGCTTGCCTGAAGCCCCTTGTTAAACCGTAAGGGAAATGATGCCACCTGCTGTCATTTCCAGGAACTGCACTAGAGGCTATTTTGGATTCTTTCTGCTTTGCAATTCAAATCAATAGGGTTTTATGGAGCATCAGCTGGGTCCCCAGTACTATACTGTGTTTAAGGGGCAGGGTCCACTGAATTTCCACAGACTTCAGAAATCAGTGGTCAGCTGGGGAAGAGAAGAACTAATAATATTACATGAAGTGAGCTTTATCAGCAAAATTGTTGCTGCAGTTTCTAAAAGTTTCTCTGAAAACCCCAGCCCGTGTGAAATTTCCCTGTAAAGCACAGAAACCAAGGGCACTTCCATTGGGGCTGGAAGCTCTTTATACTCATCCTAGATAAAAAGCTCCTTGAAAGACTGCTATAGGAACATACCCGACAGTGAAGACACATGGAGGCAGAGGCAGCAGGAGTCCTTAGAATCATTTATTCCCGCCCAGCTGCATCTTGGTAGAGGAGGCTGAGGCCAAGGGCTTCGTCTGGCTCCTGCCAAAACTAGAATTAGAAGGAGTGGGGATCCTGTAAGTCCAGCCCATGCTCTCCCTTGGTGTTGGGCTGTAAAAAGATCACGAGGAGTTCAGTTGGGTGAGCCTCCCTCCTTCCATCACTAAAACACAATCATCTCACATTATAAATATCTCAGAATCTTCCTAAGAGATCAGTGTAGTTCTTCTTATTGTTCAGGAAAATTAGTACATGGGGTCAAGGAGCAGGTCATACACATTGGTCTCCACACTATGGGGAGATCCCTCCTCTGCCTTGGCCTCTGTCCAACCACATGGAAGTCATCCTCTTCCTTTTCTTCATCATCATCATCCTATCACTGTCACCATTCTCACATGTTTGTGGGGATTTTACGCAAAACACAGAGTTAATATTTTTACATGATATGGATCCCGAAGGCAGACAAGATTCCTGGCATTCATTCATCACAAAAATATCTACAACTAACAGAGAGTACGTATGATTATGTAACACATGCATCAGCCACGGACTGCTCCTGCCACCGAGACTGAATCATGCTCATCTTTGTATGACCCACACAATGTCTGGGACGTAGTAAATACTCAGTAAATGTTTACTTGGTTAAAAAGAATATTCAGGCTGGGCGTGGTGGCTCACGCCTGTAATCCCAGCACTTTGGGAGGTGGGTGGATCACCTGAGGTCAGGAGTTCGAGACCAACCTGGCCAACATGGTGAAACCCTGTCTCTACTAAAAATACAAAAACTAGCCAGGCATGGTGGTGCATGCCTGTAATTCCAGCTACTTGGGAGGCAGAGACAGGAGAATTGCTTGAACCCAGGAGGCGAAGGTTGCAGTGAGCCGAGATTGCGCCATTGCACTCCAGATTGAGGAACAAGCAGGACTCTGTCTCAAAAAAAAAAAAAAAAAGAAAAGAAAAGAAAAAGAATATTCAAATATTCAACATTTTGGAAAATCATAATTTATAAATCATGCCATCGATGGGATTTTCCAAAATATCACTGGGTCCAGGGAGGAATTCCAGTCATACCTCTGTCATCCTGGTCTGGTTTCTTGTTGTGTGTGTGACAAACAGGATGGTAATTTTTGCCCTTTGTCTTTGAAATCCCCCAAATTGTTGATTCACAGTGTTGAAGGTCATGAGGTGAAGATCTTGCTCAGATATAGTTTTCCTTCATAACAACAATGAAGTCACTCTTCCTGGGAGAGACCTTCTGTGTTAAGGATGTCGGCGCTGACTTCTCTAATTCTGATTTGAAGATCTTGCTGTGGTGGGATGAGGGAGGGAGGGGGAAAGTTCACGTCGCCCAGGCCCTAATGAAGTATGTGGGCTACTGAACTAATGAGAAAGTGGCAACACCAACTTCTCTTCTCCTTCTGCCTGTGGCTTTTGGGTTCCAACCAGAACCCCACTTTCCTCACCTTACTTATCTGGTTGTTTTGGTTGATTTGCTCCATAGAAATCACCACCCAATGCGAGCCACCCTCCTAAATTCAAGGTCAAGAGCTCGCCTCTGATTGAGAAGCTTCAGGTAAGTGCAGAATTCATTGTCTATTGCTACCTTTTATCTAACTCCACTTCTTATCCAAAATTTGCATGACTTTGAGGCTCATAGGGGTAGCCTATGTGTCACCTGCATAATTGGCCCCAATAATCAGCCAGTGATCAAATTGCAGTAAACGATAAGGATCTCACAGCCCTGCCTGAGGGAAAAGAACTAACATAAGGACCACATCAAGCACAAGCTCATGTATTTGACATTTAGTGGTGGGGGTTGATGGGTAACGGGATACCTCAAGAGTCTGTATGGGGCTGGGCTCACCCCTATAATCCCAGCACTTTGGGAGGCTGAGGCTGGAGGATCACGTGAGCCCAGGAGTTCAAGACCAGACTGGGCAACATAGTGAGACACTATCTCTACAAAAAATTTTAAAATTAGCCAGGCATGGTGATGTGCACCTGTAGTCCCAGCTACTCTGAAGACCGAGGTGAGAGGATCGCTTGGGCCCAGGAGGTTGAGACTGTATTGAGCTGAGGTCACTTCACTACACTCCAGCCTGAGTAACAGAGCAAGCTCCTGTCTTCAAAAACGAAAAGAAAAAAAAAGAGTCTTACGGGAAAGGACACCATAGTTGCCATAAACACTTTGAAATAGCCAACGCCTCTCTCCCAAGGCCTGAATGCAGCCACAAACCATTTCAGCCCTGCATAGGGCTGGTGTTCAGTTGCTGCACACTGCACCAGTCTGGACAAATTTGTTATTTGGGAAGTATCCTGTCCAACCTCTCCACCAGTAACCCTGTGTGCCCAGAGCCCTCACCTCCCGTGCCCAGGGCTGGCTGGCTCCCTGGGACTGTAATTAAGCAGAAGACACTGGTCCTGAACTCACAGTCTTGTGGAGACAGAGCTTTCACAGGTGATATAATAAAAGGAGCTGATGCCAGAGATCTCCACTGTGGGTCACTGCCCGGCTCCTGCTGCTCAAGACCAGGGTTTCTCAGCCTTGGCATTACTCGAGCTGGATAGTGTTGTTGCAGGGGCTGTCTCGTGCACGGCAAGATGTTCAGCAGCATCCCTTTCCCACCCATTGATGCCAGTAGCACTCTCCAACAAGTTGTGACAATGAAAAATGTCTCTAGACATTGTCAATGTCCCCTGGAGGCAAAATTGTCTCCCACCCCAGATCCCAGGTGAGACCCACCATTCTAGAATTTCAGAGCAAGAAGAGAGTAGAGTGGGCCAGAGTAATTAATGAATGTTTTATGAAACACCTATGTCCTGAGCCCGTCCTTAAGGAATGCGTGGCTGAAAAGGTGGGAGGAAGATGTTCCCCGTGGGGGAATGGCAGAAGCTAAAGTGCGGAGGAGAGGCAGGCATGTTATGTCCAGGTGGGGGCTGTAGGAGAGGTTCCTGTTCTCACCCCACCCTCTGTCCAGCCACCCAGGAGAAGGAACAAGGTGCTTGTGCACCATACCTCCCATCCAGGCCCAACTGAGAGCACCGGCTCACCAACTTCATTCTGAAGGCATCAGAGGTGTCAAGACGAATAGCCACAGCCTCTGTACTTCCCAGCCATGGGAGAGCCTAGGGATTTGGATCCCAGCCTGACTGGGGGTTAAGGCAAGCATCTCTGGTTTCTGGCCATGAGCCTACCCTGTGGAGGGTGGGGAGGGCTCTGCAGTGTCTACCTGAAATTTAATTCAAACTGAGAAGCCCTGATTCCACCCGGCTGCAGGAATAGGGTGGTGCTACCTGTCACTCCAGGAGGCTGCAGGGCTCCTAAATAAGTAACAGGGGTCTCTCAGAAGGGATCCCAGAACTCCAGCACCCCTCCTAGCATCCAGCTGAGGGATGTAGCCCCAGACTCCTACCTCTGCCTCCCTGTAGCCCACCCTAGCCCTCATTCAAGTGCCAGAAACCAGTTACCAAATGTTCTGTACCCTGTAGTTTTGGACCCATTCCTTTTTCCAGTCATTAATGAGTCTTTTGGGGAAACACAACAACTTGAGAATGTGGTTTGGATGTCTAGTTGTTCAATCTCATTAAGATTGTCAGCAATAGAATGACAACTTAGCCAAATCCCACAGGAAACTTACTTCGTTGGGAATATGTGGGAGAAACAGCTAAGAAATGCGTCGCCAGCTAGATTTTCTTCTAACTATTCTACTGAATGAATTATGAACTAGGGATTTTCTTTTTTAGGATAGCCCAAAATTCACAATTCAACTTTTCTGCTATCAACATCCATTTTATTTGCAAGCAGTCTTACAGAGGGAATTTCTCTGCTTGAAATTTAGAGAAGAGCATTTCCTTTAAGGTCCAGTGAACCCCCTCTGCCATGAAGCCCTCTCAGCCATGCCAGCATATCAACCTGCACGGCAACTATGCTCCAAATCCTCCCCTGGGTACTCCCCATATGCCGCTTTTTTTTTTATTTTTATTTTTTTTAGACAAGGTCTTGCTTTGTTGCCCTGGATGGACTCAAAGTCTCAAACTCCTGGGCTCAAGCAATCCTCCCACCTCAGCCTCCTGTGTAGCAGGGATTACAGGCACACACCACTGCACCCAGCTTCATATGCTGCTTTTTGACATGGTTTGGGCTAGTATGCTATTTAACTTTCGTATTTTATATACTGAACTCTTACCATGACTCAGTCTTGTCTGTATGATACCTTCTTTATTAAGATCACAATGAAAACACTAACACCCTTCTAAACGTGTGCAATGCTTTCAAGTCTGCAAGTCCTAAAGTATACATAGGAGTTCTCCAGGACAGCAGAGTCTGGCTGGTAGGAGGTGGGAAGGTGGCCAAGGGGAGCTGGGAGGGAGAGGGTGTGAGTATGGGGCAGGAGAGAGTACACAGGGACCAGATAGAAAAGACTTTGGAAGTCAGGCCAAAAGGTTTGGACAGACAAAGAATCTGAGATTCGGAAAGGCTGTTGGACTTGCTGAAGGCCTGAAGGTCACACTGCTATTAAGTGAAAGATCCAGTATTTAAAGTCAGATCTGTCGGTATGGAAAACCCATGTACTTCCCATTGCACCGTCTGCCCCTCACACTCCATCCCTTCTCTGTGAAGTCTCAAAGAGGCTCTGTCTCCTGGTTCGGCACTGCCACAGGGTCTGCAGGACGCAGCTCTGTGGTGATTTGGGAATGCAGAGGGCAGGAGAAGCACCCTAGATGGCCTTAAAGAGGATCGGACTCTCACGCACGTTCTCCCCATGGACGCCTTCGGGCATCTGGGACCACCTGCCTCCTCCCCAACCAAACTCAAGACTCCCTGAGGCTTTCGTTACCTTTGGGTGACTCTCCCATTTGGCTGCCTTTCATTTTGATCGGGTCACACCTGTACCTTGATACCCCAAGTGGTGGCTCATACTATGGTGTGTCCCACTGCCTTCGTCCTGGAGCTCAGTGGCCTACTGTGTCCACCACTCTGCCGTCTATTAAGAGGGAACCTGATACCTGGAGGCTGAGGGAGAATCAGACCCGGTGTGAATCTCAGGGCAGATCCCTTAGCTACTTTCTTGATTGTGCAATGAGAACACAGCTGAACGTGTGGGGTTGCTGTGGAGGACACAGCTACATGTGCCCTGCAATAGTAGGCATCTAGTGGGAGTGAGTACTATTGACTCTGATGAGAAAGGGGATCACAGAGCCTGACTTCCTGTGAGATCCTGGTGCCACAGGTGCTCCTGGCAGTTGCTGCTTCGCCACTTTGTTGATAAGTTGAGCTTGTTCTGGGAAATTTTTGTTGGATCCTCGTCAGTGCTGGCTGAGCATTTTGGAATGCAGCCTGTGGCAAGCCAGGTAGCAGAGGAGGATAGAGTAGGCAATGCTTCCAAGAGCAGGCCATGATGGGACAGTGGATAATGGGTTGGGAAGTAGCATGAAAAGCCTGGTGTTACCTAGTCTCAACCAGGCCTGAGGCCAGATAACCAACAAGCTAAAGTAGAGGCTCTGATCTTCTCCCTAGTCCTATTTGAAATTGTTCATCTTTTCTTGACAGGCCAATTTAACCTTTGACCCAGCTGCTCTACTGCCTGGGGCCTCACCCAAGAGTCCTGGACTCAAGGCTATGGTGTCGCCATTTCACAGCCCACCTTCTACCCCCAGCAGCCCTGGTGTGCGATCTAGGCCCAGCGAGGCAGAGGAGGTGCCTGTCAGCTTCGACCAGCCCCCTGAAGGCAGTCATCTGCCCTGTTACAACAAGGTAAATTCTAGCTCCAGATTATGGCGGTGTGTCTGTGGAAATGTGGGCACTGGCACCCCTGAATTTTCTCTACCCTGTTGTCCTGGAGAAAGGAGGAAACATTCGGAGTTACTGTCAGAGCTGCGTGTTAACCCAAGTGAAATTTCTCCTCTCCTTTGCAAATGATCCCTGAACTAGGATCACCTTTTTCCTCGACTGACTGGCTCATCTCCCCTTGCTGTAACTGTGCCATTCAACCCCAAGACAAGCCTGGGGGATGGCGTGCTCTCTCCTTTGTGGAGAAAGGTATGGAAATTCAGGATTGATCCCAGCTGCATAGTTCATTAATGTCAAAAGCTGAACGCAAAAGCTAAAGGCCTGATCAGTGATTTGCACAGAATGCTGGGCAGCATCCCTAGAACTCCAAAACGTCCTGTCTGGCCTGGTGTGAATAGCCCTAAGTGTCCCAGTGTGGACTCAAATCATTCTTCCTGCAGCTTGCCCCAGTTAAAGAACATCCAAACTGTTCCCTTTGCAAAAATGACATGGCAGGGTGCATTTCTACAGATGCAACCCTGATCCTCTGTGTGAGCTTTCATCACATCCCTCGCCCTGCTGGGAGGAGGTAAGGATCAGAGATAGGGGCCAAGCAGGTAGCCAACAAATGTGTGCCAGGGCCAAGCAGGGGCCAAGACTTCTTGGGGTCTGGTGCCAGAGAATGCTAAATGGGTGTGGCTTAAAATTAATGATGGAGAAATGAGATCTTCTAGGCCATTCTAGGAAGTCCAGCTAGCAAAAAAAAAATCAAATGTGTAAAAACAGGGAGGACTCAAGGAAATAAACTAGTGGTAAGGAGGGGTTCAGGCAGGCTTGAGCCTGCCGGCTAGGGCCAGAGTGGAAGTCCCCCAGCCAGGGTGATGGAGACCCCTGAAGGCAGAGAGGAACCTTCAGAGAGAGCCGCATCTTCTCACAGGGTGAGGCAGGGAGGGAGGAGCTGCTGCCTGGTCATAATGCCTGGAGGCTTCAGCCTTCTGACAGCAGCAAGAGGAAGTTATTTTGGAACCCTGCTGGTCATGAGGGCTGGGGCCTTGATACCTTCCAGAGCTGGCCCAATCATGGTCTCAAGAAAGGGCTTGGGAGGCCCTGATAAACCAAGTATTCATTCCATACTTCTTAGATGGGGAACTAGGATTGACAAATACCAAAATGTAAATCAGTGGGAAAATAACATTTACAAAAATTTATTTTACACACTAATTTTTTTTTTTTTTTTTTGAGGCAAGGTCTTCCTCTGTCACCCAGGCTGGAGTGCAGTGGTGCGATATTGGCTCATCGCAACCCCCACCTCCTGGGCTCAGGCAAGCCTCCTAGTAGCTAGGACTACAGGCATGCACCACCACACCTTGTTTTGTATTTTTTGTAGAGACAGGGTTTTGCCATGTCTTCAACCAGGCTCCTGCAGCTTCTGGGCTCAAGTGATCTGCTGGCCTATGCCTCCCAAAGTGCGAGGATTACAGGCGGGCACCACCACACCCAGCCCACTTATATACTGATTTTTAAAGGATGCATCACTCTAGTAGGTAGGGTATCTGATGTGAACATTTCCATTGCACCTTTGACTAAGTCTGATAAGCTGAGAAGAGGCCTGATTCTGAGAATCACATGCTTCCCAGAGAGATCACCTTCAGGCAGCTCTGCTGGTGCTCCTGAGAAACAGCTTCTGACAGTGGTGGACCTGAGTTCTAGAAGCAAAGGAATCTGGCTGCTCAGGTTTCCCAGTATCCGCCAACTTCACGGGGGCAGGAAGGACAGAGTTAGGCAAGAGAGGAAGCTGGTCACCAGGTCTCCAGCTCAGCACCCCTGAGGTCCCTGCACCAGGGCCTGGCCGTCAGCAGGTCTCTAACCCTCTTCTCGGTGCGATTCATCTTTGTCAAAGTATAATTTTCAAAAGTACAATTTTCAAATTTTTCAAAATTTTACAGTGCAATAAAATCATAAGTTATCTTTTTTACTGGATAGGAAGCATTTTGCATCTTCACAAGATAAAAGTCTGACTCTTATGCAAAATAGAGATTTTATTCAATATGTCAATTTATGAGGAAACTTGTAAGATGGTAAAACTTAGTCAAACAGCATTTGAAGAACTGGTTATTTATAGATAATTAGACAATTTCTTTTTTTTTTTTTTAATGCAGGGTCTTTCTGTGCTGCCCAGGCTGAAGTGCCATGGTGTGATGACAGCTCACTGCAGCCTCAATCTCCCAGGCTCAAGCTATATTCCCATCTCAGCCTCCCAAGTAGCTGGGACCACAGGCATGCACCAGCACCCCCAGCTAATTTTTCTTACTTTCAGTAGAGATGGAGTCTCGCTACGTTGCCCAGGCTGATCTTGAACTCCTGAGCTCAAGCGATCCTCCTGCCTCAGCCTCCCAAAGTGCTGGATTACATGTGTGAGCCACCATGCCCGGCAAGAATTTTTTTTTAAGTGTCAGAATAAAATTACTAAATTAGACACCGAACTGATTAATGTTTTACAGTGCAATAAAATCATGAGTTTTTGTTTTTGTTTTTTACTGAATGGAAAGCATTTGCATCTTCACAAAATAAAAGTCTGCAGGTCACCATGTGATTTCACAATCCCACATGGCTCTAATCTATAATAAATAGCAAACAATGATTCGTTCTCCTGGAAAATTAAACGGTCCTTGCGTGGACTTGTGAAGCAGTGCACCAGACTGACATTGAAAGTGCATACAGTCCTCCTCTTGGCCTTTTTTTATGAGTTTTTGGATAACTTTCCTTAACACTTTCTTCTAGGTGCGGACGAGGGGCTCAATAAAAAGGCGCCCTCCCTCCAGGCGATTCCGAAGGTCACAGTCAGACTGTGGAGAACTTGGAGATTTCAGGGCGGTGGAGTCATCTCAGCAGAACGGTGCTAAGGAAGAGGATGGGGATGAAGTGTTGCCATCCAAGAGCAAGGCCCCAGGATCCCCTTTGTCCAGTGAGGGAGCAGCGGGAGAGGGAGTGAGAACCCTGGGACCTGCTGAAAAGCCTCCTCTGAGGAGGTCACCCAGCAGGACAGAGAAGCAGGAGGAGGACAGGGCCACAGAGGAAGCCAAGAACGGTGAAAAGGCCAGGCGGAGTTCAGAGGAGGTGGACGGCCAGCACCCGGCCCAAGAGGAGGTCCCGGAATCGCCCCAGACCTCTGGCCCAGAGGCAGAAAATAGGTGTGGGAGCCCCAGGGAGGAAAAGCCAGCTGGAGAGGAAGCAGAGATGGAAAAGGCTACAGAGGTGAAGGGGGAGAGGGTGCAAAATGAAGAGGTGGGACCTGAACATGACAGCCAAGAAACAAAGAAGCTGGAGGAGGGAGCTGCAGTGAAGGAGACCCCCCACAGTCCCCCTGGAGGAGTGAAGGGCGGAGATGTCCCCAAGCAGGAAAAAGGCAAGGAAAAACAACAGGAGGGGGCAGTGCTCGAGCCAGGCTGCAGCCCCCAGACCGGCCCTGCCCAGCTGGAGACCAGCAGTGAGGTCCAGAGCGAGCCAGCAGTCCCCAAGCCGGAGGTAGGTGGCCTGGCTCGTTCACATGCAGAAGGCAGTGCCAGGGCCAGTGTGTGCCTCTGTCACATGTCCTGTTCCGTACAGTCCCTTCATAAATCAGCTCGACATGCAGAAACAAAGGTGCCAGGCTCCTGCCTCGTGCCAACTTGTTGGAGAAAGGCTGTCGCTGAGGCTGAGGGGACAAAAGGACACAAAGAGGAAGTGTGTCTTCTGCTCTTGCCAACTTCTCGCTGACTTGGAGTTCTGGCAAGCTTCTGGGTGTGTGTGAGTGACCGAGCCTCGGCACGGCTCAGTAACTGAGGCCTGCAAGCATCTATGGAAGCCTGCTGAGTGCAGGAGCCTGGGCATGCTGCTGCAGGGGATCCAGAGATGAAAAAGAAAGGGGAGCTCCTTTCTAAAAATCATCTCAGTTTAGCACATGAGACCAGCAACTCTTTCATGTGCATGAACAAGGTGGAATAGGGCAGTGGACAGGGGGCATTCCCAGGGAAGCCCAAAGTGCAAGTGTAGCAGAAACAATTTGTGTGTGGATGGGACAAAAAGCTGGGGATGCTTCAGGGCCAAGGTAGTATTTGAGTTGGCCCTCAGAGAAAGAAGCTGCATGTGATGTTGGGACGTTCACTCTCTCTCAGGGATTGGGCATCTGCTGCACATGAGGAGGACGGGGTGACTCAGTCCCTGCCCTCCTGCCTGGGCCTGCATTTACTGGCCCTTTCCTCTACACCTGTCTGCTCCCCACCAGCTCCCAGGAAGCCCATCTTGAGCTCACCTATCTATGCTTTAAGAGCAGAACCAGCTCTGCAGAGTCCCTAACAATCTCATCAAGTCAGTCACCCACAATTGTTTCACCCGTCGCTTTTGTTAGTGCATTCATTCATTCATGCGTTCATTTACTCACACCACTATCAGCTTCCTGCTACAGTAGCCTCTTTGTTTGTTTGTTTGTTTGTTTTTTGTTTTTGTTTTTGTTTTTGTTTTGAGAAGGAGTCTCGCTGTGTCGCCCAGGCTGGAGTGCAGTGGCGGGATCTCGGCTCACTGCAAGCTCCGCCTCCCGAGTTCACGCCATTCTCCTGCCTCAGCCTCCCGAGTAGCTGGGACCACAGGCGCCCGCCACCACGCCCGGCTAATTTTTTGTATTTTTAGTGGAGACGGGTTTCACCGTGTTAGCCAGGATGATCTCGATCTCCTGACCTCATGATCCACCTGCCTCGGCCTCCCAAAGTGCTGGGATTACAGGCGTGAGCCACCGCGCCCGGCCTTACAGTAGTTCTGGCTTCCTGCTTCCACTTTTTTTTCCCCCTGCGTATATAATCCATTCTCTGGACAGCAACCAGCAGGTTTGGTTTGTTTTTTAGATCAACTGCTCTTTGCTAAAATTATTCGCCTCTTGTATCAGGGTCGCCATAAAAAATTACCACAAACTTGGTGGCTCAAAACAATAGAAATATACTTTCTTACAGCTCTACAGTTCAGACCTTCAAAATTAAGTTGTTGGCTGGGTTGGTCTCCTCTAGCAGTTCTGGGGGAGAATCTGTTCCTCTCCCTTAAGTTCTGGCAGCTGCCTGCAACCCTTGGAATTCTCCCTTGCCTCCTCTGGCTCCTGGTGGCTGCTGCAATTCATGGCATCTCTTGGCATCTAGATGCACCACTCCAGTCTCTGCCTCCATCTCCATCACACGGCCTTTCACTGTTACTGTGTGTCTCATAGTCCCCCTCCTCCCCCTTATAAAGATGTCAGTCATTAGATGTAGAGTCCACCCTAAATCCAGAATGATCTTGTCTTGAGATTCTTAGTTACATCTGCAAAGAACCTTTTTCCAAATAAGGTCAAATTCACAGGTACTATGGGTTTGGATTGGATGTACCCACCTCTCCCTGACTCTCCCCCTCACTGTGATCCAGCCATGCTGAGGTCTTTTTGTTCTTCCAATACAGCAAGCTCATTCCCACTTCAGAGCTCTATCCTTGCTGTCCCCTCTGTGTGGGACATTCCTTCTGATCCTTACAGGGCCGCTTCTTACCCACGGCTCAGAGCTCAGCTCAGATGGTCCCTTCTCACTGAGGCCTGTCTGTGCCACTCAGTCTAAGTGGACCTCCCTCCATCCCATCAGTTATTTTCTCCCACGATTCTACTTTTATCATAGAACACATCACTATTTGAAATTCTCCTGTGTATTTTTTAATTGTATTTCTCTACTCCTTTTCCTCACTGCATCTCCAGCACCTGCTACAGAACCTGGAACATAGTAGGTTCTTTAAAAAAATCTTTGTTGAGTGAATGAATGGATTTTAAAAGAAGACAGAAAATTGTCTGACCCAAAAGAAATAATCTCTAATGATAGAAGTACAGGTAGAAGAGGAACTGATGTGTTTAGGGGATCTCCTGGGGCCCTCACGTTATTCTCACTCACGCTAGATCAGGGAGAAAAATGTGTGAGTCCCAAAGACTCATAAAGTATGACTGAGACCCCTGGGTTAAGTTGTTAGGCAGAGGTGCTCCAGATTTCTTTAACATCTTCCATTCCAGTGCCAGGCGTGGTGGCTCACACCTGTAATCCCAGCACTTTGGGAGGCTGAGGCGGGTGGATCACAAGGTCAGGAGATCGAGACCATCCTGGCTAACACAGTGAAACCCCGTCTCTACTAAAAATACAAAAAAAAATTAGCCAGGCGTGGTTGTGGGCGCCTGTGGTCCCAGCTACTTAGGAGGCTGAGGCAGGAGAATGGCGTGAACCTGGGAGGCGGAGCTTGCAGTGAGCGGAAATCGCGCCACTGCACTCCAGCCTAGGTGACAGAGCAAGATTCCGTCTCAAAAAAAAAAAAAAAGCACAACAACAACAAAAAAACTTTCCATTCTAAGTAAGCAATCTTTACATTTAGGATTTTCTGGAACTGAGAGATTCCACCAGGTCTAGAGAAGGCAAATACATGCCCCAATCTGTTAGTCCTTTTTGAGGATGAAGTCACTGGGTCCAAGTAGTCACCTGCCAGTGGTTGCTACATCTTATTTTCAGGTTAGGAGACACCTGCCTTGCCAAGAGACCTCCCCATCTCACTGACAGCATCTTCCAATCCTGAAGGGTTGAAAAGTCACTTTGGTTGAAAAGCTAGTAGGGAAGAGGGCTGCTTCAGGGAGGTCTCAGGTAGAAGAAGTCTTCCTGCGGGAACTCCAGGAGCTCTGGGGCAGGCTCACTGGTAATCTCTCAAGCCTTGCCACTTCCGTATTCCCAACAGAGCCTTGGGCAGGGGAAGAGAATGCCCAGCAACCTCAAGAGCACTCTCCTCCCAAATAGGCAGCTCAGATGGAGAAAGAGTAGCTCCACTTCCATCTCTGAATGGAATGAGAGGAATGCTTTTCCTCTCGGTCATCTCTGAGATGCCAAACTTTGACGCCACTTAACCCAATTGCCTAGTTTCTTTCTTTCTTTCTTTCTTTCTTTCTTTCTTTCTTTCTTTCTTTCTTTCTTTCTTTCTTTCTTTTTTTTAGATGGAGTGTTGCTCTGTCACCCAGGCTGGAGTGCAGTGGCACAATCTCAGCTCACTGCAAACTCTGCCTCCCAGGTTCAAGTAATTCTCCTGCCTCAGCCTCCCAAGTAGCTGGGATTACAAGCCCGCACCACCATGCCAGGCTATTTTTTGTATTTTTAGTAGAGACAAGGTTTCACCATATTGGCCAGGCTGGTCTTACACTCCTGACCTCAAGTGATCTGCCCACCTCAGCCTCCCAAAGTGCTGGCATTACAGGAGGGAGCCACTATGCCCAGCCTAGTTTAGAGAGAGAAAGAAACCAAGGCTCCAAGAGAGGACAGGAGTTGTCCATGGTCACAGAGCTCAGTCAATGTTGACATATTAGGCACCTGCCCAATCATCAGAATAAACTGCTTACAAAGTACCTGTGCACGTGTGCATAATTTGTTTAATCTGGAAGAGGGCACTGTCTCCAGTCCTCCCTGTTCCTCTTAAACCAGGTCAAGGTCAGAATCAAAATGCCTGAGTCACTAGTGCAAAAGGAACCATCAGTAAGAACAATTACAAGGTTGACCCCTTGAGTTATGGGCTTCCTCAGGCACCCATGTCTGTCCCAGGTCTTTCCTGGATCCCCCAGAGGCAGCACACACCTCTAAGCAGTTTTCTAACCCCCTAACCTAATTCCCATCTTGTTCCTCTGTCGGTAGAAATAGATTGATCAGACAAACTAATTATGGTTGCATTCATGCAATCAGCATTTAACAAGCACCCGTTATCCCTACCACTATGTGAGATACTGGGAGTCAAAAGTGAAGAAGACAGAGGCATAAACAAATAACGACAAGGCAGTAGAATAAATGGGATTCTGCCCTAGAAGGGTGCTATGTGAAGCACAAAGGCTGGAGCAATTTGTTCTTCGAGAGAAAACAGGGGAAAGTTCCATAAGTGCGCCAAAGGCATCAGACGTGTGAAAGCACTATAAAGGGTCACCTTACTGTTAGGTTGCCCCTCACAAGTGTTTTAACATATCGTACTGAAAGAAGGAGTCATCCTGGGGATTTCAATCATAGGCAAGCTGGACGTATCAAGTCACTGCACTTAGGATTCTGTTTATAAGGAAAAGTCGCCCTGAAAAGAGGGCACAGAATCAGATACAACTCTAATACTTAAAATAAATTTAGCAAGTGTTATCTGGGCGTGGTGGCTCACACCTGTAATCACAGCACTTTGGGAGGCTGAGGCGGGCAGATCACTTGAGGTCAGGAGTTCAAGATCAGCCTGGCCAACATGGTGAAACCCTGTCTCTACTAAAAATACAAAAATTAGCCAGGGGTGGTGGCGTGTGCCTGTAATCCCAGCTATGCAGGAGGCTGAGGCAGGAGAATCGCTTGAACCCAGGAGGTGGAGGTTGCAGTGACCTGAGATCGAGCCACTTCACTCTGGCCTGGGTGACAGAGACTCCGTCTAAAAATAAATAAAATAAATACATAAATACATAAATACATAAATAAAAATTTATCAAGTGTTTCTCAAACACTCATTATGTATCCAGTATTGTGTAGGGCACTCAGCTATGCCAGAGACTAACTTACCCAAACAAAGACATTCGAAATATTTGGATATCAAATCTGAGACTTTGCTGTATTAACAATAAGTGCCGACTTCCTAATTGCCTGATTCAATTGCTTTCCAAGTCATTCCCCTTGGTTTCTCAACATTTGATTTGAAATTCTTTTCTCCCTGAGCTGATGAAATACATCCTTCTCTTGAGAATCCCCTACCTTTGTAACTTTGTAGTGTTAACATTGTTCTTTCTTTCTTCTCCCTCCTGGTTAACTGGCAGGTCAACAGACTCAGTTCTTGGCCCTATTTCTTCTCAGTTCTTTTGGGGACACACTCCCTGCATTCCCACCTCAATCATCCCTCAGACACATTAACTGTCCTTGCCAGAGATCCCTCTGTCTCTCCTCCTTTTCCCCTTTCCCACCCACCGCTCCTCCTTGACCCTCCTCAGCCCCGAGCATGACCAGCGCTTTGTGGGAGCTCAATCAATAATGGAATTGTGACCAGGCACAGTGCCTCACACCTGTGATCCCAGTATTTTAGGAGGCCGAGGCATGAGGATCGCTGGAGCCCAGGAGCTGGAGACCAGCCTGGGCAACATGGCACAACCCCATCTCTATGATGATACCAGTGCTAGCCTTTCTTTTCTATCTCTACAATCACAACTCATTCCTAACAGAATTCCTGGTTTCCAGACTCACCCTACACATCAGTGACAAATGCCTCTTCCTATAAATACCATAGGTTGTCTGCTCTCCTATCCCAAACCCTTTGATACTGCCCACTGGAAAATGGAGTTCATGCTCCTCCATGGGCTGGGCTTTGCCACATGCCTAACCTTCACTGTCTCCATGCTCCCCAATAGTGGGGCCGGGGCTCCAGCCAGCCTGCACCCTCCACCATTCTGCATTAGGCAAGGCATCTCCTCACCCACTCCCACAGCCTCTTTGCCCAAATGCCTGCACTGCCAGCTGAAATTGCCTGCAGCCCACTTTAACCCAGCCCTCACTGGTACCTGGAAGTCCTCTCACCACACCTCTATCTTCCCCTCCACAAGCCTTTTCTGATTGCTCTGAGGACAAATGCCCCCCTGCTCAGTATAATCCACTAGGATGGTCCACATCACACCCCACCTTGTACTGTGGTTACATTCCCAAATGTTTCCATTTCTCAGCAAAAGAACTGATGGGGACGAGGCTGGAGTCCTGGTACAGCTCCTAGCACAGAAGGATCTCAAAGTAATACCTTCGGAATGACTGTTGAATAAATAGCTACTTTACTGTCCTTTTACTCAAGTATTGGTCTTTTATTTTCAACTCTTTCTGTCCTTTTTCCATTTATATGCTGCCTAAGAATCTTGAGCAGTGTTTCAGGAGAGCACATTGAATGGGAATGAGTGAATAGGTAAGAGGCCAAGATAGAGGGAACTCAGGCATCAAGGGTGGGCAGGGTCACTTAGTACTGGACAACTCAAGCTCTGATCCCTGGGTTAAAATCCTGACTTCACCACTTACTAGCTGTGTGACCTAGGGGAAATAACCTCTCTGTGCCTTCATTGCCTCACCTATGATAGAGTTAATAAAAGTAACTACCTCATATTGCTTTTGTGAGGATTAAATAAGTCAATGCATAAAAAAAACTAAGTTGGGCACATAGCATTCTTATGACTATCATTCTTACTATTACTCCTACTGTTACTATTATTGCCAGATCCATCATCCCCAAGGAGGGATGCTGAGTGTCAGGATTTCCTCACCATTTTCCTAATTAATTCTTTCCTCCCCTGTTCACAGGATGACACTCCTGTCCAGGACACTAAAATGTGAAGAACAGCTCATTGTGCCCCAGTGATGAAGTTGCTGGACACATCTCTTTGCAGGTAGCAGCAACAGTTGTAGCAGCAGCAGACGAAGCCATTGCAGAGGCAGAATATGCTGAGTGTCTGGAGTCAGCCTGAAGACACAGGGTGGATTATTTCCTGGCCTCCACACCAAACGTTCCCTTGCAGATGGAGACTGAATCTGAGGGCAGCAGACTTTTATCAGCTTGAGTTTATGTCATTTGATGGACTTGGTTCAACAACAAGAACTTACTTAAAACAATGTACTGTGGTGATGAGTCCCAGGGGCACTGGTCAGCCTGTGGAGCCCTGGATGCTATCCACACCCACCTATCCCTGCAGCTAATTTAGCTGATCTCTAATTTAACTGAGCTCTAATTTAGCTGATCAGATTTTGCTTGGGTAAAGTTCCTTTTTAATGTTCTAAAGTGTTTACGGTTCTCAAATATCAGTTAAAAACTAATTTTAGGTGGCCATAAACATAAAATAGAAACCCTGTAAGTTACAGAAGACCCTAAATTGTATCAAAACCCTAGAGACAACTTTTCAATTTGATCCAAATTTGAACTGGCCAACCAGTCTTTAAAACACTGGACTAGAAGAGATAATGATTGAAACATTTAAAAAAAAAAAGTGCTCCATTCGCAGGAGCTTTTCCTGTCCTGTGGTTTTCCAGTTGGTGACCACCATGGGAGGTCGCTGGCTCGGCTCACTCCCTTCTCCCACCCTTGAGAATGTGGAGAACTCCCATGGAGAGGCAGAATGGCAGGAGGTTTCATGTCCCGCGTTGCATCTCCTCCTGAAAGAAAAGCAGTGATACCTGAATAATGCTGGCTCTCCGATTGATCCTGTGAGGATGAATTTGCATTTCCAGAATCCTTGAGCATGGATTAGATGTTTCCTGGGAGGTGCCTTGAGTACCATTATGTGCAAGCTACATAATTAAAACATTTTTCTTAGTTTCCCTGGGAAGCTTTTCTTGACTCACAGCCCAGGTTCTTCTGCCCAACACAAAAGGAGTGAGTTGGGGTCTTTAGTCTCTTCTTATTGGGTAGCTCTTGCTTTAATATTCTGTTTGGTGAGTGTAAGGGATTCTGCAAGGGACAGGGGGCCTGACTACCCAGTCTTTGACTTGTATCCTCTCCCCTCTTCATACACTCCTGCTGAAAAATGTTAATCCAAATACACATTTAAACTTAGGGTCGGTCCTTATTCTGATTTGAGTATTTTAATGTCTCAGTGTGCTGATTTGGTAGTTGGAAGAATTATTCTTCTGGAGGTCTGTTAGACTACATCCTACACTGACTTCAGAAAACAGTCTGTCAGACAAAAAGGCCTTATGTCACCACTGGTACCTCAGTTTCCTCATCCCATTTACAGTTTTTCTAACTCCAGGGTAGTGTTTAGTGTTAATATTTGGGATATATTTTTTTTCAAAACTGTTTTTAAGTAGTTTGTAATTTGTAACAAACTTGTAACCTGGTTGGGACTGATATTGTCATAGCTATGATAAACTTTGGATATTAGCAGAATTTGGGAGATGTGTGTGTCAATTATTTTGAGATCTATAAACTTGTCTGTCTATCTATCTAGCTGGCTAGCTTGCTATCAATCTAGCTACCATCCATTTATTGACAGAGAAGTCTACCCCTAAACAATACTTGGTTTTATTTATATATGTCTTTGGGTTGTTTATACACATGCACTATCTGGGCAAGTACTTTGTGAATATGTGCATGATTGTGAATGTGTGATGAAAAGGGCCACTTTACTTGAGGAAGGCATGGAACAGAAAGTATGGGGTTTAGATATGAAAAATGAAACTGCATTTTTCTTCTGGAGGGTCTAAACATAGTAGCAGACGAGAGAGGGGCAGTAAAAATGACAAGAATGTGACATTGCGGCACCATGCTTGTGGGCATCAGAATACCTTTCTATCCCCCAAGTCTCCTGTTAGTCACATTATTTGGTGTATTTTGTGAAAAAAATAGAGGCCCCATTCCCAGGGCTTGTTCATTAATAAAGGGGGCTCTTGGCAGGGAACTCATGAAGTACAGGGACTGATTTTTGTTGGTGCTGCAGCCCCACTGCTTAAAACTCTCCTTTCTCAAAGCAACCATGATCAGGTGTTTTATTTGCATGGTTGATACTGGAACTTCTAAATTTGGGATTAAAGAAATTCATCTGTGTCTTAGGTAGCACAAAGTTATTAACAGGCCAGGAAGACCTTGTTTCTTTCAGGCTTCCATAATGGGTTTGAAAGAAAACACGGATTCTTCTACAGCAACAGAGTTAAAGAAATAGTCATAGTCATTCTTCCACGATCTTTGTAGTCTAGCTTGAATTTCAAACTGTGTCCTTCCTTACTCCAGAGAGGGAGCAAGAAAAAAAACCTGGATGCTTTGAAGGGATCTGCCACTATTTAAAAGGGGATTAGGATTCTGTTTCAGCTGCATGTGGAACTAGGTAAGCTTCAGTGGCCTCAGAACTCCAGGCCCCTCACGGAGATCACCCTGAACAATGCCCAGTTTTTCATGCAGGTTTTGTCCTATGACCAGTTAACTACATGTTCAATAAATAAATGTCAAAGAAATAAATGCGTGAAAAGGCAACCAGTTCATCATCTTATGATTAGGTTTTCTTGATTAGGGATGTGTTTAGTACAGCTGAATGAACAAGTTCACCCAGCTGCTGGTGACAGAAACCCAACTCAAACTAGCTGATGAAAAACAGAACTATACAGATCAATGAATCTCTCCCCCTTTTTCAGCCTCATAGAACTGAAAAAAACAAACCTAAATACAGTCACCCAAGTGATGTCAGGAATCTCTCATGGTATTGGTCTCTGCTTTCCCTCGTATTGGCCATATTCTTTTTTTTTTCTTTTTTAAAAACTTATTTAATTAGTTTTCCTTAATAGTTGCAGCCAAGGCTGTCTCTTTTTTCTCTTCTTTTCTCTTCTTTTTTTTTGAATGAGACAGAGTCTCGCGCTGTCACTCAGGCTGGAGTGCAGTGGCACAATCACAGTTCACTGCAACCTCTGCCTCCTGCATTCAAGCGATTCTCGTGCCTCAGCCTCCCAAGTACTGCAGTTACTTTTGCACCAACCTAATAGCTCGGATTACAAGTATGCACCACCATGCCCAGCTAATTTTTGTATTTTTTAGTAGAGACCAGGTTTCACTATGTTGGCCAGGCTGGTCTCAAACTCCTGGCCTCTAGTGATCTGCCTGCCTCGGTCTCCCAAAGTGGGATTACAGGCATGAACCACCACGTCCAGCCAGTCATTTTCTTAAGTAGGTTCTTCCCAGCCTGCAAACCCAGTGAAAGGGCTTATTCTTTCACCATTACTGTGGGGAAAAAGTCCTGTAGAGGCTTTCCATAGGCCCTGTGTGACTCACGTGTCTATACCTGAATCAACTGTTACAACCAAGCAGATGCAGAGACTGCGTGCCCTCTCCTGGAGCTAGGAGCTAGGTGAGTCAATCCTGCACTTTCTCTACAAGGCTTGCAAAGGTGAGCAAGAAGATTCCCCAAAGTGAAATCAGGGTGCTGTTACCAAAAGAAGCTATGCTGGCAGGCAAAAAACAACAGCTGTTTCCCATAGGGCAAAACCTGAAACACCCAATTACTATCCCATTGTTTGCTTCAAAATTAAATTTTGTTTGACCCCAACTAGTTCTAGTCAAGTTTTTGCTCGATGGACCACGTGAAAAAAGGATAAACAATGTCTCTATATAATGCATGATCAGGTGGTTTATGAAGATGTCAAGAGCACTGAACAAAATCCAAATGCTCACATAAAATGGGATTAGGTTTCATAAGCCACCCAAGAAAATCAGTCTCATTATTTTATGTAATAATGTATTACTGTGCCCAGAGCTAACCTGTAGCTCTAGGGGAGTACAATGTGTTTGTATTATTCTTCATTGTACACAGTGCCTCAGACATAGTAGGTATTCAATAAATATTTGTTAAATCATGAATGACTGAATTGATTTCAGAGCTGAGATGGGATTATTTTCAACAGTCATCCCTGCTTAACACCTCTTTTATCTGACAGCAGACACCTGAAATGTCATCATTGGCTTCCTTCAATATGCAAATACTTCTGAGAGAGATCATTATTTGGAGCCTCCTTTGTCATTTACACCTTGGTGTGAGAAGTTTCTTGAGACCCTTCCCAGAGGGGGTTACAAAAGAGGAGCAAAGTGCACAAAATTCTAGGGTCAGGAGACACACTTTTCTGCCTTCCCAGTTTTGTTGGGGTAACCCAGGCTCCCCATGAGCCCTGTGCTGGATGTCCTGATCACAGTGGCTATGGATGCTGACAAGAGACCATTATTCCAGTTTTGCCCGCAAATCCCAGGAGAGCTGTGGGAATTCCAGCAAAGTCCCACTGTGGTCAAATGGGGCAGGAAACTGGTTCTTTGAGACTCCTCAGAGGAGGAAGAGATGATGAATGTATTACATGCCTCAGAGGGTAAAGGAAGCCAACAGTAAAACCACCCACATCCAAAACAGGAACTAAGAGATGTCTTACACATCCCCCTAATCCTGAAAAGCTGTGGGGCTTCTCCATGGGAGCTGAACACCCTCCGCCTGGAGCAGCCAGGAAGACACTATGAGGGAAGCAGGATGCCGAAGGAAGAGGTCAGAAAAGGCTAGGATTCTGGGCAGGCGCGGTGGCTCATGCCTGTAATCCTAGCACTTTGGGAGGCCAAAGCAGGTGGATAGCTTGAGGCTAGGAGTTCAAGACCAGCCAAGATGGTGAAGTCCCGTCTCTATTACAAATACAAAAATTAGCTGAGTCTGTTGGTGTGCCTGTAATCCCAGCTACTGGGGAGGCTGAGGCAGGAGAATCGCTTGAACCCGGGAGGTGGAGGCAGCAGTGAGCTGAGATCACGCCACTGTACTCCAGCCTGGGTGACAGAGTGAGACTCGGTCTCAATAAAAAAAAAAAAAAAAAAAAGGCTAGGATTCCCGCCCCCAAGTACTCCTGCAAGTAATATGACTCTAGTCCTTCATGATGTAGTTTTACATAGAAATTTAAGAAAGTGGCCAGGTGCAGTGGCTCACACCTGTAATCCCAGCACTTTGGGAGGCCAAGGTGGGTGGATCACCTGAGGTCAGGAGTTCGAGACCAGCCTGGCCAACACGGTGAAACCCCGTCTCTACTAAAAATACAAAAATTAGCTGAGCAGGGTGCCGCACACCTGTAATCCCAGCTACTCCGGGGGCTGAGGCAGGAGAATCGCTTGAACCTAGGAGGCGGAGGTTGCAGTGAGCCGAGATTGTGCCATTGCACTCCAGCCTGGGCGACAGAGTGAGACTGTGTCTCTAAAAAAAAAAAAAAAGAAAAGAAAGAAATTAGAGAAAGTTACTCTAACTTGGGTAAACCCCTAAGTCAGTTACCACACTTACCAGGTGCTTCTGTTTTAAAGAATGAGTGGACTGAATTGCACTTTAACCAGCATGCAGAAACAAAATTCTAGAATAATTATATGATTGGTACTCAAAGGATGGATATTGCCAAGACACAGATACTCATTCCCCCCCAAGAAAATAATAGCCTCTTCAAACAATAGGACCTCCAATACTAGTCACTGCTGTTTGACTATCTAAGGAAGCCACACATGCTAGACGGTGCCAGGCACATCCCCATCACAGTTGCACCTGGCCTCTCAGGAGTGATACAAACAGGCTTATTGACCACCTCTGGAAGCAGAAGGGATGGAGAAGCACAAAAGGGCCTGTTTTACATTGCTTCTAATTCTGTGTCTCCATTCTACCAAGAACAAAGAAATGCAGTTTCAAGACCCCTGTTTTCTTTGTGGCTTAAAAACGTTAATTATCCTAATTTTTTTCTCATTGTAAAAGCAATGCATCTTTATTTTAGAAAATTGGTGGAGGGGAAGAAAAAATTTTAAGAAGCAAACAAAAAAGTATTTTTAAGTCCACTATCTAGGGATAACTAATGTTACTATTTTATGGATATTCTTCTTTTTTTTTAGTGCATTATATACGTTTTGTTTTAATTCTTGGTTGGTGCAAAATTGGGATTTTACTATATCTAATTTTCTCTTTCTTTTTTGTAACATACTCTCATGAGCATGTCTTCATAAAGAATCACAAGTTTGATCATGAAAATGATACACTTTTGTGTTAACCAGAAACATCTGACCAGAACTAGGTCTGTATAAAACAGAGGGTAATAAGATGAACAGGTAATAAGACTCCTTGGTGAAAGTGAAGGTGTCCCAGCGGAGAGCAGTTCTTTCACAATCTACATCTGAGATTCATATTACCCCTCTGACCTCATGTACTCTCAGAACTTAAAAACAAGCAAAACCTTTTGAATGAAAAATGAAGAGGCTGAGGCAATTCCAAGAATTCATTAATAGTGATTCAATGAAGGGACTGCAAAATTCAGAGGGACACATGATCTAAACCTCATAAAAAGGATCACTGAGGGAAACCAAATAGAAATATGTTTAGTAAAATGTAGCTGAAGCTTTTGCTGGATATTGGACTAGAATCTGGAAAAAGACACAAATTTTCAGTCAGATCCAAGTTTCTGTTTAAATTGGAGGAAGGCTTGCTGTGCGTGACACAAGCCTACCAAGACAACTGCCATGGCCTTCTAGTCCATTAGTACATAACCCCACAAGCAGCAAACAAGGCTCAGCATATGAGCATGAGGCCAGTCTTGTGTGCCAAGTTAGCGAGAAGGTTCCTTGGAGTGGTGAACCCATGTAATTAATTGTATTCTTATTCCTAAGGACTGATCTTGCTAGACAGAGCCAAGTCTGCACCACCTAAGCCTAAATTGGGTAAGAATTCAGTAGCCAGCAAATCTTAGTTATTAAATAGTCACTGAATCCCCATTACAAGTGATTTAAATGCCCATTCACAGTTTCAATAATGTCATCCCAGAGTTATTCTAATCATCTCCTAATGGATTTACTAGTTTTCTAATTTCTTTTACTCCCTTTTATGCATCTGACCCCAAGTCAAAATTGTTATCATCAACAATACTTATTATCAGCATTCTCAAAAGCTTTGATGCCATCAAAACCCTTAAATGAAATTAAAAGATCAAATCATGGGCTTTAAAGTTATCTGAGAGCCACTGTTCCTCTTCTTCCACGTTTCCATCTTACTTGTTAACCAGCCAAGCCAAGCTCCTTAGCACAGAATTGCATCAAGAGTTATAAAAGTGGCCAAGGATCAGTGTTTGTCTCTGTGACCAGGCCAACTCTGGGAGTGTGTCCTAAGGAAATAATCCAAAGTACATGGAAAGGGGCAGGGTGCAATGGCTCACGCCTGTAATCCCAGCACTTTGGAGGCCGAAGTGGACAGATCACTTGAGCCCAGGAGTTGGGAGACCAGCCTGGGCAACATAGTGAAACTCCATCTCTACAAAAAAATACAAAAATATTAGCCAGGTGTGGGTGAACTAGCTGGGTGTAGGTGGCACATGCCTGTCCCAGCTACCTGGGAGGCTGAGGTAGGAGGATCACTTGAGCCCAGGAGGTTGAGGCTGCAGTGAGCCATGATGGCACCACTGCACTCCAGCCTGAGTGACAGAGTGAGACCCTGTCTCAAAAAAAAAAAAAAAAAAAAGTATATACACAAAATTTCAACAAAATGTTTGACACCACTTACTTATACAGTGGAAGAATAATTAAGAAAAGGATGTGCCATTATCTTGATGGGATACTATGAAGCCATTACAAACTACTTAACGGAGTGGAAAAGCAGACTTGGGAACTTATTTTTATTTTTTATCCCTCTCCCCAGGCTTGGGAAATTAAAACAACAACGAACAAAAACAAACAAAAAACCCTTGAGAGTGTATACTCAGCAAAGATAGAAGTGTCCACCTCTATCATGTTCCACACACATGGTGAGTGGCAGGAATATGTCAAAGCTCCCAGGAGTGGGATACAGCTCAGGCAAGGCAGAGAGAGCCCCAGCGAAGGCACGCATACTCTCAAAGGGAAGGAGGGCGACGCTTAGCTGCTCAGGACTTGCCCTAATGAAAACTCTCTCCCCAACCTTCCCCACCCTTGACCCATCCTCAAACTACCAAACAGTGTGTTAAAAGCAATATCTAGCCGGGCGCGGTGGCTCAACCCAACACTTTGGGAGGCCGAGAAAGGCGGATCACCTGAGATCGGGAGTTCGAGACCAGCCTGACCAACATGGAGAAACCCGTCTCTACTAAAAATACAAAATTAGCCAGGCGTGGTGGTGCATGCCTGTAATCCCAGCTACTCGGGAGGCTGAGGCAGAAGAATCACTTCAACCTGGGAGGCAGAGGTTGCGGTGAGCCGAGATCGCGCCATTGCACTCCAGCCTGGGCAACAAGAGCGACACTTCGTCTCAAAATAAAAAAGAAAAGAAAAGAAATTAAACAATATCCAGTTCTCACACCTTAGGTAAGTAGGAGGAAGAAAAGTGGTCTCAGACAAGGACAGGGTGTCAATAGTTTTACGCACTTCCAAACAAATAGAAGGCGTAGACAGGGCTGCCCACCTTAGACCTGGCCCCTGCACCAGCCAGCGACAGGGCTCTCTACATCGCCAGAGTGGGCTAAAGAAAGGTTTTTCAGTGCTCGCTGTTTGTTCTGAGGTGTCTTCACTGCATTTCCCGTTACACTCCCCACCGGCATGAACCCTGGTCCTGACCTCCTATCGCTAAGTGTCGTCCCAAAAGCTCACTGACATTAAAAGGAAGAGAGGAAGAGAGAGAGAAAAGAGCAGAGAAGCGGGTGCACGTGGGAAGCTCTCGGTTAGCAGGTGACAGGGCAAAAGCACCACCAGGACCTGGAAGAACGTCTGACCAGGCTACAGAGCAATGGATTTCTCTTACGCTGAACTGAAAGTAGCCTAAGAATGCAAGAGTGTTTTAGAAATAAGGGACGTCTGCAACTTGGCCACAGACTGCAAGGAGCCGGAGTGCAGAGTGGCGGGCTGGGGTCGTGAAGTGGGGGGAAGCGGTGAGAGCAGTCCGGAAAGCAGGCAAGACGAGCTAGACCCCAGGCCGGGAAACCACACCGGCGGGAGACCCCGCACTCGGACTCCCGCTCCTCTGAGCAGAAGAGCAGTAGGGCAGGCCCACATTTTCTGCTGGACGGGAGGGAGAAGACCCGGCCCACTGCCACTGCCCTCTCTTCTCCAAGCTACCGAGGTACCAATCTTCTCCCCAACTCTCCAGTCCCTTTCACACGCCCCAGCCCCCAGTTGTCCCACCCTCCAGGACCTCGGGAGTTCCTAGACCAGCGCCACCGCCAGCTCCTAGCCCAGTGGATTTATGTGAGCGACTTAACATCTCTGAGCCTCAGTTTCCTCATCTGCAAATGGAGATACAATGGCACCTAGGGGATTATTACGAATA
The DNA here is from genome assembly GCF_000001405.40 of Homo sapiens. Lineage (NCBI taxonomy): Eukaryota > Metazoa > Chordata > Mammalia > Primates > Hominidae > Homo > Homo sapiens. The sequence continues at coordinate 167,714,113 of NC_000001.11, forward strand.
TCAGGTGAGTTCAATACAAGCAAAGGGCTTAAAAGAGTGCACTATCCCCAAATGAAGGTTCGGGGAGTTAACTTAATATTCACTCCTATGGGATTTCGTCTCCCACCACCCCTTTCTTAGCCAGGATTCGGGTATTCCCTTCCCTCGCTCGGACTCCCCGTCTTCATTCACCGACCCACTCGCGGAGCGAGCAGGCCCAGCTCTGCGTGCACTGACGGGCTGGGCGCGGGCGGGGCGCCGCCGGGACTTGGCACCGGGCTGCGTCCTGAGGCGCCCTGCCCCGCCCCGCACTTTCCTCAGCCCGGGCTCCCGGGCGCCCGCCAACACTGCGAGTGGAACAGCCGGGGCGAGCCCGTAAGCCGGAAGGCGGCTTCCGGGAGCGCGTGCGAACGTGGAGGCCACGCCGGCGATGGGGGGTTGGAACGGCCGGACCAGGCAAAAGCCGGTCCCTCCCTGCTCCTCCACGCTGTGGGGCAGTAAGCGCTCCGGACCCGAGGCTTAGGGAATCAGAGGACACGCAGTATAAGGGTCGCAGGTCGTGGTTGCTCGGAACACGAGGTGAGAGGCGGAACAAGGCTGAAGGGAAGCTCTGGGAGTGCCCTTGCCGAGAGCGGCTCGTTGGTCTAGGGGTATGATTCTCGCTTCGGGTGCGAGAGGTCCCGGGTTCAAATCCCGGACGAGCCCAGGCTTTTACCCACCCCACACCCGAAATTTAAAAACAGATTTTTTCCCCCTAATTCCCCACATATTCCATTCAGAAACTTAAATGAAAACATACTGGTCCCATGAGCTCGAATGTTGATCCCCTTTGTTTTTTGAAGCGAGGGACCATGTGAGCTCAATTAATACAACATATGGTTACTGTACGCCCAAAGGCAACGCATTCAAATTGCTTTGTACCATGTAAAACACACACTCTTGAAAAACAGACGCCTAGTGCGGAATCCTGTGCACGCCTTTAACTCCTCCAAACGAGCAGGGGGCGTCATGGATTAGCATGTCCCGGGGTTCGGGAATCAGCATTTCCGAGGAAAGGGGCGCTCAGGAGATATCCCCACCCCCGATGAGGGGCACTGTCGTGGATGAGTTTAAACCACGCCATAGGCAGCCAAGAACTGAGCTCCCGATGGCCCTGTACACGCGCTGCACCCAGGAATAGACAGCTAGGGACAATGTTTTCATAGTACAATACTACATTACTAGCAAACTTTTTACATTTTCAAAATGAGGCCTTTTAATGGTATTTCAATGTAGAGTGTGCTCTAAGTTTCCAAAAATCTCAATTTTGTGTTTTACTCTGACCAACCTGTATTTATTACGTTTAGTAATCTATCCCCAAAAAAACTCACCTTTAAGTGATTCTTACTCCAAAACAGGGCTCGTCCGGGATTTGAACCCGGGACCTCTCGCACCCTAAGCGAGAATCATACCCCTAGACCAACGAGCCGACACAAACTCCACCTTACTGTCATCAGAAAGGAACACATAGCTATTTAGTCCTGCGCCCTCAAGTGGTTGCTCGCATGTTAGGATTCGATCTTTGGGTTGTGTTTGCTTTCTATAGATACCGCGTTTTCAATTTTCTTTCTTTTCTGTTTTGCTCTTTGAAAATCAGTAACACAGAAGACAGCAAAATTGTCACTATCAGTATAATATCGACCTCTTATTTCGAAAATTGTAATTGTATTTCTATTCATGGCTAATAAATGGCTATTAGTGTGGGACAATGTCACTGTGGCAGATTCCAGACTCTCTCCGTTACTGAGTGAGTTCTGGATGTTTCATTCGTTCTTTTTCGCACTTTTCTATAATGTTAAAATCTCGGTTTCTTGCCGATATTTTTTATTGTAATATTCAAAGCCCTACCTATCTAGCCTTGTGAATTCCCATCTCTGTTTTTACTCGAAGTGTTCTCTTCAGCTGGAAAACCTGTTTGCTTTTGGACAAATCCCAAACTCTAACCTTCCCAGAAAAAGATCCTTTAACATATCAAAACCAATAGTATGTGGTAAATAACTGGGTTTCAGTCTTATCTCCTCCAACTGTAACTTCTTAGAGCGCAAGACACCTACACCAACACGAAATTCTACTGTAGAATTGGCAACCAATTGTGTGATTGCTGTTCGATTGTCCCAATATCTTTAATTAGATATAGTAAGCATGGCTTCTTAACTATATTTTAAATTCTTTTTCCTTTCTTTCTTTTTTTTTTTTTTTTTTTGAGACGTTGTCTCGCTTCGCTCTTTCGCCAGGCTGGAGAGAAGTGGTGTGATCTCGGCTCACTGCAACCTCCGCCCCCTCCGCCCTCCAGGTTCAAGCGATTCTCCGCCTCCCGAGTAGCTGGGATTACAGGCACCTGCCACCATGCCCAGCTAATTTTTGTATTTTTAGTAGAGGCGGGTTTCACCATGTTGGCCAGGCTGGTCTCCAACTCCTGACCTCAGTTGATCCACCCTCCTCGGCCTCCCAAAGTACAAGCGTGAGCCACTGCGCCCGGCCTAATTTCTTTTTTTTTTTTTTTTTTTTTTTTTTTTTTTTTTGAGACAGAGTCTAGCTCTGTCACCCAGGCTGGAGTGCAGTGGCGCGATCTCGGCTCACTGCAAGCTCCGCCTCCTGGGTTCATGCCATTCTCCTGCCTCAGCCACCCCAGTAGCTGGGACTACAGGCGCCCGCCACCACGCCTGGCTAATTTTTTTTGTATTTTAATAGAGTCGGGGTTTCACCGTGTTAGCTAAGATGGTCTCGATCTCCTGACCTCGTGATCCACCTGCCTCGGCCTGCCAAAGTGCTGGGATTACCACCGTGCCTGGCCCTAAATTCTTAAATACTTAGCATTGAGGCTTATCATAAGGAAGCTGGTGCTCAATGAATGATTCTGAATGATTACAATTTGTCTCAAATTCCTTAACAATACGAATTTTAGGTGTTTTTTGTTTGATACAGGGTCTCACTCTGTCGCCCGGGCTGGAGTGCAGTGGCATGATCATGGCTCACTGCATTTTAGTACTTTTGTTGCCGGAAAAAGGGGTCTTCACCGAACCTGGAGAGAGGGTTCTTGGATCTCGTGCAGGAAAGAATTCAGGGTGAAAGAAGCAAGTTTATTGGAAACTACTCTGTTACAGAGCAGGATGTTCTCAGAAAGTAGGAGGAGAAACACCCCGTTCTTAAGTTTTTCTTATATAGTGATCTTACCTATGTAAAAGCTAGGCTAAGCTGTGCCTACATACGGGTGAGCAGACAACATGACAAATTTTGTTACTCTGTTGATTTAAAGAAGACAATTATTGACATTTTAGTGTGTGAATACGTAAAAGCATAACTGTGATTATCTTAAAGGCATATATTGTTGTAGATATTAGGACATTTGGACTTCTTGCTGTTGTAGGAGTCAGTCCTAGTTATCTTCAGGCTGTTTCCTTAATTATAAACATCCCATGACTATGGGTCGTGGCAGGCAAGGAATGTGCCTTGTTAGTCCTAAAATGGAGCTGAACTTAAAATGGCATTATTCTAGCTTTCCTAGGCTGCTGCTTCCCTAACACGTTGACAAACACATTGACAAACAGTAATTGTGAATTGTCATTCTAGCAAATAACCAACCAGATAGGAAACAAGTAGACAGAGTGACTATCTTAAATAGACCTATTCATTAATTTTATTTCATATGTCATACATTCATCGGTTTATTCATTCATTCATTCATTGCTCATTCTTTTTTATTTTTTTCCGAGACGGAAGTCTTGCTCTGTCACCCAGGCTGGAGTGCAGTGGCGCAATCTCAGCTCACTGCAACCTCCGCCTCCCGGGTTCAAGCAATTTTCCCGCCTCAGCCTCCCAAGTAGCTGGATTACAAACGGTGGGCACCAAATGTATTTTTAGTAGAGATGGGGGTTTCGCCATGTTAGCCAGGCTGTTCTCGAACTCCCGACCTTGTGATCCGCCGGCCTTGGCCTCCCAAAGTGCTGGGATTACAGGCGTGAGCCACGGCGCCCAGCCTACTCATTCTTCAACAAACATTTAACAACAAGTACTATGTGACCGACTCCGAACTGTCCACTTTCTTCCTATGGTTTGACAACAGAAAATTATAGAAAATCTAGCGCTGTCTTTACCCTTGTTTTATTTAAAACTGCCCTAACTTGAGTCTTCAGTTCTTCTTAGGGCTCCAGGAAAGGAGGGAGGATAAGAATACCTTGTACAATGTTAATAAGTTCTAGATTGCCAGATAGTGTATTCATCAAAATCTAACTGGAAAAAAATATGCCCTGGACACCTAAGAAGTTTATACTGCTTTTCTCCTTAAAATGAGGAAGCTGTAGAATATAACTGGTTAGAGAAAATAATATAACCACTTCAGATATCTGAAAGCCTCAGTCTCAAGAAGTCTCCCTGCTCTCTCTCTTTTCCCTTTTGAATTTACTATAGCTATTATCATTTTAGATTTTTCCCCCCAACTTCTTCTATCTAATCATTAAAAAGGAACTTGTCTTTTACTCGGCAGGCCAAATACTTGAGTATCTCATTTGACTGTCATAACAATGATGCAGAAAGACTGACAATAACAAAACTCAGAATATTGATTGCTTCATTGACAGTGGGAAATATCCCTATTTGGTAGGAGGAATGCCTGCGCTATCTGTCCAGGCACATGCTTCCCTAGAATTAGGTCCTTGGGAAGCAGATGTAGTACACAGATGGTTGCAGGGCCCAGGAAAACAGTGTATCTTGAGGAAAATTTTATCCCAGCTACAGTGAATTTAGAAGTCTGACAGCACAGCCTTCTCCTGTAAGAATTAACACCTCCCTAAGGACCCTTTTACCCTCGTTCCCCCAATTTGGTGTCTCTGTGCCAAGGGGAAGGAGACACTAGAACTCTAATTTTCCAATTTTCAAAAATTTCTAGCAGCAATGCTTCTGGATTAAGACATTCTTTGTGAAACTGATTTGGCTTCAGGCGAATCTTTCTCAAGGTGGCCTGGGATTCCTCTTTGAATCTATCTGATTTGTTATCTGCGAGGAGTCAAATTCTCAGGGTTCCTGGGACACCACCCACATTCCAATTTTCCTCTGGCAACAGATCTTGAAGACAAAGACAGACAGGCTAGAAATTGGGACTCTTTTTCTCTTGATTATACTTCTCATCCAATTTATACCCAGTCCTGTAATTCTTTTCGTGAAATGTCTCTCAAATCCTGTCTTCTCATCCCCACTATCAATACCTTATTTCCTGCTCTCTTCATTCTTGCCCTGCTGCAGTGGTTACCTTTTTAAAACACAGATCCGAACTTCTTACACCCCTTTCACCACTCTCCACTGCCTCCAGAAAAAACACAACTCAAGGCTCTTCAAAATATGACCGCAGCCTCCTTTCCTGGCATTCTCTCTTCCCCTCTTTCCCTCACTCCCCTCAAGTTGCAAACCACAAAGGATTCACCTAATGTTTCTCACACTTGGTAGGTGATTTCTTTTCTCTGAATGTGCTTTTCCTGTTTTCTCCGTTCTCTGAGTTTGCTTTTCCTGTTTTCTCTCTGGTGAATTATTCATCTTTTAAAGTTCACCTTAAATGTTTTATCCTTGGTGAATCTTTCTAGATGCTTCTTGGGCCAGTGGATTTTAGGAGAGCGAGGTATATGTGGCTGAGGTACATCACAATCAGCAGAGAAGCTTTAAACACTGCTGAGAGTCACTGTCCCTGCTGGCCTTGGGTTTCTTCTTTATTCACTCTTCCTTTTTTTGAGACGGAGTCTCGCCCTGTCGCCCAGGCTGGAGTGCAATGGCGCGTGATCTCGTCTCACTGCAACCTCTGCCTCCCAGGTTCTGTAGCAGGATGAGCCGCAGACAAAACTCCTCAGACACGGAGTTAAAGAAGGAAGGGGTTTATTCGGCCGGAAGTATCGGCAAGCCTCCTGTCTCAAGAGCCTAGCTCCCCGAGTGAGCAATTCCTGTCCCTTTTAAGGGCTCACAACTCTAAGGGGGTCCGCGTGAGAGGGTCATGATCAATTGAGCAAGCAGAGGGTACTGTGAATGGGGGCTGCATGCACCGGTAATCAGAACGAAACAGAACAGGACAGGGATTTTTACAATGCCTTTCCATATAATGTCTGGAATCCATAGATAACATAACCGGTTAGGTCAGGGGTCGATCTTTAACTACCGGGCTTAGGTCAGGCAGGCCCAGGCCTGGTTTCGGGTCTGGTTCTTAGGCGCCGGGTTACCTGCCTTTAATTTCGCTTCTCTTTCCTTTTCTGAGTATAAAACTATATGAGAGGTTCTGTCTCTCTTCTCTCAGTTCAAGCGATTCTCCTGCCTCAGCCACCCGAGTAGCTGGGTACAGTCACGCGCCACCCATGCCCGGCTAATTTTTTTGTATCTTTTAGTAGAGATGGGGTTTCACTACGCTGGCCAGGCTGGTCTCAAACTCCTGACCTCGTGATCTGCCCGCCTCGGCCTCCCGAAGTGCTGGGATTACAAGTGTGAGCCACCGCACCCGGCCCTCATTTTTACAAATGTAATTGAGTACTTGTTTGTGTACACTAGTAGACGATGTGCTTCTTGAGAGTAAAGCCCAGGTGTTCTACATCCATGGTTCAATTAATGCATTGGTATCTTTTCCAACCTATGGCATTTGAGATACAACTTCAAAAGGATCTGCTGACAGAAATAGGGCAAAGTGGTTCTGGTATTTTTTTTTTTTAAGTTTTTTTCTCACTAATGTTCTTATGATTTCGCTGTACTGCAATGTTAGCTGAAACAGCACAGATATCAGGAATGGCATTGTTAAGACTGACCTTAGACAAAAACCCTGAAGTGAGAGGTTACATTTTGGGTTCTCACCATACTCTTCCCCCGCTCTTGTCCTAATTGTCTAAAGCTTGCTTCCCTTCCTCATCGTATCAGCCTCCCACCTGAATCTTCCCTTTTCCTCCTTCACACTCATCTTTCTTGTGCCCCTGTCCCCCATTTTTCCCTTTTGTAAGCCATTTTCATAAGGATCCTTCCAAATATTTCCCCTATTGATTGGACAACCCGTAGGTGGCAGACTGTTCTGGGCCAAGGCAACCAAGTTGAGCAGGGCCAGCAATCAGTGTCGGGAACTTCTGCAGGGCACTTCAGAATCAGTGTTGGGAACTTCTGCTTTCTATTTTTCACGGACACAGACAGGAACACAGATATGCGAAAGCAAAACAATCAAAAAGCATTTTCATTTGTTTTTCAGGTAGTAGGAAAGAGTTCCAGATTCCCATCCTTCTGAAGCCAGGAGGGAGGTTCCTAAGAGGAGGTTAGGGCAAGATGGAGACTTCTTTTTAAACTAGTAGATTTCGCAAATTGCAACACATACATTATCTAGTCCACGCAAAGGACAGGCCTTGGGGACACGGCACGGGGAACGTGTTCCACCTGGACGACTGAATCAGAAGTCTCTCCCCCATCAATTGAACGCCTCATTATTTTTCTTTCTGTCTTTTCTTTCTTTTTAAGGTAAATGAATTGCTTCTTTTTCGTTAGGTGAGGCCGGCAGAGAACAAGAAGAGCTGAAACGGAGGCGAGGTTAGTACCCAGCAAAGACCTGTGGCGAGGAGAGACAATGAAGAGGACCACGGGACTGGACCCTGAGAAAGGCAGAGGAGACGCTGGCTGGTGGGGCCCGCAGGCGGACAGCCACGCAGGCAGGCGGAAGGCTCGGCTCGGCCTGGGACCGCTGCAGACCCGGCCTCCGCGCGGGGCCGAGGCGCCTGGGTGGGACCGAGGAGGCGGGGCCTTCCCGGCGGACGGATGATGGACAGCCTGACTCTCCAATCGCGTCCTTAAAAGGGTGCGGGCAGGCCAATGAGCGGACAGCGAGGGCCGGAGTGGGGCTGAGGCTTCGGTGCAGAGCTGGAGAGCCGCGGCTGGGACCGGAGTGGGGAGCGCGGCGTGGAGGTGCCACCCGGCGCGGGTGGCGGAGAGATCAGAAGCCTCTTCCCCAAGCCGAGCCAACCTCAGCGGGGACCCGGGCTCAGGGACGCGGCGGCGGCGGCGGCGACTGCAGTGGCTGGACGATGGCAGCGTCCGCCGGAGCCGGGGCGGTGATTGCAGCCCCAGACAGCCGGCGCTGGCTGTGGTCGGTGCTGGCGGCGGCGCTTGGGCTCTGTAAGTGATGCCAGGACCAGGGCTGGGGCCGGGGAGTGGGGCCCCCGGGCCCGACACACGCCCATCGCGGCGGTCGCAGGCCAGGCGCGCGCACTGAGAGCCGAGGTGGGGAGGGGGCGCGGCCTGCGCTCTCTGGGGCCGAGGGGACCCAGCCCATGGGGAACGCGGGCCTCCGCGACTGGCCGGGAAGGCGCAGAGCCTCTTTCTTCTCTTTCCTGGATCCTGGAGTGCGGAGGAGGAGGGGAGAGTGCTTTACCTTGCTCCTTCCCGGGGGGCGGTCCAGGGGAGCGGACCCGGCGGGCGGCTGCGGTGAGCCCTCGCGGCGCACCCTGCCCTCTCCTCGTGGTGACTCTGGATCGTCTAGGCCCTCCCGGATTCTGACTCAGGAACTAGGGTTCTGGCGTTCTTCACCTTTGGGAGGTGGCGGAAAGTTGCAGGTTTTTCATTTGTAGGGCCTTTGTTGATTTGTTTCCTGTTAAGCCAGGGTTTTGTTGTAAGTTCCCTTTCCCATGCTCTCATTCAGTTTTAAGTCTCCGTAATAAAAGAGTCTCATTTCCGTGGTCTGCAAAACGCCAATAAAAAAATATTGTTACTTCTAGGTTAGAATGCAAAGAGCTTGGAATACCAGTGAGATGGCCTGGCTTAAAAGAATTTGGTCAAATCCATCATAATTCCAGACGTAGCCACCATAATTTGACAAGACATAGAGCATTAAAAAGCATAATTTTCCTAAAGGAAAAAAAAAGCTCCTTTTTCTTACCAAATATTGTGACTCAAGCTTAAGGTAAACCTCGGGCTCAATTTATGGGAATTGGATGACTTGTTTTATGGACATCTGAAGTGGTATCTGCCACAGGACTTTTCTGTGTTGTTGTTCAAAGCAAAGTACTTGTTGCTGTCTCCGAATTTAGTTAAATAATAGTTATAAAGAGGGCCAGCTGCTAAGAAACCACGTAGATTTTTTTCATTCCCTTTGTTTTCAAAATGTCAGTTATGATTTAGCATCACAGTATCTGAATACCAGAGTTTACTCAGTAATTTCTTTCTTCATGGAAAAGTTCTTAATATAATCCTTGGATCAGGGAAACTAGGTGAAGTTCTGTTGGATCACCAACTGTTCCACTTAAACAGTGATTCCAGGGGCTGTAAAGCATAAATGTAAAAGTCTCCCTACCCTCCAGGGGTTGACAGATGATGACACACTTTGTGTAAGACACAATCCATTCTGTATTTTGTCTTAGAAAAAAAGGTTAAAAGTGTGTTTGTTGGTGGTGGTATTTGTGTTTAATCAAACAAGTAGAAAATAGCCTAAAATTAAGGTTTATCAGAAATATGCTTCAGACAGAATTGTTATGCATGAGAGGTCAGACATTGCTATGGAGGACAAAGCAGTTAGGGTGATCTTAATTAAAATCAGGGTATTAAACGTAGAAGGAGTGCAAAACTACATAGTAGTGAAAAGATCACTAGAGTAATAGCCCCATACAACTTGGACGTAACTCTTCAGTAATGAAGATGAATGTTGATATGTAAAAATCAGCAGCTGATGTTATTGGTTCAACTTAGAAAATTATTGAATCTAAAATTCTTGCCAAATCACCTCTTTTCTGGTCATGGATACTGCACATAAGAGTTTATCTTTTACAGGATAGCTTCTAAAGTTTTATCAAGACAGTTACTCAGCAAACATTCACTGAGCACCTTTTAAGTGCTTAACACTTAAAAGGTGGGAGGTTAGGTCTCACTGTGTTGCCCAGGCTGCTCTGGAACTGAAACTCCTGGGCTCCAGTGATTCCTCTGCCTTTTCCTCGCAAGCAGCTGGGGCTACAGGTGTGTGCCACTGTGTAGGGTCAGAAGCACATTGGTAAAGATGTACTGTGGGAGCTTGAAGGAGGGTCATTATCTCAGACTGTAGTTCAGGCTACTGGAGGAAGGGAGTTTAAACTGGGTAGGCATGGGGGAGGGGCAGAAGTACATACAGAGTTATGAATGAACCTGTTGGTAGTTCAGTATAGTGGGAGGTTGGAGTGTATATAAGGGGAATGGTGGGAGTTGAGGCAGGAGAGCCTGCCAAGGGCACCAGCTTACAAAGGGCCTTGTCTGCCACACTTAATCCAATGAGGATTTCTCTGTCTATTGAGATGTGAAGGATGGGTTAGAGTGGGGTGAGGCTGAAGCCAGAGAAGGCAGAGGACTATTGTAATAATCCCGGGGAGGATGATGAAGATCTGAATTCAAGCATTGGGCTATGAAGAGAGGACACATGTTGATGCGCCACTTAGAAAGTACGTTTGATAGAGCTTGGAAACATTGATGCAGGCTTGAAAGAGGAGGTGGATAAAATGATCATAGGTTTTGGGCTTGGGAAGCTGGGCATATTTTTGGCCTTTTCACAGATGGGGAAATAGGAGTCTTGGGGGAAGAAGATGATGGAGATACTTTTGAATATGTTGAGTTTGAGATGCGGGTAAGACATCCAAATGGAGATGGGCAGAAAACAATTGGATAGACAGTTCTGGAGGTGAGGAGAAAGTTCTGGTTGGAAATGGAGATTTAGAGAGTTATGTGGCTAATAGTTAAAGCTTGGATTGTTTGGATGAGGGCATCCAGGGAAAATGCACTGAAGAACATAGCAGAGAGCCAAAGACGGAGTTTTGGGGTATATGAAACCTGACAAAGAGTCTCTGTGAGTAAGAGAAAAACCAGGTGAGTTTGGTATTTCAGCATTGTCAGATGAAGAGAGATAAAATGTGATAAGAATTCACTGAATTTGGTAATTGAAATGAGCACATAGTATATGAGGACTAAATCTCAGTAATTTGTACCATCCATGTCAGTAAATGGAACCTCCATACATCTAATTGTGCAGGCCAGAAACCTAGGGTCCATCCCTGATTCTTCCCTGTCCTTCACATCCAATCAGTTCTCCCATCTTTAAAATGCATCTGGAATTGATGTTTTTTCTACCTCCACTCCTAGCCTTTTAGTCAAAGTCACCACCATTTCTTGCCTATATTACTGTGATAGCCTCCCAGCTGCTCTTCCTCTTTTTCCCCCTCTGGAGTCTTGCTCTGTCTCGCCCAGGCTGGAATGCAGTGGCACAATCTCGGCTTACTGCAACCTCCATCTCCCAGATTCAAGTGATTCTTCTTGTGCCTCAGCATCCCAAGTAGCTGGGACTACAGGCATGCACCACCATGCCTGGCTAATTTTTGATTTTTCTATTTATTTTTAAATTTATTTTATTTATTTATTTTTTGGGGGATGGAGTCTCGCACTGTTGCCCAGGCTGGAGTGCAGTAGCGTGATCTCGGCTCACCACAACCTCCACCTCCCTGGTTCAAGCGATTCTCCTGCCTTAGCCTCCCGAGTAGCTGGGACTACAGGCGCATGCCACCATGCCCAGCTAATTTTTGTATTTTTTAGTAGAAACTGGGTTTCACTATGTTGGCCAGGCTGGTCTCGAACTCCTGACCTGGTGATCCACCCGCCTTGGCCTCCCAAAGTGCTGGGATTACAGGCGTGAGCCACCACATCTGGCTGATTTTTTTATTTTTAGTAGAGACAGGGTTTCACCATGTTTGCCAGGTCTGGAACTCCTGACCTCAAGTGACCGGCCTGCCTCAGCCTCCCAAAGTGCTGGGATTACAGGCATGAGCCACCACGCCCAGTACTCATCTTGGTTCGTTTTAATCCATTCTTCACAAAACTGCAAGAATGATTTTGTTAAAATGCAAATCAGATCATGTTGCCTTCTTTTTTAAAATCCTTAATGGCTTCCCATTGCACTTGGAATGAAATCTAAACTTCCCATGGCCTGAAAAGCTCTTTGTGATCTGGTTTCTGCTTACCTCTATGACCTCAACTTGTACCACCCACCACCCCTTTCTCACTATATTCAAGCCACACTGCCATCTTTCTGCTCTGTGACACTCATTCCCACCTCCTAGCCTTTGAACTAGCTGTTCTGATGTTGCCCAGGGCTGGCTCCTTTCCATCACAGAGGCTCTAAGTTTCACATCTTTAGAGAGGCCTCTCTGACCACCTTATTCTAGGGTACTTACCTGTTACTATTTGCTGGTTTGCCGTTTACTTCCTTATTGTAATTTCTATATGGTTTTTCTTCTCTTTTTTTTCCTCCATCAGAATCTGGGACAGACAAATCATCTGTCTTGTTTATAGAAGTATTCCTAGTGCTTAACACAGTGGATATGGTAGATGCTAAAAATATTTGTTAAATGGCAGTGAGGCATAGGCATGTCTTGACAACAGTTTGTTAGGAGTTTGCAATATGTAGTTATGATTTAGCATGGTATAGTAGGTCCTCAATATGTGTTTATGCAAGAAGAATATTTTTCCAAAGTGTGATTTCATGCACTGCTTATTTCTCATTATCAGTTCCCTTGGCCTTTTACTTATTTACTAGTCAGGATAGTAAAATAGAAACTTAGTCTTATAAAATATGTATATTTTTTACTCCAACTCCAGGATATCCACTAGGCTTAGATGCTGCCAAAAGAAAAAGATAAATGTTAAGTGAAAGACAGCTATGTGCAAAAGAACATAAAATGCAAGTTTGTGTTTTCATTAAGTCTAATTTATTTACTTATTCAACGTAAATGAACACCTACTGGGCACAAGGCACTGTTTATGTATGGGATGCAGCAGGGAGCCTAGATGCTAGTGAGAAGTGACAGACAGGAAACATCTACTCAAATAAATAATACCAAAGGACAGATTAAATTCCCAACAATCACAACTTTTAAGAAAATATGATTGATCTAATATGAAAATTTGCAGCAAATTTTTGAAAAATGGAACATCTTATTTGTATTATAAAATATTTTTAAAACTTATAAGGGATATGTTATAGGGTTTCTTTAAAGATTGGTCTTTCCCACTGAGTTTTAAAAACATGATTTAATTGGGAAAAACATAGCTTTTCAGAAATATTGCTGTTTCCCCTCTATCCAGTAGATGCTGGTCTACCTACTAAATATTTCTCACCATCCACTTTGCATCCACACTGGAGCTAATATAGTACAGCCACAGTCATGTCTCTACTGGATGATTAGAGCCTTCTAACTGGAGCCTGACTGTTTTTGAGTTATATCTTTTATCTGAGAATTTGAATTATTTGTGTAAGACATACATCTCATGTGTACCTCAACCTTGGAAAGATTTTTAATCTTGCTCTCTAAGACCACAGATGTCATTTTAAAAGGGAGAGTAAAATGGTAAGCTTTGGCATATAATTTATTATAGATTAGTCTTTAGCCCCATCGAAGACGGTATAATTATTAGAAGAACTAGAAGCATCTCCTGAGGTCTCAAGTGTCATATGGCTCTGAGACTTGACCCCTAAGGCTGGTGATATTAAGCCTTCATGTATCTTGAATGATATTCCTTTTTTCCTTTTCCACTCTTACTTTGCTAAGTCGTTTGACATTAGCAGTGCCCTAGAGTCCAGACAAAAGTCTTTGGAATTTTTGCTGCCGTAAGAAAGCAGAGGTCAGTTGGCTCCGTTCACCATAGTGCATAAATTGAGAAATTGTGGTTGTCTCCTGGGATCTTTATATCTTTGCCTTTAAACCCCTTTGTTTATTCATTATCTTTTTTCTTTCTTTTCCTTTTTTTTTTTTTTGAGACAGAGTCTCGTTTTGTCGCCCAGGCTGGAATGCAGTGGTGCAACCTCGGCTCACAGCAACCTCTGTCTCCCAGGTTCAGTGATTCTCCTGCCTCAGCCTCCCAAGTAACTGGGATTACAGGCATAAGCCACCACGCCCAACTAATTTTTTTTTTTTTTTTTTTTCTGAGGCAGAGTTTCACTCCTGTTGCCCAGGCTGGAGTGCAGTCGCGCCATCTCGGCTCATTGCAGCCTCTTCCTCCCACGTTCAAGCGATTCTTCTGCCTCAGCCTGCCGAGTAGCTGGGATTACAGGTGCCTGCCACCACGCCTGGCTAATTTTTTTGTATTTTTAGTAGTGATGGAATTTTGCCATGTCGGGCAGGCTGGTCTCCAACTCCTGACCTCAGGTGATCCACCCAAAGTGCTGGGATTACAGGCGTGAGCCACCGTGCCCTGCCCAAATTTTTTTTCTTTTTTTTCTTTCTTTCTTTCTTTTTTTTTTTTTTTTTGTATTTTTAGTAGAGATGGGGTTTCACCATATTGGCCAGGCTGGTCTCGAACTCCTGACCTCAGGTGATCCACCCGCCTCGGCCTCCCAAAATGCTAGGATTATAGGCATGAGCCACCGTGCCCAACCTATTCATTGTCTTTTTCAATGCATGTGGCTACTGTAATTTTTTATTCACTTAACAATTTTTTCTTGATCCCATTAGGCCTTTATCCAAGATGATTTCATTGATAAATCCTCCTTCAGTAGGTTTCTTCTTCTAAACTCAGAGTCTCTAGAAACTGTGATACCTTATGATACCTCTGATCTTATTGTTAGAACATAGAGCTTGAGTAATTTTGTAGCAACAGTGATACACTGAATCCAGTACTTAGGTTTAATTGATTGGAGTTAGAAATGCAGTATGTCTTTGCCTATCCTGTGTATTGCAGATAAGATTGCCCCATAGAATGAAATCTATGACTTAAGTTTTGTTAGGAGCATGCTGCAACCAACTGAACAGACCTTGATGAACTTGCAATGAACATTTTTTCATACTGGGACCCTGATATTCTACTTTAGGATCTGGGGAGTTTATTACGTGCATTTTAAAAGATGCTGTTATCGGCCGGGCATGGTGACTCATGCCTGTAATCCCAGCACTTTGAGAGGCTGAGGCGGGTGGATTGCCTGAGCTAAGGAGTACAAGACCAGCCTGGACAACATGATAAAACCCCCATCTTTACTGAAAATAAAAAAAAAATTAGCTGGGGGTGGTGGCGCACACCTATAATCCCAGCCACTTGGGAGGCTGAGGCATGAGAATCGCTTGAGCCTGGGAGGCAGAGGTTGCAGTGAGCTGAGATCGTGTCATCGCACTCCAGCCTGGGTGATAGAGTGAGACACCCTGTCTCAAAAGAAAAAAAAAAAAAGATGCTGTTATTAAAATTAAGAAATGTGTTCTTTTCTCTCCAAACATTAAGTTTACAATGTGGAGTTATATACATTTAACATAATCATGTGCTTCTTCCAGATAACACTTGGTAAACTTGAAAAGATGAAAAGTTATAAGGTGTTATATTGTCAGCTTAGCTTCAATGAGAACCTAGTGACCCTGTGGCCAGACAGTGTCTAATAGTTATTCTCTAGTCAAGTCCAGGTTATCATTGCTATATACTTTCTTCCAAAGGGTGTTGCTGAGAATTAGGAAGCATAGATAGAGGACTCAGGTTCCTAAGAGAAATGTGGTAAAATGCAAATATTTGAAATCTCCTAGATGTCTGAAAAGAGAAGAGAAAGAGAGTGAGTGAGCAGTTAGGGAGATGTTTTAACTTCTCCCTCTCCCTTTTCTGTTTCTTAGCCCTTAGAAGTTAGGGCATAGAACTAGGTTCATGTTATATCTTCTGCTCTGCTCTCATTTATTGAGTGCTTACTATGTGCCACGCCTTTGCTAAACGATTTACTTATATACTCCTCACAGCTCTGTGCAATAATTATTTTTATTAATTTTATAGATAAGAAGAGTAAGTTTCAGAGAGATTGTGTAACTTAAGGGTCTTAAGATCACACAGCTAATACATGGTAGAGTTGAGACTCAATTTCCAAAGCACATGTTTGCAACCACCCTGCTGTATTATAGAATTTTTTCTTCAAAGTCTCTAAACATTTTGGGGAAGATTCTGGAATGTCTTAAGTGTTTACAGAGTGGCTTTTTAGCTGTCCTGGGGCATCCAGATTTCTTCTTTGGGGTGATGTTTGTGCCAAGATCCCTCATGCCTTGATGCTGCTGACTCTGTTAAAGAGGAATAAAGCTGCCGTGTTGAAGCCATCCTCACCAATCATGCAGAATCTGTTTGTGCCACCCAATACTCTAAATGCTCCTCAGGGATTTTTAATGATGTTCTTTTTTTTTTCTTTTTCTTTCTTTCTTTTCTTTTTTGAGGCAGAGTCTCTTGATATGGCCCAGGCTGGAGTGCAGTGGCACGATCTCCACTCAGCGCAGTCTCCACCTCCCTGGTTCAAGTGATTCTCCCACCTCAGCCTTCCTAATAGCTGGGATTACAGGTGCCTGCCACCACACCTGGCTAATTTTTGTGTTTTTAGTAGAGACAGGGTTTCACCATGTTGGCCAGGCTGGTCTTGAACTCCTGACTTCAGGTGATCCGCCTGCCACAGCCTCCCAAAGAGTTGGGATTACAGGTATGAGCCACCATGTCAGCTGATGTGGTTCTTGTAGGTTCTTCTCACTCATACCTCTCCCGCTATCAAGAGCACAAGCATGAATCCATTATACTGAGTGATACCATACTGGGCTCAGAATGGTTCCTTGCCCCTCATTACACATTACATGTGGAAGAAGCCACTAAGCCTTGACTTTCTTCCTTTGAGATGAGTTCTTCTCTGGAGGCTGTGCAGGTCCTTTTGCCATTAGACTCCTGGCATGCTTGCCTTACAGAATGTCCAAACAGGCCCAGGCATCCAAACCAAAGTCTCCTCCCTTGTACCTCTTCTTGGCTCCTCTGCCCCATTGACAGAGGTTCTGTAGCCATGTTGTCTGCCACAAGTTGGAGGTCTAGCACTTGTCTGTTAACTCTTGGGAACTTTGAGTCTTGATCATTTTCAGCTATTAGGAATTTAATTCTTTTTTTTTCTTCAGTGACTGCAAATTTAGAAGAACTGCAGTGAGGCTTGCTGAACCTTGCACACTAATGAAATTGGTGAATGGATTAATAATGAACAGAGGTGATGCTAATTTGTAATCAGGTTGAATAATATGGATTTAAGACCAGAAAATGGGCCGGGTGCCGTGGCTCGCGCCTGTAATCCCAGCACTTTGGGAGGCTGAGGTGGACGGATCATTTGAGGTCAGGAGTTTGAAGCCAGCCTGGCCAACATGATGAAACCCCATCTCTACTAATAATGGAAAAAATTAGTTGGATATGGTGGCACACACCTGTTATCCCAGCTATTCGGGAAGGCTGAGGCACGAGAATCGCTTGAACCTGGGGGACAGAGGTTGCAGTAAGCCGAGATTGTGCTACTGCACTTTTGCCTGGGCGACAGAGTAAAACTGTGTCTTTTTTTTTTTTTTTTTTTTGAGACGGAGTCTTGCTCTGTCGCCCAGGCTGGAGTGCAGTGGCGCGATCTCGGCTCACTGCAAGCTTTGCTTCCCAGGTTCATGCCATTCTCCTGCCTCAGCCTCCAAAGTAGCTGGGACTACAGGCAGCCGCCACCACACCCGGCTAATTTTTTGTATTTTTTCAGTAGAGACGGTGTTTCACCATGTTAGCCAGGATGGTCTCGATTTCCTGACCTCGTGATTCCCTCGCCTTGGCCTCCCAAACTGCTGGGATTACAGGCGTGAGCCACCGCACCCAGCCTAAAACTGTGTCTCAAAAAAAAAAAAGGGGGATCAGAAAATGCTAAGGAGGCAGGAGGATCACTTGAGGCCAGGAGTTCAAGACTGGCTGGGGCAAAATAGCAAGACCCCATCTCTACAAAGTAAAAATAAACCAAAAAACAAGTTATAGGTCCACAGTTTTTTTATCTGTAACTGCAAAGCCACAAATACTTTGAAAATTAAGTTTTTTCCTAAGTTTGATACAAATTCTTTGGCTGCAAAATTCAACCTGAAGTAGTAAGATACTGTTTACAACTGTGATCCTATTTGGTATGACTAATTGTATTTTTCACCGCAGAGATATTAATGTGTTTGATTGTGGGATGCTGCCCTGTACTCTCTAGGGACTACTACATAATATATAGTATAGGTATTGTATTAATTTTTTAAAATCTGAAAAATTCTATATTCTGAAATACACCTGGCCTTAAGACTTTTCGATTAGCTTGTTGGCTTGTACAATATCTTATCTCAGAAATTTCCTTCTACTCTTGTAAGTACTAAGAACTACAAAATATTGCCTGGGCAACATGGCAAAACTGCATCTTTGGGAAGATTGCTTAGGAGTGGAGGCTGAAGTAAGCCATGTTTATGCCACTGCACTCCAGCCTGGACAACAGAGGGAGACCCTGTCCCAAAAACAAAAACAAACAAAAAAAATACAAAATACAGTTTAGTTATTTATTTTTTCATTTTTAGAAATGTGGTCTCACTATGATGATCAGGCTGGAGTGCAGTGGCTGGCAATTCACAAGTATGGTCAAAGTTCCCTGTAGCCTCAAACTTTTGGGCTCAGGTGATCCTCCTGTCTCAGTCTCCAAGTACCTGGGACTACAGGTGTGTGCCACCAAACCCCAGCTCTTTTTAGTTCTTTTTTTGAGATGAGTCTAGCTCTGTTGCCCAGGTTAGAGTGCAATGGTGCGACCTCAGCTCATCACAACCTCTGCTTCCTGGGTTCAAGCAATTCTCTTGCCACAGCCTCCTGAGTAGCTGGGATTACAGGCATGCACTGCCATACCTGGCTAATTTTTGTAGAGATGGGGTTTCGCCATGTTGACCAGGCTGGTCTCGAGCTCCTGACCTCAGGTGACCCGCCTGCCTTGGCCTCCCAAAGTCATTTTAGTTCTTTAAATGTTTTGGTCCACAAAGCTAGTGTGCTTTCCACTTAAGAGCTTTCATTGAAACTCCTTTAGAAATTTATGCTACTTTGGACTCAGCCTGTCTTTTATTCAAGGAATTCTAAATCTGTGAACTGGCACACGTTTGGGAATTGATTGAAGGGTCCTGACTTTCTGTTTTTATGATTCACATTAGACTTTTTGTTCACTTGACCTAGAACTTTTCTGTTTATATAGATCAAGTAAGAATTTAGTAGGTTTCCTATCTATTTCACTTGTAGGAATACCGTGACCAGCTGATCAATGCCATAGATCTGTGAGAGTCAGACTTCCAGCTGTGCCTTGACTCTGCTGTCCATCATGGTAATCATGCCTACCTTGCTTTTAGCAGTTCAGTGCTGCCATTTGGCCCCTGTCATCCCATGATCCAATTATTCCCACTGCATTTACGTGTCCCAATTTAGTGACAGCAGTTCCCACTGTAAGTTCTAGGCTATAGATAAGAGTGTCACAAAGTTCTTTTAAAATGCTGGGACTCCCCTCACAGATCTACTTTTCACAGTCATGTGGTGAAAGGTGTGTCCTCTGGCTGGGCCTGGTGGTTTATGCCTGTAATCCCAGCACTTTGGGAAGCTGAGATGGGTGGATTGCTTGAGGTCAGGAGTTCAAGACCAGGCTGGTCAACATGGCAAAACCCCATCTCTACTAAAAATACAAAAATTAGCTGGGCGTGATGATGCGTGCCTGTAATCCCAGCTACTCAGGAGGCTGAGGCACAAGAATCGCTTGAATCCAGGAGGTGAGGTTGCAGTGAGCTGAGATTGTGCCACTGCACTCCACCCTGGGTGACAGAGTGAGACTCTGTCAAAAAAAAAAAAAATTAGCCAGGCTTAGTGGCGTGAGCCTGTAGTCCTAGGTACCTGAAAGGCTGAGGCAGGAAGATTGTTTGAGCCCAAGAGTTCAAGGCTGCAGTGAGCTATGATTGAGCCACTGCACTCTAGCCTGCAACAGAGCAAGACCCTGTTTAAAAAAAAAAAAAGATATGTCCTCTGGACACTCACAGGTGAGTAAGTAGATCTTAAAAGATAAATGCACTGTAGGCCGGGTGCGGTGGCTCACGCCTGTAATCCCAGCACTTTGGGAGGCCAAGGCGGACGGATCATGAGGTCAGGAGATCAAGACCATCCTGGCTTACATGGTGAAACCCCGTCTCTACTAAAAATACAAAAAATTAGCCAGGCATGGTGGTGGGCACCTGTAGTCCCAGCTACTCGGGAGGCTGAGGCAGGAGAATGGCGTGAACCCAGGAGGCAGAGCTTGCAACGAGCCAAGATTGCGCCACTGCACTCCAGCCTGGGTGACAGAGCGAGACTCCATCTCAAAAAAAAAAAAAGATAAACCCACTGTAACACTCCAGTCTCCCTAGGCCTTTGAATGCCTTCCTCCATAGTAAGCCGAGGCAGGCCTGGCATTTCAAGTTCATTTACTGAGGGCCACATTTTGGTCCATGTTTCAGCCAGCAAACCAAACTGTTAGAGCCCTTTCTAACACCCTGAGTTGCGTAACATTAAATGCAGAATCTCTGATTAGTGGGCCCATATCAGTAAATTTGGCCTAACCCAACTTGACGTTCCCTCCACCATGATCCCATACCCTTAATATCCATTCCCACACATATTCCCCAGATTTCTGTTTATATAAATTAGAAAAATCAAATAGTTTTTTTAGAGTATGTGCACCTTCATGGTTCACATTTTGTACCTCACCTTTAGGAGCCTCCTGAGACTTAAGTCTAGTTATAGATCTAGAAGCAAAGAGAGGCGTTGGGGGTAGGTCCTGAGGAGAATCAGCAGTGTCTTGCAATGCAGCTGCCTCAGGGGAGGCCATTAAAGTTTCCTCAGGCACAGCAGGTTTAATTGCCTCAGATGTGGGTGGATGGCTGCTTCCACTGGCAAAAAAGACTCATAAGAATTTAGGGATTCAATGTTTCCAGCTCCATAAGGGAGTTCCCACATTTCTCCATTCCAATATTCAGGATCCCTTTCCTTCCCAATCAATGCCCTCACTTTAGTAGCAGACACCCTGCAGACGTTGGGAATTCAGTTTGTGCTGTAGTTGAGTCATTTGCAGAATAAGATTCTGGATTTGATTTTCAGCAATTTCAGCTCTATGGCTAACAGAGATAAGGATATCTTTCAGACATAAAGTTTTCTGTTCAGATATGTAGTGCTCAAGCTGGGAATTTGAATCCCTGAGCTCATCCATTTCTTTTCTCACTTTGTCCATTGTCATTAGGAGTAACCAACAAATCTCATTATACTCATTAGTTTGACAAAAATGTTTAAAGGTATAGTATATGTGGTCACCCAGAACCTTATTCTTATACGTGTTTGATTAAAAGTACCCAATGGTGACATTTTGCATATCTCCATTGCCACATCATACCCATACTTTTACTACTGGAAATAGTCATTAGTGTCCTTTAATCCAGTTAGAGAGCCAAGTCCTGAAACCCTAGAATCAATTCAGAGAACTCATCCTTAAGATTCTGCTCCTTTAGAGCCACTCTTAAAACCAAAATTAGGGTTCTCCAGAGAAACAGAACCAGCAAGATGTGCATGTGTGTGTGTGTGCACTCTCTTTTTCTTTATATAAATATAGATAGATAACCTATCTATATCTTGCTGGCATAGATAGATAGATAGGAATTCGCTCATATGATTGTGGAGGCTTGGTAAGTCCAAAATCTGCAGGGTAGGCTGGCAGGCTGGAGACCTAGGGAAAAGTTGCAATTCAAGTCCAAAGGCGGTCTGCTGGCAGAATTCCTTCTTTTTCAGGGATGGTCAGTCTTTGTTATTGTTAAGACCTTTAACTGATTGGATAAGGCACACCTACATTATAATGGAGGGTAATCTGCTTTACTCAGAGTCCCCCAATTGTAATATTAATCTTATCAGAAAACAGCTTCACAGAAATAACTAATGAATTTTAAAAGATAAGCCATAGTGGAGATCTCAAATTGTGGTTTCCCATGATTGTAAACAATTCTATTCTTTGTTGTCTCTATTTTAGCACTTTCTCTTTACATCTCAACTTGGTGCTATCTGACTTCCTCCTCCTCTCACTATTTGACACTTTGATAAAGGCCATCTGATATTACCAAATCAACTAACCTGTTTCAGCCTTTTCTTTCCAGACCTTTTTGCTTTCCTTAACATGGTTGACCACTTTGATCTCATTTCCTTTGCCTTTGTGACATTACTCCTGGTTCTCATCTCTCTTCCCTGTCTTCTTCAAGTCTTCATCCTCTGCCTGTGGCCCCAATGTTGATTTTCCTTAGGCAGGTTCTGCTCTCAGCCCTTTGCTAGTCTCACTGCATGCTTGTCTTTGGTAATTTCGTCCATTTTTGTCTGTTTGTTGACAGTGAATATGTGGCAGCTATAGGCATTCAATACGTATTTGTTGAATAAATGGTGACTCCCAAATATATCCCCAGTGCTCTGAACTGCAGAATCTTACCAACTGACCATTACATACAACTGGACATACCCATTTGAATGTCCAGAGGCACCTCAAACTCTGTATGCTCAGAACTCAACTCTATATATCTCTCCTCCTCAAACTGTGCTTCCTCCGGCATGCCACTCGCTATTGTTATTGCTTGCTGCTGTCCTATTTGTCTTTCCCTCAAGTCAGCCAAGCCAAAAATTTGGTCTTCATCCTAGAATCCTTCCCTTTCCTCACCTCACCTCCCTGGATTTAATCAGATCTCTGCCAGTGTTTACCTTTTATTTCTGAACCCACTCCCTCCTTTCCATTGTCCCAGGACAAATGCCAGTCATTTTAAGTTCATGTTACTGCAAGAGGCTTGAGACTCCTAGATCGTCTCTCTAATGGTAGTCATCTTCCCTTCAGGTCTGCCCTCCCAACTGTTGCCAGAGGGATCTCTCTCTTGGGCAAATTTAATTGTACCACTCTTCTGTTAAGATCCTCCATCTCTCCCCATTATCTCTGGGATGTACTTAGGTCTGCCATCCCCTTCCTTGTACTTTATTGATTTTTTGCAACATTTCTGCATAATACTGCTGTTTTATGTCTCCTTGAATTCGTGTATGATATTTTCACTCTTCTGATTACCCTTGTCCCTTATTTACCTGGCTAACTCCTATTTAGCTTTCTCATCTCAGATGTAATCTCAAGGCCAAGCACTTTGCCTCTAAGCTTCCTCTATCTCTTTATCTAAAATTATGTTTTTATATGATTGTCTCCCCAAATACAGGAACTGTGTGTCTTATATACTTTGGGTCTCCAATGCTTAACATAATGCCTGGAACATAGTAAATGTTTAGTATATATTAGATGAACTGTTGAACTGTACTCAAGTGGAAATTACAAACATCAGAGCAGAGAGGGTGAAAATAAGGAAGCAGAACCTCCCAGAACTTAAGATCTTAAGAGCAGGGTAGTAATCAGTCCTCAACTTTGTACTGTAGACACTGGATTTGATAGTGATGTGGCTCAGGGCCAGGATGAGGCTGGGGAGGGAACTGGGCCAAGATCAGGAAGGGGTTGAGGGGTGGTGTTCAATAAGATCGTAACGTCAGTTTAACTTACAGTGAACTTTATAAACGCTGGGGGGCTAGTATATTTTAGCAGATCGGGTTGTTAGTACATTCTCTCCCTGTGCTGAGATAGATTGTTCTCACAAGATTGCCCAGGGAATATGGGATAAGCCCAGTAGATGTTTATTGAATGACCTCAATGGCTCTGGCCATCAAGCTATCATAGCCTAAAACACCCCTTTCTTCACAGTAGGAATATAACTGACAGGTGCATTGGATTAGTTACATTACCTCTTCACTGGGCAGTGATGCAGTGTGCTGACAATGACACTTTAGATATGAGGATATGGCCTAGAAACATTGATTGGCCTTTTTCTGGATCTTAAAGAGATTTCCTGGATGGAGAGCCTGTCATTTAGAGTAGATTATCTCTACAGAGAACCAATATCATCCATTGAGTACTGAGATTTCTTGTGTTTTTTTGTTTGTTTGTTTGTTTGTTTGTTTTGAGACAGAGTCTTGCTCTCGCTCAGGCTGGAGTGCAGTGGCGCAATCTCGGCTCGCTGCAAGCTCCGCCTCCTGGGTTCACGCCATTCTCCTGCCTCAGCCTCTTGAGTTGCTGGGACTACAGGCGCCTGCCACTGTGCCCGGCTAATTTTTTGTATTTTTTTAGAGACGAGGTTCCACCGTGTTAGCTAGGATGGTCTCAATCTCCTGACCTCGTGATCCGCCCGCCTCGGCCTCCCAAAGTGCTAGGATTATAGGAGTGAGCCACCGCGCCTGGCCAAGATTTCTTGTTTTAAAATTCATTACCTTTTTTTGATTTAACTAAATAATCAGGTCTCTACCAGATTTCAAGATATTTAGTACGCTAATGTTGAATTGAAAGAACCTTGGACTTGAGTCAGTGCACAAAAATGAACATGAAGACCACAAATACTCATGTCTGCTAACAACATAGTGATACAAATAAGATGTCCGTGTAACTACTAACCCCATTATTTACTGATCTCCATTGCTGTACTTTGTATTTTTCCTACTATTTATAGCTGGAAATATATTGATATGGTTTGGCTCTGTGTCCCCACCCAAATATCATTTTGAATTGTAATCCCCAGTGTTGGAGGTGGGAACTGGTGGGAGGTGATTGGATCTTGGGGGTGGGGATTTCTCATGAATGATTTAGCACCATACTCTTGGTGCTGTTCTCTTGACAGTGAGTGAGTGAGTGAGTTATTGCGAGATCTGGTTGTTTAAAAGTATGTAGCACATCCTCCTCTCTCTCTTGCTCCTGCTCTTGCCATGTAAGACATGCCTGCTCCCCATTCACCTTCTGCCATGATTGTAAGTTTCCTGAGGCCTCCCCAGAAGCCGAGCAAATGCCAGCATCATGCTTCCTGTGTAGCCTGCAGAACCACGAGCCAATTAAACCTCTTTTCTTAATAAATTACCCAGTCTCAGGTATTTCTTTATAGTAATGTGAGAATGGACCAATACATATATTTTGGTTTTTCGGAGTTTTTTTGAGAGAGGGTCTCACTGTCACCCGGGCTGGAGTACAGTGGCTCAATCTTGGCTCACTGCAACCTCCACCTCCAGGTTCAAGCGATTCTCCCACCTCAGTCTCGCGAGTAGCTGGGACCACAGGTGCACACCACCATGCCCAGCTAAGCTTTGTGTTTTTTGGTAGAGACAGGGTTTCACCATGTTAGTCAACCTGGTCTTGAGCTCCTGACCTCAGGTTATCTGCCTGCCTTAGCCTACCAAAGTGCTGGGATTATAGGTGTGAACCACTGCACCCAGCCAAAGGGACTAATACATACACATACATATATACATATATACATATATATATATATATATATATATATACACATATATATATTTATGTTTATTCTTTCTTGGCGTTCCTGCTGCAGTATGAATCTCTGCCAAGGCCCAGAAAAGTGACTGGGACATAGAATGAATTCAGGTGTTTGTTGAATGAATTTATTGGTGGTGTGCAGAGTGTTACCATGCTTTGTTGGTTTGTTAATTGAAAGTTTTTAAGTAGAAGAGCTTTTGAATTTTGAAAGAATAATTAAAGCTTTCAAAAATTCTAAGATGTAATTTACCTTATACAGATGTAGAAATTGAGCTCTCAAGTTCTCTGTATGTGCTGCCTTCCCATAAACATTAAACATTGCCATGACACCCAGAGAAGCCCCAGGGAGCCTGGTAAGCAGCCATATACCTGGGGAATATAGCTAGAGAACTTTTGTTTTCTGCCTCACTCTCAAAAGTGTCTGGATTTGCCCCCTCATTTGTCATATCCCTGTTAACTACAGTCACTACTCTAAACATCTACTTTGGCTCTCTTTCCTTACCCCTCTTATCTGCTCAGAACCTCCTTACCAGAAAATGTAGCAACTCCACAATCTTTTCCCACCCTTCAAGCACCATATCCTTTTATAGTTTCACTACGACAGTTTCTGGAGCTCATCAAGTCTTCCCATCCCTCCCTGCTTTTGTTTTGTATTCGTTACTTCCTGGCTGCTTCCCTCTCCCGCTCCAACTTGGAGTCCATAGTTCATTGTTATAATCATTCCTTTGTAAAGGCTCCTACTTCCCCAGCCCTTCTGTGCCATCATTGCACTTACCTGGCAATCCCTCAACCCTGGGAAAACCCTACCATCTCTTTTTACATCCTTAAGCATTTGTTGCTTTAATTATTGCCCTCTTTAGATCATTCTTACTACAATACAAACATGAGCTAGAATTTCTAATCTTAAAAACCTTCTCTTGGTTCTATAGTCCTCTTTAGCTACATTTCTGGGCCGTAACTCTTAGCAAATTTTTACAAAAATGGACTATACTCCTTTCTTTGTATGTACACCCTCCCTTCCCACTTTCTTCTGTCCAGCCATCCCACAGCTGCCTCTGCCACTCCATTGAAACTTCTCCTATCAGGATCACCAGAGGACTCCAGGTTGACAAACCATATTAGTTCTTCCCTATAGCCACCTTATATGACTTCTCAGTCCCTCCTCTCTTCTCTTGGCTTTACTTACACCACATTCTCTGGTTTTCTTCCCCTCTCACAGTCTGCTCCCTTTCCGCCACCTTTTCAGGGTCTTTTCTCCCTCCCTGACCTTTATAGTTTGATGTCTGTATGACTTCGGCTTGGCTCTCATCTTCCTCTACATTATTTTCCTATGTAATAGCATCTTCTCCTGTAGTTTAAAATACTGCCTGTATGCTGGTAACTTCCAAAATTTATATACAATTCAGACCTCTCTGAACATCAGACCTGCATATCCGGTTACCTGCTTAACTCCATTTAGAGGTCTCAAGGTCTCATTGACATTGCAAACTTAACATTTCCAAAATGGCAGGTTGCTTTCTATTCCTTCTCTCCAGTTAAATCTATCCAGTTGCTCAAGCTAGAAACCCAGGAGTTATTCTCCATTCATCCCTTCTCTTCACTCCCATGTCCAATCTAATAGCAAGAAGTCCTGTATGTCATCCCTTTCTCTCACCATCTCCTTGCCTCTAGTCTAGGTCATGGCTGCAGTACACAGCACCAGAATTACTGCAGTCACTTCTTTGGTTTTTGTTTTGAGACAGTCTTGCTCTGTCACCCAGACTCAAGTGCAGTAGTGTAATCACGGCTTACTGCAGCCTTGAACTCTTGGGCTCAAGCAATCCTGCTGCCTCAGCCTCCTAAGTAGCTGGGACTGTAGGCATGTGCCACCACGCCTGGCTAATTTTTTTTTTTTTTTTTTTTAGAGATGGGGGTTTCGCTATGTTGTCCAGGCTGGTCTTGACCTCTTGGGCTCAAGTGATCCTCCTGCCTCAGCCTCCCAAAGTGCTGGGATTACAGGCATGAGTCACCACGTCTAGCCTGCAGTCACTTTTTTTTTTTTTTTTTCCTGACAAGGTCTCACTTGTCACCCAGGCGTGCTGTGGCATGATCTCAGCTCACTGCAACCTCCGCCTCCCAGATTCCAGCAATTCTTGTGCCTCAGCCTCCTGAGTAGCTGGAATTACAGGCACACGCCACCACGCCTGGCTAATTTTTGTATTTTTAGTAGAGCTGGATTTCACCATGTTGACCAGGCTAGTCTTGAATTCCTGACCTCAAGTGATCTGCTCGCCTCAGCCTCCCAAAGTGTTGGGATTACAGGCATGAGCCACTGTGCCTGGCCTGCAGTCACTTCTTAACTGCTTTCCCAATTTCAGTCCGTATTCCCCTCCACTCCATTTTCTACATAGCAGCAAGAACTATTTTACATCAGGTGCTGTCATTTTGTTGTTTAAAACCCTTTAGTCTTGGCTGGGCACTGTGGCTCATGCCGATAATCCCAGCACTTTGGGAGGTCAAGGCAGGAGGATCACTTGAGCTCAGCAGTTCAAGACCGGCCTGGGCAACATGGTGAAACCCTGTCTCTACAAAAAATATAAAAGTTAGCTGGGCCTGATGGCTCACACCTGTAGTCCCAGCTACTCAGGAGGCTGAAGTGGGAAGATTGCTTGCACCTGGGAGGTTGAGGGTGAAGTGAGCCATGATCATGCCACTGCACTCCAGCCTGGGTGACAAAGTGAGACCCTGCCCCCAGAAAAAAACCCTTGTTGGGAGGTCAAGGCAAGTGTATCACCTGAGGTCAGGAGTTTGAGACCAGCCTGGCCAACATGGCAAAACCCCGTCTCTACTAAAAATAGAAAAATTAGCCAGGCGTGGTGGCCCTCACCTGTAGTCCCAGCTACTCGGGAGGTTGAGGCAGGAGAATCACTTTAACCTGGGAGGCGGAGGTTGCAGTGAGCAGAGATCATGCCACTGCACTTCAGCCTGGGTGACAGAGCAAGACAAAAAAAAGAAAAAAAAATCTTTGATCTTATCAAATTGTTCTTGTTTTCCATAATATCAAAAACCCGGCATATAAATATATAACAAGTATAAGAGTGTATCGCCTAACTATATTATGGGCAGATACCTTAATAGTATCTTTCAAATAAAAAAGATACTTGCCAACTTTTAAAATAAATATATATGGAGTGCCTGAGGGAATTTCTTAAGGAGTCCATAGTCTATCATCAGTCTACCATAATCAGAATAGGAACTATAGTTTATTTTGGAATGGATTGTGAAGATTTTCTCTCACTCTGTGGGTTGTCTGTTTACTCTGCTGACTGTTCCTTTTGCCACACAAAAGCTCTTTAGTTTAAGTCCCAGCTATTTATCTTTGTTTTTGTTGCATTTGCTTTTGGGTCTTGGTCATGAAGTCTTTGCGTAAGCTAATGTCTAGAAGGGTTTTTCCAATGTTCTCTTCTAGAATTTTTATAGTTTCAGGTCTTAGATTTAAGTCCTTGATCTATCTTGAGTTGATTTTTGTATAAGGTGAGAGATGAGGATCCAGTTTCATTCTCCTACATGTGGCTAGCCAATTATCCCAGCACCAGTTGTTGAATAGGGTGTCCTTTCCCCACTTGATGTTTTTGTTTGCTTTGTCAATGATCAGTAGGCTGTAAGTATTTGGGTTTATTTTTGGGTTCTCTATTTTGTTCCTTTGGTCTATGTGCCTATTTTTATTACAGTACCAGGCTGCTTTGA
The DNA here is from genome assembly GCF_000001405.40 of Homo sapiens. Classification (NCBI taxonomy): domain Eukaryota; kingdom Metazoa; phylum Chordata; class Mammalia; order Primates; family Hominidae; genus Homo; species Homo sapiens. The sequence continues at coordinate 167,743,028 of NC_000001.11, forward strand.
TGACTGTGGCCTTATAGTATGGTTTGAAATCAGGTAATGTGATGTCTCCAGATTGTATGCAGGCTCTTTTTTGGTTCCATATGAATTTTAGGATTGTTTTTTCTAGTTCTGTGAAAACTGATGGTGGTATTTTGATGGGAATTGCGTTGAATTTGTAGATTACTTTTGGCAGTATCATCATTTTCACTTTTTTTTTTTCTTCGAGACAGAGTCTCGCTCTGTCGCCAGGCTGGATTGCAATGGCGTGATCTTGCCTGACTGCAACCTCTGCCTCCTGGGTTCAAGCAATTCTCCTGCCTCAGCCTCCCAAGTAGCTGGGACTACAGGCGCACATCACGCCCAGCTAATTTTTGTATTTTTAGTAGAGACGGGGTTTCACCATGTTAGCCAGGCTGGTCTCGATCTCTTGACCTCGTGACCCTCCCGCCTCGGCCTCCCAAAGTACTGAGATTACAGGCGTGAGCCACCGCGCCTGGCCTTCGCAATATTAATTCTTCCTATCCGTGAGCATGGGATGTGTTTCCTTTTGTTTATGTCATCTGTGATTTCTTTCAGCAGTGTTCTGTAGTTTTCCTTGTAGAAGTGTTTCACCTCCTTGGTTAGGTATATTCCTAAGTATTTTGTTTTACTTTTTTTGCAGCTATTGTAGAAGGGGTTGAGTTCTTGATTTGATTCTCAGCTTGGTTGCTGTTGGTGTATAGAAGAGCTACTGATTTGTTTACATTAATTTTGCATCTGGAAACTGCTGAATTCTTTTATCAGTTCTGGGAGCTTTCTGGAGGAGTCTTTAGGGTTTTCTAGGTAAACAGTCTTATCATCAGCAAACAACAACAGTTTGACTTCCTCTTTACTGATTTGGATGCCCTTTATTTCTTTCTCTTGTCTGATTTCTCGGGCTAGGACTTCCAATACTTTGTTGAAGAGAAGTGGTAAGAGTGGGCATCTTTGTCCTATTCCAGTTCTCAGAGGGACTGCTTTCAACTTTTCCCTATTCATTATTATGTTGGCTGTGGGTTTGTCATAGATGGCTTTTATTACATTGAGGTATGTAATGGACAGGCATTCTAAGCCCTTTACAAATATTAACTCATTTCATTCTTGTAATAACTCTTTGAAGTCGGTACTATTAGAATAAACTTAAAAGTATGAGAAACTGAGGCATGGAGGGCTTTTTGCACAAGGTCCCACATCACTCTTTCTTGTCTCGGGTAACCCTGTGATTCACATAGTTGCAGACCACATAGTCACACCGGAAGTTTTTCAGGAAACCTTTCTAGACATCTTGTTAAAAACTTACAAAGGGGACAACTTTTGATGTGTAAAACAATTAGGAAGCATGTCCAGAGTCTAAGTGTTCTTTAAAAACCAAAAAAAGGCCGGGCACAGTGGCTCATGCCTGTAATCCCAGCACTTTGGGAGGCCAAGACGGGTGGATCACCTGAGGTCAGGAGTTTGAGACCAGCCTGGCCAACATGGCAAACCCCTGTCTCTACTAAAAATACAAAAATTAGTGGGCCATGGTCGTGTGCGTCTATAATCCCAGCTACTTGGGAGGCTGAGGCAGGAGAAACACTTGAACCCGGGGGTCAGAGGTTGCAGTGAGCCGAGATCGCACCACTTCACTCCAGCCTGGGCGAAAGAGCGAAACTCAGTCTCAAAAAAAAAAAAAAAAAGAACCTCCAAATAGCAGTTTGCCCATTTTCTCCTTCCAAGTTCACATATAGACCTTAATAAAAGTTATAGACTCCAACAACTAGTAAATATTTTTTTCCACTTGTTTCGTTAAATTTATTTCCATTAAATTGGGAGTAAGATCAAAACAGAATAATGTTTACTGTCATCAGTTTAAGAATAAATGTTGTGCTTACTCCGCAGAGGCGGATGGATCCACTACTTCTCCCCCCACTGCAAAATTTGGTTAAGATGTGGAAACTGATGATACCATATGTGCACCAGGACGGTACGAAAAGGGTTTATGACTCACTTACTGAGGCTTTTTGGGGAGAGCAGGGCAGGCTTCCCATGCAGGTACAAGAATGGCTTGAGAAAGCAGGAAAAGGATACTGGCTCTCCTTTTATGGTGATAAGTTGCTGAGTCTGGAGTGAAGGTCCTTATATGCCCCTTCAGCCAGGTCTTGGTTTGAACTTCCCACCTGTTCCAAAGGATGGCTCACTTGGGCTTTCTTATTAGCTTGCCCTGAGGAAAGGGGTACAGCTTGAAAGCTCTTGGCAGTCAAATATCAAAAATGATGTCAGACTCTTTATTACAAATATATTTTTAAGTGCTTGTCATTGTTTATGTTATGGGGCAAAAATCTTGCATTGTACTAAACACCATGTCACTAATAGTGTGAATAGAAGATTCAGCAGACTAATGTCAAGAATGTTTTTGGAACCTTGAACACAGGGAATATCCTGTGTGTCTTTTAAAAACACGGAAAATACTTAACATCTCTATTTTGTTTGGGTTAACACTGATGATGCTGAAATGTTGGGTATTGATTGCCTGGGTCACTATGGGCAAAGAAGCTTTTTTTGTTTTTGTTTAGTTTTATGATATTACTGATTTCTGTGTTTTGTCATATTCTTTTTGTATTTTATTAAACATGTTTTTAATAAATGGGCACTCTTATTTTCAAACTTAATAAATAGGACTCATTTTACTATGCATATCCTGGGTTTTAAATTCTGAGCTAAGAAACAAGAGATAGAAGAACCAAATTTGGGTAAAATTCAGAGTCTTAGATGCCAGAAGCCAGGGAGACGCTGGAAAACAATTATTGAGATGTGTTATAGGTTAACTGATAGTTGGAAGACAACATGCCTTTCAGGTTTGTGGTTTACTGCCTTTCATTAATTCTGACACAGTTTTTAATATTTTAATATCTCTGATATTGGGATATGCCTTACAATTGTTGGCGAGTCATAGCCAGCATTTTTATTTCTTGGGGACACAGAAAATAATGTGTCTTACCCTCAGTGGTGTCTTCAATTACATGAACTATGACAATTTTTACACCTTTATAAGTCTTTTAAAATAAAAAATTCATTTATACTTCAGAAAAAATACCTATGATTAGACCACGAGTTAGGGGAGACTTTGCAGTGGTGATTGCCTTGGAGTTGCCTTGAAGGAAGAGTGGGAGTTGGCCCAACGGGAGTGGGTTGGTGGAGAAGGCATTCAGACTGAGAGATAGCATATACAGCATATTATAAAGAGTGTGCTGTGTTGGGGAAAGGGCTAGAAGTTTGATGTGGCAAAAATGTAGGCTCTGGGATGAGATGAGAATGATAAACTGGCTGGAATGGTAACCTGGAGCCAGCCTTTGAAAGGCTCTGTGTGCCGTGCGAGGGAGTTGAGGCTGTCTTGGCATGTTAGGCAGCATTGTAAAGCAGCTCTCCCTCCCTGTTTGCATCAGCAAAGGGGTGGGCAGCATTGGCACCAATAACAGAAGAGTGAAGACAATACATATGTCGAATAAGATCTCTAGCACAGAGTTCTCCAAAATGGAAAGGGCTGCACCCTGGAATCAGATGGAAGGGAGAACTTTACCAAGGGGGTGCTATTTCCTTCTGCTCTGTTGTGAATGGAGTTGGGGTTCAGTGGCCTGTTTTAGAAGCCTGTTTGTGGGCAAGCTGTGTGACAAAGTTGTTGAAAAATGAGGAATGGCTTTCAGAGGGCAGTATTAATCCATTTGGATGGAAATTTAGGAGTGGAACATGTGTTTCTAAGCTGTTTTTGGCTTTTTCCTAAGGGCTATATATTCTTAAATTAAAGGTGATTTATCATTCTTAGTTTCCTCTAAAATATAACTTTTTGTAGAGGGAGGCTTTATCACAAAATTTAAGAAAAAATAAGTTTGTTATTCTTGCTGTGGTTTTATTTTTATAAGAAATTTGGGAATTTGATCCTTCATAGCAGAAATTTGTTCAGTTTGGGTCTCCAAACAAGAGACACAGAAAATTTGTTCATCAGAGAGCCACTGAGATATATAGAGAGTTAGAAGATCAGTCAGGAAACATTAATGGAACCGGAATTATACAATAGAGGAAGAAAACTGCAAATATTTCTGTTGTTTCAGCCTAATTTTAACACTCATTACCATTTGCAGCCCATAAGCGAATTGTTTTGCATAGAGCCTGCATTGCTAAGCCAGTAGAAGGAACTAGTCTTTTAAAAACATTTTCTAATTTCATTCCCTTTTATTTTTGAGACAGGGCCTCACTCTGTCGTCTAGGCCGGAGTGCAGTGGTGCGATCTCAGCTCACAGCAGCCTCAACTATCCAGGCTCAGGCAGTCTTCCCATCTCAGTCTCTCAAATAACTGGGATTTACAGCATGAGCCACCATGCCTGGCAAATTTTTAAAAAATGTTTTGTAGAAACAGGGGTCTCACTATGTTGCCCAGGCTGGTCTAGAACTCCTAGGCTCAAGTGATCCTCCTGCCTCAGCCTCCCGAAGTGCTGAATGAACCACCACACCAGGTCTTTTATTTCACGTTTAAATAAAAATGTTAGATAGTAGTATGTTGACATAGTTCAAAAGTTAAAAAAGAATACATGATAAAAAGTCTTCCTCCTAGTCCCCTGTCCCTTTGCTGAGGAACTCAGTGTTAGTATCCTGTGTATGGTTCCAGAGATATTTTATGGAGATGTGAGCAAATCTATAAGTGATAGCATCTCATACACATGGTTCTACAGCTGCTTTTTTTTTTAACAGAAGTTTTACTGTGATATAATTCACATACTGTGGAATTCACCCATTTCAGTTGGGATTCAGTGGTTTTTCAGTGTATTCACAGTGTGTTGCAGCCGTCATTACTTATATAATATTAGAACACTTTCATCACCCCATAAAGAAACCTTATATCCATTAGGGCTTAGTCCCTCTTCCCCTAGCAACTACTAATCTACTTTCTGTATTAGAAATTTTATATGGATAGAATCAGATAATATGGGGCCTTTTCTGTCTGGCATCTTTCACTTAGCATAACATTTTCAGTTTTCATTCATGATGTAGCATGTATCAATATTTCATTTCTTTTTATAGCCATAATATTCCATTGTATGAATATACCACATTTTGTTTATCTGTTCATAAGATGAGGGACATGTTTTTCTCTTGTGTATATACTTAGGATTGCTATTGCTGAGTCATCATAACTCTGTGTTTAACCATTTGAGGACCTGCCAAACTGTTTTTCAAAAGGCTGTATCATTTCTATTCCCATCAACAATGTAGAGAGTTCTAATTTCTCTACATCCTCTCCAGCTACTGGTTAGTGCCATCTTTTTGATATAGCCATCCTAGCGAGTGTGAAGTGGTATCTCATTGTGGTTCTAATATGCCTTTTTGCTAATGACTTAGTGATCCTTGAGCACCATTAAGTGCTTATTGGCTATGTATGTCTTTGGAGAAATGATATTCATGTACATTACCCATTTTTAAATTGTTTAATCTTTGCAATGTTGATGGTAAGTGTTCTTTATATATTTGAATACAAGTCTCATATATGATTTGCAAATATTTTCTCTCATTCTGTGGATGTCTTCTTGCTTTCTTGGTAGTTTAAAGCAAAAAATTTTAAATTTTGGGTAAGTCCAATTTACCTATTATTTCTTTTGTTACTCATGCTTTTGGTGTGTTATCTAAGAAACCATTGCCTAATACAAGATCACAGAGCTTACTCCTATGTTTTTTTCTAAGGGTTTTATAGTTTTAGCTCTTACCTTTAAGTCTATGTTTTATTTGAGTTAATTTTTGTATATGATGTGCTTTACATTTTGTACTTTTCATTTAATAATATCTTGGGAGATCATTCTATTCCAGCACTAAAGAACTTCCTCAGTTTTTCTTATGATACTATAGTATTCTCTTATGTTGATATATCATAGCTACTTTAAACAGTCTCTCATTGATGGAGATTTACACAAACATTTGGGTTTGGAAATTATCTCAAAATGACATTGTGGCTTGAAAGTTGTTTCATATCACCCTTCTCAAAAATACAATTTCATCCATTTCACAGATTTGGTTGTTCCAGGCAACTCATGCTATTCAGAAGCCCTGGAATAAATCCCAGTCCTTTGGGTAGAATGACCCCAAGGAATTCAAGATATTTCATTCCATTAAATGTTTACAGTAAGTCAGGAAGCAAAAGTTTCTTTCAATTATCTGAAAATATATGGAAAAATACTTTTGGAGGGACAAGGTGCTCTAAAATTTTGTTGTACCATCTAAGCTACAGTCAGTTTCAGATGACTTAATGGCATGTGTTCTTTTACTCTTTTGTTGAATTGTTGTCTGTGTGTATAAATCAAAGTGAGTAGTAATCTAAACTTCAGGCAATACAGGCAGCCAACTCAGTAAGATATAAAATATCCAGAGATTATGAAACATATAGGTTTCTTTGTTAAAGAGGAGGCTTAGGGGAAAATCTTGAAATACATCAACACTTTCCTAATCTGCAGAGGCATATTTGGCCACTGGAAAGTAAACAAAAAAAGGCTAATAGGAAGCTAAGATTAGTATGGCAAAACCCATTCCTTCAACTTCTTGATCTTTACCTGTAACACAGTTCTTCACTAAGAGACTATTCTTATTTTATACACTGATCAAGTCAGTGTGATATCACAAAAAAAGAACTTCAGAATTGTTTAAATTCTGTTTCTGTTCTCTATGATCTGGATACCTTCAATAAGTTACTTTCCTTTTTTGGGCTAGAGTATTTTCATCTATAAAATGAACGTGAACTAGATGAGTTTTCAAGCCTATAGTAGAACAATTAATTAGAGGTGAAATAGAGGCTACTACTGGAGGCAAGCTGCAATCAGCAGTGGCCACAGCTGGCCTGATCTGCATGGAGTAGACAGTAAGAATGTTAAAAGCATTTACAAAAGTTCAAAAATAATCATGGCTGGAGACATCTGGCTAGGAGCAAATAGTCCGACATACCTGAGTGGCCCCAGAGGGCACACTAAGTTACATTATGTTCCTAATGTCCACACAAGTTCTGAGCTACCAAATAAAGGTTAAATGGAATACTGTAGTTCTTTCTTTTGCAGTTTTATTTTGATATAATTTCTCATTTACAGAAAGTTTCAGATAGAACACAAAGAATACCATCTATCCTTCACCCAGGTTTTTCTTTTCTTTTCTTTTTCCTTTTCTTTTCTTTTCTTTTCTTTTTTGAGACGGAGTTTTGCTCTCGTTGCCCAGGCTGGAGTGCAATGCCGCGATCTCAGCTCATTGCAACCTCCGCCTCCAGGGTTCAAGCAATTCTCCTGTCTCAGCCTCCCAAGTAGCTGGGATTACAGGTGCATGCTACCAACGCCCAGCTAATTTTTGTATTTTTAGTAGAGACAGGGTTTCATCATATTGGTTAGGCTGGTCTCTAACTCCTGACCTCAGGTAATCCGCCTGCCTCAGCCTCCCAAAATGCTGGGATTAAAGGCGTGAGCCACCGTGCCTGGCCCACCCAGGTTTTTCAGATGTTAACATTTTATTACATTTGCTTAAATCTTTCTCTCCCCTTCCTCCCCCTCCCACCTTGTATATGTGTTTCTGTACCACATGGAAGCAGTAAAAATGCCGTTCCTTTATTTATAAATAATTTAACATGTATTTCCTGAAGACTAAGGACATCATGTTATATAACCACAGTGTAATTATCAAAATTAGGAAATGAATATTGAAACAGTAACAGTACTGTTATCTAATATATAGAGTTTATTTGGATGATGCCCGTTGATCCAATAATGTCCATTAGAGCAGAAGAAAATCCAGAATCATGTGATTCACTTAGCCATCATGTCTCTTTCATCACCTTTAGTCTGCAGCATTTCCTGAGTCATTTTCTTTAAAGTTTTACATTAATATTTTTAATGTATATTATATAAGCCAGTTACATAGTAGATTGCCCCTCATTCAAGTGTGTCTGATGATTTAGGCTATCCATATTTGGCAGGAACACCACGGAAGTAATGTTCTGTTCTTCTCAGTACCTGATCTAAGGAGAAAGGTGCTGCTTATTTGTTCCACTGCTGGTGATGTTGACTTTGATCCTTGGTTAAGGTGTTGTCTGCCATGTTTCTCCACTCTAAAGTAACTATTTTTTTCCCCTTTGTAATTAATAACTATCTTATGGGTAATTCTTTGAAACTAGGCAACTATCATGTTTCTCCTTAAACTTTCACTCACCATATTATCTTTTTATGAAGACAGAAGGAAAATAATACATTTTAGTAAGAGTCCCATCAAAATGGTTGTGATGTTTAAAAAAATAACTTCAAGGAACATGGAGTAGTCATTTGACAGATATAATCATGTAGAATTACTTACTATCAGAAATTAAATGTATGCGCCGGGCGCGGTGGCTCACGTCTGTAATCCCAGCACTTTGGGAGGCTGAGGTGGGCGGATCACTTGAGGTCAGGAGTTCGAGACCATCCTGGCCAACATGGTGAAACCCCATCTCTACTAAAGATACAAAAAATTAGCCGGGCGTGGTGGCTCGCGCCTGTAATCCCAGCTACTCAGGAGGCTGAGGCAGGAGAATCGCTTGAACCTAGGAGGCAGAGGTTGCAGTGAGCCGAGATGGCACCATTGCACTCCAGCCTGGGCGACAGGACGAGACTCCATCTCAAAAAAAAAAAAAAAAGAAAAGAAATTAAATGTATGCAATACTTAGTTTTTAAAAATATCCCTCACATATCTAAAGTCAATTTGCAGGTTTATACATGTAAAAATAATTTCATTTGTTAGTAGTATTGTTTTTGAAAGATTTAGAGATGAGTCACTCATGGAAATTTTTCTATTTTTCCAGTATTGGAGGCAGAATGAAACTAACAAAAATCCTTTGGGGAAAAAATTATTCCAATAAATTTTCCAGTAATTATTCCAAATGTCTCTTCTTTTCCTCCCTTTTTTGTGTATCTTTACAACTCAACCAAAAAGTCCACTGTTACTATATCAAGCCTGCTTAAGAATCCTCCGTGATGCCCACTTCCTACAGGATCAAGTTCCAGCTCATCTGAATTCAGACTACCTTTTCATCTTAAAACTTTTCCTCTATTCCAGCCAAATTCATCTTCATAATTCATCTTTAAACATCATCTCATGTTTTTCTGTCTCTGCAAAATGCCCTTTCAATCTATTTTGAGTCTTCTCAGTATACCAGATAAAATTCAAGTGCATCTTTCATAAAATATTCCCTGACCTCTTCATTTTTCAAATTTTGACTTTAATTAGCTACATATAGTCTATTTGCTACTTCAGGGGGATGGTTTAGTAGGAACTTACCTTAGGGAAGATAAGGTGGCATAAATAACAATAAGATACAGACCAGGCAGTGCTGACTCCCTGCTTGGAGGGCCATTTTCCCATGCCCTGCACTGTGCCATACCCTGCACACTGTAGGACACAAAGTTTGTTGTACACATTCTTGTGTATATTTCCATGTACAGTATCTAATGAGACTCATCCCACTCAGAACTTAGGACTTATTATATATTCAATAAATGAATTGTTCAGTTGATACTGTCTTTTAAAAATTCTGATAAAGCCAGCATCTCAATAGGAAGCAGGGGCAGATGTTTCCATTCCTCCCTCATATTTTACTTTCTGTTCAAGGGTGAGTGTTTACACTTTGAACTCTTTCTGGCAGTGATGAATCAGTGCTGATTAATCAATACTCTTTTGCCAGATTTTTCTAGGAGCCAGAGAGAGCTTGACTGGGGTCAGGCATCCATTTAAGGGCAGGTTGGTTTCCTTATTTTAGGAAAAAAAATAGTGCTTATATGTTTCATTAATCATAACTTCACTTTACAGGAATCCAAAAAATTTAGTGTTATCTGTTCACTCCTTTTGAAGTGTTCTTTGAGAGCTCTCTGACCACCAGGAAGTGTAGTAGGTGCTAGGCACACTGAAGCCAAGTAAGGTGTAGTTCCATGGCTCAAGGAGTTGTGAGTCTAACAGGGGAGCTGAAGTTAATTGCAAGGGAGATTGTGCTTTTCACTGAAAGGTGTGTCTTCGGTAGACTACAGCCATAGAGTCGTGTGAGAATTACTGAAGAGTGTGGCAGAAGAAAAGGTGGTAAGATCAGGGAGGGCTTTACCAAAGTCACGTTCAGGTGGAGTCTTGAAATTCTGTAAGCTTTCAGAGGTGGGCCTTGTTCCAAGCTGTGTGAGTATAGCCCTGAGGTAAGCTGGCTGCGTGGCATGTTGAAGGAAGTGAGAGCAAGCTGATACCAGCTCGCCACCAACAGCCTTTGCCAAATGTAAAGCAGGAAAAGGAGGGTTACTTTGAAAAGCCTAGTGTGCCATGCTGAGAATGATGGACTTTATGAAGCAATGGAGGAGCTTTTAAATGTGTTTTCAATAAGAAATTGTCATGGACAAATCAGCATTGAATTCAGATCTCATTAAAAACGTGTCCAAAGGATAACTCGACAGTAAACATATCTCGAAAGTACCCATGGCTGTAAAAAAGGCGAAGTATTTCTTTCTCCATTTAATTTACCCTCCCCTGGGTGATTGGTTTGTGGTTAGGCCGTTTGTCCAGCTGCAGCAGACTGGTTTTACACCCTGAAGTAAACTTGAATTTCTTTTTTTTTTTTTGAGACGGAGTCTCGCTCTGTCACCCAGGCTGGATGGAGTGCAGCGGTGCGATCTCGGCTCACTGCAACCTCCGCCTCCCAGGTTTAAGCGATTCTCCTACCTCAGTCTCCCAGGTAGCTGGGATTACAGGTGCCCGCCATCACGCCGGGCTAATTTTCGTATTTTTAGTAGAGATGGGATTTCACCATGTTGGCCAGGTTGGTCTCGAACTCCTGACCTCAGGTGATCCACCTGCCTCAGCTTCCCAAAGTGTTGGGATTACAGGTGTGAGCCACTGCGCCTGGCCTTTGAATTTCTTAAAACCAAGCAGAACAGTGATTTTCAAGCTCTCTTCATTAGATTCTAGCAGCTGGAGTTTATTTATTTATTTATTTGAGACAGTCTCACTCTGTTGCCCAGGCTGGAGTGCAGTGGCGTGATCTCCGTTCGCTGCAACCTCTGCCTCCTGGGCTCAAGCAATCCTCCCCGCTCAGCCTCCCAAGTAGCTGAGATTACAGGTGTGCGCCATGAGGCTCAGCTAATTTTTTTTATTTTTGGTAGAGATGGGGTTTCACCATGTTGCCCAGGCTGGTCTTGAACTCCTGAGCTCAAGCGATCCACCCACCTCAGCCTCCCAAAGTGCTGGGATTATAGGCGTGAGCCACTGCACCTGGCACAGCTGCATTTTAGAGCTTCCAAATGCTTAGTGCGTATTTCATTTGTTTCCAAAGTACATTTTAAACCATTAAAATCACAATAAAAAATAGCACACACACTTGTGGGTGGTTATATGAATAATTCGTGGACTTTGGACACCAATGTCCTGTTAACTCAGGCTGCCAGTGCAGTCTTCAGAATAAAGTAGATTTTTGTAATTTCTCTGCCGACATGTAAACTTATACAAGTGTGTTATTGATTAAGAAGCTGAGTAGAGCACTGCCCTGGTATTTTGAAAAGTTCAGGTTCATGCATGTGCACTAATAATGTATTTTACAAGTGAACATACCTATACCTACAGTCAATCAAATGCCAGGCAAGGTGTGGCTCGTCTGCTTCAGGCATGGTCTTATTGTATAATAGCATCGTAAGTGAAGTCCCAACATCTCATTTGTATGCTGGGTAGTAATTACATGTTTCAAATCACCTGGGGGCCTTTTAAAAATCCTGATACCCAGGCCATACCCCTTACCAATTAAATCAGAATTCCTGGAGGTAGGGGTGGGACCCAGGCATTAGTATTCTTTTAAGAGTTAGACTGTTTAGAGCAGTTATGGTTTACAGCAAAATAGAGCAGAAGGTACAGATTTCCCATCTGTCTCCTCCATGGCCTCTCCTATTATTGGTATCCCCCACCAGAGTGATACATTGTTACAGTTGGTGAACCTACAGTAACACATCATTATCACCCAAAGACCATTATATTTACGTTAGGGTTCCTTCTTTCTGTTGTACGTTGTATGGGTTTCAACAGATGTACAATGACATATATCTATTATTATAATATCATATAGAGTAATTTAGTATTTTTCAGTAGTTTCAGTAGGCATCAGTATTTTTAAATTTTTAAAAATTTTTTGCTGTATTTTGGAGGAGAGGAATATATTCTTATTGCCATCGACCGTAGGCGTATTCTTTCCAATCTCTTGTTCTGTCCTTCTAGTAATAATTGTATTGGCTTTTCTGGTTTCAGTTAAATTTTGGTTCACATATCTTCAAACATACTATAAACCTGATAAGATTTGAGAGCCCAGAAAGATAAGTTTAAGGTACAGTGGTCTTTTTCCTGAAGAGCAATTTTAATATGCCATTTCAGCACCTGGGAAGTGTAAAATATGTGAGAGTGTTATTTTCTTATCTATCAGATATGCCTCCAGAGCTTTCAACATGTTCTTTATGTTAAGCATTTTAGTCCCCTGTACTCTAGCAGAAGTAAAATCTGATTTTTCCTACCAAAAGTTCCTTATTTTCATCTGCTTGCTAAGAACCAAGAAATGTTTGGATGCTTTATGCAGATGATACAATTCAAACTAACTGCAACTGGGGCATTTGTGTTGCCTGCTTCATGTTTTGAGCCTTTAGTATTTAATGGAAGCCCTGCGCTGTGGAAAGTCTCCTAATAGCACTTTGTGCATCCCAGGGGCCAGCCACGGTGCTTCTGCAGCCGCACTGTAGATGTTTGTTTATTTGTCTCCACTAGGCTGTCCAGTACATTTAGAGGCTGAGTCTCAGTGTGTGTTTGAAAGAATGAATGGTTGATTGAAGAAAGGAGACCATTTGCAGGAGAGAGAGAGAGATGAACAGTACATATATAGAGGAGGGCAAGAAGAAATCCCAGGGCTTTAGAGTCAAGTGATTAGTTCAGTGACTGGCCTGATTCAGGACCCTTTGAGCATTTCTCATTTGAGAAACAGAAAGATCTTTGTTGGTACAAAAAAGGTTAAGGATAGATATGTGGCCAGCTGGACATCGATCATGAGCGGAAGGAATTGACTCCGAGAGGGATTTGGTAATCTTGTGTGTTAGTAAAAGTACATGGATTTTTTTTTTTTACAGTCTCACTCTGTCACACAGGCTGGAGTGTAGTGGCACAATCACAGTTCACTGCAGCCTCAACCTCCCAGGCCCAGGCAGTCCTCCTATCTCAGCCCCCTGAGTAGCTGAGATCACAGGTTTGAGCCACTATGCCCAGCTAATATTTTTTTGTCAAGACGAGGGCTGGTCTTGAAACTCCAGGGCTCAAGCCATCCTCCTGCCTCAGCCTCCCAAAATGCTGGGATTACAGGCATGAGCCACCTTGTCTGGCCAGATTTTTTTTTTTTTTTTTTTTTTTTTGGTAATCAAATATTTCAAAAGGTGAGTCTCCTTTGGGGTGATTCTCTCACACAGAAAGATGATTCTTGGAGGAAACATATCTAAGCATCCTCCAAGGTAGTGTCAGCATTCAAAGTTGATCCTGAATTATCTCTGCAGACACTTTTTGTGTTGGGCATTATGCTGAAGCCATTTGTTGTAGAGCAAGTTGATTTTTATGGCTGAGCTTATCTGAATTTAGTTTGATATATTGTATTCTTTATTTATTCATTCATTGATTCACTGATTCATTCATTTTTCCTGACATTCAAACAAATGTTTCTTGAACACATTGTGAAAGGGCCAGGCATTTGTCAGGTAATGAGGGTATAATGGTAAACAAGGTAGACACAGCCCTTTGCCCTCTTGGGGGTGCAGACAGCCGGTCATTTAAGTGGGGTGTGAGGAGAGCATTTACAAGGAAAGGACAGGATGTCGGGGAGCACAGGGTGGGGAGTGTGGGGCAGACGCTAGGAGGAAGTCCCTTGAGATTAAGGCCTGAAGCATAACTTTAGACAAAGAGTGCAGAAGAGTGTGTTCCTGACTAATGAAAAGCTTAGTTTATTAATACTTAGGGCTTGTTGAATGGAGGATACTTTTGCAGCCTTCCCCTACTTTGTGCCATCCAGCCAAGAGAGGTCCACAATAGCAGCCCTGATTCGCGGGAGGAAAGAGCCCACTTCAGCTGCAGGGTGGCCCTGTTCCCAGGAGAGATTTGAGTCTGACCCCACAGTGGCAGCAAGGCAGCTCTGTGCCTGTGTTATCTCCACCAGCACACGTCATTGAGTCAGCTTTACTTTATCCAGCCTGATTGTAGAAGTCATAGTAGACACTGTGAGGGAATCGTGTGGAATTTTCACTGGAGCATTCTGAAACTTAAAAAGTAAATCTTTTATTGCTTTACTAATGTCTTCCTGTGTCTGTCTTTTTAAAAATTTTTATTGTAAAAAGTAAAATATATACCAAAGAGTGTATGTGTGTACAGTTTACACTATCAGTATTAAAATGGGCACCCATGTACTCATGACCAGCCTAGGAAATAAAACATTACCAATAGTGTGTACCTTTCACATCCTGCCTCCTCCACCCTGTCCCAGTTGTAACTACTACCCTGAATTTGTATTTAGTGTTCTCTTTTGTTCCTCTCTTCTAGTATGTTTTAAAAGGTCATATTTATGCTTATTAGGAGATATTACAGTATCAGACTCTTGCTGTGTACCAACAAAGAACAAGAGATAGGTCAGAACGCTGTTTAAATAAATTGCTTGATTGTACTCTTTTAAGCAGGAGTTTATAGTGGTAACATCAAAGTGCTTAAAAAAATTCAAAACAAAAGCCTTTTTCAGTTTCAAGGAAAACCTTAACAAGGTGTGTTAAAAAGATAAGGTTTTTAGAGGTTGGGTGAGGTGGCTCACACCTTTAGTCCCAGCACTTTGGGAGGCCAAGGCAGGTGGATCACTTGAGGTCAGGAGTTCAAGACCAGCCTGACCAACATGGTAAAACCCTGTCTCTACTTAAAAAAAATAGAAAAATTATCTAGGCATGGTGGCACGCCCCTGTGGTCCCAGCTATTCAGGAGGCTGAGGCCAGAGAATCACTTGAACCCAGAAGGTGGAGGTTGCAGTGAGTTGAGATCGCTCCACTGCACTCCAGCCTGGGCAACAGAGCAAGATTCTTGTCTCAAAAAAAAAAAAAAAAGATAAGGTTTTTACAAACCAGTATGCTATAAATGGACCCAGTAGTAACATGACATTGAATTGCTTCAACCAGTAACAGCTTCAAGATCCCTGCCTATGTTCCCTGCTGTGAACGTGTTTATTTGTTCCTAATAATACTGCCACAGTGTATTTCAAATTATTTTATGGTATGAGAGTTTGAATTTACTTGGAGTAAGATCATCTCGGCATGTAGTTGGGAGACATTATTTACTCTATTGTTTCAGTAATTCAGAATATTGAAATAGGTCAGTCATGTCAGGAAATAGACTCTTAGGTGAACCATTCTTGAATTTGCCTTTTTCTTTGTGATTGTGATGGATATTGTTTTGTTTTCTATCTTTGCTTTTTTTTTTCTTTCTGAAATGTTCTGGTTGTCCATCCAAATTGTAAGAATATTACATTTTGAATATCCTTTGATTATTGTAAAAATGACCCCTAGTCAGATGATTCCACAGACTTTTTGATTACTTGTCAAATGACTTTGCGGGCTTTTTTCATTTGAATTGATTTCCTATTTTAAGGGTCAGTGTCACTTCATTGCTAAATGATACCTTTGAGCAACATGGTACATTTTAGAAACCTTATTCTCCAGAGTACTCTAAGAGAAGGGTTGTTTGGATTTTATTTGTTTATATTCTTGCCCTTTAAACTCTAGCATAACTCAGCAGGATTCGGTACTCCTTATAGAACCGTTCCCCAGAGAGAAAGTAAGCTCAGCTCTCATTTCCATGTTGAAGTTTGTATGCAAGTTTACATGGAGCTCAGAATCCAAAGTTGGCAGGATATGAAAATGTTTGTATATCATTTAATCTATTTTATTTCATTTCATTTCTGTGTTTTTATTCCCAAAGCAATTGGTTTTATTCAGGAATCAACAGACTTTTTTAAATCCATCTATAAGTTTTTGAACCAAAGCTTTACTACATTTCACAGCCATTTTTGCCACTATGCCATAATTATAAATCCTTGGCCTCAAAGAAACCTATTTAATATCTTATTCAGATTGAGATTCTAGTCTTCAGTGACATGGAATGTAGATTAGAACAATAGTTTCTGTATATCTCAATGGTCTTTACATTTGCATTTTTAGCCATTTTAACTAGCCCCTAAAAACTCTCTTTTATGACTCTGTGGATGAGCTATCTGAATTCAACAATAATTTTACTATGTATTCCCATAATACTCCTAGTCATTTAAAAAAAGGCAGGGGAATGGACAAAGCAAATCATTCCCAATTGTTTAAGAAACCAGTGAACTCATCCCTTGCTTGGACTGCATAGAATACAGCCTGAGAGGGAAACCTGTGATTTAGTTTCTCTCTTTACCCACACAGGAGAACACTTCTGACAAGATGCCATTCGTGCTCACCGTAGTTGGTCAGAAACTGCGGCTCTGTGCTTGGCAAAAGTTAATTTGGATTTTAGATGCTGTGTGCAAGGAAACCATGTGCAGTTTTAAGCAAGGATCTTCACTGAAATTTCTCGCTGCAATCAACTACGCAGAGTGCCCAGCTCTCAGCATTTGACACAGTTGGCCACTCTTCCCTTGTCTCTCATGGCATCGTGATTTCCTGGGATACCTTTGGTCTCTTTGTCCATAGCATTCTCTATCTGGGGTACACTCACAATAGGCAGAGGAAAAACATGGTAACCAGGGTGGCTGCTGCAACATATTTGAGGGGGTCAGGGTAGGCAATGAGGTCCGAGAGGTAGCCAGGAGTTAGCTCATGTAGGACTTTGTAGGCCACTTGAGGACTGGCCTGATCTGGCTGATGGGAAACCCATAGAGGATTTTGAGTAGAAGAGTGATATGATCCAACCTGAATTTTAATGAGATCTCTTTGGCCTCTCTGTGGACTAGTTGCTGTGAAGTGGGGAAGGCTGAAGGAGGCAGACACCAATTAGGAAGCTATCAATACTTAATCCAGGTGAAAGATGACAGTGGCTTGGACCAAGATGGTGACACCAAATGAGGCAGAGAGAGATCAATTTCTAGATAGGTTTCTTTTGTTTTGTTTTGTTTTGTTTTTTGAGACAGAGTCTCGCTCTGTCACCCCGCCCAGAGTGTAGTGGTGTGATCTCAGCTCACTGCAAGCTCCGCCTCCCGGGTTCACGCCATTCTCCTGCCTCAGCCTTCCGATTAGCTGGTACTACAGGCGCCCGCCACCACACCAGCTAATTCTTTTGTATTTTTAGTAGAGACGGGGTTTCACCATGTTAGCCAGGATGGTCTTGATCTCCTGACCTCGGTGTTCCGCCCACTTTGGCCTCCCAAAGTGCTGGGATTACAAACGTGAGCCACCGCACCCGGCCCCTCTAGATAGGTTTCTAAGTAGAGATGACATGTGTAGCTGACAGCTTGGAGGAAAGTTGTGCAAAAGAGAGGAGTCACAAAACAGTCCAGGGTTTTGGTCTCAGCCACTAGAAAACTGGTGTTACCATTTACTGATTTGGAGAAGACCATGGAAAGGAAGTTTGGGGGGTGGGAATCAGGAGTTTAATTTGGACATATTAAATTTGAGATGATGCCAATTACATCCAAGCAAAGTTGAATAGGCTGTGTGTGTGTGTGTGTGTGTGTGTGTGTGTGTGTGTGTGTGTGTGTACAGGTGTCATCAGCATTTGAAACTGAGTGAGGTCACCAAGAGAAGGAATGTTAAATAGATACGCAGTCAGAGAAATGATCTGGGCTCTTAATCATATAGAGGTCAGGAGAACCAGGGAAGGAGCAGTCAATGAGATAAGAGAATCAAGAGGGAGAGGCATTCCAAAAGCCAAACTGTTAAAAAACAAAAAAAAAGGTTTTAGCAGGGAGTAACTTTCAAAGGTTTTAGATAGGGCAATAAGACAAGATTTGAGAATTAACCATGGAGGTCATTGCATTCCTTAACAAAAACAGTTTCTATGGAGTAACGGAGATGAAAGCCTAAATTGGATTTATCCAAGAGAACAGAAGAGGAGAGAAATTGGACACAGTGTGTACAGACAGTTCTTTCAAGATTGATAAAATAAAGGAGGACAAAGGGGCCAGAGCTGCAGGGAGATGCAGGGTCAAGGTTTTTTTTCTCTAAACCTGGGATATAAATATAAATATGTATGTTTATATTGCTGCTGGTGGTAATTCAGTAGTGAGTGAAAAATTCAGAAGAGGGAGAATTGCTGGATCAATAAATGTCCTTAGGTAGGCAAGAGATGAGATGCAATGTGCAGTGGAGAGGTTCATCCTGGAGAGGGATGCAGACAGACACTTTCTACATAGGAGTGCAGGGAAAGCAGAATGGGCACAGATGCAGGGAGGTGGGTAGCTATGGTGTCTGGACATAGGGAGGTTCTCTTCTCATTGCTTCTGTTTTCTCGGTGAAATAAGCAGCTCAGTCATTAGCTGGGAGTGAGAAACCAGAGGAAGTGGAAATTTGAGGTTAGAGAGGAAGGTTTAAACTAGTCCTCTAGGGAAATGGAAAGCAGATGGATTAGGGCAATGTGGGTGGATTGCTAGACAGCATTAAGAGTCCCTTTAAGGTTAGTGACCATACATTTAAGGCGAAAATAGTCAGTGGGATTGTGTGCTTTTGTCCAGCTGTGGTCAGCCACCCTGGTGGAGATGCATAGTGGATAGAGAATTGAATTTAACCAGGATAGAGGTTCCAGGTGAAGGCCCTGAAGGGAGAGGCAAGAGAGCTGATTGTGTATGCAAGGGGGTGAGTATAATGGTGGCCTATGGGGTTTAGTCTGAGTAAGGCAAATGAAGACATGCTGGGATTTTAGTTTCTGATGCAGCTTAGGGATCAGTGAACTCAGGGTTTTGGAGGATATTGGAAAGCTAAGAGGTGGTCAATTAGGGAGTAGAGAAGCCTGAAACTACGATTCTGGAGTGGGTGCAGGTACTGATGATTGGGTCTAGAGCTAGTGATTCTCAACTGGGGGGATTTCACCTCTGAGGAGGCATTTGCAATGTCTGGAGACATTTTTGGTTGTCACAACTGGAGGCAGAGGAGATACTGCTGTCATCTAGTAGAGGCCAGGGGTGCTGCTCAACATCCTACAAGGTATAGCACAGTTTCCCACAACAAAGGATTGTCTGTGGCAGTTGTCAGTAGTGCTGAGGTTGAGAAGCCCTGGTTTAGGGTATAAAAGAAAAACTTCAGCTGAATTAAATTTAAAGGAGTTTAACTGAACAAAGAATGAACTGCGAATTGGGCAGCCTTCTGAGCCAAGGTAGGCTCAGAGACGCCAGCGCAGCCACGTGGCGGAAGAAGATTTATGGACAGAAAAAGGAAAGTGATGTACAGAAAACGGGAGTGAGGTACAGAAACAGCTGCATTGATTATAGCTCAGCATTTGCCTTACTTGAACACAATTTGAACAGTTGGCTACATTTGATTGGCCAAAACTCGGTGCTTGGCCCAAGGTGATTGGCTACGGCCTGTTTACACCTACACTTGTTATAGTTCACAGTGTACAGAAAAACCCTTAGGCTGAACTTAAAATATGTAAGGAGGCAGCTTTAGGCTAAACTTGATTGAACAGGTATGACCATAGAAATGAGTGGCTGGGGTAGGCCTGATCTTACCCAGATTATTGGAGAAGATAAACAGACTAGGGTTTTAGAAGGTTTATCTTACAACTGATGAAATCTCCAAAAATGATGACAAGAGTAGTATTAGAGAAAAGTGTAGATAGCCAGGGATGGGAGGAAGTTAATTTCTCAGTGTGTGGCATCATTTTCTTTTTCTTGAGCTAGCTGATGGGCTAGCTTTGGATTTCATAATCCTGGCTAAGAGCTACACGTTCAGATTAGCCAAAGAGTGTTGTGTGTTTTTTAAAAAGCCACCTGTTTATTACCTAACTTTGGTATAATGAAATCTGTGTCTTAAATAGATGCCTAAAAGCCATTTGGGAATTTGGTTAGTCTTTTTGCTCAAAATTCTGTGACTGTAAACTTGGACACTTGGTCTAATTCCATCTTTAAATAATGTCTCGGGATGACAAGTCTTGCAGCTAGGCCTCGAGGAAGGGATCTGGTTTAAGAAAATCCTTGAAGAAGGCTGGGTGCGGTGGCTCACGCCTGTAATCCCAGCACTTTGGGGGGGCCGGGGCTGGTGAATCACCTGAGGTCAGGAGTTCGAGACCAGCCTGGGCAACATGGTGAAACCCCGTCTCTACTAAAAATACAAAAATTAGCTGGGCGTCGTGGTGGGTGTCTGTAATCCCAGCTACTCGGGAGGCTGAGGCAGGAGAATTGCTTGAACCCAGGAGGCGGAGGTTGCAACACTGCACTCCAGCCTGAGTGACAAGATTGAGACTCGGTCTCAAAAAAAAAAAAAAGAAAGAAAGAAAAGAAAATCCTTGAGAAACTTTATTTATAGACTTTTAGAGACTGTGGCTTTCCAGTACTCATCACCATGGAGAAAACTAGTCAAAATCACACAGAGTGAATAAGGGTTGCAAGCCAGTGCTGCTTCCTGGAATAAGCTGGTCCACTAGTCTAGTCTTGTGCTTTGTCCTTCATTTTGAACTCAAGTGCCCTGGGGCTGCTTTTCTGCGTACCCACAATAGCAAGGAACTCTTTTGTTTGCATCTCCTCTGAAAGAAATGCTTGTTTTGAGGTTTGGACCGCAAATAATAATCTATTGTTCCCTGTAATAATAATCCACCCTCTTTCGCAGAAAAAAAAATCTGCTTGATGCAGTATGGCTATCAGTTTATTTAAAAGAATAGCCAAAAGTGCCCATTATGTCCTGAGAATAAACATTTGCAAGATGGTTGGGAGGAATGGGGGAGTACTCTTGTTCTCCTTGGCTGAGAGTCAGTTAAGTCTTCAAGGAGAAAAAATTCTGAAAATGACCATCAGTCCTGGCTGACAATACTCTTCCTTATTCTGCCCGTCTGTTACATTCTAAGAATTATTGCAACACTGCAGATATTTATTCCAAACGATTTCTTTAAAAAATATGGAAGATGGGTATTTTTAAGTTACCAATTTTGGGCCAAATAAGTTTTTTTTTTCTGACTTTCATTTTGTCTGTGAAAGCATTTCTTTTATAGCAGTATGTTCAAATTAGCAATCTTTAAGAATTTGGCAAATACTTTTAACAGCAATCCTTAACAATTCCTGCAGTTGCCTACTATTGCAGATCTTGAAAAAAGAGCCATTTTTATATTCTAAGTGGTAGACACATTTCAATTACTATTTCCTGGGCTTAGGCTAACTGACAAAACTTGATGGGTGAAATGAAAATGTGATATACGGTGTAATCAGCTGTTTACTTACCTAGCACAGTGAAATCTTATGGTAGGTATGATTGCACTAACAAAACCAAAACATGCATTTTTCTTCCTTAAGTTCTTTATAAGAAAAGGATCAGTTAAATAATAAATGTGGCTTTAAAATGAAGTTATATCTTAGGATAGTTTTAATTGCATTACATATGGATGATGAGAAAAGTTCAGTGTGATAACAATTGCGTAACAGATAAGCATGAGAACTACTTAAAGAAATAAAAATATGCCCATCACCTCATTAAAAATAGACCATCAGGGAAGCCACCAAGAAGTCCTTCAGTAGGTGAATGAATAAACTGTGGTACATCCATACAATTTGTATATTATTCAGCAATAAAAAGAAATGAGATATTATGCCACAAAAAGACACGGAAGAAAGTTAAGTGCATATTACTAAGTGAAAGAAGGCAACCTTAAAAGGCTACATGCTGTATAATTTTAACTAGATAACATTCTAGAAAAGGCAAACCTATAGAGACAGTATAAGGTCAGTGTTTGCCAGGGGTGTGGGGGGAAGGACGGCAGGAATAAATTGGTGTAGCACAGGGGATGCTTAGGGAGTGAAACTATTCTGTATGATACTGTAATGGTGGAGACGTCACTATTCACCTTTGTCAAAATCCATAAGATCTACAACACTAACACAAATCCTAATGTAAACTATGGACTGTGGTTAACAATGATGTAACCATATTGGCTCATCAATTAAAACAAACGTATAACACTAATGCCAGATGTTAATAATAGGAGAAACAGGTTGGCCATGGGAGAGTGAGGGAATATGAGAATTCTACCTTCTATTCAATGTTTCTGTAAACCTGAAACTGCTCTTTAAAAAGTCTATTAGTTTAAAAAAAAAATTCAATATAACCAGACTAATAAAAATATCTTAACTAAAAAGCAATACAAACCTAAACTGTCAGCAATTATTCTGTTTATAGTGCTATTCTGATTGAACTTAGCTGTAGAATATTCTGCCAGAAATATGTAATGGCAGTGAATTACTGTATATATCTAGTAACTTTGCTGTATCTTTTCTTGTCTGGCAAAAATGCACAGTGGTATTCATGTTAAGTCCTACTTTCAACTACCCTTATTCCTTTCTCTTCAGTGACAGCTGGAGTATCAGCCTTGGAAGTATATACGCCAAAAGAAATCTTCGTGGCAAATGGTACACAAGGGAAGCTGACCTGCAAGTTCAAGTCTACTAGTACGACTGGCGGGTTGACCTCAGTCTCCTGGAGCTTCCAGCCAGAGGGGGCCGACACTACTGTGTCGGTAAGAATGCTTGACTTCTCTTGGCTAGTCCTGCCTCACAGGTTTCTTTACTGCTGTATAATTGGTGATCCATTTTTCTGATGGTTCATTTCCAAAATGAGTGTATTTTTTATCTGTTATAGACTTCAAGGCCCTTCTTTTGCTTCAGGATAAAATAAGTTCAGCATCTCTTAAATGCGTCTGGTTTCCTTGTCTTTGATCAGTTCCTCTCCACCATCAAATCCCATTCTGAAATTGATCTTAATTGACCACACTGACTCTAATCAGGATTTATCCTGCATCTTTTCATCTTTTATTGCCCCATATTTATTGATATTTGTTTTATGTATTATCAAATTTTATATATATATGTATGCATCTTCTGATTTGATTATCTTTTTTTAATTTAGCGTATAGTCCATCTGATTTAGCAATATTGATTTGGGAGCTTACTATGTAGTGGGTTATGTAGGGCCTTCAAAAATGTCTAAAACAGAATCCTTGCTCTCACCTAGAGATGATTAGGAGGAAGGCTGATATATAGATGACTTTGGAGTAAGATAAAGGATGTAACAGAAATACAGCACCAGAGCATTGAAAAAAGGTTATTTAGTAACTAGTGGAGTGCTGGTTATTAAACATGAACTGACTATCTTGGTTCTGGTCTGTAAAATGGAGACGATAAAACCTCCCACACAAGGGTGTTAGGAGGATAAAGTAAGATTATTCAAGATAAGTGCTCAGGAGAGTGTCTAGCTCTTGAGTTACTAAAATACACCATTTGTTGTTACTGTTGCTCTCCCAGCATGTGGAATGCCCTTCATATATTGGCACATATTTTAGTACTGTTGCATGTTTCAGGTTGTCAGTGTTTAGCAAGGACAGTCTGTCATCTATCTTTAAGAATGCCCAATTCTTCTTCTGAATGGTGAGTTACATTGTTGATCACCACCTAGATGTTGGGCCCATCATATGCCTATGCCATTTAATCTTCACAGCTCTATGAGGAAGACAGGGTGGGGAGGATGGGAGACACTGACTCAAGAGTTATTCACCTGTGGCCATACCACACAGGTTAGAATTGTTTAAACTTCAATACGGTATGATTTCCCTTATGTATTATTTCTCTCTCAGGTAGAAAAATCTGCTAATAATATTTACGGCCTCATAGGTTTTAGGGATTACCTAAGGCAGTGCTTCTCAGTATTTTTTAAAATTTATTTTTAAAAGGAGCCTTTTCACATTTTTCTTAATCTCTGCCCCCTTCCATGAAATTTTAATATTGTAGATATCCTCTGCAACTGTTTTACATATAAAAGAGAAAGATTTTCTCAAAGCTTCCCACCCAAGAGCCAGTGTTTGCTCCCTTGGGGGAGAATCTCCCCTATGGAGAATGCATAGTCTAGAGGTCTTTATAAGAGAGGCCTTCCCTTACAGTAGCCATAAGGGTGAGCACAGGAATCCATACAGATACCATGGAAAGACATAAAGAGGCATTCTCTGCTTCACGTAAATATGGCATCAGCATAGAACATACACTAATGTTCCCATAGAGGCAA
The DNA here is from genome assembly GCF_000001405.40 of Homo sapiens. Taxonomy (NCBI): domain Eukaryota; kingdom Metazoa; phylum Chordata; class Mammalia; order Primates; family Hominidae; genus Homo; species Homo sapiens. The sequence continues at coordinate 167,767,288 of NC_000001.11, forward strand.
GATTAAACACATAAGTTTACTCAAGAGAGTCCAAAGAACTATTTAAACATTTAAAGATTTCCCACTGAAGTCTTCTGCAAGAGTGGGTGTGAGAGCCACCCAGAGGTAATAACTTTCTTTTAAAGAGCGGTTCCATTTATGCTGGAAACAGTCTTGTCGTGTAGGTCCATGAAGGTTTACATAACTCAAAACTTAATATTAAGAACATGCTGTAATTCTGATTAATATTTTTAGCTAATCAATTTATACTTACACACGAGTCTGATTGCAGTTAATCCCAGCATGTTCAGTTATTGACATAGGATCCTTTAATTCCAAAATGTCGGGACACATTTAATAAGATGAGTGGGTTGCTTTTTTGTTTTTATAGGTTTTACAGGAAAAGTATATTCAAACCCAGTATATTCAAAAGCCATACTGTGGATGGCTTTTTTGGCCCATGGCCTTGGGATCCACATGTCTGAAACTGAACTCATTTTTTCTCCCTTCTGTTTCCCTTTTCTGCTTTTTTTTTTTTTTTTTTTTTTTAGGTTAATTGTGTTCATCTGCAGATGAGTTTTGTAATCATTTTGTTTTGTTTTGTTTTGTTTTGTTTTGTTTTGTTTTGTGTTTTCTGTCCTTTCCTTCCCTGTCCCTTACCACTTCCCTTCTGCCCCCAAGAAATAAGAACCTTTGCTGGTTCTTCCTACTTTGTTTCTGGTGTCTAGCTTTTTGTCAGCCTTCCTGTGTCTCTGCTGTCTATTGAGCAATGTTAACTGTGTGCCTGGTCTTGTGCAGTAGCCCCTTGTTATTCTTCTGCTTCTGTTTTTCTCATCTTTCAATCCAACCCTCATATGCCAGCAGGTGCATAGTCTTAGAACAGCTCTTTCACCTTGCCACTGCAGGTTATCAGGAACCTAGATTCCCATTGTGGACAACATTTGTCTAGAATTAAAAGCTCATTACAATTTGGCCCAGCCTACCACTTTAGCCTCACTTCTGTTCTCTTATGGCATCACTTCCAGTTTAGTAAAAATGCTTTGTGCTTTGTTTTCCTACTTCTGAACACTTGTCATTTAAGCTGTACCCCATTTTTACCCTCTGTCTCCTCCATAATGCCTCTTTTTTTTTTTTTAACCTTTTAGCCCTTAAAACTCACTACCCTTATCTGGGCCATTCCTATAATACAGATCCCTTAATATGACAGTTTTCCTCTTCTTCCTGAATATGGGTGTTTTAAGAGGACTTGCCTGTCTTACATCTTTAGTATACCTCATAGCTTTAGCACCATGGCTTGTACTTTAAAAATATTGATTGATAATGATTCTAGTCTTTTCTGTGAATTTTTCACTGTTTTATTTCCATCTCTCACTGGTTTGACCAAGACGTTATTCCTCAGTTTGATTCAGCAAACTATGTAGTTCCTGCTGTGTCCAAAGTGCTAAGGAGTACAGAGATAAATACATCTTATCCTCTGCCTTCAAATGGCCCCCATTCAATGAGGGAGCCTGACTGAGGGAGCTGTCTCAGACCCAGTGCTGAGAAACAGCATCATGTAGCTCATCCCCGCTGGTTCAGAAATGCAAGGCAGGGAATATGTGGAGATGTTGTGGGAAGGGAAGGCAGAGAGCAGGTGATGGAAGGATTCATTTGCAAAGCTGAGAGTTTATGGTTCATTTTCTAGTGAAGAAGAGAGAGTGAAGAACTTTGAACAGATAAGACATGATCTCACCTGAGAGGCCTTAAACATTGGAAATAGCATAAGCTTTGAAATCAGAGCTGAGTTTGAATTCCATCTCTAAAACCTGTGACTTTGGGAAAGTCACCAAGGTTTCCTGAGCCTCACATTCCCTATTTATGAAATATCAGGTAGGCGAATCTCACCTTGCAGGGTGGTTGTGAGGGCTAGAGAGTTGTTGGGAGACAGTTTTCTATGGGTCTTTCACGTTTTTGCACACCTTGCTAGCAAAGGCACTGGCTGCCTTTGTTCTGGACTTTTTTTATACAGTAACTAGCTTTGGAAGGCAGAGATGATGTTACCCTCTGGAGCAAAGGACAAATTTGTGTATTCTTGAGTATAGTAAAGGTAGTGTCTCCTTTCAGGGCTGAAGTCAGACATGTCTTCTGCCCCTTGTAAGAGAATAGTGTTCCCTGAGCTTGGGGTTCCTCGGCTGTGATGCAACGCCTCTGCCTGCACAACATCCATGTGAGCCCCTCCATGTCATGGCTATGGGACTTGCGGGGCAAGAGAAACAAACACATGCTTTCTGCTCATAAGGTTCTTTGTTTCTGAGTCTTCTTCATGGGAGTGAAGATTTCACAGGAGTCCGTGTCTTCTGTCAGCACCTATGAACCTGTGGCCAACTAACTTTGTTAGCTTGTAAGTAGGGTAAAATCTCAGACCCTTCACGGTTCTTAACAAGCATTTAGGTCATATGAAATGCAGGGTAAATATTTGATAAATGTTATAATAATAACCATTATTCTTTATCAGTGATCATTTAGGCATTGTGGAAGATGATGAGTTAGACATACCAGTTAAGAGGCCATAGTCCAAGATGATGAAAACATAAAAACAGATATTGTCAGTGGGAACCGAATAGAGAGAAGAGAGAACTGAGAGAAACTAATGAGACATTGACAATATTGGGGGATTAACTGGATAGGAAGAAAGAGAATCAAGGATGACTTCAAGATTTATGGTTTTGGAAAGAAACAGTAGCCATCAGTGAAGACACGATACATGAAGAGGGGAAGATGAAGTTTGTAAGAGAGGGTGACAAGCTTGGGGGAGAGGGGCAGCCAGGTGGTAAAGTGAGTAGGCAAGGAGTCTAGAGCTTAGGGGACGCTATTGATGGAGAGAGAGGTTTGGGAGTTAAGAAAATCTAGATGATCATTAAATCATAGGAATGGATGAGTCTGCACTGGGGTTTTCACCGTGCTCAAAGGGTTCTGAAAATGTTCTGTTTGAATTGCTAATAGAGCTGGTTTCTATCCCCAGCTCCACCATCACCCCGTCCATTAACCAGAACAAAGACATCAGGCCTCCAGCATAGCTGCTTGGATTAGAGCCAAGTGTGAGGATAGATCCCCTCCCACTGGGCCTTAACCCTGCTTCCAGGTGCTGAGTTTGACAAGGTTTACTTTGAGAAGACAGTTCCTTTGCTGAAAGCAGGACTGAGGAGAGACTGAGGAGTGGAAAGAGAAAGGGGCTAAAGGCTGAACTTTCAAAAGCCGGCAAGAGTATCTTGTGTTATCTGGGCTTTGTTCCTTTCACACACCCATGACTTTTCCATAGGAAACCAGAAGGAAGAGGGCGAAACTCAGATTAGCTGATCTGAGATATTTAGGATTCTTCTCCTTTGTGCTTCTGTGTATCTTAGTGGTAAGCTAACTCAACACTAAGCTTTCTGAAGCCTTGGGAATCACTGGGCTCAATCATGGTGTTACTGGAAGAACATTGGCTTTGAAGACTCAGATGGGCCTAAATTTTACTCTGGGTCCCCAATTTACTATCATTGGTACCTTGGGAAAATGGCTTCTCTTAAGTCTCCATTTTGTCTTTTATAAAATTATGGGTGGTAATAATTATATCAATGAAATATTGAGAGGATTAGAGGTGATATATGAGTCTGATTCTTCCATTGAAACCTGGCAGGGTTGAGTGCCGTGATCTCTAAACTTCTGTCTGGCTTAGATTCCATAACTTGTGATTTGTAATATGATGTTGCATTTCTTTTTTTTTTTTTTTTTAATTGATCATTCTTGGGTGTTTCTCGGAGAGGGGGATGTGGCAGGGTCATAGGATAATAGTGGAGAGAAGGTCAACACGTGAACAAAGGTCTCTGGTTTTCCTAGGCAGAGGTCCCTGCGGCCTTCCGCAGTGTTTGTGTCCCTGGGTACTTGAGATTAGGGAGTGGTGATGACTCTTAACGAGTATGCTGCCTTCAAGCATCTGTTTAACAAAGCACATCTTGCACCGCCCTTAATCCATTTCACCCTGAGTTGACACAGCACATGTTTCAGAGAGCATGGGGTTGGGGGTAAGGTTTATAGATTAACAGCATCCCAAGGCAGAAGAATTTTTCTTAGTACAGAACAAAATGGAGTCTCCTATGTCTACTTCTTTCTACACAGACACAGTAACAATCTGATCTCTCTTTCTTTTCCCCACATTTCCCCCTTTTCTTTTTGACAAAACCGCCATCGTCATCATGGCCCGTTCTCAATGGTCGCTGTCTCTTCGGAGCTGTTGGGTACACGTGCAGAAAGGCTGTCACTTCACACTTGGAAGATTGCACAGCGGCCAGGCAGAGGCGCTCCTCACTTCCCAGACGGGGTGGTGGCCGGGCAGAGGCGCTCCTCACTTCCCAGACAGGGTGGCCGGGCAGAGGGGCTCCTCACATCCCAGAGGATGGGCGGCCAGGCAGAGACGCTCCTCACTTCCTAGATGGGGTGGCAGCTGGGCAGAGGCTGTAATCTTAGTACTTTGGGAGACCAAGGCAGGTGGCTGGGAGGTGGAGGTTGCAGCGAGCCGAGATCACACCACTGCACTCCAGCCTGGGCAGCATTGAGCATTGAGTGAGCAAGACTCCATCTGCAAACCCAGCACCTTGGGAGGCTGAGGCAGGCAGAACACTCCAGGTCAGGAGCTGGAGGCCAGCCCGGTCAACACGGCAAAACCCCTCTCCACCAAAAATACAAAAACCAGTCAGGCGTGGCCGCACGTGCCTGCAATCCCAGGCAGTCGGCAGCCCGAGGCAGGAGAATCACAGGAGCCCGAGGCAGGGAGGTTGCAGCGAGCCAAGATCACGGCAGTACAGTCCAGCCTCAGCAACAGAGGGAGACCGAAAAAAGGAGGAGAGAGAGGGGGAGAGGGAGAGGGAGAGAGATGTTGCATTTCTTTCCGTATGAAGTCTTTAAAAGAACCTTTCATAGCATGCACATTACAGAGTTTAGGAATTCTGCCTTTGAGAATAGTTCATGTGTTCCTTTTTTCTAATTGCAGTTTTTCCACTACTCCCAAGGGCAAGTGTACCTTGGGAATTATCCACCATTTAAAGACAGAATCAGCTGGGCTGGAGACCTTGACAAGAAAGATGCATCAATCAACATAGAAAATATGCAGTTTATACACAATGGCACCTATATCTGTGATGTCAAAAACCCTCCTGACATCGTTGTCCAGCCTGGACACATTAGGCTCTATGTCGTAGAAAAAGGTACTTCCTTGAGTATTTTGGCAGTAATAATGCAGTCTCCTTTATCTCATGTTTGGTTGGAAAACATGAGTTGCATTTCATGGTGGGTTTGGAGGGAGGATTTTTGCCATACAGTTGTGCTCCCTGTTGCCACGAACCTGTGGCTCTACCAAACACACTTGGAGCTGGGAAACTTGTTGCTCATTCTGACCCAGAGTGGCTGATTTCTCCATTTTTATTCCTACCGTCTGGTGCCTATTGGTCTAATTTCAGGAGTATGAATTTTTCAGTGTTAATTAGAAGAAAGACCAAATTCATTATGTTTGGATGTGATGGGCAGTGGGAAAGAAGGAGATTCATACTGTTTTATATTCTCCAGGAGAAAGCTTTCAACAACAGCACAGTTATTTCTTCCTTTTGATTTTGAGAACAAACAGGAAATGCAGGTTCTGGTGTCTCATTTTTGAGACAAAGTCTGTTTTGTTGGAGAGTAGATCCAGGTAAATTCACACCTCCGGTTTTTCTTTAGAGCACTGAGAGGGATTGTAGGTGTAGAAATGCTTAGTTCCATAGTTCATTCTTTCTCATCTAATATTCACATGTCATGAATTACATAGTAATAGGATAGATAGTAGGATCTCATAGTTTGGATAATAAAAGAGGGTACGGTAACTGCTAAATGAAGATACTTGCTCGTTAATTTAATAAAATTCCATGTTTTCTCTCTGTAGCAATGTACCTTAAAACTATTTTGTTCTTTCTCTCTAGAGAATTTGCCTGTGTTTCCAGTTTGGGTAGTGGTGGGCATAGTTACTGCTGTGGTCCTAGGTCTCACTCTGCTCATCAGCATGATTCTGGCTGTCCTCTATAGAAGGAAAAACTCTAAACGGGATTACACTGGGTAAGAAACACTGTTTTTTTAGGGCAGGGGTGGAGGGAGGGAATCAGGGTTTATAGAAACTTCTGTATTTAATGAAAAAAGGATTTTAAAGAATTAACTACTATTTTCTTTCATGTCAGAATCAGGCAGTCTCCTTAGGAGGTGTTCTAACATGGGCAAGTGGAAATCAGTGGGCCTGCTATTAAATGTGGAATATGATTCTAATCTCTGTTCCAGTTTCCTTCTTAGGTTTGGTGAGATGAGCTGCTCAGCAGTCTGTGCTCTGTGTTTCAATACCATCCACTATGCAATTAGTATTCTTAAGACATCACTTACCCAATTTAAGAGTTTAATTTCAATTTCTTGCTAATAAACTCACAAGGTGGTTCTTTCCAGTTAGGAAATATAAAACCCTAATTAAGAAGTTGTGAGCTGGAATTAGTGGCATGTGCCTGTAAGTCCCAGCTACTTAGGCTGTGGCAGGAGGATTGCTTGAGCCGAGGCGTTTGAATCTAGCCTAGGCAACATAGCAAGATCCTGTCTCTTTAAAAAAAAAAAAAAAGAAAGAAAGAAAGAAGAAGAAAAAGCAGTGGTTTTAATAAACTACCTCCCCCAGCCCAGTGTGATGATGGTGCAGGGCTTTTCCTTTTTGTAGTTCCCCTACCCCACTCCAAGCTTAAGTAGCTTTATTGCTTTGATCATTCTTAGCTAGATTCACCCAAAATGGGATAATAAGAATTGATGACAAAATATATCAGCAATAAAGAAAAATAGACTTTCTTTTTGTTTATGGCTTCTCAGATGGAACACGTTTAAGCATAGGGTGTGTATCTAATTAAAGGACCTTCTCTTTTCCCCACTCCAGCTGGAAAGCTAACCCATATAAGCTATGTAGAACTCATGTGGTAAGACTGGGAGCAGAGGCTGGATTCAAGTTGATATAGCATGAGCAGTGTTGCAGATGCACAGATCTAACTTTAGCCATCCTGAAGGGACTCTGATGTGAAAGGATTGCATGTCCTGAACTCTCTTGCTGGTGGATGGTGGGAACCTCTATCTATGGGCTCTGCTGATCTAGAGTTTTTAGGAGTGCTGTGTTTTAACAAGTTTGAGTGTTCAAATTCAGATATTACTTGCTTGGAATGCTTCTATTCTGCTGACTGTATCTGCCCCCCTTGCATGGTGAGTGTTTTATGATTAAATATAGTTGGACTATTGGTTTCAACATGAGACTAATCCAGGGTGGTGACATGCCGGTCTTTGTAGTTCTTGCTTCGGGGTTAATGAGGGGCAGGAAAGAGTTCCTTAGACTCCTGCATGGCATCATGAATGCTGCTGTTCTTCTTACCTTGGTTTTTTTCCTCCTCCTCTACCTTTTCTACCTTGGTGTGCTGGGATCAGATCCTGCTTATCTTCCACTTCTTAAGAAAAGCTGACATAGAAGACACATTGGGACTATAACAGGGCTGGGTCTCCTCTTCCACTCCCACTAGACACATGGTAACTAATCACATTGCCCATTACTGTTAATATTCCTGTGTATGTATTCAGCCCCTCTCCCTTGTTGATGACTAACCAGCTAGCTCTGAGCTAACCCAACAGCTATTATGATTTGTCCATGAATATGTCACATGTTTGTATTGGAAACATGTTGAGCATACTATCTGGATGAAATTGGATTGTGAAGTTACATAGAGTTTTTATGCACATCTGAATATTTGTGCTCTTCATGTAAAATGCCATTGTGTATGTGTGTGTGTGCATTAGTTTTCTTTTTTCATATATGTATTATGTTATCAATATTTAAGATCCTGACTGATTATGTATTAGAATAATTAAACCATTTTGGTTCAGAGCATGTAGCCTCCCATTTCACAGAAGGAACAGTTTGCAGAATGCATGGTATGCTTTGGTCTTAGTAATGACACTTTAAATGTGATTCTCCCCAAACTCCTAAGTTTTAAAAGTATATATCAAAAGGCTTTAAGCTGTACTGATGACACATCTCATTGGAAAATCCCTACGCTGTACCCCAGCTTTCTTACTTCCTGGCATTCACTTTCCCTGATTCATTTATGAGATAGTGCTTGTTGTTAAAGACTACTGTCACCGTGAAAAGGTTCAGCCTGTGTGACCTGGCATTCCCTAATTTCTCATTCATGACTTCCTGAGTTTTTGGGGGGATTTGATTGTGGTATTGGTAGGGAATAAAAATATGGAGAGAACAAGATAAGCCAAGACTTGCCTGGATATATATCTGTAATTTAAAACATACATTCAGAAGAGGTTTGCCTTTGATTATAACAAAAGTGAATTGCCATTAAGCTAATAAAAGGTACCATAGAGCTTGTTCCCTTAAACCTTTATCCCAAAGGAGGGTTGATGGCAGGGGGAAAAGACAAACAGCAAAAGGATAAATGTGTATTGTAACTAGAATTCCAATATGATTTTTGTAAACTGGGTTGAAGAGGTTGTACCATATTTGTTTCTGTGCCTCCCCCAGTGATGAGTTCATTGACTTAGAAGAATGAGTGAGTGTCAGGTATAGAAAATAGTTTAAAAACATGTGATCATTTTGACACCCATTGTTATGTTGTCTTTTGTTTTTATATATCTGTTGCTTCATCTTGCCGTCAGTTGCATTTCTATATTTTTGTTTCTATTTATTTATTATTATTATTTTTTACATTTGTTCTTCAAATTGCCAATTCATCAGCTGCAGTACATCAGAGAGTTTGTCACCAGTTAAGCAGGCTCCTCGGAAGTCCCCCTCCGACACTGAGGGTCTTGTAAAGAGTCTGCCTTCTGGATCTCACCAGGTAATGGCTGATTGCGATTCTGCCCACTGCACTGTTCCCTACAGCTTGGTGCTCTGTCACTTCCTTGGGTGTGGAAAAGAATACTGAGCTATGAGAGACAGAGACAGAGACAGACAGACAGAGACAAAGAGAGAGTGGGAGTGAGGAATTAAAGGGCTGGCCTAGGAAGACCACAGGAAAATATGTGGTGAAGAATCTGCTTGAGTAAAGATTTCCATGAAACCACCAATAACATAAATTGTTTACTAACCATGTAGCTTCCTTGCCTCAAGCAGAATTAGGAAATGGCTTTGTCAGTAAAAGATTCTTTAATTGCCCAAGGAAATGAATCTAATGAAGGAGATTCTTTCTGTATTGAGGTACTCTAAGATAAGAAATTAGCAAGGAAAAGTTGGTATTCTTAGTATTGATAATAAAACCAAAATTATTTTCTGTGGATTCTTTAGAAAAAATGGAAAGTAAGCATTTATCTGAATAATTAATAGGCTTGATGAACAAGGAATGGTTTTGGTTTCTACTTGTAGAAAGTACAGAAGAGAAACAGGTTTTATTTGGAAGTTAGCATATAATCTAGCTTTGTGTGTTTTGGCTGTAGTATTTTAATTATAACTGTGGCTTGGCAAAAATTCCATAGCTTAGTTCAGTTTGATTTTTCTGGGGTAGAAAGCATGCTAAAGAATTTGGCCAGTTATAGCTTTGTCCTAAAAAGGTGTTAGCTGGTGGGAATGGATTTAAGAGGAAATAAAGAGAGTAACAGTGTTTTGTGGGAAAAGTACCCATAGTCTTATTCCATAGTTGTTATATGTGGTGAGGAAACTAAGGCATTGTGATGTTAAATTACTAAAAGCACACACCCAGTTAGTGACAGAACTGGGGCTAGAACCCAGGTGTCTAGATAGCATGTTCTCTACCACAGCATCAGGCTCATTACTTGTTCCTGTTCTATCTGTCTGTCTCTCTCTCACATTACATAATATATGTCAGATACCTCAGTCTACTAATTTGGGTTGTGAACAGGAATATGGTTGTAAATGAAGACATGAAAGTTACATACACATAGGCATAGCATCTAAAAAAGCATTGGAACATTTTTATTCCGCCCTTGAAGCACTATGGAAGTTGCTTTTTTGCTGAAAACAAACCAGAAAAAAGAAAAAGAAACTGTGGTTTTCAAGACAGTGGAACACAAATTATGCAGCACTGTCATCCCCAAAAGAAAGGAAACAGACAATGTGAGCCGTGTTATTGCCCCAGTGTACTGCCTTGAAGCAGTTTCCACACTGCAGTGTAGGTGGGGAAAATGGAAACTGGGCCCAGCTGTCTCACTCAATTGAGAAGGCGGAAATCAGAATTTGGGGAGGTCAAGGAGGCTAAGATTTATGAGGCTGAGTACCAAAGAAGGAACCATAGAGAGAGCGTGCTAGGATGAGCACGAGCACTTCAGAGATTTGGAGCGGGGTCCCCTTGAGTCTTTGTCTGATTACAGAGTTGTATACACATAGGAGAACACTCTCTGAAACCAGGGGAAGAACTACCTGAAATGCAGTAGGTTGCACAATGCCTGGTGCTCACACAGGTGAGGGACTAGTTTGTGTTCCTAAGAGCCAGAGTAGAGAGACTTATAATACACAGGGTATTGGTTGGGGTTCTCAAAATGGTCATACCTAAATGGGTTAAATTAGTACCAGAATAAAGGATGCTATGGACCCACCATAACAAAGCTTAAAAGGAAGCCTTTAAAGAATCAAACTAATCCAAAAGTAATTTAGTTGCATTTTACAACAAAATCCAACACGCTTTATGCTACAACAAAATTCATCACCCAACAATGTACAATTTACAATGTCTGGCACCAATCAAAAACTACCAGGCATGGCCTGGTGCGGTGGCTCACGCCTGTAATCCCAGCACTTAGGGAGGCCAAGGCGGGTGGATCACGAGGTCAGGAGTTCGAGACCAACTTGACCAACATGGTGAAACCCTATCTCTACTAAAAATACAAAAATTAGCCAGGTGTGGTGGTGCACACCTGTAATCCCAGCTACTCAGGAGGCTGAGGCAGGAGAATCACTTGAACCTGGGAGGCAGAGGTTGCAGTAAGCCGAGATCACACCACTGGCACTCCAGCCTGGGTGACAGAGTGAGACTCCATCTCAAAAAAAAAAAAACAACTATCAGGCATAAAAAGAAACCAAAAAATAAAACACATAAGCCAGATATAGTGGTGTGTACCTGTAGTCCCAGCTACTTGAAAGCCTAAGTGGGAGGATTGCTTGAGCCCAAGAGTGTAAGACCAGCCTGGGCAATATAGTGAGACCCTATCTCAAATAAATAGATGGGTGGAAAGAAGGAAGGAAGGATGGATGGATGGATGGATGGATGGATGGATGGATGGATGGATAGATTTAAAAAAATAATAATTTAATAATTAATTACAATAAAAAATCAGGAGAAATCAATCAGAAACAAATTCAGAATGGATGGAAATGATGGGATTCATAAACAAAGACCTTAAAATGAGTATTATCAATCTTATTAGTAAACTTAAAGATGTAAAGGAAAGCTTGAACCCAATGAGGAAAGAAATAGATATCTAAAACAGACCAAAATGGAACTTCTGGAAATAAAAAAAAATTGGATGGTGTTAACAACAGATTAGATACTGCAAAAAAAAAAGGTCAATCAACTTGAAGACATAGCAATAGAAACTATCCAAAATGAAGCTCAAAGAGAAAGACAGATGGCGGGGTGAAAGTGAACAGAGCCTAACACGGTGAAAACCCATCTCTACTAAAAATACAAAAAATTAGTTGGGCATGGTGGCACGTGCCTGTAGTCCCAGTTACTCAGGAGGCTGAGGCAAGAAAATCACTTGAACCTGGGAGGCAGAGGTTGCAGTGAGCTGAGATCATGCCACTGTACTCCAGCCTGGGCAACAGAGCGAGACTCTGTCTCAAAAAAGAAAAAAAGAAAAAAAAGAAAGTGAACAGAGCTTCAGTGAGCCACCGGACAATATCAAGCAATCTAATTAGAATCCGAGAAGAAAAAGGGAGAGAAAAAAATATGTAAAGAAATAGTGAAATTTTTAGTAAATTTAATGAAAAACATAAACACACAGAAAGCAATAGCGAAAATTGCTGGGCGCAGTGACTCAACGCCTGTAATCCTAGCACTTTGGGAGGCTGAGGTGGGTGGATCACCTGAGGTCAGGAGTTCGAAACCAGCCTGGCCAACGTGGCAAAACCCCATCTCTCCTAAAAATACAAAGATTAGTTGGGCATGGTGGCAGGCGCCTGTAATCCCAGCTACTTGGGAGGCCAAGACAGGAGAATTGCTTAAACCACAGAAGCGGACATTGCAGTGAGCCAAGATCGCGCCACTGCACTCCAGCCTGGGCAACAGAGTGAGACTCCATCTCAAAAAAAAAAAAATTGACTCTTTACAGCAAAAATAATGACAGCATTTTATGAGGCTATAACATGTGGAAGTAAAATGTATGACAACAGTAGTACAAAGGATGGGGTGGAAGGATGGAAGAATACTGTTGTAAGGTCCTTATATTATCCATGAAATTATAATTTGAAGGTAGACTGTGGTAAGTTAAAGATATATGCTGCAAATTCTAGAGCAAACACTGAAAAAAATAAAAGAGATAGATACAGCTAACAAGCTCTATCTCCGAATGGCAATACTGATAAGAACAAAATTCTGACATATGCTACAACATGGAAAATGGTAAATGCGGATGGTAATAATATCAACGTTGGCATCAGAACAAGAAATAGAACCAGAGATAGAGGGACTTTTTATGATGATAAAGCGATCTACTTACAAAGAAGACATAATCCTAAATGTTTATACTTGTAATAGTAGAGCTTGAAAATAAGTAAAACTGAGAGAATTGGAAGGAAAAATTGACGTATTTACAATCATAGTTGGAGGTTTCAACAAGAAACTTTAATGTAATCATTTCAAAATACTCAGTTAATCCAAAAGTGAGCAGGAAAGGAGGGGAAAATGAGCAAAGGGTAGATGGGGCAAATAGAACACAAATAATGAAGTGGTAGATTTAAACTCAACCAGACTGATGATTGTATTACTATAAATGGGCTGAGTGTGCCAATAAAAGGTGGAGATGGACAAATTGGATAGAAAAGCAAGAACCAATCATATGCTGTCTGCAATAAACCACTTTAAATAAAAAGATCCAGGTAGGTTAAAAATATTAATACAAGGATGAAATTGAAAGCAGAGTCTTGAAGAGATATTTGTACATCCATGTTCATAGCAGTATTATTCACAAGAGCCAAAATACAGAAGCAACCCAAGAGTCCATCAGTATACAAGTGGATAAATAGAATGTGGTATATATATACACAATGGAATATTATTCTGTCTTTAAAAGGAAAGAAATTCTGACACATGCTACAACATGGATGAATCTTGAAGATATGCCAAGTGAAATAAGCCAGCCACAGAAAGACATACTATGTGATTCTACTAATATCCCATACCCTACAGTGGTCCAGTTCATAGAGACAGAAAGTAGAGTGGTAGTTGTTGGGGAAGGAAGAATAGGGAGTTGTTTAATTGGTACAGTTTCAGTTTTTGCAGGATGAAAATATCGTAGAGATTGGTTGCACAAGGATGTAAATGCACTTAACACTACTAAGCTGTACACTTTAAAATGGTAAAGATGCTAATTTTTATGTTATATATATTTTACCACATTTTTTAAACAGTAAAAGGATGGAAATGATATGCTACATTAACACTAATCAAGAGAAATCTGGGTGGTAATAATATCAGAATAGGCTTCAGAACAAGAAATAGAACCAGGGATAAAGACAGACTTTTTATGATGACAAAGTGATCTACTCATGAAGAAGACATAATCCTAAATATTTATACTTCTAATAATAGAGCTTGAAAGTAAGTGAAGTAAAACTAAGAGAATTGAAAGGAGAAATTGACATATTCACAATCATAGTTGGAGGTTTCAACACTCCTTTCTCAGCAGTTGGTAGAACAGGTTTACAGAAAATCAAAAAAGATGCGGAAGACTTAACAGTGAAACCAGTTTGAGCTAATAGACATTTATAAAACACTCCTTCCATCAAGCGCAGAATTCTTACTCTTTTTAAGTACACATGAAAATTAACCAAATATAGACCATATTCTGGTTCATAAAACAATTCTCATTAAATTTAAAAGGGTTGGAATCATATAGAGTACGTTCTCTGGCCACAATGGAATTAAACAGAAATCAACAGAAAGATACCTGGAAAGTCTCAAATATTTCAAAATTGAACAACCCATGAGTAAAACAAGAAGTCACAAGAAAAATTAGAAAATATTTTGAACTGAGTGAAAATAACATATCAAAATTTGTGAGATATAGCTAAAGAAGTGCTTTGAAGATTTGTAGCATTAACTGTTTATATTAGAAAAAAATAAAGCTCTAAAATTGATGATCTAGGCTTCTGTCTGAAGAAACTAGAAAAAGAAGAGCAAATTAAACCCAACATAAACAGATAGAATTAATAAAGAGAAGAGCTGTGGAAAAATCAGCTGACATTCTCATTGTTTCCCTGTAGGTAATCTGTCGCTTCTCTCTGGCTGCTTTTCGGATCTTCTTTATGCCTTTGGTGTTTGGCATTTTATATACTATTTAATTATAGATTATCCCTTGTTGCATCTGCTTGTAATTTCATTGGACCTCCTGAGTCTTAAGGTTGATGTCTTTAATAAATTCTAAAAAATTTCTAGTCACAATCTCTTTGAATTTTTCCTTTCTGCATTTTATCTATTTATCTTTTTATGGAACTCTGATTATATGTGTATTATACTTTCTCTATGCTCTAAGTCTCTTAACCTCTCTTGCAGATCTTTCATTGTATTGTCTTTCTGCCATTTTCTGCATAATTTCTTCATCTGCCTTCATTCACTAATTCCTTAGCTGTGACTAGTCTACTGTTTAGCCCCTTTTAAAAGTTTTTAAACTTCAATTTCATATTACAGGTTTATTTTCTAGAAATTTTATTTGGTTCTTTTTTAAATATACCTGGTTAATTTTGATAGTTCCTTATAACTTCATATTTTCAACTATCTTATTTAAGCATGTTAAATATTCTTATTTTATACCTCAAAACTGATAATTCCAGTGTCTGTAGTCTTTATTGATCTGACTACGGTTTTTGTTTCTATATTTCTTGCTAATGGTGGCTATTTTCTCATCTCATGGGTGTTTTATAATTTGAAGACTGTACTTACGTTCTTGGCACTTTGTACAAATTGATTGAGTCTTCATTTAAAATATATTTACTCATGAGAAGATTTGTATTTCTTCTGCCTGTGTCTTGGATACTACCAACCCAGTGAGAAGAAATGCACAGGAGGTAAAAAAATTTTGAGAACTTGAATGGTAGACTATAATGGCCCCACAAAGAGGTCCACATTCTAATCTCTGGATTCTTTAGGATATGTTACCTTACGTATCAAAAAGGACTTGGCAGATGTGATTAAATTGCCTTGAGATAGGGAGATTGTCTTGGGTTATCTGGGTGGCTCCATTGTAACCATAAAGGTCCTTAGAAGAGGGAGGCAGAAGGGTAAGCATCGGGGAGAGACTGGAAGATGCTATACTGCTGACTTTAAAGATGAAGAACTCATAGCCAAGAAATACAGGCAGCTTCCAGAAGCTGGAAAAAGCAAGGAGACAGATTCTCTCCTAGAACCTGTGGAAGGCACGCAGTCCTATTGACACCTTGATCTTAGCACAGTGAAACACATTTCAGACTTCTGACCTGTAAAACTGTGAGATAATTAATATGTTTTTAACACCTTTAAAATTGTCTTTATTCTCCTCCCTCAAACTTGATTGCGAATCTGGTGGGGTAGGATTCCCAGTTGGAAATCATTTTCCTTCAGCATTTTGAGTCATTGCTGATTGTTCTGGCTTCCAGCATTGTGGCTTAGAAGCTGATGCCATTCTGATTCACTCTTAGGGCAGAGGAAGGTAGGGTCATCTACCTGAGCAAAGGGAGAGTAAAGACCAGAACCAAACTGGGGCTCTTCCAGCCAAGTGGAGTGGGAGGCTGGGTTGGGAAGGTGTTAGATAGGCACTACCTAGAGTTTAGAGTGTTAAGGCACTGTGGAAAAAAATAAGAAAATTTTTTTTCTTTGTGAAGCTTAGTTTTGAATGAGATTGGTATAAAGTAATTTTTGTATATGTATTTGAGGAGTAGTTGGTTTTCTAGATCCTTTTCTGGATATCGTTGATGCTCTGTATGCAAAAGGTAGGTTTTTGGGTTATGTTGTTAAACAGTGATTGAATGGAATATTTATGTATTTGTCAACTATAGTGCATAGCATAGACAGGGTAATGTTTCAAGAAGTAGTTATGTGCGTTTTTCCTTTAGTCCTCACAACAGTCCTCCAGGGTAAGTTCTTCTGTTGTCTCTATTTTACACATGAAGAAACTGAGGCTTAGTTAGGCAAGTCACTTGCTCAAGGTCAGTAGTTAGTGGCTGAGCCAGATCTGTCTGGTTCTAAGGCACATGTATATTTTATCCTGTCCAATTTTTTTCACCTCTGCTTTGATAATCAGTATTTGTCTCATTTATCTCAAAGAAAGTCATAATACATAGCTGTGTTTCATATTTATATTTTACTTAAAAAACAGTGGAATAAATACTAAAAAAAAAGGTGTTCTGTCAGTAGTCAATGAGCACATGGTAAAAATAGATGTTCTTTCTTAGTGATTCGTGCTAGGCTTTTGGGGATGACTCCTCTAACACCTGAAGGACTAGAATCAAATTAAATAGGGCTACAGGCTACAGAGACTGTGAAAGGTGTACTACAGGACACAACATAATGACTCCTGAGCAGTTAATTTGTAGTTAGAAGCAGGTCTCTTTGCTTTTCTAGAATCCTTTCTTCCTGGACCTTCTCCCCCAACCTTCACCAGTTATGGTTTTTTTATTGGAATAAATAATTAATTTTGGTACAAGTAAACTTCAGAGGTAATTTTATCTCTAGTTGTAACTAAAATAATAGGCCTATATTAAGCAATGTGTTTCTTGAAACATTTTCAATAGCTAAGGCCTATTCATGCAGAAAGTAGCTGAAAACATACTCAGACCAATTTTTCACTTTATTGTTGTAATTCTTTGTGTAAAAGCAAAGATAAATAAATAAATGAAATGGAGGGTGGGGAGGGTGAGTACCAAGAGATAGAGTAAAACAGCTAGGTTAATGTAGGTTTTGTTGTTGTTTTCCTTCTTTATTATACCCAAAAGTGAATGTCTTAACAATGGTAGGTTCATTTCAAAGTTGATCGTGGTTCTGTGGATCCTCTTGAAGTCCTGAGCAGCCTCATTTGCCCTCAAAATCGAGGTGCTGAGGCATGTTCCATAGAGACTCAGGGCTCCTTCCACCTCTAAATAGCACTCAGAATCAAACTTCATAGAGGTGTTCTAGATTGAGCTAGATCTGTCAGCAGACCCCAATCTCAACCTACATCTGCAGTTTCTCTGCATCCTTTCTTTCATCCATCCCTTCATCCAGCACCTGTGTTCTGCCAAGTTCTAGGAAGTTAACAAAGTCCCTGACTTAAGACCTTATTATATTCTAAGGGGGAAGAGGAATGAGGATAACATCAGGCAGTGGTAAACAGTTTGAAGAATACCAAGTCCATCAGCAGGAAGGGATTTCTTCAGTGTTTTCCCATTTACTTTCATGAGATAGTTGTATTCTTTTGACATGAAAGACAGTACTGTCTCACATGAAAGACCTCATTGATATTTTAACATTTACAGACTAAAAGATAATTCTGTGTTCTTTTTCCTCTTTACTTTCTCTGTTCTCATTCTTTTCTACTCACATAATATATCAATTATCTACTGCTACGTAACAAACCCCCCAAAATATAGTGGCTTAAAACACGCACTATTTATTTGGCTCCCCATTCTGTGGATTGGTCGAGCAGATTCTGGTCTGGATGAGCTCAGCTGATCTCTGCTGGCTCACTTGTGCATCTGCAGTTGGCTAGAAGGTTGACTGGTAGCTGGACAGTCTACAGTGGTCTCACTTACAGTCTAACCATTGGCAGGCTGTTGGCCAGGCAGACAGAGGACAGCTGGGCCATGCATCTCTCATCAGCCATCAGGCTGACTTTGGCTTCTTCACATGGTAGTGGTGGCTGTGTGGGTCCCAAGATCAGTGAGAGTGGAAGTGGCAAGGTCTGTTGAGGTCTGGGTGTGGAAACTGCACAGCATCACTGCTGCCTCATTCTGTTAGTCAGAGCTGATCACAAGATCAGCCCAGATTCAAGGGGTAGAGAAACAGATTTCTACTCTTGATTGGAAGGACCTACAGCATTATGTTGCAAAGAGTAAGATGCAGAGAAGGAAAGAGTTTGTAGCCATTTGTGCAGTCAGTCACACATTGTAAACCCCTTCTCCCATGAACATACCCTAAAACTCTTAGTGAGTTTTTAGGAATTATGATATGGGGTTTTATTATCTAAGAATTTATATAATTTAATGTTGGGAGTTCCGTCCTATTCTTGGAAATAGCTGTTACCAGGGAACAGTTAGTTTAATTCTGTTCCTAGTAGAAAACAGTCTTTTTTTTGTTTTTTTGAGACGGAGTCTCGCTTTGTCACCCGGGCTGAAGTGCAGTGGCGCTATCTTGGCTCACTGTAAGCTCCGCCTCCTGGGTTCACACCATTCTCCTGCCTCAGCCTCCTGAGTAGCTGGGACTCCAGGCGCCCACCACCATGCCCGGCGAATTTTTTTGTATTTTTAGTAGAGACGGGGTTTCACCGTGTTAGCAAGGATGGTCTCGATCTCCTGACCTCATGATCCGCCCGCCTCGGCCTCCCAAAGTGCTGGGATTACAGGCGTGAGCCACCACACCCGGCCGAAAACAGTCTTTTTAACTTCCTTTTGTTTTTTGGTGGGGTTAGCATTTAACTTGTAGCTTTCTGAGATGAATATAGAGGGTCTGTATGATTATTAACCATGTGATCTGTTAATATTTCCTATGACAGCCATTATAGACTAAAGATAAACACACAGAGTTTGACTATTTAATTTACTTGACCAGTTACCTCAGTGCATTTTAAAGTATGTTTGTGTAACAAGACGTTCATAATAATAACTAACATGTATTAAGTACTGTCTGTGAGACACTGCCTAAGTTATAGGTATCATCTTATTTAATTTTCATAACAACAAAAAACAAAAATGTAGATATTATTAGTAGTACCATTTTAGAGATGAAGAAACTTGTGCTTAGAAATTTACAAATGTGCCCAGGGCCACGTGACCAGTGCTCTTCTCTAAGGTTCAACAAAGACGATATCATAATTCAGACTGCAGATCTGCCAACATTCAAATGGCTCTAGTCCTCGAGTGTTATTTTCTAACTCCGCTTTTAGATGCACCATTGTATAGCCCTTACAACTGGGCCTGTCCCTTCTGTAGATGTGGGAGTAGCTGAACTCCACAGAACCCCAGGTTACACACTAAGGACACAGGTTGTTAGGGCTCCTGGATGAGGGTAAGTGTGTTTATTTTAAACCACGTGCTTTTGGCTATTGAGCTTATGATTTCAAAGGTGAAAGCTTAAGCACGTTATTAGACTTCTCAAGGAGAGTTCCCCTAGATTGGGAGAAAAGTTGACATTGGGTAATATTAAATCTTTCTTTTAAAACCAGGGCTATTTTGTTGTTGTTTACAATTTTAAGAGTCTAGACTGAAAGAGTCATGAAATGCAGCCACCTATCTGACCTCTTCCCCCAACAGTTAGGGAATTCGCTCTGCCCCCAGGCCACCCAACCTTCCCTTGCTCTCCTGAATGGGACCCTGACAATTCCCTGGAATTGTAACCTCTTCCTTACTGCTGAGGCTGAGAAGAGGATCTTTTCTACTTTACTCCATTTAGGGTTTTTCTTTATATCTGTGTAGATTGTGGCTTTTTGTTTTTTCTTTTTAATTTTATTTTAAAACAGGAAGAACAGTTATCTGATATTAAAAATCAAGGAAGCAATATTTGTATTGGTCACAATACGCTCAGACTAAAAGAATTATGCTGTAAGTAGTTGTATTGAAGAATATTTGAAGTGCTTTTAAACTATTTGTTTAAAACTATACCTATTTGTATAACGTGACCAGATCAAATTGATTGTATCTTTGGGTGGCACCAAATATGTTGGTTTCTTGCATGGATTGATTATTCTGAAGCTCATGATTTCTGTGGGTCTCAGGTGCGTGGAAGTTCCCATCTTAGTCCTTAAGACTCTTACCCCAATTGTAAGAGCTGAGGAATTCTGTGATAGCTATTAAGATAAGAGATATTCCTAAGAAGGAATATATTATTACAGAAATTTTCAAACATCAAAAAGGTTTGAAAGAATAATGTAACAAAGCCCCATGTACTTGCTTTAACTATTGTCAACGTATGTCCAATCTTGTTTCAAAGTCAGTCCTGGATGTATCATCCATAAGAAGTCTTCCTGAAGACATTCAAGAGGGAAGTCTTTGCTTTGGAACCCTGATGTGATCACGTTAATCATTGCTTCTATGCCTGTAGCTGAAGGAACCGCCAGCGTTTTCAGTCCTCTAATCCTTCTGCTTCCCTTTTCCAGGGCCCAGTCATATATGCACAGTTAGACCACTCCGGCGGACATCACAGTGACAAGATTAACAAGTCAGAGTCTGTGGTGTATGCGGATATCCGAAAGAATTAAGAGAATACCTAGAACATATCCTCAGCAAGAAACAAAACCAAACTGGACTCTCGTGCAGAAAATGTAGCCCATTACCACATGTAGCCTTGGAGACCCAGGCAAGGACAAGTACACGTGTACTCACAGAGGGAGAGAAAGATGTGTACAAAGGATATGTATAAATATTCTATTTAGTCATCCTGATATGAGGAGCCAGTGTTGCATGATGAAAAGATGGTATGATTCTACATATGTACCCATTGTCTTGCTGTTTTTGTACTTTCTTTTCAGGTCATTTACAATTGGGAGATTTCAGAAACATTCCTTTCACCATCATTTAGAAATGGTTTGCCTTAATGGAGACAATAGCAGATCCTGTAGTATTTCCAGTAGACATGGCCTTTTAATCTAAGGGCTTAAGACTGATTAGTCTTAGCATTTACTGTAGTTGGAGGATGGAGATGCTATGATGGAAGCATACCCAGGGTGGCCTTTAGCACAGTATCAGTACCATTTATTTGTCTGCCGCTTTTAAAAAATACCCATTGGCTATGCCACTTGAAAACAATTTGAGAAGTTTTTTTGAAGTTTTTCTCACTAAAATATGGGGCAATTGTTAGCCTTACATGTTGTGTAGACTTACTTTAAGTTTGCACCCTTGAAATGTGTCATATCAATTTCTGGATTCATAATAGCAAGATTAGCAAAGGATAAATGCCGAAGGTCACTTCATTCTGGACACAGTTGGATCAATACTGATTAAGTAGAAAATCCAAGCTTTGCTTGAGAACTTTTGTAACGTGGAGAGTAAAAAGTATCGGTTTTATTCTTTGCTGATGTCCTTTCTGCTTGAAATAACAGTCACCATACAGCTAAAGGAGAGGAGTTTCTTTCCTTCTAAGTAGGCAGAAATGGTATCATTATGTTGCCGCTCTCCAATCTCCCAGAGCTCGCTCTCTAGAGAATCACCTTCTTTCGCTTTTTTTTTTTTTTTTGAGGTAGAGTCTCACTATGTTGCCCAGACTAGCCTTGAACTCTTGGGCTCAAGTGATTCTCCCTCCTCAGCCTCCCGAGTAGCTGGAACGAACTATAGTTGCACCACTGCAGCTGGCAAGAATCACCTTCTTTATAAAGCGTCAGTCATGCTTCCAGCAAGAGGCAGCATCAGTCATGGCTTTATAACAGCTTCATGGTGCCTCAAAGACTGTTGAGGTTAATGAGAGCCTAGATTAGACAGTTTGGCTGTCCTTCCCTAAAACTTGTTTTCTCCTATTCACTACTCCCCACCGCACTTAAAATCTATGAGTTTTTACTTTTTACTGGGAATGGAAAGTGTGGTGAAGATCATTCAACACTTATGTTGTCATTTCTCCCATTTTCTGAATTTTTTTTTAAATTTCCCCCCTTTTAAAATTGTTCGAAAGCCCACAGTTATGGAAAGAATTACTGTCTAGATGGTCTGCAGAACGTGTTTGGGGTGAGTGGGAGTGAGGGGCAATGTTACTTTTTCTCCCTGTAGTTTGGAGTCCATTATGAGCTGCTGCTTTTTCTTCTCATCTTGTCATCTTCTGGGGATGTTTGAAGGCTGAGTTCCAACAGAATTCACAAAGGGAATAAAACAGGATTGAGATTTTGAGGTGTGCACAAGGTGGTAAGATAAAGGGCATATGAGCTTCAAAACTAATGCTGTTGCATACATGAAGCCTTTTGTTTTTTGAGGAGCTATTTTTGTTATTCTTGTAACGCTCCACCTTACATGCCACATCTGTGTGAGTCAACAGGGATCAGGTTTGGTCACCACACATGTCTGAAGCTGGGCAGCGTCTGCTCTGTGTTCTGTGTGGAATGGAGAAAAAAACGCCTGCCCTGCTGCCTTCCATGTTCATAGGCCCAGCCCAAGAGAGTGACACACAGTGCTGGCCCTGAGACATTTCCACAAAGTGGTCAACTCTGCCTTGCATCCTAAAACTTTTTGGGCATCTATTTTGAAAACTATAGGAGCCTTTGGAAGGCCTCTTATGTTTGGAGGGGAAGGGTGTTGAGATTGTCACCATCCTTCAAGCTGAGACTCCTGGTGAGCCTTTGCCACCATGAAAACCACATAGCTGACCAGGGCTGTGCTTGAGGTACAGAGGACACACATTGTAGACAGGCCTGTGTCATGTTTCCTTACAGTCGTTTTTTACAGAGAAAAGGGGCATTGTTTTTTCACTGCTTTCTCAACAGTTCCTGTGAATAAATGAAACATTTCGGAGCTCCCTGAGAGCAAGAGCCTTCACTTCTTCTTGCGGTGCCGGGACCATGTGTTGGTGAAGCTGGTGCTGTGGGGGCCACTCACTCGAATGACACCTGGAGGCCTGTTCCTCCCTTACCACTCCCTTCCCCAGCCCGACTTCTTGGCCTCCTGCCCAACCAGACACCTCAAACTCTGTCAGTGCCCTGGCATTCTGGCAGAGAATCCTCACCAGTTCTCACCAACCTTCCCCCCAGGCAAGGGCAGCTGCCAGCATGGTGCTCTGCCAGGACAGGTTTCCCTGAAGGAAGCTGCTCACACTGAGATGAGCCTCTCAGGGCAGGACCTCTTCCCAAGCCCTGCACACCCACCCCTGCAGCCCTTTTGGCTCCCCTTTTCCCTGTGCCTCAGCACTCCTTTCCTGGTTGCAGATAACGAACTAAGGTTGCCTAAAGGGCAGATCTGCCCTCTCCATGTCTTCGTCCTGGCAAACAGGGTCGTCTTAAAATTATGCGCTAATTCTGTATGGGAGCACTCAAAAGGCATTACTTAGAGATTGAAATTTCAAACTATCTCTAGTTTTTCAATGGAAATATATCAGCTAGGGAAAAACCATCAAGCTCATTATTATTTTTTGATCTTCAGTTGTATTTTTGTGAATATTTTAATACATCTTTTTCAATTTCTGAATTGTGTTGTGTGCTCATTTTGACCAGAATAGAAAAAGAGATATGCCTTTCACTCATATCATTCCAGCTACACCTGCCTTCTTTTCTTCAAAAATGCCGTCCGTGTGCCTGCTTCTGGGCCTTTGCACATGCTGTTCCCTGGGCCTGAAGCATGCCTTCTGCCAATATTCCTGTGGTTTGCTCTCTGACTTCCTTTAAGCCTCTGCTCAAATGTTACCTCCTCAGGGAGACCTTCTGTGATATATAAAAGAGCAAGCCCCCCACCCCACCGCCTCAGCCTTCCTGGCCCCCTCAGTTCTGCTCTAGTTACTCTATTTCTCTCCCTCTTTCCCAGTACACACTTGTCTGTTCTCCCGCATTAGAACATAGTTAACAAGAGACCAGAACCTTGCTGTTTTGTTCACTGCTCCGTCTGCAGTAAAGGGAACAGCACCTGGCACTTAGCTGCTCAATACATGTTACGTGGATGGATGAGTAGGTGGAAGCATTCATCCATTCAGCAACCTACACTGAGAACAATCCTGTGCCAAGCACTGTGCTAAGCATAAGGAAACAAAACAAGACAAAGCTCCTCAAGGAGCTTGCCACAGGGTGGAGGTGACAGGTGACATGAATGGAAGTAACTAGTAGTTACCAAATACTTGGTGTGAGCCAGGCACTTTGCATTTCTTTCTCTATTATTTCTGTGAGTTAACAGTAATTGTACTAATCTTAATCCCATTGTTTGAAAGATTATATGGCTTACCCAGGGCCACTTAGCTAATAAAGGAACAGAGAAGAGGGGCTGGGCCTGGGGCCGCTGTTTGATCCACAGCCTTGTTCCTAACCACTATGCCCTGTGGCCTCTCACACCAAAAGGAAGTACCAAACTGCTTCCTTACTCAAATAAATGTGCTGAAATGCAGTTGCAGTTTTCTCCCAGTCCCTTAGGAGCTGGTTAGAGAGTCCCTTAGGAACTTGAGAGGGTAGTGTAGTCTAGGTGGTAGGCACAGATGTCTGAGAGCTTTAACCTCAGTCTGGAAGACAATGTGGTGACTTAATTTGTTGAGAACTATGTTACAAATAATGTGTTACTAATAAAACATTGAGGCTTCGCAGTGACTTAGTAATTTTATAAATTACCATGGATTCACAATGAGCCCCTGCCTTGCATAACTTTGGGCTTGCAAAACCTAATGCGTTCTTGAGTGGGAGAAGATGAGTTACAGCTGGCAGGAACTCCCCTGGGAGTAATTCTCACATGTGAACAGCATCCATCTTGCGTGATGTGACAAAAAGAAAAGGGATGCTTCCTTCACCACACAAGGGCAGCAGTGAGTGATGGAATCACATTTTTGTCATCTCTGCAATTCCTTCCAAGTCAGCACTAAGTGTCGGAGGGCATCCACCTGCTGGGGCTCTGGTTTCCAAGCTACATAGGGGCCTTGCCAACCAAAGATGGACTTTTTATTTATGAGAGCAGCTTCCACCCCTGAGGGAGCTGAGTTGAGCAGTGTTTAGAGGAAACTCAGATACTCTCTCACCCCAGTTGGCTCCCTTCTGACCCCTCTGGGTAGTTCCTGTGCTAACTGGACTGGGGAACCACTGACTTCATCCTCCCACTGTGCAGGAAAGGCGAGGGAGCAGCCACGGGGAGGAAAGTGGCATCTGTGGTATTGGTAGAGCTGGTGGTAGGAGCCAACCATCTGCTTTTATGGCGGGTTCTCCCCTGCACTTTCCTCTTGCATAGTCAAGATATTGTATGAACAATTTCAATATATTTTGTTTTTTTGTAGAATTACTTTAATGAAATTACCCTTTGATATAATTTGAAAAAAATTTTTTTTTGAGACAGTCTTGCTCTGTCATCCAGGCTGGAGTGCAGTGGCATGATCTTGCCTCACTGCAACCTCCACCTCCTAGGTTCCAGCGATTCTCCCACCTCAGCCTCCCCAGTAGCTGGCATTACAGGCACGCGCCACCACACCCGGCTAATTTTTTGTATTTTTAGTAGAGATGCCCGCCTCAGTCTCCCAAAATGCTGGGATTACCGGTGTGAGCCACTAGGCCCAGCCCCTTTGACATAATTCTATCAGCCTACATTGAAGTATGTCATAAAAAAGAGTCCTAGGAAACTAGCTACTTATTGTACTTTACTGCCAGCATGGCTTTGAGAACGTTATTCCCTGTCATACATTTTTCAATGTTATAAAGACCCACAGCACAAATATCTCTCTGGATTTAATACCAGATGATATGGTTGAGATCTGTGTCGCAGCCTAAATCTGTCGAATTGTGATACCCAGCATTGGAGGTGAGGCCTGGTGGGAGGTGATTGGATCACAGTGGGTAGATTTCTAATGAATGGTTTAGCACCGTCCTCCTTGGTACTGTTCTCGTGATTGTGAGTTCTCATGGGACCTGTTTGTTTAAAAGTATGCAGCACCCTCCCACTCTGCTCTCTCGCTCCTCCTCCCGCCACGTGAGACGCCTCATGAGAAGCCTCACTACCCCTTTGCCTTCCGCCATATTTGGAAGCTTTCTGGGGCCTCACCAGAAGCCAAAGACGCTATGCTTCCTGTGTAACCTGCAGAACGGTGAGCCAATTAAACCTCTTTTCTTCATAAATTACCCAGTCTTGGGGTTTTGTTTTTGTTTGTTTTTTGTTTGTTTGTTTGTTTTTTGAGATGGAGTCTCACTCTGTCGCCCAGGCTGGAGTGTAGTAGCACGATCTCGGCTCACTGCAACCTCCACCTCCTGGGTTCAAGCGATTCCCCTGCCTCAGCCTCCTGGGTAGCTGGGATTACAGGCATGCGCCACCATTCCCGGCTAATTTTTTTTTGTATTGTAGCGGAGATAGGGTTTCACCATGTTGGCCAGGCTGGTCTCGAACTCCTGACCTCAGGTGATCTGCCCGCCTTGGCCTCCCAAAGTGCTGGGATTACAGGCGTGAGCCACCACACCTGGCCTTCAGTCCCAGGTATCTTTTATAGCAGCGTGAAAACAAGTAATACACCAGGAAAACTGTTTCTTATGAATATTTTGTTTCAAACTAGTCATGTGCACTGACTTGTCACTGATTGTATTTGTCTCTTTGCTTTTGCTATTCTCTAGGTCCTAGCCAAATTTGTGGGTCACTTTCTACCACTGTACACAGATTGTACACTCCATATACACTTTGTACATTAACTTTACTCATAGCTTTATGTGTATCTTGGATTATGTTCAGCTCTATGATCTGTCTCAGTTTTTTCCAGTGATACAATAATAGATGTGTCCTGATTTAGATAGAGAAAGTAGGTAGGCAGAGATTCTGGCCATGGCATCAGAGATTCATAATGCCAACCACAGACTTACTCTTGACTCCACAAAAACCATTTCACAAATTCCTATTGTTGCCCAAAAGAGGTGAAAATAAAAGTATATGACTGGCTGAGTGTAACAAAACTACATGACAGGAATTACGACTCACATACAGCCTGGAGTCACCTTTCTGTTACACCCTGTTCATCAGTGATGGAAAGGCAGCTTCCTATGTGCTGAAAGTTCATCTCTCTTATTGCAGGTATGATTTCCACTGGTATTAATGAGCTTGAAATATGAAGGCCACTTAAATTTCCCAGAGGTGTCAAGTGATGTGGGGATTTCAGAGCATGTATCAACTCACTTCAGCAATATTAGCATTTTTGTTTGAAATACCCAGTTAGACAGGAAACTTGAAAGATAATTGTTTCAATTATTTGTATCATCATACTGAAAATTGCTTAAAACGTTCTGGTTGTTCCTTGAAGACATTAAAAGAATAGATCCTATTAATGCCCCATAGGTTATTTGATCCTTTTGGAAATGAAAAGATTGACTGATGATTGATTGAATTTTCTGCTTTTTATTAAATTGGTGAGATGGCAAAAAAAGAAAAATGTAAACATATACAAAAGAAGAGAGAATAGTAAAATCAACCTGCATACACTTATTATCTTCAATACTTATTTTATCCAGCCCCTTTTTTCTTTTTTCCTCTTTTCTGAATTATTTTAAAACAAATCCCAAAATCATGTAAGTGCACCCCTACATTCTTCACTGTGCATCTTTTAAAAATGTGGACATTTTCTTACATAATCACAATATCTTGTCACATTTAACAAAAACCTGTCCTAAAACACATTTTTTACAAACAAAATCCTTGGTTTTATATATTATTACCCAGTTAATATTCAAGTTTCCCTTGTCTTAAAAAATGGCATTTTACAAGTGGTTTCTTCCAGTCAGGATCCAAACATAGTTCTGGTAAAGTTTTTTTTTTTTTTTTTTTTTTGCCTATTTTTAAACCCAAAATGGGATCATGGTGCTCTGCAGTTTGCTTTCTTCCCTTAGCATTATGGCAGAGAAGTTTCAGCATGAAGAACTAGGTCATTAGATAATAGCACCTGCAGGACTTTGTCTTTTGTAGATGCGCCGGAATATTTTAAACCATTTCTTTTTTTCTTTCTATTTTAAACAGAGTTTCACTCTTGTTGCCCAGGCTGGAGTGCAATGGCGTGATCTCAGCTCACCACAACCTCCACCTCCCAAGTTCAAGCGATTCTCCTGCCTCAGCCTCCCAAGCTGGGATTACAGGCATGCGTCACCATGCCCTGCTAATTTGGTATTTTTAGTAGAGACAGGGTTTCTCCATGTTGGTCAGGCTGGTCTCAAACTCCCAACTTAAGGTGATCCGCCCACCTCGGTCTCCCAAAGTGCTGGGATTACAGGCATAAGCCACCGCAGCCAGCCTTTGCATTTTAAACCATTTCTGATCTTCTGGATAGGTTGTTTCCAGTTGTTTTGTTATTGGCTATTACAAGTAGTGCTGTAATTGTCATTTGCCTTCATGAGCTATTAAGGAAGAAAAGCCAAATAATTTGCAGGCTCAGAGAAGCAACACAGAATCAGTCACGTCCTTGGCCTTGGAAATGGGATCTAATATCTGAGAGCGATGAAAGTGGCTCACAAGCTCCCCTGCCCTCCTCACATCCTTCCTAAAGCCATCAGGAGCTGGCCACAGAGCACACTGGCTGCTCTCAAGTTTGACTGAGTCTTGGGTTGTTAGAAAAACAACTGGGAGTGGAAGGCAGGAGGGAGCTCTAGAATCCACGGGAGACCTGGCTGTGTTTGCAAAGAAGAAAACATAGACGTAAAGCCCAAAGGGGTCCGTAGGGAACTGCTGCTTCCAGCTTCCATTTCCTCCTGCAAACAGGATGTGAAGCTATTGTCCCTTCTTGGCTCAGGCTTTTGGATTTGTTTGTCCATCCATTTCTTCACTGTGGCCTTTGTGGAGCTGGCCTTTAGTGTTGCAGAATATAAGGAAGGGCTGGGTTTGTTTGTTTGTTTGTCTTTTAAAATCTCCCTACCTCTGTGAAGAGGATGTGGTGCAGATTTGCTTTCAAGCCTTGCCCTCCGTGCTGTGGGGCTGACAAAATTCTGGTTACTTTGCCCTTCAGGGCATTAAATGATTTCAGGTATTTATACCTGAGTCACTGCTCTGCTATGGGAGCGGGGGATAGAACAGCTAAAAACCATCTTAAGGCCTGAGGTTTCTCATTCTGTGATAAGGACTCCAAGGAAACTGAATTTCAATACTAGAGTACATTGTTGGTTCTTTCTCTGCCTTTGAATAGAATTATTTTTTAAATTACAAAGTTTCTTTTAAAAGAAAGAACTTTTAAATATATTTTGTAGGGAATCTCTTAGAAGGTACAATAGATTCATAGGAATGTGGAACATTTGGCCGGGTGCAGTGGCTCATGCCTGTAATCCCAACAATTTGGGAGGCCGAGGCAGGCGGATCACTTGAGGTCAGGAGTTAAAGACCAGCCTGGTCAACATGGTGAAACCCCATCTCTACTAAAAATACAAAAAATTAGCCGGGGGCGGTGGCATGCTCCTGTAGTCCCAGCTACTCGGGAGGCTGAGCGGGGAGAAGGGGAGAATCACTTGAACCCAGGAGGTGGAGGTTGCAGTGAGCTGAGATCGTGCCATTGTACTCCAGCCTGGGCAACAAGCGAGACTCCGTCTCAAAAAAAAAAAAAAAAAAAAAAAAAAGAATGTGGAACATTTTACAAAATCTCGTCCATGATCTTGCCGGCCCAGCAGAATCCCAGATGTTTGTCTATAACGCGTCTGGATGTTCCTATCTGAGAAAAAGCCTTAGTCTTTTACTTGTAAGCTATTCCTGAAGAAGGTTGCCTCAGCAGGGGAAAACTTTCTGAAAAGCTTGATCAAGTACCTGGGTCCCAAGAATGTCAAGCATCTGTGGAACACACAGTTCCCAGCAGCCAGCAAGTCCCACACTGCTCAGTGTCCTGCAGCCAAGGAAGCTGAACTGAGCTCATGGGGTTACAGGAAGATGAAACAACACTGCCTCACTGGCAAGGAGATCACACTGCTGAGTGCTGCCTGAGTCCCTCTGACACACCAGGCTCTTGGAGAGGAGGTCGTGGTAATCATTTAATGCTGACTAATTGAGGTTGAGCAAGAGAGAAAAATACCCGAGGGAGATACATGAAATAAACTTAGGAGGAGAGCTTGTACTTGGCTGGAAATAACTGGCCTTCTTCCATATCCTCTCTAAAAAATACCATAAGAGAAAGTAAAAAATTTGTGGTTTCTATTGTAAATTGTGTTGATTCAAATTAATTTCAAGCTTTTAGATTGTAGTTCTATGGCTACCCATCACACCTCCTCCTCCCATCAGTAGGCATGCCATTAAAGTCACGGCAAAATGCAGGTTCTTCTGGTAGAGGCAGAGAGGTCATATGAAGGAGGATAGAGAAATAGGAGCAGCTTAGCCAATGTAGTACCTGTGCATTAGACTAATATCTAATCTGTTACTAAGCACTAAATTGATATCCTGGAATCACAAGAATTGGATAACTACATATTGATAAAAGGGTTTGCCTCTCCAGCCTGATATATTTTCTCTTATATATTAGTACCTCTCTTCTCATCCAAGTTGATATCATTCTGTGCTATAGAAACATCTCAGTTCAACCTTCGGTGGCTTTGTTTTGGCATGTTAAGGTTAATGGAGATAGGCACAGACCTACACTGTACTACATGGCAGCCACTGGCTACATGTGGCCATTTAATTTTGTTTGTTTGTTTGTTTGTTTTAGACAGGGGATTCTGCTGGGCCGGCAAGATCTTGGACAAGGTTTTGTAAAATGTTCCACATTCTTTTTTTTTTTTTTTGAGATGGAGTCTCGCTCTGTCACCCAGGCTGGAGTACAATGGCACGATCTCGGCTCACTGCAACCTCCACCTCCTGGGTTCAAGTGATTCTCCCCTCTCAGCCTCCCGAGTAGCTGGGACTACAGGTGTGTGCCGCCACGCCCGGCTAATTTTTTGTATTTTTAGTAGAGATGGGGTTTCACCACGTTGACCAGGCTGGTCTTGAACTCCTGACCTCAAGTGATCCACCTGCCTCGGCCTCCCAAAGTACTGGGATTACAGGCATGAGCCACCACACCCGACCCTACTTTTTTTTTTTAATGAAAGAGATGGGGCCTCACTCTGTTGCCCAGGCTTGAGTGCAATGGTGCAATCACAGCTCACTACAGCCTCAAACTCCTGGGTTCGAGCAGTCCTCCCGCCTCAGCCTCCTGAGAGCTGGGACTACAGATGCATGCCACCACACCTGACTAATTTTTTTTTAATTAATTTTTTGTAGAGACTGGATCTTGCTCTGTTGCCCAGGCTGGTCTTGAGCTTCTGGGCTCAATCAGTCCTCCTGCCTCAATGTCCTAAAGTGCTGGGATTAGCCTTGGCAACATGGTGATGTTCTCAAACCAAACTGAGGGTCAGGCTGCTATGTCTCGCAGCCCAATAATGAGATGCAGATGAACTGGGGAGGAAGAGAGTTTTTATTTCTGTAACCAGTTACAGGGAGAAGGCCTGGAAATTATTGCCAGAACAACTCAAAATTACGAAGTTTTTCAGAGTGTATATACCTTCAAGCTATATGTCTGTGTGTAAGTGTGCATTAATCTAAAGACATAAGTGATTAACTTCTTTTAATCTATGACTAAGGTCTGAGTCCTGAAGACCTTCTTCTGGAGCCTCAGTAAATTTACTTAATGTAAATAGGTGTAGGTGCTGGGGTGATTACCCTTATCTTGTCTCCTGTTAAATCATAAAGGTTTGGGGAGTTCCTTTAGATCCCAGTAAACTTGTTTGTGGAGGCCTGGGGAGTTTCTTCAGACCCCCAATAAAACTTGTTTAATCGTAAAAGGGTCCTGTTAAGAATTCCTTCATTATCTTGTCATGCTTCAAGGCCCAGGAAAAGCCTAGGCACAACTCTTGGTGGGCTCTTTGTTACATTCCGCCCTTTGTATAAGGGCACTGGCTCAATCAGCTTTAATGTTTAACCTAGCTACTCAGTCAGAGCTGGGACAGTTGTAATGGAGGCCTGCGTTAGTGAGACCTGGCTTGCCACAGTGATACCCTGTCTCTACAAAAAAAAATACATAAAAAAATAGCCGGGTGTGGTGGCACATGCCTGTAGTCCCAACTGCTCAGGATGCTCAGGTGGGGGGGCTGCTTCAGCCCAGGAAGCGGAGGCTATAGTGAGCCGTGATTGTGCCACTGCACTGAAGCCTGGGTGACTGAGAGAGACCCCATCTCAAAAAAAAAAAAAAAAAAAAAAAGTGCTGGGATTACAGGCATGAGCCACCGCACCCAGCTAAACTTAATTAAAATTAATAACATTTAAAATTTATATCTCTAGTCACATTACCATACTGCAAGTGTTCAGTGGCTACATGTGTGTCTTGTGACTACCATATTGATCAGTGCAGATACAGAACATTTCCTTCATTGCAGAAAGTTCTATTGGATGACACTGGTGCAGACCACACAGGGGTTGGCAACGTTTTAGATAGTTGTGTCAGGTTATATGCACACAAGCTCAGAATCCTCCATAGCCTTTTTTTTTTCATGGTGGGGATGGGGGTACCCCCCACAGCAGTGGTCTGGTGGCTGACACTTTCTCGTGGATAGACAGCATACACTCTTTACTCACTCAATATAATTTATAGCCTATGATGTCCCACACATTGCAAAGTGCTACAATGCATCTGAGAACAAGATAGAGCTTGCTGAAGGTCTTCTAAGCTTTGACCTTATGCCAAGTTCTGGGATATAAAGATGAGGGCTGGCTGGGCGTGATGGCTCACGCCTGTAATCCCAGCACTTTGAGAAGCCGAAGTGGGAGGATTGCTTGAGCCCAGGAGTTTGAGACCAACCTGGGCTACATAATGAGGCCTCTATCTCTAGAAAGAATTTAAAAATTAGCCCCAGCTACTCAGGGATAGTGGGTGGTGGGGGCTGGGGGCAAGGGCGGGAGGGTAAGATGGGAGGATCACTTGAGCCTGGGAGGTCAAGGCTGCAGTAAGCTATAATCATTGTGCCGCTGCACTTCAGACAAAACGAGACCCTGTCTCCAAAAACTAAAAATAAATTAGAAATAAAGATAAGAGCAACAGAATCCCTGCCATTGATGAGCTCAAAGAGGAGACAGCCCCAAACAGCAGCAGTCCTGGAAGAGCCTGGGGGAAAAACAGGGACCAACTGATAAACCCAACCCATAGCAGTCAGAAGCAGGCGCTTTGAGGCAGAAGCATGTGAAAGACTCTGGCACAGACATTCCAGCTGGAGCAACGAGTCACAAGGGTTCAGGGTAGGAGAGTGGGGCCAATGTGGTTGCAGTATGGGGATTTGGGTTGAGCCAGACCTTAAAAGCCCACCTTCCAGGCTAAGAAATCAGTATGTATCCTGAAGGCCAGATTTGAAGTAGAGTGATAAATGGGGATTGGTATTTTAGCAAGCTTATCCTACCAATGGCTGAAAATCTGAAATCAGATGGAAATTTGAAATCAGGAGGCCACTTAATTATGTGGCCATTCCAGAGCTCAGTCAGAGATGAAGGAAATGGTTTTTCAGCAGCAATGGGAATAAGAGGATAGGAGGGGTGTAAGAAATATGTAGGAAGATGTTCAAGAGCATTGGCAAAATATGACTGGCTCTGGGATTGGAGGAGTCTTGACCGCAGGGGCTGGTACCATTAACAGATAGGAAACGTCATGAGCGGACAACCGGGGAAAGGTTGGGGTTCGGAGTGCAGCAGGAGGGACAAACATAACAGTCCATTTAGCAAGTAACGAGAACCATGCAAATGCTTGAAATTGTTCAGTCCTTAGTTTACTTAGCCTCTCTGAATGTGTTTGTTAATTTTGAGCATCCTCCTTAAAAAGTCCACCTCTGATTTCAATATGTTCTTCCTCCATTATCTGTCAAATCAACGCCTTCATCTCTGTCTCCACTGATACTTCTTTCTTGCAGGCCACCCTAATTCCAAGCTTGCAACAGCAACTATCTCCCAGTCTTCATCTTGACTCAGCTGTCTTCTAACCCATTCTGGATAAAGAATGGTGGTCCTTCTACTTTTCTTTTTTTTTTTTTTTTTGACAAAGTCTCGCTCCGTCGCCCAGGCAGGAGGGCAGTGGCACAATCTCAGCTCACTGCAACCTCGGCCTCCCGGGTTCAAGTAATTCTGGCTCCCAAGTAGCTGGGATAACAGGTGTGTGTCACCACAGCCGGCTAATTTTTTTTTTTTGTATTTTTAGTAGAGACGGTTTCACAATGTAGGCCAGGCTGGTCTTGAACTCCTGACCTCAAGTGATCCACCTGCCTCGGCTCCCAAAGTACTGGGATTACAGGCGTAAGCCACCACACCCGACCCTACTTTTTTTTTTTAATGAAAGAGATGGGGCCTCACTATGTTGTCCACACTGGTCACTAACTCCTGGACTCAAGCAATCCTTCTGCCTCAGCCTCCCAAATGCTGGGGTTATACATGTGAGTCACCATGCCTGGCCAAGAGTGATGGTCTTTCTAAAACGGAAATATGGTCCATGCACTTCCTTGGGAAAGTCATTCAGTGCCTCCTACTGCTGGCAGGATAAGGTCTCAAACTCTACCACCTGCCCCATAAGGCCTGAGGGCATGCAGCTCCTGCCCGCCCTCTAGTCATCACACACATGTCACCCTGCTGAGGAGAACTCCAGCCAGACCAAGTGGGAGGACCCAGGCTCCAAAACTCCTCCAGCACCAAACGCTGTGTCCCAAATCTGTAAAGCTCTTCACCTGGCTGAGTCCTGTTTCCTCTCTCAGGAAGCTTTCTCCAGCCTTCTAAAGCCAGGATAGGGTGCATGCCGGGCCCCTTCATAGCTATGCGTTTTAATGATCTGTTCCCCCAGCGGAATTCTGAGTGCTTTACCTGTTGTATTAATCCATTCTCACACTGCTATTAAAAACTACCTGAGACGAGGTAATTTCAGAACAAAAGAGGTTTAATTGACTCACAATTCCACAGGGTTAATAGGAAGCGTGACTGGGAGGCCTCAGGAAACTTACAATGGTCGAAGGAGAAGCAAGTACCTTCTTACCATGGAAGACCAGGAGAGAGAGAGTGAGGGTGGAAGTGCCAAACATTTTTAAACCATCAGATCTCGTGAGAACTCACTACCATGAGAACAGCATGGGGGAAACCTGCCCCCATGATCCAATCACCTCTCACCGGCCTCTTCTCCAACACTGAGGATCACAACTCGAGATGAGAGTTGGGTGGGGACACAGAGCCAAACCTTATCACCCTTAACCCACAACAACCTTATGAGGTGGATACTGTTATTATCCCCATTTTACAAACAAGGGAAAGAAAGCACAAACAGGTTAAATAACTTACCCAAGGACACAAAGAAGTAGCAACTGGATCCAGTCCAGTGTGGTCCCAGGCCCACATCGGTAACCACCATGCAGAGTGTTTCTTACTTCTCATTGTAACCCTAGTGCAGAGCCTGATTAGTATAGTTGATGTTAAGTAATTTTTGTTTACCTCCATATTGTTTACTCATTCAATAAATATTAGGTTTCTACTTCTAAGGTAGTCTGTAAGAATTAGCTTGAAATGATCAAATGAAAATATTATTGGCCAGGTGCAGTGGCTTATGCCTGTAATCCTAACACTTTGGGAGGCCAAGGCGGGCGGATTACCTGCGGTCAGGAGTTGGAGACCAGCCTGGCCAACACGGTGAAACACTGTCTCTACTAAAAATACAAAAATTAACTGGGCGTGGTGGCACACGCCTGTAATCCCAGCTACTCAGGAGGCTAAGGCAGGAGAATCATTTGAACCTGGGATGCAGAGGTTGTGGTGAGCCGAGATCACACCATTGCACTCCAGCCTGGGCAAAAAGAGCGAAACTCCATCTCAAAAAGAAAAGAAAATATTATTTAATGAACTTATTAATTTACACTTTCTGAAGACTTACTGTTTGTGCAGGCACACTGGTCTTAGTGCGAGAAATAGAGAATGAGAACAATACCTTTACCCTTGAGTTGACAGGCATGGGGGTTGTGACAGAAATAAATATTTTAAAAAGATCATCACTTTTTCATTCCTGTTCCTGAAGCCTTCGTGGATTATTTATGTCTGCCTTCTCCTAAAAATAATTCTATCCAGGATGCCCCGAGGATGTCATGCTGGAAGCTTCCTGTAGGTAACGAGGGGCGCCGCAGTGGTGCTAAGTGCTGAGGCTGCAGGTCTGAAGACAAAAGCCTCCAGAGCGTGACCAGGAATGGTTCGTTTGGCTGCAGCCACAGTAAGGAGCCAGTGCTGCCACCTGCTGGCCAAGAGCAGGTTCGCCCACACCCATTCTGTTGTTAGGAGGCTGAATCACAGCCAGATGGAGGAGGGAAGGGATTTTATCACAACTCGCTTAGTTTAGAGATGAGGAAACTGATGAAAAAGGGACTTGCCCAAGGTCACGTAACTGGTTTGTGGCATAGTCAGAACCGGAACCAAGTACAGGGTTCCTGCAAAACCTGATGCACGCTCCTCTGGATTCAGGCACATGGAACTTAACCTTCAAATTGCAGTATGGTCTTTTCTCGCTTTTTCCTTTCTCTCTTCCCTCCCCCCTTTCCCTCCCCTCCTCTCCTTTCTCCTCCCCCTCCCTCCTCTCTCCTTCCTTCCCCCTCCCCCCATCCCTCCCCTCTCCTCCCCTTCCCATCTCTCCTCCCCTCTCCTCTTTTTTTTTTTTTTTGAAACCAGTTCTCATCACTGCACTTCCAGGACAGGGGAAGCACTGGGGAATGAGGCATCCTAGCTCTGTGGAGGGAAAGGGAGCTGGTCAACATATGCTTTAGGTATTTGTGGGTTTGTTTTTAATTAATAAACTTTATTTATAGAGCAGTTTTAGACTCATAGCAAAATTGAATGAAAGGTAGAGAATTCCCATATAGCCCCTGATCCTACATACTCACAACCTCACCTGCTAACAGCATTCCCCACTACAGCAGTTCATGTGATACAATTGATGAACCCACACTGACACGGCATTTTGACCCAAAGTCCATAGTTTACATTAAGAGTCACTCTGCTGTTACACATTCTATGGGTTTGAACAGATGTATAATGATGTGAATCCTCCTTCAGAGTAATGTACAGAATAGTTTCATTGCCCTAAAACTCCCCTAGGTTCCTCCTGTTCATCTCTCCTCCTCCCACCCCACTGGCAACCACTGTCTCCATAGTTTTGCCTTTTCCAGAAGGTCACATAGTTGGAACCATAGAGCATGTGGCCTTTTCAGACTGGCTTTCACTCAGTAATGTGCATTTAAGGTTCTTCTCTGTTTTTTTCATGGCTTGA
Source organism: Homo sapiens (assembly GCF_000001405.40). NCBI lineage: Eukaryota > Metazoa > Chordata > Mammalia > Primates > Hominidae > Homo > Homo sapiens. The sequence goes on from NC_000001.11 coordinate 167,804,550, forward strand.
TAGCTAATTTCTTTTTAGTGCTGAATAACATTCCATTGTCTAGATTTACCACAGTTTATCCATTCACTTACTGAGGGACATCTTGGTGGCTTCCACGTTTGGGTAATTATACAGTTGCTATAAATGTCCATGTGCAGGGTTTTGTATGGATATGAGTTTTCAGTTCATTTGGGTACATGCCAAAAAGCACAATTGCTGAATTGTATGGTAAGAATATGTCTGGTTTTGTAAGAAACTATAAACTGTCTTCCAAAATGGCTGTACAACTTCACATTCCCTCCAGCAACGAGTGAGAGTTCCCGTCACTCCACGCCCTTGCCAGCATTTGGTGTCTTAGATTTTGGCCATTCTCGTAGGTGTGTGGTATGCTTTAGTTTTTTAGTAATTTGGGAGATGAACTATTAGTTTCAGAAATCCTCACACTCATTAGCACTATCTACCCATAGAATCAAAATCACAGGGAAGCCTGGTGGTGTTGACTTACAGAAAACATGAATACTTGCCTGCAGTTCACAAAGGGCACAGGGGTGAGACTCATGCTTTTGGCAGCTGTTGGGCAGCTGAGTATAAACCAGACTAAGGTGGTTGGGGCAGAACCCCAGAGTACTGTCCCCTGAGCCTATGTTCAAGCAATGCAGAGTGGCAACCAGAGGATGCTAAACTCGAAGGAGATGACTTGACTTTATCATGATCACTGCCTGCAGTTACCACCAGGAAGGCCTAACACAGGGTGCAGGATATTTAAAGAGAAGGAACGAGTATAACCCAATAAGGAAGGCATAGGCTAGAGATAAAGGCCACCATCCAGAGAGAGTGCCCAAAGGCCTACCTTCCTTTGCCCATCAGCATTTAGACATATGTTTTAGTTTACTTCTCTCTCACTGGCTAAAAGCAGACCACAGTCGGTTTCTTTGTTTCCTGTCTGTACCGTCTGTTCTCTTTAAAGTAAAAAAAAACAAACTGTCTAAATACAGGATGGGGAGAACTTGTTAGAATACATGTGACAGTATTAAAGGCTAATGCTTATGGATCTCCTTCTGTATACTAGGCAGCAGGTTTTTTTAAGTTAAAAAAATTGTTTTTTTGGTTTTTGTTTTTGTTTTTTTTTTAGTATTTATTGATCGTTCTTGGGTGTTTCTTGGAGAGGGGGATGTGGCAGGGTCATAGGATAATAGTGGAGAGAAGGTCAGCAGATAAACACGTGAACAAAGGTCTCTGGTTTTCCTAGGCAGAGGTCCCTGCGGCCTTCCACAGTGTTTGTGTCCCTGGGTACTTGAGATTAGGGAGTGGTGATGACTCTTAAGGAGCATGCTGCCTTCAAGCATCTGTTTAACAAAGCACATCTTGCACCGCCCTTAATCCATTTAACCCTGAGTTGACACAGCACATGTTTCAGAGAGCACGGGGTTGGGGGTAAGGTTATAGATTAACAGCATCCCAAGGCAGAAGAATTTTTCTTAGTACAGAACAAAATGGAGTCTCCTATGTCTACTTCTTTCTACACAGACACAATAACAATCTGATCTCTCTTTCTTTTCCCCACATTTCCCCCTTTTCTATTCGACAAAACCACCATCGTCATCATGGCCCGTTCTCGATGGTCGTTGTCTCTTCGGAGCTGTTGGGTACACGTGCAGAAAGGCTGTCACTTCACACTTGGAAGATTGCACAGCGGCCAGGCAGAGGCGCTCCTCACTTCCCAGACGAGGCGGCTGGGCAGAGGTGCTCCTCACTTCCCAGACAGGGTGGTGGCCGGGCAGAGGCGCTCCCCACTTCCCAGACGGGGCAGCCGGGCAGAGGCGCTCCTCACTTCCCAGACAGGGTGGCGGCCGGGCAGAGGCGCTCCCCACTTCCCAGACGGGGCAGCCGGGCAGAAGCGCTCCTCACTTCCCAGACAGGGTGGCGGCCGGGCAGAGGCGCTCCTCACCTCCCAGACGGGGCTGCTGGGCAGAGGCGCTCCTCACTTCCCAGATGGGATGGCCAGGCAGTGGGGCTCCTCACATCCCAGACGATGGGCGGCCATGCAGAGATGCTCCTCACTTCCTAGACGGGGTGGCGGCCAGGCAGAGGCTATAATCTTAGCACTTTGGGAGGCCAAGGCAGGCGGCTGGGAGGTGGAGGTTGTAGTGAGCCGAGATCATGCCACTGCACTCCAGCCTGGGCAACATTGAGCATTGAGTGAGCGAGACTCTGTCTGCAATCCCAGCACCTCAGGAGGCCAAGGCAGGCAGATCACTCCAGGTCAGGAGCTGGAGACCAGCCCGGTCAACATGGCAAAACCCCATCTCCACCAAAAATACAAAAACCAGTCAGGCATGGCAGCGCGTGCCTGCAACCCCAGGCACTCAGCAGGCCTAGGCAGAAGAATCACGGGAGCCCGAGGCGGGGAGGTTGCAGCGAGCTGAGATCACGGCAGTACAGTCCAGCCTTGGCAACAGAGGGAGACCGAAGAAAGAAGGGAGAGGGAGAGGGGGAGAGGGGGAGAGGGGGAGGGAGAAGGAGACGGAGAGGGAGAGGGAAAAATTGTTTTTTGAGATGGTCTGACTCTTGTCTGTTGCCCAGGCTGGAGTGCACTGGCATGATCTCTGATCACTGCAACCTCCGTCTCCCAGGTTCAAGCAATCCTCCCACCTCCACCTCCCAAGTAGCTGGGACTATAGGCGCTTGCCACCACACCCAGTTAACTTTTGCATTTTTTTTTTTTTTGGTCGAGACAGGGTTTAGTCGTGTTGCCCAGCCTGGCCTTGAACTCCTGAGCTCAAGCAATCCACCTGCCTCAGCCTCCCAAAGTGCTGAAATTATTGTTGTGAGCCACTGCGCCCAGCCCTAGGCAGTGTTTTTCATGTAATTCTCAAAAAAAAGAACCCCACACAACTCCATGCAGTATGTACAACTATTATTTCCACTTACAGATGAGGAAACTAAGGCACAGAGAGTAAGTAGCCAACTTGGGATTATCTTCCAGATAATTGGAATATGTCCACAGTGACTCCAAAACTGGCTTCCAAAAAAGTGAAGGCGCATAAGTGGTTTTAATAGGACTCTTCTAGGTAGAACAAAAGAAGTAAGAGTCCTCTCCTATTCCAGATTGGCCAATCTATAGCTCATATATAAGAGAAATGGAGATAAATTTGAATATATTCGGAGACAAGTGATCAGGATACTGAGGGAACCGAAAACAAGGAGCTGGTAGGAGAAGCAGAAGCAACCGGAGATATTTAGCTTGTAGAAGGCTCAAGAGAACCATGAGAGGTGTGTTCAAGAGTTTGAAGGGGTCAGTGAGGAACAAGTTTAAATTTATTCTGTATGATTCCAAAGAGTAGAACTAGGTCCATTTTTTGGAAGCTAAAGGGAACTTGAATCTTTAGATGGTCAAAGCGATTTTTAAGACAGAAAACACTGTTTCCTGATGGTTTGCACAGACAGAGAGCCAGAAAAAGTGGACTTGAATATGCTTCGACAAGGGCACACAATTTCTGGACTTAGGCTCCAGTTCAGCCACTTACTGGCCAGATGATCTCAGGCAAGCCAAAGCATCTGCCATTCTCACCATTCAGGGTTTACAGGGAGAAGATAAGAGCAGGTCCCAGAACTCTCTGTATCTATAAAGAGTTGTACAAATGTAAGGAATTGTTATGATTAAGGCATTAGCTTATTATGACAATGCAGTCGAAATGAATCAGAGGCTGTTCCGCTGAGTCTTCAAGATGTCCAGGTTTTGTATGTGTCACTCCTTCCACCATGAAGGATTTGAACACAGCTCTATTATATTACAGTAGAATGGGCTCAGTGAGGTTTACACGTGCATCTGTTTTTTCTATTGGACATGTGAGCTTGCTGAGGTCAAGAATTGTGCCCTTCATGTTTTTATATCTTAACCTCCAGTACTTAGTCAGGGATTAGTATACAGTAATGAGTTGGAAAATTGTAGTGGGGTGAATAAGTGAGAGAATGAATAAAGTACAAAATAAGGCAACTAGAAAGCAAGGGATTTCTATATTGCAGCATGGGGCAAGCATGCAGCTTCCAGGATGACAGTTTTGAAGGGGACAATACTTAATTGAAGTTTAGTATTTGATGTGTTTATTTTAAAATCAGTCATCTAATATTAGTTTGTTTTTATTTGTATGGCACATTGTAATTTTCAACACTTTTTAACTTTCACTATCTTATTCAGTATTCACAAATGTACACTAACATAGTGAAGTTATGTGGATCAGGCAGGGTGTATGTATCAGACAGGAATAAAGTGTGCTTATGGCAGAGCTCATGTTAGAACCTAATGTTCTGATTTCTTAGCTTGGAGCTCTTCCCTCCATGCCAGGCCATCAGGCCTCTGTGGTTAACCTCGTGGTATCATCTGGGTCTGTCCAACCTCGTTTGTGGAACTCAGTTATGTGATCAGGAGAAAAAATGCACAGCCTTGCTTTTGCATCTGGGAAATGATGAAGAATGAATGTTATTTCTTAAATATAAAAAAACATGTAAACTCTAAATATGTAAAAGATACCCGTGTAAAAATTATTAATATTTTAATTTTTAAAACTTGATCTTTATTTTATATTAAACATATTTATCTGATATTAAAATTTTATTTGATATTTGATGCATGTGGTTAGAGGGGCTAAGACATCACCCTGGCTTTGGAAGCTGCAGTCAGGCCCTACAAACATGTATCTTTTCTAATTCTGTCTTTGTAGACCATGACAAATGTTTGCTATTTGTAATATTGTGCTACCTCCAAAAGACTTAACAATTGGACATTTAAAAATAAGTATTTTCAGTTAACATACTAACTAGAAACATGTCTTTTGCAACACACGATGTCATACCATCTTGAGATTAATAATTTGTAATATGATACAGTTTTGCATGGGCTGAAATAAACAGGTCAAGCTAAAACAACATGAATGGTAAAAGCAATTTTTTGTAACATTAGGAAGAAGTAAACCATGACACTCCTGACCCTTGTAGGCCCTCCAGAAAGAGAAGAAATCAACATGTCTGTTTCTGTGTCTGGAACAGAAGAGATTATGTAGGAACCTGGAGTGGGCCAGCCACGGAGAAAGGTCAATAATAGATAATCACAAGGACATAGTGCTTATTAAAATCTTTTTTCTTTGACATGTTAGAAATGATTGTCCACGGTATTAGCTCTCATCAGGAATTTGTTTTTTTGAAGATCCTGAATGTTTACCCTGCCTGCTACAATTTTTTCCCATGATGGGAGACTCAAGATCGTCTGAAGCCATTGGTCTTCTTTTAACTCAGAGGTTGAGTACCATGATTCCTGAGAGGAAAGAAACAGAACAAAGAAATCATTAGTGCTTCTTGACTTTTGTAATCAAGGTTAGTCCAATATCAAACAAGGCAAAACATCTTTGGTAAAAACCATGTGAACCCATAGACAAAAACGAATCTTGCTGTCCAAACTAGGATACTGACACAGCCCTCTTTAAATACACACATATACTCATACATTCATTCACTTATTCAACAAAACTGAGTATAGGGCTCTGTGCTAGGCACTAAGTGTGGTTTTTGCTTTCAAAGAGTTCACATTCTCAAGGAGAGGAAAGACACGCAGACAGATGTAACACAAAGTGGAAAGTGGCCACAAAGAAGGGCAGAGAGAGGGCATGCTAAGGGGGATTTGGATGAGGGAGAGAGACCATGAGAACTTAAAGGGGAAGAGGAAGCTCACAATCCTGAACTATGGACATGTCACCCTTTCTGGTAAGAATCCAGAAAGGCCTATGGTGACTGCTATGGTCTGAATGTTGGCATCTCCTGAAATTCATATGTTGAAAATTAACCCCCAAGGTAATGGTATTAAGAGTTGGGCCTTTGGAAGGTAATTAGGTCATGAGGGCTCTGCCCTCATAAAAGGGCTGGAGGGAGCAAATTTTCTTTTTCCATCCTTTTGACATGTGAGGACACAGCAAAAGGCACCATCTGTGAGGAACGGACCCTCACCAGACAGCGAATCTCCAGAGCCTTGATCTTGGACTTCCAGCTTCCAAAACTGAGCAGTAGGTTTCTATTGTTCATCAATGACCCAGTCTAAGATATTTTGTTAATGGCAGCCTGGTGAAACCTAACCAGGCAGTAGGCTTCTGGGCTTCTTTATATGGGTGAGCATCGCCACCCCGGTTTGCTAGCTGATGATACATACTTTGTTCATGTTCAGCCAGCATTTCTCCAGTATATTCCCCTGTGTTTCAGAGAGCCGCAAGGCTGTGTTCAGGAAGAGGCCACATTTCTGCCCATCTCCCATTAATATACAGACGTAAGCCATCAGGTGGTAGAGCCTTGGGCAAAAGACAGGGCCAGTGGTATTTTGAGCCACCAGATTCTCCAAGTTCTAAAGAAAAAAAACCCACAACAGTATATTAGAATTAAACAGGGGTCCTTGACTGTAAGTTATTTCCTTCACAGATGATTTGGGAACATTTCAAGGATTTAAGCAATCAAGTGAGAAAATACATTATAGAGACATACACAGTAGGTATTGGAGATAAGACAATAAATGTCAGGCAGAGTAGCCACCATGGTCCACTGAGATCAGGAATTGACCTGAGAGATCCCATCATTACTTCTCTGCAATAACTTTTTTTAAAAAATTATTTTGATTATTATGATTATTAAGGCAGTACAAGTTAATTGTTGAAAAATTAGGAAAAAAAATTGGCCATTTCTGCATGTAAGGAGCTTGGAAATAACCACTTGGTCCTAGAAACAAGTAAAAAGCTGAACAGGCTGGGCGCAGTGGCTCATGCCTATAATCCCAGCACTTTGGGAGGCCGAGGTGGGTGGATCACAAGGTCAAGAGATCAAGACCATCCTGGCCAACATGGTGAAACTCCGTCTCTACTAAAAATACAAAAATTAGCCAGGCATGGTCGTGCACGCCTGTAGTCCCAGCTACTCAGGAGGCTGAGGCAGGAGAATCGCTTGAACCAGGGAGGCAGAGGTTGCAGTGAGCCGAGATCGTGCCACTGCACTCCAGCCTTGTGACAGAGTGAGACTCCATCTCAAAAATAAATAAATAAATAAAGCTGAACAGACTGGAAGATCAACAACTATTCTTGGATCCATAAGAGAAGTGAGAACACAGGGCAAACTGCTGCCCCTAAGACTGGAGAGACAAACAGATGGAGACTCACAAGTGGAAACCACTGTGGGAACCAGTGCCAGGCTAGAAAAACCTGAACTGTAATTGATGAATTGCTAGAAACTCAGACTGGACCGGTCTGGGAGTTAAAAACTCTAGGGAGAAGAGGATTCTGGAGAGACGGCAGAGTAGGAAGTACCAACTATCTGTAGCCCCACCTAGACTATCATTACACTGGCAGAATCTGTCAGAATGTAACTATTTTAGAACTCTGGAGTCTACTGAAGGCTTGTAAATACCAGAGGAAGGCTTGGATGGTAAACTGAGGTTAATTTCAGTTTCAGCTCTTAGCACAGCTGCCTGTCCCCCAGCCTCAAAACCTGTGGCAGACAGTTGTTGTGCACATGCTCCTGAAGAACCTGCGTACAACTTGTGGGAACAAGGGTGGGCAAAAAGGACCCTGTCTGAGATATCAGGGATCTGTGCTCTGATCACCAATTGCTGCTTCTGATGGAAGAGGTAGGCAGTCATTGTTGCACCTCTCCCCGTCATTGCAAGCCCCTCCCACTCCAGTTGAAGTGACTTCCAGTGGATTTAAAGGGCTATTGCCCTTTCCTCCCCCAACTTTATTTTTTTCTCCACCCACCCTCCACCACCTTGACAGCCAGACATTAAATACTAGGACATTCAAAAGCAACTGCCTATAAAAGGAAAATTAGAAAGTGACTGTGCATGCCTAGGGAAAGGCACAGGCTCAGAAAAGATCTGGGAAGACCTTAAGTTTGCACCTCAGGCTGATCCTTGGCATAGAGACAGCCTACAACAATAAAAAACAAAAACAACAACAAAACCCAGAAAACCCTGGGGAAGAGGGAGAATTTGATATCCAGAGCTGTGATATTATTAGATTCAAAGGTCTAGTTTCCAATAATAACAACAAAAAGGCATACCAAGAAACAGGAAAGCATGGCTCATCCCAAGGGGGAAAAAATATCAAGAGAAACTGTCCCTGAAAAAGACCTAATGGCAGATATCCTACACAAAGATTTTTAAACAACTCTAAAGATAATCAAAGAACTAAAGGAAAATGTGGATAAAGTCAAGTAATTGATGTATGAAAATAATGGAAATAACAGTAAAGTGACAGAAAACCTAAAAATATACCAAAAAGAAATTCTGGAGGTGAAAACTGCAATAACTAAAATTTAAAAAAATCACTAGAGGGATTCAAAGGCAGAATTAAACAGGGAGCAGACTTGAAGATAAGACAATGGAAATTATTGAGTCTGATGAACAGAAAGAAAAAAGATTGAAGAAAAGTTAACAGAGCCTAAGGGACTTGTGGAACACCAAGAAGTGAACCAATAAATGCATTGTGGAAGTCCCTGAAGAAGAAGAGAGAGAGAAAGGACTAGAAAGAATATTTGAAGAAATAATGGTTAAAAACTTTCCAAATTTGATAAAAGACATGAATATAAACATCCAAGAAGCTCAACAAACTCCAAGTAAGATAAACTTAAAGAGATACACACTGAGACAAATATAATCACTTTTGAAAAGTGAAAGACACAAAACTTGAAAGCAGTGAGAGAAGCAACTAATCACATACAAGACATCTTCAATAAGATCATGAGCAGATTTCTCATCTGAAAATTTAGAGGTCAGAAGGCAGTGGGCCAATACATTCAAAATATTAAAAAAACAAAAAAAAACCCGTCAACCAAGAGTCTTCTATTCAGCAAAAGCGTCCTTCGAAGATAAGGGAGAAATTAAGACATTCCCAGACAATCAAAAACAAAGTTAATTACCACCAGGACTTTCTTCCAAAAAATGCCCACGCCTTAAAAAAAAGAAAGAAAAGAAAAGAAAGAAAGACAAGAAATACCTAAAGGAGCCCTGTAGGGTAAAATGAAAGGACAGTCAAAGCTCTAAGAAGAAATAAAGATCTCAACAAAGGTAAATACATGGACAATTAAGTGTTATTGTAATAACAGTTTGTAACTTGTTTTGTTTTCTACGTTTTTAAGAGATTAATACGTTTTTAAAATTTAGTAGCCCAAAAGCTAGTAGTATTGTAACTTTGGGTTGTAACTCCACAGTTTGTTTTCTACATAATTGAAGAGACTGATCATTTAAAATAATTATTCATTTATGTTTTGGGGCATATAATGTACAAAAATGTAATTCTGTGACATCAACAACTGAAAGGGGTGGGAAGCTATTAAAGGAGTGGAGTTCTTTGTGCATTACTGAAGTTAACTTTAGGATGCTAAATGTAATCCTCATGGTAACCATAAGGAAAATAGCTATAGAATATATACAAAAGAAAATGGGGAAAGAACTTAAATGTTCCACTATGAAAAATTAAATGCAAAATAAGACACTAGTTCAGGAAATGAGGAATGAAAAAGCTGTAAGGCATATTGAAAACAAATAGCAAAATGATACACACAAGTCCCTCTTTATCAGTAATTACTTTAAATTGAATTAAACTCTCAACAAAAAAACAAGTTGGCAGAATGGATTTTTTAAAAACATGATCTAATTACATACTAAAAGAGACTCACTTTAGATCCAAAGACACAAATAAATGGAAAGTGAAGATAGAAAAAGATACTTTATACAAATAGTAACCCAAAGAGAATAAAGGTGGCTATACTAATGTCAGACAAAATAAACTTTAAATCAGAAAGAAACTTACAAGAGGCAAAGAATAATATATTAATAAAAATTTAAATACAGCAAAATATATATAACAATTATAAACATTTGTTTTATAATTATATTTTTAAAATAAAAATATAACAATTATAAACATTTATGCATCCAATAAGATCGTCAATATATATGAAGCAAAAACTGACAAAATTAAAGGTAGAAATAGACAGTTCTATAATAGTAGTTGGAGACTTCACTAACAGTCAATAATGGATAGAACAATTATACAAAAGATAAGACACAGAGGACTTAGACAACACAATAAACCAACTAAATATAACAAACATACACTTAATGGGTATAGAGTTGTTGTTTGACAAGATGAAGAGAGTTATGGAGATGGAGGGCAGACATGGATACACAACATTAGAAATGTATTTCATACCACTGAACTGCATACTTAAACATGATTAAAATGTTAAGTTTTATGCTATGTGTATTTGGATCACAATAAAAAAAAATTAGGCCACACGTGGGCTCATGCCTGTAATCCCAGCACTTTGGGAGGCCGAGGTGGTCGGATCACCTGAGGTCAGGAGTTCAGGACCAGCCTGGCCAACATGGTGAAACCCCATCTCTACAAAAATACAAAAATTAGCCAGGCATGATGGCGGGTGCCTGTAATCCCAGCTACTCGGGAGGCTGAGGCACGAGAATCACTTGAACCTAGGAGACGGAGGTTGCAGTGAGCCGAGATCACGCCATTGCACTCCAGCCTGGGCGACAGAGTGAGACTCTGTCTCCAACAACAACAACAACAAAAATTAGACAAAAAAAAACCCCAAACACCTTCAGGTGAGCCCCCACAGTTTTGTGTGTTTTACCTCCAGAAGCTCAACCAGGATCTCTCAGTAAATATTGGAGGAAAAAAAATCTCTCATTCTTTCAGCAGAGGAAGAGGAAAAGGAACCATTTTGAAATATGCCAGAGTACTCCGTTTTTCTAAACAAGGTGTGCCCTCAGGAGAAACTATGTAACCAGAGCCTAACCTCCAGGGGTTTTACTAGAGTCTAACTGATCTTGGGGAAGAGGAATACCCAACTAAACCCAGTTCTAGCCATTATGTCCCACCTAAGGAAGAGGGGACTGAAAAGCACTTGTGAAGTTCTTAGTCCAGAGGAATAGGCTCACTAAAAGACTGAGACCTAATCATAGGACTGTAGAATGCTTTCCCTCTCCTCACACCTTACCATCACATTACTAAAGACTTATTTAGACAAAGTCTTTTTACCTGATACATCATATCTGGCTATCAAGAAAAATTACAAGGCATACTAAAAGGCAAAAACATAGTTTGAAAACACAAGTCAGAAGCAGACATGACAGGGATGTTGAAATTATCAGACTGGGAATTTAAAATAACTATGATTAATATGCTAAAAGCTCTAATGAATAAAGTAGAGAGCATGTAAGAGCAATATAAGCAGAGAGATGGAAATCCTAAGAACAAAAAATAAATGCTAGAGATCAAAAACACTGTGAGAGAAATGAAGAATGCCTTTGACAGGCTTATTAGTAGACAGGACCCCGCTGAGGAAAGAATCTCTGAGTTCAAGAGCATATCAATAGAAACCTACAAAACTGACAAGCTAAGAGAGCAAAGACTAGAAAAGAAAAACCATAACAGAATATCCAAGGATTGTGGGATAAGTACAAAAGGTATACTAGATGCATAATAGAAATATCAGAAGGAGAAGAAAGAGGAAAGTAACATCAGAAATACTTGAAGCAAGAAAGACTGAAATGTTTTCCAAATTAAGGTCAAACACCAAACCACAGATCCAGGAAGCTCGCAGAACACCATGTAGGATATATGCCCCAAAACCCCAACACATAGGCATATAATTTGTAAACTACAGAAAATCAAAGATAAAAAATTTTAGGTCAGGCACGGTGGTTCACACCTGTAATCCCAGCACTTTGGGAGGCAGAGGTGGGCAGGTCACTTGAGGTCAGGAGTTCAAGACCAGACTGGCCAACATGGTGAAACCCTGTCTTTACTAAAAATACAAAAATTAGTCAGGCATGTTGGCGGGCACCTGTAATCCCAGCTACTCAGGAGTCTGTGGCAGGAGAATTGCTTGAACCCAGGAGGTGGAGGTTGCAGTGAGTCAAGATCACGCCACTGCACTCCAGCCTGGGTGACAGAGTGAGACTCCATTTCAAAAAAAAGAGAAAAACAAAAAGTTTTAAAGAAGCCCAAGGGACTTCTATAAAGGAACAACAACAAAAAAAGAATTGCCTTTCACTTTTCCTCAGAAACCATGCAAGCAAGAAGACAGTGCCATGACCTGTTGACAGGAAAAAAATCCCTAGAATTCTTTACCCAGTGAAATTATCCTTCAAAATTGAAGACAAAATAAAGACTTCTCAAACTAAAATTGAAGGAAGTTGTTGCTAATAGCTCTGACTTGCAAGAAATGTTAAAGAAATTCTTTAGAGAGAAGGAAAATATGTAGTTCAGAAACTTAGATCTACATAAAGAAAGAAAGCATTGAAGAAGGAGTAAGTGGAGGTAAAATAAAAATTTTCCTTTTCTTATTCTAAAAGATGACAGTTTGTTCAAAATAACAGCAACAATGTGTTCAATTATTCAATTATGTCTACTTATGTAAATACATCTCCTAAGCAGAGATCCCAGACCAGACCACCCAGGCTTTGGACCCGCCAAACTGTGAGTTAAGAAGTGGTGTTGTTTTGGCCTTGGCATGGTGGCTTACACCTGTAATCCCAGCACTTTGGAAGGCTGAGGTGGGTGGATCACTTGAGGTCAAGAGTTCAAGACCAGCCTGGCTAATGTGGTGAAATCCCCATCTCTACTAAAAATACAAAAATTAGCCAGGCATGGTGGCACGTGCCTGTAATCCCAGCTACTTGGGAGGCTGAGGTACGAGAATTGTTTGAACCCGGGAGGCGGAGGTTGCAGTGAGTCGAGATTGCGCCACTGCACTCCAGCCTGGGTGACAAAGGGAGGCTCTGTTAAGAAGTGGGTGTTGTTTTAAGCTGTTTACTTTGTGGTAATGAGTGACAGAGCAATAGAAAACTAGTACACCTGTGCTCAGTGTTTACAAGAACAAGGCAAACGTGTCAACCCAACACCAGAGATTTAGCCCTTTATTCTCTTGGGGGCTTGCCCATGCCAGGTTGTAAACTCTTGGAGGTGTTTAATTTGCTCACTCTTGCGCCCCAGCACTCTTGTATTAATATGCTTAATACATATTTGAATTTTTTAAATTGTCGTGTGGAATGATTTGTCTACCAGGATGCTTTATCACAGCAATAGCAATAAAATCATACAGAAAAGTTCTATCCAATAATAATTAGGCCATACAATCATATATCTGTAAGATAAAGTACCATGCTTCCTTTTAAATCGTGATGTGAAAAACAATTTAATGACAGGAAATTATTCATAATATATTTAATAGCAAATTACAAAATAGAGAAATGTGCATGCACACACACAGAAAAATACTTGAAAAGTGGGATCTCAATATACAAAAAGTACTTATCTCTGAGTAGTAAGGTTATGGGCAATTTATATTTTCTTTCTTACTTTGGGGAAGTGCCTTCAAAAACTTCTATTATAAAAATATATGAATTCTATAATGAGAAAATAATTAGCACAGGAAGTAGACAGAGATCCATTTAAGGCATATTTTATACTGGAAACTGGAGAATAGGCCTCACCTTGAGTAGCTCCTCCCCACTGGCTTGGGCATTCTCTGACTGTTCTTTGATTTGTTTTTGAAGGTGAAGAACTTGCCCCTCCATGTACCTAGATATTCCGTCATAGTAAGTAAGTGTCATGGTTCTTCTTGGCAAAAGATTTTTAGCTCTATTGGAAAATTTGTAAAAGTTGTCCCATTCCTGAAGTCTGGCATACCTGCATTACCACAAGAGAATAAGAAAAATCAGTATCACCCATTAGGAATAGGCTGGCTTTCTGAAATGTCTCTCTGGATGTGCAGCTTCCTTTACCTGGGTCTCTGGAAGTGTGTAGTCTCCTGCCTACCCCTGCTTCACACTCCCTAAAAAAGCAGGAAATTATGTGATACAGAGCAAGGAAATAATAAATTTTTTTGATGACTTGAGATGAATAGAATCCTTGGAAACACTCAGGTAATATTAGCCACCATTGAACTCTTTGGCTTTGGCTTTTTTTCTTTTTTTGAGACGAAGTCTTGCTCTTGTCCCCCAGTCTGGAGTGCAATGGCACAATCTTGGCTTACTGCAACCTCTGCCTCCTGGGTTCAAGTGATTCTCCTGCCTCAGCCTCCCGAGTAGCTGGGACTACAGGTGTGTACCACCACGCCCAGCTAATTTTTTGTATTTTAAGTAGATACGGGGTTTCACCATGTTGGCTAGGCTGGTCTCGAACTCCTGACCTCAGGTGATCCACCCGCCTTGGCCTCCCAAAGTGCTGGGATTACAGGCTGTGCCACCATGCCCGGCCACTTTGGCTTTTTAAATTAAAAAGTGAGGGAGATCAGACACTTGGAGCTGTGGATTCTGGGGCTTGAAGAAATTGTTCCAATACCAAAGAGAGATGATTTAGGCCAGTACTGCTCAAAATGTAGTCCACAGACTGGCATCATCAGTATCACCTGGATTCTCATTAATGCAGGTTCTCTGGTTCAGTCCAGGTCTACTGAATCAGACAGGCTCTGGGGGTGTGGCATCTCTGAGTTAACAAGCTCTCCAGGTGATTTTTTTTTTAACCCTTCAAAGTAATTAAAAATAAGACATTTATTCCAACAATTCTTACATTGCATGAAATACCTCTTTAATATTCTACCTGCATTTGGAACTACCTTCAGAGTATATGGTACAATCCTTTGAATATTTTCTGTGTAGAAAATCCGATTTTTTTTTTTTTTTTTTTTTAGATGGAGTTTCACCCTTGTTGACCAGGCTGGAGTACAATGGCACGATCTCAGCCCACTGCAACCTCTGCTTCCCTGGTTGAAGCAATTCTCCTGCCTCGCTGGGATTACAGGCGCCTGCCATCACGCCTGCCTAATTTTTTATATTTTTAGTAGAGACACGGTTTCACCATATTGGCCAGGCTGGTCTCGAACTCCTGACCTCAGGTGATCCACCCACCTCAGCCTCCCAAAGTGCTGCGATTACAGGCGTGAGCCACTGCTCCTGGCCTGCTTATGATTTTTTTATTTTTTATTTTTTTTTATTTTTTGAGACCCAAGTTTTGCTCTTGTTGCCCAGGCTGGAGTGCAATGGCGCGATCTTGGCTCACCGCAACCTTCGCCTCCTGGGTTCAAACAATTCTCCTGCCTCAGCCTCCCAGGTAGCTGGGTTTACAGGCATGCGCCACCATGCCTGGCTAATTTTTTTGTATTTTTAGTAGAGATGGGGTTTCTCCATGTTGGTCAGGCTGGTCTTGAACTCCCGACCTCAGGTGATCTGCCGGCCTCGGCCTCCCAAAGTGCTGGGATTACAGGTGTCAGCCACCGCGCCCGGCATGATTTTCTAATAGCCAAATATTTAAAGCCAAATCGGATCAACAGTAGGCAAAACATCTTCTCCAGGCCATCAACTTCATCTTCATCTGTGCTGTATTCTTCCATTGTTTTGCCACTAACAAAGTGGATGACTCTCCTTGGGACTTTCTTCTTTTTTCCTATGACTCCCAGTTCTACGTTTCAAAGCCTCTTTCGTTACTCATCCTTGAGATAAAATTTGGCTATGGTTGTCCTGACATCAACGTTTCCTTTTGGACCATGACTCAGCTTTTTGGATCCCTTAATTTCCTGCCCCGCAGATTCCCCGAATGCCGCGGCGGCCGCAGCTCCCGAGGCTGCGACGGCTTCTCCTCGTTCCACAGGGCCCACTGGGTCCTGGTCCATCGTCGTCGCCACCACAGGGCTGCTGGCGCCGCAGCGCCGGCCGCCTAGCCAAGTCTCTGGGAAGGGGACTAGCCGGCCTTGAGGGGCGGGGCCGGCCAGAGGGGCGGGGCCAGCCCGCGCCTCGCCTAGCCCGCCTGGCTCAGCACCCCGAGAGCTGGCCGACTGCCCTCCAGGTGATTTTTATGCCCACTAAAGTCTGAGCAGCATTGGCCTAGGACACAGCTGTTTAAAAAATTCTCCTGCTGAGATAGACAAGAAAAATAAATTTGGATGATTTCTGGACTTTAGATTCCTTAACCTTTAACTCACATTGGTAAGTTATTTGATTTTGAACTTTAATTGGCAAGAGTAATCAATTTTTGGATTTTAATTTCTCCTCATTAATTTTAATAATAAGAGGGGATTTCTTGCCAGGTGCAGTGGCTCATGCCTGTAATCCCAGCATTTGGGAAGGCTGAGGTAGACGGGACCTGAGCCCAGGAGTTGGAGACCAGCCTGGGCAACATCACGACATCCCATCTCTACAAAAGATTAAAATTAGCCAGGCGTGGTGGTATGTGCCTGCAACTCCAGCTACTCAGGAAGCTGAGGTGTTTGGGAGGATCACTTGAGCCTGGGAAGGCGAGGCTGCAGTGATCCGCGATCGCACCACGGGACTCCAACCTGGGTGACACAGCAAGACTGTCTCAGAAAGAAGGAAGGGGTGGATTTCTATTCCAATTTGGAGCTGTTCTAACTTGTAGCATTTTATATAGGAATGTCTTCATATTGTCATTTAGTCTCATCACAAACCTCTGATAGACCATACGGTTGCATATAATTAAGATAGGAAATAAAATAATAGGGGGCGATTTTCAGTCTTGGGGATAGTCATGGAAATAATTTAATGAATGTTCTGTTCTGACCCATTTTAGAACCTTAGCATTCATCTCCTTCCTTAAGGGTATGACCATAATAGCTACATGCTTAACTGAGTTAAAAACGTAGTAGGTTAAAGGAATTGAGCCTTAGGCTTAATGAGTTAATGGGGTGCGGGGAGAATGCTGCTTCCTCACTCCTGAAATTTCCTTCCATGTAAGGGGCCTCTATTTGGTGCAAAGCACCAGAACTCTTTCCCCGCTTTACTTGCCCTTTCAATGATAAGGAGAGATCTTGCTGGTGATTTGGGAGATGAATTGGGCAAGTATAACTCAGTCCGTGTCTCTCTCTATCTTGAGAGCCAGTGAAGCCAACAGGGAGTGTGATACTGATCTCTCTGCTACAAGAGGCCTGCCTCCATGTGAGTAGACCTACAGTTTTCCAGAACTGCCTGCTGCTGAATGGGTTAAGTCTAATTCCAGTGCTCAATATTACGAAGCCCGCTTTCGTGAAGATATAAGCCATGTCTTCCAACATTGGCTTTGTCAATCCATGTGATTAGATATGGGCAGGTGCCGGGTGGGCAAGTGGTGCTATTCATTAGTCTTCCTCAAACCCCAGCACCCCTCTGAAGAAAGCAATCTTTTCTTATTTATCCCTGTATCACCACAACATGATATGTTTGCGATAAATGTTTATTGCATGGATGTAATTGAGATAAATTTACTTTTCTGTCCTTGGCCAAGGGGGATGAACTAGTTGATCCCTAACATGTCTCTCTGTGTAAATATCCTCTGACACCCTTAAGCTGTCTCAGGTATAAATTATGAATACTTTCTAAAAGATTTTTCAAGAACTCTTCCTTGGGATTCAACATTTTCACTTTGGGAATTTAGTGATATGCCACACATTGTTACCAGATAGCTACAGAGGAATAAAGTCCCAGGAGGAGTCCACTGTGGAACTTGAGGATTCTGTTGTTTTCGTATTGGTGTATGAATTCCAAACATTCTTCAAATGTTCTATAAACAAAACCTAAGAGAGAGAGGAATGGGTGAGAGTTATTAGTAGGTGTGGGTGATCATCTTTCTAGCCTAGTCACTCTCAGTTGAATTTCCCACTGCAGGGAGAGTTGCCTCTGATTATTGTATGAATCCAGAGGGTCCCGTGGATTGCAACAACCTCATGACTGGATTGCCCTGTGTTTGCTGAGTCCTACCTATTGGGGAGTGTTATGGATATATACTACAGTTCCACAGTACCGACCAGGCAGGTGTGGGGTTTAAACTAATCCTTCCTGGCCTTAGTGCAGCCTAGGACTTCTCTGTCTCTCCACACATGCTTCCTTTGTTGATGGCAATGTCTGCATCCCCTTTCAAGATCACATGTGGGGAAAACAATTCAGGTTGGTTCCTGTGGTTTAGTGTGTACACTTCAAGTGACCTACTTGGTGTCACTTGAAGGTTATCAGGAAGTAACTTATTTTCCAAATCACCAATAGCTACCAGCCTGGAACTCTCACCTCAAGCAATCTAGTCCTTCATTCTAAAGCGTGAAGTCTCTAAGTACATCCTGCTAAAAGTTAAAAACCCCTGGTAAAAGGCACATAGTAAGACAGTCAGCCACTATCACTTAGGTGCAAATTGATCTGACAGTTTAACTGGCAGCTCATATCCATCAGGTTCCTTCAGACTTAATTCTCCTTCTTGCCGTGCCTTTACAATCTCGGCACCTGCTAGACAGTGCTTCAGCTCACACAACCAGCCTCTCTCCATCCCTGCCCTGTAAGTCCACCAGCCAGAAACCTAGTGGTCCCAAAGCCCCAACCTGAGAGCTGCCACACCACACCAGCACAGGTATCAACACCCCCAAGTTCTTTTACATCCCAAACCCACACTTACCAGAATAAAGCAGGATGTCCAAGCAGACAAAATAGAAAAATGCCTTGCTGAAGATGTGTTCCTGTGTTACAGAAAGCTCCCACAGCCGCCCCAGCACCTGGATCAATTGCGGGTATCTATGGAAAAGAAAAGGTAGTGGCCATTAAAAAGTGGTGGATATTGTAATCCCAGCACTTTGGGAGGCTGAGGTGGGTGGATCACGAGGTCAGGAGTTCGAGACCAGCCTGGCCAACATGGTGAAACCCCATCTCCACTAAAAATACAAAAATTAGCTGGGCATGGTGGCGGGCGCCTGTAATCCCAGCTACTTGGGAGGCTGAGGCAGGAGAATCGCTTGAAACCAGAAGGCGGAGGTTGTGGTGAGCCAATAACGCACCACTGCACTCCAGCCTGGGCAAAAGAGCGAAACTCCATCTCAAAAAAAAAAAAAAAAAAAAGCAGTGGATATAATGGACTTTGGGGCCTCGGAGGGGAGGGGAGGAGGGAAGTGAGGAATAAAAGACTACATGTTGGGTATGTGTACACTGCTCGGGTGACAGGTGCACTAAAATCTCAGAATTCACCTCTATAAAATTCATCTATGTGACCGAAAACCATTTATACCCCCAAAGCTATTGAATAAAAAAAGCAGTGGATAGGATGAGGTTCAGTAAAGTCCCTTCCTGGTCTAGTCTTGGTCCTTCTCAGTAATTCGGAACCAAATATACCTCTTAAACAGATTTCAAACACACCCCTATCCAGGACTAAAACCTCAATCTCAAATTGGCTCTTTTTTCAAATTGTTCTTTCCTGGGTCCTCTATATCAGGGTGACCAGAGTCAGAGCAAATTGGCCTTGACCTCTAGTCCTGGTTGCTATTCTCTGGCCATTTGCCTCCCTGGAAGACTTTTCCCTTTGTCTCCACCTGACAGAAGTGGAGGCCTGATTCCCACAGCTGGGATGACTGTCTGACTACCCTCTGATCACTGGCCAGAGCAACCAGATTAGAGATGATGCAAGGCAAAGAATTCTGTTTAAAATAAAAAAGACAAGGCCTGGCGCAGTGGCTCATGCCTGTAATCCCAACACTTTGGGAGGCTGAGGTGGGTGGGTCACTTGAGGTCAGGAGTTCAAGACCAGCCTGGCCAACAGGGTGAAACCCCCTCTCTTCTAAAAAATACAAAAATTAGCTGGGTGTGGTGGCACGTTGCCTGTAATCCCAGCTACGTGGGAGGTTGAGGCAGGAGAATTGTCTAAACCCGGAAGGCAGAGGTTGCAGTGAGCCAAGATTGCACTACTGCACTCCAGCCTGGGAGACAGAGCAAGACTCTGTCTGAAAAAAGAAAAAAGGGTGACTACTATCAGTTACATTTTCTTACTGCAAACTCTACTCCCTTCCCCACCCTAGGACTAGGCTAAAGTTGAACCCAGAATACTCAATAATACGGCCTCCTCCCCCTAATTTTGGAAAATGCTTTAAGATAAATACCTGCTGTTCAGAAGGAGACATCTGCTAAGTCTGCAGAGGGACTGATAATGTCGGTTGGGATTCTGGAGCAGTGCCCACATCTGAAGGGCTCGGGAGCCTGGGAAGAAAACAATTCCAGTATATTGTGGGGCATTCCTTGTATCCTCATGTCCCATCTTGCCCAGCCAGCCCTTACCTAACTCAATGGCCAAATCCAGGTGTCCCATTATGAGCTTGTTGAAGACCAGTGTCTCAGCCACGTATGCCACGATTTCAATGCCCTCGCCTTTCAGGGGGAGGTTGAAGATGTGCTCCATGGCCATGACTTCATATTTGAACCACACACCTTTGTAGCCAGCCAGGTGGTGGTATAGCGAATAGTCTAGGTAAGCCTTAATGATCTGAAATGGCAGAGTGGAGGAAGAGTGAGGCAGAACGCAAAGCAGAAAGCTCAGGAACATCACTCAATGTCTGCCAGTAAATGTTTGTTTATTAAGTTTGGGAATAGAGCTGGACATTTGGCCGAAGCCATGGGCTTAGAAATAGAAATCAAATTGGGTTTCTGCTACCTGTTTACTGAGTCATTCAGGATAAGCTTGATGGCCCCTTGCCCATGTAGTCCTTAAATGAAATATAAAAATTTTAATTTCTGTGAAAAATAAAAGCAATAGCTTACATATTAGATGTATAATTGCAGAGCAAAAAGGCTGCAAGGATACACTCCAAAGTGTAAACAGTAGTTATATATTTGTTGGGGGTGGGAGGAGAGATTTTACTTTATGCACCTCTGTGATGTTTGTTATAACAAGCATGTATAATTTTTGTAATTTAACAAAAAAGAAAGAAAGGTTGGTTTTGTTTGTTTGGCTTTTTTTTTTTTTTTAAATAAGGACTAGTTTTAAACCTAATTTGGAGGTCAGGTGCAGTGGCTCACATCTATAATCCCAGCACTTCTGGAGGCCGAGGCAGGAGGATTGCTTGAGCTCAGGAGTTCCAGATGAGCCTGGGCACAATAGTGAGACCCTGTTTCAACAACAACAAAAACTAGCCAGGCATGGTGGCATATGCCTGTAGTCCTACCTACTCAGGAGGCTGAGACGAGAGGTCACTTGAGCACAGGAGTTTGAGCCCAGCCTGGGCAATATAGTGAGACCTGATCTCTACAAAAGATTTTAAAAAAAAGTAGCCAGCATGATGACACAAGCCTGTAATCCTAGCTACTCAGGAAGCTGAGGTGTTTGGGAGGATCACTTGAGCAGGGGAGGTTGAGGCTGCAGTGAGCCATGATCACGCCACTGCACTCCAGCCTGGGTGACTGAGTGAGACCCTTCTCAAAAACGAACAAACAAATAAATCTAATTTGCAGATTTAAGAGAAACTGGTTACTCTAAACAACTCTTTAAAAAGATAAAGTTGCTTCAGAGTATACATGCTTAGAGAATAGTGAGGAGAAAAGGGTTCCTTCTAAAGAAGCAGTTTTATTATATATACAAAAACAAAATAATACATGTAAACTACTTTGAAAAATACAAACAGGAAAAATAAAGTATCTCTAGTGGTGGGAGTATTGGGGTCGGGGAAGTGTTTTAGAGTAGAGGCTTTTTTCTTGGAATTCCTCAGATGGGACAAAATAAGCAGCCTACAAATTCTGTGTTATAGGCAGGTCCCTGGATACTTAAACCACATCAGTCTTAGAGAATTCCTTTCTTTCTGGTTTGGAACATGTTCCAGATAATGCTACCAGAAGGTAAGGATAGCCAGAAATGGTGGTGGGGGAAGAGAGAAGTGTTGGGCACGAGAAATCCAAGGCTGTAATAAAGCCTAGGACCTCTTGGATTTGGACCAAGAGAATGGAGGTCCAACTGCTTCACTTTACAGAGAAAATATAAAGCTCCTTGTTTATGCGGCTTTTCAGTGGTCACACTGCAGATAGGCGGAGTCCTGGAAACCACCCTCTGGCTCTCAGTCTGGTTCTTTCCATTCTCCCATGCTGAGTCCCTCACCTGCCTTTGAGCACTGAGGGGAGCGCTTCTTTGCTTTCAATCCCAGCCACCTTGATGACAAATGTCTTGGTTCACATTCTATCCTGACTTTTTATTTTCCCCACCCCAACTCTACCACAATTCTTAGGATATAGCTCCAAGTGTGGAGAAGTATTTCAGTCCATATAAATTTCTTGAGCAACTGCAAATGTTCTAGAAACTTAGGATGTGAACAAGACAGCTGAAGAGGTCCTTGCTTCCAAGGGATTTACACACTGGTAAGGGAGAGAGACCAAGAACCAATGCAGGAGCAAACAAGAAATTGTCAAATGGTAATAATACCTATTAAAACAGAGTGACAAGTTAGAAAGTGAATGGGTGGCCATGACCAGTTCCCTCCAAGCAGAGGAAACATCCAGTGACAGATGGGATTAAACTTCTGTGTTTGAGGAACCAAAAGAGGACCAATATGGCTGGGCTTGTGGCTACTTCATGGCCTACAGAGCTAGAAGAGGATGGGAAATAGGCAGGGGTCAATCTTGATGGGCTTTATAAATACTTCTGTATTCTAGGAGAGCCAGCCTAAATTCACCAAAAGGAACTAATGTAGAGGACAGACTCCAGGTTAGGAATCTAAGCTCCTCCAACAGTAGCTCCTTGGTGCTACTTGACCCCTTCCCTTAATTCTTGACAACTAATGACTCCAGGAGGAAGAAACCCAGACTTAATGTACTTTTTTTTTTTTTCCTGAGATGGAGTCTTGCTCTGTCGCCCAGGCTGGAGTGCAGTGGAGTGATCTCTGCTCACTGCAAGCTCCACCTCCTGGGTTCACACCATTCTCCTGCCTCAGCCTCCCGAGTAGCTGGGACTACAGGCGCCCGCCACCACGCCCGGCTAATTTTTTTTTTTTTTTTTGTATTTTCAGTAGAGACAGGGTTTCACCGTGGTCTTGATCTCCTTACCTTGTGATCCGCCCACCTCGGCCTCCCAAAGTGCTAGGATTACAGGCATAAGCCACCATGCCCGGCCTGCTGATTTAATGTACTTTTATAAAGGAGCAAGGTCACTCTCATTAGATGAGTTTGATTTAGCTTAATAATTTCTTGATCATGTCTCCTGATATCTTCTTCATCCAGTCAAAGGCTTCTTTGGTTATGACCTAGACTAGTGGTTCTCCCAATTCATCCTGGGAGCCCTAGGGATCCGTGGCACCTTTTCAGAGACCACATGAGGTCAAAGCTAGTTCCATAATATCTAGGCATTTTAAATTTAAAAAAAAAAAATTTTTTTTTTTGAGTTGGAGTCTCGCTCTTGTCATCCAGGCTGGAGTGCAATGGTGTGATCTCATCTCACTGCAACCTCTGCCTCCTGGGTTCAAGCAATTCTCCTGCCTCGGCCTCCTGAGTAGCTGGGATTACAGGCACCCACCACCACACTCAGCTAATTTTTGTATTTTTAGTAAAGATAGGTTTTCCCCATGTTGGCCAGGCTAGTCTCGAACTCCTGACCTCACGTGATCCGCCCACCTCAGCCTCCCAAAGTGCTGGGATTACAGGCGTGAGCCACCATGCCCCGCTAATATCCAGGCATTATTTGTGACAGGAAAAATAGTGAAAGACCTTAAAATGGGCAAAAACACAACTTAGTGGGGATCCTATCTAGCTTACTAATCAAAGTTATCTCTATTTTTCTTTGGACTATCTTACAACTATGTTGCAGAAAACTGATATTAATATAAGTGATATGATTTGTTTTTCATAGAAATGTAAATATTCAGTGGAATACAAGTGATTATTATGCTGTTACTAGACAAGTTTTGTATCCATTGGTAAACAGATTCTCCTTGGAACCACTTGGTTCCAATCTTACTAATTTTGATTGAGTCAACTCAGTGAGTTAAATAAAATCTTTGATGTGTACTTTCCATATTTGTTATCAGTTATAATTCTATCTTTTTAAAAAAGAATTATCCTTTAACATTTTTCTCTTTCACCCTCATTCTCTCATGAATATACACTGGAGTCTTCCAGAGGCAACATATGTGATACTGCAACAGTGAAAGCAGAAGCAGATGTGAGAATCTAGTTGTCTTCTAAGAAGCCAGATGTTAAAATATTGGCAAAAATTTAATACAATGCCACATTTCCCATTTTTTGTTTGCGGAACAGAGTTTTAAAAAATGAAAATGGTAATTATGTTAATATGTAATAGGCTTGTTATCTTTATTTTAAAATAATATTTTAGGCCAGGTGCAGTGCCTCACGCCTGTAATCCCAGCACTTTGGAAGGCCAGTGTGGGCAGATCACTTGAGGTCAGGAGTTCAAGACCAGCCTGGCCAACATGGTGAAACCCCGTCTCTACTAAAAATACAAAAATTAGCTGGGTGTGGTGGCGCATGCCTGTAGTCCCAGCTACTCAGGAGGATGAGGCAAGAGAATCTCTTGAACCCGGGAAGTGGAGGTTGCAGTGAGCCGATATTGTGCCACTGCACTCCAGCCTGGGTGACAGAGCAAGACTCCATCTCAAAAAAAACCAGCAAAAATAATAATAATAATATTTTAGAATTTTCTCGACTTTTGTTTCTTATATGCTATCAATAGATTCAACCCATATGAATAAAAGCTATTCGGGATCTTCAATAATTTTTAAGAGTGTGAAGTGATCCTGGAGCCAAAGTGTTTGAGAACTGCTGGCCTTGTCAAAACAAGCCAATCAGAAAGCCTTCTATTATTATATCCTCAGAATTTTGAATCCTAATTGGCTTTCACTAGGCTTTTCTTCCCAAATGAAATTCAGAAACTTAAAGGAGCAGCTACAAAAATCCCCTACCTGGAAACAATTTTGAGTTTCCAGTGCAGTATTCATTTGCATCATAACTGCCAGGTGGGCATAATACTTGCAGTGAAAAAGATAACTGTAGCTATAGATGCGCCACAGCAAGGAAAGGCAGACAGTTTGCCGGTAAAGTTGTGCCAGCCTCTTCTTCCTATTGGATAAGGTAAACACAAATGGAACATGAAAGGTATCATCATTACCATGATTTAGGGGAGCACAGGTACATGGTGTCCTCACTATGGGCCTGGGAATCAAAACTGACTTGAATTTGAGGCCTGTCTCCATGACTGACAAACAAGCACATTAATTTTTATGGAGCACATTTTCTTCATTGTAAAATGGGAATCATAATACCTACTTTATAATGATTAAGATAATTTATGTAAAGCATCTGTCCTGAGTCAGGTAATTGCTAAATGAAGCTATTTAAAAAGCACATTGATATTATTCATCACATTTGATTCTGATGACAATCCTGTAAGAAAAGAGTGGAATAACTGACTCCATTTTACATTTGAGGAAGGTGAGACTCAGGTTAAGTAATTAAGGCAAAGACACACAGCTGGAATGTGGTGGTGCCAGGATTCAAACTCCATCTACCTCCAGCCCAAAAGCCCAATGTATTATTTTCTCCATTGCACACTGCTTTCAGGAACTACTTCTCAGCTCAACAAAGGTGTGAAAGGAAAATAAAAACTCAGGATCCCAATTCACTATGCCAAAAGGAAAAAATTAAGCTGAAAGCTGAGTCATGCAAGAAGTTGCCTTTCCTTTTGTTCCTTAGCAGACAGCTACAGATAAAAAGTTAAGTATCTGCACGGGTAGCTACTCTATGTCTGCCTTATCCTACCTTAAGTGCCTATTTACTGAGTGTGAGACAATACATAATTGACTATTCCCCTAGCTGCTCCTATTCTCTTGCAACATGTGGATTATTATCACGCCCTCCCTCATTTTCCTCCAGCCCACTTTTCCCCTTTAAATACTGCAGTCTCAAACAGGGACTGTTTCTGTGGTTTTGTGTTTTTTTTTCTTCTGGGCATGTCCTTAACCTTGGCAAAATAAACTTACAGATTGATTGATACCTGTCTTGGGTACTTTTTAGTTTACAAAAAAAAAAAAAAAGAGGATTTTTTGTTTTTTGAGCCTCGCTCTGTTGTCCAGGTTGGAGTGCAGTGGCATGATCTCAGCTCACTGCAACCTCTGCTTCCCAGGTTCAAGCGATTCTCTTTCCTCAGCCTCCCCAGTAGCTGGGATTACAGGCACACACCACCATGTCTGGCTAATTATTTTGTGTTTTTGGTAGAGATGGGGTTTCGCCATGTTGGCCAGGCTGGTCCTGAACCCCTGACCTCAGGTGATCCGCCTGCCTCAGCCTCCCGAAGTGCTGGGATTGCAAGCGTGAGCCACTGCGCCTGGCCAAAAAATGAGCATTTTTAACTATTGCATTTTGAAAGGAAAATATCTTGGGCCCCCAAAATCACTAAGGAAAACTCAAGCTGGAAACTGCTTAGGGCAAACCTGCCTCCCATTCTATTCAAAGTCACTCCTCTGCCCTTTGACATAGATGCATATCTGATTTGCCTCCTTTGGAAAGGCGAATCAGAAACTCAAAAGAATGCAACTTTTGTCTCACCTATCTGTGACCTGGAAGCTCCCTCCCAACTTCCTGCCTTTGCTTCAAGTTGTCCCACCTTTCCAGACCAATGTACTTCTTACATATGTTGATTGATGTCTCCTGTCTCCCCAAATGTATAAAATTAAGCTGTGCCCCGACCACCTTGGGCACATGTCGTTAGGACTTACTGAGGCTGTGTTACAGGCGTGTCCTCAACCTTGGCAAAATAAACTTTCTAAATTATGATGTGGAAATGATTTTTTTTAAAGGTTCTTAGGAAACATGGACAGGGTAAAATCTCTC
The DNA here is from genome assembly GCF_000001405.40 of Homo sapiens. Classification (NCBI taxonomy): domain Eukaryota; kingdom Metazoa; phylum Chordata; class Mammalia; order Primates; family Hominidae; genus Homo; species Homo sapiens. The sequence goes on from NC_000001.11 coordinate 167,831,194, forward strand.
TCTCTTTTTTTTTTGAGACGGAGTCTCGCTTTATCGCCCAGGCTAGAGTGCAGTGGCGCGATCTTGGCTCACTTTAACCTCCACCTCCCTGGTTCAAGCAATTCCCCTGCCTCAACCTTCCGAGTAGCTGGGATTACAGGTGCACGCCACCACGCCTGGCTAAATTTTTTCTGTATTTTTAGTAGAGACGGGATTTCACCATGTTGGCCAGACTGGTCTCGAACTCCCAACTTCAGGCAATCCGCCCCCCTCAGCCTCCCTAAGCGTTGGTATTACAGGCGTGAGCCACAACACCCAGCCCTGGGTAAAATCTCTTATAGGGCATTCGTGAGGGTCATGGACACTCTGACATTAAATGTTGTTCCATGTCATACTCATTTTTGAGATGAGAACCTTTTGACCTGTGGATATTTTAAGCCAACAGCTCCTCAGTTTTTTCTTCTTCAACACTTTTCTACCTTTTCCCTTTGTGCAGGTACTTCTTACTCCTTTTACAAAATGTGAAATGTGTAAATTACCTGTTTTAGCAGATGAAAATACAGGATGCCCAATTAAGTTTGAATTTTAAACCTAATAATTTTTATGGAATGCATATGTCCTAAATATTTCATATGATAGATGTATACTAAAAAAAGTATTCACTGTTTATCTGAAATTCAAATTGAGGCATCCTGCAACCCTATGTGTAATGCAAAGACCACTGCCTTCTCAGAGAGATCTCTGCTGAACATCTCCCAGCCCTTCCTCTTGGGGTTTCCAGAAACAGCCAGGTTTTCCCAGGAGCCCACCTCCAACGTGCACAGGAGCTCAGCTCCATTACATTTCCTTTTCACCTCAGGATTCCCTACATTTAAAGGAACATGTTTGGAAGCTGGGGAAGGCAGTTTCTGATGGGGTTGCAAAAGAGTTGTAGTAGCTTGCTCGTAGGAATAGATGTTTGTATCTTAGGCAGAACCTATAGTAATATAGCTACAGAGCTCCCCCAAGATGGAAGAGGTGTCCTCTGTCAGCTCTCCAGGTACCCAACAAGGAGGCATCTCCTTTGCCATGAATTGCTAGATAGGTGGAATATTTTTGAAAACATTTATTATAGAATAATTCAAGCATACACACAGCAAACAAGAGTATGATGAGCAAAATGCACTCAACACCTACCTTCAACAACTAGCAACATGCTTATTTCATCTACCTCTCCACTCACTATTTCTTCCCACTCATTATTATTATAGTTATCTTATAGGTAGAATTTATATATATTGAAATGCCCAAATCTTAACAGTACAATTTTGACCAACGGATACCCCCCATGTAACCCATATCCCTATTGAGATTCCTAGATGGGTGGGAGTTTTGTCCTTTGGCAAATGTCTTCAGGGCTTGCTATTTTTCTTTGGGGCGGGGCAAAACCCAGTGTCTTAGCACCTAATGGAAGAGGGCTTGTGACTGAGGTCCCAGGAGCAGTGGTGCAGGTTCCATCCAATGAGAACACGGATGGCCATGGGGGTTAAAGGGCTAGATGAGTTAGGACGGACCCTAGAACTTACCTTACAACGAGGTCCCTTATGTTTGAGTCATCAAAATTCCCTTTGGCAAAAACTGCCTGTAAAGTACTTTGTGGCAACCCTGGTATGGGAGCACCTCCCACACTCGCCCCCTCCCCAGTGAATGGTCAGAGCCAAACAGGAGTCCTTGTGCCCCCTGGAGGCCAGGCTTTGGGGGCTGACTTGGATTATGTGTAGGCCTCTCTGGGGAGTGAGACTAAACAGTCTGCTCTCCCCAGCTCCTTCCCTTACCCTGGAGGTGGGCTCTCTTGGGCCTGCCGATTCACATAATGAAAGTGTCTGTTTTTCTCGACATGGATATGGAGAAACAAGGAGATTAAGTTGTAAGGAAAGATTCGGTTGAGGAGCTTCAGTGCCTTCCTCAGCATTTTCTTGGCAAGCACTATCTGGCCCATATTGAAACAGACCTACAGGGAGGTGGGAGGGAAGAGAGGAAAAGAGGAAAACGATGATTCTAACTTAATTAGTAGGTCCCAACAATCCATATTTTGGGGATTCTTATCAAAAAAGGTAATTTATGGACCAGAAACAAAATCTTCCTGTGCCTGGCATAATAGAAAATGTCTATTGGATATATGCATGAAGGGTGGTTGAATGACTAGGATTTAGCATCTTAGTTGTGCATTGTCTACCTCTGAGACAATGTTTACCCATTCAGGTCCATTTTTAGAGATTGTAACAAAAATATTTCATAAAGGTGTCAACCTGGGCCGGGCACGGTGGCTAACGCCTGTAATCCCAGCACTTTGGGAGGTCAGGGCGGGCGGATCACTTGAGGTCAGGAGTTTGAGACCAGCCTGGCCAACATGGTGAAACCCCATCTCTACTAAAATACAAAAATTAGCTGGGCGTGGTGGCGCATGCCTGTAATCCCAGCTACTTTGGAGGCTGAGGCAGGAGAATCACTTGAACCCAGGAGACGGAATTTGCAGAGAGCCGATATCACGCCACTGTATTCCAGGCTGGGCAACACAGCAAGACTCCCTCTCAAAAAAAAAAAAAAAAAAAGATGTAAACCTGGAAGACAGGGAAGATCTTGCTGGTAAGCCATGGTGAGGAGGTTGGAGCCCAGGGATTTGAGTTTCTAGAGTCTTGGCTAGAAGTCTGTGGCAAGAGATGGGAGGAGGGTGTAGAAAGTATAGGGATGACTTCTACTTCTATGGAAAGGCCTAAGATATATAACAGATAAATTCAAGTCTTTAATGGTTTCTTACCTCACCTTTGAGGCTGTAAAAGGTGGCAGACTCAAATGTCTGGCTCCAAGATTTGTCCTTCTTGAGAGTTTTTAGCAACTTCTGTCCTTCATTCAAATACATGTATGCCTGTAACCAGCCCAAGGAGTAGAAAAGTGTTGATTCAGCAGGGATTGAGCCCACAGAAGGGCCATTGCCCCAGACTCTACTGAAGTAAGAGATGCAGGAGCCATTTCAGTTACCACCTCCACTTCCATCCCCAGCTCCACTGATTAAAATGGGCTTCCAAATTCCAGACAGGAGCTGATGGGTAAAGATCTCACCTTCATGCTTACCTTTGTCTGCTGGATCACTCCATCAAGAGAATGAATCTGGAAATCTCCACCTTTCTTCACACTATCATCTAGGTTGCCTTACCCGAAGTTTCCCTCAAGCCAGTTTCTTCCTCTCAATAATTCTATCCCCAACCTCCCTATTCCCAACAACACATCCACTTCCCTTGAACAGCATCCCCACATCTGTGAGAAGTTGGTCTTCAGTTTTTAAATGAATTATGAATCACCCCCACTTCCTTTGCCAGGGTCATTTTGGGAGGTGGATGAGGAAGTAAGTCCCTGCACAACTCTCATCACTTCAGCTTCACCTCCCAACATCATTAGGCAAATCTTAGCACGTGTGCACACCAAGGTAAGATCAGACTTGAAGAATATAATAAGGTGAGGCAGTATCTCCCAGTCTCATGCATCCTGTTGGGTATGTGTGGGAGGCAAAAAAAGAGGGAGACATGATGAGTTGGCCACCAGCCCCAGTCCCACTGGAGTTTGATGGGAGAGGGGGTACAAATGTCACATTCTGGGACCTTGCACTGAGGCTGTGCTTCTAATCATTGTCTTCTTGTCAAGTGAAACGGGGTATGCATAGGTTTTAGAAAGTTGGCCCCCAGGGCTACCTAAGCCTCCTCCTCCTGGGACTCATTGGCTACATCCCCATCATCACCTCGAATATGTGCATGAAATATGCAGGAGACTTTCATTCTTAACATAAATGTTTCAAGGACAGGAACTTAGTGACATTTTTAACAGTTTAATTTTATAATTTTATATAAATCTAAGGTAGGAGGGTTGATTAGGCTGCTGTGACCAGTAGCAACTGTAAATTATGGAAGGTCTATGAAGCTCTTCCTGAAGCTGGCTGAAGTCAGATGAAGCAAGGGCCCAGAAAGACATTTCCTCAAGTGAGTTCATGGAAGGTTAGCCCAGCCAGCTGCTCCATGAAAAGAGATCTAAGGGCAAATAAGTTTGAGAAACACAGTATGCTTCAGCCTAGCCTGGCCTTTACCCTTCTGTGTCCTCTGAACAGATTTATATATATATCTCAGCATATCAAAGGCCCTGAAGTATCTAAAGGCATCTATTTACCTGTATTCAGCTCAGTGATTTCCAACTTACTTAACAATGAATTCTGTTTATTTCATCATGTGTATCAAATCCCCTCATTTCTATGGGCATAGTGCCCTGGAACCTTATTTATAATTACCCTAGAGAAACATTCACTAGTGCTTTGGTGGTCTAATGGTATGTGTAATAATCTAGCACACATTGCATGATGACAAAGGCAGGGAGAGCCTCTTTGGGGATCACAATATTAAAACCAGAATTGGCTGGGCACAGTGGCTCACACTTGTAATCCTAGCACTTTGGAAGGCCAAGGAGGGCAGATCCCTTGAGCTCAGGTGTTCAAGACCAGCCTGGGCAACATAGTGTAACCCCATCTCTACCAAGAACACAAAAAATTAGCTGGGCATGGTGGCATACGTCTGCAGTCCCAGCTACTCAGGAGGCTGAAGTGGGAGGATGGCTTGATCCCGGGAGGCAGACGTTGCAGTGAGCAGAGATCGCGCCACTACACTCCAGCCTGGGTGACAAAGACTTCATCTCAAAAACAAAACAAAAAACCAGAATTGCACTTATCCAAAGACCTACAGGTATTTTGTGCTCACAGGTATTTTAGGCTTAACAGAGGGTAAATGCCACTTGAGGAAGACTATGCTGAGAGTCCTCTCTGCATCATTTTGGGAATGAGATGTGCCCCCTTACCTCCCATACAGGTAGACAATTCATGGCAAGTTTCTAAAGGTGGCAATATTTTAAATAATTTACAATGCTAGTTGCAATGTATTCCAATTCTCTTTTCTCAATCTTAGATCATTTCCCTTCTAAGCAATGTGATTTTCAGTGGAAAGGGGTGCTGTCGGGAATATACAACGTGAAGTAATCAGAAAGCATGCTGGAGCTTCCTTCTGGCTCTATGTTCTATGAATTGTCTCTAGGGTGGAGGTGGTCTGGGTAGAAACAGCTTACCATGTAGTTATCACAAAAGATGAGATAAGCAGATGCAATTTCTAAGAAGTAATATAAGGCTTTGTCATTTTCTCCCAAAGCCAGAAAATGGTGGGCCAGAGGCAAGATGACAATCTCTAGGATTTCTTCACACTGGCAAGATTCCAGAGGGATAATGTCTTCGTCAGATGTCTTCATTTTTGTTAAAACGTGGTCAAAGAAATTCAAGATCTTTTCTCTTATTTCTTCAGGACTGTCCATATGCAGAAATAAATAATAGTAACTTATACAGTATCACTTTTGATATTAAAATATCTTTAGGCCAGACGCGGTGGCTCACGCCTGTAATTCCAGCAGTTTGGGAGGCCGAAGCTGGTGGATCATCTGAGATCAGGAGTTCAAGACCAGCCTGGCCAACCTGGTGAAACCCCATCTCTACTAAAAATATAAAAATTAGGCCGGGTGCGGTGGCTCATGCCTGTAATCCCAGCACTTTGGGAGGCCAAGGCAAGTGGATCACGAGGTCAGGAGATCAAGACCATCCTGGCTAACACGGTGAAATCCCGTCTCTACTAAAAATACAAAAAATTAGCCGGGTGTGGTGGCAGGCGCCTGTAGTCCCAGTTATTCAGGAGGCTGAGGCAGGAGAATCACTTGAACCCAGAAGGCGGAGGTTGCAGTGAGCTGAGATTGTGGCATTGCACTCCAGCCTGGGTGACAGAGCGAGACTCCATCTTGAAAAAATAAATAAATAAAATAAAATATCTTTAAAAACAAAAGAGCAGGATAATAAAACCTAGTGTGGATACTACTGACTAAACTCACCATGCATACCCCCCAAAGTTTCCCACTTGCATCTAAGAGGTCAAAAGTACTGGCCAGACAAATGATTCTAATAGTGTTCTGAATTTAATGACAATTATTTATGCTCTACTTCCTAAACAATGATATATGCCTCTACCTGCGATTTTCAGGAAAAAATGCAGATGTCTCAGGAATCTCTGAGTTGGACAAGATAAGCTTTTCTTCAGCTAGAAAATAAACAAATGAGTTGTATGGGTCATTGAAATGTTCTCTGCAGTGGAGATATCTGCTGTCTACCCAAGACTCTTGTTCCCTTTTCGGAGTTGTTGCTGCCCAGCCAGAAACCACATTGCCTAGTCCCCATTGTATCTTAGGTGAAGCCACGTGATGAGTTCTCACAATAGAATTAGATCAGAAGTAATATATGTCACCTCTAGGCTAAGATGGTTATGTGTCTTCTCTGCCTTCTCTTTCCACAAGAAAGCAAGTAATTCTAAGAACCTGAAGGATAGCAAACCCACAAGTTGGGAGGAGCCTGGGTCCCTTGCTAACTGCATGCAAAGCCATTGGTCAACACTTGCATTGGATTATTTCATAAGGGGGAAATAATCACTCTCTTGTGTTAATCCACAGAAATGCTGGGGTTTGTGATAGCTAATAACATTATCCTAACTCATTTATTCTGCAATAAAAACTATGAATTAAACCTGAAGAAAGTGACATCAATTTCCAGTGGAGAAATATAGATAATTAAATGAAATACCCCAAAAGGTTAACTGAAGGGCAGAGAATCTTAAATTAAAAACCTCAGTCTAAGCAGACTTGAACAGGTTAGAAAATTCCATAATGATCTTAAAACAGAAAACAAATGAGGCTTGTCTAGTCCAGCCATTTCTCCCTTCAGGCAGAAGAAAGAATCCCAGAGAGGGGAATGAACTTGTCTCAGGTCATACATCTGTTAGTGGTGGAGGCAGGACTAGAACTTAGGTTTTCTGGCTCCCAGGCTAATGCATTACTCCATACATCTTATAGATGCAGTTTGAACATCTAAGAAGTTACCACCTTCTTCTGAAAGCCCTCTGTGCTCTTGCCTCCATAGATAAGTACCCCAACTCCTGTGTGCCCGTCAACCCTGTGCAGACCTGTATCATAGTCCTTATTGTACTGCACAGAGATCAATTTGGCCACCTCTTCTCCTAGATTACTATTTATTGATTCCTTAGTGACTAGCAGCTGAATATATTGAATTATGACCCTGTCCCCCTACTTCTCTAAAACTGCTGTTGTTAAAGTTACCTGTGGCCACCATGTTGCCACATCCAAAGGCTACATCTTTGTCTGCACTTGATTACCTCTCAGCAGCATTTAATACAAGTGACCACTCTCCCTTTTCACTGATTCTTTTAGCACACATTGTTTTGTGTGTTATAAGGGAATTGGTTGCCTACTTAATTGGCTACTATTCGTCTACCAACATTCTAAATGTTGGTAAACCTCAGTTTGGTCCTGGGCTCCGTTCTCCTTTCACAATTTCTCCCTAGGCAGTTTCATCTGCCCATGACTTTTAATTACATTCATATGCTAATGGATTTCCATTTTATATATCTAAGCCTCGACATCTACTTTAACTACAGACCCATATATTCAAATACCACCTTGGCAACTGCCATTTGAATGTGTAATAGGCATTTCAAAATTAACATGATTCAAACAGAAACTCTCGAATCTCTCCTCCAGAAACTTATACCCACTTACAACTTTTCCTAACATAGTAAGCATCACTGTCATATATCCATTTTCTCAAGACAAAAACCTGCGCAAGATCCTTGATTATTTTCTTTTTCTTACCCCCTTCCCTATTCAGTCCATCAGAAAGTCCCGTTGACCATACCCAAAAACATATCTGAATTCATCGTCTTCTGTCCATCTTCACTACAGCACCACCTCAGTCCATTACCAAAATTTTACCTGGACAACTGCAAAAAACTAATCTCCCTTCTATTCCTATCCTTTTCAATCTCTTTCTGTAGAGAAGGCAGTACCATTTAAAAAGCATGATTCAGATCTCTGTGGCAGGAACTGCCGGTTTCCCAACTCAATCTCCATTGTCCCTTTTCTCATTAGTAATAGACAGCGACATTCTTCAGCTTCCCTTGCAACTGGATATAGTCATGTGAGTAGGTTCTGATCAATGGGATGTAAGAGGAAATACTGGGTAGGACTTTTAGAAGATCCTTTAAAAGGGAGGGGATATCCTTTCATGTTTTGGCTTCTTTTCTCCTTCTGGCATTAAACATGCTGGCTGGAGCCTCAGCAGCTGTTTTGGACCAAGGACCCTGATGATCATGAAGCCTCCATACTAGTCCCAGTGATGAGGCAAGCCTTTTACATGAGAAATACATAAATACAATACATTTAATAATAAATAAATTTAAGCCACACTAGCTAGGTCCTTATTATATGCAGCCAATACTCATTCTAATTGATATATTTCCAATGTGTTCCAATTCACTTAGACTGAAATTTAGACTATTTATCAAAGTCTACAAGGCCCCTTGAAGATTTTATTACTTAATCTGTTCATTGTCTGTCAGTTGCCATTAAAATTCAAATTTATAAGAAGAGACATGTCTATCTTAATAATAAAATAAAAATTGATAATAAATGTCTACCATTTTTCACTACTATGGTCCGAATATCTAGGTCACTTCCTGGCACATGGTAGACGCTTAATAAATGTTTGTTGCATAAACGCACGTTTGTTGAAAATAAATCAATCAGTAAAATGAAAATGCTATTCCTTCTTCAACATTCTATGTATTTTTTATGTTTAAAGTTGTAATGGTGGCCAGGCACAGTGGCTCATCCCTATAATCCCAACACTTTGGGAGGCTGAGGTGGGAGGATCGTTTGAGTCCAGGAGTTTGAGACTAGCTTGGGCAACATGGCAAGACCTGTCTATAAAAAAAAAAAAAAGAAAAGAAAAAAAAATTAGCAGCACATGGTGGCATGTGCCTGTAGTCCCACCTACTTGGGAGTCTGAGGTGGGAGGATGGCTTGAGCCTGGAAGTTTGAGGCTGCACTAAGCCCAGATCATGCCACTACATTCCAGCCTGGGCAACAGAGCAAGACCCTGTCTCAAAAAAAAAAAATGGTAATGGTGATAGAATGGGATGCAAAGATTGGATAGATAAAGCAAATAGAATCAGGGCATATGAGGTATGCTCTTTGTCATTATGTCATTTATTGCTTGGGTGAATCATATTATTATTACTATTTTTTTTGGATGGAGTTTCACTCTGTTGCCTAGGCTGGAGCGCAGTGGTGCAATCTTAGCTCACTGCAACCTCTGCCTCCTGGATTCAAGCGATTCTCCTGCCTCAGCCTCCCAAGTAGCTGGGACTATAGGCGTGTCCCACCATGCCTGGCTAATTTTTTGTATTTTTAGTGGAGATGGGGTTTCACTGTGTTAGCTAGGATGGTCTCAATCTCCTGACCTTGTGATCTGCCTGCCTCGGCCTCACAAAGTGCTGCAATTACAGGCATGAGCAACCGTGCCCAACCAGAATCATATTATTTTTGATTCTCATTTTTTTCATTTACAAAGGAGATATTATATTAAGAGTTTCCTACTACAAGGAGAATCTGTAAAAATCAAAAGAAAAAAACATACAAATGCCTATAGGTTCTCAAATGAAAAGAGAAAAGCAAAGATATCACCTGCCCACCTTATGGTTTCAAAGAACTAAAACTAAGACTTTAGGTTCAAGATGTCAGACTACCTCTTGGGTTTATCTTCTGTCTCCCCAGGTTCAGGACATTTTACCTAACTAAATGAGAATAAAATGATTTTTTTTTTTTTTTTTTGAGACAGGGCCTTGTTCTGTCGCTCAGGCTGGAGTGCAGTGGCGCCATCATAGCTCACTGCAGCCTCAACCTCCCTGGCTCAAATGATCTTCCCACCTCAGCCTCCTGAGTAGCTGGGGCTACAGGCACCTGCCACCACACCCAGCTAATTTTTTTGTATTTTTTGTAGAGGGAGAGTTCATCATGCTTCTCTGGTTTGTCTTGAACTCTTGAGCTCAAGCAATCCACCTGTCTCAGCCTCCCAAAGTGCTGGGATTACAGGTGAGCCACTGTGCCTGGCAAGAATAAAATGATCTCTAAAAGTATAAATTCAACATGTATAGAATGGAAGGGCCACGCTCCTGTCTTAGGGTCACTGCATTCTCTACCCCTCTGCCTAGAACAGTCTTCCCCAGCCACTCACACAGCAAAATCCCTCACTTCCTCTGTCTTTACATGAATCTTGCTTTGCAGTGAAGTCACCCAAATGGCTCTGCGCTCCTCCTACCCAACATTCTTTTCTGTTTTTCCCCATGGGATTTATCGCTTATACTATATGCTTTCCTTTTTTTTTTTTTTTTTTTTTAAGAGTTGGGGTCTTGCTTTGTCACCCAGGCTGGAGTATAGTAGGGTGAACATGGCTTACTGCAGTCTCAAACTTTCGGGCTCAAGCAATACTCTTGAGTAGCTGGGACTACAGGCACAAGCCATCGCACCTGGCTAATTCTTTTTTTAAGAGATGGGGTCTTGCTATCCTGCCCAGGCTGGTCTTGAACCCTTGGCCTCAAGCCTCCAAAGCCACTGGGATTATAGGCATGAGTCACTGCACCCAGATATTTACTTCTTTATTATGTTTTTGTTCTCCACTGTCTACTTTTCTCCAACAGAATGCTGTTTTGTTCACCGATGCATTTCAGATGCCTAGAGCAGTAAGCAATGCCTGGCACATAAATAAATAATTGTGGAATGAGTAAATGAAATGCTGAATGAAAGTTCAACATATCTGTAGAAGATAAAGGAGTGAGAAGAGTAGTCACTGATGAAATAGGTGGAAGAAGCTGAAGGACAGCCCCCAGGAGGGTAAACCGTTGGAATGAATCAAGACTTAGAAAATAACAGTTCTTAAGAAGGACATGAGGATCAAAAGAGAATTGAAAGGGACCAGCTACCAGCTTCCTCCCTATCTGATTCACACATAATGCAGTAGCCCTGAATCTCCTCCAATTATGTCTTTTTTTTCCCCTTTTGGGGAGAGCAGTGGCCATGATCACGGCTCACTGCATCCTTGAACTCCTGGGCTCAAGAGATCCTCCCACCTCAACTTCCTGAGAAACTGGGACTATAGATGTGTGCCATCATACCTGGCTAATTTTCTTATTTTTAGTTTTTTGTAGAGACAGAGTCTCAGTTTGTTGTCCAGGCTGGTCTTGAACCAGCCCTGGCTTGAACCTGGCTTCAAGTGATCCTTCCACCTCAGCTTCCCAAAGTGCTGGGATTACAAGCGTGAGCCACCACACTTGGTCCCAATTATGTCCTTGACCAGTATTGCCTAAAGGTTATACTCCACACTTTGGGAGGTTCAGGGATAAAGGATAGACAGAGTATCTATCTGTCTAGGATAGATTAAAGCAGGATATTTTAAGGAAGACACTGCAAAAAAAAAAACGTTTCCTAGTAACCCTAGGGAAAATAAACATTTGTTAAGAAATCTATTCACAGTATATTACTTGGTTTGTAATGGACAACATTTACATAGTCTTAATAATGTAAACACTTCATTGGCTTATCTAATGCCAGTTATATGACAATATAGGGGAGAGGGGCCGAGGAGTGGTGTAACAGAGTTAAATCCTCATCTGCCATAGCCAGAAAACAGATGTCAGAATTTGATTTTCTTAAAAATCAGTAAAAGCAATGTTAATATACCATTTAGTATATGGAGGTAATGACTAGAAAGAACAGCTAAATTAAAAATGTTTGCCCCTGACTGGAATTACTGAAGGTGTGTGGGACGGTCGGCCATGGGATTACTGTTTTGTGATACGACATTTAGGGAATTTACAAAGTCTCTAAAGTTTGTCGAGTCGATAGCCTTCTGAACAGGTGAAAAATTCTGATAAGAGAAATAGTAGAGCTGTGGCCTCACTCAGGTGGAGGTGCTGATGGAAGGGATACCAGCAGACATTATTCAGAGACATTTGGTCATATATGTTCCAGAGCTGAACTGCCAGTTGATTGGAAAATCTGCAAATAACTGAAATTGTTTGCTTTGATGACACTAGTCAACCTGCTCAAGGCCAGCTGCTCAAACTGACCTATATTCTAGCTGTCAGTGTATTTTAGCTTATTTTATCCCCCAAAATAAAACATCAATCTACCAAAAAATGCATCTATGTATATGTATGTGTGTGTACATGTGTATGTGTGTGTGTATATGTATGACTCACTGACCCCGCACAGTCAAATATTCTTCTTTCCCCTTTCCCTCATCTCTTTCCATCATTTCATCTCCTACTGATACTTTCATTGGTTCTTTGAATAGGGCCCTGTGTGGGATCCTTCACTAAAGCTTCCTTAATTCAGGCAGCGCATCTTCTCGGTGCTCCAGTCTGTCCCCCTTATCCCTGTCTCATTCTAGCAGTCCACACCCAAGGGTCTTGTTACCCTCCCAAGGGCACCCTGGGAAGAACTTAAAATGGTTCCAGACTGGCTGTTTCTCCCAGGTGGGTTTTATCTGATCCATGAGAAACCCTCACACATCCTTTCCCACAGTCTGGGATGGCAGCTTGATCCCAATGCAGCCACAGGCCACTTCAGCCTTCTTAGGCATGAGGCAGGCCCCAGTGTTCTATGTCCTCTGATTCTAAGGAAGACACCTCACCAGGCTTGAGGTGATGAAGTAAACAACCCACTTGAGGAGGGCACACAGCACCTCATCAGTTCTCACCAAAGAGATCTCTTCACAAATCCTGACCCTCTACATCCTCTTCCTCATTTCTATGTCTTAGGTCTGGGCGAAGGATCCAAGATTATAATTGATTCTCAGCTATTTCTTTTGTAATTCTGTATATCCACTGCCTCAGTTTGAATTGCAGCATTAGTTGTATCTTGGTGCTCTGGCACAAATTTCAATTTCAACATAATATTACACACATACCACTTTTGTGATAATAATATTACCAATTTTGTAAAAATATAACAAACAAGAGAGAATTTAATAAATGCTAGTAATAGAACTAGACTCAGGTAGGTGTACATTCCCCTGACATCTTCCCTGCCCAGTGCAGATGAGACTATTGCTGAAGTCTTATCCTCTTTGTACTCAAGCTCTCAGAGGACTAAAAATCTTCATGGTCCAGATCCTAAGGCTCTGAACCTACAGCCTGATTCCTGTTTTCCAAAAAGGGAGATGGACTAGTGTTAGTGCAGTTTCAACAACATGCTCGTCCCACTGTGCAAAGCTGCAACTTTCTCATTCTCTTGATTTCTACTTCATGCTGTGTCTACGAACTTCCTATCTTCTGGCAAGTATTACCTAAAATCCAACCCCACATTTGGGGGAGCTCAGGTATAATGAGCAGAGGATGAACTTAGGAATTAGACTGATGGCAGATTGAATAAAGCCTGTCACTCATTCTGTGGTATTGGGTAAGTTACTTAAGCTTCCAGAACCACAATTTAAAAAATCTATACAATGAAAACAACCCTCATCAACCTTAAAGGGTTAATATGAGGATCCACTGAGAAGGCACATGAAATGGAGAACGAATGAGAAAAAAAAGTTTATTTTGCACCTGCTATGTACTAGGCAGTTTAGATACATTTCTTCCTGATTTTTAATATCCTTATAATATAGGAGTCCTCTACTTGTAGCCTCTGATTTCCCAACCAGATTTAGCCATAATCACCAAGGTCCTCTGACTAGAGTAGGCAGCCCATTAGGAGCTCCCTGGCCACCATGAATGGGGGCTAGAATTGGTGGTGTTGCTCTGTGTCTGACACCCATCATGCCCATAGTGACTGAGTCTTTGGGTCCTTACACCCCCTGAATCCTCTGCTATGTTTTCTCAGATCACATGGCTGGTTGGTATTATTGGCTTGTAACTTTTTAACTTTTGCTTCTCCGATGGTCTTGAATTCTTGCCCTGAAACCAAGCCCTGTTTTCTGGAGCCCTGACCTGCTTAGCCCTGGCTAATTCTCTCTCAGTCATGTTCTTTACCCACTGGAACCTGTTTCAAACTAGACCAACAAAGCAATAATATTCTTATCTGCCAAGAAACACCATGTCATCATGTCAGATTGTACCCCCCTTTGGATTCCATCCTTTGGTGTGAATTAAGTGGGATATTTTAGTTTGAGTTCTGGTCACATCCCATTTTGCCAGAGCCCCTATCCCCAAACCCTCCCTGACAGTTATAGTGAGATTGGTTCGCTAGACTCAATACAGGTACATTCCCTTACTTTTCTCTTCCCCATTGGCCTAGGCTGCTGAAGTCTCATCATTCTTTGTGCCCAAGCCGCTTATGAGACTTGAAGCCCTCAAGATCCACACCCACTCCTTCTAGATCTTAGTCTCTAGATTTCCCAAGAACAGTTAGGATAATTTTAAAATGAAGTAGGTTACTTTTAAATCCATGAGACATAGCCATCTTTTTAATGGCATCCATGTCTAAAGCGTTGAGCCGAATATTCACTGTGAAGTGATGATAGGGAATGAAGTCCCTGCCTCGGCAGTGGTCACATCTGTGGGCATCTTCTTCTAAAAAGCGGGCACATTTCAAGTGCATGGCTTTTCTCTGGTCCTTGAGCCACAGCTCGTAGGCTGTTTTCTGCATCATAGGGTTACAGAATCGAATCCTGTGGCACTCGATCACCTCATTCTCCAGTTCACGAAGCTGTTCCTCTTCACCGTGATCTGGAGAGAGCAAAAAGGGTTTTTCAGCCAGGCAGTGGGCAACAGATCAGCCCCTTCTACCTAACATAGGTCAATTCTTTGATCTAGATGGGTCCTTAAGAGGAAATTGGGTCACTCCAGGTGCTACTCACCCATCCCTTCACTGGGCTTCAGAGACAAGGAACGATAGTGCACCTCAAATGAGGGATCATTCTGTTTCAGGGCCTTTTGAAGCTCCTTGCCATTCCGGAAACAATAAAAAATGTTAGATTCCACTAGGGTTGCCAGGGTCTTGATCATCATCTTCATATTCCAACAGGGGAGAATCTCAAACAACAACTCAGTGGTGAAGGTCAGGCCAATGATGGCAGCACATCTCACCAGCATTTGGTGGGAAAGTCTCATGCTATCCAGCTGGATCAGAGAGATTTCTGCAGGTAGAAGGCCACACAGTAGAAAACTAGTTATTTATCTTTATC
This sequence comes from Homo sapiens, assembly GCF_000001405.40. Taxonomy (NCBI): domain Eukaryota; kingdom Metazoa; phylum Chordata; class Mammalia; order Primates; family Hominidae; genus Homo; species Homo sapiens. Next base: position 167,846,312 of record NC_000001.11, read on the forward strand.
TAATATGCTGTATTTAATATAGAGCAGGTGGACAACCATCCTGCTCTACAGTTCTTGTTGCAAGAAACTCAGCCAAGCTAAGTCAAAAGAAGTATTTGTTTAGTACCTAATTTGTGGATAGCACTTGTGCTGGGAGTACTAAAGATGCAGGCTTATGGCCTAGAAAGACACACAGCACAATGACCTGACAAAATTAAGATCTATTTCATGGTGTTCTGATTTTGTGCTAAAGTGTGACAAGTGTGTGTGAGGAGAGGAGAGGACATTGTAATCACTATTGTCAGAAGGAGCAGGCCCTGCCATTCCTGTGCTTTGTTGACTTCCTCAGCTGGTCCTTTTGTATCTTCTTCTCTGCCTCCCCTTTCTCCTAGAAACTCCTGGTTTCTCTCTATCTGCCCTAGAAATTTATGTATTCTCATGACATACATTATCATCTCTGTGTCATGACCAAGTGTCAGAGAGTTCACAGCTCCTATCCCAACTTTTCATCTAAGCTTGAATATCGGTAGCTCATGTGACTTTCTGGACATTTTGACCAGGATGTCCTTCTGTTAGGGACAAAATTAGAATTTCTCAACTTGCCCAAAAAACACAGTAGAAACTAAGCTAGTCCATCCTCTTTTTTTTTTTTTGAGATGGAGTCTCACTCTTGTTGCCCAAGCTGGAGTGCAATGGCTGATCTCGGCTCACTGCAACCTCCGCCTCCTGGGTTCAAGAGATTCTCCTGCCTCAGCCTCTTGAGTAGCTGGGATTATAGGCACCCACCACCATGCCCGGCTAATTTTTTGTGTTTGTAGGAGAGATGGGATTTCACCATGTTGACCAGGCTGGTCTCGAACTCCTGACCTCAGGTGATCCACCTGCCTCGGCCTCCCAAAGTGCTGGGATTACAGGTGTGAGCTACTGCCTTCTTACATTAGTAGACACAGCTAACGAAACATAAATGGCACTCTTTTGAAGACTGAGGACCTTGAGATGTCCCTAGGCCACCTTTCTAAACATTGAAAGTTGCTTATGGATGGCATGAATTGGAGCTGAGTTCATACTAAAACATTCCTTGAAAGTCATTTTTCTTTAAAAGAATAATAATACATCTTTCTTTCTTTCTTTCTTTCTTTTTTGAGACAGAGTTTTTCTCTTGTTGCCCAGGCTGGAGTGCAATGGCGTGATCTCGGCTCACTGCAACCTCCGCCTCCTGGGTTCAAGCAATTCTCCTGCCTCAGTCTCCTCAGTAGCTGGGATTACATGCATGCGCCACCATGCCCGGCTAATTTTTTTTTGTATTTTTAGTAGAGACGGGGTTTCTCCATGTTGGTCAGGCTGGTCTCTAGAACTTCTGACCTCAAGTGATCCACCCGACTTGGCCTCCCAAAATGCTGGGATTACAGGAGTAAGCCACTGTGCCTGGCCAATAATATGTCTTTCATATAAACTCGTTTGTCATTTCTTTCTCATAAAAGTGGATGACAGGAAGTATCTCAGTATTAGATTTTCTCCCTCATTATTTGGTTTCTGTTTAATTGAAAATGTACAATATTTCATTCTTTTATGCAGATCCCAGAATATACACAGGGGGAAAGATGGCTCTTAGGAGCAAAGCCAAGCCTACCCTGAGCCTTCTCACTGCTTCAGGCAGTACAGAGCAAACAGACAAACAACCAATGTTGCTGTTTTTCTTTTTCCTTTTAAAAACAGACATCCTAGAGAAAGCCAAAGTGGAGTTTAGGGACTAGAAAATAAATACCAGGTCAGATTTTCTTTTCTTTTTTTTTTTGAGATGGAGTCTCACTCTGTCACCCAGGCTGGAGTGCAGTGGCTCACTGCAACCTCCGCCTCCCAGGTTCAAGCAATTCTCCTGCCTCAGCTTCCCGAGTAGCTGGGATTACAGGTGTGTGCCTGGCTAATTTTTTTGTATTTTTAGTAGATACGGGGTTTCACCATATTGGCCAGGCTGGTCTCAAACTCCTGACCTTGTGATCCGCCCGCCTCGGCCTCCCAAAGTGCTGGGATTACAGGCGTGAGCCACTGCGCCCGGCCAGATTTTCTTACCTTTTAATGACGTTGGAGGTGACAGGTTTTTCAGTCTGACACCACTTGTGAGGTGACAGACTTCTTCACTTTCCTTATCACTATGGAGAGTAACCATGTTTAACTTCTCTGTTAGCTTAATGGAATACTCTACAGGGGTATAAAAGGGAAGAAAAGTTGAGTCATTATCCTGTCTTATAAGGTCTGATTTTCCAATGAACTTTGAGATGGATCTCATATGAGGAAGACTGGGCAGAGATGTATATTGGCTCACCAAATATTCTGGAAACCTTTTTTTTGTTTTGTTTTGTTTTGTTTTTTGTTTTTTTGAGGTGGAGTCTCTCACTGTCGCCCAGGCTGGAGTGCAGTGGCGTGATCTTTGCTCACTGCAACCTCCGCCTCCCAGGTTCAAGCGATTCCTGCCTCAGCCTCCCAAGTAGCTGGGATTACAGCCGCCCACTACCATGCCTGGCTAATTTCTGTAGAGATGAGGTTTCACCATGTTGGCCAGGCTGTTCTCAAACTCCTGACCTCAAGTGATCTGCCTGCCTCGGCCTCCCAAAGTGCTGGGATTACAGGTATGAGCCACACTGCACCAGGCCGCTGGAAACCTTATTCTAAGTAAAACTGATTCATGAAAATCTAGATGTACTCAAAAATGTTTTGTCTCCCTCTGCCAACCCTGCCCAACCAAAAGAATTGGCACTATTGATGTCTTCCATAGGATATAAGGCTTTACAAACGTTTGATTCACAGTCAGATTATCAGAATGTATTATATATGTATTATGTATATACATAATGTATATCAGAATGTATTATTATATATATACATAAACATATATTTGTATGTATACATTTACATACCCACACTCAGTTACAAACACATTCTGTGAGGCACTGTACTCTAATTAGGACATAGCTACTATCAGAGATATTTTAAATGGTGAAGTTTGAATAGTAAATGTGCCTAGTAATTTGGTTTCCTAGTACTCCAAAATGCATTATTTTTCTATCCCTTCAGCCATTCATGTAGTCCTTGGTAGCGGCAAGACTGTGCTAGGTGAGGTGGAAATAGGAAGGTGAATAAAACCAAGTTCCTTATTTCCTGGAGCTCTAAGTCATGTACACTAAGAGCTGGACTGCCAGGCAGTAGATGAGTGCCATGTGATTGGGCACATACAGTAAGCACCAGAGTTCACATCAATACAGGACATATTTATTAAGGACTTTCTGTGCATCATATCCAGTGAAGGCTATCAATGTGAATAACACATGCTTCCAGCCCTCAAGAGGCTTAAAAATCTGTGGAGACAGATACATAAGTAACTAATTATAACATCAGGATGGGTGACTTAAGAGCTAAAGAGCAAAGAGTAACATGTTGTGGGAACAGAAAATAACAATTAAATCAGACTTGGTGGATTCAGAAAGGCTTGATAGGGGAGGAAGTACTTTGATCCTTGAAGGATGAAGAGATATTCTAAGCGGCAAGTGGAGGAGAGGCCAACGCGAAGGCACAGGAACCTCAGAGTACTTAGCGAGTTAGGGGAATGGAGCGGCCCAGCGTGACTAAAGTGCAGGGCCTGGAGTGCTCAGGTGCTATGTGGGAGACGTGTTTGGAGAGCTAGTTTGGGAGCAGAGCATGGAGGGCATTAAACACCATAATATGAAGACTGGACTTTATAGACAAGAGGGAAAGGTCACAGATTTCTGAAGAGGAGATAGTAGTAATCCAACTAGTCGTATTTAGGAAGGTACCACTGGAAGCAGCATATGGAAAAGGCGAGAGACTAGGACAGGGAAGACTATGTAAGGAGCTATAACAATGGAATGTCAAGAAGTGAGGATGGATAGAACCAGGCAAGTGGTTCAGCAAGGAGAAAGCAAATACTAAAGATATGGAGGAAATGGGGCCTAAGCAAGACAGTGATAGAAGTGACAGAGACACGAAGTACAGAAGGAGGGGTGGTTGAGCGGGAGGATAATGCATGAAGTTTTAGATTTATTAAGTTTAAGGGAATCTGTGGAATAGTTCAATGGGCAATTGGAAATATGGGTGTGGAATTAAGGGTGAGGTTAGGGTTCGACACACACGAAGGCTGAGAAATAGATGAGTAAATGAAAACAACTGGGGAGAGAGTTGTTTCCAATTCTGGCAAGCTAGCAAGAGGAAAGGGTTAAGGATAGAACTTGAAGAATGTCCCAGGAGGAGTAGACCCAGGTAGAGAGCCAAGGATTATCTGAGGACTGGTCAGAGAGGGGAACAGGAGGAGTGTGGGGTCAGGAAAGCCAAGGGAGGATAGCATACCAAAAAGGGGGCCGTGTGTGTGTGTGTGTGTGTGTGTGTGTGTGTGTGTGTGTGTGTGTTGGGAGTAGGAGAGTGGGGCTCAAGGATATGACGTGGTCCATGCTATTTTATGCTTATTTCCCCTTCCAGGACCTAGCATTGAGACAACCATTCTTTCCATCACTCAACCAGTATTAACTGATTGCCTCTAGGTGCTAGGAATTTTCCTAGGATTGGGGATTCAGGAGAGCACAAAACTCCATGCCTCATGAAGCTCACATTCTAGTGGGAAACAAACATTAAACAATAGATAAATACATTAAAAGGATAATCTCGTAATTCAATTATGTGAAAGAAATAAAAGGGTGATAGACAGAATGTACTCCCTACTCAGGTTCGCCTGTTGTCAGCCTTTGCCCTATTTACTATATCCTAGGTTCCTTCTATGTGTACATATTTTTCTGAAGCATTTGAATATAAGTCACATACATCACACCCTATACTCCCAAATACTTTACTCTGTATTTTCTAAAAATATTGACACTCTTTTGTTTGTTTGTTTGTTTTGTTTTTTTGAGACAGGGTCTCACTCCTGTTGCCCAGGCTGGAGTGGAGAGTTGTGATCATAGCTTGCTGCAGCCTCAACCTCCCTGGCTCAAGCAATCCTCCCACCTCAGCCTCCCAGGTAGCTGGGACTACAGGCGTGCGACACCACACCCGGCTAATTTTTGTATTTTTAGTAGAGATGGGGTTTTGTCATGTTGCCCAGGAAGGTCTCAAACTCCTGGGCTCAAGCAATCCGCCCGCCTCAGACTCCCAAAGTACTGGGATTATAGGTGTGGGCCACTGCACCTGGCCAACACTCTCTCATATAACTAGAATATAGTTATCACCTTCAAGAAACTTAACATTGGTCGGGCACAGTGGCTCACGCCTGTAATCCCAGCATTTTGGGAGGCCGAGGTGGGTGGATCACAAGTTCAGGAGTTCAAGACCAGCCTGGCCAAGGTGGTGAAACCCCGTCTCTACTAAAAATGCAAAAAAAATTAGTCAGGCATGGTGGCAGTTGCCTGTAATCCCAGATACTCGGGAGGCTGAGGCAGAGAATTGCTTGAACCCAGGAGGCGGAGGCTGCAGTGAGCCAAGATCGTGCCACTGCACTCCAGCCTGGGCGACAGAGTGTCTCAAAAAAAAAAAAAAAGAAATTTAACATTGATACAATACTTTAGTCTACTGTCCATATCCCAATTTTGTGAATTGATCAAATAATATCCTTTAACATTCTCTTTTCTTCCAGTATAGGATCCAGTCCAGGATTATGTATCATATTTATTTTTTTAATTGAAGTGAAATTCACCTAACATGCAATTAATTATTTTAAAGTATACAATTCAGCGGCCTGTAGTGCATTCACAATATTATGTAACCAGAATCTCTCCTTAATTTCAGTTTTTTAAAATTAAGACACAAAAGACACTGAAGGGTTTTAAATAGAGAAGACACCTGATTGTGTTTTAAAAAGCTCATAACAGGGCCAGGTGCAGTGGCTCACACCTGTAAACCCAGCATTTTGGGAGCCCGAGGCGGGCAGATCACTTGAGGTCAGGAGTTCAAGACCAGCCTGGCCAACATGGCAAAACCCTGTCTCTACTAAAAATATGAAAATTAGCTGGGCGGTAGTGGTGCATGCCTGTAATCCTTGCTACATGGGAGGCTGAGGCAGGAGAACTGCTTGAGCGCAGGAGACGGAGATTGCAGTGAGCCGAGATCGTTCCACTGCACCCCAGCCTGGGCGACAGAGTGAGACTCTGTCTCAAAAAAAAAAGCTCATAACGGATACTACATAAACATTTATTGAACAAGTAAACAAAGTAAACAAATGTATAAAATTTAGAAATAGTATTTACTCTGCAGTATTTATATTTACATATCGCTTTCCTTTAATCCATTGGCATCTTAATATTATTATAATGGAATTATTTAGTCTAAAAATAATAATCATAGCAGTCATTATCTATTTAATGATCCACTATCATCTTTAAAACTAATTTGGCCAGAGAAAGTCTTCTCCATTTTTTCATCACAATCATCCAGAAAGAAAAAAAAAATTGATCTTTCCTTAAAAAGCAAGCTAATGTTTCTTGTTCCTTAAAAAAAAAAAAGGTAGAGCTTTGCCCTGTTCTCTCAGACAACCATCTGTCTCATTTCTCCTACAGATGTGCCCTTGGGGGCCACATGGTCCTGTAGTCATGCTATTGAACAAGAAGTGAGAGGCAACAGATGCAGCACAGACTGAAACATGGATAGGGACATCTGAGCATCATTCATTCACCCAGGAGGCAGGGGTTTTTAGGAAGCAAGAGGAATCTTTTTTATGAAATTTCCCTCATTGTCACCTTTAGGTGGTGATTTTCTATCCTGCTACATAGAGACAGCAGCACCATAAGTCCTTTATTGCACCGTATTCACCTCATCATGACACTGATCTCACACCTATATTCTTGTCTTTAAATTTAGTCGCAGAGGAATACGTTTTGACCCTCTAGGTTTAGTAATATTAATACACGTCGTGCTTATAGCTGTTAAATCATCGTATTACTTAATTTGAGTCACAAAAAAATGAAGAGGCTTCCAATTCCAGGAAGAGAGAGTTGGTATGTTTTTCCCTATTCCTCCTGCTAAATATAGTTAAAACCCCTAGACGTTATGTGTAAAACAAACAGAAGATGACATTGAAGGTGGAAAGAAGTCAGACCAGCTAGGGACCTTAGGACCCAAGGAAAAACGTGGCAGTGGGTCCCATGGCAGGGCTTTCTTTTTGCCTCACATGTTCAAGACTTAGAGCTTAAGAATCTAGCAACTCAGAAACACCAAGGGAGTGGAAACAAAAAAAGTCCCAATTAAAGCCTGCTCTATCTAGCCTTAATTCTCTGCTTTCCAACTTGTAATCTCTGGCCCCCACCCTTTTCCCTGCAATAAAATTATTTTCCTAAAAATTCCAACTGGCCTCCTTCATGCCATCACTTCAGATTTCATCCCTGTATATATCTGTGTAGCACGGGATCTTTGTTGATAACTCACTTCGTACTAGCAATTTTACCTCTGGCAAAAAAGGAAAGGCTTTTTGAAGATAACATCAAAGCGGCCCTTCAGTTCTGGGCCTTAAGATTTGTCAATGTTCTTTCATTTCTACTATAGTTACTTTTTTTTTTTTTTTTTTTTTTTTTTGAGACAGAGTCTCACTCTGTTGCCCAGGCTGGAGTGCAGTGGTGCAATCTCAGCTCACTTCAACCTCCACCTCCCAGGCTCAAGAGATACTCCTGCCTCAGCCTCCCGAGTAGCTGGGATTACAAGCACCCACCACCACACCTGGCTAATTTTTGTATTTTTAGTACAGATGGGGTTTCACCATGTTGGCCAGGCTGGTCTTGAACTCCTGACCTCAAGTGATCTGCCTGCCTCGGGCTCCGAAAGTGCTGAGATTTAGGCGTGAGCCACCGCGCCCGGCCATAGTTAGACAATCTTTAGCCGAGTCCAGTGAGTCCCAGGCAATGTTAAGTTCGCTTACAATCTGGAATATCGGATCCAATAATTCCTGGCTCCCCAGAACCTTCTGACTCTACAGGAAGCAGCCTGTGGAATAGCTCATTTTTGCTACCTTCTCTGAATGAAGACTTAAGTTAGGCAGAACAGAGTAAGAAAGAACCATCACCGCAGGACTTACTGAACAGGTTATTCCAGGTCCTATTTGTCTTTTCCTCAGACTCCGTTTGTTGGAAAACGAGTACCTCATGATGTTCCAGGTTTTTAAGCAATTCTTCACAGTAAAATGGAATCCCACAGCTTCCCTCCCCCAGGTACCTGTAGTGAAAACAAGGCAATCTGTTTACATTGAAGATACATCTTTTAGGAAGGAAAAATATGTAAGTCTTCTCAATCACTTGAAAATAATTTCTTGTCATTCTTCATTTGTTTCTGTTTGTTTTCAGTTTTGAGGCATTGCTTTGTTTTCTTTTTATTTCACTCATGTGTGTACACAATAAGTGTGCACACACTTGATTTATAGTTTTTAAAACAGACATTGGAAGGATAAGCCAAAAACTAATCAAAATGGTTACCTATAGGATAAGGGAGGGAAGCAAGACTAAGGATGTACCTTTTTGGCTTTGGAAAGATATACATGTTCTATATAATTTAAACAGAGAGAGGGGGAGAGAGAGAGAGAGACCGACAGAAAGAATGAGTGCCAAATTGGTGCCTGGAGTTATCTTAAATGAGCCTTTGTTCAAGACATCTTCCTTCCAGAAGCAGGGCAACCTCATTGCAGATACTAAGATGGGCTGTAAACAGCCAGCTAAAGAAAAAACATTCTCTATGTTGTTAAGGTGACTGCTGTCAGGACGCCAGGAGAGCCAGGCTCGGTGGCTCACGCCTGTAATCCCAGCACTTTGGGAGGCCGAGGAGGGCGGAGCATCTGAGCTCAGGATTTCAAGACCAGCCTGACCAATATGGAGAAACCTCATCTCTACTAAAAATACAAAATTAGCTGGGCGTAGTGGGGCATGCCTGCAATCCCAGCTACTCGGGAGGCTGAGGCAGAAGAATCGCTTGAACCCGGGAGGTGGAGGTTGCGGTGAGCCGAGATCGTGCCATTGCACTCCAGCCTGGGCAATGAGAGCGAAACTAGGTCTAAAAAACAAAAAACAAACAAACAAACAAACAAACAAAAAACAAAGAAAACCCCAGGAGAGGAATCACTGAAAAGCTCAGAGAGCACTCACCAGTGAGTCAGCTTTCCACATCTGCCATAGACAGAGAACACCAATACCAGACCACACCATTGCCAGCCAGGTAAGACCTTGCTTAGTGGCAGGTCATGGTCTTTAACGCTTACCAGTTTGCCTTTCCTGTCACTTGCCCATAACAATGCTCTTAGTCACTGCAGGTTAAAGTGAGTATACCCATACCCCCCATGATGAAAGGGAAATAGAGCTTTTCACTAAGCAAAGTTTAAGAAGGCGTAACAGGGAGGCAACATGGAAAAGGTGAGCAACATCCATCCTACCAAGCATTATGAATGGCTCCTTCAAAAGGTGGACCAGACCAAGCATGGTGGCTCACACCTGTAATCCCAGCATTTTGGGAGGCTGAGATGGGAGGATTGCTTGAGCCCAGGAGTTCATGATCAGCCTGGGCAACACTGTGAGACCCCATCTCTACAGAAATAAAAAATTTACCGGAGGTGCACACCTGTAGTTCTGGTACTCAGAAAGCTGAGGCAGGAGGATGGCTTGAGCCCAGGAGGTCAAGGCTGCAGTGAGCCATGATGGCACCACTACACTTCAGCCTGGGTGACAGAGTAAGACCCTGTCTCAAAAGAAAACAGAAAAAAAGAAAAGAAAAATTTTTTAAAAGGTGGGGCCAGGAAAGATACTGAAATAGGCACATCAAGACACATACTAAGAAATCTGATGAAGTCTAGACCGAGGGAATGTATGCAGATGTCGAGAGTTCAGAATAGAAAGAGGTTACTTACGAGTCCAGTTCTTTGGAGATGCAGCTCACATTGAGGTCAAGACAGATCTTGTTGGAGATGTCGTTAGGCTGTACTGCACCAATGACAATGTAGGTGGTGTTCCTGTTCTTTATTACGGCCCTGGCAGCTGCACAGGGAATGTTAACGAAGGGACACAGGGACATAATGATGAAGATAGGAAGAGTCCGGATAAGCTTCTCCATAAATCTCCAGGAGGTCGAATCCACAAACTGGGCCTCATCAATGATAAAAATAATCCTTTCCTCTTTCACTATCTGGACAAGATGCAGAAAGAGAAAGAGAAACACCATAGGACGTCAGGTTTTTTTACACATGTATGGGTATGCATATGTATCCATTGAGCTTCCTGGTTTGCTTATGATGCAGCGAAAGAACTAAGTTCAATCTTTTCTTTCCAGTAACTTTGCATTCATTTATATTCCATTAACTTAGAATTTGTGGCTATTTGGACAGAGCTGGCTGGAATGGACTCTTACTTGGTCAAAGCTTTGTGTAAAGATAGTGCAAATTTGGAGAATAGATGGAGTTTTAGGGGTACCCACAAAAGCTAACTGAAGTGCCCATTACATAAAAATAACTGGTTTGTTAATTATGAGTCATTTTAATCTATTGAACAATACAGTTGTCCTGGGGAAATCTACTTGACATTTATTCAACCAGCATATATTCAGCACATGCTTACTGAGCACCCCCTGGGCTAGGTGCTGAACAAAACTAGTCCTCGCCCTGCTGGCAGCCGATGCTATTCTAGCTTGAAATGTGGTATGTGTTGCACTTAAAAAACAGATCACAGGTCCCTTTTCTCATATAGACTACCCTCCCCTAAGTAGTCTGAATTATTTATTCACTCATTAAGCATTTATTGTGCATCTATCAGGGTCAGGTGCTGTTCTAGGTACTGGGAATACAGTCTCAAACAAAATACGGAGCCTACATTTTAGCGTCAACCACTTACGTAGCAGGCTCTGCCTTACCACTGTGTAAGGTGTCACAATGCAGAAAACCGGCTCCCCAGTTCTCACTGCTCCAGACTGCTAATGGCTGCTTTTTGTTTCCCTCTGAGAAGAGATTGAGTTAACCCATTCTTTCTCTTTGTGCTTGACAGTCATTATAAAGTGTTATAACCTGCCTTGTTCACACATACCTAAGTCTACTCCTGCAGCCCCGTTCTGTCACCAAATACTTAGCCCTTTGACTAGCCCTGAGAACAGTTTAATTAATGAGGAGGTAAGCACTACATTGTTTTGAGTTTGACTGGTATCTTTAAAAAGATGGGGCAGATAGAAATTTAAGTTTTAATCTTGGGATAGCCTTGTTAATGAATTATTCATAAATTGAAGAGAATAAAGCAGGAACAAAAAATCATGAATTCAATAATAAAACATTGGCCTGGTTTCTTCTAATCTAAAATGAGGATTGGGTTCTTTTTAAAGTGAAAAAAAGCCAACACTTACATTATACTTACTATGTTCCAAGTACTGCGGGATGCTCTTTACATAATTAACTCACTTAATCCTCACAACATCCATATAAAGTGGTACTATTGAATCTATTTGCTGAGAAAATTTGGGCACAGAGAAGTTAAGTAACTTGCCCAGGGTCACACAGATAGTTAATGGTCCAAAGACTTGTCAGTACATAATCAAACACAGCTTTGGTAGCAGTTTCCAAACAAGATTCTGCTTCAGCACCAACTGAAAAGTTTTAAAACAAAAGCAAACAACTAAACAGGTTCCTAGGCCCAATCCACATCCTACTTTTTTAATCTTTAGAGTTAGAACTCACAAATCCATATTTTTAAAGGAGCTTCTTGTAAATACTTGTGATGCAAACAGTCTAAGCCCTGACACTTAGAAACTACTGATATTGTCTTGCCTATGACCTGAAGTACAAAAGAAGAAAGCTGTATTATAAATATAATACAATGCCACCAACTTATATCGATCATTTATTATGTACAATTATGAGGCACATTTCTCATCAATAGTGATATGGAAATGTTAAGAGACTCTCTGTTCTTAAGAAGCTCACAGGCCAGGTGTGGTGGCTCACACCTGTAATCCCAGCACTTTGGGAGGCTGAGATGGGCGGATCACAAGGTCAGGAGTTTGAGAACAGCCTGGCCAACATACTGAAACCCCATTTCTACTAAAAATACAAAAATTAGCTAGGTGTGGTGGTGCGTGCCTGTAGTCCCAGCTAGTCGGGAGGCTGAGGCAGGAGAATCGCTTGAACCTGGGAGGTGGAGGTCTCAGTGAGCCGAGACCGCACCATTGCACTCCAGCCTGGGCGACAGAGCGAGACTCTGTCTCAAAAAAAAAAAAAAAAAAAAAAAAAGAGGCTCACGATTTCCTGAGGGAGAGAGAAACAGATATATAAGTAATGAATGGCAATATGCCATAATAGTATAGAGTGTATAGTATAACTAGAAATGTGTTCACAGCCTTACAGAAGCCTGGTGGAAGAAGAATTAGTCATGTCTAGTGATCTGGGGAAGTTCTCACCAAAGAGGTGACATTGAAAGATGAGCACCATTTCTCTAGGTTAAAAAAAATCTTTTGGCTTTTATCTTATTACCACTGGGACTTATTTCGAGAGTATAAAGTATGGGTTGGTGTGATTTGCATATACTCTGAGAATTATATGAAGGATGAATTGAAGCAGAGAGGTGTGAAGCACAGAGTTTTTTGGAAAGCTATGGAAATAGTCCAGGAAAAAATGATAAGAGCCTGAACTATGGCAATAGGAAGGGAGGACAAGGAGATTCCAGAGACTGAGGTAAAAATAGTAGGACTTGGCAGTGAGTAAATGCGGGAATGTGGGCAAAAAAGAAGGCAAGGATAACTTTAAATGATACAGAATGGCATAATTTGCTACTAATGAAATCAAGGATCAGGATCAGGATGAGGAAGAAAGGGCACTATAGTAAAAAAATGAATTTGGCATTAGACACTCAACTCAGCGTGAGTCACTACATCCAAGTGGAATATATACAAGGCTCTTAGGAATATGGTTTTGGTGTTTATAAGAGAGGTGGGGACTGAAATATAAATTTGGTGATCAATATATAGCAGACAGTCGTGATATTACTGGGAGAGAGCTAACACTTGTTGAGTGTTTCTTATGAAAGAGACACTGTTCTAAGTGTTTCTACATATAATCTAGTCATTTAAACTTACATCCCAGTGAGCTACGTACTATTATTTTCCTCCATTTGATAGATGATAAAGCAGAAACATAGAGAGGGTAAGTCACTGCTTGAGGTTGCTCAGGTAGCAAGTGATAGGCCTGGGGGTTCAAACCTCAGTGGTCTGACGACAGAGCCTGCATATGTAACCACTTTGGTACATTATATCTCAACAAAGGATGAAAAAATGAGTGCTGAGAGAGGCCAGACTCCTAGGAGTAATGTTAAGGGACTCTTTTCAAGGCATCTAAATTCTAAACAGACCTTTTGCTTGAGGTTTGGAAGGATGGAGGAGAATGAAGCACTTTAGGACAAAGCCTTCACATCCTTCAAAAGCCTCTTGCCAATGTGGTCTGAACTCCTCAAACCACCTGGCTTTGTGGTGATTTGCCCAGTTTTCTTCCCCCTACTTCTTGACCCACAGATGCTCTTACCAGCTTCAAGATCTTCATAAACAATATTTCCAATTGTTTTTGCTTTTTCAAGGTGCTCATCCTGGAAATCTCCCGAGAAATAGGGAACTGTACAAAGAATTATGAGAATATTGAGTATGGGAAAATAGCAAAGGGAACTACTGGCTATGCAACTTTGGGCAAAACACTTAACTATTCTGTGTCTTAAAATCCTCATGTGTTAGATAAGTGGTCCCAACCTTTTTGGCACCAGGGACTAGTTTTGTGGAAAACAATTTTTTCATGAACTGCGGCAGAGGGGATGATTTTAGGATGATTCAGGTGCATTACATTTATTGTGCACTTTGCTTCTATTATTACATTGTAATATATAATGAAATAATTATACAACTCACCATAATGTAGATAGAATCAGTGGGAGCCCTGAGCTTGTTTCCTTGCAACTAGATGGTCCCATCTGAGGGTGATGGAAGCCAGTGACAGATCATCAGGCATTAGATTCTCATAAGGAGCATGCAACCTAGGTCCCTTGCATGCACAGTTCACAATAGGGTTCAGGCTCCTATGAGAATCTAATGCTGCTGCTGATCTGACAAGAGGAGGAGCTTAGGTGGTAATGTGAGCAATGGGGAGTGGCTATAAATAGAGATGAAGCTTCACTTGCTCACCCACTGGTTGCCTCCTGCTGTGTGGTCTGGTTTCTAACAGGCCATGAACTAGTACCAGGGGTTGAGGACCCCTGTGTTAGATAATTCAGGAAAAGACAGGGCACAGTCTGCACTGGCATCACTTGTAGGAACAGAGTGACTTTGTGTCCCAGAGTAGCTAGTATAGCTATGATAGAAAGGTAAGAAAAAAATTAGTCAGCAGATGGCCATTTGGATTTTCTTGAGTATGATATTTCAAGATACCTCTAATATGTCAAGAATGTTGATGCACATCCAGAGAGGATTGGGAGCCATTTACTCACCATCTGGATACTGCAGATATACAGACCAAAGAGATGCTAAGTCACAATGCACCAGAGAGGAGTTGCTGTGCCTGCCCATGGCTATTTGTGCAGAAGTATAATACTAGCTAGTTACCTGAACATGGAAAATGTCATTAAGAAGACAGTAGAACTTTTCATCCAACAGTGTCATGACTTTATTTCGAAGGTTGGTCTGTCGTTCTTTATAATGTTTACAAGTGTCTAGGCCTAGGACATTGGCCATGAACATCTGGATGGTATAGAAAGTTTGATGGAAGCTGATCTTATTCAATGAAATGGCAATAATCCTGTTTGTGAGAAAATCAAGAAACAGAAGAGAGTTTTTAAATATATATTTTTGAAAATAATAGAGGTTGAAGGAAAGCTCTGTCTTCTCATATTCAGCTATAATGATGGAGATTTTCCAAGCTATCTCGCAATGGTTCTTTATTGCTGCTTCTGATATACTCCCTCTTCTCCTGTTCCTAAGCCCTGATTAATTTAACCTAGCTAATTCTCTCCTTTCTAGTCCTACTGCCACCCTATACTACCACAATAGCAAGCCACTACCCCCATCCAGGTCATGACCCTCTGACTGGGAGCTCCCATTGCCTAACGGCATGAACCCAGGCCTCCTTTATGTGACACACAAGACTTTCCAAAGCCTCATTCTATCCTTTCTTGCCACTCTCTGCCTAGCAATCTACCCTTCACCAACAGCAAGCAGGTGAGAGTTCCCTGCACACCCAGAGCTATTTCTCCTCTCCATGCCTTTGCTTATGCTGTCTCCTCAGCCCAGAGTGCTATGGCTTCTCATTGCCCCTCATTTGAGGTTCATCTCAAGTCTCAGCTCAGGTGTAGCCTCCTGGAAACTGTCATCAATGTCCTAAGGTTGACTACATACCCTTTCTTCTCTGAACTTCCACAATTCTCTATTGCATGACTCTATCGTTGCCCTCACTATATTCAACTTTTAATGCTATCTGATATGGTTTGGCTCTGTGTCCTCACCCAAATCTCATCCCGTATTGCAACCCCCGAGTGTCAGGGGAGAGACCTGTTGGGAAGTGATTGGATCATGAGGGCGGTTCCCCCCATGCTGTTCTCATGATAGTGAGGGAGTTCTCATGAGATTTGATGGTTTAAAAGTTTGGCACTTCCTCCCTTGCTCGCTCTCTCCTGCCACCATGTAAGACATGCCTTGCTTCCCCTTTGCCTTCTGTCATGATTATAATTTTCCTGAGGCCTCCCTAGCCATGTGGAACTGTGAGTCAATGAAACCTCTTTTCTTTATAAATTACCCAGTCTCAGGTAGTTCTTTATAGCAGCGTGAAAACGACTAACACATTATCTCTCTCCTCCTCTTCTGTGAGAGCTCCTTGAGGGCAGAGAGCAGACTTTATTGATATTCAGGGCTTTGGCACTTGTTGACACATGTCCCCACAATTCATATGTTAAATTCTTAGCCTCTAGGGCCTCAAAGTGTGACCTTATTTGAAAAGAGAGTCGTTGCAGATACAATTAGTTAAGATGAGATCATGCTAGAGTAGGGTAGGCCTCTAATCCAATAAAACTGATGCCCTTATAAAAAGGAGAAATTTGGACACAAACAACACACAGGGAGAATGCCATGTGACATGAAGGCAGAGATTAGGGTGACGCTTCTACAAGCCATCTTTGGAACACCAAAGATGGCCAGCAACCACCAGAAGCTAGCAGGTGGGCATGAAACAGATTCTTCCTCATGGTCCAGAGAAGAAAAGATGCCTTGATCTCAGACTCCTACCCCTGAGAACTATGAGACAAATTTCTGTTGTAAGCCATCCATTTGTAGTACTTTTTTACAGAGGCCCCGGCTAGTGAATACAGCACTTAGTAGTTCCTGAACATAGTAGGAATTCAATTAATGATTGAATACATGAATAAACAAATGTCTTCTGACTGTTGTGAATTATCCCTTCAGCAATGATAAAGATATTTTAAAACTGGCCTTTCTCAGGCCTAACTTTAATGTGGGATAGAGATACAGCTAAGAATATTATAAGATTAACAAGCATTTTCCCCTCACACTGTTTAGGTTAGGTGGGGAAGGGATATGAGTCACCATCATTATTGTCCTGGTCATCACCACTGTTATTGAATACCATACTATCTACTTCCATGAGGAAGTAGAATGGATTGTCCCAAAGATAGCCCTCATAATATTCCTTATATGAAAATAAATAAACAACATGAGACAAGTATATTAGATCTGTCTTCCAGGGAAAAATCCAAAGACCTCTTATTCTCTATCTCCAGTCTTAGGACTAAATGGTTTGAACTAGTGATTCCCTGTTGAGGGAAGAGACAGACCCTCTCATATTGTTTTATACTCAGAAAAGGAAAGAAAAGTGAAATTAAAGGCAGATAGCCCGGCGCCTAGGAACCAGACCCGAAACCAGGCCTGGGCCTGCCTGACCTAAGCTCGGTAGTTAAAATTCGACCCCTGACCTAGCAACTGTTGTTATCTATAGATTCCAGACATTGTATGGAAGGGCATTGTATGGAAGGACATTGTGAAATCTCTCGTTCTGTTCTGTTTCACTGTGACCACCGGTGCTCACAGCCCCTGTCACGTACCCCCTGGCTTACTCAATCGATCACGACCCTCTCATGCGGACCCCCTTAGAGTTGTGAGCCCTTAAAAGGGACAGAAGTTGAGCATCAGACGAGCTCGGATTTTGAGACGCTAGCCTGCCGATTCTCCCAGCTGATTAAAGCCACTCCCTTCACTATCTCGGTGTCTGAGGGGTTTTGTCTGCGGCTCATCCTGCTACATTTCTTGGTTCCCTGACCGGGAAGCAAGGTGATTAACAGATGGTCGAGGCAGCTCCTTAGGCGGCTTTAGCCTGCCCTGTGGAACATCCCTGCTGGGGACTCCAACCAGCCAGAGTGACGCGGATCCTGAGAGCTCTCCTGGGTAGGCATTTGCCCCGGTGGGACACCTCGCCAGAGCAGTGTGTGGCAGGCCCCCGTGGAGGATCAACAGAGTGGCTGAACACCGGGAAGGAATTGGCACTTGGAGTCCGGACAACTAAAACTTGGTAAGACTAGTCTTTGGAACTTGCCCACTCCATTTGAGTGGAAGCATGGCCTGATCACCCACGGCGTGCCTTTATCAGCACTTGGTTTTGGTTTTGACTTGGTTTGAATTACTTGACAGGACTGGTCTTGGGAACTTGCCCACTCCATTCCCACTCCATTTGAGTGGAAGCATGGCCTGATCTGATCACCCACGGTGTGCCTGTTCCGGCACTTTGGTTTTTGTTTTTGACTTGACTTAGATTGCTTGATACTTTGGTTTTGGTTTTGACCTGGCTTGGATTTCTGAATACTCTGATTTTGGTTTTGATTTTGGTTTAGTGTAAACTGCAAAAGTGTGTGCGTGCCCTTTTTACCCGTTCTTTGTTTTGTGGTGTGCATGTGGTGTGAGAGTGGTGTTTTGTCTCGAAGAAACATGGGTCAGGCACAAATAAGCCCACCCTACTAGAAACTATGTTGAAAAATTTCAAGAAAGGATTTAAGGGAGATTACGGTGTTACTATGACACTAGAAAAACTTAGAACTTTGTGTAAAATAGACTGGCCAACATTAGAGGTGGGTTGGCCATCAGAAGGAAGCCTAGACAGGTCCCTTGTTTCAAATGTATGGCACAAGGTAACCTGTAAGCCAAGGCACACAGACCAGTTTCTGTACGTAGACAATTACAGCTGGTTTTAGACCCCCTTCGCCCCCACAGTAGTTAAGAGAGGCAGAAAGAGAGGAAGAAACAGAGGCAAAAGGAAAGTCAAAGAGAGAGAGAGGGAGAGAGAGAGACAGAAAGTCAAAGAGAGAAAGAAAAATAGAGAGAAATATCCAAGTAGTTAAGAAAAAAATAGTGTACCCTATTCCCTTTAAAAGCCAAGGTAAATTTAAAACCTAAAATTGATAATTAAAGGTATTCTCCGTAACCCTGTAACACTCTAATACCACTTTGTTGTTAGTGTAAACAAGGGCGTATCCCGAAAGCACTGAGGCCTTCCTATCAAAAATCCTTAACCCAGTAACCCACGGATGGCCCAGATGCATTCAATCTGTAGCAGCAGCTGCTTTGCTAACAGGAAAAAAAAAAAAAAAGAGCTGTGGGAAGGCAAAATTTATGTAAAAAGAGTGTTATATGGTAAATTCTTGTCTTGAAATAAATTAACTGTTGTTTAAAGAAAGAAATATTTGTAATAAGTCAGAAAGTTGAGACATGTCAAAGAATTATCTGCGAAAGTCATAGAAAACGATGTTATAAAAAATTTATGCAAAAAATATTGTATAATTTGAAAGTAATAAGGCCTCCTGAGTACTATTGAAGAAACAGTTTATGTGCAAGGTGCATAAGAAAAGTAAAATATACTTTTGGTAAAAAGATTAGAAGGAGGCATAAGAATGTGGATTTTTACCTACATTAAAAGGTTAAAAAAATTATTGTTTTGAAAGTTTAAGCAAGTTTTAAAATGTTAATTGTAAAAAAAAATTCTGTGTGTAAACTAATTAGCTAAAGATAAAAAGGTATCATCCAGTTTTTCTGTGAACTGGACATTAAAGTAAAAATGCAACAGGTTTTTCTTGAAGCACCAACCTGCTCTTTAACAAAAATTATAAAAGGTTAAAAAGAGTCTGTAAAAACTTACCTTATGGTCAAACATGAAAAATTGGATAAATATGTCTATGAGGTTTTATTAAAATTAAGTTTAACATTAATAACACACTAATATAAAGGTAAAATTTAGCTTATCTGGTATAAAAATCATACAAGAAGTATTATTAAATATAAAATGGTGTTTAGCTTTCTTTGGTCTAAAAACTAATAAAAATAGGTCCTAAAGGAAACATTCATTTTACTAGAGGATCATAGAAGTTAAAGACTTAAAACAAACTTTGGCAATTAAGACAGCATACCAAGATGCAAATGCCTGGTTGAAATGGATCAAATATTCCATCTGCACATTAAACAAAAGCAGTTGTTATGCTTGTGCACATGGCAGGCCAGAGGCCCTCATTGTCCCCCTTCCACTAAAGTGGTCCTCCAGTCCACCAGGCGTGGGCTGCATGGTAGCTCTTTTCCAGGATTCTACAGCCTGGAGTAATAAGTCATGCCAAACTCTCTCTGCTATCCCTGTGGGTCAGCCCCCGAGGGCCATCCAGCCTCCGTCTCCCAACACTAAGTTCACTTCATGTCTCTCACCACAGAGAGGAAACTTAGGATTCCTTGGAGACCTGAAGTGATGCAATGAGCTTAAGAATTTTCAAGAGCTTATCAATCAGTCAGCCCTTGTTCATCCCCAAGCGGATGTGTGGTGGTATTGTGGTGGACCTTTACTGGGCACTCTGCCGAATAACTGGAGTGGCACTTATACTTTAGTCCAGTTGGCTATCCCTTTCACCCTGGCATTTCATCAACAAGAGGGAGGAAAAATAAGACATCGTAAAGCGAGAGAAGCCCCCTTATAGGTCTTTCGACTCTCACGTCCATTTAGACGCAATTGGAGTCCCACGAGGAATACCAGATCAATTTAAAGCTTGAAATCAAATAGCTACAAAATTTAAGTCAATATTTTAGTGAGTGATGTTAATAAAAATGTAAATTAGATAAATTATATCTATTACAAACAACAGCAACAAGCTTTTCATGAGTTGAAAGAAAAACTCAGGTCGGCCCCAGCCCTGGGGCTACCTGACCTGACGAAAGTGCACACTCTATGTGCCAAAAAAAAAAAAAAAAAAAAAGGGCCATCTATACCAATTCTAAGTTAATTTAGACTAAACAAGGTCTTACTCATAGCAAAGGATAATTGAAATCCCAAACTTACAAGGTTTTCAACAAAAGTAAAGTTTGCTAAAAGTTAACAGTGTAACATGTATTATAGTAACTTCTAATCTTGTGGCCTTAGACAGTCTAGTCCACAGATATAAAGAAAGTTCACTTAAAAAAAAAAAAAAAAGAATGGTTATCTTCAAAAAAAAAAAATGGCAGTTGGAGTTTTAACCCAGACTGTAGGGCTCTGGCCAAGGCCAGTGGCCTATCTCTCAAAACAACTAGATGGGGTTTCCAAAGGCTGGCCCCCATATCTAAGGGCCCTGGCAGCAACGGCCCTGTTAGCACAAGAAGCAGATAAGCTAACTCTTAGGCAAAACCTAAACATAAAGTCCCCCCCATGCTGTGGTGACTTTAATCAGTACCAAAGGACATCATTAGCTAATGAATGCTAGACTAACTAGATACCAAAGCTTGCTCTGTGAAAATCCCCACATAACCATTGAAGTTTGCAACACCCTAAACCCCGCCACCTTGCTCCTGGTATCAGAGAGCCCAGTTAAACATAACTGTGTAGAAGTGTTGGACTCAGTTTATTCTAGTGGGCCCAACCTCCAAAACCATCCTTAAACATCAGTAAACTGGGAGCTGTACGTGGATGGGAGCAGCTTCACCAACCTCTGCAAAGTGACTCAGAAAAAGCCCTGCTCCAGTCACACCCGGAAGCTGACTGGTCCACGCACGGCCGAAGCATGAGAAAACTCATCACGGGACTCATTTTCCTTAAAATTTGGACTTGTACAGTAAGGACTTCAACTGACCTTCCTCAGACTGAGAACTGTTCCCAGTATATACATCAAGTCACTGAGGTAGGACAAAAGATTGCTACAGTCCTATTATTTCATGGTTATTATAAGTGTACGAGGACTCTAAAAGAAACTTGTTTGTATAATGCTATTCTATCCAAGGTATGTAGCCTAGGAAATAACCAACCTGATGTGTGTTATGACCCATTTTAAGCCTCCAATGATCACAGTTTTTTAAAATAAATTAAGGACTGGTCCTTTTCTAGGTGACACAAGTAAAGTAATAGCTAAGACAGAAGAAAGAGGGATCCCCAAGCATGTAACACTAAAATTTAATGCTTGTGCCACTATCAATAGCAATCGGCATAGAATAAGATGCGGTTCTTTAAACTGAAAAAAAAAAAAGTTACACAGCAGGAAATAAGTATATCTGCCACGAATTAAGCTCATGTGCAAATGTGTGTAATTACTGGTCTTGTGTCATCTAGGCTACTTAGAAAAAGGATGAAAAAGACCCTGTTTAGCTCCAAAAAGGAGAAGGCAGCCCCTCCTGTACGAGTGGAAGCTGCAACCCCTTGAAATTAGTAATTACAAATCCCTTAAACCCAAGGTAGAAAAAAAGAAGTACACGTATCTCTGGGCGTCGATAAAAAAGGACTAGATCCTAGAGTAAATACCTTAGTAAAAGAGGAGGTTCGTAAACTCTCTCCGGAACCAGTATTTCAGACTTTCTATGATTAACTAAATGTGCCAGTACCAGAGACTCCAGGAAAAACCAGAAATTTGTTTTTGCAATTAGCCGAGCATGTAGCCCAGTCTCTAAATGTCACCTCATGTTACGTTTGTGGAGAAACTGTAATAAGAGATCAATGGCATAAGAAGCCCGAGAATTAGTGCCTACAGACCCAGTTCCTGATGAATTCCCGGCCCAAAAGAATCACCCTGATCATTTCTAGGTTCTAAAAGTCTCAATTATTAGACAATATTGCATAGCTGAAAAAAGGAAAGAATTCACTCATCCTGTAGGATGACTTAGTTGCCTAGGACAAAAACTGTATAATGGTACCACAAAAACAGTTACATGGTGGAGTTCAAACCACACAGATAAAAATCCATTCAGTAAATTTCCAAAGT
This sequence comes from Homo sapiens, assembly GCF_000001405.40. Classification (NCBI taxonomy): domain Eukaryota; kingdom Metazoa; phylum Chordata; class Mammalia; order Primates; family Hominidae; genus Homo; species Homo sapiens. The sequence continues at coordinate 167,868,520 of NC_000001.11, forward strand.
TGCAGACCGTTTAAGCCCACCCAGAATTCCACCGGGACTAGACAGCCCCCCACTAGGCTATACTGGATACGTGGACATAGAACCTACGCTAAGCTGCCTGACCAGTGGACAGGTAGTTGTGTTATTGGCACTATTAAACCATCTTTCTTCCTACTGCCCATACAAATAGGCGAACTCCTGGGCTTCCCTGTCTATGCTTTCCGCGAAAAGCGAAACATAGCCATAGATAATTAAAAAGATGATGAATGACCACCTAAAAAATTATACAATACTATAGGCCTGCCACTTAGACACAAGATGGCTCATGGGTATACCAGACCCCCATTTACATGCTCAACTGAATCATACGGTTGCAAGCTGTTTTAGAAATCATCACTAATAAAACCAGTCAAGCCTTGACTATTCTGGCCCGGCAAGAAACTCAGATAAGAAATGCTATCTATCAAAATAGATTGGCTCTCGACTACTTCTAGCAGCTGAAAGAGAGGTCTATAAAAATTTAACCTTACTAATTACTGTCTACACATAGATAATCAAAGGCAAGTAGTTAAAGACGTAGTTAAAGACATAGTTAAAAACATGACAAAACTGGCACATATGCCCGTACGAGTGTAGCACGGATTCGACCCTGAAGCCATGTTTAGAAGGTGGTTCCCAGCACTAGGAGGATTTAAAACTCTTATATAGGAGTTATAATAGTAATAGAAACCTGCTTACTGCTCCCTTGCTTGCTGCCTGTACTTCTTCAAATGATAAAAAGCTTCATTGCTACCTTAGTTCACCAAAATGCCTCAACACAAGTGTACTATATGAATCACTATCAATCTATTGCACAAGAAGGCATAAGTGGCAAAAATAAGAGTGAGAACTCCCACTAATAAAAAGTGAGAGTCTCAAACGGGGGAAATGAGGGAAGAGAGAGACCCTCTCATATTGTTTTATATTGTTTTATACTCAGAAAAGGACAGAGAAGCGAAACTAAAGGCAGGTAGCCCGGCGCCTAAGAACCAGACCCGAAACCAGGCCTGGGCCTGCCTGACCTAAGCCTGGTAGTTAAAATTCGACCCCTGACCTAGCAACTGTTGTTATCTATAGATTCCACACATTGTATGGAAGGACATTGTGAAATCTCTCGTTCTGTTCTGTTTCACTGTGACCACCAGTGCTCACAGCCCCTGTCACGTACCCCCTGGCTTACTCAATCGATCACGACCCTCTCATGCAGACCCCCTTAGAGTTGTGAGCCCTTAAAAGGGCAGAAGTTGAGCACCTTGACGAGCTCGGATTTTGAGACGCTAGCCTGCCGATTCTCCCAGCTGATTAAAGCCACTCCCTTCACTATCTCGGTGTCTGAGGGGTTTTGTCTGCAGCTGGTCCTGCTACACTGTCAGCTAGCTGGATAAACTTAAGTGTTTGTTCTGCAGACCAAATCTAGCCTTGATCTCAACATCTATGCCAATTGTTCTCGATCTGTCTGAATATTGGGATTACTTAGGAAACTTTAAATAACCAAGCCCTTCCTGGCATTAAATCAGGATATCCATGGGTCAGCCCAGTTTCTCTTTTTCTTAGCTCTATGTGTTTATTGTTAGTTATCTATTTAGCACAAGGGTCATGGCATCCAATAATTGTAGGTTATAGATAATTTACATAAGGCAAGTTATAGGAAGGAGAGGAGCATCAAAATAAATCAGGATTCTATGGGTTCACACAGAACAATCATTCCAAGACACTCACCTGTGATTCTTACCTTGGGCCAGGTACTCAATTTTCATAAGTATCTGGCTTTTTCCATATCCTGGTAATCCCTCATACATTAAGACTTGGCTGCTGTTAGATATCAAAAATTTCTTCATAGTATACATGAAGTAGTTGATCTCTTTATTACGTCCTGTTATTTTTAGTTTTAAAAAAGAGCAAACTCAATCAACGTAAAATAGTCTAGAGATATAAAAAGTCACATAGAAACCCTCCTTCTAAAAATATCCTTGGGCCAGGCGCTGTGGCTCACTCCTGTAATCCCAGCACTTTGGGAGGCCGAGGTGGGCGGATCTGCTGAGGTCAGGAGTTCGTGACCAGCCTGGCCAACATGATGAAACCCTGCCTCTACTGAAAATACAAAAAAAAAAAAAAAAAAAAATTAGCCAGACTTGGTGGCGGGTGCCTGTAGTCCCAGCTACTCAGGAGGCTGAGGTAAGAGAATTGCTTGAACCCAGGAGGCGGAGGTTGCAGCGAGCCGGGATCCTGCCATTGCACTCCAGCCTGGGCGACAAGCAAAACTCCATCTAAAAAAAAAAAAAAAAACTTGGAATTTCCATGGCATTGTTCACAGACTTTCTTCAAGCCTTATGCACTTTCAAAATTGTTTAAATCTTCCTGGGAGCTTTTTAGCTAACCATGTGGTTTTGCAGTTTCATTTGATTAGAAGCTGTGAGAGAAAGTATTCTTATAATCCTCATTATAATGTTTAATTATAGTGTAGAAAACTGAGATTTGCTTAGATTACACAACCAGGAATTAAGCCAAGGCTATCTAACCCTAAAGCTTGTTTTTTTTTGTTTTTTGTTTTTTGTTTTTATTCAACACACTAGAAGTAATATGTAGACTATTACATTAGGAAATAAATTTATTAAAGTTAGTTTTCCTACATTAAACAATTATGGATAAAATATTTTTATTTCTGATTCTGTGATAAAGGAAATTTGCCCTCTGTAAATGAAGATTATACTTAATTCAGGGCTACAAAAAGCATTACCAGGGATAAAATTCAATTTGCCTTCAGAAATCATGTACAGATTATTTCTATCATAAGAGCAACTTAAATTCTTAGTGAAAATAGATTATAGGTTTTTTCTGATTATAAAACTAACATATGCTTGCTGTAGAAAATATGGAAAACTTGGAAAAGAAAAAAATAAAAATCACCTTGGGTTACAACCCTTATTTTTCTTGTGTGTTTTTAAATACTGTAACAGCCCTGGGTGAAATCTGAAACCCTGCTGTAAGGAGCTGTAAGAATTGTAATTTCTAAGCAGTGAGCAATTTCTGTCAAAAAAGTTGGAGACTCATTGAGAGCTAACTATTCCTTCTGTGCTGGGCAGATGAATGTGGAGGCCCATTTTGTTATTCACTGATAGAACAAATAAATATCCAGGTATTATCTAATGTCTTTGTTGAAGGACCATTAATTCAAGTGTAGACATTTAATAAAAAGAAGCTAAGTGCTTTGCTTGGTAATATACATTTCTGAGTATGGCTTAGTGAGAACTACTTAGCAGACTGTATTGCTTCTTTTGGGTGAAATATTCCCTTTCTGAAAATGCATTTGAACCTCAATTTCGTGAGATGTTTTGTGTTTTTCTTTGGCCTGAATGAAGCTCACATAGGAACTTAGAAGATGAGGCTTCAAAGGCTGCATAGCTGCACACCAACATGGCACATGTATACATATGTAACAAACCTGCACGTTGTGCATTGTGTACCCTAGAACTTAAAGTATAATAATAAAAAATAAATAAATAAAAAATAATAAAGTTTCCAGGCTGGGAGCGGTGGCTCACGCCTGTAATCCCAGCACTTTGGGAGGCCGAGGCGGGTGGATCCCCTGAGGTCAGGAGTTCGAGACCAGCCTCAACATGGAGAAACCCCGTCTCTATTAAAAATACAAAATTAGCCGGGCGTGGTGGTGCATGCCTGTAATCCCAGCTACTCAGGAGGCTGAGGCAGGAGAATTGCTTGAACCTGGGAGGCGGAGGTTACAGTAAGCCGAGATGGCGCCATTGCACTCCAGCCTGGGCAACAAGAGCAAAACTCCATCTCAAAAAAAATAAAGTTTCCTAAGGAAGCTTAAAAAAAAAAAAAGCCTGCATAGCTGACTCTTCCAGCTCCCTGTGTTCTATTCATACAGAACACCTACTGGTAGAACCTTATGGAGTATCTTTAGCTGGATTCTAAAATGAGATTGTCTCCTTAACTTGAAATGCATGCACCTTGTTTCTATCTAAGCAAAGCCTCAATATCGGGGACTGTTGTATGCAGTTTTTACCCTAAAAAGCCACTATTTATTTATTATAGTTTTGTTGTCAACCATGCTGTTGCAATTTCATTTATAGCAGCCCTTGTAAAAGAAGGGCATTTCCCATGCTGCTAGCCTCTGACAATCTGTGTTTGGTTATAGCTTGAAGGAAAGGTATGTGGACCTGATCTTTATGTCATACTGGTGGAATCAGTGCAAAAGGGCAACTAGATCAGACTGAGAAATATACACATAGGCTGCACGCAGTGGCTCACGTCTGTAATCCCAGCACTTTGGGAGGCCAAGGCGGGCAGATCACGAGATCAGGAGTTCAAGACCAGCCTGGCCAATATGGTGAAACCCCGTCTCTACTAAAAATACAAAAATTAGCTGGGTGTGGTGGTGTGCACCTGTAATCCCAGCTACTTGGGAAGCTGAGGCAGAAGAATCGCTTGAACCCGGGACGCAGAGGTTGTAGTGAGCTGAGATCGCGCCACTGCACTCCAGCCTGGGCGACAGAGTGAGACTCTGTCTCAAAAGAAAAAAAAAAGAAATATCCACATAATGTGTTCTAATGTGACTGTCATGTTGGGTCTGCAATCTTGTAGAAAGAAGGTTAGGATTCTGTTGCTGTCAGTTAGTAAAATAAGTATATCCTAGGATGAAAAGTAAGGCCTCTGAGGAGGGTGAGAGTGGGTATTCCTTCTCTCTAGCTTCAGGAGTTTTGGAATCTGGACTTAAATGAAGTGATTGGCTTGAAGACCCTGAAAACTACCTGAAAGCAGTGAAAGTGAGGCATTTCTGCTGGCCCAAGTGTTTTTTTGCAGTTCTGGAACTGTTGCCCTCCTTCAGGCTCTGCTGACACCAAGATTGTGGCCCAATATTTCTCCAAAGTGTGAGACAGAGCCTCCTCTTAATTGCCTTGACACAGTTAGGACCAAGATTTAACTTATGATAAGACTTTTGGGGATGTTCGTGTCTGACAGAAGGAAATTACAAGTGCTACTAGAAGTGGCTGCCTTCAGAATCCACAGGTCAATCTTCTTTGGGTCTCTTCTCTTATAGGTATATCCCTTCCTCATTTTAGGTCTACTCCCCTGTCTAATCTCGAGTTATCTTTCTTACAATAAGGTCCCTATCACCAGGAATCACAAAAATATCAATTCCAAATGGATTGTAGACTTAAATATAAAAGGTAAAAACAAAATTTCTGAAAAAAATGCTAGAAAAATATCTCCATGATTTTTGGGTAAGGAAAGGTATCTCAAATAGTATACAGAAGCACTAACTATAAAAGACAGGTAAATTTGATTACATTAAAGTTAAGAATTCTGTTTATTAAATGCATAATTGAGAGTAAAAAGGCAAACACAGAGTGGGAAAAGTGATATACAGTAGAAACAAATGACAAAGGACCCATCTCTAGAATGTGTAAATAATTCCAAAAGATAATCAAAATATAACCCAGTTGAAAAATAGGTGAAAAATTGTACAGGTACTTTAAAAAAATGTCTGGGCTGGGCACAGTGGCTCACGCCTGTAATCCCAGCACTTTGGGAGGCTGGGGCAAGTGGATCACTTGAAGTTAGGAGATCAAGACCAGTCTGGCCAACATGGTGAAACCCTGCCTCCACTAAAATATAAAAATTAGCTGGGCATGGTGGCGGACACCTGTAATCCCAGCTACTCAGGAGGCTGAGTCCTGAGAATCACTTGAACCCAGGAGGTAGAGGTTGTAGTGAGCCAAGATTGCTCCTTTGTACTCCAGCCTGGGCAACAGAGTGAGACTCTGTCTCAAAATAAATAAATAAATAAATAAATCCAAATGGCCAATAAACTTATGAAGAAGGAGCTCAACCACATCAGGGAAATACAAATGGAAACCATAATAAGATACCACTATACACCCAACAGAATTATTGAAAGGATAAAGATTGATAAAACTAAGTTGTTGCCAAAGATGAAGAACAACTGGAACTCTCTTAACATTCTCAGTCAGAATATAAATAAATACAACCATTTTGGAAAACTATTTGGCACCCTTTGTCCCAACAATTTCAGTCCTACGTTTTACTCCTACCTTGTACTCAACAGAAATGCATACATGCATTCACCAAAAGACTTGTGTAAGAATGTTTATGGCAATATTATTCATAAGAACCAAAAACTGGAAATAACCCAAATGTTGCACAGCAACAGAATGGGTAAATTGTTGTATATTTATAAAAATGGAATACTACATAGTAATGACATAGAATAAATTACAGCTACACCCAACAATATGGATGAATTATATAACATACCATTGAGTAAGAGAAAGTATATATAAGCCGTATATAATTATACAATGTATGATTCCATCTGTATCAATTTTTTAAACAGGCATAAGTAATCGAGGGTGTTAGAAGACTTTGGGGAAAGGAAGAAGGAAAGAGTAATCCTGGTGTATTGCTATTTTTCTATTTCTTAACCTGGATGATGATTATATTTTCATTTTGTGATAATTCATTAAGCTGCACAGTTATCATTGATGTACTTTTCTGCATGTTTTGTTTTAGTTCAATAAAGAAGTTTAAAATCAAGGCCTACTACCTACCCAGCAAAGGGTAATCCTCCTTTCTGTTGCAGATGAGGCACGCCATACCAAACATGCTGAAGAGAAGAACAAAAGAACAGATGCTAGATTCAAAACAGGGACATATTGAGAGCAAGAGTGATTAGTTCTTAGTTCCCAGAAAGTTTCCTTCTCAATTGCTAACAAGAGTCTATCCCCTGACTCACGGGTCGCAAACGCCAAAAGAAGGAGAAACGAGAAGGTCTGACTTGGTAGTGGAGAATCCAAAGAACTCAGGTAGCATCTGTTTCCATAGCATCTGGCACATTGTTCAATAAATGCTGTTGAGTCTGCACTGGTAGAGAAACCCCTTTCTGGGGAGATCAGACACCTGATATACGACCCAGTAGATTTCAATGTGGTGCAGAGTCACACATCCTGCAAAGATTCCACCAATTGCTCAAACAATAATAGCGCGCCTTTTATTGGAGCACATGCTATGTGTCTGGCGCAGTTCCAAGTGCTTTACATGCATCATTTTCTTTAATCCTGACAAAAACACTGTTAAGAAGTACTACTTGGCTGGGCGCAGTGACTCACGCCTGTAATCCCAGCCCTTTGGGAGGCCGAGGTGGGCAGATCACGAGGTCAGGAGATCGAGACCATCCTGGCTAACACGGTGAAACCCCGTCTCTACCAAAAATACAAAAAGAAATTAGCCAGGCATGGTGGCGGTTGCCTGTAGTCCCAGCTACTCAGGGGGCTGAGGCAGGAGAATGGTGTGAACCCGGGAGGGGGAGCTTGCAGTGAGCCGAGATCGCACCACTGCACTCCAGCGTGGGCAGCAGAGCCAGACTCCATCTCAAAAAGAAAAAAAAGGACTACTGGCCAGGCACGGTGGCTCATGCTTGTAATCCCAGCATTTTGGGAGGCCGAGGCAGGTGGATCATCTGAGGTCAGGAGTTTGAGACCAGCCTGACCAACATGGTGAAAACCTGTCTCTACTAAAAATACAAAAATTAGCTGGGCGTGGTGGCTTGCGCCTGCCATCCCAGCTACTCTGGAGGCTGAGGCAGGAGAATCGCTTGAACCCAAGAGACAGAGGTTGCAGTGAGCCAAGATCACGCCATTGCATTCCATCCTGGGCAACAAAAGCAAAGCTCCATCTCAAAAAAAAAAAAAAAAAAGTACTACTCTTATGTTCATTTTGCCAGTGAGGAAATTCAGGCACAAAGAGTTTAATTGCCCAAGACCCCATAGCAGGTGGTAACACAGGATACTGACAGTATCCAAACATAGGCCAGGGTGCATATGTTTGCTCACTCCATAACACTATCTCTTGAAGAAGCCTTTTAGTCAAAATGGATTATGCCCTTCTCTGAACTACAATACTACTTTGTTATGCCTCTCTTATAGCATATATCAAAGGTTCCCATGTAACATACAGCTAAGTTTGTGTATGTTGGTCTTCCCCACTTGATTGTGAGTTTTCTGGGCAGGAACTAGGCCCTGTTCATACTGTGTGTGTATTTCTCCACTTTTATCTGCAGAGGTGGTACAGAAAAATCATGAAGAGTACAGGCTTTGGGATCAGATAGTCCTGGGTTTGCATAGTAAACTGATTGCATTAATGGCCCCAGTACCTGTATCTGTGCCCTTTGCTGTGTAACTTGGCAGAGTCCTCTCATTCTGGACTCAGCCTTGTGAATGCTTTTGTCAATGGACTATCTGCAAACATAAGACATAGGAAGAGGCTTGAAAAATGCTTTTGCATTGGGCCTGCTCTCTTGCTCCTCCAGTATTGCCAGGACAAACATGCTGGATGGAAGATGAGACACATAGAGCCAGATTGCCCTAGTTATCCCAACTGAGGCCGCCAGGTTGGCCAACAGTCTGTTGAACCCCAGGCACGTGAATAAGCCAAGACAAGATCAACCAAATCCAGCCAAGATCAATTGAACCCCACATTTGTGAGAAAAATAAATGTTTATTTTTGCACACCACTGAAGTTTTGTGATTGCCCGTAAGGTCACATTATTGTGACTGAATCTTGACTCCATTGCTCACTATAGATATGGCCATAGACAAGTCATTTAACATCTCTGAGCCTCAGTTTTTGAATTTATAAAATGGAAATTATAATAGTTTCTATCTCGTATGGTCAATATTAAGACTGGATTATATATTTTGAGGTAAAGTACCTGATGTTTAATAAGTACTCACTAAAAATTATTATTCATTCATGTATTCAAACTGCACTTTATTGATGGCCTATGTATGCCAAGCACAGTGCTAAGCCTCAGGAATACTGAAGGGAATAATAAAGACACCTTGACCCAACTGCAGCCCTGGTTCTGTTATCTGACTCTTGAAGACCTCGATTCCAGCTTGCTAATCTAATGAATAACAACTTTCTGCTCTCTGTGCCATTCATTTATTCATCATTATTGAGGACCTACTGTATACCAAGCACTGGGGATATAAGAATAAAGAAATAATTAGTATCTTCAAAGAGTTCACAGTGTAACAAGTGAAAACTGTAGGAAGTGAATAATTGTGATATAGGGCAAGGAGTGTTCTAATAGAAGCATATGCTATAGGAGGAAAAAAGGAAGAGGAAGAAGGAAGACAAAGGGGGAAAGAGCTTAACTGTCTAGCTGGGATGGGGAATTCATAGAGGAATGTCTATGAATCCCTCGAGCTGGGTTTCAAAAATTGACTGCGGTTTTCCCAATAGACCAGGATTAGGTGGGTGCTGATGAGGACAATCTACTTAAACAACCCAGAGGAGGGGGAACAGGAGGAGATGAGGTTGGAAAGGCAGGTGGTACCTTGTATGTCACTGCAAAGATTTTGAACATCACCATGAAAATGACTGAAAGCCATTGAAGGATTTTAAGCTTCAAAGTGACACCCATAAATCTATGCTGAGCTTTTGGGGAATGTATTTCACTAAAGACTTAGAGGAGAAATAATATCTTATACTCTTTTAACCCTAACAATGCCTCGGCATACAGTTGACATAATTAGTAAATAATATTAAATGGTTGGTGATTGGGCCCATTTGGGTGCAAATAGATACTCAAATGAGAGGATTTTTTGTTTGGTTTGTACAACCTTTGAAGAATTACCCTCATATTCTCAGATCTGAGGAGAGAATGGGATTTTCCACCATGCCATAGTGTCAGTCAGATGGAGGAAAGATTAAGGATTTTGAAGTCTGGGCCTTGGTCTGGGGAAAGCATAGATTTCAACTTTTTGAACTGGCTCCAAATCTTAAATGGGTGACTGCTTTGCTATCATAATTCTCCCGCTTCTTTACTAAAATATACTTCAAAATTAATGCTCCACACTCACACTTTCTCAGTACGGCCCCAATACTGATACAATGGTCCAGAATCTGCAACACCTTTCATAACTTTCTTTGGAAGCTCTTTAAAAAAGTACGCTGGTAGGTTGCTCCCATTGTAGGTGACAGAGTCGCAGGTCACAATTCCTGGGTAGTACATCATCATCCTGGCAGCTAAGTTGACTTTTTGACCAATGACTATAGCAAGAAAGAGAAAGTCAAAGATCAGGGAAATAACAGGCATTGAACTGAATGTAATCTGAAACATTGTCCCCAAATAGCATTTTTACCCTTTACTCCCTTTGCTGTTCATGAGTGACACAGAAGCCTAGTCTCAAGACCCATATTCAGCCAATGGCTATTCACAAAATGTGCAGGGAGTTAGTTAGCCATTAGCAAAGTTTCTGCCTCACTTGGGAGGTCAAGAGAATGACCTGCTCAGGGATGGAAGGGGCTTGAGTATGGAGCAGGCTCTGTAAGTGGGATGGCCACAGCACTGAAGGCTCTCAGAGAAGGTGTCAGTTGGTCTTCTGCCACAAGGTGGACAAGCACATGCTTGGGCCTGGGGTACTGATCTCCATATGAGACATAAAATTGTGTCTGCATGCTCCTATGAATAAACCTTCATTTGGCGATTTCTCGATTTAGTAAATGGGCTAGAAGAGGCGTGCATGGAGGATTGAAGCACAGGCTCTGAAGGCAGACTGTGCAGGGTTGAACACCAGCTCTACCCCTAACTATGTGCAAACTACTTGGGACAATTACTTTAAATAACTCCTCATGCCTCCATTCTCTAACCTATAAAATAGGGATGATAATAGTAACTCTCTGAGAGGGTGGTTTATGAAGATTAATTAGTTAATACACGTTTATCACTTTCAACAGCAGCTGGCTGCTTGTAAGCCTTCAATTAATATTACTACAAATGAGGTAGCAAATGTGTCACTTTAACATAAACTTGAATACTTCTGAACAAGGTACTCTTTTTGAAAACTATTTATTGTGGAGAAATTTGACCATAAAATAAAATATAATGAATTTCCATATACCCATCACCCCATCCCAACAAGCCATTAGCCCATGGCTAATCCTGCCCCATCCTCACCCCCATACACTCCCCACCCTGTGTACTTTTGAAGAACATCTCAGACATTGTATCATTTCAGACATAACTATCGTGGTATTTTACATATATTCAGTATTTTAGATGCATTATTGCTGAAAATCTTAAACCCTGATAGGATGGAAAAGGGAAGTAATAGAGTTGTGAAATCTGGAGATAAGATTTACTTATTACTACTCTCTTTTGAGAGTGTCATTATTTTTCAGTAATATCAACATTCATAATTTTTAAGGAGTTCTAGCTTATTCCAGGAATTAAGAGAAGTAACTATTTAATGTTAACAGGAAAGTATTACAGGAGCCCCTCATTCCATCAACATATAGCCTCCCACTGCTCCCCTCTCATGACTACATATTTCTCTACTCATACATAGCCCCAGAAATGCACACTCTGCAAGCATTGAGGGCTCCATGGCTTGGCTCCATCTGGAAGACTCTAAAGTTTCTGAGGGCAGGGCTCATGTCTCACTCATTTTTGTGCTTCCTCCCGCAAAGCCCAGTGGCAAGGTGCTGTGTTTGCAGAAAGAAAGCTGGAGATGAGCTGACCCAGCACACCTGTGTACTCGTGTCTCACAGTGTGTCCAACGATCCCACAGAAGACAATCCCACTGGCAACACCGATGGATACAGTTCTGGTGCAGGGGAGACAAGATTTGTGGGGAAAGAAATAAAGATAATGAGCGTAGAGAAAGTGGGAAGGGTGGGAAATAATGTCTGGGTTGGGAAAGGGTGGGAAAGGATTTTCTCTACCCGTTGGAATTAGTTTATGGCATTTCTACATGGCCCGGAGATGCGAAGGAGGAACAACAGTTTGAGACACAGGACTAAGTTCTTAATTAATTCTTCTTTCTTTCCTGTTCCCTGCATGCCCTCCCTACTTATGCCTCAAAAGGGTCAGGGACCGCTGGGTGGGACCAGGGTCAATACTCACTGGATTTTGTGGACTTGAGAGCAGAAGTCAAATATATCCATAGCACATTCCAGAGCATGAGTGAGCTCGTCAGGTACCTTTTCCCCAGGGAAGCCAAAGACACAGAGGAAAGAGCAGCCCTGTGAGGGAGAGAGACAGCAACCACAGCTGATGGACAGTGTGCTTTAAACTGGACTGGCCAGAAGGCTCAACAGAGAGCCGGCGGCAATTTTTGGCTTCTGAATCAGATTTTATCATGATTTCTCTCACAGTATTTTATTTTTAGTACACTTCAAACACTTCTACTGCATCATCAACAGGAGGGCTTGAGCCTTGAGAAGGGCTTGTTTTGCTCCAGATATAGTGAATAGGGCTGAGCTATCTGTGTGCATGCTTCGGCCTACTCTCTCCTGTGGCCAAGGTCCATGCTGCAAAGTGCTCAGTTTAAGTCTATGAAGCAGCAGCACAGAGCAGTGGAAAAGGCACCAGCTCTGGAATCAGAAAGTCTCTGTCCTCAAGCCACTTCTCAAGTGTGGAAACTTAGATAAGTCTATTACAATCTAGGAACTTCCGTTTATCTCTCTGAAAATGGATATACTGTAGACCTGCTGAGATGTTTTTGGCTACTAAAAGAATTAATGTGTTATATATATTCAAAAAGTCATCCTAAACTATAAAGTACTTTGCAGATACTGTTATTCTTAGGGATAAAGGCTTAGGCTGTAAGTAGGTTTTCTTATCATAAAGCTAACTGTTCCATGCAATGATTCAACTCTAAAACTTGGCATTTGTAGTATTAGTCACTTAAAAAATGACCTCAGTCAGGTGCTGTTGTCTGTAAGAAAAGGGCATTGTGAATAAAGGGTGATGGGTTGAAATTTTGAGTTTTTGACATGTTACATCCTGATAAAATGCAAAGAACACTAAAATACCTCAATTTCTTCAACCCTCTCCAAAAGAATTTGATCAACTGTTAGATCTTAAAAAGGACTGGGATCTGCCTTGACATGAAGGGGGAAACACTGCTTCTAGGTACGTGCAAAGAGGGCAACCCCTTTGGGGGAAGCAGGGAGCTTTTGCCTGCAAATTTATGTAGCGGCCTGGCAAGAGCTTTTGATTCCCCCTAGCAATGGAATGACAGCTCTCATTTATTGCACACTGACTCTAAGATAGGCATTACACCAAGTGCCTCACACATATTACATTATTTAAAACTTTCCACAATCATTTGAGACAAATACTATCCCCATTCAAAGAGGAATAAACCAAGGCTCAGAGAAGTTCAATGACTTGCTAAGTCTCACAGCTGGGAATCTTTGGAGCCATGTCTGCAAGACACGAAAGACTGTTCTCTTAGATTCTACACTCTTTTCTTATGATACCCATGGGTCAGTATTGAAGAAGGTACTGGAGACACCAGGCTGGAAGTAATCCCTTTCCAGAACTCCCATAGCACAGAGTTAGTTCGTCTCATATAGAATGCATGCTTCCTGCCTGGTTGTGTCAATATATGTGTTACTCATCTCTGCTGCCCAGCCCTAGCTTTTCGTCTTCTATGAAATGCTCAGTAAATGCTTGTTGAATTAGTGAGTGAGTGGATGTGGGGCAGTAATTAAGTGCTCTGCTTTTAATACACAAAAGGAATTGAGATGGGAAATCAATTCTCACATATGCATCTGTGGTCATTTGTTCATCACATCACTTTTCTCTGAATTGATTAAGAACAGAGTGAAGACCAGGTGCAGTGGCTCATGCCTGTAATCCCAGCACTTTGGGAGGCCGAGGCAGGTGGATCACTTGAGGTCAGGAATTCGAGACCCACCTGGCCAACATGGCGAAACCTCATCTCTACTAAAAATACAAAAATTAGCCAGGTGTGGTGGCGCATGCCTGTAATCCCAGCTACTCAGGAGGCTGAGTCAAGAGAATCGCTTGAACCCGGGAGGCGGAGGTTTCAGTGAGCCGAGATCATGCCACTGCATTCCAGCCTGGGCAATAGAGCAAGATTCCGTCTCAAAAAAAAAAAAAAAAAAAAGAACAGAGCGAAAACACCTGGGAGCCAGAGGCAGTCCCCTCCCTGCCATGGATGAAAATAAAAGGGGAACTGGAGGTGTTGACATGGCAAGTGGGCTTTCTTGGAAACAAGCTTCTGGGGTAAGATGGTTACTAAAGACTCCTGACCTGAAACCCCTGGGTAATACATCATGCACTGAGCTGGAGACTTATGTGTAGTGAGAGGTAGCCCAGCGTAGTGAGAGGTAGCCCAGCATAGTGAGCTCAGACGGGGATGGCAGACTGCCTGGGTTTGAATCCCAGCCTCCCCCTTACTAGCTTGATGATCATAAGCAAAACGTAATCTCGCCTTGTCCTGGTATCCTAATCTGTGTTTCAGCATCCTCATCTATATAATGAGGATAATGACAAGAGCAACCTACTGCTCAGAGTGGTCATGAGGATGAAATGAGTCAATAGAGATCAGGTCCTGAGAACAGTGCCTGGCACATAGTAAGTGCCATATCCACCATAGAAGTTATAATTATAAACAAAGACTGGCCTTCTAGGTTAAATTTCTTTTTTTGTTTAGTTGAGACGGAGTCTCACGCTATAGCCCAGGCTGGAGCGCAGTGGTGCGATCTCGGCTCACTGCAACCTCCGCCTCTCAGGTTCAAGCCATTGTCCTGCCTCAGCCTCCTGAGTAGCTGAGATTACAGGCACGTGCCACCGCACCCAGCTAATTTTTGCATTTTTAGTAGAGACAGGGTTTCACTATGTTGGCCAGTCTGGTCTTGAACTCCTGACCTCAAGTGATCCGCCCACCTCTGCCTCCCAAAGAGCTGGGATTACAGGCGTGAGCCACCACGCCCAGCCTCTAGGTTAAATTTCCTGTGTCTATTCTCACCAATGTGCTTGTCCATGAATGCTAACCTAAAACTATTGGTAGGTTCCCATCCCATAGTTCACACTTACCTTGTCAAACATGAAGACTTTATTGATTTGGCCTTGGAAGATCTTCAGGACAGAAGTGATGTGCATATAGGCATCCTGGATGGCTGGGCCTATCTCTTCTGCTTTGTCTTGGTCTTCAAACATCAGGTTCACAAACACAATCGTCACTGGGCGAAGCTCAGATAAATAGCCCTGAAGCTGTTTGTTATCAATCTGCAAAGTAGAGAGCAGCTTTCTGTAGGTGTCCTTGGCAGTGGATCCCTCCCCCAACACCGCCCCCACCTCATACCCGAAATCATCTAGGGAATGTCTACCTCAGAATGGGTGAGGTACAACATGACAGAGCCAGCATGCCTGAAGTGGAGCAGATGGAAATATAATCAAAATCCCTCTCTTCCAGTGGGGACTTATGCATGTGCTAATTTTTGGCCAGCAACCACTCCATTACCCCAACTGCTGGCTTCCTCATGCCAATATGAGCCATTGCAATAAGGGAAATAACTACTGTTCTTTTTGGCTCTCCTATTTTTAAAAAAATTTAAAATTTTTTAATTTTTGTAGGTCTATAGTAGATGTATATATTTTTGTGTTACATGAGATATTTTGATACAGGCATGCAATGCGTAATAATCACATCAGGGTAAATGGATTATTCATCCCCTCAAGCATTTATCCTTTGTGTTACAAACAATCCAATTATACTCTTTTAGTTATTTTTAAAATGTATGGTTGTATTAGTCCGTTCTCCCACTGTTATAAAGAACTACCTGATACTGGGTAATTTACAAGGAAAAGAGGTTTAATTGACTCACAGTTCCATGGGCTGTACAGGAAGCATGGCTGGGGAGGACTCAAACTTATAATATGGCAGAAGACGAAGGAGAAGCAGGCACTTCTTATATGGCCAGAGGAGAGCAGGGGGAGTGCTACACACTTTTAAACAATCAGATCCCATGAGAACTCATTCACTATCACGAGAACAGCAAGGGTATAATCCACCCCTATGATCCAATCACCTCCTACCAGTCCCCTCCACCAACATTGGGGATTATAATTCAACATGAGATTTGGGAGGGGATACAAATCCAAACCATATCAATGATTAAATTATTTTTTACTATAGTTACCCTGTTGTACTAGCAAATACTAGGTCTTTCTCATTCTTTCTCTTTTTTTGTACTCATTGACCACCCCCAATTCCTCCTCATCCCCCACTACCCTTCCCAGCCTTTGGTAACCATCCTTATATTCTCTACCCCCATGAGTTCAATCATTTTAATTTTTTTTTTTTTTTTTTTTTGAGACGGAGTCTCGCTCTGTTGCTCAGGCTGGAGTGCAGTGGCGCGATCTCGGCTCACTGCAACCTCTGCCTCCTGGGTTCAAGCGATTCTCCTGCCTCAGCTTCCAGAGTAGCTGGGATTGCAGGCATGCACCACCATGCCTGGCTAATTTTTGTATTTTTAGTAGAGACGGGGTTTCACTGTGTTAGTCAGACTGGTCTCGAACTCCTGACCTCATGATCTGCCTGCCTTGGCCTCCCAAAGTGCTGGGATTACAGGCATGAGCCACCATGCCCAGCCCAATAGTTTTAATTTTTAGCTCCCACAAATAAGTGAGAACATGTGGTTTCTCTTTCTATACCTGGTTTATTTCACTTAATATAATGACCTCCACTTCCATCCACGTTGTTGCAAATGACAGATCTCATTTTTTTTATGGCTGAATAGTACTTCGTTGTGTATATGTACCACATTTTCTTTATCCATTTCTCTGTTGATGGACACTTAAGCTGCTTCCAAGTCTTGACTACTGTGAATAGCACTGCAGTAAACATGGGAGTGTAGGTATCTCTTCAATATATTGATTTCTTTTCTTTTGAGTATGTATCTAGGAGTAGAATTTCTAGATTGTATGGTAGCTCTATTTTTAGCTTTTTGAGGAACTTTCAAACTGTTCTCCAAGGTGGCTGTGCTAATTTACTTTCTCATTAACAGTGTACAAGGATTCCCTTTTTTCCACATCCTGTCCAGCGTTTGTTATTGCCTGTCTTTTGGATAAAAGTCATTTTAACTGGGGTAAGATGATAATCTTATTGTAGTTTTGATTTTCATTTATCTGATGATTGGTGATGTTGTGCACCTTTTCACATATTTTTCACATACTTGTTTGCCATTTGTATGTCTTCCTTTGAGAAATGTCTATTTCGATCTTTTTTTTTTGAGACGGAGTCTCACTCTGTCACCTGGGCTGGAGTGCAGTGGCACATCTCATCTCACTGCAACCTCCGCCTCCTGGGTTCAAGTGATTCTGTTGCCTCAGCCCCTGAGTAGCTGGGATTACAGGCGCCCACCACTACGCCCAGCTAATTTTTTGTATTTTTAGTAGAGACGGGGTTTCACCATGTTGGCCAGGCTGGTCTTGAACTCCTGATCTCGTGACTTGCCCACCTCGGCCTCCCAAAGTGCTGGGATTACAGCTGTGAGCCACTGCGCCTGGCCTTATTCAGACCTTTTACCCATTTTTTAATCAGATTATTAGATTTTTTTCTATAGAGCTGTTACAGCTTCTTATATAGGGATGTGAAGGACCTCTTCAAGGAGAACTACAAACCACTGCTCAACGAAGTAAAAGAGGACACAAACAAATGGAAGAACATTCCATGCTCATGGATAGGAAAAATCAATATCATGAAAATGGCCATACTGCTCAAGGTAATTTATAGATTCCATGCCATCCCCATCAAGCTACCAATGACTTTCTTCACAGAATTGGAAAAATCTACTTTAAAGTTCATATGGAACCAAAAAAGAGCCTGCATTGTCAAGATAATCCTAAGCAAAAAGAACAAAGCTGGAGGCATCATGCTACCTGACTTCAAACTATACTACAAGGCTACAGTAACCAAAACAGCATGGTACTGGTACCAAAACAGAAATATAGACCAATGGAATGGAACAGATCCCTCAGAAATAATACCACACATCTACAACCATCTGATCTTTGACAAACCTGAAAAAGACAAGAAATAGGGAAAGGATTCCCTATTTAATAAATGGTGCTGGGAAAACTGGCTAGCCATATGTAGAAAGCTGAAACTGGATCCCTTCCTTCCACCTTATACAAAAATTAATTCAAGATGGATTAAAGACTTAAATGTTAGACCTAAAACCATAAAAACCCTAGAAGAAACCTAGGCAATACCATTCAGTACATAGGCATGGGCAAGGACTTCATGACTGAAACACCAAAAGCAATGGCAACAAAAACCAAAATTGACAAACAGGATCCAATTAAACTAAAGAGCTTCTGAACAGCAAAAGAAATCATCAGAGTGAACAGGCATCCTACAGAATGGGAGAAAATTTTTACAATCTACCCATCTGACAAAGGGCTAATATCCAGAATCTACAAAGAACTTAAACAAATTTGCAAGAAAAAAATCAAACAACCCCATCAAAAAGTGGGCAAAGGATATGAACAGACACTTCTCAAAAGAAGACATTTATGCAGCCAACAGACAGATGAAAAAATGTTCATCATCACTGGCCATCAGAGACATGCAAATCAAAACCACAATGAGATACCATCTCACACCAGTTAGAATGGCAATCATTAAAAAGTCAGGAAACAACAGGTGCTGGAGAGGATGTGGAGAAATAGGAACACTTTTACACTGTTGGTGGGACTGTAAACTAGTTCAACCATTGTGGAAGACAGTGTGGCGATTCCTCAAGGATCTAGAACTAGAAATATCATTTGACCCAGCCATCCCATTACTGGGTATGTACCCAAAGGATTATAAATCATGCTGCTATAAAGACACATGCACATGTATGTTTATTGTGGCACTATTCACAATAGCAAAGACCTGGAACCAACCCAAATGTCCATCAGTGGTAGACTGGATTAAGAAAATGTGGCATGTATACACAGTGGAATATTATGCACCCATAAAAAGGATGAGTTCACGTCCTTTGTAGGGACATGGATGAAGTTGGAAACCATCATTCTGAGCAAACTATCACAAGGATAGAAAACCAAACACCACATGTTCTCACTCATAGGTGGGAATTGAACAATGAGAACACTTAGACACAGGGTGGGGAACATCACACACCAGGGCCTGTCGTGGGCTGGGGGGAAGGGGGAGGGATAGCATTAGGAGATATACCTAATGTAAAAGATGAGTTAATGGGTGCAGCATACCAACATGGGACATGTATACATAACGTAACAAACCTGCACATTGTGCACATGTACCCTAGAACTTAAAAGTATAATAAAAATAAATAAATAAATATAAAAATAAAAGATTAAAAAAACTCATCAATGAAACTAATTTTTTATCTGATAAAATAATTCTAAAAAAAAAAAACACTTGATGTTATCCCATCTGTCCATTTTTGCTTTGGTTGCCTGTGCTTGTGGGGTATTACTCAAGAAATCTTTGCCCACTCCAATGTCCTTGAGAGTCTCCCCAATGTTTTCTTGTAGTAGTTTCATGGTTTGATGTCTCAAAGTCCATTTTGACTTGATTTTTGTATATAGCAAGAGATAGGAGTCTAGTTTCATTCATCTGCATATGGATATCCAGTTTTCCCAGCACAATTTATTGAAGGGATTGTCTTTTCCTTTATATTCTTGGCTCTTTTGTCAAAAATTAGTTCACTGTAGATGTATGAGTTTATTTCTTGTTTCTCTATTCTGTTCCACTGGTCTATGTGTCTGTTTTCATGCCAGTACTATGCTATTTGGGTTGCTATAGCTGTGGTATAATTTGAAGTCAGATAATATGATTCCTCCTGATTTATTCTTTTTGCTTCAGATAGCTTTGGCTACTCTGGGTCTTTTGTGGTTCCATGTAAATTTTAGAATTTTTTTTTTCTATTTCTGTGAAGAATGTCATTGGTATTTTGTTAGGTATTGCATTGAATCTGTAGATTGCTTTGGGTAGTATGAACATTCTTCCAATCTATAAGCATGGAATATCTTTCATTTTTTTTTTGTGGCCTCTTCAACTTCTTGTGTCAACATTTTATAGTTTTCACGGTAGAGATCTTTCACTTCTTTGGTTAATTACTAGGTACTTTATTTTATTTTTAGCTATTGTTAACAGGATTACTTTCTTGATTTCTTTTTCAGATTGTTCCCTGTTAGCATATAGAAATGCTGATTTTTGGGCCGGGCGCGGTGGCTCACGCCTGTAATCCCAGCACTTTGGGAGGCCGAGGCGGGCGGATCACGAGGTCAGGAGATCGAGACCATCCTGGCTAACACGGTGAAACCTCGTCTCTATTAAAAACACAAAAAATTAGCGGGGCGTGGTGGCGGGCGCCTGTGGTCCCAGCTACTCAGGAGGCTGAGGCAGGAGAATAGAGTGAACCCGGGAGGCGGAGCGTGCAGTGAGCCGAGACAGCGCAACTGCAGTCCAGCCTGGGCGAAAGAGGGAGACTCCGTCTCAAAAAAAAAAAAAAAGAAAAAGAAAGAAAAAGAAATGCTGATTTTTGTATGATGATTTTGTATACTGTGACCTTGTTGAATTTGTGTATCAGTTCTAATGGTTTTTTGGTGGAGTCTTTAGGTTTTTCCAAATATAATAAGATCATCTGAAAACAAGGATAATTTGACTTCTTCCTTTCCAATTTGTATGCCATTTCTTTCTTTCTCTTGTCTGATTACATAGGACTTCCAGTATTATGTTGAAAAACAGTGGTAAAGTGGGCATCCTTGTGTTCTAGATCTTAGAGGAAGGGCTTTTAGTTTCTCCCTATTCATTATGATACTAGTGGTCGGTCTATTCTATATGGCTTTTCTTATGTTGAGGTATGTTCCTTCTATACACAGTTTTTTGGGAATTTTTATCATGAAGGGATGTTGAATTTTATCAACTGCTTTTTCAGCATCAACTGAAATGATAATATGGTTTTTGTCCTTCATTCTGTAGATAAGACATATCACAGTGTTTGATTTGCATATGTCCAACCACCCTTGCATCCCTGGGATAAATCCCACTTGATCATGATGGATGATCTTTTTAATATGTTGTTGAACCCAGTTTGCTAGTATTTTGCTGAGGATTTTTACATCAATATTCATCAGAGATACTGGCCTGTAGCTTTCTTTTTTTGATGTACTTTTGTCTGGTTTTGGTATCAGGGTAATACTGGCCTTGTAGAATGAGTTTGGAAGTATTCCCTCCTCTTCTATGTTTCAGAGTAGTTTGAGTACGGTTGGTATTAGTTCTTCAAGTCTTTGGTAGAATTCAGCAGTGAATACTTCGGGTCCCAGATCTTGTTACTTGTTATTTATCTGTTCAGGTTTTAGATTTCTTCAGGGTCCAATATTGGTAGGATGTATGTGTATAGGAGTTTATACATTTCTTCTAGATTTTCCAATTTATTGGCATATAATTGCTCATAGTAGCCACCAATGATCCTTTGAATTTCTGTATTATCAGTTGTAATGTCTCCTCTTTCATTTCTGATTTTATTTATTTGGGTCTTTTCTCTTCTGTTCTTAGTTAACATGGCTGAAAGTTTCTAAATTCTTTCTCTGTGTTATCTTGAATTTCTTTGAGTTTCCTCAAACAGCTTTTTTGAATTACCTGTCTGAAAGGTCACATATCTCTGTCTCTCCACCCTGGTGCCTTATTTAGTTCCTTTGGTGAGGTCATGTTTTCCTGGATGGTCTTGATACTTGTGGAAGTTCGTCAGTGTCTGGACATTGAAGAGTTAGGTATTTATTGTAGTCTTTGACATTTAGGACTGTTTGTACCTGCCCTCCTTGGGAAGGCTTTCCATATATTCAAAAAAACTTGGGTGTTGTGATCTAAGCCATATCTATATTACAGAGCACCGCAAGTGCAGTAATGCTATGGTTCTTGCAGACTTATAGAGGTACCACCTTTGTGGTCTTAAATAAGATCCAGAAGAATTCTCTGGATTACCAAGCAGAGACTTTTGTTCTCTTCCCTTACTTTCTCCCAAACAAATGGAGTCTCTATTTCTCTGTGCTGAGCTGCTTGGAGCTGGGGGTGGGGTCACACAAGCACCCTTGTGGCTACCATCACTGAGACTGCACTGGGTCAGACCTGAAGCTAGCACAGCACTGGATATTGCCCAAGGCCCACTGTGACTACTACCAGGCTACCACCTATTTTTGTTCAAGGCTCTAGCACTCTACAATCAGCAGGTGCAAAGCCAGCCAGGTTTGTGTCTTTCCCTTCAGGGTGATGAGTTCCTCCAGGCCCCAGGCAGGTCCACAGATGCCATCTGGGAGTTTGGCTCTCTTATTTTTATAGTTAGGGATAAGAATAGCATGCTATGTAATTCAAACTTCCATTTTCATTAGGTATCTTCTGGAATGTTTTCACATTCTGTCCTACTCTACGTTCAAACAAAATGAAATCAGTATTATTATCCCCATTTTACCGATTAGATAACTGATGTATGGAGAAGTAACACAGCTTTCCCAAGGTCACATAAGGACACAATAAACTAGAATCCAAATCTCCAGACTCCTCATCCAACATTTATTTATTTATTTAGTTAGTTAGTTATTTTTTGAGACAGAGTCTCGCTCTGTCACCCAGGCTGGAGTGCAGTGGCGCAATCTCGGCTCACTGCAACCTCCGCCTCCTGGGTTCAAGCGATTCTCCTGTCTCAGCCTCCTGAGTAGCTGGGATTACAGGTGTGTGCCACCGCGCCTGGCTAATTTTTGTATTTTTAGTAGAGACAAGGTTTCACCATGTTGGTCAGGCTGGTCTTGAACTCCTGACCTGGTGATCCACCCACCTCGGCCTCCCAAAGTGCTGGGATTACAGGCGTGAGCCATCACGCTTGGCTCATCTAACATTTAATCTGCCACACTCTCCTGCCTCTCTGGGGTGGTGGTATATTTCATTTAGTTCCCCTCTTCTCTCCAACACAACAGGCACAGGGAAAATAAAGGAGAGTGTTGGGTCGGGCGCAGTGGCTCACATCTGTAATCCCAGCACTTTGGGAGGCTGAGGCGGGAAGATCACGAGGTCAGGAGATCGAGACCATCCTGGCTAACACGGTGAAACCCTGTCTCTACTAAAAATACAAAAACGTAGCCGGGCGTGGTGGCGGGCGCCTGTAGTCCCAGCTACTCAGGAGGCTGAGGCAGGAGAATGGCATGAACCCGGGAGGCGGAGCTTGCAGTGAGCCAAGATTGCGCCACTGCACTCCAGCCTGGGCGACAGAATGAGACTCTGTCTCAAAAAAAAAAAAAAAAGAAAGAAAGGAGAGTGTTCCCAAATTATCCCTGCCAATCATCATCCCTGAATTTTGTTAATTAAATACATAGCAAATCAATGGGGGAAAATCACTGCACTTTCTCCCCGAAATAGCACAGAAGTGTCAGATTCTTCAACGACAATGTGAAACACATTTTCTAGATTAAAGAAGGAATTGGTATAGGGAATAATGCAGCCATGCTTCCTAATTGCCTAGAAGGTCCTGGTTTCATGTAATTTTATTCTTTTTATAAAAGAGATTTAATAATTTCTAATTAACCAATGTGCTAATTTTTTTCTTTTCTTTTTTTTTTTTTTAGAGACAGGGTCTTGCTCTGTCCCCAAGGCTGGAGTGCAGTGGAGCAATCTCGGCTCACTGCAAGCTCCGTCTCCTTGCTCAAGTGATCCTCTCACCTCAGCCTCCCTAGTAGCTGGGGCTACAGGCACGTGCCACCACACCCAACTAATTTTTGTATTTTTGTGGAGATGAGGTTTTGCCATGTTGTCCAGGCTGGTCTTGAACTCCTGGGCTCAAGTGATCCACCTGTCTGGGCTTCCCAAAGTGCTGGGATTACAGGCATGAGCCTGGCCTTGATTTTTCAAATAAAATCATTCACAAATAAATAAAAAACTTCTGTCAGACTATGTATTCTGAGTTTTGGCTTGGAAAAGAGGACTACGGTATCTTTAAGGACTTCTCTTCTTTGGGTTCAGGGTCTGGTTTTGGTAAAGTTGTAAAAGGTTGTCTTTGGTCTTATTTTCAACCCTCTTAGCTGTACCTCTTCACCAGGTAAACATTTTTCCTACCTGGAATTTTCCCAGTGACTCACAGAGTCCATCTTATATTCCATTGCTAAAGACCTTGTTTTCAACTGGTTGCAATTAAAGAAGCATAATGTATTATATCTCTTGAGAATGGCTGCGGGAGAATGGGGTGACTTTTTTAAGCTTCAAAAGCCATGAAGAGTCAAGCAATGCAGGCACTAGGGGTAATGTTTTTACAATGGGCTGAAGGTGGCAGGGTGCATTCTGATACCTCTCCAATTCACTCTATGAAGGCAGCTACCCACTGGACAGGCCTTTGTTACAAAGATTTCCTCCAGGACACAACAGCATTTTGATGGGACTAAGTATTAAAGCAGGCATATATTAGGAGGGTGGATAGCCTGTGCAAAAATTGTAGAAGTCAGATAGACCAGGGTCCAAATCCTAGCTATATCTTTTACTTGACAACCTCAGGAAAGGCTGTAGTGTTCTCTGGGTCTCAGTTTTCTCATGCATATAAAATGAGGATAAAAATATCTACCAAGGACTGTAAAGAATAAATACATGAACTAGCAGAGTGACTGGCATATGGTGAGTGATAAGAGATAGTTATAATTCACATGGAATAATAAATTTGAGAGAACCAAGATTAAGAGAATAAAAAGAGAAAATATTGGAGGGTGGAGGTAGCTCAGAGTATTCTAATTACCTGCATTGTTAAATCTCAAAACTTAAGAGCTAATGCAAATGACTTGGAGAAATAGTGTACCAATGTTCATCCACTTGAAGTCTTTCTGCTATGTGGCATATAGAAAGGGTGCCCGCATGTTCTTATATGCTTGCAACAGCTCCCATTTGCGCAATTATATAAGGCAACGCAGTCCTATTTTATGCCTGTTGTCATATTATAATTATGAATAATGATCTCTTTGAAAGTATTGAGATTTGAACAATGAATTTCACAGTCACCTACATATAGAGAATGTCTTTTTAGGCTCAGTGTGGTGGCTCATGCCCATAATCCCAGCACTGTGGGAGGGTGAGGCGGGCAGATTTCTTGAGGTCAGGAATTTGAGATCAGTCAGGCCAACATGGTGAAGCTCCATCTCTACTAAAAATACAAAAAGTTAGCTGGGTGTGGTGGCGCATGTGGGAGGCTGAGGCAGGAGAATTGCTTGAACCCGGGAGGCGGAGGTTGCAGTGAGCCAAGATCATGCTGCTGCACTTCAGCCTGGGTGACAGAGTGAGACTCTGTCTCAAAAAAAAAAAAAAAAAAAAAAAAGGAAGTCTTTTTATTTTAATGGAACATTTTACTATTTACTAGTA
The DNA here is from genome assembly GCF_000001405.40 of Homo sapiens. Taxonomy (NCBI): domain Eukaryota; kingdom Metazoa; phylum Chordata; class Mammalia; order Primates; family Hominidae; genus Homo; species Homo sapiens. The sequence continues at coordinate 167,893,764 of NC_000001.11, forward strand.
GCTGCTGTTTTTTTTTTCTTAAATCTTAAAATTCCAGCTGTCCAGATCCCTGACATCCCCAAAGCCAGTAAATTCAATTTTGAAAATACCTGCTTCAAAATGCTTTCCATCACATACTTTTGTAGGGACATCTCCAGTTCAGGATCAGGCTTCAGCGTGCATGCAAGCCTCAGGAGGTCTAAGAAGGCAGAAGGAGGGTGCAGGCTCAGAGAGGGAAGTTTGGCTCTGCAGTGCTAGTGAGAGGAGGCTCCCAGTCCCTATTCTCTTGGGCAGTGGGCCTTCTTGTCCTTACAGTTGTCAGGAGACTCTGGGACACCTAGGGGCTGAAAGGGCCAGGGGAAATCCAAAGAGGAGCTCTTAGAGGTTAAAGGTTTCCCAAAATTCAGTCACATGTAGCTCAAAACCTTGTTCAAACTGACATGACGCTTTGGGACTTAGGGAGATTTTCACTTCTGAACTTGGTTTAGAACTATTGCCACAGGAGATGGGAACAAACAAATGAGGGAATGACAAGAGAGGAGCATGGTGACAGAATGAAGGGGATGGTAGAGTTGAAAGGGCAGCAGGAATAACATTAAGAAGACTGGTTTCTGATCTCAGGCTTGATACCGCTTCACTGTGTGACCCTGGAGAAGTCACTTTGCTGCCCTGGTTGCCTCCTATTTCCTCACCTGGGAAAAGAGTAGTTGAGCTTCATGATCTCTGTGGTTCCCTTCACTATAAAGATTGATAGTTTTATGCTCTAGGATAGACTGATAAGAGATGGTAGGAATGAGTTTGAGGGAGTCAAAAAATAAGGGAGACAGAAATGGCAAAGGGTTTTCAGCAGGGAAGAAAATGATAATGTGAAAAAAAATGTGTGTGTGTGTGTGTGTTTAATTTGGCTGGTCCTGATTTGTAGCCTTTATAATAAAACCATAACTGTAAGTGTAGCACTTTGCTGAGTTCTGTGAGTCATTTCAGTGAATTACTGAACCTGAGGGCATTAAGGAGATCCCCAGATTTGTAGGTAGTTGGTCAGAAGTGCCGGTGGTCTGGGGATCCCAGAGCTTGCAGCTAGTGTCTGAAGTTTGTAGAGGATTCAACCAATGAAATCCTGCACTAACTCCAGGTGGTTATAACATCAGAATTGCACTGCAGGCCGAGCACGGTGGCTCACACCTGTAATCCCAGCACTTTGGGAGGCCAAGGCAGGCGGATCATGAGGTCAAGAGATGGAGACCATCCTGGCCAACATGGGAAACCCTGTCTCTACTAAAAATACAAAAATTAGCTGGGTGTGGTGGCACGCCTCTGTATTCCCAGCTACTCAGGAGGCTGAGGCAGGAGAATCGCTTGAACCCGGGAGGCAGAGGTTGCAGTGAGCCCATATCGCGCCAGTGCACTCCAACCTGGTGGCAGAGTGAGACTCCATCTCAAAAAAAAAAAAAAAAAGGAATTGCATTGCAGTATTATGGTGCTCAAAGTAAGGCCTGAAGAAACCCTTTATAGAAGGTACCATTAAGACCCAGGAGATGGCATTAGTAAAGCTCAAGGAGTGGGTAATGTCATGAGGCTTTCTCCTTCATCTCTGGAGCTTCTGAGGTTCTTGGCCTTTCCTGATCAATGTTTGTACAGTCTCCCCACTCCCCACCCCACTGCCTATTGTGGCTTTGTAAAAGTACAGTCTTCTATTTGTAACATCTAAAATACTCCAGACCTGTACATAAATGATGAGAAAGAATGATTCAAAGATGTTTCTGATGTTTCTCACTTGGATGGAGTTTTCAGGGAAGGGTAAGTAGCTAAAGTTCAGATACGTTAATATTAGATGCCTATTTGACATCCAGTGGAAGTCGCCCATAGGTAGGGTATTTTGTTTGTTTTTTATGAATTCAGGACAAAAATCTGTCCTAGAATTCAGGACAAAAGACTGAAGCGAATTCTGGCTGTTAGGTCTGAGACTCGGGTGATGTAAGCAACTTGCAGGACCTTGAGAGTGAGTGTCTGCTTAAGTTTTGTGATACAGTCTTCTCACTTGCCTCATCTTACTCATATGGAAGTTAAGCACGAATAAATGGTTCACTAAGAAGTGAGTAGAGAAGACTAGAAGGTCAAAGACAGATACCTGAAGTCACCAACATTTAAGACATGGAAAGGAAACTAAGCAAAGAGGACTGAAAATAGGTGATTTGAGACGTAAAGGCAAAACTAGAAAAGAATAATACTTTTGAACTCAAGGAAAAAGGAGAAGGTAGTGTCCAAGAAAAGAGCATAAGCTATGGTCAACCATCTAGGATGAGGCCTGAGAAGAGGTCACCTGGTTTGGCAAATTAATGGTCCTTGGTGGCCTTGACATAAACAGTCTCAGTAGACAGCAGGGGACTAGCGTAGAAGCTAGGTGTCAGCGGTGCAAGACTGAAGAGCAGGTGAGCACAGACATCAAGGTGCTTGCAATCAATATTTATTGGATGAATAAATAAATAAGGGGACATGAGAGCAGGTATAAATACATTTACAGATTACTTTTCCTAGAAGTTTATTGGTGAAGGTTAGGAGGGGAAAGCAGCACGGAAAGAAGCTTTACTTTTTCTTTTATCCTAGGGGATACTTATTAATGTTTGATGGATGAGGGAAAGGAGTCAGTGCCTAGGGAGAGGTGGATGGTGTGGGGAGTGTCATACTTAGAATTGCTGTCCCGGAGAATGGGAAGTAGGTCCCCTTTGTGTGCTGGTAAGGACCAGGAGCTGTGTTGAGGAGCCCACCCACCAGTAATGAAGCTGTCGGCATTGATATAAGACCCTACTGACCACTGGTAGAGGCAAAGGCATTTTTCCATGGTGGGTACTTACTTTTGTGCTCACCAGAAGGATAATAATGCATGAAGGTCGTACACTTTGTGAAAAATTCATCAAAATTAAAATTGGGGGGTGGTTTTAAGAAGTTAACCTAAATAAAAGCAAATGAGAAGTTTTCAGTTATTCTGAGAACTGTTTAATCCTTTGAAGTGTAATTTCTTAGCAGAAAGAGAGTATGCTTTTGACTGAACAGTGATTGGCACACTTAAACACCAAGACTATTTGATTTGTAAAATTGAAATTTTAAATTGAAAATCTAAAAAATCTTTCCAATTACAGTGTTCACTCACATCTCAATGTTTGGTATATGTACAGAGAGGGTCATTCCAAGGGGGACTAATCTTATACTTTTCTGCCCTTAGAACTTTTTCCTGCTTTTTTTCCTTCATAACATTTTAATTCAAATAAAACCTGGTTAAACTGCACACCATTTCTTCCTTATAAGTGTTAAAGGACGGGGGCTGATGGCCAAAAAGGAATTAGGAGCATCACCAGTCATAAGACATCAAGATCATGAGACACATGTGATGACACACTGAGGATGGCACGATCTCATTTTTGTGGTATTCTTGGTTAAAAAAAAAAAAAAGCATAAACTTGGTCCAATAAAGAGAAAACATCAGGCCTGTAATCCTAGCACTTTGGGAGGCTGAGGTGGGCAGATTGCTTGAGCTCAGGAGTTCGAGACCAGCCTGGGTAACAATGGTGAAATCCTGTCTCTACCAAAAATACAAAAAAAAAAAAAAATTAGCCAGGTGTAGTGGCACATGTCTGTGGTCCCAGTTACTCAGGAGGCTGTGGTGGGAGAATCGCTTGAGACTGGGAGTTAGAGGTTGAAGTGAGCTGAGATCATGCCACCTCACTCCCCACTGGGTGACAGAGTAAGATTCCATCTCAAAAAAAAATATATATATATGTATATATATATAGAGAGAGAGAGAGATATGTTGTTGGAGATGCAGAAGAGATGAGAGAAAGCATCAGGCAGTGCTAACCAGAGATGTGTGTGACAACATCGGCTGGCAACTCTCTTGTGTCACGGTCACTGCAAGACAACGGAACCACTGAAGTGCTGTTGCAGACTGCAGGAGACTACATCAAAAATATCAACAAGGCCGGGCGCCAGGGGCTCACGCCTGTAATCCCAGCACTTTGGGAGGCCGAGGCGGGCGGATCAGGAGGACAGGAGATCGAGACCATCCCGGCTAAAACGGTGAAACCCCGTCTCTACTAAAAATACAAAAAATTAGCCGGGCGTACTGGCGGGCGCCTGTAGTCCCAGCTACTTGGGAGGCTGAGGCAGGGGAATGGCGTAAACCCGGGAGGCGGAGCTTGCAGTGAGCCGAGATCGCGCCACTGCACTCCAAGCCTGGGGCGACAGAGAGAGACTCTGTCTCAAAAAAAAAAAAAAAAAAAAAAAAAAAATCAACAAAATGCAATGTGAGATCATGCATACAGTCCTGGAACATTCCACTAAGTGGACCACAGTGGGAAAACTGGTGACATTCAAATAAGGTCTTTAACTAGTGCATAGTATTGTACCAATGTTAATTTCCTGGTTTTGACTATTGCAGTCTTGTTATGAAAGATGTTAACATTAGGGGAAGGTAGGTGAGGGATATATGGAAACTCTGTATTATTTTTTCAACTTTTCTGTAAGTCTAACATGAATTCAAAGTTAAAACAATTTTTAAAGGTATCAAGAATGATTGAAGAGAGGCTGGGCGTGGTGGCTTACACCTATAATCCCAGCACTTTGGGAGGCTGAGGTGGGTGGATCACGAAGTCAGGAGTTCAAGACCAGCCTGGCCAAGATGGTGAAACCCCGTCTCTACTAAAAATACAAAAAATTAGCTGGGCGTGGTAGCGGGCACCTGTAATTCCAGCGACTCGGAAGGTTGAGGCAGGGAATTGCTTGAACCCGGGAGGCGGAGGTTGCAGTGAGCCGAGATCACGCCATTGCACTCTAGCCTGGTCAACAGAGCGAGACTCCGTTTTTTTTTTTTTAAAAAAAGAATGATTGAAGAGCATGGGAATGGGCTATTGCTATAAGCCAGCTAGGCCATGCAGGCTGGATATGTCTTGCTGGAAGAGTGAGGAGTGGGTGGTGGTGGTGAGGGTTGTAGGCTGATGCATGAGTGTGGGAGTGCCTCCTATCTTGACCAGCATCTGCACGGATTCTCTGTCTTTTCTTTCTTTCTGCCGCGTAGTCCCATTCCTTTGGCTCATCTAGCAGCACACCTTTCTTCCACTTTCATACCCTCAAAGCACAGCTTTTTTAATTGTCCATATCCCAGGGACAGTTCTGCTTATAGTCAATCTGCAACTTAACCACAATGTTTTCTACTAGGCAGAGCCACAGGAAGAGAAGTCTCTCTTCTATCACTGAACTTCGCCGCACTTGCTCAACTCCAACCTTTACCTTCAGTGATCCCTCATCCTGGGTTAGGAGGGTGTTGGGTAAAGAAAGTGAGGGTCAATGACAGCCTTTAAAACTATTCCCCTCTGCTCCTGGATGAACCGGCAGACCCTTCTGGTTCCTTAAGCAAGGTCGCTAGCCCCTCAAAAGGCCTCAATCCCCAAATTCCATATCCTCAGTTACCCATAAAGAAGCCTAATCATTTCCTCCTCAAGCTCACCAGCCTGGGCTCCTCCCAGAGGAGCTGCCCTGGACTAAAGCCTCTGTAGCCTAACCCAGACTGACCCCATCCCAATCTCCAGCCCAGGAGCTTTATGAAACCAGCGTGCCCAGTGACTCTTCTGGCAGGGGGCCTCTGTTACAGGCTGGCAGAACTTTCTGTAAGTAGCAGCATCACACCCACCTTAACTGCTCTCTGATCTGGAACACTCTCAATTTCAATCATGCTCCGGTCACAGAGCTGCCAGCAGTTTGGTGACAGAATAACATCATTCATCTGAGCCATGTTCTGGGCAAGGCGCACATCGTCCACTGCCTGACCAATCACCAGAAAGTGGCTGTGTGTTTCATCTCCAAAGACCAACATGCTGATGTGGCCAGCAGCCAGTCCTGGCAAGAAGGCAAGGAATAGGTTTGCACAAGAAGTTCTGGATTATTTCCCAGCAGCACAGGTTTTTGGAAAAACCATAATCTTGGTGGGACTATACTATCTCAGAGCAAAATCTCACTTCTAAAACTTTACATAGGAATTATGGCATACCTCTTTTGGGCTCGGGCCTTCCAAAGCTCCCCTTCTTCCAAAGCTAGAAAGTTCTACCACTAAATTTTGCCTGTCTGTAACATTATCTCACTACATGGTCCTACCAGTCCCCAAAGTTATTTTTACCTTTTCTTCAATTATGTATACTTAAGGGCAACAGGGAATACCTTTAATAATTCTTATTTTGGGAGAATTTGCATTTTAGCAGAGATTGAAGCTGTAACTAAAAATAATCCCTTAGGGTTGAATTTTAGACAACAAAGGGTGGGGGAAAGGAAGTATGCATTTGACAGTTACACATCCCATCCCAACAACCATTTCTCTCATTGCTTTTAAGTTGGTAAATGAAAGTTTTGGAACCTAAGTGACAGAAGAAGATATTGTATAATATGACATGTACACAAAATATATGTATAAATGAACTGTAAGTGACACACATTTCTTTCAAATGACTGTAATACAATCAATGTTTATTTTTTATCTTCGCTCTCTGCTATACTGATTTGTCAGGGCTGACTCCCCCCTGATTCTACATACAGTTTGTTTTCTATCTGAAACACACTGATGTTTGGACTTACTCTAAAAAAAGGTGCTGGGACCCACCTCACTAACAGCCAATCAGCATGCAAGAGGGGGCTGGGTTCCCATCATTCTCAAGAAGGATAACACATCAGACTCCTTGGGTACTAACTTAGAAAAAATATTCAGTATTATAATAACTTTGATTTTTTTTTCAACAAAATATTTAACTTATTTGGGCTTTTTTTTTTGAGATGGAGTTTCACGCTTGTTGCCCAGGCTGGAGTGCAATGGCGCCATCTCGGCTCACTGCAACCTCCGCCTCCTGGGTTCAAGCAATTCTCCTGCCTCAGCCTCCCAAGTAGCTGAGATTACAGGCACCCGCCATCACGCCTGGCTAATTTTTGTATTTTAGTAGAGACGGGGTTTCACCATGTTGGTCAGGCTGGTCTCAAACTCCTGACCTCAGGTGATCCACCCACCTTGGCCTCCCAAAGTGCTGGGATTACAGGTGTGAGCCACTGCACCTGGCCTTATTTGGAAATTTTTAACAACATCAAAAGCGGGCCTAGGTTAAAGAAGGCTGAGAAACAGTTAATTGTATAACTGCTGATGATCCTATCAGGTATGACATGTGAGAATTCTAAGTTTTGCAAAGTTTAGTTAGGCGGAAGCTAACACCAACAGCACCAACCATAACTCTGTTACTCATTACTTATACCTCTCAGAATCTCATTTTTCATCTATGAAATGGATACAATGATGCCTGTATCTCAGGACTGTCATATAGTGTGCGTAATGTTTGCACGTGCATAGTGTGTAATGTCTGCAATGTAATAAGGAAATATGTGTGACTATTACTATATTATATGTATAACTTTAAGAAGCCTTGTGTAAAGCTGGAGCTGTGTTGCAGGCTGACCTGTTAAGCTTTTCCTACACCTCATTCTTATGAGGTAGGGGGTGACCAGTCTCATGTCGTTGCTGAAACTATGTAATGGCAAGCTAGTCTCTATTTTGTTTTATACTGCACAACCTTGACAAGCAGCAAGATGGAATAATAATAACAGCAGTAGCAGTCATAAAGACTATTTTATTGGGTGGTTCCTATGCATTAACTACCATACCAACTAATTTACTTTTTGTAATAGCTTATTAGGTAGATATTATGATTAACCCAAATTCTCTCAACTGGTATGTGAGGAAGCCAAAATTCACATTCTGATTGTCCTGATGCCAAAGTTCAGGGCATCATGGGGCTGAGCCACCATGTTCTACTACTTCTCTTTGGGAGAGAGAGATGCCCCAGGAGTCAAGACCCTATCCCAGCTGCCGTAGGATTTATTCCTTCTCAAATGCTTACCTATCTTGACTCGGATGTCTAGGCCTTCTTCCCACTCCTGGGTCTCAAACAATCCATGGATCTCCAGGCTACATTTAATTACCACTGTGATAATGTTTTTCAGCTGCTTTCGCTCCACCCTCCACAGGGCTAGCAGTGCATCACCTTCAGAGAGAGACATGCCGCGGGCTTTTGACCTGCCCTGGGGATCAATCTATTTTGTATGAGATCTGTATAGAAACTTACTCATCAAGCATTCCTCAGCCTATCTCCTGGCCACTCCCTTCTCTAGGATGCCTCCTTTGTCCCCAACACAGAAGCACAGGCACCTCAGCACTCCTTTCTTACCCCTTCTATCTTAGTAAGCCCCCATACCTGCAAATTTCAGGATGTCTCCTCCAAAAATCAACACTTCTGAGAAAAAAAAAAAAAATTAAATCAAACCCTGATTCCTTAAAGGTAGTAAAAAAACATCATTCTTTCTTAGTGGAATAGAAACTAGGTCAAAAGAACAGTGATTCAGAGAATAGGCTTATACTAAAGATCTCATCCCAGACAAGCCACTTAACCCATTTGAGTCTGTTTCCTCAAGTGGAGAATGAGTACGTGGAACCAGTTTACATCTATGCTCCATTTCTGTGAATGGGGAAAGACAGGAGAAAGGCAGCTAGGGTTTCTGATGAGGTCTGAAGACAGCTGCCCTCCTCCCACGATAATGGAATGCTTTTAATTAATTTATTGATCAATATATGTTATAGGCTGGGGCTTGTGTAAGCATGGGTGGGTGGATGAATGACAGGACTCCACAAAAACTAGGAGTCAGGGAATGGGAAAATCACAACCATAGTCACTTGCATTTTTGGTTATTACCAACTTTGTATTTTGTTTATTTAGACGGTATGGCATAAATGGCCATTCTCTCTTTTAGTTACGCATCATCATGGATTGGTTAAGCACCTGTTGTGCCAAGTCAGATGCAGAAAGGAATCAACCATAGTTCCTGCTTTTATGAAGCATTAAATTTTGTCTAGTGGGTAACATCAAGATATTACTAAGGAACTCAGAGTCTGATAAAACACTAGGCCAGGAGTTCACCATAACAGAGTAAACCGTTGTCTTCATGAATAGTTTGAATTAACAATGCAAACAAGATGGCAGGCAGAGGTTGACAAGGGGACTAAAGTTTTCAGTTCACTCTAAGTGCTTCAGCATCCATCATTAGGAGACAAATTATTGAGAAGCTAATTATAAATCATTTATCTACTCATACAACAATCTCTTAATGACTATCTTTGGGTTTTATAGATGCTGGCTTTTAAAAATACTTGGATAGGCCAGGCATGGTGGCTTACGCCTATAATCCCAGCACTTTGGGAGGCTGAGGTGGGAGGATCACCTGAGGTCAGGAGTTAGAGACCAGCCTGGCCAACATGGTAAAACCCTATCTCTACTGAAAAAAATACAAAATTGCTGGGCATGGTGGCGCACGCCTGTAACCCCAGCTACGTGTGTGGCTGAGGCAGGAGAATCGCTTGAACCTGGGAGGCAGAGGCTGCAGTGAGCTGAGATCGTGCCACTGCACTCCAGCCTGGGAGACAGAGTGAGACTCTGACTCAAAAAAAAAAATTAATAAATAAAAATAGCCGGGCACCCTGGCTCTCACCTGTAATCCCAGCACTTTGGGGGGCTGAGGCAGGTGGATCACTTGAGGTCAGGAGTTTGAGACCAGCCTGGCCAACATGGTGAGACCCCATCTCTACTAAAAATACAACAATTAGACAGGTGTGGGGGCGGGCGCCTGTAATCCTAGCTACTCGGGAGGCTGAGACATGAGAATTGCTTGAACCCAGGAGGCGAAGGTTGCAGTGAGCCAAGATTGTGCCACTGCACTCCAGCCTGGGCGACAGAGCAAGACTCTGTCTCTAAATAAATAAATAAAAATAAATATAAATACTTGGATATATAACTAAAAGTATTACTACTACAGTTCTTTTAAAAGCAGTGTATAATTCAGCCCTCTAACACAAAACATCCCTTCCCTCAAATAGTCTGTATTAGTGAGGTTTGATTATATTTATTTCTTCAGTTATACTATATCATATTTCAAAAAAGACTGGTTTTATACACATTTCATGGGGAAGAGGAGGAGTGCTAAGCAATTGTACTCTATCAGGTTATAATTGACAACTACGGAAAAAACAATGAATTGAAATATTCTCAAGCCAGAAACCTATGGGAACACTTACTCTCCACTATTGCACTTATGTGGTAGTTGAGGATCTCCACCAACTGCTCAGCCCCTCTGTCCATGTACATGGCACTGCTGAACTTCTCAGTCATTGCAGTAAAACCTGGAATAAATGTGCAGCTGGTTTCCTTGGCTGCTTGGGGGAATCAAACAGAGCCAGAAGAGGACTACCCTGGAAGGCAGCGGGCCTCAGCTTTTTTTTTTTTTTTTTTTTTTTGAGACAGAGTCTTGCTTTGTAGCCCAGGCTGGAGGGCAATGGTGTGATCTCAGCTCACTGCAACCTCCGCCTCCCGGGTTCAAGCAATTCTCCTGCCTCAGCCTTCCGAGCAGCTGGGACTATAAGCGTGCGCCACCATGCCAGGCTCGTTTTTGTATTTTTAGTACAGATGGGGTTTCACCATGTTAGCCAGGATGGTCTCGAACTCCTGACCTTGTGATCCGCCCTCCTCGGCCTCCAAAAGTGTTGGGATTGCAGGCGTGAGCCACCGAACCCGGTGGCCTCAGCTTTTAAAAACAGGCAGAGTTTCTTCTTAAGGATCTTTGTGGCTGGTCAAGTGTCAGACATGCAGCCTCCTCTAGCTATTATTTTAGGGGTCAGGAAAAGGCTCCAGATATTTCTTTCTTCCAAATTCTCAACTGTACAGTGATAACTGCAACTTCTTTAACTGGGAATAAAATTTTCATTCCGTGGTAACAAAAACACACACATTTCAAACACTTCTGAAGAGGTGGCAAGTTTATTAGTAAGATGTAAACATCATCTAGGGAGATCATTTCCTGAGGTCAATTTTGACTGGGATGTGTATGGGGCTTGGGGCTGGAGAGGATGAGTCAGTGAAGTTGGGGCAGAGATACTGGAGCAAAGAATGGGACTTGAGCATGTTAAAGATATGCCTATGACTGGCAGTCCTGAGTAAGGGAGGATGAGAGAGAGCCAGGGCCACAAGCTATTTCCTCCCTCTTGTGTTCTCAGTGGAGCACATCTGCTGTGACAGCCCAAGGGCTCCAGAATGGCCTCCCTACTCTGCAATCAAGCTCTGCATGTGAATTCCCACGCGAGCCTGTTGCTCATCCACATTAAACAAACATCCCTTTTGCACTTGCCTGAAATATCAACAAACATCAGGACTCCGTCAAAATAATCCATAAAGGGTCGCTCTGGGGAGAAATGTCCATAGACAATGAGGTCTGGTAAATGAGCTGCTATTCTGACTATGGGCCAGTCCTGGAATTCTTCTTTTGGAGTGTTCATGTTCAAGACAAATGTTCAGGATTTTATGGTGACAGGAAGCAGTCTCCAAATAGGTCTTCTAAAAAGAAAATTGAAATAGAGGAAATCTGATATATTCATTTGCTCATTTTCCTATTGCTCTTTCTCCATTTGTTTTGTTCTAACCTGCGGCCTGCTTATAGTGGTGAAAATGCCAGAGTTGTTGAGCCACACTTCAAAAGGGCCAATTTCTATACAGAGGAAGAACCCTCCCACCCTGAACAGCTGTTGCATAAGTGAGCTCCATTACAAAGAGGCTGGGGTGAAAGAGGGTAGCTGAACGGCTCAACTCATTTGCAGGAAGGGGTAGGCCCTCGCAGGGCAAGTCCAGTTGTAGTGGGCTGTTAAGCTCTATTCACTCAGGCCAGACTTCTTTTTCTTCTGTCCTCATGTTTCCTTTTACCCTCTCTCTACCTTGGTCTTTTACTTTTTTCTCTCTTTAAAAAAAAAAAAAGTGTAGATGTGATTCGTGTGTGTGAGTGTATTTATATGTAAGTGAGTATTAGAGTTTTGTATATAGGCAAGAGATTAAGACTATAAAGGTATAATGTTAAATAAATGGAAGAAAAGAGTTCAGAAATGTGTGTGTGTGTGTGTGTGTGTGGCAGCTGGAAAGATGGAAGACCTTAAGCTGTAAATGGAAGGAAATGCTGAAATTTCAATTTGTTGCCCAGTTAGTTCTGAGAAAACTAGGATTTCCTAAGGCCTTCCTGTAGCTGCTGGGGCAGATTAAATGCTCATGCCTAAATGTTGTAAAAATCATGCTCTACCAGCCTGAACAGTAAAAGCAAACACCCTTTACTTTTTCAGAGCAATCCAAGTTACTGGAATAGGTTATACAGAAAATATAAGAGGATTTGTTTTTTTAAGAAAAGGAACTGTTATTTTTGGTTTAATTCTGACCAGCAGAGAGGAACTTGTTAGTAGGTCATATTGGGATATATTAGAGTATTAGAGGAAAAAATTGAGACAGTCGCTTATATCCCTTAGATTTAAGGGGAAGTATTTAAAAAATAACTCAGGGAAAAATATTTGTACATTTAACAGACAAACTTTAAAATGTATATAGTATACATTTAAAAATGTATTTAGTATTCTAAAAAATGAGTGCTAAATGTTACATATTGGATAACCTTTAAAAGGAAAAGTCCTGGCAAACTCAAATGTTAAGAAGTGAACAAAAGAAAGAAACATATAACTAAGGTTTAAAAAAAAAAAGGGTAGCATTAAAAATGCAGCAAAAGACCACAGCATGTGCCAGGAACAGTCAATAGATAAAATTAAATCAAATAAATAACTTCAGATAGTAAATTTGGTGCTATATGAACTTTTAAGAAGGGTGTGAGATGCTAGATGCAGTGGTTTGTGCCTATAATCCCAGCACTTTGGGAGGCCTACACAGGAGTATTGCTTGAGCCCGAGTTCGAGACCAGCTTGGGCAACATAGTGAAATCCCATCTCTACAAAAAAAAAAAAAAAAAATTGCTGGGTGTGGTGGCATGCACCTGTAGTCCCAGCTATTCAGGAGGCTGAGGTGGGAGGATGGCTTGAGCCCAGGAGGTCAAGGCTGCAAGGAGCTGAGATCGTGTCACTGCACTCTATCCTAGGTGACAGAGTGAGACTCCATCTCTAAAATAATAATAATGATAATAAAAAGAAAGGTACAAGAAAATTGAATGTCGAGAATGAAAGACTTACAAAAAATGCTAAAGTTAAGAAAACCTAGAGGGATTTTTAAAGGCTTTGTTGAAAACAAGGTAATTAATAAAAGAGGAATAAGGATGAAGCTTAAGTATGGTGTACCATACACCTTTTCTTTTGTTTCTACCTTCTCCACCATGGAGGATTGAAAAGTATAACAAGCATTGCTAAGAAAGAATTGAAATCCAAGATAAGTAGTGCTAAAGCACACAGTCATTTTAAATAAATTCTAGCTAGTCCCAGACAACATATATCTACAGATACTGAAAGAACTGACAGGTGTAATGTCAGTAATCTCAAAAAACCATGGAGAACAAGAGATGGGCTGGAATACCATAGATGGGCACATTCTCTTTTGAATTTCAAAAGATGAGGCTACTCATGGATCCCAGAAAACACAGACCAGTAAACATAATGTATTTGTTGAGATAATACAGGTTATGTTTCATTATCAAATAACTTTGAAATCTCAATGGCTTGAAATAACAAAGGCTTATTTCTTGTTCATTTCTTGCTCACACTACATGTCCCTTGTGGGTTGTATGGGGTTCTCCTCTGTTTTTGCCTTCACTTTGGGACCCAAACTGGAATATTCTGGTTGTCAAGGTAGTGGGAAAGAGGATGTAGTGGAGTATACTCATTCTACTCCCAGAAGTGACGTATTTCACTTTTACTCATGGCATTGACCAAAGCAAATTACATGACCATGCCTAGTTTCAAGTAGACAGGGAAGTGCACTCCTACCATGTGCACAATAGGAAAGAGAGTTGGAATATTTGGGAGCAGCCTCAATGGTTATTTAGATTAGCAAGAGGTGATTAAAAGGAGTCAAATGGATTCAGAGCCAAGAGCAAGCCAACATTATTTCCTATTTTGGAAGAGTTATTAAACTTTTAAATCAAGAGACTGCTATAGACAATGTATATATTGACTTTAAGGCATTTGGCCAAATTTCTCATATCCTTGTGAGTAAAATATACAAAATTATAGGAATAAAGAAAATATAATTGGCTGGTTAGCAATCACACCTAATGGAAATTGATTAGTATTCTGGTGTCAACTCAGAGGTAAGCCTCCATGGGCACGATAGAAGACTTTGATAAAGATATAATTGAAAGTACGGCCATTATGGAAAATAATATGCAGGTTCCTAAAAAATTAAAAATAGAACTACCATATGATCTAACAATCCCACATCTGGGTATATACCCAAAGGAATTGAAATCAGTATCCCTGCACTCCCATGTTTATTTCAGCACTATTCACAATAGCCAAGATATGGAACCAACCTAATTGTTCATCAACATATGAATGGATAAAGAAAACATTGGATAATGTATACAATGGAGTACTATTCAGCCGTAAAACAGAAGGAAATTCTTTCTTGTATGATAGTGTGGATGAACCTGGAGGGCCTTATGTTAAGTGAAATAAGCCGGCCACAGAAAGACAAAAATATTGAACGATCTCACTTATATATGGAATCTAAAAAAGTCAAAATCATAGAAGCAGAGTAGAATGGTGATGCCTGAGGCTGGGGTTGGGTGGGTGGAATGAGATGTTGGTGGCTGAAGGATACAAAGTTTCAATTAGACCCAATGAAAAAGTCCTGGAGATCTAACCTAGAGCAAGGTGAATACAGTTAATAAAGTATTATATACTTCAAAATGGCTAAGAGAGTAGATCTTAACTGTTCTCACCACACAAAAATGTTAAGTATGTGAGATGATACGTTAATTACCTTGATTTAATTATTTCATAATGTATACATATATTAAAACATCACATTGTACACCATAAATATGTACACTTTTTGTCATTTTTGCCTTAATAAAGCTGAGGGAAAATAAAATTTGAAAATATAGTGAGAGAACTAATGCACTGATGACAGAGCTAGGATTTTAATACATCTTAATCAACCAAAATAATGAAATTTCAAAAGAATAAGTGCAAAGTGCTGTGTTTAGAGTTTTTAACAAAATCAAATGCATAAGCACGAGGTGCTAAAAAACTAGATTTACTGCAAATTAGTGCTATCTTTTAAAAAACTTTTATTGAAGCATAACATACATGTAGGAAAATGTACAAATCATAAGTGTATAGCTTGAATTACTCTAAGGTGAGCAAATCCGTGTAATACCCATTCATAGCAAGAAGGAAAACATTACCAGCTTTCCAGAAGTTTTTCTCATGCCACCTTCAAGTCACTACCCTTCTCTTTTCCCTGAAGGTAACCTTTCTTATTTCTAACAACATAGATCACCTTTGCCAGTTTTCAAACTTTATATAAATGAAATCATACTACATATTTTGTGTTTGTGATATTCATCCATGTTGTTGTATATCAATAATTGTTCATTTTCAATGCTATATAGTATTCCATCACCTGATGGAATATACCACAAAACATTTATCCACTATACTATTGACCTGTGGGTTGTTCCCACTTTTAGACCATTATGAATAATGGTGCTAAGAACATTCTTATTCATGTGTTTTGGTGAAAAGATGTATGCATTTCTCCTGGGTATATACACAGGAGTGGAATTGCTGGGTCATAGGGTATACACATGTTAAACTTTAGTACAGGCTTGTCCAAGCTATGTCCTGTGGGCCACATGCGGTCCAGGATGGCTTTGAATGCAGCCCAACACAAATTTGTAAACTTTCTTAAAACATTATGAGATTTTTTTGTGATTTTTTTTTCTTAGCTCATCAGCTATCATTATTGTTAGTATTATTTTATGTGTGGCCCAAGATGATTCTTCCTCTTCCAATTGTGCCCCAGGGAAGCCGAAAGATTGGATACCCCTGCTTGAGTAGATCTTGCTAAACAGCTTTCCAAAGTGATGGTACCAACTTACACTCCCTCAGGCAAGGTATGACAGTTCAGTTGCTACATATCTCAGCCAACACTTATTTTGTCAGGCTTTTCAACTTTTAGTCATCTTGCTAGGTAAGTGGTGGTGAGGAGACAGGCCATTTCTCTTACTGTCTCTTGTCTCTGAAGAGAAAGAGGAAGTAAAAGCTGAAAAACACAGGAATGAAGTCAGTGGCAAGACCAGCCGGCGCCACTGATGACCAGGTCTGAGGTTAAAAGATTAACCCCCATTCTAACCACATGTGCTATCTACAGATCTCAATCTATTATGACCCTTTCACGTGGAACCCCTCACAGCTCTAAGCCCTTAAAAGGGCCAGGAACTGTTTCTTTGGGGACCTCAGTTCTTGAGATGCAAGTCTGCCAATGCTCCCAGCCGAATAAAGCCTCTTCCTTCTTTAACCCGGGTGTCTAAGGGGTTTTGTCTGTGGCTCGTCCTGCTACAATGGTATCTGTGGTTTTGTGTTTCCTTGTTGGTACTAAGGAGATTAAGCACCTTTTCATATGTTAACTAGCTATTTGGATGCAATGCAATTTTAAGATACATAAAAGTGTTCAAATCTAATCCAGAGGACTGAAGTTCATTGACCTCTTTAAAATTCATTGACTCTGGAATGTGAGGAATGATGGCAGAGACTGGAAATAAGTCAGAAAATTATGACATTTTGGTTAAAATTGTAGTTGTCTTCAAATATTTGGGCTGAACTGTGAAAGTTGTGGGGTAAGTGGTGGACGTGGGCTAAGTGGGGGACATGGGTGTGTATGCAAGGTGTAATGTGGGACCCTGCAATCAAAGAACAACTTCCCTACCTTCTCCTTGAGGTAGAAATTTGGTTTGGGTTAGCAAGATTAAAGTTCATGGGAAGTATGCAGTGGGAAAGGAAAGTTGGTGTGTTTTTCTTCAGTGGAGGGAGCTAGTTATCAAAGAATAAGTGACTGTAAACAGTATGTTCCGTAGGCATGGGTGCTCTGAAGTGGCTTCCACAGATGTGCTGAGTAGCCAGAGAACTAAGATAGGACTGAGCAGAACTGAGCAGGGCGTAGCTCTATTCTTCCCTCTCCTGCCCCCAGTTCACTGGCTCAACTTTGACTTCTTTAGCTACCAAGCTTGTAAGATTGAAAGACTGAGCTAATGAAAACAGAGGATGCTCAGTTAAATCTGAATTTTAAATAAACAATTTTTTAGTATAAATATATTCCAAACATTGCATTCTTTCTAGCAGCCCTACTATCAGCCCCTTCAATCTTGGCAATACCACACTCTCCTCACATGCATAGTATAGACTGTTTTGCTAAAGTTGTTAACACTGGATGGAAAGTGGGTTAGGTTTATTCTTTGTTGCTCAGGATCAACTAGGATCAATGACTGGCAATCACCGAAGGACAAATATAAACAATGTAAGAATGAGTGTTCAAACTGGGCAGTTTTAGGAAGTGTTGAATAGCTATCTACCTGTGAGGGTAGAGGTATAAAAAGTAAAGTAGAGGTTCCTCTTCAAAGACTTTCCTCCCCGTCTAATTAGGAATAAATAGTAACTTATCTTAAAAGCAAAATTTATTCAAAGACCTGTGCTAACATTCTTAAATATCTGCTAGCCATAATAAAGAAATCAATGTACTTTATGTTCTTGGCTCCCACAATGTAGCCTAAATATTTGCCCTGGCATGCTTATACTGGTCCAAGCAACCATTAGGTCATAGCCTGTTCCTCTTCCTTATTTAAAAGTATTTTTACTTTTCTCAGCATTCCACAAGTTACTTCCTCCTTCTTTTGTTCTCCTCTACCTTTGCCTCTTTTAAAAGTTCTAAGTTGCTAGCCGATCGGGACAAATACAGAATGTGAGGTCCTGTTCCGGCCAATGGGCAGTAGGGTGAACGTGTCAGGTTATAAATGACCCCGTCTCCTTTGTTCAGTGTACTCTCGTGGCAAAACTGCTGGCGAGTATACCCTCTCTGCAGGAAGTAAAAATGCCCTTACTAAATAAATTTATGTTCAAGTGCTATTTCTTTATGGCATTGGAGAACAAGCGTTTCAAACAGAGGTGATTTTAGTCAGTGTAGAGATGAATTAGATGATTGTTAAGATTCTATTGTTTTAATTAAGGTGATGTGAATGAACTTGGACAGATTTTTCTGTTTATGATGACCAAACAAGGAAAGTACATGCATTTTGAGATTAAGATGGCATATGTAGATGTGAAACTAAAAGAAGAAAATGATAGGTTTAAAAGGCAGGGAGATCTAAAATAAATATCTGGGAGTTTCTTATGAACACCCATAAAAGACAATAGAAATTTTCTATTTTTGAAGATATAGTTTTCTGCTTTAAGTTCTGCAACATCACAAAATGATTAGTGATAGCTGTATTTACCTTTCTACAGGCACATACCACATTGTAATTATAATTTATTATGACCTTTTTATGTGAAGCATTCTATTGTAGGAGTTATTAAGAAATTATTTTAGGCAGATAGAGAGGAAAAGGGGTCCTTGGGAAATTTTCATTTTTTAAAGCATCTCCAGAAAATTTCTTGTAAAGCCTTGGCTCTTAGAGCCAGGCCGGCAACCTTTGATAAGCAAATGAAGGCCATTAGAAACAGGGCCCACCCAACATGGCGATTCCGGAGGCCTTCTTTCCCTTGCCCCACATGTTCCTGGCAACATGGCCACCTCCACATACTCCCACGTGTGTAGAACATCATGGCACCCTGCATTTGCATATTAAAAGGCTAGGGTGAGAGGGCTAGCTTTTTCAAGGGCTTTGTGAATGACATGCCTGGTCAAACCAATCCCCTGAACCCTATGCAAATCAGACACTGCCTCCTCCAGCGTCTGTAATATATACCTAGCTGACGTCCACCCCACTGGGGGTTCCCTCTCTCGGCTTTGGAGCCCCCCTCCCTCTGTCTCTGTATGGGGGAGCTTCTTCCCTCTTTCCTCTTCCTTCTTGCCTATTAAACTCTCCGATCCTTAAAATCACTCCACATGTGTCTGTGTCGTTTTATCTAAACCGGGATGAGGACTAAGAACCTTGGTGTTCCTCCACTCATCGGAGCCGTATCAATTCTACATAGGTTGCCTCATTTAATCATCCAAACAGCGCTATGAAGTAGACCTGATTTCTATAGATATGAAAACTGAAGCACAGAGGTATTAACTTGCTCTGGGTTATAAAGCTGGAATATCCAGGTCTGTGGGACTTGAAAGTCCCTGTTGTTTCTACTATATCATGCTATATCCCATTTGTATACGCTTTATAGCACTTTGGGGATGTATATGACCTAGACAAAAGATGTAGGTTTAATTTAAGAGCACTTTCAATGCATGTTGATGGTACCCTTATCAACTGTTCAGCCAATTCTATCACATCAAGAATACAGCATGAACAGCATGGGTACTGACAAAGCGCGGAAGCACCTTGGAATGAGAAATGAGGATACCTGAGTCAAAAGGCAAGCAGGCGAATGAGGCCCGAAAGATAAACCAAGAAGGATTCCTGAATGCGGAGTGTGAGTAAAGAAAACTCAGTAGTACCCAAAAATGAAAAGAGAAATTAGGGTTCGATTATATTCATCAGTTTCTCTAAATCTCTCCTCTAGAATTTCCTAATAGATTTTATATTCAACTTTTCACCTACATGTAAAGTCAGGTTTCACGAGTCCAAAGAGGGAGATACTCTGAACTTAAAGGCACAGTGTTACCTGTCATGAAAGCTTGCTTGCCTACTCTAGCCATGGTAATTTTTCTTCTGAGCTATTGTGGCTCTTAATGTCTACACTTAAGTGGCTTATTTCCCATACAAATATCCTTGATTATCTTTTGAATTGCTTCTATTTTGTCTTCATCTGAATTGTAAGCTCCCCGTTTGGAACCATCTTCTACATATCTTTGTTTACTCCACAGCACCTTGCCAGAGCCCCCTTCAAGAGGTAGGCACTTGGTAGTTGTTGACTGATAAAAAGGAGGATATCACGTGAGAAACTGCAGAAAAGAGGCAAATAAAGAAAGTAAGCTAGAAAGACAGAGCATCCAGGTTGAGAAGGTGAGGCAATATTTAAGCCTTCAAGCTTCTAAGCTCATGTAAGGGACTGACACAGAGGTATACACAAACTTGAACCCTGACTTCTAGCCCCAGGCTTCCCACTCCTCTGCAATAGCTGTCTTCTTTCCTGACGGTCGCCCTCATCTTCAGCTCTGCAATCAATCTTTCTGCTGAGACTCTTACTTCCACATACCTCCACTTCATCCAGGGCTGAGGAAAAGCCAGACCTCAGTTAGGGACTAGGTCTTTTAAGACTGCAGAAGACAGGAGAGGAGGCCGGGTGACATTATTCTGAAGACAGCTGAAGCGCCATGTCTGTCTATAGCTGACCCATAAAATGACAGTTTTGTCTAAAAGCCGTTTTCCAGGCCACACCCTCATCAGTAGCTCATTGTTCCACGGGCACCGACCATGTTTCTGATTGGGTGGCACTGCCGTCCCCTCCCCCACCAACCTGAGTGGCCTACTACTGTACAAGGAAGGACTGGCTGTTTCAGGTTCTCTTATCCGCACATTTGAGGCAAGGGTCAGGGGAGACTGACATGACCCCAGAGTAGTTTACACAATTCTTCCCTTGGCCATGTGGAGGATGGTTGAAATTAGGCAATAGTTGGTAGGTGATCATCAGAAGTATCTCCAGAGCAAGCAAACACCTAATTTTAGTCAATAGTGGTTACAGCTTGTACCAGGACTATGAAATTTACCAGTTATAATAAATTCAATACTTACCTTCAGATATATTTGTGAGGTAAATTTTTGTTTGAAGAATTATATACCTGCCCTTTCTGACTGGTCAAGTGCACGCTTTTAATCAAATTTATCCCAAAGATAACTTGAAATCCAATGGGCACTGGATTTGAGTTTTCTTTATCTGATGTGACACTGGAAAAATGTATTTTAAGAGGCTGGTGTGTTTTCTAACAGCTTAAATCATGTGTTGATTTTCTAAATGTTCTTATGTATATCATCACAACCACAATTATCATTTAGGGGCACAGCTTTTAAAATTGGAATTTAAAAAGTCTTATTTAAAAAGCTGTACATGTTCTCCTATAAAGCCCCGCTCTGTAATTGTTTACTGTGTACTTCCAAATGTTGTAAAACACAGTTGTCTTAGGGAGGAAAACAAGAGGGTCATTTAATTATGTTCATTGAGTGAATTTTCTGGTGTGAGTTGTGGAAACCAGTCTTATAATTAGAATCATACCTCATTTAATTAAACAATCCCCTTAGGGAGAGCTATTCTTAATAAATGCCAGTGTTTTCTATTTCTGCTTCATTATATAAACAGGCTCCAGTAGAGACCTTTGTTTTACAGAAAGGAACCTTAGCTTTGAGGTCCATCCTCATTAACATTCAACCTTTCGCTATGATTTTATAAGTTAAAAAAGAAAATATTTACTATGAGGAAACAGCAGCACTGACATACCTTGGATCAAAGTTTCCTTAAAAGAGATGCCATACCACAAAAAAAGACTAAAGAATTTATCTCTTATTGAGCATTCTCCACCCCACCTACTACTCCTCTACCCCAAGCAGCTTCTTTTCTGCTATAAAGTTATTAGTTCAGAAACCGTGCAAATAGGTTAACACAGTATATCCTTTTTGTAGTAAAATTAAAACTTCCTTTAAAGTACTTAAAGAAAAGTACTTTCTGGGTCTACCTTCAATTAATAAGATTACCATTTTCTGAACTTTCTTCTTGTTGCCCAGGCTGGAGTGCAATGGCGTGATCTCAGCTCACTGCAACCTCCACCTCCCTGGTTCAAGTGATTCTCCTGTCTCAGCCTCCCAAGTAGCTCGGATTACAGGCATGTGCCACCATACCCAGCTAATTTTTTTGTATTTAGTAGAGATGCGGTTTCACCATGTTAGTCAGTCTTGTCGCGAACTCCTGACCTCAGGTGATCCACCTGCCTCGGCCTCTCAAAGTGCTGGGATTTCAGGCATGCACCACCGCGCCTGGCCCGTTTCCTGAACTTTCCATATCTTCAATATTTACTGTGGACCAGGCACTGTGTTAAAACCTTATCTCAATCTTTAGAACAATCCTATGAAGTCAGTACTATGATTATCCTCATTTTGCTCTTGAAAATATTAAAGGTCAGAGACAGAGGTTAACAAAGTCTCACAGTTAATGTGTGGCAGAGTTGAGTTGAAACCCAGGGCTGTCAGACTTGGCATTGA
The DNA here is from genome assembly GCF_000001405.40 of Homo sapiens. Classification (NCBI taxonomy): domain Eukaryota; kingdom Metazoa; phylum Chordata; class Mammalia; order Primates; family Hominidae; genus Homo; species Homo sapiens. The sequence continues at coordinate 167,915,970 of NC_000001.11, forward strand.
GAAAGAAAACTTACATAGTGAAGCTATCAATAAAGACCTGTCAAAAAGCTGTGATAAAGAATTCAACTCAACTATACTAATCGATTTGCACCACTGTGGAAATTATTTTTACGGAGTTCAGTAACTGCATTGATAGTAAGGACTTCTAATATATTCTTACTAAGTCTTTGAGAATAGTTGTGAAACTGATAACTAGGCTATGTGTTCCAAGTGGCAATGAGAGTTTTTGACAGGATACATATTGTTACTTTTTGAGATGGGAGTTTTGCTCTTGTCGCCCAGGCTGGAGTGCAAAGGCGCGATCTCAGCTCACTGCAACCTCCGCCTCCTGGGTTGAAGTGATTCTCCTGCCTCAGCCTCTGGAGTAGCTGGGATTACAGGCGTGCGCCACCACACCCAGCTAATTTTTGTATTATTAGTAGAGACGGGGTTTTACCATGTTGGCCAGGCTGGTCTCGAACTCCTGCCCTCAGGTGATTCACCTGCCTTGGCCTCCCAAAGTGCTCGGATTACAGGCGTGAGCCACCGCACCTGGCCAAGATTTAATTTTTAAGATTAAAAAATTGGATAGATTAAGAGTTTTGGGGCAGAAAAGAAAAGAAGCATGTGATGGTTGTTTGTCAATGAAACTTCTGAGAAACAAGAAAGGAGGACTGCCTATGATTGTATCTAAATGCTACAACAAATTTGACTGACAAGAGGGGCTTAGGAGACCCCGCACAGAAGAGGTTTTAATGAAAAGGAAGTGAAACACCAAGCTCACATAAATTTTTAATAAACTTTTTTGTGTCTATGTCATATTTCATAATGTTTTTCCTAAATGCTTAACCTAGGAAACACATGTGTGCACACCCATGCCAAACACACAAATGAATTTAACAGTGTGGTTTATGAAATGAAAGCAATAATAGTTTGACTCTTCAGAACCTCTTCATTGTGGCCTATGTCAAGCTCTCTAATCTTTTCTCCTCAATGGTAGGCCATGGTTAAGGGACAGATGATAAAGTACAAGGTTTTCAATTGCTAACTGCCAAATTTTCATAGGTTATAGTATTACTCAAAAAGTTGTTTTGTCTCATTTCTTCAAATTTTGAAATAACTTGCTTTGCTGACTCATCTGACTATATTTTTAATGAGGACTGGCTTTATTAGCACTTTTAGAAAAAAAGCTCTGCACTCCACACTGAAAGTCAAATCAAATAGATAGTTAATTATTTGTAGCGTGGAGTAATGTATGCTCAGTCTCTCCTCACAACGGAGCCAAAGGTCACAAACATTTACAGAAAACCTACTTATGTCCCAGGTACTCTGCTAGGTACTTTCCTAACTTGTCTAAAGTCACAGCATAGGCTGGGTATGGTGGCTCATGCCTGTATTCCAGCACTTTGACAGGACGAGGCGGGCAGATCACCTGAGCCCAGGAGTTCGAGACCAGCCTGGGCAACATGACAAAACCCTACCTCTACAAAAATACAAAAATTAGCTGGGTGTGGTGGTGTGTGCCTGTAGTCCCAGCTGCTCGGGAGGCTGAGGCAGGAGGATCACTTGAGCCCAGGAGGTAGGGTTTGCAGTGAGCCGAGATTGTGCCACTGCACTCCAGCCTGGGCCACAGAGCGAGACCCTGTCTCAAAAAAAAAAAAAAAAAAAAAGTCACAACAGATAAGTCATAGAGCTGGGATTCAAATTCAGGTCTGTCTGAATATAGAGTATTTTCTGCTACATTATCAGTTACTGAGGGTAATTGAAAAATTTAACACTTATCATGGACCAGGCACTATGTTAAAACATTATCTCATTAATCTTTACAATGATCCTATTTAAAAATCTGTAGCTGTAAAAGAATTTTATACAACATTTATACAAAAATCATCAAGATTCTTCATGGCAAGTTAAAATGTTTTTAAATAGTTTGAGGTCATCTTGATAGTCATTCCACTACCCATTTCTCAGTCTCTTCAGCAAAATTTCCTTTCACTTATAGCTAGCTACCTGACCATCCTACACTAAATAAGCAGATAATTTAATCTTCCAACTTCTTGAATTTGTGTGTTCTTTTATGTACATATGTTGGCTGACTGGAACAGAAGGAGGCAGGGGGTATATACGAGCAAGTATGGTTTATTACGGACAAATGGTAGAAAAATGTTACTAATATCCATAGATAAGTTCCTTAAGTCATGTAGAGAGACTGTTATTAAAAGTTTGCTGCATTTTTCTATTGAATCAAGAACTAGCTACCAGTTACAGTGCCTTCTAAACACACAGTTAGCTTTGCTTTATCAATAACCAAATAATAAACTAGGTCCCAATGGTTTTGTCCACATCTAGATTGTTCAGGTGATCAGGAACTCTTTTATTTGTGTGCTTTAGCTTTTAGTTCTTGGTTATATCTATAAAGAAAACAGAAAGAAAAATAATCATCAATAATAATAGACAAATTTATGGTAAGGAGAGAATGGGAAGCATACTCCATTTCTTCTTTCTTGGTGGTCAAGTAGCTATACAGTTGTAAACAGAATCTTCCCGGAGGGCTTACAGGTAGAAACAGGCAGAAAGGAAAGGATTCAAAGAGTTCATTTGCATCTGGATTTTGTTTCAGATAATAAGAGCACAACTGCCAAAAACTTTTTTTTTTTTTTTTTGAGATGGAGTCTCACTCTGTCGCCCAGGCTGGAGTGTAGTGGTGTGATCTCGGCTCGCTGCAAGCTCTGCCTCCCGGGTTCACGCCATTCTCCTGCCTCAGCCCCCCGAGTAGCTGGGACTACAGGCGCCCGCCACCACTTCTGGCTAATTTTTTGTATTTTTAGTAGAGATGGTGTTTCACCGTGTTAGCCAGGATGGTCTCGATCTCCTGACCTTGTGGTCTGCCTGCCTCGGCCTCCCAAAGTGCTGGGATTACAGGAGTGAGCCACCATGCCCGGCCTGCCAAAAACTTTTAACAGCTTAGCTGACATATAGTTTCCTGTGCAAAAGTATTATTTTAATAAAAATATTCTCATTCTGGAATTCTACAAGAACGTGACAAACTTGTGAACATATGTATAAAATTTAGTAAAATGTGGTCACCTAGAATTTTAAAATTTATACTCGCAAAGCACCTTTCCTAAGAATAAGATCAACAGGTAAAGTAAAATATACTAAAGTAATCACTAAAGTAAAATATACTTCTAACCACTAAGGTAAAATATACTTCTGTGATGCAGGCAGGCTATTGGGTTAACAGCCTGTAAACACTTAAGTTCACAAACGCTAAGGACCATTTCCTCAATTCTCAATCCAAAGAAGTAACCACAGAGCCATAGTCTTTCCTTCCCTTCTACCATACCTTGGGCTTCATTTACTATTCCTCCTAGCTTATAATGGAATGGAGAGTAGTATAAAAGCATAAGAAGGAACTTATTCCATGAAGCCAACCATACCTCCTAGGTTTCTCAAAAGATCCTGATTTCAAATATTTGATCATAATGTCATTATCATAAATCACTGACAATATTAACTACTGAGTAAATAGTTTAAAAATTTCCAGTGCTCATGGAACACTTTCCAATGAAAGCAAAGACCTCACTCTACGTATCATTTCCAATACTACATAACAATACACTTAAGTTCCAATTTATTATATACAATTGAAAGTGATAAAAGGTTTACATAAGAAATTAATAAATCATAAACTGTATATGTTGTCTTAATAAAAGAGATTATGTGAGATGGTTAACCATCTAAATGATGCACAGTTAAATCTAAAAACTAGGTAACATACTGCTTAACTGATTTTAGTCAGTTAACTAGTTAACTGGTTAACTTATTTGTAAACCCCTAGACTTTTCTAGAAATGTTAAATTTCTACTTTAGATACTTCTTGTCTTAGCATTATATATGAATCTTTTAAAAAAATTAGTGCCATCTCCAGCCTGGGCAACAGAGCGAGACCCCGTCTCAAAAAAAAAAAAAATTAGTGCCATCTAAGTAGCTTTTGCAACAGTTTTAAAAATATCTCTGGTAGGCTTACCTCCAAATACGAAAAAGCTGAGAGGCTCCTGCTGCCCCCACAAAGAAATTAACAGCAAACAGACTCCAATTTTTTGGAATAATTACAAGTGAGTATCTTGACCAAATAAACCCTGTTGAAACAAAATGTTACTTTAAAAAGAATACATACTGCTTCAATAACTTCAGTGAATACTTAATATTGAGTAAAGTAATTACAACAATAATGTAGGATGAGGGACAAAGAAATGCTATACTCTGAATTTTCAATGTTTCTGTAACTTAGTGTCACAGAAAATACTCAATTCTTACATGAAAGAGGAATCTTTAAAGTGACTATTAACTGTAATTTTCTTCCCACTTATAAAAATATGTTCATGGCAAAAACCTGAAAAGCAAAAGCCCATTCAGATACTTATTCTTTCTGTGACTCCTCCATCCATAACTTAATAACTTCCTAGACATAATACTGTTAATTCCTTTGTGTGTGGGTGTATTTCAAACACTAAGCCACTAAATAAACTGATATAAAAGAAAACAAAAATCATTTATGTTCTACAAGAAACACAGAAGATATTTATTTAATTTACCTGTAGCCATCAAAACAGCAGATTGAGCTGTGCTAAGTTTTTCTGCAGGTCTGGCCATATCAGCCAATCCAGCACACACCAACCCCTACACATTAACGCATAGAAAGAAAAAAAGTATCACAAATGTGGAGTAATAGTTTTAACTTTAAATCAAGCACAAGACATTTTTGAGATTTCCGTAAGTTAGCAGCTATAATTTTAGTGTCCATTCATTAAGAAAATGTAGATTACAACAAAAAAAAAGCACAATGAATTAAAAAACTGCTTTTTGAACTAATTTTATTTTGTTAGGTACACTAAGCAGTCTCACATATCTGAAAGTCAGTAGTACATATATAGATAAGATGTATATGTATGCATTACACGTACATATATATTTTGGGTTTTTTTTGGTCTACCTATTTCACATATGAATTTATATACTCTTTATATATGTCAGGAACCACTAACCACTAGCATGGAAGATACCTAAAAGCTGTTAAGGTCATTTGTATAGATTCTTCCTTTGATGTTTTCTGCCAATGTTATCATTTTTAAATTAAATTAAATTTTAGATTTGGGGTATATGTGCAGGTTTGTTACATGGGTATATTGTGTGATGCTGAGGTTTGGGCTTCTAATGAATTATTTTTTAAAAGTATAAATATCAGAAAAACTTATAATTTTAGTTTTTTGGTTAGATCATTTTTTTTTTTTTAGACAGTCTCACTCTGTCACCCAGGTTAGAGAGCAATGGTGCGATCTAGGCTCACTGCAACCTCCACCTCCCAGTTTCAAGCAATTCTCATGCCTCAGCCCCCAAGTAGCTGGAATTACAGGCGTGTGCCAATATGCCTGGCTAATTTTTGTATTTTTAATAGAGACGGGGTTTCACCATGTTGGCCAGGCTGGTCTCAAACTCCTGACCGCAGGTGATCCGCCCGCCTCAACCTCCCAAAGTGCTGGGATTACAGGTGTGAGCCACCATGCCCGGCCTTGGCTGTTACGCCATTTTTCTTTAACATCAGCATATACATGGCCATTTCTCTTCTGTGTTTTTAACACTGTCTCTATTGCACTCATGCGTTTTTGCTCCCACCAGATGAGCTGTATTTTTACCAAGTCACTATGTTTGTCCCCAATCTATTTATGCCAGTTTTACTTGTTAATGTAATTTACATGATTTAATAAATTGTTTTTTTTTAAAAAAACTAAGCTGGAAATTATATAGGATGCACTGTAGTGTAATTTATCCAGGATAGAAAATGTGGAGCTCAGAAATCCATACACAAATAAAAGATTTAGCTTTAAAAAAGACTGATTGTCAATGAATATATATTTATATCCTTTAGGTTAAAATAAAATATTTAAGGTACATAGGTTTTTGTTTTTAGGATTATCCACTTTGACCTTTATGATTAGTTATGTGGTTTCAACTAAAGTGGTTACAAAGGACTCTACTACAGTTATATGTTTGAAGGCATATGGTCTGAGAGTCTTCATGTTATAGAACATATGTGGCTTGCAGAAGCAACTGTTATGTGTCATGTATAGAATTCTACAGATTAATTATCAAATACTCTGGGATAGTAAAACACAGTAAGAGGTATATAAGGTAAGTATCTAATAGAAGAAGTCTCCCCACCAGAGAACAAAACACAGAAGTTTCTATTGCTATGCTGTCATCTGGAGACTATGTATGATTTCAACATGTACTTAAAATAGATGTTCTTAAAGAGACAGATAGTCAAGAAGGCATTTATGAGTATATAATGCTGTCAATATCTCACAACAGTAATGAACCAGTTCAAATAAACCCCAAAGCTATTGATAAAATCAATAAACTCCTAAACTGTGGTAAATTTGAGATCAAAGAGGCCCCTAAATTTATTGTGAATAGATGAAATCACTCAAACTCTTTTAATGATTGAATACTTCAGCAATCAATTCCACTATAAAGATATATTATTACTATGTAATTTTAAGTGTAGGTAGGGAGAGAAGAAGGAAATGGTAATGTAACTTCCATTAGTATAGGGGGTTTTAGGATCTTTTCTCAATATGTAGATATGAAAAAAAAAACCTGCTCCCTAGATCTCTGTAAAATACAGCTCCCGAATGACTTATATTCTAATCTTGTCACTTTATAGTTGAAGAGACAAAATGACAAAGAGACTAAACTTGCCCAAGGCCATAAGATTGAGTCATAGCCAATTCCAACTCTAACATTCTCAACCACTTGAATTTACAACTGAGTTTCTGAATTGTTCTAACCATTTTAAAAGTACATTTAAGAGAATTACAACAGCCCATCACTCAACAACAACAAAAAACACCTTGATTAAATTAAAAAACAGGCAAAGGACTTGAATAAATATTTCTCCAAAGAATATACACAACTGACCAATAAGTACAATAAGTATATGTTCAGCATGACTAATCATTAGGGAAGTGCAAATAAAAACAAAGATATCTAACACCCATTAGGTGCCTATCATAAAAACAAAAACAAAAATGCTCCCCCATCAAAAGTAACAAGTGTTGGTGAGGATGTGGAGAAATTAGAACACTTATGAATTGCTGGTAGAAATGTAAAATAATGTAGTTGCTGAGGAAAACAAAAAATATTAAGCAGAATTATCATATGATCTAGCAATTCAACTTCTGGGTGTATACTAAGAAGAATTAAAAGTATTGACTTAAACAGATTCTTGTACATCAATGTTCATGGTAGCATTATTCACAACAGCAAAAATGTGGAAGCAAACCAATTGTCCAATCAACATATAGAAGAATAAACAAAATGTGGTAAATACATACAATGGAATGCTATTCAGCATTAAAAAGAAAGGAAAGTGACACATGTGACAACGTTAATGTACCTTGTGGACATTATGCTAGGGGAAATAAGCCAACTACAAAAAGACAAATACATTTTGATTCCATTTACATGAGGTACTTAGAGTAGTGAAATTCATAGAGACAGAAGGTAGAATGGTGGTTGCCAGGGACTGGGAGAAGGAGAATGGGGAATTATGGGTACAGAGACTTGCTTTTACAAGATAAAAAGGGTTCTGGAGATTGGTTAACAATGATGTAAATGTACTTAACGCTACTGAACTGTACACTTTGAAAATGGTTCAGATAGTAAGTTTTATATGTATTTTACCACATTAAAAAAAAAAAAGCCTACAGACCAGTGGTTTTCAAACTTTAGAGGGCATTAGAGAATCATCCGAAGAGGTTATGAAAACAGAGCTCACTGGACTCCACATCTAGAGTTTCAGATTTAGTAGGTCTGTGATGGGGCCTAACAAGTTCTCAAATGATGCCACTGCAGGTCCAGAGAGATGACACTTTGAGAAGCACAGTTATAGACCCAAACTGGCCCTTTCAACATAAAATCAATGATTTGCTACAAACAGCCACCACAATTGTTTCTTTTCAGCTAAGTAAGAACTTTAAGAAAGAAAACTTTGGGGAAGAGTAAAAGCACTGGGCTTGGAGTCAGAAGTCCTAGGTTCTCTCATTTACCAAATGCTAATATTTATATTCGAATAAATCCATCTACTTTTTGAGAGTAACTTTCCTCACCTATATTTTGGTGATAGTACCTTCAGTTCTCATACTAAATTAATAATAAAAGTTAACTTGGGGGTTCTAACTAGCTTAATGTTTTACTTAGTAATAACATTTTAGAATGAAATTTCATGTCCATGTGGTGCACAATTGTAAGTTTTTTGATAACAAGTATGTTCCCAGAAGGCCTCTTATCTAAAGAGTTCAGAAAAACTAAAGTAGATAGTTGCTTTATGTAGAAAACGATATGTCTGAGAATATTTGCCATGAAATCATCTAGAGGCATACCAAGAATACTCTAAAGTATATCCTTCATAAAAGTTACTTCAAATTAGTAAATTCCTATTAAGGAATTTGTCTTTCAGTAGCTTCCGTAAAAACTCAAGACTTACCCATTTCATAATTGGAGCCCAGAAGAAAACTGTTCTGGGACCTGAAAAAAAAAAGAAAAGAAAAATTCAGGAATAAACCAAATATATTATACACGTCTTTTAACAGCTGTCACCAAATTTTAAAAACCAAAGGATTTATCAACCTATTTTTAACCACTTTTACTATGCTTTTTGCATACTTTGTATTTCAGTTAACATTTAGAGAGGCACCACAGTATCACAGTACAGTTGACCCTTGAATAACACAGGTTTGAACTGATAGGTTCAACTGTATGCAAATTTTTTTCAGTAAATATACTGCCATATAAAAATATTTTAGGGAACCTTGATTCTAATGTACTTTCATACTAGTTTTACACTCAAGTAACACTCTCATCCCAAATGAAAATGAACCCAGTGATAACACCCCATTTTTGTGCATTTTGGCTGAATTACTATAACAAATAGTTGGGTAATCTTAACATTAAGCAGCAAAATTTGAAAAATGTAAAAATGGCAGTTGCTTCCCTCCAATTTTTGCTTAGTATGCAGGTTTTGAAAAGTATCACCAGATAGTGCAAACTACTTGCCTTTAGCCTTAAGTGATGGTAATGCTACACATTCTGTCTTCCACAATTTAACATAGTCCTTGATATTTTTGTCCCTCTCGAATTCACAGTATTCTTACAGCAAAATTCATTAATTCAATGTCATTTTAAAATCTACCACAGTACATTTTACATATTTTACTCCAGTTATTTGTAAATCTATGTACCTATCAAGATTATGACTTTCTCGAAGCTAGTGGCTCAATACTATTCATACTTGTACCCCTATTACCTAATAGAATGTAGAATAATAAATAAAAAGGAAAGTTAGCCAGTAGAGTTGGAAGCAGTTTATACTAACATTTATTACCCTAATATATATGTATGTGTATATATAATATACAGATATACATATACACATATATATATATATATATATATATATATATATACATATACATATACACACACATATATATATACACATACAAACAACGTTTTTTTTTTTTGGTTTTTTTTTTGGTTTTTTTTGTTTTTTTTTGAGACAGAGTCTCACTCTGTTGCCCAGGCTGGAGTGCAATGGCACAATCTCGGCTCACTGCAACCTCCACCTCCCGGGTTCAAGTGATTCTCTTGCCTTAGCCTCCCAAGTAGCTGGGATTACAGGCGCCTGCCACCACACCCGGCTAATTTTTTTGTATCTTTAATAGAGACAGGGTTTCACCATGTTGGCCAGGCTGGTCTCAAACTCCTGACCTTGTGATCTGCCCGCCTCAGCCTCCCAAAATGCTGGGATTACAGGCGTGAGCCACCGTGCCCGGCCACAAATAACTTTTAAAGTACTTTAAAATCATAAGTTGTTTTTATCAGCCTGATACTTAAATATTGATAAGTCTGTCTTATGCTTTTAATAGTTTTAAAATATGTTTGCTGATTTTCTAATTTAATCCTAAAGTCCTACAGCAATCTAAGTTTCATTTTCTCATTCTTCAGAGAAGCTGGGTATCATTAGAATAATTCTTCAAACACTAGAAAGAAGATCACGGCACAAACCCTGTGGTTCCTTGTGGGACTACTCAGCCCATTATAATGTTAAACTTTATTTTCTCACATACATCTGGTATCTAACCATTTTTACATTTTCTTGTGTACGTTCGAATTTTCCGTATTTTAAGTTGTAGAATAAATCTAAAAACAGTGCTGAAACAGCTGGTGAGAGAATTTAAACTATCAAGGAGTTCTAAATTTTGATGTTCTTACAACTGAGTGAAAAACCTATCTATATTCAGTTTCTGTTATCCAGTTCTCTAAGCAGTATTGTTCTGGGCACAGCCACCACACACATAGAACTCTAGCCACATCTTTTTCTCTCTACAAGATAGAAAATAATTTAGTTTCTTCTTTGGTTAAGGTTGGAATTGAAGACATTTTTACGAAGGGAAAAAGGGGAATATAAAAGAAAACATGAAGCCACTGAGTTTCAGAATATATAATCCTAATTTAACTAAATATTAGCCAAGTCAGCGGTTCTCAACCAGGAGTGTCCCCCCAGGGGCATTTTTAGTTGCCCCAACTGTGGTGCCCCAACTGCTGCAGATGCTGCTGCTGCTGCCGCTGCTGCTGCCGTCTAGTGGGTAGAGGCCTGGGATGCTGTTAAACATCCTCCAATGCGCAGGACAGCCGCTCCCAGAAAGTAGAGGGTTAAGAAATCCTGGCCTAGGGCGACTGATAAGCTAGGCAAACATTCAACTAGTTTCATGCTATTTTATGGCTCTTCAGTTCATGCTGTCCCTTCTCAATATCCTGCTTAGTCTTTACCTAACTCCTATCCATCAGAAACTCATCTCAGGTTGCATCTCCTCAAGGAAGCCTTAAAAAACAAACAAAAAAACTCCAGGTTAGGCTAAATTGCTCCTTCTCTTAACTACCAAAGCAGCCTGTATATTCTTCTATCATTTTCTGTTAAAATGATTATTTATGCATCTGTCACATTAACCCGAAGACAAGGTCCTTTTCTTAATCTTCCTTGACAAATAATAGGTATGTGCCAACAGAACTGAATTGGATCCACCATGTTCAGGATAGATGCTAATCAAAGATATTCAAACTTTCTGTCTGACCCAGATTTGCCTCGACACTGCTTCATCCTCAAGGCTGGAATTTGCTGTTTTCTCATCTCTAGGGACATCAGGTTCCCTTTATGCCAAGGATATATTAGATTTCACTCATTAGTTACTCTACTCTTAGACCACAGCTCTCTTCCCCTGAGTCTGATGCCATAATGCATTAATCCTATAAGTCAGTCTTCTCAAACTCTCTGGAAATTTAGGGTGAGATTCTGGGATTCCTATCATTACACCTGGTTCATTTTTCTTTGTCATACACAGTGTCTCTGGCTCATACACAGTATCAATTACTAAGTTTAGTTTTTATCCTCGCATGGAGTTTCGCTTCATCAATCAAGAGTCAGTCCATGTATTGTTTTAGTCTCTGGCTGAATGGGTGTTCATTTTTACTCTGAACTCTTCAGCAGACTTCTCTTGTTCTATTTGAAAGCTGAAGTTTCTGTCACCCCAAAATTGTTTTCTGAGTAAAGCCTCTAGATTCTGGTTTCAAGCTTAAATGGCTGACAGGCTTAAATGGTTGATCCTTTGGGGTTAATAGTCGATCTTTTCAGTAGGTTTGCCTGGTAACTAATTTACTAAACTGCCTAGAGCTAGGTAATAGTTTTACAATATTAACAACAGCCCTTCCCCACCAAACCAAACAACTGAAAAAACTTCAAACATCAAATTATGGTTGCTAGAACCTGGACCAAGAGAGGTATTTTAGTGAGTGAATAATTTTAAACTATGAAAACAAGCTCTAATTTTAGTTTAACAACTGCTATGTACTAAACAGAAAAATAGCAGTAGCCAATACATAAGGCCTTCTAAATTGCTAATTTTTCTGAGATACTAAAAGATGTGGACAAGTGACAAAAAAATCAGTTTAATATCTATAACTGCAAACAGTGTTTTCTTAACTGTTAAAAAAAAAGGTCGGCCGGGCGCGGTGGCTCATGCCTGTAATCCCAGCACTTTGTGAGGCCGAGATGGGCGGATCACGAGGTCAGAAGATCGAGACCATCCTGGCTAACACGGTGAAACCCTGTCTCTACTAAAAATACAAAAAATTAGCTGCGCGTGGTGGCAGGCGGCTGTAGTCCCAGCTACTCGGGAGGCTGAGGCAGGAGAATGGCGTGAAGCCGGGAGGTGGAGCTTGCAGTGAGCCGAGATCGCACCACTGCACTCCAGAAAAAAAAAAAAAAAAGTCACACAATGGGTTAACAAAATTTTAAAGAAAACTTAACCCTTTCATTGTAGCTAATTAACATTCAATTAACATTTCTTAGCTTTTTTTTCCTGTAAGAGTAAATAATATGTCAAATAAAGCTAGACAGGTAAATTTAGACATATATAAAACAGATACAGAGGCTGTCTTCCAGAAAACAGCAATTGATCAACAGTGGATATGGTAGCGAAAAAACATTCCAACTTACTTCAACATTTCTAAACATAAAGTTTTGACAAAACAAAGCATTTAGAAATAGGTATCACTCAAATAGTGACAATACAATGTCACATGTGTCATTCTAGACCTGGAAAACACAGGCTTATGTTCTGTACAATGACACAGCTATTCTCATAGGAGAGCATAAAAATAGATAATTATGACACGTGAAGTGATTATAATACCTTAATATTAGAATAAGCAGAAGTATAAACTAACAGATACCTGGCTAACATCCATTATGATAAATGAAATAACTTGATTAGGTGGAAAATTTGAACTGCTGAAAATATACTGAAGAAAAATCTCCTCATAAGACATTAATTTATAGCCCAAGATGAAAGAAATTGTCCACATCAAACATACTATATATTCTTTTAGAAAAAGAATTAATACATTTTCATCTTGTTTCTTTGAACAGTACTACTGGATGTTGAAGAAGGCCTCCAATGCTGACAATTTAGAAACATTAAACAAGTATTTAAAATGTCTATACATTTAGGCCGGGCGTGGTGGCTCATGCCTGTAATCCCAGCCGTTTGGGAGGCGGAGGTGGGCGGATCACCAGAGGTGGGGAGTTTGAGACTAGCCTGACCAACATGGAGAAACCCCATCTCTACTAAAAATACAAAATTAGCCGGGCGTGGTGGTGCATGCCTGTAATCCCAGCTACTTGGGAAGGTTGAGGCAGGGGAATCGCTAGAACCCAGGAGGCAGAGGTTGCAGTGAGCCGAGATTGCACCATTGCACTCCAGCCTGGGCAATAAGAGCGAAACTCCGTCTCGAAAAAAGAAAAAAAAAAGTCTACACATTTTAAACTATGAACTATGTTCAAGAATGAAAAATACTGACTATAAGTTATTTTGTGTTTTATTGCCTTATTTTTAAAGTGAAACTCATGTTTTTAAATTCTAACTTTTCATAGAATTTGAGAAATTCTACAAGTGAATATCATAAGCAAATAATAACAGACATAAATTTTCAAATAAACAAATTTAGTTGCCTTGAACTTCAATGAACCTATTAATAAACTGACATAAACTTACTTCCTAATTTCCTTATTTGAGAGAAATTACTGTTAATAAAATATTATATGAATCCTACCCAGAAAGTAGGCCACCTATCGTATATATGATTCCCTCCCTAAGTAAAGACTAACTTTTTGGAACAGAATAGGTAATTTTTACTCTCAAGCACATATACACACTTACAAATACTGGATTGAGGTATTCACTATATCCCTCTGTGAAAAATAAAGTTTCTTACTGAATGCTAAGAGGTCATAAAATCACTACATTTCCCTACCTCTTCCCATCCCTTTCATGCCACTCCTTTATGGTTTGTTACTTTTTAACACCCCTCTTAATTCCTTACATTACACAAGTTCACCTGTTTGCTATCATGTGACAAACTAGATACAAATCCTTAGAATATGTAAAGGTTAATCTTTGACATGGATACTGACGGCCAAAAAATCATTCATTTTTATTTGTGCCAAAGCTAGTTCTGATTTAACACTAAGAACATGACTAAGCTACCATTTTAGAGCCATATAATTTTAATATTTTCCACAATGCCTTGGAAATAGCTATCACTAAAATAGTACCCAAAACATCATGGGTAGATAATGTTTTTAAAAATGTTGACTGAAAATACACTTTGGTTTGAAATTCCAGAGTAAAGAACAGGTAAAGAGACTAAAATAGCTAAGATGCATTGTAGGGATGATACGTTTTAAATTTACTTATTTCTTCAGGTACAAAGAATCAGTTACTTTTAGATTTAGAAAGACTGTTGAAATCATCTACTGTAGGCACTCATAAATCAGGCAAATGAGGCCCAGTAAACAAATTACTTGTTTAAAATAAATAATCCAACAAGGATAAAAAACTAGATCCCTAAATCCTAATCTAACAATAATTATATGACTTTCCCCAATGAAATCTGAGTTTCCTGAAGGTTCTGAATGTAAGAAAAGTCCTAAGAGAATACCAAATTATAGATTATTAGCTGGAAAAGACTTTAAGGAAAGTCCAAGCTCCCTCATTTTTATAAATGAAAAAGATGAGGCACTTACAAGTTAAGTAATTTGTCTTACACTCAGGAGAGTTCTGGATAGAGCAACGACTAGAACACAGTTTCTTTGATCCTAGTCCTCTTTCTACTGTACCATACAGCACTTTAAACATATTTCATTCTCTGTTATAAGCAAAATTAATATTTTTACATGACCTGGAAATGATAAACTATTTATAGCTTAGGGCTTTCTTCTCCTTTAGCACATCTGCATAAACAGTTCTAATTTCTTAAAGTTAGTTTAAAAGCAGGATAGCACACAAAAAATATGTTAAGTGTTGAACAACTGCATCAAGGATGATAATCTGCTCTGTTGCCCAGGCTGGATTGAGTGCAGTGGCACGATCTTGGCTCACTGCAACCTCCATCTTCTGGGTTCAAGCAATTCTCCTGCCTCACCCTCCAGAGTAGCTGGGATTACAGGTGTGCACCACCATGCCCAGCTAAATTTCGTATTTTTAGTAGAGACAGGGTATCACCATGTTGGCCAGGCTGGTCTCGAACTCCTGATTTCAGGTGATCCACACGCCTCGGCCTCCCAAAGTGCTGGGATTACAGGTGTGAGCTACCGCGCCCAGCTGATATTCCTTTTTATGAATTCTTCTGAGAATACAAACTCTGTGTGGGTGGGTTTCGTTATTTTATCCACTGCTTTATCCTGAGTGCCAGAACAGTGTCTAATATACAATAGGCCCTCAATAAATATTGAATAATTCAACCTTCTTGGTAGCTGATTGTTTGAAGATATTCTATTTTTCACCAATATTTTACAATTGTATTTGAAATTCTAATCTTACATCTATTTTAGTTATCTCTTAACTTTAAATAAGTTATTACTTTAAAAAATAATATATGTATATTTAGTGTATTTAAACTTAATATATTAAATATACACTTAAGAATATATATGGACATATATTAATATCTTAGACTGGCATTAAGATTCTTCACTGACAATCTGTGGCAACAAAATAAGTTCTAACAGAGATGCTAAAGAACTGTGTAATTCAAACTATGTAGGTACGTACACTCATTATTTGATCCATATTAGATTTTATTTACATATAATAGAACAATATATATTTGCACTAAGTTGTATTTAACCATCTATTGTAACATCAATTCTCTTAGCATTGAATATAAAATTTTTATGATACAGATATTTCCTTATAAACACTGATAACATTGGTTCATTTAGTTTATTTTTATTTAAAAAGAAATATCCTCTAGGTCTTTAAAATTAAACAAGCTAATTATCTAGGAAAAATGCAAATATTATTCTTATTTAGACTTTAAAGTAACTTTTCCCATGAGTCTTCAGAGGGAACCCATGTAATGTTAAGAATGATATTCTCAGCACCAGCACATTAAGCACTGCAACAAGTTTCACAGAACTATTTTTTCAAAAGCTCTTCCATGTAAGCCAAAATGTAATTCAGTAAAAGGAGAGCTATAATGCGTTAAAATGATATGGTTCAGATAGCTGTTTTTGGGACTAACTTCACCAAAGGATAGTTTTTAGACTCTTTAGAGCTGTGGTCTTCCAGCTCCTCTTGAACATATGCCCTATCAGTAAAAAACAATTTGAGTATACATCCTGTTTATAAATCATTTATATATTTATAAATTATATAGAATTACTGCAATAATATATTTTTGTATTACAGAATGTATACACAATGAAAAATTTAAGTGGATGAAATAACAGTAAACGTTACTGGAAGTTCTATAATTTTCTTCCTACATTCCAGTGTTTCATTGTGTGCACCCCTTGGGATGACTTACCCCATTTTGGAACTCACAAATACAAATAAATGACACTCCTCCACTGATAATTTTTTTGTTTTCCTTAACTAAGCTTTTAAGAAAACATTGGGCCGGGTGTGGTTGCTCACACCTGTAATCCCAGCACTTTGGGAGGCCAAGGCAGGTGGATCACCTGAGGTCAGGAGTTTGAGACCAGCCTGGCCAACATGGGGAAACCCCATCTCTACTAAAAACACAAAAATTAGCTGAGCATGGTGGCACATGCCTGTAATCCCAGCTACTCAGGAGGCTGAGGCAGGAGAATCGCTTGAACCCAGGAGGCCAAGGTTGCAGTGAGCCCAGATCACACCACTGCACTCCAACCTAGGGAACAGAGCAAGACTCTGTCTCAAAAAAAAAAAAAAAAAAAGAAAAGAAAAGAAAAGAAAAAATAACACTGGGCAACATAACTTCAAGATTATTTCTTTGACAAACACTGGAGTACAGCTATGCAACTGGCTAGGGTGGAGTCACATATTTTTATAGTCAGGTGGGGGATAATGCGGGGACTGACATCCTTTTTTGTGAGTTGAGGAACTTGACCAGGACACACATTTGGCTAGAACTCTATTCCTTCTCTACAGTGGCAGATCATGACATGCCAGCAAAAACACATAGGCAAATGGATAATGAGAGCCTCAAAATTCTGGCTCACAGGTCAGAGATGCAATACTGTAACTAAAATATGTATCTATACATAAAAACACATTAGTTTTTTTTTTTTTTTTTGAGACAGAA
Source organism: Homo sapiens (assembly GCF_000001405.40). NCBI lineage: Eukaryota > Metazoa > Chordata > Mammalia > Primates > Hominidae > Homo > Homo sapiens. The sequence continues at coordinate 167,933,196 of NC_000001.11, forward strand.
CCTCGCTCTGTTGCCAGGCTGGAGTGCAATGGCACGATCTTGGCTAACTGCAACCTCCACCTCCTGGTTTCAAGTGATTCTCCCGCCTCAGCCTCCCAAGTAGCTGAGATTACTGGCACCCGCCACTACACCCGGCTAATTTTTGTATTTTAGTAGAGATAGGGTTTCATCATGTTGGTCAGGCTGGTCTCAAACTCCTGACCTCAGGTGATCCACCCACCTCAGCCTCCCAAAGTGCTGGGATTACAGGTGTGAGCCACCGTGCCTGGCTAAAAACACATTCTTGTTACCTGTCGAGACATACAGTGTCAGTGATAAAATTAAATCTCAAAAATCTAGAATCAGCAATGTATGATTTCCAACTGTTAATATTGTAGCATTTCATATCATTTAATAAACTCCTTGTAGGTGAATCTAGAAAAATGTTTCAATGACAATTCAATAACAAATACTGTTAGGCAAAATAGTATGCAAAATCCTTGAATATTCACTCTGGATAAACTCTTAAGACAATAATCAGTGTTTCCTTAGATTTTATTCAATACTCATCAGTCAACGTATTTTTCAAGCTCCTCCATTTCTACACTGGTGTGCCTCCAACTTGTCGATCATAAATAATTCTGCTGTAATAGATATCCTTACTCTGTATGTTGCTCAAATTTTAGAACTGACAGTTATTGAGAGTCTAAGTGCAAACGCTGTGCTACATGTTTTAGAGACATTAGATCATCTGATTTTCACAACAATCCTGAAATGATTACAATTACTCCCATTTTATAGATGAGATAACTAAGGCAGGAATTTAGGGTCAAGGTCACACAGCCAAGACTGAAACGTAGGTCTATTTCCCTTCAAAGCCTAGCTCCTTTTACTACACTGAAAAAGGGGGTTAAAATAACTGAACGAATCCAAGGATTTTCAGGTGAAATGCACATCCTGCAAGTGAAAGGTAATCCCTCTTCATTCTGAAAGCTGAGTAGTATTTTAAGCAGTAATTACAGGTGGCTAAAAACTAAAGGCTTGGAAAGGATCAAGGTAAGACTACCCTCCAATTTTGTATTATTTTAAGTAGTTTAAAATTACTCTTACTCTGTCATGCCCTTATCCTACAGCTAAAACACAAAGCTTATGAAGGTCAGGGTTGACTTCACATTCAGTTGACTCTGTAAAGCCCAGATTATTACAAAAAGCATAGCTCAACCCTCCTTCCCGAAAATCTTTGCCACAAAACACAGCATAATTCCAAAAAAATTGAATGTTAAAAGAACTAAAAGGCAAATAAACAAAAACTTTTTAAATCAGTAACAAACTGTCCTTAATGATCAGTTTTATAATGGGTTCAATGTTGCAGTAAATAATATTAAGGGTTAGAGTATAATCCAGATGTTCAATTCATTCCATTATCAAACTGGAAATCAGATTTAGTAACCAGTTCAGACTCCAGAGAGCTGGTTCATAATCAGATAATGGGGGAACTAGACAACTTTCCTAATGATACCAACTACAGAATACAGATTTTAACTATGTAGGAGAATAAAAGCCACTTTTCGGGTAGCACTTCAGTCTTTCAATTTACAACACATTTTCTAGTTTGCCAAGTCTTAGGCTTGAAACAGACCTCAGAATATATCTGATGTTAGCCCCTAGCAAATAAGTATTATTACAACTCACTTTATAGAAGAGGTAACAGAATTCTAGATCTTTAATAAAGGGATTGGAATCTTTCAGTTTCTTACAGTTTTTTTTTTCAACCACAAGAACACAGTTTTCCAGTAGGCAAAGAGAGATGTAACGTTTACTGAGCATTTACAAAGAGTCAAGCACATATGTTATCTGTCATTCTCATAGACCGCGTATTACACAAACAGAGATCTAGGCTTTTGCTCAAGGTCACAACTATAAGTGGTAGAAGAGAATGATATCCAGGTCTGTCCACACAAAAAGCTCTGGGTAGAGCTTGTTCAACAATTTCATAAATAAGGATAGACTTAAAAAAACACACTGGACCTATGGGATGAGAAATGACACTGACTCAAGCCTGGATGAAGTAAAGCATGCAGTTTGGGGGAGGGCTCAGTCTGCAGGCCTCTGCCAGCAGCAGCTGAAGAAAGTGACCTTTACTCCAAACCCTACAGTGCGACAAACCACCCATCCAGCTCTGCCTAGAGTGGGTTAATATGCCACAATTCGAAAAGAGAAAGAGAATGAGTGTTTCATGGTGGCCCCAGACAGTTTGGTGGCCGCAGAAGTTGAGAAGGCTCAAATCTGGAGATCAGGTTTGGGTTGGAGTCGTGCGTAAGGGAGCGGATGTCACATAGGTGGGGAAGGGAGCTGACTTGAGATACGTTGGCTTAGGAAGAGATGTTGCAGGAGAGAGGGTGAAATGCACAGGCTAGGAGAGTAGACGGCTTCACTTGAAGGGAAGGGATTGGGGCTGTGGATGCCTCTAGAGGCAGTTGTCAGAGGGCCTCTAAAAGGTCCATTTTAGAGGAAGCGAGAAGGAAGGTCTCGATAAGGAGCCATTCAGGGTCCATTACCTGCTGGATGGTTGTACAACGGCCTCAATTTCTCGGGCAGCATCAGCTCCACTTTATCGAGGAGCCGGTGGTAGGTGGCCCGCAGGCCTCGGGCACCGGCGGCCGACATCGCCGCCGAGGGATCGTTGGCAGCCGGGTGGGAGCGTGGCTGTGTTCTCGTCCCTGGCTGACAACGAAGGGGAGCTAGTCACTTTTCCTGCCACGACGACTCGCGTCCGCCTCTCGCCTGGAGTACCCTTCCCGCGGCTTTCCCTGCCCGCTGTGAACCGAAAAGCTGCGGCCCGCGCCCCGCGAAGGTTGAGGGGGCGGAGGCTGCCGACTGCCAGCCCCCGGTCCGCCTCCGGCCCCCGGCAGGAGAGAGGGAGGAGCCATGGCAACAGGTGCCAAAATAATCACCTCACCAAGTCTGCGCTGCGCCCTGCTGGCAGCGCGCTTGCGCAGGCCGAGCTGCCCGCCATGATTGGCCCGCCCCGAGGCGCGGGCGGGGTCGAGCGGAAACCTCCTCCTTCTCCCCATGCCCTCGAGGCCATGTTGGAGAAGGGAAAGTGAAGCTGCGCTGGTTCTACTGCCCTTTCACTTTGATTAAGCAGGCCCGTAGTTAAAATGGGTTTTTGGGCCTTCAGTGCCTAAAGATGATGCCGCACAATTCTCTTGCTTCTTTTCACTGGAGACTCGTGAGCGAGAGACTACAGAATTGAGTAGCTTCTCTCTCTACTCGTCTTTTATCCCTAGCGACTTAAGGATCTGGTTAGAGTGGCCCGAATGCATTCTTCCAGGGTGAGGGCAGCCGCAGCACACACCAGCCTCAGTCCCCAGGGTGGTCGTCATCTCGCGAGAAAGGGTTGGCGGGGAGGGTATCCAGGACGAGGAGAGGGAGGAGTCGCCATCGCCTCCGCCTCCGCCTCCTCCTGTTGGAGGGGGGCTGAGGGAGGAGACTGTTGCTGATCTTTGGATGTTCTGGTTAGTCTAAGAAGGAGAGTATGAGGCGAGCTCCGGCCCGGGTGCGGCCGGGCTTCAGGGGCCCAGGCGCCGCTGCTGCCACCGCCATCTAACGCTGCGCCCTGGAGGCCCGGCGCGCGGATGGTGCCGGTGCGGCTCGGGTGTTGAAACGGGTGTCCCCTCCCCCTCCTCCCCTCCCCCACGCGGTGGTCTCCCCTCCCACCCGGCTCAGGCAGAGCCATGTCTCGGGGTGGCTCCTACCCACACCTGTTGTGGGACGTGAGGAAAAGGTCCCTCGGGCTGGAGGACCCGTCCCGGCTGCGGAGTCGCTACCTGGGTGAGCGGGGGCCCCGGGGCGGAGGCGCTGAGGTCGCCGCCTAGAGTGGGGGAGGGGGCACGCTGCCGGGTCTGTTGGAGGTGGGACGGCGTCTCGGTGGGGGCGCCCGGAGACTCTGGGGTGTTGGGTGGGGCCTTGGTTGCCGAATTCCGTGCCGGTGCCTCCCCCAGTCAAGCCCCCTGTGCATGCTGCCAGCCGCCGCCCTTGCTGGGTTTTTCTCGGAGGGCCGGGCCGTGGGCAGAAGGTACTGGCTTGTAAAGGTGTTGGGGTCGCTGATGGGTTGGGACTCGGGAGACTTGCGGAACCTCCAGGAGCTGCCGCGTTTAGAGCAAAAGTTAGCTCTTTTGCTCTTTTCCAGCGCGCTTTCCCCGCTCAGCCGAAGAACCTAAGTTGTTGCCCACCCTCTCCTTCAATCTCCAGAGGGTTTAGGTGTCGGCTGCGACGCGTTGACCACCCTCAGGGACTTCACGCTCCAGACAGAATCCGTGTAAACTGTTTTTGCGGCGCTGAGCCAAAACCTAAAAGTGATAGCTGAGCTCTCCCCACCCCCGCGCGCTCTCCCAGTTCCACTCTGCTCTTCAGTTCGTTTTGACCGCTTAAAGGTGGTGTAGGGTTTCACGTTCCTCTTCCCACCCCTGGAAAACACACTTGGCATTTACAGTTTCGTAGTTAAGCTTTCTAAAAACAACCTTCAGTACTTGGGGGAACAGTATTCCACTTTTTTCGTTTTGCATAACATTTTTTTTTTGAGGATTCTAGGTCACGCCCGAGTCAACTAAAAAGTTTGGTTTCTTAAAAATGGACGTACTTAGTAAAGGTCTTTTTTGTTTCTTCCTGTATACTCTTCATTACTCTTTCTTTCTATTTGGAGATACGGCAAACAACATCATAAAATTTTTTTCTTTCCAGTTTTGCCACTTGCTAGTTAAAAAGTGTTTGTTGCTCTCATTTGTTTTTGATTTCAAGTAAAGAGAAGAAAATGAAATCTCATTACAACCAACAGTTCTGGTTTGTAAATTATTTAAGAAAAGTTAGCATGCAATTTTTTAATTCTTTTTAGTGTCTCAAGTAAAATACGAATACATTTTGTTTATAAAAACTCAATAAAAATGAAGCAAAAATCCCTTTGATCCCTCCCATTCAATTTCACTCCGCCACCCTTAGAAATAATATTTTCTGTTTTCTGAATATTCTTCCAGACCTTTTTGTTTGCATTCTTACAAGTACATATGTACATGTACAAATGCTGGGGTGTGTGTGTGTTTGTGTGTGTATGAGAGAGACACCTGAGTGCATGGTGTCATATTGTAAACATTGTTTTCACTTCTCCACATTTTGGAGATCTTTCCATGGCAGTAAAAATAGATTGATTCTGTCTTTTAAATTATTACATAGTAGGTAACATTATGAAGTACCATAGGGTACTCAACCTTTCTTCTTTAAGTAGACGTTCGCCCTTACAGCATTTTAATGAACATCATTCTACAAGCTTCTGTGCATTTGTTGTAGGATAAGTACCTAGAGTGGTGATTAATCATTTTAAAATTGAACATAGCTGGAGTCTGGTTTTTAAAACTATTTACCAAAAAAAGTGTGCAGTATTTCTTTTAGAATTTATTTGCGGAGAAAGAACTTAATTTTAGCTTAATAAAACAAACGTTAACATTGTTTTGCATGGATACATTTATAATTTGGTCCTTTATCTCAGTTGGACAGTTTAAGTACTTGTATATAGTTCTATATTTTAGTGTTTTCTTTTGGTTCAGTTACTTCAGCTATATCTACAAACGAGTTAATTAAAATATAACAAAACCATATACCTGCTTTTCCCCCTCCTACTCCAACTCCCTAATGGAAATGGAATTTGTGTATTGGGTCTAGGGGAATTGAAGGGTTCACTGACTATATTAGAAAGCCTGAATTACAGTTTTTCAAATGTGTATGTATACATACAGGGAGTTCTTTATCTTAAATAATATTTTAGATATGATAATATATACTCTTAAAATAGGACATTTTTGGAATGACTTCCTTTAAAAGTGGTTTTCTAAGTACTTGAAAATACTTTTTGAAAGTATCGAAACTTGAAAATGTTTGCAAAGAACTAATTTATTGGCCTTTACCCTTAGTAGACCTTTACACTGTTATTCAGCTCTTCTATACTACAGTGCTAATCCTGGCTTTGCATTCAGGAAGCAGCAAAATCCACATTGGTAATGTTTGAATTAGTGATGGTTTTTTTTAAAAAATGACTTTCCCTCCCAGTTTTATTGGGGTATAATTGACAATTAAAAATTGTTATATTTAAGGTGTAGGACTTGATAACTTCATATACAATCAAGTTAATTAACATATCCATCATGTCACATAATTACCATCTTTTTTTGTGTGTGGCGATAAAATGACTTTATCATTATTATTAATTTTATTTTTATTATTAGATAAAATGACTTTTTAAAGTACAGTACTCTTGGCCGGGCGCGGTGGCTTACGCCTGGAATCCCAGCACTTTGGGAGGCCAAGGTGGGTGATCACTTGAGGTCAGGAGTTTGAGACCGGCCTGGCCAACATGGTGAAACCCTGGTCTTTACTAAAAATACAAAAATTAGCCGGGAGTGGTGGCGTACGCCTGTAGTCTCAGCTCCTTGGGAGGCTGAGGCAGGAGAATAGCTTGAACTTGGGAAGTGGAGGTTGCAGTGAGCCAAGATTGTGCCACTGCACTCCAGCCTGGGCGACAGAGGGAAACTCTGCGTCATAAATAAATAAATAAATAAATAAAGTATGGTACACTTATAAAGCCTTCCTTTTAAAAGTCAAATTCCAAGTTAGGATTTTCCTAAGGAAATAGATTCCTTTTTTAAAAGACTTCAATATTTAAACATTACGATTGTCTATCTACAGGGTTGTAGATTTAAGTATTTTTCTGATACATTTTCATTATTTGTATTTCTACAGATTTTTTAGCAGTGAATTACTGCTAAATAGTAAAATTGGGATAGAACAAATAGATAAATTTTTCTTGTAGCCTTTACATTTCCAGTTATTTCACCATAGCATGTGCCCTTTCAATGTTAATATTCAAGCTTTGTAATTGATTTTACTTAAACTGATTAATTATCTCCTTTCTTCCCATCAAAGAAAATTATACTTCAGAAAACTTCCTATTATGTTGTGGGAATGAAGATGAATAATTTCCCAGATGTTATTTATGATTAAAAGATATGTTTACTTAGAGCTCCCAAATCCACAAGATTCACCTGGGCCAACAGAGTGTTGTTTTAGACTAGCATGGATTTAGAGGATAGGCCAGGGATTTTAATCTTTGTGAGCCCTATCTAAATTTCAATGTAGGATTCTTTTTTTTGGTGGGAGGCGGGGGGCAGGGTGAGGCAGGGTTTTGCTCTGTCTCCCAGGCTGGTGTGCAGTGGCACCCTCATGGCTCACTGCAGCCTCCACGTCCTGGGCTCAAGGCCATCCTCCCACCTCAGCCTCCTGGAATTTTTTTTTTTTTTAAAGAATAATTATCAAAGTCAGAGATACCTGTAGGTTTAAATGTTTAAATGTAATAGTTTCTCAAATTACTGTATACTAGGTGTAGAGTAGTGCTTTTGGAAATCAGTGATTTATTAGCCACACAGATTTTATTATCCCATATATATACGGTTTTGTAAAGATAAACATTGTTAATAAAATAAACTTATTTCAATACATTGCTTGTTTCTACTCATATTTCTTTCCTTTTGGACAGACACTCCTACAACTTTCTAACCCTTCTAAATTAAAAGATAGTAATTGATAAAAAAGTAATTTTAAGGTACTTCTCAAGGGAGTTATTTATTATAATGTATAAAATGTGTAAATTATGATTAGGCAGCCAGTGACAATTTTTTAGTGGAGATTGAATCTCATCTTTTTGTAAGGAGTTTATGAAGTCAGTGTCCTTTGAATATCATTAGAGTCAGTATGTACTGAAATGGATAATTTTGCGTGTCGATTACTCTTTAGTGCATCTTGAATACATCTGCATTCTAGATTACCAGGTTCTTCATAATATGTTGCCAAGTTACAGTGTATTTATTATATGAAGATTAGTAACTTCTGACTTTTGCCTCTTTTTTTAGCCATTGGGGAAAAGTTAGTGAAATATTTGTATTTTGTTTCTTTAGTCTTGAAATTTCAGTGAAAGCTGAAAAATGTATGATTTTAGTATTGAAAAATGACGGTCAATTGTGACAAACGTAAGATATACTGATAATTCCTTAAGGCAGGACACCAAAGGCATATAAGTAATCATAACAACCATAGACACTATGATAGCTCTACTGTGGGTTTCATTGCTTCCTAAAATAGGATGAATCAAGTTATAAGTGCTTAGAAGGTTTAGAAGCTTCTGGTAGCATGGAGCTTATGTTACAAGTATGCTTTAGGTCAGTGTTTTTAAAATGTTTTAAAAATGATCCATGATAAAAGTACATTTATGTGGCAACCTGTGATATACACAACGAAAATAAAGGATTCTCTAGGTGTATATATAAACCTTACTAGATGGGATGCATTCTGTTTTTTTTCATATTGTTACAACTGTTGGTGTTGAACTGGTAGAGTACGCACTAATGAGTCTCAGCTTGAGGTTTGGAAAATTGTTCTAGATGGTGTGTAGTTCTTGTAATTTAATGTTGCTTCAGGTTTAAGGTGGGCAGGCTTCCCCAAGTACTTGAAGGAGATTAAAAAAATTTTTTTTTAAACACTGCTGATGGCTCCACAGGGAAAATGTAAATAGTGAAACTTCATGTACATCTTGGACAAAATAACTAGGGTCGAACACTTTTAAATAGATATCTATTGTGGGATTGCTGACTTGTATGGTAAGTATGTTTAACTTTATAAAAAACTTCCAGACTGTCTTCCAAAGTAATTCTACCATACTGCATTCCCACCAGCAGTATATGAGAGTTCCAATTGCTCCACATTCTCATCAGCATTTGGTGTAGTGAGTCTTCCTAATTGTAGCCTTCATGGTAGGCGTGTAGAAATATATCATTGTTTTAATTTGCATTTCTCTTTTTTTGTTTTTGAGACGGAGTTTCGCTCTTGTCGCCCAGGCTGGAGTGCAATGGCATGATCTTGGCTTACCGCAACCTCTGCCTGCTGGGTTCAAGAGATTCTCCTGCCTCAGCCTGCCAAGTAGCTGGGATATGGGCATGCGCCACCATGCCCAGCTAATGTTGTATTTTTAGTAGACATGGGGTTTTGCCATGTTGGTCAGGCTGGTCTCGAACTCCTGACCTCAGGTGATTGACCTGCTTCGGCCTCCCAAAGTGCTGGGATTACAAGCATGAGCCGCTGCGCCTGGCCTTTAATTTGCATTTCTCTAGTGGTTAATGATGTTGAGTATCTTTTGTGGCTTTTGTTTTTGTCATCCATATAGTCTGGTTAAATGTTCAGGTTTACCTTTTTAATATTGTAAGAATTCTATAATTCTTTATATAACAGTCCTTAATCAGATATGTACTTTACAAATATTTTCTGTCAGTTTATGTCTTTTTCTTAACAGGTTCTTTTATAGTTCATACTTTTTATGTCCTATCTAAGAATCTTTACCTAATCCAAGGTAACAAAGATTTTTACTTTTTTTTTCCTGGAGATTTTATCTTTTTACCTCTTACATTTAGGTCTGTGAACAATTTCGAGTTAAGTTTTACATATGTTGTAAGAGTCAAGTTTCATTTCTTTGCATATTAATGTGCAATTGATCTAACAGTGTGTGGAAAGACTACTTTTTTCCCTTTGTTGAAAATCAATTGACCATAAATGTTTAAGTCAATTTCCTAGCCACATTCCATTGATCTAGCTTCATGTCTTTATACCGAGGATTGAAATCAGCTAGTGTGATACTTTAAACTTGGTCTTTTTTTTGAGACAGAGTCTTGCTCTGTCACCCAGGCTGGAGTGCAGTGGCTCGATCTTGGCTCACTACAAGCTCCGCCTCCTGGGTTCACACCATTCTCCTGCCTCAGCCTCCCGAGTAGCTGGGACTACAGGCACCCGCCACCACGCCCGGCTAATTTTTTTGTATTTTTTTAGTAGAGATGGGGTTTCACCGCGTTAGCCAGGATGGTCTCGATCTCCTGACCTTGTGATCTGCCCGCCTTGGCCTACCAAAGTGCTGGGATTACAGGCGTGAGCCACCGCGCCTGGCCGAAATTTGGTCTTTTTTAAAAAAATTTATAGTTATCCTGGCTATTCTGAACCCTTTCTATTTCCATAAAAATTTTAGAACTAGCTTGTCAATTTCTACAAAAAGACTTGGGATTTTGTGTTGAATCTATATATTATTTCAGGGAGAACTGACATGTTTACAATATGAATCTTCTCATCTGTGGTTCTGGTTTGTCTCCGTGTATTAAGCATTCTTTGATTCTCTCAGCAGTGATTTGTATTTTTTGGTGTTAGGTTTATCCTTAAATATTTCATATTTGTAATGCTATTTTAGATGATATTTTTATTTATTTTTACTTTTTATTTGTACAAATTTATGGGTACATATGCAGTTTTGTTACATGCATAGATTATGCTGCAGTCAAGTGAGGGCTTTTAAGGTATCCATCACCTGAATAACGTTCTTTGTCCTCATTAACGAATTTCTCATCATCCTCCCACCTCCTCATTCTTCCACTCCATTATGTATCATTCCACTCTGCATCTGTGTGAACACGTTTGTTTAGAACACACTTATGAGTCAGAACATCATACTTGTCTTTGTGTGCCTGGTTTGTTTAACCTAAGATAATGACCTCTAGTTCCATCCACGTTGCTGTATATGTCATGATTTCATTCATTTTTTTTTTGAGATGGAGTCTCACTCTGTCGCCCAGGCTGTAGTGCAGTGGTGAGATCTCGGCTTACTGCAAGTTCCGCCTCCGAGGTTCACGCCATTCTCCTGCCTCAGCCTCCCAAGTAGTTGGGACTACAGGTGCCCGCCACCACACCTGACTAACTTTTTTTTTGTATTTTCAGTAGAGACAGGGTTTCACAGTGTTAGCCAGGATGGCCTCGATCCCCCGACCTTGTGATCTGCCCGCCTCGGCCTCCCAAAGTGCTGGGATCACAGGGGTGAGCCACCACGCCCAGCCTGATTTCATTCTTTGTTATGGCTGAATAGTATTCCATTGTGTATATATACCACATTTTCTTTACCTGTTCATCCATTGATGGACACTTAGGTTGATTCCATATCTTTGCTGTTGTGAATAGTGCTGCAGTAAACATACTGGTGCACATATCTTTTAGATATATTAATTTCTTTTCTTTTTGTAAAAATCTAGTAGTGGGATTGCTAGATGGAAAGATAGTTCTATTTTTAATTCTTGGAGAAATCTCCATACTGTTTTCCATAGAGGCTGTACTAATTTACATTCCCACCAATGGTATATAAGAGTTCCCTTTTTTTCACATGATAACCAACATTGTCTGTCTTTTTAATAAAAGACATTCTGACTAGGATAAGGTGATATCTCATTGTGAATTTGATTTGCATTTCTCTTATGACTGGTAATGTTGAGCATTTTTTCATATACCTGTTGGGTGTATGCTTTTGAAAAATGTCTATTCATGTGTTTTGCCTACTTTTTAATAGGATTGTTAGATTTTTTTGGTTGTTGAATCGTTTGAGTTCCTTGTGTAGTCTGGATATTAGTCCCCTGTTGGATGAATAATTTGCAGATATTTTCTGTCATTCAACAGGATTGGTTGTCTCTTCAATCTGTTATTTCTTTTGCCATGCAGAAGCTTTTTAGTTTAATTGAGTCCCATTTGTCTGTTTTCTAGTATCTTTATAGTTTTGGGTCTTACACTTAAGTCTTTAATCCACCTTGAGTTGATTTTTATGTATTAGTGAGAGATAAGAGTTCAATTGCATTCTTCTGCATATGGATATCTAATTTTCTCAGCACCATTGATTGAAGAGGGTTTCGTTTCCACAGTGTATGTTCTTGTCGGCTTTGTCAAACATCAGTTGGCTGCAAGTATGCGGCTTTATTTCTGGGTTCTCTATGCTGTTCCATTGACCTGTGTGTCTTATTTTTATACCAGTAACCTGCTGTTCTGGTTAGTATAGTCTTGTAATATAATTTGAAGTTAGATAATGTGATGCCTCTAGCTTTATTCTTTTTGCTCAGCATTGCTTTGGCTATTGGGGCTTCTTTTTGGTTCCATATGAATTTTAGGATTGTTTTTTCTAATTTTGCAAAAAATTAACTTGGTATTTTGATAGGGATTGTATAGAATATGTAGGCTGCTTTGTACAGTATGGTCATTTTAATGATATTCTTCTGAATATCCAGTGATCATGGGATGTTTTTCCATTTGTGTCATGTATAATTTCTTTTAGCTGTGTTTTGTAGTTCTCCTTGTAGGGATTTTACCTCTGGTTAAATATATTCCTAGTTTGTGTGTGTGTGTATGTGTGTGTTTATAATTTCTTTTTTCTTTTTTTCTTTTTTGAGACGGAGTCTCACTCTGTCACCCAGGCTGGAGTGCAGTGGCACAATCTCGGCTTACTACAACCTCCGGCTCCCAGGTTCAAGCACTTCTCCTGCCTGAGCCTCCAGAGTAGCTGGGACTACAAGTGCGCACCACTATGCCCAGCTAATTTTTGTGTGTGTGTGTATTTTTAGTAGAGACAGGGTTTCACCATGTTGGCCAGGATGGTCTCGATCTCTTGACCTTGTGATCCACCCACCTTGGCCTCCCAAAGTGCTGGGATTACAGGCGTGAGCCACCACACCCGGCCTTTTTTTTTTTGTTATTTGTAGCTATTGTAAATGGGATTGTGTTCTTGATTTGGTTTTCATTTTGAATCATTATTGGTGTGTAGAAACACTACTAATTTTTGTATGTTGATTTTGTATCTTGCAAGTTTACTGAATTCATTTACCAAATCTAAGGGTTTTTTTTTTTTTTTTTTTGAGACAGAATTTCATTCTGTTGCCCAGGCTGGAGTGCAATGGCACAATCTCAGCTCACTGCAAGCTCTGCCTCCCGGGTTCAAGTGATTCTCCTGCCTCAGCCTCCCGAGTAGCTGGGATTACAGGCATGTGCCACCACACCCGGCTAATTTTTGTAGTTTTAGTAGAGACAGGGTTTCACCATGTTGGCCAGCTGGTCTTGAACTACTGACCTCAGGTGATCTGGCCACCTCAGCCTCCCAAAGTGCTGGGATTACAGGCATGAGCTACCGCGCCTGGCAAATCTAAGAGTTTTTGTGGGGAGTCTTTAGGTTTTTCTAGATATAAGATCATATCATCAGGAAACAGGGATAATTTGACTCCTTCCTTTATAATTTTGATGCCTTTTGTTTCATTCTCTTGCCTGATTGCTCTGGTTAGGACTTCCAATACTATATTGAAGAGTGGTGAAAGTAGGCATCCTTGTTTTCTTCCAGTTCTTAAAGGAATGCTTTCATCTTTTCCCTATTCAGTATGATGTTAGTTACAGGTTTATCATATATGGCCTTTATTATTTTGAGGTATGATCTTTCTGTGCCTAGTTTACTAAGGGTTTTTCTTATGAAGGGATGTTGAATTTTATTAAATTCTTTTTTCGCGTCTATTAAGATGATCATATGGTTTTTGCCCTTCATTCTGTTGATATGATGTATCACATTTATTGATTTGCATATGTTGACCTATCCTTGCATTCCTGGTATAAAACCCACTTGATCATGGTGTATTATCTTTTTGATTTGGTGTTGGATTTGGTTTGCTAGTATTTTGTTGAGGATTTTTGCATTTGTGTTCATTAATCTGTAGTTTTCTTTTTATTCTGTATCCTTTGTTTTGTGTCCTTCTTTGGTTTTGTTATCAGGGCGATAATGGCCTTATAGAATAAGTTAGGGAGAGGCCTGTCCTTGATTTTTTGGAATAGTTTCAGGAGTATTGATATTACTTCTTCTTTGTACATTTGGTAGAATTCGGCTGTGAAGCCATCTGGTACTGGGCTTTTCTTTGTTGGGAGATTGTAAAAATTACTGATTAATTCTTGCTGCTCATTATTGGTCTATTCAGATTTTCTGTTTCTTTCTGGTTCATTCTTGGTAGGTTGTGTTTTTCTGGGAATGTATCTATTTCCTGTAGGTTTTCTAGTTTATGAGTATATAGTTCATTATAGTCTGTGATGATCTTTGTACTTCTGTGGAATCAGTTGTAATGTCTCCTTTTTCATTTCTGATTTTATTTGGCTCTTCTCCCTTCTTTTCTTGGTTAGTCTGGAAAGTGGTTTATCAATTTTTTTTATCTCTTTGAGGAACCAGCTTTTCATTTCATTGACCTTTTGTGGGTTTTTTTTTTCAGTCCATATTTCATTTAGTTCTGCTCTGATCTTTATTTCTTTTCTTCTGCTAGTTTTGGGTTTGGTTTTTTCTTGGTTTTCTGGTTCCTCGAGGTGCGTTCTTAGATTATTAACTTGTAATCTTTCTCCTTTTTGATGTAGGAATTTATTGCTGTGTTCTTCTTAGCACTGCTTTTGCTGTATCCCACAGGTTTTGGTATGTTGTGTTTACATTTTCATTTGTTTCAAAAACATTTTTTTAAATTTCTGTCTTAATTTCTTCATTGACCCTATTGTCATTCAGGAGCATGTTGTTTAATTGTTGTGTATTTGTAAGGTTTGTAAATTTTCTCTTGGTATTGATTTCTAGTTTTATTCTGCTGTTGTCTGAGAAGGCACTTGATGTGATTTCAGTTTTAAAAAATTTGTTGAGACTTTGTTTTGTGGCTTAACATATGGTCTGTCTTGGAGAATGTTCCATATGCTGATGAAAATATTGTATATTCTGCAGTTGTTGGATAGAATGTTTTGTAAATGTCTGTTAAGTTCATTTGGTCTAAAGTCCAGTTTAAGTCCAGTGTTTCTTTGCTGATTCTTTGTCTAGATGATCTGTCTAATGCTGTAAGTGGGGTGTTGAATTTTCACACTATTGTGTTGCAGTGTATCTCTTTCTTTAGGTCTAGTAATACTTGTTTTATGACTCTTAGTACTCCAGTGTCGGGTGCAAATATGTATTTAGAATTGTTATATATTCTTGCTGAATTGGTCTCTTTAATATTATATAACGACTTTCTTAGTCCTTTTTTTTTTTTTTTAACTGTTTTTAGATGGTTTTTTCTCTTGCCATTTTTAGGATTCACTCTTCACTTTGACTTCAGACAGTCTGATTATAATGTTGCCATGGTGGAGACCTTTTTACACTGTATTTGTCTGGTGATTGCTGAGCCTCTCATATCTGGATCTCTAAATCTCTTAACTAGCAGTCATCTGTCCTGTGCCAAGGATGAAATAATTTTGTGTTTTGTCTCTCCTTGGTAGAGTTTGTCACCCCCAAGTAAGAACTAAGGCTCTGAGAAAATAAGTTTTGCCCAACCTAAGTGTAGTATGTTCAAGTCAGATATTTAAACCTAATCCAACATTTCTTGCCCCAACCATCTCTATAAGTAATAATTCTCAACTAGTCTAGTAAAGGAGATAGGTATGTGAATAAATAACTTACAAAGTTGTAATTTATTTAATGGTTTAATGATTACACAACCATTAAAAATGAGCAATAGCTGTATATTTATTGTCATTGAAATACATTCACCATGTGTTATTTTATTTTATTTTTTTGAGGTGGAGTCTCACTCTGTTGCCCAGGCTGGAGTACAGTGGCATGATCTCAGCTCACTGCAGCCTCCGCCTCCCAGGTTCAAGCGATTCTCCTACCTCAGCCTCCCGAGTAGCTGGGACTACAGGTGCCCATCACCACACCCGGCTAATTTTTGTATTTTTAGTAGAGATGGGGTTTTGACATGTTGATCAGGCTGGTCCTGAACTCCTGACTTCAGGTGATCCACCCACCTCGGCCTCCCAAAGTACTGGGATTACAGGTGTGAGCCACCACGCACAGCAATCACCATGTGTTATTGAGTGGTAATACAGATTCCAGAACAGAATGAATATCATGATCCCAGTCATTTATTCACTGATTCAGCAAACGTATATTGAATGCATACTTTGTGGCAGGCACTGTATTAGGTATTTGGAATACATGGGTCAATAAAGCAGTGTTCTTATGGAGTTTATAACCTATTAATATAAAAGAATGCCAGAGTAGAGTCAGAATTATAAGAGGCAGCTTGAAGTACAGAAAGACTTGAGTTGGAAGCCACAATGGTAAGTTCATCCATAACAAGTGTGTAATTCTTGGGAGAAGATTCTTCATAGCTCTTTGGATTTCTGAACATCTTCGGAGCAGAGGCACTAGTCGTTTTGTTCTGGACTATCTTCTCAGTGAGGTTTATATAGTGAATAGCCTTGGAATATATAACAATTCTAAATATATATTTGCACCCAACACTGGAGTACTGAGAGCCTCTTGAGCCAAGGACAAATTTGTTGTTCAGTTTAATAATGTCTCCTTAGGGATAAAGGTCGGGCAGGTTTGCTTGATAAAAGATTTAGGTTCCCCAAGTTCAAGATTCCTCAGCTGTGATTAAAACCCATTACATGCACAGCATCTATCCAGGCATCTTCAAGTTTCCCTATGAGACTTGGATTACAGGAAGAACCAATGTAAACCTGAAGCTCATACTGCTTGCCATACATGAGTAGTAAATTTTTTTGCCTCTGACTTAGGAGTTTGGTGTCTTTTGCTAGCATCCAAGAAAGGTAGCAGTCCAATTGGTTACCTTGCAAATAGGCCAGACTCTTCACAGCTTTTAATAGCATTCAGATGTGAGTTTATTTTAATTTTAATTTGAGGAGGCTCAGTTTTATTAAGGTACTGTTCTTATTTTGTGGTGGGTTTTTGCTTCTATTTCTTGGTATTACATTTAATTACTAAAAGGGTAGTGGATGTTTTTGCTAGTTTGCTCTAGAAGCACACTTTATGAGATGTCTGGACGATGCAATAAATTTTATCTCCAAAGTCATGTATAAAAATGTCATTCAAAAGCTATCTATTTAACCACAATGTGTTATGCCTCTATACATGTTCTAATGTGCAAACGTCATATAGAAGAGTTCTTGCTAAAACAGCTTACTTTATCTTCTATTCTTAGGTTCTGCCACCATTTTCTCCAGACTGAAGTGGCTAGAGCCATGTTTCAAACGCAGGTTTTAAAATTTTGACAAAGTTTCCAATACTTTAATATTTTAATGTGTTTTAATTGCTGTCATATTGTTAATTTGAATACTTTGTTTCTTAACTCGTATAACTCAATGAGATTACCAATCCTTTGACCAAAATGAAATGAGTTTTTAAAAATTTATCTTTTTTACTGAAGTTAGAATCTTTTTACAAGCGAAAATCAGATTTGAAAAGTTAATTACCTGAAGTACAACCTACTTCATGAAAACATGTTACTGAATTTCTCTAGGTTGTTTTATTTCAGTAAGTTTAGAAACCATAGAGCATCTCCCTCCCCAAAATAAAAGCCCCCATAATTATCCATAATTTTTTTTTAACTTATATGTTCATCCTTTACCTAGCCATCTTACCAGTTAAATAACATGGAGAAAGAAGTAAAACAAATTGGCTTCAAGAGGCTCTTGATTTTGACATGGAATGGCAAGAAAGTGCAATAGAGAAATCTGCCCTTTGTGACAGTATACAGAAAGTATAGGCAGATACAATTTTATGAGAGATCTCATCAGCCTGATTACTTAATTATTGTTCTTTGTTGTAAATTCAGCCTTCTTTCATTACAGCTTCTGAATAAACATGCTTTTTGATCTGTGTTTGGTAAAGATGATTCATTCCTTAAAGGGACAGATTTCTCTTTTTCAAAGAAGGAACTTACTCTGTTTTTGCAGTATTTAAACTGTTCTGCTATTGATGGACATTTATGCTGATTTTTAATGCCATATTTCATCATTGTAATGTTAACTTTAACGTTTCTGAAATTGAGAAATGCTTAAAAATAGTTGGTACTTACTATTGCTGTTTGCCATCCTATTTAAAATTAAAAACCTTACTCCCTACCTGCAGTCATCTTTTATCTCTTTTTCCTGCTTTATTTTTCTGCATAGCACTATACTAACTTATAGCACTTACACCGATTATTGTTTTTCTCCTCTCATAAGCAGGCAGAAATCTTTTTGTTTTATTTTACCACCGTAAAATATACTTTACCTGACACAGAGTGAGTACTCAATAAATATTTGTTGAATGAATAAATGAAGAAATGTACGAGTGTTTATTGTGGTCCAGATACTGTGCTAAGCCCTTTCTGTCCTTAAAATAACTACAGGCCGGGCGTGGTGGCTCACACCTGTAATCCTAGCACTTTGGGAGGCCAATGCGGGTGGATCAGTTGAGGTGAGGAGTTTGAGACCAGCCTGGCCCACATGATGAAATCCTGTCTCTACTAAAAATACAAAAGTTAGCTGGGCGTGGTGCTGTGTGCCTGTGATCCCAGCCACTTGGGAAGCTGAGGAAGGAGAATTGCTTGAACTTGGGAGGCAGAGGTTGCAGTGAGCTGAGATCATGCCACTGCACTCCAGCCTGGGCAACAGAGTGAGACTGTGTCTCAAAAAACAAACAAACAAAAAACTGCGTGAGGTAGAGGTATTCTAATGAGGAAACTAAGTCTTAGGCGGAGGTTAAATTGCCCAGTATCACTCAGTTTATAAATGGTGGAGCTGAAATTAGAGCATGAATTTACTTTTCATGCCAGATCCTAGGCTCCTAATTTCTGTGTTATATTTTTCTCAGTATTTGTGTGATTTATTTAATTTGTTCTTTCTTTTTAAACAGGAAGAAGAGAATTTATCCAAAGATTAAAACTTGAAGCAACCCTTAATGTGCATGATGGTTGTGTAAGTAATAGTTAATTCTCAACTCTGAAGGGATTTGATACTAAGTGTTTAAGTGTTTGATGAAATGTCCCAATCCTCCCAGAAAGGATTGTGACTATAATAAAATGGGAGAATAAAGTTTTACATTAAAATATAAAATTATATTTTGAATCTAGAAGAGTGTATGCAAGATTTTTTAAAGTGCAGATGAGTTTTCTAATATTATCGAAAGGCTTCCATCTCATTCACTGTACTGAAACTGCTTTTGTGACTTCATGTCTCCAAATGTGGTGTTCACTTCTTAGAAACTAGACATATCACTCAAACATATCCTCTTTTTTTTCATACTTTTTTTTGTTTGTTTTTGTTTTTGTTTTTGAGACAGAGTCTTGCTCTGTTGCCCAGGCTGGAGTGCAGTGGCGCAATCTCGGCTCACTGCAAGCTCAGCCTCCCTGCAAGCTCCGCCTCCCGGGTTCACGTCATTCTCCTGCCTCAGCCTCCTGGGTAGCTGGGACTACAGGTGCCTGCCACCACGCCTGGCTAATTTTTTTGTATTTTTTAGTAGAGACAGGGTTTCACTGTGTTAGCCAGGATGGTGTTGATCTGACCTCGTGATCCTCCTGCCTCAGCCTCCCAAAGTGCTGGGATTACAGGTGTGAGCCACTGTGCCTGTCCCATATCCTCTTTTTTGAAATACTTTTTCTCTTGGCTTTTGCTAACACCATACTCTCTTGGTTTTCTTCCTATTTCAATCCATTGACTTGCTACATCTTCTCTGTCTCAGCTGACTCCTCCGCATATGTTCCTTCACATGTTGGTTGCACGAAGACCCTGTCTTGGTATCTCCCACCCTCTTTTCTCTCCAGCTCAAAATGACCCTATCTAGTCCCATGGCTAAAGAAAACATGACTTCTGCCTCTTCCCAGAGTTTTTATATCCAACTTTCTACTTAACATGTCCAGTTGCATGTCTAATAGGCATCCCAAATTTAGCAGATCCAAAACAGAGCTCTTTTCAATTTTTATTATAAAAATTTCAAATGTACTTTTCATGTACTTGTGACCTAGACTTAGTAATTATCAAGATTTTGCCATATTTTCTTTTCTATTTTATTTTCTTCCCCCATCCACCTTGCTGAAGATCCACCTTGCTGAAGATCCGCCTTGCTGAAGATATATTATTTTACCTTCATATGTAAGCCTAAAAAGCGATTGACATTTTCTTATATAACCAAAATGCCATTAGGTAATTTAATAATATTGACTGTTTTTTCGGTATTAATCTAATATATAGTCCATATTTTCTTTGTTTTAAAATGTCTTTTTATTGTTATTTGTTCAAAAGATGATCCAAGGACACCTCTGCCTTGTATATTTTATGCCTTATACCTAGAATTCTCTTCTCTCACTTACCTGTAAAGCTTACCTTCTCATTTTATTTAGCTCTCTTTTCAAATGTTGCCTACCAAAGCAGCATTCCCTGAACACCCTAATTAAACAGCATGCCACGCCTGGTCAGTATCTTTCTCCTTACATTATTATTATTATTGATAGTGCTTACTATCTGGCATTATAATTAACAAACCAATTTATTTGTTCATAGTCTACACTTTTGCCCCCCTGCCTTGGCATATTGGACCAAAAAAATACCTTCACAAATTTATTTTTTAAATTTACTATCAACAGGAATGCCTGAAACAGATGTGGCACTTTATGAATTATTCATTGATGAGACAAAGAGTA
The DNA here is from genome assembly GCF_000001405.40 of Homo sapiens. Lineage (NCBI taxonomy): Eukaryota > Metazoa > Chordata > Mammalia > Primates > Hominidae > Homo > Homo sapiens. The sequence goes on from NC_000001.11 coordinate 167,953,583, forward strand.
TATTATGTGTTAGATTAATTATTATTATTATTCTTTGATATGGGGTCTTGCTCTGTCACCAAGGCTGGAGTGAGTGGTGCAATCTTGGCTCACTGCAACCTCCGTCTCCCGGGTTCAAGCAGTTCTCCGCTGCAGCCTCCCGAGTAGCTGGGATTACAGGCACCCACCACCACACCTGGCTAATTTTTGTGTCTTTAGTAGAGACTGAGTTTCACCATGTTGGCCAGGCTGGTCTTGAACTCCTGGCCTCAGGTGATCTGCCCGCCTTGGCCTCCAAAAGTGCTGGGATTGCAGGTGTAAGCCACTGTTCCTGGCCCAACATTTTTTTCAAGTTTAAACATACCTTTGTTCTCTGCTTTCGTACTTCATTGGTGATCTGAGTGGATACAGGATTCTAGGTTGGACATTATTTTCACTCTGTAGTTTTTTGTTTGTTTGTTTTGAGACTGAGTCTCACTCCGTCTTCCAGGCTGGAGTGGAGTGGCACAATCTCAGCTCACTGCAACCTCCACCTCCTGGGTTCAAGTGATTCTTGTGCCTCAGCCTCCTGAGAAGCTGAGATTACAGTCTGCACCACCATGCCTGGCTAATTTTTGAATTTCTAGTAGAGACGGGGTTTCGCCGTGTTGGCTAGGCTGGCCTCGAACTCCTGACCTCAGGTGATCCTCCCAAAGTGCTGGGATTACAGGTGTGAGCCACTGCACCCCACCCACTCTGTAGTTTTCAAGGTCTTACACAAATGTTTTCTAGTATTCACTTCAGCTGGTAAGACTGTTGCCAGCCTAATTACTTTTTGTTATTATATAATAACTTTAATTACTTTTGTGAATTACCCCTAGATTTGTGCTTAAATTTTTATTTTTTATTTTTTTATTTTTTTATTTTTTTGAGATGGAGTCTCGCTGTGCCACCCAGGCTGGAGTGCAGTGGCACAATCTCGGCTCACTGCAAGCTCCGCCTCCCGGATTCACGCCAGTCTCCTGCCTCAGCCTCCTGAGTAGCTGGGACTACAGGCACCCACCACCAAGCGCGGCTAATTTTTGGTATTTTTAGTAGAGACGGTGTTTCACTGTGTTAGCCAGGATGGTCTCGATCTCCTGACCTCATGATCCGCCCGCCTCTGCCTCCCAAAGTGCTGGGATTACAGGCGTGAGCCACCGCACCCGGCAAATTTTTGTATTTTTAAGAGCTTTATTGAGATATGATCAGCTGTACATATTTAAAGTGTACTATTTGATATGTTTAACACATGTAAACATACACAAAGTCATCACCACATTCATGATGATAAAATATCAATCATCCCCTAAAAGTTTGCCCATGTGCCCTCTCATTCCTTACACATCACCCTCAACCCCAGTCAACCAATGATCTCTATTCTGTCACTATAAATCAGTTTGCATTTTCTAGAATTTTAAATAAACGGAATCATTGACTATGTATCCTTTTTTCATTTGGCTTTTTTTACTTTAAATTTTACTTAGAATAATTATTTTGGGATTCATGTTGTTGAGTGTATCAATAATTTATTACTTTTTATTGCTGAGGAGCATTTATTGTATGGATAAATCATAATGTTTATCTCTGTTCACCTGTCAGTGGACATTGGGTTGTATCCAGTTGAGGACTATTACAAATAAAGTTGCCATGAATATTCGTGTTGCGTCTTTGTATGAACATATGCTTTTATTCTTTTTTGATAAATACCTTTGAGTGGAATGAATGGGTCATATGGTAGGTACCTGCTTAACTGTTAAGAAACCAGTTGTTTTCCAGTATCGTTGTACCGTTTAACATTCCCAGTGTTAGTATGTAGAAATTCCAGTGGGTCCATGTCCTCACCAGCATTTGGTGTGGTCAGTTTTTTTTTTTTTTAAAGACATTCTAACAGGCATCTAGTAGTATCATGTTGTGGTTACATTTCCTGCCCCGTTAATTTTTAGATATTCATCTGTATTCTGGAAACTTCCTGAACTCTCATATTCATTCAAGTAGCTTTTTTTTTTCCTTAAGATTTTATAGGATATTCTATGTAAATAATCAAGTCATCTGAGAATTAAGTTAGTTTTACTTCTTTTCTAGTCTGGATTCCTTTTATTTCGTTTTCTTGACTTATTTCACTGGTTAGTATTCTATTATAAGATTGAATAGAAGGAGTGGAATCAGGCATCCTTGTCTTGTTCTGATCTTAGAAGGAAAACAGGGTCTCCCTCTGTTTCCCAGATTGGAGTGCAGTGGCACAATCATAGCTCACTATAGCCTCGACCTCCTGGGCTCAAGCTATCTTCCCACCTCAGCCTCCTGAGTTAGCTGGGACCATAGGTGCATGCCACCACCCCAGCAAATGTGTTTGTTTTTTGTAGAGGTGGGGTCTCATTATGTTGCCCGTCTGGTCTTGAACTCCTGGGCTCAAGTGATACCTCCCACCTCAACCTCCCAAAGCAAAGTGCTGGGATTACAGGTATGAGCCGCTGTGCTTAGCTAAGAACATTGTCTCTTTCTATTTAGTATGATGTCATCAGTTTTTTCATGGATGCTTGTTGTCAGGTTGAGGATGTTCTCCTCTATTACTAACTTGCTAAGAGCTATCATGAATCATTGCTGGATTTTGCCAAGTGTCTTTTTTTTTTCCTGGGAAATGTCTAACTATAATTCCATTTATTTAGTAAAAATAAACTATTCAGGGTATCTATGTCTTGAGTGAACCTTGTTTAATATGTGTGCTTCACTGAATTTATTTTATGTAAATTATTGAATTTATTGACATAAAATTGTTCATAATATTCCCTTATGTTTTTAAGTATCTGTAGAATCTGTAGTGTATGTTACTGTGTTTCTCATTACTGATATTGGTAATATTTTCTCCATGTTTTTTCCTGATTAGTTTGGCTAGAGGCTTGTTAATTTTGTCTTCTCCAAGAACCAACCTCTGGTCTCATTAATTGTCTCCGTTGTTTTTCTGTTTTCTATTTCATTGATTTCTGCTAATATATTTATTATTTGAGTCTTCTGCAGACTTTGGGTTTCATTTGCTCTTTGTTTTGTAATTTTTTGAGTGGAAGCTGAGGTCATTGATATGAGACCGTTGTCTTTTCTAAAATAGAGGTTTCTTTGGTGCTGTAAATTTTCTTCTAAATATTGTTTTAGCTGTAATCCATAAATTGAGATATGTTGCATTTTTATTTTCATTGAGTTCAAAATACTTTTTAATTTATTTTGTAATTTCTTCTTTGACCATCTGTTATTTCTATGGCCATCTGTTATTTCTTAGTTTTCCAACGTATCTTTATGTTAATGATTTCTGATTTAATTCCATTTTGGTCAGAGAACATACTTTCAATGACTTGTAGTCTTCTATTTAAATATATTAAGGTTTGTTTTGTGGCCCAGAATGTTGTCTCTATTGGTAAATGTTTCTTGTACACTTAAAAAATGTATATTTTGCTGTTTTTTAGTTGTTACAAGCATGATGATAAACCTGGTCCATGTGCTGACATGTTGACTATAAGTGGACATTTATTTTTTTTTTAATTTAGATGTGCTCACATACTATAAAACTGACGCATCTTAAGTGTTCAATTCGGTGGTTTTTAGTGTATTTGTAAAGTTGTGGAGCCATCACCACTATTTAATTCCTCTAATTTTATCATCTGAAAAAGAGTACCAATTATCAGTCACCATTTCCCCTCTATTTAGCAGTTAGCAATCACTAATACTTTCTGTCTCTACCAATGTGCGTATTCTGACATTTCATATAAATGGAACCATACAATATTGGCTGTTAATGTAAGGGTTCTTTCACTTAGTGTAATGTTTTCAAGGTTAATCCATGTTGTAGTATGTGTCAGTATTTCATTCCTTTTTATGATTGAATAAATATTTCATTGTACACATATACCACATTTAATATTTCATTGTACAGATATACCACATTTAATCTGTTCATCAGTTGTTGGATATTTGGGTTGTTTCCATTTTTTGGCAATTATGAATAATGCTGCTGTGAACATTTGTGTACAAATTTTTGTGTGTTGTAAGTTTTCAATTATCTTGGCTGTATACCTAGTTGCAGAATTGCTAGGTCATATGGTAAACTGATATCTCACTTTTTGAGGAGGTATCAAAACTGTTTTCCAAAGAGCTGTACCATTTTACATTTCTGACAGCAACATACAGGGTTCCAGTTTCTTGACATCCTTGCCAACTCTTATTTTCTGTTTCTTTAAAAAATTATTATAATCATCCTAGTGGATGTGAAGTGGTAATTTGTTGTGATTTTGGTTTTTATTTCTCTGATGACTAATGATGTTGAGCATCTTTCTATGTGCATATGAAGGTATGAGTCATTTACATACCTTCTTTGGAGAAATGTCTATTTAAATCCTTTACCTATTTTTAATTGGATTGTTTGTCTTTTTGTTGTTGAGTTGTGTTTGTATATTCTGGGACTCTTGTCATGGGACTCTTATCAGATATATGATTTGCAAATATTTCCCTTCATTCTATGGGTTGTCTTTTTGCCTTCCTCATAGTGTCCTTTAATGTACAAAAGTTTTTAATTTTGGTGAAGTCTAATTTCTTTTTGCTGTTTGCTTGGGCTGTTGGTGCCGTATTTAAGAAACTTGCTTAATCACTGGTCGTGAAGATTTATACCTGTTTTCTTCTAAGAGTTGTATAGTTTTAGCTCTTCTGTTTAGATATTTGATCTATTTTCAGTTAATTTTTATATGGTATAAAGTAGGGGTCCAAGGTGTTTTTTTTTGTTTTTTTTTTGGTGGCGATTATCTAGTTGTCTCAGCACCATTTGGTGAAAAGACTTTTCTTTCATTGAATGGTCTTGGATCTCTTGTCAAAAAATCACTTGACCATAAATAGAAGAGTTTATTTCTGAACTCTTAATTCCATTACATTGATCTGTATGTGTTTGTTTTTGCCAGTGCCACACAGTCTTGATTACTGTAGTTTTGTAATAAGTTTTTCTAGTTTTATTTTAGGTGACTTGGTTTTATGCCTGTGAACACTAAATAAATTCAAATAAGTAAATTTACACAGTGAAACTTAATGGCTCAGACATTTCATTGTAAAATATCAGAACATTGTGTTTACTAAATGACAGTCAATATTTAACGCTTTATTTTGAATTTTTTTAGAGCAGTTTTAGGTTCATAGCAAAATTGAGAGGAAGGTATGGGAATTTCTCATATATCCCCTGCCCACATACTTGCATAGCATTTTCCATTATCAACATCTTCCACCTGAGTGGTACATTTGCTGTATTTCATGAGCCTACATTAATACATCATAATCCATCCAAAGTCCATAGTTTACAATAGGGCTCACTCTTGGTTTCAGGCATCTTATGAGTTTGGACAAATGTATAGTGATATATATCCACCATTATAGTATCATGTGGAGTTGTTTCACTGCCTTAAAAATCTCCTGTGCTCTGCCTATTTATCACCCACCTTCTGAACTCCTGATGACCACTGATCTTTTTATAGTCTCCATAGTTAAGCCTTTTCCAGAATGTCATATAATTGGAATCACATAGTATGTAGCCTTTTCAGATTAGTTTTCTTTCACTTAGCAATATACATTTAGGTTTCCTCTATCTTTTCATAGCTTCTAGCTCATTTCTTTTTAGAGCTGAATAATACTTCATTCTGTAGATGTACCACAGTTTGTCCATTCACTTGCTGAAGGACATCTTGGGTGCTTCCAAAAATTGGCAGTTATGAGTAAAGTTGCCATAAACGTTTGTGGGCAGGTGTTGGTGTGCACATACGTTTACGTTCGTGTGCAGGTGTATGTGTGGACATACGTTTTCAGCTCCTTTGGATAAATACCAAGGAGCATGCTGTATTGTGTATGTTTAGTTTTTATAAGAAATCACCATTTGTCCTTCAAAGTGACTGTACAATTTTGCATTCCCACCAGCAATGAATATAAGTTCCTGATGCTCCACATCCTTGCCAGTATTTGATGTTGTCAGTGTTCTCTATTTTGGCCATTCTAATAGATATGTAGTACATTTCCCTGATAACATAGGATGTGGATTATCTTTTCATATGCTCGTTTGCAATCTGTGTATCTTTGCTGAGGTGCCTGTTATGGCCTTTGGCTCATTTCTTAGATGTTTCTTATTGTAGTGTTTTAAGAGTTCTTTATTTATTTTAGATAACATTACTTTATCAGATGTGTCTTTTGAAAGTATTTCCCCTGTCTTGTCTTCTTGTTTTCTTGACATTGTCTTTTGCAGGGTGGAAGTTTTTAATTTTAATGAAGTCAGTCTTATCAATGATTTCTTTTATGGATCTTGCCTTGGTATTGTACTTAATAAATTATCACCATACCCAAGGTCATCTGAGTTTTTTCCCTATGTTATCTTCTCAGAGGTTTATAGTTTTGTGTTTATATTTAGGTCTGTGATCTATTTTGAATTAATTTTTGTGAAGGGTGTAAGTTATGTGTCTAGATTTTATTTTTATTTTTATTTTTTTTGCATGTGAATATCCAGTTGTAGCAGCACCATTTGTTGAAAAGACTATCTGCATTGTATTGACTTTACTCCTTTGTCAAAGGTCCGATGATCGTGTTTATGTGGGTCTGTTTCTGGGCTCTGAATTCTGTTTAGTTATCTGTTTGTCTGCTCTTTTGCCAATACCACACTGTCTTATTTGGTGTAGCCTTACAGTAAAATTTTTATTATTATTTATTTATTTATTTATTTTTTTGAGATGGAGTCTCGGCCTCTTGCCCAGGCTGGAGTGCAATGGCGCGATCTCAGCTCACGGCAGCCTCCACCTCCTGGGTTCAAGTGATTCTCCTGCCTCAGACTCCCGAGTAGCTGGGATTACAGGCACGCGCCACCATTCCCAGCTTATTTTTTTGTATCTTTAGTAGAGATGGGGTGGTCTCGAACCACCAGCCAGGCTGGTCTCAAACTCCTGACCTCGTGATCTTCCTGTCTTGGCCTCCCAAAGTGGTGGGATTACAGGCACTTTATAGTAAGTCTTGAAGTTGGGTAGTGTCAGCTGTCTTGGGATTCTCCACTTATCTTTCTGTTACTGATTTTAGTTTAATTCCATTGTGGTCTAAGAGTAGACACTGTATGATTTTTATTCTTTTAAATTTGTTAAAGTGTATTTTAAGGCCTCAAATATGGTCTGTCTTGGTAAATGTTCCATGTAAGCTTGAGAAGAACAACTTTGTTCTTCTCCCTTAATATGTGTTGGCTAGCCCGAGTCTTTGGCATCTCTTATAAACTTTAGAATCAGTTTGTCAATACCCACAAAATAATTTGCTGAGATTTTGATAGGAATTGCATTGAATCTATAGAACAAGTTGGGAATAATTGACATCTTGAAAATACTGAATCTTTCTATTTATTAATATGGAATAGCTCTTCATTTATTTAATTCTTTGATTTCTTTTACCAGAGTTTTATAATTTTCCTCATAGAAATCTTATACATATTTCATTCAATTTATACCTAAGTGTTTCATGTTTTGGAGTGCTAATGTAATGGTATTGTGTTTTAAAATTCAAATTCCACTTGTTCATTTCTGGTATTTAGGAAAATAATTGACTTTTTAATATTAACCTTGTATCCTATTACTTTGCTACAATCACTTATTAGTTCCAGGAGGGTTTTATTTTGTTTTGTTTTGTTTGTTTTGAAACAGAGTCTTGCTCTGTCGCCCAGGCTGGAGTGCAGTGGCGCGATCTCGGCTCAATGCAAGCTCCGCCTCCCGGGTTCATGCCATTCTTCTGCCTCAGCCTCCCGAGTAGCTGGGACTACAGGTGCCCACCACCACACCCGGCTAATTTTTTGTATTTTTAGTAGAGATGGGGTTTCATCGTGTTAGCCAGGATGTCTTGATCTCCTGACCCCGTGATCCGCCCTCCTTTGCCTCCCAAAATGCTGGGATTACAGGCGTGAGCCACTGTGCCTGGCCTCCAGGAGGGTTTTTAAAATTTTATTTTCCATATAGATGATCTTGTTATCTACAAAGACCGTTTTATTTCTTTTCCAATCTTCATACTTTTCCTTTGCTTTTCCTTCCTTTTCTTGTCTTACTGCATTAGCTAGGACTTAAAGTATGGTGTTGAAACGAAGTGGTGAGAGAGGACATCCTTGTCTTGTTTTTGATATTCTACAGGTTGAGTGTCTTTAATTTGAAAATCTGAAAATTGAAATGCTCCAAAATTTGAAACTTTTTGAGTGCCACATGATGCTCAAAGTATTTTGGATTTCAGAAATGCTGTAAAATTTCCTCTGAGAACTACTTTGTTGCACCTCACAGATTTTAATTAGTCTTGTTTTGATTTCATTGAATTCAGAATCTTTTAAAATTTCTCTTGAGATTTCTTCTTTGACCGATGTGTTATTTTGAACTTGTGTGTATTTTGGGATTTTCCAGTTATCTTTCTGTTACTGATTTTAGTTTAATTCCATTGTGGTCTAAGAGTAGACACTGTTTGATTTTTATTCTTTTAAATTTGATAAAGTGTATTTTAAGGCCTCAAGTGTGGTCTGTCTTGGTAAATGTTTCATGTGAGCTTTAGAGGACTGTATATTCTGCTGTTGTTGAATGAAGTAGTCTATAAATGTCCGTTATATTCAGGTAATTGATGGTTTTGAGTTTAACTGTGTCCTTACTGATTTTCTGCCTGCTAGGTCTGTCTGTTTCTGATAGAGGGAATTGAAGTCTCCAGGTATCATACTAGATTCATCTGTTTCTCTTTATAGTTCTGTCAGTTTTTATCTCACATATTTCGATGCTCTGTTGTTAAGCACATACATGTTAGGGATTGGGAAACTATGTTGTCTTGGGGAAACTGACCTCTTTATCGTTATGAAATACCCTTCTTTTTCCCTGATAATTTTTCTTGCTTTGAACTCTGGTCTGTCTGAAATTAATGTAACTACTCCTGTTTTCTTTTGATTTGTATTAGTATGATATATTTTTCTCAATCCATTTACTTTTAATCCATATGGATCTTTATATTTAAAATGGATTTCTTGTAAACAACATATATTTGGATCTTGTTTTTTGATCCACTCTGACAGTCTCTGTCTTAATTTTTAGGCTGGGTGCGGTGGCTCACCCCTGTAATCCCAGCACTTTGGGAGGTCGAGGTGGGCGATCACCTGAGGTCAGGAGTTCAAGACCAGCCTGGCCAACGTGGCAAAACTCTGTCTCTACTAAAAATACAAAAATTAGCCACGCATGGTGGCACATGCCTATAATCCCAGTTACTTGGGAGGCTGAGGCAGGAGAATTGCTTGAACCCAGGAGGCAGAGGGTTGTAGTAAGCGGAGATAGCACCACTGCACGCCAGCCTGGCGATGAAGCGAGACTCCATCTCAAAAAACAAACAAACAAAAATGTTGCCAGGCGTGGTGGCTCACATCTGTAATCCTAGCACTTTGGGAGGCCAAGGCGGGTGGATCACCTGAGGTCTGGAGTTCGAGACCAGCCTGGGCAACATGGTGAAACCCTGGCTCTACTAAAAATACAAAAATTAGCCAAGCATAGTGGCTGGCAGGCACCTGTAATCCCAGCTACTCGGGAGGCTGAGGCGGGAGAATCGCTTGAACTCAGGAGGCGGAGGTTGTAGTGAGCTGAGATCGTGCTGCTTCACTTCAGCCTGGGCAAAAGCGTGAAACTCTGTCTCAAAAAAAAAACCAAAATAATAATTTTTAATTTAGACTATTGACATTCAAAGGGATTACTGGTATAGTTGGATTAATATTTCCTATATTTGTTAACTGTTTCTGCTTTTTGTCTTTGTTCCTTGTTCCTATTTTTGTTTTCCATTCTTCTGCCTTTTGTGTTTTTTTTGTTTCTGTTTTTTTTTTTTTTCCCTTTTGAGATGGAGTCTCACTCTGCCACCCAGGCTGGAGTAGAGTGGTTCAATCTCAGCTCACTGCTACCTCCGCCTCCCAGGTTCAAGTGATTCTCCTGCCTCAGCCTCCTGAGTAGCTGGGATGCCACCACACCCAGCTAATTTTTGTGTTTTAGTAGAGATGGGGTTTCACCATGTTGGCCAGGCTGGTCTCTAATTCCTGACCTCAAGTGATCCACCCACCTTGGCCTCCCAGAGTGCTGGGATTACAGGTGTGAGTCACCATGCCTGGACCTTTTGTGGTTTTAATTGAGCATTTCATATAGTTTTTTTTTTCTCCTTCCTTAGTATTTATTAGTTACACCTATTTTTTAAACTTTTTAATTATTTGCCCTAAAGTTTTCACTATACATGTACAACAAATCTAAGTCCACTTTATTTCAAATAACACTATAATGATTCACAGGGAGTGTGAGTACAAAGTAATTTTAAATCTTCCATCTTATACCTTGTACTATTTCTGTTATTCATTTCACTTATTTATAAGCACTCATAAGCATATTTTTGTATATGTGCTAGATATAAGCATAGATGATCAAATACATTGTTGCTGTTATTTTGAACAATAAAATAATTTGTTAGCTCAATTAAGAATAAGTAAAATGAAAGTTTGTGTTTTATCTTCACTTATTCCTCCTTCAGTGCTCCTTCTTTCTTTATGTAGATATATGTCTCTGACCTATGTTTATTTTCCTTTTCTTTAAAGAACTCCTTTTGTAATTTCTTGCAAAGTAGGTCTGCTGGCAACAAATTCCCTCAATGTTAATTTATCTGAGAAAAGTTTTATTTCTCCTTTAGTTTTGAAGGATAATTTTGCGGGGTACAGTATTCTAGGTTGGTTTTGCTTTGTTTTGTTTCCGTTACTGCTTTAAATATTTCACTCTTCTTGCTTACATGATTTCTGAGGAGATGTTGGATGTAATTCTTATCTTTGCTCCTCTATAGATAATGTTTTTTCCTCCAGCTTCTTTCAGGATTTTTTCTTATCTTTGATTTTCTTTAGTTTGAAAAATGCTTGCCTAGCTGTAGTTCTTTTTGTATTTATCCTGATTATTGTTCTCTGAGCTTACTGGATCTATGGTTTGGTTTCTCACATTCATTTGGAGGAAATTATCAGTCATTATTATTTCAGATATTCTGTTCTTTTCTCCTTCTCCTCTGGTATTCACATTATACATGAGTTATGCCTTTTGTAGTTGTCCCACATTCCTTGGACATTATGTTTTGTTTTGCTTTTTTTCAGTCTTTGTTCTTTTTGCTTCTCAGTTTTGTACGTTTTTATTGATATATCCTCAAGGTCAGAGATTGTTTCCTCAATTGTGTCTAGTCTACTAATACGCCCATCAGAGGCATTGTTCCTTTCTGTTACATTGTTTTTGATTGCTACCATTTCCTTTTTATTCTTAGGATTTCCGTCTCTCTGCTGACATTGCCCATCTCTTCTTACATGCTGTCTACTTTATCCATTGGAACTCTTAGCATGCTAATCATAGTTGTTTCGGATTCCTGGTCTTACAGTTCCAACAGTCCTGCTATGTTTGGTTCTGATGCTGGCTTTATCCCTTCAAATTGTATTTTTGCCTTTTAGTATGGCTTGTAATTTTTCTTAATAACTGGACATGAAGTACTTATTAAAAGTAATGGTATAAATAGGTCCTTAGGAATTTACTGGTAAAGTGTAGGAGGAGAGGAAGTGTTCTACAGGCCTATGATTAGGTGTCTGTCACTTAAAGAGCCTATACGTCTGAACTGTGGGCTTCACAAGGGATTATCAGCACCTCCTATTCCCAACTGAGGTGGAACAGGTTAGTAGATTAGGCTGGAGTTATGTATTTTCCTTCCCCAATGCGGAAGGCTGGAATTGGGTATTTCTGTTTGTCTAGGTCAGTTAGGCTCTAATAAAACCTCAGTGGGTAGGCTGTGGTGAAATAGCTTTTCTTAAGGGCAGATCTTGTTAAGAAAGTTAGAGTACTCTGGGATACCCAAAATGGTTTCTTTTTCCCTCCCTCTGCTGGATGTACAAGGTGATTTTAATCTGAAATTTATTGTGAAAATCTGGTTGAGCTCTGAAGTTAAAATCAAATCACAAAAACACCCTCTGCACCATACCCCCACCGCATGACTGGGTTCCCTGGAGTTTTTTTCTTTTTTGAGACAGAGTCTTGCTCTGTCGCGTAGGCTGGGTGCAGTGACACGATCTTGGCTCACTGAAACCTCCACCTCTTGGGTTCAAGCAGTTCTCCTGTCGGGAGGCTGAGGCCTCCCGAGTAGCTGGGATTACAGGCGCATGCCACCATGGCCGGCTAATTTTTGTATTTTTAGTAGAGACGGGGTTTCGCCATATTGGTCAGGCTGGTCTCGAACCTCTGACATCAGGTGATCCACCCGCTTTGGCCTCCCAAAGTGCTGGGATTATAGACGTGAGCCACCGCGCCCGGCCTTCCCTGGAGTTTTTAACATTCAGACTTAACGCTTTCTGAACCTCCAACAATTCATCAATTATAGTTCAGGTTTTCCTACCCTAGCTCTGTTTCTCACAGAGGTTTCTGCTCATGAGTCTGTGCTCTGGTAAGCCAAGACTCCTTGTGTTTACCTGTTCATCTCTGCAATCTAGGGGGTAGCATTTTGTCCTGTGTCCTTACCTCTCTGAAGGATCCAAGATCAGTTATTGATTTTACAGTTTGTTAACTTTTTATTTGTTGTTAGTATGGAGTGGCAACTGCTAAGCTTCTTACGTGTGGAACTGGAAACTGGAAGCTTGTTTTTTTAATACATCAACTATTAAATCAAGCTTGTCTAACACACGGCCCGTGGGCTGCATGAGGCCCAGGACAGCTTTGAATGTGGCCCACATAAATTCATAAACTTTCTTAAAACATTATGAGATTTTTTTGCTATTTATTTTTAGCTCATCAGCTATTGTTAGTGTTAGTGTATTTTATGTGTGGCCGGAGACAATTCTTCTTCTTCTACTGTGGCCAAGGGAAGCCATAAGATTGGACACCCCTATGTTAAATACTTTTTAACGTATAACCTCATTAGTGGTAAAAATTTTGTACCGCCAGGTGAGTGAAAGATGGCATATTTTCTTTTATGTCCAATTTGCTTATATTTCTTTTTTGCTTTCTCTTTAGGTTAATACAATCTGTTGGAATGACACTGGAGAATATATTTTATCTGGCTCAGATGACACCAAATTAGTAATTAGTAATCCTTACAGCAGAAAGGTAAAGTAGTTTAAAAAATCTGTAATTTAATGAGAGAAAAAAAATCAAGAAGGCAGAAATGAAGAAACTGTGAACAGTCATAGAATGGGCATTTATATTAGAATATCCTCCCTATTTTGCTGAGGTTTATTGTATAATTTAGAGGTTCTTAGGTACATGTGGGTCTCTTAGATTACTTAGGGAAACAAGATTTTATTCAGCCTTGGGATCTAGAAAATTTAAATATACTTTATTTAAATGGTTAATAATTGGTACAAGTGACATTATTTCAATAACATTTTTTGGGGGAAAATGTGCCATAAATAAAGTATGAGTTAATGAGAAAATTACTTTTATGTGTTACCTTAATATATTATCTTAACATTCTAAAAAGTTACTTATTTTAATGTTAAGAATAGTGTGGGTAAAGCTGCCAACTTTGGTCATTGTTTCGTTTTCTTAAAAATTTGAAATTTAGTCTTTTAGAAAATTTACATTTAAAACTTTTAAAGACAAAAACAGCCAAATGACTGCGGTGTGAATAGTTCTTGAGGTACTGAGAAAATTAAAATGGTTTCAATGAAGAAAAAAATTACCATAAGCTAATAAACTCCCTCACTAGAAGGCAAGAGATATCTAAGAATTAAATAATTTTCTAACTCTCAAGTAACTTTAATTACTGTTTCAAATAGCATTCCATTTTATCCACAGAATGTTTCCTTTACAAGGATGGTTTCAGAGAAATTAAGATACTGAATGATAAAGCTATAAACAGCTGACTGATTGTAATAAAAAGAAAGTGTGTGATGTTCTTTACACTTGACATAACAGTTAAATGAGAAACCTTCTGTTTTAGAAATATGACTAAATAGTTATTTTAAAATTTGTAAGATCTTAAACATTCAACACATCATTTAAAGTTCCAGTTAAGAATAGGAATATGTATATTTCCTAGCTGCCTCCCAACTCACATGATACATTTTTCTCTCCTGATTGTCTTAAATTTCCTGTATCTTTTTTTTTTTTTTTTTTTTTTTTTTGTGGCAAGGTCTCACTCTGTCACCCAGGCTGGAAGGCTGGAGTACAGTGGTGCGATCTCGGCTTACTGCAACCTCTGCCTCCTGCGTTCAAGCGATTCTCCTGCCTCAGCCTCCCAAGGATCTGGGATTACAGGTGTGTGCCACCATGCTCGGCTAATTTTTATGTTTTTGGTAGAGACAGGGTTTCACCATGTTGGCCAGGCTGGTCTTGAACTCCTGACCTCAAGTGATCTGCCCACCTCATCCTCCCAAAGTGTTGGGATTACAGGCATGAGCCACCACGCCCAGCCCAAATTTCTTGTATCTTTAAGTCTTTTAACATCTATTATTTTAATAGTAATTCCAAAAATGTACTCCAGCTTTTAATTTTTTATGGTAGTAGCAACCGTGTATTGGTGATTGTATCAGTCGGGTTCTAGTCAAAGAAACCACACAGTAATTTCAATAGGGAAAGTGTAATAAAAAGAATTACTACCTATATCAGGAGATTGGAGTAGTAAAGGCTTGGCTGCTAAAAAGTAAAAAGGTCTCTATAAAATACAGAAATAACAGATACTATGAACCGCCACTAACCCTGGGACTGAGATAAACCACTGAAAAGAAGAGACCCCCCCGTGCTGAGTGCTGAGATTTAGACCTTATTGAAGAGGGTGTCATGGCTCACTGGATGGCAGGGAAGTCTCTGTGATGTCATGCTAGTGTAACTTGTTGCGAATTCCCCTCTGGAACTTGGTGGAACACCTCTCTCTAGAGCACTGAGAAATACTTTTTAAGGAGAGGTTTCTCATCAGAGGTAGTATGCTACAAAATGTCTAGGGACGTGGGGAAATGAGGCAGGAGAAGCTGTCGGGTGTTGAACTGTTCATTTAGTAGGTGGGCCCTGGTGAAACTGCAGGACTCTGGTGCTATGGTGTTGGGGAAACTGCCCGTGCTGGAAGACCCTGGCACTGGAAAACCTGTGCATGGTTGCAGGAGCTCCCATTAGAGATAGGAAGCAAACTCCGTTTTCCTGCATTATTCTTTCAGTGCTTTTTACTGGCAAAGCTTAACATCATGCCAACTGGCAAAGGAAAAATATTTGAAGGACTCAGTTCCATTGCATAATCTATAAAAGTGAAGGGTAAATTTGGAACTGAGAGGAAATAATTTGATAAGTGGCACAGTAGTCTTACCTTTATCTGCTTCTTGGTATTATTGCAATGTGAAATTTACTTCATTAATATTTAGGTCTTTGAATGAAGAAGAGTTCCATGAAAATTTTAAAATTATATTATGATTACTATAATGGCAAATATAGATTTATATGTTGGTTTTTTTTTACCATTCTGACCAAGTTATTTAAACTTTCCTTAGCCTTTTTCTTCATATATTAAGAAAGTCATTATGTCTAAAGTCCTTTCTAATATTAATATTTTATATTTGTTTCTAAAAATGTTTTAAAACATTTTTGTCTATTAATTTAGGTTATATAGTGATGTTTGAATGGGCCTGGCTGGCTGTTTGAAGCTGGATCTTACAGGTTATGACTTACTCTTTTAGGCTCATAGAATGTAATCTTCAGCCAAGTAGTTTAAGAAACTGGATTTTTATCAGTTTACAAACAGTGGCTAGGTTCTAGTGAAATGCTTCATGATATACAATTCGATAAGCTGGGATAACATATGAGTTCTAATTAGGTTAGGATTATGTTCTGATTTTCATTGGCTTTTAGCTTCTGAGTTCATATATAGAGGAAGTATACAGCTGTTTTTATATCTGAAAACATGGTATTAGCAGTCCAAAGTGTAATTTAAAATTTTCAGTTTTACAGAATAAATTGTTTATTTCTTGTTTTTCCACACTTAATAAGATATTTAAATAAGTGTGTATCATCTATCAGCTGAAAAAGAAGTTCATATTGAGGCTGTCTTTAATGGGTCGTAGTTTTATTTCATTAAGTTTTACTTAATTGTCCTGGCTTAGCAAAAAAAGCTTGATGTTTTCAAATCCTACTTCTCTTAGGTCAGTAATTACAAGGGTAACACTTTTCATTTTATTTTTTATTATTCTTTTTTGAGATAGAGTCTTGCTCTGTTGCCCAGGCTGGAGTGCAGTGGCACGATCTCGGCCCACTGCAAACTCTGCCTCCCAGATTCAAGAGTTTCTCCTGCCTCAGCCTTCCAAATAGCTGAGGCTACAAGTGTGTGCCACCACGCCCGGCTAGTTTTTGTATTTTTTGTAGAGTTGGGGTTTCACCATGTTGGCCAGGCTGGTCTCGAACTCCTGAGCTCAAATGATCCACCTGTCTCCACCTCCCAAAGTGCTGGGGATTACAGGCGTGAACCATTGCGCCTAGCCCCCTTTTCTTATAATAGAGAAGATTTCCTGAAATAATGTATATGTAGAAAGCTTTTTGACGATCACTATTCAGAATTTTAACTCTTACATTATACAAAATAATCACTTGGGTACCAAAGGAATGATTGTTAAAAGACCTGTTTCTGTTTTATTTGCTTATTTTTAAAGAAATGACGATCCCTTTGATGTATGATTTCCAATAGAATATGTATATTTGAAAAAATGATACTCTTTCTCATTTCCAGCTTGAGAAATGATTAGTCAGATTTTCTTTTTAAAGATTATAATCATAGGCCAAGTGTGTGGCTCACGCTTATAATCCCAGCACTTTGGGAGGCCCGAGGTGGGAAGATCGCTTGAGGCCAGGAGTTAAAGACCAGCCTGGGAAATGTAGTGAGACTCTGTCTCTACAAAAAATTTAAAAGCTGGATGTGGTGGCACATGCCTGTAGTCCCAGTTACTCGGGAGGGAGTGGCAGGAGGATCACTTGAGCCCAGGCGTTCCACCACTACACTCCAAGTCTGGATGACAGCAAGAGCTGATATCTTAAAAAAAAAAATTATTATCATAAGCCTTTATAGGGCTTTTTAAAATTTTAAAACACCAATGATTCATTATATAGGAAAAAAAGCTTTTTGACCATGAGTCAAATACTACCTGTTTTTATAGTTTGATTATTTTTAGATCCTATGATTTTGTGGGAACATTAATTTATTGAAAATAAGAGTTTTGAAACACTTAGTTTTTTAAAAAAATAGATTTAAGAGACTGGAGATATTCCTTATTAATGCAATTATATTTTAATTATATATAGCATAGAGACTCCCCATCATATACTGGGGAGTCCCATTAGGGTACCCTATTATGGCATAGGTGAAAGAGAAGGAAGCCCAGAGATGGTCTTGCAATATCTTTTGTAAAATAAATTCCAAATATATACTGTATACATGATTTTTCTTGATTTGGCCTCAGCCAGCTACTTATAGTCCTCAGAGCTTAAAAAGTTTTCATTACTGTGTGCTTTTGCTTATACTCTTCTTTCTTTCTGAGATCACCTGCTTTCTCGGGTATCTCCCATCTACTTGGTAAATTTAAAATTCATTCTTCAAATCTCAGCTCTTTTTTGTGATATTTCTCTAACATTTCCTGGACACATGTAGCCACTCCTTCATCTGTGTTCCTGTCTTGTGGATAACTCTATTATTATATTGTATTATATTTGTTTGCATGTTGTGCTTAGATGGCAACTTCTTTGAGATAATGACAATTTCTTTTTTCTTTTTGCATCCTCAACACTTAACATTATTTATTTACCTCTCATATAGTTGGAGCCCACTAAGTCTTAGTAAAACGAGTGTATAAATCTGTATATTCGATACCTCAGACAGGGTTATGGGTCAGGTTTGAAAGGGGGTTGTTTTTACCAAGGGATTAAAAAACCATCCTCTACTATTTGGATACTTTTGGACTGAGCTTCAAGTTTTGGGAGTGTTGTACGTGACATGATTAAGAAGGAAAGAGATGCCAACTTTGGCCAGCTATTTAGTCAAAATAAACTGGTAATCAGCAGAATGACAGATGTTACAACTAGACCACCTTAACGTATAGTAATCATTGCAATTATCAATATGTTATTTTCATCTCAGATTAAGTTACTCTGGCAATTATACCTCTCTAGGGCATTATCCTTAGGGTGTTTTCAGAATAACTCATAATGCATTGATCCAAGGAAAGCACAACTAAGAAGATAAATCCATCAATAAAAAGTTATTATTGTTATTGTAATTTTTTTTTTTGAGACAGAGTCTTGCTCTGTCGCCCAGGCTGCAGTGCAGTGGCGTATTCTCAGCTCACTGCAACCTCCACCTCCCGGGTTCAAGTGATTCTCGTGCCTTAGCCTCCCGAGTAGCTGGGACTACAGGGATGCGCCACCATACCCGGCTAATTTTTGTATTTTTAGTGGAGATGGGGTTTCGCCATGTTGGGCAGGCTGGTCTCGAACTCCTGACTTCAGGTGATCCAGCTGCCTTGGCCTCCCAAAGTGCTGAGATTACAAGGCATGAGCCGCCATGCCTGGCCCAGCTATCAAAAATTATAACTTCCCAAGTACACATAAATATTTTTAATCAGCCTTATTGCTGTTTATCTGCAGTATCATACATACCCATATTGGCTGTATAGATTTGGTTTCAACAATTAAAGAACAAATTCTAACCTTCATTGAAATTACCAACTATACATACATAACACGAATAATAATTCTTTGAACAATTATTCATTAATAAATTAGAGAGTGGTACAAAATGAAGTTCAAATGATAGGAATCAGATAAGCTTATTAAGGAGTTTACATTTTAGTGTGATTTTTGTGGACAGTCACTGTAGGGTTTTAAACATGTACTGATATGATTTATATTTTTAAAAGATAGCTCTGGCTGCTTTTGGAGGGTAGAGTTTGAACTAGATTGGAAGTAGGAGATAGGAGGCCATTGAAATAATCCAGGTAAGAGGGAAAGATGACTCAGGCACAGATAATGACATTGGAGTTGGTGAAAAGTAATTTGGGATGTATTTTGGCATGGCTCTGCTGGTGGATTTGATACAGCAGATGAGGGAAAGAAAAATGAAAAAAGGTTCCTTAGTTTTTGACTTGATCAACTGTATGGGTGGATACTGATGCCATTGAGATGGAGAACACTGGAAGAGGGGAGTGTATTTTGAGAGGGGCATCTGAAATCTAGAGATTTGTTCAAAGGAACGGGCCCCCAATTTTTTACTCACTAAATTTTAATTAGTTTATTTAATAAGGGAATGCTTTTCAATTTATGAGTGACTGATGAAGCAGTGAGGCTCCTGCTTTTGTTACTGAAATTATAAATAAACCTCTTAAGTGGAGGTAAATCATAAATTTTTAAGAGTAATGTCTGCTGAATGTTACTAATGCACAGCCAAAGCCAATGGCCTAACAAACGAAGTAACTAATGGCTGTATGTAGTGTGTAGTTAGCTACTTGGTAAACCACCCTAAATCTCTGACAGCGTTAAAGAACATGATATTTATCTTGTTTAAAGGCTTTACGTTAATTACTCTCTCTGTTTCATGACATTGACATGTCAGGCTAGTTATTTTACAGAATGTTGCTCCATTTGGATTTGTCTGATTGTTTCTTCATGAGTAGATTCAGATTAAACATTTTTGGTGAGAATTCTCAGGTGATATTGTGGTACATGATGTTATATAATTTATTCCCTTATTGGAGATGTTGTTTGATCCCTCTATTTTGGGTTACCCTTTGTAACTAACAAGCTGTCTGTGAAGTGGCATGTTGAGACTGAATATTCTTTCCTAACAGTCTTTCCCCCAGTGGTTTTTATATTAATTGATGACTTCTGTTTGAATCGGTTGTTGTAATGTCACAAAACAGTGATTTTTAAATTGTCATTTCTTCTACATTTATTAATTTACATTCTTCAGTAAATAAGAGCATTTTCTCTGTCCCTAGCACCTTAAACATTTTTTTAATTCAGTGTTTTATAGTCAATCACTGATGTTATTCTTTTTGATACTCAAATTGTCCTAAATTTGTTCCATGGAGATTTCAAGCCAACTTAGTGTTGGTGTTTTGACATTTCTCTTTTTTCTTAGCACTTTAAAAAAGCACAACAGATATTCCCCACTCACCTCTCTATTGTATATCTGTTATGGGGATATACTGTAGTTTATTCAACCAGTCTCCTGTGTTTTACTGTTATAAATAACTCAGTAAATAATCTTTGACATTTTTTTTGGTCTTATTGGAAGCATATCTTTGGGGTAAATTCCTAGAAATAGATTTGCCTAGTCAAAGAGTAAGCACATACGTAGTTTTGTGAGATATTGCTAAATTCCCTTCCACTGGTATTACCGTTTAGCATTCCTACCAACAGTGTTTAAGAGTCTGTTTTCACATAAGCTTGTTTGTAGAGTCTGTTGTCAAGCTCTTGAATTTTTGCCAGTCTGTTAAGTGAGAATTGATATCTCAGCATAATTTCAATTTGCATTTCCCTTATGAATGATCCAAGTTGAGTATTTTTTACTATTTTTAAGGGCCATTTGTATATCTGCATGTATACTGTCTGTTCTGGTACCTTGCCCATTAAAAAAAAATCAGGTCTTGTCAGTTATTTTTCCTCTCAATTTTAAAACACTACTAGGAGAATTAGTCCTTTATCTGCAACAAATTATACAAATATTAAAATATCAATTTTAAACTTTATTACTGTCACAGTAATTCTGGTCTTTTAAATATTATTAATTGGATGTAGGGACTTCTGCTGTGTCTTATGTGTACCATTTCATTACTTTGATTTTATGAAAATAATTAAAATTCAGTTTATTGTTTTGTCATCCTGAAAGGGAATAACTTAATCATTTAGCATACAGTAAATTTCAAAAGTCAGTCAAAGTAGTTCGTTGTTATTTATTGAGATTTTATGAGTGAGTCAGATAAACTAAATAAATGGAAATATGCATGTTTTATTTTCATGATACTGTTCCTGTTGATGGTACTCAATCTTATTCACATCTCACAGGGAACAAAAGAAAATATATGGGATTCTGATTTTTTTAAATTATAATAGCTTGCAGTCTAGTGATAATCTTTCACTGAGATGAGAATGTTAATGAGAATGTATTACTGGCTATGATTATATTAAAAATGAATATTTCTAGGAAATAATAAGTTACCATTAACTGCTTTCTTTGTGTGTTTTAGGTTTTGACAACAATTCGTTCAGGGCACCGAGCAAACATATTTAGTGCAAAGTTCTTACCTTGTACAAATGATAAACAGATTGTATCCTGCTCTGGAGATGGAGTAATATTTTATACCAACGTTGAGCAAGATGCAGAAACCAACAGACAATGCCAATTTACGTGTCATTATGGAACTACTTATGAGGTATGGTATTATTATGATTATATGATATATATGTAAGTATGTATATTTTTGATTAAGTACATACATGTGTAGATGCATGTGTGTACATGTACAGATGTGTGTGTATGCACATTTGATGCATATAAATTATTGACAATATCTAGGTGTCAGCAGAGCATTTGAGAAAATGTATCTTGATAGGCTTCTGGATAAAGTTAAGAAATAAGATGCAAGTAATAGTACTCTAAGATGGGTTTGTAATTGCTTGAGCAACCATGCTGTAAGCAAACAGACGTTTACCTTTAAAGATACCTCTGTTATTGTGCTGCATGACTGTACTAGGCTTTACCCTTTTAAACAATCGCTTGCTTGTGTAAAGTCATAGCCAACATGCTTATCAAATTTTTGTAGGATAGAAGGGACTCCAGTAGACAAAAGAATCAGATTCCTAAAGGATATTAATGAGCTTAAGACCTGAGCTGAATTAAATAAGGTGGAATAAATTTAAGACTCAATTTTAGTGCTTTATGTGGTTCAGAAAAAATGTACAACTGAGTTCTCTTTTATTTATGATACAGGGTCACACTGTCACTCACACTGGAGTGCAGTGGCATGACCATGGCTCTCTGCAGCTTCAAACTCCCAGGCTCAAGCAGTCTTCTCACCTCAGCCTCTTGAGTAGCTGGGACTACAGGCATGTGCCACCATGCCCAACTAATTTAATTTTGTTGTTGTTGTTGTGGAGACAGGGTTTTGCTATGTTGCCAGGGCTGGTCTCCAACTCCTGAGTTCATACAATCCTCCCACCTTGGCCTCTCACAGTGCCAAGGTTATAGATGTGAGCCACTGTACTAGCCTCCAGAGTGTTCTTCTGAAATACTTGCATGTCATTTTTTTGTATCAAATTATTGATAGGTTTCCCATTTTTTGTGTTAAACTGGTATACTTTTTCCATCATTTGAATTCCAGTTCTTTTATGTCCTCATGTTTTTGTATGTACTTATATATATAGCTAGATTTTGTTTTCTTATCCAGTCTCACAGTTTTGGGGTTTTACTGGAGATTTATGAATTTACATTTATTGTGAGTTCTGATATATTTGGATTTGTTTCTATCCCTTTGTTTTCTACTTTTTAAAAAAAGTTTCCAATCTCCATTAACCCTCCTCTCCTTTTAAAAGTCCACCTTTGGAGGCCAGACGTGGTGGCTCACACCTGTAATCTGAGCACTCTGGGAGGCTGAGGTGGGCGGATCACTTGAGGCCAGGAATTTGAGACCGGCCTGGCCAACATGGTGAAACCCTGTCTCTACTAAAAATACAGGAATCAGCTGGGTGTGGTGGTGCACGCCTGTAATACCAGCTACTTGGGAGGCTGAGGCTTGAGAATTGCTTGAACAACCTGGGAGGCAGAGGTTGCAGTCAGCCAAGACTGCGCTACTGTACTCCAACCTGGGCGACAGAGTGAGACTGTGTCTCAAAAATAAAAAATAAAAATAAAGTCTACCTTTCGAATTACTTGAGTATTTTACTTTTTGTCCATTGTGTTTCTGTTTCTTGCTTCTAAGATAGACATTCATTTTTGTTATTCTGGAGGTTACCCCAGCTACTTTCACAAGAATATCGAACAAAGCCAAATATCAGTAAATATTTCTACTCTTCTCTTGAATAAAGGAACTTGGAACATACCTTGTTCCATTTTATGTGATTATATTGTTCAGGATTTAGTTATATTCTGTTTTCTCTCATGAATTAGATGTTATTGGTTTACTGTTAGTGTTGTTTGTTTAGATTTACCTGCATATTTACTAATACCTTTGGTTTACCTTTCCTTCTTCCCATCACACATTTTCCATGTTGTATCATTTTGTACTGAAGGTACATCCTTTAGCAGTTTTTTTTTTTTTTTTTTTTTTTTTTTTTTTTTTGAGACGGAGTTTCGCTCTTGTTGCCCAGGCTGAAGTGCAATGGCATGATCTTGGCTCACCACAACCTCTGCCTCCTGGGTTCAAGTAATTCTCCTGTCAGCCTCCTGAGTAGCTGGGATTATAGGTGCATACCACCACTCCTGGCTAATTTTGTATTTTTTTTAGGAGAGATGGGGTTTCTCCATGTTGGTCAGGCTGGTCTCGAACTCCCGACCTCAGGTGATCTGCCTGCCTCTGCCTCTCAAAGCTCTGGGATTACAGGCATGAACCACCGTGCCTGGGCCACAGTTTTTTTTTTTTTTTTTTACATGAGAGTTTGTTGATAGAAAACAATTTCAGTTTCCTTTTCTTTCCTTCATTCATTCTTTCCTTTCTTCCTTTTCTTTCCTTTGTGAAAAATGTCTTTTTTTTTTAAATGCCAGTTCTTCAAAGATAGTTTTGCTGGGCATGGATTTCATTTGATAGTTACTGTATTTCAGATGGTATTCCATTATATTCTGACTTCCATTGTTGAAGTTGCAAAGTCAGACATCAGTCTAATTGTGGTTCCTGTATAGGTAACCTGTTTCTTTTCCTTGACTACTTTTAATTTTGTTTTTCTTTGCCGGGTTTTTTTCTTATTTTATGTCAGAACAGTGTGTCTTGATGTGCATTGTTTTTTATTTTTTATACTTGGGATTTGTTGATGTTCTTGATGTGAGCAATTGGCATCTTGAAAAATGTAAGAAATTTTCAGTCAGTAGGTCTTTGGTTTACTACTTCATTATTCTCTCCATTTTTTTGTAGTCTGGGGAAATTCTGATTAGCCATATCAGACCTGCTTATTAGACCTTATTCCATCCACTATTTAAAAATTTTAAAATTGAAATATAGAACATATAGGAAAAGTACCTAAATCCTAAGTATATGGCTTAGTGAATTATCACAAAGCAAATCTATTCATGTAACTACCACCTAGCACATTAAGTATCCCAAAAGCTCCCTTTATTCTGAATTCTAACACTGGAGTTTTCTGTTTTTTCTAATACCCCTGTTTTTCTGTTTTTGAACGTTATATAAATGGAAATATGGCTTTTTGTGTCTTTGTTGTTGTTTTTGTATCTGGCTTTTTTTGCTGAGCAAAATCTTAACTCATTTGTGAAATTCATCCATGTTGTGTGTAACTATAATTTGCCCATTTTATTACTGTATAGTATTCCATTATATGAATATACCACAATTGATTTATCTGTTCTATGCTGTTGGAAGTTTGGAGAACATTGTTTTACGTGTCTTTTCAGTACACAAATGCACACATTTGTTAGGGTGTATACTTAGCAGTAAAATTGCTGGGTCATAGAATATATATTTGGTTATTTTAGAGATAAAGCCAAATAGTTTTCCAAAGTGTAGTAACGACTTACATTCCCACCAACAGCATGTAAGAGGTCCTGTTGCTTCTGATCTTTGCCAACAGTTGGTATTTTCAGCTCTACTTTGGTGGATGTATAGTATCATCTTAATTGGTTTCCATTTGCCTCTCTGTGCTGATACTACTGAGGTTGAGCATCTCTTCAAATGTTTGTTGGTTATTTGGATGTATTCTTAATGAAATGTGTAGTCAAATCTCTTGCCTATTTTTTTCTGTTGGGTTGTTTGTCTTATTTTATTTTGTTATTATTAATTTATAGGAGTTTTTGAAAAAATATCTTCTGCATATGAGCCTATCTTTTCCTATTCTGTGGTTATATTTTCACTCTCCTAGTGGTGGGGGAGGGTGCGGTTTGTGTGTTTTGAGAGATGGGGTCTCACTTTTTCACCCAGGCTGGAGAGCAGTGGCATGATTATAGCTCCTGGGTTCAAGGAATCGTCTTGCCTCCCAAGTAGCTGAGACTACAGGCATGCACTACTGCACCTGGGTAATTTTTTTTATTTTTTGTAGAGACGGGGCCTTGCTATCTTACCCAGGCTTGTCTAGAACTCCTGGGCTCAAGCGATCCTCCTGCCTCTGCCTCCTAAAGTGCTGGGATTTCAGCCTAAAATGGTGTCTTTTGATGAAGAAAAGTATTTAATGTTGTCTAATATGTTGGTCTGCTCCTTTATGATTAGTATCTTTTGCATCCTGGTTAAGAAATCTTTTCCTATCCCAAAGTTATGAAGATATTCTTCTACTTTAATTTCATTGCTTTGTCTTTAGCATTTAGATCTGTAATCTATCTGGATTTGACTTTTGTTATAGTATGACTTGAGTCAACTTTTTTTTTTACCCCATATGAAGTTTTTTGTGTTAACATAATTTATTTTTTAGAAAATTAAATCAAAATCCAAAACAGCACACAAACAAAAGAAAGACCATTTTAACATGATAGACCCATTTACCCAAGATGTTTTTTGCCAAATACATATACACACTTTAATTAGCATAGAATTTTTTTTTTTCAAAACTGATACTCTGCATCTATCAACAGCTCTCCTTTCTTCCTTATCCTAGTCCCTGGCAACCATCATTCTACTTTCTGTTTCTAAGAATTTGACTATTTTAGATACCTCATATAATTGTAATCATGCAGTATTTGACTTTTGATGACTGACTGATTTCACTTAGCATGATCATATTGTAGCATATGTCAGAATTTATTTCCTTTATAAGGCAGGAGAAGATTCCGTTGTATGTATATACCACATTTTCTTTATTCATTTATCTAGGCTGTGTGCTGTGGCTCATGCCTGTGATCCCAGCACTTTGGGAGGCCGAGGTGGGCAGATCACTTGAGGTTAGGAGTTCAAGACCAGCCTGTACAACAAGATGAAACCGTGCCTCTATTGAAACTACAAAAATTAGCCAGGCGTGGTGGCAGGTGCCTGTAGTCCCAGCTACTCAGGAGGCTGAGGCAGGAGAATCACTTGAACCCAAGAGGTGGAGGATGCAGTGAGCTGAGATCATGCCACTGCACTCCAGCGTGGGTGACAGAGTGAGACTCTGTCTCAAAATAAATAAACAGGCTGGGCGCAGTGGCTCACACCCATCATCCCAGCACTTTGGGAGGCTGAGGAGGGCGGATCACGAGGTCAAGAGATTGAGACCATCCTGGCCAACATGGTGAAACCCTGTCTCTACTAAAAATGCAAAAATTAGCTGGATGTGGTGGCATGTGCCTATAGTCCCAGTTACTTGGGAGGCTGAGGCAGGAGAATCACTTGAACACGGGAGGCAGAGGTTGCAGTGAGCTGAGATCGTGTCACTGCACTCCAGCCTGGCGACAGAGTGAGACTCCATCTCAGAAATAAATAAATAAATAAGTAAATAAATAAATTCATCTAGTGATGGATATTTAGGTTGCTTCTACTCCTTGGCTATTGTGAATAATGCTGCAGTGAAGATGAGTGTGCAAATATCTCTTCAAGATCCCGTTTCCAGTTTTTTCGGATCTGTACCCAGAAGTAGAGATTGCTGGATCATATGGTAATTCCATTTTTAAGTTTTTGAGGACCCTCCATACTATTTTCCATAGCAGCTCCACTATTTTACATGCCTACCAGCTGTGTGCAAGGGTGCCAACTTCTCCATTTCCTTGCCAACACTTACAATTTTTTTTTAGTGGGCATTCCAGTGGGCTTGAAGTTTTATCTTACTGTGGTTGTGATTTTCATTTCCCCAAAGATTACTGAAGTTGAGCTTCTTTTCATATGCTTCTTGGCCATCTGTGTATCTTCTTTGGAGAAATCTCCTTTGCTTTTTTTTAATCTGCATTATTTTTTGTTGTTAACATAGGATTTCTTTATATATTCCGAATATTATGTTGTTAACATAGGATTTCTTTATATATTCCAAATATTAACCCTTTTTTAGATACATGGTTCACAAATATTTTCACCCGTTCCATGGATTGTCTTTTTACCCTGTTAAGTTTGATGTAGTTCCACTTGTCTGTTATGGCTTTGTTAACTGTGATTTTGTTGTTATATCTAATAAATCATTGTAAAATCCAATGTCATGAAGCTTTTCTCTGAATTTTCTTTTTTTTTTTTTTTTTTTGAGCTCTGTCACCCAGGCTGGAGTGCAGTGGTACAATCGTGGCTCACTGCACCCTCTGCCTCCCAGGTTCAAGCAATTCTCCTGCCTCAGCCTCCTGAGTAGCTGGGATTACAGGCGCATGCCACCACGCCCGGCTAATTTTTTGTATTTTAGTAGAGATGGGGTTTCACCGTGTTGCCCAGTCTGGTCTCAGACTCCTGAGCTCAGGTAATCTGCCCGTCTCCGCCTCCAAAGTGCTGGGCTTACAGGCATGAGCCACCGCTCCCGGCCTCCCCCATGTTTTCTTCTAGGAGTTTTATACTTTCAGTTTGTAGGTTTAGATCTTTAATCCGTTTTGAATTAATTTTTGCATATGTAGGGTAAGGGTCTAAGTTCATTCTTTTGCATGTAGATAACCAGTTTTCCCAGCAGCTTTTTTCTTACTTTATGGATTCATTTTTTTCCTCAACTTTTATTTTAGATTCGAGGGGTACATGTGCAGGTTTGTTTCATAGGTAGTATTGCATGAGGCTGAGGTTTGGGGTACAAATGATCCTGTTACCCAGGAACTGAGCATAGTACCCAGTAGTTAGTGTTTCACCCCTTCCTTCCCTTTCTCCCTCCCTGCTCTACTAGTTCACAGTTTCTGTTGTTGCCATCTTTATGTCCACAAGTATCCAGTGTGTAGCTCCTACTTATAAGTGAGAACATGCTGTATTTGGTTTTCTGTTCCTGTGTTAATTTGCTTAGGATAATAGCCTCCAGCTGCATCTTAGTTGCTGCAAAGGACATGATTTCATTCATTTTTGTGGCTGCATAGTGTTCCATGTATATGTACCACATTTGCTTCATTCAGTCCACCATTGATGGGCACCTAGGTTGATTCTGTGTCTTTGTTATTGTGAATAGTGCTGCGATGAACATGTGAGTGCATGTGTCTTTTTGGTAGAACAATTTGTTTTCTTTTGGATATATACCCAGGATTGGGATTGCTGGGTTGAATGGTCATTCTAAGTTCTTTGAGAAATCTCCAAATTGTTTTCCATAGTGGCTGAACGAATTTACATTCCCACCAAGTGTATATAAGTATTCCTTTTTCTCTGCGGCCTCACCAGCAACTTTTGTTTCTTGACTTTTTAATAATAGCCATTCTCACTCATATGAGATGGTATCTCATTGTGGTTTTGATTTGCATTTCTCTGAGATTAGTGGATGTGGAGCATTTTATTTTGTGTTCGTTGGCTCCTTGTATGCCTTTGGCGAAGTGTCTGTTCATGTCCTTTGCTCATTTTTTAAGGGGGTTATTTGGTTTTTGCTTGTTTAATTTTTTAAGTTCTTTTTTTTTTGAGACGGAGTCTCGCTTCATCGCCAGGCTGGAGTGCAGTGGTGCGATCTCGGCTCACAGCAACCTCCTCTTCCTGCTTTCAAGCGATTCTCCTGCCTCAGCCTCCTGAGTAGCTGGGACTATAGGCGCATGCAACCACGCCCAGCTAATATTTTTTATTTCTAGTAGAGATGGGGTTTCACCGCGTCAACCAGGATGGTTTTGATCTCCTGACCTCATGATCTGCCTGCCTCAGCCTCCCAAAGTGCTGAGATTACAGGCATGACATTTTTTTAAGTTCTTTGTGGATTCTGGATATTAAACCTTCGTCAGGTGCATAGTTGGCAAATATTTTCTTTCATTCTTTAGGTTGTCTGTTTACTTTGTTGATAGTTTCTTTTGCTGTGCAGAGCTTTTTAGTTTAATTAGGTCCCACTTGTCAATTTTTGTTTTTGTTGCAGTGGCTATTGAGGACTTAGTCATAATTTCTTTCTCAAGTCCAATGTCTAGAATGGCGTTTCCTATATTTTCTTTTAGGATTCTTATAGTTCGAGGTCTTACATTTAAATCTGGAATCCATCTTGAGTTAATTTTTATATATGGTGAAATGTAGGGGGGTCCAGTTTCATTCTTCTACATATGGTTGGCCAGTGATCCCAGCACCATTTATTTAATAGGGAGTCCTTTCCCCATTGCTTATTTTTGTCAACTTTGTCGAAGATCAGATGACTGTAGGTGTGTGGCTTTATTTCTGGGTTCTCTATTCTGTTTCATTGGCCTGTGTGTCTTGTTTTCGTACCAGTACTATGCTGTTTTGGTTACTGTAGCCTTAAAGTATGGTTTGCAGTCAAGTAATGTGATACCTCTGGCTTTGTTCTTTTTGCTTAAGATTGCTTTGGCTGTTCAGGCTCTTTTTTGGTTCCATGTGAATTTTAGAATAGTTTTTTCTAATTCTGTGAAAAATGATGTTGGTAGTTTGATAGGAATAGCATTGAATCTGTAGGTTGTGTTGGGCTGAATGGTCATTTTAACGATATTGATTCTTCCAATCCGTGAGCATGAAATAAATGGAAAAACATTGTTGCTGTTTGTTGTTGTCATTGCTGTTTGTTTAGTGATTTTCCTAGACTAATTCTGTTAAATCTGCATTCTTTTTCAGGTGTAGGCACTGGAGTCTGTTCTTGGTTAGCTTAGTTGTCAGCTAAGGGTTAGATAGAGATTTCTTTAAATGCCTTGAACCAATAAGCCTTCCAGTCTTTGTCAAAGGGGCCTGTGTGTTTGGGTTGCCTTCAAGTGCCTTGGAAATTTACAACTCTGCCTTAGCTTTCACTTCTTGCTTGTTCAGAGCCTCAAGGTCAGCCAGAGATGTTAGAGTAGGGCCTTCTTGGGTCCTTCTTTGGCATGTGCACATTCTTATATATGTGCATAATTTCTAAATTCCCAGAAATGTTTTGTTGCTTTTCAAATTCTACTATTAATGTCTAATTCTTACTTTTACTTTTAACTTTTTCTGGTCAGCTTCTTGTTTCCCTCACCTAGTATTACTGCCTCAAGCAACTGTGATGTTAAATCATTGCTGTTGATTATTTTTGACAAGCACCCTTAGGATGGGGTTGAATATGGTCAGATTCATGTAAGTCCTTAAAAGGCAGCTTTTCCAGGGAACTTAAGGACAGATTAAATTGTGATAAGTCTTTGAGGATAGGGCATTTGGGGGAGTCTCAAACTTGTTTTGTGACTTACAGTGGCTGCGAAGTTACTGTTTTTTACAACTACCATAGTCGCAAGGCTGCTGTTGACTTAGGGAAAATACCACAAGTTAAAGTGGCTCAAGGCTCACTATTCTTTCTGAGATCCAGTTATTTGTCTTGAATAAATGTTTCTTGGATTGTTCTAATCCCTTGGTTAAATTTCACAGTTCTAAAAAAGTTGATTTTGAAATTTTGTAGTGTTGTCAGTGCTTTTATGGAGAAGTATATTTTCAGAGGTCTTATTCAGCCATTGCAGAAGTGCTTCTTCTGTAACATTCTTACACTTTTCCCCTCCTTCTTGAGGAAGGTTAAATTGTGAGGAAAGGTTCCTAAATGATTCAGATTTCTGAACATATCTTATAAAGGCATTAATTATAAGAAATAGATACATGTTTTAATAATTTAATTTTATAATAGTGTGAGTACAGCTCATAGTTCATTAATTTGATTATCAAATTCAGTATTCTAGTTTTTAAAAATAAATATCCTTGGAAATATATGCTTCCAATGATTTCATTTATAGACAGTAGTATACAAAGCAGAAGTGATCATTTTACTTAATAAAGTCATCAAAGCTAAGTCAATAAATTACATAAATATTTCTTACTGATAAAATAGTTTCATAAGTAAACTGCTGACTTGATTAGATGGAATACTAATTACATTTTCACAAATATGAAATGAGTAAAAATTCTCATTTTCCTTGAAATGTATACTTATTTAGGTTGAATATACTTTTTATATATTTTTTGCAGGGTATAAATCTTATTATTCTGTGTTCATTGCAAAATTGGTTCAATTGAAGCAAAGGACATTAATAGATTGAAGTTTGGTAAATTAAAAATTATGTATAGTTCATTTTCATGCTGCTAATAAAGGTATACCCGAGACTGGGCAGTTTACAAAAGAAAGAGGTTTATTGGACTTACAGTTCTGTGTACCTGGGAGGCCTCACAATCATGGTGGAAGGTGAAAGGTGAAAGGCATGTCTCACATGACAGCAGACAAGAGAAGAGAGCTTGTGTGGAAAAACTCCCATTTTAAAAACCATCATATCTCATGAGACTTATGCACCATCACAAGAACAGCATGGGAAAGACCTGCCCACATGATTCAGTTACCTCCCACTGGGTCCCTCCCACAACACGTGGCAATTCAAGATAAGATTTAGGTGAGATCATAGCCAAACCACGTCGTGTGTGTGTGTGTGTGTGTGTGTGTGGTGTGTGTGTGTGTGGTGTGTGTGTGCGTGCGCGTGTGCACGTGGCTTAAAGTAACAAATTTATTATCTTACTGTTCTGGAAGTCAGAAGTCTGAAATAAGGTGTACTGGGCTAAAATCGAAGTGTTGGCAAGTGTGTATTCCTTCTGGTCTTGCCTTTTCCAGCTTCTAGAGGCTACTTGCATTCCTTGGAGCAAGTCCCCTTCCTCTATCTTCAAACCCAGCAACATAGCATCTTGAGATCTCTTTCTTTTTCTCTCTTTTTCCATCATCTTGTCTCCTTCTCTGACTCTGACTCTCCTGCCTTGTTTTGCTCAGTAAGACCCTTGTAATTATATTGGGCCTCTGTGGATAATTTAGGATAATCTCCTTATGGTCAAAATCCTTAATTAATCACATCTACAAAATCCTTTTTGCAGTATAAGGTAAAGTATTCGTAGGTTCTAACAAATAGGATGTAGATATCTTTGGGCTACTATTATTCTGCTTACCACAATAATAGTAAACCTTTTAAGACAAAAGTTTTCCAAGTAAATTTTTAAAAAGTATAAAACACCTACTGAAAAGTGCTGGCATCGTGTATTTGTGCAACTTGATTAATTTTCACAAAGTAAAATATATATGTACTCAGCATCTAGAACAAGAAACAGCCCCCCATAAGTCCTTTGTACCCCCTCAAAGGGTTTACTGCTTTCTAGGCTCTTAAAAGTACAGGTTAGTTTGGGCCTTTTTACGATTTTATAAAAATGGGAATCATACTGTGCCTTCTCTTTTGTGTCTGGCTTTTTTCACACAGAAGGTTTGTGAGATTCATTTATGTTGCTGAGAATAGTAATGATTTGTTCATTATTACTGATGATTTAGTACTTTATTTTAGGAATAGATAACAATTTAATCCCAGTTTATTGTTGGATATTTGGGTTGTTTCAAGTGTTTGGCTAATATAAATAGTGCTGCTGTGAACATTCTAGTGCATGTTTTTACATGCCCCATGCAGGCGTTTATTTTTAGTGGAACTGCTGGGTTATAGGAGAAGCATATGATCAGCTTTAATAGATATTGATACATAGTTTTCCATTGCAATTGTACCATTTTATACTCCCATCAGCAATGTGTTCCGTAACTCCACATCCTCATCAACACTTGATATTATAAGTCTTTTCATTTTGGCCATTCGGGTATGGTATAGCTGTATATCTTTGTGGTGGTAATTTATATTTCCTCGATGGCTGAGTTTGAATACCTTTCATATATACAGTGTTTCAAACATAGGAATATTGTATACAGAAAACCATGTATAGCAGAGGCACCAGGAACTGGTTTCACAGGAGACAATTTTTCCATGGAGTGGGGATGGTTTTGGGTTTAAAACTGTTATACCTCAGATCACCAGGCATTAGCTTCTCATAAGGAGTGCACAACCTGTGAGAAACAGTTCACCATAGTGTCTATGCTCCTGTGAGAATCTAATGCCATTGCTGATCCTACAGGAGGTGGAGCTCAGGTGGTAATGCTCGCTCACCTGCTGCTCACTACCTGCTTTGCTGCTCACTTCCTAACAGGCTACGGACCAGTACTGGGTCTTTGGGACATAGGGAGAGAAGAACTTATTGAGGCAGGGTTTATAGAGAGCCTCAACTTACAATATTGTCATTGCTAAATTAGAAGTGGATACAGGCATATCTAAAATATTGTACTTCATTAAAAAAGGTTTTTATGGTAGTAAAATACATATAAAGTTTGACATTTAAACTATTGTTTTGAGAGTACATTTCGTTGACATTAAGTATATTCATGTTGTATAACCATTACCACAATTAAAATTTTTCTAAGAGGTGAGTTATGCACTTAAATCATTTCAGCATCCCACAGTTGTCTTAAACGTTACCAGAGAAGAAAATTTGCTTACGTATTTATTGTACAATTATAAACTCACATAGATAAAACATAAAAATTAAGCTTTGAATAGTTTGAACAAGCTACCTAGGGGAGAATCATTCTTCCCTAGTTGTTAGAAGTTTATAACTTCAGATAACTTTTTATCTGAAGTTAAGTTAATGCTAATCTTCAAAGTACTGAATCATATTAATTCAACAATTACTTCTTATCTATTTCTATCTGTATTGTACCATTCTGAATCATAGTATGGGTAAGCCATGAGTAACTAAAATGCATGGTTTTTGTAACCTTTACCTTAATCATTTTATGAAATAGTAGGAATGTTTTTCAGAGCCGTCTGTTTAAATGTTCGTATGATTATCTGCACTTTTCTTTTCATCTTCAGATTATGACTGTACCCAATGACCCTTACACTTTTCTCTCTTGTGGTGAAGATGGAACTGTTAGGTGGTTTGATACACGCATCAAAACTAGCTGCACAAAAGAAGATTGTAAAGATGTAAGAATTAAATTTTTATACAAATGATGCAGAAAAAATTAAGGTTATAATTAAAATTGGTTATAATTAAAGTTATAATTAAGGTTATAATTAAAAGTAAGTTATGTGGATGGTAAGATTATGGGTGAATTTTTAAATTTTTGTTTTGCTAAAATATTTAATAAGCATATAGTTTATAATCAGAAATTGAAAAATGTAAAATGTTAATATTGAAGTTGGAGAACTTATATTTTAATTGTACATTTAAAATATATTTATGAAAATTCAAATAATTTGTTCAGTATATACTGTCTAATATAAAAACCTGAAGAATTTATATAAATGTATCTCATTTACTCATGGAAACAGCTTTGACTTATCAAATAGCAGTTATAAAAGCTTGTGGTAGTTGTCTTTTTTTCTCCTGTCTTTTAAACCAATAATTACATGTTATCTTTTTTAAAAAGAAATAATAAGATAGCATGCTATCAACATGTTTGTTCAAATTTAGCCCACTTTCCTAAAGATAATATCTCTACTATCAGTTTCTTATGCTTTAATACAATTAAATTAATTAATTAATTTTTTTTGAGACAAGGTCTCACTGTGTCATCTCAGGCCGGAGTGCAGTGGTGCAATCCTAGCTCACTGCAGCCTCAATCTTCTGGGCTCGAGTAATCTTCCTGCCTTAGCCTCCCGAGTAGCTGGGACTACGGGTGTGTGCCACTATGCTCAACTAATTTTTTTTTTATTTGTAGTAGATAGGAGGTCTTGCCATATTGCCTAGGCTGGTGGTGTCAAACTCCTAGGCTCAAGTGATCCTCCCGACTTGGTGTCCCAAAGTGCTGAGATTACAGGGATGAGCCACTGTGTTTGACTTTTAATACTATTTTAAACTTACAAAAGGCCTGAGAAATCATTCAGTCTTTTGACCCCAGACAAGTAATTCCAAGTGATTTTTCCTGACATACATTATTAAGAGCACAGTAGTTTTTCCTTGGATCATTTTGAAGTAGTAAATGAAATAAGAAAGTACTATTCAAAATATGTTTTTACTGAAAGTTACAAAAAAAAAAGGTACTACTGTTAATCAGGTTAAGTGCTTGCTAACTAAACCAGTTACCAACTGGTTAACATGCTTTAGGGGAAAAAGATTATTTTATATATTTGAAACAGAAATAAAACAAAAAGTAGAAATTGAAAAACCTTTAGGCTGGGTGCGGTGGCTCATGCCTCTAATCCCAGCACTTTGGGAGGCCGAGGCAGGTGGATCACAAGGTCAGGAGTTGGAGACCAGCCTGGTCAACATAGTGAAACCCTGTCTCTACAAAAAATACAAAAAATTAGCCGGGCGTGGTGGCAGGTGCCTGTAATCCCAGCTACTCGGGAGGCTGAGGAAGGAGAATTGCTTGATCCTGGGAGGCGGAGGTTGCAGTGAGCCGAGATCACACCACTGCACTCCAGCTCGGGTGACACTGCGAGACTCCATCTCAAACAAAACAAAACAAAACAAAAAAACCTTTAAACATACAGTTTAATCAGTTTTTTTGTTACGTATTTGTATATACACAGATATGCAAATAGGGAAGCATTGAACTAAACTCAGAAATAAGCTTAAATATCACGTTATTAGGGTTGTTTGATATACCTGTTCCTTAGAGTAAGTGGTGGGTACTAAATTTTGTTATTGCAAACTCTCTTAAACTATTTTAGTGTTTCAGTGTAGTAAGATTTAGTTGTGTTTTTCTAAACAAAACCCCCAGGAAAATAAGAAAACAAATCTGATAAGACGTGAAAGTAGTCTTTCCTTAGTAAAACTTTTCCTTTATGTATAAAAGTGAAATGAAGCAGAGAGTATAAAGAAAAACTGGTAACTAGAGTAATCCTTAACTACTAAAAACTTAGAATTATGAAAGGCATTTGGTTAATGAATTCTATGTAATGAGAGTAATGTTCTGAGATTAGTAATTGAACAAAGTATAAGGTTAAATTGACTTAAAAACATTACTGAGGGGCCGGGCGCGGTGGCTCACGCCTGTAATCCCAGCACTTTGGGAGGCTGAGGCGGGCAGATCACCTGAGGTTAGGAGTTCGAGACCAGCCTGACCAATGTGGAGAAACCCCATCTCTACTAAAAATACAAAATAGCCAGGCGTGGTGGCACATGCCTGTAATCCCAGCTACTCTGGAGGCTGAGGCTGGAGAATCTCTTGAACCCAGGAGGTGGAGGTTGCACTGCACTCCAACCTGGCGACAGAGCAAAATTCTATCTCAAAAAAAAAAAAAAATTACTGAGAAGAATGAGGAGTGAGAGTCATTAGACAAAGCAGTATGGAATCAACAGAGTACCTTCAGGATATGTTTGGGGTACTAGCTCTTACATTTTCTAATTCTTCTACAGAGATAAGTAATAACATTATAGTAAGACCTGTCTTTTGCAGGGTTTGTATTTATATGTGTACTTTATTTTTGAGCTGGTTAAGGAGAAAGGTTTTATAAGTAAAAAGTATAAAATATAGAAGTCAGTTAATTTTTTGTTATATTTTAATAGCAGTGATTACAATTAAAATATTATGAATAAGCCTAGGCAACATAGTGAGACCCTATTTGTACAAAATTTTTTTTAAAAAATTAGCCTGGTATGGTGGTGTGCACCTGTAGTCCTAGCCACTTGAGAGGCTGAGACAGGAGGATCACCTGACCTCAAGAGTTTGAGGTTACAATGAGCTGTGATCACACCACTGTAAGCCTGGGCAACAGAGCAAGACATATCTCAAAAAGAAAAAAAAATATGAATACTATATAAATAATCAATAGTTATAGACAGTATGAGAGATTTGTCATAGGTAGATTATAACTCCATCTTTGCTGTCAAGTGGACCAATAATAGCAGGCATTTCTAATGGTACTAATGACTTAGTGATACATTATATAGGTAATTTTGAATTTTTTACATTTCTAAAGATGTTCATTATTCATGAGTATGGGAATATTTAACAGGCATTTTTGAGAAATAATTCAAATTGTATTATAACATTGTATGAAATGTAGCTAGTTTAGAAAGAGTTTTAATTGTCACATAAATATGAGTTTCTTGGATTATTACCATCTTTTTGTAGCTGGCGCTGTTCTAGTATAATTACTCAGTATTTTCAGTCTTATATTTGAAAGTAATTTTTATTTTTTCCTTTTTAGAATGTATTTAATTGCTCAAATACTGATCATTTTAAAAATCTGTATTTTAATTAAGTTTAGTATTTTCATATTTTTTCTTACTTTAATTGGTTTATAAGGAAAGTCTACAATATTGTGGTAGAAATCAATCAATTTTGGAGTTGTATGGCCAACTATAAAGAAAAGAGTATCTTCCTTAGAAATATTGATTGAGTATATTTATTTTGATTTCACATAGGCTGAATGTATTAGAAATATTTCTAGTAGAAATCCGAAAAAAAAGTTAAAAGAAAGCCGTATTGTTTTTCCGCTCATTGTCATTCTTGACTGAATTAGGAGTTCTGAGAATGGTTATTCTAATTACTAATGAGAAAATATTTTAAATATAATTTCACCTCTGCTGTATAACTATATGTAATTGGTATTATGTTATGTTTTGTAGGATATTTTAATTAACTGTCGACGTGCTGCCACGTCTGTTGCTATTTGCCCACCAATACCATATTACCTTGCTGTTGGTTGTTCTGACAGCTCAGTACGAATATATGATCGGCGAATGCTGGGCACAAGAGCTACAGGTAAGAAGATAATATTAGAGAAAATATAGGACTGTCAGTTCAAAGAGTAAATCTCTATGACATTTTCAGTTTTAAAATTTCTTGTTTGTTATAAAATTTCAGAAAATAGTATTTGTTTAATATGGATTATTATAAAAAATAACATTTCACCAAGTGTTTATGACCCTTTGGGATGATACTTTTGCAGTTTAAAAAGTTGTAACATTTGATGTATTAGTTTGGCAGGACTGCCATAACAAATGACCACAAACTGGGTATCTTAAAGCAACAGAAATTTATTCTCTTAAATTTCTGGAGGCTCAGTGTCTGAAATCAGGATGTCTTATGATTGGTTTCTACTGGAAGCTCTGTTCGATGCCTTCTCCCCTAGCTCATGGTGGTTGCTGCCAATCCTTGGCATCCCCTTGGTATAGATGAATCACTCTTAATCTCTGCCACTCTCTTTACATGCAATTTTCCCTGTGTGTGTCTGCGTTTACATTTTCCTCTTAGGGCACTAGTCATACTGGATTTGGGCCCACCCCTAATCCAGTTAGGGTGAGGTGGGCCCTGGATTAGGTGGGCCCTAATCCAGTATGACCTCACTGTAACTAACTACATCTGTAAAGGTCACATTCTGAGGTTCTGTGTAGACATGAATTTTGGGGAGACTCTGCTATTTTTCAATCAAGAAAACAATGGTAAATGTGGTAGTAAGAAAATTTAAAACAGTGACTTGGGTATGTATTAATGTGTAGCATATATTTATTCCTGCTTACCTTAAAGTGCTGTTAATAATGCTGAGTACTGAATTTGAATCTAATATAAACTAATGCTCTTTCCCTTCACTCACTATAGGATCAAAGTACTTCCAAAATAAACAATTAGAAGTCAACTTCCATTCACATTTTTTCAGTAAAGGAAGGCCAGGATTACACACACACACACACACACACACACACACAAACACCGAATGCACATTCATATATTCACATATTTTATATTGTTAAAAATAAAGGTGGACTTGGGCAGAAACCAACAATGTCAGTAAAGATGGACATAGATTATTGAGATGGGAATACCAGATGAGATCTTTCTTTTCGGAACTGTGATAGCTTTTATTTATATTGCTACATTAAGTCACATATCTAATAATAATTGAGGAGTCCAGTCTATTTGGATATGTACATTTAGGGGAAACAGTAATATAATATGAAATAATAGGCTTAATTATTGTTTCTCAACAGGTGGACACAATTGACATTTTGAGCATGATAAGACTTCATTTTGCAAGGTTATACAGCTTTGTGGGATTCTTAGAATTTAGCATTCCTGGGCCCCCAGGGCACAAAGTGCCAGTTGTACACCTATCTGTCATATTGCATTGAAGACTACCAGAGTTAATTAAAATTGGAATAGTATTCTTAACTCTGTACTATATAACAGGCAAATTTCATGGCAATCAGAAATTTTTTTAAAAAGTAAAAGTTGTATCATCTTAAGGATATTGCATACGTTGCATACTAATGTATGTAGTATGCTAATAAGTATTAGCTTTTTGTAAAAATTTGTTATCTTAATTTGGGGGGAACTTTTGGAAGATGACTTCGTGTGATTGTATTTATAAATCATTTTCCTTGATTAACTCATTTCAACAAAGCATACGTAATCTGGAATTCTAGACAATCATGAATTTTTTTGGTAGAGGTGTTACCTTTATACCATATTCTTTTTTGTTTTGTTACAAAATCTGACTGCAGAGGAAGAACCTCTACTGGAAATAAACGTGATGGCTTTTATTTGTATTGCTACATTAAGTCACATGTAATAATTCAGATTAAGAGTTTTAAAAAATGTTTTTCTTTAAAACATTATTAATTTTAAATAACTTCTTGTTTCTTTTTTAGGGAATTATGCAGGTCGAGGGACTACTGGAATGGTTGCCCGTTTTATTCCTTCCCATCTTAATAATAAGTCCTGCAGAGTGACATCTCTGTGTTACAGTGAAGATGGTCAAGAGATTCTCGTTAGTTACTCTTCAGATTACATATATCTTTTTGACCCGAAAGATGATACAGCACGAGAACTTAAAACTCCTTCTGCGGAAGAGAGAAGAGAAGAGGTAGGTTTACTCAAAACCATGTCCTTTGGCCGGGCGCGGTGGCTCACGCCTGTAATCCCAGCGCTTTGGGAGGCCGAGGTGGGTGGATCACCTGCGGTTGGGAGTTTGCAACCAGCCTGACCAACATGGAGAAACCCCGTCTTTACTAAAAACACAAAATTAGCTGAGCGTGGTGGCACATGCCTGTAATCCCAGCTACTCAGGAGACTGAGGCAGCAGAATCGCTTGAACCCGGGAGGCGGAGGTTGTGGTGAGCCGAAATCACGCCATCGCACTCCAGCCTGGGCAACAAAAGTGAAACTCCGTCTCAGAAAAAACAACAACAACAACAACAACAACAAAAACCCCATGTCCTTTATTCAATTCAGAAAACAATTCAGTGACTCTTGGGGCCTAAAGGCCAAAAAAAAAAATTAATTTTCAAGGCACTTACAGTTCAGAAAACAAAAAACATGAGACATACTTGAAAGAATAGAAGCTAATAAATTACTATCAGTTATTACTAATTATAATTAGCAATTAGTTACTAATTACTAATAGTTACTAATTACTAATTATAGTTAGTAATTAGTTACTAATAATTTGTAATTATAATTAGTAATGACAAAAATAGTATTTTTGTAATTTGTGTTATAATTAATAGTAAATAATTACTAGCGTCTATTCTTAATAATGTATTAGTAATAATAAATCACTAATTTATTATTGGTATTCTAAATACTATTTCTAAAACCTTATCCCTAACAGTGAATTATTAGGGATAAGGCTTTAGAAAAAAATATTTTAAATTATTTTTAAGGAGAATATACTTGATAGCAAAATGTTTATCTTAACTTTGTAGATGTACAGCAGCAGCAAGAAAGATCAACAGTGCTAACACTTGCAGAAAAGGCGATTAAAATAATAGAAAATATGATGATAAATTTCCAAGAGACTAAATGTGTATGTCCATGGATCAATAGAAGTTTTACGTATTACCATTTACTCTTCATATATGGACAGCAATCCCTTTCTGTCCCAATTGTGCCTCTTTCACAGTTACATACTAGTGATTTATAACAGTAACCTTAGGTATATTTTACAAAATAAATATAAGTGGGAAAAAGATAAGTTAAAGTAGTTGTATATATTGAAAAGTAGGTGAATGAATTACTTTCACAAGACTACTAGAAGATAATGAATTTATTATTTATAAAAGGGGAAAAGTAGAAATAAGGTATCTTTGACAGTACACAGCTGTAGAAAAATGTTTGCTTTAACCTGTTTAAGCTTCTTTCCTCAACATGTTTTTCACTTTGGCTTTTTTATTTTATAATGTCCTGTGTTATTCACTTTGAACTTTGGCTTGTAAAAGTCTTTTGAAATTAACCATTGATTTTTATTTTCAGTGACCTTTTGGTATTGGCTCAATGCCTATTAATACGTTTTAAAGGTTACTAATAACAGTGATTTTGGAATTCCTACGAGATACAAAACTATATTCATTCCTCATAATTTCAGGTGTAGAGGGCTGTAAAATTAGAAATCAGGATTACTTTATAAATATACTTTGAGATTTTTATCCTTGCAGTGTATTTATTTGAATTAGGAAATTGATGAAGAAGGGTATGATGGCTAATAAAATGATTTTTGAGTTTATTCTGGTTAAAAACATGAAATCTGCTCTGTCATTTTGTTACTGCTATGCAAATTTCCCCTTGAAATACATGGGTAAGTAAAGTTATAGTCAAACTGTGATTGTTACATAATGAAAGAGTTGGAAGTCCATAGACATTTTAAGTGGGCCAACTAGTTTTGATACCATGGAATACTTAGCCAAAAGATATTTATATAATCAGAGTGAATGAGGCTGAGTCATGAACATTTTTTTTTCTGGGAGACTTTTCCTTGGTCTTGTTTGTTGCATTAACTAAATTAAGAAAAACAATGCTGAAAGTGGATTTAAATTATGCTTGTTGGCCGGGCGTAGTGGCTTACGCCTGTAATCCTAGCACTTTGGGAGGTCGAGGCGAGTGGATCACCTGAGGTCAGGAGTTCAAGACCAACCTGGCCAACATGGTGAAACCCTTTCTCTACTGAAAATACAAAAATTAGCTGGGCTTGGTGGCAGGCGCCTGTAATCCCAGCTACTTGGGAGGTTGAGGCAGGAGAATTGCTTGAACCCAAGAGAAGGAGGTTGCATGAGCCGAGATCACGCCATTGCACTCCAGCCTGGGTGACAAGAGCAAAACTCAGTCTCAGAAAAAAAAAAAAAAAGCTTATTATAACAAACCAAACAATTCAGAGGTATACATAGAATAAATTAATAATCTGTCTTATTTGTAATTCTGACACATTTTGGTGTTTTATACTGAAACTTTGATGATAGTATTCAGACAAACTTAACTCACCAAATATTTATTGGGTGCCTACTATACACCAAGTCCTCTACTTAACTTTGGAAAATGAAGGATGACCAGACAAAGACATGATCTCTTACTTAAGGAATTCACAGCTTAGTGGAAGTAGAGGTACAAGTAAATAAATATGTAAAACTTAATATAGAATTATGTATAAGGACTATGTTCTGTATAAGTAGAACAAAGTAGGGAATAATTAATCTTGAGTAAAGCCTGAGGAAGGTTTTAAAGCATGAGTAAAAGTTTGTTGTATGATTTTGTCTTATGTTTCCATAATATTTTTGTATTTTCTCAATTTGTGGAGGCCTTTCTATTTCCTTACCGCCTCTAATAATTTCTTTCATTTTTTTCCCCCTTCTTTCTTTGGTTCATTCTTTTGTCTTAATTTTTTTTGTACTTTCTGTTTTCCCTTATTTTTCTATCCTTTTTTCTTTTTATCATCTCTCTTTTCTTCTTTTTGACAGTTTACCACCTGCCCTACCCCATTATTGGGCTTCTTTGTTGAATTCATTCTTTCATTTTCTTCTGGTCCCCATAGCTTGTGCCTAAAAATATACTCCAGATCTGACTACTGCTTACCACCACCCTTGCTGCATTACCACCCTGATCCGAGCTATCAGCATCTCTGGCATGACCTATCCCCCTTTGTAGTTGATTTTGCTAGCTTTCTAACCAGTCTTCCTGCTTTCACTTCCTACAGCCCTATAGCTATACAGCATTCAAAGTGATCCTTAGAAACATAAGTTAAATCATGCCGCTCTTCTCATCAACATTCTAAGTGGCTCCCTGTCGGACCTAAAGCAAAACTGAAGTCCTTATGGTGGCTTCAAGATCTTATATTATCTGGTCCTAATTATTACTTCTACTGTTTTCTTCTTTACTGTGCTCTAACCACATCTACTTGCTTAGTAACTCAGGCCAAGCATGACTCTATTTTAGGATTTTGCATTTACTCTGCCTGAAATGCTCTTCCCTGGATACCTGGATTTTTTCTTCCCTGTGTATTTCAGGTCTTTGCTTATGTAACCTTCTTGGTGAAGCCCTACTTCACCATCCTATTTAAAATCACGGCCTTTAACTGATACTACCTATCCCCTTTTCTACTTTATTTCTCTCCATAACAGTAACTTTCTATGTATATTTTGCTTTTTCATTTCATGTGTTG
Source organism: Homo sapiens (assembly GCF_000001405.40). Taxonomy (NCBI): domain Eukaryota; kingdom Metazoa; phylum Chordata; class Mammalia; order Primates; family Hominidae; genus Homo; species Homo sapiens. The sequence goes on from NC_000001.11 coordinate 167,997,005, forward strand.
TTTGCTCCATCGGGCTGTAAATTCTGTGACATTGGGGATTTTTTGTGTGTTTTGTCCATTGTTGTTTTCCAATACCTGTAATAGTACCTGACATATAAAAGGTGCTCAAAAAATATTTGGTGAATGAAACGCCATTTTCAGTATTCTTGCCTAGGTTATTTCACATACTCAGAAAGTCAAATTTGAGATTGTTTTTAATTTGAAGATTTTATTCTATAAATAATTGCTGAGGTTGTAAAACCAGTTCTTTGGCTATGTAATATAAAAATTCCTCTCTGTTGAAACCATGAAGCAAGATTCTATTATATTGTTTTAAGAATAGTTCGTATGAAGGATGAAGCCCTCTCCTTTTGGGAGTGATTAGTTGTTTGAGAATTTGCACAGCTGCCACATTAAGCTTTGTTCTGGTTATTCCCTGTCACACACTTACGTCTTCCTGTGTAGATTTTACTATTCTCAGTTGCCTTTAGCCATACTTACACATAATATGGAATTTATGGGGATTTTTTTTTCTGTCTCCTTTGCTCAGGATGCAAAGATTTTTTTCTATTCATGTTACTAGGTATGGTTTCCAGAAGAAATCAGAAAATTCACTGTTAAGTGTCACCAAGTTTTTATCAAAACCTGTTTAATTTTCAGGAAAAAAAAATCAATGAATGCTGTTTTTAAAAAATAAATAAAAATAAAAAGAGTGACCCACAGGATGGGAGAAAATGTTTTGCAGATCATGTGTCTGGTTACAGTTTAGTATCCAGAATGTATAAGGAACACTTACAGTGCAACAATAAAAAGACAAATATCCAAACTTAAAAATAGGTAAAGGATTTGAATATATAATACTTTTTTTTCCCCAGAGAAGACATATAATAGAAATGGCAATAAGTACATAAGGAGATACTCAACGTTATTAGTCCTCAGGGAAATGCAGATCACAACCACAGTGAGATATCACTTCATACCCACTAGGATGACTAAAATAAAAAAGACAGACAATAACAAGTTTTGACAAACATGTAGAGAAATTGGAACCCTCAAAAAATTAGAGTTATTATATGAGCCATACTTCTCCTCCCAGATATACAGGCTTCTCTTGGAGATATTGCAGGTTTGGTTCTAGACCATTGCAATAAAGTAAATATTGCATTAAAGCAAGTCACACAGATCTTTTGGTTTCCCAGTGCATGTAAAAGTTATGTTTATACTGTACCATAGTCTGTTAAGTGTGCAATAGCATTATATCTTAAAAACCAATGTATATACCTTAATTTAAAAATACTTCATTGCTAAAAAGTGCTAACAATCATCTGAACCTCAGTAAGTTGTATTCTTTTTGCTGGTGGAGGGGCTTACCTTAATGTTGATCACTGCTGACTGATCAGAGTGGTGGTTGCTGAAGGTTGGGGCTGTGACAGTTTCTTGAAATAAGACATCAGTGAAGTTTCTGCATCGATAGACTCTTCCTTTCATAAAAGATGTATTTGTAGCTTGTAACGGTGTTTGATAGCTTCTTACACACAATAGAACTTTTCTCCAAATTGGAGTCAGTCCTTTCAAACCCTGCTGCTGCTTTATCAACTAAGTTTATGTAGTACTCTATAATAGATCCTTTTGTTGTCATTTCAGCAGTGTTCACAGCATCTTCACTAGGAGTTGCTTCTTACGGATGAGCAAAGAAAGTGGTTTGCGCCTCAAGAAACCACTTTCTTTGCTCATCCATAAGGAGCAACTCCTTATCTGTTAGTTTTATCATGAGATTGCAACAATTCTCACACCTTCAGTCTGTACTTCTAATTCTAGTTCTTTTGTTGTTTTCACCTCATCTGCAGTGACTTCCTCTACTGAAGTCTTCTACCCCTCAAAGTGATCCACTAGGGTTGGAATTAACTTCTTCCAAACTCCTGTTAATATTGTTATTTTGACCTCCCACGAATCACAAAAGTTCTTAATAAGGCATCTAGAATGGTCAATCCTTTCTAGGTTTTCAGTTGACTTTTCACAGATCCATGAGAGGAATCACTATCTGTGGCAGCTATAGCCTTACAAAATGTGTTTCTTAAATAAGACCTGAAGGTTGAAATTACTCTTTGATCTATGGGATACAATGAAAATGTTAATCTCCATGTACATCTCCATCAGAGCCCTTGGATGACCAGGTGCATTGTCAATGCCCAGTAGTATTTTGAAAGGAATCTTTTTTTCTGAGCAGTAGGTCTCAATAGTGGGCTTCAAATAGTCAGTAAAACATGCTGTAAAGAGATGTGCCCTCATCCAGGCTTTGTTATTCCATTTATAGAGCAGATTCAATTAAACATAATTCTTAAGGGCCTTAGGATTTTCAGAATGGTAAATGAGCATTGGCTTCTGCTTAATGTCACCACTGCATAAGCCCCTAACAAGAGAACCAGCATGTCCTTCGAAGCTTTGAAGGCAGGCATCAGCTTCTCCTCTCTAGCTGTGAAAGTCCTAAATGGCATCTGCTTCTGATAGAAGGCTGTTTCATTTGCATTGGAAATCTGTCGTTTAGGGTAGCCACTTTGATCAATTATCTTAGCTAGATCTTCTGGATAACTTGCTGCAGCTTCCACATCAGGACTTGCTGCTTTACCTTGTACTTTTATGTTACAGAAAGACAGCTTCTTTCCTTAAACTGCATGAACCAACCTCTGTTAGCTTCAGACTTTTATTCTACAGCTCCCTTACCTCTAACAGTTTTCATAGCTTTAAAGAGATTTAGCGCCTTGCTCTGGGTTAGGCTTTAGCTTAAGGGAATGTGATGACTGGTTTGATCTTCCTTCTAGACCACTCAGACTGTTTCCATATCAGTAATAAGGCTGTTTCGTTTTCTTATCATTCATATGTCCACTGGAGTAGCACTTTTCTAAAAGTTCCTTCCAGAACTTTTCCTTTGCATTTACAAATTTGCTAACTGTTTGGTGCAAGAGGCCTAGCTTTTGGCCTGTCTTGGCTTTCAACATGCTTTCCTCACTTAGCTTAATCGTTTCTAGCTTTTGATTTAAAGTGAAAGGCATATGACTCTTCCCTTCACTTGAACACTTAGAGACCATTGTAGGGTTATTAACTGGCCTAATTTCAATATTATTGTTGTGTCTCAAGAAATTGGAAGGCTCGAGAGGGAGAGAGATGGGGAAACAGCTGGTCAGTGAAGCAGTCAGAATACACATAACATTTGTCAATTAAATTCAGAGTCTTATATGGATGCGGTTTGTGGCTCCCCAAAGCAATTACAATAGTAAGATCAAAGGTCTCTGATCACAGATCACCATAATAGGTAGGATAATAATGAATAAGTTTGAAATATGAGAATTACTGAAATGTGACACAAACATAAAATGAGCACATGCTATTGGAAAAAATAGCACCAATAGTCTTATTCAATGCAGGGTTGCCACTAAATTTGTAAAAAACCACAGTATCTGTGAAATTCAGTGAAGCAAAGTGCAATAAAATGAGGTACTATGTTTCAATTCTTTTGGGTAGTTCTCCTGTATACCCAAGAGAATTGAAACATGTTCCTACAGAAACTTGTACATATGCTTAATTCAGCATTATTCATAATAGCCAACAAGTGGAATAAGTTTGTTCGTCAACCAATTGACGAATGGATGAACAGAATAGGGTATCTTGCTAAAATGGGGTATTATGAAAAATGAAGTACTGATACCTGCTACAATATGAATAAACCTTGAAAACATAATACTAAGTGAAAGAAACCAAACACGAAAGGCCATGTATTGTATGATTATTTATATGAAATGTTTAGAAAAGGCATATCCACAGAGACAGGAAGTAGATTAGTGGTTGCCAGGAGCTGAGCAGAGGGATGAGTGGGGAGTGGCTGATGATGGTTTGTTTCTGGGATGATGAAAACGGTCTGGAATTATATAATGATGACGGTTGTACCTCTTTATGAATATACACCACTGAATTGTATAATTTAAAATTATGAATATTATGGTATGTGAATTATATTTCAATACAAAAATGTTTAAAATGGATCAGATGTGGTGGCTCATGCCTGTAATCCCAACACTTTGGGAGGCAGAAGTGGGAGGATTGCTTGAGGCCAGGAGTTCAAGACCAACCTGGGCAACATAGCTAGACTCCATCTCTAAAAAAATTTTTAAAACAGCTGGTTGTGGTGGCACATGCACCAACTACTCAGGAAGCTGTGGCTGGAGATCTTATTAGCTCTGGAGTTGGAGCTTACAGTGAGCTAGGATGGGACCACTGCAATCCAGTCTGGAGAAGAGTGTGAGACCCTGCCTGGAAAAAAAAAAGTTAAAAATGTAAACATTAAAGGGAGCGGTCAAGAGTGATAGGTGCCATAAACATGTCAAATAAGCTCTGAAAGATGCTGTTTGAGTTGGCAATTGATTATTGATCATATTATTGAACACTTTATAATTGATCAGTGAACTTGGCAATTGATCATTCACTGGTGACTGGTGAGAATGAAGTTAGTGGAAAGATAGGAAATCAATGGAAAGATTGACTACAGTGGATTGAAGGAGGAGTGGTAGATTGAATATAGAATTTTCTCAAGAAGCTTAAGTAAAGTGATAGCAAGAGAAAGGACTGTAGCTGTAAAACTGAGATTTTATGAAGTTGAAATATTGTTTTTTTTCTTAAAAATGATAAGAACCTTTAGCATGCTGTGGCAAAGAGCCAAGAGAGAGAAAATGGATGTAGGTATAGAGAAGAGAGAATAATTGGTCAAGCAAGATACTCAAGGAGTTGAAGGAATGAAATAAAAAGCACAGATGGAGAAATTAGGCTTAAATAGAATAAATGATACACCCTTCAAGAAAGGCTGGAAGGAGTTAGAAAGTTGTAGATGTAGATTTAATTTATAGAATTCAGCTGAAGAAAATGATGTTATTTTTATTTTCTCTGAAGTAGGAGGAAAAATTGTTAAGAGGGCAAGAATGAGGGCAGCAGGATGGAATAGATAGCCTGAGGCAAGTCATAAAGGGTCGCAATAGATTCTGTTTGGGAACCGAAGAGTAAATTGTCAATAATGAGTAAATTGTCAATAATAAATAAAAATAATGATGGTTCCCATTGTTAATTAGGTATGTGGGTAATTTAACTAGACTATATTTATCATCACAATAGAAAACTAAGGCTCAAGATGGTTAAAAATATCTTCCTTTTGTCAGCTGGAAGGTGATACAGGTGGGATTAGAAATCACATATACATGATTTCAAAGTTGCATTCAGGCTCTTTAGGTTGAAGATATTAGATATAGGCTGTCAACATCAGTGGATATTTATCCTCAGAATGAATGCTTTAAAAGACTGACGCTTATACCAGTGTCTTTCATATTTTCATGTAGATCTAATTTGCATACTCAAGAAGTAGGGAGATGGAAATAAATAGACATAAAGTATGCTTTAAGAGTTGAGAGTAGATGAGTTTTAGACTTACATAGAATTTACCCGTTCTTATTTTTTAGTTGCGACAACCACCAGTTAAGCGTTTGAGACTTCGTGGTGATTGGTCAGATACTGGACCCAGAGCAAGGCCGGAGAGTGAACGAGAACGAGATGGTAACTATACTTTGGTCAGCTTTTCTTTGTATATGGTATTTTAAAATTAATATTTTAACTTCCAGTTTCTTCACTATTATAAATTATTCTGTAATGAACATTCTTATACATATAGGTATACTTATGCAAATATATCTTAGGATAAATTCTTAGAAGTGGAATGGCGCAGTCACTGGATAAGTACCTTTTAATTTTGGTAGTTGTTATCAGATTAGTCTCCAAAAAAGATGTGCTAATTTACATTCCCACTGAAAGTATAAGAATGCCCATTACCCCATAGTACGTTGGGTATTGTCAGACTTTGCAGTTTTTGCCTTTCTATTAGATATTAAGAGAAATGAAAACTCAGCCCAAGGGTTTTATATTAGCACATAAAATGTTTTCTATCAAGTGCCTTTGATAAGCATAAGAATCAACCCTGGGAGCTTTAAGATAGCACACTTGAAAATAGAATTAATCTATGAATTATAATTCTATATTATTATGTTTTATTAAATTGGTCTGTAACCAAAATCTTACTATAATGACTTCTGAAACATCTCTTGTGATCAAAAGCATATTCCCCAATATATGAGCTACATTATATAAAGGCAATAAAGTGTAAAAGAAACTCTGATTTCACAGAAAATGTAAGAAGAACCGATTTTCATTTTAAATTATAAGACTATAGAATAGAGTTGTCACATTTTGAATTTGACATTACACTTTTAATTTGAAAATACCCTTGGAAAAACTTGTTTACTTGCAGGAGGAAAAGGAGTGAGGGAAGAGACAAAATACTTTCTGGTTCCAGTTAATTTCAAATATCTGAAATTTGCTTACAGTAAATGATGTTGAAAATAAATTGACTTTAAGGAAACTTCATGCAAAAGCATAAGGCTATTTTGTGTCTGTACTTGATTATAATGCTTTAGGGAGAGGGAAAACCTTTCTTTTAATCTATTAAACTTAGAATTCATGAGCCTTTCTTGGCTGGGTACTCTTAGAACTAAAAATTTAGGTTGAGGTAGGAAGTGGGAGGTTTAGTGGTACCTAAGAATAGGCAAAGATGAAGGAGAGGTGAGCCCTGTTCTCAAGAAACCTTACCATACACATGGAAAGTCACTGATATAAACAATTACTATAAAATGTGATGAGAGCTCTAATAGATTTATATACATTCATACAATTTATTTAGGAAATTTGATTTTTAAAAATATGCTTTCATTTTAAAGCCCTTCAAATCTAGGTTTTTGTATTAATGAAAGATTCTGACTTATTACTAAACTCACTGATAAGACCTATATTGTAATAGGAGAGCAGAGTCCCAATGTGTCATTGATGCAGAGAATGTCTGATATGTTATCAAGATGGTTTGAAGAAGCAAGTGAGGTTGCACAAAGCAATAGAGGACGAGGAAGATCTCGACCCAGAGGTAATTTTTAATGTTAATTAAAGTCATCAGAAAGCTGGCAAAAACTACTTATTGAAGCCAGTTTTTATTTCTATCATGTAAATTATACCATGTTTTACATCTGTAATAATCACAAGGTTCTTATTGTGTGGTGTGAAGTAGTAGAGAATAAAAGATATTGGATATAATTTGTCCCTTCTGGTGCCATTGGACCTAGTGCGTATCTTTTGCTTTTCTCAAAGTAAAGTAGAAGAATCTGAGGTTTCCTATTTTAAGCCTTTTTTTAATGCACTCTGAGAATGGAAATATATAAAATTCTGTGTATAAACAAGTTTTATGTAATAGGAAAGATTGATTGCTTTAACAAGAATATGTTGTAGATAAGTTTTTATCCCTCTTGACTGGCCTATTTTGTCAAATGGGCCAAATCACCAGTAGTTATTATCACTGAAATTATATATTTGTGTGTGTAAATATAAATGTGTTTTCTGAGCATATCTGTTTAGAGTTGTTGGTTTTAGAAAATATTTAAAATTTGAATTTGCCTTAACATGTGTTTTGAAGGTGGAACAAGTCAATCAGATATTTCAACTCTTCCTACGGTCCCATCAAGTCCTGATTTGGAAGTGAGTGAAACTGCAATGGAAGTAGATACTCCAGCTGAACAATTTCTTCAGCCTTCTACATCCTCTACAATGTCAGCTCAGGCTCATTCGACATCATCTCCCACAGAAAGCCCTCATTCTACTCCTTTGCTATCTTCTCCAGACAGTGAACAAAGGCAGTCTGTTGAGGCATCTGGACACCACACACATCATCAGTCTGGTGAGGATAAGTATGCTGTGGTTCATCTAATGATTTTTGATAGTGAAAATTTCTTTACTGGCTATTTTGAAAGATACTAAATCACATCAACTTCTTGTTGGAATAAATGATCAAAATGACATGTAATATATGGTTATGTAACTTAAACACAAAAATTAATTATGTCTTACTTGCATGAATTTTAACAAATAGCAGGAATCTTCAATTTATATAAAACAATTGTTTTAAAAGTACAAGTACCAAAAGATAGTGTTTTGACATAGTTTAATGTGCCTGACTTAAATATTATTTTATAGATTATTAGAGACCAAAATATCTTTCTAGATTTATTTGGTTTTATGTCTATATTAAAGTGATTATGAAAATATCAGTATTAGTTTCACTTTGCTTATATTCTTGATTATTTCCCTCAAATAATGCAGTACTTTTAATATACTCTCTATGGTGGATTTGATATGGTCTTTTGTCAACAACATATAATTTACCAAAAAATTTGTTTCTCTAGTATTTACATGAAAAAGAATTATTTTACCAAATGCTTATCTTCTTGATACTTGATGCTAGTGAAAATAACCTCTACGTTCTGTTAAAATGCTATTTTTTTCTCAGTATTATAAGTCTTTATGGTCAACTTTTTTCCCCTAACTATGGAATGTGCTAGTATTTATAATAGTAATTTTCAGCAGATGTATCTACAGTTTACTCGGTACTTTAAACTATATACATGTAATTATAAAAACCAATAAGATATTTATTCATAGTTTTCTTTGGTTCTTCTAAGGAAGAATTTTACTCAATATAGAGCCAGAATTATTAGCAACTAGAAATATAGCTGGCAGGCCTAAGCTGAAACCTATAAAAAAATTTCTAACAGCTTAGCTGCCAAGCTGTCACTTTATTCTTACATCTCTGGAAACTGATGCCAGATTACCAAATATGGGATGTTTTAATTTAAGCACTCTTTTATCAGTATATACCACTTTTAGTAATTCATTTTCAGTTTCTATGGGAATAAAAGCCAGAGTCAGTTACATAACTGTTAACACTGTATACATTTTATCCATAATAATAAGCTAAAGCTGAGCTACAGAATCAAGGTTTTCACACTCAGTTGACATAGCATTTTAATTTATGGAAAAATAAAATATTTTGGAAGATTTGGGAATTAAAAGCAGAAGTAGTTAAAAGTTTGTTTTTCAAAGCAGGTAAAATTGGGAAAAGCAAGAATTTTTAAAGTGATATTCTTGAACATATTGATCAATTATAAGTTTTTAGGAAAACTTAGCAAGAAGACTCTAGCTTACATTCAGCTTCCACTGAATCTCAACTAATTCTAGTTGTTTCTTAAATATATTTATGAGTAAAGTATTTGGAACTTTATTTTTTAAAGCTATCTAATGCATTTTAATTACTGCATTTCAAATTGCTAAATTCCTTTCAATATTTAATGTAAGTATTAAATGTGACAATCATTTGAATTATTGAAGAAGAAAAAATATCTTTGGTGGTCATGTGATGATTATTGAAACATTATGCAGTACTTTTACTCATAAATTATTTATAGGAAGTAAGGAAATATTTTTAACTGGGAGATTATTGAGAGAATTTTGGTTGACTAAGCTATAGATAATTAGAATATTTCCATGTTATCAAGACATTATCACTATTGAGAAAAATGATTTGGTGTTAGATGTAACATCTGAAGGTTATGACTGTAGTTGTTCTGATAACAGCTTTTTCATTATTCTGGAGTTCAACGTTTCAGGAGTAAGGACTTAATTTGTTTCTGTTTTTGTTTTTTGTCCAATCTCTTTTGCATTTGCCATAGCCTAAGTCCAAATGTGTTTGTGAATATTGGGAATTGTCCATTGGGTGAATGTAGTAGATGGAAATGTCAGCTTAGGACCATGATTTCTATTATTTCCCTGCATAGAGATAGAGAAAATGATAAAGTATACTTCTGTCTATGCTTGCCTTGCTGTGGATACCTTTTTATGTAAATGTTTATCCCTTTACATGTCCTCCCTCATTTTTACTGATATCAAAGAAACGGACAATGGGAATATGAAAATTTGCTACGCTCCATCTCTGGTTGAACCTAATTGTCTGCCTTCTCTTAGTCTACAGTGGAATCACTGAATGATAATGAAGAAAGTTATGACCACAAATTTCAATGGGTGCTCAACACTGTGCATCAGAGCAGCCTCACACTGTTGCTCTCCAGCTGTACAAAATGACTATTTTACACTTTCATGTCTCTCAAACTTTAATACTTCCCTTCATCCCCGCCCCACTTCCAGATTCTAACCTTTCATTCACAATGAAAAGTACTCGTTTTCCTACTGTCAATAATTTCCCAGCTTTCCAACATCTGTACTCACATTGTGATAGAAGCAGAAAGCTCCTATCAAAAGCTAGTCAATGTAGTTGCTATCCCTTTCCAGCTTCTCAAAGATTTCGCCCCTTCTCTTGCATTATCATTGCCTTTTTTTGCCAAATTGTTTCTTTTGGCCTTAACATGCTCTTATTATCTCCTTTCTTTAAAAATTTTCTCTTAATTATCTCACATTCCCCTTCAGCTATTGCCTTATTTCTCTGCTGCTTTCGTAATGAGAATCCTCAGAAGAGTTGTTGATAGATGCTCTCTCCATTTTCTTGCCATCCTTCATTTATTTATTAACCAACCCCCATCTGCTTTTCAACCCCCTTTTCCTCTGAAACTTTTAATCAAAGTCACTAGTGACATTCACCAGTTTAAAGGATATTTCTCTGTTAGTACCTTACTAGATTTTTCGACCCGGTTGCATTTAACATAGGCTGTCACTCCTTCTTGAAACACTTTCCTTTCTTGGTATCTATGATATCATATTTGCCTATTTACTCTTATTAATTCTGGTGGGTTTTCAGTAACTGTTGTTCGTGTTTCTTGTTCTATCTCCTTCTGAATATTATAATCAAACCCCTTAGTTTGGGCTCTCTTCTCTTCTCTTTACATACACTCTTTCTCTGGGTGATTGTGTCAGTTCCTCATAGCTTTTAATATCTCCTGTAAATTCATGACTCACAAATATATATATCAGCAATCTGATCTTCTACCCTGAATTCCAGACCCTTATGCCTGATGTCTGACTGCTATTTTGACAGTATGTTTTTGTTATTGTTGTACATCTTTTTTTTTTTTTTTTTTTTTTTTTTTAAAGACAGTCTCACTCTGTCACCCAGGCTGGAGTGCAGTGCACAATCTCAGGTCACTGCAGCCTCCCCCTCCTGGGTTCAAGCAATTCTCCTGCCTCAGCCTCCCAAGTAGCTGGGATTACAGGTTCCTGCCACCACACCCAGCAAATTTTTGTATTTTTAGTAGAGATGGGGTTCCCCATGTTGGTCAGGCTGGTCTTGAACTCCTAACCTCAAGCAGTCCATCCGCCTCGGCCTCCCAAAATGCTGGGATTACAGGCATGAGCCACTGCACCCGGCCTATTGTTGTACGTCATAAATCTACATGTTCAAACTAAAACTTAATGCAGCCTCCTACCCTTCCTGTTCCGTAATTGGCTCCTTCTTGGTCCATTTGCTTATTTGAATAACCTGTGAGTTTTTCTTGATTCCTTCCTTTTCCTCAAGTCCCATGCCAGCTCATCAGCAAGTTCTTTTGTTCCTGTATCTAAACTATAACCTGGGTCTTTTCATCTCACCATCATTTCTTGTCTCCTAATTAATCTGCCTGTACCTACTGTTGTTCCATTATAATGTATTCTCCATGCAGGAGCCAGAATGAGTATTTTAACATGTTAAATCAGATTATATAACTTTGCTGTTTAAATCCCTTCAGAAGTTCCTAATTGCATTTGGAAATACAACTACAAAAGAAAAAAAAATCAAACTCCTCACTGTGGACGTATAAGAATTTATATGGCCTGCCCTTCCCTGTCTCTCTAGCCTCATCTCATTCAATTTTCTCAGTACTTGATGATTGTTACACTCTAGATGTACTACTGATTTCTTTCGGTTATCAGAGAATTTCCGTGCCAAATTCTGCCCTGCCCTGCCCTGCCCTCCCCCGCCCCACCCCGCCTCCACCCTGCCCCCACCCCCTCCCCTCCCCCCTCCCTCCCTCCCTTCCTCCCACTTGCTTGCTTTCTCTCTCTCTCTTTCTCTCTCTCTTTTCTTTCTTTTCTTCCTTCTTTTCTTTTCTCCTTCCTTCCTTTCTTTCTTTTTCTTCTTTTTAGACAGAGTCTTGCACTGTTGCCCAGGCTGGAGTGCAGTGGCGTGATCTCGGCTCACTGCAAGCTCTGCCTCCTGGGTTCACGCCATTCTCCTGCCTCAGCCTCCCAAGTAGCTGGGACTACAGGCGCCTGCCACCATGCCCGGCTAATTTTTTATACTTTTAGTAGAGACAGGGTTTCACCGTGTTGGCCACGATGGTCTCAATCTCCTGACCTTGTGATCCGCCCTCCTCGGCCTCCCAAAGTGCTGGGATTACAGGCGTGAGCCACTGTGCCCTGCCATTTTCTTTTCTTTCTCTTCTCTTCTCTTCTTCTTTCCTTCCTTCCTCCCTTCCTTCCTTCCTTCCTTCCTTCCTTCCTTCCTTCCTTCCTTTCTTTCTTTCTTTCTCTCTCTCTCTTTTGTTTCTTTCTGTCTCTCTCTCTTTCTTTCTTTCTGTCTCTCTCTCTTCCTTCCTCCCTCCCTCCCTTCCTTCACTTCTTCCCTCCCTTCCTTCCTTCCTTCTTTCCTCCATCCCTTCTTTCCTTCTCCTCTTTCTCCTTTTTCTCCTTTCCCATCTTTCTCTCTTTCCTGTCTTTTCTTTTCTTTCCCTCTTTCCTTCTTACACTTTGTTCTTAGTGTTATTCTCTGTATGCTTGGGAAGCCCTTGTCCTGGCTTATCACTTGGCCAACTTCCTTTTCCTTGAGTCTCAGCTCAAATGCCATATAAGACAAGTCTTTCATAACTACCCTAGGTAAAGTCCTCTTTCCTTTTTCTTCTTGCTGAAATTTTATTCTCTTCTATATAACCCTGTTTATTTTGTGAAAAGCAATTATAAAAATTTATAATTTTCTTTTACTATGATAAGCTCTCTTGAAGACAGGATATTGTCTATCTTGTTGTCTCTGAGTAAGCATCTTTTTTCCCCAACAATATTCACCCTCTAAAGATACGATTAAAAGTGTGATGAGACATTTTGTTATCTTTAAGCTGATATAGACTAGATAGGGTATATTTAGCTTTATTTTAGTCTTTAGATTATACTTTTAGCCCCAGTCATTTACTCTGGCTGTTTCCATTAAGTTTCCAAAATTTGGTAACACCTAGAAGAGAGATGCTGTGATTAGCTGTCTAACCATTTATCATTTTGGATCCATTGTTTGCCTTTGACTGTCTAGACCACATAGGACTGAGTAGATAATTGTTCTTAGGTTGTTCTGAAGACATTTTAAGGTAACTTACAGAAATACTTTAAAAAATTGTCTCATTATATATATATATATTTGTTTGTGCTTTTTCACTCATGTATATATGGGTGAATATGGGTATGAAAATAATTAATTGAAGCAGTGAGTGAGTTGAATACGCAAAATGAATGCCCTGAAGAATGGTAAATCTAGAGGGGTCACAGTGTTGGCTTTGGAGTTTTGTAGCTAAATTAGGAAGGTAAGTAGACTGAAATGGAATTTAAAATCAGTTGATGGATTTTTTTTTTTGCTTTACCCTTTGTATTCTTGAATTTTATTTTAATTCATATGTCAGACCATTTGAAACCACGTTCTATATACCTCGCCCAGAATTTGAAGATATTTTGATTTTTATATATCTTCTTTTCTTGAACATTTAACAAAAGACTGCTTTTTAAAATGTGATTATAAAATTATATGTTTAAAAATGAGAAAGATACGACCATGAGCTAAAACTGTATAGGTTAAAATGAAATCTTCATAATTTTATTTATAAAAAATATTTCAAAATAACTATGAATATTTTCTTCTCAGTAAGGCCTATCAGACATCTCTTTCAGTTATTTCTTAAGTTAAGCCTAGAAATGTTTTCATTTAGTTCATGATTTGTAAATTATTCTCATGTTAAGAATCTTTTCATAATGAAAGAGTATTAAATGAGGCATTTTTCCAAGTGTGCTATTTAATTTTTTTCTTTGGTTTCATTTTAACCTATTTAAAGAATATGATTTAGAGAAGCTGGTAACTTTGAAGTGGATGGGGATATCAGTATATATAAAATTCACCTTTAGGGCTCATATTGAGAAGTGAATCACTTAAAGCTTCCCTGCCCTGTGTTTTTAATTAAATAGACTACTCAGACCATCAGAATTTTTTTTTTTTTTTTTTTTTTTTGAGATGGAGTCTTGCTCTGTCACCAGGCTGGAGTGCAGTGGCGCGACCTCGGCTCACTGCAACCTCTGCCCCCGGGTTCAAGTGATTCCCCTGCCTCAGCCTCCTGAGTAACTGGGACTACAGGCACATGCCACCATGTCTGGCTAATTTTTTTTGTATTTTAGTGGAGATGGGATTTCACCATGTTGGCCAGGATGGTCTTGATCTCCTGAGCTCGTGATCCACCCGCCTTGGCCTCCCAAAATGCTGGGATTACAGGCGTGAGCCACTGCGCCCGACCCAGAATTTTTTAAAGATAGCATATGATGTGGTCTGTGTGTGGATTCTTGCTTATTTAGTCATAAACAGGAATTACAAATTTATTTTGGCCTATGTAGAATTATTATAGCTAAATTGAGCTTTGTAGAAAAATTGCTGGAGAAGAACTCTGTTGTGCACCATATCAAAGCAAACCTTTCAAAGCCCCAAATCCAAATTATAGCTTCCTTAAATGGGATAAAGGTCTAGTCTAGTCTAGTCAGATAGATATAGGCCATTTATAGGTTAGAAACAAGTGGAGAGACCAGGTGTGGTAGCTCATGCCTGTAATCCCAGCACTTTGGAAGGCCGAGGTGGGTGGATTACCTGAGGTCAGGAGTTTGAGACCAGCCTGGACAACATGGTGAAACTCCATTTCTACCAAAATAAATTTGTTGTGCGTGGTGGCATGTGCCTGTAATCCCAGCTACTTGGGAGGCTGAGGCAGGAGAACTGCATGAACCCAGTAGGCAGAGGTTGCAGTGAGCCGAGATCACTCCATTGCACTCCAGCCTGGGCGACAGAGTGAGCCTCTGTCTCAGAAAAAAGAAAGAAAGAAAGAAAGAAACAAGTGGAAATATTAGGTCAATGGCCATTTTTGGGGAAACCAAAGAAGAGAACAGAGAAACATGGAGGTCAGTGAAGAAGTGACCAGTCCCAGGAGAAAAAATGCACAAGGATCATTACCAGGACAAGAAATAAGTTGGGACTAGAAGACAGATTTATAGCAGGCAGATAAAGTGCCACCAAATTAGATATAAAAATGATCCAGAGTCCAGGACAAAAATACTGTATGTATTGTAGAGGCAGGATGTGAGGTTAGAACCAGGTGGACCTTTGTTGCGTCAACTGTAGCTGTTTTTGTTGTTCTTCTGTCTCACTGGAATTAAGTCATTAGGAGAATAACCTGTAATCTTTCAGAAGAAAACAAGAATAGGGTTTGTAGTTTGAGGAGATGACAAAGTACAATTTTCCTGTGGCAGTTTATAATACCTTGTTGAATTTTTATCATCGTTGTTTTTAAAATTCAACCCAAGGTATTTATTGTATTCAATTTTCAGTTTGGGTCATGTTGACAAAAGCTAATTCTCCAAGCATTTATCTACATTTATAAATTATGTATGTTTGTGATATCTTTTTAAAGGATGTAATATGTGTGTATGTTGACTGCTTTAAAATTTCAAGCTGCTAGCAGAACTGTTATTTAGTCTGTTATGTCTGGTTGAATTTTTTAATTCAATACTTGCTTTTCCTAGTTAACAGCTATGTGGTGACTTCTCTTCTGAGCCTGATTTTGTTTTTAATCCAAGGAGAAAAAAGCCACCATACAAGCAGCTTTCAAAGCAGATAAATTCTTATTTAAAAAGCACCGGAAATATTGAATAAATGGTTCATAAGATTATCACAACTAAATCTTGATTTTTTTCAAGTTTTAGAGCATCACTACATGTACTGAGATCTTGCTGTTTGCCACTTCACCAAGTGGGTTCTGGGATGGAGATTTATGTCTTCATAAAACATTTGGTAACTCAATAGAGAGGGTTGACACTCCAATGAAATTGATGGTATTTTTCTGCTTTTTTAGCAAAATTTGACATATATGGCCTCTCTCATAGATTTCTTTTGAAGTGTGAAGTGACAAACTTTATGGCTGTATAATAATGCTTTATTTTATATTGCTAAAAGCATTACTATTATGCTGACTATAAATAAGGTGTCTGTACCTACCTGAAAAGAAAGCAGTATGCCACTGAGCATCACCATTTGTTTGTCAATGAATACTACCCTATTGGTACTGGATCATTTTCTAGGAAGAACTAACAGTGAGTGAGTATGATGTTATGAGTTATTAAATCTTAACTACCAATTGGGTAATTGAATAAAATGCTTTATAAATAGAAACCATCGTAACAAGAAATTAGTACCTGGCGTTATTGATTTCTGAAACAGTAAACCAAATTTTTTACTCTTAGTATCTGGAGAGGCTGAAAGTTTATTTGGTAGTTTGTATAATTTCATGCTAGTGTCAGAAATTCTCTATGCTCCTACCACCAAATCTCACTATTGACATCTCTGTGCATATTTTCTGCCTCCCTTTGATTATAATTAATGAGGTTTTTATGCACCTATTCAAAACCAATTCCTCCTCTGATACACTGGAACTTATCTCCTTTAGTTTACTCAGGGACATCATTCCTGTGGTTTTCCGCTTTTTTTTAAGCATCATCTTTCTCTCTCCTTCAGTTAAACATTCTCCATCAGAATACAGACGTGTGTATTAGCTCCCAAACTAAAACCACAAACTTCTCTTGATTATTATTATTATTATTTTTTGGTGGGTCTTCCTCTGTTGCCCGGGCTGGAGTGCAATGGTGCAGTCGTGGCTTACTGCAGCCTTGACCTCCCTGGCTCAAGTGATCCTCCTACCTCAGCCTCCCGAGGGGCCACAAGTGTGCATCACCATGCCTGGCTAATTTTGATTTTTTGTGGAAACAGGATCTCACTGTGTTGCCCAGGCTGGTTTCAAACTCCTGAGCTCAAAGTGATACTCTCGCCTTGGTCTCCCAAAGTGCTGGGATTACAGGTGTGAGTCACGGTGCCCTTCCTGCCTTCCCTTGATTCTTTATAACCCTGACAATGATTATCCAATTTATCTGTTCTCCACTAATAGCAAGAGTTGTACAAAGAATATATATACTTTGTGTCTCTACTTCATCACCTCCCCTTTCTCTTAAACCTGCTGCTATCAGATTTTGGTCCTTATTATTTAACTAAAATAGCTCTTGTCGAGGTCATCAATGACTTCCATCATACAAAATCCAGTGATTAGCCCTTAGTATCTCTTTTAGTATACTAGCAGCATTTCACACAACTGCTTACTCCATCCTTTTTGATACAATTTCACGACTTAGCCTACAGAGCTCTGATCATTCAGTTCTCCAGCTCTCTCTCTGGCTTTTCCTTCTTACTCTTTCTAGAGGTTCTTTTTCCTCTTAAACATTTGACTGCCTCAAGATTCAGTTCTTAGACCTCTTCTGTGTCATCCCTTACTCTTTAGGGGACTTAAAATGACATCCAAATTTATATCTCTGAATTGTAGACTTTTGTATTCAGTCCCTACCTAATTTCTCCACTTGGATGTCTATTCATTCTTTCCCCCAACACTACTTGTTTCTCCATTGTTCCCTGCCGTAATAAATTGGTTACTTGTTTTTCCCGTTACCTAGGCCAAAAACTTTGGGATCACTCTGCATCCAAACTATCAGCAAATTCTACTGCTTTTACCTTTAAAATGTATTGCACATTCCTATATGCTTTCCCCTTGAGTATTTGCACTTGCTCTTTTCTCCACCTGGAACACTCTTCCTCCAGGTATCCATGTGGTTTACTCGCTTATTTCCTCGAGGTGTTTGTTCAAGTGGTGCCTTATGAGAGAAGCTTTCCTGAGTTGCCATATATAAAATAACCCTTGCCCTGTCATCATTATTCACTATCCCCTTTACCTTACCCTGCCAATTTAATTCATAGCAGTTATCCCCACGTGACACAAACACATATGTTCAACATCATGTGTGCCTGTGTATTCGCAAATGTCTTTTTCTCTCAGAACATTAACTCCACAAGAATAAGGACTGTTTTGTTCAATATTTTATTTATCCCTAGAGCCTAAAACAATGCCTCATACATAGAAGACATTCAGTAAATATCTCTTTGCAGAATTTAATGTTATTTTTCTACTTTTCATCTGTGATCACTTCAGATAAAGGTTAAGAAAATATTGATTATGTAAATCTTTTTGAACTTAAAAAATTTTTTAAAATGACAATTCTAACATGAAATATTTAGCTGAAGAATATATAACTCACTTTTTTAGAGCTCTTCTCAATAAATTCTGAGTTGTTTCTAAATGCATAAGTTTTTATCCTTTTAATTGAATTTTGTTATTTGATTGAAATTAACAAAGCAGCTTAAATTTTTGTGTATAAATCAGATGAGTTAACTGATTGTTTTCAATTTCTGTTTCTTTCCTAGTATCATTTTGTTCTATGTTCATTTTGAAATCTTTTGCTTATGGAGGACTTTTTATTTCCATTTGGTTTAATTACTTAAATATTCCTAGAGAAATATATGTATCTAATTCATCGTAGTTAAATAGAAGCATTTGGTTGTATATGTATTGTCTCATAATTTAATGACCAGTAATTTTTTATCAGTAATTTGTTTATAGTATTCCTCTATGAGACATGTGTTTTGTTTATATCCTTCTTCTTTTTTAATGTATAATCAAATTCTTATTATTTTCTATTTTATTACTGTCTTTTCACCTTTCTTTTCCTATTTGTGTCAGAATTTTTAAGGGGCCCTGAGATAGCTTTGCTTCGTAAGCGCCTGCAACAACTGAGGCTTAAGAAGGCTGAGCAGCAGAGGCAGCAAGAGCTAGCTGCACATACCCAGCAACAGCCTTCCACTTCTGATCAGTCTTCTCATGAGGGCTCTTCACAGGACCCTCATGCTTCAGGTTATTAATGTCAAGTGTCCTTAAGCAGCTGATAGAATTGTTTTTTAATACTGCTACTGTGTAATAAGGTGCTTCCCTTTTCCCATTCAAAAAGAGAGCTAATGCGCTTGCAGCTTACCCCTCCTTTCCTTGCATATGGGTGGTATTCAACATCACGTGTTAGGGGGACAGATTGGCAGCAGCATCTGCCAGAGAGGTGAATATAAAATAATCAATTTTAAAAGTTGTAATATATTTGGAGAGGGGCAAATATTTATTACTTTTAAAGCTGATGACCTCTTTTTGAATAATTAGTGAATTTAGAGCCTGCATTGATCTTTCTATTGAAAGTTTGCATATGCTGAAATGAATCTATGCTTTATGGCTCCTAGCTCTTCTTCTTCTTCCTCTTTGAATGTTAGCCAATATTCCTAAAACCTAGTAATGCTAGATTTTAGAATTATAGTATTATTTGGCCATACTAGCATGCTGACTAAATTATTTCCTTCTGTCATTATTTGAAAATTTTCAATATTTGCTTTCTTATTCCTCTATACGTAATCAACTTTCTGATGTGTAGGGCAGCAAAAGTACTCCACAGTCTCATGTTCTTATTATGCTATAAAACTGTGATAACATAGTAAAAATTGTCACTCTTTTTTTCTCAATGAGTGTTTTAATGCCCTGTCATCTTATGACCAGAAAGTTCATGATGCTCAATAAACATTTGTTAAAAGAATTAATGAAAGATATATTAATAGCACAAAATAATTTGTCAACTTAGTTATTTCAAGATGGGTAATAGATACTGTAAATCCTATAGTATTATATAAATACTATAGTAGGTATAATAAGTTATTTAGGAACAAGAATGTCTAGGTTCTCATACTAATCAGTTTATAATGCTTTGTTTGATATGCTTTCTTCTGCTACCCTAAAGAGTGATGAGTTTGGGCTTTGAGAGTTCTAATTTGATTATTTGGAACTAATTTATATATTGGTAGAATTGGACAACCTGCACTTTATAAATATCTGTTCTAGTAAGTGCTGTGGTAACAAAAGCACATTTTATATGTGGTAAAATTAAATAAATTTAAGTCATTGTAATATAGATATGATGTTTGGGATAAATCATAAACTTTATTTTTAATTCAATGTTATATTAATAGAGGGAGTATCAGGCAGAGGCCTCTGATTTTTTTTTTTCCTATGGGGAAATATTTTCCTATACTTTAACAATTAACAAGAAAATTTGACCAGATTACAATAATGACATTTAATAATAAAACATTTTTGTTTTTTTTTTTGCTGTATATAAACGTCTAGCAAACATGTTTTGAAGGTTAAAAAATCATGAAACCTAAAAGTCAATAGAAAGAAAAATAAAATGTCCCTACGTATATAATTATTTTTAAAATACTAAAATTTAGCAGATTACAAACTTAGTATTAAAATGATCTTGAGTATAAAACAAAACTGTCTAACAGGAAAGAAGTATACATTGTAGATGTTGGAAAAATATTTTGAGATTCACTAATCTTTTGTAACTAGTTCACGGATTTGAATTGAAGCAAGCTCTTTTTAGAATCAGAAAGCTTTAGAGTGAATGTGTGGTTTCTGTGAAGTAAGATGCTGTCTTTCCAACTCTTAAGTGTTTTCTAATTAAATATCTAGTTTGGCAACAGTAGAAATTAAATTTATGAAATTCAGCAGGAGGGTAGGTTTTAATTGAGTAACAATTATAAAACTTTATCTTATACATAATAATTAAATGCAGTTTTGTATATGGACATTAATTGATTCATTCTTTTATGATAGATGTTACTACTATCTACCCATACAGAAAGCACCAAAATTAGCCTCCTAGATTTTAATTTATTAATAATAGAAGAATGTGCGTTTCTCATATGTAAGAAGCATATTTTTCCTTCATACTTTGGTATCTTTAGAGTATCAATTAGTGGTGATAGTGCCAGTAAAACATATTTCTGTTGTCTTCTCACCTATTTAAGTGTTTTAGCTATAAGATGTTCAAAGGAGACATTACTATGATTTGGAAACCAAGAAATTTTAAAAAGTATAGAAAGAATTTCTGCATTACATTGTTTGGCAACCATTTTATTCTCTTTTCAAAATATATAGAACTCATGGGAATATTCTGTGAAATCAGTAATACCTAATTCCTGTAGGAAAGTTAGATCAAACCTTGAAACCACTTTGTAGAAATAATCACCTACATTTTTAGTGGGCTCAAATGGGAAGGGGCCTGATGCTGGTTTAGGATAATCCCAGATGGAATATTATCTATTTAGTTGCTGATATTTCTTGGCAATTGAAGACTAAAACACCATTCTAAGGCACCAAATGATATCACCTTAAGTTTCAAACTGTTTAAAATGAGCTGTATAAAATAGGTATTAGAAGATGTTAAACAGTGGTTTTTTATTTATTTTTGGTTGTTCACTCTTTGTCATCAGTCTTATGTGGAAATTCCAATAGAAAGTATATAAAAGTAGCACTGTTGGGACTTAAACATGAAACAAGGAGCGACTACCCACCTGCTTGCTCCTCCTGCTACCCCTAAAGCTCCTCTGCTCCCTGAAGCCCAGTTTGAAAATCAGTGCTTTAAAAGAATTTTTGACACCTGTAAATGATAATTCTTTAGAACTAATTTCCAAAAATATGGTTTTAAAAAATTAGAATATATCATTTAAAAATATTTTCACTTGTTAGTTTTTTAAAAGTATATCTTTTCTAGGAAATACACCACAACTCATTTAGGAAATACACCATAACTTGTTTTCTAGACTTTTAGGAAATATGCAGGAACTCATAAAATCCTTAGCAATTTTTTTTAACCAAAAAGAAATGAATTTGCCTTTATCACATCAGTGCCTGGGAATTAGATTGGCTGAACTCTTGTCCCTGGCTTTATGACTAGATGACCTTGGGCAGGTCATTTGACTGCTTTATGCCTCAGTTTCCCAATTATTGATTTATTTAGATAGTGTAGCTTGCTGTAATTTACAGAGACCATGTAAGGATGGGTTAAGGCAATACAGTATATATGAAGTTACCTACCTGAGGAGAGCAGTACACATGATAATGTACTCTCTCTTTTTTTTTTTTCTTTTTTGAGATGGAGTCTCGCTTTGTCGCCCAAGCTGGAGTGCAGTGGTGCTATCTTGGCTCACTGCAACCTCCACCTCCCGGGTTCAAGTGATTCTCTTGCCTCAGCCTCCCAAGTAGCTGGGATTACAGGCATGTGCCACTATGCCCGGCTAATTTTTTGTATTTTTGGTAGAGATGGGATTTCACCGTGTCAGCCAGGATGGTCTTGATCTCCTGACCTTGTGATCCACCCACTGCAGCCACCCAAAGTTCTGGGATTACAGGTGTGAACCACCATGCCCAGCCAATAATGTACTATCTTAATTGTAGTATGTTGTTTGCTACTTAAAAATGTCCTCATATAAAGGCCCCCATAAGGTTGATAGCATTCAGGGTTTTGAATGAGCTATATGTACATGTATCAGATGAATGTCCTAAACAGGTATGGCAGAGGCATTCAGCATATGGCTGATTTTAAGCCCAACTCTTTTTTTCCATTTCAGGTCCCCTGAAGTCATGGGTTGCTGGCTCCTGCTCAGAGTGACAGCACCCTGTGGAGTCTGCTGGTACTGACCTAACCACCACAGAGCCCCACTGGAGCATGGAGCCAGCCTAGAGAGGGTCAGGTAGGAACTGTTTTTTCACTTTATGGCACGGTTTTACCAATTGGAAAAAAGTAATTTTTATACCCCAAAAGGGTGTAAAACATTGGTGATTATTTTTGAAAAAGGGCTTTTCAAAACTGAGCCATATTGGAAAAAATCAGCACTTACCCGATCCTGTGCAAGCAGGCTCTAAACAACACCAGATTTCCCACAGTGTCCATAATGACAGTCACATGGCAGCACTTCTCAGATGGATGCATTGGATCTATGTGTTTGATGTTTATAAGTAGTTAATAAATTAGATATATTAGTCTGGTTCTGCCAGCAGTCCTTAACTACCTTGAATGACAGAGTCCAAAGCAAAACAGTGATGAGTCTTTTAGAAGTTTAAACATAATACGCTCCAGATGTTTCAGAACAGCTTTGTACCATTATTTTTCATTCAATACCATATGTCTGAAAAATAGGCAAGTAATGATAAACATTAAATGACCCATTCCTATGTGCTGTCTGAATATTTTACATGGATTATCTCATTACATCTTCAGAAGAACATTATGTAGTAGATATTGTGATTATCCTCATTTTACAGATGGAGAAACTGAGACTTAGACAAGTTAAATAACTTGCCCAGGGTTACAATATTACTGAGTAGAAAAACCACATTTGAACCCAGGAAGTGTGGCTGAAGAATTTTTGTGATTTACCTGTTAGACTATAATTGTCTATTTTTTCTACAGTGGAGATAATTCTGGTGTCAAGGGGCTAAAGAATTTTCTCAAGACCAAACAACACATTTTTTGGAAATACACAGTAATTGACCATGAGACATGCTGAGCTTAGTACTGAGTGAGCTTTTGCTTAAAGTGTATCTTTACCTTAAAAAAAAGTTACAATTCTAAACACTTCAAATAAGCTGACCAACCATATTACATGTTACAATAAACTACCATTGGACCATATATTCAGGTTTTTAGTTTGTGATTATATTCTCTAGAAGGTATTTCCCAGAGAGGTAGAGTAGAATATGCCAGTAACTGAGGCAGTCAGCTTAAACTAGTAATTACTTTTTTAAATATTAGCTATTCTAATGGTTATTATGTTAATATTTGAAAATATTTATGTAAGATAGGAGTTCTAGGTATTGTATTTATGAATAGTGGTTAAAAAAACATGTCACTTAAAATGTTCATATGATAGGAAAATAATCCTTCCCAAAGGAGTTGTGTGTTCCCAAGATTACAAATAGAATGAAAGCAGTGACCAGGAAGGATTTCTTCATAAAATTAATCTTCAAGATGGGAGGAACAGCAAATGCCTCAGAAATACACAATGTCTATGGCAGAGTAAAACCAAAAAGGAAACCCTTTTAGTTTAATACTTTCTGTCTTAACATAGCTTTAATATTTTAAATACTTCAAGAGTTTGAAAATAGTTTTGTAGAGATGACAGCATTCTATATCTTTCATTAATAGTTTTTTCCCCGTGACTTATTCTTTCTTAAATTTTATTAAAAATAAGATGCATTTTATCTGAACAAGATTTGTACATTTCATGGTATTTTTTAGAAAAAATAAATGTTTGAAGATAAGATTTCTTGGAGAGTTTATAGTTTTCTTACGGCTCTTAAATTGTTAAATGAGGGCATAATGAAATGTATAACAAATCCAAATGGATGAAAAATATTTTTCACAGATTTTTAGGAGAGTTTCCCAATATTTATTTCACTGTGAGTCACATTTTTCTTGTTTTTTTAAAGAGTTTAATTTGTTTTCTAAAGACCAATTTATCTGTTCTTTAAAAACAACATAGATGGTAGTGTTGAATCCAACTGTGAAATGGATAAATGAGAAGGCATCTTAAGAAAGTAAAGCACGAATAGATTAGGGAACTGATTGAAATGCTATTGTTCCCACTTTCTTTTTTGTGTACTAAAGATTTAACTGTTCTGATGAAAAAGTGATAAGTAAGGATAAGTAAAAGCTGTTATTCAAATAATGATCATGTTTTGTCAAAATCTAGTAAGAGAAAAATACATGAACAAACTGGTGATACTAGAAGATGGAAGATTTAAAGTTGATTGAAATGGTACCACTAGCAGGATTCAGACTTTTAAATGTACAAATGCAAGCAATCAAATCCTATAAAATCAATGTGAATCCAGGATATATTGGAAAACTCAGCTATCCAGCTAAGGGCAATCTTAAAATACCTACTTTTTGGGAAAAATATGCCATTATGAGCAGAAACTGGTGTTGGCCAAAAGTATTTTGTTAACATTTGCTAAGAACTAGAGCACAGGATATTAGAAACTGGGAATTATTCTTATTGGTTGGGGAGAGTTGCGCTTATTACCTATGTTTCTCTTTTACTGTAGCCCTACTGGAACACCTATTCCCCAGTGTCTTGCTTAGGTTACTAGATCCCCAGGCTGATTAGAGAGTAAGGAGAAGCTTGGGCCTAAAAATGTTGCTAATTACTGTCAGAATCAAGTTAAGAATTAAAACTTACTAACTTCTGATGAGTGCTCTTTCCATTTTATTATGCTGCCTGCCTTAATACCAGTGTTTTTCAAACAGTAGAAACCGCTTATAAAGTAAATTCTTACATAGAAACCCAGCATATTAAAAAGATAAGAACGAAGCTGTTCTATTTGAAGCCAAGGTAGAAAGTGTAAAGCCCAGATCATTAAGTCTTCTCTGCCTCTCTTTTCCTTTCCCTACCAGGTAACGCTAAAGAAACTTGAGCCTTTACATAGTATAGTTTTAATATGCACAATATACTGTAGAGTTTTTAAAGTCATGCATGTTTCTGTAATGATAATTACCTCATTGAATATTTTTCTTATAAACCATTTTCTTTGTATAAGATCTTGATGTTAGCTCCTTGTTCAGCCCACAGTACAGCAAACAACATCTCTCAAAGTATAGTGAGCATTTCGTTTCATGCTTCGAATCCTCCAAGGCAGGATGAAAACCATCTTAAGGAGCTGGAGAGGGAGTTTGAGAAGGGCAAGGAGTCTTGTGTAGTGAACTAGATACCCCATTTCTAATATATCTACCTTGCACCTTGTGCCTCTGGTATACGAATTTGATAAAAGGTGTATGCATGGAAATAGAAGAATAGTTTCTCAACTCATTCTCAAAGTTACTAAATGCTTGCCTGGAATAACATATCTTAAGCACATGGCCCTGCTTACTCACTGCTTGGGAATCACACCACAGTACTTACTTCTATTCCGCAGCCTTATACATTTGTTTCTTAAGCTTAGAGATGATCATGACATTGCTGTGCAGTTTTCTGCTGCTTACTTTTAAGTTGAAATCTCATTTTTGTTTCAGATTCTCCTTCTTCTGTGGTTAACAAACAGCTCGGATCCATGTCACTTGACGAGCAACAGGGTGCGTGCAACAGGAGATGCGCTATGCCCATCCATCCATAGCTTTATTGCAATGCATATACTAAGCTCTCTCACACCTTTCGTAGCATTTCATTTTGATTATGGTCTTATAGTCAGTATTTTGTGGACCAAATTACAATAGGTGGTATTGTACATAAAAGGTCTTTTTGGCCTATACAGATTATTTTCTATGTAAGCTCATTTCTCACTTTGGCCCTTGATGCCAACTTTGAACTCTCTCCCTATAACAAAATTATAATGGATACAAACTATATCCATTTTTTAAATTCTAGGTATCTGTCATAAAATTGTGTAGAACTGTGGGTGTGAGGTTAATACTACCTCGTTGCTTATGTAGGATAAGTTATTTAAACACAGTGATATTCTATATTACTAGATTGCTTTAGTAATGATACTTGGTTTTATGTCTCACTTATCTGGTAGCCAAATTCCTGGTAGCTTTAACTAAAGACTATAGTTACGAACCCAGAGGTAAGCTCAAAAGCTGTCAGTCAGAAGCTCCCACTTCCACTTGTACTTTTCAATGTGGGAAAGGTATAGAATCAATCTCCAAGCCTTGAATAGAGCCTGATGAAATGAACGCGTTACTTATTTATCAGGCTTTATTACTAGCGATCAAATATAGCACAGAGAAGGATTAGTAGAGGAAGACATTCTGACATGAAGGGACATCTGAAAAGGCTGGAGATAGGAAGACTAAAAACTAAAAAGGCTATTTAGTGTTAGCGCAAATGTTTTACTATCTCACCTCAGAATTTAATGAAGTATTTTAAATATATTGTGACAAAGTGTGATAAGTAATCTTAGTTAAGTCTTTAAGAATGATTTAACACGATATTCACTTTCTCTATTTAAAAAGGCAGATAGCTGGACGTGGTGGCACACGCCTGTAATCCCAGCTACTTGGGAGGCTGGGGCGGGAGGATCACTTGAACCCAGAAATTTGAGACCAGCCTGGTCAATATAGCGAGACCCCGTCTCTTAAAAAAAAAAAAATTAATTAGCTGGGTGTGGTGGTGCATGCCTGTAGTCCCAGCTAATAGGGAGGCTAAGGCAGGAGGATTGCTAGAGCACAGGAGTTCAAGGATCCAGTGAGCTATGATTGTACCACTGCACTCCAGCCTGGGTGACAGAGTGAGACCCCCATCTCTTTAAAAAAAAAAAAAAAAAAGAACAGAAAAAAGGCAGGTGATTGCCTTTATATATTTTACAAATGTTCCTTTCAAAAACATTTTTTAAAAAATTAGCACTAAAGCCATAAGATTTGGTTGACTGAAAGTTTACATATTAGATGACTCATATGTCAATAGTAATGCAGAAATTAAATATTGCTGTACTTACTTGGTGTGAAATATATGTAATTTAAACTATATTCTTAGAGAAATATTCAGAAACTAATTTTAAAGTGAATTAGAAAACTTCTTTTGTACTTCTGATCTTAAATTATTCCTTATGGGGCCAGGCGTGGTGGCCCACACCTGTATTCCCAGCACTTTTGGAGGCCAAGGCAGGCAGATCACCTGAGGTCA
The DNA here is from genome assembly GCF_000001405.40 of Homo sapiens. Classification (NCBI taxonomy): domain Eukaryota; kingdom Metazoa; phylum Chordata; class Mammalia; order Primates; family Hominidae; genus Homo; species Homo sapiens. The sequence goes on from NC_000001.11 coordinate 168,024,597, forward strand.
GAAGTTTGAGACCAACCTGGCCAACATGGTGAAACCCTGTCTCTACTAAAAACAAAAATTAGCCGGATGTGGTGGCCCGTGCCTGTAATCCTAGCTACTCAGGAGGCTGAGGGAGGAGAATCGCTTGAACCTGGGAGGCGGAGGTTACAGTGAGCCGAGATTGCGCCATTGCACTCCAGCCTGGGCAGCAGAGTGAGACTCTGTATCCAAAAAAAAAAAAAAAAAAGATTATTCCTTATGGACCTGAGGTGAATTTCTGATCTTAAATTACTCCTTATGGACCTTAGATGACCTGTATTACTATAAGGTTTTCTGTTCTTGAGAAAGAAAGAATGAATGAATGAATTGGTAAATTAATTTGCAAACTAAGGAATTAAGCATGTGTTATTTTATATGTTTATTACAGAGGTATTAACAATGAAGAATAATTAAGGCAAAATACAACTATAGCCTACTATATTAGACTACTGTATATAACTACTCTATAATTAAAGGATTTTTTTTCTAAGGATATATGGATTTAATAATATATCACTATCAGAGATTTTATAGCCAGATTTATATTCTAGTTAATCACATACAATAATTTTCATAGCATTACATTTAATATTATATTCAATTTAAGTTGATAATTTACATATGATATGGGATATAAGAGGAAGAGAAAAATTATGATTAACTCCCAGATTTTTTACATCAGTGCCTGGGTAGGGTAAATGATAAGGCCATTTACTAGGGTTGAGTAGCTTGGAAATAGAAATCAGGTGGTTCTTTATCTTTTTGGCTATGTAAAGTATGATATACATTTTAGTCATGTAAGTAGAGTTGCTATGTAAGAGGTTAGTATTGAGTGGCTTTGGCAGAAGCTGCACCGTAGTAGACTATCAGAAATGTAGCTTTGTAATAAGACCTCTGAGCAGAAATGTTCTAATGGTGGAAAATATATCTAATTAATTAAATCCTGAGTTTTTACATACCTTTTTGTTCATCAGCATTATAACTTTTAAAGTACTAGGAACTTCACATTGCAGGCTCACATTACCTAAAGATAACTTCTAAAAGTTAATAGAGACTGCCCACCACCATTTGTCTCTCCTAGATTAATGGAATAATCCCTTTACTAGTCTTCTCACATCCACTCAGGCTATAGTCTATTCTCTACCGGCAGCCAGAGTGAAACTTCAAGATGTAAATATAATCATGTGATTCATCTGCCTAAAACATTTTAATTACTTCCCATAGCCTTTCAAAAGAACCCAAATCCATACCTTGGCTTACAAAACCTACATGACTTGATTTCTGTATCTCTAATCTCGTCTCAGGCCACTATCCCATCATTCACTAAGCTCTTGCCAAATAGACTTACTTTCATTTCTTTTACATCCCTTGTACAGGCTGTACATCTCTTGTACATGCTGTTCCCTCTACCAAAACTACTTTTTTGTTGAGCAATTTCTACTCATTTTTTAAACTCACTGAGATGTTACTCTCAAAAATAATATAACTTCACAATCTCTAGTAAGTCTCCTCTTTTTCTTCCTTTGTGACTTGTTATTTTTCCTCATTGCATTTATCACATTTGTAATCATACATTTATTTAGGGGATTGTTTAATATCTACCTTTTTGCATATTCTCTAAATATTTTCATTTAATAATTTCCTCTATGCCTAAAATCATACATCATGTGGTAAATAATATTCGTTAAACGAGTGAGTAAATGAATTCTTTAAGCAATTATTTAAGAGCTGTAGGGATTACTTCAGCTTGGGAGAAATGTGATCAGATTTACATATTGGAAAGATCATTTTGGCAACATTATAAATGATTGGAAGGAGTAAGATTGAAAACACCAAGAACACGTAAGAGGCCATTGCTATAGTCCACCTAAGAGATTATGAGGGATCCAACCTAAGGCAATAGTGGTGAGAAGTGGGAATGGACAGATTTTAAAAATAGTTGAAAGGTTGAATTCATGGGACTTTGAGACTGATAAGTTAGAAATGAATGAGAGTATGATAACCAGGTGTCTTGATAGGGTGATAATGAACCATCAGCCAAGATAGAGACTTTAGGAGGAACAGCTAGCTGATTTGAGGGGAGAAGAAAGTATGTGAGTTTTTTTTTAATGTTAAGTTTGAAGTGTCTTTGGATATCCACGTGGAGAGATCTCATAGATGGTTGGATGGCTATATGATGCTGGAAGTCACCAAAGTGATCTGAGGTAGAAATAAAGGTAAGGAATCATTAGTTTATAGATAGCAGTTGAAACCATGGGAGTGGATGAGATTGTCTAGAAAAAGAGGGTAGTGTGAGAAGAGTAGAGTGCACTACAGGAGCAAGTAGAGAAAAGGATCTAGCTAATGAGACCAAACAGGAATGATGAGAGAAGTACGCAGGGCAGAAAGAATGCCATATCCAAAACCAGGAGAAAAGAAGTGCAAGGAGGGACAGGTTAGTAATGCCATGTAAATCAATGATACCAACTCCCAGAAAGTCTGATAAATCATTTTTTAAATTTGGCAACGTGATTGCTTTGACATTGTAGTTTGAGATATGATGTAGTGGAAGCAGAAGCCAGATAGTAGTGGTTTGAGGAGAAAGGTTTGGGGGAAAAAGGTAGAGACTTTGTTATGTCTCTTTTCATAAGCCCAATTAAGAATTGAAAGAGCAAAGATAATGTCAGGTATAGGTGGTGGTAGGTTCAAAACTGAGCATGTTTATAGAGTAAACAGATTGTGTGTTCAAGATGTAAGGGATAGTTGATGTCCCCAGATATGCTATTATTTCAAAATTTTAACCTTTACCAAGATTCTTGTTCTCAGTTTTACCATGGAGAATGGAAAAAGTAGTACATTTAATAAGTTTCCTATTTGAATATATCTCTGACTAATGATTATTTCAGCATATTTTAAATTTGTTTTTCATACTTTTAACAAAACACGAATGCTTTTTAAAAATTGATAGTTCAGTTTTATGTTTATGTCACAAAATATTTCTTCACCATTTTCCAGGTGCCCAAATCATTTTATATGTTGTTTAATTTTCCATAGCATTTTCATAGATTTCTTTACTTGGAAGGATTACCAAGGACAAAAATGTTACTAATAAATTTTTTTAAAAATTTTAGTGGACTTGGTTACTGAAGAAATTTTTTTCTTTGAATAACTGTATACACAGTATTAAACTGGTTGAGTGCAACTGGTGTCTTTGCTTATTTATCCTGAATTTTTAACAAAATCACAATTTGATAGAAGTATGTTTAGCCTGAATCTTCATTCATTAATGCAGCTCCCTGGTTGTCTCAATAGTTTTACTTTTTTTAAGAAACAAAATTGTAGGGAAATAAATGTATAACATGCACATTGTTATTAATTGTATCCTATTATAAAATAATTTTCAGTGTTCTCCAAATTTGGAGTTGTGTGTAAACACATTGATGGCCTTTCTGTGCTAATTATGCATAAAGTGAAATTCTGTTTGAATAAGCACAGTAATGTCCATCATGCATCTTGTTTAGTTTCAACAGTATGTTTTAATGGGTAGTTTTAGTTTTCCTTTTTATCTCTCTACTATAAGAGGAAAAATTCTCTTCTGACATATATTTATTTTACCTTGTTTATATTATTAAAACTTAACAAATTTTTCCTCTTAAAAATATGTAGGCCAGCAATTTCCCCCTTATTTTATTTTAAAAAATAACAACAGCAAAAAGAATATGTAATTGTTGTTTTGAGAACAGTTAACTTTTGAGAGGATATAAGAAAGTAATTTTGTCTGAGTTTTAGGTTTTGGCCATGATTGAAACAAGTTGCTTTCTATTCCTTACAGTGATTCCATTAAGTGGAAGTTGACAGTGCCATCGAGTTTGAAACTTACGTCTGTAGGCAGTTGTGCATCTGCAGGCACTAATTTTCTGTTATAGATTTAAAGAAATATAAACACTAATTTGTAGGTATGAAAAATATCAATGTTAATTTTCCACTATGTATCATTTTATATAAGCTGACTGTCTTTGATGTTTGTGAAACATTCATCTATAGGAGACTAGTGGATAATCAAAAACCAGTGAAACAGATTTTTACTAATTCTACTAAGGTAGATTGGGAAATGGAAAAGTTGGACCTGCCATGCATTAAATATGTATTACCTTAAGATTATATACTATCACCAAATTGAAATTTCATTTTAGTACTATTATCTAATATTATTTTAAACATATTGACAATTCTAATTTTTATTAAATAAATATCTAGTGATTGAAGCTTGCTGTATTAATAAGAATATAAGTTCAGTATTCCCCACACTGGAATACATCCATAAATAGTATATTTTAAATTCTAGTGAAATAATAAGTTAGTGAAATAAAATTTCATTCTAAATTCTTTGTATTTCTTAGAACTAGTTATCACTTAGTTACTTGGAATGAGGTAACTAATTTCTTCCTATCCCCAACTACTAGGTCTTGATTGTTCCAATTAATGATATATTTGATCTTTTGGAAGTTAAACCCTATTTAATTTTTTTGTTGCATATGCTCGTGTGTTCTACTCTTCTGCTGATCAAACCTATACCTCCAGTTTGTTTAACTTAGAATTGTCTTATCATAAAAATAACTGACATTTATTGAGTTTTTTGTGACTAGCACTGTGTTAAGAATTTAACATGCATCATCTAATTTGTGCTAACAATGAGGTGAATTATCTTAATTTTACTAATGAAGAAACTGAGACTCCAAGAAATATGTAAAGATGAGTGAAATAAGTGGTGGAGCCATATTTGTATGTCTGTACTTCATTAATTCAACTGATACGTAAATGCCTACCTACCTTGTGGCAAGTACTGGGATAGGTACTAGGGTGCATGAATAAATAACACTACTGTCTTCTGTACTGGGAGCATTGAGTTGATTTATAATAATAACAGCAACAACAACATAAGACACTTAATACCACATTTTCTTTGTACCAAACATTGCTTGGAGCAATTTTTTATATGTTAATTTACTTAATCCTTACCACAACCATATGTAGTTGGTGCTATTATTACCCCCATTTTTCAGATGAGGAAACTGAGGCAAAGGGTGGTTAAGAATCATGTCTAAGGCCGGGCGTGGTGGCTCACGCCTGTAATCCCAGTACTTTGGGAGGCTGAGGTGGGCGAATCACGAGGTCAGGAGATCGAGGCCATCCTGGCTAACACAGTGAAACCCCGTCTCTATGAAAAACACAAAAAATTAGCCAGCTGTGGTGGCGGGCACCTGTAGTTCCAGCTACTTGGGAGGCTGAGGTGGGAGAATGGCGTGAACCCAGGAAGCGGAGCTTGCAGTGAGCCGAGATTGCACCACTGCGCTCCAGCCTGGGTGACAGAGCAAGACTCCGTCTCAAAAAAAAAAAAAAGAAAAGAAACATGTCTAAGGTTGCACACAGCTAGTAAGCGTTAGAAACGTGTCTCAAACCCAAGAGGTCTGGCTCTGGCATCCGTGATCATAACCACTTGCTTTGCCTGATCTAACAGTAAAGATGGATGAAAAAATAAATCAAGTGTGATGAGTGTTATATAAGAAAGGGGAAATAGCAGGGTTCAGTGTGGAACATAGGAGAGTGGGCCTTCATTCCCTCCAGTTGAGGGCCAAATAAGGCATCCCTGAGGAAGAGACATTAAGCTGAGATCTGAAAGGTGAGCCTGAATAAGTTAGGTGAAGGAGCATGAGTAAAGGGAAGCATGAATAGCATATTGCAGAGCCTCTGAGATGCCACATACAGGATGACTAGGAGAACCTCAGTATGCAGGACAAAGTGACTTTTTGGACATTTTTAGGTTTCGCATTTTTATTTTAAGAACAGAGGGAAGCTAATGAAGTGTTTAAATTAGGGAGTATGGCTATGGCCTGATACTCTGAATGGAGTATGGAGAATTGATTAGAGACTGAATCACTTACGAAGTTCTCCTGGTAATAGAGATTTTGATCTGGTGATAAAAGTAAGGTAGGAGAGATGTGAAGAGATTCAAGAAATATTTAAGATGTAGAATAAACAGGACTTGGTGGTAGATTGAATGACACAGGGATTGAGGAGGAATCCAGAGTATAAGTTGCAGTAACAACTTCAGAATTTTCTTATGTAGATAGTTTAGTAATAAATAGCAGTCTGCAGAGGCCAGGACTTGTGTCTTAAATCTTTTGTAAAACAAATACACTGTTTTTACTTAGGTTATACATTTATTTATAGTGCTTTGTGGGAGGTACTGTTGGAGATTAACAGGTGACTTTTTCAGCCACTGCAAGAGTAGCTCATGTTTTGATTGAGCACAACTAAGTGAATGGCTATTTTCTTAAATAGGTAGCCCTGGAAAAGGGATGAAGCATGGGCGGGGACGTGTAGGGGTAGGTGATCATGAACTCGGTTTTGAATATATTGAGTTTGAGTTATCTGTATGAGATACCCAAGTTGAAAATCGGTTGGGTAGTTGATTGTGTGGATATAGAGCTCAGAAAAGATATCAGAGCTCAAGAAAGAAATTTGGGAGATTTTTGCATACAGATGTTAACTGAAGCCATGAAGTTAGATGGAATTTTAACTAGGATGAAAGTAGAAAGAAGAGGACAGAGTAAGAGAGCTAAAACATCTCAAGAAAAATCAGAAAAATTCTAAAATTAAAAGATTTTGCCAGCGAAGAGCTGGTAAAGGAGATTGAGAAGAAGCAACTAGAGAGGTGGATGGCGACATAGAACAGCGTGGTGTCTTGTGATCAAGAGAAATTTTCAAATACGAGAGTGTTGTCTGCTGGAAGGTCAAGTAAATTGGCTCCAAAAAAATTATCCCCTAAGTTAGGCAATGTGGGAGTGATTGAGCCCATTAGTAGAACACTTTCACTAGAGTGATAGAGACATAGGCCAGATTTTAGAGCAGGAGACGAAAAAATGGAAATGAGAAGAAAAGCAATTCAAAACAATAAGCTAGGAGGACAGTAACTGGAAGGAGAAGTTGTTAAAGGGAGTGTTCTCCTAAACTGTCTACCTCATTTGTTTTCACTTGGAAGTCACATTTTAACTTGTTAATTTATCTACAAAATGAGAGTGTTATTTATGATAGGCAGACTTGATTTTTTTTTTTTCCAGTAAAGGAGAATATACCTGAGGAAACAGTCATGAAAAGAAATACTGGAAAAGGATTTTGGCAGGACTCATGTGCCACATGGCGTGGGCGTATTTACTTATTTTCATTCTATACTGTCCTCCCTCTAGACTGAAAGTGAGATAGGAATAGGAGACGTTTATGAATAGAGGTATATAAAACTACTGGTTCTGAAGTAGGAGAAAAGGAAGCAAAGGTCAAATGGCTACCACATTTCAACCCATAAATTCTAAATACTGGTAGGAATGTGGAACCAAGCACAGTTTCAATCTAAATGTATCGAAATCACATATTTAAGTTCAATTCACACTTCTATGTTATGTCATGAAAAAAGTTCTTGGGTTAAAATTATTATAATTGACATAGAGTTGAGTTGTGATTGCCAGAAGAAAATTTGACTGAATGTTAAAAAGATTAGAGAGAATGGACTTCCTAATAAATATCTGTACTAAAATTGCACTTTGTTTCGTTTTGGCTTGCATAGTATCACTTCTGTTTTATAAAGCCAGATTTGCACTAGTGTAAGCACTCAATTTTTAGAATGAAATGTGTTGCCTCACAGTTATCTGTAGGGTAGATAGATCTTCTCTGTTAGCAGTCTACTCCTAGAAGCAGCATCTCCACTTTGAATCCAGATATGCTTCCTTATACAAATAGTTGGAAGGAGAATTGGAGATCCTCTAATCTGGAATCTACAAAAAAGTTGTGGATTCCCTGACCTATGAACATGGAAAATTTTGCATTGGTTTAAAAACTGTGGTTGAGAAATTTGCCTTTTCTATACAAGTCTAGTAAGTTGGAGTGCAGAATGTGGGGAGATAGTTAAACTTTATTATTTTTTCAGAATATTTCACCATATGTTTTATTTCGACCTTACTTTGGTTTTTAAAAAATATTTGGTATAATGAAGTGGGAATTAGAATATCATTATATAATCATACACACATCGTTATACAATAGAAAACTCATTAGGTAAACAGTGTTTTATTTTCACATGTTCCACAGCTTATCTAACTACTATAGTTAATTAATGTATGATTATAAAGTTATAATAGGGACCCAACAGCAGAGAAAAATGTTGGGCATGGTGGTTCTAAAGAAATTATTGTTGCTATACCCTAGTTAATTATCTTCATTTTGAATATTTGGTTTAGATTTACATATGAGATAGATTCTCCAGGGGTATCCCAGCTTAAAGTCTGAACGTCCTTATTAGTATTTGGATATTTAGATCTATACCAACATTTTGAACAGTATTTAAATATATAAAATACTCAGCATTTTTTTTTTTACTATGGTTATCACATGTGTTTTTGTATGTCTTTGAGCATCTTTTAGAACCTCATGATTATAATTTCGTAGTGGAAATGTACAGATTAAATCATTTCACAGCGTGTGCATTACAAAAAATAGTTACTTTGTGATTCTTATGCAAAAGACTTGAAAGATACCTAATTAAATACATAACAGTTCAAGGAAACTGCTTTCAAATTATATTTCAGCTTATTCTGAATTTTTTTTCTGAGCCAATGCACTATCCTGAGAGGTCTCTAGTAGCATTTCTGAAAAGGATCTTTTTTTTTTTTTTTTTTTTTTGAGACGGAGTCTCGCTCTGTCGCCCAGGCCGGACTGCGGACTGCAGTGGCGCAATCTCGGCTCACTGCAAGCTCCGCCTCCCGGGTTCACGCCATTCTCCTGCCTCAGCCTCCCGAGTAGCTGGGACTACAGGCGCCCGCCACCGCGCCCGGCTAATTTTTTGTATTTTTTTAGTAGAGACGGGGTTTCACCTTGTTAGCCAGGATGGTCTCGATCTTCTGACCTCATGATCCACCCGCCTCGGCCTCCCAAAGTGCTGGGATTACAGGTGTGAGCCACCGCGCCCGGCCTGAAAAGGATCTTTTAAGTTGGTTTCCTGAATCTCAAGTTACGGACCTTTCACTTCTAATCCCCCAAAATGAAGTCCTTTACAGTCTTTTATCTTGATGTTTATGTGGTCATTGCTGTGCTTCTGAAGCATGTTTCAAATAAATGGTAATTTGCCTCCATAGAGACCACTCTAAGCTGCTGATGTCATCAGTTGTTCTTAATAACCATAATTACTGAGCAATATAGAATCGCTATCTAAAAACTTAGCAGTGTTGAACAAGTTAAAAGGGATTTTTTCCCCACTATATTGTGTGTGTGCTGAGCACACTACAAATAAATATTCTCCTGTAATGTTTTTAGAGGAAGAAATAGTTCAGTCTCTTAAGTGCCCTAAAAGAAGATACAACATAGTTTTCCTATACTATGATGCCAAAGTGATAATTTTGGCTACCAGAACTCTTAACCAGTTATTAATGTTGTTGATATGAATTATTTATTTCTGAGGAGTAACAACATCAACAATTGATATTTCTTAATTAAAATAGTTACTTATCTAAGTAATCTTATTTTTGTCTTTGTAGTCAGATTATTTCTAAGATTGTATATTAAGTAGGAACTTCATATAAAAAGAAACCTCAGCGGGCACAGTGGCCCATACCTGTAATCCCAACACTTTGGAGTGCTGAGGAAGCAGGATCACTTGAGGCCAGGAGTTCAAGACCAGCCTGGACAACATAGTGAGACTCCATCTCTAGAAAAAATAAAGAAGTTGGGCATGGTGACACACACCTGCAATCCTAGCTACTTGGGAGGCTGAGGCAGGAGATTCACTTGAGCCCAGAAGTTTGAGACCACAGTGAGCTATGAAGGTGCCACCACGCTACCGTGGGTGATAGAGCAAGACCCTGTCTATGGAAAGGATGGAGTGGGGGAGGAAAAGTCCGTAACTAGAGAAAAAATTAAGCTTATTGTTTTCAGTTCATCATCTGTAAAATGGAGATGACAATACTGATTACAAAGATTTTTTTAAAGGAATGTATATATCTTGGCACACATTTATAATTGATGTATATTCATAGTAATGCTCAATAAATTATAGTTATTAATATGATAGCTTTCTACATAAAGCTATTTGTGTGTTTACTTGAAGTTCTAAACCTTAAGGGTTTTAAATAAAAATCTACCTTTTAAGTAACATATCTGTGCATTATGTAAATAAGACTTTGAAAAATACAATTTTTAGAATGTGTTTGCTGATCCAACCTCTGACAGAGAAGTTGGGAACATTTAAATAGTTACAATTTTTTTTCAAATAAAGTAAAAATATTTAATTTTTAAAATCATTAAAGTAGGTTTTTCTTAAGACATTTGTAGTTTAGAATATGCATTTTATCACAAAGAGTGAATGCATTCATTAGTAGTCCAGGAATCCTAATTCCTGAGAAAATGTAACCTGATAGGTTGTATATGACCAAGCAAACTAGAATTAAAGAAGACAGTGAAATGGAAAAAGGCTAGGAGATGAATTTAAACCTTGGAATATATACTGTCACTAATACTGCAGTTGGGCCAAGTGCGGTGGCTCACACCTGTACTCCCAGCACTTTGAGAGGCCAAGGCAGACGGATTGCTTGAGCCCAGGAGTTAAAGACCAGCCTGGGCAACATGGCAAAACCCTGTTTCTACAAAAGTTACTACAAATTAGCCAGGTGTGATGGCATGTGCCTATAGTCCCAGCTACTCAGGAGGCTGAGGTGGGAGAATCACCTTAGCCTGGGAAATTGAGGATGCAGCGAGCCATGATTTCGCCACTGCACTCCAACCTGGACGACGGAGTGAGACTCTGTCTCAAAACAAAAACAAAAACAAAACAACCTGGAGTTGAAGAAACCAGGTTCTTCATTGTGTTGTCTTTCTGCCAGAGACACTGTTTACTTAAGTGTAGGCTACGAGGAAATAACTACACTCAGGGACCTGAAGTTTTTGTGACTAACAGAAGAGTTCATGTTATTTTTATAGTAATAGGCTAGTTTTACACAAGGCTGATGAATTCATTAACAACTTAAATGAACAAATTCTATCAACTATAATCAATCATTTTATGATTAAATGAATATTACCAATATTTGACATGTTTTGTAATATGTAGATTATATTCCTGAGAGATTAAATAAGAACTCTGTAGGCCGGGCATGGTGGCTCATGCCTGTAATCCCAGCACTTTGGGAGGCCGAAGTGGGTGAATCACTTGAGGTCAGGAGTTCAAGACCAGCCTGGCTAACATGGTGAAACCCCATCTCTCCTAAAATACAAAAATTAGCCAAGTGTGGTGGTGGGTGCCTATAACCCCAGCTACTCTGGAGGCTGAGGCAGGAGAATTGCTGGAACCCGGGAGGCGGAGCTTGCAGTGGGCCGAGATCGCGCCATTGCACTCCAGTCTGGGGAACAAAAAGAGCCTCCATCTCAAAAAAAATAAAAACAAAACAAAACAAAAAAACTTTGTAGTAGATACTGTAGGAAGAAAGTTTTAATTATCATTAACCATCTTAGAAAGCTTCTTGCCTTTGGTGGGGAACCTGTATAAATGTTTTCTGCTCTGTTCTGATCTCTTAATAGTTTGTGTAATATATTCCTATAGTCATAGCATGTAGATATCTATAACTGTCTCTTAAATTTTCCTGAAAAGGAAAGTTTTCATATATCATTTAAATTCCACAAGGCTTCTCATAACTTAAGAAGTCTTAACTATAACCAAGGTGGATCTGAGAAATTCAGTCTTACACTTCTCTCACATCTGCTTTTGTTTTCTCTACTGTCTTTACCTTAAAAGAAAAATAAACAGCAAAACATTTATAAAATATTAAGAGAGAAAATGAAAAAACTAGCCCGAACTCAGTCTCTCAGTTTCCTTAATCATCCAATCATCCAATCTTTAGCTGTCTGTTTCATCTATTGCAGAAGCCTAAAGACAGCAGTGATGAAACAAAAATCTCAGTAACATAACTAAAGAATAAGAGGAAACTGTGGACAAATGACTAGCAAACAGCAAGTTTTTGAAAGAGGGTCAAGGATAGGGCAGATGTTTCCTTAATACATTTCTGTAAGCTAAAGGTCTATTAATTCAGTTATTTATCAGAATGCCATTTGGTAAAATACCTCCTCTAAAACACTGAATGTAATACTAAATCTTTGACAGTTGGAATGGGTTATTAGTTTATTTCCAGGAGTTGTTTAAAAGACATAATCATAACAAAAATAGTACAGAAACAAAGTGACTTTACCATTTGGGATGTCAGGTTTATAATTCACATTATTTTCAAATAGCAATTCTGTAGGACAGGATTTTTCATGAGTTGGAAGTTAAGACAGAGGAATTGATACTAAGTTTTGTTATCAGCTTGACTCTTGTGGAATACTTTTCTACTGCATTTCTGTATTTGAAGTCTTGTTAATTGTCCTCTCACAGAATAAAGGCTAGAAGAGAGGTTCTATGAGATTCTCCCCCCCCTTTTTTTTTTTTTTTTTGAGATGAGGTCTCACCCAGACTCGACTCGAACTCCTGGGCTTAAGGGTTCCTCCCACCACTGAGCCCCGCTGAGATTCTCTTAATGTGTGCTCCAACATCTTCAAGAGGAATGAAAAAAGATATAAGTCCTTCATTGCAATAGAAAGTAGATCCAATAATAAAAAAAAATCCTAAGTATATTTGCTTTTATGAAATTGTGATTGTCTTTGTTATTTTTCAAGAGAAGTTTATTTTTAGTATTAAATCAGTCCTTGAACTGGTATCAAGGAAAAAGATATCTCACAGAAGAGTTTTCTTTCTGCAAGCAACTGGCAGAAATGTGACATGTTTGATTATGTATCCATTTGTATTCCCTATGTATTTTAATGTTTCCCAAACTGTTGTTCATCATAAAATGAAAAATATGTAAAGCTCTGTTTAATTATGTCTTTGCATATCCATGTACTCTTTTTTTTTGGCAGGTGGGGAAGGTAGCTTTAAATACTCTATTAATTTGTGTAGGCTTTCTTGATTTTGTCATTTAAAAAAGATTTCATACATTGAGATAGATGTGTATTATAGACATCATCTATAGGCTCTTAAAATGAAATTGCTGTTTCCACAATTAAACAAATTCCTTGCAAGATTAGTCAGGAAGAGAAACGGAAATATACCAAAATATAACAAAGTATATTTTAGAAAATATCAAAGCACTATAAATACCACCCTCTTCTCCATCAGGTGCAGACTGTGATTCCTCCCTAAATTATAGATCTGTGAGTTTGAAAGAACAGAAGGAATTTGATAACATTTCATTGCAGCAAAGTTTTTGCCAAACCGCTTTTCACAGAGCCCTTGTATCTTACATCTCAGTGTTTCTGAAAGAGCCAAAATTAGTTCTTATTGATGCTCAAGCAACTGAGGAATTATGAGCATTCCATTAAATAAGGGTACCAGTTTGTAACTATGTCATTGCATGTTAATACTTTTTGATTCCCCTAATGACTAAATATGGTTCTCAATGTGTGTGATTTCCATCTGAATCAAAGGGAGTCATGTACACAAAGCTAGAACTTGATGTAGTGCTACTTTGAAATATAAAAGAGTATTTCCACAACACATGCCTTCAAACTTTAAATGAAACCCATAACAGATGTGAAAAAAGAATTATGACAAGGACAACCTAATATAAGTTTTATAAATTTTAGGAAATGTCATCTTTTTACTGGTTTCAGAGACTTTTTCAAATGTTTTAAACACAATTTTCAGATAACAATAATGAAAAGCTGAGCCCCAAACCAGGGACAGGTGAACCAGTTTTAAGTTTGCACTACAGCACAGAAGGAACAACTACAAGCACAATAAAACTGAACTTTACAGATGAATGGTAAGTTAATATTTTTGTAAAGATGTTCTTAGCCATTTTGTAGGATTGTATTAGATTTTAATTTTTAACACTTCGTCATCTTTATGTTTTGTTTTGCTATAAGGTATTGGTTTTCAAACTTGAGTGTGCTTCAGAATCACTGGGAGAGCTTGTTAAGATGCATATTACTGGACCCCACTCTCAGAATTAGGTTTGGAGTGGGGGTCTGAGAATTTGCATTTTTAAAAACTTTCCAGATGATGCCGGTGCTGCTCATCCTAGAATATTTCTTCTGATAGAAAATGCAAAAGATAATACTAATAATAATAATTAAAATTAGTGCAAAAATATAAACATTTTGGGACTTTTTGCAGTCGTGGTCCTAGGTAGGTGTATATGTATGATTTTTGTTTTGAGTTTTAGAATATAATTTTAGTGATACTAAATATACTGTATTCTCCCCTGCATTTGTTTGACTTTATAATAAATATTCCCATGTTACTACTTAGTTTTAATAAATATTATTTTACTAGCTGTGTAATAGTCCATCAAGTAGATGTTCTATAGTTTACTTAGCCATTTTCATTTAATTGGGCAGTAAATTTGTTTACCATTTTTTACCAAATAAGGCTTTAATGAATATCTTTGCTTATAAAGCCTTTTCCTGCCTTCAAGATTATTTGAGAGATATTTCTGAAATGAACTATATCTAGATTAAAAGATATTGCCAAATTATTTCCAAAAGAATCTTTACTTACTATAGTCCTACTAGACACATGTAGAAGTATACGATTTACTGTCTCCAGGCTAGTGTTCAATATATTTATTTATTTTTAACTTCTATATTTGATTTAAAAATACTTTTAGTATTTAATTGATTATTAGTAAGGTTGAACTTTTTCTTTATTTAATGGTCATATAGCTTCTCTTTAATAATGTTTCTGATCATATTTATTGCTCATTAATCTAATGAAACTTTACATTTGAGAAAAGCAAGTTATGTAAGCTTTTTATACTCTTTCCCACTATCTCATGACCATTTGAATGAGAGAGCATACAAAATTTTTAAACTTAGGAATAGTAATCTATTAGTTAATATATTGATATAGTATTTCTTAATATATAATATAGTTGTATAATATTTGTTAATATATAATTATACCAATTGTTTAATGACAATATATTAATTATTCATAATTAATATATTAATATATTAATATATTAAATATTTAATTGTATATTAATATATGATCATGTTATCTGTTACTATAATATATGTAATATAATATAGTTATGTATTGTCTTAATATGTAATGAATTATATGTTGATATGTGATATTACTTTTATTTAAATTCACTGGTTTCCATTTGTGTTTATGTATGTGTGTATTTTATATTAAAATATTTGATTAAGTAGGATCTTAAAATACTATTGGATATCTTCTATGTTCCGGGGACTATTCTAGACATTGGAAATACATCAGTGAAATAAAGTACTTAAAACCCCTGCCTTATTGGAACTTACATTCTAGATGGAGGAAGTTTATTATAAACATAATTAATAAGTGTACCATATAGTATGTTAGAAGGACAATGGAGGAAAATAGAGCAGGTAAAAGTGATTGGGAAACCTAGGCATCATTGAGAAGGTGACATTTGGGCAAAATGTCACTTGAAGAGTGAGAAGGAGTGAGCCACGTATTTATATCTAGGGGAAGAGCATTTGGGGCAGAGAGAAAACCAGTACAAAGACTCTGAAGCAGAAGCATCAGACCTAGTATGTTCAAGGATCTTAAGAAGACCAGTGTAGCGGGAGTGGAGTGACCAGTGGAGAGAAGAGTAGTAGATAAGGTCAGCCAGGAAATTGAGGAGGATATTTAAAAGGAAAAGGTTATTTCTGGTTATTGTGTTGAGCATATGCCATCAGTAGAAACCAGAAGAACAGTTAAAAAGCTATGGCAGTAAGAAAGGTGAGAGGTGGTGGTGGCTTAGACAAGGATGGGAGCAGTGGAGGTGGTTTAAAAAAAAAAAAAGTGATGGGATTCTAGATATATATTTGAAGGTGCAGCCAGTAGGACTTTATAAGTCTTAGTGCCTGACCATTTAAAAATTGTGATGTTTGTGGCCCTTTTTCTTAATACATAATTTAAGATGACAGTAGGTCATCGTACTTATCACGTCTTTTCCATTCTCATGTTTCTGTACACAAGGAGCTGGCATCTTCTGAAGAATCTTATCTAAACTTTTTGGGCTTTTTTTTTTTTTAGAGAAAATCATTAGTCCCATTCTTCTTTTGAATGCTACTTTTCCTTCTCTAAAAACTGACCATGAATTATATTCTCATTCATCAATTTCTTATTTCTTTGTCAGAAAAGCAGTTAGCATTTTTTATTATTATGCAAGTATTCAACATTCATTGTAAAAAAAAAAAAAAAACCAAACAGGCAGAACTTAAAAAAAAAAAGTATACAGACTTTTTCATCTATATCAGGATTGTCTCTTGCTTTTATTTTAGTTTCTTTGGCAACAGATGAGGCAATAGAACATGCTAAGAGCTTGGACTGAAATTGACAAGTTTTTGAATCTCTCTAAATCTCAGTTTTCTCCCTTGAAAACGGGCATGTTTAATAGAACCTACTTCATAGGTTTAGTATGAAGATTTAATGAGATCATGCAGAGAAAGTACGTAGCACTTACTAGCACATTGATTGGCACCTGAGAAGGCCCTCATTGATTGTTAGCTACAGTTCTCATCTTTTGTAAATTGTCTTTCAGATACTTTGCCCAGTTTTCTATGGTGTTTATCTTTTTCTTATTGCGTTATTAGAGCTATTTATTTATTATAGAATTAAATGAGGATTATACCATTTGTCTTTCATTTGTTGCAAATATTTTTCCCAATTTGGTGTTTGTTTTTCAGTTTACTTACAGTGGTTTTGCCTTATGGTTTCTGCCTGTGATAGCATGCATAGGAAAGCCTTGTTATTCCTAGAATTAAGGGAAAAGGTTCTTATATTCCTCTCATATTTTCTATAATTTAGTATCAAAAACTGTATATTCCTTCTAGAATTTATTTTCCCATAAAGTATAACGTGAAGCCATAGCTTTGGTTTTACCACATGGCTGTTTTCTTGTCTCATTACCATTTATTGAATAATCTTTTTATTTCTGTGTGATTTAAAATGCCATATTAACGTATGTTAAATATATTTACTCGGTTGCTGTGTCTTTTCCACTAATATGTCTCTATTCCTACTCAGTACCATAATATTTTAATTACTATAATGTATACACTAAGCGTTTTATTCATGCCTGAATCATAGCTTTCTCAATGGAAAAAATAAATATATATATACCACCTTAGCTTTTTTTTGCCAAAATAGCTATATATTCCTTTCTGGTTTAAAAGAAATACATGTTTGTCGCGCACACACACACACACACACACACACACACACACACACACAAATTCAGTATAAAAAATTTACCTGCAGTAATTCTACTGACATGACACTCAACACTGATGCATAGCCTTCCTGACATTTTTCTCTGCATATATACACCCATATGAATATACAGTTTTAGTTAAATAATATTATATATGTACTCTCTTTTTTTTAAAAAGTCAATTTGACTTCTGCAGTCAGCCTAAAAGAGTTTTTGTCATGGCAAAAAGTCCATGATCGTTTGTATTGTTTATTGAGTTACTGGTATTTGTCTATAATTAATGTTTTTTTAAGTTACTGTAAATCTTACTTTTTTTCTTGTTCACATTTATTTTAAACTTAAAGAATTGTTGCATTTCTATGAACTTAATTTAAATCTCAGTCAGATTGTTATACATGTCCTCTTTCTCATTCAGTCCTCTTGTTACACATATGCCATGATTTGTCACAGAATACTTATTGAAAATTATTTCTTTAAAAATTGGCCTCGTATTCCGCTATAGCTAGAAATGCTAATAGAACTATAGTCATCATCAGGTGAGTATTAAAACTGAAGCAGAAAATATTACCCTGTCCTTCTACAGAACTATGATGCTCAGTCACCTGCCATGTTTGAACAGCAGATCAGAACTGGAAGTGATCCACAGGGAGCAGTTCAAAAGACCAAAGAACTGGCCAGGCTTTTGTTCAAATACTAATTTTAAAGTAGCCTGGAATAACAGAGTCTAGAAGGGCATATGATAAAAATCTGTATAACCATTAAGGTTTTGGATATGGTGAACCATCTGTAGTGAAGACAAGAAAGGAGACAATGTAGTTCACTTAAAATTCAATAGAGAGACATGTAGAAATACATACTAGATAATGAAAGGATCCAAACAGTGAAGAAGCAGTCCCTTTATATTTTTGAATTTTTTTTCAAGAGTAAAGTGTGTTATGATAGTCATCTTGATTTGTTTGAAATGATGTTTACAAATGCTATTAAAATTATAAATCCTACATTTTACTTGTGAATTTTTTGGTCTACCTTTCTAGTTGTAAAATATAAAAATCCTAAAAGATCATATTGATTAACTTCTTGGTGGAATCACTTATCTTGTTTTGATGATAGGAGCAGTATAGCATCAAGTTCTAGAGGAATTGGGAGCCATTGCAAATCTGAGGGTCAGGAGGAATCTTTCGTCCCACAGAGCTCAGTGCAACCACCAGAAGGAGACAGTGAAACAAGTAAGGTGTTATTTTGCTTTTGTTGTTATAAAATTGCAGCATTGGATGTTTATCTACTTTCCTGTTCCCTTCGATGCTGTATTTTGTTTCTTGTTTTTAATAAATTACTTTTGCTTCTATAGTCCAGCTGTTAAACTGATAGATAGCAAATCCAAAAGATGGGGACCTTAAGCAGTTAAAATGAGGAGACACAGTGAAGCACAATCCTCTTTGTGGACACAGTGGCCAGGATAGTTGTTCATCATACTATAAATGGATGAGATATAAATGTTAGTTTGAATTAGTCTTTATCATTTTTATACCTAGCAATGAAATCCACTGTATTTGTTTTGGTTGTATATGTGGTTTATAGAGGGGGAAAAAGGAATAGAATCTAAACAAGTTACGAGTGAATCTATTTAATACCTGAAGTGCCACTTAAGGGATTTTTCAGAACCCTTTTCTAATAGAATATTTTTATATGACAATTACATGAAATTTAATGTCTAGCACAGAGACTAGAACACAGTAGATGTTCAATAAATGCTTGATTAATGAAGGAATAAATGAATTATATTTCTTATAAATGTGTAGGTACCTTAGTATAACAGAGTTTAAAATTAAGTATGTGTAAGACAGCTATCTGGTAAGCAAATGTCCAGTAAGGAACATTAAAGACTGATCCTTCATGCATCTGACAGTTAAATTCCAGAATTAAGTATTTTCAGTGGCCAAAACAGAATTTATAGTATGGTCAGCTTAACTACTTGTTCATGATAGTTTAGATTTTACCAAATACATGATAGAGGGGCAGAAAAATGCTCAGTTTTAAGTTTAGATTTCGGGAAGGTTAGTAAAATGCAGGATCAGGTAATTTCAGCTGTAAGGGATAGTCTAAAGCAGAGATTCTGCACATAGAGTTCATGAAGCTCAATTCCTGGGCTTCAGGAAGAAGCAGTGGGCCCATCCGTCCATGATAGTGTTTGTACAATTTTGTGTGCAAATACATATTTGCCTTGTACTGAGGGGAGGTTTTAGCTGAATGTCAAAGGTTCCTATGACTCAGAAAGGGTTAAGAACCATTTATCCATAGGAAAGCTGGAGTATTAAGTTGATGTTTACTTTTCTAAAAAAATCTGGATTTAATGATACATTTGGCCCTACATGCCCATGGATTCCATGGAAATACTCCCTCCCAAAATAACAATATGACAATAAAAAGGAACATAGATTTAAAAACAATAACAGCGTAGCAACCGCTTACATAGCATTTACATTGCATTAGGTATTATAAGTAATATAGAGATAATTTACAGTATAAGGAAGGGTATGCATAGGTTATATGCAAATATTATGCCATTATATATGAGGGACTTGAGGAGCTGCAGATTTTGGTATTTTCAGCGATTTTAGAACTAATCCCTCATGGATACCAAGGGATGACTGTAATTTGGTTTACTTACAGAAGCTCCTGAAGAATCATCAGAGGATGTGACAAAATATCAGGAAGGAGTATCTGCAGAAAACCCAGTTGAGAACCATATCAATATAAGTGAGTTGCTCCCTTTAGATAATTGCTTTGTATGGGAAAATAAAAAGCCTTAATCTATGTTAATCTCTCTATAGTTAGAGGCCATGTTCAAGTGTATTGTGGAAGTTTCCTCCCCTTATAGAGGAATTAGACATCATATTAGAATGTGTTTGTGAGCTCCTAAGTTAGGTTAAATAATTAGTATTGCCCACATTACCACCTGTTACATACAACTTTATTTTCTGACAGCACAATCAGATAAGTTCACAGCCAAGCCATTGGATTCCAACTCAGGAGAAAGAAATGACCTCAATCTTGATCGCTCTTGTGGGGTTCCAGAAGAATCTGCTTCATCTGAAAAAGCCAAGGAACCAGAAACTTCAGATCAGACTAGCACTGAGAGTGCTACCAATGAAAATAACACCAATCCTGAGCCTCAGTTCCAAACAGAAGCCACTGGGCCTTCAGCTCATGAAGAAACATCCACCAGGGACTCTGCTCTTCAGGACACAGATGACAGTGATGATGACCCAGTCCTGATCCCAGGTGCAAGGTATCGAGCAGGACCTGGTGATAGGTTGGTAAATTTTTAATTAACATGAACTGTAAAAAATGTATTTCACAAGGATTTGTTTGAAGTCATTGAAGGGAATCTCTCCATTTTTGACAGTTGCTTCCTCTAAGAGTGTCTCATTCATATAAACTTAAAGAAACTTTACAGTTTACTGTAAATGATTTTACGTATTATATTCTTTGAGCACTGTGCATTAATAGGGAAATAAAAAGTCTTCATTCTCCATATCTCTAGCACTGAGGCTTGCTTCTGAATTTACAGATCAAGAGAAAAGAATGTTAAGAATGACCCACAGGTTATTTATGAAGTCAAGGTTATACTTAGCTCTCAGATTATCTTGTAGATATCCAGGCCTTTATCAGTGTTGTTTTGGTTTTAATGTTAATTTTTTCTGCTTTTCTATTGACCCTGGATTAAGGTAGTGTGTTAGTAGTTCTGTTTTTGGGAACACTGTTTTTCTTTGATTTCTACTAAACTTAGTGACTGAATTTAGAAAATGAAAAATTATACCAAATAAATACCATAGCAGCAATAAAAAATTGAATTGCCAACATGTTTTTATAGTTTTTCTATATTTTATGTGATCACAAGGATATATTTTCTTTTGTGGGAGTTAAAATAAATTTTTAAAGTATACTGCATTTCATACTCATGGAAAACTATTTCTATTATTAGTGCTATCATATCTTATTGTAAGTTCTGTCCTCTTTCAGAGAACCTAGTTTTAATCTTAAAATCCTAGTTTACAAAGGAGTGAGATTCTATTTGAAATATTTCACATTTTATATGCTCAATATATTGCTGTTTATAAGATACCCTAAAGTATCTGTCAACTGAAAAATATAATGAAAGATTAATTTACCACTCATAGTCAAGAGCATGATGATGGGTTTGAATACTGGTTTCACCACTTACCAGCAGTGTTTTTTCATTCAAATTACTTAATGACTCTTAAAGATTCAGTTTCTTATCTATAAAATAGGGTTATGATTATCTAAAATTATTGTAAGAATTTTAAAAAAATCTATCAGTCAATCATGATGTGACCTGGCTCATGTTAATAGCACTAATTAAATGATAGCTGTATTAAACAATCAAGATAGTCTATGAGGCCACTTTAATTTTTAAAAGAATTACAGTAAGAATGACTCTAGGGATAAAGACTGAAAGAAGACAGGCAAAAATCCTGAAGAGGATAGCTTGCAGCTCAGGGGAACTGCCTTTTCTTAACTATGAAAGGGTATGTTTCTTTCTTTAGTCATATTTGGGAAATGTTTACTTTGCCATGGCACTTTTTTTGTAGATATGAAGCAAGAATTTCCCATGTTTATACTTAGAGATTAATCAAACATCTTCTCTTTACCTGTACACAGTAATCTTGAGCATTCTTAGTATATATTTTAGGCAAGTAAGACTTAGTTCTATTTCTTTCCATACCCAGAGGGAGTTCCTTAGAATGTCATTACCACTTAATTTATGCAGATGAGGTTAGCAAGCTTAGCACAATTTGAAAATCAAACTGATAATTTCCAAAATCAAACTGATAATTTCCAAAACCCAGGGTTGAGAGCTAGATTCTATAATTAAGCTTGTACATTTATGGCCTTCCATTTATATAAATGAGCTAATGTCTTATTTTTCTACATTTAAGTAGTAGAACATGATACGGAGGTCATAATTGAAAATTAAATTTAAGTGCCCAGTTTCTAGTAATGTTTTTAATGGATATTAGACACTTTGAGAAAGTCATAACTATTTAGCAGCTTCTATGCAGGCTAATTATAACACTTAATACCAAGCCTGCTTTATAGCTGAGGAAACTTAGGTGCTAAGCAAAGGGTTTTGTATATTCTAGAGCTAAGGAGTTTTGTTTTTTGAAACACAGTACTATAACATTAATGAGAAAGGAGGATTTGAGGGAGGGTGGGTCCTAGAGAATACAGAAACTGTAATCTTTCTATAGATCTTTATCATCTTCATAATACTTAGATGATTTATATGTTTTAGGGATTCTTTTAGCATTTAGATCTGTCACAAAGTTGGTTCCCAATAGCCTCATTGACCCAAGGAAACCCAGATGCTGAACTAGACTAGCAGAATCTTTTAGAAGAGAGATAATCAGTGACAACAAACAGCCTGGAACTGATCCCACTTCATGCATATACTCTTGAATTCATACTTTCATGGTTAAATCCAGATTTGAAACCACTCTGGGATCACATTTAGTTCCCTGCTTTTTAAAAATTAAATATTATTTAATATTCTGTACACTCATTTGAGTATTTAGCCTATGTTGGTCCTACATGGTATTTTGTTTTGTAAGATATAGTAGTAAACTTCCTGAAGAGTAACAGAAGAACGATAAAATTCTTATCCTTCAAGAAACTTAATTATTTATGAATAAGAGAGAATACCGAAGCCATTTATAGGAACATAGAAAACATTTAATATATGAAAGTAAATACAATTATATATATATGTGTGTGTGTGTATATATATATAAAAGATGTGTATACTGAGGTAATTAGAAAGTGATTAGAGTAACAATTACATTAATTTTCCTTTGAGATTTGCATTATTTTCTAGCTCTTTACCAAAAATTTGTAAATGGTGTAAATATTTCCTCTGACTTTTATCTAAATCGGTTATTATAATTCTTAACTTTTTTGGCACCATCCTGATTTAATCTTGAACAACTGTAAAAAAGTATACTTTTAATATTTCTGCACCTTTCTAAGGGCTCTTCATCATTGACACTCCTGCCAGTTTATCTTACTTCTCAATTTAGCTGACTTTTATTCTAAAGAGAGAAAGTTTAAGAGATTTTGCTTCTTAAGAACATGAAAAGAATCACTTACCAGCTTGTAATTAGTCCTATGATTTTGGAGAGTTTCTGTTTCCCAAGAGACTAAGGGTTGTGAAGCTCTGTTGTAACAATCATACCATTTGGTTCCTAGAGTCCAAGGATACATTGCACACATGGATGAAATGCCCACCTAAAAGGATGTATGTCTTAAAGTTCCCTCCATGCTGCCATTTGCAAAGCCCAGTCAATATTAGTTTAGCTGGGGTAGAGAAGTGGTCCTAAAATTAAATATTATACAAGTGTATACTTAATTTGATCTGTACTTTATATGAAGAACTATATAGTGGACCTCATCAGTTTTTGTTCCAAATTTAATTTTTAAAAGGAAACTTTAAAAGGCTTTATAGCTAAGTCATTTCTGACAAATTTACTGAAAATATCAGAACAGTTCCTTGCAATACAGAGTAATGATTTTTAAAAAAATATTTACATTCTTATAATTTGGTTAAATAAATGACCCAGGTTTTCACTTTTGGGCTGAGATCAAGCATGAGAAGGAAATGTCTTAGAAAATGAAGACCTTAACAACTAACATAGATATTTTTAAATGGAATGCTCTTCTCATTAACTACAGCAAGTCTATGTAAATGTAACTGGGAGTCTATAGCAGAGCAGCAGACTTACTCCTAAAGAGCCATATAGTAAATATTTTGGCTTTGTTGGCCAGGAGACAAAATGGAGACCATTATGGTAGGTACTTATATGACCATTTAAAATATTAACATTTAAAAATGTAAAAACTATTCTTAGCCTAAGGTTCATTTCAAAAATCGGCATTTGGCGGAGATCTAGCCCAAGAGCCATAGCTTGCAAATACCTGCTCTATAGTAATCAGTGTTATAGAGAGAAATCAAACTATAGTCTGTGGTAAAATGCCTCTACTGGCAAAAATCCAGACTTTGAAACAATGAAATAATATGAATCTCCACATATTTGGGTTCCCTTTAACTTTGCGTAAGGCAAGAACATGGAACAGTAAATGGGAAATAAATTGAAAAAAGACAGAAAGAAATGTTTGTTCTCTAATCATGGTGTTTAAAAAAATAAAATTAGTCCTAATGTCAAAAATAAGTCTGACTTAGGAAAAAAGCAAAACAAAGCAAAAAAATAGTATGTGTATCTTTTAGTGATTTTATATACTGTATTTATTTCATTTTGTTTTATTTTTTTGAGACAGGGTCTTGCCCTGTTGCCCAGGCTGGAGTGCAGTGGTATGATCATAGCTCACTGCAACCTCATACTCCTGGGCTCAAGCGATCTTCCTCCCTCAGTCTCCCAAGTAGCTGGGATTACAGGTGCATGTTGCTGCACTCTGCTAATTTGTTGTTGTTGTTGTTGTTGTTTTTTTTTTTTTTTTTTTTTAGAAGAGACAGTCTCACTATGTTGACCAGGCTGGTCTTGAACTCCTGGCCTCAAGCCTCAGCCTCCCAAAGTGCTGGGGGACTATAGGCGTGAGCCACCGCGCCTGGCCATATACTGGGTTAAGAAACGTAAATATATGCCCTTGGAATGAAAAGAGTGTGGTTGAGATCTCTGTTTAGATAATCTGCATATAATTTTTTTTTTTTTTTTTTTTTTTTTTGGAGACGGAGTCTCGCTCCCTCACCCAGGCTGGAGTGCAGTGGGGCAATCTTGGCTCACTGCAAGCTCTGCCTCCCAGGTTCACGCCATTCTCCTGCCTCAGCCTCCCAAGTAGCTGGGACTACAGGCGCCTGCCACCACGCCCAGCTAATTTTTTGTATTTTTAGTAGATACGGGGTTTCACCGTGTTAGCCAGGATGATCTCGATCTCCTGACCTCGTGATCCGCCTGCCTCAGCCTCCCAAAGTGCTGGGATTACCGGCATGAGCCACCGCACCCAGGCTGTATAATTTTTTTTTTTTTTTACAATGCCAAATCTGTTGTAAGTGATTTGACGGCCTGATTGGTAGCTCTTACTGTTTCTAAACTCAAGAGAAAACCTAAATTACTCTCTGAAAAAAAAAAACAAGCATCTAAGAAAGCTTCCTGAATAAGTCCTCACATAGTCTTGAATAGTTTTTAATTATAGCCTCAGTTAGGATGATCTAACAATTTTTTCCCTAAAGAGTGATTTATCCTATATTGCCCTTTAATAACTTTTAAAGTGTTATTTTCATAGAAATTTGGTTCCATATACCTACTCTGGACCATGGAGCATAGCCCTCACTTTTAAAGCCAAAATTCCTTGTACTGTAAATTTGGCAGCATTTATTCAGTCATCATTGTAACCATGATTTCCTTATTTCTCATTATTGCAGTTTACTCTTTATTAAAGAAAATTGCAGAGAGAAAAGATGTACTCAAAGAGAAAGAACTGGACTCCTAGGGAGTTAAAAGCCCTGTTATTCTTTGCTCATTTGTTATATAGTCTTGTGGTTAGGCCAAGTGAATTAGCTTAGGGCTTAATTATTTATTTTCCAAAGAGCTCCTCAGCTTTGAGGAGCATGTACGTGTTCCAGAGGATGGTATTCATTATAAGCCAGTGCAGTTTCCCATACTGTGACAGGATTGGGTTCTGATTTATTTAAAAGATAAAAGGGATTAAGTGCAATGTCTTCCTTCTATTCTAGCTTCAATGAGTGTTTCTGTTTCCTTAATTTCTTCATATACATTTAGTTGACTGACATATTCCTTGCTTAATGCCCGAAGTCACAAAGGGAAACAAAAGTTTTTTTTTAAATTGAGATGATTGATGATAAAAAGGGTGTCCTTAATGCTTTAAATATTTGGTTCTTTGAAGTCTTTGTAAGTGATTTCAGTTATTGTGTTCCCTTCACTAGATTTAATATCAGAGGAACAACAATAGGTGATAGAATAATGAGGTAATTCAGTATGTTCCTTCATAATTTTTTTTTTATGATGGATTTGCCAGGTCTTCTTTTGCCACAGCTAACCACCTTTCCTATTAACAGTTAATACTCCCTTTGGACTTACTGAATTCTAAGTGCTAAGCATTGTAAAGCAGGTCGCTTTCCACAAACTATATTTAGCTGCATGCACTGCATGGGGATAGAATGAAAAGAAATTTCCTGTGTGCAGACTGATGTTCACTTCAAATATGTCATATGGCAAAGTAACTATAATCTGAAATGATGTACTTTAAGTATCAGTTACTCTTTTTGGATATTTTGTTGAAGAATGCAATTTATGTTTTTTAAATTTGATTGGGATAACAATTACCAACTTTTTGTTATTCGTATATGCTCCTTTTCCTTGAGCTCAATAACTAAAAATGTACTTGAATCTAAATCTGTGTATAGGTTTCTGATTTTTGCAAGAAAGTTGTTTCCTTATAAATAGTTTAGAAATAGTGTCACATATCAAGATGATATATAAGCCTCAAGCACTTCTCTATTTGGGACATATTTTTGAGTAGATCTTTAAAGTGAACCTCAATGACATCAGTCACCTACTGAAAACCTGTTTTGCTGACAAAATCAACCTTGTACTTAACTCTAGAGGCATATATCTGTTATTTACCATCAGTTTCTAAAACAGTTGAACATGAAACATATAGCAACAATCAGAAATGTAAAGTTTGTAGAGTTCCTAATGAAAAATACAGAAGTCATGAAATAAGCCAAAAAATATAATAGATGTATGGAAATTTCTGGTTATGGTTCATTGTCAGGAGGATTCTCATCTACAAGTCTCAAATTTGTTTTTGCTTCTCAAACTTGTTTTGTTTTGTGCTGTTGTTTCTAGCCTGTTTTAACATTAAGGTATATTTGAAATAACTTTTTCAAATTATTACTAGTTATCACTTTCTTTTTTTTTTTTTTTCCCCAAGATGTAGCCTTGCTCTGTTGCCCAGGCTGTAGTGCAGTGGCGCAGTCCCAGCCCACTACAACCTCTGCCTCCAGAGTTAAAGTGATTTTCCCGCCTCAGCCTCCTGAGTATCTGGGATTACAGGCGCCCACCCACCAGGCCCAGTTAATTTTTGTGTTTTTAGTAGAGACAGGGTTGGTCACCATGTTGGCCAGGCTGGTCTCAAACTACTGACATCAAGTGATCTGCCCATGTTGGCCTCCCAGAGTGCTGGGATTACAGGCTTGAGCCACCGCATCTGGCCTAGTTATCACTTTCTGATTAATTGTATGACAATAAAATGGAATTTGCTTCAGAGTTTTTTGATATCCTGATTTATACTTTTTATCACAAGTACGCAAAGCTGGTTTCTGGTTTTATAATGAAAATTGCAACTATAAAGTACCATGATGCTTTAATTGAGTTTTAGAAAAGCTGAAACACTAAAGTAGAGATTATCATGAACTGATAAACAATGGTAAAGCAGAAAATGTAACAGTTACCTCCCTGTAGAGTGAATGAGGTGAGACTCATTCTTCTCTACTTCATTTTATTTCTTATGTAGAGATTATCTGGTGGAAACTTCTAATTATAAGGCAGTATTTTCCTGCCAGTGAACACACATTTGTTCTGCTTCTCCTTTTAGCTATTAGAGATGTTCAAAGAATGTAAACTTCTGCTTAAGATAGACAAAATTAGAAAAATAAAATTATCACAGATGTTTATATCTACTGCCCGTTATGACTAGTCTTCATTAGGGACTGTCTTACAATGGGGAATGTGTTCTACTATAATCTGCTAAGATTCTGAATGATAGGTACCATATTTCTTTGAATAGTAAATAAAATGGTAGTCATCCCCTATTCTTCATTCTACTTTTATTACCTCATCACCTCTTACCTGGTGTACTGAGGGAGTTCTCCAACTCCTTCTACTCCTGCTTTCAGTAGTTCTCCATTGTTTATGATATAAAGAAGAAACAAACCCAGCTTCCTTGCCTGGTATATAGGGCACTTCATATTATAGCTGCTGCCAAAAATTGGTCATGCTGTCTACATTGCCATACTTGGAGTGTCACTGAATACATTCAGAGGACTATTGGAGTTCTCTGAATACATTATGCTGCCTTAAGTCAGCGTATCTTTACATACTCTGAGCCCTCTAACAGAAAAGACCTCCTATCACTATCACCATCATTTGGGTCACCTCATCTTTCAACATCATCTTAAGCTACATTTCCTGGCCCATATATTCCCTAATCAAAAATATGGGCCCTTATATATACCTACTGTACTACCTATCACAGTGCATTGTATATTTGTATGTTTTCATATATAAGAATGTAAGCACCTTTAAGGACAGTGTAATACATACATGCATACAGAAATAAAAGTTGGCAAAGACACCTTTTTGTCAAAAACTCTAGCTAACTAAATTTTTATTCATATCTCCCTGCATGATATGGGTTTTTGCTTTCTTTCTCTGCTTCCTAAAACTTGAATGAGAAACCAGTGAATTACTGTTTCAGGGGTCCCACGGCCTCCCCACACAGTTGATTGCTTGCTACAAAGACTCAAAAGAATCAAAGGCACTTCAATCATGGCTATGATTTATTATGGCAAGGAAAAAAGATCAGACACAGTGGAAGAATCCAGGCTCAGTGTTCCAAAGTTCTCCCTTTCAGAATGTGCACCTCCCTTCCCAATAAAATACAGTAATACTTCTGTAGTTTTTCTGCCCTGGTGAAGCCTGCTTATAACTCAAAATCCAGGGTGTTTACTGGGGTCTGGTCATGTAGGCACCTCTGCCTGTGTGCCTAACCACAGTCACCTGAATTCCAGACCCAGAAGGAAAGTAGGTGTTCACCACAAATCATGTTATTTTTGCAGTTTACGCAAGCTGGCCCCGCAGGGTTGTGTCCCAGGCAGGCAGAGCAATGTAACATGCCAAAAGTCAAGTTCTCAGACACCAGCCAAGGGCCAGCCTCATAAGCAGACCCTTCTAAAGATAGCAGCATCAGACCTGCTATCCCTTACCTTTATTTACTAATACATTGTAAGGCAAAGAATCCAGTTTCTTGCCCCCACAAAGGAGCAGAAACAGCAAGATACTCTCTAGCAACCCATCTCCCTCACTTATTTCAGATACTTGTAAAGATATATGTTGAAATGACAGCAATTCTAACATATAGAACTTTTTTATTGATAAAGCTAGATAACGCTAACATACTAATAGTATCTTAGTTCATTTCCTGTTGCTTATGATAGAAATCTTCTGGGTAATTAATAAAAGAAATGCATTTTTTACAGTTACGGAGGCTGGGAAATCCAAGGTTGAAGGGCCACAATGGTACAAGCCTTCTTGCTGGCAAGGACTCTGCAGAGTCCCGAGCTGGCACAGGAAATCACATGATGAGAAGGCTAAGCTCAGGCTTCTCTTCCTCTTCTTATAAAGCCACCAGTCCCCACTGACCTGATAACCTATTAATCTATAAGTGAATTAATTCATTCTTGAGAGTGGAGCCCTCATGATCCAATCACCTTTTAAAGACCCCACCTCTCAGTACTGCCACATTGGGGATTAAGTTTCACCATGAGTTTTGGAGGGGACATGCAAACCATAGCACATAGCTTTTACTATAAACCAAGTGTGTGTTTTAAAGCACTTAAAATGTTTATTTTTTAATAACTTTTTTCTAGACTCTTACTTATAGGATTCAATTGGACTGCAAACATTTTAAAATTTATAATTTAAATGTAAATTTCAGCTTCACCCTGTCTGAATAATCACAGATTGCATATAAGAAGATTCAAATTAATGAGGTTTTCTTTTCTAAGAACTACTAAGCTAATATAAGAAAAATGTATACATAGTATAAATTAAAAGAACATACGGGTTTGGTTTTTTTTTTTTTTTGAGACGGAGTCTCACTCTGTTGCCCAGGCTGCAGTGCAGTGGTGTGAACTCGGCTCACTGCAACCTCTGCCTGCTGGGTTCAAGCAATTCTCCTGCCTCAGCCTCCCAAGTAGCTGGGGCTACAGGCATGTGCCACCATGCCCGGCTAGTTTTTTGTATTTTTAGTAGAGACGGGGTTTTTAACTTGATATACTGAAGAACAGTGGTATTCAGAATTATAATGAGCATTTCCAATGAACCATAAATACATGGAATTTAATTTATTCTTTTAATATCTTTTTTCTTATTTATGCCTGGGGAATGCGTCTTTAACACATACCCACAGTAACTTTGATTCTTATAGAAAAGTTTTATAGCTACTATGAAAGTAGAGATATAGAAATGTAATAATTGTTGCAGAAACTCTTCTATTGAAGGAGATGGTGGTGAGGATAGCTATCCTATGTTTGTAAGAACCTAGATCTTCAATCTTTGAATTGAAAAAAATCAGGCTTAAGTTTTTTTTTTTTTTTTTTTTTTTTTTTTTAACGAAGAAGTATTTTATTATTTTGCTGCAAAGCTGTTGCTTCACTGTATAAAAATAGCACCAGCAAATGCAGTGTATCGCAAAATTAAGATAGTGGTGTTCCTCATCTGACACTGTACAAGCAACAAAACCTCTTCACTTCCAGTTATTTCCAATGGAAAGATCATTAAGTATTTCATCCCAAATCCAGGTATGGATACATGCAAGTTACAATATTATATAAGGCTTAAGAATAACAATGTTATCTTTGAATTATGTAATTTTTATAACTAGTTTTTACCATGGATAATTTCATGAATTCTGAACACTAGAGCCTAGTCTAAAAATCATAGGATATTGTGAAAAAGACGCATATTATATTTATCTATAATCATTAGAAAGTTAAAGGGCATTTTCTTTCATTAGCAGTGTTAACAGTAGTTTTTTTTTCCCCATCGGTAATACTAAAAGTTTCTATTCTAAGTCTTCTATCCACCACTAATTTAAGACAACTCTGCTGGCTTGCGTTATTTCATACTAGTTTATTTAGGAGTTCCATTTTCACTCCTCAATAGATTTTATGTATTTCTCATATGCTTCTTCACTCATAAGTTCATCTAGTTCTGAAGGGTTACTCAGTGTCATCTTGATCAGCCAACCATCTTCATAACAAGATTTGTTTACAAGTCCTGGATTTTCTGCAAGAGCTTCATTAATTTCAGTTACTTCTCCTGATAAAGGAGAATAGAGTTCACTAGCAGCTTTCACACTTTCCAAAGCACCAAACTCATCTTGTTTGTTCAATTTTGTCCCAACTTCAGGGAGACTACAATAAACAACATCTCCCAACGCTTCCTGTGCAAAATTGCTGATTCCCACTGTTCCAATGCCATTTTCTGTTGTTACCCATTCGTGTTTCTCTGTGAATTTACGCACCGAGAGCAGAGCGGGTCCAGTGCGTAGCGTACGGACGGCGCCCACCCCCAGCTGCCAGGGCCTCGGCGGGCAGGGCGCGGCGGGTGACGGGACCGCGCGCAGGGTGCAGAGCAGGGCCCGCACGCTCCGCACCACTCGCAGCGCCATGTTCGCAGGGGTGCGGGGGTCGCAGCGCTACGCCTCGGCCACCCGCGCCGGGAGGCGGGGCGGGGAGGGGCCCAGGCTTAAGTTTTTAATAATAAATTCACACTCAATTTATTTTTGAATGGAATAATTTAATTACAGAATAAGAAGATGAAGGTCACTGTTGTCCAAAGTGTTCTGATACTCTACAATGTGGTCACAAAATTTGGGAAATACTACATTGTGTATACCTCTTTGTGAGATTCACAAGAACCTGTAGCGTAATAAAGCCTCTGAGAAGACTTGCAGCAAGAAACCTCTTTAAGCTTTGTTTGGTATATCATTTTCCACACTTACTTTATCATAAGCCTATTTTGTGGAATACCTACAAAAATCCCAAGTTTTAGAAATGCTCTGCTTCTGGATTATTCTAACTACATTCTAGACAAGTATTGAGTTCCTTAGAAACCTGGACTAGGAGAAGCTTTTATTTCCCTTTAGTTTTTCACTGTGTGTTTTGCACAGTAAAGAATTTCTTTCTACAGATTTATTCAAAATTCGCCAGCTATAATTCTAGTCATGTTCTTGTATTCTATCCATGGTACAGTATCCTTTATATAATAACCTTGTTTGGTAACTGAATTACTTAAGTCATTTCATTCCTGGTCCTCTCCTAATCTTTGATTATGCTGTTTTTTCCACCCTAAAAAGTCTTTGTTCTCTTGTAAGGTATTTTAATAATACCTATAATATCAGTTAATTTGTGCCATTCTACCTATGTGTAATGGTGTTTTATGAAAGGGTTTACCATCTTGAAAATGGTATGCAAATTAATTCATATTTTTTAGTGCTATTTAATGAATTTCTGCTTATATTTTAGCCTAGTTTTTTACTAAATGTGACTAGTACTTTTAAAACGGGTTTATAGACTGTTTCTGCTTCATGTAACTTCATACTTTAACCTTGGAGTTATCTCCAAGATTCCAGATTTTCTGGAATATGCAATAGTAAAATACAAAGTCAGGAGTCTAGGTTTTATTTTCTTAGGTTAGTTGTACATCCTTCAGATTTACTCTTTTCCTCCATTAAATGTTTCTTCCAAATAGAATAATAATTGATACTTTGAGCTGTTTCATTATTGCTTTGAAATTGCTGGATAATCAATTTTTTACCTATTATTTTGTTACTTCAATAAACCTGTTATGTGCTAGATACTCTGGTGGGTGCTGGTGATAATGATAACACAACGCCTACCCTCCTTGAGCTCTCAGTTCAGTGGGATACACAGACACATATACATAGTTACAATACAGTAATTGCATTGACAGGGCTTTGCAGGGCTTTGAGAGTATTAAGGACCCCTAATCTAACCTGAGGAAGGGGAGAATTGTATTTTTATAATTCTTGGTTTGTGACACATTATCATTGTTAGTTCATACTTGGCTCCTTTTCTTTCTTTCTTTAGATACCCATGAGCCCACCAACCAATCCAAGAACTAAAAAACTCGCTGTAACTTAAATCTACCTGTTCACCCTATTTTGTCCATCTGCCTACCACGCCAGTGGTAACCAGTGTCCTGAATGTTATGGTTATCATGCCTTGCTTTAAAAAACAAAACATAAACATATAAACATAAAGTTTTACCCACTTTTGAACTTTATATAAAAATGATGTCATACTGTATACAAGACTGGGACTCTTTTTTTTCCTCAGATATTATCTTACTGTGATTCATCCATGTTACATGTAGCTCTTGCCCAATCATTTTTACTGCTATCTAATAATCCATATTTGACTAAACCACAGTTTATCCATTTTCCTGTTAATGGACATTTAGGTTATTTCTAGTTTTTGGTATTAACAGTGCTGCTTTGAGCATTCTGAAATATTTCTCCTGATAACAGTTTTTCTTGCGTATATACCAAGGAATGGACCATTTACAAAATAATTTAAAATTGTTTTCCAAAGTGGGAGTGTAAATTAAATATAATATCTAACAATATTTTTTAAAAATCGTGTTTATTCACATCACTGATTCTTGTTGTCACATATCTTGATTTTTCTAATTGATTTGGTAAACAATAATATGGTCTTGATGTTCATTGCCCAATTTACAAATAAGATTATGCATCTCATGTTTTTCAGCCTGATCTCCTGATCTGGTTTTTTGTTTGTTTGTTTGTTTGTTTTGAGATGGAGTCTTGCTGTCACCAGGCTGGAGTGCAGTGGCACGATCTCAGTTCACTGGAACCTCTGCCTCCCAGGTTCAAGTGATTCTCCTGCCTTAGCCTCCCAGGTAGCTGGGATTACAGGTGCATGCCACCACACCCGGCTAATTTTTGTATTTGTAGTAGAGATGGGGTTTCACCATGTTAGTCAGGCTGGTCTTGAACTCCTAAACCTCAAGTGATCCACCTGCCTCGGCCTCCCAAAGTGCTGGAATTACAGGCATGAGCCACTGCACCCGGTCCTGATCTGGTTTTCTACTGGGTTGTTTTAATTGAGTTGTTTTTCTTTTCCTTATTGATTTATAAGAGTTCTTAATGCATTTTTGATACTAATCCACTATCGTGTATTAGTGTACAAATATTTTTTCTATTTTATGATTTTTTTCACTGTTTTTAGGCTGTTTTTTGATGAACCATTTTTAATTTTCACATTAAATTTTATCAATCTTTTATGCTTGTCACTTTCTTTTATTTACAAAATTCTTATCTGGAATTTTAAAATTTATCTGAATTTCCTTTTGAAGTTTTACTTTTGACATTTAAGTTACTAATTTATTTGGAACTGATTTTTGTTTATGATGTATATGTGTAACTTTTCCCTGCCCCATTTAGATAGCCAGTTTTTCCCCTGTACATTTATGAAATGGTGAATTTTCCCAGTGATCTGCTATCCCACCTATGTCATATTACAAAGATTTATATAAAACAGATTTGTTTCTAGGCTCTTTTGTTTCATCAGACAATTTGCCTGTCTCTCTGTCAGTATCATACTTTTGTAATTATTATAGCTTTTTAGTAAATCTTAATGGCGGCTAAGGCAAGACCCTTCCTTCTCTTTATTCATTTTTAGAAGGATCTTGGCTATTCTTTGTCCTTTGGTTGATTTTATAATCAACTTTTTCAGTTCTACAAATAAGTCATCAGAATATGCTTATAGTTGTAATAAATCTGTAAAATAAATTTGGGTGAAAATTGTTTATCTTTACAATACAAAGTTATGTCTACATTTATTTAGGCCTTTTTTTCTTTTTTCCTTGAGACAGGGTCTTGCTGTGTCGCCTAGGCTGGATTGCAGTGGCATGATCATGGCTCACTGCAGTTTTGACCTCCTAGGCTCAGGCGATCCTCCCACCTCAGCTTCCTGAGTAGCTGGGACCACAGATGTGTGCCACCACTCCTGGCTTATTTTTGTGATTTTTTTGTGGAGATGGGGTCTCACTATGTTGCCCAGCCTGGTTTCAAACTCCTGAGCTCAAGGGATCCTCCTGTCTTAGCCTCCCAAACTGCTGGGATTATAGGTGTGAACTGCTGCACTCAGCCTAGGCCTTTTACAAAATATCTTTCAGTAACATTTTATTTTTCTGTGAGCAGGTTTTGCATATATTTTTTATAACTTAAAGACACTTTTTGTTGCTGTTATAAATGCATTCCTTTTAAAATTTAGGCTAATTGTCCCCTGCTGATATTTAGAAATGCAGTTAACTTGTATATGATTATGTATCCAGCTACATTCCTTTTCTATTATTTGTATTAATTGGCCCGTAGATATTTTGAGTTTTGGTTTTTGTTGTTGTTTTAAGAGTTGTTTTGTTACCCAGGCTGGAATACATGGCATGATCTTAGCTCACTGCATCCTGTAACTACTGGGCTCAAGCCATCCTCCCACCTCGGCCTCCCAAATAGCAGGGACTACAGGTGTGTGTGTACCACCATGCCCAGCTAATTTTTTTCATCTTTTTTTAGAGATGGGATCTTACTGTGTTGCCCAGGCTGGTCTTGAACTCCTGGGCTCAAGCAGCCCTCCTGCCTCAGACTCCCAAGTAGCTGGGATTACTGGGGTGAGCCACCGTGCCTGGCCTAGAGCATACTTTTTAAATGAACATTTATGCTTTGATACAGTTCTCGTTTATTCATAATTATTACCACCTCATTTACTAATGCAGCCTTAATTTTGTCCATACATCTTGTTTTAAATGATTTGAAGCTGGGCATGGTGACTCATGCCTGTAATCCCAGCACTTTGGGAAGCTGAGGTGGGTGGATCACTTGAGGTCAGGAGTCCAAGACCAGCCTGGTCAATATGGTGAAACCCCATCTCTACTAAAAATACAAAAATTAGCCAGATGTGGTGGAGGCCTGTAGTCCCAGGTACTTGGGAGGCTGAGGCAGGAGAATTGCTTGAACCTGGGAGGCAGAGGTTGCAGTGAGCTGAGACCCCGCCACTGCACTCCAGCCTAGGTGATAAAATAAATGATTTGAGCTGCCATGTAAATTCTTGTTGCATAATTTTTTTCTCATTTATAGCTCTTATGTCCTTTGGCTTAGCAACACAGTTATTTCCTCTGCTACCTATAACTCTACTTTCTTAGCAAAAGAGTTTTTTCTTTATTGGTTTCTTGCTAATCACATGTTTGTAACTGATTCATTATTCCTTTTTCTTCCATTCAGAAAAATGAGAGATCCAAGCATATGTCTCTTAAGTATGTCTCTTTCGAGAATATTTGACCTCTCTATCCTTCCCATTCTCACCTCCCAGTCAGAAATAGAGTGAACTAAACATGTCAGCTTTTCTGGGAGTTTCTAACTGTATCTAACTTAAAAATGTATGTGGAGATTCCTTTTTCTTTGATAGCATAGAAAAAAGTTTTGAAAACACTTTTTAAGTAAGTCTATATAGCTTAAAGTATACCATTTAGTTTATGAAAAAGTAAACATCTTTTTATTATGAAAGTAGAAGTATATAATTGTTACATAATTATTTTAAAAATTGTTAGTCACAATTTAATGTCCATCTTTCCAAACCCTTTCTATGCATATATAATTTTATTCTATGAATTATTCTTTAGCCTGTGTTTTAGATTAAGCAGTATAATGGTGATATCTTTCATGTGGTTTATGGATCATTCATACCCTTTTTAATGGCTGCATAAGTATTTCATTGTATGGATTTGCCATAATTTATTTAACCTATTCTTTCTATATGAACATTTAGATTATTTCCAATCTGTCTCAATTACAGTTGTGCAGTGAAAAAAAGTTTATGTATTTACATATTTTAAGTTTTTCTGTAATATACATTTTTTAAAAGTTAAATTGCTGAGTCAAAGCTTATATTACTTAATTTCTCTTCAAAAATATATTTTACTGGAACTTTACACTATGGGTGGGAGTGTAAATTTATACAGCCACTTTGGAAAACCACAAATAGATCTTCAGTTTGAGAGTATCTATTAAAGCAGAACATTATGCACATACTGAGGTCTAGCAGCTCCTCTTCTAGGTATATATCCAACATAAATATGTACACAGTTCACCAAACAACATACACAAATGTGGATAGTAGCCTAATATTAGTAATCAAAAATGTCGACAACCCAATGTCCACCAATAGTAGAATGGATAAATAAATATTAATATATTTATACCAAGTAATACTCTGCAGCAAAAAGGATGAATGAACTACAGCCAAGTACAACATGGGTGAATCTTACAAACATAATTCTGAGCTAAAGAAGCTAGACATAAAAAAAATGTATTATTCCACTTAATTAAAGTTCACAAGCAGGCAAAATTAATTCATGATATCAGAAGTCAGAATAATGGTTTCCTTTAAAGGGACAGTAATGATGGAAATGGGGTACTTAGGAGACTTCAGGAATTCTGGTTATACTGTTTCTAAATTCTGGTGCTGATTATATGGGCCTGTTTTGTTTGCAAAAATTCATTGAGCTTTTTACCTTAGGATTTTCAACTTTCCCGTATATGTGTTATATTTAGTAAAAAGTTTACAATATCTTTTTTATGTGTAAAAACCGCTTTCAAACTCCTCTCAGTAATGCCTGTTTTCCTGAACTCTTACCATTCTGATATACATAAAAGTCTTTTCCATCTAATAAACATAAAAAGATCAGTTTTTTGTTTTTATCCTATTATTAGTGAGACTGAGCATCTTTTATATATTTGTTAACTGTTATGAGATCTGTTTTTCTTACTGATTTGTAACCTTTTTAAAGATTATGGACGTCTGGTCTGTTATATGTCAAAATATAATATTTTAAATAAATTCAAACTGACAAAATTATTAAGTAATATGTGTTAGGAGAGAAGTTTTATTTTAATAGTTAAATCAGTTTTTAAGAGTCCTTTGTTCTTCAATCCCAGTTCTGTCACCAAATCATTTCTTAAGAGAGTAAAATCTGCTTCATTAGTTCTAAATTCGTAATATGGAGTCCATAAAGAAGATGCTATTTGAAGGCCCTTGTTTTATTGCTTATATATTAATATTCTTTTTTTTTTTTTTTTGAGACAGAGTCTCGCTCTGTCACCCAGGCTGGAGTGCAGTGGCGCGATCTCGGCTCACTGCAAGCTCCGCCTCCCGGGTTCATGCCATTCTCCTGCCTCAGCCTCCCGAGTAGCTGGGACTATAGGCGCCCGCTGCCAAACCTGGCTGATTTTTTGTATTTTTAGTAGAGATGGGGTTTCATTATTCTTTTTACCTAAAGTAGTCTGTTTTTGGAACATCTTTAAACCACATTTTAAATAAAATATCAAAATAGAAGTCTATCCACTGCTATTATATATTACCTTTAGTTTCTTTTCATTTCTCTTTATGTGTTTTCTTAATATGGAGAAGAGGGGAAAGAACATTGGATAAAATTTGTTATATTTGTAGTAAAATTGCACATGAATTTTGTCTGTATTATGTTTTTATAAAATAGCCCTTTAAAAACCAGTTTGCCGCATGCTATTGCCTTTACTTTTCATCCAGTACCAAATTTCTAAGTGATCTCTTAACTAAAATACTTTGTTGTAGTAACTCAACTAGTCTGACTTCTCACTGTTGTGTCTGCGTTTTTATGCTTTTGGTTGGGGGTGCCTTATTGAGATAGTGTGTTTATGTATTTCCTAGACTTACTATATTTTCATAAGTTTCTCATTATTCTTTGTGAATATTTTTATTTATTTTTGTTTTTTTAATATGTAATTCATATAGACGCTCTGCTGTTGCCCGTATTCAGGAGTTCTTCAGACGGAGAAAAGAAAGGAAAGAAATGGAAGAATTGGATACTTTGAACATTAGAAGGCCGCTAGTAAAAATGGTTTATAAAGGCCATCGCAACTCCAGGACAATGGTACCAAATGTTCATGGCATTTTTTGGTGAAATTGCAGTTTCATGCTCTGAGTGTTTTTCCATAATGATTTATCTTCATATATTGCCAATGGGATTTCAGTATTACATTATTAAATCTTCAGTTATCTCTTTATCCAACATGGTTCTTTTAGCCCTATAATATATTGTGAAAGATCATTATTTTTTACAAGAAAACTCTACTAAAAAAATGCAGATTAAAAAAATTTTTAGTTTATACAAGTAATCATTGCTTTTGTTTTTTTTTTTTTTTCCCCCTCTCTTTCTCACATTTGCTGTCTACCTGAAAAGTTTCTGGTGGATTTTTTTTTTTTTTTTTTTTAGCTTGTATTAGCATTCTTTGTTAGTTTTGGAGAGAAGGATTTGGATCTATAAAATCTAAGTTGATTGCAAAAAATTGTCAGGCCACTTTATACCCATTTTTAAGATTGACAAGTGAAAATTTGTTTTAGTGACTTACCAGATGAAATAAGAATAGACCAGAAAGATCTCTAAGATCTTTTGTAGTTTTTACGATCTACAAGTTTCTACACCCAGTGTAATATTAATTACTTAATAAGAAAAGTTTTTGAGATGACTAGTGTAACTGTTACTCTGATCCCTTCATAACTAGAAAGTGTTGTTCTCCTCATATACATTGCATCATCAGAAGGTATCTACAGAATCAGTTTTAATCCATATTACTGCCATATTACCCTTGCTGATGAATTTGTAGCTTGCTTTCTTTAGGATCTAGGTTAAAAAATAACATTTGGGTTGGGGAAGTAATTAGCTCTTTCTATAAATGTCATTGCTAGTAACAATTTACTCATTTTTAAAAGGTTACTCATTATTAATAGAAGTAACCAATTTATATTTCTTGCATTTTATTGCCTAAAAGTTAGCATGAAAATAATTAGAGGAAGGAGTGAGAAAAGAGAAGATAAGTAAATTTAACAGTAGCTCAGATAACAATAAAATTGTCTCCCCTCTTTTGTGAGAGCACCAAAAATGGCAAAGTAGCAGCTGCA
The DNA here is from genome assembly GCF_000001405.40 of Homo sapiens. Lineage (NCBI taxonomy): Eukaryota > Metazoa > Chordata > Mammalia > Primates > Hominidae > Homo > Homo sapiens. The sequence continues at coordinate 168,064,788 of NC_000001.11, forward strand.
GTTAAAATTTTTTAAAATCCTTGTTTGAAATACAAAGATTTTTGATGTTTCATTCATGTGCATTCATTTAAAAATGTCATTATAACTATTCCAGTATATCATATGCCTTTGATTCTGCTTCATAAAATTAAGTATGTTTGTATCTTTCTCAATTGTGTTAGCTTATAATAGCTAATGATCTTCTTTCTATTCTTTGGGTCTAAAGCAAAATACAAAAGACAATTTCTTTTATCTGTGAATTATTTCATTGTCTTATAAAGCTAAATTGGTACAATTTTTGGAAAGTTCAGCAACATATATGTAAATTGCCATTATACTGCCCAAAACCCAGAAATCCTATTCTTTCATTTAGCAGTTAATAATTAAGCACCTATTGTATCCCAAGTACCATTTCAGGTGCTGTAAATATAGTATTGAACAAAGCAAAGTCCCTCTTCTTAGGGGGGATTTTCTATTACTTACTGCCATCTTACCCTTGCTGATGAATGCCTATCATAATTTAAAGAAGCTAGAAGACAGATTTTTGTCAGTTTTTTTTTTTATAGATAGGGGATCTCACTATATTGCCCAGGCTGGTCTCAAACTCCTCAGCTCAGGCAGTCCTCCTGCCTTGGCCTCCCAAAGTGCTGGGATTACAGGTGTGAGCCACTGCGCCCAGCATCAATTTTTAATTTTACTATTTTCTAAGCCAGTTTTTTAAAAAATGTAAGAATTAAAACAAATAAAAAAATGTAAGAGTAGCATAAATCTTTGTTTTAATAACTTTGATTTGAATTTTTAAATAATTTTTTTTAACCCTTAGATAAAAGAAGCCAATTTCTGGGGTGCTAACTTTGTAATGAGTGGTTCTGACTGTGGCCACATTTTCATCTGGGATCGGCACACTGCTGAGCATTTGATGCTTCTGGAAGCTGATAATCATGTGGTAAACTGCCTGCAGCCACATCCGTTTGACCCAAGTAAGATATCTTTTCTAGGACGAGGGCTAGAAATTATTTGTATGACTCATCAGTCATACAAAATTATTCTTTTTTAATTGTTAATATTATAAGAATAATCCAAACTATCTGACTAGGCAGCAGTAGAGTCAATTACAGCTGAACTTGCACTTCAAACACACCTGTAATCTGCTTTTTGCACAAAGTAAAAGAAAATAGGTTAAAAAGTTTATTCTCCCAATATTTCTTCTAAGTTTTACAAGCTGTAAGAGGTTTGGTGTGACTGAACTTTTTATTGTATATCCAAATGGAACATCCAGTCATTTTTAGTCTTCACATAGCTGAATTAATTTATCAGAACAAAAGAGCATTGCTCGTCTTCTTTTTGAAATTGCCCACATATCTCATAAAAGAACAATGAATAAGTGACTTCAACAATGAATCTGAGTGACTTCAACATGGTATTAAAATTACGTTCTAGGATAACATTTAGCAAATTGTCAAAATAATATTTTCAATTAACAGTTAAATATATAGTGTACAATTGCTGTTCAAGGTTAGTTTTGCTATATATACATATATGCATAATATAAGCATATCCTGAATTGCATGTTTCTAGGCTTCATATTAATATATAAATTTTATTTCTAGTTTTAGCCTCATCTGGCATAGATTATGACATAAAGATCTGGTCACCATTAGAAGAGTCAAGGATTTTTAACCGAAAACTTGCTGATGAAGTAAGATTTTTATTGTACTTACTATAGACCATATTTCAATTTGTTCCTAAAATGCTTCCCTAAGAAAAATTAAAAGTTATTAGTTGCTAACATGAAACAAGTTAATGCAGTTAAGGAGGTCAAATTTTAAGAAAAAGAAAAATTAAGATAAAAGGATGTCTATAATACTAGGGAGGTAAAATCTAAATAGTAGCTTACTAATTATAATATTCATCATCGGTAACACCAGATTAGGTGTATAGTAGTTTAAGAAAAACAGGTTTGAGTATTCATGTTATTACAATAAAGAATCACACACAAAAAAATCTGTCCTTTTAAGAAAATAATTTTATTATAACTGTTTCTCCAAAAGCCTAGCAATTTTTCCATTTTTAGTACAGCTATTTTTCCATTTTGAGTTTTTCTTAAAAAGGAAATGGAACTTTGTTTTTCAGGATTAGTATATAGCAGAACAAATGAGTGAAGAATCTTTTCCTTTATCATTATATTTTAAGATTTTTTTAAGCCTGTTAAAACAGTATTTTCAGCCTGAGTTCTTTGGAGCTCTGGATTTCTTCTGGGATGGGAGAGGGAAGGTGGATAATAGGAAGGCATTACTCTGGGCCTTTCCTCCCCAACTTCAACCAGGGTTTTTATTTGTGGGTTCTCATATACTATTTCTTATGAAAATGAGAATCCATTGCTAAAAATGTTAGTAAGTTGGAAAACCACTACTCTAGACTAACACTGACTGTTCGTAGCACAATTCCCATGTATACTTTCACTCATTGAATAGGCATTTATAAAACAGTTGATGTATTGTATACATAATGCTGGGTGTAAAAAAGATAAGGCCCTACCCTCAGAGTTTAGTGGGAAAGACAATGTAAACAGCTAGAACATACTGTAGTGGGGTCTGTGTCAGTCAGAGGTATACACATAGTGTTTTGGAAGCCCACAGAGAGGAACAGCTGTTTGTAAATGGGGTAGATAGGATGGAGAGGTCTTCACAGAAGAAATAAGAATTGGACAGAAGTCTGAGAATAGTTCACCAGGCAGACAGGGAGCAAAGCAGCATTTAAGACAGAAGGATCAGCATGTGCCAAAGCATGAGAGGGTAAATGAACCATCAGTGTGCCTGGAACCCTAGAGTACATGCACAAAAGTAGCTTAATCAAACTAAACGGTTAGGTGAGGGTAAGATTGTGAAGGGCCCTGTGGGGCACCCTGATGAGTTGGGAATTTATTATTTCAGTATTGGGGAACTGTTGATCAGAGTAGCATCTTTCTCTTCCTCTCATACTCTTTCTTTCATCCTTTTTTTCCTTTGCCATGTTTTTTGCTTTTCCACTTTTTTCCTTTGCTCATGGTTACATATTGCATCTCTGGGTGTTCACGAGTATTCAAGTAATCCTATTCTTGGTACTTAAGGCTCAGTTTCTTGTTAACCCTTGCCCAAAAATTTATTTTCCAAGACTACTCTGCCTCAGTCAAGGTAACATCTTTTCAAGGGATTCAAGTGGCCCATGGATAATAATTTAACTGTATTTCGTCACTAAAGTTATCAGTTCTCCTATAGGGAAAACAAGGAGCCAACAAAGTAAATGGCTCTGAGAAGCAAATTGCAAGTAAAAGCTAAATTAAATTCTTAAATGTTTTAAGTAGCCTCAAAATTTGACCTTTGTTTTTCTGCCATTTGAAAGAGTTGTGTTCTTTGACCTTCCTCCTTTAAATACAAGTTACAGTGATTATTTGGCATTGAATAGACTTAAGGCAGAAATATAGACATCAGACGCATAAAGAATGAAGTAATTCCTCCTGGTACTGGCTGATTGTTTACGGTTTGCCTGATCTTCAAGGAAAAAATACAGTTACTTTATGATCTTTGATACGATTTTTAACTTGCCTTGTAGGTTATAACTCGAAACGAACTCATGCTGGAAGAAACTAGAAACACCATTACAGTTCCAGCCTCTTTCATGTTGAGGATGTTGGCTTCACTTAATCATATCCGAGCTGGTAGGAACTTTAAGTATACTACTAAAACCATTTTTATATTTGAAAATATATTATTATTTAAGATCTGCTTTAAAGGGGTTTATATATATTTTTTAATATCACAAAATGAGGGTAGCTTAACTTCTAAACTAGGATTTCTGTGAATGCTTGATCTTGGCACAGTAACTTAGTTCCTCATGAACTACATTTGTCGTAAAATGGTCAAAATGAAAAGACCAGAGTCACGTAAAAACTCTTATCAGCTGCTGTTTTCTTAGAGTACATAACCTTAGGATATATTATCGTGCATATTCTTTAATGGTAGGTTTGTTGAAAATCAGTCATAGCCCAAACAGAAATAAATGTGACATGCTAAGAAATGAAACATACCTCAGTTTGCTTTTTGAATATTTTTTTGTTTTAGATAAACTGTGAGGTGCAGTGCCACAGATACATAAAAATGCATATATTACAACTAATGTTCAAGAAGGAATTGAATAATTTATAACAAAAGAAAAGGTCTAGTATCTGTTATAAGCAGAATATATTTATCAAACAAAAGAGTTTTACCACTCTTCACTGATTTCATAAATGTCCCCATACGTTTGGTATTAGCTATCATTTAATAATAATAGGTACCATTTATAAAGTAACTATAATGTATCAGGCTTATACTAATTATTTCACAGCTTTATCCTCATTTACCTCCAATCCTTTACAAAGTAGGTTATTTGTAATAACTTAGCCCAAGTCACACAACTGATAAATATTAAAGCCAGAATTTGAAATTAGCTTCCAAGCCCTTACTCCCCTTTGACCTATAAATTTCACTTACAGGAATATATTCAAATCATTCATATGACATGCAAACCTCTGGATGATCTAATCTCAAACTATTCTAGCTGATTTACAGCATTCTTTTCTTCTGTGACTACTCCATCCACACTGGCCCTCTTTGATTTTTGGGGATACACCAAACTCTTTCCCACCTCAGGGTTTTTATAATCGTGCTGTCCCCTCCCATCTTCACTCTGTTGAGATAACTTCTTACTGTAAGAACTGCATAAGCAGTGAATTAAATATCACTTCCTCAGAGAGAGTGGGGAATGGAGACAAGTATTCCACAGAAAGTAGACAGCGTATAGCGTTTTTCTAAGCCCTAGAGGAGAGAAAGTATAGCACATCTGAAAAATTGAAAGAAGACCCATATGTTTGTAATTAAAAGAATTAGAAAATAATCCTCAAATGTAAATATTAACTTTTACCAGGAAAGAGGGAAAACTTCAAATGGTGAAAACAACAACAAAAAATAAACCTGGAATGTAAACAAAAAATGTTAATAGACCAACAAAATGTTTTTGTGATCTTCTTTGGGTTCCTGTATTATTAAATTATAATAACACTGTAACTTTTTTAAAATATATTTTGTTCAATAACAGCAAGTAACCCTTAAAATTCATCCATTTGAATTTCACATTTGAGGAAGCAGCATTTTAAAACAAGAAAAACGTTTACTGGTAATGACACCTAAAATGTGCTTACTCTTATCTAGTGGATGGCTCTTCCTCAGTAGTTTTCCTGCAGAAAATTAATTCTCTTTCCAGTTGCACAAAAATCTATTTGTGCTAATGTAGCAATGGTTGGTTAGTTAATAGCCACTACCATCCTTCTTTGGTTTTAGAATTAGATAAGGTGTTTTATAATATAAAAATTCTCTTTCATTTCTTTTTGCCAGCAATCAAAAAGACAATTTCTAGTTGGTTTAGTCAGCTTATCTTCTTGCTTCTCTTATACAAAATACTAGATAGAATAAAGTGCCCAAGAGTTAACATTTCTGCTGCCCTTATCTTTAAGATATCTAGTTATTTGATGGGTCAGTTAGTCAACCACTCTTTTTCTCTCCTATCCAGTGTCCTGCAGTCCAAATACAATAATGTGTGCATATTCAGGAGAGTTAAAAATGGACTTGGATCAAATAAGCACATGGTAGCCACAAAGTACCTCTCGGCTCATCCATTACTCCAGAAGGCTTCCTAGGAAGTCCAGGGAATAGATACGGACAGTTTCTTTCTGTTGGAGCTGTGATTTTTAATGAAGGAGCCTCTTAAAATCATCTGTAGGGGTTTTACAAACTACAAATACTTACCTAGGTCTCACCTGCTAAAGATTCTGGTTCATTTTAGCTGGATAGAGATTAAGCGTCTACATTTTTAAAAAGCAACCAAAGTTAATCTCATGAATAATGCACTAAAGACTGCTAGTCTAGTGGCCACTTGAGATGGAAAGGCATTTCTGACATCCCTAGAAGCTTTGAGAGGCTTTGGAAAGATGGTAATGGTTTGCATGGATCATTCTAGACTCCTCTAGAATGTCTTAGAATCACTTTACTGCCCTGCTTAAAATTCTCCTTTGCCCACACATGTTCTTAGGGTAGAGTCCAAATGTGTTAACATGTCTTATAAAACCCTGCATTATCTCTTGACATTCTTCCCATTATACCTCTGGATCTTAGCACAGATAGTTATCATTTCTCTGTCATGGGTTTGCAAAGCCTGTTATCCTATTGAGATCACAATCACTTATTAAATCGTTCACAGATTGACTCCCTCAGTAAGTGATACTAACTTTACTCCAGAATAGACCTAATATTTATATACCCTTGATCTCCCTGCTTCTACTTCTCTTGTCCTCATAGTCTGATTTTCACACAGCAGCCAGAGGGATCCTTTCAAAACAGGTCAGTTAATTTTTTTGTTAATGGCCAGATATGGTTTTTATTGTAACCACTCAACTCTGCCATTGTAATGCAAAAACAGCCATAGACCATATGTAAATGAACAGGTATGGCACTTATAATAAAACTTAATATATAAAAACAGAGCCAGGTACAGTGGCTCACGCCTGTAATCTCAGCACTTTGGGAGGCTGAGGCAGGTGAATCACCTGAGGTCAGGAATTCAAGACCAGCCTCGCCAACATGGCAAAACCCCGTCTCTATAAAAATAAAAAATAAAAAAAATTATAAATACAAAAATACAAAAATTAGCTGGACGTGATGGTGCACACCTGTAATCCCAGCTACTTGGGAGGCTGAGGCAGGAGAGTCACTTTAACTTGGGAGGTAGAGGTTGCAGTGAGCCAAAATTGCGCCACTACACTCCAGCCTGGGTGACAGATTGAGACTCTGTCTCAAACAAAACCAAAATCAGGCAGTGGGCTGTATTTGCCTATGGGCTATAGTCTGCTACCACCTTTTTAAAACACAAATTAGATACCACCCCCTCTTAAAATTCTCAGGGACTCCCTATTGCTCTTAAAGTAAAACCCAGACTTCTTACTCTGGCCTTCAAGGTCCTACATGACATACATTCTGCCAACCTCTGACTTCCACTCAGTCCACCTTTTTTTCTAGCTCACTACATTTTAGCCATACTGGCCTCTCTTCCTCAAACTCATCAAGCTTAGTAGCACATTTAGGACCTTTTCACTTGTTCATCTGCCCAACTTTGCCCCCAGGACTTCACATACAATTGAGGTCTTAGCTCCAATATCACCTCCTTAGAAAAGTCTTCCCTGGTAGTGCGGTGGCTCATGCCTGTAATCCCAGCACTTTGGGAGGCCGAGGCGGGTAGATCACGAGGTCAGGAGATTGAGACCAGCCTGGCCAACATGGTGAAATCCCATCTGTACTGAAAAATACAAAAATTAGCTGGGTGTGGTGGCGCGTGCCTGTAGTCCCAGCTACTTGGGAGGCTGAGGCAGGAGAATCGCCTGAACCCAGGAGGTGGAGGTTGTAGTGAGCCGAGATCGCACCACTGCACTCCAGCCTGGTGACAGAGGGAGAATCAGTCTAAAAAAAAAAAAAAAAAAAAAAAAAAAAAAAGAAAAGAAAAGTCTTCCCTGGTCACTCAATCTAAAGTTGTTTTCTGTGTCTTCTCATATCTTCCCTCTCACTTAGTCATTCTTGTTCATTGCCTTATTTTCCTCAAGTACTTATCACTCTTAAGCTTTAATTTCTTTATTTATTGTCTTATTACAGATTAGAGGAGAAAAATACAGGTGGTACCTTGTTTGTTGTCTATCTTCCTCCTTAGAAAGTAAGCTTATAAAGAGCAGAGACCCAGTTTGTCTTAATTTGCAGCTGGGTCTTTAGGCTCCTAAAACAGTGCCTACCACATAGTAGTTGCTTAACAAATACTGAGTATTCTGGTAAATAAGTACACATCTAGTATCAAATCTCTAGCTAACAATGAATTTGTATTATTTCTTTTAAAGAAAGTAAATAAATTCTTTGTAAAGGGTAGCCTGGAAAATAAAACAACAGTGTTTTTTGTGAAACACAGGCTTCCATTGGGAAATTTTTTTCTTATCTACCTTCCCTCCCTCTGCAGCAAACTCAGTGTCTCTTCATATCATTATCTTCCCCAGTTTCCTGAAGAAATATTCTAACAGAATAAAAGGAACCTTTCTACAAATGTAAACCTTATTTACAAAAGCAATTTGACATTGCTACTTCTGAAAAACAGTATACATAGACATCCTGGCTAACATGGTGAAACCCCATCTCTACTAAAAACAAAAAAATCAGCCGGGTGTGGTGGCACGCTCCTGTAGTCCCAGCTACTCGGGAGGGCGAGACAGGAGAATCGCTTGAACCCGGGAGGCGGAGGTTGCAGTGAGCCAAGATCGCGCCACTGCACTCCAGCCTGGGCGATAGAGCGAGACTCGGTCTCAAAAAAAAAAGAAGAAAAAGAAAAACAGTATACATAGAAGTGATTCTTATTTCCAGTTTTTATTTAAGAGAACACACTGTTCTTCAGACCTCCTTGTCTATAATTGCCAACCAGAGATTTGTATAAGTGTTAACTGCTTTGCAGCCTTACTACTTCAGTAGCATTTCATGAACAGAAGATTTAATTAATTCTGAGAAGTTGGGCTTACATTCTGGAAGAGGTGACTATGCATCAGTTAAATGAATTGAATTTGAGGAGAGAACAACTATTCTGCTTTCCTCATTTCAGAAGCCACTGTCACTTATTCTGTGACCTATCGTAAGACTCTTGGCCCTCATTTGTCTCTTTATTGTGTGCCTCTGAGTGTAAAAGTCTAACCTCTACTGCAAACTCCCTGATTTAAAGGCTGTGACATTTTTTTCTTAACTCTCTATTATCCCATCTTCTTTATAATGTGACAACCAAAAGAAATTTGAGTAAGAAGCCTGCCAACTTTGAGATAGGCCGTTACTGCTTCATCATGCTCTAACATGACAGGATAGGTTTCTTGAATATATTCAGTCATACTCAGGATTCCCATTCCTGAGCCCTACTTAAGTAGAATAGCAACTTCATGTTTTGTTCTCTCTTGAAAGTATCACACAATAAAAACAATGTAATTTTTTTTATACTAATATCCCTTAGGTAGCCTTTTATTGGTCAGAAATTCTTCTACTGTGTTTAAATTCCTTACTGATCTATAAAGGTCTATTCAAATCTTATTTTGTTCATTTATTTTATAAATATGTATTGAATACATATTTATAAAATAAATGAACAAAATAAGATTTGAATAGACCTTTATAGATCAGTAAGGAATTGAATACTTATTTGTATTCAATACCTATTTGTATAATTAAGGTTATAAAGGTTACACATACATTATGTCATTGGTTTGACATTGGATTAGAGTTGGCATAGAGGAGATTTAATCTAATTCACTTGGACAATTAAACAATTAAAAGGGACATATAGTCCCTTCAGTGTACTGTTCTTGGTGCTGTTGACCTAGGATCCAGTGGGAGCATTTAATCCTGTGTAGATAATAAATAAAATCTCAGGATTCAGTCTTCTCTTGCTGTTGACAGTGGGACTGAACTGTTTTCCTTATGCTTAACCTTAATATTTTCCATGTTACTATGTGGAAATGTTTCTGGGGCAGAAACATCCTAGTTCCATCTCAGTGATGGTAGTGATTTTATGCTGTTGCCTTCTTCACAATACCCTTATGTAATGTATCTTACCTTCATAAAACTTATATTCATTTATTCAGTAAACCTTCATTGAACATCCTATACTAGGCTCTGAGGATATAAAGATAAAAAGAAGTAACTCCTGCCCTCCAGGAACTCTCAATCTGGTCTGCAGGAAGACATGCAAACGACTATTACTGTAATTAGGATCATCATTATGAAGTTCATATAAGATATTCTAGAATGTGGAGGAGGGAGTTCATAATTCTGCAGATAGCCTGTTTGGAAATGTCCAGGAAAAGTTTCACCAAGGGTATAATAGTTGTATTGAGATGAGTAAACCTTTATAGCTAAAGAATTGGGCAAAAGTATCCCAAGCAGAGGAATAGCAAGTGTAATTCCTGAAAACTTGAACGAGCATACTGTACTCACCAGTTTGTAAGTTTATATTCACTTGAGTATTTAACCTAAATAAGCTCCTTGAGACCAGAAATTTACATCTGTTTTGGTCACCATTGTATTCTCAGGTTTTATCACAATGCCTGGAACATAGTATTTAATTTAAAAAAATCTTTTTACAAACAGAATTACACAAATCCTCAACAATCGTCCACATATTTTCTCTCACACAGCTGCCTCCTCACTCCCCTTTGCAGCACCTGATGTACCTCCTTAGAAACCTAGACTCCAAAGAACACTGTTTGACAACCACTGCAGTAGAACATAATATATCAAGATTTTAGGAGTGGGTTTCTTTTTTCATTTTTACATGTTTTAGAATAACATGCATAATCAAAGCTAATAATACTGTGTTTTCTTTACTCTTTTATTTGCCTCTAAAGACATCCACACATAGTGGTGAACTGATTTTTAATGCGTTTTAAATAAAAGGCATTGAAAAATATTAATAATTGTAATTACTAAAAGTATTTCTCTTTGCGATTCTCTTATCTGTGTTTCCAGACCGGTTGGAGGGTGACAGATCAGAAGGCTCTGGTCAAGAGAATGAAAATGAGGATGAGGAATAATAAACTCTTTTTGGCAAGCACTTAAATGTTCTGAAATTTGTATAAGACATTTATTATATTTTTTTCTTTACAGAGCTTTAGTGCAATTTTAAGGTTATGGTTTTTGGAGTTTTTCCCTTTTTTTGGGATAACCTAACATTGGTTTGGAATGATTGTGTGCATGAATTTGGGAGATTGTATAAAACAAAACTAGCAGAATGTTTTTAAAACTTTTTGCCGTGTATGAGGAGTGCTAGAAAATGCAAAGTGCAATATTTTCCCTAACCTTCAAATGTGGGAGCTTGGATCAATGTTGAAGAATAATTTTCATCATAGTGAAAATGTTGGTTCAAATAAATTTCTACACTTGCCATTTGCATGTTTGTTGCTTTCTAATTAAAGAAACTGGTTGTTTTAAGATACCCTGAATTTGACTTTTTATTTAATGCCTTGCTACTTTGACCCACAGTTTTCCAATCTCTCCTGTAGCATACGATGACTATTTTTCTATATTTTCTAGATTTAACAACCTTTTCCTTTTTTGCTTGTGTGGGATAGAATCACATAGAAGGACTTCCTTCATTTCTCCTTCCACGGTACAGCTGACCCTTGAGCAACCCAGGGGTTAGTGGCACCAGCCCCCCTCACAGTTGAAGATTCATGTGTAACTGTTGACTTCCCAAAAATTTGACCATTAACAGCCTGTTGATCGCAAGCCTTACTGATAGCATGGTCAATTAACACATATTTTGTATATTTTATGTGTTATATTCTATACTCTTACAATAAAGTAAGCTACAGAAAAAGTGTTATTAAGAAAATCATAAGGAAGAGAAAATATATTTACTGTTCACTAGGTGGAAATGGATCATCATAAAGGTCTTCACTGTTGAGAAGGCCGAGGAAGAAGGAGGCGTTGGTCTTGCTGTCTGAGGGATGGCAGAGGAAATCCACATATAGGTGGATCTATGTAGTTCAAACCTGTGTTGTTCAAGGGCCAACTATACTTTATTTTTACCTCCAGTCGTTATCGCTCCTGATCAGTGGAACCTCATTACACAAATAAAGGAGTTAGTCTTCAAGCAGAAATGACTGAGAGCATCATGGGTAGCTCACATAGTAGCATAAAGTAGCCCTGAAGGAAATGGCTTCTGGCCTCTCACTCCAAATTTTAAATTTCACTGCAAGTTATTGACCATCCAGTCTAATTTCTGCTCTTCCTTAACTCTAGTATCCACCTCCATTCAAGTCATCTACACCCAGACCTACATATCCTATAGGTTATGACCCAAAACTGCTCCTGCAGACCTAACCCTTCAATCATCCTCCCTCACTTCTACTAAATTTTCATTCTGCTGGTATCTTCCCCTCAGCCTATTCATGTGCTCATGTCTCTTCAGTCCATTCACAAAATAAATCTTTTCTTAACACCAAATTATTCTCTCTATACTTTCTGATTTCTCTCCTCCTCTTGTCATCCATATGAGCACAATACATGTCCATGGCTTCTCTTTGCTACTTTCTTGATATACAAAGCCACTTCCGGAACCCAGACCTGCCAGGTGGGAGTGAGGCAGTTAGTTCACTGCCTCATAATATCTTGGAGGCAAAATCGCAAGCATGGCAGAGTGTTGGGTTTAGTGGTCCGCGATTTCAAAGGCACGCTCACTGTCGCGCACACCCTCACACACACGCTTGGCCTTTGCTATTGTAGGTTTCTGGGATGGCACATCATTTCTCCCTTTTAGTGGGGAAAGTCTTTGAGCTTCCATTCAGTGGGCTCTTAGGAACTGTCTCACTTGTGAAGGACAGAAATAAACCCAGCAACTTCTCCATGACCTATAGTCCAGCCAGTAACTATCTTCACTATACCTCCTTGCCAGCCAGTAGCTGGAGAAGACATTGAATTACATGCTGGACTGATTATTGACCCCATCTTGAAACAGCTATTCAGTGCTGCCAAAATTATAACACTTACAAAAGAAAGAAAATGTTGGAGTTGTCAAGGTCAGAGCTACGGATCATATGACAGCTTATCCATCACCATCAGCACCAGCCTTGAGCTCTAGCTTTTGCTCACACTCTGGAAGTGGATGTGATATCATTGGTGACTATACATGGTGGCTGAAAGAGGCCAGTGCCAATGCAAATGTGATGGCTTGCCATGGTCATCTCAATCCTGGGCCCCTGTCTGTTGATGCTTTTAGTGTTTGTGCTGTTAACAGCTGCCCTTTTTTGTTGAAAGTAGTCAATCTCTTATTGTTTAATTAGCAGATAGTTGAAATGTTCCTATTATTTTCAGGAATCTAAATATCTTGGAGAGAAAGGACAAAGTCAGATACTGAGAGTAAGACATAATATCTCCTGGCTGAGCCACGACTGGTCTCACGGACCAGTCAGTAGTCAAGCAGAGCATCCCTCTTCCATATGGAGAACAAGGATCTCCTCCACAGCCAGAGACATCTGCTGCTGAGAAGGTTAGCTTTTTGTGTAGAGGAAATAACTGCAGTAGGTTATTACTCAGTAAGCTCAGTAGGTTCAGCTGGACTTCAACATCCAGCTTGACAAAGGCACATATGTATCCACATTAGGAAACGTCGTAAATGATCAAGAGGATAGAATCAGAGCTTTAGCCAAACAAGGTCACTTTATGACTTCCGAAAAGTGCAAGGGTCTTAGTTTCTGGTTTTCAGTTATGTACCTTGCTCAAGACACCTGACTTCTCTGGGTTTGTTCCCTCTCTAAAGGGGGTGGTCATATTTGCCCTACCTATGTCACAGGGGCTGTTAGGGCAAGATGAAGCCATAAGATTGACGAATTGTTATACAGGATAACTGAAAAGACGACTCTAAGCACACAGTATGTCATTCCTTCCACTGTAGTAAGACAGTAACAGGGATGTGTTATAGCGGGGTGTTGGGAAATTGACAGGACAGAGGATACTGGAGGACTAGTGGGGTGAAGGAGTAACTGTCAGGAAAAACAATAGAAGAAAGTCAAAATGGTATTCATCTGCTCTAGTGCAGGATGTTGATGGGGGAGAGTGGGGCTATGGGAACTCTACTTTCTCTCAGTTTTGCTGTGAATCTAAAACTGCTCTAAAAAAATTTTTTTTTAAAGTATTTGTTGGCCAGGCACGGTGGCTCACACCTGTAATCCCAGCACTTTGGGAGGCCGAGGTGGGCAGATCACGAGGTCAGGAGTTCAAGAGCAGCTGACCAACATGGTGAAACCCTGCCTCTACTAAAAATAGAAAAATTAGCCGGGCATGGTGGCATGTGCCTGTAATCCCAGCTACTCAGGAGACTGAGGCAGGAGAATAGCTTGAACCGGGAGGCAGAGATTGCAGTGAGCCGAGATCACGCCATTGCACTCCAGCCTGGGCAACAGAGCGAGACTCCATCTCAAAAAAATAAAAAAAGTATTTGTTAAATGAACTGGGTCCCCCACCCACAGTGATTTTGCAGTTTTGATGGTGTGTATTGCTCAGAAGCAGGGCAAGCCAGACAAGCCGTCAGGAGGCAGCAAAGAGAGAAAACATTCTACAGAGGCAGAATTCACAAGTGCCAGCTGCTTCCAAGATTGGGTGTGTGTCAGAGGACCCCAGAAAGCTCAGCAAACTGGACCGTAGGGCCACCATCCACTTGGAAGATGATTTCAGTGGTAGCAGGTAAGGGGGTCAGGAAAAGGTGGGTTTCGTGCCCCGAGGTGGTTCTGAGTCTCAATGGTAACGATAATCTGCCTCTTGCCCTCTTTGACTTTTGATTATGGGGTAGAAAATACATCTGTAGATGGATAGACAGGGCATAGCTCCCATAAAAACTCTGGGTTAAGAGTGTTTCTTGGGCATGGTGAGAAGTAGGTCATTTAAACAGTTATCTGAATTTAATTGCCTTGGAGGAATTTATGAAAATGCATGGATGAGTATTTGCAGGTGACTCTGGTATGGGCACTCCCCCACCAATTCTGCAGTAATCCACCCCTTTCTGCTCAGTCTCCCTCGCTTTAGCCCATGGGAAGGGAGGTTGACAATAGGGATATGGCTGCAGAAAATGGGAGAAAGGCAGAGGCACCCAACAAAGTCCACAGACCACAAGTCCAAGTACAAATTCACCATTTCCACAGTATACACATACCAAAAACATATTTAATCAGGTAAACAAAAATTCCAAATACATTGTTGCTTATTTATAAATATTGATTTATAATAATCCTAAACTTTTTTTTAACCTTAAAAAAATCATCCAAAGACTTCAAGTTAAATATATTTCAGGATTAGCCAGGGATTTTTGTTTTTCGAGGGTTGGTTTTTAACCACTTCTTCATCCAGCGGTCTATTATGAGAACACAACACAGTCCTCTGTCCCTTAAGCATGCAGGTTCCTTCTACTGCTCTCAGTGTGGTCTTGTCTGCCAGGCCTGTGATTCTCCCTAGGACTGTCTTTTCCTCTGGGAGGACTGACTCACCTGTGATTTGTGGTATTTCAAACTAGTGAAAAAAGGAAAAACAAAAGTGGCATTTGATTCCTAAGCTATTACTACTACCCAGGAAAATGCTTGCTGAGAGAAATGAACATAGCTTTGTGTATTGCATTCTAAAAATAACACCAAAATTGTGCTTTTGTAATCTTGTGCAGATTTGAGTTTGTGCTTTGATGTTTTCAAAGGAATCTTCAAGGTATTGGAAATACTTTGGAATCCAAAGTATTTGTTAGATACTTTCCAGTGAGTCCAGTCACTTTCCTTGGGCCTTCAGTTTTTTTTAGGTCTGGCCAGCAGATATTAATATCTCCCAAGATCCTTGGTTTATAATAGTTCTACATACCTAATAAAGCCCTGCTGGCCTGTTCTGTGATACTGATGACTCTTAACTATACCTCATCTTCCTTGACCTATAAGACTAGCTCCTTGCTTTTCTCATCCCCTTGGCCAAGACTTGGAGTTTGGCTTTGACTCTGGCTTAACTTACTTTGAGACCTCAGACAATTGCCCTGGATTCTGTGTCCCCTCTCCCAACCCACAAGGACAGTATGGCTCTGCTCCTTCTTATAGGCATATATGGCTAATCACAGCCATTCTCCTTTGCCTACAGTGAAGACGGTAATTTCCTCTCTCTCCCACAGGCTCCATCTGGGGTTCTGCATATATTGTGGGTAGCATCCCTGCCCTGCCTCTTAGGGGCTTGGAGGATTAGGGATTCTGTGAACCCAAGAGCCACAGCCAGGCAGTCACTCTGTCACTACAGGACAGAGCTGTCCTCAGCAACCAAGGGCATTTCTCAGGGAGAATGTCCTTTCTGGACTGTAAGGAAGGTCAAGCTGTATTTGTGCTATGATTTGGAACGTTACACCAGGCCCTGGGGATTTGATCATCTTTGATAGTCATTCCGGACAAATTAGAATGATTTTATCTTTGTACAAACAGGCCAGTAGCATAGAGGATAGACTTTTTCTTTTTTTTCTTTTTTTAGGCGGGGTTTCGCTCTTGTTGCCCAGGCTGGAGTGCAATGGCGCGATCTCGGCTCACTGCAACCTCCGCCTCCTGGGTTTAAGTGATTCTCCTGCCTCAGGCTCCTGAGTAGCTGGGATTACAGGCGCCCACCACCACGCGCAACTAATTTTGTATTTTTAGTAGAGACGGGGTTTCTCCATATTGGTCAGGCTGGTCTCGAACTCCTGACCTCAGGTGATCTGCCCATCTCGACCCCCCAAAGTGCTGGGATTACAGGCGTGAGCTACCACGCCCGGCTGAGGATAGACATTTTTAATAGAAAATCTCATTTTGGCTCCCTTAGACTTCTCAAGTTCCAGATGCTACTTAGCCTTTCCTCCCTGCTCTCTATTGCCTGCTCTTCCTCACCACATCCCTGCTTTTCTGAAAGTCCTTCCTTGCTGTGCAACAAATATGACAAAATTCCCAAGGCAAAAACCTTTAACACCTCCCATCTAGGATAACACTTATATTTTCAAGATTCTCACTTCATTATAGAGATCCCTATAAAAAGGAATAATACACCCTCCCCACAGAGATACTGTGAAGAAACACCAGTGGCTCAGCTTCAGCTGCACCCCAGGCATTGTGCTGCATGCTTTCCAAGTATTTCCTCATAGAATCCAGACAGTCACCCTGTGACGGAGGACTCCCTCAATCCTGTGTGTCTCCACATTGAAACAGATGACTAAACTTCCCTTCACAGATGAGGAAACTCATAAGTAGTGACTTGTTTGAAAACACCCATGTAATTGGAAGCACGGGATCTGAACTCATGACTTAACCATACCCACGTCTTCACCATCCTCACTATATCACACTTGCACTGGGGTAAAATGAGATAAAGCATTTGGAAGTACCTAACACAGCACCTAGCACATCATAGGCCCTCAAATGTCAAACAGGTCAGGCCCACAGAAGGCAGTCACATGCCAGCTCACTGCCTCCTCTTTATAGCCACATCATCCTCAGTTCCTTCCAGACAGGACACAGCCAGGGCTCAAGGCTGAACACATGTTGTGAATGTATCTTGTGGTCCATCCAGAGACATGTCTAATCTGCAAGTATCTAAGAGGCATATTGTCGGGATGGAAAATATTCAGGGAAATCTGAAGAGACTAACCATCTGTCATTGTATCAAAGCATTTTTCCTCCGTCTCCTGTCTCAACCCAAATTCCTTAGCCTATCTATTGCAAATATTTAGTCTCATTGGTTGTTCACTTGTTTACAGAAAGACCACATAGTAGCTCCTCAAATAAGAATCAAGGAACATTGGCACTAGATGGCCCTTGTCTTACACTCCTCAACTCTGCTTCTCCAGGAGCAGTGATCTACCTAAGATCACTCAGTGGCAATACCTGTGAACCTGGATGGGGTCATGCATGTAAGCAGGCTAGCCAGGTGGTCCTTGGTCACCAAGGCCGTGGACTACACGATAAGGGCAAAGGAATTCAAAACAAGAGTGCCCAGCCAGAGGCAAACAAGCTCTCAGGTTCATCCTTGGCTCTGCACAGCCACACCGCTGCCACCTAGTGTCTAAGGGCCTGAACTTCAGTCTTGGTGCCTCTGGCCAGGGAAATGGCTGTGTTGAGCTGTGTGTGTGCTCTGTAATGTGGGACTCCCAATGCCTTCTGGGTCAAAACAACCCCAAACCTGGTATCTGTGGCATAGCACAGGGACCCAATAAGGCGGAAATCTCAATGAAAGAGGCAGAGGTGGGCAGCAGTCCTAAATGTGGTCTTGTCAAAACCAGAAGACACAGGACTGAGTTGTTTAAGCTAACGAGTAGCCAAATGTCCCATGTGCCACTGTCCATGTGGTCCCATCAGGAAGGCTGCAGGCCTGCCACTGCATGGCAGTTTACAGCTAAAGAGCCTGGGTTTAGTGGGGGCACTTGGGGTTTCGACCTTCTGCACTAACGGCAGATATCCTCAGAAATGCTCTCAGGAACTTCAAAATGTGTGAAAATTCTCTTTTCCTTCTCCCCCACACCCCCTTCTCTCTTTCTCTCTAGCTGAATAAAGGCAAATTTGAATTCCTGAATATGGAAAATATGGTTCTAGCTGCCAAGCATCCTTCAAGACTTAGCTCAAACTGTCACTTACCTCATGGAGCCATCCCTAACTCCATATTTGGAAATACCCACCTCCCTCTGAAGCCACACTTCTTTCTATAACCACGACTTGACTTTGCTAGTTATTAGAATCGGTATCCACAGGTCCTGCTCCCTAAATCAGAGTGCACACTTTAGTGGTATTGCCTACAGAGCCTAGCCTGGTGCTTCGCATACACTGGATGTGCAGTGTCTGGTAGACGACTAAATGAATTGGACCTCAGTAAA
Source organism: Homo sapiens (assembly GCF_000001405.40). Taxonomy (NCBI): domain Eukaryota; kingdom Metazoa; phylum Chordata; class Mammalia; order Primates; family Hominidae; genus Homo; species Homo sapiens. The sequence goes on from NC_000001.11 coordinate 168,083,247, forward strand.
AAAAGGGAAACACAGTGAATCATTTTGTGAAATGCAGTATTTCTAGATTTAGATTAAATTCTATAATAGCCCAGCTAGTGTGGGGTCAGTGGGGGAGTGGGGGGCTGTCTCAGGATTCTTTCCCTAGAGCCCAGTCTAGTACAGTCAGGGGAACATTCTCCAACCCTTGCGTTTCAAAGCCAAGCTGCTGCACTCAAGAATGCCTACACCTAACCAGCAACCCATCCTAGAGATAAAGGTCTCTCTGCCCTGTTCCACCTCTGTGCACACTAGTTGATCAGGAATATGGTCCCTTCAGAAAGTAGACAAGTGCTAGAAAAAAATATATACAGGGAATATATATAGAAAACGTGAACCACACGCAGACGTAGGAATGCCATCCAGTGATGGAAGCAGAGTGTCTGACCTGCACAGGTGAACCTGCCCTCTGCTCCTTCCCACTCCCATCCAGAAGCTAGGCCAGCGCCTGGCATCCAGGTGACCCAGAATAGTTGAGTTCAATCACCACAGGTAGCAAGACTCCAGGCCTCATGAAAGGTCTTTTACAAACTGCAGACCAGGGGACCAGCTAACCATTGGTTTCTGCCACACAACACAAAAACACAACCTCACCAGGAGCTAGCTGGGCCCCAAAGAAAAAACCACAAGGGTAATTCACTTTCTAGAACAGCTGCCTCTCAGCAACCAGCAAGATCTCCTTGGAATCTACCTTCTGCCAACCAAAGCAGAGAAGTCCTGAACTTATTTAGTCATGATGCAGGCCAAGGGCAGACGCAAGAGGAGATCAGTGGCTTCCCAAGTCATCACAGCAATTACTCCAGGACCAAACTTCAACTGCTGTTCCAGCACAAAGGGAGGAGAAGAGAGGTTTAACCATCCCAATCACATTCCTGTGCTTCCCCTTCTGAGATGGTGACCCTGCCCCTCATGCATCTTGGTGGCTGGCATTCTATCCAGATTGTGCTCTAATGGACAGGGCAGACAAAGCCACAGAACCTTGATCTGCCTGCACTTCACATGTGCATGAGCAACCACACTCCAAAGTTATACAAAGGTCGGTCCGTGGGTCTGCTTTTGTGTTTTACCTATCTCTGCTTTACAAATCCTGAGAACACCAAAGGTCAGAGCTGGAAATGATCTTGGAGACCATTCAATCCAACTCCACTCTGTTTTCCCACTTTACAGAGGACCTAGAAAGGTGACAAGATGTCCAAATGACATGTGCACACAAAGACAGAGCTGGGCCAATAACCCAGGTTGCTGGCTGTGGGTCCAGGGCTGCTTCTATCTTATTTATACCAGGCTTGTGATAATAGTAACTGTTGCTCTTGGGAGTGTGCCATGCAGAACTGAGGCCAGCTATTTTCATTGGTCACTCAAACATCACACATAGAATCTATTTAATGAGGCTTTCCCATGTGAACAAATTCCCTTCCATAATAACAGTTTCTCTATTTCCTGGCTGTGCTTGGCACTACAGTCCCATTCAGTCCGGTAAAACAGTGGTACGTCTTAAATGGATTTTTTTTTTAATTCTGGAAATGAAACACCTAGTACCTGCCCTTCCTCTTGTCTTTTATAGTGGTTTCTCCCTTTTGAAATACCAAAGAACTTGTCAGTAGGGAAGTAGGCAGGGTGGGCCAGTCTGCAAGAGGCCTGTGGCTGTCCCTATTAGCACCAGCAGGTGGCGCCACTGAGGACCGCTCCGAAGCGCTCTGCTCCTGGGTGCTTTCTCTGCGGACCAGTCCTAGAACTGAGGGTCCCACACTGCCCGCATCAACCATGTAGAGGCACCAGGACGGTCGCGTGTCATTAGGAAGAAGTGCTGTGTCATCCTTCACAGTACACTGGGGAGGGTTCTCCTCCTGAGGCATCTGGCACAGTGCACGGCTGGACTCCCAGCACACTGTGAAGAGGAGGAAATGATGCATGTGGGGGTCTCCTTCCAAGCCCTTCGTCTCTGGTCCTCCCATGCCCCACCTCCCAAAAAGCCACAGCCACATCTCTAGATTTTTTTTTGGTTTTTTTTTTGCTTTAGATGCTTCTGGTCCCATCACTGGGACCTAAAAGAAGCTCACATGTGGTCTCTGGAAATGCTGAAGCTGTGGACTGTAGACATTATTTTCAGTCCTTGTCCTGGTGGCTGCATACCAGATGCTGCTCCTTCCCTGTGTGTGGCCAGCTGTACACAGTGACATGCTCCCAAGGCCGCGGCACAGGCGGTGATGGGAACTCCTCCCCGGGCCAGCCTCTCAGGCTGCAGCCCCACGGCACCCTGAGGCCCTCATCTCTGCTCGGCAGCTAAAACATCTCCTTCTTCGATGCTCTGCAACTGCAGCCTCTGGCTCACAAGAGTTCTGCTGCCTCGGCGGCCCCCGAAGCCGCCCCCCGGGACAGTCCGTGCTGTAACCAAGACCCCTGGCAAAGCCTCCTCCCCAAATAAGTTGATTTTGGCTTCGGCCTCAATGGCTTTGGCCAAGCTTGCTGCGTAACTGTCCAAGGACTTGTGTACTTCAGCTTTCACATGAAGAATCGAGTTCTTGGCAGCTTCTGAGGGAGAAGGCAGAAAAAAAAGTCAGCTGAGGAGCCAGGCCTGGGGACTACCTTGGGGACAAGCCTGCTGCTGCTCCACCACCCCGGGGAGGGAGACAAACCGCAGTTAAGGGCGTGGGTTTCAAAGTTCCATTCCTAGACCAAAAGCTGACTCCCTGACTTCCTACCTGGGAAATCTTGGAAAAAGTATCTAATCTAGCCTCAGTTTCCTCATCTGTAAAGAGAAGATATTAAGATACCTCTTACTCCAAGAAGTTACTGTGATAACTAAAGGAGATAATTCTTTCTAAGATGTTTGGCCTATGTCTGGCCCATAGAAAAGACTTGATAAATACTTTCTACTAATGCTAATCAACATTTTTACATCTTTGAAAGAGTATTCTGGTCTTTGAGCTCCCTGAAGCAGTGTAACAAAACTTCCACAAACCCTAATGTCATCTCTCTCCTCTCCATATTTGCTCAGAGATTCCCCATGCAGAACCTCAAGGTTGGACGTGACATTACAGGTTCAAGCCCCCTCCCAGGATTAGGAGCCCTAAACTAAAACGAACAGAAGTGAGAGGGGGGAGCCCTTCAATTTCACACCCTGTTCCCTGTTATTATTAACTCATTGCCTATTTTCTCTGGACATTTCAGGGGAACAATTTATCCTCTCCTCCTTACATTTTCTGGAAAGTAGGCAACCTGTACCCCACTCTCCAAGAGGGAAAGACTGGAGGGACCTCCAGCCACTCTCTGCCCTGCCACTCACTCATGGCAGGGGAGGACCCCCTGGCAGTGCCTTGCTCTTGCACCACCTGGAGGGTGCCTTTGGAGCTGCCACACTCACAAAGCAGGACTGATGGGGCAAGTGTGGCCCTACGTGGGCTGGGGGGTTGGGGAGCATTTAGTTCATTTTTTCCTATAGAAAGGCAATATATTATAAAGCCCATGAGGCTGCTGGCCCAAGCTCTGTTCTATAATCTGCTTTGCCAGTGAAGCGAATGAACTGTTTTCCACCTCTGACCTCTGTAACAACCTCTCCATTCATTCTGAACTCAGGGAGGGGTGTGGAGAAGAGATGTGATTAATTATGAACCTAAAACTCTGACAGAGGCCATATTTATTTCCATATTCAACATTTCTGAAGAGCCTCCTTACATCGGACAGCCCCTGGACTCCACCAAATCCACAGCCCAGTCATATTGGTATCTGGATGGCTCTTGTCACTCTCCTAATCAGCATGTCTGGATGGGAAACGAATTCCAAGTTCCAGAGTAAACAACAGTCCCTGGGGGTGAGCGGGGAAGATATAGAGTAGAAAAATGTAGGGATTGGGCTGCGGCAGAACTCATTCTCCTCACAGGACCCAAGGGCCATCACCGCTGTAGGAGCGACGGACAAGCAAGATGGCAGCTTTGGCCTCCAGCAAAGCAGATACACTCATTGGGCCATTATCTCATTTTCCACAGGAGGAAACTGAGGCTCAGGGAAAGCAGGTTCAGTTATAACCATACCTCACCCAGGATCTGGGCTGTGTGTGTAAACACGTGTGGGTGTGTGTGTGTGTGTGTGTGTGTGGAGTTTGACAGCCATTGTTTGCCCAGCCTTCGATGCTGCTTGCTCTGAGAACTGGGTGCCTAAGGACTCAGGTGAGACCAACAGGGCTGGGAGTAACCAGGGAGTGAGCAAAGGGATGGAGCCCTGATATATTCCGGGATGGGAGCCAGCCTGAGCCAAGGAATTGTCCTAAGATCCTTTCCGTTTCCCTATGTTTTCTTGAAGCAATCAGTCACAGAAGCCAACCTTTGATTTGTTCCACTTCATCCTCAAATGTCACCGAGCTCCTTCTCTTGGGTGGGCAAGTGCAGTGAGAGGGAGGGTTGTCATCAGACGTGTAGTCCTCAAGCAGCATCATATCTGTCCCTAAAACAACGGGCAGATTGTGCATATGTAACTACAATCTAAAGTCCTCCTGGCCTCTTCTCCCCTCTCAACACCCCTTCCACCCCTCTTCTCCCGTTCATCCAAACCCATCATCAAGTGGAGCTGACTGCGCCGCAGCACGTGCCCAAGAAACACCCGCCTGTCATCCTGTTTCAGGGAGTTTGCAGACAGCCGGTGGGGCTGCGTCAGCCACACAAAAAATGCAGCCAAGTTATCTGAAGTAGGGGGTTATCTGCCTCAATGACCAGACCCCAGAAGCATGGCATCTGCCGGCCCAGCATGGAAGGGAAGTGGGGAGAAGGGCCGAGTAGAGGAGAGGGTCCTACTAAAAGGAACTTTATATTCTGAGTGATTCTTCCTACAGTCTGAATTTCTATCACCACAGTTAAAATATGTTGTACTAAATAAACATGTAAAGCTCCAAAATGTAGAGTTCTTTGGGGATCAAAAAATAATTGACAAATTTTCCCCTAAAAAGCAGGGAAATAAAGGGAGAAGGTCAGGGAAGTCCTACTAGAGATAGGTGGGCAGAGCAGGCAGAGGGAATGGGGCAGAGGGAAGGGAGGGAAGGAAGAGCTGAGATGGGACCCATCACTCAACAGTGCCCTTCCCCAACACTAGGACCAGTGTCAGATCCAGCCCCGTTCTTAGCTTCCAGCTTTCAATCCATAAAGGCCTTGAAGCTCAGAAAATAAGGAAGAAAGAGAAACCTGGAGCTCTTTAGATGCTGTTTCAGAGCACCTCGCAGAGGTGTGATTACCCGACATAGAGAAGAAACAGTCCTTTGGGAGGTAGAATATGGTGGTTAAACACACAGGCTTGGGTCGGACAGACCTAGGATCACTGGCAGGTTATTTAATGCCTCAGTATCTTTCCACGTCTGTAAACCTGGGGTCATCATTCAGTCTACCTCACGGAGTTGTGGGGATTTTGAGTTGAGACATGTAAACATCTAGCATAGTGCTTGCACACAGCAGGGGCTAAATTGAGGGCCATCATTCCTGATAAGGACACAGCGAACAAAGGGCAGGGCTGAGACTCACACCAGATCTGTGTGCCCCGAAGCCCATGCTCTTTCTTCTGCCTACAGTGCTGTCCCCTCACTCCTTGCGCCGGGGCACCTTCCACGTATGCTTCAGCTTTCGACATCGCATGCTCAGAGCAGTCTCTCTAACTCCCCTACCTATAGCAGCCCACGGGCTCCCACTCCACTAGGGCTTCCCCTTTCACAGCTCTCGACACATTCATCATCTTTCAAAACCAGTTTTATAGAGATGTAATTCACATGCCATGTAACTGACTCATTTAAAGTATACAATTCAATGAGAATTGTATACTTTACAATCTTTATATACTTTACAGTTCAATCTTTTATGAACTGAAGCCTCCACAACAATGGCAGTTCACCACTGTGCCCCCAGCATCTGGCACAGGGTCCGGCCAAGGCAGGAACGTGGCAAATAACTGCTGAATGAATGAATGAATGAATGAATGTTGCAGTGCCTCTGGATCCCTTTAGTTGTCTGAGAACAGGGAAGCAGACTGGGGAGTAACAGAGACTTTCCTTAAATCACATGAGGGACTCAGGCCTAGAGGGCACAGTGTGATCAGTGCTTCATATATGACTCCGTGTGGTGCGGGGCCCTCTGGGTTGCCAGATAAGGAATTTTCCAAGGAAAATTCTCCATGACTAAGAGAGGTCATGGCCTGGTCCCGGTGCCAACCCCAAGGCTCACCCCTGAGTTCCATGACACAGGCTTAGGCGCAGCCCTGGAGCACTCATGGGGAACAGGAAACCCAGGTCAAGTCAGAGGTGGTTTTTCAAAGGCTCCCAAGAGCAGAGAGATGGAGGAGCTGGGAGCGGCAGACCCACTGCCAGGCATGCGGCTTTGTGCAGCTTCAGCGGCACTCCCTCCAGGCGCCAGTGCACCAACAGCCAGCCTGGGGATGGGCAGCAGGTGTGGCCAGACACCCTGGCTCTTCCTCAGCAATGTGGAGCCATGAGTGTGACTCCCTGCCTCTGCCCATGCGCCTCTGCCCAGGGCCTCCTGTGGCTCTAACAGCGTGCTTCCAGCACAGGATACAGCATCTGCAGCTCCCCACCTCCCCGGTGCCATGACTCTGATGCCAGGAAGCCGACTGCTCAGACAAGGAGCAGCCCTGGGCTTGCAAGATCCTTTAGGCAGAGGCTAAAGGGAGGGCTCTGCAGGATTTGTGGTGGAGATGCGTTTCTACAGGGAGACTGAGTTTCATATCAAAGGACATGGAGTGAGGAGACAAGGCCAGCTGACCTTGCTGGAGGGCTCCTTCTGTGCCAAGAACAAGATGAGTGCTTCACATTCATTAAGTCTCTCAATTCTCACAGCTGCCCTGTAATGGGGATTAGTACCCCCATTTCACAGATGGGGAAAGTTGAGGGTTTAGGAGGAGATCATGCAACTTGCTTGAGATAACACAGCTCTTAAAAAGCCAACTGGAGACTGAAGACCAGGCAGGCTGACTGCAAGGCCCCTCTGGGTCAGTGGTTATTATCATCACAATCATTTCTCATTTTAATTTTGCAAAGGCTTTCACTCACTTTCAACCCCCTAATAACACCGTGCGGCAGAGAGAACAGGAACTGACAGCCCCATTTTGTAGAGGAAGAAACTGAGACACAGGAAAGCTGAAAAGTCAAAGCCACGACTGGAAACCCAGACTTATGATTCTCACCCCCCACCCACCGTGGGAAATGCCCCTCCGCCAGCTCTTGAGCCTGCACAGGGGAAACGCGACACGGGGGAAACGCAACACAGGGAAAACGCGACAGGTGAGAGGCTTATAAAGCACGCAGGTTACCTGAGTCCTGGGAGCAGCTGAAGCCAGTGTCCCCCGTGCTGCTGCTGTGCCCCAGGGGCTGTCCACCTGCCATGAGCGCAGTGAGGTGTGGGGACAGGCCCAGGTCTGAAAGACAAAATTGGCATTGACAACACAATCACACTCTGCAAGGAGGGGCCCCAGCCTCCGTTTCCCCACAGACCCATCTCCTGCCCTTCTGTTCGCCCTTGCAAAACTCACTCTCAACTCCCTGAAAGACAGGAGAGCTTAGCTGCTCCCTCCTGGCTCGCCCCTCTTTTCTGTCCCACTGTGTCAGCAGCACTCACTGGGTTCCCCCAAAGGGGAAACTCTCCTGACAATGTCAACCACCACCAAGGTGATGACAGAGGGCCAGGGAGCACAATCAAAAAGGCAGGCAGGAGGGAAAATGTGAGGTGAGAAGATCTTCCCGTTAAAGATGGAGGGTTCAACCCCACATTCACCTCCTGAAATCCTACTTGAATTATCAAAGAGGGATTTTTAAGAGGCTTACACCCCAAAGGAAGGAGAGAATTTTTGTAAGCTGGAAAGCAGATGGTTGAGAGTGATGAGCTGACCCGGAATAGAGAACTGAGGTTGGCAACGGGGAGGTTTGGGAGAGGCAGGCTTCACCAGGCTCTGAAAACTCAGGAACGGGGTTGGGGGGTAGGGGGCCAGGAGCCACTGCTCTTCTCCAGGCTAGGCCTCGGGCGCCAGACCCCAGTGTTGGTAGGAGAGGAGAGAGAGTGAGCCCCGGGCACAGCCGCGGCAGAAGCGACCCAGTAAAAACTGAGGGTATTGTGGAAATTTACATATTAAGTAGTGGGACCCTGGCCCCTTGTCCCACTTAACCTGGGCTGGAGACTGCAGAACTCTTCCCTGGGAAAATCCACCAAGCCTAGAGGAAAGACTCACAGGCACTGAGAGTCAGGTGCCTGTGAAATGGCCCTGCCAGACCAACCCACAGTCAGGAAGCCTGCCTGCATCCCACCACCCAGGGCTTCCCTGTGGTTTTCTAGGCCCTCGTTATTAGAGGTGAAGGGGTGCCCAAGGATCACTAGACATTTAAAGGAAGGTACTAGCGTGAAAGACAGAGATGGGAAAAAAGAAAAGAAAAATGGACCTCAGAGGATTCAATGCAGGGAGCTTAAGAGAGCAAAAAATATTACAATGGGTCATCCTCAGAATGTTAGGAAAATAAAAAAAAGAGCTGCAGGCTATGAAAAAAGGAACATGGAGATAACAAAACGCTCTTAGAAATTAAAAACAAAGCACAAGAAGTCAAACTCCTGGGAGCTCATGAAGAAGATCCACTGCCTGGCAGATTTTGCAATCTGCCATAAAGGACACTCTTGTATTTTATGATACACTCACAGATAGGAGGAGACCTGTTCCTTCATTCTACCCTAATTCTTCAGAGGTTACAAGGCAATAGAATGCACTTTCTCCTTTCTTCCCTGGAGCCAAGGAGGACATGGTGTGGGAAGGCGGGGTGGTCACAGCAGGCTTCTCTCAGAACTTCCCTCTCGCTGCTTTTGGGAATCCTGCTTTTGCAAGGGGACTTCCTCTTGACTGGGGGTTACTGTAGGGAGCTGGGACCAGAAAGGCCCCAATCCTTTCCCCTGCACATGCCCATCCTCCCAAGGTCTCGGCCTGAGAACATGACTGTGTTCAGCAGGAGGCCTGGCTTAGGGAGCAGAGCCTGTGGGGGCATCTCCTGCCAGCTGGGATGGCTGAAGCCGCAGTGGGTTTTGGACACCATCTCTGAGGCTGCAGTGAAAGCCAGGAACATGTCGGTCTGCACCAGTGGGAGGAATGGTCTGAGCCAGGCCAATGCGGCTCAGCTAAAAGGTCTGGAAACGGGGCAGCCAGGTGGCATCCCTCTCCTCTGTGTTTATGCAGCATTTACCAGCAGAGGGTGGAGACAATTACCCTGAGATTGTTCACATGAAACAATGTATTTACTGGGCTGAGCACAATCCAACCCCTCAAGAAAAAAGCACAAAGGCACAGGCTCGGGGAATCAGGTTTGTGGCTCTCCAGAGGCATGCGGTGAGCAACAGTCACAGTGCTCTGAGAAGCTGAAAGAACAGGGGTGTGATTCTGAGATAAATTTGCAGGTACTTTGAGCTAACTACAAGACCTCTAGATGCCCCCAAGCAAAGGAACTTAGGAAGGCAAGGGAGTAAATCCAAAGGCTCTGGGGTCACCCTCCCCGCCCTCAAGCTAGGCCTTCTCAAGGAAGAACCTGGAGCGAGGTGTTTTCCCCTGGACAAACGTGAGTCAGTGTCCTTCGCAGGAGATAACGGGAAAGGCTCTATGCCCAGGAGCTTCAAGGGTCTCGTAAGGGCGGCGTTTGGAGGGGGTGCCCCCTGATACTGCCTGGGCCACCCTCCCTGGCTGGGGAGAGGGGTGGTGCTCGGGCTCTCCAGCCCTGGCTGGAGTGAAGGTTCTGGGTCGGCCAGCGGAAGGGCAGGTGGAGGGGCTGCCTGCACTTTCTCCTGAAGCCTCTTCTTGGCTCCCATTGCCAGTAGCCACCAGTCAGCTTTGTATTGGTGCTTTACCATCCTAAGACCACCTGGTAGCATTTAGCAATGTCCATGCAGGGCTGACCTATCTGCCACATGGTGGTGCTGCGTGGCAACCTCCAGGAAGTCCAGAGATCTAAATTCCTAAGTGACCTTCCCCGTGGGAATTGGCTAAGGAGACCTTACAAGCAGAAGGTATTTGGTGGCCCAGCGACATTTGGCACCCATGGAAAGCCTAAGATTTTGTACTTCCTCACTTTGGGACAAACAGAATGAGAGAAGCAGAACCACTGATTATGGCTGAAATCTGCTAGATATAAAGGACACACTGTCAACTGCCCAGGAGACTCCTGACATCCAAGTCAGCTGGGAAGCTCCAGAAATGTGTGGGATTCTGCTTCTGCCTTTGCTCATATGCACTGCTTTTAGGAAAGCTTATTCCATTTACTTTGGTTAAACCTTTCCAAGTGCCCATACAAATTGAGAGGAACAGAATCAAGAAAGAGCCTCCAAGTTGCTTCTTGCTGGCTCTGAGACAGATCAGATCATCCTTCATACCTCTAGTTAACACTAAGGTGAGCCAGTGGCAGGGGAAGTGATTAGGGTTTCAGAATCTGCTGCAGATCAAGGCCTTGCCCACAGAGGGTCTGGTCAGCCCTGGCTCAGACAGAGGGACCAGGGACACAAGGCAGAGGCCAGGGCTCTCTCCTGCAGTCAGAAAGCCATGGACAGCGCAGGGTGAGCGGCTGGGCTGGGGCGCCACATTCTGCTTTGGTTCCCAGACTCTTACTGATGCTGCTGCCTCCTCCTGGGATCAGGACCTTCAGGGAAGAACAAGAAGAACCATCCCCCACCCCCACCCCAGCTCCCATTCCTCGGAAAGACCAATAACTTGGAACCCATTCCATAAGCTCTTCAGCCCAAAGGCATCCCACAAGCCTGCTTTCCCTAAATGAAGATGAGACCACCAGCTGCCTGGGATGTGCCAAACCAACCACAGCTGGTGTTTTCCGCCTGTGCTCACAGCTTCACCAGCTCTTCTAGGACACCTGCAAGTGACTTGCATGGAAAATCTTGGCCTCAAAAGCAGGTGTTTCTTTTTGTTCTACGAACCCTTTCCTGCTCCATTTTCTGTCCTCATTTTTTTTCCTTCTTCATTTTAACTTCATTGATCTAGAAAACATCTATTTTTTTTTGCCTAGAAGACAAGTGAGTTTACAAAATCTGGACTAATACATTAATCAGTGAAATGAAGCCCAACATTGAATGGACTCCTGGATCACAGGTCATATGTGAAAATGTGGGCTTGCAACTGGCAGGGGTGAGCATTTCAGTGGTTAAAATACTGAGATACAGAGAAATGTTTTCTCCTATGGTTAAAAGTCCCAGACTTCCTTCCTCTCTTGGAAATAAAACTCCATCAGCCCGTGAAATAAATCAGTGATGCCATTGTGTCTCATCGCCACATGGAAAGGATCTCCTGTCATCATTGCCACTGGGTGTGCATAATTAGAGTCATTTCTTTCACCCTCTTGAGAAGAAAAGTGGAAGAAAGACCTATTTCATGAAGATGAGAAATTAACTAGAGTGGTTTGAAGAGTTGCCCGAAGTCATCTGGCAAGAGATTAGGACTGTAGTCCAAGCTGAATGTTCTCCAAATCTCTCCCAGTGGCTTGGCCAGGTGATGGTCTCCTTTCACCTTGGCCCTAAAAATCCAGCTACTTGACCTCAAAACTACACAGTAAAAATGCTAGAGGCAAGATCCACAAATGTGTCCTGAGTCAGTGGGAAAGGGCCAAAGAGGAAACAGGGTATTTGCATCATCTCAAAGTATCTCCTCAGTTGTATTTATTAATTACAATGGGAAAATCAGCAGCTTTACTGTGGAGAAAGCTGACAGGCACCACCTTAACCGAGAGATCAAGAGCAACACAACTAGCAATAAGGCATATTGGCATATGTGCCCCCTGCTATGATGTACAGGAAGGGCACATCGCCCCTGTGGCATTTTTGCCAAAAATGGATAACCTCATTCTAATCTTGAGAAAGCATCAGATGAACACAAATTAAGGGGCAGTCTACAAAATACCTGGTAAGTACTCTACAAAGCTGTCAATGTCATAAAAGACAAGGGAAGAGTAAAGGATTGTCAAAGATTGACTAAGACAATATGGGATCCTGAGCTGGATCTTTGGACAAACAAAGGACATTAATGAAAAACGGGTGAGATCTGAATCAAGTTGTAGTTAATGGCACTGCCCCAGTGTTAACGTTTTAGAGCTGTGGTTGTTCAAGACAGTAACCCTAGAGGAAGCTGGGTGTGTGGGAATTCTCTGTATTGTTTTTCCAAGTCTTCTGTAAATCTAAAATTATTTCAAAATAAAAAGTTTTAACAAAAAATCTAACCCCTAACTAGAGTAATTCCACTGGGTCCCATCAAAGGTGGTGGGATTGTGTCCGGAAACCTGTGCACACCGGATCAGTCATCAGAGGAAGGAGCAGCCTCACACGTACAAGGCCATGATGCTTCGATGGAAGGCTGAGGTTTGGCATGGACACCCCCGGATTGTCTGGGACCATCTGAGGAGATCACTGATCTGTGAGGAGGAGGAGGATGGTTGAGGAGGAAGACAGCAGCTGAGGTGGGGAGGGGGTGCTGACAAGAGGAAACACTGAAGGAAAGGATGTGGATGTGGCTGTGCCAGGAGAAGGTGGCCTGGTCCAATGCTTGGATTCTTTTTCCTCTAGTAAAGAATATACTCCAGGCCTGGCATGGTGGCTCACGCTTGTAATCCCAGCACTTTGGGTGGCTGAGGTGGGCGGATCACTTGAGGTCAGGAGTTTGAGACCAGCCTAGCCAATATGGTGAAACCCGTCTCTACTAAAAATATAAAAAGTAGTTGGGTGTGGTGGTGCGTGCCTATAATCCCAGCTACTTGGGAGGCTGAGGCACGAGGATCACTTGAATCAGGGAGGCAGAGGCTGCAGTGAATGGAGATTGTGCCACTGCACTCCAAGCTGGACAACAGAGCAAGACCCTGTCTCAAAAAAAAAAAAAAAAAAAAAAAAAAAGAGAGAGAGAACTAACTATACACACTCTGAGGCCAGAGGGCCAGGGCTGGGGTTTCAGAAAGCAGATTTCTGGACCGTGGTGTCCCCTGTCCCATTCTTTTGGGACACATACCAGGGCACCAGGGAGCTCTGCTGGCCTTGTCAGCATGGCCGTGAGCTACTGAGTGACAGGAAGCTCCCTGGCAATCACAGCGGAGCCTCTGGAATGTTTCTTCCGAAAGGAAATCTGTGCTTTGAGCCTTACCGCCAGTCAGCCTGAGAACTCACCCACAAACAGGCCAGAGTGGCTGAGAGGACCACAGATTTCATCTGCCTCGGAGGGGCTATCCTAACAATGCCCAAGTTACCTGTGATCCTGTTGGAAATGCTGAAGAGCCTGGAAGTCCTCTGTCGTTGCACAAATGGTTCCCGATAATACCGGTCCCCAAAGCACATGCCCAGTAGTTCTTTGCGAACTGTCTTGTTCCAGAGTCCATAGATCAGGGGGTGGCAGACAGCGCTGGCAAAGGACAGCCATGTGGCCCAAGTCTCCAGGCTCGGGGAGACGGAGCTTTTCCCCCAGAGGGCCTCAGAGGCGATGACAACCATGTAGGGGCCCCAGGTGACCATGAAGGCACCGAGGACCACCAGGATGGTGATGAGGGCTTTGCACTGGTTGGCCGAGTAGACCACACCCTGAAAGGCATTCCTCCTGCTGCCTGAAGAGGAGGTGGAGGTGCTGGAGTTCTTCCTCCCGGTCCTCTGAGCATCCTCCTCCACGATGACGACTGTGCCACAGTGCACCTTGCGTGCCTTGACCCTGGCCACGCGGAAGATGAAGCCATAGCACACCAGCATGACCAGAAAGGGGAAGAGGGCACACCAGATCTGCCAGAAGGCCGTGTAGCCAGGCTCCCGGTGCCAAGCAGCCACACACATCCATTTGAACTCGTCAAACTCCACGGATGACCAACCAAACAGGGGTGGCAGGCAGCCGATGAGCGAGTGAAGCCAGATGTAGACAAGTGCCATCACAGCCCGGTTCCCTGTGATCTTCATGGGGTACACCATGGGGTACAGGACAGCATAGTAGCTAGAAAAGGGATGGAGGGAGGCAAGAGAGAGAAGTCAGCGGAGAGAGAAAACCGCTGCCTTCCTGCGTCAGGGGCTCCCATGACTGGGTTGGATGTTTCTAAAAGCAGCACCTTCTCCCAAGTCTCCCCAGACAAGTTATATAGACTGCATCGTGTTCCACAGCTCTGCAGAGCTCTTTAACAGAGAAGAGCTCAACACTGGCAAGACACAGAGCTCGAACAGTCCTGTTTCCAAGTCATCACACCACAGCCCACTCATATTTGGGGGTGTGGCCAGTCTTAAGATACCTACAGAGGTCCTGAGGGATTATGCATTGGGCCAGATCAATTCTGCTGCTGCTGACAGCAGAATCATCCATTTACATCAATTTTCAGAGGGATCATTAAGAACCAGAATGATGTTGAAGGACTACGGGCTTCATTCAACCAATGGACATTTACCAAAGGCTTGCGATGTGCCAAGCACCGCGCTACCTCCTGGAAATGCAGTTGAGAAGATGTGAGGGAGGCAGACACCTGAGCCAAGTATCAGGGCCTGGAGTGGTAAGGGCCACATTGAGTCCTCACAGCAACTGTGAGCAGCGGATATGTCATTATCTTCATTTTACAGATGAGGAAACTAAAGCAGGGAAAGGCTAAATAACACACCCCAGACCCATGGGAGAAAGACAGAAAGCCAGGCGATCTGACTCTACAATCCCCAGTGCACACGCCCAGCAATTCTGTGTAAGCCTTCTTGTTCCACAGCCAAGGGGGCGGGTCCGAATCACTCAGTGCTGCTAGGTAGGAGGTGGGCCAGGAGGGCTATCCATTCAAACTGGCAGGCTTCTGGTCCAGCACAGAGGGTCACAGCAGGCTCCTGTTGGAGGTGATGCTCCAGACCCAGGTCTCACAGCGTTGGAGGCACTGACCCAGGACCACCCCAGGCAGAAAGCTAGCCTGGCGAGGTATGGAGTTGTGAGTGAGCACCAGCTCAGCAGGGAGGCTGCATGGAGCTCCACCTGGCAGGAGAGAGAGTGCAGGATGGAGAGAGGAGGAGAGAAGGAAGCAGGCCGGGTGGACGGGGCCGGGGCATGCAGAGCTAAGGACTGTAGGCCCAGCTAAGGACTGGCCCTTTAACTGGAAAGGGTGGGAGGACTCAGACCACAGGGCTGAAAGTCAACCACCACCCTCCCAACCCCGACATTTTATCCAAGGGAAATAGGATGTTCCCATGAGGGCAACATGTGTAAGGGACGGGTGGCCACACTGATGCCGCCTGGCAGGACGTTGGGAAATGACTCTGGCTATGTGCCTCACACATCGCCTGGGAAGGTGGCTCCTCCACAGGGACCGCCCTGAGTCACCCTTGGGCCCCAGCAGCTGAACTGCCACATGCTAACTGGAGGTGCTGCCTCCTTGGTCTTCCTAAGCAGGGGTGAGCCTGGGGCTGCTCTGAGCTGAGCCTTGAGCCCAGGCCAGGATCTATCCTGGAAAGAGAGCATTTCCGGCTATGCGGCCTGAGGAGAAGATTGCGCAGTGATTAGGGTGTCTATTACAGAATCACTGCACAGTGGCTGGGTAAGGTGATTACTGTCTTTCGCTGCTATCTGGGCTTGCATCTTGCAAAGGCCGTGCAGCCCAAGGGAAAAAGCATGCCTTTGGAGCTGGAAATTCAAGTTCAGATGGAGGCTCTGATGTCTATTAGCTATGTGACCTCAGCTAATTGATGTAACCTCTCAGAGCTTCAGTTCCCTCATCTGGAAAATGGGAATTCTGGCACCCACATCACAGGTCTGCTCCTAGGAACGAATGAGGAAGATCATGGAAAAGGCCCGGATGGTGCCTACCCTTCAATGGGGGACTGGCCATCGACCTTTCCCCCTTCCTCCTTGAGGACGAAAGCCCTACACTGCTCCTGCTTCTGCGATGACCCCCAGGGGACACTGGCCCTTTTGAGCCCTGGGGGGCGAACAAGCCCCATGGTGGTCTTCTTCCCCTTGTGGGTGGCCTGCTGAGACTCGGACCTGTCTGACGTCATTCTGGCAAATGAAATGTGAGGGGGTTGCTAGGGGACTGCAGGGAGGGGAGCAGTGGGTCTAGGAAGGTTTCCTTCACTTTTCAAAAGAAACAATGCAGAGATTTCTACTTTTTTTCTATCCCTTTAAAGAGCACACAGACGCTCCACCCTGTCACCTCGGTAGTGTACGGCCGGTTGTGGGAGCCAGGCCTGGTGAATGTTCACTGTAGGCCTCCTTCCACCGACTCTGTTTGGCGGCCATAAAAATGATTACAATTAATGTGCTGTCCTCTGCCAGATTTCCTTCTGGCTCTTCTCAACACCCAGTTATTATTACTACTTTATGGCAAGACTTCTCCTTTATTGTAACAAATGGTACCCATATCACTCACTGACTGAGGTTCAGGCACAGGGAGTTCCAGTGTGACATGACACTGATTTCTGCCAGCTGCATCCTGAGTGCCATCAGGAAGCTGGGGCAGTGAAGCTGGGTGCTGGCTCAGTCAAGGTCCACCTCCTACAGGCAGAAAAGCCCCACAGGCACAGCCCTGCCCATGTACAGCCACGTCCTCCAGGGATTATTTTGTTTTTAAGTTTTTTTTTTGGGGGGGGGGGGTTGGTGTGGATAAAATGTATGTACATTGAAATGCACGCATCTACACCTCTATCAAGATACAGAACATTCCAGCCAGGCGCAGTGGCTCACATCTGTAATCTCAGCACTTTGGGAGTCCAAGATAGAAGGATTACTTGAAGCCAGGAGTTTGAGACCAGACTGGGCAACATAAGGAGACCACATCTCTACAAAAAATAAAAAACAAAATTAGGCAGGTATAGTGGTGTGTGCCTGTAGACTTAGCTATTTGGGAGGCTGAGGTGGAAGAAGGATCACTTGGGCCCAGGAGGTCAAGGCTGCAATGAGCCATGACTGCTCCACTGCTGCACTCCAGCCTGGGTGACAGAGCAAGACCCTGTCTCAAAAAAAAAAAAAAAAAAAAAAAGGATATAGAACAGTCCTGCATCTCCTCAGGAAAAAATGGGTATATGTGTTCTCAATCACAGATTTATAAAGTCGTTATTTGCAGCAGAAGCCTCATTTAAGCCTAGTTGAAGATTTAAGGGAAAACAACAAAAGCAACTCCCCACTCCTATGTGGGCTAATAATACAGGCCAAAAGAGAGGGGTTTTCCTTTGCTCTCTATTCTCTTAACTGTCTTGAGGCTCTCAATCTTTCCTCCAACTCATTTTTAGACATGAGCCCAATCACGACCCTTGAACCCTAAAGAGGCTTTCATGACGTCACAGGTAACTGAAAAGTTGTAATGTGGGAAGGGGCTTCCGATGCTTCAGGCTCCTGCCACAAGACCAGCCACTTTGACAGCAAGCCCTGCTCTTAGTAAGTTGTCTTCAGTGAAAACAGAAACAGAATCTAAGCCAATTTCACCTAACAAAGGGGCAACACATTAACTTCCATGGAACAGTCTCCTAAAAGCACTAGTCATCTTTGCTAGCCCTATCCATCCCATTGTTCTAGCTACTTTCATGTACTGAAATTCTATTTTTAGACCTGGAGTTTCACCTTCTGTGATGTGGAATGAAAATATGAGAACTATTTCCACAGACCTGGAACTCCAGCAGCTTGGCAGCGATGATAGAGGTGACCACCATTACAGACTTCTAAGTAATGGACGTTCACAGTGGAACCGCTGGCAGGTCAAATGGTGTCCCCAGCACGCCCTACTTTCACTTGGCTGGTTTAGGACATTGACAAACTGTGAATTTCGCTCCAGGCAGCCATTCTTTTTATATCTGTCTTTGCTCTCTTTTCATGGGGCTACAAGATGGACTCTTTGGGTTCATCTGTCCAGCCAGTTTCTTTTTTTTTTTTTCTTTTTTAAATTTTATTTTTATTATACTTTAAGTTTTAGGGTACATGTGGACAATGTGCAGGTTTGTTACATATGTATACAGGTGCCATGTTGGTGTACTGCACCCATTAACTCGTCATTTAGCATTAGGTATATCTCCTAATGCAGCCAGTTTCTTTAGCTAAGGTTCTCAGCTGGGAACCCCTGGGTATACGTGGCAACGTCTATAGACATTTTGGGCTGTCACGACTGGGGAGGTGTTCCAGCATCTGGTGGGTAGAGGCCAGGATGCTGTTGTATATCCTACAAGGCATAGGACAGCTCCTCACCACAGAGAATTATCTGGCTCGAAATGTCAACAGTGCTAAGGTGGAGAAACCCTGAGCTACGCTAGCTGGCTGCTGGAATGACTGGCAGCACTGAGTTGATGGTGTACAATGACAAAGCGTCCAGGCTCGGGCATCTCAGAACTGGGAGAGTTACTTCCCAGCCACGTGACCTTGGGCAAGTTACTTAAGGCCTCAAAAACCTCACTTTGCTCATCTGCAAAATCGGGGCTAACAAGGTTACCATGAGGGTTAGCTGAGCTAACTGTTGATAAACGGCATACATAGTGCAGTGCCTGGAATATGACAAGCGTGTAACATTTTATAGTTAAAATCACGCCCACTGCCCTTGCTATTCTCCACTTCTACTTTCTTTTTCTTTTCTTTTCTTTTTTTTCAGATGGAGTTTTGCTCTTGTCACCCAGGCTGGAGTGCAATGGCATGATCTCGGCTCACTGCAACCCCTGCCTACCGGGTTCAAGTGATTCTGCCTCAGCCTCCCAAGTAGCTGGGATTACAGGTACCTGCCACCATGCCCAGCTAATTTTTGTATTTTAGTAGAGATGGGGTTTCACCATGTTGGCCAGGCTGGTCTTGAGCTCCTGACTTTGGGTGATCCACCCACCTCGGCCTCCCAAAGTGCTGGGATTACAGGCGTGAGCCACCACGCTCGGCCTCAGCATGTTTATTCATCTTATTCAGCTATGTATTCCCAGCACCAACCACTGTGCTGGGCATATAATAGGTGCTCAATAATTGCTTACCAAGTGAATACACAGAAGCTGCTCCTTCAGTCAGAAGGGGCCTCTCCACCTGTTACGTACCTGCTATCCTACTTGCTGTTTAGGAACCTAGCTCAAATGCCACCTTCTCCCTGAAGCACTCACTGCCAGCCCATCAGCAGCAGTGGCTGGTGGAGTTGTCGATGGTGGTTATTTCTACTTTTGTGTTAAATCGGCGCCCACAAGTCAGCCTCTGCCACTCAACTGTAAACCCCTGGTGGGCAGGGTCTGTGTCCTGCTCATGCTTGTAGCCCACCACTCCAAGGATTGGGCACAGGCCTTTCCTGGAGTAGACATCCAACCAATATTTCCAGTGTGAAATAAGGCCCTGAAAGAGGTAAACCCTCTCTCAGATGAAGTACTTTGCTGGCATGATTTGAGGATTTGTCATGCTTGCTGGTAGAAAATCTCATTCTCACTCATCTAGACCCCAGATTTAAGCAAGCAGCTTACAGTCTCCTGGAGCTATCCCTGCAGATGACTGGCATGTTTACTGAGCATTCATATAGAGACAGCTCTGAGAGGAGCACTTAGAGACCAGCTCTCCATCTCTGCAACTAAGCTGTTTAGCCTCACTCCATGTTCCACGGGACCCAGGGCCCAGAAAGGGATGTTCAAAACTTAATAATTCAAAAAAAAAAAAAAAGTTAAAACAACAAGATCCCATTCCTCCCCACTGCCAACAAACTTCCAAACTTTTTTTTAAAAAAAAATTATATAATCAGTCCTGATAGGCTATTGACAAACAGCTGCTGAAATACAAATTTGTACAACTTTCTGAAAGGTCATTTGCCTTTTATATATCAAGAATCTTGAAAGCATGTTTACTGTTACTGAGAATATAGCAATTACACAAACACACATGCTCCTCAGAATGCTATAGTGAATAGCAAGCTATGTGAAGTCATCTAATCCAGTAACAGGGGACTGTGAAAATAATTTATATACCTCCACAGGATGGAATACCTCGTAACCATGAAAAATCACCTTCTTCAAGGATATTTGAAAATAAGAGAAAATGCTCACCATCACCTAAATGAAAAAAGGAGGACAGAAAACCATAGGAGCCAGAAGCCTATTTCAAAAATTTGCTGTATACAACCAAAAATTACTGGAAGCAAATATACTAAAAACATCAACAGTGATTGTTTCTGATGGTTAGATCATGTGTTTCTAATTTCATTCATTATATTTTCTGGATTACCTCTACTACTCAGGGAAAAAAAAAAAAAAAGAGAAGCTAATTGATTTGTTTTGAGCAATGGCTTCATTGGTTCTGCCTCCCCAGTGCAGCCACAAAGAGCTGCCAGATTCCAGCCTCAGGTCTAGGTGCAGTCTGTGCTCCCAGTGGACAGTTCCACTACCACTCATCGACTGAAAAACTGACAGTCTCAAAAAAGCCCGGGGACTTGTGTCACCCAGTGACAATATCCCTGGCTAGCCCCACTCTGTGTTTTCCCTAACCCCACTACTTACTCTCCTCCCCAATTCCTGGTAAATGACACAGACCTTGAATCTATCCTCCCTGTCCTCATGAAGCCCAACCTGTGCCTGTGATGAACGCAGTGGCCATTAGCAAAATTCTAATAAATGCACTCATTTGTGGGAAACTCGCTGCCAAAGCCCACAAGACTTGTACAACTAAATCTGACAGCATAATGCGGGACCCTGAAGAACCCGCGAGATGCTGCTTAGGAACATCAGCTGCGCCTGACCTCCCCGTGCATCAGCTACGTTGAGGGCGGGAGCAGCCGAGTTTCCAAATGCACACGGCCTCTCCCCGGTGTCACTGCCTGTATTCTCTGGCTGTCTTCCTTCCCCCTGCTCTCCTTTCAGTCCTGGACTGTGGGCAGTGAGGGTGTTCCCTGTTCGGGCTGCACTAGTCAACACCAAAGCAAGACAGAGCAGGGGTCACACTGGGAGAAAGAGAAGCAGAGTCAGAGGCCCTGGACCCAGTGCTGCCCGGAACTGAAACCTGCCTTGGCTTCGGCTTCTTCATCTACAAACCAAGAATCAGAGGTTTCTACAATGTTTTATTTTAGGCGATGGAAGCTCTTTTTAAAATATAATATTGTATGTAACATCCACAGACAAAACGAGATGTGCTTTGGTTGAAGAGATGGCTCCAGAGGCAGAACTCCACCTGGTCATCCTCCCCCAGCAAGGGCCCCTGACACTCTCCAGGGAACTAAGGCAGTCAGAGGGACACTGCACCAGATGAGCGCCCGTCAGTAATCCCTCAATTCTCTAAGTCTGAGGCATGCTTACCGGTCGATGGCAATGACCCCGAGGGTTAGCATGCTGGCAGAGCTGATCAGCAGGTAGAGGAGGGCAGAGAAGTTGCACCACACTACACCAAAGATCCATTCCCTGCGGATGGAGCTCGTCACCACAAAAGGCAGCACCAACACGGACAGCAGGAAGTTGGACAGAGTCAGGCTGAAGACGAACTTGTTGCTGAGGGTGAGGAGGTAGGACTTCTTGTACAAGGTGACCACGATGACCAGGTTTCCCAGGCAGACAAAAATGGTGATGACAATGATGGCGATGAACTGGGTGATGATGACGCCCCCTTCGCCACCCTCCTCCTCAGTGAGATTACTCAGCTCCTTCCTGCAGCTGAGGGAGGAGTTGAGGCTCATGGTCAGTGCACCTCGGCGTGGGGTGGGCAGAGCATGCTGGACGACTGGAAAGATAAGGCAGGACCAGGGGACAGGAAAAGATTCATCAAATCACATCGTCTCCACCTTAGGGAAGAAAGGCTTAAAGGGGTTAAGTGCTACGCCTCAGATCACCCAGCTAGTACAGACTCTCAGCGGGTCTTCCCCACGTAAGCGCTACATAAGTGGGCCATTTTCTACAACCATGTGTGAAATTCATTACATCCCCCTGACCAATTTCTTCCTCTGGTCTAACCCATCCTATCCATTTTCCCAAGACCAGTGGTTCAAAACCTTTAATGTGCTGAAGAATCGTCTGAAGTGCCAGTTTAGAAAGCTGATCCTTGAGCTCCACCACTAGAGGTTCTGGGCGCAGAGATCACAGGCACAACCTAGGAATCTGCATTTTAAACAAGCAGGCTGGGGCAGGGGGCAGGGGGCTGTTACAAGTGGTCTATGGGAGACACTCTGCAGACTGCTGTGTTTAGACCCTGGCTACTCAGGGTGGGCCCTGAACCAGCAGGATCACCATCACCTGAGAGCTCACTAGAGAGGCAGAACCTCAGGCTCCGCATCTCCATCTCACGGAATCAAATCTGCATTTTAGCCCACCGCCAGTCAGTTTTGGTGCACATTACAATTTGACTGTAAGATTCTCATGGGAATTGTTCTGAGCTCCCTAAGCAGGGATTAATCAGGTACAGTTTATATGGGGACGTCATTACTGTTCTCATCAGACACGGCGAGGGAGGGCAAGCACTAACTGTAAATGGGGAAGTAGAGGCACCATTTGAGGTCTTGGCCCACAGACATCACTGTCTATAAGGTGCAGTCCCTGCCCTCAGGAAACTGGCTTGGGATCTTGGCTAAAGCCGCAGGTTGACACATGTTAATGTTAAATCCTACAGACTAATGTTTCTCCAAAACTCTTCATATACTTCAGTTAGCCAAAAAACCCCACAGATCACTTTCCCCACCTGCTCTCATTCTCTGCACACAGAAGACACCAAAAAGAAAGGAAAGATCGCTTTCCACGATCAAGACAAAAACTCTGCTGCCTAAACTGCCTACACACAGCAGCGGGGCCATCCTCACAACCCTCGTGGTGGATCCGCTGCCTCTACTCAAACACTCTTTGGCCAGAGGGAGTGCATGGGTTAATAGGGCAGCCCTTCCCCTCACCAGCAGTCCTAAGTGCCAGAGAGAAAGCTTCCCTCATAGTGAGCTGTATAGTGGTTTCCAGACCTTTCACTAACTCAGCTTCCCTGCTTTGTATTTGCTCTCAGATGTCTATGACTCTCTTGATTTGCGGTCCCCAAAATTGAACACACCATTCTGGATGTATTTTGATAAGTGTCAGGTCCAAAGGGGCAATTATCTCCATGATCAGAATAATCCCCTTCTACTATTCACTCTAAGAATACATTTTCTGGAGGCAGGGCGCAGAGTGGCTCACACCGGTAATCCCAGCACTTTGGGAGGCCCATGTGGGCAGACTGCTTGAGCTCAGGAGTTTGAGAGCAAGCCCGGGCAACGTGGCGAAACTGTCTCTACAGAAAAATACACAGAAAATTATCCGGGAATGGTCGTACATTCCTGTACTCCCAGCTACTTAGCGGGCTGAGGTGGGAGGACCCCTTGAGCCCAGAGGTCAAGGCTGCAGTGAGCTGTTTGTGTCACTGAGCTCCAGCCTGGGTGACAAAGCAAGACCCTGTCTCAAAACATTTTCTTGTAGCAACTAATTCTGTTGGGCTTATATAAGTGTGTGATTGACTAAACCCCAAAGTTTATACATACATGAATTTCTGTGAAGACAGATGTCCCTAATCTTGAACATGTGGAATTAATGTTTTTAAGCCTATGTACAAAACATTATTTCTACTAAATTTCCCTTTATGCATTTTGGCCCATATTTCCAGGCTGCTAAAGTATTCTGAATTTTGATTCAGTTATGTAACATATTAGTTACTCCAGCTTTGTGCTATGGAGATACTTTCTAGGTGTGCCTTCTATGTCTGTGTCTTTGTAAGGTTGTTTTTGGTTTTTGCCTTTAGTTGGCGAGTTCTGGGTTTGTTGACTCTAATAAGTAAATTATTAATTAACGTCTCAAAGTTTCTAAATAAGCATATTACTGCACAAGGGACAACATGGTGATTAAGAAAATAGACTTTGCATGTAACAAGCCTACACATGTACCCCCAAATCTAAAATAAAAGTTGAAATTATAAAAAAAGAAAGAAAATAGAGGTTGAATCATTAGACAAATGAAATAAAGAGAGGAAATGTTTATAGCTTATATCACAGATAAAAAGCTAATCATCCTCATCTGTAAAGAACTAGTTAAAAAAAAATCAAGAGAAAAAAAACAGATGAAAACCCAGAATAAAAAAGTGGCCGTAAGACTATTATGGTTTGAATGCCTGTACCTTCTGAAACTCACGTTGAAACTTAACCTCCAATAGGCAACATGGAGAAGTGGAGCCTTTCTAAGAGGTGACTGGGTGATGAGGGCTCTGCTCTCGTGAATGGAATAACGCATTCATGGATTGATGGGTTATCACGCAGTGGGACTGGTGGATTTATAGGAAGAGGAAGAGAGACCTGAGCTAGCACTCAGCCCCCATCCATGTGATGCCCTGTGCCACCTGGGGATTCTACAGCGTCCCCACCAACAAGAAGGCCCTCACCAGAGGCAGCCCCTCAACCTTGGATATTTTAGCCTCCATCACTGTAAGAAATAAATTCCTTTTCTTTACAAATTACCCAGTTTCAGGTATTTTGTTATAAGCAACAAAAAATGGACAAAGACAAAGACCTAAACACAGAGTTCACAGAAAGATATGCCCATGGTACTCAAACACTGAAACAATACCCAATTTCACTGAAAATAAGAGAAATCCATGTTAAAACTACACTGAGATGCCATTTCTTTCTTTTCAGACCAGGAAATTCCAAAGGTTGGCAGCACTCTCTGCAGGCAAGGCATTGGGGAAACAGGCACTCTCCTACACTTCCAGTAAATGCAACTGGCAGAACCCTAGGGAGAGGAATTGGGCAAAGGTAAAAATACTAAGTGTATGCACCCTGTCTTAGTCTGTTTGCATTGCTATAAAGGAATAACTGAGGCTGGGTAACTTATAAAGAAAAGATGTTTATTTAGCTCATGGTTCTGCAGGCTGTACAATTATGGTGCAGCATCTGTCTCTGGTGAGGGCTTCAAGCTGCCTCCACTCATGGCTGAAAACAAAGGGGAGCCAGTGTATGCAGATCACATAAGGAGAGGGGAGCCAAGAGAGGAAAGGAGGTACCAGGCTCTTTTCAACAACCCATTCTAGTGGGAACTAAGAGTTAGAACTCACTCACTCCCACAAGAATGGCACCATGCTGTCCTCCATGAGGGATCTACCCCACAACAAAAACACCTCCCACCAGGCCCCACCTCCAACACTGGGATCAAATGTCAACATGAGACTTGGCGGGGCCCCCAAAACCATATCCAAACCATTGCACACCCTTGGCCCAGCAACTCCATATCTAAGCATCTACCCTGAAGATACAAATTCACAATACGAAATAACAGGTGGACAAGGTTATTTTATCCACTGAGGCCCTAGTTGTAAAAAAAAAAAAAAAAAAAAAAAAAACTGGAAATAAGTGAGAAAGAAGTTGAAATGAGAATACATACACACACAAATATATATAAATATGTTTATTTAAAAAGAAATATAGGAAAGATACATCAGAAATTAAGAGAGAGAGAAGTAAATTTCTCTATTTCTTTATAGTTTTGATTTCTGAACCATGTAAATATTTTACACACTAAAAATTTTAAATAAAAAATGTTATAAAAAGTAAACATAAACTTGACTGTAGACAGAAAAAAGCCTAATGTAAATCAGATTAATGATATAACCATAAAGAGAAAAAAATTAAGTTTACTAAGTTTACTTAGTAGGTTAGATGTTGGTAATGGCATTGCAATTTTATACCTATTGGACTGTAGGGCAATTGTGTATAAATGCTTTTGTTTGAACTATAACCACGCTTATGTTGGGAACCAAGTATTTTACTGTGGGAGATAAACGATACAAATTACAGAATGGGGGGAGGTGAGAAAACACCTTGTGTTAGATTGGTGATTGGACGTATCAGTATGAACTCACTATTCAAGCATAAATATAAGAATTAGTCTGAAGAAATTCCCCAAAATGCAGTCAGAAAGATTAAGAAATTGAAAATATAAAAGGTGAATGAAAACAAGACTAGGAAGCACTTCACAAGGTATAATGACTTTATCCAAGCAAAGGATAGCGTTGTTCACTTACTATGGGAGTCTCCTCTGGCAACATGGTGGATGTCACTGATGTGAACATGTTTCTTATTTCAAATGCACAGAAAAGCTGGATTAAATATAACCCCAAATTTAATTTTTTAAAAAAAGTCAAACTTGAAAAAAGAAAGAAACCTACAGGTAACAGAGAAAAAACTAAAAGGCAGAATATTAACCTCACACCTGTAACCAGAGGGTATTAGATCTATTATAGTTTAAGTCCCCTAGGGCAGAGGTTTTTAGGTGGCAGAATGACTTTGGGCCCTACAAGGCAGAGAACTGGAACCAACATCCTACATAAAGAGTAGGTTCTAGAAGGGATTTCTCCTTCATGGAAAAGGGATTAGAAAGCTCCTCCCACTGGCATAGGAAAGTGGCAAAAATATAGTCATTTAACTTGAGGCTCTGGGCAGGGTACCAACATTTTTTTCCATGAGAAATCAAACATTAAGACATGCTAATGAGGGTTCTAAATTTATACATTCCGGCCAGGTGCAGTGGCTGATGCCTGTAATCCCAGCACTTTGGGAGGCCGAGGCGGATGGATCACCTGAAGTCAGGAGTTCAAGACCAGCTTGGTCAACATGGTGAAACTCTGTTTCTACTAAAAATACAAAAATTAGCCAGGCATGGTGGCACACACCTGTAGTCCCAGCTACTGGAGAGGCCGAGGCGGAGAATTGCTTGAACCTGGGAGGCAGAGGTTGCAATGAGCCGAGATCGCACCACTGCACTCCAGCCTGGGCAACAGAGTGAGGCTCCATCTCAAAACAAAACAAACAAACAAAACTAAATGTATACATTCTGCATGCTACAGAAATCCAAGTTAATAAACCCATGTAAAAATTAATGCTGACAGAAGTAAATCAAAATAGCTTTATAAGGAATTTATAAGGAATACAAACAAGAAAATACCTGATGAAAGTGAGCACATAGCATTCACCATGAGCGACAGTCAACAACAACAGCAACAAAATAGGAGAACTGACTTCCAAAAACTTGAATTAATAGAAAAAATATGGTGGCCAGGCACAGTGGCTCACGCCTGTAACCCCAACACTCTGGGAGGCCGAAGCAGGCAGATGGCTTGAGCACAGGAGTTCGAGACCACCCAGGGAAATGTGGTGAAACCTCATCTCTACAGAAAATTAGCCAGGCTTGGTGGTGTGTGCCTGTAGTCCCAGCTACTTGGGAGGCTGAGGTTGGAGAATAATCACCAGAGCCCAGGAGGTTGAGGCTGCAGTGAGCCGTGATCACACCACTGCACTCCAGCCTAGACGACAGAGTGAGACCCTGTCAACATTAAAAAAGAAAAAAAAAAAAACGAAAGAAAGGAAAGGAAAGAAAAGAAAAGAAAAGAAAAGAAAAGAAAAGAAAAGAAAAGAAAAGAAAAGAAAAGAGACAATAAAACCAATACAAGTAAAAGCTTTTAAAAAGAAAAGAAGCCGGGCGTGGTGACTCACTCCCGTAATCCCAGCACTTTGGGAGGCTGAGGTGGGTGGATCACCTGAAGTCAGGAGTTCGAGACCAGCCTGCCCAACATGGTGAAACCCCGTCTCTACTAAACATACAAAAATTGTCTGGGTGTGGTGGCGGGCACCTGTAATCCCAGCTACTCAGGAGGCTGAGGCAGGAGAATTGCTTAAACCCAAGAGGCGGAGGTTGCAGTCAGCTGAGATCATGCCATTGCACTCCAGCCTGGGAGACAAGAGCAAAACTCTATCTCAAAAAAAAAAAAAGGGAAAAGAACTAGAAACCACAATGAAAGACAAACGAATGGGTATGTTAAACAGCAGATTTAGCTAAAAAGAAAGATGATTAACTGAAAGATGGTTCCTAGAAGAAACGTCCGAGGAAATTACTCAGAATGCAGTCAGAAAAATTAAGAAATTGAAATGATGTAATAAAAGTCAAAATACAGGAAGAATGGGCTAAGAAAATCCAACGTATGTCCAACAGAAGGGCAGCAGGCGAGGTTAGAGAGAATTAAAGGAGTAGACACTGTTGGCTACCTACCCAGCAACCATTCTCAGTTTTTTCTTAACTAGCAGACCTCTGACTTTGTCTGGTGTCCAACCCTCCTCCAAGTGCCTCAGAGAAGCCTGATCTTATCCCTAGTTCTGGGATACAGATCCTGATTGGTCTAAACTAATCACTATGTTCCCTTTCTTCTTGCAGTTCTGGCAGTCGCCACCTGTAGTTAGGCAGGAGGAAAAGTCTTTGATGAGGGGAAGGGGGAAGATTTTTGGGTAAAGCTGCTTTGATCACACAAAGACACAAGGAAGATAAATCTCCCTAATGACCCTAGTGGCAAAGACAGAAAGGGAGCCTGGAGCTGTGGCAGTCGTCTTGAGACCATTAGGGATGCGAAGCCAACATGCTGAGCATGGCTGAAAAGAAAGGCTGGTCCTTGGGCTAATAAATTAATAAATCCTGAAGTCACCTTTCTCCTGGCTTTTTGTTATGTGAAGTAATACATTTTTAAAAACTGTTTTTAAAGCTATTTTGAGTTGGGTTTCTGTTGCTTGAGCCAAACATATCCAATCTACTAGAGTTAACAAGAATTTAGAGGTATGATTGAACATTTTCTAGGATTAAAGAAATATCCTCAAATTGAAAGAGCATATCAAGTTCTGAAAATAATTTTTTAAAAGCCTGTATCAAGACACATCATAATAAAAAATGAAAACACCAACATACAGAGAAATGGAAAAAACAATTTCACCTATAGAGTAACAGTGAGATAAATAGTAGACTCTTCAACAGAAAAAAAAAAAAAGAGGCCAGAAAACAATGGAATAATATCTAAGGAAAGGAACCTTTGCCCTAAAGTTCTATAATATTCAAGAGAAGGTGAATATACTTCTGGGGTGAACAAAACCTGAATGGTTACTAATGACAACTCTTGAGTGATCTGCTTACAAATACATTTCATGAAGAAGAAAACAATCCAGAGATAAGAGGTAGGGTACAAGAATCAACTGTTAGAAAAAAATTTGGGACCAGGCATGGTGGCTCACGCCTGTAATCCCAGCACTTTGGGAGGCCGGGGCAGGCAGATCATGAAGTGAGGAGATTGAGACAATCCTGGCTAACACAGTGAAACCTCGTCTCTACTAAAAATACAAAAAATTAGCCAGGCGTGGTGGTGGGTGCCTGTAGTCCCAGCTACTCGGGAGGCTGAGGCAGGAGAATGGCGTGAACCCGGGAGGCGGAGCTTGCAGTGAGCCGAGATCGCGCCACTACACTCCAGCCTGGGCGACGAAGTGAGACTCCGTCTCAAAAAAAAAAAAAAAAAAAAAAAAAAGGAAAAGAAAAAAAAAAATTTGGTAAATACGTAGATTAATCTAAGTAGGAACAATAAAAAATAAAATTTAGGCCTGGCGCAGTGGCTCATGCCTGTAATTCCAGCACTTTGTGGGCCGAGGTGGGCGGATCACTTGAGGTCAGGAGTTCGGGACCAGCCTGGCTAACATGGTGAAACTCCATCTCTACGAAAAATACAAAAATTAACCAGGAGTGGTGGCGGGTGCCTGTAATCCCAGGTACTCAGGAGGCTGAGGCAGGAGAATCACTGGAACCCAGGAGGCAGAGGTTGCAGTGAGCTGAGATCGCACCACTGCACTCCAGTCTGAGTGACAGAGCAAGACTCCATCTTAGCAAGCACACCAGTGACCTGCGAATCAGAGAGCCCAGAGTTGGCTTGCAGTCTTTAAGGCCTTCTGGTCCAATATTCCCCAGAAGACAGAGGAGGAATGTGGACCTAAGAGCTGCCCACCCAGTGAAATCCAAAATCCCAGTCTCTGCCAGGAGGTCTGGAGTAGCGAAGGCACAAGCCCCAGCAAATCCCTCAGGGTGTATCTTTAAAGAACAAGAGAAGTGGTTTGGAATGCCCCAGCCAGAGGAGGCTTCCTGGCAGGCAGCCAGCTTACCCAGGGCCCAACAAGCCAGGGCCCATTGAATGGAAACAAGCTCAAGTGTGACTCACATTTCTACTCTCTGGGGCTGTTCTGCTGCTAGACACAAAGGTGCTTCAGAACTCCCACACTCACTACATCTTGCCCTGGCCAAGTAAATCACCTTGCACTGCTTCTCCGAGAAACATCTAGACAAAGGTTTTAATAAACCTATCAGAAATTATCCCTGAGAAAGACAGCTGTCCCTCTCAGACAGGTCATCAGGGAAAGTTGATCACTAACTCATCCTTGCCACCACAGCTCAACGTATTGTGGTCACTCCTCTTTTGGAATTGTCTTCAGTCTTCTTGTGCATTTCCAGAAATAGTAAATTGTCTGCTGGATTAGACCACTGGCAACGGCTTCAGGTCATTCAAAGCCAAATCTTATCACTCAAGTCAGTAATTAATACCATTTTGTAATCAGTCCAAGTGCCCATCAATGATAGACTGGATAAAGAAAATGTGGTACATATGCACCATGGAATATTATGTACACATAAAAAAGAACGAGATCATACTCTTTGTAGGGACAAGGATGGAGTTGGAGGCTGTTATCCTTAACAAACTAATGCAGAAACAGAAAACCAAATATCACATGTTCTCACCTATTAGTGGAAGCTAAATGATGAGAACACAAAGAGAGGAACAACAGGCACTAAGGCCTACTTGAGAGTGGAGGGTGGGAGGAGGGAGAGGAGCAGAAAAAATAACTATTAGGTACTAGGCTTAGTACCTGGGTGACAAAATAATTGTACAACAAACCCCTGTGACATGAGTTTACCTATATAACAAACCTGCACATGTACCACTGAACTTAAACATTAAAAAACAAAAATAAAAAATAAGGCAATACTAGGGTATTGAGACAGGTATCTGTTGTGTTTTATAAACTGCTTTGCATGGTAATATCCAAGAAATAATTCCAGAAATGCCTTGAGCTTCAAGGACAGAATTACTACATCATAAGACTAGGTTCTTTCTATTATTTAATTGTGTAAATCTGGGTTATTTTGTGGTCTCATATTTTTACCTAAAACTCTTTCATTTTGATTGTCTTAAGGTGGAAATTTCTCCCTGATCATATTGCTGTTGCTCTGCACTTGTCAGAAGACTGTGTGGCCTAGTGGTTAAGAGCACAGATGCCAGCCAGGTGCTGTGGCTCACACCTATAATCCCAGCACTTTAAGAGGCTGAGGTGGGTGGATCATGAGGTCAGGAGTTCAAGACCAACCTGGCCAATATGGTGAAACCCTGTCTCTACTAAAAATACAAAAATTAGCCAGGTGTAGTGACACATACCTGTAATCCCGGCTATTCAGGAGGCTGAGGCAGGAGAATTGCTTGAACCCAGGAGCCGAGATCGCGCCATCTGCCTAAGCAACAGGGTGAGACTCTGTCTCAAAAAAAAAAAAAAGGCACAGATGCTGAAGCCAACTGTCTGGGTTTGAAGCCCAGCCCATCCACTTTTTAGCTACATACGCCTAAGTAAAAGGGTTGCCTTCTGTGTCCTTGTCTGTAAAATGAGTATCATCTTCCTCTTAAGAGTTATTGTGAGCACTGAGTTCATTTGTATAAAGTGCCTGGAGCAGCATCTGGTGCACAGTAACATTTCACTGCAAGCCAGTGTTACCATTTGAAGAGTTTAACCTGATTTTACTTTGGGAAATGACCCTTCATTTATTTCTGGCCTACCCTTTTTAAATTTTTAGGCCATGTGATTTGGGTGAAGCCATCATCACTTGCAGCTTTAGGGGTCAGCTCTTGATCTCGGGTGGGCTAGAGAGTCTCACTGATGGGGCTAGGGATGCTCACATGACCCTAGGTCCGGGATTTTGTCCGGAAGCGTTGGAGGACAGGCTAGCTTACCACAGGGCTGGCAGTGTGACAAAATACGAACCCAGGGTTGTAGCAGCTGGCCGTCTTTAACACTACATGGGAGGAGCTTACCAGCAAATAAAGCAGAGGATGAGAGCACAGGGCAAAGGGGTGGATAGGTGGGGAGGACACAGGTGAATTCATCCACAAATGCTGATGAAAGGACTTAAGATTCTGAATCTTATTCTAGTTACATAAGACAGTCACTTTTTTCCTTCCCTCACACTAATTTTGCTGGGTTTCTATCACTTGCAACTTACAGAATCCTAATATTCTGATTTATCATGATCTATATAACACATGTCAAGACTCCACCTCTTTGGACACTGGTACCAGAAGCCTTCCCTTTGTCAAGTTTAGGCCAACTCAAGCACAGCTGTGCCTGCCTCAGCCTCCTCTTTTTCCTCCTCTTTTTGCCATGGGCTCCTGGGCCCTAGGAAGTAGACTCTCCTCATATGGAAGCATTAAGAAGCTCTTCACCCCCAGAGTGTGCCCCTTTAGGATCAGAAGATCTATGTCCCAGTTCACAAGCCACAGCAAGGAAAGTGAGACCTCCCCCATCTCCACAATACCCTTCATTTATGAGGACATCCTAAGGGACAGCCTGAGAGCCTGCAAATCACAGGCCCGGGGTTACTGGCGGGGTGTGGTGGTCAGAAGGAGGCAGGTCCTGACGCCTCTCTAATGAGGGTCCCCGGGATAGGACAAGACACACCTGTCCTCTCCAGAATTCTGCTCCAGAGAAAATTTTTTTTTTTTTTTGAGACGGAGTCTTGCACTGTCGCCCAGGCTGGAGTGCAGTGGCGCGATCTCGGCTCACTGCAAGCTCCACCTCCCGGGTTCACGCCATTCTCCTGCCTCAGCCTCCCGAGCAGCTGAGACTACAGGCGCCCGCCACCACGCCCGGCTAATTTTTTTTGTATTTTTAGTAAAGACGGGGTTTCACTGTGTTAGCCAGGATGGTCTCAATCTCCTGACCTCGTGATCTGCCCACCTCGGCCTCCCAAAGTGCTGGGATTATAGGCGTGAGCCACCACGCCCAGCCTGAAAATAGTTTCTTTTATCATAAAAGTCTCTTCTGATATCCTTAAATCTGCCTGAGTGAGGCAGTGTTTCATTTCCTCCTCCACAGGCTCCTTTAGAGCAGAATGCACCACTCCATTGTCCACTCTGTGAATCCCACTATCAATTCTTACGAAGAGCTGACCAGCCTGCAGCACTGGGACTTCCAGCTGCCCTCTTCTAAAGAAATCAAGTGCAAACAGGTAGGTACATAAGCTGTTCAAATAAATTATCCTCCAGGTGAGGAAAATTCCTAAACACCACTTCCAACAAGTCCAGGTGAAATCACCCTGCTGCTCATCTGGCCATACTCTCAGGGCCCCTTTATCTCAGCACCTCAAAGCACTTTACACACATCAGTCACTAACTGGGGCGGGGTGTGTGGTGGGGGTAGGGTTGGGAAGAAGGATCTAATAACCACCCTGTAACTGAGATAAAGAAAGGGAACCCTACTCTCATTCCAACCACAAACCAGGCCACACAGCTCGTTGAGAGGCAGAAAGAGATCACGGGCTCCCTGGGTGTCCACACCTATGTGTAAACAGCCAGGTGCAAAGGCTCCCTCCTGCCCTCCCTTCATCCTTCCCTGGCACTCACCTGAAAGTTGCCCCATAGATGGCAGGCACAAGGCGTGGCCTCTGCAACCCCAGGGGCGTGTACCCACCCAGCCAACGCAGAGTCTGTTGCAATGCACAGTGCTTTGGCCCTCTCCCCATCAGGGCACCACAAATCTAGGAATGTCTTTGTTCAAAACCTCTCATTTAACAAGTGCAGCAGGTCTGAGCTCTGATCTGCTTGGGAGAATGTACCAGGGAAAGGCAAAGAAGCTAGAGTCAGAACCCCAGATGGCCTATGGACTTCTGAATTCTGAATTCGCCAATGGGAGAGACCTGGCTTTGGTGCTCTCCACAGATACATGATCAACTTGAGCACCTCATTGCCCTTCACAACATCCTTCTGCAAATGCCACTGGGTTTGAGGTTCCTCTCCAGCTTCTGCAGCTGACTGCAACCCTCTCCACAAGGGCATCAGCAGCAAGTCTATCAAATACTGTTCCAAATCCAAGCTCTTGGATTCTGGGTATAGATATTCCCAAGGCTCAGTCCTTAATCCATTCCGTTCTTCCTATTAGATTCCTTGAGAATTTTATCATTTCCAGAGTATTGCTTAATTATTAACTAATAATGACAGTATTTGCAAAACGCAGTGCAATATATGACATACTATTACACACATAATCTCATTTGATTTTCTGAATAACTTTTACAGGTAGGGATGACTTCTCCCCCTTTTTAAAGAGGCAGCATGACATAATGGTTAAGAGCATGAGCTCTGGAACTAGAAAGCCTGGGTTCCAAATCCCAGCTCTGCTACTTACTGCCTCTGTGGCCTTGACATGTTACTTAACCCCCCCCTGCATCAGTCTCCCCATCTGTAAAACAGGGATAATAGGAGTATCTACCTCATAGGGTTGGTGGTAGGAGTCAATGAATTAATATTTGTACTGTGCTTAGAACAGTGCTTAGTGCTACGTGTTTGTTAAATAAAATGGGGAAACTGAGGCTCAGAAAGGTAAGTGACTAGTTCAAGAGAACAGTAGGTATTAGCCCTACAACTTGGTCATGTGCCTGTGAGTCTATTGTTTATCTTCAATCCATCCATTCACCACAGCAGATGAGATGCTACAAGGTTGAGCCTCACTGTGTTGCAGACTCCTCACCACCAACCCCTTCCCAGGCCCTCTGCTGCAGCCAGCTGTGCCGCACTCTCCCATTTCCACTCTGCTTTTGCTTATTTGAAAGACTCTCCCTGTTTGTGGAATGAATGAAGATGTAGTAAGTATAAAGCATTTTATTGACCTATGGGGCTAATAATTTTATTTAAAAACAGAAAGAAACAAACAAATAAGTGGGGTAGAGAAGAGATTGAGGCTCAGAAACCACACAGACAATATATCAAGTCACAGATGACCCTGGATTTGGCAGTGATTTCTTATAGTTGACACCAAAGGCACAAGCAACAGAAAACAAAATAGACAAAATGGACTTCATGAAAATTTTAAAATTTTGTGAATCCAAAGACACTATCAACAGAGTAAAAAGACGACAACCCACAGATCGGGTGAAAATATTCGCAAATTATGTATCTGATAAAGGATAAATATCCAGAACATACAGAGGACTCCTAAAACTCAACAAGAAAAACACAAACAATCCAATTCAAAAACAAGCAAAGAGTTACATTAGGTGAAGCAACTCAGACACAGAATGACAAACACCACATAAGTGGGCACTAAATAATGTATACACAGGGACACAGAGTATAGAAGTGGTGTAGAGTGGTAGACAATGGAGACTCACGAGGGTGAGGGTTAGGAAGGGGAGTGGATGAGGAGAAACAACTTAATGGGTACAATGTACGTTACTCCAGTGATGGATACGCTAAAAGCCCTGACTTCACCACTGTGCAATATATTCATGTAACAAAACTGTACTTGTACCCCTTAAATATATACACATAAAAAAAAATTTCTACTTGAGAGGCTGAGGCAGGAGAATCGCTTGAACCCAGGAGGTGGCAGCTGCAGTGAGCCGAGATCGTGCCATTGTACTCCAGCCTGAGCAACAAGAATGAAGCTCTGTCTCAAAAACAAAAAAAAAGTGTTAATAAAAGTTTTTAAATAGACAAATGACTTGAATAGACATTTTTCCAAAGAAGACGAGCAAATGGCCAATAAACACATGAAAAGATGCTCAACATCACTAATGATTTAGGTAAATGCAAATCAAAACCACACTGAGATATCCAGGATGGCTACTATCAAAAAGAAAAGAAAAGAAAAAAAGCAAATGGTGAGGATGCAAAGAAACTGCAACCCTTTTACGCTGTTGGCAGGGACGTAAAATGGTACAGCCACTGTGGAGAATAGTATGGCAGTTCCTCAAAAAATTAAACACAGAATTACCATATGATCCAGCAATTCTATTTCTGTGTATACCAAAAAGAACTGAAAGCAAGGTCTCAAAGAGATATTTGCACACCAATATTCATAGCAGCATTATTCACCATAGCTAAAATGTAGAAGCAACCCAAATCTCCATCATATATATATATATGTATACATATATATATACGTATATATATATATACACATATATATATACGTATATATATGTGTATATATATATATATATACACATATATACATACGTACATACATATTATTCAGCCTTAGAAAAGGAAGGAAATTCTGACATTTGCTGTAATATGGATGAAGCTTGGGGACATATGCTAAGTAAAATATGCCAGTCACAAAAAGACAACTATTTCATGATTCTACTTACATGAGGTACCTACAGTAGTCAAAATCAGAAAGACAAAGTAGAATGGTGGTTGCCAGGAGCTGGATGGAGGGCAGAATGGGGAGTTATAGTTTAATGAGAATAGGGTTTCTACAAGCTAGAGACTTCTGCAGATGGATGGTGGTGATGGCTGCACGACAATATGAATGTACTTAATACCACTCAACTGTGCACTTAAAAATGGTTAAGATGGTAATATTTCTTGGCTCTGTGTCCCCACCCAAATCTTATCTCGAATTGTAATCCCCACATGTCAAGGGAGGGATGCGCTGGGAGGTGATCAGATCATGGGGGTGGTTTCCCCATGCTGTTCTCATGATAGTGAGGGAGTTCTCACATTGTTTCAGTGGGTGCAAGCCCCAAGCCGTGGCAGCTTCCACGTAGTGTTGGGCCTGCAGGTACACAGAAGACAAGAGATGAGCATTGGGAACCTCTATCTAGATGTCAGAGGATGTATGGAAATGCCTGAATGTCCAGGCAGAAGTCTGCTGCAGGGGCAGAGCCCTCATGAAGAAACTCTCCTAGAGCAGTGCAGAAGGGAAATGTGGGGTTGGAGCCCCACACGCTAGGGGCACTGCCTAGTGAAGATGTGTGAAGAGGACCACCATCCTCCAGACCCCAGAAAGATAGATCCACTGACAACTTGCACCATGCACCTGGAAAAGCCGCAGGCACTCAACACCAGCCCATGAAAGCAGCCACAGAGGCTGTACCCTGAAGAGCCACAGAGGTGGAGCTGCCCAAGGCTATGGGAGCCCACCCCTTGCATCAGCATGCCCTGGATGTGAGACATAGAGTCAAAGGAGATTTTGGAGCTTTAAGATTTAATGACTGCCCAGCTGGGTTTCAGACTTGCATGGGGTCTGTGGTCCCTTTGTTTTGGCCAATTTCTCCCATTTGGAATGGGAACATTTACCCAATGCCTGTACCCCCATTGTATTTTGGAAGTAACTAACTTGCTTTTGATTTTACAGGCTCATAGGCAGAAGGGACTTGCCTTGTCTTACGTGAGACTTTGGACTTGGACTTTTTGGTTAATGCTGGAATAAGTTAAGACCATGGGGGACTGTTGGGAAGGGATAATTGGTTTTGAAATGTGAAAAGGACATTAGATTTGGGAGGGGCCGGGGGAAGAATGATATGGTTTGGCTCTGTGTCCCCACCCAAATCTCATCTCGAATCATAATCCCCACATGTCGAGAGAGGGACCTGGTGGGAGGCGATTGGATCATGGAGGCGATTTCCCTCATGCTGTTCTCGTGATAGTGGGGGAGTTCTCAGGAGATCTGACGGTTTTAAAAGTGGCAGTTTCCCCTAAGTGCTCACTCTCTCCTGCTGCCTTGTGAAGAAGGTAGTCACTTCTACTTTGCCTTCTGCCATAATTATAAGTTTCCTGAGGACTCCCCCGCATGCAGAACTGTGATTCAATTAAACCTCTTTCCTTTATAAATTACCCAGTCTCAGGTATTTCTTTATAGCAGTGTGAAAATGAACTAATACAGATGGTAAACTTTATGTTATGTGTATTTTACCATAATTTAAAAATTTTGGAAAAAAAACATATCTAGGCATCTTCTGTTTAACTTCTCTGTCCAAAGGGATTGGATGAAGGAAGCCAGCTATTTCCACAGCTTCTCACCCATTGTTAGAGATGAGAAGATCCTTAGAAAACATCTAGTCTAACCTCCTACTGTAGCAGATGAGGAAACTAAGACTTTGTCTGGCATTAATTATTGCTCTCAAGGGACTAATACAGCAGTGACTTCCAAGGCTGAACCCACTAAATAAAACCATTAATCATGCTGCACCCACCCCAGCAAGTGGAACAACTCCCCAGGTGACATGGTAAAACAGAATTCTACTTTTTGTGAATCAACCCCCTCTGCAGTTTTTGTTGCGGCATGTAGGAAAATGTGAAGCACATAATCCTAAGCAAAGCTGGGCTCTCAACCATAGACTGTCGGTGAATTTTTTAAAAGGGCAGCTGGCCTCTCTCCCAGTTCTCCATCTCCTATATTAAAAGCTGTCTTCACCCCTTCATGTTTCCCAGTCAGCACAGACAGTGGAGGTCCACGTCAACCTCCTAGAAAATCCACAAGCAACTAGCAGGACTCATGATGAAGACAGCTCACTCAGGGGAGAGTCTCAGGCCCCAAGAGTTAAGTGCTTCAGGAATAGAGAAGAAAAAACAGCTGGGGGTCCACACAGCTTTCTGTGACAGCTTTAGCAACCTGAAGATTGAGCAAGTCCTCATAGAAATCACTGTTTCAGCTGCACATTAGGCAGGGATTTTTCCTCTGGCAGCCCGCCGGCTGCCCCAGCCTCAACCACGTCATTCCCTCCGTGGGAGAGGGCAGAAATTCCAGCCCTTCCAGAGCAGGCTTGAGGAAGCCTCCACAGACACTGGCTCATGGCCATCCTGCCTGGAACTGGGCTCCCAGCAAATCCCTAAGGTGAAGCTGGGTCACAAAAGATCAGAACTACCCAAGGCTGTTCCAAGTCTGTTTGGCGCTGCTGCCAGAAGTGGCTGTGGTGCTTCAATAGGCAACTGTGCCAGGAGCCCATGCTCAGATGGAGAGAAGCCAGTGCCACTCCCTGGAGCTCCAGACTCCTACCTCCGACCAAAATCTCCACCTGCATGTCACAGGCATTGCAAGACTGTGTCCAAAACCAGATTTTGAGTCTTTCACCTCTCAAGCTGCTCTTCCTGTGTTCCTCCTCATTCCACGCGTGCCATCCCATCCTTCCAGTTGTGCAGGCCCTAGACTACGGAGTCACTCCTGGCTCCTCATTCTCTTATGTCCTGGACTTAGTCCATTAGCAAATCTATTGGCTCTAGGTTTGAAAAGTATCCAGAATTCACCTATGTCTTACTATTCTCTGCTACCACCACTCTGGTCCAGGCTACATTATATCTTCTCTGGATTATTAAAATAGCTTCCCACGAATCTACCTGCTTCCACCCTTCCCCTTTTCTCAAAACAGCAACCACAGTGAGCCTGTTAAAACAGACATCAAAACAAGTCACGGCTTCCCTCAAAACCGTAAAAAGATTCCCATGTCACACAGAGCAAGCCCAAAGTTGTTACCTCGACCTGCAGCTCCCTCCAGGGCCTGGCTCTCCATTACCGCTCCAATCTCTTAATAAAAATTACCTTTGATTCTTTCTACTCCAACGCACTAGCCTCCTCACTATTTCTGAAACCCATCAAGCATGCTTCCAGCTCAGGGGCTTTGCACTTGCTGTTTCGTATGCCCAGAATGCCCTTTCCCTTAACTCACCTTTTCAGCAGAGCCTTCCCCAGCCATACTATGTAACACTTCATACCCCCTCCAACACTTCCTGGCCCCATCCCCTTCTTTACTTTTTGTCCTTAGCACATGTGTGTGTTCTTATTTATCTTGTTAATGTCTTACTCTTTCACAAGACTGTAGGTTCCATGAGGGCAAGGAAATTTTGGTCTGCAAATTTTCCGATCAGCACCTAGAAAAGTGCCTGGCACATTGTAGATGTTCAATAATTGTGATGAATAAATATAGGAACAATGGGACACTAGACACCTTGACACACTAGGCATTTCTTGTTTACTCTGCAGAAGAGTAGCAGACACTATTCATTATCCAGCCAACATCCATTCTCCTCTTCTATCAAAAGAACCCTGATTTCACGTGGGGTACCAAATGTGCCTACAAAAATATATGGGCTTGGTCCAGGAATGGTGACTCATGCCTATAATCCCAACACTTTGGGAGGCCAAGGCAGGAAAATTGCTTGATCTCAGGAGTTCAAGAGCAGCCTGGGAAACATAGCAAGATCTTGTATCTACTAAAAACCAAAGAAAGAAATAAAGAATTAGTCAGGCATGGTAATGCACACCTGTAGTCCCAGTTAATCAGGAGGTTGAGGGAAGAGGATGGCTTGAGCCCAGAAGGTCAGGGTTGCAGTGATCTATGATTGTACCACTACACCCCAGCCTGGGCAACAGAGCAAGACCCTG
Source organism: Homo sapiens (assembly GCF_000001405.40). Lineage (NCBI taxonomy): Eukaryota > Metazoa > Chordata > Mammalia > Primates > Hominidae > Homo > Homo sapiens. The sequence continues at coordinate 168,123,454 of NC_000001.11, forward strand.
TCTCAAAAAATTATATGTATGTATCTGTCTATCTATCTATCTATATCTATCTATATAGATATAGATATAGATATGCACATACATACACACACACACACACACACACACACACACACACACACACACTTGTTTGCATGGAAGCTGGAGTGGCCATTAGACCCAGTCTGCAAAGTGGTGGAAAGCTATCCATTCTCCAATACAAAGGGACAGACTCAGCTGTGGCTTTTACCCTTCTCCTTTCCCTTTCTCCTGACTGGAACTCAAAGTCAATGCTTGAAGGTGAACGTGAAGAGCCATTTTTTGACCATGTAGTTGGAAGTCCCATGCAATAGAAAGCAGAAAATCCCTAAGGTGAAGCTGGGTCACAAAAGATCAGAACTGCCCAAGGCTGTTCCAAGTCTGTTTGACGCTGAAGCAGCCCAAGCTACCTAATGAACTGTGAAGCCACTACACCCAGCCCCAGCTAGTCAACCCCTTTTTGGTTAAGTCCTGTAGCAGAGTTGCCTTCGCATGTTGTAAAAAGCAATCCTAACTTGACACACAGGTTGAAAGTGAGAAGAGAGGAGCTGAGGAAGGCAAACTGTGCTGTGATGAATATGATGATGCAGTCAGCTCAGCTGCTGGTAAGGATTGGTGCCACCACGTCTTCATCTGCCCATCTATCTCCTTCTCCCATCCACCCTGTCCCATTCTCCTCAACCCCCAGGGCAAACACTGCTGCAACCCTAACTTGTATCCCTTTTCCCATGATAACTCCAAATAAAATCAAACGTTCTCATCATTGGAAGGAGAGGGTGTCCAGTTACAATTTCCCTTTCAAAAATGCACTAACACTCAAGCTAATCCTCAGGAAATGCTCCATTCTAGATAGCTGAGTTTTCTGAATTGGTCGAGTTTTATTAATTCCACCTTAAACTACCCAAACTCTTTAAGCCTTTAAGCAAAATTCATGAAAATCTATCACACATTTTTCTGTATTTTAAAATAAGGTATACAAAACATAATTTTCATAATAATTTGAGGTCATTAAATGCCAAGATACGTGGAATTTTGACTTGGGAAAAACCTTAGAGAGCAATTCTAATGGAAGCATTTTCTTTTGGAACCTCAGAGAAGGTTGTTAGCTTGCCCACAGTCACTCAGCTAGTGGGTTATCACAGTGAGCCATTATTATATGATCCAAAACACAGTGATTCCCTTAAGACTGGTAAAGGTCATTTATATGGTTTGGATATTTGTTCCCTCTAAATCCCATGTTGAAATGTGATCTCCAGTGTCAAAGGTGTGGCCTAGAGGTGTCTGGGTCATGGGGGCAGGCTTGGTGCCATCCCCATAGTAATAAGTTCTTGCTCTATGAGCTCATGCAAAGTGTGGTACTCCTCCCATTGCTCTCCCTCTCCCTCTCATGCTGTGTGGCATGCCTGATCCTCCTTTTGCCATGGGAGCCCTCACCAGAAGCAGATGCTGGCGCCATGACTCTTGTCCAGTCTGCAGAACCATTAGCCAAATAAACTTCTTTTCCTTATAAATTACCCAGCCTCATGTATTCCTGTATAGCAACACAAAATGGACTAATAACCAGAATGTTCTCCTCTTACATCAAATGTGTATTGCATATTCTCTGTCTCCTTTTTATACTTTCTCCGTAATTTCTTTCAACTTTCAGCTGCCCCCTTTTCCCTATAAAAGTATACTTATCTGCAGTTTCCCTTGTCAAGAGTATTAAAGGTCTGCATAAAGTAAAAGCTAATACTATCCTGAGGGAGGGCTTCAGTGCAAAGTTCTCTGAGTACAGACTCTGTCAGATACAAGTCATTTCCTCCTGTGCCTTTGGGGAGTGCTGATTTGTTCCAGGAAACAAAGACCCTTGAAATAGTCTAGGTCCCAGAATAGGATTTAATATGTTTTAAGCTGTAGGAGGGAAACTGCTGAATTTAAACAAAAATTTAAACAAGAATGTTGAGTCCTGTTGGATTTTATACCATCAGAAAGGCCAATATATAAGTGCAGACAAATACGTTTTATACTGAAAGACTTTCATTAGAATCTTTCAAAAGGCCAACTCCAGAAAATATGAATTTTTTTGAAGAGACCGTAGGTGTCAGTGCAGAAGATATTTGCACAGGCCTGCATAACATGTACAGTATCTTGACTATCTTGCTTCCCCCCCCTTTTTTTTTTTTTGAGACAGTCTCACCCTGTCGTCCAGGCTGGAGTACAATGGTGTGATCTCAGCTCACTGCAATCTCCACCTCCCGGGTTCAAATGATTCTCCTGCCTCAGCCTCCTGAGTAGCCAGGACTACAGGCACCCGCCACCAGGCCCAGCTAATTTTTGTATTTTTAGTAGAGATGGGGTTTCACCGTGTTAGCCAGGCTGGTCTCAAACTCCTGACCTCATGATCTGCCCGCCTCGGCCTCCCAAAGTGCTGGGATTACAGGCGTGAGCCACCGCACCCGGCCCTATTTTTATTTCCCCTATAAACTCTACTATGACACATCCTCTAAGTCAGGCATTCCCAAACCGTGGGTGGCAGCTACTGTGAAGGGTCTCCCAACCAAATATACCCCCAGCTGTCTGAAGACCAAATAAATGAGGTTACACACATATGTAAACTATTATTCTGAAAACGTCTATAGATGCTATTGCGGTCAATAGAATTCAAATTCCTTGTTTATGTTGTCATTCACTCACAGCAGCTTTCTGTAACTGAGCATTTTCTCCAGCTGAAGTGACACTATAGGGCAGGAGAGGATGCATGCAGCCTGGGAGAGCTCAGAGGTTACCACCATAAGCCATTCCCTACGCTGGCCACTCACCTCCTTGTTGCCACTTATTTGAACACCGTCTATCTCTAGACCACCTTAAGAACTCTGAAGAGGCCTTTCCAGAAAATGCTACCTTTACAATGACCCTTACCATCTCCTCCGGTCTAGGGTTTGCCTTTTATATTTTAGTTGTCCTTTCAGACATTCATGTCTTCTCATAATACAAGTATTGTTTTGTTTTGTTTTTTTTGAGACAGCGTCTCACTCTGTCACAGCCTGGAGTGCAGTGGCGTGATCACAGCCCACTGTAGCCTCGAACTCTTGGACTCAGGTGACCTTCCCACCTCAGCCTCCCAAGTAGGTGAAACTACAGGTGTGTGCCACCACACCTAGCTAATTTTTGTACTGTTTTTGTAAAGAGGGGGTTTTGCTATGTTACCCAGGCTGGTCTCAAACTCCTGGGCTCAAGCAATCCGCCCACCATGGCTGCTCAAACTGATGGGATTACAGATATGAGTCACCACACCCGGCCATAATACAAGTTTTTATTTTAGGTGAGGATGTTTTCCCTTCCAGAAAGCTTATGAATGCTTCCTCAGTTTCCCCTTTGAATTCCCAACAGCACTCTGCATGTGGAGAAAACAAATATTTTATATTTCCCCTACACTAATATCCACTTAAACCTGATATCGAATAGAAAGAACATGGGCCTTGGAATCTTTACCAAACCCAGGTCTGAATTCCCTGTGACTGTGTGTGTGTCTCTTAATCTCTCTGAGACTCAATTTCTCCTAAGACAAAAAAGAGAGTAGATATACTCTACTTTATACAACTGCCAAGAGGAATCTACGAGGTAATGAGGGTAAAAGTACGAGCAAAAAGGTTGTCAGAAGATAAACTCAAGGAATGTTTACAAAAATTACTTAAGACATGAAAAGAAAACTCAATTCTTTTTTTCCCTTTCAAATTTTAATTCAAGCTGGCCGGGCACAGTGGCTCACACCTGTAATCCCAGCACTTTGGGAGGCTGAGGCAGGTGGATTGCCTAAGGTCAGGAGATCAAGACTAGCCTGACCAACATGGTGAAACCCTGTCTCTATTAAAAATACAAAAATTAGCCAGGCATGATGGTGGGCACCTGTAATCCCAGCTACTCTGGAGGCTGAGGCAGGAGAATACTTGAACCCAGGAGGTGGGCATTGCAGTGAGCCAAGATGGCGCCACTGCACTCCAGATTCGGTGATGCAGTGAGACTCCATCTCATTAAAAAAAAAAAAATTTAGTTAAAGACAGAGAGGTTTCATTCAACTACTGTATTAGTCTGTTTTTATGCTGCTGATAAAAACATACCCAAGATTGGGAAGAAAAAGGTTTATGGACTTACAGTTCCACATGGCTGGGAGGCAAGGAGGAGCAAGTCACATCTTACATGGATGGCAGCAGGCAAAAATTCCCATTTTTAAAACCATCAGATCTCATGAGACTCATGCACTATGAGAACAGCACAAGAAAGACCCACCCGCTCCCATAATTCAATCACCTCCCACTGGGTTCCTCCCATGACACATGGGAATTGTGGGAGTTACAATTCAAGATGAGATTTGGCTGGGAACACAGCCAGAGCATATCAACTACTTGTTGATGCGGAAGAGATGAAATGGAAGACAGAAAAGATGCATTGCAAGAGAATGCAAAGTGGAAGTGTCTTTGACTCCATAAGGGGCTCAGGGCCTGAAGATTTAAAGCCCCACTATAGGAAGATGCCCCCTCCCAGAACTGAGCTGCTGCAGCTACCACACAGATGCTCAGGCTGAGGGTTGTGGGCACCCAGGTAAGCAGCTGACTGAGAAATATGAAATTTTAATTTACCTCCACCTGTAACTGTGGGGCTGATATTCCATGCTTCCTTTGGCTCAAAACCCCTTCCCTGAAATTGCATATATTTTCTTTTTAAGCAGAAGAGCTGAAATGATATCAGTGAAAAGAATGAGGTTAGCTGGGGAGGGTCTGAAAATATCCAAGCAGTAGACACTGGATAATAATCAAACCCACTCCCTACCTCACTATCCTACATCACTGATTCTCAATCCCCATTCTCCAGATCCCGCACCTCTGGAAATGCCTGGAGACATTTTTGGTTGTCACACCTGGGGGATGCTATTGGCACCTAAGGCTGGGGATGTTGCTAAACATTTTACAATACACAAGATAGCCCCCAACAACAGAGAATTATCCGGTCAAAAACGTCAGTAGTGCCGAGGTTGAGAAAACCTGCTCTACACAAACAATTTGGGTTCATTCTTCTCATTCTGTTTTTTACTGTATGTACTTAATAAACAGATCAAGAAAAATAAAACAAGCCCTTCCATAACATACACATGCTCTGAGAAGACAAGAGATGGAAGCTGTGCTGAGAACAAGACTGAGATGATTACTTCTATCACAAGATAAAAAATAATGACTACGTGAATTAGTTTTTACCCTTAATTATTTTTTATTTATTATCCTCATCAAGCCAGGCAAACTAAGCCCATATTCCTAAAACTATATTATTTTTAAATAGCTGAAAGGAGTACATTTTTTTCTGATGGCCATATGTGAGATGGATGCCTCAGGCACAGGGCTGTCCCCTCCCTCCCTCACCATGATAGCCATACTGCCACTGGTTTCTGGACACTCCTATATTCTTGTTTTCCCATTCCTCACTGAGCTACACAAAATACATTTATTGAAGAGCTGCTCTGTGCCCAGCTCAACTCTACAGCTGGGGCATAGCCCTGAACAAGACATGTTCAAATCTCTCCTATCCTGAAGCTTACATTTTGGAGGTGGGGATACAGACAGTAAACAAATAAATTTAAAAAATAGGAAACAATTCTGGGTAGTAGGTACTGTAAAGAAAGATCAAACAGGGTAAGCAGAGAGGGAATGGGTGTCTGGGTCAGGGGTGGGTCATCAGGGAAGGCTCTCCAAGGACATGACATTTGAGCAGAGACCAGAAAATGATGCGAGGGAACCTCAGGCAGGCCAGAGAAGAGCCCTTGCAAAGCCCTGAGGCTGAAATGAGCTCGGCGTGTTTAAGGATTAGCAAGAAAGCTGGAGAGGAGTGAAGAAGAGAACAGCAGACTTTGGAGACAGTCGGGGGCCAGATTACAAAAAGCATTGCAGGCCTGGAGAAAGAGTGTGGACTGGATTCTACATGTGAGAGGAAGCCACTGGAGAGACATGACTGACTTACACTTTCAAGAGGTCACTGTGCCTGCTGCTGGGTGAAGGGGGGACTGCAAGGGGCAAGTGTGGAGGCAGGGACCCCAGTTAGGAGGCCACGGCTATGGCCCAAGTAGAGACAAAGGCTTGGACCAGGGTCATGGTAACAGAAGTGTTAAGAAATGTTTAGATTCACTAATCTCCTTAAAGACGCCAACATTTTGGAGCTAAAAGAGGCCTTCAGAGTAATTCATTCTAGTCTATCATTTTACAGATGACAAAATGAAAGCCCAAGGGGCTGAAATGAGTTACCCATAGTCATAGACCTAATTACTGACAAAGCACAAATTTCCTGACTGCCATCACTATACCTCTGCCCTTACCTGGCCAACCCAGGGCTGGGGTGGGCAATGCAGAAGACAGGTAGGCACAGGAACCCTCTAGAGGGTAGTCCTAGCCAAAGTCAAAATAAATGACTCTCTTTGCTTTGGGCAAGGTCACCCTAACATCCTAGCCAAACCCAATGGGCCCTTATTGAGCTCTCTGCAGCATCTGACACTTCTGACTCCTTTCATTTTTTTGAGACTCCCTCTTCCCTTGTCTTCCCTGAGCTCCTCTCTCCTGTCTCTCCGTCCTTTAGTTCCTTACCAGTCTTGCTTACCTGCTAATCATCCTACCCTGTAAGCGCTGCAGTTTTCCAAGATGCCCTCTGGGGCACTATTTCTTCCTTTCTCATCTACAGAGGAAATTAACTGTCGGCCTCCTCGATATCTCTTACCCTTGTCCAGCAGTTGCTCCTCTGGAGACCCACCCTTTTCACACACCACATCCATGTGGCTTCATGGATGTGGACACATGACCTATGCCTCGCCAATCAGCATCTTCGAACTTCCTTTGATGTAACAACAGTGTTGCTGAAACAGCTGGGAGAAGGACAGTTCCCCTTTCACATTGGATTTGAACCTGCAGCTTTCCCCCTTGCCAGAGCTGCTGGGGATCACCACACAGAACCTTAGCATGAAGAAAGGTCAAAACCAGTGAGAAAATGGGTCCTGATAAAAACCACTTGAACCCTGAACCCACACCAGAAGCCAAATACACTCGAGCATTTTAATGACATGAGCCAATAGCTTTCCTTTTTGCTTAAGTGGATTTGAATGGATATTCTACCACTTGCAAAAGAAAGACTCCTATCTGATACCTCTTCTCTCTATATGTTCCCTCTCTATGCCCACTTAAACACTGATGACTCCAAAATCTCCATGTATAGCCTAGAAACTCTTTGGTGCTCCAGATTCATATCCACCCACCTTGTAGATGTTGTCTCCCATATGTCACATTCAGGCACCTCAGATAGAACATGTACAAAATGGAATTCACATCTCTGCTGCTACCATCCCACTATGCTATTCCTCATGTTTTTCTCTACCCTAGATAAAACATCACCACCCACCCAATCTCTCAGGAAAGAAGCCTAGGACATCCTAGGCCACTCCTTAAGGGAATCCTAATGGGGTTTAGGCCCTGACTACACTTTCTGACTGTGTCACCATGGGTGTATTAATGAACATGTCTGAGCTGTGGATTTCCATACTGACTCTCTAGGATTGAATGAGATAGTGTGTGTAAAGCAGTTGGTTCCATTTCCTATCACAGACATCCAATGCATCACTAGTTCTCAGTCAAAACTTCATCCTCACTGCCACTACCCCAGCTCAGAGCCTCACCATCTTTTCCCTGGACTACTAACAGGCATTTCTCTCTTCTTCTTATTTTCGATCTCACCCCCACCCTTACCCCCCACACCAATCTCTCCTCCCAACTATTGCCAGACTGATTGTCCCCTACACAGCCAGACCATTTCATGCTATTCCCTGCCACCTGCAGAATTTATTCATTTGCAAATACCCTCTACCTCGACCATCCCAAATTGCTCACAGTTCTCCAAACACTCACTGTTGTTCTCAACTCTGTGGCTCTGTACACTGTTATCACTGCCCATAATGCTGTCTCTTCCTCCTCACCCACCTGGAGAAGAGCTCATCCTTAAGACTTGGTTAAAAAAAGAAAAAAAAAAGTTACTATAAAAGTCAAAGAAAATATAGATTGGTTAAAGTGACAAGGAGGGAAAATAAATAAAGGAAAAGCAGAAATTTAAAATATTTTTAAATGGAGAAAAGCAAAGAAAGAATGGAGAGAAAAGAGAAAATTTAGGAAAATTTACTCTTGAAGTAGGAGGGGACTTCCTAAGCAAGACAGAAAACTTGAAAACAAAGAAAAGTGATAGAGTTTTCACTTCATAAAAATTAAATACTTCTGGACAATCAAAGGTACAATAAGCAAAGTTGGGGAAGAAGACATAAAGATGTTTGATTTATTAACAAGAAAAGGATTAAAGACCAGAATTTAAAAAGAGCCTCACAAATTGATGAAATTACAAACAACTCAGTTAAAAAAATTGGCAAAGAATTTGATGGAGGAATTAGAGGAAGTGTAAGCAATCAATTTAGAGTAAACTTGGAAGAATACATCAGCATTTAAAATGCACATAACTGGCCAGGCGCGGTGACTCAAGCCTGTAATTCCAGCATTTTGGGAGGCCGAGGTGGGCAAATCCCCGGAGGTCAGGAGTTTGAGACCAGCCTCGCCAATATGGTGAAACCCCTTCTCTACTAAAAATACAAAAATTAGCCAGGTGTGGTGGCGCACGCCTGTAACCCCAGCTACGTGGGAGGCTGAGGCAGGAGAATCACTTGAACCCAGGAGGTGGATGTTGCAGTGAGCCGAGATCATGCCACTGCACTCCAGCCTGGGCGACAGAGCAAGACTCTGTCTCATAAAAATAAAATGCCCATAACTGATATGAAATGGTCTCCAAGCCGGGCGCTGTGGCTCTCGCCTGTAATCCCAGCACTTTGGGAGGTCGAGGCGGGCGGATCACGAGGTCAGGAGATTGAGACCATCCTGGCTAACACGGTGAAACCCCGTCTCTACTAAAAATACAAAAAAATTAGCCGGGCGTGGTGGCAGGTGCCTGTAGTCCCAGCTACTCGGGAGGCTGAGGCAGGAGAATGGCGTGAACCCGGAAGATGGAGCTTGCAGTGAGCCGAGATCGCGCCACTGAACTCCAGCCTGGGTGACTGAGCAAGACTCCGTCTCAAAAAAAAAAAAAAGAAAAAAAGAAATGGTCTCCAAGATCTAGATTGAACTTTTTTAATGCCCTATGTAGAACAGAGCATATAATATGCTATCATATTTATTTCTGAAAGAGAGAAAACAGAAGGCACATTTTTAGGTTTGTTTTTGTTGTTGTTGTTTGTTGGTTGGTTTTTTAAGATGGAGTTTCGCTCTTGTTGCCCAGGATGGAGTGCAATGGCACAGTCTCGGCTCACTGCAACCTCCGCCTCCTGGGTTCAAGCGATTCTCCTGCCTCAGCCTTCCAAGTAGCTGGGATTACAGGTGCCCACCACCATGCCCGGCTAATTTTTGTATTTTTAGTAGAGATGGGGTTTCACCATGTTGGTCAGGCTGGTCTCGAACTCCTGACCTCAGATGATCTGCCTGCCTCGGCCTCCCAAAATACTGGGATTACAGGCGTGAGCCACTGCGCCCAGCCCAGAAGGTACATTTTATTTGCTTGTAGGGGCATGGACTATTTCTGAAAGAATGCACAAAAACTGGTAAAATTAGTTATACCCAAAAAAGGAAAAAGAGGGCTAGGAAAGAGGAGTGGGAGGGAGATGTTGCCTTTTATAACTTTTGAATGCTATACCTTTCCAATTCACTACTTATTCTCAAACAAATAACCTTAAATAAATACAGTAAATAATTCAGTCTCTTTTTCTACACAATCTTCCAGACCTCAATAAACAAAGATAATTCTGCTTAAATAACCACTTAAAATGTACATTTCCTTTGACCCACAGATCCCACGTCCAGGAACAATTTTTACCCAGAAATATTGTACATGTACACAGATAAAGATACACAGAAAATCTAAATTAAATTGGAAGCCAATCTATGAGTCCATCAAGAGGGGAATGTTTAAATAATTTATAGGGAACCGATACTATGAAATACTATGTTATTATTAAAAAGAATGAAGTACAATGTATCTGTTATTGTTATTGAATGACTTCTAAGTCATATTGTTAAATCAGAAAAGTAAACCACAGAGCATTATTATATGACCCGATTTATGTTTTTCTTTTTTTAACAGACAGGATCTTACTATGTTGTCCATGCTGGACTTGAACTCTTAGGCTCAAGCGATCCTCCCACCTCAGCCTATCAAGTAACTGGGACTACAGGTGTGCGCCACCATGCCCAGCTTCATTTATGTATTTTTTCAAGTATATTCAATATATTCAGGTTGGTCCTAAAGTGAGAAATGTAGGTAATACTTTTTTATCATGTTTTATATAATAGCAATAAACTATATATTCACCTATGTTTCCAGGCTTGGTGACCATATTGAGCACACTGAAAAAGACCTAAAAAGACAGACATTTACAGTGGTTATCTCAAAGGTGGGGAGAAGGAGTAGAGAAGAGGTGGAGGGGAATTTAATTTATTTTCCTATATGTTACTGTGTTTTAAAATATTTACAGCTCTTAGTTTTGAAAAATTACTATATTCCATGAATGCTTTACATTATTTACCTAAGGTCACAAGTTTATAAGGGGCAGGGCTGGGAGGTAGGCTGTCTGACTTCAGATAGTGCTCTTAACACAGTGTTCTCTCACCCATTGCTTGAGTATAAAACAAACACAAACTAAAATAAAATTGAAATATACCTCCTCATGCTTTACCCCTGGCCAACTGCAAATTCCTTCCTTTATGCTCCAGCACTCCCTGAACATATTTGCCATGAATGCTATCCTCTCCCCTGCTGAGCACATAAAATGTGCAAGGAAATAGATTAAAACTAGTTGTAAGCCTTTTCTCTTGGTGTAGAAACAGAGTCATAGACGAGTACTGGGTGAATGAATGAAGTATGGAGTCATAAAGTCAATCCCTCCTCCAAACTCCAGGTAGCACTGATAGCTATCTCTAGTTCTGTTGATGTTTTTTGTTCTTATAGAAAAACAGCAAGAAGACACCATTTCTCCCCTGCTGTCATGCTTTACTGCATCTCAGAATGACAGTCAGTGCTTCCCAAGGTCTCACACAGAAGACGCAAGCAGCCTGCACACATAATTTGGTTAAACTGCACGCACATTAAAAAAAATGTTTTGAATCAGTTGCTATCTTTAAAAATATATGAAGCTTGTTTTCCGTAAAAATTTACAGTTTCCCCCAAAACTAAGATCAGGCAACCATGTGCTGGAGCCCCACCGCACCTGCAGCTGCCCCCTTACTGGAGACAGGCTTAGCAGCACACAGCTCCCACCCAGCCCTCCTGTCCACCCGCCTCCTGCACTCAGGCTTCCTGACTGGTCCCTGCTGGCAGTGGAGTTTACACCACAGAACTGTACCTCCTCTTGCTGACATTTAGGTCAGTTCCAGTTCAGCCCATTCTGTCTTCCTCGGAACCCAAACAGAGAGCTCGCAGCCCTCTGACCACACAGTGCTCCTTCACCTCTCAGAGGACGCACAGTGCACCAGGCTGCAACACAAAGAGAACGGTTCGGATATCGTTGCGGCCTTGGATTAGTTCCAAAATGTCAAGCGGGCCTCTTAATGAGGGGTCTCTATTCTTGATGTTATGGCAGTGGAGCTACAGGGCAGGGAGAAGCCCTGAGTTAAAGAACTCACCTGTGTGCCATCAGGAAACCACGTGAAAAGCACTACCAAGGCAAAAGATCTGAGTTCAATCTGGGCTGCTTACCTAGCTGGGCAAGAATGCTTCATCTCTCCTGAGCCTCAGTTTCCTCACCTATCAAATGGGCTAGTAGAGCTTCACAAGGTTGTTGTGTGAATGAAAAAGTGTACATGAAAGTGCTTGTAAGCACCTGACAAGTATAAAATAAGACGGGTGTGGAGGAGGACCGGAAGAGAGGTGCTCTGAAAGAAGTAACAGAAATGGGTGCCATGCATTCCAGTTACAGTTGAAGAGCCTCTGTCTCTATGACCTGAGGTCCCTCCCACCTCCTCTTTCTGCCCTGAGGGCCTGAAAAATGCCTCTCTTCACTTGCTCCCAGTGGCTGCAGTAAAATAGATTATAAGGGAAAACCGCCTATTCCCCGAAGCAGTAGCTCTCCAGAACTCATCTGGAGGTCCAGGTCACTAGGGGAGAAGAAGCCAGGCTGAATCCACGCCTGGCTCCACGGAGGAGCCACAAGGATGGCCATCCTCCCCCAGCCCCTAGGACGCTGAGACAGGCTCACCGGAGGTTATCGGTGTCTCCATTGGACAATCAAGGAACTGAGGTTCTTTCCCTCCAAAACCACACACCTCCTCACGGCTTCACCGGGAGGTGGATCAAATGACCTGCTCTATGAAAGCACTTTGCAAAAGGGATGAAAGTACAATAACAAGCAAAAATAGCCTCCAAGATGTGATATAAAGCGATGCCAATGCGCAGCTATGTGGTTACTGGTGAGCAGACCTCCGGGAAGCACAGGACACACCCCACTTACCCAACAGACGTTCTCATCCCATATGCCTTTGTCCAAAGGTTGCACGGGGGTTAAGCTTGGCCCAGAAGGCGCCGAGGGCTGGTCGAGTTCTCCCCTTTCCAAGAACCAGCCGAATCTCCCTCCCGCAGATCTGAGGGGCAGAGCCGCCCATCCGGCGGCGCCGGGCCACTTCTGGGCGCGCCACCCGCCGCCCGCCCAGGCTCGGGGAGACAGCGCCCTGAGTCCCGGCTGGGAGAAGGCTGCTCACCTGGTCCTCACGGATTCCAGCCGAGGGGCGTGACCGCTTCTCCCCACACCCTTTGCCCTGAGCGGGACGTGGAGTCTCTTGGCCCCAGGGGGCGCGGCCCGCATCGGCAGAGTCCCGGGCACGCACCTACGCCCTCCCATCCAGCGGACTGTTTAGGGGCTTCGGGCGGCGCCGGAGAAACGGGGCGGGCTGCACCCAGCAGAATGGGGTGGGCCTCTCAGAAGCCCCAGGCCGCAGGGGAGGGGCGCGCCCCCAACATCTTCCCACAAAGAGCTCCAGCTCTCCAAAGCAAGGCGCAGTGCGGGCGGAGGACAGCCCTGACCTCCGAGAGGGGCGCGGGGAGAAAGGGAGCGCCGTGGGGGCGGGGACCCTTCCCGGCCCGCGCCCTGAGCCCTCAGCCTCGCACAATGAGTTTAGCCTGGCTCCATCCGGACCGCCCTCTCCGCCCGGGCCCGCGCCCGCGCCCCACGCCGGGTGCTCACCGAGGAGCGGCCGCCGCGGCAGCTCAGGCCCCGGCCCAGCCGCCTCCCCGCCTCGGCCACCGCCGCCGCCGCTTCCTTCCTCCCCGCCGCGCTCCGGGACTGGAGGTTTCGGGTTTCAGCCCACCGAGCCCCGCTTCGCTCCTCCCGCGGGCCAGCCACCAGCACGCGGACCCGGGCGGGCGCAGGCCAAGTAACTTTGCGGCGCCCGCGCCCCGCCCCGCCCCCCCCACGCCCGGCCGGGCCCCTCCGGCCCCCGGAGCCCCGAGCCGCCTCCCCGCGCCCCGCACTGCCCCGCCCCGCCCAGCTCCCGGCGCCCCTCCCCACCCGCGCCCCTTCCTTCGCGTCCGTCCGCCCGCCCTCCCGGCTGCTTCTTTCCCATTTCTTCCCACGAACAGCCTCGGCTGCTGCTCTTTGTCTCGCCCTTACCCTCTCGGCTCGCCCCACTTTTCTCCTGAAAACCTTTGTGGTGCCTAACTCAGGCCTTCCCTGTTCCCGTTCCTCCGCCCCAGTTCCAGCCGCTGGGACGTCGCCTTTTCCATGTCTCTCTCCATCACACAGACACTTTCAGATTCTTCCCGCAGGCTCCGCACAGTCCCATTCTCCTCCTCCAGTCCCGCCGTGGACGATCCTGGTATCGCCTTTGCTGCTCACCTTTCATTCATCCAGCCGACGGGCACGAGCATCCATCTGCCTTCTGCCAGGCTCTGTCCCGGGCTCTGTTAATACCACAGTGAATTCGTCCCGAAGCCAGCCCCGGGGAGTGGGGAGTGGACGTAAACAGGTCTTCACACTGCTGCCCTGCACTCCCTCGGAACCAAAAGGCCAGGGAGCAGTCATCACAAAACAAAGAGCGGGCGCTGTCAGCTCGGGGGACGGAACAGTTCCTTCTCAGAATGTTTGTTTTCCCTTCCTCACTCCCCACTTTGCCTGCCTGTCTCCAGACTCCTACGTTTTCTATGCAGCAGTCTTAATAAGGGGATGAAAAGTTGAAGCACAGAGTAGAACTGCTAAAAAGGGAAAGAAGGAAGGACAAACAGGGCAGCAAAATAATCAGGTAAGAAGTTACAAAGCCCAGTTCACTAAACTCCAGAAAAAAAAAAACAAACCCTGATGCTGTGCTTAGAGCAGGATTCACATTCCTCTGAAATCCATCTGCTTTGATAAATACATTAATTATTCCCTTGTCTACAGATTGACACTGTGGGAGATGCTTCCTTAATATTATTGGGCCACTGAGGCACAATTTAGAACAGTAATTTACTGTCTGGCACCTGCCAAACACCCACATTGCTCTGGGGACAAATGGGATAATGGGGAGAAAAAAGTAAATGGGTGCCTTAATATTCCTATGGGATAAATGCTTTATTTGGTCAAAAACTGGAAGCTGACGCTCCACTTAAGAGTCTAGGTCACGCGGCAAGCCAGACACTTGAAGGAGCTTAAAGCTTTCTGTTCTTAATAGTATTTTAGACACTTATTTTGAAATCCCTGATATTTATTTAATTTACACTGACTCAGATGTCGGCTAAGCTCTATGAGCCTGAGGGAGTGAGTTAACCTTCCTCTCAGCTTATTCATATATAAAATGGGGATACTCATACTTTCCTATCTGTAGAGTTGAAAAGGTTAAATGAGGTCATGTAAGTAAATCATCCAGTGACATAGAATCTGAGAACTAAACCCTTTTGAAAATTGGTATTCACGAAAGGTCTGAAAATATATGCCACAGACTGGCATGGTGAGAATGAGAATAAAAAATAAACAGTTACGGCTGTTGTGGCTCCATACCCATCCATGATGCGAAAGATGTCCTTCATACTGAGCAACCTTTTCCCATACTTACTCTATTTCATTTTGAACTCTTCAACAGAAAACACTTTTTTTCTCCTGCTGCTCATTATCAAATGCATTATTTATCACAAAGATTTTTCTTTTTTCTGAGCTCATAAGCTCAGAACTTACTGTGCATTCAGGGATGGAAATTGCTGCCAACAAATGCATTTTCAATTGCTCTCTTAAGATTTTTTTCCCTTCTGGAGCTAATATTGAGCTATGAGCAGAATTCAATCAGATGCAGAGAAAACAGACAAATTATTATTAAAGTAATTATTTCACCGTATATCATTGTATAGGTGACAATTGTGAAAAACGTGACTGATTTTGTGCAAGAATGTATTTATATTTTTTTAGAAAAAGAGAAAGATACACACTAATTCTCCTTTCCCAAATTAGTTTAATAAACCATTCTGTTTTAGAGACATCCACAAAGACTTATAAAGTAAGATAATGAGAGGCCTTGTCCAACTGAACCTCACATGTGTGTTGAATAATTTATATATAAAACATATTTTATGTAAAATATCATTTCAGTCTAGCAGTCCACATAAAACTGGTGAAAGCAAAACTGTGAAATATGCTATTTGTTCCACATGGAATGTTATTTCCTCCACTCTTTACAGGCCAAGCCCTTCCTGCCCTTCACATCTCACCTTAAATGTCACTTCCTTAGAGAAGTCTTCCCTGATGGGATCTTGCTATGTTGCCCAGGCTTGTCTTTAACTCCTGGGCTCAAGCTATCCTCTCACCTTGGCCTCCCAAAGTGCTGGAATTACAGATGTGAGCCACTGCACTCAGCCCCTGACCAATCTAAAAGAAATTCTCTAATCTATGTACTCTTTCACAGCTCTGTTGTTTTTCTACATAAAATGTGTCCAAATTTATAAAATATGCATCAATTTTTCTATTTATTTGTTTACAGTATGCCTCCACTGATAGAATGGTAAAACCATTTGACCTCAGATGGAAACTTCCCTGAAACTGATGTGCCTCTGGACTGATCAGAAACAAGAGCCAATCAATATACATATATTTTTATTGAATCAGTATGGGTTTATTTCTGTTACTTGGAACAGAAAGCATCTCACTCAGTGATTCTTAATACGACATTTTGAAAGGCATTTTGGGTTTGTCACAATGATTAGAGGACACCCCAGGCATTTATTGGGTGCGGCCCAGGATACCAGACATCTTGCAGTACATGAAATAGTCCTACACAAAAAGAACAGTTCCTTTCACACATGACAGTAAAAACTGTCTATACTTTTCTAAGTCTGAAACCAAACTATTTTACATATATCCATGAGGGGTTTTTTTGCATGGTTTTGTTGTACAGCAATTTGTCTAGGAATGCAAGTACTATGTGAATTGAAGGAAGATTGCACCTTGATTTACTCAAACCTCACCAAGAGTTGTTCAGTATTTTGGAAATCACCTCACTATTAACAATGCCACTCATGGTATCAGATTTACTAGTACAAGTTAGGTGACTTGGTCTACATTTATATATCTGTGTCATACTTGCAGTGATCCTGTCTATAACTTCAAGTGTCTGACCACTTCATGATGTCATCCACTAGGGCTGATATATTGAAATGAGCATTATTGGGCTGGATGCGGTGGCTCACTCCTGTAACCCAAGCACTTTGGGAGGCCAAGGCGGGTGGATCACTTGAGGTCAGGAGTTCAAGACCAGCCTGGCCAACATGGCAAAACCGTGTCTCTACTAAAAATACAAATATTAGCCGAGCATGGTGGCACATACTTGTAGTCCTAGCTACATGGGAGGCTGAGGCACAAGAATTGCTTGAACCGGGGAGGTGGAGGTTGCAGTGAGCTGAGATCGTACCACTGCCTTGTCCTACACATCTCTTCCATCTGGCTTCTCTTGAATTGCATCCTTTGTCATAAACCAGTAATCAAAGTAAGTAAAGTGCTTTCTTGAGCTCTGTGAGCTGTTATAGGAAATTATTAGCCATGGGAACTCCTGATCTGAAGCCAAGTCGGTCAGAAGTACTGGAGGCCCTGGACATTCATGTGGTGCCTGAAGTGGGGACAGTGTATGGGACTGAGCCCTTAATCTGTGGAGTCTGAACTATCTCAGGCAGTTAGTGTCGGAATTGAATTGAATTGTTGGATACCCAATTGGTGTCAGAGAATTGATTGATGTTGGAAAAAATTCCACATATTTTGTATCGGGGGAAAAAAGTATCCTCAAGTACATTTATCTTTTGATCTATTAAAAAAATCCTCAAGTACACATTTATCTTCTGTTGCCAATAAAAAGCAACATTATATATTTGGGATACATTTGTAATTACAGAAGATTAAAAATGCCCAAATGTCTGTCAGTAGGGGATTAGAGGAATAAGTTAGGATTCAGTGCTACAAATGAATGAAGAAAATCTCTATACACTAACATGTAGTGGCCTCAAAGACGTATTGTTAAGTGGAAAAAAGCAAGGTGCAGGAATATTTGCTATACATTATCTTTTTTTTTTTTTTGAGACATGGTCTCACTTTGTTGCCCAGACTGGAGTACAGTGACGCGATCTCAGATCACTGCAACCTCTGTCTCCCAGACTCAAGCGATTCCCCTGCCTCAGTCACCCGAGTCGCTGGGATTACAGGCGCGCCCCACTACCACCAGGCTAATTTTTTATTTTTAGTAGAGACGGGGTTTCACCATGTTGGCCAGGCTGGTCTTGAACTCCTGACTTCAAATGATCCACCCTCCTTGGCCTCCCAAAGTGCTGGGATTACAGGTGTGAGCCACCACGCCCAGCCTATGTTATCTTTTATGTGAGAAAAGGAAAGAAAATAAATATATAGGTATTTGCTTATACTTAAAAGTGGAAAAACAAACCAAAAACAATAAAAAGAAGGTTTCCAATAAGGGAAAGGAACAAACAGAAGGAATGAAAAAGAAAGCAAGGTTTCTAGGAAGGTTCCTTGCTGTATGGCTTTGAAACTAAGTACATATTTTACAAATTTGAGAAAAGTTAACTCAAAAAAGAAAAAACCTCCAAAAACTGAAGAAAAACTAGGATGAATATCAAGTTGGTGGCATATGAACTTTTATTAGTTTTCTGTCACTGCATAATGATTACCACAAATTTAGCAGCTTAAAACACTCTATTATGTTGTCTGGGCTGGTCTTGAACTCCTGGCCTCAAGCAATCCCCTTACCTTAGCTTCTCGAGTCACTGGGATTACAGGTGTGACCCACCACACCTGGCAAAACACTCATTTTTTTTTAATCTCACAGTTTAGAGAGAAGTCCAGGCAGGCTCAGTTGGGTTTTCTGCTCATGTGAATGCCAAAATGAAGGTGCTGGCTAATCTGAGCTCTTATATGGAGGCTTTTGCGGGGACTCTGCTTCCAAGCTTGTTCAGGCTGCCAGCAGAATTTAGTTTCTTGCCACTGTGGGATGGAAACCCCCATTTCTTTGCTGGCTGGCAGTGGGGCCACCCTCTGCTCCCAGAGGCTGCCTGCAATTCTTCCTCATGTGGTCCCCTTATCTTCAAAGTCAGCAAAGGCATGTCAAATCCTTCTCATACCCTGACCTTTCTGGCTTCCTCTTAATTCCCCTTTCAGCCAGAGAGAGCTCTTTGTTTTTAAGGATTCATGTGATACATCAGGTCTACATTCCCTGTCGTAAGGTCAACTGTATCAAACAACAAAATCCTAGGAATGATATCTCATTATATTCAAAGGTCCTGGGGATTAGGAAAGGGCATCTTTGTCAAGCTATCTTCCAATTCTGCCACAACAATATAAAGAATTTCAGGGCCAGGCACAATGGATCGTGCCTATAATCCCAGCACTTTGGGAGGCTGAGGTGGGAGGATAATTTGAGCCCAGGAGTTCAAGACCAGCTTAGCCAAAATAGCAAGACCTTGTCTCTAAAGAAAAAGAAAAATCATTTTTAAAGAAGTTTTTAAAAAACAAATTTTTGGGCCGCGTGCGGTGGCTCATGCCTGTAATCCCAGCACTTTGGGAGGCCAAGGTGGGCAGATCACCTGAAGTCAGGTGTTCGAGATCAGCCTGGCCAACATGGCGAAACCCCATCTCTACTAAAAAAAAAAATACAAAAATTAGCTAGGCATGGTGGCTCATGCCTGTAGTCCCAGTTACTTGGGAGGCTGAGGTAGGAGAATTGCTTGAACCCAGGAGATGGAGGTTGCAGTGAGCTGAGATCCTGCCACTGCACTCCAGCCTGGGCAACAGAGTGAGACTCCGGCTCAAAACAAAAATTTCAAGTGAGTTTAGAATATAATATTTTGATGGCACTTTCCTAGTGGGATATGTTCTTAGGACAAAAAGAATCTCAAAAAAAAAACAAAACTCAATCTCACTCAGTTCTCTTATGTCAGTGGTACTCTGGTATTGTTGTCTGAAACAATTAAGATACATAGAAAAAGGCCGGGCGTGGTGGCTCATGCCTGTAATCCCAGCACTTTGGGAGGCCGAGGCAGGCGGATCTTGAGGTCAGGAGATCGAGACCATCCTGGCTAACACAGTGAAACCCCGTCTCTACTAAAAATACAAAAAAAAATTAGCCGGGTGTGGTGGCGGGCACCTGTAGTCTCAGCTACTCCGGAGGCTGAGCCAGGAGAATGGCGTGAACCCAGGCAGCGGAGCTTGCAGTGAGCCGAGATCGTGCAACTGCACTCCAGCCTGGGAGAAAGAGCGAGACTCCGTCTCAAAAAAAGAAAAAAATACACACACACATAGAAAAAAGCAAATAAGTAATTACCTTTATGTTGTGGGACCTGTGATTTTTCGCAAGGAAAAAAATATAAAAGTGTATAGGTAAGTAAAAACCTACCTGCAAAGAATAATTTGCGTTTGCCAACCCTAACCACTCAAAAGGCAAGAAGAAATGAGAACACAGAAGGAGTGAGCACTCCTGTAGCAATGAACACTGCTAGCAAGCAGACGTAGTCTTAAAATACCACTTCTCATTAAGAGGAACTAAGGCTCCTTGCAGAAATGGCTTATTCCAGGTCTGAACTTTATATGCTTTTTTTTAAAAAAAAAAAACAAAACATATAAAATGAATCTGGAATATCTTTGTGTACCAGAAAAGAGATTTCAAAGACCAATGGGGTCATTTTGAAAAGATACAAGAGCTGATCTGAAGGGACAATTTGAACATCAAAAAGAATAAGAAGCCAGGCACAGTGGTTCATGCCTGTAATCCCAGTACTTTGGAAGGCTGAAGTAGAAGAATTGAGGCCAGGAGTTCAAGAGCAGCCTGGGCAATATAGTGAGACCACATCTCTAAAAAAAAGAAGAGTTGCAATGGATTGGAACATACCTGCTAAAGCTTGAATGTTTGAATCCTCCAAAACTCATGTTGAAACTTAATTCCTAATGTAACAGTATTAAGAGGTGAGGCCTTTAAGGGGTGATTGTGCCATAAGGACTCTGCCCGCATGAATGGATTAACTCATTAATGGATTAATGGATTAATAGATTAATAGGTTATCATGGGAGTGGGTTAGTTATAACAAAAATGGGTCTGTTAAAGAAGCCAGGTCTGCAATGGCTCTCTCTCATGCACCCTCCTCATCATGTGATGCCCTGTGCCACCTCAGTACTCTGCAGAGAGCCCCCGCCAGCAAGAATGCCTTCAGCAAGATGCAGCCTCTTGGCCTTGGATGTCCCAGCCTCCATAACTGTAAGAAATCAATTCACTATCTTTATAAGTTACCCAGGCTCAGGTATTAAGTTATAGTAACAGAAAACTGACTAAGATAATATCCACATAGAAAAATCTTTGAGTTTATAGTTGAAAAAATTGGTCACCATTGGTGATTGCTAGGCAACCAATTCATTCCTCTGAAAAATTAGTAAATAAAAGGAAGGAATCAAACATTTATTCCACTTTTCCTATACGAATTGCATTCAGTGTGACCAAAGAGTAGTTAGGGAAAGTTCTTTTTAATAGAAAAATTCCAACAAATAAATGCACAAAGAAGAACAGAATTTTAAAATCACCATTTTGCAACCCTTAATGAAATAACTATTGCAGGCAATGGTGATCAATGTATACTAAAACCATTAAGTGAATAGTTGATGGAGAACCGATCAATCTTAGTATCACACAAGAACGGAATGTAATGGGAAGTATTCAGCACCATCTAGGAAGTATTCTTAAATAAATCTTGCAATGGTGGATGAATGTTGAGCAGAAAAGAAAGTCAAAAAATGTCTATGTTAAACTTTAAGCAACAATTCCTGACTTAGTTGACCACTAGCTAAGAGAATGACCCAATGGAATAGGAGACAGATTGAGAAATGTTACCATCACTTTCCTGCCCACCTTATGATTTCACCCTGAGCAGGCTTTCTCTCCACTATTGTCAGTTTGCTACTGTGCTAATTTTGAGTTGTCTTTTAGCCATTGACGTTGACCAGCAATGGAATCTAAGTCCAGGATACATGGAAAGTATACTGTCATGAAAAACGGAGTTTTTGAAAATGAGTACACTGCAAGCTGGGGAAAATCCTTTTTTTTTTTTTCTGTAAAAACTGAACCACCTGAGAAGGCATAGGTGTACTTATTTTTCTACACACTTAATTTGTTCAGTTTTAGAACTCAAGATCCTTTATTATTGTTAGTGTATTAAATTCATACCTTTCTGTTCTTACTGCCATTGCCTTTTTTTTTAAAATCACGTCATGCATTTGAAGGAGGGATTGTGGTGTAAACATCAGTCCATGGGTTGAGTCCAAAGACCTGGATTCTGATCCTGACTGTGCCCAGGCTTGTTGATGGTTGTGACCCCACAGTGAGATGCGGATTAAGGGTCAGATACTCCAAGGGAAGGGGCTGAAGAGACCAAACTTCCTGTGTGGACGGTCACGGAGTCCTCTGAGAGGGCTAAAGAAACACCCCCAGGCTGGTGCAGGAAGCCTGGGAGATCTTCCCTTTGGACCAGTGGATGGAGTCAGAGATCAGGATGGTTGCAGAGGAAAAGCTTCCCAGGGTGGAGGGGCAGGGGCTGGGAGAATGACCCCAAGGTCATGTAAAGAGAGGTGATGCTGGCTAAACAACTAAGTTTTGAGAGGCAGCGAGGCTCCTTCTAACCCTGGTATCACGGTCAATTTAATTTTATCTGTGCCTTGTGCTTCCTCTAATGAGGAAAGAGAGGAACGAAGGCTGTGCCCAGTTAGCTGTGTCAGTCAAGACAACCAGGAGTAGATTTTAGTCACCTTAAGGTCGAAAACTATGTTTGTTATTTGGAGCTTCTTTTCTTTAGTTCGCTTTATTTTCCCCTGGTTTATTTGAGAATTTTCTTTTGAAACTACCCATGAGACTCATTTCTACTAGGAACGTTAGAAAAGTAAAAAGACATTCTTTTCCTCTCCCCTTAGGCCGGGGAGGCAGAGGGCCCCTAGTGGCCAATGGTGGAACTGCAGCAGCCCAGTCCCAAGACCAGGTGGACCTGGCTGCTGGTTGGTGAACAAGAGCCTCTCAGAGAGCGAAAGGGCCTCCACCGACTCTGACAGCCTCGGTGAGGGGTGGGAAGGGGTGGGAAGGGGTGGGGAAGGACGGGGAGGGGTGGGGAGGGACGGGGAGGGGTGGGGAGGGACGGGGAGGGGTGGGGAGGGGAGGGGCGGGGAAGGGTGGGGGGGTGGGGGGTTTGGGGGAGAGGAAGGGACAGGAAGAAGTGGGAGGAGAAGAGGGAAGTGGGGAGAGAAAAGGACAGAAAAGAGAAGAAAAAAGGAGAAATGCCAATAGAGGCTTCTAAAACATTCAATATTTACTTCTAGCAAATAAATTTACTTCTGGCAAATAAATACTTTTAATAATCTCCAGTACAATGCAGTAATTTCTTTACGCAGAAAAATTAGAATCATTGAAGTATTTTGATATAAACAATAGTATTTTTACAGAAAAATAATACAGGATTACTGAAAAAATTGCTCCAATTTCCGTTTGAATGGTGGCCGTATGTCACACATAAGGTATAGTTTTAACAGAATTTAAAATGTTCCATCCCAGATGGTAATGCTTTTCCATATAATTGCGCTAACAACAAAAAATTAACTATTATCAGTGGGGTGGATGGGTAATGAGGCGTACATTTAAGGTTGAATGAGTAATATTTTCTCTCCTCAGTCCTGTCTGGGTGTCTTGCTGATAACGTTATTTGGAGATAAGATAAAAAGTTTAAATTTAAGCTCTCTTTGGAAAAGGGAATCCACATCAAACAGCTCTCCTGATCCCTGCCCTTTATTCCTCCCTGTTGATAAACCCTACAGTGAAGTGAACCTGTGACTCCCAAACCCTATTACCTATTAGAACTACACGTAGAAGCCGGGTGCGGTGGCTCTCGCCTGTAATCCCAGCACTTTGGAATGCCGAGGCGGGCGGATCACCTGAGCTCAGGAGTTGAAGACCAGCCTGACAATATGGCGAAACTCCGTCCCTACTAAAAATACAAAATTAGCGGGGCATGGTGGCATGCGCCTGTAGTCCCAGCTACTTGGGAGGCTGAGGCAGGAGAATCACTTGAACCTGGGAGGCGGAGGTTGCAGTGAGCCGAGATTGTGCCATTGCACTCCAGCCTGGGCAACAAGAGAGACTCAAAAAATAAAAATAAAAAAACATGTAGAGGCCGGGCGCAGTGGCTCACGCCTGTAATCCCAGCACTTTGCGAGTGCGAGGCCACGACGGGTGGATCACTTGAGGTCAGGAGTTCGAGACCAGCCTGGCCAACATGGTGAAAACCTGTCTCTACTAAAGATACAAAAACTAGTTGGGTGTGGTGGTGGGAGCCTATAATCCTAGCTACTCAGAAGGCTGAGGCAAGAGAATTGCTTGAAACTGGGAGGCTAGAGGTTGCAGTGAGCCGAGATCAAACCACTGCACGTTAGCCTGGGCGACAGAGCGAGACTCAATCTCAAAAAAACCATACCAAACAAAACAACTACATGTAGAGCTTTGAAACTATCCATATTCCTGGTTCTCTTCCAACACCTCTAGATGGATGTTTCCGGAGGTGAATTGTCCTCAGATTAGCATTTGGAACTAGGACGCTGCACTCTCCTACACCGTTAATAAAAGTATATATTTGCATGAACATGACAATTGGCAATATCTATTAAATTACAACAAATATGTACCCTTCGACCCAGAAATTCTAATCCTGGGACTCTATCCCATAGAAATAAAAGCACCAGGGCCGGGCGCGGTGGCTCATGCCTGTAATCCCAGCACTTTGGGAGGCCGAGGCGGGTGGATCACGAGGTCAGGAGATCGAGACCATCCTGGCTAACACGGTGAAACCTCGTCTCTACTAAAAATACAAAAAAAATTAGCTGGGCGTGGTGGCGGGCGCCTGTAGTCCTCAGGAGGCTGAGGCAGGAGAATGGCGCGAACCTGGGAGGCGGAGCTTGCAGTGAGCCGAGATTGCGCCACTGCACTCCAGCCTGGGCTACAGAGCGAGACCCCGTCTCAAAAAACAAAAACAACCAAAAAAATAATAATAAAAATAAAAAAAAAAGAAAGAAAAGCACCAGTACAGAAAAATATATGAGACCTGGCACGGTGGCTCACACCTGTAATCCCAGCACTTTGGGAGGCCAAGGCAGGTGGGTCACTTGAGATCAGGAGTTCGAGACCAGCCTGGGCAACATAGTGAAACCTCATTTCTATCAAAAATACAAAAATTAGCCAGGTGTGGTAGTGCATGCCTGTGGTCCAGCTACTTGGGAGGCTGAGGTGGGAGAATGGCTTGAGCCTGGGAGGTCGAGGCTGCAGTGAGCCGTAAATGTCCATCTATAGAGGAAAGATTGAATAAACTGTAGAATAACCACACAGTAGATTGTATTATTAAACAAGAAAGAGTTGAAGTGATATCAATTGACCTGGAAGGATTTTTACAATGTATATTGTTAAGAAAGTACAGCAATAACTTAAGACATGTCTTTTGTAAGAGTATATAAGTGTATCAAACTATGTATTGTAAGAAATATAGGAAACAAATAATGGCCAATTTCTCAATACTTGTGCTATTGTATGATTGTGTGACCATGAAGAAATGTATGGGAAAATACACACTAGACTCTAATTGTTTCTGTTTATGGGGAGGTGTGGGCACAAAGAGAGGGCAAGGATGTTGTAAGGAAAAGAGTACCAAGACTATAGAAACATAATGATGTGTGTATGAAATAAAAATATGTAAATATGATATATTTACATATAATATATACAATATATAGAATATATTAAAATAATGAGACTGTGACATAGTATAATATAATAGCAATTTAAAATGTGGACTATAAATTCTACCTCATATTGTGGTAAATATGTAAAAATTAAGTGTGCAAATGGAAAGTTCTAGAAGGTGACAAAGACGAGTAAAAATTCATTTCATTTTTTATGATACTAAGAGTAAATTTCTTTTTAGATGTGTTACTTAATACGGAATCTGTAATTATGTAGAGTGTTTTGCTTTCGATTTTTGTCTGAAGAGAAAGGAAAAAAGAAACTGCTGCTCTGGACTCTAGTGGGGAAGCATTACTTCCCTTATATGGTGTAGTGAAAAGAACTCAGATGTTCCAGCCAGATGCTCTTGAGCTTGAGTTTTGATTCTATTACTTGTGATATTAAGTAAGATATTTGACCCCTCTAAGCTCTGGTTTCTCCAGCTCTAAAATAGGGATGGTAATTGTACCTACCTCATCGGTAAAGGGCTTGCTACAGCCCCTGCCATGCAGCAGACTCCTAAGAAAAGTTATCTATTTGTGGTAGATTAATATATTGTGGTGTTTATATATATAGATAGATAGATATTTGTATATATATTTATATATCTATATATCTATATATACATCTATATATCTATATGTGTGTGTGTGTGTATATATATATATATATATATATAGGTTTTACTGCTGTGGAATTATCCAAAAGAAAAAAAAAAGAGCCATCTGTATTGTGCTCTCAGTATTTTCTCTCCTTTTTTCCAAAAGGCAAGCAAGGTTTTGTACTCCTAAGTTTTGAGGGAGATTTGTATTGTTTGGTGGGAGAGGGTGAGGAGAGGAGAGGTGGGACACAGGCAAAATCAGAGACACTGAAAGTTCTTCACAATGAGAAGGGAAAACCATGGCTGGCAGAGACTTTCCTCCTGCCTCTCCTAAATCCTGGAGAGAGGGCAGGACCTCAGAGGAGGAATGGAAACTCCCAGGAGGCTGGGCACAGGCCGCGGGGCTTCATAGGTAGGAGTTGTGGGCCTCTCAGAGGTGAACATGTAGGCCGAGAGCAGAAAGGCCTCCTCGAGCATTTTTCTCCCCGAAAATCTAGATTCATCCCTAGAACCTTTGCATTATCCTAAGGGTAGGGGTGGACAGGGATGGTGTGAGGTATCCTTATTCTATTTGTCTGGGATTTGAGTTTGAATTTAATCTGATTTAAAGGAAATACATTAAAAGGCTGGGTGGTGCAGCTCATGCCTGTAATCCCAGCACTTTGGGAGGCCCAGGTGAAAAGATCGCTTGAATCCAGGGGTTCAAGACAAGCCTGGGCCACATAGGGAGACCTTGTCTCTACAAAAAATTAAAAAATTAGCCAGGCATAGTGGTGTATGTCTGTTGTCCCAGACACCTGGGAGGTGGGAGGATGGCTTGAGCCTGAGAGGTCAAGGCTGCAGTGAGCTGTGATCATACCACTGCACTATAGCCTAGGTGATGGAGTAAGACCCTGTCTCACTAGGAAGAAAGGAAGGAAGGAGAGGAGGAAGTAAGAAATACATAGGAATATTTTATGTGGTCGCAAATACCTGTGACATTTTAATTCTCTTTCTTATTCATTTGATTGCTGTGTGATACTGGGGGAACAGGGCTATTTAACTCTCTCAGCCTCAGCTTCCTCATCTGTTGAATGGGCAGTAATAACACACAGCTCACAAAGCTGTGACCTGTGAAGATTTAATGAGTGTGTGTCTGTAACAGTGTCTATGACTGTCTATAGCTGACCATTGGTATGGTCCCTCTTCTCATTCCCTTGGGCAGTCCTAGTTCTTGGCCTCTGCACATGATGCTTCAGCACCTGGAATAGTTGTTACCACCTCTGCTATTTGAATCCAACTTCGTCCTTGAAGTCCTAACACAAGCACTGTCCATTTTCTTCCTTTCCTGACCACTAGGCAATGTTCCTTTCTTTGAACTCCTGAAGCATTTGCCTTGCTCATTCCTTGTTCACACACCTGACATTTCTGAAGCACCTTCTGAGTGGCAGGCACTGTGACGGAAATAGACAAAGTCTTTGCCCTCATGGAGCTCACATAAGCAGATTGTATCTGTCTTTTTATTTTATTTTTTATTTATTTATGTATTTTCTTTTTTTGAGGTGGAGTCTCATTCTGTCGCCCAGGCTGGAGTGCAGTGGCACAATCTTCTCTCACTGCAACCTCTGCCTCTTGGGTTCAAGAGATTCTCCTGCCTCGGCCTCCTGAGTAGCTGGGATTACAGGTGAGGGCCACCATGCCTGGCTAATTATTATTAATTTTTTTTGTATTTTTAGTAGAGATGGAGTTTCACCATGTTGCCCAGGCTGGTCTCAACTCCTGACCTCAGGTGATCTGCCCACCTCGGCCTCCCAAAGTTCTGAGATTACAGGCGTGAGCCACTGTACCCGGCCCCATGCCTTTTTATACATAAATGTATCCTTTCCCAAATACACGAGCTGCTTCCTAAGGGGAGAAATGTCTTTTACCTCTATTATCTAGAGCAGCGCCTAGAATGCAGAAGATATGTAGTAGATGTTCTCTTGGATAAGATGAGTCTTTAATCAAAATATTCCCCCTTCTGCTTACTTACAGGCCTACAACCCCCCTTATTTACTGCAATTAACTCTTAACGTGGCTGTTCCTGGATGTTACAATCCATATCTTCTGTCTCCATCCCCAGTGCAGCACAACCAGACTCATACATGTTGGAATACACAGACTAATACAATCTTTGCAAGATTGCTGATTGAGGATTCCAGGATGAAGTTCACGTCCTGGTCCCTCATTCTTTACCTACTGTCACCTGAGGTGACCCCAGAGTTACTCTTGTATTTTTAGCACAACAAAGAGCTGAAATCACTAGGTATTTCTAGAGCTCTGTGTCAGAGGTCTAGTAATGGTGTATCTTTTCCACATCTGCAATAATTGAGTTCCCCACTCAGAAAACAGAGCTGCATGTTTGAATACTTTTAACCATTATAATAACTGATATTTGTACAGCAATTAATGGTTTATAGAAGGACTTCACAGGTATGAGCAAGCCAAGGCAAGTAATATGCAAGTAATATCATTACTGTTACTTTTACTCTTATGTTACGTAAACAACTTTTTAAAAAATTACCTGAAGTTGAACAGTCACGATGCAACAGATCAGGAAACTAACAAATCTACTGACTGCAAATCTTGTATTCTTCACATTATACCACGCGGTGGTTTTTATTGTTGTCTTTTGTTTTTTTTTTTAATATAACTTCCCCTGAAGTCAGCCTATGCTAGCCCGCAAAGATTTTATTAGTGTTTGGGGAGGAAAGAGTCTTATACACTCAGTCACATCTTAACAAACCCAGTTATGGCCAAACTTAAGTAACCACCCTTGGTTTCAAACAACCTGCCATTTATTTAGGGAGGAACCACTACAACTCCCAGATGGTTTAACATCAGATGTGCTTTTCAGGAGAAAAAAAAAAAAAGATATTTCTTAGGGGAGTAATTAATAGGAAAGAGATTAGGCAAGTTAATGTGATATTGCAATTGAGTTGATTTGCCTTAATTAGGAAATATTTATTAAACTAAATTATGGTTATGCAGAAATCAATTAGCTCCAGCTCTGTTAGGAAAAGAGAATTGTTTCATGTTGATGTAATAACAAAGTCCAATATAACTTGGGACCCTTTTATTTTTTGTTCTGCAACTTAAGACAGCTAATATATTTCCCTGAAACCCTCTGAATATTTGCAATGGCTGGCTACTATTTCTCTTTTACTAGTTAGTCTTACTTCCAAATCATGCCATAAGTGAGAGCAGGCAACATTTAAGAAAATAAATTTGTCACGCCTGTAATCCCAGCACTTCGGGAGGCTGAGGCGGTTGGATCATGAGGTCAGGCGATCGAGACCATCCTGGCTAACACGGTGAAACCCCGTCTCTACTAAAAATACAAAAAATTAGCCGGGCCTGGTGGCGGGCGTCTGTAGTCCCAGCTACTCCGGAGGCTGAGGCAGGAGAATGGCATAAACCCGGGAGCGGAGCCTGCAGTGAGCCGAGATTGCGCCCCTGCACTCCAGCCAGGGCGACAGACCTAGACTCCATCTCAAAAAAAAAGGAAAGAAAATAAATTTGGATACAATGAACTTCTGCTCTTCTCTCAGCTCCACAAATCCTAAGTCATCTACACCCTCTTTCCCTACCCCCTTACCCTGCAGAAATATTCATACGCTCATCCTTGATTATGCCTCCCTCCTTTTTGAATTCCCCAAAGTCTAAATTATCTCACTCTCTTTCTACTCCTTCCCTCCCTTTCCCCAGGAACCTGGCATCTCCTGATATATTTTATGTGAATATTTGGGGATGAAACAGTAGTGGGATAGAGATACTCAAGGAGAAGTTAAAAGTAGTTCTTTGGGCTGGTCGCAGTGGCTCATGCCTGTAATCCCAGCACTTTGGGAGGCCGAGGCGGGCGGATCATGAGGTCAGGAGATCGAGACCATCCTGGCTAACACGGTGAAAACCCATCTCTACTAAAAATACAAAAAATTAGCGGGGCGTGGTGGCGGGCGCCTGTAGTCCCAGCTACTCCGGAGCCTGAGGCAGGAGAATGGCATGAATCCGGAGGCGGAGCTTGCAGTGAGCTGAGATTGCACCACTGCACTCCGGCCTGGGCTATAGAGCCAGACTCCGTCTCAAAAAAAAAAAAAAAAAGTAGTTATTTGTCCCCACTTAGCTCTTTGGTTGTAAGAAACAAACTCACTGAAGTTTTCTCAAGTTCTGAGAGGCTTGATGTAAGGATACACAAAAGAATAAGATAAGGCCGGGAGCAGTGGCTCACGCCTGTAATCGCAGCACTTTGGGAAGCTGGGGCGGGCGAATCACCTGAGGTCAAGAATTCAAGACCAGCCTGGTCAACATGATGAAACCCCATCTCCACTAAAAATACAAAAATTAGCCGGGCGTGGTGGTGCACACCTGTAATCCCAGCTACTCGGGAGGCTGAGACAGAATCGCTTGAACCCAGGAGGTCGAGGTTGCAGTGAGCCGAGATTGTGACACTGCACACCAGCATGGGTGACAGAGCAAGACTGTCTCAAAAAAAAAAAAAAAAAAAAAGTAAGGTAAGAGCAGTCTCAGCTTAGCGTCTAAGCTTCCCTTGTTTCCCCACGACTGAGTCTCTGTTTTCAGTAATGGAGCCCTCTTTTCTCCATGTCTGATGCTTTGGTGCACAATAATTTTCCATGGATGAGATTCTGCCTTCCTCCCTTTACTGTTGTTGAACTAGAGCTCTACTCTTGGTCCTCAGATCTGTGACTGTCTCCCTCCTGTGCTAGACCTTTAGCCTGAATTGCCTCTTCACATTGTGCTCCCACTCAGAACAGGAGCCTCTCTGCTTGCCTAGTGTTGGACTTCTCCTGAGGGGGTCTGTCTGTTACCCTGGGCATTCTCCCACCAAGCACCTCTAGAATCCATCCCAATGCCTGCCCGGACCCTGTGGGTCTGTTTAATTTCCAGCCTGGCCTTTCCTACCATTAATCAAGCTCTAGATCGTCTGTACAATCCCTTGAATAGTTTATTGATTGGCCATTGTGTCATTTGCATCCCCAGTCAGGCTCTGGGGACATAGATATGAGTAAAAAAAGGTCCTTGCTCTTTTAAAAAAATTTATCTATTTAATTTTTAATTGACAAATGTACATATTTATGGGGTACATAGTGATGTTTTGATACATATAATGTATAGTGATCAGATCAAGGTTATTAGCATATCCATCATCTCAAACATTTATTTATCATTTCTTCATGTTGGGAACATTCAATATCCTCCTTTTAGTTATTTGAAACTATATAATATATTGTTGTTAACTGTAGTCATCCTACAGTGCTATAGTACATGTATTAGTCCATTCTCAGACTGCTATGAAGAAATACCTAAGACAGGGTAATTTATAAAGGAGAGAGGTTTAATTGGCTCATCGTTCCACAGGCTGTACAGGAAGCATGGCTGGGGAGGCCTCAGGAAACTTTCAATCATGGCAGAAGGCAAAGGGGAAGTAGGCACGTTATATGGTGGGAGGAGGAGAAGGAGGGAGAAGTGGGAGGTGCTACACACTTTTAAACAACCAGATCTCATGAGAACTCACTCACTCTCATGAGAACAGCAAGGGGACAGTCCGCCCCCATGATCTAATCACCTCCCACCAGGCCCCTCCTCCAACATTGGGGATTACAATTTGACATGAGATTTGGGCGGGGACAGAAATCCAGACCATATCAGTACACTAGAATTTTTACTCCTATCTAACTGTAACTTTGTATCCTTTAACAAATCTCTCCCTAACTCCCTCTTGCTCCTAGCCTTTCCAGCCCCTAGTATCTTCTGTTCTATTTTTCTAAAAGTTTCTGTGAGATCAAGTTTTTTTAGCTTCCACATATGAATGAAAGCATATGGTGTTTAATTTTCTATTTCTGGCTTATTTCACTTAACATGTTGTCCTCCAGTTCCATGTCTGTTACCACGAATGATGGGATTTTATTCTTTTTATGGCTGAATAGTATTCTGTTGTGTATAAATACCACATTTTCTTTCTGTCTTTTTTAAGATGCAGTCTTACTCCGTGCAATGGCACGGTCTCGGCTCACTGCAACCTCCTCCTCCCAGGTTCAAGTGAGTCTCCTGCCTCAGCCTCCTGAGTAGCTGGGATTACAGGCATGGACCACCATGCCTGGCTAATTTTTTGTATTTTTAGTAGAGATGAGGTTTCGCCATGTTGGCCAGGCTGGTCTCGAACTCCTGACCTCAGGTGATCCACCTGCCTCAGCCTCCCAAAGTGCTAGGATTACAGACGTGAGCCACTGTGCCCAGCCCCACATTTTCTTTATCCATTTCTCTGCTGTTGGACACCTAGGTTGATTCCATACTTTGGCTATTCTGAATAGTGCTGTGGTAAATAGAGGGGTGCAAATGTCTCTTTGATATAATAATTTCCTTTTCTTTGGATAAATAAATGTCCAGTAGTAGGATTGTTGGATCATATGGTAGTTCTATTTGTAATTTTTTGAGGAAGCTCCATGCCATTCTCCATAGTGGCTGTACTAACTTACATTCCCACAAACGGTGTGTAAGAGTTCCTTTTTCTCTACATCCTCGCCAGCATTTGTTTTTGTTTTGTTTTGTTTTGTCTTTTTGATAGTAGCCATTCTAACTAGGGTGAGATGATACTTCACTATGCTTTTGATTTGTATTTCCCTGATGATTAGTGATGTTGAACATTTTTCTCGTAAATGTTGGTCGTTTGTATGTCTTCTTTTGAGAAATGTCTGTTCAGATCATTTGCCCATATTTTAGTGGGATTTTTTTTTTTTTTTTTTTTTTTTTTTTTTTTTTGCTATTGAAGTATTTGAGTTCCTTGTATATTCTGGATATTAATCCCCTGTCAGATTAATAGTTTGCAAATATTTTCACTCATTCTGCAGGTTGTCCTTTCACTCTATTTTTTCCTTTGCTGTGCAGAAGCTTTGTAGTTGGATATAATCCTATGTGTTTATTTTTGCTTTTGTTGCCTATGCTTTTGAGATCTTATTCATAAAATCTTTCCCCAGACCAATGTCCTGAAGTGTTTCCCCTATATTTTCTTCTAGTAGTTTTATCATTTTGGATCTTAAATTTAGGTTTTTCATCCATTTTGAGTTGATTTTGTGTAGGGTAAGAGCTAGTTTCATTCTTCTGCATATGAATATCCAGTTTTCCCAGTACCAAATGGTTTATTTATTAAAGAGACTGTCTTTTCCCCAGTGTATGTTTTGGCACCTTTGTCTAAAGTTAGTTGGTTGTAGATACATGGATTAGTTTCTGGGTTCTCTATTCTGCTCCATCAGTTTGTGTTTCTGGGTTTTTTATTTTTATTTTTTGAGATGGAGTCTTGCTCCTGTCACGCAGACTGGAGTGCAGTGCTAGGATTACAGACATGAGCCACCGCTCCCAGCCTATGTGTCTGTTTCTGTTTTTTATGCCAGTACTATGTGTTGTTTTGGTTACTACAGCTTTGTAGTGTAGTTTGAAGTTTAGTAGTTGGATGCCTGCAGCACTGTTCTTTTTGCTTAGGATGGCTTTGGCTATTCAGAGGCTTTTGTGGTTCCATATGAATTTTAAGATTGTGTTTTCTATTTCTGTAAATAATGCCATTGGGATTTTGGTAGGGATTGCATTAAACCTATAGATAATTTTGTGTAGTAGGGTAATTTTAACAATATTAATTCTTCTGATCCATGAGCATGGATTTTTTCCATTTGTTTATATCCCATTCAATTTCTTTCATCAGTGTTTTGCAGTTTTCCTTGTGGAGGTCTTTCACCTCCTTGGTTAAATTTATTCCAAGGTGTTTTTTTTTGTTTGTTTTTTTTGTTTGTTTGTTTGTTTTTTTTTTTTTTTTTGGTAACTGTTGTAAACAAGATTGCCTCCTTGATTTCTTTTTCTATAAAAACGCTACTGAATTTTTTTGATTTTGTATCCTATAATTTTACTGAATTTTTAAATCAGTTATGACAGGTTTTTCTTTAGCCTAGTCAAGTAAAGCAGCGATAGTGGAGAAGGAACAAAAAAAATCTCTAACTGGTCTAATAAGCTGTTTATAGGGTCTTTAGGGTTTTCTATGTATGAGATCATGTCATCTGCAAAAAGGGATAATTTGACCTGCTAGTTTCCAATTTGGATACCCTATATTTCTTTTTATTGCCTAATTGCTTTGGCCAGGACTTCAAGTACTGTGTTGGGTAAGAATGATGAAGAGTGAACATCCTTGTCTTGTTCTAGGTAAAAGTTTCAGCTTCTCTTCATTCAGTATGATGTTAGCTGTGGGTTTGTCATATATGGCCTTTATTGTATTGAGGTACTTTCCTTCTATACATAATTTATTGAGAGTTTTTATCATGAAGGAATGTTGGATTTTATCAAATGCTTTTTCTGCATCTATTGAGATAATCATATGTTTTTGTCCTTCATTCTGTTGATGCTATGTATCACATTTATTGATTTGTGTATGTTTAGCCATCCTTGAATTCCTGGGATAAATCCCATTTGATCATGATATATTATCTTTTTGATGTATTGTCAGATTTGATATGCTAGTATTTTGTTGAAGATTTTTGCCTCTATGTTTATCAGAGATATTGGTCTGTAGTTTACTTTTTTTGTCATGTCCTTATCTGGTTTTGCTATCAGATTTATGCAGGCCTCATAAAATCAGTTAGGAAGAATTCCCTCTGCTTCAATTTTTTGGAATAGTTTGAGAAGAATCGGCATTAATTCTTCTTTAAAGGTTTGGTAGAATTCATTGGTGAAGTCATCCAGTTCTGAACTTTTCTTTGTTGGGAGAACTTTTATTACTGATTCAATCTTGTTACTTCTTATTGGTTTGTTTGGGTTTTCTGTTTCTTCTTGGTTTTATCTTGGAAGGTTGTATGTGTCCAGGATTGTATCCATTTCCTCTAGGTTTTTGAATTTATTGGCATATAGTTATTCATAGTAATCTCTAATGATCCTTTGTAATTCTGTGCTATCCTTTGTGACGTCTCCTTTTTTCATTTCTGATTTTATTTGTTTTGATTTTCTCTCTCTTTTTTTAGTTAGTCTAGCTAACAGTTTGTCAGTTTTGTTTATCTTCTTAAAAAATGGGTGTGGTGGTTCACACCTGGTATTCCAACACTTTGGAAGACCAAGGTGGGAGAATTGCTTGAGCCCAGGAGTTCAAGACCAGCCGGGGGAACACAGTGAGACCTTGTCTCTAAAAAAAAAAAAAAAAAAAAAAAAAAAGCCCAGCATTTTGTTTTGCTCATCTTTTGCGTTTTCTTAGTCTGAATTTTATTTATTTCTGCTCTGATCTTTGTAATTTCTTTCCTCTGCTAATTATGGGTTTGGTTTGTTCTTGCTTTTTAGTTCCTTGAAATGCATCATTAGGTTGTTTATTTGAAATCTTTCTAGTTTTTGGATGTAGGAATTTATTGCTATCAAATTGCCTGTTAATACTGCTTTTGCTGTGTTCTGTAGGTGTTGGTGTTTCTATTTTTACCTGTTTCAAGGAATTTTTGAATTTTATTTTATTTTTTATTTTTTATTTTTTTGAGACTGAGTCTCACTCTGTCTCCCAGGCTGGAGTGCAGTGGCGCAATCTCGGCTCACTGCGAACTCCACCTCCCGGGTTCATGCCATTCTCCTGCCTCAGCCTCCTGAGTAGCTGGGACTACAGGCGCCCGCCACCACGCCTGGCTAATTTTTTGTATTTTTAGTAGAGACGGGGTTTTACCATGTTAGCCAGGATGGTCTCGATCTCCTGACCTCGTGATCCACCCACCTCAGCCTCCCAAAGTGCTGGGATTACAGGCGTGAGCCACTGCGCCCGGCCAATTTTATTCTTAATTTCTTCCTTCACTCATTGATCATCCAAGAGTGTGTTGTTTAATTTCCACATACTTGTATAGTTCTGAGTGTTCTTCTTTTATTTACTTCTAGTTTTATTCCATTGTGGTTATAAGATAGTTGGTATGATTCGATTTTTGCAAGTTTTTAGAGACTTGTTTTGTGTCCTAACATATGGCCAATCCTGGAGAATGTTCCATGTGCTGATGAAAAGAATGTGGTTTTGGCAGCTGTTGGGTGAAATGTTCTGTAAAGATCTGTTAGGTCCATTTGGCCTGTGGTGCAGTTTAAATCCAGAGTTTGTTGACTTTCTGTTTAGCTGATCTGTCAAATTCTGACAGTGGAGTACTGAAGTCCCCAACCTTTATTGTATTGGGTTAATCTTTCCCTTTAGATGTAATAATATTTATTTTATATAGCTGGGTGCTTCAGTATTGGGTGCATATATTCTCTTGCTGAGTTAGTCCCTTTATTATTATATAATGTCCTTCTTTGTCTATTTTTATAGCTTTTGAATTGAAGTC
Organism: Homo sapiens; assembly: GCF_000001405.40. Lineage (NCBI taxonomy): Eukaryota > Metazoa > Chordata > Mammalia > Primates > Hominidae > Homo > Homo sapiens. The sequence goes on from NC_000001.11 coordinate 168,159,750, forward strand.
TGTTTTTTTCTGATGTAAGTATAGCTACTCCTGCTTGCTTTTGGTTTCCATTTGTGTGGAATATCTTTTTCCATACCTTCACTTTCAGCCTATGTCTGTCTCTATAAATGAGGCCAGTTTCTTTTAGGCAACTTACAGTTATATTTTTATCCATTCAGCCAGTCTATATCTTTTAAATGGGTGACTTAATCTGTTTATATTCAGGGTTATTATTAATAGGTGAGGACTTCCTCCTTACCCCTGTCATTTTATTTATTGTTTTCTAGTTGTTTGTTTTGTATATTCTTTCTTCTCTACTTCCTCTCATTGTTTATTTTTGTGGTTGGCTGGTTTTCTGTAGTGATAAGGTTTGATTCCCTTAGTTTTTCCTTGTCTGTGAAATATTTTATTTATCCTTCATTTCTGAAGGATAGCTTTGCTGGGTGTAATATTCTTGGCTGGCAGAGCTTTTTTCTTTCAGTACTTTAAATATATCATCTCATTCTCCCCTGGACTGTCAGGTTTCTCTGAGAAATCCACTATTAGTTTAATAGGGATTCTCTTACATGTGACTTGACATTTTTCTCTTGATGCTTTTATAATTCTTTGTTTTTTTGACTCTTGACAATTTGACTATAATGTGCCGTGGAGAGGACCTGTTTGGGTTGAATCTACTGGGGCTCTCTGAGCTTTCTGGACCTGGATGTCTATCTCTTTCCCCACATTTAGGAAGTTTCAGCTATTCTTTCATTAAATATGTTTTCTACATCTTTCATCTTCTCTTCTTCTTCTGGAATCCATAATGCAAATATTTGTTTACTTAATGGTATCCTGTAGGCTTTCTTAATTCCTTTTTTTTTTCTTTATGCTTTGTTTCTTTTTGTTCTGCCTGTGTTATTTCAAATGACTGGTCTTCAAGTTCAGAGACTTCTACTTGGCCTAGTCCATTGTTGAAGCTCTCAATTGTATAAATTGTGTATTTCATTCATTGAATTCTTCAGCTGTAGGATTTCCATTTGGTTCTTTTTTATATCTATCACTTTGGTGAATTTCTCATTCAAATCATGAATTGTTGCCCTGATTTTATTGAATTATCTATCTGTATTTTCTTGTATCCCACTGAGTTATCTTAAGATTATTATTTTGAATTATTTTTATGGCATCTCATGTATTTCCTTATGATTGGGGTCAGATATTAGAGAATTATTGTGTTCTTCCAAACATGAAAAGCTTTATTGGCTTTTCATGTTTGACGTGTTCCTACAACAATTCTATACATCTGATGGAAAAGTTACCTCTTCCAAATTTATGGAGTGGTTTCGTAGGGAAAAACTTATTCATAGAAATGGGTATTGAGATGTTGGTTTGGTGGGGTGCGTTGGCTGTTGCAATGTTAGAATGGTGGGGCGAACACCTACCCATGCTAGCTGAGAAGCTGTGTGGCTGTGTCCCAGGGTTGACCTAGCTTGGGGGTGTGTTTGCTAGGGGCAGACTGGTCTGGTGGTTGGGCATTGCAGAGCTGTTTCTCAGGCCCTGGGCAGGGGTGCCTAGCTGTTCCCAATTGGGGAAGAGAGTACAGCAGTTTGGCTTGCTCAAGAACAGGTTCTTCCTGGACAGATTTGCTATACTGTTCTTCAGCTGGAAGTGAGGGCAATGGGGATTGGCTTTCCTGCTGTGCAGGACCAGAGTCACAGCCAATCCTGGGCCCATGCTCTGTGCTCCTGAGGTTGTGACATTTGGCCATGGGTATGGGCTTGGTGGATGAAAATGAAGCTCCAGTGCTAGAGAGGTGCCATGGCTACTGGTCCCCAGAGCTGAGCACACTTTAGAGGTGACTCTGGTCTCAAGATGGTGCTACGCTACAGCAGCTTGGCTCACAGGAGTGTGTGCAGGGTGGGAGTGCACATTTTGTGCTCCTAATCAGGAAAATTCAGCTGCATGAATTCTTGGCAGCTCTCCAAATTGGCCTCGGGGCTTGTGAGGACTGTGGGATTCTTCTGTTTTAAGCACTGTAGGTGTTTATGGTGGCAGTGGGGGTGGTGGGGATCTTCTGCTTACTTTTTCCCTGCAATGGGAAGCCTCTCCTCACTCTGGGGAGATCTAATCCAGGTTGGGAAGATGGGACTGCAGAGGCCAGCTGCCTCTATGCTGCCCTATTCGACTTCCAATCAGCCAGCTGCCTCTACACTGCCCTATTCGACTTCCAATCAGCCAGCTGCGTCTACACTGCCCTATTCGACTTCCAATCAGCCAGCTGCCTCTACACTGCCCTATTCGTCTTCCAATCAGCCAGCTGCGTCTACACTGCCCTATTCGACTTCCAATCAGCCAGCTGCCTCTACACTGCCCTATTCGACTTCCAATCAGCCAGCTGCGTCTACACTGCCCTATTCGACTTCCAATCAGCCAGCTGCCTCTACACTGCCCTATTCGACTTCCAATCAGCCAGCTGCGTCTACACTGCCCTATTCGACTTCCAATCAGCCAGCTGCGTCTACACTGCCCTGTTCAACTTCCAGTCACCACAGGTGCATCACCACTCCCCAGCTACACTCCAGTGTGCTTCCTTCAACACTCCAGTCAAATCTTAACTGTTTATTCTTTGCCTTGGTTCTTTCTTGTGGAAGGACAAGTGCCAGACATCTCTAGTCACTCTAGTCCCTGCTCCTGAAGAGAAATTTTGCTAATGAATTTTGACAGTAGCTTCAACTTGAAGAAATTAATGAGGAATTGAAAGTTATTTGAAATTAGAAGAAAGAGAACTGGCAGGGGACGGGCGGAACAGTAAATGGACCTAAGGAAGTAGAAAGGAGAGTCTGTGGCATCACAGTGACATAGGTTATATAAAAACAGACCTGCAGAGCTATGGTTTGGTTCAGTGTAGTTGATTTGGAAGGTGGACTTATACTGGTAGGATGCAAAAGCAATTATTTTATTGCTCATTCTTTCTATGATGGTTCAGAAAATAGGACAGAGTAGAGTACTTTCAGATCTAGTCATTTTATTTGTGTTTATGTGGATCCAGCCCCATTTCTTTCATATGTGTTATAGATGCTCTTTATCTTCATATAGGTTATCCACCATGGGGATTCTGGAAGAAAAGTTGAGTTCTAGGCTGACTTTTCCTGACTTTCAGAAGGTTCCTAGGTCCCATTTGACCCATCAGAGTTTGTGCAGGGAAGGTGAAACCAAATTTGTCAAATCCTTCCAAATTATTTTGTATTATTAGAAATATGATTTCATTACTGAGATTTTAGAATAATTGAGTTTTCTGAAAATTCTCTTTTGGAATATGTTATAAAATTATTTATTCTAATGATATTAAACTTTCATTAACTGCTTATTTATAACATGACCAAAAAAAAAAAAACATAGACAAACCCACAAGTGAAGCAAATCCACCCCCAGTGGGTTTTTGTTTGTTTGTTTTTGAGACAGACTCTACTCTGTCGCTCAGGCTGGAGTGCAGTGGCATGATGTCGGCTTACTGCAACCTCCCCCTCCCAGGTTCAAGAGACTCTCCGGCCTCGGCCTCCCGAGTAGCTGGGACTACAGGTGTGCACCACCAAGCCCAGCTAATTTTTGTATTTTTGGTAGAGATGGGGTTTTACCATGTTGGCCAGGCTGGTTTCTCACTTCCAGCCTTAGGTGATCCACCTGCCTTGGCCTCCCAAAGTGCTAGGATTACAGGTGTGAACCATCGTTCTAGGCCCCCCAGTGGTTTTTGAATAGGAATAAGGTATGTTGATATGTTGTAGTCTCTAAAACTACCTCTAGTTCACCTAAGACACTACACTGTTCCTTCTTCATGTCTTCTCCATGAGAGAATCTTGGCCTTCTTTCTTGGCCTTTCACATGAGAATCCTATGACCATTCCAGTCTGGTCATTAGCTCCTTTCTCTGTATTCTCATAGCACTTCATACATATGTCCATTTGCATTAATGACAGATTTATGCATCTGTCTTCTAGGTGTAGAAGTAAATTCCTTAAGAGTAAGCACCCAAGCAAGGCATGGTGGTGCACACCTGTAATCCCACTCCTAGAGAGGCTAAGGCAGGAGTATTGCTTGTGCCCAGGAGTTTGAGATTAGCCTGTGCCAAAACAGTGAAGTCCCATCTCAAAAAAAAAGAGTTAGCAGAGCATAGCGGCACGTGCCTGTAGTCACAGCTACTCAGGAAGCAGAAGTGGAAGGATTGCTTGAGCTCAAAGAGGTCGAGGCTGCAGTGAGCTGTGATTGTGCCACTGTACTTCAGCCTAGGTGATAGAGTGAGACCCTGTCTCAAAAAAAAAAAAAAAAAAGAGTAAGCACCTTACCTTATCTTTGATTAATCAGAGCCTGTATTATAGTTGACTCTCAATAAATGCTTTTGAGTAAATAAAGAAATCTAGTCAAAGGTCTCAACTTTTAAAAAAAAATACTTGACCCTTGCAAGAAGGCATTGAAGAGCCCTGTTAAAATATACATTAATGATTAAACTGGAGTGGCATGCAAATCACTAGCACACCTATTTAAATTAGTTTATTAGGTGATCTTGCTAGTTACCTAACAAGTACTGAGATAATGGGGCACAGGGAAGGAGAGGAGAGAAGAGAGAGAGAATAGATCATAGCATTGTATTGAGAAAATAGAGACAGCACACTATGATGGGAGCTCAGAGGTAAGGACTGTCAGTTGAGTCTGGAGCAGTAAGCAGAGTCCAGAACATCAGATCTTTGGGACCATATTTACGAATCTACTTCATCTTTTTTTTTTTTTTTTTTTTTTGAGACAGGGTCTCAATCTGTTGCCTAAGCTGCAGTTCAGTGTTGCAATCATAGCTCACTGCATCCTTCAACTCTTGGGCTCAAGTGATCCTCCTGCCTAAGCTTCCCAAGTAGCTGGGACTACAGGCATGCAACACCATGCCCAGCTACTTTACCTTAAGAGTAGCTTTACCTTAAGAGTAGCAAAAAAAAAAAAAAAAGTGGTTGTAAAGCCCTGCCCCCCACAAAAATAAAAAAAAAAAACCACATACACAACATACTCACAGGTGTATTTCAGAACAATCACTCTGGTTGCAGGGTGGAGGAAGGACTAGAGGAGGGGAGAATAGGGAGAACAGTTGGGAGGCTGCTGTAGTAACCCCAGAGAGAAGTTGTGAGCCTCTGAAGCACAGTTATGATAGGATGAAGGGAGGTGGACAGATTCCAGAGTTATTAAGCAGATGAATCGACAGATGAGTATGATGACTTGACCAGTGCCCCCTCCCCCGCTGGATCCTAGACTGGGTGACTGATGGCATGGGTTAGAGGTGCCACTTACTAATATCAGGAATGTAATGCTTATTGACAAAGCCTCCGTCCCCCTGGGCCTGTTTCTACAGTAGTTTCAATGTTCACTGTTGAGTTCTCTACTCTCAAGGGGCCTCTGCCTGCACTGTAGGGCTGCAGCAACTATAGAGTAAGCTCCAGCCACCTAGGTCATGCTCCCAGGCCCATTGTACCTACAGAGAAAGCCATTAGCTGCTGGTGTCATGGCGCCTTCCACTCTACCTGGGCAACTCCAATGAGGCAGTGTTATGCCCGAACACTGCTTGAAAACTTGGTGCCTAAAATCCCACCAGGCCTCTACTCCCCCATGTCATTCATCATTCCTGCCATCTAGGTCCTGTTCTGTGTTTTGTTTTGCTCTTCCCAAATTCCTCATTTTCCTTCCTTCCAAATATCTGCTGGACCCTCCAGTATCCTTATCCTGTGAAAAACAAACTATTAGAGAAATTCTTAAGTTGCCAGATTGCCCTTTCAAACTCCTACCTTAAGGAAATCTGACTCTCCTCTGAGGACTGCTTCCCTACAGCCCTCCTGAGCTAGACAGCTTATTCTTTCTCATCCAAATACCTCCAAGATGGTAGTGGGTTTCGGTATCCTCACTCCACAGTGATGCTTCAGGACCACTGCTTTTCTGCCTCCATGTATAACCCCCCACCACTTGAGGCCTATAACACCCAACTCCACCACTCTGCCTGTTTCCTCCTTACTGTTGTCTTCAGCCTGACTGAATGCTTTGGTATCTGGCATACCATTGCCTTCCTTCCTGCCATCATCATGGATGACTTCAATGTCCAGCAGAGAATCCATCCATCCAACATCCTAGCAAGACATCCTCAGGAGCTATTTTAATTATTTGAACCCACTTTGCTATAATTAGGGTAAACTGCTACTAGACTGGCAGGATTCCTGGGTCATGTTCTCATGGTGGTAACATCCAGGTGTCTCACCTGCATACGGTTAGCTGAATCTGAAATCATAACATGTTTTTATGTAAAAGAATGAGTTAAATTTTATTCATATTAAGAATTAAACTCAAATTGTAAAACACTTATTGTGGTGTCTGGCACAGAATAGGTATCCAATAAATCATAGTTATCATTATCATTATGACTATTACCAGTTTCCAGCTCTTCTCTCCTCAGAGTGCATGTGTGTTTATGTGTGCATGCACACACACACACAGCTAACAGAAGAAAAGCACTGTGCCTACCAACTTGTAGGGACATCCTATTTCACCCAAGTGTATTCTGCTCTCTCTCTCTGGTGAATGTACCGGCTTGTAAGTAGCTACTGTGATTGCCTTCGTCCACAGAGTCTCCAAGTTGAGTGTATATAAGATTAGTCTGAGGACCTTGTTAAAAACAAAGACCACCACTTGAATTAGATCCCATGCTTACAGACTCTGAATCAGCAGTTCTGGGTGGAGCAACAGGAATCTGATTTTTGTCAAACATTCCAGATGATTCTAACGTACGTGCAGCTCCAGCACCACACTTTGAGAAACAGCGTCACTGTGAATGCACAAGGCCACTGCTGCTACTCTATAATACTAATGGATAGTGTATTGAGTGAGCACCTTTGAGAGGCACTATGTTAGGGACTTGTGTATATCTCATTTAATCTTCCTAACAATACTATGAGGTATGCTATTACTAGAAATAATAATGAGAAAAATGAAAAAAGTGAGGCTTGGCAGAGGTCACATCACAATGAGCAAATGGAGAGCCAAGATTTGAACCTAGGCAGCCTAACTCCATATCCCTGGTGCTTAGCCACTTAAATCCCTCCCCTATTGTATTAGTCATGGTTCTCTAGAGGGACAGAACTAATAGGATATATACACACACACACACACACACACACACACATATATGTGTGTGTGTGGGATATATATATATGCTGGGATATATAGATATATATGAATATATATGCTGGGATATATATATATCTATATATATCTCTAGAGAGATATATATATATATATATAGATATATATATAGGAGTTTATTAGGTATTAACTCACATGATCACAAGGTCCCACAATAGGCCATCTGCAAGCTGAGAAGCAAGGAGAGCCAGTCTGAGTCCCAAAACTGAGGAACTTGGAATCTGATGTTTGAGGGCAGGAAGCATCCAGCATGGGAGAAAGATGTAGGCTGGGAGGCTAGGCCGGTGTAGTCTTTCCACGTTTTTCTGCCCGCTTTATATTCTGCCCACCCAGATTAAGGGTGGGTTTGCCTTTCCCAGCCCACTGACTCAAATGTTAATCTCCCTTAGCAACACCCTCACAGACACACCCAGGGCAATACTTTGCATCCTTCAATCCAATCAAGTTGATACTCAGTATTAACCATCACACCTGTTTAGACTTTTCCCATTTCTTTTTTTTTTTTTTCTTTTTTGAGACGGAGTCTCACTCTGTCACCCAGGCTGGAGTGCAATGATGCAATCTCAGCTCACTGCAACCTCTGCCTGCCAGGTTCAAGTGATTCTCCTGTCTCAGCCTCCCAAGTAGCTTGGATTTTCTCCTGTCTTGGCCTCCCAAGTAGCTGGGATTACAGGCGCACACCACCGTGCCTAGCTAACTTTTGTATTTTTAGTAGAGATGGGGTTTTACCATGTTGGCCAGGCTGGTCTCAAACTCCTAACCTCAAGTGATCGGTCCGCCTCCACCTCCCAAATTGCTGGGATTACAGGAGTGAGCCACAGCCAACTTTTCCCATTTCAAGTGAAGAATCCACTTGCCAAAGCCTAATTTTTTCTTCTCTGCTCAGCTTGCTCTGATTGATCTCATCCCATGATAGCAATACCCCATTGGGACCTTTTCCTTGGGACCTTTCCTTCCCCTTCTTTCCCTTCCATTCCTTTCCCTATCAGTCATGGAACTCACACTGCAGTGATAGGCCTCTGCTTCCAGGCCCACAGCTAACTTCGGCAATAACAGCCTCCTGCTTTTGCTCACCAGGAGAGAGGCCTGACACCACTTGGGAATCCACTTAGATCTCAGCCCTCATCTTCCTTTATCCTCCCTCTACCAGCTCGTTCCTATCACCAGGGGTTGAACTTAAGCTTATGATTTCAGAAAGACTGTGTTTGCCCATTCAAATTCCTTGCATGTAAACTGCTTCAGTTTCTTTTACCCTTTTTCTCCTTCCCAAAATAAGCAGGGAAAAGAAAGAAAAATATTTTGACCATACAACATTGCTGGACAGAAAGAGCATGAATTCCTATTATAGTTCTGCTTGGTTTTGTTTTATTCTTTGTTTCCCTGGTAGCTATCTTAGAAATTTCTGGTTCACCTGCTTCATTTCTATCTTCAGAAATTAGGATGAAATAATTCCCGTAGTGATATTTTGCTCATCTCCTAAAGTTTTATAGCTTGGCATTTTGGTAACCTCAATTAAAGTACACACATACAAAAATCTATCCTGTACTAAAGTTTATTGCTATGAAAGACATTTTTAAATGTCTAATGCAAGCTTGTCCAACCCATGGCACTCAGGCCACATGTGGATGAGCCAGGATGGCTCTGAATGCAGCCCAACACAAATTCATAAACTTTCTTAAAACATTACATTATGAGACTTATGCACAGATTTTTTTTTTTTTTTTTGCTCATCAGCTATCATTAGTGTATTTTATGTGTGGCCCAAGACAATTCTTCTTCTAATGTGGCCCAGGGAAGTCAAAAGATTGGACACCCCTGGTCTAATGTCTTACAAGAAATTATCTAGTGATTTTCTCACAACCTTAAAAGTAACATTTGAATCAAGCTCTTTTATATGTTTATATTTTCCTGAGTACCCGAATGAATGCCCATTTACACTAAAACAACACCAGTTTTCTTTTTTTGTTTGTTTGAGACAGAGTCTTGCTCTGTCGCCCAGGCTGGAGCGCAGTGGCGCGATCTCAGCTCACACTACAAGCTCTCCGCCTCCTGGGTTCACGCCATTCTCCTGCCTCAGTCTCCCCAGTAGCTGGGACTACAGGCACCTGCCACCAACAACACCAGTTTTCTATAAAGTGGACACAGTTACTTCAATAGTTAACACTAATTATGGTAACATGATATAGTGCAGCTGTTTCCCTTTATAAATGATTCTCAAATAAACCTATTTACTCATGTTCCATTAGCTGGGTTTTTTTTTTAATTTTTGTATGAGACAGAGTCTCGCTCTGTTGCCCAGGCTGGAGTGCAGTGGCGCAATCCCGGCTCCCTGCAACCTCTGCCTCCAGGGTTCAAGCGATATTTGTGCCTCAGCCTCCGAAGTAGCTGGGACTATAGGCATGCACCACCACACCCGGCTAATTTTTTTTTTTTTTTTGTATTTTTAGTTGAAACGGGGTTTTGCCATGTTGGCCAGGCTGGTCTTGAACTCCTGACCTCAGGTGATCTGCCCACATTGGCCTCCCAAAGTGCTGGGATTACAGGCATGAGCCACTGCGACTGGCCCCATCAGCTCTTTTTGCCACTTTGCATGCCATACACTTAAATCTATCCTGACAATGTGTACATGTATTATATATATATATATATATATATATGTATATATATATACATATATATACATATATATATGACAGAGCATTAAAATGTTTATGTAATGAAAACTTTGCCAAAAAATAACATCAAAGACAAAAATCAATAGAAACAATTCTATTGATTTCCAAGATGATCCACTATAACCCAGCTGAGTGCTCTGAGAGAACTAATTACAGCATAAGCTGGGGACCACTATGACAATGGCCACATGGTGGGTGCTGATCCGCTCTCCAGACAGCTGAAAATTCACTTTCCTTGTCAATTCAAAGAAATGGTTTAGAAGATAAAGTAGAAGTGTTAATTCTCCTAATTTCTCATAATCCAAAATTAGTGTATATCGGATTATGACTGCAGATATGAAAGACCTAGAAGCCTGACTTATAAGTAGATATTCCTATTTTGCATATTTGGTAAGCCTACATATAGTAATTTTATCTTTGACTTTTGACTACAGTTTCACCTTACCCAGAAATACCCTAATATTTGCTTTACCTCTTTACCCATGCTTTTGTGGGTCCTCAAACCTTGCCAGGGTGCTGGGTGGACATTAGGTCTGCTTTTGACTACAAAAACTGTAAAATAAATACAGGTTGAATTTTATAACTTTTTCCATTTCTCCTTCCTCTTTTCTTTTTTCTTTTTTTGAGATGGAGTCTCACTCTGTCGCCCAGGCTGGAGTGCAGTGGTGCAATCTCGGCTCACTGCAACCTCCACCTCCTGGGTTCAAGCGATTCTCCTGACTCAGCCTCCCAAGTAGCTGGGATTACAGGCATGTGCCACCACACCCGGCTAATTTTTGTATTTTTAGTAGAGATAGGGGTTTTGCCATGTTGGCTAGGCTGGTCTCGAACCCCTGACCTCAGGTGATCCACCTGCCTTGGCCTCCCAAAGTTCTAGGATTACAGGTGTGAGCCACCACACTCAGCCACTCCTTCCTCTTTTCATATTCCACTCTATTACCTTTGTCTGCCAGCCCTATCCCCATCCACTGGGCTTGCCTGTACTAGCAGTCCCACATTAAAACTCCTCTTATTTCTCCCCTAATTAGCACAAAGGCCAGTTATAGACATTGAGGATGTGGGAGCATATGCCTCTGAGAACCACTGTCCCCAAAACCCCATGGGCTTATACCAGCATGACCAAATCTAGTCATGGTTGATTGGGCCATGATAGACACCTGACTCAAGCTGAGCCAATCAGATTCTCTCTTTTGAGAATGTGAAAGGCGAACCAAGAAATGGCTATCAAGATGTCTATTAGGAAACTGTGTTTTGGATGGGTGCAGGAAGCACACACAAAGAGAAGCTGACAGAGCTGGTCTGCAAAAAGAGAGAAGGAAGCAGAGAGCTAAACTGAAGAAGAGAACAAAAGAGAGAGATGAGGAGCCGTGAGAGAGTTAGAGAGACTGTGTTCAGCTGACCAGCACCCCAGGTTTTTCAGTTCCTCAGTCCTTTGCTCTTGAGGCCTGATTATTCGCTTTCTCCTCACATAGCAAGAGGTAACTCCAAATCCTGAAATCATTCTCTTCTTTTAAGAATAGGCTGCTTTGCTAAAGCTAGTTTGCAGAGAGTTTCTCTTACTTTCAACCAAAAGTAACTCAACTAAGGTACTACACCCTTAGGGAATGTGTTTTTGTGTTTAGGAGTTTCATCATCACTAAACTGAGGGATCCTGAGGCCTTCTTCAGGCCTATAAATCCTGGAGACTGTTTTAGGCCCCAGGCTAACTTCCTGTGAGCTGCTCCCTGTTCCCAGGTCTCCACTAATTATCTCACACATCTGCTGCTTCCGTCCACTGTTCTTTTTTTTTTTTTTTTTTCCCCCGAGATGGAGTCTTGCCCTGTCACCCAGGCTGGAGAGTGCAGTGGCACGATCTCGGCTCACTGCAACCTCTGCTTCCTGGTTCAAGCAATTCTCCTGCCTCAGCCTCCAGAATAGCTGGGATTACAGGCACGCGCCACCCTGCCTGCCCAATTTTCATATTCTTAGTTGGGGGGGGGGGGGGTTTCACCATGTTGGCCAGGCTGGTCTCGAACCCTTGACTTCGTGATCCACCTGCCTCGGCCTCCCAAAGTGCTGGGATTACAGGTGTGAGCCACTGCACCCAGCCCGTCCACTGTTCTTAGGAAGTTTTCTTCTTTGTGGCCTACTTCAGAACAGAACAAGGGTTCCTAACTGCTGCCTCCTCTGTTTTGTTTTGAGATGCGCACAATTCCTTTTGAGGAATTTTTTAAAATTTCATTTAGACAGCTGATTAAAAACAGGGAGTCATCGAGTGGATTTTTTAAGACCTGGGAGGAAAATAACAGAAAGTGAGATTGGTGTTCAGAATTAAAACACTCTAAGATCCTTATGTTGTTTGACAGGAGGATAGTAACACAGATTAACAGACTTTGTTAAGTATGCATGTTAAAAATTTCAGGGCAGGGCTGGGCAGGGTGGCTTATGCTTGTAATTCCAGTGACTCAAGAGGCCAAGGCAGGAGGATCCTTTGAGGCCAGTTTGGAGATCAGCCTGGACAACATGGCAAGACCCCATTTCTACAAACTTTTTAAAAAAATTAGCCAAGCATCGTGGCGTGAGCCTGTAGTCCCAGCTACTCAGAATGCTAAGACAGGAGGATCGCTTGAGCCCAGGAGTTCAAGGATGCAGTGAGCCATGACTGTGCCAGTGCATTCCAGCCTGGGTGACAGAGTGAGACCCTGACTCTTTAAAAAAAAAAAAAAAAAAAAAGGAGGGGGACCACTAAACAAAATGAAATAGAATATATAACTTAAATATTTGGCTTAGTGCATGTTAAGCCAGAAAACTAGGGAGTCTCTTTGATGATTATAAATATCTCTGGCCTCTTATAGCCATATGGCTGACATAGCAGAAAATGAGCTGCAGTTGTGGTCCTACAGTTTGCTGCATTTCATCGTAGGTTCGCATGCTTGTGGATTTCTTGTGTGAATTTAGGACATTTATTTGGCCAAGAGTGGGAAATTTATAGTTGGAGTAGTAAGATTTGGGAGGACTTCAAGTACCTTGATCCTGTAATCCCCAGCTCCTTCTCTCTCTGATGAAGTCATTTCTGATGTGAAGACACTTGGATGACCTCATCTGAGGTAGCTAACTTGCAAGGGGGTGCAAGCTCTCTTTGTGCCCCACACCTACCACTTCTCATACTCATACATGCTGTTCCATGCTTTCATCCCTATGCATCTTCTGTTCCTTGTCCTTGAAGTAGACTGTCTCCTTCTGGTGAAATCTTATTTTTACTTTAAAACCTTGTTCTGGGATCAGTTCCTTTGGGAGTCGCTCCTGTTCTCCACAGAAGAATTAATTACTCCTTCCACTCTATACCATGTCCATGTATACACACCATTTTATTGCCCAGATGTCATGGTATTCTTTGCATTTATTTACTTTTAAAATAAAAATGTCACATGGAAGGGGGAATATGATTTTTCCATGGTGCTCCAGAGGGAAAAGCCAGGCCCAAAGAATATAAGTAACAAGGAAGTACATTTTAGCTTAACTTAAGGGAGAACATTCTTATCATTAGAGCTTCACAAATGACACAAGCTGTTTAGAGGTGGTAAGCTTCTGCTTAATGACATTTTTAAAAATTGTGCATTCATTTAATAAGATTGCTTAGAAAGGATATGGTATGGCTTACAATATGTACGTGATCAACTCTTTGCCTGTTGCTCTGAACTCTTCTCAGTTCCTTCCACTCCAGCCACACTGGCCTTCTTGCTCTTCCTGAAATGGGACAAACCCATTGCCTCCACTGGACCTGATGCTACCTCTGCCTGGAATGTTCTTCCTCCAGATTTTCTTGTGGATTTTCCTTCTTACCAGCAGATCTCTACTGGAGTGTAAACTCCAAAGAAAGGGCTCAAACTCCAAAGAAAGGGCTCTTTTTTTTTTTTTTTTTTTTTTTTGAGACGGAGTCTTGCTCTATCACCCAGGCTGGAGTGCAGTGGCGCGATCTCCAATCACTGCAAGCACCGCCTCCCGGGTTCATGCCATTCTCTTGCCTCAGCCTCCCGAGTAGGTGGGACTACAGGTGTACGTCACCACACCCGGCTAATTTTTGTGTTTTTAGTAAAGACGGGGTTTCACCACATTGGCCAGGCTGGTCTCGAACTCCTGACCTCGTGATCCACCCGCCTCTGCCTCCCAAAGTGCTGGGATAGAAAGGGCTCTTTTGATCACTCTGTCTTTACCAGTCTGTTCCCCACTCCCCATATTCTTGCCCTCTCCACTTAATTTGTGAATGTTCTGCACAAAATCTATCAATATCTGAAATCATAAGTTTTGTTTACTTATTACCTATCTTCTATATTACAGTGCATCTTCCAAGATGAAAGGGATCTTACCTTTTTTATTCATTCCTGTGTCCTTATAAACTGTACCTGAAACAGTTTCTAGCACCATAGTAGTTGCCAAAAAATGTTTGTTGAACACATAAATTTTTTATAATAACTCATTAATAACCGACTGGTTAGTTGGTTGTTCTCAGCACTGAATCTTGACCAACTTGAATAGTAGATGGTTGAATATGGTGGCTCTAACATCCTTTTCCCAATTTGGCTGAAAATGAATTCCTTCCCTCCATCAAGTCCCAGATGTTATTCCATCCCAACAATCACTTTTATAGAACAGATAGTTGATGCATGATGGTACTTGCATGTGCTCTGAAAATACCCACCAATACCCAAATATCTCTAATGTGTGTGTGCTTGAAATTGTACCTCTAGAGATTTACTTCCTTGTATCATCAAAGAATTACAGTCTTAGAGTCCTGTAATAAATTGTTGGACTGGAGGTCATAAACTGGTTTGTTAGATTTTATATTTAAATAAAAATATGCCTATTAGAGGATGTGTTCATAATATATTGTCTGGAAAAATTTTGAAAAGAGACAAATGTTCTGGGAAGGTAGGTAGGAAAGCAGTGAGTCCTCAGTTCTGGAAACGGTGGCATGGTACTTCTCTATCAAGGCCAGTTCATAGAAAATTATATTATAACATGACTTAGGGTAAGATGCAAATGACTGATTATGTGAATTAGTGGTCTGTTACCCTATCTAGAAGCAGCTGAAATTTTAGATGATAAATTAGTACATTTACTATGGAGAACAGTATGGAGATTCCTTAAAAAACTAAAAATGGGCTGGGTGTGGTAAATCATGTCTGTAACCCCATCACTTTGGGAGGCTGAGGCAGGAGGATCACTGGAGCCCAGGAGTTCGAGACCAGCCTGGGCAACATAGCGAGATCTCATCTCTACAACAAATAATAATAATAATAAAATTAGCTGGGTACAGTGGTGCCTGTAGTCCCAGCTACTAGGGAAGCTGAAGTGGGAGGATTGCGGGAGCCAAGGGAGTCAAGGCTGCAGAGAGCTATGACCATGCCTCTGCACTTCAGCCTGGGCAATAGAGCTAGACCCTGTCTGTTAAAAAAAAAACAAAACAAAACCCAAAAAACCTAAAAATAGAAGTACCCTATGATCCAGCAGTCCTACTGCTAGGAATATACTCAAAAGAAAGGAAATCAGTATATTGAAGAGATACCTGCACTCCCGTGTTTGCTGCAGCACTATTCACAATAGCCAAGATTTGGAAGCAACTGGAGTGTACACTAACAGACGAATGGATAAAGAAAATGTAGTGCAGGCTGGGCGTGGTGGCTCACGCCTGTAATCCCAGTACTTTGGGAGGCCGAGGCAGGTGGATCACGAGGTCAGGAGCTTGAGACCAGCCTGGCCAAGATGGTGAAACCCCGTCTCTACTAAAAATACAAAAATTAGCTGGGCATGGTGGCATGAACCTGTAATCCCAGCTACTCGGGAGGCTGAGGCAGGAGAATCGCTTGAACCCAGGAGGCGGAGGTTGCAGTGAGCTGAGATTGCGCCACTGCACCACTCCAGCCTGGGCGACAGAGCTAGACTCTGTCTCAAAAAAAAAAAAAAAAAAGAAAGAAAATGTGGTACATACATGCAATGAAGGACTATTTGGCCACAAAAAAGAATGAGATCCTGTCATTTGCAACAACATGGATGGAACTGGAGGACACTATGTTAAGTGAAATAAGCCAGGCACAGAAAAACAAACTTTTCATGTTCTCTCTCATTTATGGGAGCTAAAAATTAAAACAATTGAACTCATGGAGATAGAGAGTAAAATGATGGTTACCAGAGGCTAGGAAGGGTAGTGGAGAGGGGCAGAAATGGTTAATGGGTACAAAAATATAGTTAGACAGAATGAATAAAATCTAGTATTTGATAGCACAATAGGGTGACTACAGGCAACAATAACTTATTGTACACATGTAATCCCAGCACTCTGGGAGGCCGAGGCGGGTGGATCACAAGGTCAGGAGTTCGATACCAGCCTGACCAACATGGTGAAACCCTGTCTCTACTAAAAATACAAAAGTTAGCCGGCCATGGTGGTGCGTGCCTGTAATCCCAGCTACTCAGGAGGCTGAGGCAGGAGAATCGCTTGAACCCAGGAGGCAGAGGTTGCAGTGAGCTGAGATCGCACCATTGCACTCCAGCCTGGGTAACAGAGCGAGACTCCATCTCAAAAAAAAAAAATTACTAAAAGATTATAACTGGAATGTTTGCAACACAAAAATATAATAAATGTCTAAGGTGATGGATATCCCATTTGCCCTGATGTGATTGTTACACATTGCATGCCTCTATCAAAATATCTCATATACCCCATAAATATGTCTATTATGTACCATAAAAATTAAAAATAAAAAAATTTTTAAATAAAAAGAAATTTTAGATAGAAAACAAAACCTAATCTTGGCCAAAGGAACCTCAGAAAAACCTTAAAAACTGAATTCCAGGCCAAGATGGGAAGAGAGGTTAGACACACCTCTATACCTTCTCCCTTTTAAAGTTTAGGCACAACTGACCAACATTAAGGTTAAACTAGAGATCATAAGACTGACAAAACACTCTGTGGCAATAAGATACCATATTATAAACAAGACCTAGGCTGGGCGCAGTGGCTCACGCCTGTAATCCCAGCACTTTGGGAGGCTGAGGCAGGCGGATCACGAGGTCAGGAGCTCGAGACCAGCTTGGCCAATATGGTGAAACCCCATCTCTACTAAAAATACAAAAATTAGCTGGCCGAGATGGCGCGTGCCTGTAGTCCCAGCTACTTGGGAGGCTGAGGCAGAAGAATCGCTTGAACTGGGGAGGTGGAGGTTGCAGTGAGCTGAGATCACGTCACTACACTCCAGCCTGGGTGACAGAGCGAGACTCCGTCTCAAAAAAAAAAATAAATACAAATAAACAAGACCTGCGAGCCAGGCGCGGTGGCTCACGCCTGTAATCCCAGCACTTTGGGAGGCCGAGGCAGGTGGATCATGAGGTCAGGAGTTCAAGACCAGCCTGACCAACATGATGAAACCCCGTCTCTACTAAAAATACAAACATTAGCCGGGCATGGTGTTGCATGCCTGAAATCCCAGCTACTTGGGAGGCTGAGGCAGGAGAATCGCTTGAACCTAGGAGGTGGAAGTTGCAGTGAACCGAGATGGGGCCTCTGCACTCCAGCCTGGGCGACAGAGCAAGACTCTGTCTCAAAACAAAACAAAACAAAACAAAACAAAAAAACTATGGCCATGCAAGGCAAGGATTAAGTCATGCCCTACAAACCATAAAATGTCGTTAAATGGTTTTTTATGTGCAATGGTATAATGTGCCTTACTTTCCAACCTGACTGGTGTAGAATCACATGACAGATAGCAGACTCCCTTTTCTTAAGCATTCCTTTCTACTGACTTCAAGTCTTTAGACAAAGCTTAACACTGTTTTTTGTTTGTTTGTTTGTTTGTTTTTGAGACAAGGTCTTACTCTGTCACCCAGGCTGGAGTGCAGTGGCACGATCTCGGCTCACTGCAACCTCTGCCTCTCAGGTTCAAGTGATTCTCCCACCTCAGCCTCCCTAGTAGCTGGGGTTACAGGCATCCACCACCGTGCTTGGCTAAGTTTTGTATTTTTAGTAGACACAGGTTTTCACAATATTGGCCAGGCTGGTCTTGAACTCCCGACCTCAGGTGGTCCACCCACCTTGGCCTCCCAAAGTGCTGGGATTACAGTCTT
The DNA here is from genome assembly GCF_000001405.40 of Homo sapiens. Classification (NCBI taxonomy): domain Eukaryota; kingdom Metazoa; phylum Chordata; class Mammalia; order Primates; family Hominidae; genus Homo; species Homo sapiens. The sequence goes on from NC_000001.11 coordinate 168,177,703, forward strand.
GAGCCACTGCACCTGGCCTGTGTTTTTATTTGTTTTTGAGACAGGGTCTCGCTCACCCAGGCATGAGTGCTGTGGCATGATCATGGCTCAATGCAGCCTCTGAGGCTCAAGAGATCCTCCCACCACAGCCTCTCAAGTGGCCTGGGACTACAGGCAGATACCATCATACACAGCTAATTAACACGGTTTGTAGAGATGAGGGCTTACTCTGGTGCCCACGCTGGTCTCAAATTCCTGGACTCAAGCAATCCTCTCACCTAGGCCTCCCAAGATGCTGGGATTATAGGCAGGAGCCACCTCGCCTGACTAAAGCTTAAATCTTTCAACAGATTGCCGATCAGAAAATCTTTGAATCCACCTATGATCTGTAAGCCTCTCCTTCAAGACATCCCACTTCCTTAGCCTGAACCAATGTATATCTTCCATATATTGACTTATTTTACCTGCAATTCCCAACTCCCTAAAATGTATAAAACAAAGAGTAATGCCACCGCTTCAGATGCTCTTTGTTAGGACCTCTTGGGACTATTCCCTGGGCCATGGTCACTCATATTGGTTCAGAATAAATCTCTTTAAAACCTTTTACAGAATTTGTTTTTTTTCCATTAACAAAATCATCTCATTTTGAGGCAACTGAAGCCTAAAATCGTTAGAGAAGCGCTTTGCCCAAGGATTCACACAATAGTGTTGCAAATGGAGATTTAGCACTAAGTCAGCTGTGTTGTTTTCACTATACTGGGTGCCTACATAGCAACTAGACCATGGAAAGTCTTCGCATATCTACGAGGATGCAATTTTTGATAGGAGTTGGTCATAGTCAAGAGTGGCTAGATGGCCACTTCTAAATCTTGTTGGTGCTGGATTTCCTAAACTCTGTGGGATTACTTCTTTTTTTGACCTCAAAACAGAAAAATTTCCTCTGTAACACGATTCACTAACACATGAGGTAATCACACTGCTTTGAGGTCTGTAAGGATCAAGTTGGAACCGTCATCCCCTTCCCTGGCAGTCCCTAAAATCCTTCGAGATGACGTCACCCAACGAGTTCAAGAGGGCGGTGCGTTCCTAACCACACCTTCTGCAACCCAAGTGCCGCCCCTCTGACTTTCTCCTTTTTCCTTTTTTCCGGAACGCCGGAACGTAAGACGTGGGTCACGCAACAAGAGCAACTAGTCCCGGAAGCAAAAAGCAAAGAGGCGGAGAAGAAGACGGGAAGCAGAGCCCGCGTCCGGGTCGGCCGGCAGGGGGCGGGGCCGGGCATGGTAACGGCTCGGAAGCCTAGGAGGCTGGGCCGGAGGGAGGCGGAGGAACCGGTGTTCGCCGCCGCCGCTGCTTCAGCTTATTCCTTGTGGCCTCTGCGGGTCCTGCCTCAGCCATGATGATCCACGGCTTCCAGAGCAGCCACCGGGATTTCTGCTTCGGGCCCTGGAAGCTGACGGCGTCCAAGACCCACATCATGAAGTCGGCGGATGTGGAGAAGTGAGGCTTCGGGGCACGGGGTCTGGGCGCTGGCCGGTTGCTGGCCCAGGGCGGGAGGCAGGGCGAACTCTGTGCAGCCCCTCCCCTTTTCCCTGAGGCGGAGGTTCGGTCCCTCCGGACCGGACCTTTGATTGACAACTTCGATAAATAATCCAGTCACACTTCCGGGCCCTTTGGTTGGGGATCGCCAGGCGCTGCTTTCGTCAACTGTCAATCCGCCTGGGTTTGAGTAGAGTGTGACTGTTCTGGTGGACTTTCCCCTCACCAAACGTCTCCTCCTGCCTCAGCCTGCACCACCTTTCTTTCTGGGTGGCTGTTGCCTGTTTTCTTAGGGGTTAATGACGGGGATGATTTATAAGTTTGGTTTCTGTCACGTCAGGTGCTGTGCCCGGCGCTTGAGATAGGAAATGTAAAAGACAACGTGCGCCTCAATTCACAGTCTCGTGAGAGAGACAGACAATTATATTACAGCGTGAATAAATGTAATGAAGATGTATACACGGAGTGATGTGAGGTCTTTTAGGGGCTCGAACCATCTGGGAAATTGGGATGCCTGAACTGAATCTTTATAAAACCGTTGCGGGGGGCGGTGGATAGGTACATGCCATCAGGTCAGGCAGAGTGAGTTGTGATGCGTTTTTGATGCCTGGGCTGAATCTTGACAAAATTTAGGGGAATCAGGGGACGCATGTAAAGCTGGGGGCTCAGGGAGAGTGAAAGCTGTGATGTGTTTAAAGAGCTGTGTCCGTGTGATTGGAGCGTGAGGTACCATAGGGGGTGTTGTGAGAGATGAGAGGTAGGCCCCAGGGGAATCAAGATACTGAGGGAATTTTTATGCCTGGCTAAGGAGTTTTCAATTTTATCTGACAACCACTGGGTGTAATTTTATCCAAAGGAGCTGCATTATCAGATGTACGCTCTGAAAGATTTCTCTGGAGGCCATGTTGAGGCTGGATTGCAGGTCCGCAGGGATGGGAAGGAGACCAGTTAGTAAGAGAAAAGATAGGTTTTAGAAGATTAAGTCCCTGGGATGGCCAGCTGATGGGAGGAGAAATAAAAAAGGAAGAGTCTATGCTGATGACAAGATCTCTGGCTTGGATTTTTGCATGTATCGTATGCCTTTGAACAAGATGAGAAGCACAGGAGGAGGAGAAGCAGATGGGGGCAGGGTGTTGGTTAGAGGATGAGTTTAGTTTATTGAAATGTGAGGTGGGTATAGGTCATAAAGTGAAGATGTGTAGTAGGCATTTAGATATATTTATCTTGGAGCTCAAAAAAGATAACGTCTGTGGGTTTAAGTTTGGGAATTATCTGCTTATATTTGGTACCTGGAGCTTTGGGAATGAATTAAGGTATCTAGAAGTCATCCAGAGGAAAAGGTCATAAAATAGAACCCTAAGTGAGTACTTGCATTTTAAGATTTGAGCAGAGGGAGTGACCAGGGAAGAGAGGAAAGTAATGAAACGATGTTTGCTTCCTAATTCAAGAAAATAAGTGGTAATATTCTAGTAGACTCACTGAAAAAAATTAGGAAAATACAGAAAAGAAAGGAAAAAAATTTCCCTTCATCCCACCAGAAATTGAATTACTTTTTTGAGTTTTTCCTCTCTATATCTTTCTTTTCTTTTTTTTTTATAACTTTTTTTTTTTTTTTGTATTTTTAGTAGAGACGGAGTTTCTGCATTTTGCTCAGGCTGGTCTCGAACTCCTGACCTCAGGTGATCTGTCCGCCTTGGCCCCCCAAAGTGCCGGGATTACAGGCATGAGCCACTGCGCCCAGCCTTGTATAACTTTTATTTATTTTTTATTTTGTTTTTTTGAGACAGAGACTCACTCTGTCGCCCAGGCTGGAGTGCAGTGGCACAGTCTCAGCTCACTGCAGCCTCCGCCTTCCAGGTTCAAGTGATTCTCCTGCCTTAGACTCCCTGGTAGCTGAGACTACAGGCGCGTGCCACCACGCCTGGCTAATTTTTGTATTTTTATTTATTTATTTATTTTTAATTTTCTTTTCTTTTCTTTTTTTCTTATTCTTTCTTTCTATTTTTATTTTGAGATGGAGTTTCACTTGTTGCCCAGGCTGGAGTGCAATGGCGCCATCTCGGCTCACTGTAACCTCCACCTCCTGGGTTCAAGCGATTCTCCTGCCCAGCCTCCCAAGTAGCTGGGATTACAGGCATGCATCACCACGCCCAGCTAATTTTGTATTTTTAGTAGAGATGGGGTTTCACCATGTTGGTCAGGCTGGTCTTGAGCTCCTGACCTCAGATGATCCACCTGCCCTCGGCCTCCCAAAGTGCTGGGATTACAGGCATAAGCCACCGCACCCGGCCTCCTCTCCATATAACTTTCTGTGACAAATTGCCGATTGGTGCAAAAGTAATTGCGGTTTTTAATTGCAAAACCGCAATTACTTTTGCACCAACATAATACAATATATAATTATATTATATATAAAGCAGTCAGCTTCAAACTGGGGCCCCCATGTAATTTACTTACAGATTCTCTAAGCGATGGCTGTATACATGGAGAGTTTTAAGGGAATAAAATTCCATATCTACGATCTCCTTATGTATTATTTTAAAAACAAATTTGCCTGAGGCCGGGTGCGGTGACTCACTCCTGTAATCCCAGCACTTTGGGAGGCTGAGGCAGGCGGATCACCTGAGGTCAGGAGTTCAAGACCTGCCTGGACAACATGGTGTAACCCCGCCTCTACTAGAAATACAAAAAAAATTATCTGGGGGTGGTGGTGCAGGCCTGTAATCCCAGCTACTCTGAAGGCTGAGGCACGAGAATCACTTGAACTTGGGAGGTAGAGGTTGCAGTACGCTGAGATCGTGCCACTGTGCTCCAGCCTGGATGACAGAGTAAGACTCCGTCCCCCACCCTCCGCCAAAAAAAAAAAAATGCCTTTTTTTATATGACAAAAGGAAGACTTACCCTCACCAATCCCAAATTTTTCTGTGATGCATTATCATAGATTGTAAAAACCACTAAGGTGCTAAATAAATTGGTTGGGTAAAATATTGGATTAAAGAAGCTCTTCTAATGAATATTTAAGGCACCTTAAAACCACAGGAGCTTCCTGTCTTCTCTCCTTGTAACTAGTTATACCTGTTTTTAAGTGGGAAGCTTGATGATGTTAGAAATAGGGCATTTTCAGGCCGGGCGCGGTGACTCACGCCTGTAATCCCAGCATTTTGGGAGACCGAGGCAGGTGGATCACCTGAGGTCAGGAGTTCGAGACCAGCCTGGCCAACATGGTGAAACCCTGTTTCTACTAAAAATACAAAAATTAGCCGGGCATGGTGGCACGTGCCTGTAATCCCAGCTCCTAGGAAGGCTGAAACAGGAGGATTGCTTGAATCTGGGAGGCGGAAGTTGCAGTGAGCCAAGATCGTGCCATTGCACTCCAACCTGGGCAACAGAGCGAGACTCCGTCTCAAAAAAAAAAGAGGGCATTTTGGCCTATGTTTAAGAAACTCTATATTTAGAACACTGAAGGACTGTAAATTAGTAACAGTGATTCTTTTACATATATGAGTGGAATATTTTATAGGACTGCCACATTTTTCCAGATATATTGGTTAGAATCCACAGACTCACATATTATTTCACATTTGGTATGCATTATTCAAGTTAAAACTTATTTTATGGAATCTTATGGAATATATATTCCAATTACAGTTTATTGTATCTAATCTTTTAAGTATTTAATATTTTCTATCTCCTAATAACAAAGAATAAATTTTACTTAAAATTATGATGAAAGTTAACATTGTTAGTCCTGAAGACCATTGTTAACATTGTGCAGTCCTGAAGACCTGCACCTCAAAGTTAGATCACTGATATGTGCACACAGAAATACACGTTTAGATGTAATAAATATACAATGTGTGTCCAGTTTTTTTCTTACTATTTTATCATAAGCATTTTTTCATATTATTATAGTCTCTCTTTAAACATTTGTAATGGTTCCATAATATTTCATCATATGGATATACTTTGGTTTGCATAATCATTTGTTGCTTTATAATGAAACATTCAGAGTATTTCTTTTTCATGATTATAAGTAAAGCCATTATAAGTATTAATGTGTATAATATTTTTCTGTACTTGGAATTATTCTTTAGTACAGGTATTCTAAAACTGATACTTTGGGTCATAAGTGTGTAAATTATGTTAAATTCCTGTGATTTTTTTTTTTTTTTGCTTGATTGTTGCCCCAGGGTGAAATGTAAATTGACACAATCCTTCTGAAAGTCTGTGTAGGCAAGTGCTGAGTTCCCTCATCAGTGTCAGGTGCTTTTGCTTTTTTCATCACCACGTTTTGAAACTTTTAACAATTGAGAATTTTAATGGAAAAATTATTTTCCTACAAGAGACAGTATCTTTAATTGCTTTGCTATCTTTTCTTCATACCCTCATGATATATATTATAGTAATATCTGTGTGCTATATATTATAGTAGTATAATAAGCTATTATATTACGTATTTGTATATTTATCTTATTTAGCCCACTACTTAGTACAGTGCCATATGATGATGAAAGAATGGATGATGAAAGCATTTTATAGACCTTGCAAATATATCATATTGATTAAATCATGTGCTGTGTAACTCATTCAGCAAGTAGGAAGAATTCTGTTGGGATGGAAAAGAAACAAAAATGCCAACAGCGATATAAAATTATCTCACCCGACTTTTGGTTACGTATAGATTAGCCGATGAATTACATATGCCATCTCTCCCTGAAATGATGTTTGGAGACAACGTTTTAAGAATCCAGCATGGGTCTGGCTTTGGAATTGAGTTCAATGCTACAGATGCGTTAAGATGTGTAAACAACTACCAAGGAATGCTTAAAGTGGCCTGTGCTGAAGAGTGGCAAGAAAGCAGGTGAGAATCCGGTCAATTAGGTTAAACAAAAAAGGTAATTAGGTTAAACAAAAGAGAAAAGACTTGAAAAAATATTCAGTAATGATACGTGTGTGTTGTTAGAATGAAGGGCTGGTATTATTAAACTTGAGAGTTGTATCATTCTAGAATTCGTTTTTCTCAGACATAAAAATGGAAGTTAATTACCCCACTGCTTGAATACTTGTTAAAGTGAATTACAACTGAGCTGAGCTATGTACGTTTTCGATTTTTCAGTGTTCCTTACTGAAGAGGCAGTAGGCTATACTTAATGTTCCTGTTTTTAAGAAAAAATGTTTACTTATGATATGCTTAATAAATACCCTATTTGAGAAGCATTGAAATTAAGACAACATGTTTTTCTTTGATAGTCAAATCAGCAATTATTTACTTTGTGCCTAATATGTACTAAGTACCTTAGATGATACAAATAAGTATAAACCTTTAAACCATGTCCTCAGGCTGTATACAGACTAATTGAAAAGACT